>NC_000004.12:21822916-24322916 GCF_000001405.40 Homo sapiens | reverse complement strand
GTGATGAAGTTGCTATTCAAAATATTGTACAGTGCTTACAACATGAGCATGACCAAAGTGGAGAGTGCAGCCAATCATTGTGGATGGCTGTGCAAACAGCTGGTGTCCCAGTAAGCAGTCGTGGGCTAGTATGTGCTAAAAACCTGACTCTCCCAAAAATCATGAAGCCCTGAGTCATAGTGCATGCTGATTTCTGAGGTAGAAACACTCCCACCACTGCCAGCTTCAAGCCACCAATGTGATATCAGTTGGCTTGCATATTTTCTGCAAATTTAACAATCAGCTCTTGCAAAGCCTATGTAAGCCTGTTCCAGCACAACACTGTCTGTAGCAGGAACATACCAGCTTAACATCATCCCTGCACACACACACTCACATACACATGGATACACAGATACATCCAAGAGGTACTTTTCTCTCTCTGAAAAATGTGAAGTTATAAATGACATATAGAAACAACTCAGCTAGGAATAAAGTGTCTGAGGTGTTACCAGATGAACCATCAGGGTTGTCAAGAGAAAAGCTGCAGTTTGACCATTTTCTGCTTCTCCATTGTAGCGAAGCTACAACTCAAGCTTCGTTTTCAAAATGCATTTCTCACCCAGTGCTTTTCTTTTCTTTTTAAAAAATACTCTTCAACTCGGGGGAAAATAATTTTGTACCCCAGCCACCAGTGAAGCTAGCTCAAAAGTCACTAATTTAAAAAACCATTTTCAGATTTGGTATGTGGGCAAAATAAGCGGAGGCTATAATCAGGAAATTCTGCATAAGAGCAAATGGATTTGAGGCGATTTTAACTCGGTGGGTAACGAATTCTACAGCATTATAGCTGGAATAATTCCTTGCAAGCCTTCTTGGGGAAGCTATGTTCTAAAAATGGTTGATGCTTCTATTAGGTCAGTGTTCTCCATTAATCCATGATCTATTTTAGAAGAAAAAACAATCCCATGTAGCCCGTGAGATTTTTGATTTGAGCACTTCGGTCAGAGGCCGATTATTTCTTTTTTACGAACAAGTCCAGAGTTGCTCCTTGCAAGTGAAGTCCTTACAAAGAATTCTAATAGGCATCCTGCTGAGTTGTTGTCTGTTCTTAAGTCTCTTTTCATTTGAATTGGAAAGAAATAGCAGTCAGCTGAAATACTGGTCTCTGGCAGTGCCCTTTGCAGAGCTAAAGAATAGCAACCAACGTCCATCATCACACATTATGACTAAATCATTTCAGTCAAGTTGCATGTAGCAGATAGATGGTGATTTTCACATTCTGCAGCTTCTGACAAATATTGCCTTATCCATCCGTAAACATCTCTATTGGTGCCTCTCTGGGTTCTGGAAAAGTAGTTCCGGCAGGGTAGCGCTGCGAAGAAATTAAAGTCAGACAAATACTTGTATCATCCTTTTTTGCTTTGATTTCTTTACATATCAAAATTAGTTTCTGATTCCCAGTTGGGAGACAATAATACAGTAGCTCCTAGTGGAAAACCTGTCTTCAGTTATATTTAGCAGGGAAATGAGTCAAACTATTGAGAGACTGCCAGCTTCATCATTATAGGATTATGCATTTTAATAGGACACAAGTTCGCAGGCCTTTGGGTGTGTTAGTTGCGTCATACGCATTTTATTTTTCCAAGCATCCTGAGGCTTGGAATCTACCTAGTTTTTAAAAGCCAGGTGTTGGGTGACCTTTGTTTCTTTTTGCTTCATTTTAATCACTTGATCCTTCTTACACGGTATCATTGAGGATGAGGGAATCGACACCGGCAAATTTAATTTGAAGGGCACCTCTATTTTGGAAGCTTTACAGGATGACTTAGCAGAGAAATTTCCTCTTCTTAGGCGCTGCTTAGATAATTCAGGCTTGCACGAAGAGGAGTCAGGCCCTACACTTGCAACTCTTCATTAGTGCAGCTGGGACTCGGTGAGAGAAAACGGGGACCTGGATATCTTCTTGGACTTGTAAGGCTAATTTTTGGAAACTGCCAAAATAGTTTAGTCATTTCAGAGGACCGTAAGGGCAGGCTTTCTGGGAGCCATTTTCCAGCTGTTGACCTTGTTTGCACAATTTCGATTATTTTCAAAATAATAAAAAGGTATTCAGAAGTTTATTACCCGGCTTCCTATGGTGTTCTGTATATGTTTCTCGTGAATCGAATCTGTAAGAGGGTCTCCTAGGAGTGGTGTTTTTATGTAAAGCTTTTGCACACACACCCAAGAAGAGCTTCACTGAACTTTTTGCAAGAGAGACACCTGTTTACTGGCTTCGGCATCAAAATTCATTTCTCTGTTTTTATATAAGGATGGTCTTTGTTTTCAAAGGACATTCGTTACCCGTTAAAATACTGTATTTTCAAGTTCCTGATGCTTAAACATATTTAGGAAATGTCAAAAAGAGCAAAAACCAAGTCTTCATTTTAAATGCATTGCTTTACGGAGAAAAGGGGGAGTAAGAGAAGGAGTGTGTGTATCATGATTAATATTGAATGCTAAGGTTGTTTACTTTCCTTTGGACTTGGCCAAGTAAATGTAAATCTGGTAGAATAGAATCCATGAGGCATATAATTAATGGTGTGGTGTTTATTTCCTGTGAAGAAACTATATCATTTATTCTAGAATAAAAAAGGAGATACAAACTTTTCTTCCTTCTTGTGATGTGAAACAGAAGATAGATGGTAATTTTAGAAAACATTGCTTAAACCTCCAGGAAACAAAATGTCTCAGGAAGGTTTAAGAGCATTGTGGCAGTGATTCACAGCAAGTACAGATTTTCAAAGGAAATCTACTAGTTAGAAATTTAAGTTTACAAAATAAATGAAGAAATCTCTCTAGTATTCTTTTAAATGGTCCCTTCTCCTCTTGCACCATTCAATTCAGTGTTAGCTATTCTGGTTGTCTGATGTCGGTATTTTCTGCAGTCCTTGTCTTCTATAATGTGAGGCACACCTGTGTCTAGTATGACTCTTAGAAGGCAATTGTCTTTCTTTTTAATGAGCCAGCTTTTTGAGCAACAAATATGAAGAAGAAGGAAAAAAATGACTATGAAATCAGAAACATTCCTGTGGACAGAAAGAGGTACTTTAGAGAAAGGTAACATATCCCTCTTATAGTGAATTCAACTCATTCTGCAACAGCGTAATAGGAGGAAAAAATTTCTTGGAGACCCCGCATGTTTGCCTTGAGTTATGAGTATCAATAACATTAGCCGTAACTGCAGAGAGAACCGTTAGTTGTATGAACATATAATTCTATCAAAAAGTAAAGCTCACTAAGCTACTTGGGGAAAACAGTGTCTACAGTAATGAGTCACCAAAACTCACTGTGTTATGTTAAAAGCCCGTGTTCAACCCATTTATTGTTTTTTTCCTTTTTAATTTCATGGAGTGTTTCCTGGGTCTTGCCTTATGGCCCAAGCTAACTAAGGAGATCCACGTGGCATTTCATGAACCCTCATTTATTCATACTTTGTTCATAGTCTATCTTTCTTGACACTTCTCTGTTTTCATAATGAAGCAACTCTCATCTCAGGACAAAGTTGGTCTTTTCTCAAATGAATGAGTTTCTTTATTTTTATTTTTTGAGGTAGGGTCTCACTCTGTCACCCAGGCTGGAGTACAGTTGAATTGTATAACCATGGCTCATTGTAGCCTCGAACACCTTGGCTCAAGGGATCCCCCCACCTCAGGCTCTGAGTAGCTGGGACGACAGGCATGCACCACACACAGCTAATTTTTTAACTGTTTGTAGAGACAAGGTCTTGCTATGGTGCCCAGGCTTGTCTGGAACTCCTGGCCTCAAGTGATCCTCCTGCCTCTGCCTCCCGAAGTGTGGGATTACAACCGTAAGCCACCGCACTCAGCCGAGTTTCTTTATTTTTTATCTCTTCTTGTTTCTTTTCTGCTCCCAATTCATTTTGTTTGTTTGTTTGTTTGTTTCTCTTTTTGGTCCTGGAGATCTCCCTGTTATCCTCCAACTACAGAAATAGTATTCATTCTTGAAGGTGAGGTTCACATCCTACCTTGTCTGGGAAATTCTTCAAACTTTACTGGCTGTGTCATTAATTTGGCACAGCCAGTTGTATTTTGTTATCTGTTTTTTGTTTGTAAAATCACCAACCAGATTGGAGGTTCTTGAGAGCAGGCATTCAGGGGCCCCCAAATTATACATCGTTGGCTTTATCAGTATTTGCCATTCAATTTATAAAAAGGCTATTCTGATAATATCAGAGACAAAGAAAGGACATAAGGCTGATTTAGGCGATAGCCTGGTAATACTTTTCTGTGCTTTTTTCAGTGCTTAAAAAAATGCTGCATATGGTTTATTGGCACTTTGATGATGCCCGACTAAGAATAGGCATTCTCATGAAACTGTCCGCAGGAATGCTTATAGCTTTCTTTGGAGAAGTTATCACTTATTCTGAACTAAGCAAGTCACCCCAAAATAGCAGAGTGAAAGTACTTACTTTGCCTTTTCTGATGTTCCTTTGGATCTTGGATTGCTCAATTTGGTTAATTCATTTTGTTCCTTCTAGTCTACCTGAATGAACTTCAAGCCAAAGAATTTTAAATGTTTTCACAGATGGTCTCAGAGACCTTAGAAACAGCTTGTGTCATTTCACATTCCATCATTTCACAGATAAAGAAATTGAGGCCCGGAGAAACAGTCATATGTGCAGGCTGGTCTTGGCTTCTTAGTACCCTGCCAGCTCAGTGCTTTCGTCACTATACCAAGTGGTCGCCTGTCATTAGCTACCTGCATTTTTCTATTTACTGTACTTCATTTGACAAATCATTAAAAATAGATAGCACAACACTGGCTTCAGGACTAATCTTTGAGCGGCCCCATTATTTTTAGCTTCCCATGTGGAGAACTGGCTATTTATTCCTGGGCTTTGGTTCCTCTCAGTTAAGAAGGCTTTAATCACGACAGAACTTCACCTTTTACCCCATAGTTACCGACTTGCCTGCCTGGCCTTAATAGCCTCCTATGAGAGAGACCTTCTCAACAGCCTTTAGAAAGTCTAAATAAATTATGCCCACAGATTCCTTTTTATCTGCTGTTTTTAGCACACAATTTTCCCAAACAAAAAACCAGGCCAGAGGGCACGTTCGTCTTGGTAGGTGCTTTGAAATGCCTTGCTGTGGAATTTATTCTTGTGCTTGCGTATAGGTGGATGCTTGTCTGGGTTCGGGGCTGGGGCTGTGGAGAACAGCAGCCACAGCTCTGAAGTGAAAAAAAATCCAGCCCTACAACTGATTTCTCTGTCTACAAGATGCCAGGTGACCAGTTCCACTGCAATTTTTTAGGGCCAGCCCTTTTGGTGGTGGTGTTTTTTTTTTTTTTTTTTTTTTTTTTTTTTTTTTTTTTTTTAGTCCTCTGAACACTGGGCTCCTCAAAGTCACCTCTGCTATGAGGGCTTTTGGACTTCCATTCTTTCATCCCAATCCCCGCTCAGTCCCTAAAGCAAGTAGGAGGATGTCTTTGTTTTTTGAGGCTTCCTGGTTATTGTACAAATGTCTATCATGGAACTGTAGCACCTTTGACATTTCTTTATTTACCTGTGGGTTTCACTGGACTGGTCACACTTTCCCTGCTATATGCCAGTGCCTAGGAGAGTGACTGCCATATAGTCAGGCTCAATCAATGTCTGCCTAGGGAGTGAACTGTGTATCTCCAGTGCTTAGTGTAGGGTTGCAGTATATAGTGTTTGAATGAACACATGAATAAATAGAGTTGAGTTGCAATGGTTAAGGGTAGTATGCCCACTCCTAGCTGAGTAACCATGAGTGAGCTGCTTACCCAACCTCTTTAAGCCTCATCTTCCTCATCTGTATAATGGGGATAATAATAATATTACTTACCTGATAGGGTGATGGTGAGGATTAAGCCATAAAATTCTTAGAACAGTTCTCAGTTACAGTTTGAAATTATTTTATTTTCTGAATCAAAATGATGTAAATTTCCTCTCCCCTCCACCTACACCCATGGCAGAAATGAACATGGATCCTGCTGGAGGGCTGTGGAAGGTAGGGAGATTTGTAGTCATAACTGTTCTGAATTATCCAAGACATAGTGGCTTCAAGAATACCCGAGCTTGTTAGATGACTTTTGAAAACTAGTTACCATTTTCATAGTTCTTACAATGTGCCAGGCAAGTTACATATGCGATGTCATTTATTCCTCAAAACAAATCTTTAAGGATAAGCATTATTCTTCCCATTCTGCAGCTGATGACGTGGAAGCTGAGAGAAGTCAAAGGCCAAGGTCTTGCATGAGTAAATGGCAGAGCCAAGAGTGGGTTTAGGGTCTTGCCATTCTTTCTGTGGGACTGTAAAATGGGCTTTGTCTGATTTTAAAAATATGATTATAAAGCTAATGTGGAGGGTTTTAAAAACCTTATTCTTATATTAATATCTAGGAAAAGTTCATTTGTAGCTAAGGCTCCTCAGCAGCCTAATCCTGCCTCTTCACTTTTGCTTCAAAAGACTGCAGGTTATCGAATAACAAACAGCTCATTAAATAACAATGCAAAGCCAAGCATTTGGACATTGTGCTAATGGAGTCAGAAAGTCTGGTTTAGAATCTTGATGTGGACCCTATACTGAGCCAGCAGCTTGTGAGCTGTGGCTAGTCATTTGGTCCATGCCTGTCTATCCTGGTCTAGCTGTCTCTGCCCATGTAAGATAGAACCCACTGTGGCAGACACATATGGTCTTGACAATTCAGCATCACTTTGGCTGGACGCTTGCATTGGGAGAAGTTGGTGATCTTTCAGATAGACCAACATAGATGAAAACATTCATGGTCCTGAAAATCATTCTGGAATCCAAGAGAAGAAACAAATTGAGCAGAACCGTCACCCCACAAAGGTCAGAATGAAAAGTCTTGGGTCCAGAAGCTGCCCTCTTGGCCTTGTTTATATGGGCATTGGGTGCATGTTGGACTGTGGCTCTTCAAGCAGGCCAAAACTCTTGGATAGGAACTATCCTTTATGAAGAACGGATCTAGAATAGAACCTTTAGATCTGTCCCATGCACTCCAGATTGGGTCTGGCTTTGAATGCCCGGAAAGGACCTGGCAGTCTAATCTACAAATGATGCGAGCCTTAGAAAAGAGTTTCTCAACTGTTGCAGTATTGACATTTGGGACCAGATGACTCCTTGTTGTGGGAGGGTGTCCTGTGCATTCCATTGTAGGATGTTTACCAGCATCCCTGGCTTCTACCCACTAGATGCCAGTAGCGTTTCCTCAGTTGTGACAATGGAAAGATCTCTAGATATTGCTAAATGTCCTCTGGGGTGGGACAAAATTGGCCCTGGTGGAAAACCACTGCTATAGGGTCACTGGCTTGTGAAACTTTGGCTTGGGCAGAGCTAGTCAGGGAAGACTTGGTTTGTGGACACATCTCACCTCTCAGGTGCACTTCTGAGTGCTGTGCAACTAATGCAGAGTCTATTCCTCATGGACTGAATTCTGGAAGATGTTTGGCACCTAACGCTATGCATAAAACACCATGAATTTCCAGCTTCTGCATATCAAGAAAGGCCATTTCCTTCATGTGGCTATACTTCTTAGATAGCAGATACATGGCTTATGACTTCCCCATGCCTCACCCCACACCTACTTTTGTGCTCATGGAGGACATCATGAATCCATCTTAACATTCTTTTCTACTGACACTAGTGGCTTCAGCATCCTTTCAACATAGGTTGCAGGAAGCTGTCATTGTTTAGAATTAGTAAGCAAGTTAGAAGCTGTTTATCATCTCTGGGCTTGACTCTATGAAATCAATTCAAAGAGAACTGTCAAATGTTAAGATGGGTGTGGAAAAGCCTTCTGACCAAAGGCTTTTGGTCTGATCCTTGATTTTTAGTCTCTTTAGATTTCTTTTTTTTTTTTTTTTAAGGTCTGTATGTCTCAGTTATTTGTTCTACAGAATGGAGCCAAACTTTACTGGAAGAAACAGGGATGCCATAAGAGTTATTAATTAACCTTTTTGGGTTTTTAGGTAGTGGAAAGCTGAGAGCCTAAGGAACTGAAGACATCTGTCTAAGTGAGCAGAAGAGACTATTTCTGGCACTACTCTGGGCTTCCAAGGCAAATCTTGAGTTAATTATAGCTCTTGGTACATTCAACAATAATCAACTTAATAAAGTTAAGCTTTGTCTCCAGGTGATGGACAGAACACATTTTTGTTTTTGCAAATTAAAAACAAATAATAAAATATAGTAAGTTCTATGATCAAAACTCTATTATCACCATCCAGAATTGATCATTGTTAACATTTTGTCATACTTACCGCAAATCTTTCTTTTAATTAAAGAAATAGATTGTCTTAGTCCATTTGTGCTGCTATGACAAAATATCTGAAACTGGGTGATTTGTAAACAATAGGAGTTGCTCCGGAGGCTAGGAAGTCCAAGAGCAAGGGGCTGGCTAATTTGGTCTGGTAAGAGCCCATTCCTTATAGATGGCATTGTATAAGTGTCCTCCCATGACAGAAAGGACAGAAGGACAAAGAGGGACTAAGTTAGTTCCCTCCAGCCCTTTTATAAAACACTAATTCACTCATGAGGGCAGAACCCTCATGACTTAATCACTTCCCAAAAGGTTCCACTTCTCAATACCACTGTGATGGGGGTTACATTTCAACATGAATTTTGGAGGGGACAAGAACATTCAAACCATAGCACAGACTTCAAAGATAAAGTGAAATGCTCAGTCCGTTCCTAGTTCCACATGACTGCTGAATCTCTCTAGAGCCATCCCATATTACACATTTATTGTATATCTCACTAGTGCATTTTTTACTCTTTTGTTGACATATGTATGAATCTTTGAACTATTGTTTTAGGTGTTCTTTAAACACTTTTCACATGCAGTTTTTCATGCTGTTTATTTTTTCTTCAATTGCATTTAATTCAAACTGTTATGATTTTGAAGCCTATCCAAGTTGATACATATACATCTAGCTAATTAGAAGTTTACAACTTCTTGTAATTCATTGCATGAACATATTTTATTATCCATTCCTCTATTTATGGACATTTATGTTATCCATTTTTCACTTCTACAAATAATCTTGCAGTGAGCAATCTTGTAATTTCTCCTATGGTTTCTTTAGCATATGTACCTAGCAGTGAAATTGGTGGTTCATTTGACATACACATTTTAAACTTTACTAGATAATATAAATGTTCCATAAAGCTGGTGGCTCCAGTTTAAATTCCTGCTAGCAGTATATGAGAATTTCCAATTGCATACATTCTCAGACGGGCTGGATGAAAGCTCCCTTCTCTTGTTTGACTTTTGATCAACCAGTCTGTTGGGTTGTAATATACTGGCTGGAGGTTTTGCAGTTTGGAGATCAGTCTACCATAGAAACTGAATAAACTTTCCAACCACAGTAGAAATGTAACTTGCCTTGCAGTATACCGCAATGTGAAGCCTTTTACATGGCAAGTGATGAGGCTATAAGGAATCAGAGATTACAGGCATTTTGTGCTTCTGGACTCTGACAGATGCCTCCTGCTTTGGCTGGAACATGGCAAATATCTTCTATCACCGTTTCATGCCTCATGGTTCCTTTTGATGTCTCAATCTGAGCTGGGCCTCTCTTTCACATAATAAGGTTTTTCCTCCCTTTCCCATTATTGCCTTATTCTCCAGTGTGAAAACTGATGCAAATACATTATTTAGTTTCCCTGCAATCTCCTTATCCCTTTGACTATCTCCTTTGTGCACTGCTTGTCTAACCGATTCACTGATCCCTTTGCAGCAGTCTTATTTCTGATGCACTTAAAGAATTTAATATTATTTGTTGTGTTATCATTCGCTGTTTGTTTTCAAACACCATTTTTAATCCCTTCTAATCTACACTTTACATCTCACCTGCTAAAGTTTATTCTTCTATAAGCCTCACACTGGAATGGATTTCAATTTTTTGAAATATCCTTTTTCTTTGGTCTCAATAAGCTTCTGAACTTTGCTGTTTTTTTTTCTTTATGGTAACTGTTTTAATTTTTGTTCTGATGTGACTTTTATTCCTATTAGAGACTTAAAATTTGAAATCTTTCTCTTTCAAGGGATTCTTCATGATAAAATTACTGGAAGAATAGTTTATACTGTTATGTTGTGGAACAAGGCAGTAAACAAATAAAAAACTTCTAAGAAAGTAAATTTGCTTTAGCTAACCACTGTACTTTGTACCACTTGTTAGGTCTTAGTTACAGAGTAGAGAGAGAGAACATGACAGTGAGTCAGTAAGTTGCAATCTTTTTTTTTTTTTTTTTGGTTGATGAAATCCTTTTCCCCCCCACCCCACATTTTTTAGGGTGACTATATTCATAGAATTAAGACAAAGAGAAAAGCAAAACACGAAAGCTGATTTTCTGATAAATAAGAAAATTAAAGAGTTTCTCTGTCTTCTTTGTTGATTCTTCTACAGAACACCCTGAATATTGCCTCAGAGCTCAGTCCTGGGATCCTTTCTCTTCTTCTTTCACCTAAGTGATTCAAACCTAAAAAAAAAAATAGGAAAAAATATCCCTAAATATGTTGAGTTAATTTGGGAATGAAAAATGAGGATTATAGTCCAGGATGAATGGAATGGCAAGCCACAAGTGCGTTTGGTGACGGAGGCTAAAGAGAAGCTTTTATAGGCAAGAAGGGAGAAGTTTAGGTAAACTGCACAGAAACAGAGTTTGGTGGTCCAGAGGCTCAAAGCCAGAGTTGTCATAAGTTCATTGGTGGGGATGTCATTACTGGGCAAGAGTTCTTTTGAGAGTGTCTTATCTGAATTAGTGAGGCTTAAAGAATGTCTAGTGATAAAACTTGTTATAGAGATACACGTATAGGTGCAAAACGTTCAAGCTGTGCAAAGCGGGAGACGAGTGAAGGATGCAAAGGGATTTCCTGTGGGTTCCCGTGGGGGATTGTGGAAGGTCCTTGGAAACAGTTTTTATCTCAGACATGTACAGACGAGCTTCCTCTTCTTCATGGCTTCCCAACCCTATTTTATCTGGGTCTGACAAAAATGATTTCATCCTGATATCTGCAACTTTCACAGTGATTTTATCTAACATTTCTAATCATATATATTAGAACTTCTGATATTGTTCCACATGGCACCGAGACTCTGTTAAATTTTTTCAGTCTTTTTCTCTGTTCAGTTTGCATAACATGTATTGATCTATATTCCAGCTTACCGAATCAGTCCCCTGTCATCTTTATTCTGCTGTTAAACCTATCCATTCTTTTAAGAAAAGAATTATTATTATTTTTTTTGAGATGGAGTCTTGCTCTGTCACCCAGACTGGAGTGCAGTGGTGTGATCTTGGCTCACTGCAAGCTCTGTCTCCCGGGTCCAAGCCATTCTCCTGCCTCAGCCTCCTGAGTAGCTGGGATTATAGGCATCTGCCACTGCGCCCGGCTAATTTTTTGTATTTTTTTTTTAGTAGAGATGGGGTTTCACCGTGTTAGCCAGGATGGTCTCGATCTCCTGACCTCGTGATCCACCCGGCCAAGACCGGGCATGGTGGCTCACGCCTGTAATCCCAGCACTTTGGGAGGCAGAGGCGGGCGGATCATGAGGTCAGGAGATCGAGACCATCCTGGCTAACACGGTGAAACACCGTCGCTACTAAGAATACAAAAAAAATTAGCCGGGCGTGGTGGCGGGCGCCTGTAGTCCCAGCTACTCTGGAGGCTGAGGCAGGAGAATGGCGTGAACCCAGGAGGCGGAGCTTGCAGTGAGCCGAGATCTCGCCACTGCACTCTAGCCTGGGTGACAGAGCAAGACTCTGTCTCAAAAAAAAAAAAAAAAAAAAAAAAAAAAAAAGAATTATTATATAACTTACTATTCTATGTCGTATATCTTAATATTCTCATTTTAGTTGTAGAAATTCTATTTGGTTCTTCTTTGTAGTATTTACTTTTCCTTGTGAGAGATCACATTTACTCATTCATTACAAGCATGCATTCTTTTACCTCATTGAGTCAAGCTGTAATAGTTGCTTTAAAATCAAAGTCTGTTCCAACATTTAAGCCAGCTGTGAGGTTGATTTCCATGGATCGTTTTTCTCTTAATACTAGGTCACACTTCTCTAGTTTTTTATGTGTTGACTAATTCACATCGTATCTCAGATATTGTGAATTTTATGTTGTAGAGATTCTGGATTCTGTTATATTTTTCAAAGAGTGTTTTTCGTTTGTTTGTTTTAGTAGGCAATTAACTCAGTTGAACTCAGTTTTAGTGGGCAATTAACTCAGTTGAACTCACATAGAAAAATTTTTTTTTGGATGCCAGCTGAAATTTCAGTTCTGTTATTTTATCCTTAGGTGATGGGCTTTCAGTTGGCCCCATGCAGTTGTAGTTCAGGGTACTAGAGATTTGCTGTCCTCTGATTCTTCAGACCAGAAAAACAGTTTTTTCTCTCTCTCTTCTTAAATCAGCTACGAACCATAAAATTGCTCCTCTTTACCATCCTGCAGGTAACAGCTATAATATATTCTGGACAAAATACCAAAAACAACTATATGAAGGACCTAGAAAGTAAATCAAACCAGGTAGATTCTAGAGAGGAATTGATACATGGAGAAAGATACTGTCGCTTTGTGACTTTCCCATTTTTGTGGTTTTTAGTTGATCCTAGGTGAGAAACTTAGAAGTGGATCTCTTTAACCCCATGTTTTAAAATACCATCTTTATGATGTTACATGCCACATTTTCAACTCCAACCTGGAACACTCTCTTGAGCTCCACGTGTATACAGCCAAGGCACCTACTCATGATTTCTAACAGGCATCTTGAACACAGGATGCCTAAAATGCATTTTAAAATTTCTCTTTGCGAAATATCTTTCTCCACCCTCATTCTCAATAAATGGAATACCATCCTTCTGGATGTTCAACTAGGAGTCACTCTTGACACATTTTTCCTTACTAATTTTCGCTATTTGACCCATCAGAAAATCCTATTCAATGCTTTACATACTTCATATACATTGAATACATTTACTTTTCTTTACCTCTGTTACCATCACCCTTACCACCATTATCTCTTTCGTTGACATACAATACTCTCTCAGGATTGGTCTTCCTTGCGTTTATCCCATCTCGCCTTCAAACTATTCATCACGCAGCAGCCAGGGTGTTTTTCAAATATAAATCAGATTATGTAGCTGGGCGTGGTGGCACATGCCTATAGTTCTAGCTGCTCAGGAGGCTGAGGCAGGAGGATCCCTTGAGCCCAGGAGTTCAATGCTGCAGTGGGCTATGATCATGCCACTGCACTCCAGCCTGGGTGACAGAGTGAAACCCTGTCTCTAAAAAACTAACTAAATAAAAAGATTATGGGACTTTCTGGGTAGAAACCTTTCAGTGATCTAGATAGATTCCTTGCTCTTAGAATAAAATCTAAGTTTCATGCCATGGTCCACATCGCCATTTGTGATCTAGTTCCTGCCTACCTCTGCAACCTCACCCTGGCCACTTTTCCCATGAGGCTCCAGTCACACTATCCCCCTTGATGTTGAACAGGTTCCAATCTTTCTCACTTCCAGGATTTTACACTTGGGATTTGGATGCATCTTTGCATTACCCCTTTTGCATTACTGACTCCTTCTCCTCCTCCTTTTTAAAATTAAATATCACCTTCTTAAAGCTACCTTGCCTAATCAATCAGGAGAGTTACTTTCTATCTCATCACCTTGTTTTTTTGCCTCAAGGTGTTTGTCATATTTGTAATTGTTTTGCTTATTTACTCCTTTGACATCTTTTTTTTTCTTTCCACACTAAAATATGAACCTTGTGAAAAGCAGTCCTTTTCTGTCTTGACTGCTGTTCTTCCATTGTCTTGATAATACCTACTGAATGAATGAATGAAATCCAGAGTACTGAATTATTTCCTTCTTTAATGTATGAACTCCTTAGCTTTCTAAATTCTTTCTCTTTTCTAACACCTTCTACTCAAATGTTGAAAAAAAAATCACTGATATGGCAGTGATTTTTCCCTATTTGTATCAATCTCCTTTGAGATTTTACCCCCATCCCATTACTAATTAGCTGGATGACTCTGGGTAAGTCATCTTTTTGGGACCCAGTTGTTTTTATCTGTGACACAAGGAAGTAAAATGAAAACTAGCAGTTTTCAATTTTTTAAGGAGTAGGAAACTTCCCTCTCTTTTATTTCAAATGAAGTCTTATGCACAACCTCAAATTGTTCCATTTAAAGCAAGGCAGGAGGCCTAGAGCCCTTCCTCTCACCCTCACACTTGACCCATGAGACACCTCTGGAAGACCCAAGACTCTCTGAATGCAGCCTGGAAGCTGTTGCCCTTTCAACTTGAGCAGCCTCTGGCTTCATAACATGATCAATATTTCTGAGATGAACTCTAGGTAAATAAATCCCATGCTATCCACTGTGGTAAAGGGTATGATTAATTCCTCTGTGCAACATACATTGAAAAATATCTGTGCTTGTTAAAAAAATTAAGGCAAGAAATATAGCCTCTAACTCAGCAAAACTAAATAAAAGTTAACCTGATTCAAATGTACCTCTAAGAAGACATGCTTTCCAAACTGATTTCTTTTCTTTCTTTTTTCTTTTCTCTTTTTTTTTTTTTTTTTTTTTCGGTGGCAGAGTCTCACTCTGTCACCCAGTCTGAAGTACAGTGGTGTGATCTCTGCTCACTGCAACCTCCACCTCCCAGGTTCAAGAGATTGTCCTGCCTCAGCCTTCCCAGTAGCTGAGATTACAGGCATGTGCCACCACACCTGGCTAATTTTTGTATTTTTAGTACAGATGGGGTTTAATCATGTTGGCCAGGCTGGTCTCAAACTCCTGACCTCAAGTGACCCACACGCCTTGGCCTCTCAAAGTTCTGGGGTTACAGGCATGAGCCACCGCACCCAGCCCGATCTGATTTCTTTTTAAAACTTAAATTTCCTGAGGTTATAGTTGTGCTCCTTGTTAGTTGGGAAAGGCAGGAGTTTAGGCATCATGGCTTTGGAGCAAGGGTCCATGTCTCTCCCCATTCCCCAAAGGGTGACGGAAAGAATATCACTGCTATGAGACTGTCTTGGGTATTCATTTAAAAAGCAGGGCAGGTTAGTGGAAAAAGCCGGGACTAGAAATGAGGGTGGGCTCGAGAGTCAGCTGGGACTCTGGTTCCTGTTAATTAACGTCTCAAACACACTTCATCTTCCGAACCAGATCCTCTGCTGGTACTGAATCAAGACTTCCTTTTCTTCTTATATACCTGTGGTCCTCAGAGAATCTGCCTTTATAGACTCATGGTAGCTTTTTAGTCTTTAAGTGCTTCACAAGGACTCTTAACTCTCCTAATTCTTCCTTGCCTCCTCTTATTTTGGGGATAGCTAAGCTTCTTGAGGCCAAGGAAGGGTAATAGAGTTGCCTCAAATTCCCAAGAGTGCTCAACACAATGCCAGGCATACACCATGTGCCTTTGATATTGTGCAGTTCACACAAATATGTACAAAAGTGTGTTTTTCTCTTTATAATAGTAATATACATTGCACAAAATTTAATTTTGCAATATATATTACAGTGTAGATTTTACATCCAAAGGATGTGAAAAATACCAGAATACAATTTTTGTATTCCAAGGGTCACTTGGGGGAGAGCTGCCCCAAATGTCTTGACAAGATGGGTGAAATCTGTGTTTCACAACCTGTGGAACCCTGATCCCCTTTCCATGGTACTGCTGTAGAGACTTGGGTATGTATTGCAGGACCACTGCTAGTGATTATAGTCATAGCCCATAAAAGGGGAGCCAGGCCAGTGGACTGGAAATTTATAGATGACTTGAATTTTTAAATAGAAGAATTAACTGGATTTTGGAAATTCTACAAACCAGTGAATATCCCATCAATCTTAAGACAAAAAAGTAGTAAAATTCTAGAGATTTAAGTAGCTAGTTATTGAATAGTAATAATGAAAGCGATTCAATTTTTCAGTACCCTGGATCCTCTTAAAAGTATGTTTAGTGACAATGGTAACATTTTGTTTGAAATGTTAGCAAGAAGTACACTTTATAAAAGCCCTTTGTGGTTTCCCAGTGTTTTGTGGCCAATATTTAGCTGTTCCACCTTCCTCCTTCCTATTACTACTTTGTAGAGGGTCTAGATCAGGGGTGAGCAAGCTATGACCTGCAGGTCAAATCTGGCCTGCCACCTGTTTCTGTAAATAACACTTTATTACCATGCTGCCATGGTCATTTGTGTATATATTGTCTTTGATTGCTTTTGTACTACAATGTAGATTTGAGTAGCTGCAACTGTGTAGCCTGCAAAACCTAAAATATTTTCAATCAAGCCGTATATCACCAAGTTTGCCATCCTCTGGTGTAGATAATTACTCAGAATTTGCAGATAAGGTACTACTATGCTGGATGTTCACTATGCTGTCCAAGGTCTTGGAGTAAACCTATGACCCAGTCATAATCCCAATGGGCCTACTGATTTTGTCCTTTTTAGTCATCTGCTTCTGTCTTGATTGCTGTTCTTCCATTGTCTTCATAATACCTATTGAATGAATGAATGAAACCCAGAGTACTGAACTGTTTCCTTCTTTAATGTATGAACTCCTCTAAATTCTTTCTCTTTTCTAACACCTTGTGCTCAAATGTTGAAAAAAAAATCACTGATGTGACCATGATTTTCCCTGTTTGTGTCAGTCTCTTTTGAGATTTTACCCCCATCCCATTTTTAATTAGCTGGATGACTCTGGGTAAGTCTCTCGTCTTCTTGGGACCCAGTTGTTTTTATCTGGGACTGTGGATTGTGCATCCGGAATCTGCTCCTGGAATTCTGTGGAATCTGCTTCTGTGGATTGTGTTCTCGTAACTCATAGATACTGACTGCTCCCCAGGTCTTCTGTTTTTGGTGTCATTCAGATTTCTTCCATAGGATGAGGGTACATCCCTGCTTTAATGTGGTCATCTCCTTCAGCCCATCTTCAGATGTTGTACAAACCCAGCCAGCTAGATATCCTTTCAATTGTATGTACCTGTGGGATTGTGAAACTACCCAGGGCACGAGGACCCAGGCATCCCAATAATGATAATGGCCACCCTCTTTTTAAATTTTTTTTGAGATGTAGTTTCGCTCTTGTTGCCCAGGCTGGAGTGCAGTGGCATGATCTTGGCTTACTGCAACCTCCGCCTCCTGGGTTCAAGTGATTCTCCTGCCTCAGCCTCCCGATTAGTTGGGATTACAGACATGTGCCACCACATCCGGCTAATTTTGTATTTTTAGTAGAGATAGGGTGTCTCCATGTTGGTCAGGCTGGTCTCGAACTCCCAACTTCAGGTGATCCACCTGCCTCGGCTTCCCAAAGTGCTGGGATTACAGGCATGAGCCACTGCACCTGGCAATGGCCACCATCTTTTAAGCGGTAGCAGATCTCATGCCAGTCATGTAATTTCCATTATTACAGTTCTGACTAACACTTTGCAACGTAGATGTTAGTATTCATATTTTATAGATCAGGAAATGGAGACTGAGTGTTTAATTAATGTGCCCAAAGTCACACAGATAGTGAATGGAAAAGCCAAATTAAAATACAGATCTGTTTCACTCTCAAAGTCATGTTTTTTGTTTGTTTGTTTGTTTTTCTGCCATACACCCTGCTTCTTAGATATCATATATATATTATATATATGATCATGCTATCACTAAGAAAATTATGGCAAAAAAACCACGACTTTGGGAGTATATAAATATACACACACACACACATATATATGTGTGTATGTATATATATATATATACATACACATATATGTATGTATTCTGTTTTACAGTGCCCCAAACAACCACCATTCTTATGTATATTATCTCATTTAATTGATTTTGATCCTTGCAACAACCTACTTGACTGTAAGTTTCAAGAGGGCAGGGACTTTGTCTGACTTATCCATCTTCAGCCATAATAACTTCATACCTGGCGCGGGGTTTGCCACATAGTAGATGCTTAGCAATATTTTATTGAATGAGCAAGTTGGCTTTCTGTCCTTCTTTATTCTTTCTTAAAAGCCGATAACCCATGACTTTGCCTTAGACCTTCCTTTATCATGTGAGCTCTTTATAAGATATATACCTTCCTTATAATGAAGGAGGCCATGTTTCTCCATTTGCCAGGGATAGTTTCAGTCTGCTCCTGTTGTTTTGGTATACTTTTTAATAACATCCCCCTCATTCCCAAAAGTGTCCTGATTCGGTCAGTGAAACAAGTGGTCATCCAAGTGAGACACTGAAACTGTTGCTGAGCACAGGAGGGTTGAATTTGGAGGTCTGATGGAGAGGTGGTTACAGGTATAGACTCTGGAGCCAGACCACCTGGGTTTGAATCCCAGCTCAGCCATGCATTTGCTGTGCGAGTTGGTCAAGTAATTTAACCTTTCTGTGTCTCCAACCCCTCTTGGTGATAAGACTAAGACCTGCTTCACAGGATTGCTGGTGGGGATGAAATTAAATTAAACAACCATGCAAAGTGCTTACAAAAATTCCGGGGTCATTGTAAGGACTTTAAGTGACAGCTGTTAGGAGTACCCCATTCTCACAAGTTATAATAAGTTATAATAAGTCTCTTAACAAGTTATAACAAGTCTGGGGGCCTTTTATTGGAAATGTCTATCCTTTAGCACTCACTAGAAGTCAAAATAAGTGCACAAAGCTTCCCTTGGAAATGCTGCCCCATTGCCACACAAGCAGGTCATCTATAAGCATTTATTAGATCAAAATATCCTTGTGCTGAGTGAACAATGTATTCTCAGTTCTCCCAGCCATCCTGGATTTGGCAGTCTGTCCTCGGGTTGACTGAGTCTTCCAGAACAGAAGCTTGTCTTTCGAGATTCTCCTTACATTTCAAGGGAGTTGTGGGGGTTTGCCTCTTAAGATTTGTCAATAAAACTGGTTAATGTTCTTTATGTACATTTCTTATTGGGACTAACCCCATGGCAGAAAGAATTTTCCTTGTACATTTTTCCCTCTTTCTGCCATTTACTTTTAAAATGATAGCATTTGAGCAATACAGAGTTTAGTTAAACCAGACATGGAGAGTCTCTGGTTTAAAAGGCACCAGAAACGAACAGCAACCAATTTTTGCTTTTTTTTCTTCTTCTTTTGTACAACACTGTTTATTAGACCAGATGATGTACTCTACTCCAAAACATTCATATGGAAAAAAATTGAGGAATTGTGATTAAAATTGATTTTTTCCCTTTGGAAAGTTGGAATCAAAAATGGTTACCTGCTCACTTATGAAACAGATTTATTCTGTTGACATGGAGGCTTGTTTGAAATGTAATTGAATTTCTGTTACCTAATGGAAAGTGACAGTTAACAGTATTTATTTTCCATTTGTGTCTCAGTAGATAACATAACACAATTTTGATTTGTAGTTAGCTTTGGAATCTGAGATTGTTCTATTTCTGTAATTGAAAAGATGGGAGTGTGATGGCCCCAATACAATCCTTTTTTGTTTTTATACAGCCAGTAAAGGTAGCTTTAATACAGTAAACAGCTTCTCTCCCATGCTGCTAATGGTTATATTCAGATGTACTGCGTGTGTTGTGTCTTCTTATTAGACTCTAACACATCTTTCTATGTTGATAATCTCTCCATTTAGACTCATATTTTTTTTACTTTGCAACTAATTTCTGTAAATAACTTCTTCTCTGTCTTCTGCCCCTCCCTTTTGCTCAAAAATAACTCCTATCTTGGAAATAAAGTGAATATTCTTTGTGAGGATTTAAGCTGTTCGTGTTTAGCTGACATTTCTTGGTGCTTTGTGTAAGGGAGATGGAAGATGTGGGAAAGGATGACTTTTGAAGGTGGCCGTGGTTCCACACAGGGGTCTGGGTTTTTATGTCAGGGGAAGGGATACTTCCTTTTACTTGATGTCACCCTTTTCCTTCTCTGGTCTTGACTGAGAGATCTCTCTTTGGTCTGTGCAAGAATAGAACGACTTCTGAAGTAGACTGACAATGGGAAAGAATGTTCATTAAGATGGTTTTCTTTTTCATTTAGAGAAGCTGGAATCAGATCTTGAGTCTATGTCCCCAGGCAGTAATTTATTTGTCTTCCCTTAACCTTATTCCTTGGACCCCTTGGTTTCCCAGAAACCCCTTTGGATGGATAATTCCTGACTGCCATTTGAGAAACACTGAATGTGCATGACAAATGGCACAAATGGACGTTTCATGGCTGCTGGACTTGATTACGGAATGCCCTGCCTGGCCCCTGACTCGCTAAGTGACCGTGGGAAGTTTGCTTCATCCACCTGCTGTAAACGAGGGCCTGAAAGGCCTTCAACAGTGGTTGGATGAAAGAAAGGTCTTCAGTGAAGCTACAGCATTTTGATTCAATAAACCAGCCTTCTGCCTCAGGGCCACCTTCATCAAACACCCTGTCAAAGTGCCCCGGTTTAAGACAAGTAGTCACAGTGGCCTGCGGGGCAGGGGCGAGGAAGAGAGTGGTCAGATGCTGACCATTCATAACCACAGCCTGCGAAGGGAGAACAGACATTTCAGTGCTCACTAATTTCAAAGTTGCCCATCAGTCTGTGGGCAGTGCAGCTCTCCTCTGCAAATACAGTATGCCAGCAAAGACATTACTCAGGAGCATTGTTTTTTTGGATACGTGATGTTTTGTAAACAGTTATGCAGCCATGAAATCAAACCTTTTATACAACATCAGATAACATAACCATCAATTATTATTCTATCATCAAACCATTTCCTTGTTCATGCTGAAAAATGAACCAAGAAGGAAGATGGATTTTTGGAGGCAGCTTGAATCTAGAGTGGCAAGGGAGTGATGAGAATGCAGTGTCTGCCTCAAGAAGAACAACTTGGGGGGAAACGAAGGGAATAGGAGGTGGCTGCCCCTCATGCAGAAACAAACAGCATTGCTTCAAAGTGAATGCTTAATTTCAAGAGCAGCATGCCCTCCACACCCTGACAGGGCGATTTTAGAAAATGGCCATTCCTTCAGCAGACATTTATGGGGCACCTATAACACAGTGCTCAGTACTGTGTTAGATTAAATGGGTAGGATGAAAAGACCCCAAACAGGATCTTTGCATTTGAGGGAGGCACTGGTTCTAAGAACCAAGAAACTGGTCATCCTACAATGTATACAAGTATGGAAACAGGACATTCTACCCCATAAATGTAGATAATGATTGTTAGTCAATTAAAAATAAAATAAAACTTAAAAAGTAACAGTACATTAAAAAGTTTCAAACATTAAAAAAATCCACATGCACGTACTCTTTTTTTTTTTTTTTTGGCAATAGGTGTGGGGGTGCATTTTAAACATTTATTTAAATGCTGACCCTCAAAGAATATTCTGATGGCCTTAACAGCTGACCGTAACCGCTCTCAACTGATGTGGGTATTCACTAAATAGACCGCAGGCTATTTAATGACTTGATGACTCAGTTTCTCTGTCAATAAAATTATGTCAGTAATTTTACCTACCCCATAGGGCTATTTGCAATTTGCCACAAATTTTAGGGATGAAAGGCTGTAAATCACTACTGGTGTTATTATTTACTTAACAGCTAGAGTTCAATTCTCATCAACATGAACCTCATTAACCCTGGACTTGGATGGTTTTGCCAGATAAAATCCTTCCAAATCATGGGGTCTAAAAAGAACCTGTGCTTCTTTTTACGATGAAGATTGAAAAAATATCTACTAGTGTTAAGGTAAAATCTGAATTGTATTTATTTATTCACTATTAATGGGCTCATACATGATTATTTTGACTTTTAATATGGTATCCTTTATACATGCTGAATTTGGTAGCAAATACATTTTGGCTTAAACAAATTAGGGATTTTTTTTTTCCTTCTCTTTATGAATAAAGACCAGAAATACTAGTGTGGTAGCTCCAAAAGTTTATTAAAGACTTAGGCCTTTTCCATCCTTCTGCTCTCTCATCTGTAGTATCTGAGCTTTTATCTTCAAGATAAAAGATATTTGCAGAATCTCCAGCCACTGTTCCTATGTTTCAGACAGGAAGAGGAAGAGCAAGGGGCAGAAAGGGGTGAGTTCTAGTCTTCGTCATCTTTTAAGGAGTTTCTTGGACATGTTAGTCAATGACCTCTGCTTGCATTTCATTGGCCAGAAGTTGACTCTGCATACCTAGCTGCAAGGGAAGCTACAAAATGTCAAATCAACTGGGTACGTTGGTGATCCAAATGAAATTGGGGCTTTACTATTAAGGATAAGGGGAGTGAATATGAGGGAGGCAATTTACCTAATAAATACTAGGTAGATGTTCTCTGTCACATATAAACTGATGGGCCAATTTAATTACAATTTAATTACAAGTCAGCTTACTGCCAAAGGTGAAAAAGTTTATCTAAGTGGAAATTGATATTATCCATTTATAGTTATCTACCTGAGTGTCTAACATACTTATTTTTACACAGCCGTGTATTTTGATATATGCTTATCCAATGCTTCATCTTCCGGGCACATATATATGCCAATATGCCTATATCATGTAAGTTTTTAACTTAAGCAAAAAAAAAAAAAAAAAAAAAAAAAAAAAAAAAAAAAAAAAAATGCTATTGTATAGAAAAATACCATTGCTTAAAGGAGGAAAAAAAACCCATAAAAGCAGTAGTAAATTCGTTTTGCCTGATTTTTAGTTAATGAGGTCTTATATATAAAAATGTGGCAAATTGAACAAAATGTGAGGAAGACACAAATAATGAATGTAAACGGTTTCTGTAAAGGACACTGGAGTAGATAACGAAGGCAGGAAAGCCAGAGTCCTCAATTTTGCTTCTTGCTGTTCCCACCTAATCAGACCTGACCTTTAAGAAAGCCCCAAGGCATGGGACCCTCAGCAGATTGGAAATGATGAATTAAGTAAAAGCTTAAATTGCAAATATGGAAATGTTTAATTTGCACATCACAAACAAAAACCCATGTGATTTCTGATGCAGACTATGATCTCAGCCACATAATTCTTATAGATGAAGTTGATTAATATACAATGAATATACATACGAACATTTTATATTTCTGAAAATGGTGCTTTCTAGCCTGGACCTTGGTTCTGGTAACATTATTCATATTTCGATTTGAGATGGGTCTTTTCTGAAGGCTCTAAATAGATGAGTGACATGCTTCCCTAGATGGTCCCCAAGACTGTAGTCGTTTATGTGTTAGGGGTGGTATGAATTAGTCCTTAGTTTGTTATGCTCGGTGCCACAGAGATTTGATTGGATACCAATCCATGCCCATATGATCATTTAAATATTTTGACTTATTTGGAGAAGAAAGACTGAGGTAGCTCACAATTTTTAGACTCCAAGGAGTGAGCTAGCTCTTTAATCCCAGCAGGGCTGCACGAGACGCTTAACCATTTTAGCCCCTGGAAGATACTTTATTTAGCAAATTACTGCTCCAGGGCATTCTGCAACCTTAAAAAAGCCCATATATTGACTTCTGTAAGTAGGTTCCTAAGTCACACTTGCTTAGGCAGTAAGGCTCATGCACAAGACATAGACTTTTAACATTGTGATGTTAATATATATATATATTTTATTAAACCGGAAACTATGGCTTTAGTGAATAATTTTTAATAGCAAAAGTCCTATTCATCAACTAGCTTCTGTGGTCAGCTGTGGCGATTCATGCTGACAAATGAGGAAATCAGTGACTGAATTTAAAATCAGGTCCTTAGAGAAGTCATGTAATAAAGAGCATAAAATTTTCACTGCAGCTGTTCTTTGTGTTCAATCTGTGTATCTGGCTGTGACTTTTGGCAGTATTTGTGCATTGGTTTTGCTATAAAATATTTTATCCCCTTCTTGGTAATGAGACCTATGGATTTAGTCGATGCGATTCTGTACTTCTTGTTACCACTCAGTCCACCAGTGGCCTATTAGCCATTATATTGCTGTAGGAAGAGGAGTTGTTTAGGTTCTTATCATTAAACATTTAGTAAGCACATTTATTAAACACATATGTAGTATAAATGCTGTTTCACAGAAGGGAGGCATAGGTGCCTCTAGTTGTTTACATTTTGAGGAGTAAATTTGTACGACAGATACCAGTAAAATCCAAGAACTTTATAGGAACTGTGCTTCTTAGACATCTGTTTCTAGGTTTTGTTTTTGATGTGGAATTGAGCAGACTAAAAGCCATGTTTTATTGAGACACTACACATTTTCAACTGCATTTTAAGCTCAGACAGTGTCTTTTTCTATGTGTTCAGTTCCTAACCTAGAATCTTGGTACTTGTAGTACATGTCTGTTGAAATGAACGAACCTGTTAGGGAGGTAAAATGCCATAGTTAGGATAGAGTAGGTTACGCTGCAGTAACAACTGCAAAATCATGTGGGCAATGGAGAATGCATATATCAATGACAAGAATGGTGCCCAATATTTATGGAGTGGTTGCTACATAATAGATGCTATTTTAAAGAGTTCACATTGATTAACACTTTTAATCTCCACAACAGCTTAATGAGATGTATACTACTATCATTCCCATTTTACAGAGGCACAGATTGGGTAAGCAACTTATCCGAGGTTACATAGTAATAAGTGTCAGATCCAGGATTAGAGCCCTGGAAGTCTGGTTTCAGAGTCTGAGCCTGAAGCCACTACACAATATTATTTTGTAAGCACATGATGTTTTTGTCTGTCTAAGCATCTACCTCCTTTTCTTTCTTATCTTTTTTTTTTTCATTTGGTAATAGCACCTGAGTTTTGGTTCTCCAACTGGCTGTGTGATAAAGATGAGGCCAATTGGAGTTTCTCTCACAGATAATGTGACTACTGACTCTAATTGGAGCTAAAATATGCCTCCATGGAGGTGGCTGGTAAGAGGATCTATCAGTTTCTGTTATCTCCATCTCTGTAGCTACTATGGTTCCTGTTCTTTCTGCAGCCTGACTCTCCAGTATTTTCTTTGGCTACCACATGTCCTCTTATTTTCTCTTTGTAAACAATTGTTTGGGCTTACGTTAGCTGAAGATCATCCTGTTGCTTGCAACAAAAAACCCGATTGACCCAGAGCATAGTTGACAGGAGAGTGGTTACGTATTAGCAACCTGTTTTGTCTTCATTTCTCTGGTCATGGACCAGTAGAAGCTTTGGACACAGGCAAACTAGGCTGTTGCTGCCATTTTTTCTGGTGTACAGTGGGATTCTCATTAAATAGTGGTTGAATTGAATAAAAATGTGAGGGATCTCACTGCTTCCACTTCCTTCAAAGCTCCTGATGAAGTGTTATTTTTTGGTTCCTGCAATGGAAATAAACAAGTGAGGTCACCTTTTCTTGAGTTTATGGTAATGAATCATTTTTGCATTGACCCTTTTCTTCCAGATATCAAGATTATGTGTAGATGAATATAATTTGTTCGTTGGCCTCTATGGAGTGTTATATGTCCCCATGATGGCTCATGAAGGTAAATTGTGTTTTGAGGTGTGCTAAAAGCTGTGCGAATTCGTGGGCATAAAGGAGATGCTTTGAAAGTACATTTCCGAGAAGAATACGTATTAAAGCCTCACAGCCTACTGGTTCAGAGTATGGACTTTATGGAAGAGGAATCCTGGGGATTTTTGTTTGAATCTTCTAGCGCTACTACGTAGTAACTCTAGGAAAGCTATTCAGCCTCTGCCTCACTTCCTCACTGGTACTATCAAGGTTGTGATGCCTACCTCATGCCTGTATATAGTAGGTGTTTATTAAATGATATTCATTATTAGAAGCCTTGATTTGATACCCAGAACACTTTCTTCTAATGCACTAGCTTCGAGTGTGAATCACTTTGACACTTCTTTACTGTCTTCTCTTTATGGTGCTTTAATGCATTTGTCTTGTCTTCTTGACAACACTCAAGTCCCTTGTCTTTTGTCTTCTTCCTCTCCATTACCTGAATCAAGCTGCAGTCTCTAACACAGTCCTCTGCACATCGTCCATTTGCAATTGAAAAAAAAAAGTGTTGTGCTGATTTGAAAGGTGAGATAGGAGGAGATATACTTGGCAGTAAGACAGAACTTCGTATGCATCCTGGCACCTCTATTTACCAGCTGTGTGACCTTGGGCAGTTTTCTGCAACTCACCAAGTGATAAATAATACAGGCATCTCAGAGATTTGCAGACTAAATCAGTTAGAGTAATAAAGGCCTAGCACAGAGGCTGGGCACAAAAATCAAAACATTCTTGATGACAATGTCATTTTCTGCTTGAAATGGGAATGGGATGCTAATTTAAAGGATGCATCATAGATACACACAGTGCAGGGATACCGAAGTTGTAAAATTCACAAACATCATGGCCACCAACCATGTTGAAATTAAGGTTATGTCCTGATGAATCTGTAAATCAGGCAAATCCTCAGCCAAACTAACTGACATAGATAAAGAGGCTGGCTCTTAGGTGAGTTTGCCAACAGGACTTAACTCTTTGTCTCCTCAGAGCAACCTAAGTTCTTTGGAGATAGGGTTGCAACATAAAATAGGAGACACCCATTTTATCTTTCAAAGTACATTTGTGAGAAGAATATATGTTAATTTGAATTTCAGATAAACACTGAATAATTTTTAAGGTAAGAATGTCCCATCCAATATTTGGAACATGCTTATACTAAACAATTATTTGTTGTTCATTTGGCATTAAAATTCAACTGGATACCCTATATATATATAAATATATATATATATACACACACACACATACACACATACACACACATATAAATATAGTTGGGAAGCTATCGTGTGTGTGTATCTATATACATGTGTATATATGTATATATGTACATATATATGTATGTGTGTATATATGTACATATATACATATACACATATATACACATACACACATACACATATATACACACATATACATATATATACACACATACATACACATATATAGTAGTTGGGCAGTTTTCTGCAACTCACCAAGTGATAAATAATACCGGCATCTCAGAGATGTGCAGATTAAATGAGCTAGAGTTATAAAGGCCTAGCACCGAGGCTGGGCACAAAAATTGAGACATTCTTGATGACAATGTCATTTTCTGTTTGAAATGGGAATGGGATGCCAATTTAAACAATTTAAAGGATGCATCATAGGTACACACAGTGCAGTGTGTAATACATATATAAATACATATATAATATATATAATGTAGCATATAATACGTATATGTGTATATAATGTAATGTATATACTCATATATACATATATACATATATATAACACAAAAAACTATGAATATATATATTCATAGTTTCTTCCCCCTTAAACCTGGCAATTTCATTTGGAGCCACATAGCAGCTACCCTGTTAATCTTGCTAATAAAGATTAGCCTTTCAAGATAAAGTTAGGTTTTTCTCCCCAGTGTCTGGTGCCCAGGATTCTAGTCCAATGCCCTCTCTGATGGTTTTCCCACAAACTCCAATAGCATCCTGTTTTACCTTAATTTTGTATTCATCTATTTTAATCCCTTTCATCAGATGAACAGCATTAACTCATCCTATTTATATATAATCTATTCATAAGCATTGAAAAAGAGAGGGTATATTTGGCAGGAAAAACAACTCCTATTTAGCAACTGGCAAACGTCAAGAGAGGTTTTGGCTTCAATAAACATCTCTCAAAGTTGTGATGGAGGGAAAGAGATTATTACCATCCTTTTCCTTTTTGGGTAAACTTAAAAAATGAAAACAAACACACAAAAACATCTCGTGATAAGGAATGAAGAGATTTTGGTTTGATGCTTATAGAATATTCTTTGAGGCTACATCTAGCCCCAACTCTCAAGGCACTAACTAAACAGCGTTGCATTAATTGGAGAGGTAGCTGGGTTGAAAGCGGGGATTGATGCCTGTGATTGACCACAGCACAATCAGTTGCCCATGAAACCGCCTCCCTACTAGTCCCCCCATGGGCTTGCTGATGCTGGTGAGGGCCACAGAGGGCCATGGAGAGTAAGGGGCCTAGCTGTGCTGGGTTATTGCACTGTCCTCTTAGTTGGAGCTGCTACTCTCAAAAAGCTGACTAGGTGACATCCCAGAGTTATGGATACGATTTGCCTGGAAGAACTGGGAGCTCCTTCTTGTCTTGTCATTGCATCTTTGGGATATCATGAAGAAAACATAAAAGGAAACGTTTGCCTGGCTTCTTATCTTTCAAAGGAAGAGATTAAAATTGGACTCTACAGTGATTTGGTATCTATGAATGAAGAGACTCATGTGGATGCTCAGTTTTGCTAGGAATCTCCAAAGGCTAATAATTCTTTACCCACAGCAAACTTGTTTTTTGGGAGTGGGGGTGGGGAAGTTGTTTAGACCTCAGTAGGCTTTCTTGGTAACTAATTCTCACTTATTCTTTAATTTGTGACCTAAAAGTCCTTCTGAATTGCTTCCTATTTATTTCAGAAAAAGGATAATTTGTAGTAATAGATAAGCAAGATTTAACCCCAGAGTGAATAAATTTTTATTCCTTTCCTTCAGAAAGGAAAGCTCATAAAAATTAAGCCTTCCACGGAGGAACTGTAATATACATTTTAAAGACATTACCTGTGTATTAATGGACATCGAAACATTATTCGAGATCATATTTTCTGATCATGATTTTCATATCAATTGTATACTAAGAAAGGCACTGTAGTGATGGCAGTATCACATTAAATTTTCACAAAAGCCCCAGGGATAGGTAGTTTTATCTCCATCCTGGGCAACGGGCCCCTGAGTTCAGCCTGAGTGTGTTCAGGCTGACCAAAAGCCTCGGCTTTGGTATGAGCTCGACTTGGGATGGAGCCAGTTCTACTACTTCAGTAGCTGTGTGTTTGGGGACAAGTTATTGAGCTCTCTGAGCCTCAGATAAATAATAAGGGCCAGTTATATAGATTTTCTGCCAAACTTGATCCAAAAGTTTTATATAAATTAACTCAATGCATTTATATATTTATCCATCTCTTCATACCATAAAAATAACCTCAGCTTTGGCCCATGTCTAGGAAAACACAGTAGGGAAGAGATGGAGAAAATATTTCTATATTCAAAGACCTGGTTTTAAGTTCAAAATAGAAGGTGTTTGTGCCTGTAACAATGAGAAAACAATTTAGGTTGACTTAATACGAGAATTTGAAGCAAGGGGATGGTGCCTGGGGAATAAGATTATTCTAAAAAGCCCCAAGGAAAGCTGTAATCCCTGAGTTAGACCTTGAAGAGAAGCTGGGCTTTGATGTGAAAATGAGGAGAGGAGGAACACAGGCAGGGGTAGGGGTGAGGGGATAGGGAGGAACACAGGAAGGGGTGGGGGTGAGGGGGTAGGAGGAGCACAGGAAGGGGTAGGGGTAAGGGGGTAGGAGGAGCACAGGCAGCAGTGGGGCTGAGGGGGTAGGGAGGAGTGCAGGCAGTGGTGAGAGGTGAGGGGGTAGGAGGAGTGCAGGCAGGGGTGAGAGGTGAGGGGGTAGGAGGAGCACAGGCAGTGGTGAGGCTGAGGGGGTAGGGAGAAGCACAGGAAGGGGTGGTGAGGGGGTAGGAGGAGTGCAGGAAGGGGTGGGGGTAAGGGGGGAGGAGTGCAGGCAGGTGTGGGGATGAGGGGGTAGGAGGACTGCAGGCAGGAGTGGGGGTGAGGGGTTAGGGAGGAGCGCAGGAAGGGGTGGGGGTGAGGGGGTAGGAGGAGTGCAGGAAAGGGTGGGGGTGAAGGGGTAGGAGGAGCACAGGCAGGAGTGGGGCTGAGGGGGTAGGAGGAGTGCAGGCAGGAGTGGGGGTGAGGGGGTAGGGAGAAGCACAGGCAAGGGTGGGGGTGAGGGGGTAGGAGGAGCACAGGCAGGGGTGGGGATGAGGGGGAGGGAGGAGCGCAGGCAGGAGTGGGGGTGAGGGGGTAGGAGGAGTGCAGGCAGGGGTGAGAGGTGAGGGGGTGGAGAGGAACGCAGGCAGGGGTGTGAGGTGAGGGGGTAGGGAGGAGCACAGGCAGGGGTGGGGGTGAGGGGGTAGGAGGAGCACAGGCAGGGGTGGGGGTGAGGGGGTAGGAGGAGCACAGGCAGGGGTGGGGGTGAGGGGGTAGGAGGAGCACAGGCAGGGGTGGGGGTGAGGGGGTGGGGAGGAGCACAGGCAGAGGTCGGGGTGAGGGGGTAGAGAGGAGCGCAGACGGGTGGGGGTGAGGGAGTAGGAAGGAGCACAGGAAGGGGTGGGGATGAAGGGGTTGGGGGCACGTAGGAAGGGGTGGGGGTGAGGGGGTAGGGAGGAGCACAGGAAGGGGTGGGGGTGAGGGGGTATGGAGAAGTACAGGCAGGGGTGAGGGTGAGGGGGTAGGGATGAGCACAGGAAGGGGTGGGGGTGAGGCAGTAGTGAGGAGGACAGGAAGGGGTGGGGTGGGGGGGTAGGGAGGAGCACAGGAAGGGGTGGGGGTGAGGGGTTAGGAAGGAGTGCACATAGGGGAGGCAGAAAGGCAGGCATGAGGGAAACCTTCCTGATGCTTCTCCAGGAAAGGGTGTGTTTAGGAGTTGGAGCATTGGGTCTTGGGTACCAGCTTATTCATAATTGACAATTTCTTTAGACCAGTGGACAGCAGTCCTGACTTATCTCTCATGGCCTTCTTTTCTCAAAAGTGACCAGGATCCACATAATCAATCCCTTTGAAGCAACCCGCGAGAGTTCTCGCTCGCAGTGCAGGGAGTGTTTGTTGAGTGGCTATTTTGTACCTGGAGATTCATTTGTGTTCTCCTGGGTTCATCCACATGCAGGGGTGAGAGCAGGACAACCTCCGTGGCGGAGGCGAGTCTTAGGGAAACTTCAGCGTGGCTGAATCTCCCACAGCATCTCAGCCTGTGTTCACCTTTAGGTCTGTCTCTCCACCTTCTTCTTCACTCACTTCTTTTTGTCTTTGGAGAAGCCACGTCACTCTCGCAGGTTTTCTGTGCTGCTCAACATCTAAAATGATAACCTTTGTTTTCTTTTGCATTTGTGGGTGTCCTGATTTTCTCCCAGCTACTATAGCTTTTTTCTCTTCGAATTCACTTATGTATTCATTTCTCACATTCTCCAATGAATTCTCTCTCTAACTCTTCCACTCTTCACTGGTTTTGTACCAGATGTTTATCTCTGACTTATGGTTTTCTTCTTGCTCTTTTTCTCTTTTACTCAATTAATTTAGTCTTCATTTTGCTGGTCTCCATTCTGGGCCCCAGAGCCGCTGAGTTCAGCTTCAGTGTTCAGGCTGGTCAAGAAGAGCACGGGCTTCGGGATCAGCAGGACTTCGGATGGAAGGCGGTTCTACTGCTTCAATAGCTGTGTGTTTGGAGACATGTTATTGAGCTCATTGAGCCTCAGTGTTCCCATACTTGAGGATAAAACCACCTACCCCTTGGGATTTTCGTGAAGATTAAATGGGGTACTGCAGACTGTGTGTGCTACTCAGTGCCTTGCCTGGCAGAGAACAGAGCCCAGTGAATGGCAGCCATGAGCTATGATTCATTGTTCAATGCCATCCTAGTTCAAGCTCAAGGAGTACTTTTTAACATTTACATCTTGCATGTATTTACGTAGAATGGCTGCATGTGACCTCTTGTCCACTACAAAACCAAAATGAGGGACATGGTGGGAAGAAGCTAATTTATTATATCATTAAGAGATACTGAGAGAGAGAGAGAGTGTTAAATGGGCAGTTTTGTCAGGCCCAGAGGTTTGGATTTGTTTTAAAAGGCAAAGGAGACTCACTTCTTAAAGGAGTGACACTGGGCACCTAATTCCTGGAGACTTATTTGGCAATTGGGTGGAATGCTTTAGCGAGATTGGAGATCAGGAAACCATTTAGGGGCCTCAGTGATGATCTGAGAGATAGAAAGTGCCAGATTAAGGGCTAACCAGAGAGGAGGGGTGAATGGGGTGCATAAGACAGTAGAAGAGCAATGGAGGGTGGAGAAAGTAGAATCGAACCAATATTTTTTCTGTTAGATATCAGGGAAGTGGCTGCTTCAAATTAATACAAATGAGGATTTTGCAAAAAGGAATCAGTAGGAAAAGAAACACTGAAGCAAATTTTAGGCAGATGATGACTCTAATGTCACCTAGGATGGATTTCAAAATCAAAACCAAATCGAGTCAGAAGTGAGGGGCTGTATACAGGAATCATCAGCACTGAGTCACTAACTGAATTTTTTTTTTACTTTATTAGTTTGTCACAAGGTTATCGAGTGCCTACTATGTGCCAAGCATCATTCTATGAGCTAGAGATACAGGAGTGAATGAACTGAAGTCCCTGCCCTCCTGGAGCTTACATTCAAGTGTAAGAGTGAGTGGGCATTCAAGGAAATCATGATGGTCAGTCACATTGACTTTGGGATGGCACCGTGTTCAGCACTTTATTTGGATTATTTATGTTATTTATTTCTTTTGACAACCCAGTGAGATAGATATTATAATCTCCATTTTATAGATGAGGAAATGGAGGCTCAGAGAGGCTAAGGCAGGAGGAAAAGCAGAAGGCTTAAGACTGAGCTTTGCAGGATATTCACTGATGAAGCTGGGAGGGAGAAATAAGTATAAAAAATATAAAAGACTATAAATTGGGTGCAGTGTATACTGCTCGGGTGATGGGTACACCAAAATCTCACAGATCACCACTACAGAACTTACTCATGTAACCAAACACCACCTATACCCCAACAACCTATGGAAAAAATAAAAATAAATTTAAAAAAAAAAGAAGGTGATATGGTTTGGCTGTGTCCCCACCCAAATCTCATCTTGAATTGTAGCTCCCGTAATTCCCACATGTCGTGGGAGGGATCCTATGGGAGGTAATTGAATCATGGGGGTGGGTTTTTCCCCGTGCTGTACTCATGATAGTGAATAAGTCTTATGAGATCTGATGGTTTCATAAATGGGAGTTCCCCTGCACAAGCTTTTTTGCCTGCTACCATGTAAGATGTGACTTTGCTCCTCATCAATATTCCTCCATGATTGGGAGGCCCCCCCAGCCATGTGGAACTGTGAGTCCATTAAACCTCTTTCCTTTATAAATTACCCAGTCTTGGGTATGCCTTTATTAGCAGTGTGAGAACAGACTAATACAGAAGGTAAAGGAGGAGTCAGAGACATGGGAGATAAATTTAAAAAAAGCTGGAAGTGGTGATCAATGTCAAGTGCCTCAGGAAGTTTAGCAGAATAAGAAATGAGATAAGGTCTCAGGAATTGGCTGGAGAGATCTCCTGATGATGTTCCGTGGTCAGTCTCCCCAAGTAGTACAAATAGATGCCAGATTTCAGATTCCTCCTCATATTGAGGAATCACTAGTGAGAAGATGGACAGAGACCTCTCATCCCAGGAGTTAGAGAAAGAAGTGAAATAAAATAACAGTTAACAAACATGAACACGTGAAGTTATTTTCTATGTGGAGAAAACTTCCCATGAGGGGAAGTGTCGAGGAGAGAATGAGATGTTGGTGAAGTAGAGAAGAAGAAATGTCCCAGAGGGTTGGAGGAGGCAGGATTGATGGCCATGTTAGAGGGGCCAACCTTGGGTGGGAAGGTTCAGCTCTCCCCTGAGAGTGCAGCGAAGGGTCAGAGAAGAGAGGTAAGGCATGGATTTGCTGAAATGGAGCAATATAATGGGCTAAGTGGGATTCCTGCTTTGAACAGCTAACTTTTTCTTCTCTCTCTCTCTCTTTTTTTTTTTTTTTTTTTTTTTTGAGACGGAGTCTCACTCTGTCACCCAGGCTGGAGTGCAGTGGTGTGATCTTGGCTCACCGCAACCTCCGCCTCCCGGGTTCAAGCGATTCTTCTGCCTCAGCCTCCCAAGTAGCTGGGATTACAGGCAGACACCACTACGCCCAGCTAATTTTTGTATTTTTAGTAGAGATGGGGTTTCACCATATTGGCCAGGCTGGCCTGGAACTCCTGACGTCGTGATCCACCCACCTTGGCCTCCCAAAGTGCTGGGATTACAGGCATGAGCCACCACACCTGGCCCTAACTTTTTCTTTGAGCAGTAAGATCCCATGTCATCAGGTACAAGTCTTGGTCAGCAAAAAGCATTGGTAACTAAAAAGAGGGAGGAATATTTGCAGTCGTCTCTCTAAGGCATCCATCAAATGGAACTTACTATTCACTTGGTTGTGTTGTTGATGTCTACTGCCGTTTATTTATTTATTTTGGATTTTTAAAATAGCCATTCCTCTTATCCTGTTGGTGCATGTCTTGTTCTTGTAGAAAAATGCTGGTGATATTAAAAGGAAATTTGTATTTGCACTTTTGTTAGTCTTTCGCATCCTCTTCCTGTCAACTTTATTAGTGTGAAATGCCATTAATCATTACAGTGTCATAAAACACATTTTACAAAAATGTCATTTTCCTCCAAGGTTTATTTCTACCATTCTAAGAGATATTTGTATTGGAAATAGCTTTCATTTTGAGCCTTTCATCTTGAACTCCATAGTTATTCCTGGGACTACTGCCCCTTAGTTGATAATTGGTTTCGGATGCCTGTTACAGACTTTGTAATCTCCTGAGGGAGCTCTGTAAAGGGATGGGTTAGGCTGATAAAAAGACCCTTAGTTTTTGAACAAAAATCACCATATGGCCTTTCCCTAGGACCATGTGTTCAAAGCCTGGAAGGTTGAGAAACCCAGCTAGGGTCATAATAAGGTAGAAAGAAGCTCTTTGCCCCTGGGAGACTGAGGAGTGGTCAGCTGCTGAAGGATCTGAAAAATGAAAACCAGGGTTGTTGGTAAATTGCACAGGCTCCTGTAATTCAGGTCTGGGATATAACAGTAAAGCTACTCAGAGAACAGGAATGGGTTGAAAGCTTGAAGAATGAATATAGATGTTGAGGGAAAATCCAAGAGTTGCTAGGTTTCTAAAGAGGGTTTACTTGGAGGGCACCCGCAAAGTTGCCAGGGTGGGTGAGGGGGAGGGAGAGAGGGTGTGAGCAGGCAGAAATATGAGAGAAGGAGCTGCTGGATCAGCTGGTTGGCATTCTCCTTTGCCTCACAGTCAACGTTTAAGGCTGCTAAATGGTATGTGACTCTTCTCCATTTCCACTCTAGAACCAGACAGGTCAGGAGCCGTCTTTTTCTGAGCATATAACCTTTATTAAAAGCCTGAAGAATTCCTAAAGCCTAAAGAAATGGTATAATATGACCATTTCTTTTTGGAAGTGGTAGCATTTTTTACTGCTGTCTTCCTTGGTATTCTGACTATTGTGTCTTCTCCATCCATGGAAAGTGCACCAGATGAGTGCAGTTGTGTGTGTGTGTGTGTGTGTGTGTGTGTGTGCATGTGGTGTTGAGCATTTTATTGGTCTGAAATGGGAGCTCTTGGTTCTGTATCAGGGCACTAGAGGGCCACTTTCTTGGTAAGAATGGTACTTTGCTTGATTTTTTTTTCTCAGCACTCCTGAAAGATGGACAAAATAACCTTATTCATAGATAAGTGGCTAGTCCCTTTATATCATTTAGGGTGCTCTTGGCTTCAAATAACCAAAGGGTCAATATTAAGTGGCTTAAACATTAAAGAAGTTGATTATCTTATAAAACAAGATGAAGTATGTAGCCTCTAAGAGGGCGCTCAACCATCGCTGCTTCCTGGTATTCATGCCTTTGAGTGTGAGATTTTGTGACTCATTATAAACCAGTGATTCTCGACTGGGAATGATTTGTCCCTGTAGGACATTTGGCAATGTCTGGATACATTTTTTTTTTTTGGTCACAACTGGGGCTGGTGGTGGTAATACTGGCATCTAGTAGGTAGAGCTCAGGGATGCTGCTAGCTATTCTATAATGCACAGGACAGCCCTGGCAACAAAGAATTATCCAACCTAAAATGAATGTCGGTGGTACCGTGGTTGAGAACCTCTCAGTTAAAAGAATAGAATGTAGCAGGAATAATAGGATTGGGTTATAAAGACTGATCTCCATCCTGGGGTTCTTTTTATCACTCTCTTTATTTCTTAAGATCTCTTTCTCTTGGGGAAGCCAGTTGCCATGCTGTAGAGTGGCCTGTGTGAGGAAGCTTGGGAGTAGATCCTGCCCCAGCTCAACCTTGAGATGACTGTAGCCCTCGCCAGCATCTTGCTTGTAGCCTTCTTGTGGGAGACCCTGAGCCCGAATTCCTCACCTACGCTGCTCTGATTCCTGGTTCACTGAAGCTGTGAGATAATGTTTGCTATTTTAAGCTGCCAAAGTTTGGGGTGATTTGTTACACAGCAATAGACAACTAATACATAAGGAGTGTGGAGGAAAGGTGGTTTCAGAATTGGATCAGAGATTCAACGATGGCATCTGAGCCCAGATTCTCTCTGTGCCTTCACTCAGCCATCTTCTGTGCGTTGGCTGGTCCTTGGGCTTGGATGGCTGCTCTGGCATCACACACTCAAATCCAAAGGCTTCCAGGAAAGAGAGTTTCTTCCTAGGCATCTGTTGATCAGGGAGGTAAACTTCTCTTGGGAGCCACCTACAGACTTTCCCCTCAGATCTTTGTGGTCATGATTAAGACACTTAATGATATCTTAGTTGTAAGGCAGGCTGGGAAAATAAATATTAGGTATTTTCAGTCCCTATCATGGGAAGTGGTTGCTATTAGCAGGAGAGAAGAACAAGACTAAGGAATAGATAATTCTATACCTTTCCCTCTGTGAGTAGAAGCCTGTAGCTTTGGACAACTTTCCCTCGGTAGCAATAGCCATATCATGACTTTAAGACTCTATTTTGTTCTCTGGGCACTGACTGCTTGGACAATTGAACGTATCATTCACCTGTTCTCTTTCGTAGTGGGTATTTTCCCACCGAGACATGCTTGCATGCAGAGATTGGTAAAAGAGGGAGAGAGGGAAAGCCTGTATGGGTTCAGGGATTTTGCTCTTGGCTGCTGGTTGAACCTCAGGGGATTGCTGCTGTAATAGGAGCATTGTTTCCTCTGAAAGTTTGGGCAGAGTAGTTGAAGAGGGATGAACTGTGGCTTAATAGTTTCGCTTTTTCTTAAGCTTCAGTGCAACCACTGCTGCTGCTGACTGTGGCCATAGCCTTCTAGAAGAGAAATTATGGGGAGAAACGAAATCACATATTTTTATCCTCATGACTGCATTGGAAGTGGTGGGGAAATGAAGAATATATATGAGGGAGAAAAGTTTGTACACCCAATGACCTGCAGAGAAATGGTTGAGCACAGATTCTGATTTAGAAATAGGGAGACCCAAGGTGATGCCTGAGTTGCAAGAATAGGTAGTTTAACAGAGAGAGGCAGAGGCTTTGGGGATAAGATTATGGGATTTGGAGAGAAACATGTTCAAATCTCATCTCTGTTCCTTATTAGCTGTGTTATCTTGAGCAAGTCATTTAACCTCTCTGAAGCTCAATTTTACAATCTGTAGTACATGACAACACTCGCCATAGTAAGCACCACTTTTTCTTCTCTACCATGAAACATCAAGTCGTGTCACTTCTGTTTGGCAGAATCTTGAAGGCTTTTCCCCCACCTGTTTTTTTACAGCCCCCTTTCACCCTCTCATTCCTCATTCCTTTCTGAGGACATCCATGTGCTTGTGTATCTCACCATGTGGAAAAAGGATCTGAGGAACACAGGCAGTACCAGGGACCAGGATTTAATTTCTTACTTATCTAGAACATATTTGTAGTTTGAAAGAGGAGGACTTGATGGATACAGGCTTAATGCAAAAGCATAAACCATGACTAGTAAGACATCAGCAGGGAAACATTCATTTGGGAAGCTATGTATAGGCAACAGCATCTCCTTCTTGTGTCCAAGATTAACTTTATCAATGCAAAGTTCTCATGAGAACAAAAGGGCTGCATACAACCCTAGCTCATGCCCTCTTTGCCTCACTGCATGATTTTTTTTAACTTCTTCTTTCTTTTTTACTTTTTTTTGAGACAGTCTCGCCCTGTTGCCCAGGCTGTAGTGCAGTGGCCCGATCGTGGCTCACTGCAACCTCCACCTCCTGGGTTCAAACGATTCCCCTGCCTCAGCCTCCCAAGTAGCTGGGATTACAGGCACCTGCCACCATGCCCACCTAATTTTTTGTATTTTTGGTAAAGACAGGGTTTCACCATGCTGGCCAGGCTGGTCTCCAACTCCTGACCTCATGATCCGTCTGCCTTGGCCTCCCAAAGTCCTGGGATTACAGGCGTGAGCCACCGTGCCCGGGCTTCTTCTTTCTTTTCTAAGGAATGAATACTCTTCTTTTACATCCTGCTTCAGGGCAGAGACATATTGGGAAAGTTCATTTCTTTGTAGAGGGTCTGGGGTGAGGGGCAGAGCTGTCCCCAAGTCTGTGAAGCTTTGGGTAACCCCTTCCCCACTGGTATTCTGGAAACAATGGGGCGCACACTTCCCTATATTCCTGACTTGACACTGTACTGCCCCTTTGAAGCCCTTTTCCCTTCAAAATGTCCATTTTAAATTGATTTCATAAGGCTAAGAAACTCAGAAGTAAACATTGACCCTAGGAAGAAGTGAATGGAGTGGTTAAGAACTTGGGTTCTGCAGTTAGACTGCCTAGTTCAAATCCCCATGTTGCTTTCCACTCAATAGTCATGACTTTGAGTACGCATTTTTTGTTTTTTGTTTGTTTGTTTGTTTGTTTTGAGATGGAGTCTCGCTCTGTCGCCCAGGCTGGAGTGCAGTGGCGTGATCTCGGTTCATTGCAACCTCTGCCTCCCGGGTTCAAGCAATTCTCCTGCCTCAGCCTCCTGAGTAAATAGCTGGGATTACAGGTGCCCCCCTGCCCCACCACGCCCAGCTAATTTTTTTTTTTTTTTTTTTTGGTATTTTTAGTAGAGGTGGGGTTTCACCATGTTGGCCAGGCTGGTTTTGAACTCCTGACCTCAAGTAATCCACCAGTCTCAGCCTCCCAGAGTGCTGCTGGGATTACAGGCATGAGCCACTGTGACCAGCCTGAGTATGCCTTTTAAGTAGCCTCCCCAATCCTCAGTTTCCCCATCTGTAAAGCTGGATTAATGACAGTAATACTGATATGCAATGCTTATTTGAGCCCTAGTCATGGGCCAAGACCCGTTCAAATACTTTATACATATTGACTTGTTTAATCCTTTCAGCAGTCTGAGAGCTGAGTGTCATTATCCCTTTTCTGTGTGTACAGAGCTGAAGCAAGGTGAATTAAATGACTTGCCCAAGGTCACACAGCCAGTCAGTGGGTGAACCAGCATTTCAGTCTAGGTGGTATGGGCCCAGGGCCTCTGCTTCTAACCACTCTCCACTGCCTTGATTTTATAGGATTCCTCTGGGGACTCACTGAGATGATGCAGGCAAAATGATGCAGTGGCCCCTTGATGGTTGTTATCATTCTTTCTATTTATTGGTCTACTTTCTAAAGAAAAGCTGAACTATCCTCTTAAATGTTCATCAGGTTAAAGAGTTGCCTACTACTAATGCTTAAAAGTTGCCGGAAAAAAATGTAAATGAAGCCGTTTCCTTCGTTTGTTCCCTCTTTCAAGTTCAAATGCTGCCAGTTAGAACTTTCATGTATTAAATACCTGAAGGTGGGTAGGGCAGGTGGTATGACCCCCACTTTAAATGTGAGAAAGGGGAAGCAGGGATGGATCCCATGGCATGGCTAGTTGGTGGTGCAGTGAGGACTACCATCCAAGTAACCTCTTGCCATAACCCAGTGGGAGGTCGACATGGATAGGGTGGAAAAGTAACTGACAGTGAACCTTGGTGGTCGAGAACAATCATGTCTGTTGTTAGATCATGATCTTTTTGGATCAAATACCACCACCATGTCTTTGTCACTACATAATGAGCCTCACAAGGGGGTGGCTTGTAGAGGAATCAGTCATATATCTTCACCTTAAAAATGTTGCAAAGGAGAAGTGAGGGCCAGCGACTGAGTTGGTTTGTAAGGAGCACGGGAAGTAACTGCCGTATTATTGAAGCTGACCTTCTGCTTAAACCTGTAGCCATTTCATCAATCACCTACGGTTAGGTCCCCTGAAGGTCAGTCAAATGATTCTGTTAATCGCCCGCTTATTCTCAGGTTCTCGCTTCAGGAATAATAAATTTTTAAAACTTTTTAAAAAATGAAAAGTTGGGTGACAGGTGTGTATGGAAGAAAAATAATCAGATGGAAGAACAGTCATTTAGGAGCAAGCAGCCGGAGCAAGTGCTGGAAAAAAAGGTAAAAGTTTTCCATGGCTGAGGGAGACCTCACTGACTCACAGGACTGTGCCTGGATGAAAGAGAGGGACAAGGTTTTGATTTAGCTGCAATATGTCATCAACGCCACTAGGCCCTGTGCTGCTTGGCACCAAGTGCTTCCAATACTGAGTAAGAAATGTTCAGAGCTGCCCATGGAGACGTTCCTTACAGAATTAACCATACAGATAAAGTCCTCATCAGTGACACGTTCTGATGGACAGGTTCCTATGAAATCAGAGAGCTGCCTGACCCATTTTTCACTCGTCACCTAAAATACCAGCCTTTCTTTTTGTTATGCAGCTGATTTGGGGGCAACAAAAACCACACACTCCAACCCCTAAAGAGTTATATCTGCTTTATTAAACAAGTTTCTTTGTGTGCAGAAATAGACGCTGTTATTGACAAGATGGAGAAGTGGAGCCACTGACTCAAAGTGTAGGTTAGGGAATTGCTTGGTTACATGGTTATGTAATACCACAGTTATTTCAAGATCATGGGCCTCCATGTCAGAAAAACCTGTGTGGGGTCCTCATTCTGTACAACTATGTGACCTAGGGCAAGTTGCTTAACCACTCTGAGTGTCAGTTTCCTAATTGGTAGATAGTAATCATCTTATTTGCTCCATTGGGTTGCTGTAATGTTCACATGAAATCTTTCATTCATTCAAAAAATGTTTATTGATGTAATAAACATCCTATAATAGCAAGAGGTTAAAAGCATAGATTCTGGAATCAGAAGATCTGTGTTAGAATTCTGGTTTCAATGCTTCCTTGGACAATTTGCTGAAGCCCTTTGAGCCTCAGTTGTTGCATCAGAGATAAGAGTATCTGCCTTATAGGCTTGCTGTGGGAATTTGATAAGTTTCTCTATGTAAAGTCCTTAGAATGTGTCTGGCACCTAGTTAGTGCTATGTCAATGTTAGCCATTATTATGTGGTATGGACAACAGCAAGCCAAAAGAAAAATAAAAGATTGGGGGTGGGGGGGAAGAAACAGAGGCATGATCTCTGCCCTTCATGGAACTTCTGGTTTATTAGGGGAAGACAAGAAAGGGCTATTGCACAGAGCCTGCTGTATAGTAAATATTCAATAAATTGTAGTGTTATGATTTCGGTTTTCGTCCCCTTCAAACCTCATGTTGAAATTCAATCCTCAGTGTTGGAGGTGGGACCTAATGGGAGGTGTTGTGGTCATGGGAGTGGATCCTTCATAAGTAGATTAATGCCCTCTCTCTGCGGTGAGTTCTTGCTGTATTGGTTCCCATGAGAACTGGTCGTCACAAAGAGCCTGGCACCTCACTCTTCTCTCTGTGAGATCCTCTTGCACTGTGTGATCTCTACACATGCTGTCTCCTCTTCATCTTCCACTGTGAGTGGAAACAGCCTGAGGCTCTCACCAGATGTAGATGCTGATGCCATGCTTCCTGTACAGTCTGCTGAACTGTGAGCCAAATAAACCTCTTTTCTTTATAATTTACCCAGCCTCAGGTATTCCTACATAGCAACACAAAACAGACTAAGACGGGTAGCTGTAAGTTTCATCACTGTTACTGAATTTGCTTGGCTGAAGTCACGAGAAGCCAGAATCTGAATGGCAGAGGTGAGCTGTAAGTCATGTATATGCCACATGTCAAGCCTATACCTCCTTCTAGTTCCTAATCTTGTATATGGGATAGATGTATCCTTTGAGATAGGCAGGGAAATAGAGGTGGCTGCCTGACAGCCCACTCATAAAGCATATTTCTACCCATGATGAAACATGCTGGGCTTCTCCAGCTTTGGTTGGTTGATTCAGTTGTATATTACTTGTACCCAAGAGAACATGGACTGCCACATGCCAGAATATCTTGAGTGATTAACTTTATAAGGCTTCAGCAAGAAGTTGCTGTTGAGAAATGTGTCCCAGAATGCCAAAGACGAGGAACAACAAAAGTGTCTTCACATATGCAATGGATACATGCCTGAAAACTTGGGGATCAAATGGAATGAAACCCATTTTCTCATTAACTTTCATTGCACCATTGGAGATTAAGTCCACTAAAAAAATTGACTGCAAAATCTCTACTTTTCATAGAAATGTGTGCTCTAAGAAATAATAAAGCTGTGTGTTATCTTCCCGACCACTATTTTCTACTCATTAGCAGGGAGACAGATAATAGAAGTTTTTTTCTTTCCTCTCTCCTTCCCTTCTCTTTCTCTGCCTTCCTTTCCCTTCTTTCCTCCCTCCCTTCCTTCCTTTCTTCTTCTCTCCCTCCCTCCAGAAGGAAAAGAGCTTCCAAGAGACAGGAGAGCAGAGACACACCTAAGCTTTCAGGATGCAGCTCTGAAGCAGGTCACAGCATATTTCTGAGAACAAAAACTGTGATCTCCTGCCCTTTCTGCTTCCTGGGAAGTTGGTTTCTTTATTTGGCATTTGTTTAGCATTTATTTACAAAGTTTAGATAGCAGCTGTGACTTCAGCAGGTACACAGAGAGAAGAGCTAGCAGGCTGCCAAATTCCACGAGTACAAATCAAATGTAATGCCATGTTCCGTGAGTTCTCCGTATTATGTGGAATTAAACTTTGGACTGTCGAGTTGCTCTATGAGAAGGGACGCTTCCACTGATCTCTGCAAGCCAGTGGTTAACATTAAAGATGAGACGTGTGTCTGGCTGGGATGCATCAGGGCAGTTCTATTTGAAAGGGGGCGGGATGTGTGGGGCATTGTTGGCGAGAAAGAGCGGATGGGCTAGATATTGGCTTTCTGGCTGAATTGGGCTGGGCCTCTCTAATAATAGCTCTCAGAGGGAAAGGCCAATTTGCTCTCCTGCTGTTTTCTAGAATGCTTAAATTCCCTTTTCTCAGTGGCCCAGTTATGTACCTTAAGCATATGGGAACTCCAGCAACTATCTGCCCCAAATTGCACATCCTGAGCACATTTCTATCAATGTGCCATTTTGATGGGAGCAGAGACAAGAAGGGGGGTGGCAGAGATTGCCCCATGCCAGCCGAGAGCGTGACAGTCAGTCACCCTTGCAGGGGGACTGCGGAGGAAGTTTCAGTGCCTGAGGGTGCCGCGTGTGTCAGTGGAGCTTTGTCACCATCTGTGGCAGGAGTGGGGAGTGAGAAGACCATGTGTGAATCAACGCGGGAGAGTCTGCCTGGTTCTGGCTGGTGAATTCTTTGTTTGTTTGATTTTACTTTTTTTGGTTTGAGAGCTAGACACAACGATAACAAATGCTTGCCTCTCTACAGAATTCAAGATAGAAGGATCTTGTTTTCTTCTCCCCCCGTTACTTCTTTCTCTATCATCCTGAACACTCCCATGTTCTATTTCTCCAGCTCCAACCTTCCCTACATGTGACCCAAGATTGGGATTGTACAAAGATCAGTTAATAGGTTCATATTCTTTCTTTCTCATGATGTCTGGGAAATCACTAAATCTTGCATTGCTCTTTTCCCAGCATTTAGTCAACTCAAGGCTTCTCATTTATCTGCACCACATATTTGTAGCGGGAAAAAGCAAAACGGAGAGGCATTGAATTCACTCAAGCCATATACCCTTTGATTGTTCAAGCAGGTTGGAACAGAGTGGAATGTGTTTTTGTACCATGTGGTTGGACCACGGAAGTATAGAATTGGAAGGCCAAAAAGGTTAGATGGAAAAAAGTGGTGGCAAATTTTGCTGGCCCACTGAAGTGACAATGCTAACACCAATGTTTTCCTCAGCCTTGTAAGCTTTCCTTCTTGGTCCAGGAACAAACAGTTTCTATTTAGTATTTTTGCTGTGGGAAAACGTATCTAGGACTCAGCTGCTTCGGCTCAGGGGCTGACTTTCTGGTGAGTAAGAGTGACCTAGGGGAGAGTGTTGATGTGGATGCTTTCTGTTCTGGGAGCAGAGGTTCAGCTGTGTGGTTTGACTACTGTGTGCAGACACACTTCTGGTGAGGGGGAAGTAAAAAAAAATCATACGACTTTGTTGTTTTCCTTACAAAGCTCACAATGTAGGGATTTGTCAGTTTGTTAAGTCAAAATAGCAACACGGTGTGGAAAATCAAAGCTGACCTTTGCTTGGAGCCACGAGAAGAAAGGGAAGGAGTTGGGGTGAAGGTCTCTGAGGCTTCAAGAGGATGGGCATGCTTTTTCAAAAATCATGAAAAACAGAAGGGACTGAGCCTGTGTGCAGTATATAACTTTTTGCAAAAAAAATTTGTCCACTGTCTGTTTTTTCTTGTGTGTAGCCTTAAGTGTTGTACATAACCTTTTATAATTAGAGGTGGACAAATTCCCAGTACCTAGGACAAAGTCTGACACATAGTTGGTGCTCAATAAATGTTAGTTGAATAAATAAATACATCTTATTAGCCATCACTTGGACTTGACACAAGAAGGTATGGATTGTTTTTCTAGATAATAAGTTCCTTTTAAAGGTATAGATGGGGTGCTTATAACACCCCTTGAACTCCTAAATTATGCTTGGTACATTGTAGTATATCTAATTTAATCTCACAGAAGCCACGCAAAGGAGTTTATTGTCTTTTTTAAATTTTTCGTCTTATTTTATTTCAATTTTTATTTTTATTTTTTTTTGGAGACAGGATCTTGCTCTGTCACCCAGGCTGGAGTGCAGTGGTGCAATCATAACTTATGGCAGCTTCGAACTCCTGGGCTCAAGTGAGCCCAGACTCTTGAGTAGCTGGGACTACAAGCATGAGCCACCACGCCGGTCTTATTTTCAAAATTTTTATAGAGCAAAGGTCTTGCTGTGTAGCCCAGGCTGGTCTCAAACTCCTGGCCTCAAGCATTCCTCCAGCCTCAGCCTCCCAAAGCCCTGGGGTTACGGGTATGAGCCACCACACCCACCCCTTATTATCCTTCTTTTAGAGATGACAAAACTGAAGCTCAGAGAGGGTAAATTACTTACTGATGACACATAGCCCATTAGTGACAGGAGCAGCATTTGCTCTCCTGTCCTGACCCCCATTTGGTACTCTGTCCTCGACCCCCCTGCTAGCTCATGTTAATGTTCGTAGCTGATTGCAAAGTTAGTCTTTTAAACAAGGAAATAAATGAAATGAGGGAATTTTATTTCCCATCAGATTTCATCTCGCCTAGAGAGATTTATGTCCCTGGATTGTATTTCATGGAGTCTTTTTATGAGCAGTTAGATTTATAGGTAATAATCAATAGAGTGCTGAGCTGGGTTTCTGTTGCATACATATACCTTCAGAGAGCAGCTAAAATGGTCAAGGAAGAGACAGGCTTCATAGTTCCCATGCAGCATCCTAATTGAGCTGACACTGTTGGAGGGGTGGGGGCAAGAAGAGGAGTGAGACAGAGCCTACACTTGGAGGGCTGCTTGGGAAACAGTTGGGGGCCCACTGTATATTTGGAGAAAGTAAGCCACCAGAAGGGGCTCATCTGTCAGGAGAGGGCATGACTCTTATATCAAAGTCTACATGTGCAGCCTGGGCAACATGGCGAAACCCCGTCTCTATAAAAAATACAAAAATTAGCTGTACATGGTAGTGTGTGCTTGCAGTAGGCTAAGGTGGGAGGATTGCTTGAGCCCAGGAGGTTGAGGCTGCAGTGAGCTGTGAGCACACCACTGCACTCCAGCCTGGGCAACAGAGCGAGACCCTGCCTCAAAACAAACAAAAAGCAAAACCCAAAAATCCCTAAGGTCTACATGTGTATGTTTCCACAAATGAATACCTTTGAAGGTATCCCTGTTTGGACCTGAGTACATCCTGGAACACCTTAGGAGCCTGAATTTGAGGGCGGTCTGTACTCAGAAGAGCTACATGGAGCTGAGGTGCCTGACGCTTGATATTCATCATTTTGCTTGGGGGTTATATGTGATCCTAGACTCCATGTATCTGTCTGTGCAGGACTGGGTCTACTCACGTGTGCTCCATACTTCCCTTTTATGAGTCTTTTTCTTGCCCTTTTGGGCTTGCCTTGTTTAATTTCTGCAGGGCTTCAGTATCTAACAAGACATCATCTGATAAGAGGACTTAAGCTATTTCTTCTCTTAGGTATATTTGAGTTTAATTTTCCTACCTTTGGAGACCAGAAAACCTTTAAGAGGCAAAGAATGAATTGCTAATTATGGGATTCCAGGGTATTGAGAGAGTAGTGTTGTAATAATTTCGGGGGCAAAGAGCTCTTCTCAGATGCCTCTCAAATATGATCACAGAGGCCATTGGTTCCTAAACTTTGAAGAATAACCTGGGGAAGGTATTAAAAATACAGGCAGTCAAGAGTAGGACTGGCAATCCAGTCACGCAGGTTTAGAATAGGACTCAAGGACCTCGATGTCTGAGACCTTGTGTAGAGACAGATACTTGTTCTGCATTTGTGTAGGAATGGAAGTCACCAGTGTGAGGGTAGGCACACATGCATTTGCGTGGTTGTGCACCTGGATGCATGTGGACTTACAGGACCTGGAGCTTTGAGTCATAGTTCCTTTTCTGACAATGTGACTTTGAGCTCCTCCCCAAGCTATAATCATGGCTTCTACCTCAAGAGAAAACAAGTGGTAGGCATTTTCCTTGTTTACTGGAGGGATTCAGGTGATTGAAGGTGGCTGCTGCCCTTTCTTTGAGTCTTCGGAACTCTAGTGTAAATGTACTGTTGAGCCCCACTAAACTTTCATTAAGTCCTCCCTCTGCTTCCTGGATGGCTAAAAGCGTTCAGCTATAGGGTGTAACGATCACTTTGTAGTGTTTTTATATTTATGCTTTCCGTAGCTTTGCAATGTCAAATGTCATGTTTTCCTTCCCTCATTTCCTTCAATTCTTTCTCGCTTCCCTCCTTTTATCTTAGGTGCAGAAATCAGTATGAAACTTCGTATTCACAGAAGCAGCTCTATAGTTCTTCCCATTAGCCTGTGTGTATTATATATATGCATATCACTTGTGCATTTGTATTGGCAGTGCATGCTTATAAATGCTGCCATAAAGCTCAGTTCTTCCATCCAGGATGGGAATGGAGTTGTTAAAGACTGTTGATGAGGTGGCATCTCTTGGCCAACAGTTTTATGCTGCACTAGCTCTGAGCAGATAACATTAATAGGAATCACATTTTAAAGTTGTAAATTTGATGTAAAATACTAAATTTGACAATAATTGCATTCTAAAGCAAAAATCCTATTTATTAAAGGGTTCCTGCCTCTTCCTCATGTGAGGGGATCTGAAATTCTTGCTCATACCTGTCCCTAGCAATTATCGTGCTTTCTCTAAAATTCTGCCTTATTTTTCCATTTTCATAACAACTACATTATGATGTGACATATTTTTCCAGATATTTTGCTTGAATAAATAAATAGGATATTAAATTCAACTGGGGTATTAGATTATAAATTAGTTCTGTAATAGGCGTCATAATGTTATTTAGGTTTTCAGTTTACACAGACCTTGTAGCAACTCCCCAGAGCTATGCTACAGAATTAGAAGTAGATGGAAGTTGATGTAAGAAAATTGGTTTTTGTAATATGCTGATGCCAGTAGAGTTGTGCTGTGTGTAAGTAAACGTATTTAAATAGCACGCTCCTACTTACTTGATTGTACAGACAAAAGATTGATAATAATTTCAAATGATTGATTTGTTGGTGCTGATATTGGCCATATGTGAAACTAAAATATTTCTTTCCAAAATTGAAGCAGTACTTCCCGTGTGAGGGCTAAGAATCCGGGTTGTAGAAAGCATAAGACTATCCTCTGAATAGATGTTTCTTTTTCATCTGATTGGTGTAACAGTGGTATCACAAATATTTCTTAGCGGCAAAGTTTCTTGGTCCTTTTAGTTATATTTCACATGGAGGAAGATACTCTACCCAGGAACCCTGTGTGGTTATTGAAGTCATTAGCAAGGAGGGTATAACCTTAGTGAATCATTACCCATGGGACACAAATGGAAAACATGCACATTTAATTTAAAAAAAAATGTAGATTTGCTAGGTGAGGGCCAATAGCAGCTTAAAAAGGGAGCAACTGGGTAGCAAAAGGAATTTGTCTTTTTGGTGGTCTCTTTCATCTCCCTAAACCAAGGGTTGGCAAGTTATGGCAGATAAGACAAATCTAGCTGCTGCCAATTTTTGTATAACTCATCAGTTAAGAATGGTTTTTGCATGTTTAAATGGTTGAATAAAAATCAGAGGAGGAGTAATGCTTCATGACACATGAAAATGATATGGAATTCAATTTCAGTGTAGATAAATAAAGTTTTATTGGAACGCAGCCATGCTCATTTGTTTACATACTGTCTATGGCTGCTTCTCTACTACAACAGCAGAACTGAGTAGCGACGAAGGAGACCAGCTGGCCCACAGAGCCTAGAATCATCATCACTGTCTGGCCCTTTACAGAAAATGTTTGCTGGCCTCTGCTTTACAGTAAAACCAGGGTAGACTTCTGTGTTCTGGCCATATCAGAAAGCCCTGTACTAGGAAGGGATAGAGTAGGAGGTGGATATCCTCTGCTTGGGACTTTGGTGACCAGTGAACAGTGACACTTTACCTAAAAGAGACAATATGAATTAACAAATGAGAAGGATTGTACTTCTTGGGTAAAAAAGTTGAGGACTGTAAAATCAGTCCAACTAACTTCTGTAGCATGAGTAGAAATATGATACTGGGATAAATTCATTTCCAAATGTATGGAACTTTTATCTGATTATCAAGAAGTTGCTGCCCCACAGGACTTTAAAAAAGTGCCCCGGCCAGGCACGGTGGCTCACTCCTGTAATCCCAGCACTTTGGGAGGTTGAGGCGGTGGATCACCTGAGGTCAGGAGTTTGAGACCAGCCTGGCCAACATGGTGAAACACCATCTCTACTAAAAATACATTAAAAAAAAAAATTAGCTGGGCGTGGTGGCGGGTGCCTGTAATCCCACCTACTCAGGAAGCTGAGGCAGGAGAATCGCTTCAACCTGGAAGGTGGAGGTTGCAGTGAGCCAAGATCATGCCATTGCACTCCAGCCTGGGCAACAAGAGTGAAACTCTGTCTCAAAAAAAAAAAAAAAAAAAAAAGTGCCCCAAGGGGACAAAAGCTATTTTAGAGTCTCGTCCATACAACACTATTGGAAGGTGCCTTGGGCTGGGCAGGTGAGACCTGGGCCTGGTTGTTTTTGTCTCTAACCAGCCCTGACACTTAGGAAAATTCTCATTCTCTTTCAGGTTTTGGTCTCTTCATCTGTAAACTGTAGTTTCTGGACTCAATGACCTCTAAAGTTCCACTTGGTTCTGAGATGATACAGTGTCTCTAATAATGGGAACCATCACTAGCATAAGAAGGTCCCAGTCCCAGGAAAGAGAGTCTCTTCTTTCTGGTGTCTTTGTGGCTTCCCTTGCCTCTAAAATGCTGCATTTCATTAAGGGTTCACAAGTCTTGACATGTTTGTAAAGAAAGACACGACAGGAATTCATATGCCTCGCCTTATAACAAACATGTTGTGAATAACCTATATTTGGAATACAATTTGTCATAGTGATGCGGGCAGAGTTTTAAATTTGAGCAGCTTCTGAAATGCAATGTTTTATTCTTCTCAAGCAGCTCCCCAAGCTCTCCCACTTTACACTTTGAAGGGAGTCTTTATTGGAGAAGCTGCTCTCGATTTCCAAAGAATGGGAACATTTGCTTTAAACGATGCAAGAGATGCCATTGTAATTTCATGAGAATTACCCTTTCCAATGAATGTTCGATTAAGAACCAAGTAAAATCCCTTGAAAGTGGCTGGAAGATAAATTAGAGCTGAGCTGCAGTTAGGTAGAACTAAATTTTATTCCTTCCCTTTAAAATGGTTTTTAATTGATTTGGCATACTTTTTAAATTAATAATGAATACTGTACCTGGGTCTGCATGATCACACCTGTGAATTAGATCTATTGCACTGGAAACAGCTTTCCCTTACAGAGGACAGTGATTTTAATGAAGAGTCTTTGCTTATTGCACCAGTGGAAATGTGGTTCATGGTGGTTTCAGACAGTTCCTTAATTAGCAGTCTGGTCTGTTCCCCTGAATATTTTACCTGAAACAGTATGGAAATGTAGAAAGGAAAGACGCTTTATGATGACGTTGGGGGTTCTTCCCCACTTTGTGTGAGGATCTTGGAACTGGAAGAGTTGTGCAAATATGTAGTAAGGCCCAGAGTATTTTAAAAAGGGGTGGAAATGGGTAATTCTGAATAAACAATTGGTTCTTATATTAGAATAATGAATTTCACACAAGATTTTTTCTTTTTGTTGTGGGGGAAGTGTATTAAATTTCTAAATTAGGGCCTAGTGATCAGGTAAGTCAGGGGGGTATGACATGGGTGGAGTTGGGAATTTCATGGCACTTGCATTCACCTGTTAGGGATTGAAGCCTCCTCAGTGGTTCTCTGGCATTATGGGTAGAGCACGGGGTGTATCCTGGATCCATACTTAAAGGCCATCGTTAGAGACAATAGGAAGGGCTCAAGAGAGGATGAGTGTTAGGAATAATGCTCAAAATCCTAAGGTACTATGAATTAAATAATAAAAGATTGATCAGATTATTTGAAGAGAAACCTCATCATATCCCACGTGAGCTAAAGACAGACAGAGGTGAAAATATGTAGGAAGAACATAGCATCATCCCATGGACTCAGCACTGAGTGAGAAAAAGGAGATGGAGAAAACATGGAAGGAGTAAACAGAGGAGAAAACCCAATGCGTTTTGAAGAATGCAGTCCCTGAGAGACAGAAGCTAACAGTCAGCACACCTCCACCTTAAATAGAACACTTGGTCACTTTTATGAAGACCAGGATCTTAAAAGCTTAGGAAAATGAATGATCTGAGTGTTAGTATAATATAATAACAAGTATGTATACCATACATGTATATACATACATGTCTATCTCAATACATAGATGTATTGAGGACTTACCATGTTCCAGGTGCTAGGCTAAGTACTACACACAGAATAATCTGCTTTTGTTGTTACAATACCCCTCCAAGGTAGGTACTACTATGTTTTCCATTTTAAAGAACAGGAATCTAAGGCACAGAGAACTTACCTTTAGCCCAGTTCATATGACTAGAAAGTAAAAGGACCCACTGAGATTTGAACTCGGCTCACGCCTGTAATCCCAGCACTTTGGGAGGCTGAGGTGGGTGGATCACGAGGTCAGGAGATTGAGACCATCCTGGCTAACATGGTGAAACCCCATTTCTACTAAAAATACAACAAAATTAGCTGGGGTGGTGGCCGGCGCCTGTAGTCCCAGCTACTTGGGAAGCTGAGGCAGGAGAATGGCGTGAACCTGGGTGGTGGAGCTTACAGTGAGCTGAGATTGTGCCACTGCACTCCAGCCAGGGCCACAGAGCGAGACTCCATCTCAAAAAAAAAAGTAAAAGGACAAGGATTTAATCCTGGAAGAATGACTCCAAATCTCATGATATGCTGATTCTGCAGAGGGAACTCAGTCCGCTATTTAAAGGTGGAGGAGGAATTGTGCATTTCTTGAACTTGAACAACAGGAGTCAGAGTGAGGGCTGCATGGAAGGGCTGCCAGTTCCCATGATGCACTAGAGCAGTAGACCCCTGCATGCTCTCTTGCTACCAAACTGTAATTAAAATTATCATACAGTATAATGATTTCTAATACATTTCAGAACAAATCACCATCTTATATCTGACATGTTGTTAATGTTTACTACCATAATTACCAATTTGAAATATAAGGCAGCGATTTTTATTAGTTTTTGGTTATGTATAATTATGTCAAATATGAGACTGCAATTTAGATTGAACCGTATTAGCCATGATCATACAAAATGATTATACTGTGTATTTGACACCCTGGGTATTTTATGTTTTTATGGATTTTTTTCCTCCAAACCAGAAAGAATTATTTAAAGATAATCCAAAGGTTATTTGTAATGGTTTTCATTTTAAGAGTTTTAAACTGTAAACTTTTAAACTGTAAAACTCTTCATTTTAAGAGTTTAGACATACCAAAAATTGAATTTACTAAACCATCGTTTGACCAAAAGGAATAGGAGCTACCAATCAGTGGATATCTTCGGCATGCTGAACCCTTTTCTGGACACTTTGCACATTAAATTTGTAATCCTCATAAGTTACACAACTTTCCTTTTTCCTGACCAGGTAATTGGAATGCAGAGAATTAAAGAGATTTTTTTCTATGTAGTGAATAGTAAAGCTGAAATTCATGTTCATAATCTTTCTGGGAATTTTTATCCTGGGTGGTCAAAATAAGAGATCATTTATGATAGACTATTGCCACAGTATGTATTTCTATAAAATTAGTAGTGCCCTATATTTAATGAAATAATGTATATGCTGGTTCTTTTTAAGTATATTATATTACTCAGGGTTCTCTAGAGAAACACCCAAGAGCCGATTTTACACACATACACACACACACACACACACACAGAGAGAGAGAGAGAGAGAGAGAGAGAGGTTGATTTATTATAAGGGATTGACTTATGTGATTGTCAAGGCTGAGAAGTCCCAAGAGCTGCAGTCTGAAGGCCTGAGAGCCAGGAGATGCAGTGGTGTAAGTTCCAGTGAAGGACAACGCAGAGGGATCAAGATAGCAGATGGTGTAAATTCCAGTCTGAATCTGAAGGCAGGAGAAGCTATTTGTTCTATTCAAGTCTTCAAGACATTGGATGGGAACACAGCCCACACTGAGGAGGGCAATACGCTGTACTCAGTCTACTGATTCAAATGTTAACTTTATCCAGAAACACTCTCATAAATACACCCAGAATAATATTTAACCATAGAGCTGGGTGTCTCATGGCCCAGTCAAGTTGACACTCAAAATTAATTATTACATGTATTATCTCATAGTTAAGTTCTATTATGTCCATTTTAGAGCTGGAAAAACTGAGACCCAGAAGTTTAAGAGCTTTATACAAGTTTGCACAAGTTAACACTGAAAGAGCTAGGCCTTGAACTGAGGACTTTTGAATTAAATTCCTGTTTGCTCAGGACAGACTGTTACCAGCTTCCTTTGTGATTGTCAGCAGGAGACCAAAGCTGCCCCTTATTACAACAAAGCCTTGAGTTTTTTTGTGTGATGATGATGATGATGATGATAATAAAGTGTGATGATGAAGGCAGCTAATGGTGATTAAAGACTACATGCTAAGTAATATACTTTTATTATACTCGCGTAGTCTATGTAAAATGTCCCTTTTATAAATAAAGTGACTGAGATGTGGAGAGGTTCTCTCTACACAGTAGTAGAGCTAAGATTTGAACGTAGAACTCAAATTATCATACAGTACAATGATTTCAGATACATTTCAGAACAAATCACCATCTTATATCTGACATGAATACTAGAGTTCATTCTCTTATGTGTTCATTCTATAGAGATAATAAGTCACTTCTTGAGATAAATGACTCTGATTCCTTATCCTTCCCCAAGAAGACCCATTTTTCCACTCTCAAATATTCTTGTCTTAACACTTCCCTGAAAATTCTCCATTTTATCAATACATTTCAAAAATTTGGTCGTCAAAATTCATTAAATTCATTATGTCAAATATTGATATTTCAATGACTAAAAACAAGCATAAAAACAAAAAATGCAAAACCCAAAATCCAGAAAGATTACTTCCTGGTGCTGGTACATTATCAAATTATTTAAAAGAAATACATAATTTAGATTTTAAAAGCAATAAAACTATATTAGAGAGAGTAGTTACATATCTTAATTCAATCACAAATGTAACTTCATAAATTTCCACCCACTTGTTCATTTACACATACTTTGTTTTAAAAAAAGGAAGCTCCATGAGGGAAGGAAGGGGCTGACTATGTGTATTCTGTTCTTCACTATACCTGGTTCTTACAACAGTACTCGATATAGTAGGAACTCCATAAATATGTACGGATTAAATAATGAATCAATGAAGTATAAATATTAGTTTGCATTTTGCTTTTTAATTTTGTTAATACATCCATATATTTTAATCAGAATTATTTTAAATATTGCTTAAAATTAAGTTTACAAAGTAATTATTAGTGAAGAAATTTGCATCTTGACAAATAGTGACATTTTTGTCTATGATTGATTCTCTTGACATGCATTTTACTTTTTTGGATTTATGCAAAACTGAAACTATATACCTTTGTAAAACCAAAGATTGTTCTCTCTGAGGTCCTCTTTGGTAGCCATAGAAACGCTTTAAACAAATTTGTTCCTGCATGCACCTTGTATTACTTATCTATGAAATCTGTGCCCAATATAAGAGCATCTATTAGGAGTTTCTGATTCCATCAGTGGTAGGGGGTTTGCTGGCTGATCTCCACTCACGTTATTAGCCATCATTGGACCAGCAACATGCATTTGCAAGGCCATCATTAAAAACTGGACAAGAGAGGGTTTAAGCATGTGTTATAACTGAGTTAGCTGACTGGATGCTGATTGAACTCATAGCAGTGACCTTGGTTAATACTGGATTCTGTCTGAGCCATAGGGCACCAAACCAGATCACACTGAAAATTAACCCACCCTTTCAGCTAAAATGGAAAAAAGAAAATATTTTACTTATTATTGTTTTACTGGACTTTATAGTAGAGGGTCATTATGCTTGATTACAAATGTAAGATCCATGACATGGATCCATGCCATGTACATGTCAAGATCCAGAACTTTATATTTTAATGAATCAAAATTACATTTTTTTGTTGTTTCAAGTGCTTCCAACATCACAGAGATGTATGAATAAGTCCTTTTAAGGTTCATCCTGACAAAGAGACTTATAAATCCTTTAACTTAATTCTACAGTTGATCCCCTAAGAAAAGTTAAATATCACTGTTGTTTGTAGATTGCTAGATCACCACAAAGATAATTCTTTTATAAATACAGATGGTGCCCTTATGGAAATTACAAGACAGTAAGTAGGTGCCCATAGGAAAAAAAAATGACACGTTGATTAGCTAATAAAATGGTGCATAGTAGAATTATGCTTCTTGGTCTACTTTGTGGCTTCCTTGAACTTATGATGCCCTGTTTTCATTTTGGTTTTTAATATGTGTTCCTTCTAAAACTTTAAAAGTAAAGTATGAGTTTGATTGTCATGAGTATAAAATGCTAATCATTGATGGACAGTGAACCATGCCTATGAAGCTTCCACCTCCTCACCCTCTTCTCACCCCAAGTCATTCTTCCTGGCATGAATTGAGGCTGAAACAATTGCCAGAAGATGAGAACACAACACCGGATTGATAGTCACAAAAGGAGGAGCCAATGAATATGTTATTCAAAGCTTGTTGATATAAAAATGAACCCTTAGCCTTTTGGCATTTAAGGGTGAAGGGGAAAGGGAAGGGGAAGGAACCTACATTTACTGAGTGCTTAGTGAGTGCCAGGTCATGGAAACAATCTCTGCTTTGGTTCCCTGCTGGGGCTTACGCCTTTTATTCTCTGTGGGCTACATTGTACCGAAATAACCATCCCTCTCTCTTTTTTAACATCAGTTAAAAAGAGTGAAGAGGAATTTTATCATGGTATCAGGACATGGAGGGCATTTGCATATTAGCATTCCACTGTCGCTACTCTGTTTGTTGGTGGGTGGAATGTTGAGAAATGTTGCCCAACCTCTTGCAAATGGCATGTGAATAATCCCATAATCAGTGTAATGTATTCTGTTATGGGAGTCATCAAGTCATTCAGCTTTGAAGTAAGATCCAATTTTTAGAAAGTGGCTGATGAATGCAGTTTCAGGTATTTAGAGGAAGCTGATGTACCTAAAGTATGTGGGTCTTCTGGTTGAACAAGGGAAAAAAGTACTTGAGGAAACTGAAGCAGACCATTCTAAAAATACCTAAGTTTCAGGATATATTTTCCTAGTGGCATAGTATTCAATTGAAGATCTTAAAATTAAACATGTCTGTGTGCTTTTCAATTTAGTGTTGTGGAAAGCTGAGTTAGCTGGTAGTGAGGAATGGGAAGATGGCCGCTTATTCTAAATCTGAGGATGGCGCTCCCTCCGCATCTGTTGTTCCTTCCCTGCAGGATCTTTGCAGCCTGGAGTCCTCATTATTCAAGGCTCAGCTTAAATGTTCTTGCAACAGGGATGCCTTCCCTGAACACATTTCCCCTGCCCTTAAGCCGCACTCTACCTCATCTCCTTTTCCTTTTTTTATTTTCTTCAAGGTCCTTATCACCAACAGAAATTCTTACTTATTTGCTAACTTACCCTCCTCTGGGATAATGTAAGTTCCTTGACAGCAGAGACTCATGGTATTCACAAGACCCCAAACAATTCCAGGCACCTTGGAGGCACTGATGGAGGCACCTACTGACTGACTGAATGAATGAATGCTAAACCCATGACCCCAAGATCCTGGGGTTCAGAGGGTTACTTTCCACCTGCATCATCTGCATCACTAAGCAATCTAACAGAGCAGCTGCATTTTTCCTCCTACAACACGAAGCAACTCCTCAGCGGCACACCTTAGGGTCAAGGCTCACCCAACTCCATCTGGTCCCAAGTGGGAGACTGCAACTTATTCACTGGGCAGTTCTGATTCCCAGCCAGGCCACAAGCCAGCAGCCACTGCAAAATGCTGCAGTGTCCCTGTTAGTTAAGCTTCACATTACTTAAGACATACATTTCAAAAATAACTCCGGCATCTCTCGTTACGTTCTGTTCTTGATTTGCAGTCTGTAGCAATCCAAATCCCATTAACGCCAGAGCCCTTGTACAAAGCCTTTTTACGGGCTTGGGTTAATTTAAATCTGTGCATTTGTAGCCTCCTCTCCCCCAAACTTAGGCTTTTCAATGACTCCCTTACTCCCCTCTTTTGCACATGTGCTCCCCCTCTTTTTAGTCCTTTCCTCTCTCCTTTCCCCTTTTCCTCCCTCCCTCCCTTTCTTCCTTCTCTCTCTTTCTCTCTATTCTTTTGCCTCCTAGAATGTGGGTGAGTCTTAAGGATTCTTTCTTTCTGCAATTGAATTCTAAGCACGTGAGGAACAATTTTCGCCCTAGTTTTCTCTTTGACCACCTCTTCCACTTCCAGTGTATCTAGTATTCTAACATTAAGTAAGGTCTTCATGGAAAGCAGCATATATAAAATCTTCATGTACAAGTAAGCAATTTTTGGACTAATCATAGGTGTATCAACACATCCCTATGGAATTTCTTTTCTTTTTTTCTGCCCCCCGGCATCGATTTTCTGTTTATGAAAGTAATGCATTGCTCACTGTGAAGCCATTCGAATAATAAAACCCAGGGTGACTTTAAGCAGAAGCCTTCCCCTGTGTAGTCAGAAGAGGATTTGGCTTTCAAGAGAAGAATTAACAAAACTCATTTTAAGGGCCCATTTATTGCAGAAAATAGTGGAATTACCTGTCCAAGGGAATGAGAAGTGTTCAGATGTTGCCGACATTTCCCCCAAATGCACTGTGGTCCCAGAATAATGACTTCTTTTTATAGGAAAAGAAGGAGAAGTTGCCTTGGTTCAGTGAATAGGAAACACTGGTACTAGGCTTTCTTGGTGTGCACAAAAATACGCCCAAGTCTGCCTTTTCAATGAAAGCCACTAGACCACATCAGAACCAAATAGGGTATATATTTCTTATCTTTTGATTTATTTGTTCTTTTAACAAACCCACATTTCCCAAAGTCTTTTCCATAGAATAACTGTCACATGGGAGTTTTCCATGCCAAAGGGTTCCGTGGTCACATACATTGGGGAAACATACATTGTATGACATATACAATGTCATACATTGTTGACAGTTCTTGGAGATATGTGATGTGCATTAGCATATTAAACTACGAGAAAGCCTGAAGCAAAGAGAACTGTGCTACCTCACTTCTTTGTTGTTTCTAAAACTTATTTCACTATGAAGTCTTTCTCTTTTTTTTAAGTAACACCTGCAAGTATTCCCCAGATCCATTTGGCCACAAAAACAACAGAGGAAACAAATAGGCAAAAGCAGTTCTTGTACACCTGCTCTGGGTGCATGGTCTTTGTCTGGGGCTTTTGCATTCCTGTTGCGCTTTTTATTCCTGGATAAGAAGATGCATGAGACAAGAACTCATCTCTCTAATTCTTAGTAGCAGGCACTGTGCTGGGTGCTTTCCTTGCATTACTGCATTTGAACTCCATGGCAGCCTGGGTTCCGCATGTTGCCAATGAAGGTTCTAAAACCCTAAGAGGTGATGTATGTAATTTGCCTTGGGGCACTTAGTGAGATAGGTGGTAGAGTCGAGTGTAGGATCATGGTGGCTGACCTTCTGCCAAGGCTCTTGATGCTTCCAAAGCTCATGCCCTTCAGCACAGCAAATGCAGTCCTCACGGCACCTTTTCTGCTCCTGTGGGCCCTTGGTGGCATTCACTGGTCACCTTTCTGAAAAGAAACTGTTCAGCAGTGTGGCATCACAGACCTCTCTTGGTGGAGACTCTGTGCACCCTTCACATGCAAGTAACTGGAAATTGAGTGTGTGATGTGTGTGTACACATACATGCAGTTGAGCCTTGAACAACATGGGTATGCCAACCCTCCACACCATTGAAAATCTGGGTATAACTTTTGATTCTCCCAAAACTTAACTACTGATAGTCTACTATTGACTGGAAGCTTTATTGATCACATAAACAGTCAATAAATATTTTATATAAGTATTCTATACTTTATTCTTACAATAAGGTAAGCTAGAGACAAGAAAATGTTAAGAAAATCATAAGAGCTGGGCAAGGTGGTTCACACCTGTAATCCCAGCACTTTGGGAGGCTGAGGCAAGCGGATCACTTGAGCCCGGGGGGTACAAGATCAGCCTGGGAAAAATGATGAGACCCCATCACTACAAAAACATAAAAAATTAGCTGGGCATGGTAGGGCACACATGTAATCCCAGCTACTCAGGAGGCTGAGGTGGGAGGATCCCTTGATTCCTGGAGGTCGAGGCTGCAGTGAGCTAAGATGGCACCACTGCACTCCAGCCTGGGTGACAGAGTGAGACCCTGTCTCAAAAAAATAAAAATCATAAGGAAGAGAAAATATCTTTACTATTCATTAAGTGGAAGTGGATCATCATAAAGGTGTTCATCCTCATCATCTTCACATTGGGTGGACTGAGGAGGAGGAAGAGGAGAGGTTGGTCTTGCTGTCTCAGGTACGGCAGAAGTGGAGATGGACAAGGTGGAAGGGGAGGCAGGAGAGACGGGCACACTTGGTATAACTTTTATTGAAAAAGACCTCTGTATAAGTGGATCCATGCAGTTCAAATCTGTGCTGTTAAAGGGTCAACTCTGTGTGTGTGTGTGTGTGTGTGTGTGTGTATACACCCACATGTGTGTATACATATGTCATTTTTCTTGAATCCACTACAGGGCCTAAAACACAGTAGGAACTTGATGAATATTTATTGATGTGAAATGGGAAATAAACTCTGCATGAAATATGACAACTGTCCATGCACTCTCGCATCTCTTCTGCTTTGTTTTATCACCATTGGACATATCGATAGTGTTTATTTGTTTTACATTTACTTGTTTATTTGCTTACAGGGTGTCTCCCCACATTTGGGCTTGAACTTTTTTGGGGGAAAGGTCTTACGTCACTTGTTTACTACTGTGAACCTACAGTAAGTGCTCAGTACATATTTAGAAAAAGAGTAAATGGTTAGATTCAAGTTTTCTACCATGACTTCTCTTTTCCAAAATTTCCTCACATTGTTTTCTGTACTTGTTGACTCTTCTCTTTCAGGAGTAGTTAAAATCTACGTAGGACTGTTAAGTAAAGGAAGCCCAAATCTCAGCTATTCCAGTGTAGCAGATATTGAAGCGCTCTGTGTTAATGTGCATGGAGCCGTCTGCAAGGCAGAGCCAGCTACCAAGTCTGATGTACAGGAAGTTGTACAGCCCTGAGGACAGTGTGGACAGTCACCACTTCATGCTTTTTACCACAGCCATCGCTTGCCCAGCACAAATCTCTTCTGTAGAAATCCCAAGTTAAAAAAAAAAACCAGGGAGCAGCTATCCTTTCATCCACTAAAACCACATCCTGCTGGGCTGCTTAACTTGAGAAGTAAAGGCATTTCAATATAATTAATCTCCTTTGCAATCTTTTATAAACCATTCTTGGAAGGGGTCCATAGATTTCATCAGATAGCCAAAGGGGTCTGGAAAGGTTACAGACCCCTGAAAAGCCCTGACTAATAAATGGACTGGGTGGAATATTTTCACTGGTGCATAGGTAAGAGCAAAGGATTGAAAAATGGTTTCCTTTACTCTTTGAAGTTAAAAAAATTGATGTGTTCGTTTCATGTTTTCCTTTGCCTTTTTCACTCCTTGTGTGTGGTGGGTACTGTCAGAGCCTCACCCCCCAGCCCCACACCTTCATGGTGGAAGTGCTTCTGATATTCTGCAGTTTGGGAAGGCAGGTGAAGTCCACTCCTTGGGCAGGGCCACTTTCACTTCTGCGGAACCTCCAGAATGAGCACAGGACCCGGTGTGGAATGCAAAGTGTAGTTGAAAGGCATTCTGCCAAAATGTTTTCTGAGGACAGGTAGAGATTGAAGCACACCCAGCCCTGATTGGATTACCACGGGCCCAGAAGCACTTTATCCTCCACTGCTGCTACTAGGGGTGGGAAGGGAGTTATGGGGCGGGGGGTGCGTGGTGACTTGGTGGGGGTTGGGAGGGCAGGTCTTAGGCATGCATCTCCTGGCTTTGAGACTGCCGCTGGGAATATTAAACTGCTTGCCCCAGAGATAACAGTGAGGGATTCCTAAGTATGGGTCTGTTGATAACTTACCTTTCATTTGGATTATGTTGTATAAAATCTTTGTCAAAACAGGCTTTTAGCACACACAGCTTGGTGGAGGCAGATTGTGCATCTGTATCTGATTGTATTCAGAGAATAAACTGAAGCTTTAAAAAGGGATACACTTTCATAATGGCTGTGTGTTGGAGGTGGGGAGGTGGAGGAAAAAAAATTGACATGCTGGATCTTTAAGTAAGAAGGGGCCCTTTAATAGTCAGAAATAGGCAAATAGGAGAAAGGAACGGAAGAAAGCATGAATGAAATAAAATAACCAGAAATATATTACAATTCACAAAAGTGGTGTTTACTCAATTACATTCTCGTGACTAATGTGAAAATAGCTGAAAAAATTAAAAGCTCTTCCTAGGAACACATTTATTTTGTTGGACCACACAGAATAAAGCAAATCATAATTGGCTGTGATGAATTACATCCAAAGTGAAAAATGGAAATAAAGCAGGTAGTCTGCCTGCAGGGGACCTAGAGTTCCTATAGAAAGAGAAAGTGTCCTGTAACCAGAGATGGGTATCTTGGTTCCAAGGGAAACCAGATGACGCAGGAGGAGGAGGAGAAGGGCAGGGAGCGGTCCTGAGGATTCAGAAGTGTGTGTGGGTCTGGAGAGGTCAGAGGCTCTGAAGATTGAGCCATTTGCTCTGTAGGCTGAGGGAGAAGGAGTGCCAGGGCAGGGATTCAAGAATGTGGTCCAAGGGGAGGGAGAGATAGATTTGCCTGGCATTGGCATTTTTGATGGATTGTAGTGATGAGACATGAAGGCTAGAAAATGGAAGGCAGAAAGAGGAACAATGGAAACATTCTCTATTACCCAGAGACTCTCCCAGTAGGGTGGAAAGGGGTGGGGTGATGTGGTGTGCTGATTTCTGTGATCTTCATGAAAACAGGCCAGCGAAACTGACAAGGAAGCAAGCATAGAGCTGGTTGGAATAGGAATACCCATGTCTTCCTATTTACGTGGGATGTATGAACCCATGTGCACACAAGTAACTGGCAAAACTTATTGGGGAAGCGTCAAGGTGGAAATTCACAGCTGTTATTTTTGTGGCCTCTAGCTACAAGGGCTAACAGGTGAAGATAGTCTGGAGACCCAAACTGGGAAAATAAATGACATTTTAACATTTTGTCAGGTAGGCAATTTAAAAATAAACTTGGATTCAATATAATACCATTAATGCTAGAGGTTCTGTTATATCAGTGCAAAAATGCCATCTTTTTCATAGCAGTTAAAAAAAAAAAGACATGTTGTAGGGGGTGAGGAACCATGTATAGGAGAGGCATATGTGATTGTGACAGCAGCCCCACAAAGCTATTGAAAACATACCACGACTCTGCCCTCCAGAATTAACACCATAACTTATGTCAGGGACTCACTATTATCCTCATATCAGCTCTTGGATCCTGTCCAGTCCCATTAGCGATTCCCATGTTGATTGCTCTGTTACTCGTGAATGTTAATTGCTTCTAAATCTCTTTGGATGTTCAGATGCTCGGGGAAAAAATTCTGACTGGCGAAGGTGTGAGTTTTATTAATGTGCAAGTAAACAAGAAATCTGTTTAGAGACCCAAGTGGAGTGTCTGTGACTCAAGATGCCATAAACAGCTGATGTGGCATCTTTCTTTGCATGTCTGTCATATGTTGGTGGTGTGAGAGTGAGGATGGGGGAACAGGGTTTCAGTGATCACTGTGTTGTGTGTCCAAAATCGGTGTGCTTGTAGACGTAGACAGACATGCACATTCTTGCCTCCGGCATTCCTACTTTGCTTAGTATGAAATGATGACCTTGCTACCTTTGAGAGAAGCTTATACTTAGTAAGTGCTATTAAATCAGAAAATGTAAAAACATGAATATAATTTGGCCTATCACCTAGTTTCTGAACTAGAAGGAACTTCGGAAATTAGCTTCTTAAGCTTTATTTTACTCTTGAGAAACAAAGGCCTAGGGAGAGGAGAAGGTAAGGGCTCACAGCAGAGCTGGCCAAGAAGCCAGGTCACCCAACTCGCACCCTGGTACTCAAGATAACAGAAAATGATAACAACAGGTGTTTATTATATTTTCTAGGAGCATTTCACTGAGTCTTTGTGGAGTTTTAATTTTTTCCTTTGGGTGGAAAAAATCTATGATGATTCAGTATTGAAATTCATTTATTAGTAATTATAACAGTATCTCAGCAAGAGTAAAAAGATAGAAAAAAGGAAGAGCACCTAGTTTAATGCTGTGATTCATGAATTCAATCGATATTCGTGGAGTGCCTTCACACTAGAATTTAGCAGCACATAAAAAAATTCCCTGTATATACTATTGCTCCCAGGTTACAAACCTGTAGGCTAGGATGTAACTGTACTAAATACTTTAGGCAATTGTAACACAATGGTAAGTATTTGTATCTAAACATAGAAAAGTTACAGTATAAATATGATATCGCTGTATTATATTGTTATGGGACCACCTCATATATGTGGTTGGTTGTTGGCTGAAATGTCGTTCTGTGGCATGTGAATGTATTTTAAATAGGATGGTCAGGGAGACATCACTGAGCAGGTATTTAAGCAGAGATCTGATGAAAGGGAAGGAGTAAGCCATAGAAATACTGCAACAATATTGGCCCAAGCAAAAAGTTCCTGAGGTGGGAATGTGCTTGCGTATTTGAGGATGAGTGAAGGGGTCAGTGCTGTTGCAGAGGTGCGTAAGGAGAAGACAGTGAGAGATTGTGACCCTCACATCATCGGCTTTGGGAAAACTCAGGGCCAGTCATTTTAAGGAGACCCATCTTTTAGTATTTCTGTAATCCCAAATAGTATGGCTCATACACAGAACCCAAACTCATCCTTTTTTTGGAATATTTTCTGAAGGTGCCATCTTTCTGGGATTGGTGTCTATGACTTGCCAGGAATGTCTAGAAACTATCAGATCTTTCTGTAGAGCTTTTGATTAGAGTGGTTGTCATAGTAATAAAATTATCGAACCATAGGATTGTAAGTTTCTTGATGGTAGGACCTATGTCATATACATTTTTGTGTCCTCCAAGAAGCCACACACAGTTCTAAACTTACACATAGTAAGAACTCAATAAATACTGATTATTTTTTCAATGCATGAATAAATGGTCTGAGAGTGGTAGAAAGGATGGGATGTCCTAGAAAGGACTGTTAAAAATACACCCTTCTAAAAATGTTGTTAACGAAATTACTTCTGAAGTATTCTGACTTCCTTGCAATCTTTTTAAAAGACAAGTCCATATGCTGAAATGTGAACATAAGTATATAACAAACTGAACAGTAGTAACATTATTTTCAGGCCAAATTTTAGTTGGATGGTTGCATTTTGTCAATCTAATTTTTTCTTCCATGTTTTAAAATGGATATGGGAATTTTTCCAATCTTATCTCTAGTATTAAAAGAATATTGGTGTCTGGGCTCATAAAAACAAGGAGTTGCAACTCATCACTGTCTTACTCTAAAATGTGTTTAATATGTTAAGATTGTGGTGAAAATGACATAGGAAATATCAGTCCCCTTGGGAAAGATGGGTAGTCAAGATGCATTGTGATGGGGAAGGCCAAAATGGTAATTCTTGTTCTCCCATTACTGAATTCTCACCATAATGGACGAATAATTTAAAACCTTATTGCCTTTCAGTATCCCCATCTGCAAAGTGGGGGTAACACAAACTTACCCTCTGCCTTTCAGGTTTTTTGCGAAAATCAGTGAACTAATATTGGTAAAATTGGAGCCCCATGGATGAAGGGTACTTTGTAAGTATAATACATTATTGTCATGTTATTTTCTGTTATTCTGAAGTGCAAATACCAAATGTCTGCTCTTGCCATATCAGGAAATCTGTAACACCAAGTTTCACACCCAGATATTGATAATCTGACTTCTTTGAGGCATTTAATGTTTCTGAACTCTAATGTTTTGACAATATGTCAGATGTTGAAAAGCCACCTCCGCCTGCCACCCTCCATAAATATAAATTCAAACAATGCTTACTAGATAATTTGGACTAAATATGTCTGTATATTATTATATGTAAAAATGTTTATATGAACCATGGATATAAATATAAGGTGTCTTTATTTCTCTTCTCTCAACTCTCTCTTCCTTTCTTTTAAAATTGTATTTAACTTGTGTTTTGAGCAGTCACTTTATGTCTCAAAGAAATGGTTGATTTCAGGGAGAGAATGAATGTTTCCATGAGGTGAATGATATTTTGTTAAGGATGAAAGTTGATTAGACAGTTTGCTAATTATTGTGTTTGCAGACATGGGGCAGGGGGAGGAGGCCAACCAGAATGGTGAGCTAAGTGTGGATCACCCCTTCTTAACCAGGTTACAGTCCAGGGGAACCTGGGAATTGCTTCCTACCCATGCAATGGCAAAGGCTGCAAAAGGGCAGGAGGAGACTGTGCAATCCCAAAGCAACTGCTTTGGTAGATTTTCTCCATTGAATTGGTGCATCTTTTTATTTTGCCAGGACAACCAATGCCCTGGAATAGTTTGTGCTACCATAGATTGGCCAGCTACATGCCCAGTGCTTAACCCATGGTTTGACATTTTTTCTCTTTTAAAAGGTGGCTGTCACCCTTTAAAATCGATCATAGAGAAATTTAAGATTAGGACTGCTTATTGAAGCTTATTTTAGTGAGTAATCCTTGGATTCATGCAGCTGTAGGATCTAAGTCTGCAAGGGTCTTATATGTCTCATCTAGCCCTATTTGTTGGCCAGTTCTAAGGGTTCCACCTGACTGGAGCCTGAGAACCTCTAGAGGCAGAAAGTCTACAACCTAAAAAGGCAACTCTGACAGTTAGAGAATTCCTTCTCAAGTTAAACATAAATCCAACCTCGATGTATCTCTGCCTTGGGTTCTACTTGTCCTATTCATCCCTACAATGAACAAGTGTTCCTCTTACAAAATGACACATTTCAAATATTTAGTAACACTTACTGCATCTCCCTACAGTGGTCTTTTTGTCACCTTCAGTTCTTTCAACAACTAGAGCTCATTTCCATGATTTCCAAAACTCTTTACCCCTCTGGAAAAGTTCTTATCTGTCTATATCTTTCTTAACAAGCAGCACTGAGAATCTATCTTCTCCAGGCCCCATTCTGCATCTCAGAGTCCAGAGATCTAATCAAAGTTTCGGAAGACAATGACCTCTGAAGAAATCGTCTGGAATCACGTGTGCCCATGGATTGGTTTGAGTAACAAGACAGCAAAGCCCACATCCCCCTGTGAGGTGCAGACGATTGACAGGAAGAAAGTTGTTTTGGTTAATAATACAATCTGCTTGCCTCCTGTAGACACAGCAGTAGCCTACTAATTCGTTAGAAGTGAATTAAGGTTGTTTACCCATGTTTTAAAGTAACTGTCAGAGTGAAAAAAATTTGTACTAAATGAGACCACTCACCTACTTCGGAGTTGCTGTTTATTTTAAGCTGAGTGCATAAATAATATATTGAGATACGAAGGGTGATTTCAAGCATTAGAACACGAAGTCTCCTGTTTACTAACTGTCATTGGGCTGAAGAGAATTTAAACAGCTCTGAACCTTTTTGTCTGCGAATGCGAGGCATGAAATTAACTTTCATTTCATAGTTAGCAGAAATCATGATGAAGGCAGACTTGTTGACATGTCTCCTGCCGATCTGGATCTTTTTTGGTATGCAAGACAAACCTTGGCAACAGAGTGCTTTCCATGTCTCCTTTGAAACAAGACTCCCTCCCTTCCCCACAAAATAAGTAGGGAAATGTCTGGGTCACTGAGTCAGTTTGTTCTGGATAAAAAGAGGAATAGTGGAAATATGTACTAGTCTAGTTCCAGTCTTGACTGCTGGCAACCTTCTCTGAATCTTACTTTCTTCATCTGTAAAATGGAAATAATAGCATCTACTTCCACTGCTTCACAGGAAGATGGTGAGATCCCAATGAGGTAATTGAGGGGAGATGACTTTGAAAGGCATCAGGTGTCATATGTGGGCAGGACAAGTCAAGATAACAACAGTTAATGCTATTAAGGCTGTCTTCTCAAGGATTTACATGTATTAACTCATTCACCCAACAACCCTATGGGATAGGTACTATTATTATCCCAATTTTATCACTACAAAAACAGAAGCACAGGGCAGTGGAGCGACTTGCTCCATCATCTGATAGCTTAAAGTTTGCAAAACTGATATCCAAATACCAGGCAATTGGGTCCAGGGTTTGTTTTCCTAACTCTTACTTATTTGGGAGAAGAAGCGAGGTTTCCACCTATATGATTATGCCTCTTGATCATGCACAAGTAAATGAAACATCATTCCTAAAAGCCTGGGCCAAATTTACGTTGAGAAAATACAGGTATAGCTTCTCATCAGCAAGGAGGGTTCCCACTGGGTAGGTATGTAGCAGACTGTATGGATTTATTATGTTTTATGTGTGAAGAGCCTGGTGATTCTTAGATGGAAAGCCGTAAGTAAAAAGACCTATTACTTGCAATGCTTTCAGAAACAAGAAATTTGATTCACTTTTTGTCCCCTTAAACTTGAAAATGTGATAGCCTATTTCAGAATATAGGGAGAGTGTTAGAGAATGAATAGAAAATGTATGGAATGTTTAATTTTGCATGATTACATTTCATATTTGCCAAAGTAACTGAGGCAAATAGAAATGCATAATAGTATCACAGCATTACCTATTTGAGGTGTTTTGATGGAATACTCAGGTTTTACAGTCTGATACATGAACTCTTTGGGATAAATCCTTATTAAGCAAATGAACAAGAATGTATTTGTGTTTGCATCATTGAAAATATGTAATTTGTACAACTGCTCTTTAAATGTATATTTACACTATATTTATTTGAATTTCAAAAGAGGAAAGAGTCTTAAGTGATTAATGGGAACAAGAATGATGTGAATTTGCAGACATTTTCCCCTGAAATATGCTCAGTCTTTACAAGGATCATACTTAAAAATTGGAGTGGCAAGAGTGGGGGTGCTGACTTGCTTTGGATTTCTGAATGAAGCATTCCAAAAATAGGATCATTTCCATAATCCCTGAAAAATGGACAGATTTATGAGAAGTAATCAGCTGAGGGAAAGAATAAATTCTGCTCTTCCAAATTGTAAAAATCTCAGCAATTGCTGCTGTGCTCTAGCACTTGTTAATACAATGAGATAATTGCATAATTAAATACACTATGGAATTTCAATAATTGGAAACTTTATGTTCTCATCACAATATGCAGCTTGCTGATGTTGAAAAGCATCAGCAGTGTTATCCCGAGGCCAGGATCCTTCTTTCACGTCACGCCCTCTGCAGCCTTCTGCAGCTCCTGTTGTGGTTCTGAAACACCTCCCTTTCAGGTTATTTTTAGTTGGTTGTATTTAGACAAGGTGAAATTAAGCAGGATGTCCCCCAAATTCTGACTTATCTGCCCAGGCCATGGAAGTTGAGGATCATTTTGCTAAAAGTGTCCCTGGTGCTATCTAGATCTTTCTATGTAGTAATGGTTGAACAGCAACCTGAAGAAAAGAGCTTTATGGAACTGGGGAGTGCCTCTCTGGGTTGGTAAATGTGAGATTGCTTTGTGGAGCCTCTGAAAAGACAGGCTCCAGAGCTGGGCTACTTGGGTTCAAACCTGGTGTGGCCTCTTTCTGTATTTCTGGAAAAGGTACCCAATATCTCACATATTTTCTTACCTGTCAAAGGAGAATCTTAGCACCTATGTCTTCATGTTGCTGCAAGGCATAACTGAGGTAACATATGGAAAGAACTTAGAAGATACCAGGCAGTTCGTAACCATCCAGTAAATGTTAGCTATGTTATCAGGCAATCCAGGGAAAAGTTTCACGTTCATCTGAATGTGACAAATCTTTGAGTAAGAACAAATAAGTAGACTTATGGTTTTGCTCATTCAAGAAATATTTATTGAATACATGATGACGATGATGATAAAAATAATATTATTAAATCAGTGTTTGGCAGATAGTAAGATATTTGAGCAGGAACTGGTCCATCATTGGTATCCCCAGCATCTAACACACCCATGAATACATACAGGATAGCTACTTAACATAGCGTGGATTCCATACATGCTTGGAGAATAAATGAGTGAATGAATGCATGGATAAAATTGGTTGTAACCTTCTTCTTTTTAGGAGTTAGAAGAATTTACTATGGTCTGTTTGAGAACATAGATGCAATTTGCTTTTGTTGAACACTAGGGCTGGCACTAGGCAAGTGAGGTGTGTATGGTGACAAACGTAAAGAGGCACTCGCTCTCAGCGTCCCACAAGTGCTTCCTTAAATTTTGTGTCCTAGATGTCTCACTTTTGTCTCCATGGCCCAGGCCCTGTTGAATGTGTTAATCTTACATGTATGACTATGCTTGATTTCTACCTGTGTTTGAAATTCCCCCTCAATTTTATTTTGAAAAATTTCAAAGCTACGGAAAAGTTGAAAGAATAGTACAAGAAACACTCTGCATACCTTTTACTTATGATCATCAATAGCTAATACTTTGCCACATTTACTATATCTCTTTCTGTATATATGAATTCAAACTTTGTCCTAATTCACTATAGAAATCATGTTGTAACCTCGATACAACATTCTCATTCCCTTGCCTCTAGTGCTCATAACGTTAAATAGGCTTCCTAAATTCTTAGTCTCAAAATTATGAATTTGGAAGAAAAAGAACAAAAAGAGCAGTAAAAGAACTTTGCTTAAATTTGTTTTTCAAGTTTTAAAACTGCTGCTTGAACCTTGTTTTTAGACTATTAACATACTAACCTATTTAGAATACCCTCAATATAAAATGACCAAAATCTTAAAGGTTAGAAAGTTTTCCTGCATGCTCTCACACCTTCTTTTGCAGAGGAGAGACTTTTTAAAAAAGATAAATTCCCTTGACCATTATTTTTCTGAGATCCTTTCAAAAGTAAATGGGAGTCCAATTACAAATACAATGAGATCATCGTTTTCCAAGTTAGGAATATTCACTGTAAGGGGTGATTTTGCAAATATAATATAGAGGCTATATTATAAATTTGGATATGTCCTCAAATAGAAAGAACTACACACTTGATTTTGGGCTACACTGACAAACTTACAAGGAAAAAAAAATTTCTGATAATCTGAAATGTTTCTAAAAAATAAGGTATCTGTCCTACAAAACGATGATAACATTTGACAGAAGGTTGTATTATTTCAGTGGTATTAGGAATGTTCTCTATGGAAGCCCAGGGAATCTGAGGAGGGGCCTCAGGGCCATCACAGGGGGTGGAGATGGGAGTTAGGGGAACGAGAAGAGCATTGGAAATCCAGGCCACTCACTCATATTCCATTGGAATAGCTCTGAAATGATGTGCTTTATATTGGGCATCTGTCTAAGAATCAGTTTTCATGAAAGTGTTCTAAAGCTAAAAAGAAATAGTTTGGAAACCATAGCATTAGTGAGTAGAAGAGAAATAGGAAACATTTATCCAGCAATCTTGGTTGGCAGTGAGAAGTGAAAGCTGTCAACTCAAAGGGTGGGAGAGGTCAGAAAAACCACGAAAGGCAGAAACACAACTGAAAAGCTATCTGGGAGTAGCAAGCAGGATCAAACACCCATACATACCCTAAGGCCGTGGTTCCTAAACTCCAGTGATTCCTGGTCCTTAACCCAGACATTCTGATTCAGTAGATCTGGGGAGGGGCTCAGGAGTCTGGTTTTTTAATTGTCACCCTAGGCTGCACAGAAAAAATTGCCCTCAAGTCATGTTTACATCATAGAACATTACCATATTTGGTGTTGATAAAGATGACCAGAGGTGTAAAGAAAATATTAAATTCAGTTTCATAGAATGTAACCCTTTTTCAAATTCAGGGAAATTTTAGAATGATTTCCTTCCAAAATGCTTAAAATAGAAAGTTATCTCGAATAACAGGGGGAAAAGACAGACAATAGTAATAAAGTATTATTAGTAATAATATTAGTAATGATATTAGTAATAAAGTACTATTAGTAATATAGTAATAAAAGACAGACAAATGTAATAGTCACATTACAGTGTGGGTTTACTAAGTCTGATAAGAGAGGTACACACCAAGGGAGCCGAGAGGGTGCTCCTGTCTGGTTGGACACTGTAATGAACTCTTGGAAGAGAGAGCTTCCTAGTGGTACTGCGTGGCTTAATGGGATATTCACAGGCTGTGGAGTCAGACAGGCCTGGGTTTGAATCATGACTCTCCTGTTGTAGAATCTCAGAAAAATGACCTAATCTTTTTAAGCTGGGTCTTCTTCATAAAGTCCAAATAAAGACTAAATTAGATGATGTGTGAAAAGTACTGAGCACAGGGCAGTAAGATGATAGATGCTCAAGTGGCTGTCATTAAAATAAATGTCTGTGATTATATTTATTTAAGAAGGACCTTCAGATAGGCAGGCTTTCAGGAAGAGTGGGATAACAGTGTGTTTATTAGTTTTGGTTTAGGCAGGAAAAGGGAGGCAAAAGAGTACCCCGAAAAAGCGGGACAGCATAACCAAACCTTGAGGTAAGGGATGATTTATGCTTTTGTGCATAGTTCAGTGTTTCCAAAGTGTTGTTCGTGTAGAAGATTCTAGATCATACAAGTATTTTACAAATATTAACTAATGTAATCTTCATAGTGACTCTATGAAGTAGGTATTGTTTATTTAACAGAAGGCTAAGGCACAGAGAAGTTAAGTAACTTGCGCAAGATCACACAGCTAGTAGTGGCACAGCCAGGATTTGAACACATTCAGCATCTGTATTGCTAATAACTATGCTAGGCTATTTTAATAATAATGACTTATGCTAATTAGTGTGTACTAGGAAGCTATAACTAGCACAGGAAAACAATGATTTTTACAGATATTGTTGCCCAGAATAACAGTAAAGTTTTAAAAAGTAACTTGATTTAAAATAAATCATATACAATGAATAATAGTGGTCATATCATGAAATGTGACAAAAATCCTGTAGGTGTTCCCCAGATGAGTTTGGCCTGGGAAGTTCTGGGACAGTGGAAGACAGTGGCAAGGATAGATTGGGGCTACCATGGGAGACTACTGCCTCCAAATAATTGTTGTGTGAAACAACAAGAAATCCTGTACATTCTGAGGGAGAAGCCAGTAGGTGTATTGTAGGGTAGGAGGCTTACAGAAGGAAAGACTGTAGCTTGATGAGTGAGTTCTCTCCCATTTCCTGCATTCTATTGCAAAGGGGCAAAAACCTCCCCTTGACCTGACCTGGACTTCTGAATGGCCAGCCTGAGACCTGTGCTATTTGGAAGTTATTTAGTTTTTTCCTCCTCCTCTTTCTCCATCCCTTCTCCTTCCTCTTCCTTCTTTTCTCTTCTTTTGCCTCTTCCCACCTCCTTCTTTTTATTGTGCATGAGGACAGATTTCAAAGAGTGCATGCCCCCAAAATGCAAATGCCTGTTGCAAATCAATGGGAAAAAGAGTTTAATACTGTAGATGGCATTTTAATTTACCTTCAGTTTTTCAGGATGACACCTGTGTATCTCTCCTGTATCTCTCCTTGGATATGGTCAGAAAAACCTAAAAGCTCAGATAATCCTAAGCCAATCCATGCTTAGGCTTTTAAATTTGCAGATTTACCTTCCTATCAACTTATTTGAAGCTAACATTAAGATGAGTTTGCCTTCCCTGAGCAAATGAGCACAGGTGTTAGTCCAGAAATTGCAGGAAACCAGAATGTAACCAGCCACACCGGGCAAGGAATGGTGTGATAATTACAGAGTTCCTCGAGCCTGGGTGTGGCGTGCCTGCCCTGCAGGCTCTACATCTGCAGTGTTCTGCCCATGTTACACCTGGTCCTCATATCTAGAGACAACCAGTCTCCTTATCTAGTCCTGCCCATTTCCACTGTCTCATCCTGAGGACGAGCATCATACTCTATTCTTTTTGCCTCTCTGTTCCCACCGTTTAGTGCTGTCCTTGACATAGGGTGTGCATTCAATAAATGAACTTCTGCCCGTTGGTTAATGAGTGATATCAATAATTGCATACTTCTCTATGTAGATTATGGTTTAAGGAATATGTATTGAGCACTTACTATGGGCTAGGTATTGTGCTAGGGGCTTTTGTACTATTTGAATCTTACAGCAACCCCCTTCACCTGTCATCAATGGGGAAATTGAGGCTTAGGGACGTAGTATAGTTTAACCAAAGTCACACACACTTGGCTCGGCATGATTCAAGCCCAGATATCCCCACGTTCAGACTCAGTTCTCTGATTTCTTTATGTCATGTTTCCCTGCCTTGCAAAAACATTGAGTGAGTTTCTCCTCCCACTGTTAACCTGGGGTTTCCTCCCAACCGATTCCCCGGGATCTCACTCTCAACCCTCAAGTTGAAGGAAAGTTCCTCCTTCTCTGACTGTAAACAGAGAATTCTGTCTTCATGGCGCGAGACCCTGAGTGTCATCAAATGCCACTGCCCACAGTGAGTCCAGGAACGGAAGCCGCTTTTGGAGTTTCCAGCAGGGGCTGGCTGTGAAACAACCACGGGCAAGGCCTGTGTATGTGTCCTGAACGCGGCCTCACAGATTAAAATAGTCGTCACGGTGACCAGAAAATTGGATTGGTTAAACCTTCTGGTTTTAGATTGTTTTTGGAGAGTGAATAACTCTATGATTTTTACTTGTCACAGGCTAAAATGAAAAAAAAAAGTAGGAGTGCAACTTCATAGCTATTTTTCTTTCCTGTATGTTCATAGTGGTTATTTATATCTGGGAAGTTTCCACTGGGATTTAGTTCAGGATATAGACTTGGCAGGGTGGCTTCTGCACTCTGTGGTGACATTTGACAGACTGCAGGCAAAGCAGGATGGATTTCTCATGTCTAGATGGAAGGATCTGAGGGCAAAGTGTTGGGATTGGACTGTATTATAAAATGGATTTATGGATCTGAATCCAAAAGTGGCTCATTGCCTGTCAATATGAGATCTGTATCAATAACGTTTGATAAATTAGGCCTCCCGACCCTTTGCTCTGTTTGCTTTATCAACTCTACTCGGCAATAACAATAAAAGACTCCAGGTGGTGTATTTGGAGTGGCTTACTGAGCTTGCCATGTGCATTCCTGACCTTAGGGCCCAGCTCTGTGATCCTGCACATGTTATAACCCCCAGAAGGGCACTGCTGTGCCTGACTTCCTCCCCAGAATTAGACGTTCCCCTGCTAAGCTGCATTTCAATATCAGCCTCATGCATTAACCTTGAAACGCTGTGCCCATGATGTAGGTAGCGTCTTCATTTTCCAGATGAAGAAATTAAGACACTGAGAGGTTAAATGAGCTGCCCAAGGCCACACAGTAAATCTCGAATACAGCTGGGTTCCAGATAAAGGTGTCATGGTCGCTGGGGGAGGGTATGACACTTTCGTTCTCTGTAGTTACAGACTAAAAGGAGCTGAATTTGCACAAAGCTTGCTGATAATACACTTTTTTTTTTCCAGAGGTGGTGTGTCTGCTGTCTTATCTCCAACTCTTGGGGGAAGCAGTCCATGTCCCTGTGTAAGAAATACAGGGTTCTCACGCCTGTAATCCCAGCATTTTGGGAGTCCGAGGTGGGCAGATCACGAGGTCAGGAGATCGAGACCATCCTGGCTAACACGGTGAAACTCCGTCTCTACTAAAAATGCAAAACAATTAGCCGGGCGTGGTGGCGGGCGCCTGTAGTCCCAGCTACTTCGGAGGCTGAGGCAGGAGAATGGCGTGAACCCGGGAGGCGGAGCTTGCAGTGAGCCGAGATAACGCCACTGCACTCCAGCCTGGGCGACAGAGCGAGACTCCATTTCAAAAAAAAGAAAAAAGAAAAAAGAGAAAGAAATACAGGGTTCTCTTGGGTTTTGGCAGATAATATGCTTTGTTTAGTCTTTGCAGCCGCAGACCAAGGGTGAAGACTTTCTTCATCCCATAAATGCTGGCCTTTATGGAATGGTTCTTATAATGCCACAGATATCTTTTGGAAAGGGAAGGGAAACTCTGTGCCCAGCCAGATCGATATTAGGTGGGGGAAAGCAGGGCAGTGGGGACGCTGTTGACAGAAACAGAAGACCAGTTCTTCCCCCAAAAGTGCTTACATTTTAGTTGGTGGGAATGAGTGAATGCCAATTTGTATCACCAAATCTCTTCATTTGTGGGCTGTAGAACTCTATGGTAGGTGAAATGGGCCCTGCAACTCCATTCACAGGCTCACAGCTGCAGCACAATAATAACGAATGATTGCAATGTGCCAAATCCACACACTGCATACACTTACCCAGCCAATCCTGGCAACTACCTCGAGTGTGTTTCACAAAAGTCTTTGGAATTGGCAATATGTGTGTGCGCCACTTGGGGTTGAGATATAATTCTTAGTGTATAGCTGATCTCTTTGGCGTAAATTATGCTGCTCTTTTCCTTTTGAGTGTCTTCTGAAATTTTGAATTAAAATTCTCTTTACTCTATCATCATAATGATGATAAGCTGGAATAGAAAACCAAAGGGATAATTATCTGGTGAAATATAGCAAAACATTTACGAACCGGAAGTAAACGGAGTTTTATCATATTATCTGGAGCAAACTTTTTTTGAAAAAAAATTTGTGGCTGAAAATTTAAAGTATATCATGGAAGCATACTGATATTTCTAGTTTCTTGCCTTAGCATAGATGATACAATGAGGATAACTCAATTTCCCCTTTTGTAGAGCCTCAGGGGGTTATCATTCCAAAGACCAGACTTTTTTCTTTTTGGGGGGTGGTGGGTCGAGAGGATGTAGGGCATTAGAGAACTGATGATTTTTAGCTTGAAATTTTTGATAATAGTTTATTTCAAATACAGTGAGTTGAGGAGCACAGTTTTCACAATCTCACTCTCTTTCTTCTGCACCCAATCCATATGCTCCAAGACTCAAGGAAGAAAGACAATTTTACCTGAAAATACTGTTGGAAGTGTAGATCTCCCCAGAGAGTCAGATCTAATTGGTTTGGCGTGGCTCTAGCAATCTTTGCTTTTGATAAGCACACTGTGCTTTCCTAGCAAGCACCCAACATGTGTATTGCAATCTTCATTTCTTACAGGCTGGATTCTGTGGCTCACACTTTGAGAAACCATGTCAGAGGCAGAAAAGCAGGCTCTAGAGCAGGTTCCCCATGGAGCAGGAGAAGGAGTTTGTGTTTAGAAGAACCCAGCTCCCGGAAGATGGTTCCGTGGGTGACGTGGTGGTGACTTTTAGTCAATGACCAACTAGTGTTACAATCTCACAGAAAATTTAAACCTTACATCTTACCCCAAATTTGTTTACAAATATTTATTTATTTAATTAAATTCATTAATTTATTTTTGACAGGGTCTGGCTGTGTCACGCAGGCTGGAGTGCAGTGGTTTCATGACAGCTCACTATAGCCTTGAACCTTCCAGGCTTAAGCGATCCTCCCATCTCAGCCTCCTGAGTAGCTGGGGCTACAGATAGGCACCACCACGCCCGGCTAATTTTTGTAGAGAGGGGGTTTCACCATGTTGCCCAAGCTGGTCTTGAACTCCTGGGCTCCAGTGCTCCGCCTGACTCAGCCTCCAAAAGTGCTGGGATTGTAGGTGTTTCCCCAGGCACAAACATTTATTGAAGACATTTCTTTGGGATCCCAGGATCTGAATGAGAAACAGCACAATATGAATTACAGGGAAATGCATTTATTGTGAGAGCTGTTTTTTTATAGTAGGAAGAATTTATTTCATGCCAATAATATATTATTTGATTGATATTATTGAATTATAGGAAATATATGAATATTATTTGATTGATCTTAACAGATTACAGGAAATCTATGAGACAAAAACACCAGAAAATGATTACATTAGAATTATCCATCTAGCCATTTGTGTACCAGAAAAACAAGCATTATTTAAAATCGTTGCTGATTCTGTCAAATGGAGAAATTATTCATAGAGAGCATTTTCATTACTTTCAAAACAACAACAGTACTAGGACCAAGCATAAGTGTGTGTGTGTGTGTGTGTGTGTGTGTGTGTGTGCACATGGCTTTCAGGTACATATCAGCAAACAAACCATGTACTAATAATAAAACAACAAATAGCAGCAATTTAATTAAGCACTATTTATGTCAAAGTATCTGAATAGGGATATGATTACAAAATTATATGTAAAAATTTGAGGCAAAGAGGAGATATTTTTCTTTTCTTGTATTCAACTCCACATTCTGCCATTGTCTAGCAGCTGTATTTTGAGCTGCCAAGCTGGGTCTTGACTTGGTCCAAACCTTTTCTGAGAGAATAGTCTATGCAAGCTGGCAGGTTGTCAAGCTGTGTGTGGTCCTCGTACCAGCAAATGAGTAAATCAGAGTTATAAGTTGCAAATGTGCCTCAAATTAACTTCTGCATAGTAGGGAATGAACTTGGCATCATTTAAAGTCCGGCTCAGTGACAGCCTTCTCTCACAGCAGCTTAATCAAAAAGATGATGGAAAATTGAGGCATGGTGGGCCTCGAAGCTTCCACAGGGTGTGAACTCAGTGTACTGTGCTTGAAATGTCACATTCTGAGAGGTCCTGGAATTGCCAGGCTCGGTGTCATATTGCGCTGTGGGCTCTGTTCACATGATGCAAGCACTTGCTTATCTGACCAGGCCTAAAATAAGACGCTCCAATGCTTTATTTATGAGCTTGGGGCCACACAGGCCCATGATGTAAGTAACCTTGGGGTACACAGTATTTGATCACTTCAATTCCCATTAACTACCTGTTTCTAAATGGGGAAAAGCATTTACCCAGCACATTGCGTTATTCATGAAGACACAAAAGCAGCCTGTTGTGCTGTCACTGGGACTGATTTCCATGTAATGCGATCCAGCTGTTGAACACTGCAGATTGTCAGTTTCTAATGTTAGTTTTCTCCTTCTCTCTTCCTCTTTTTTTTCTTTTTCTTCTTCCTCGCCTGTTCTTTCTCCATCCTTCTTTTTTTCTCCATTCTTAAAAAGAACATTGGCCAGTTCTAGACACTGTTAGCCTGAAACTGTATATCAAGGAGTTATGAGCTGTTCCCCTTTTCAATATAGAAGGTCACAAGTTGGCAGCAGAGAACCCGTTTTACATAATGCTGAGATAATTTAGTGCAGTGTTTCTTGACTACGGTTCTATTAATGTTTTGGACCTGATAGTTCTTTGTTGTGGGGGCTGTCTGTGAATTGTAGGATGTTTGGGGCATCCTCTATTCACTAGATGCTGGTAGCACCTATCCATTTATGATAACCAAAGATGCCTGTAGACATTCTCAAATGTGCTCTGGGAAGCCATGTTGTCCCTGGTTGATTTAGTGTGACAGCTTGCTGGGTCTTTGTTAATGAAAAATCTCTGTGACTCTCCTTGAGACTGTACACATGTGGTTATTAGATGTGGATTGGGAGGCAGAGAACATGGGTTTGAATCCTGGTTCCAACACTTATTGTCTGTGTGACTTTGGGCAAGGTAGTTAGCCTTTCTAAGCCTTAACCTCTTCACCTATTAAGAAGGCTTAATACATAACTTAAAAGGTAACTGAACACCAGTGAACTAATATGTCCAAAGGATATGTCACATGATACATGCTCAAAAATTGACAATCCGACCATAAGATCTAATATATGAAATATTATAATTGTCAACTTTAACATGTAGAGAAATAAAAGGCAGTTCTGTGCACCCCTGTAATCATGTGTTGCTCAATTCTGCTTTTGTCCTTCTTTTCTTTCCCTGTACTTCTACCCCTGGTCATTCTTATATTTGAGGAATAGATTAATTATGGCCAAGGACATGAGACTGGGAGATTGGAAAGAGAAATGGTGAGGGGCCTGGAAGAGAAAAGTTTCCTGGTGGGATTATTCTATTAGGAAGCCCCAAGGGAGGTGTGGACAATTCATTTAGTTTATTGAATGTGAAAATATAGAAAGATTGTAAAAACAAAGAAACCCTCAACACGCCATTAATCTGAACCCTACTCTTCACTCAACAGATGCCAAATCTATCCTGTGTCTTTTGCTTTAGGAGAAAGTAGAATCACTTTCCTTATTCAGGAATGAGGGTGACAAATGTTAAGTCTGTTTTCTTAGGAAACAGCTGAGAAAACAGTCAAAATGATTCCATGTGACTAGCACAATTTTCTGCCTGGCTCGTCAAAGTCTGAGTCTCTTTTGAGCTGTATCTAAATCTAGAAATAAGGGCCAGGCTAAGGAGGAAGGAGTAGCCATCAGACAGCTGGTTAAAGCTATTATCTTTGACATCTCTCTTTCAGCCTTCACACCTATATTGTACAGAGCCTCTCAAGTCTGCTACCTGCCAGCAATTAAGAAAACCTTGGCAAAAACCCTACTCTTTCTATTTGCCATGACACTCTCCTTTCTGAGGGTGTTGCAATTTCATTCATTTCTGCAGGTCTCTTTTCCTTACATCCATCCTCTTTCTAGTCTTTTCTAGTTGCACCACAGCACGCGAGGGTAGGAAAGGAAATGAATGATCATCAAGTTCATTGACTGAATTACTTCTGGACCATTCCTGATGCATTCCATATGTCTTCTCCTTAGATGATTTCAGAGATGGGGAGTTCACTGTTATGTGAGGTGGGATGCTCTGCTTCTGACCCACAGTCTCTAATATCTGCACCTAATATTCTTCCAATAAGTGCATGATGAGGATCCACTTTGTGCTGGGTTCCAAATATTAATAATAATAATAAAATATAGCTTCTGCACTCAAGGAGTGAATTATGGTCATGATGATATGTTGAGTGGATGTAAATTATTCATTTACTCCTTCATGAGCAGTTCTGGTGAACCAGGTACTTTGCTGGGGGCTAGGGATACAATGGAGCAAGGATGCCATCCCTACCCTTGTGGAAATTGCAGTATAATGGAAGAGAAAGACATGAGTCAGAAATTCACCTTAATTAAATATAATTGCAATGAGGAAAAGGGGCATGGTTCTGAGTACATATAACCATAAAATTTGACTCCAGCTGAGTGGAAAAAGGGGATGGAGAAAGGTTTCCCCAATAAACAGACTGTTTTCTCTGAGTTGTGAAGGGTGATTGGGAACTGATGGGGTTCTGAGGCTGGGAGGGATGGTGAGGGGCTGGCATCCCCGTCAGGAAGATGGAATTGCTGTGACAGGAGTGAGCTTGGGGACTCTGGGAGTGATGGGAGCCAGCAGGACTGGAGTCCTGAGAGCAGAGGTTGAAGAACTCAGCAGGGTTTCAGGGGCTGTAGATTTTGGTCTTTATCTTAACATCAAGGCTATCGAGACTTTAAGAATTGTTTAGGGGGTGAAGATGACATACGTGGTCATGGTTGGCTATGGGACAGATAGATCAGTAGAGGGAGAAGACAACCTAGGATAAATGTCATGTGAGCACTGAGGATAGAGCCACAAACTCTGCCGCTGAGGTCACAGCAGACTTTATGGAGATCGTGACATCTGAGTCCTTATGAAGTAAGGGAGGGCATCTTCCAAGCCAGCAAGTGAGGGAAGGTGTTCCAGGTAGGAAAACTGCAGCTACAGAGATAAGCAGGCCTGAAGACTCATAGGAATATTCCAGAACACATCAAGTTATCTGTCATGGACTAGAGCACAGGGCCAGTGCTGGGGGTGGGCGTCAGGACGAGGCTGTAGCCAGCTGGCCTAGAGCCCTATAGACCACACCAGGCGTGTTGGGCTCTGTCCTGAAGATGAGGCTCTGAAGGGAGCCTTGAGTGGGAAAAGTGAGAGCCTCAGGTGGAGGTTTAGAACTGTCACTCGGCTGTGGTGTGGAGGTGGAAACTGGAGGCTGGAACATCCAGTGTAAGGTCATGTTGCAGTCAGTGTGAGGGGTAAAGAGATCTCTCATCAGGGCAGCAGTAGTGGGCTGGAGTTATTAAGCAGGAGAGAATCAATAGAATCTAGTGTTGGGTTCTAGCAGGGCACAGCACTCTGATTATTGCCTCCCTAATAGCTGGAGAAATGCTGGCTAATGTTAACATGAATCTGTACAAAATGTGGCTTGGAAGAAAACTTGACAGCGGAGCAAAACGACAGGGATAAAATATTCAACCACATACAGAAGCCACAATGAGTTTCTCCCATGTTATCTGCTGTTTTGGATTGTTCATGCACCTGTTCATTTTCTTTGTCAAAAGCAGAGTACTATTTATAAAACACTGTTTCCCCCCTCCCGAAACATCTGGATGTTTGGAGTTGCACAGATAAAACATCTGGATTTAGGCCTGAAATTTTTGCTTATTCTCGCAGATGTTTGGCGTCCCATTGACAAAACTGGTGGGTCTTCCTGAAGAGCCATCTCATAAAAGTAGGTGCTAAACAAGGCGTGAGCCTGCAGATGCATTTTAATGGGTATAAGAATGGAAAACCCCCACATTAAGAGCCTATAAGATAAAACACATTGTGAGTCCAAAGGGATTGAAACATTTTTCTGGTTGACCAATAAGGATGCAAAATAATATGTCTGTGCTTGCAAGAAGCATTTTATTTTTCAGATGAATATTTGCTTGGAACAACTGGGGGAAGGGGAGGCCAGGGAAGATTAAAATGTTACCCCTGTCTTCCAGCTGAGTTCAAGTCTATTGTTTAACTTGGCTGCCAGAAAAGAGCTAGACACCCTGAAAGTTCAAGTTCATTCTTTCCTAAATAGCCTTTTTTTCTTTTACAAAAGTATTTTCTAAGCTTTTTGTTTGTTTGTTTTGCTTTTTACTAAACTTTTGTGATATTTTGTAAAAGAGTGATCCACAAGGAATTTGGGCAATTATTTAACTATAGAAAGTATACACAAACTTTAGAAAAGTAAAGCTACATTATAAAATCCAGGGCAGGAGAGACATGCTTAAAAGAATGGGTGAATTGTGTTAGCAAATTGAGAGTGAACTGTCTTGACCATTCCTACAGCTGGAGGTGGGTTAGTTTGCTTTCTCTGTCTTCCTGCCACCCCTCAGCAGCAGAGTTTCTCTTGTATCCTCAAATATTTTGTATCTTTGGATGAGAGGGGGATGTGACTGTCTCAGGTCATGCCACCAATGATCTCAGAGTTCAGTGAGGCTGCTTGGATGGACTGGGGAGAGGCTCTTCTCCCTCCCTGCCTCTAGGGTGTACCCAACTTAGACCCTGGCTCTGCTGAAAAGCTACTTACCCCTGCCAGATAGAGAACAGCCTTAGGGCCAAGGGTATATCTGACTAGCTACATTCCTCTGCTAGAACTACCTCTGTTTGAACTACTGTCAAGGCAAAATTGCTTTATATCCCAATTTTGATGATATTAGCAAATACATGTAATGGGAAATAAAATTAATCAGTTTGTGCTTGTGAAATTGCCTCCTGTTTACCTCAGCCTTGTAGCGATTTTTCCCCCTCCTACAGGGGTTATTTTAATTAACAGCGTGAATTTTTGGTAGTTTAATTTATTTTATGATTGTGTAAAAATACTCCTTTGTAAGGGTTTATATATAACTAGCCAGCTAATTAGCAGTAATATTTTAACAACAGCTGTAGAAGCAGGGAGTCCCATGAAACATGGCTTCTCCCTTCAGACTGCCAAGATATTTATTGGTGCCTTTTCTTATCAGCTCTGGCTGAAGGCAACAAAGGAGGGTAGTGTGAGCATCAGATAATTAAAAGAGAAGTAAGCATTCAAGTCCTCCTCTCACCTGACACCCAGAACTTCCTAAGGACTTCTGTGTCTCTATGCCTCTGATTTAAGACTCCATCTCTTTGGCTTCTAGTTCTTCCAAAGTCTATTATATATTCCTTGTGAGCCTTAATATAAGACATACCTTTCCAGAAAATTATGGGTAGTCTTTTAAGGGCATTAATTTAAACTAATAGCAGTCACCAGCATTTGTACTACACTTTCCATTTATACAAAGCATTTTTGACATAGAGCAAAGTACACCTTGCATTCTTTTAATTTACTTGAATTCAAGTGGAAAAACTGAGGAGAGAGCTGAGGTGCCTGGGGTGGGAGAGCGGGTGGGAGAGATCAGAGACACAGAGACATGGAGAGTCAGAGAGAGAATAAGCGAGACAGGTAGAAGAAACTCCTCTTTCTATAGCCAACACAAACCCACCCGTTCCCTTCCAATCCCCCATCTTCTTCCTGACCTGGCATTTATTTTGCTGCATTGGCATTGGGTTTGAGAGAGTGCACACTCATTAACCACCCTGAGTGAGATTCTAGTGTGCAAAGAAAAGTGGTTTATTTTTCATACCATATATATACACTTTTTTTTTCTACCCAAAACAAGCCAACTACTTACTCTGGAGCTCAGCATGAATTCTGCCTATGCACTATTTTCCCCTGACATGTGTAGATTTTAGATTCTACCTCCTGCATAAGTTTGTGATCCTCATTACCCTGTGAGAGTGGATATTCCTAGCCCTGTCTTATATCCCTAATCTCATTTTATAGATAGAGACACAAAGGGTTAGAAAAGTCAAATGACTTGTACAAGATCACGCAGGAAGCTAGTGGTAGAGAGACAACTGGAACTACACCAGCCCTCAGATGCCTGTGATTTTGGTTTGTTTCCTTAAAGCATGCTTGGGAAGCTTCTCTTTATTTTCCAAGAGAGGGGAGACCATTCTTTCCTGTGAACCCACTGAGTTTTGCCTTGTTTATAGCACACTTGCAGTTTTCTTGTCATGGTTTATTTGCATGCTTATTTCCTTCATGGACCATCAGCTCCTCAAGAGAGCAGACTTTCCTTGTGCCTGCCTAGCTTGGTACCTGATCCATAGTAGATGCTCAATAAATAACTATTGAGTGGATGAAAAAAATTAGACTAAGTTGAACCTGACTTTCCAGTGCAAGCTTCTGTGTAGTAAGAAACCTAAATTTCTGATTCATTGCTTGATATCCAACTTATTATACTAATAGTTGTGTCTAAAAATGCTATATGTGCTGTGGTAGCAAAGTGCCTGAAAGATAGCAATGGCTTATATATTAACCATTATTATTTCCCCATCTTTAGTAAATATCTATAGGAAACAGAATGTAAAAATTCCCAAAGAATGTCTCAAGCAGGAAAATATAGGGAATCGGTAATCAGATACACTTAGCATGTTCATGTGGGTACACACCTACATGTAATCTCATACACTTAGCACTTAGCATGTGGATATGGGTACATGCCTACACACACACACACACACACACACACACACACACACACACACACACACACATATACAACCTTGGATTGATAGGATTCACTTAACAGATCTTCTGGAGAGGTAAAATGCCCAAGGAGAGGTGGATAGGTAAAATGTTCTTGAGAAGCCTTTTTGTACATTTGATCACTCCAGTGACCAATATAATAACTTACGTTTGTAGAGCATCATACATTTCACATACAGGAGTGCTGCAATGCTGTTGAGATCAGTGGCTTAATTTAATAGATGCTGTGTGTCCAGGACTTTAACATGGGGTGTCAATATCTGACACAGAGGAGGCTGAGTGATCTCATTTGGCTTTCAGCATAACTCCGTGAGTGGCTACTCTTATTGTCTGTATTTGGCAAATAAGATACTCTAAGAAGTTAATGACCTTGTTGCAAGTTCTCTAGCTAATCAGTGATAGAGCCAGGAGTCAACCCACCAAAGCCTATGCTTTATTTTATTTATTGTAAAATAACATCACTAACAATGCATTTACATGTGTGGATAGGTAATAACTAAGTATAAAGGCAGTTCATGGTAGTACTGAGAGGGTGATACTGTGTGTAGTGGTTAGAGATGAGGCTCTGGAATTAGGTAAATTACAAAACTTGGCAGAGTCAAGCTCTGAGCCCAGGTTACAGAACCTTACCTCTAACCACTACACACAGTAGGCTCTATAACTTGGGCTCAAAACATGACTGCCGCTTATTATCTGTGTGACTTTTATCAAGTTACCTAACCTCTCTGTGTGTCGATTTCCTCATCCACGTGGAAGCTATATTAGCACTTATCTATCTCATGACATCTTGAGGATTATGGGAGATGATGCCATTGGCTGAGTGCCGGGCACATCACCAAGGCTCAGTGATAGCTTCCTAAGTGGGTGGCAAGTCCTGAGTTCTGTCGCTATGGCAGTGTCATCTTCCTGGGTCACCCTATCTTCATTCGAAAAATGACAGGCTAGAAGATGTGATCTATAAGGCCCCTTCCGCCTATAAAGTTGTTGCCTCTAGCATAGTTTTGCAGTGTCTTATGGATAATGTGAGCCCCCTCAGTATTTCTGAAACGTTTTCATTCTCTGTTGAAGAGAGAAAATAGTAACATGAAGTGGGTAGAGAGAGAGGAGAAAAGAGGAATTATAAGAGCATCAGTAGGGGATGGATGAAGGACTGGGTGTCATATGACAAGTAGCTAAATTGGCCATTACGGGTATCGAACTCCATTTGGTGTGTAATAGTAGGTGAGCACTTGGCCATATGAAACTCATATCTATATATCAACTTTCCCTAAACACCATCTCAACTAATGAGCACTGAATGAGGAATGGAGATTTGGTTGGGCAGAGATAACAGCAGAAAATATGAGAAATATAAGTACAATACTGTAATTAAAGGAAAACCACTGTGACTTATGACCTCCATCTCAATTCCTTTATTCTTTCTTTTCCTGTCAAGCAGCATAAAGCAAGAACTCTTATGGAAAGTAGACAGAGGAAGCAACATTTCTTTAAAAAATCTAAAAAAAAAAAAATCCAATCTCGGAATTACTATTGATGGGGAAACAATGAAGTGTTAGATAATTCTGAGATTCCCACTGCAAGAAAACAATAATTATATTTTGTATTTTATTATAATAATAGGTTCTGGGCTAAATGTACAAATCTAATAAAACCATAGTACCAAGCTACAAAAGGCTTCATGAATTGGAAATGGAGTGAATTTACATGTTTTTGGCACCTGCCACCCAATTCCCCAATAATAAGATCTATAATTTCCTGCTAAGCACATGCACAACTCTTGTGAATGTAGCTCTATAAAAGGGCCAAAGACTGTTTTCAGTGCGCATGTTAATTTCTTATTGGCCTTCCAGTCCCGCTTCTTCATGTCTAACCTTTTAGCCATTTAAATGCATTGAAAGTATTGAGACAGACTTTTGTAACTTTTAAGGGGATTTTCGAACATATAAGTAGCTGTACAAGACCAGAAAAATGGTGAGTCATCCTGGGCTTATTTAAGAGTGTTTCAAAAACACTAGGTGTCATTTGTACACATTTAAAGAACACTGTGTGTTTGCAGATGGGGCAGGATATGTGAGTATGTGTTTGAAAGGCTCAGGGCACAGCAGAAAAATGCTGCTGCTTTGATAGGACCGTCTGACATGACAGTTTAGTGCAATTTTCTTTAGTGCAGGGTACAGGTGTAACTAGAAGTTGATGTTGGCATGGCAAGTGCAGTGGGATAGATGAGGTTTCATTTTTCTGCTCCACCTCTTGGTACTGGCGAAGACCTCTAGACTAAAAGCAGATGCCTCACAGAGCCTCGCACATGGCATTTCCATGCACATCTTAAGGTACTGCACCAGGTCCCTGGAAGTCCTCTGTCTTCAAGATAAAGGGAGGTATCATTGCTGATGACAGATTTCAGGGTGAGTCCCATTTTATGACTACCTTAGTGCCAAGCCCACAAGAGAATACATGAAGAGGTCATCAGGAGTGTTTTTTGTCCTTAGATAAAGCTTGCTCACTCCTCCCAAAGACCCACCCAGCATCAGATGGGTGTCTGCTCATGATACGACCCGAAAGTCTGGAAATTCTCATTATAAAGCTTCCGGATACATGCCAAAAGTTTCAAAACTGTTGGCTGACAAGTAAGAAAGCAATAGTATGTATACCAATTTCGTTTTCTTCTTTGATTTGGTTGATATGCCGTCCCACAGCAAGGATTTTATTCCTTTAGGCTCACACACAACCCTGGGATATTGATGGTAACTTAATTGCTAGTGGTGGGAGTCTGAGATTGTTAATCCATATAGTCACAGGATGAAGGAAAACACACCTCTGAAAAACTTGCAGTTTCTCCACTGTGGGTCCCCCACCCTCTAACACTTTCTGCTCTCCTTTTCTGCTTGGAAAAGGCAGTTCAGTTGAGCTGAGTCACCTCCTCTGATCACTTCCTTATCAGCTGTGGATGAGTCTACCTTACCTTTGCCCCCAGTCTCATTTAATTAGATATAAGCCTACCTCAAAGTCAATTCATTCTGTTTCTTAACATTGACTGCAGTTTCTCTTTTGGCTAACTCCTTGCCTTTCCCTGTGATTGAAGCAGTGGAGGTTGATAATTCATTTTGTTCTGCCATTATTGATTTGGTGGCTCTGGTCCAAAATTTGAAAATTTCTCTCCAGGTTGTTCTTGCCCTTGGTTTTTACAAAGACATTGCATAAAATGCAAGGTGTAGGTCAGAAATAGAAACATCAGTGCTACTTTAGGGTATGAGGGTCCACTTTCAATTGTGAAAGAGGCTTATTGTTAATTACAGAGATTTCCAAGGGCATCAGACAATTCTCATGTGGTGGCTGGGAAAAATCCTCCTTACAAATGCTTTCTAAACTGAGAATGGATTTGAAAGACCATGTCTGCCCCAGCTCAGAAATTATTCCCTCATAAAGGACTTGTGTAAAGGTTTTCAAGATACCTTTATGTGAAAGATAAACTATATTAAGGGCCCAAGAGCTTCTGCTCACCACGTTTTTTACTGAGGTCTTCCTTTCTTGATTCTTATAAATGTCAGTTTCTTAAAGTCACCACCCCCCTAGGATTTAAGATTCTGAATCCGTAAGTGGATGCTTCTCTGACATTTTTTCTTTAGATTCTAGGTACCTTGGTGGTTGTTAAGTGGCCAGTGGAGTTTTTTCTTGATGCATCATTACTAAAATAAGATTACTGGTGTCCTCTTACCTTGCCTTAAACAATATTCCCAAAATGAGTATTTCAGAAGTGCCAAGAGCCAAAAATTTGTGGTGTGGAGTTCTTGCAGAGGCTAACGTGTCTCCATTATTCCTCTAGAGTGTGATGTTTTGTTTTCATGTTGCAAATACTTGTAATAGAGGACTATCCTAAAAAGAAAGAACAGAACAGAAAAGAAAAGCATATCTTACTTTGTTTCATTTTGCCCAATTAGTATGACGAGCTGAGCCAGTGATCACTGGGGTCTGTTTATTGGATTACGTGAAAGAGCAGTGGAAATGAACAGGATACATTACTTTCCCAGGCTACTTTACTTCTATGTAAAGGTGGATCCTTTGAATTAGCACATAACCACAGTAGTGTGTAAGCGTCTTACTTTTCTCCTCTGATTTTTTAAAAGACAAAGATAGAATCCATGACATTGTCTTATATTTTTAGAAAACTGGTAGTAGATGCCTTCCAGAGACACTTATTCTAATTGGAGCTAAATTCTTCCCTGTCTTCCTTCCCATCTAATTTGATATCATGGTTCTCTATAAATAAAACAAGCCTGTAATGCCAGTGTATCATTGGCTTAGAGATCAACACAGCATTGACCTCATGCCTGTAATGAACTCAGTTTTCTGTGATCAGATAGTGAAACTATAACTGGAAAAAGTATTTTTTCCTGAAGCTAAATAGAAAACCCAAAGATGCAGCCACCCTCTAAGGACTTTTAAAATATTTCCCTTCTGTCAGTCACGTCTGTTATAAACAGGTAGTGTGAAGATCTTTATAAGCCTCGCTGGCTGTCAGTTACCAAAGTGTCCAGCTAAAATCAGGGAAAACTCTTACTGTGTTAAGTATGCTGGTTCCATGCAGCAGAATCCAAATCTGCCCATTGTGCTTTCATTTCAGTAGGCCCTCTAGATTCTTAATTACAACACGGGCTAATTATGCAGTCAAAGTTCTAAACCGCACTGGATTTGCACAGCACATCTCTCCTCCCTGGCGTTATTGTATTGGTTTTCCCGACCCTGTCAGACTGAGATTTAAATCCTGAACCTGACATTCATTGTGTTCTGTGTATCAGCTTTTCCTGCCTTTCTGAATTACGTGCCCAATAAAGTTCTCATCTCTGTCACAGGTCAGGACTTAGTCTTTTATAAATTCTTAGGCTGGGACCATTTAAATTCTGTTTTTGATTTTATCCTGCCTCTTCAAATTATTTGCCTTGTAAGCGCTTTAACTTTTTGGTCTTTAGCCCTAGCTTCTTAGACTATTAATTTTTTTTTTTAACCTGTGTGACCATTGAAGCACATTTATAGAAAATCTCACTGACAGTGAGTTAGCTCCATTCTAGAGAAGGAAGAGAAATGTTTGGAAGGTTTTCAAATGGGAGTATTTACTAAACCTTGGGTGTGTATATGTGTGTGTGTGTGTGTGTGTGTGTGTGTGTGTGTGTATGTGTTTGTGTGTGTCCTCTTAGTGCAGGTAAATGAGGAAATCATCAGCTATTAGAGCCCATTGAGTCTGGTATGTGTAGAATGTTCTCTATTCAAGCTTTTTCTCTGCCACTTATTTGGTGTTTGGCTGCCATTTCAATGGGACGGTGTCTTAGTTTCCTCTAAATCCATTTGATAGAGAGAGAAGGAGAAGAAGGAAGATGAGAAAAGAGAGAGAGAGAGAGAAAGACAGAGAGAGAACTCTTTAGTACAATGTGCATTTTGAATGGCTTATGTATGATACATGAACAGACCAACATATCACATCATATCACATCATATTTGCTTGGCTATTGGGTGATTTGTTAAAATATTTTTATTTCTTTGTTTTAAATTGTGGAGGAAATTCTCAAATCTCATTTTATTTGCATCTGCTTCTAAGTGAGACTTCTGACGGTTGTTCTTACAAATTCCAAAACACTTTGGAGACACATTTTTTCTGGCCTTTCCTTAAGAAGAAAGGGGGCCCAAGGCAGGCAGTGCTGGGCCTCTGTGGTCCCAGGGCCCCTCTGCAGCCTTGGGATCCTTGTGTGGACACTCTCAGTCAACTCCTGCTTGCCCTAGATTTCCCTCCATCCATCTCCTCATCACACTTACCTGTCTTTGACCCCTTTCCTTCACGATTTGCTTTCTGCCAGCTAAATCAATAAATATATGCATGCAGATATGTTAGAAGCTGCTAATTAGCCAAAATGTTACTACTTCTAAATAGAATTATTTGCATTTTAGCATAATCCTTCTAGGACAATGCCCTGAGTCAAAAAGATGGTGCTTGTGGTGAGGCTTTTGTTTGATCCTGTGGGTATCTTCTAATCAGGCCAGGCTGAAAGCTAGGTTCCCTGCACTAGCATAAGAATGAAACTGACTCTACTATGACAGTAGCAGCATGTCTTTATAAATTTTTTAAAAAGTATATTTATGTATTGTGCATCCCTGTATTACTATGTGGGCAGCTTATTGATCCCAGCAGCTGCTGAATTTTTAGATGCCATTTATGATTGTTCCCGTGATATAGTGAAATATACAAGTCAAATTTGATCAGTGTTTCTTAAAAAGGTCAAGTACTTCTATATAACATTAGTCTGCAGGCATTCGGAGATGTCCTCTGCCAGTCCAAAGGAAGTTGGACAGGTATATGGAGCTAATAGAGTCACAAATTGGAGGCTGGCAAAGCGGTGACAGTGGAGTTTAAGCAAACCTTGCTCTGCATCACTAGTTAAACGGATGTGAGATCTCTTGGAGAAGGGAACGATGTGATTTCGCGGGGTTACTTCCCTTGTACAAAGAATCAGCTGTGATTCTGCTCCAGGATTTTTTTTTTCAATCCAGAATTTTTTTTTTTTCAATCCTTCCTGTCCCTCTCTCAAGAAGTAAAGAACGGAGTCGGATCATGATAGCTGCCTAATCCAGTCACGTCACATGCCGAACTGCCTGGTAATTTCATTGTCACACCAAAAGACAGATTGAGACATATTTCAAAAACGTGTTTCATGGTGACCTGAAAGGTTATGTATTTGAAGACAGCCACAGAAAAGTAGACAGTGTATACCATTTTGTGTGAATTTGAAAAGTTTTTCTCTTAAATTGAAGGGAAAATGGGAAAAAACAATGACCAAATACTAGTCTATTTTCTTTGCTAGAATAGTTGTTACTTTTTTCCCCTGGAAAATAAATAGGTTACTATCTAGGTCTTTGTGTTTCTCTACCTCAACTTTATTGTATGTCTTGTCAGTTTCACTCTGGCACTATTATATTTGACAAGAAAAGGGCTGGATTTTGAGTTGGCAAAAAAAGGAAGAAAAAAAAAAGCACATATCCCAAATATCCAACTAATGGTTAACGGCACCCCCATTCTTTGTGTTTCCTTATGGAAATACAGTTTCTTCCCGAGTGAATGTTTCTGATAGATACTAGACCTCCTGTACAAACTGCAGCTGGGCAGCTAATTCGGGGAGGATTAGAGTTGCCCTTCCGGAAACCTTTGTTGCCTGGGTAAAGTCCCAAAACATGAACTCCATCTCCTAAGATTTCTGGGCTTGGGTCCTTTGGGATGAGTCACTCTGGGCCTTGAGGCAAATCTTCTGTACTGGAGACCCTTAGGAAAGAGACTGGACCGGACTGGAGAGTACCTTACATCCATTGGAAACGCTGAATACCTGAGGGCTCTGAATGGTCTGGGGTTTTAAAGTAGCTACCCTTGCGTCACAAAATGAGTGAATGACTGAGCCCAGAGCTGAGGTTTTAAACCCAGAGGTTCCTGGTCCCAACTACCGCGTCTCTTCTGCCTCATTTTAGCAGCATAGTCCATAGCTGTAGAGAGGACTTGGGTTGTGGAGTTTCAGAACAAGAGACCGGGGAGGTAGGCAGGGACTGAATCATAAAGAGCTGGGGTTTTGGGCAATGGACTTTGATTTTTCTCTTGGAAGCACTGCTGAGCCCTTTTTCCCTGTCATTTGGTTTGGATCATTCTCGATTTTTCTCTGTTTCTCTTTTACCATACCCAATGAGAGCTCTCAGATTATAAAGTTGTAGTGATGCCATTCCTGATCAAACAATACCTTTGCTTCTTCTTCTTCGTCTTTTTTTATTTTTTTTAATAAATTCTGTGATCTGTCTGTTTCCTTACTTCTCACCAGAGAGGTACAGCCCCCTTAGTCAACAACTCCCAGGTACAGCCCCTTGGTCAACAACTTCCAGTCGCCATTTTCTACATCATCCTTTGAAATCACTATTTAACATGTATAGTTGGCAGTTATCTTTGTCAAGCCTGACCACTTCTGTCTCAAGATAACAAGGTGCAAGGAGCCCTGTTTGCTGTCTTCCACTTCTAGATCTTTCCTAACTTCTGCCTCAGTTCCTTTTCTCTTCGCACTGCTCAGAGATGTTCCAGTCCTGGAACTCAGACTCCTGTTCTCAGATGCCTTCCTTTTGCTGTCCTCAGGGTTTAAATTAGAGACCATATCCCAGGACAAATGAAGGTGCTATATGGGGTGGTTCCCAGGGTACCAGATGTGGATTTGGGAAGAGTAGGCTGTGTTCACTGCCCCATCAGGAACCAGCGAAAAGTTTAGGTGAGTCAACCACATCTCTTGTGCTCTCTTCCCTTACCTTTAAAATGAAGCATCCATATAAGATGGGAACTGACTCCTGTACAACCCGGCCTCAGATCTTTGTCCTACTCACACCTTCCTCAGAAGGAAAATCTAAAGGATTAAGAATCGCTGAAGTGGGGGGCTTTGACTGTTTTGTGTTCATTTCACAGGCAGGTTAGTGATTTAAAGATGATCCTTCTCATCCCAAAACATGTGCTAGCCAAATACCAGGGCTTGTTTATACACATGTAGTTATGCAAGAATGACTAAGGATGATCAAATTGGAGCGAGTTGCTAAGAGCAGCGCTGCAATCAATAGGATTGCAATGGTAATAACCCCAGTCTAGTTAAAGAGATGTAAATTGCACTTCATTTGAAAACGGGGTTAGAACCACAATGGAGCAGGGTGGAATGAGGAGCTGGGCAGCCATAGAGTGGTAATGAGTTTTGATGCTGGCAGTGAGATTTTGGGATTTTGGTCTGCATTTCCAAAAATGCCTTCAGCGACCATGTTGTCCCTTATAGAGAAATAGGAATCCCAGAGACCAAGAGGCATCCAATGAACAGAAAGCTTTCCCTGCCATCAACAAATCTTTTTTTTTTTTTTTTTGAGACAGTTTTTCTCTTGTTGCCCAGGCTGGAATGCAATGACGCCATCTTGGCTCACTGCAATCTCTGCCTCCCGGGTTCAAGTGATTCTCCTGTCTCAGCCTCCCAGGTAGTTCGGATTACAGGCATGTGCCACTATACCCAGCTAATTTTGTATTATTATTCTTTATTTTATGTAGAGACAGGGTTTCACCATATTGGTCAGGCTGGTCTTGAACTCCTGACCTCAAGTGATCCACTCACCTCGGCCTCCCAAAGTGTTGGGATTACAGGCATGAGCCACTGTGCCTGGCCAACAACTCTTTTAAAGAAAGATTTCTTTTGAGGGGTATACCAGTGGGTCTCACCCAGGCTGAACGATAGAATTACTTGGAGAACTTTTAAAAGGTCCATATAGGCTGGGCATCGTGGCTCATGCCTATAATCCCAGCACTTTGGGAGGCCGAGGTGGGCAGATCACCTGAGGTCAGAAGTTCGAGACCAGCCTGGCCAACATGGTGAAACCCCGTCTCTATTAAAAATACAAAAATTAGCGTGGTGGCGCGTGTCTGTAATCCCGGCTACTCAGGAGGCTAAGGCAGAAGAATCACTTGAACCCGGGAGGTGGAGGTTTCAGTGAGCTGAGATTGCGCCACTGTACTCCAGCCTGGGTGACAGAACAAGACTCCATCTCAAAAAAAAAAAAAAAAAAAGGTCCAGATACCCAAGCTTCATCCATAATCAATTAAATCTGAATTTCTGGAAGTGGGGCCCAGTCCTCAGTATGTTTTAAAGCTTTTCAGGTTATTCCAATGTGCAGCCAAGGTTGAGAATCGTTAGTTACAAACCTTGCGTCCCAAAGCATGGCAGTCACTTGGGGTGTTTGTAAAAGATATAATGACTGACTCAGAACCCCGGGGGTTGGAGCCTGCATATCTGCATTTTCAACAAATTCCCCCAGTAACCCTGACAATAACTGGAGGAGGAAGATAAATCCACTGGCAAACAAAAAGATGGACTTTGGCTGATAAATATCGACTTTTGATAACAAGAACAAGTTACAGCCTTAATTGGTTCATGAAAATTCTTACTAATTGTAATGGGTATGTTTAGGCAGTATTAGCTCAAAGACCATGTCAAATCCTCATTGTTGGGAGCTTCTGAGGGGTCCTACCTTTATTCCCTACCTGGGTTTTTTTTCTTTTTTTCCTTGGCTTTTATTTTAGATTCAGAGGGTACATGAGCCTGTTTGTTCCCTGGGAATATTGCTTGATGCTGAGGTTTGGGATATGCATGATCCTGTCACCCACGTACCGAGCATAGTACCCAGTAGTTAGTTTTTCAACCCTTGCCTCCCTTCTACCCTGCCCACCCTGATAGTCCTCAGTGTCCATTGTTGCCAACTTTATGTCCATGAGGACTCAATGTTTAGCTCTCACTTATAAGAGAGAAGATCTGGTATTTGAGTTTCTGTTCCTGTGTTAATTTGCTTAGGTCAGTGGCCTCCAGCTGCATCCATGTTGTTGCAAAGGATATAATTTCTTCCTTTTTTATGGCTGTGTAGTATTTTATGCCTACCTGGGCTTTGAACAAATTGAGAAATAAAAGAGTCAAAATGGCAGCTAAAATGGCATCATCTTTATTTCTATGGGAGCTGATATGAGGTTTGCCCATGAGAAGCAAATGGCCCATCACTGTAACCAAGGATTAGATCACTTTATCCATCCAATCATTGCAGGATGTTCCCCCATCCCACTGGTGCTTGCTGAAGGGAATGCCAGCTTCCTGAGAGTAGCTGGTGCCCGAGATGAGGATGGAGCTGAGCTGAGCTGCGCAGGCTCAGTTCTTCCCAAATTCAAACAAATGAATCACTCCATTCCTCCACTATAATCGGATGGGGAAAGACAGCTGTTTCCCAGGGAAATCTTTCCCCCATGGAAACCAAGACTAGGAAAAAGGTGTTCCTTGCAAGCACTAGGCAATCCTGTAAGTTATTTTTTGCCTCTCATCACCATTTTGTGCCCCAACAATTCGGGTGCTCAGTGCTCTCCTCTCATCAGTCTGCTCTCAGATTTTTCATTAATGTCTGATTTTCTCTCCCAGGTAATGAGGATGCTGGAATCTTAGGCTCAGGCTGGGGTTTGGAGGTCCAGAGCCTGAGCTGAGGTTGGAGGTGAGGGGATGCTGGGTGCTTGTCCATCACCTGGATAAACAATCCTCTGTATTAAGTACCTCCTGTCTAAAATACCTACAATGATTTCTGTTTTTATGTCTGTACCATGACTGATAAACTTGGCATTTTAAAGTTATCATCTTTATTTACTTATTTATTTGTTTATTTAATTTCTGACCACCTGCTCTCTGTTGATATCATCTTATTTAATATTCTCAACAACCTGGATTTCTTGGTGTTATTCTATATTCGTTTTACAAATGAGTCCCCTAAGACATAGAGAATGGAAGTCATTTGCCCAAGGCTATGTTGTGAGAAGTGATGGAACCTGTAATCCTAGCACTTTGGGAGGCTGATGCAGGCAAATTGCCTGAGCTCAAGAGTTCGAAACCAGCCTGGGCAACACAGTGAAACCCTGTTTCTACTAAAAGTACAAAAACATTAGCTGGGCATGGCGGCGTGTGCCTGTAGTCCCAGCTACTCAGGAAGCTGAGGCAGGAGAATCGCTTGAACCTGGGAGGCAGAGGTTGCAGTGAGCCGAGATCGCACCACTGCACTCCAGCCTGGGCAACAGAGTGAGACTCCGTATCCAAAAAAGAAAAAAAAAAAAGAAGTGTTAGAACCAAGAATTCAAACCCAGCTTTGGCTGAATGCAAAGTATGTGGTTTTCCTCATTGTTTCATGTTCCACTACTGTGCACATAACAGAGAGCCAAGATAGGGGTTTTCTCTTTTGACTAAAGATCCTATAAGAAGTTCCACTTGGAGGGGGTGTGGGAGAGTGACCGAGCTCATCTGTTTCCTGCTCACATCTCTCAACTCCTGCCCTTGTGCATTTCACTATCTATAAACATCACACGATCATAGACCTCAGAGCTGGAAGGGGTTGAGCCAGATCATCTGGCTGGGCATCCTGCCTTCTGGAAGGCAACGACTAATTATCTTCATTTTTCCAAATGAGACAGCCCAGCGCTGGCAGGTTGTGTGACTTGCCCAAGATGACACAGCCAGTAAGTGGTAAGGCAAGCCCCAGGACTTCTGTGTTACCTTAGCTCCTCCAGCTTTGCTGTAGAAATGTGGAACCAAGGAAATAAACCCAAAACGAAAGGCTGCGAGATAGCTTTCCTGGGATTATTCCAGAGGAGCTAATTCTTTGCTTTAAATCAGCCTTGGTACCTAACTGCAGGCAAGAGCAGACAGAGAAAGCTGCTGACTGGGGAATTCCCCACCTCGTTTTCCACCTTCCCTCTCTTCATGTCTCCCTAATCCTCCTTATTAATGGTGAACAGCCTTTCCCCAGCCTACCTAAGTCAGGAGTGCAGAAGAAGGACCTGAAAACAATTCTTATTCCACGGCGAACATCTATTAAAGAGGATGCAGGCTGGGTCGGCAGTGTATGATGCAGAAGGCTGGGTGCCTCTGAGCTGTGAACAGATTTCCAATTTCCTGTGATCCCACAGCCCGGCCGGAATGAACACATTTCAGACAAACGTGAGCACATTTAAGACAAACTTACAGGAAATCATCATGTCACTGGTATTTAGTGTCAGGCGGCGGCAGAGTCAGACACATGTTCTTAGTTTAGCAGAATGGCAAAAGGGGAAATGGTAGATGGGAGGGTTACCTGACAATGTGAGCGCGTGGAAACAGCTCTCACCTTGCCTCCCTCTCATCCTTTCCCGTTTTGTGGGTGGTTTCTTTCTTTGTCCCTCTGTCTTTTGTTTCCTTATTAGTATTATTGTTTTATCTTTCTGACTCTCTCCTTTCATTTGGTCCCATTCTCAGTTTTAATTTCTCATTTTTCTGTCCTTTGATCATTTGTACAGATATTCATTCCACCTAAGCTCCAGTCAACAGGACAACTCTGCTTGAATATCTAATCATTTCACAAACTTATGATGTTCCCAAGGGTGACTCTTGATTTTCTCCATCCAAACCTATTCCTCCCATAGCCTTTCCCATCTCAGCACCTAGAAGCTCCATTTTCCATTTGTTCAGACCCCCAAAGCTTGGAGTCATCCTGGACCCCACTCTTTCTAGCACATACCATAGGCAATCCATTTGTAAATCTCATGGGATTCAGCTTCAAAACATCCCTGGGATCTAGTCACTCTTTTTTTTTTTTATTTTGTTTTGTTTTTGTGTGTGTGTGTGTTTTTTTTTTGAGACGGAGTCTCGCTCTGTCACCCAGGCTGGAGTGCAGTGGCCACCATTCTCCTGCCTCAGCCTCCCGAGTAGCTGGGACTACAGGCGCCTGCCACCACGCCCGGCTAATTTTTTGTATTTTTAGTAGAGACGGGGTTTCACCGTGTTAGCCAGGATGGTCTCAATTTCCTGACCTCGTGATCTGCCCCCCTTGGCTTCTCAAAGTGCAGGGATTAGAGGCGTGAGCCACCGTGCCCAGCCCTAGTCACTCTTTAGTGTATTTCAATTATCGCTGTGGTCCAAGCCTGTTAGCTAGGTTATTAAAACAGGCTTCAAACTGACCTCACTGATTCTTTCCTTTCTCCTGTGGACTGTTCTCAATCCAGCAGCAGGCTCTGTTAAAAACTAGTTCCATCATTCCCCTCTTCAGCTCAAGACCCTTCAGGGGCTCCCCATATCACTCAGGGTAAAAGTCGTGATCTTCAAATTGTCTCTGAAGCCCCAGCCCCTCCCTCTCTGTGCTCATCTCTGCTGCATTGACACTGGGCTCCTTGCTGATCTTTGAACATGCGTGACATGCTTCTACCTCAGGGCCTTTGCACTTGCTGTTTTCTCCCCCTTCCTTAGATATAGATATCCATATGACTTGCTCTTGTAGTTTCCTCAAGTCTTTTCACAAACATCACCTTTTCAGTGAGGTCTCTCCTGAGCACGCAATTTAAAACTGCAGGCTTCTCTCTTACCCCCAAATACTCTCATCTCCCTGAACTCTTGCACTTCTCCATGGCTTGCATCATGATCTCATGTTTTGTTTGTTTTCTTTATTTGCTTATTATGATCAGTCATCTCCACCTCCCCTTTCCACTTTGCCCCCATTTGCACCATAATGTAAGCTCCTCAAGGGCATGGAGTTTTGTCTGTTTTGTTCAATGCTTTCTTTACCTTGTCTAGACAATTGCCTGCCGTATAAGACATGCTCAGTAAATATTTTCAGAATGAGTGAACGAATAAGTGTTTGAAAAAATGACTGAGCATATGCCAGACCAGGTATTGTGTTAGCATTTAGGCATCGCTAGGTCATTCTTTCACTTATTTATTCCTTTAACAAGAACCTGTATGATGTGTCCTTGAGGATGTTCTATGCACTCTGTCTTTTGTTTCTCATTAACTTTTTCTCCTTCCAGAGCTCTCTTTATTTCCCATCTCCTCAGCAACCTACTGACCCCTTTCCCATTTTTGAGTACCTGTCTTATTCTTAACGTCTTATCTCCATTCTCCCTCTTTCTATGGATCCCAATTCTCTTTTGGTCCAATGTGACAGTAGGCGTGCAGTCTGCATGGGTTCCATAATCTATCTGAGGGATTTGGTTAGGTTTTGGGCTTCCTCCCAACCCACTGCAGCCCCCAGGGTGTGAAGACAGGGCTGCTGCACTCAGTAACGACACTGTCGTGCCCCTTCCCATCAATGCCCCTACTCAACTCTTACTGGAATGTAGGTTGGTGATAGGAATTAAACTCTTGAGTTTTTGGCTTATCATCAATAAGAACATTTAGCTGACTTTTGACTTCCATCTTATTTATAGGAATTGCGTCTCAGAGAAGGGATATTTCTTTCTTTCTTAAAAAAGGGAAAACTGTTAACACATGTGTAATATCATAGTAACATTAGTGGAATGCTAAGTGAAGGAAGGAAAACATTTTATTTGTAAATCAAACTGAATTTGTCTATATTGTCCTTTCTACTTTAGCCCTAAATTATATAAAATTTAATGTGGTTGTAATCCATATTTTCATGTTTCTGTACAACTTCCATAGTTACTATTTTTAATGATGGCATACTATTGCATTTTCTTGATCATAAGATGCCACTGATTTTAAGATGCATCATTGCTTTCATAACAGCTTTTCAAAGAAGAAAAGAAATATCACCACTTTACATGTATACATTGAAAACAAGATGTAGTCTAACTTCAGAAATGTTAAAAATTATCCAAAGAAGGGCCAGGCGCAGTGGCTTATGCCTGTAATCTCAGCACCTTGGGAGGCTGAGGAAAGCAGATCATTTGAGGTCAGGAGTTCAAGACCAGCCTGGCCAACATGGTGAAATCCCATTTCTACTAAAAATACAAAAATTAGCCAGGTATGGTTGCGGATGCCTGTAATCCCAGCTACTCGGGAGACTGAGGCAGGAGAATCGCTTGAACGTGGGAGGCAGAGGTTGCAGTTGGCTGAGATCGTGCCACTGCACTCCAGCCTGGGCCACAGAGCAAGACTCTGTCTCAAAAAAAAAAAAAAAAATCCACAAAAGTACCATAAAATTGAGAAAATAAAGCAATTTATAATATGTATATTTCATAATTTCCTTTTACCATAAAAACCCTTCTGTCTTTGTGCCTATAGCTTTCATCTTTTGAATAGTTTTTAAATACAAATTTATAGGGGTAAATTTTATAATTTTTTAAAGCATACTGTCATGATGTTTTCCAAAAGGGTCAAAACATTTTACACTGTTACGCAAAAGGTATGCTTGAGTATATGTGCCTAGTTGCAACTCTGCCAGCATTAGGTATTATAATTTTTTGCTTAGTTTTGTTTCTTTTGCTAATTTTTATGTATGAAGATGGTTTATATTTGCATTATTTTGATTATTTGGGAGGTGGCATAAGATAGATTAGTAGCCAGTTTAGTATTGTGTCTAACTGCCAGTAAAAGGTGTTATTATTGACAAAGTAGTATAATACTAACTTATTTAAATGACAAAGACAAGAGTTTGTTCTTCAAAGTTCTAGTCTTTGGCTGAGGTGAAGGAGGAGATTCAATTAATAGAATTATTGAAAAAGAAAATCAATTTTTGTTTCTGAGAACAAATTTAATTAGACTTTTGCCATTTCCCTAGGACCTTTAAAAGAAGATGCTACAGTATAACCTTGGACTTTTCAAGAATTTCTCTTAGGGAGTTTGATGCTGCTTATAGAATATGAAAGGAGGGATTCAGTGTAATCACTTTAAATTTTTATAACAATGGCAACAGACATTTGTATGTGGCATTGGCCATTTGCTGGACAAAATCGCAATCACTTTGTATACGTTAGCTCATCAAATTCTCACACTAACTCTATGAGATAAGTATTATTATTATTCCCATTGATGGATGAGGAAATTGAGGCACAGAGAAGTTGATGTATTTAATGGGTTAAAAAGTTGGGATATCAAGAGATGCATCCTGGCTTTGAGACTGTTTTCTTAACTACCTCAAGGTACTGTCTCTCACAAGCGTAATGCACAGCAGTGTGGACAGAAGGTTGATGAAGAGTCCTGGAGGACTTTCTACTCTATGCTAATGAGCTTCACTCTGCCTCTAGGATGGGAGGATGAGATTTATTCTCTTGACAACTGAAAGCACATTTTTTAGCCTCCTCTGCTTTTTGACTCAAGCCCAGAGTCAAACATCATGATGATATCTTTTGCCCTTGGAGATGGTCCCTGAATTACATGCTTCTCTTGTACCCTTTACCTTCCCCCCAGTGTGTTATCAATGGGTATCTCTCAGTGAGGCAGATGTTCCAAACACTGGGACTTGCTAAAATTAACATTCCAAATGCTGCAGTATCTGGGATGTTTCTAGAACATTTTTATTCTCCTACCAGAAGGAATGGTGAACTTTGAGTGAAGAACGGTCTTACTGTTATTGGAACAAACCAAATCATTTTAGCTAGTTAATTTAAGTATAACAATTCCATTCATTGTCAAGCTTTTGAAAATTTTACTTTATTTTTTGAGTGAGGGTCTGCTCTGTCACCCAGGCTGAAGTACAGTGGTGTGATCATAGCTCACGGCAATCTTTAACTCCTGGCCTCAAGTGATCCTCCTGCCTCGGCCTCCCAAAGTGCTAAGATTACAGGCCTGAGTCACTGCAGTCAGCCAAAACTTACCATTTTATACATTTCCTCTGTACTATGATGCATATGCAAATATTTCCTCTATGTTTGGTGGTAAAGATTAGTAATACATTTTATTTATATGAAATTTTAGTTTTGTTTGGGAGTTAATTCAGTTGAATGACTAAGAGCACAGATTTTGGAGTCAGAAAGACATTGATAAAAACCAGGTTCTGCCATCTCTCATTCTGTGACCTTTGACAAGTTGTCTAATTTCCTCAGGTATAAAATGAAGATAATACCATTGTACGTCTTAGGTTTGCCATAAAGATTAAATAAAATGAACAAGTTAATGCTTATAGAATGCATACACAGCACATGACACCTGGTAAGTGTTCAATAAATTGGCTAATACTAATATATATGTAATAAAATATAGTAAAAATTTAAGGAATGTCCAAACTCAGAACTCTTCGGAGGGAAACATTTTATCTTTTTCTTGTTTCTCTTTCCCCAAATCTGTGACTCCCCGTCTCATTCTCTGTTCAATTTTGTTATTCCCTGTCTTCTAAAAGTTTCCTCTAAAAAGTAGAATGAATTACGATTTATTTTGTGTAAAAATTTAAAAAAATAATGTTACAGTTTCTTTTGTGGGTATTGGAGATGTCCTCATTTTTTTTTCCCCACCATCTTGTTACGGGATGAGTGGGTGAGTAGGATTTGCTATTTCTTTTAGTAGTTCCTAGAGTTGTGCAAAGGAATTGTAAAACAAATGGACATATTACTTTTCCTTTTCTTTTTTTAGATTCAAGAGGTACATGTGAAGGTTTGTTAAATGGGTATATTGTGTAATGCTGAGCTTTGGGTTTCTAATGATCCAGTAGCTGAAATAGTAAACATAATATCCAATAGGTAGTTTTTCAACCTTTGTCTCCCTCCCTTTCCCCTTTGGAATCTTTAGTGTTTATTGTTCTCATCTTTCTGTCCTTATGCACCCAGTGTTTAGCTCCCACTTATAAGTGAGAACGTGCATTATTTCATTTTTTTGTTCCTGCATTAATTTGCTTAGGATAATGGCCCCCAGCTATATCCATGTTGCTGCAAAGGACATGATTTCATTCATTTTTATGGCTGTGTGGTATTCCATAGTGTATATGTACCACATTTTCTTTATCCAATCCACCGTTGATGGGTACCTGGGTTGATTTCATGTCTTTGCTATTGTGAATAGTGCTGCAATAAACATGTGAGTGTAGGTGTCTTTTTGGTAGAAGGATTTATTTTCCTTTGACCATGTCCCAGTAATGGGATTGCTGGGCCGAATGGCAATTCTATTTTTATTTCTTTGAGAAATCTACAAACTGCTTTCTACAGTGTCTGAACTAATTTGTGTTCCCACCAACAGTGTATAAGCATTCCCTTTTCTCTGCAACCTCGCCAACATCTGTTATTTTCTGACTTTTTGATAATAGCCATTCTGACTGGTGTGAGATGGTATCTCATTGAGGTTTTGATTTGCATCTCCCTGATGGTTAGTAATATTGAGCATTTTTTTCATGTTTGTTGGCTGCTCGTATGTCTTCTTTTGAGAAGTGCCTGCTCATCTCCTTTGTTCCACTTTTTAATGGGGCTCTTTTTTTCTTGCTGATTTGTTTAAGTTCCTTATAGATTATGGATATTAGTCCTCAAAATGAATTGACTTATTCCTAAGGAGAGAAATCCTCAAACTTTATGTCTAAAATTTGTCTAAAGAGAGAAATCACTTCTCTTTACTGATGGGACTCTGTGACTAGGCATTATCAGCAGGAAGAACTCTCTCCATGGGGCTTCTCAACAGGACGGATGGGCAGGTGGAGGTGTGAGTTCAGAATGTGGAAGTGGCCTTTGTGTTGGCTTATGTCTGTATGGCCTCCGGTACCAGGTCTGAGGTACCCCACACTGATCATCAAATATCCAAACATCATCCCTATCTTCACATTTATGACTAGTACCAGAAGCGTCCATGTTTGGAGGAGGGGAGGAGGGGCCTCTGGAGTCCAGCCAGTGGCTGTAGGTGTTTAGTGAAGATAGGTAAGAGTTAAGAGAATAATGGAGACAACTCTTTGATTGATCAATTGTTAACTGAGCAGGACGCCTCCCCTGAGGCTTTATCTTGATGGTGGCTCTCATGGGGTGAGGCAGTGACGCAGGCAGTGACAGAAAAATGACTCCTTCACTGAAGAATTCAGGGCAAGCTAGAGCCCAGTATGACGGAGGAGATAACCTGGTTGCTGTTTGTAAGATTCGGCCCGGGAATGTAGCAATCCCAGCCTGCAGGCATTGATCTGACAGCTGCTCTCAGCCTTGGAGAGAGATTCAGGGACAGTTGGTGCCAGATAACAAGAGTTCAAAGCACGCTGCTGGCCCAGGTGTGACCACCCCGTTGGTGTGCTGGCATTTGCAGAAAGGCAGAGCGGACTTCCTGGCACTTTTGCCAAGGGTTGTGGGACCATAAAACATCTCCAAGAGGTTTGGCTGGATACCAGTTATCCTGTGTACTCACCTTTCTGCCACCACTACTTCAGAAGCAGCTGAAAATTTGGAATCCTAAGGGAGAAAATAAGCCCCTCTTTCTTGTCCCACACAAATAGCACTACAATTGTTTTAATCTGAAGAAGTTTATGTGGTCCCCACCTTGTACTTGGTGATTGTACTGGGAGAGGATTGACCTTATGAATGTGCATCTCAGGCAAAGCAGAATCAAGGACATTGGGGCATGAATCTCAAAGGGACATGGAAATGTCACTGGAGATGAAAAAAAGCAATATAAAATTACTCTATTCAGGAAAAAGACTAAATGTGGTTATCTTCTCCATGATTGCTGCTTGAGCACTGATCATCTCAAGAGGCACATTGAGCAACAATGGGTGTTTCCTAAACCACCTCCTGAAGAGGAGGGATGCTGGTAACTGCTTTGCTGAGTAGGCTATGGAAGTCTGGGCCAGAGCTGAATTGCTGGGAACATTCTAGAAAAGATTGAAAAATGTTCCTTTCTGCATCCTTCCTATCTGAAACTCTCAGCCACTCTTCTAAATAAATGTTTAAGCAACATTTGAATGCCTTTTTGAAAAGGTGAGAAATCATTAGTCTGCACAGGGTATCCACATCATGGGCCAGCCCTGTATTCCTGCTAGCATTTGCTGATGACAGCTACCTCCGTCTTTCCTCGCTGACTGCCTCATCCACCTGCTAGTTTCTCTGTATCCTTCAAGATGTGAAGAAACTTGTGTGGATGGTTTTGTCCAGGGCTTTTCAAACTCATTGTGGAATCTCTTTTTTCCTGCAGCTATCATTACCATTTCATCTTTTGTGTACCAGGCTTGGTAAGAGTCTTGCCTAGCTCTTTTATCTGGTGCTCCTTAATTCTCAGAGCAGATAGTGTATGTCATTTATTTATTCCATTGACAAGCATTTATTGAACACTTGTTATATGCCATTGTTTCTTTGCACCCTAGCAATATTTTAGATTAAACAGGTCTCTGGGTAAATTCATCACCATTTTCCTATCCACACACAGGAAAACATGTTTGTCTTAATTTTCTAACTTTGTATGAATTGCGCCAGCATTCTCTCCCAGGCACTCAAGATTAAAGCCTTAGAATATTACAAGTACCTTCCTTTTTTGGAATATGTCATTTATTTTAACAATTTTAAAAAAGTTTTGTGATTTTTGTATAAATATTACATGTTTCTTATAGAAACATTAGAAGACTACACCTTAGCTAAAAATCGGGGGGAATCACTGGCTATTTCAAATAAATTGCCATATTCTGATATTTCTGCCTTTCCATGTTTTCTTTTTATTTTATTTTATTATTATTATTTTTTCATGATGGAGTCTCACTCTGTTGCCCAGGCTGGAGTGCAGGGGCACACTCTTGGCTCACTGCAACCTCTGCCGCCTGGGCTCAAGTGATTCTCCTGCCTCAGCCTCCTGGGTAGCTGGGACTACAGGTGTGCACCACCACACAGGGCTAATTTTTGTATTTTTAGGAGAGATGAGGTTTCACCATGTTGACCAGGCTGGCCTTGAACTCCTGACCTCAGGTGATCTGCCTGCCTCGGCCTCCCAAGGTGCTGGGATTACAGACATAAGCCCCCATGCCTAGCCTCCATGTTCTCTTATACCAGGCCCCTTCTCTTGTCCCCATGGTCACCATCCAACACCCTCCAAACCTTCATGCTCTTCCATCCGAACAACGGCAGTAGCCTCTAACTAGACACCTCCAATTCACCACATTCTAGTGTCTTTGGGGCCCACTTCTATGACGGTATGGAATGGTCTAAGAAGACCATAGGACAGGAAGGAATATTAGGTTCCTACAATTGCTCAACCCATTGTTAATTCTGCCTTCACATCTCAGGTAGTTGAAGCAGGGCTACAATTCTTTAATCAGCTTCATGATCTGTTGTTTCTTCAGAAGATGAATGTGGTACAAGCTAGCTGAAGTTCTGCTTGAGATTGCTGGGAGAAAATACCTAAGGGACAAATAAACTCTTCATGTCCTTAGCTCACATTTTATGCTTCTCCTTGCCTCAACTCAACACATGCATGTATTCACACATTGCCGTCATTCCGGAGTCTGCTGAAGGCTGCCCCAGACTTTGTAAGTGAGATGCAGACATAGCATAGTGATGACCTACTATGTGTCAGGTGCTTTGAATGTGTTATCTCTTATGTGGTCTTTATAACAGTGGTAGGTATATTACTTAGTTCCATTTTAGGATGAAGACACAGAGAGCTTAAACAATGCACCTAAGGTCACAGTTCCAAAACCAGGTCTTGAGGCTTGTTGAATACTCTCTTCTCAGGGAGAATCTTGGTTGATCAGGAAATCTAACGGGTGCTTACTAACTTCATTCCCTCTTGTGTAAGATTTTCTTTCTACCTGTTTTTTGGTATTAAGGTTTGTTTGTATATTCTGGAAACTGTTCCTTTAAATCCACCTCAAATATTTAAATAAGGAAGAGACTAGGGCCCTAGAGGAAGCTATGTTTCATGGAAGAAATAATTTAGAACAGAAAATCAAAAGCAAGAACAAAAACAAAAACTGAAGGGCAAAAAAAGTCTCAGCGGATTTTCTCAACTATGAAAGAACCTCATTATCTCCTCCTGAAGAAGAGCCGATTTTGAGTACGTCAGCTCCGGAATACACCAGGTTTTAAGAAGTTAGCTGCAAAATGGGCTGAGTGTGATGGCTCATGCCTGTAATCCCAGCACTTTGGGAGGCTGAGGTGGGCAGATCACTTGAGCCCAGGTGTTTGAGACCAGCCTGGCCAACATGGTGAAACCCTGTCTCTATTAAAAATACAAAAAGTAGCTGAGCATGGTGGTGCATGCCTGTAGTCCCAGCTACTCGGGAGGCTGAGGCACTAGGATCGCTTGAATCCAGGAGGTGAAGGTTGCAGTGAGGTGAGATGACACTATTGCACTCCGGTCTGGGCGACAGGGAGAGACTCTGTCTCAAAAAAAAAAAAAAAAAAAAAAAGAGTTAGCTGCAAAATGGATGGGCCTTTGTTGTGAGGTTGTTCCAGACAGTGGGGAGGTCTGATCAGGCTGGATAAATAATACTTGTGTCAAATACACTTGGTGAAAATACCTACCTGGGAGGTTTACACACACATTTAAACAGCAGATGAAAAAAAGTCAAATGAGTCATTCTATCCACCTAGCTCCATGCCTAGAACATTTATTTATCTCACTTTTTCTAGTCTGGAGTAGGGGTGAACTATAAGAACTAATAAGAAATAGGGTTTGCCCTCTCTATAGGAGAGCACATTCTCACAGCCGTATCCCAAGGTATGACAAGCCAATCTGCTTAGTATAGTAAATGCTCAATAAATGTTTCTTGCTTTAATTCAATGTGGATATCTCCCCACTACAGCTTTCTTGGCCATTCCTTCTCTACCTACAGGAGGGAGGAAAACCATGGATGTTCATATGGTATTATTTCATTTTCTCTTTCAGCTTCTCTCTGTCAAACCTTTCTAAGTTTGGTTTAAAATGTCTTCATTTATGTCTTTATTTTCTTCCGTAATAAGTATTTCAAAGTTGCATGTAAACCCCTTTAAAAAAAGATCAAAACCTCATTGATTAAAAAAGTAAACTCAAGCACAGTGTGATTAAGCAAGTCATTAGCAAAGGCAGGATTCACCACCAGGATTGTCTGATTCCAAATAATTTTTTTTTCTCTCTCCGAAAAAGTCTTAGTAATTCTTTTAACAGTAATTTAATGAGGCCAATAAGCCATCATTTCAATCAGTGAAGGTCAGCTCGGGTCTTCCTAAGCTGATCACATAAAGCATACTACATATCCCACGCAAGTGTGCACAATCCCATTCTCTCTGTGTGTGCTTCTCTGATTCTCTTTTGCTGTGTGAAGTATGGGCTGACAAGATGCTGGTGAAATCACAGAAGGGCCATTTGTTATAGCCTGGTATAGCCTGGGGAGACTGAGTCCTTCTCTTTCCAGGTGACAGCCAGGCTGGGAGGCAGGGCCTTTTCAGAGGAGAGCAAGAGCGGTATTTCCTTGTCTTTTGGCTCTTGGATTAGCTGCTAAAGGAAGGTGCACTTAGGGCTCTGTTCAATGGTGATTAAGATTCTTTTTTTCTGCTGGACCTCTGGATTGAAGCCACAGACTTAAGGACCCGTGACTTAGAGCCATTTTGTTGGTTACAATGAGCAGCACAAGGCAACATACTTGGTGTTTGCATAAATACAAAGTACCCTGACTCTCCTGTGCCATTTCTGCCAAGTAGATCTTTTGCCTTTTTCTCCTTTTGGTCTCGGGCATTACTTTGCTTTTCTACTTACATATCTGTACCTTCTTGGGAGTGAGCATTTCAGTGATGGTGGGGGAATTAAGGATTAGCGTTCCAGTGCTCCCTTTCTCTCCCCTTAACACTCCTGCTTCTTGCCCTATAGCAGAGAGAAATGGCCTTCGACACACCACAGACAGCATGGAAGATTTGGAGGGCAAGACTGAAGGCGGCACACTCTAGTCAAGAGAGCAAGTGCAGAGGACTCTGGGAATCTTTGTCTCCACCACTGTGGAGCTGTCAGTTGGAGTCCACTGTCTGCCTCTTGTCTCTCACGTGGCAGTCCTACCCATCTCTTAGGTTTTTATGTCTTCCTCCTCTTCCCTGTTGCCAATATCTTCCCAAGACCTTTTTAGAAAACACTATGCTGTCATTCTTTCTGCTCAACTTTTATACACAGGGCACAGTTTTCGAGGCATGTGTAAAACCCCTTCACTCACTCCAGCTTCCCTTAATCCTTAGGAAAAGAATGTGCAATACTGCTGTTGTTTCCAGGGAAGCATGTCATTTGTTTTACCAGTCTGTAGTTGATTAATTTGCAAATGATATTCCCAATAAAGTGCTTAGAAGTAGATAATTACAACTATATTAACAGTTCTCAGGGAAGCAGATGGTATTCTGAGGAGCTGCCATGTAGCATTAGTGCTGATGCTCCACTGTAATGTACCATCCACCCCAGAAAACCACAAACAACAAGCGCAAATCCTGCTGATATTCCAGATTGGGAGGAAATTGTGCTTTTGCCTCACATTCCATTCTGATCGGAATTTTTATGTGTGTTTTCTTGATCGCTACAGCGCTCAGTGAACTGCTTCGCTTTATGTTGAGTCTCATAACTCTCCAACTCTGTATTTCTGAATTAGCCCCATATTAAGCCTGCATGAAGCAAGTTTTTAAACTGTTCATCAGTGTTCCTCCTACCACACCAGATATTTTTAAGCATAGATTATCTCTGTACAAACATATAATTTCAATTTCCTAAATTACCTGAGCTAACATCCCATGTTAGATAATCAATTAAGAATATTTGGAGGCAGAGAAATCTTTTCCTTTTTCTCTCTCCTTCTGTGTTACACACACACACACAAACACATGCACACACACATGCCTGGACATATGCATGTACGTGTGTATGCACACATATGTACTCTTTTCTAGGTAGCATCAATTTTATAAGTTGCTTGATAAGAAGGGACTTTTTTCCAGCTTCCAGCTCCAGGAAAAAGGCCGCAATGTCATAGCGTTTCTGTCTGGACAGCTATACATCAGGAGTTGTCCTTCCAAAGTAGGCTGGAGTTACATAAGTGTTAACACACAATGGGGTGTGAGAGTTAAAGGAAAAGAATCGGCCGGGCGCGGTGGCTCACTGCTGTAATCCCCGCACTTTGGGAGGCCGAGGCGGGCGGATCACGAGGTCAGGAGATCGAGACTATTCTGGCTAACACAGTGAAACCCCGTCTCTACTAAAAATACAAAAAATTAGCCGGGCCGGGTGGTGGGCGCCTGTAGTCCCAGCTACCAGGGAGGCTGAGGCAGGAGAATGGCGTGAACCCGGGAGGCGGAACTTGCAGTGAGCCGAGATCGCGCCACTGCACTCCAGCCTGGGCGACAGAGCAAGGCTCTGTCTCAAAAAAAAAAAAAAAAAAAGGAAAATAATCAGTTGTGCCCTGACCAGCTGAGACTCGGGGGCGATGGAGTAGGGCCTGTGGGTTTCCAAGACTAGATTAGAAGCATGACATGAAGACTCTTTGGCAACTGCCATTGGGTCTTTGCTCTAGGTCAGGCTGGCAGGTGTCCACCAACAAGGCTGATTTTGTCCTGTCAAAGGCCTACCTTCAGGTGCTGTCGTCTCTAATCACTGCTGTCCTGGAGGGGATATGTGTAGACCCTTGCAGTAGGCCTGGAAATGACCACGCTCTTAGGTATGTCCCTAATTATTTATGCTAAGAGAGTAGGAAGGGACACAACCATTGTTGTCTCAGCTTTCCTTGGGTAAGAATGGGCTAGGAGGATACGTGTGGGCTGCCAAGTGCTTAGTGCTTATTTAAAGCTGTCTTAAAGCAGATGCTTGCTGGCTTTTCTAGAAGCAGGCCTTGTGGTTCTCGCTGAGGGCTTACACATTAGGGGGCTTAGTTTGTTATGCAAGTTGGCTCCAGGATCCCCAACAAGTTGCCCAATTATCACCATAAGCCTTTTTACTGTTGATGTACACTAGAGGATTTTAGTTTTAGCTGCCATTTTTGAGAGTATACCAGGCACCAGGCATTGTTATAAATACTTAGAATACATTATTCCATTTAATTCTCATGACACTTTGGAAAATAGAAAATTATCTGCATTTTACAAGTGAAGAAATGCAGCTAGAGACTCAGAGAGGTTAAGTAACTTGTCCCAGATCACACAGCTAATACATGTCAGAGTTGATACTGAAACTTTAATCTGCCTATTACCAAAGCTCAGGCCCTTAATTATGACATTATTCAATAGTCAGTTATGGTATGAAGTTAATTCATGAACATTTCTTTCAGCACCTAGAATGTTTTTATAGGATGTGCAGATATCAAAGCTGCATGATCGGTAAACAATGCTGCTTTGATTTTATATGGATTGTGCTCGAAGATCAAAGTAGAGCCTAGGAAAGACATGAGAGATGTGGTTTGAGTGAGAAGTTGGACTTACATCAAGAAACGTCTTGAAGATTATATGAAAGAGTTTGGACGGCATCCTCCAGGATGTGGGGAAGCCATGAGTATGCAGGCAAGTGAGTCACATGATCAGATGAAGTTGTAGAAAGGGCGTAGAAAGACGTGTTGGGGAACGGTGAGCCAATAGACGAGGAATCTAGTTAGGAAGCCTTTGGAATAACCCAGAGAGTGATGATAAGACATTGGCTGGCTTAGGCGATGAAACAGTAGGAAATAGCATCGTGGAGGTAGAATATACCTGTGCAAGAAAAATTATAGCTAATATTTGTTAGTACACTACAGCCATATACTTATTATTGTTTTGCTCATTTAAAAATGTATGGACTCATTTAATTGTTACAACATCTCTATGAAGTAAGCTGTGTTAATTTCCCTATTTTACAGATGAGATGGAGGGACAAAATGGTTAAGCAACTTGCCCAAGGGACCTACGTTTATAAGTGGCTGAGCTTGGATTCCATCCCAGTCCATCTCACTCCAGATCTCGAGATCTGGCCAATATGGTATCAGATTCTGAATCAAGGTGAAGTTCAGGGTCCAACTTACCTTTTCTTAGATATACTAGCCATGCACGCACATAGGGCAGATACACCTGTCTATGTAGGACGAAGCTGGGGACACAAGAAAAGGGAATTGGCCTTAGTAAATTTGCTGGTTCTGTTGGTGTCCCCTTCTGTATCCTGGCAGCTCCTTCATTGCTGCACTCAGGGGAGTGACATTCAGCTTCCTTTCTAGTTACCTCACTTAGGTAAGAATTACCTTCTATATTGAAGTCTCTGGTGAAATTGAGATCGGAAAACGAGTTCAGAACTGTCTTTGTAACTTATAAATGCATATTTTGGGCACACGGCTTAATATCTTTGAATTTCAGGTTTCTCATTGTTTAGAAGAGGATGATAATATTTTTTCATCTAGTCACGAGTTTAAGGAATGAATATTAAGCACCTACTATGAGCCATGCACGTGCTAGGCAGGCTCTGGGAATAACAAGACATGAAAAAGTTCTTGCCTGTGCCCTTAAGAAGTTCAGCGTCTAGAGTGGTTGATACAAGTAAGTAAGTAAGCAACTGCAATTCAAAGAATCAAGGAGATAATATTCATTACAGTTTTAAAAAATCTGAAGTGCTTTAAAATGGTGAGCTATTATTGTTATTAACTCTATTAGGGAGAGTGAGGAGAGAGAGTCAGAAAATGCCAGAGAAATCTAGGTTGGGGTTGAGCTCCCTGCATCTCCTAGGCTCCCACTGGGAGAGGTTCCAGGAGTACAGTGCCCTCCGTTGAAGGCGCCGCAGCTCCCGCCTGCTTTTGACCTTTCTGGAGAGTGCTTGCATGAACACACTTCATTTTCAAAAGTTTAAAAATACGCACTTGGAATTGTAGATGATCAAGCATGAATCCCAGACCATAAGTGGGTGGGAGAATTGTGCTGATCTGGGAGTGCACGGGGCCACATGCCCTTGCAATTTGACGTCAGCACAGTCCAGGAGGTGCCCAGCGTCTGTGCCCCTCTGCGTGGTCAGTGTGTGATGCAATGTGTTTTCACAGACTGTGAATCAATTCCCTCCAGGGAAAAAAATAACAAAACACTATGCTGATTAATTGGATAGATCACTGTTGAAATTCCTGATTTTGCAATATTTAAGTACTTTCTCAGCTAAGATGGTGAAATAGGGTAAGCAGAAAATAAAAGCCACATGCGTTTATTTTACTCAAGCTCCTTCCTTTTAGAATGTTAGCCTTTGAGTTTCCAAATTGGGCAAAGAAGTGATTATCAGGAATACCTTAATAAAAGGTGGTATGATCTCTATTTAAGAAAACAACTTTATATTTATAAATCCTTTGTATTTTTGGTAGCACTTTAATACCAGTGATCTTATTTAATCCTTCATGCCAACTTTGTAAAGTAGGTGGAACATTCATAATTAGATTGCAGATGATGACACTCAGGACAGAGAATTTTTGACCTTGTTCAGAGTCCTCAAACCTAGGACAAGGAGGGGAGGAGAGGGTGAAGGAGGTGAGCATTTATTGAGCAATTACTATGTGCTAGGTGTTTAGTACATAATTGAATTTGATTTGTCATACAATCTTGAGAGATGACTGTTCTTCTTCCCGTTTTACAGATGGTTAAACCAAGGTTAATTAGAAGCTAAGTTGGGGATTTGATCTTAGATCTCCTTGAGTTTAAATCAATAGTCCTTTCTCTAGTCTAATGATTTCCAGCATTCTCTGATTATGTGCTCCTATCAGTAAACTTTTCTGAGCATATACCTCCAATAAATGTGTATTTGTTTATATACAAATTGTATGCATGTACTATTGTACTATTACTTTATGAGCATAATAAAGCATACACATGAAATAAGAACATTAAGATGCAGAGATATGAATGGAAGACACACTGTTTTCTTTCTGTACCCCATTTTGTAGACTACAATCTAGGCAATGCTCCTTTCTTGGCAAGTTAGGGGCACAGGTTCATGCCTACAGCTCATAGAAAAATCTACTAGCTAGCACAGGATACTTTAGGGCAGGACTTCTCAGCAGTAGCACTATTCACATTTTGGACCAGATAATTCTTTATTATGAGGGGCTGTGCTGTGCCCTGTAGGATGTTTAGTGGGATCTCTGACCTCAACCTACTAAATGTCAGTAGCAGCCTATGCACAGCTGTGGCAACTGAAAATGTCTCCACATATTGCCAAATGTCCTCTGCTGAGGAACAGGGAGAAAAATTTCCCTGTGTTGGGAGCAACTGCTTTAGGGTAATCAGTAGGAATGTTCTCCTCCTCCTTGCTGATGCCCAAAGAAGAAGTCATCAGGCAGCACCTGTTTGGAAGACATTTTATTTTGCCTGTTTTAGATTCTTCCGGAGGACCCCTGGGCTTGGTTCCAACCTGTATCCATCAGCTCCTGAGGTTGGCCAACCAGAACGGAGGTCTAGCTGTTCAGTGATGAAACCGGCCTTTGAATGGCTCCTGTCCCCATGCATATCACATCTGATTTTAACATCTCATTCTTCACTGCCGATGACTTCGACAAGGCCTAGTGTGGAAGACCATAATGGTGCATTGTGGGGTATAGTGGGCTTGGTAGCTAAGAGCATGGGTTCTAGAATTAGGTATATCTGTATTCAAATCTGCATTCTGCCATTATTATCTGTGACCTTTGAACAATTCCCTCTACCTCTCTAAGCAACTCTTCCCATCACAAAGTGCTGATAAAGCATAAAGAAGAAAACACTCTCATTATAGAGTTGCAATATTTAACACAATGACTGTTCCTAGCTCTTAGTAGTAGCTATTATTTTGATTATGAGGATAATAACATAAAACACTTTTGCCTGGCACATAGTAAGCACTGGATGAATTATACGTATTACTGTAATATATAATATAAATATGAATATATATATATATATATATTTTTTTTCTGAGTTTGGTGAGTTTGATTGCAGATTCCATGAAGCAGGGACCAGACTTGCCTGATTTGTCTTTTGGTCCTTATTGCCTAGTTCAGTCTGACATATAATGGGTACTCAGTAATTATTTGTTATGAGTCAGTAAACGTGTGTATTTTTCCATGTAACCATCAAAACTGTGAGATCACTGTCTGTTTTGGTCTGTTTTACTATCACACATAGTGGCCCTGGCTAGGTAATGCCCCTAGAAGTTCTCCTGTCCACTTTATCCCATGCAGCCAGGGCAATGAATGAGTATATTCACTTCTACCATGGAGGGAAGGCAGTTCGAACTTCTCCCTTCCTCTCTCCTTCCCTCCCTCCCTGCCTCCTTCCATCCTTCTCCCTTCCCTTCCATTCCCTTTTTTTGAGACAGGGTCTCTGTCACCCAGGCTGGAGTTTGGTGGGATGTTCATAGCTCACTGCAGCCTCACACTCCAAGGCTCATATGCTCCTCCCATCTCAACCTCCCTAGTAGCTGGGACTACAGGTGCACACCAATGCGCCCAGATAATTTTTAACATTTTTTTTTCTAGAGAGAGGGTCTCTTTATATTGTTCAGGCTGGTCTCAAACTCCTGGTCTCAAGTGACCCTCCCACCTTAGCTTCTCAAAGTGTTGGGATTACAGGTGTGAGTCACTGCACCCAGCCCCAAACTTCTTTCTTATGACTTGAAGCTCATGGGAATTCTTCAAAATTTTATCTAGCCAATGGAAGGGCAGAAACTTAATAATCAGAATTGTCTAATTGTTCCATTAGATTTGACTGTGATGACTGTTGTCATGGTATTTTCCTGAATTCTATTTCTTAATGCAACTTTGTTTATATGGTTTCAGGTTTTTTATTTATTCCTTATTTCCTCTGGCTAGTTTTAGAAAAATTAGAACACTTTTGTGGCTTTACAGAAAAAAACAATAAGTTTTGAGGCTGAGGAAATTTTTTTAAATTGGGAAGACATCAAAAACGTCAGTAAATCAGGCATCACAATGCTTGATAAATTTAGGAGAAAATTGATTGCAGCAGCAATAGCTGATTTAAACTAATGCCTGGTTGTGTCATTACTCAAACACACACAGGAGCAACATCAGTTTTAATTTCTGTCTTGTTTAAAAATGAGCAAGTTTCTTTTCAGCAAATGACTGTTGATGATCTGCCTCTTTACATTAAAAAGGGGGAAAATTTCCACCATTTTCTGACTTGCTGAAGTATGTTCTTCAAATTTTTAGCACTTCAAACCTATAATTTTCAGAATATGTTTTATAAAAGTGAAATTGGCAGTTAGGGCCTGTTTTGTGTTTGTATGGGTATTGGGACTATGTTAGAGAGGTGTGTACATAAGTATGCATGCGGTTTCTGTCATTTAAATGAGATATGCAACTGGAATGTCCCTTTTGTTCAAAAAGTGTGAATTCAAAAATCATATTGCCTTTCAACTCCATTGAGTAACCTCTCTTTAGGTATTAATGGAATGAGTGAACAGGATCTCCCATTTTGCCTTGTCTGGTATCACTCAAAGACTGATTTTATGTTAAATTATGTATAATTACCTAGCTACATCAAAACATTTAAAAAAATTTGAGAGCAAGACTAGTCCCATTATTCCTATTGCATCTAGGGAAGGACATTGTGATTCAAAGGAAGTAAACAACTGAGAGACGGAGGGTTTAAAGCTTCTTTTCTCCCTACCAATTGTAAAAAAATGTGAAAAATATAGAAAAATATAAAAATCAAAGGAAAATTTAAAACATGTAACATTGCAACCCAATGTTAGCTTTTTTTTTTTTTTTTTTTTTTTTTTTTTTTTTTTAAGGTGAAGTCTTTCTCCGTCACCCAGACTGGAATGCAGTGGTTGCAATCTTGGCTCACTGCAGCCTCCACCTCCCAGGTTCAAGAGATTCTTCTGCCTCAGCCTCCTGAGTAGCTGGGATTACAGGCACGTGCCACTACCCCCAGCTATTATTTTTTTGTGTGTGTATTTAGTAGAGGTGGAGTTTCACCATGTTGGCCAGGCTGGTCTCGAACTCCTGGCCTCAAGTGATCAACCTGCCTCAGCCTCCCAAAGTGCTGGGATTATGGGCATGAGCCACCATGCCCCCTGGCCTCCAATGTTAGTATTTTTTATATGGTCTTTGGCTTTTTTTATAGTTAAGTTCAAGTAGGACAGTTGAGACAATACTGCGCAAATATTATTGTATCCTGATTTTTCTTTCATGTAACTTATAGTCATGTTTCTGTGTTATTGCAAATTTATAGCAGCTTCATATTTTCATTGGTGAGATAATTGAGACATTTTTCTATTATTAGAAATTTAGCTTGTTTTCATTATTTTTGTTACACATAACTGAAGACTTCTTAATTTAGGTGAGAAGGCTCTGGTCCGGGTACTTGTTTTAGGTCTCATACTTTCATCATTTGCCTACACTTCCTTCTGTGGTATCTTAACGTAGCTTCTTCACTAAGCAAAATGGCTTGGGTTATTTGGCCCTTTATTTTTTTATTAAAATGCCTACATCTTTAGCAAAGGCTTGTTTCAGGCATAAAAGACCCAGGTGATTTATTGAAATTCACCTTCAACTCTTGACCTTGGCAGGGAGACATTTTTGCCCTCAGCCCACAGAATGGAGATATAGTTGCCTTCAGCCATGAAAAGGATCTTGGCTGGACTTTGCCTTGCCTTTTAGAGCTGAGTTTTAATAATTCAAAGTTTGCTTCCTCCAAACCTACTTTAAATCTTGATTGTCAGAGGTTTCTTATGTTTAGCCATATATTGTGCTTACTGAATATGGATTATTTGATACAGAAAATGTATAGTTTATTAACTGTAGTCACAGACATTCCAATATGAACCTGCAGCAGAATGAATCTCAAAGATTCTGACTCTGACTTTAGTTTTTTGTATATGGGTGTTGTGTTTGGAGCAAAAACTGCACCATATAGTGATCATATTCCAGCCTAAAGATGGATCCCTCCTGTTCAGGTTGGAAGGATAAGATCGGAGCGTGTGGGTGTGTGCAGGGTTCCTGTGAGGGCAGGTCAAAGGTGCACATTTTGAACATTTGCTTATTTAAGTTTCACCTTCTTCTAATTTCACATCATAATTTTTATAACAAATTCTCTGCTAAATATATGTATATTATAGTAAACATGTACCTTTATACCTGAAGCCTCTCATTTTGGTTGGGGACTCTAGTTTTTCAGCCAGTGGTTCTGGCTAATTTTGTCTTCCTTCTGGTCTTGACTCTCTTGATCATACTGGCGGTGACCACTCTCAGTCTGGTCTAAAAGGAAGTTTCTACTCATCGAAAAAGTATATATTGAGCTCTTATTATGTTCTAAGGGACTACAGAGATGAGTGAAATGATTCAGTATGGGATACAAGGGACTGGGTGATGCTTTTAAGATGCTCCGGGATCAATATCACTAGATATACAGGGTGCCCACCTTATCAAAATGTAAGAAGAACACATGGTTTCTGTTGCATGCAGTTTTCCTGCTGCTGACACTCAGTTATAAACTTGCATGAGGCTGGGTGCGGAGGCTCATGCCTGTAATCCCAGAACTTTGGAAGGCTGAGGTGGGTGGATCACTTGAGGTCAGAAGTTGGAGACCAGCCTGGCCAACATGATGAAACCCCATCTCTACTAAAAATACAAGAACAATTAGCTGGGCGTGGTGGCGGGTGCTTGTATCCTAGCTACTTGGGAGACTGAAACTGAGAATTGCTTGGACCCGTGAGGTAGAGGTTGCGGTGAGCCGGGATTGCGCCACTGCATTCCAGCCTGGGTGACAGAGTGAGACCCCGTCTCAAACAAAAAACCAAACAACCAAACAAAAAAACGTGAATGGTCTCTAGGTATGTGTCTGTCAGGCCCCCTATCTCAACAGGAATGCCCAGGTAAACCACCCCATAAACAACTAATATGGTACACAGAGGTAAGTGCAAGGGAGTTGTGGACAAAATGTTACTGAGTCGCAAAGGAAGGGTGATGCCTTTGGCACTCACTCTGATATTTACACCTCCCCCGCCAGTTCTTACTCTCTGCTTCCATCTTTCTCAGGGTTATGTGGATGTGGCCAGGCGTAGTTTCCAGGAGAATTACTATAGAAAGAATTTCCCTTCCCTTCCCCTGCCCTCCCCTCTCTTCCCCTCCCTTTTCCTTCCTTTCCTCCTCCCTTCCTTCCCTGTCCCTCCCTTTCAGTCTTACATTTATTTTTTAATTTATTCAACAAATACTTATTATGCAGGTACTATTTACCAGGCTGGAGATACAATGGTGACGAATACAAAGGTTTTTTGCCCTCAAAGAACCTATATTCCAGTGGTGCAGCCAACTAGCACTGATTAAAGGACCAGATTCTAATACTCCATGTGGAATATTTCAACTACAATCAAATACTGCTGCTGCTGTCTTAGCAGAAAAGCCCCTTTTGGCTCCTTGTAGGCCCCTTAACTCTTTACTGGCCCAATGTGAGTTTTATTGACATCATGCTGTGTTCCTAGGAGGCCCTCATTAAGTACTTGTTGGTCAGCTGGCTGATTGTGCAAGTTTTCTAACTGATACTATACTTACCCTTTAAAATTTCGTTTTCAACATCTTGACTTTTATCTCATTTTCAGGCAGAGGCTCCACAGGAATTGACTCAATGGTGGTTTCAGTTCAATATCTATAATAAGCAAATCCCTTAAACATGTATTTCTGGAGGTTATGCTCTACGCTAGCAACTTAATTTCAGAGTAACAATGAACCATACATTTTTAAATGAACACTTCAAAGCACCTATAGGCATAGAGTCAAGTCCACTGCATCTGAGTAATCCAAAATTTAAACCACGCTAAGTAAGTTCTTTTGCACGTTCCTTTTCTTTCAAAGAGCTCAGAGCAACTTGCAAGTTTTATCTCCTTGATCCTCACATTATGCATCAGATGTTCACAATGGGGTTCATCATTGCCTCGCCCTCTGCGAGTCTGCAGGCAAAAGGATGGATTTTTATATTCAAAGACGTTTTATGCCTTTGCATTTGAAAGATGAACTCATAAATACTTCTTTATTCTTTCTCTATTTTCTCTTTCTTTTTCTATCTCTCATCTGTCTTTTTCTTTTGTTTTCTATCTTTTGCTTCACTTTCTTCAAATAGTTTGTTATTTCTGAATTGAAAGAATAGATCCCAAGCATTGCTCATTCTGGGCTCAAGCAATTCTCCTGCCTCAGCCTCCAAAGTAGCTGGGATTACAGATGCCTGCCACCACACCTGGTTAATTTTTATATTTTTAGTAGAGACAGGGTTTTACCATGTTGGCCAGACTGGTCTCGAACTCCTGACCTCAAGTGATCCACCTGCCTTGGCCTCCCAAAGTGCTGGGATTACAGGTGTGAGCCACCACGTCCGGCCTGGTCATTCTTAATGAAACAACTGCAGAAGGTTTTCTGTGCTCTTACTTGCCTGGCGATCCACTACCTCTCATCTGGAAGTTTCCTTGCTTCCTCACACTCCTCACCTTTCCCTGTGTGGACCACAGGTTGGATTTTAAAAGCTGTGACCTGTTAAATTGATAATGATTCCTTTTCAGAGCTGCCTGTCTGGTTATGGATCCCTAACTGCTCCTGTAAGTCCCTTTTGGGGCCACAAACCTTTCTGGAGAAAGAGCCTCTTTCTGGCGAGTGGCAGACACCCCCTAGATCTCTTCCCCATGGATTTGGTGACCTGCCCTCTCTAAAGGTCACTGGCACTGTGGACTCTTTAAAGCTTGTTTGTCCTGGGGATGGCTTCAGGGGGCACTGGATCCCTGCTGTCAATGACTCTTTTCTGAAATAGGGGCAGGGAGATAAGGAGAGTTCATGTTGCCAGGTAATGACCTCGCTTGGACTCACTTGAGAGAGACAGTGGCAAGAGGAGCCTGGCAGGTAGCTTGCTTGGAGGGGCCTGGCAGAATGATGAATGGGCTGGCTCTCTGCCCCAGGGAGAGTGGGCAGTGTCCCCTGTGTCCCCAGAGGGCAAAGGAAGAAGAGAGTTGACTCATATGGACAGTTTTCCAACCTTTTGCCACAATGCTTTGATATATTCAAGTTTTGGGGGTCATTTAGTATTTATTAATGTGTCCACTATGTAGAAGATGTCACTTTGTCAGCTTTCACCCCAAAACACTCTACTCTTCAGAAGACTAGGGACAGTGGGAGTACCAAGGCCAGAAATGCACTGAATTCATGAACATCTCTTGAGAACTTTGCATGTGCCTGGCTCTCTGTTACGTTCAGTGGGACCACAACAACAACAAAAAGTACAACATAGTCATTATCTCTTGTGTTTTTGGGCCCCGAGGCAGGCTATATGAAGCAGCTAGGAAACAGTGTCTGACTGTGTAGAAATGAGCTTCACGGGAAAATGAATTTGCAATATTATTTAAAAATTGCAGTGAAACTAGAAACATCCTGATGTCCATCAGAATGGGAGTGCTTAAAAGTGATGATATCGGCCAGCCTTGGTGGCTCATGCCTGCAATCCCAGCGGTTTGGAAGGCTGAGGCGGGTGGATCACTTGGGCCAACATGGTGAAACCCTGTCACTACAAAAAATACAAAAATTAGCTGGGTGTGGTGGTGCACACCTGTAGTCCCAACTGTTTGGGAAGCTGAGGCAGGAGAATGGCTTGAACCTGGGAGGCGGAGGTTGCAGTGAGCTGAGATCGCGCCACTGCACTCTAGCCTGGGTGACAGGGTGAGACTCCATCTCAAAAAAAAAAAAAATGATATAACCAAACTGAAGAATATTTTGCACCTGCTAAAAAGATGCCATAAATAGAACTATAGGCAATGACATTGAAAGATTGCCAAGAATATTTGTTAAGTGGAAAAAAAGGATCTTATTTTCATTATGAGTCACTTATATTAAAAATAATTATATATGTTTATGAAGGTAGGTAAATGCATTGAAGAGAGACTTTCATAATTTTTATGTGTACTTTTGTTTTTCTATTTCATAAGGATAATGTATTTATATGTTCCTTATATAATCTAAAAGATGAACAAGGAAAGCAGTGAAGATTATATGCAATTAGAAGAGAGAAGGGACAGAGTGAGTGTTCTCCTTCTCTATTCTACGAATATTGAGCCACAATCTTATTTGAACATAAGACAAACTTGGCTGAAGTGCTTCTTCTCAGGCCTGGGCCTGGGGAGTAGCCGCAATAATCAATATGACTTTAAAAATGGCTGACTCTGCTCGTGAACAACACCCAGGTGGAGGGATTCACCATTTGTCTTCATTTTCTCCTTCTATCCAAAGTGTTTGTGTTAGTGGGGGTGAGGGTTGGCAATGTAACTTTTGGCCCCTTGTCCTCAGGAAAGTCATAACATGACTGTTTAAGGTTCTTTTCTGCAGTTACTTTTTTAGACCTTGACAACTGCTGAGATATGAAAGAGCTGATATTGTATTTATGGCTCCAATTTTATTTTACAGTGATACTGGCCACATACTAATAAAAATAGGTGCATTATGGTGATGTAGTTTTATGGCATATAATTTCTAAATACTTAAGTGCTCAGGAGCTATTTGAATGTATATGTTCTTTTTTATAACAGATAATATACTCATTGAAGTAGGGAGTCTTGTCTTTTTAGCTGGTAGGTATCCCCTATCATGTAGAATGGTACCTTTTTTTATAATGGACACTAAATAAATGTTTGCTGAGTGAATAAATCATTGGATTAATGAATAGAGTGAATAGTGTCTGATGTATTGTTTTAATAAGAAACATAGAAAACAGAGTCACTTCAATACAAATGAGGTCATAGATTGAAAAACCATATAAAATATATCTGTCTTTCCAGGGAAATTCCTTGGGCCATTTTTTAAACTCTGAAATCTTTCTAAACAGAAAAACACAGAGGATAATATAGCAAATGCAAATGCCTAAGAAACACCCATGTGTCCCGTATCCATATTTAACAAATGCTAACAATTGTCATGTTTCTACTGGAGTTTTTTTTTTTTTTTTGCTTAATAAATAAAACATTTTGGTTACATTAAAGCTCCATTTGTCTGCTTTCCAATCCCATTTCCCTGTTTCATATCTCAGAGGTAACTGCTACTCTATAGAAAGCTACATGTGTTTTTATAATTTTACTTTTTTTTTTCTTTTGAGTCAGAGTTTCGCTCTTGTTGCCCAGGCTGGAGTACAGTGGTGCGATCTCAGCTCACTGCAACCTCTGCCTCCTGGGCTCAGGTGATTCTCTTGCCTCAACCTCCCAAATAGCTGGGATTACCGGTGTCCACCACCATTCCTGGCTAATTTTTGTATTTCTAGTAGAGACAGGGTTTCACCATGTTGGCGAGGATGGTCTCAGACTCCTGACCTCAAGTGATCCACCTGCCTTGGCCTCCCAAAATGAGTCACTGTATCTGACCTATACTCTTACTTTTTATGTAATAGTATTACACAGTCTAGAGTCTGGTGAGTTTTCAAATTGACATAGTGGTATCATGCTGTATATACATCCCTTCTATGACTTGCTCTCTTCTCTCATTATTTATTATTTATCTATATTTTTAATATTATTTATCATCTCAATCTATTTCTCTGTGTTGATAATGCAAATCTAGTTTATCCATTTTAACTACTCTGTAGTATTCCATGATTTATTTATTGTCTGTTAATAGATTCCTATTCTCGTGTTGGTGCATATGTAGGTTTTCCCCTCAGTTTTTCTGAATTACTAATGGTGCTGTCAGCAACGTCCTCATAGATGCTACCTTTTGCTGATAACAGTGTTCCTCTTGGGTATGTAACCTAGAAGTGAAATGGCTTGACTGTGGGAGAATTATATTTTCAACTTTACTAGATATTGATCAATTGTCTTCCAAAAAGGCTATACTAATTGACAATCTCAACCAGCAGTGCAGGGGAATGACCGCTTCTGTATATTCTCACTAACACTTGGTATCATCAGAGCCTTACACTTTTGTTTTTTGAGTAGGAATTTATTTCTCGTGGGTGATGGCTGTTACAAAGTTCAACTCCTGCCAATGTGCCTTATGCCCCAGATTTGTGTATTGTCATGTAGCCATCTTACCATTGCTAAAGCCATTCCTTTTACTAGGAATGCCTTTCTTGCCTTTGATCGGCAAACTCCTACTCATTCTCCAAGTCTCAATTAAAATGTCCTCTGTGGCACTCTCTCTGATTCCCCAGGGTCATTTGTGGTTCCCTCCCCTTGCTCCCATAGTTCTCTGTACAGATCTCATTTGTTGCACTTATCACGTATTATTATTATTATTTTCTGTGGCTGTTTCTATCACTGGACTGTGATAGTCTCCAGGACAGGTATGACATGTACCAAGTTCAGGTTTGACCCCCTTGCATTTAGCCCAGGTACAGCTCAGAAAATGTTTGTTATGGAAATGTATGAGTAAACAAATGAATAAGCTAATCCAACAAAACCTGCCAAGTACTCTTCTAAGTGTTGGGGATGTAGCAGAGAACCAGTCTGTTAACTTTCTGTTCTTGAGCTTACGTGTATGGGGTGGGAATGGGGAGAGAAAAGAGACAGACAGTATACATCCTTCTTCCAATCAACAGAGACCCTGCCAGGGGATAAAAACAGCAGGGAAAGAAGGAAGAGTAGGGTGGCAGAGAGGGCAACAGATGCTGATCTGTCCTGCCTTATGTCCCTTCAGCCCACCTTGACTTCAGCTGCAGCTGAGGAAGATGTCTTTTGCTTAGGACAACTTCTCATCTCTGGCACTTTCTGCTCAGAGTGTTCTCCATAGTAAGGAGCTGCTTATACTGCTGCTGCTCTTCAGGACCAGCCTGTAGGTGCCCCAGCCCTTCTCGCAGACAGGCTGGGTTCTGATTGCCCACAGTGATCACCAGCTCAGCTTCTGCCCTTTATTGGCTTTCTCTCATACCACCTTCCCTTCCCCATTCCCTTATTCCAGCTTCCCTGAACCACAACTCAAATAAACATCCTGCTTCCATGTCCTGGCCTTAGGCTCGAGGAACCCAACCCAAGACAGAGAATGCTGGAGGGGCTGCTAATTGCTAAAGGGTTTGTTAGGAAAGCACTTTTTAAACGGGGGACCTGACTGAAAAGAGAGTAAGCTTGTTGACACTTGGAGGAAAGGTGTCTCAGAGAGAAGGAACGGCAAGTCTAACCCTAGCCCTGACCCTGAGGGGGCATGTGCTTGAGAAACAGCTAGGAGAAACAGCTGGAGCAGAGGTGAACAAGGGAGAAAACTGGAGATGAGATCCAAGTAGGAGCAGCGACCCTGTAAGCCAAGGTAGGGAGTTTACAATTCATTCTGAATGAATGAATTGGATGGATCTGAACAGAGGAGAGGCAGGATGCAAAACTGTAGTTTGAGATGAATGCATACATGCATGCATATTATGCTTGAAACAGATATAAGCAAATACTTTGGTTATTTAGAGGTTCCAATTTATGCAGATCTGATGGGCATTTGTATTTCATGAGACAGTGTTGAATTACAACCATTTTGGTCAGAACTGATTTGCTTACATGCTTAGATAGCCCTGAAGCTAGTTGCTTTCAAAAGTTGCTTTGCTTTGGTATGTCTGTGTAAGACTGAGAAGTATGAAGTGAAGGAGGGCAGTAAGAATTTGAGGACAGTTGGAATTTCACCAGGTACCAAGAATTTTAAGAATGATGTTTCAGGCTGCAAAGAGATCCCAGAGTACTTTATGCTTTGTGATGGGTGAATTTAAGTCCGAGTGTCTCCTACCTAGCAATGTTTTCTAGCAAGTGAACTAAAAGTAAAGGTAAGCTTTCCTCACAAAACCAAACCCTACAGCTAAAAGGGATGTTAGCTAATTCATCAGGTCTGTGAAGAAGGAACTGTTAACTGGCAGCTCGATGACTTCTGCATTCCTTGTGGTGAAGCCATGCAGGATTGTTGGGTTCTGTGGCACTTTCTCCTTTGCAAGGTGGCACCACCTTTCTTTATTGCTGGATTTTTTTGAAAGAGACATTTATGGTGTGTATTTATTGCTTTGTTGGACCCTGATCAGATCACAGAATAGGATGATTCAGATAAATGATTTCCCTTCCTCTTTAAGTCTTAGGAGCAACAGGGCCTAGCCATACAGGGAATGCTGGGAGTTTGCATGTTAAATTATTCAAGACAGATTGTCAAGGTGTGAGCACCAAGGTGGGACCTGGAGGAAGGAAGATGAGGCAAGTTCAAAAGAGAGAGAGGCCCTTTTCCTCTGTGGAAATTCAGGAATGAATAATCCCACTCTAATCTGACTTTCTGTGGGCCTTCCAATCATTTGCTCTGTGTGTATTAAATTTATCATCACTGGCATAGCTGGAAAATGGAGGTCAAATTTCATTTTGGCCCACAATGTGATAAAAATGACCTGCAAAAGGTAGATGGCAGGTTGTTATTTCATGCCCTGGAAAATAGCAAAGATCAGATAGATAGTGGTTCCTCACTGTCCTCCTTGATCCCCCCTTCTTGGGTGGCTAATACTAACTTTCCTTAGTAATGCATCATAAATGCACATCCTGATTTGTTAGAAGGGTGGTCAAGGTTTAAAACAAGAACAATCTATTTCTAACTGGCAATTTCCATCAGTACAGGTTGACTAGGCACCTTTCACCGTGTAAGTTTTTTATGGAACCACTGACAAGTCATAAAAATATCCAGTGCTCAAGCATGACATTCAAACACACTGTCTCTTCTGCTTATAGTTCATTGACTCCCAGAAGTCATCTATTTATAGCAATTAATGATTTCTAAGCAATTAGATCCCCCTGTTTCAACAACTATCATGTTGTAGGATAAATCCTTCCTCACAGAAATAAATTCAAGGGGCAGGCAGTTTCAGATATAGGAATAGAGGCCAAAGTTGGTATTTACAAGGCAAAGGAAGAAACCTTTTTGTTTAGCATTTGAGATGGACTAGGATTCCCATCAAATGAAGACTGTCAGGAATTGTGCCTACATCAAGAATTATTTAAACTTAGGAAATGCTTAACCTCCACCTGGCCTTGTCTCTGAGGATGAGAGGGATAGCACCTGCCTGTCACTGTTCCAGGGACAGCCTGGCTACTGCATTGCAGCCTTCTCCACTGGAGGTCCGTCATGAGTCAGTGCTACTTTTGCTTTGCTTTGCTTTGTAAAGATCATTGCAAGGGCTTATCTTGGGTAATTGTTATTACTACCATCTGCATTACGGTATAATTACCTTTCCAAAATGCTAGATCTCTTTAGCTGATGTTTAAAGATAAGTAATAGCCAAATAATTGCCAAGCCTTTGGATACAGAGCAAGGCTCTCCAATAAAAGGTGGGCTGTGTGTAAAGCATGCATTTCTTTCTCCTGTTTTCATTTTTCTCTCCTTCTCTGGGAGTGGTAAGGGGAAGACTGATTTTCCTCCCTAGCTCTCCCTTTATTTTTACACAGATTTATGACTCAGTTAGCATTGTAGAATTTATCCACATTCCAATCTGATATCCATCCTACACTAGTACACCATCCGTCAGGATGAGGGTGGTGGCATTCAACAAAGCTAACTTGTGTTAATCACAACTCATGGCAAGTAAATCCTCTCTCTATTCCTGAGCACTGAAAGTGAGAAATCAGATGAGATGAAATAGAGAGAAACCCCATGGCCTCTTTTGGATGAAGCAGAGAGATTTAGTGTGGTCTCTTTCCTCCTGACTTCCCAACTTGTAAATCAGTTGTTGATTGGGACTTCTTCTCTTGTGGCCCTTGATGCTCTGAGGTACAAGCTACAGTTTGGTGATTAAAGCTTGAGTGTATTTCTTTATTAGCATAATCCATTAGCAGAACCTTAACTACATGTGAACCTGGTGCTTTTGCTATAAATCCTAGAGTATCTAGAACACAAAAATAAGGATAGCGAGGCATAAAAATGAAAAGAATGGGAAAAATGGAAGAATATGAGGAGGGAAATATGGATTAATTGAAAATACAGAGAAAAAAGCTTGACAATATCATGATGGTTTGCATAAGGAATAAGTATTGAATTTATGGTCTTAAAATCGCTATTTAAAACCCTGCTTGCTGTTTGATGTTCTCATTTTTCTGGAAATTCATTTAATTACGCAAATCTGGTCCGAGTATTTACCTTCCCAAATTCTTAAACAAGTAAAACAGATGAATTACTTTGAGCTATGTGGACTCAAGGAGTATGTACAATATGCTCACAAAAAATTGAGGTAAGTACTAGCTTATGAAATACCATCATCTCACCTTTGCAGTGAGAACTTCTGGCAGACATAATAATTACTATTGTGGAGATACTTCATAATTGCAACCATTTGAGGGTTACTTTTTGCCACCAAACCTACTAGGCGTTTTATTAGAATTATGTCATTTAATCTTCACCACAGCTATATGGGTGAAATAATTATTCTTTCAATTTTACAGGTAAGAAAGCTAAGCCTTAGAGAGTCCAAAATCATATTAGTTAACAGAGCTGGGATTTGATTTACCTAAAGCAGGTGTAAGAGTCTGTACTCTCCACTGTTTCCATATAACATAGGTACTCTATTCATTTAACAGAGTAGATGAGATATCTGTATCTATATCCATAATCATACCTGTATCTATACAGATATATATTCATACATACACAAGTTTTATCTGTGATTGTACAGTATGACCATGGGATACCTTAGCTATTTGTCTACTATTATAAGCCAGGATTTATACTGGGCAAACCAGGAAGAATGCTAGTTTTGATCTCAACAGCTAACCATATTCTCTACTCCAGAGGAGAAAGTATGCTGGAAAAGATTTTGGTTGGTTGATATTTAGTTGTAAAGCTGCACATTAGTCTCTTCTCAGTGGAAATAGCATCCCTTGTCTTGCTCTGTTCCTACCAGGAATGAAACAATCATTTTAAAGGCATTTCATATAGCCTCATTTTAAGACATATCTGCACCCATCAGAGCCAACATTTGAAGAGGCAAATTGAGTAACTTCTTGATGGGGGTGTGTGTGTGTGTGTGTGTGTGTGTGTGTGTGTGTGTGCGCGCGCGTGCGCGCGCGTGTGTGCCAGCCCACTGGTGTCTGATCTTGGTTCTTTTGACATACATTTTATTCCATGTTCAATGACAAAACTGCAAGGGGTGCTATGGTAAACTCTGATACTTAGTGCGAGTGATTTAATCAGATGTTTCCTAGAGAAGCAGACTTGGATGACAGCAGGTAGAGAAAGCACAAGGACAGTGAAGATCTCATGGAAATTGAGAGGAGCAGTGGAGTTGGTGTATAGAAAAAGGATGCTAAAGTATCAAGGTAAACACCTTCTTCCCCATTTTATATTAAATCAGCTCTCTGTCTGGTTATTTAATTGGATTAACCAAAAAAATGAGTTGAGTCAGTACAGGCTGCTTTAATGGAAGTTCCTATACCTAGCACTAAGAAAATACATTAAATATATTCTTCCTACTGGAGAGTTGCTTCCTCCCGTAGTCTGTCGTACTGCTTCTTTTTCCTGTTGTTCATTGGTGTACTTTTTTTTTTTTTTTTGAGATGGAGTTTTGCTCCTGTCGCCCAGGCTGGAGTGCAATGGCACGATCTTGGCTCACTGCAACCTCCACCTCCCAGGTTCAAGCGATTCTCCTGCCTCAGCCTCCTGAGTAGCTGGGATTATAGGTGCATGCCACCAAGCCTGGCTAATTTTTGTATTTTTAGTAGAGACAGGGTTTCACCATGTTGGCCAGGCTGGTCTTGAACTCCTGGTCTCAGGTGATCCACCCACCTCGGCCTCCCAAAGTGCTGGGATTACAGGCATGAGCTACCATGCCTGGCCCCATTGGTGTACTCTTGAGCACGTTTCTGCTCTGTAGGAGGCACTGTGCTTGACTCTGGAGCACAAACAGAGAAAAGGCACATTGCCTGCCCTCACAGAGCTCCCAGCTGAAGGGGAAAACAGTAAGCAATCAAAATGCCCAGGGCTTCCTAAAACCCAGGAAGAAATTGACTTGGCCAGGAGTTGGGATACAGCTTGTAAAAGATGACATTGAACTCTGGGCCCTGAAACATATATGGCGTCCCTATGTGTGGAAAGTGGGGAGAGTTGGAAACTTTTCAGGAAAGTGTCTTTCAGTCAGATTTTCAGATCCTGATGAGACCTTGGGTAGCTTGCAATTAGGAAGGGTAAAACAGATCATTGCCCAGGGGTCTCACTGCGGGACACTCCCTGCCACGATGCCCTTCTAGGGAAGGCTGGGGAGAGGTGAGATGTTGATTTGAGTCATGTGTTCCTTTTTCTTGCATTCTTCTGGCATCTCTAGAATTGATGCAAATTGAATTTCAAAGCAAAGGTACCACTCCATGTTACTGTGGTAGAGATCCAAGTCATTGAAAACTGACTTCACCTTATACATTCCCGGCCTTGCGTCCTGCTATGTGTTGTTGAGTTGCAGCTAGAAGACAGCTCAGGTAAAGGCAACTCCATCAAAAGCAGATAAATGCATGTTAAACAAAGAAAATCAGAAGGCATCCAAAAAATTAAAATACCAAATAGTTTGATATTTGTGAGAAAAGTTACTAAACATCCTTAAATTTGCATTACGACTTAAATATGCTAAACTATTTGCATTTATAGACTCAGTAATTGATCTAGATATCTCCTCTTGCTTTCTCTTTTCTAATGTTCTGGTGCTGAAAAAAACAGCATTTCTAATTTACATGTCCAAATTAGTTTCAACTTACTTATATTGAATGATAATAGATTTCTTTTTCTTATAATTAATGTTGTCTGAAAACATAATACAGATTTAACTTATCATTGTAAAGATCTTAAGATTTTAATATTTTTGCAGAGGCATAAATACAGTGTAGCTATAATTATTTCATTATGTATGTATAAAAATAGGATACAGCAAAAAGTACATGCTTTCCCTCACTGATTACTCTTAATGTCTCCCAAATTTCCTGATTTACAATATTCTCTAAGGATGTAGATTTTTCTAATTGAAGTACAGTAATTTGCATATTTTTAGACCTTGTTGACACAGTTAATTGATATGTCATTACTTATATCATGCTGAATATAATTTACACTCTTTATTCACGGCAGACTTACAATGCTGTCCTTTTGGGGAAGATTTCACAAAGTACTGTTCTTTGTCTTGCTTTTCCTTTTTTGCTTAGCCATCCTTTGCCCAAAGAAAACCAAAAGGAATAATGTTCAGTTGGCAGGGTCTTCCGTTCAGCTAAACATTAACTACTGACGTAATCTAATAAGTCTTAGCACTGGGGGTAAGGCGTACATTTTTTCCAGCTGTTTACTATTTTCAGAGGACTTTCTCGTATTATTATCATCTCAATTAATTGTCATATAACCCTTGAGAAAGGGATTGTTACAATCCTGTTACCAGTGAGCAAATGGACGTTCAGGGAGGCCCAAAGACTGGTCCAAGGTCACATGTCTGGAGGACTGCAGAGCTGGGATGGGGAATAGTTCTTTTGTCTCCAGGACAACATTTTTCCCACTCCATTGCATATTTCACCAGACAGTAGGGAAATAGAACTAGAGGAGTATAAAAGAAAGAACAGGAAAATAAGGAAGAAATGCTAGTGGAGCCATGGATCAAACATATAAACTTAGAGGTGGGATACAAGTTCAGATCAGTGGTGTCCATCGAGGCGTGGCTGAAAGTTTTCATGTTTCTTGGTATGGTTGTACACATCCCCGTCTCCAAGAACTCTGAATGGGAGTGTTGTGTACTCTCTAAGGGTTGAGCCCAAGCTTTTTGCTTCTTTCTCACTCCCACGGTGCTTTGCTATGTTCAAATGAGGCACTCAAAAATAATTGTTGAATAAATGAATGGCATTCTTCAGAAGTTGGAGTTATGGCCTTATTGTTCTCATGATGGGCTGTGATTTTTATCTGTGCCAGCTGTGGCCACCCACACCCATCCTAATCACACAGGCCTCCTCTGCGAGATGAAATTACTTTTTGCCTTTCTCCTTTTCCTTCTTTTTTTTCTTTTTTTAAAGCTCCATAACTCAGGCTGGAGAGTTCTCTTGTTAAAAAGGTGGTTGGAATTTGGCCTAGCATTTACGTGGATGGCTAAAGATGTAGGATCGGCTTTTGGTGGATGTCCAAGTGTGCAATCCATCCAAGCAGCTGAAAATCACAACAAATGGAGTCCAGAAAGCATGCAAAGGCGAGACATTATCGTATAATGGAAAAAGCATTGGCTTAGGAACTAGACAGACCTGGGCATGGCTCCAAACTCTGCCATTTACTAGTCATGTAACCTTTTGCGAATCGCCTCCATGAGCCTCAGTTTACTTTTCTGCACAGCAGGACTCTAGTTAATGCATCCCTCTGAAGGAAGCTCAGAGACCAAGTATGTGAAATACATAGCCTGGTACCTGTCTCCTACTGGATGCTATTTCTCTTTCCTCATTCACGTCCAAGCTGCTGTTGACCCTATTTAGATGAGTTGTAATTTCTGCTCCGAGAATACATACAGCTCGATTCTTCATTCACAGATGTGGGATCATATAACTTTTTCATGCCTTGTTAATGTCACTGGTTTGTGTTGAGAACTGTTGAGCACTGCCTTTTGTCCACGGTCTGCACAAATAGAGGGGCTGCTGCTTTCTTCATCCAGCAGCTGTGTAGTCCTTTTATCTCGTGGAATCTGAAGAACAACTGAGCTGCCCTATTTTATGGAAGAGGGCAGTATTCAGGCACCCTGCAGGAGCCTTCTTTCTCTTCATTTGAAACCCTCTTTCCAATGAAGGACAAACTGATGTTCCTCTTGAGGGGCTGCAGCTGTTTATCGTAGTCCACCAGCGGTGGGAAATGGGCTGAGCTTGAGAAGGGAATGAGGGCTGAACACTGGCTGGAGTTTGCCTCTATTTCTAGAGGAATGAGCTGGTAGAATTGAAAATGCCCAGGCTGTGAAGACCTGCAGCTGAATCCTGCCTTTGGCACAAACTAACTACATGGCATGGAGGAAGTCACTTCATCTCTTCGAGGCTAAGTTTCCCTTTTTGTAAAGTGGGAATAATAAAACCTAGTTAATGGGGCATTGAGAAGATTAGAACCTGGGAGTTTGTGGGGATTCAGGAAATAATAGAGATAATTATTATATATTATTTTATTTTAATTTTTATTTTTTTGAGATGGAGTCTCACTTTGTAGCCCAGGCTGGAGTGCAGTGGTGCGATCTCGGCTCACTGCAAGCTACGCCTCCTGGGTTCATACCATTCTCCTGCCTCAGCTTCCCGAGTAGCTGGGACTACAGGCACCCGCCACCATGCCTGGCTAATTTTTTGTATTTTTAGTAGAGACGGGGTTTCACCGTGTTAGCCAGGATGGCCTCGATCTCCTGACCTCATGATCCACCCACCTCGGCCTCCCAAAGTGCTGGGATTACAGGCGTGAGCCTCCGTACCCGCCCATATTTTATTTTATTTTTTTAGATTACTTACAGGCCTGTTGTATCCATGGGTGGAGTTGGGAGCCACTCATGTATTGTGATTTTACCAAAGCCTGGATTGCAGCAAAGAAGCCGATTACTGACCAAAGGGTCACAACTTGTACAGATCTTCTGAAACCCTAGACATTTCAAGCATGTCACAGCATCATGCTACCTGGGAGATAACCTCCTTAGTAGGCACTACGTTAGCAAGAATTTATTTATTGCATCGGCCACTTCCCATCCTTGTAAGCTAGCAGGAAGTGGCAAGGGCTTGCACACATGAAATACAGAGCAGGTGTGCTTGGGAGGAGGATGCCAGGACATGGTGGAAGGCACTGCTGCTGGGTGGAATTCTTTGGTGGGGAGCTCAGGGCAGTCTGGTGGGGACACTGTGGAGCATAGTAGGCAGTGACAGAGAGATAGGGCTATCCACGACTTAATCCATTAAACTAAATACATGAAAAGTGAGGGTGCCGGGTGCTTAGACTTTGGACTAAATAAAGGTGGCCTCTCTTCTCAAGGTGCTTCCCACCACATGAACAAATTGTGAATACAAGCCAGAAAGATAATAGCCTATGCTAGAAGTGATACAAGGAATGTAAGTGAAAAAATGGGGAGTTCTCATTTGTAGTAGAGGTGATTAGGGAAGGCTTCCTGGAAGAGGTGACATTAGAAAAGCCTGGAAGTGTGAAGAGGACAATTGCCAAGTGCTTCTTATTTCATAGTCTTGTCAGAAGGCGAGCTACAGCACTTACAGCTTTCTCAGGGGTGTGGTGGAACTTCCTGATGGGTTTATGTTTACATGCGCAGAGTGAATGGAGAATTCAGGTATCTATTTCAGGACCATTCTGAATCATTTAGATCAAGTCTCCCTCCCTCAATTTTTTTATTATGATAAAATACACATAGCATAGAAATTACCATTCTAACGATTTCTCAGCATATAGTTCAGCGATATTAAATATATTTGTAATTTTTGCAGCCACCATCCATCTCCGGAACTGTTTTCATCTTAGAGCTTCAAACTGAAGCTCTAACAGATGATTTTTCATTTCCCACTCCCTGCAACCCCTAACCCCTGGCAACCAGCGTTCTACTTTCTGTCTCTATGATTTTGACTACTCCAAGTAGCTTGCGTAAGTGGAATCACACAGTGTTTGTCTTTTGGTGACTGGCTTATTTCACTTTAGCAAGATGTCCTCAAGGTTCATCCATGTTGTAGCGTGTGTCAGCATTTCCTTCCTTTTTAAGGCTGGATAATGTTCGATTGTGTGGATACACTACATTTTGATTATTCATTCGTCTGTTGATGGACACTTGGTTTGTGTTCACCTTTTAGCTATTGTGAATAATGCTGACATGAATAGGGGTGTATAAATATATTTTTGAGACCCTGCTGAAGTCTTTTGGATATATACCCAGAAGTGGAATTGCTAGATCATATGGCAGTTCTATTTTTAATATTTTGAGCAACCACTATATTGTTTTCCACCACCACTCTACCCTTTTATATTACCACCAACTGTGCACGAGGGTTTCAGTTTCTCTACATCCTCTCCAACACTTGTTATTTTCAGTTTCTTTGATAGTAACCATCCTTATGGGTGCAAGGTGGTTAGGTCAGATTTTAAGATCACATTGGGACCTTTACTTGAATTATCCAGGTAGTTCATTTCTTCCTTCTTTACTCTGCATTTCCCCCAGGACCATCCCTGTTGGTGAGGAGAATGATAAAGGGGAATGTCAAAGCACTAATAGTTCAGCGGTATTACATACATTCATAATGTGCCTAGGGGTTCCTTAAGAGTTAGTGCCTTTGCCTGATCTCCAGACTCACCTTTCGTTTCTTTGGGGAAAGCCTGATGTGAAGATGGAGTCCTTGGGGATGGGAACAGGGAAGGCTTCCCTACTGCACCGGTTATTAGGATTCTAAGGTAGCCTTAGAATATAGGACATGAATGGACAAGCACACAAACTATATGGCACTTGCCTGCCTCTCAGCTCTATCTGGTACCATTTTTCTCCCCCTGCTCACAGTGTCTTAGCTGTGTTGCTCTTCCTCAGTTCCTGGAATTTTAATGACTTTGGAATTATATTATGCCATTGCCTTACACATTGGAATTATATTAGAGCTGCACACAGTCCATATAGAGGATAATTGGCATGTTCTTTGCCATCTCAGGCTTTTGGATATATGCTGTTCCCTCAACCTGGAATACCTTTTCCTACAAGCTTTAATTAATCAACTTATACTCATCCTGCAAACCTTATTTTAAATATTCCATCTTCAAAAGATTCCTATATCTAAATCAGATCCCTCATGTTATTCTCGTTCAAGGGACTCCAGTACTTATTCTTCAGGGCATTTATCAAACATTTGTGATTATATATTTGCTGGTATGCTTACTTAACATTATCTCCTCTGCTAGACTATGAGAACCATGAAGGGAACATAGTTCTGTATATTTTTTACCCATGTTGCATAAAGACCAACAAAGTGCCTATATTTTAATAGACGTCTAATCCTCCATTATTATTTGCTGGGTGGATAAATGAATGAATGATCATATAATTGTTGATCTTGAAGGGATCACAGCAGACATTTACTGTAAAAGCTTCTCTTTCTTAGAGGGAGATACTGAAACCAAAGATTTTAAGTAAACTTACCTAAGCCAGGTTAAGTTAAACAGTTAAAAAGGTAGTTGATGGCAGAACCAGGACCAGAACCCGGGGCTCCTGAACTCCAAACCCATGATTTTCCTTTTAGGTAATTTTATAGGTAGCTTAACATGGTGGTTAAGAGTGAAGATCCTAGACTCAGCACTTACTAGCTGTGTGACTGTGAGCAAATTACCAAATTCCTCAGCACCTCAGTGTTTTTATCTGTATAATGGGCATAAAAAGACTGCTCCCCTCATCTGATGGCTATGATAAATAAATGAGATGATCTAGGTGAAGCACTTAGAGAAATGCCAGCTCACAGAGCGTGCTCAATAAACATTAGCCATCATCATTGCATCACCAGCACTACCACTGCCGCCATCATCATCATCACCTTGAGCCAATAAGGGCATTTGCAGATGCCAAGTGACACCAACTTAAAGTGCATAGGCAAAGGGGACTAGTACTCATGGCATCTGGTTACCTGAAAAGCTAGAAGTCCCTAAAGAAGCAACAGAAATTGCAGTTGCATGATACTCATTGTAGGAAGAGTAATGTTTGGCAATTTTTAAAAAACTGTATTTAAGGAAAAGGTACATTAAGCTTTTCCGCAAATAGATGCTCATCTGGAAACTGCTGCTGACTGCACGTGCAGAAGCAGCCTCAGTGGTTCCAGGAGGTATACAGTTTTTTTAAATTTTATTTTTAATTTTTTAATTTTTTTATTTTCATTTTTTTTTTGCAGGCAAGTAGCTGTTCTCTCCTGGCAGCCCTGCCCATGGTTCTGGCAACCAGAGGCACTGAATGGGTTGAAAGAGCCATCGTGCCCCAGAAAAGGAGCGTGTGCTCCAAGTGGCTCCAATGGGTACTCAAAAACCGATCTTTGGAGACTATTGCGCCATAATAGAGTGTGAGGAATAGCAGCAAATGTTTATGGAGCCCTTCCTCACCACCTGACAGGCACTGTTTTAAGTCCTTTACTGGCATTCATACTCAGTTAATTATCCCAACAACCCTGGTAGGTAGGCTCTAGGCAGTGAAGGACACCAAGATCCAGAGAGTGGGAATACACTGCCCAAGGTCACGCAGTCAGGATGTGGCACATTATGGATTTGAACCCAGGTGGTCCGATCCAGAAGAGCCCATGTTATTAATAACTAGAAGATCCTGACTCATGGGAGGCACAGCTGTAGTAGGCGAGAGGTGAAGTTATTTGAAACCCAAATACCTATTCTGACGTTGCTTGACTCTAACTTACTGGATTCGCAGAAGGGTCCTCTTTGCATCCTGAGACATTTGGCACTAGGTCTCTCTGTCTCTATTTGTGTGTTTCTTATCTCTCTCTTGCTCTTTGTCACTGTCTCTCCTGCCCTCTTCTTTTGCCCACCCTCTCTGTGCCCCACACAAGGCTAAAGTCTCCCATCTGCACACAGTTTGTAGGGCTGATCATTGGCATGTTCAGCAGAGATATTAACATGCCACAAATTCATGAACATTCAAATTGAACTTGCTGTACATGGGTAGCCAAATATTACTTTAATAATTTTTTTTTCTTTTTTCCCCTCCTCTCCCCTTTCCAAATATGTGTAAGTAGAATCTGACCTAGGGATGATTCTTCATACATATAATGCTTTTACCACTTTATTATACTCTAAGTTTTAGGGTACATGTGCACATTGTGCAGGTTAGTTACATATGTATACATGTGCTATGCTGGTGCGCTGGGGAATATCACACTCTGGGGACTGTGGTGGGGTCGGGGGAGGGGGGAGGGATAGCATTGGGAGATATACCTAATGCTAGATGACACATTAGTGCTTTTACCACTTTAAAAGAGAGGAAAAAGTTAAAAATTCTAGAGCCCTGAAAGAAAGTAATATTATCAACTTAAAAAGAAAAAGAATTTGTTCTTTCTAGCTATAAACATTCAATAAATCACCCATACAAAGAGCTTAATCTTTAAACTGAAAGTTGGCAGCTGCTCTAACTTGCTTCTCGTACTGGTGAGGGGAGAAATACAACACCACCATCTCTACCCTTGAGAAGGAACCGTGGCTACATATTGATTGTGTATGTTCAGAATACTGCAATTTTATAGATGAGCATTTCTAGGGTACTGGAGGCTGCTCATCTTATCTTTTTCTTTTCTTTTAGGAAAATTCCAAGGTTTGCTTTGTAAATATGAGCCTGACTTAGTCTTCAGTTTTAAGAGGAAAAATCATCCACCTCTCTGTTTCACAGGTATATGACTTGAGAATTGTAATGATTTTGGAATTACATTGTGACAGGTTGAGGTTTATTTATTTATTTATTTATTTTTGGAGGGTGGTGAAGGACATAATTACTCAAGTTTCAGGAACTGTCTGGTATTTCATGAGGGAAAAATGTCAACATTTGGTACATCTGATGATTTCATTTTAGATGTGTGAAAACAGGCAAATGCCTGTGTTTGAGGAGAATAATTGCATAGATCAGTCTCTGTACTTTTCTCGAACACATTGTTAAAATAATAATTAAGCCTCTCCACCTGTTATACCGTGAACAAAATATTCTCAGAAAACAGTGCCTTTCAAGCACCTCAAAGTACAACCCAGATGAGGATAGGAGTAGGACACACCTCTCCTCTTTCTGAGGCTTCTTTTTCCTGACTTCTTTTGTCTATTTTATTTTCCTTCCTTTTCTGCCGCTTCTTATCCCTCTCTCTTTCTTCCTCATCATTTCTCTTCTGAAGAAAGCTGTTTCTTGACCCTAGAAAATGATTTTAGCTGGGCTGTCTTTGAGCCATATTGGGATTCAGTGCCTCATTCTATGTGTTTTGAGCCAAGTGGAATTTCAGGTCAGCTCTGAAGGATGAAATAGAGGGTGCACGTGAGGAGGAGAGACTGCCACCAGCACCAAGAGCAGCATCATTACTTTCACCTGCCCAAGCCAAGGCTGGGCCCAGAGGATGGACACCAATCCACCAGCTAATATTTATTGAATACCTGCTGCATGTGCAGCCTTCAACTAGGTCCTGCCTGGGGAGGCACCATTTCTGCCCTTGGGAACCTGATGAGATTAGTTGTAAAACTAAGGCACCTCCCACAATACCAGGTATGGATTAAGCACCTGGTAAAGATCAGTGGATTAATTTCTTAAACATCTCTTCAATATTAGTTTCAGAGTTCTTAAAAGACCCATGGGAGGCGGGAAAGAAAATTAGTTTAATGCTCACCACTGGATCTTCTGTTATCTCACTGGAAAACAGAATATTTTTTCCCAGTAAATTTACATATTTTCCTTAAGAAGTCAGTTTCCTAATTTCCAAATTGGGGATAATAAAAGTACCAAACTCTGGGTGAAATACTTAAAACAGTGCCAAACATGTTATTATGTTCTGTTACTATCATAATTGCTGTTATTGGTTTCAAATCCATTGGCATCCTAGAATTTTCATCCCCAATTCCAGGTAGCTTAGCAGTTCTTTTACAACATCACACTTCACCTAATGATATCAGAGGACAGAAGTGCAACTGAGAGAGTTGGACAGAAGATATCCAGGAAATATATCCTTCAGGAATGTAGCAAAAGAAGATTCAGCAGCTTTGTTTTACTTTTTTGAAAGCAAGCGTTTTCACACCAGGCCCGTTTTGTAAATGAAGTTTTCTACGTACTGCAAGTGAAGTTTTATATCTTTTCTTTAACTTGCAAACTGATCATTTCCCAGAAGCTGGACTACTGTAACATTTTATTAAAAAAAATTTCCGTGAGGAAAGCACTAAGTTGAATCTTGCGTTTTTCCTTTATCACATGTAGATCCTTTTCAAGATCAGATGTTCCAGATATAGGTAACAAGGTCATTGAAGGGGAAGGAAAGAGCAGAGTGAGGAAGGGAAACCAGTGCACATGATAACATAATTTTATATCATGGGAATGTTGTCCCACTTGCTGCAAGTCTGTTCTGAATATCAGCCTGGATTTCTCTACAGTCTAATGTCTCCCAGGGTGCTGGAAACACACCGGGTGTCTAATGACCATCACAAAGCTCTTTTCTAGACCTTAAAGAAACTTCCTAACTTTGATTTTCTTCCTTCTGGCCCATCTTTGAACGCAGATACTTCCTTTCAATGAGATAACTCTTCAGTGGTTGGAAGGCGACATAACATGGCCAAGAGCCTAGGCTTTGGAGACAGACTTCCTACTGCAGAGCCTCACAAGCTTGTAACTAGAGTGATTGTGGGTAACTTAGTGAGTACCCTGTGCCTCAGTGGTCTCATCTATGAAATGGGGTAATAAGAGTTCCTCTCTGACAGGGATGAAGATATATATAGGGTGCTTAGAGCAGTGTCTGGCACTTAGAAGTCCTGGAGAAGCATTTGCTTGTGTTATTGCACCAGCTATAGAGACTTACCATGTGCCAGGCACTCTGATAACTGCTTTACCTCAAATATGTCATTTTTTCCTTATTTCCATCTGGTCCTCATTACATCATTTCTACTTGGAGTATTGCAGAAGCTATTTTGTCTTCCTCTCAGCACTTCTCCGAGCCCGAGGTCGTCTATGTTATTCCTTTGCGTGTTTATTATATCTTCCCCCGACACTGGGATGGAAGCTTATTGTGGGCAAAGGTACTGTCTGTCTTGTTCATCATGTTATTCCTGGCACGCAGGACAGCCTGGTGTGTTGTAGGCATTCATAAATATTGTTCGACTTGGTTCTCTTGTTTTGCAGAATTATCCTAAATATCTTGAACTTTTTATCAGGTGACTTGGTTTCTAGATTTTTCTCCAGTCTTATTAACCTTATTCCTCTTAAAGTGGGGTACCAAGCATTAGAGAAATGCAAATTGAAACCACAATGAGATATCATCTCACACCAGTTAGAATGGCGATTATCAAAAAGTCAGGAGACAACAGATGCTGGCGAGGCTGTGGAGAAATAGGGACGCTTTTACACTGTTGGTGGGAGTGTAAATTAGTTCAACCATTGTGGAAGACAGTGTGGCAGTTCCTCAAGGATCTAGAACCAGAAATACCATTTGACCCAGCAATCCCATTACTGGGTATATACCCAAAGGATTATAAATCATTCTACTAGAAAGACACATGCACACGTATGTTTATTGCAGAACTATTTACAATAGCAAAGACTTGTAGCCAACCTGAATGCCCATTAATGATAGACAGGATAAAGAAAATGTGGCACACATACACCATGAAATACTATGCAGCCATAAAAAAAGAATGAGTTCACATCCTTTGCAGGGACATGGTTGAAGCTGGAAGCCATCATTCTCAGCAAACTAACACAGGAACAGAAAACCAAACACTGCATGTTCTCACTCATAAGTGGGAGTTGAACAATGAGAACACATGGACACAGGGAGGGGAACATCACACACCGAAGCCTGTCGGGGTGGGAGCAAGAAGAGGGATAGCATTAGGACAAATACCTAATGCATGCGGGACTTAAAACCTATATGACGGGATGATAGGTGCAGCAAACCACCATGGCACATATATACCTATGCAAAAACCTGCACGTTCTGCACATGTATCCTAGAACTTAAAGTAAAATTAAAAAAAAGTGAGGTGCCAAGAACTGAGTGCAATATGATAGATGTGATCTTGTTTCCTCAGAAGGATACGTTCCTTCACAGGATAAGGGAACTTTATCTTGTTTTCTCGGGGTAAGGTCTCGATGGCTTTTGCGCTGCTGTTTCAGCCAGGTACCGCTTATTAGCTACTGGCCAACTTAGACTTCAGGAAGTTAGATTTTCTTGCTTGATTACAGTTGACCATGTAGGACTTTACTTTTATTCTTGTTAAATTAAGTTTTCTTGGCTCTGTGCCTAAGTTTCTCTTTGTCAAGGTGTCTTGGAATTTTCATTCTGACATCTACTGTATGAGGTCTTTCTCTTAACTTCACTCGTCCATACCTAGTTAAGGCTGTGTGATTTTTGTACCTTGAAGGAAGGAACTGGCAAACATGTGGATCTGGATAGAGTCTGTGGCACCCAGTACAGACCTCTCATATTGACATTCATCAAAAAATTATCATAATTACCTACAATAGTAATAGCTAGTGTTAATTAAGTACTTAGCATGTGTGAGTTTTTGTTCTAAGAATTTCAAATGAATTAGCTCATTTAATTCCTACAACAACTCTACAAGGTAGCTACCAATATTATCCTATCTATTCGTGGGAAAACTAAATGACTAATAATATGAGGGAAATAAAACAATTTACCCAAGATACTTAGGCAGAGTTGGAATTAAATCAGGGGAAAATTTGAACCTGTGTTTTTCGCTGTAACACAACTGGGCTATGATCACTCTTGTAGATACTGACTCATTAGTCAATACTTCCTGGTTACAGTGATTTTTAACTATTAGTAATTCACCTCTAAGTAACAGCTTATTCTCAAAGAAGCCAGGGAGTATTTTATCCAATGTTGTGACAAAGTTAAGATTTACTTGTTTGTGGCATTTCCTTGAATTTGGGCAGTAATTGAAGGGACAAAAATATGTTCCCAAAACTGGAAGCTGGTTTATTGTGGACTTGCAACTACTTGCTAGATGAGGCAGAGGTAAACTTCTTTGTCCCAGAGGGATCATGTTTTGAGTCTTGATTTTGTGAATGACACAGGAAGAATGGCTTTAAATGTTCCTACTTAAAAGCTTATGTTGAGGATCAAAAGTATCCCAAAATGCTGTGGGGCATTGGGACTAGTCCAACAGCCTTTGCACATTTATATTCTAGTCCACATGGATGAGAATGACTAGTTCACATGGATGAGAATGACCAGAAACTTTGAGGAGTTTCACAGCCTCAAAGTCATGTAAGGGCCTGTGATATTTACCATGCCCAACCTCAAGTTGCTTATTCAGATCATGAGTGCTGGAAAGAGTAAAAAAGTCAGTGGGGACCAATAAAATAGTAGCTGCCTATGGGCCCAGGGTTAGAACCCTTGCACATTTAGATGTCAGGGTGTTGCTAAAGTAAGTGACCGATAAAATTGTCCTTTCCATCAGAGATCCCTTTGCCTTTTCTATATAGCTGAGAACCAAAGGTAAAGAGTTGAAGTTAATCAGAGATGGCTAAAACAATGGTTCCCAGAGCGTAGCCGGAATGATGATTTTTAAGTGGCACACAGATGAATATATACATTTTAATTTTAAGTTATGTAGAAAAAATGTAACCAGTTTATGAAACAAATTATCTCATGGTTATTATCACTTAGGATTAGGCAAAGTAAAAAATGTGAGTCAACTTGAATTTCATTTAAAGAAAGATGCTCAGTAGATAACAATATAGGTAGTTTGCAGATTAGCAAAGATTGTGAAAGGGAGATGTAAATGAATACGATTTGGAGAATATTGGGCTAATTCAATGTTAATTAAAAATGTAATGTTATACATGTTATATATGTAAATGATACTAAAAGTTTTTCATGCTGATTATATTTTCGGAGCTCAAATTCAACATGTAGTCAGAGTCGACACAGTCATTCATTGCAGGAAGAAGTTTTAATGAATAGAAGAAAAGCAGTGACAATGGTACATCCTAGAGAGACAACACTCCTTGGTAGCATGGTGGGTAGGATCTATGAATAAAACACAAACACAGGAATAATTAATCTCTACTGATCAAATAATCCCATGTTTTTGTGTTTTAATGTGACATTAGCCCTCTCACTCCCAACTTCTATTTATTAATTATAAAATAATTCTTGTTTTTCTGTAACAAATAAAAAACATATCAGTTGAGACAGCCTTGACTATCTGAAGTACATTTTTAGCAGTGGCACTGTATCGGCACTGTAAAAAATCACCTCAAAATTTAGTGGTTAAAATAGCAACCACTTATGTAGCTCATGATTCTGTGGTTTTGCAATTTGGGCTTGTCTCATCTGGGTTCATGCATGCTTTTGCAGTGAGCCTGTGGTTAGCTAGGCAGTTTTGTATTGGGGGCTCGTCAGGCTGTCACCTGGGCTAAAGAGGGTAGCTGAACTACATGTCTCTCATTATCTAGCAGGCTAGCATGGGCTTGTTCTACCAGCAAGGGTAGGATCCTAAGAGAGAGAGAGAGAACATGGAAGAGTGCAAGACCTTTTGAGCCGCAGAACTGGCAACAATACTGCTCTGACACACTGGATGGGTCAAAGCAAGTCCCAAGGCCAGGTCAGATGCAAGGGGAAAGAGACTCTGCCCTGGGATGAGAGGAGCTGCACAGTTACGTGATAAAGGGGACTTGCTGCAAGGGAGGGAAGCATTATGGCCTTTTTTATTTTTTACTTTTGCAATTTGTTACAACCAGTTGGCAAATATGTCACCTTGGACAAGTCTCTTCACTTTTGCAGGTCTTGGTGTTCTTGTATCTAAAAAGGAGATAATGTACTAGTCCCTCAGCTCTCACAGTTGCAACTATGCCATGTAAATCAGACCAGTCACAGATTACTCTACAGAACAGAACTTAACTCATAAAGAGATGTGAAGAGTCAATAAGACAACGAATGCACACTGCTTAGTCCTAGCACAAAGAAAGAGCCCATAAACAGCAGTGGCTCTTTTGTTATTAACAAAAAAATGAAGATAAGCTGTAGGTGAAGAATACGGAATAGGTTATGATTAAAAAAGAAACAAAAACAAAGGACAAAACCAACCTATTGTAGTGATATATGAGTTTACCCAAAAATCTACAACTGCTTTGCTATAAAATGCATTTGTTCATCACCAGTTGATGACTTTTGAAATCAATTATTTTTATTGTCTAACAAAGGGCCCTTTGTTGAGTGCTTCATTATCGGCAGAAATGCTTTAGCATTCGCAACAAAGCTCAGCACTCAAATGCTGGCACTGGCAGTACCTCTTAGTGATAATTTTCAAGTTAAGTATTATGCATCAGGTAAATGATTGTGCATATAAATGGTCATTTTAGATTGTGCATTAGCAGGTAGAAACGGACAGTCTCTTTCAATAAGTATTCAACTTATTTTTTCTCTACAGTTAACTGCTTCAAGTAAGAGGGCAGATCATGCTGTGATGTTGTACAAGAAATCAGATTAAAAAAATAAATACAGGTCTTCAGACTGTTAGCTCTTCCAAGAAAAGATTTGGTACTGTTTCCTTTTTTTCTGCTGTGTAGCCCCATGTATGTTTATGATGTCATTTGAGTAACGCTAATAAAAAATACCAATCGCCATATGCCATTTAGAACTTGTGGCTTTTCCTCATGACAGACATTGTTTTAAAGTCCAGACACCTAGATATAATGATAGCCTCTATCTCCCTCTAACAAAAGTACTATGCTGTTTCCTTCATTAGGTTCTGGAAGGCATCGATTCAATTTTACTTAAATCTCAGTGAGTTGCAAACAGTAGGTGCTTAATCAGTGCATGTTAAAATGAAGAATGAATGAATGAATAGGATTTATGGGGGAATAGTTGCATCTCATTTATACAATAGGCTCAAAGGCCATCTTTTATCTCAAATATTTTCACCAAGGATGTTTACAGCCATGCTGTTTTCCTGTGGAGGCGATTTAAGCATGCTGTTGGCGGGAGTATAGTACTGTAAGATAACGAATTTATGACATACGGAGAATCCAGTTCCCTTACAAGGTAACCTTCAAAATTGAAGATGATTTCCCAGAAACAGAATCTGCATAATTCCACATAAGTAGTGGCTCACTCATTCCATAGTTCTATCCTAAGACTTCTCATATGCAATTAAAATGACCACTTTTCCTGTTGGTCTCTTTCTTCAGAAGGTAGATTCCTTGAAGACAGAGCAGTTGTATCTTATCACTTGTATGCCTGCCAGCTCTTATTGAATGACTGGTACCTAGCTATCTACTGGGCACTAAGAAGTCCGAGATTCTTTTTTTTTTCCTTTTTTAAAAATTTTATTTATTTATTTATTTATTTATTTATTTATTTATTTATTTATTTAATTATACTTGAAGTTCTAGGGTACATGTGCACAACATGCAGGTTAGTTACTACATATGTATACATGTGCCATGTTGGTGTGCTGCACCCAGTCACTCGTCATTTAACACTAGGTATATCTCCTAATGCTATCCCTCCCCCTTCCCCCCACCCCACAACAGGCCCCAGTGTGTGATGTTCCCCTTCCTGTGTCCGTGTGTTCTCATTGCTCAATTCCCACCTATGAGTGAGAACATGCGGTGTTTGGTTTTTTGTCCTTGTGATAGTTTGCTGAGAATGATGGTTTCCAGCTTCATCCATGTCCCTACAAAGGACATGAACTCATCATTTTTATGGCTGCATAGTATTCCATGGTGTGTATGTGCCACATTTTCTTAATCCAGTCTATCATTGTTGGACATTTGGGTTGGTTCCAAGTCTTTACTATTGTGAATAGTGCCACAATAAACATATGTGTGCATGTGTCTTTATAGCAGCATGATTTATAATCCTTTGGGTATATACCCAGTAATGGGATTGCTGGGTCAAATGGTATTTCTAGTTTTAGATCCCTGAGGAATCACCACACTGACTTCCACAATGGTTGAACTAGTTTACAGTCCCACCAACAGTGTAAAAAAGTCCAAGATTCTTTGATGGACTAAAGATGCTGCCCAACCCCTGCCCTCAAGGAACTTACCATCTGGTGTTGAGACAGCAGAGAATTGAAAAGGTTAAGTTTCAAAAAAGATGAGAACCTTTAACTGGTTTCTGTGCAGAATGTGTAAAACAGGGCCAACTGGTGTCATGCTGGTGGTTTGAGGTTTTTGCCTGCACCCCCACTTTTCGACCTTTCTCTTTAGGCTCTGCCTCCTTGTCCCCAGTCCCACCTCCCATGTGACTGTCTGAGCTGGTATTATTATTATTATTCTGGGGTTATGCTTCTCTGTGAGAGTTTTCAAGAGTGTTACGAGACCCTGGCTAAGAAGTGATAGCTCTTCCCCATGTCCCATGTCTGGCACAGGGCTCTTCACACTCCAGGGCTCCAGGAAACATGTTTTTCAATGAATAGATTCTATCTTCTGTTTCTGGCTGTTTTCTAGTTCCTTAATATCCCTTCCTATTGTCATTTTCATGACCCTCTTCTGCCTTTGAAGATCTCCTGGCTCTCCTTTACCCCATTTCACATTCCAGGATGATTCTTGTGTCACGCCCCTCCATTTCTCCTCCCATTACACTTTTTTGTTGTGTGGCAGGACTATGGGTCAGCAAGGAGGATCAAGAAGTAAAAGCCATGTAATAAATCAGTTGAGATATGTTGCAAAAAGAAAAATAAAACACCCCACAAGCTAAAAAGGGAATTCTGTTTGGGGGCAGCACTGTTCTAAATGCTGGAGACAAAGCAGTGAATGATAGCAACTGAGTTACAGAATGTTAGGGCCGGAAGAAGAGATCTTTATGCAACACAAGTTTATTGCATATCCTCAGAATGCCAGGAGCTGTAGTAGGTCCTGGAGATTTAACCATACGCTGGTCTAAAAGCTCTGAGAAGTGGCTCTTTTTGGGAGAGAGGCAACCCAGCCCAGTGATCCTTGAGACTTGAGACAGCTAGAATGAAGATTAAGTCCTTGTTATTCGTTGTCTTTCTAGTTGGAATCCCCAGAGAGTTTGCATTTGAGGATGGGTCAGTTGACTCTGTGCTCAGGGCTGCTAAGCTTCGAAAGGGCCTGTGAGGTGAGAGGATGCCATGTGCTGCCCGTGGGAATGGTCATGACAGCGCTAGTGAAATAAACGAGATTCTGGAGGATTTCATGTTTTTTTCTGTTGAGTAAAGATAAGAGCGGGATTAAAATATTTTTTAAAAATATTTTATTATTTATGGTTACGTTGGAGCTATTAGCTATGTATAAAAATAAAAAAAGAAGCAACAAAAGGATAAACAACAAAAAAAATCGACTGGGCGCAGTGGCTCACGCCTGTAATCCCAGCACTTTGGGACGCCGAGGCGGGCAGATCACCTGAGGTCAGGAGTTTGAGACCAGTCTGGCCAGTGTGGCAAAACCCCATCTCTACTAAAAATACAAAAAAAAAAAAAAAAAAAAAGCTTGGTGTGGTGGTGGGCACCTGTAATCCCAGCTACTTGGGAGGCTGAGGCAGGAGAATCACTCTGACCTGGAAGTCAGAGGTTGCAGTGAGCTGAGATTGCGCCACTACGCTCCAGCCTGGGTGACAAAAGTGAAACTCTGTCTCAAAAAAAAAAAAAAAACGAAACAAAGAGAAAAAAAAAAACAAAAACCCGCCAGAAATCAGAGTAAGCTCAATGGTTGTTATCACAAAATGGGATCATCTCTTTATCATTGATAACAGGGATGGGCCATCATGCCTCCCAGGGTGGTATTCCATTTTCTCCAGTAAATAATACAAGGTTTCCCCCATAATTACCTGATAGACTAGAATAGCTCCTTGGGGTCCATTTTAGTCTATTGGGTAAATGATATGTTTTCTAATGGCATTCTTACCCAACAATGAAGCTCATGAACTAATGATATATATCGCGAGGCCTCTGTAGGGGACTGTGTGGAGGCAGTAGTTACTTTTAGAAAGTTATACACTAGGCCCCGAGCAACAAGATTCCTGGGAGACATTTGTATTTAGTATTACCAGAGAAGATAAACACTTTGCAACAGCATTCTTAGGGCATTTTCACAGGATATATAAAGAGGCCCTGCGTTGGGCAGGGCACCATTTCCAGCCAGTGACATTCCACTGGAAATGCAGCTGCTCTTTGTTGCTGTGAAAGACATGTTCAAATTAGTCTGGGACATTCCCATGACTAGTCCCACATGGCTGCCTGGATCATCGGCTGTGGAGTTGTTGATAGAGGAGTGAGTTAGATGACAAAGGCAACCATGAGATCATGGAAAAATGCCCCGAGCAGCAGTCATAAGACTTGGGTTGGAACCCAGCTCTGACACTTAAGGATAAATCACTTACCTCGCTGAGCTTTGGGTCTGTCTTTCAAATGGGGACAACCATGACCACATAGCATGGGGATTGGAAGGATTAAGAGGGATGGATGCCTTGTGTGAATTACAGTGGGAAGTTTCCTAGCATATATGTCCGCAGTGAGTGCTTATTAAGAAACCAAATCTATAGTAAATCCTTTGGCCACTAAGACAAGTGTTCTCCAAACTTTCCTGCTCCTATAAATCACCTGGGATGCTTGTAAAAATACAGATTATCAGGCCTCTTAACTGACTTATTAACTGAGATGTTTCGGAAGATGCCTGAGACTCACTCTTAAATCTCTGGGCGTTTAATAAGCGTCTCAGGTGATTCTTATGGTCAGGTTAAGGTGGAACACAGTAGTGATGACACAGAACCTGCAAAGGGTTTACTTGATGGCTTTCCGTCACCTAGAATGCTGAATCAGGATTGATTCTGTTATTTGTCCCATTTACAGGGCCCTTGATTTCTGCAATTAGCAATACCACTGAGCCATCATGGAGAGTTACATGTTGATTCAGGTGTGAGGTGCAGATGTGTCCTCTGCCTTTACCAAGACCATCACAGCGTGGCTCAGCTGCCTTTCTTTGACAGACTGAATTTTTTGTTGTTGTTGCTGCAAATCTAAATTCCAAGGTCCTCAAATGTATTCTAAGCTTAAAACAAATGTCAAAGAATTATGGTTCCCCAAAAAGATAGAAATTAAAGTGACAAAGTCCACTTCAGTATCAATGCTGGTCATCAGATGGTGTGGAGTTATCATTAAAATGCTCTCCCTGTAGTGGCAATGATGGGTGATAACTCTTCAAATGTTATCCCATTTAATATTCATAACAACTCTGAGTTATTATTCCCATTTTGCAGATGAGGAAGCTGATGCTTGGAGATTGGTTATGTAACTTGCTCAAGATTACTGAGCTGCTGTAGTGAATAGCAGAAATGTTACTAGAACTCAGTTCCAACCATTGTGCTGTAATATGCTCCTCACGACATATCCTGATGTTTCAGACTTTTCCAGCTGCTGGGTTCAGATGTAGTCTCATTGATAACTAATGCTCCCAGGCACTATCTCCTTGACTTCAATTTGTCTGATTTTGTTGTTGTTGCAACAGAGTCTGCTTAGGTTGCCCAGGCTGGGCTCCAACTTTTGGGCTCCAGTGATTCTTCCACCTCAGCCTCCCGAGTAGCTGGAACTACAGTTGTGCACCTCCATGCCTGGCTGTAGTTCATCGGAGTTTTGACAGCTTGCCTTCTCTAAATGTTTCTGAATTTTTTTTCTTTTTTTTTTTTTTTTTTTGGTGGGGAAAGGACTTATTTGTCCAGTCCAAAACTAGCCACTGCTATTTTGCTTTTTTAATATGGATATTTCACCTCCATGTTGAATAACGTAATCTCAGAATCAGAAGGGGTTTTAATGATCATTTAGGCCAATCCTTCAACAATGTCAGAATTTCAGCTCCACTCTGACACATCGTTAGCCCTCTGTCTGGGTACCTCAAAAGACAGAGAGCATGCCCTGTCACCAGTAACATGCCTGTAACAACTTTGGAAAGCATCACAACCTGTTCACATTTACTTCCATATATGATCTTCTGTGGTCTAATGGCAAAGATTAGAGGTACTAAAATACAATGTTCGAAAAGTAATGGTTGGTTGAATCCAGGACATAGAATCCCTGGGTTTTGGAAAAATTGTCTTCCTTGGATAAATGCCAAAGCAACTTCACATTACAGCCAAGGAGAATGGTAAGATGGCAAAAACTGAAGAGGCTTTTAGGTCGCCAAGAGGGCTGATGTAAAGGAAACACGGCGGTGTATTCAGGATTGAAGGGAGAGAGACTAAACCAGCAAGGGTAAAGTGCCGTGTTTGCATTTTATTGATTTCCTACCTATTGATTTCAACGGATGAACTGTCTGCCTGAGAGAAAAGAGACTGACAGTGAAGGCGAAACCCAGGCCCTTCCAGGGAGGGAGGGAATTACATCTAAAACACCCCAGGCATTCACTTTCACATTCAGCCCATGAGCACATTCTAGGACTTTAATCCTCCTCTTGGAATCCTGAAGGGAGACAGATTTGTGGGCAAGCCCTCTACTCTCCTCCCTGGGAATCTCCACTCTAGAGAGAGAGGAGTGGCAGCTCTCATTTTGATCTTCCTGAGACACAGGGTGACACTACCAAGACTATTCCCAGCTTCGTTGTGTCTGATGCATCTGTGTGTTCCCCACCTAGCAAGTACTCACACAAAGTAGATGCTCAGTAAATGTTCTTTAAAAAATGAATGAATGAATGCCTTGATGAATTGTCCTCTTTCTTTGGCCAGGGGATGGAGTGGGGTGGAGGTTCAGGCATTAAAACATTACTGAGTTGGAAGTTTATCTGAACATATTATTTTCTTCCAGGTGGCAAATACCCAGAGTGATAGGGATCAGTCTTCAGCTTCTCTTTCAGTGACCTGCTGTGATACTGTGCTATATCTTGGGAGCCTTGAGGCTTGGCCCCAGCCTTTTTCTCTTTGGTAATACTAGATGGTAGTTTTTGCCATAGTAGAGGACTGCTGTTGGAGGCTGTTCTCCTGCCTCTGTCTTCTGTATTGACTCAGAACACAATGGTAAGATAGTGCCTGGCTAGATCCTGAACACTTACATTATGGAAAGTCATGTGCTAGGCTTGGTGCAGAAAAGAGGGGGACAGAGATAAATAAGAAGTGACCTTTACATGTATTTGTGAATTTCCCATGCAGTATCTAAGTAAGAAATAAAAGAAACCCATGACATGATTGTCACTTTCAATATGTAAGGTGACTGTGTTTTCCACAACAATAGTCAATCTTACAAAGATATATGGATAAAAATCTTTCTAATACCATAAAATGGAATGCCATAAGTACATCTATCATGAATTAATATTTTTATAGGGATGGGACATGTGCTTCCTGTAAATATGACTGCTTATCACATAGAAAGTTTGCTTGAGAGTTAGGAATTCATTCATCTGTGAATTTATATTTAGTGACAAGTGCCAGGCATATTTCTGAGTGATGGGGAACAGCAGTGAACCAAGAGTCCTAATCTCATGGAGTCCGTTCTCTAGAGGGGAGAGTAAGACAATTAAAAAAATCAGGACCATATATAGTACGTTTGGTGGTGATAAATGCTGTAGAAAAAAATTAAGCAGTGAAAGAAGATAGAGTGTTGTAGATGAAGATGGGCACGGGACACTTTTTTTTTTTGAGATGGAGTCTCGCTCTGTTACCAGGCTGGAGTGCAGTGGTGCGATCTCTGCTCACTGCAACCTCTGCCTCCTGGGTTCAAGGGATTCTCCTGCCTCAACCTCCCAAGTAGCTGGGAGTACAGGTACGCACCACCATGCCCAGCTACTTTTTGTATTTTTAGTAGAGACAGGGTTTCACCATGTTGGCCAGGATGGTCTCGATCCCTTGACCGATCCGCCGGTCTCAGTGTCCCAAAGTGCTGGGATTACAGGCGTGAGCCACCGCGCCTGGCCGGGACACTTAAATAAGGTGGTCAGGGAAAGCTTAACCGAGAAGGTAACATTTGGACATAGGCATGAAGATTGTGAGGGAGAAAGCTATGTGAGTATATGGGGGAAGAGCATTCCAGGCAGAAGAAAAAGCAAGTGCAGAGGCCCTGAGGCAGGAGCATGCGTGACACACACAAGAATCAGCCAGGGGGTCAGATGGTTGGAGCAGAAGCAGAAAGAATAAGAGATGATGTCAGAGAAAGGGGATGCAGCAGAGGCAATGACGCCTTTGGAATATGCCTTGCAAGATATTGAGGTTCTTGTCTCAAGGAGAGGCTGAAGGAACTCTTGGCAGGGATCTTATAATGATGGATCAGGTGTTAAATGCTCAGCTGGATAGGACAGCTTTTCAGGTCCCTTGCAAAACTGTGATGGCACCATGATTCTATGAGATAGAACATGGTTGTTCCGTACCAAATGGATGGAATGTCTGAGTGAAGGAGATTTGAGCCAGAGGGCCTCCACTCTATCAACGAGCTGATGGACTATCACCCTGGCATTTGCTGTAGGTGGGTGATGGGAAGTGAGCAGGGCTCTGAGAAGCTCAGCACAACCTTTCATTTCACCAACTAGAGTCTTAGTTAGGCCCCCTCCCTGCCATGGCATTGCAATTTAGCTCAGTTTAAAAATCAAGAATTCTTTTTTCCCATCAGTAGATTATACCCTCTTGGTATATAGGTAGGAGGGAAAATAATTTAGTTTGTGAGGCTCCAACAGATACTTTATAGTACATTAATGTCCACTTAGCTGCCACATGGATTGCTCTGTCAATACCCAAGGCATTTAAGGTTGCAATTTTAGGATCTCTTTCACACTGGATATAGACACACTTGAGCTGAAGTTGTTGCCTCTTACACCCCCAACTGTGAGGGACTAACTGATTTTTTACCCTTCACCACCACTCAGTAGCAGATTGTTGGGTAGAATCAGATAGCACAGGTGGCACCACCTGCTATGCTTTCTCTTATTTTTAAAGCCTTCCTTTTATCTCTAGAAGCTGTTGCCTCTGCTCTTTTGCCAGTTTGCTCAATGATGAGGAAGGATGAGCCACCTATTGTGGAAAGTGTTATGAATTTTTAATTATTCATTGTCAAATATTTACATGACTAAGCACTGAGATTGTCATGATGACCAGTGTATAGAAATCATAGTTAAATTGCCTTGTTTACCTTGGATTAAGGCTCATTTGTATGATCATGTAAAATAGTTTATGTGTCATGTGGATGGCTTTGGAGAGAGATTATCTTTTTGTTTTTTGAGACAGAGTGTCACTCTGTCACCCAGGCTAGATTGTAGTAGCGCCATCTCTGCTCACTGCAACCTCCTCCTCCCAGGTAACTGGGATTACAGGCGCCTGCCACAATGTTCCCTAATTTTTATATTTTTAGTAGAGACAGGGTTTCACCATGTTGGACAGGCTGGTCTCGAACTCCTAATCTCAGGTGATCCACCCACCTCGGCATCCCAAAGTGCTGGGATTATAGATGTGAGCCAACATGCTTGGCTGAGATTATCCTTTTTTTTTTTAAATAAACTTTTAATTTTAAATCCCTTATAGATTTACAGAAAAACTGCAAAGATAGCATAGAGTTCCCACCTGCCCTGCCCCAGTCTCCCCTGTTATAACATCTTACATGAGTAGGGTGCATTTGTTACAATTAGTGAACTGATAGTTATATGTTACTATTAGCTAAAGTTCATGCTTGATTCGAATTTCTGGTTTTTATACCTCACATCCTTTTTCTGTTCTGGGATCCCATCCAGGACCCCGTATTACATTTATTGCCCAGGACTCCTTGAGACTCCTCTTGTCTGTGACAGCTTCTCAGCCTTTCTTTGTTTTTCACGGACTTGAGAGTTTTGAGGAGGACTGGTCCGGAATTTTGTAGAATGTCCTTCACCTGGGATTAGTCTTGTTTTTTTCATGATTAGATGGGCTCATGGGTGTTTAGGAGGAAGCCCACAAAAGTAAAGTGCCATTTTTGTCACATCCTATCAAGGTCACAAACATACTATCAACCCAACTTATCACTGTTGATGTTGAACTGGATCATATGGCTGAGGCAGTGTTTGTCAGATTTCTTCACTGCACAGTTATTCTCTTATCTTCCCTTTTTAAACACAGGACTTTTTGTAAGAAAGTCACTATGCACAGGTCTCATGTAAAAACTTGCAGTTAAACTCTACTGCCTCAAAGACAGCATATTTAGATAAATTCTTTGGAATTTTGCTGAATGGGCAATTTGTTCCTTTTTCCTAATTCACTTATTTATTCAATCGTGTGTTTATATCAGTATGGACTCATGGATATTTATTTTATACTTTGAGTTATAATCCAACACCGTAGTATTTTTCTTGTTCTGGCTTTGGCCATTGGGAAAATTCTTTCAGTTGGTGGCTAGGTCCCTTTGATATACTCTTATCATTGTGTGTGTGTGTGTGTGTGTGTGTCTATGTCTGTGTGTTTGTGTGTGTGTGTGTGAGCTCTTCCTCACCTTCTTGTAGTACAAGGTGCTCCAGGGTCATTTTTGTATATTTCCTGCCCCGGTCCAAGAATCAGCCATTTCTGTACAGAGTCCTGATTCCTTTTATTGGAGAATGATGTAAGAAACCAAGAACTGAATGCTACGAGTGCTCATTGTTACTGGGTATTACTTTTAGGCCTCAAGGAGTTATCTTATCTTTAACACAAACATTTATTGAGGAGACAAAGTTGTGATGTGGTGGAAGGGGCTCTGAACTAGTTGATATTTGGGGTGCTAGCCCACCCTTGTTCATCTAAATGTGCCTGTGAACATGGGCAAGACACTTCACCTGTGAGCCTCAATTTCCTCTGCAGTATGTAAGCATTCCATGGAGATGTTGCAGATTCGGTCTCAGACCACCACAGTAAAGCAAATATGGCGATAAAGCACATTAACTGAATTTTTGATTTTTTAGTGCATATAAAAGTTATTTTTATACTATACTGTAGTTTTTGAAGTGTGTGATAGCATTATGTATAAACCTTTACATACCGTAATTCAAAAATACTTTCTTGGCTGAGTGTGGTGGCTCATGCCTGTAATCTCAGCACTTTGGGAGGCCAAGGCAGGCAGACTGCTTGAGCAGGAGTTCAAGACCAGCTTGGGCAACATGGTGAGACCCCTATCTCTACCAAAAATATAAAAAAAGTAGCCAGGCATGGTTGTGCATGCCTGTGGTCACAGCTACTCAGGAGGCTGAGGTGAGAGTATCACTTGAGCCCAGGGGGTGGAGGTTGCAGTGAGCTGAGGTTGTACCACTGCACTCCAGCCTGGGTGACAGAGTGAGACTCTGTCTCAACAAAAACCCTAAAAACAACAAACAGAAAAAAATCTTTCTTGCTAAAAATGCTAATCATCATCTGAGCCTTCAGCAAGTTGTACTCTTTTTGGTGGTGGAAGGTTTTGCCCGGATGTTGATATTTGCTGACTGATCAGGGTGGTTGCTGAGGGTTGGGTGGCTGTGGCAATTTCTTAAAATAAGACAGCAGAGAAGTTTGCCTCATCAATTGATTCTTCCTTTCACCAAGGAGTTCTCTGTAGCATGTAATGCCTTCTGATAACATTTTACACACAATAGAACATCTTTCAAAATCTCAGTCAGTCCTTTGAAACTCTGCTGCTGCTGCTTTATCAACTAAGTTTATGTAATATTCTAAATCCTTTGTAGTCATTTCAACAATGTCCACAACATCTTCACCAGGAGTAGATTCCATCTCAAGAAACCACTTTCTTTGTTCATTCAGAAGAAGCAACTCTTCATCCATGAAAGTTTGATCATGAGATTGTAGCAATTCAGTCATATCTTCAGGTTCCACTTCCAAATCTAGTTTCTTGCTATTTCTACCACATCTATGGTTTCTTCCTCCACGGAAGTCTTGGACCCCTCAAAGTCATCTAGAAGGACTGGAATCAACTTCTCCCAACCTCCTGTTAATGCAGATATTTTGATCTCCTCCCATGAATTGTAAATGTTATTAATGTCATCTAGAATGGTGAATCCTTTGCAGAAGGTTTTCAATTTACTTTGCCAAGATCCATCAAGGGAATTGCTATGTATGGCCACTATAGCTTTATGAAATGTATTTCTTAAATAATAAGACTTGAAAATTGAAATTACTCCTTGATCCATGAGCTGCAGAATGGATGCTGTGTTAGCAGACATGAAAAGTACATTCTATGAGAAGCATTGTATATTTATATCAGGGCTCTTGGGTGACCAGGTGTATTGTCAATGAGAAGTAGTAATATTTTTGAAAGGAACCTTTGTTTTCTAAGCAGTAAGTCTCAAGACTGGGCTTAAAATATCCAGTAAACCATGCTATAAACAGATATGATGTCATCCAGGCTTTGTTGTTCCATTTATAGAGCAGAGACACAATATATTTAGCATGATTCTTAAGGGCCCTCATTATCTGAGTTGCTTACCTCATTATTGCTTACTCCCTTATCTTGGTTTCAGCAAAGATCCAGGATTTCTGAAATGGTAAATGAGCATTGGCTTCAACTTAAAGTCACCAACTCCACTAACCTCTAACGAGAGAATCAGGCTGTTCTTTTCAGCTTTGAAGCCAAGCATTGACTCCTCCTTTCTAACTATGAAAGTCCTAGATGGCATCTTCTTCCAGTGCAAGGCTATTTTGTCTATATTGAAGATCTGTTGCTTAGTGTAGCCCCTGTCACCAATGATCTTGGCTAGATCCTCTGGGTGACTTGCTGCAGCTTTGACATCAGCATTTGCTGCTTCACTTTGCACTTACATTATGGAGATGACTTCTTTCTTTAAACCTCATGAACTAACCCCTGCCAGCTTCGGACTTTTCTTCTGCAGCGTCCTCTCCTTTCTCAGCCTTTAGAATTGAAGAGAGTTAGGGCTCTACTCTGCATTAGCCTTTGGCTTAAGGGAATGTTGTGGCTGGTTTAATCTTTTATCTAGGCCACTCAAACTTTCTCCATATTGGCAATAAGGCTGTTTTGCTTTCTTGTCATTGGTGTGTTCACTGGAGTAGCACTTTTAATTTCCTCCAACAACTTTTCCTCTGCATTCACAACTTGCCTAGTTGTTTGGCACAAGAGGCCTACTTTTCAGCCCGTTTCAGCTTTCGACATGCCTTTCTCATTAAGCTTCATCATTTCTGGTTTTTTATTTAAAGTGAGAGACGTGCATCTCTTTCTTTCACTTGAATACTTAGTAGGGGTTACTAATTAGCTTAATATTGTGTGTCTCAGGGAATAGGGAGGCCTGAGGAGAAACAGGGAGAGGGAGAGGAGAACCACTGGTCAGTGGAGCAGTCAGAACACACACGTTTATTGATCAAGTTCAACCTCTTATATGGTAATGGATCATGGCACCCTAATACAAATACAATAGTAACATTAAAGTTCACTGATCACAGATCACCTTAACAGATATAATAATAATGAAAAAGCTTGAAATACCATGAGACTTACCAAAATGTGATACAGAGACATGAAATAAGCACGTGCTATTGGAAAAGTGGTGCTGACAGACTTGCTCATTGCAGTGTTGCCACAAACTTTCAATTTGTAAAAAAAATTGCATTATCTGGGAAGTGTGATAAAGCAAAGCACAATAAAACAATGTATTCCTGTATAAAATGAGGTCATTGGTATCTTGCTTATGTCATTATCAATCAGGGTTGCCACAAAAATCCAGAGAGTTTCATCATTTGAAAAACGTTTGTAAATTGAAAAAGTTCTATACAAAGATTAGTTTTATTTTCATTATCCTAATATTTTTGCATATAGTGTGCCTTGTCACAATTTTAATTTCAGTTTGATCAAATTTCATGCACTTTCAAGCACAGGATCCCAAATACCAGCATTCAGTTATTTTTTTAAATAAAAAAATTAAAATTTTTTAATTTTTGGAATTTAATTGTTAATATGTCCATTAGAAATTTCCATTATGGAAAAAGGGTCCTAATATTTTTATTTAAATTATTTCGCTTTCCTCAAATGCTTCCATATTTTGAGAGAGTTATAAAGGAGTCAGATAGGTCATACATTGACCAAAAGATTATTGTAGCTACTCCTTTTAGTTGTGTCAGCAAATCTTGGAGGGACTTTGAATCGTCCCCCTCAGCAGGCTCCTCTCCCACACCAAATAAATGTGCAAAGTCAAAATAGTGCACTTGCTCTGCAAAATGTCACATTGAGACAACCTCCTTACCCCCATCTCAATCTGCTTGCCCGCCTTCCTTCCCCCTATAGAAATTCTAGGTCTGCCAATGTGTGTAGCCAGAAGGTTTATATACCCTTCAATCTGTGCACCAGGAACAAAGCAAAGACTCAGTCATACTTTTCCCATGTGCTGCAAGCTATGATAGCTGTGCATTCTATGTAATGTGGCAGTGCTTTCAGTAATTTTAAAACAGATTCTCTAAGGCTACTAATTTGAAAGGATAAAACAAAATCAAATCAACCCCTTTCTGTTTGATGTCCCTGTGTAAACCAACAAGATGGCATATGTATGTGTGTGTGTGTATATATACATGTATATGTGGCACCATGGAGATACAGTCAGAGATTATGGACAGGAGGCTCAGCTCAAAGCTGTCAGTCTCTGGGCATTGCTCCCCTCTCCTGGGCAACCCGGTGGAATAACTTCCAGCTGTGGACTATAAATGATATAGGAGAGGCAGTGAACCTTCTCAGCATGAGGGGAGACACATTTTGCCAGTGCTGCTGTGTTTGTGCTGCTTATTGGAATTTTAAAATGTGGTCTCATCCAGGAAAAGGCTCCCCTGCTCTGTCCCAGCAACTGATGACTCTGAGGGTTTGCTTCTGCATCGGGTACCAGCCCCACTCTGCTACTGACTCATTCAACTTCCTTTCTTTCTGCATGGAGCTCAGCTCACTCATAACACCTGTTTAAGTCAGTTTATTTGCCTTTCCTTTCAATTAAGAGCTAATATCAGAGAAGAAAAATAAGCATGCAAGGAAGATAGTTGCCTATTTTTATTATGGGACACAATACAGAGATGCTTATTTTGAAAATGAGAATTATTCTATCAAACAGGATTTTCTTTTGCTATAAATAAACCAACCTGTGGTCAAATGAACAAGGAAAGAGAAAGCAGGGCAGTGGAAGTCCAGACTGCTTCAAAATGTGTTTATTTAAATTAACAGTAATGGAATTTCAAGTTTGAGATGGTCAGGAGGCCTTCTCATTGGTTTGGAAAAAGCTCCCTATGGGCTGTTCGTCTTAAACACAGCCTAACAGAGTGGTACTTAATGAGAGCGATGCAGATCTCAAATTCAATTTTGTTTCTAACTGGCTAAAGCATGTATTTAGCTTTGATCTGTAAGTAGGAAGCAGAAGCATGATTGGCTAATGTTTGACTTCTAGTTGGCCTAATGAGATTTTATGAATATCAGTATTGCTATAGCGTCATAATGTATTTGCTAGCTTTTTGCGGCAGTGAAAAAATATCGCTATTAGTCAAATAACTGGGTTTCATAATGCCACAGTAATTATTCCGATTTCCCTTTGGTGAGTATGGGGCAACTGCTTCTTAATTTTCGGAAAGGTCAGCATATTTTTTTAAATTGATGCTTAGTTTGACTACCTCTAATGTCAGCCAACTGTTGTTAATAGGCTCTATTATACCACAAAAGTGCTGATATTTTAAAAGTAGTTGGTGAACCCCGACAGGGCTGTGTATTCAGGACTGCTCTATGAGGTTGCATTAGACATTCAGCAGTGGTACGAAATTTATGTTGTTAAATTCATTTCAGCCATTGAAACTTGACAACTAATTTTGGATAAGAATGATTAGAATTGATAAACTCTCTTACTTTTGGAAGTGGCTGTTTTTCACAACAAATCTTTTATCTAGTATGGCACATAATTTAGTGGAAACACACACAAATGGCATTGCTGTTGATCACAGGGCTTGGGGAGCATTCAAATCATCAGATCCTGTATTTTTGAGAAATAAATAAAGACTATTGTATGAGAGACATGATGTGTATTCAGAACATATGCATATGACAATATTTTGTAAAATATTATTTTTTTAGAAAAGGAGATGGACAAAAAATACTTGGTGTTTGTTTTCCTTAAATTTTATCTTATTGTCATTAGAAGAAAATGTAACAAAACACTTGCACATTTCTGGCATGGCAGAAAATGCCAATAAGAAGGAAGTAAGGGCCAGGTGTGGTGACTCACACCTGTAATCCCAGCACTTTGGGAGGCCGAGTTGGGTGGATCACCTGAGGTCAGGGGTGCGAGACCAGACTGGCCAACATGGTGAAACCCCGTCTCTACTAAAAAAATACAAAAATTAGATGGGCATGGTTGTGGGTGCCTGTAATACCAGCTACTTGGGAGGCAGAAGAAGGAGAATTGCTTGAACCTGGGAGGCAGAGGTTGCAGAGAGCTGAGATTGCACCACTGCAGTCCAGCCTGGGTGACAAGAATGAAATTCCATCTCAAAAAAAAAAAAAAAAAGGAAGTAAGGAACATCTATTTCAGGAAAGGCCCTTAACATATGTATCCCACTTCATCTTAGTAAGATTCTTCAATATAGCCAATATTAACTCTACAGCTAAGGAGACAACTTTGGTAAGCTTGGCTCACTTGTCCAAGGCCCACTGTGGGAATATGGCTGAGGGGAGTACATACTCAGATCAGCCTGGCTCAAAAGCCCTTTTATTTTATTTTATTTTATTTTTATTTCCATAGGTTATTGGGGAACAGGTTGTGTTTGGTTACATGAATAATTTCTTCAGTAGTGATTTGTGAGATTTTTGTGCACCCATCAGCTGAGCAGTATATACTGAATCCAATTTGTAGTCTTTTATTCCTCACTCCCTTCCCACCCTTTCCTCCCAAGTCCCCAAAGTCCATTGTATCATTCTTAGGCCTTTGCATCCTCATAGCTTAACTCCCATTTATGAGTGAGAATATACGATGTTTGGTTTTCCATTCCTGAGTTACTTCACTTAGAATAATGGTCTCCAATTCCATGCAGGTTGCTGCGAATGCCATTATTTCATTCCTTTTTTATGGCTGAATAGTATTCCATGGTGTGTGTGTGTGTGTGTGTGTGTGTGTGTGTGTGTGTGTGTGTGTGTGTGTATATCACAATTTCTTTATTCACTCATTGAGATGGGCATTTGGGCTGGTTCCGTATTTTTGCAGTTGTGAATTGTGCTGCTATAAACATGTGTGTGCCATTACTTTTTATTAAAATGGAAGCTTCACAAGTGAAAGAGTTATATCACCTTTGGTTACCTCTGTGTCTCCTACTGCCTGATGCAGTGGCTAGCACTCAGTGAAGCCATAGCTCCCTGCCAACCCCCTTCCTGCTGACCTTCTCTGAATTTACCATCGGAACCTCTCTGAACTACGTAGGAAGCTTAGCTATCTCTTTACGTTTTATCTTCAATGAAATGAAAACCCTCTTATACTACTCATTTCTAGTTTGCTGCCGGCCCAGGCTCCATTCCCCTTTCTAGTAATTCCCTCATAGTATCTCATGACAACCCCAAGAATGAGGTAGATCCCGACAGACCCATTTTCCAGGTGAGGAAACTGGGGTTTGGGGGCTGCAAGGAGTTAAGTGGCCTCTTATCGGCACACAGCCCCACATCCCATAGGTGACAGACTTGGTATCTGAATCCAAATCTGCCTTCCTTCAAAGCCCAGGCTCCTTCCATGGGAAACCTGAGCTGACTCTTGCAGGCAGGGATGAATTGTGATGAGTTGAACTTTCTAGGTAGGGTCAGACTAGAATTCCTAATTATGAGCAAAAGCTGAGAGGTGGGAGAGTACATAGCTAGATTTGAGAAGAGAGACCCTTGAATAAAGTCATTGAGATTCGAGTGTTTTAGATTTACTTGCTCAAGGGGGACCTGCATCATTTAACAATGCTATATTCTTCCTTCTTGACCACTGCAATCCCAAGTCATGCTCTTCCTTATTTAGGACCAGTCAGTAGGACTTGAGAACCATTTCATTGAGGGTAGCTCTGGCCTTTTGCCAGACTCCTTTTCTGATCACTTATCCTATAGCCAGCAGCTATGAAAGATCTGAAAACTTTCATTCTAAGAGTTTGCAGGTCTCAGAATAAAACAGAGTGATTTTATCTTTCCAGGATCTGGGACCCTGCCTCTGAAGCCTTCAGCCAACCCTGTATCACATTGGCTACCGGTAGCCATAGTTTGAGTGTTTTGTTCAGTAGGTCCCAACTTTACCCTTGAGTTCAAAGCATATTTCTAAATTGCAGCTTGTTTCTAGAAATGGAAAGTATATCACTGATGCTTATTCTGCAAATATTAAGTGTCAGGGCCTGTTCTAGGTATGAAGAACAAGGGTCCCTGAACTCAGGTGCTTATTTTCTACAAGGGGAAGGGACAATATATAAGGAAACACATTTAAAAATGAGAGTTCAGATTGTGGTAAGGTGTGTGAAACAGCTGAGTTGAGATGATGGAGGCATGGGGCCAGGCAGGAAGAATGACCTAATTTAGAAAGCATTCCTCTTTGAAGAGATTGGCATGATGAAGAGCCAGGCATGCAGCAGTCTTGATGTCCTTCTTGGTAGAGGAGACATAGGCATGATGGAACAGCTTGATGCTCTATTCAGAATACCTGGGCAAATTTAAACTGCACACCAGTTCCAATTACAATATACGATGCTAATACTTTTACTTACTTAATAGTTTTAATGGTCTTAATAATCACCAAGTAACATGCTAGATACTCCACATATATTTGCACTAGTTGCTAAAATGTAAGATGAATAAGGACAAGGCTTTTTATCTGTTTTGTTCAATGATGTATCCCACATGCACATAGAAAGTTCTCGATGAATATTTGTGAAATGAACAATTCCTTACTGCAACCCTGCAGAGAAAGAAGTACCTCTTCTGACTGAGAGATTAGAGGTCTAAAATCCAGAGAGGTTAAGTGGGTCAGGTGGTTGAGAAGGAGAGCTGGGATTTGAGTTTGAGACTGTCAGACTTGAAAACCACTGAATTTCCCACAGTGCTCTACCTCACTTGGTATAGTAGATTTGTCCTGCCTACTTCCAAAGTCTAATCTTGTTAGTGTTCCACTAGTCAGGACTTAGGCAGAGAGTTAATTTGGCTGCTTTGCTCTCTCTTGCTCATCAGGGAGTGGCCTTTCAGCAGTGTGATCACTATATGGTCCCACTGACTTCCCAGCTAATTTGCTGCCTTTGATAGGGGCTCAGATATTTTCAAAAGCCAGACCTCAAATTCTGACTGCCAAAGCTTGCCCTCTAAGAAGTTTTATATAAAACATGGAATCAGAGCACAGCTGATGCTTGTACATTCAGGCACATGTAAACTCACAGAGAGGAAGGGAACTGACATGAGTTGAAAACCTACTATGTGACTTGTTTGTGATGGGCATTTGCATTTTATGTACAAAACCTAATTTAATTTAACAATAACTATTATAGGAAAGTGGTGATGAGAATTGGTTTGGAGGTCAGATAGATCTGGATTAAATCATGGGCTTTAGCATTTATAAGCTATGTGACTTTAGAAAATTTACTTAATCTCGGCCGGGCGCAGTGGCTCACGCCTGTAATCCCAGCACTTTGGGAGGCTGTGGAAGGCAGATCACGAGGTCAGGAGTTCGAGACCAGCCTGACCAACATGGTGAAACCCTGTCTGTAATAAAAATACAAACATTAGTCAGGGGTGGTGGTGCATGCCTATAATCCCAGCTACTCAGGAGGCCGAGGGAGGAGAACTGCTTGAACCCAGGAGGCGGAAGTTGCAGTGAGCCAAGATTGCACCATTGCACTCCAGCCTGGCAACAGAGCGAGGCTCCATCTCAAAAAAAAAAAAAAAAAAAAAAAGGTTAATTTCCTTGATCCTTAGTTTCTTATGTATAAAATAGGTCTGATATTATTTATCATATAGGCTGATTGTAAGGATTAACAAATAAGACAACATTTATAAATGCTTGTCCAAAGCCAGCATTCAGCAAATGTGATATCATAAATTATTATACTTTATCGAGTCTAAGATGCAATATATTAAGTACCGTTATTGTACATACCACTAAGAAACTGCTGTCAGTTCAACTATCATGCGCTGTTATCAGTTGTAAGATACTTTCTGATATCAGAGGTGATAAGATGTAGGAAAAGGTATATTTTAGAGTGATTGAAATATTATATATATTCTAGGTTATATAACACGTTAATAAATGGCAATAAATTAACAAATTACTGAAGCATCTAAGGCAAATAACTGGCTATTGGTTGCTAAGTGCTTTAGGAATCAAGTACTGACACCTTTCTTTATAGCCTTTCTCAATTATTCATGACCCTCAAAATCAAAAAGATTTTCCTTACAGCAATTCAAGCTGTTCCACAACAATTTAAGCCAGCTTCTGCCTGTTTATTTTACTCCAGAGATAATGAGGAATTGGTCAGTGTCCTCAGAACAGTCATTCATCTGCTTGTTAACTTATAACTTAAATGCCTTTCTTTCAGACTAATTACAATATAATTATCTAGGCCTGTAAAAGCTCACCAGTGCAATGTGGATGAATTCAGGGAAGTGAGCGATTTTAAAAGTTGGCCATTTAGAGATTCAACAAATACTAACGGAGAGCATGACATATGCCTGATCTTGTTTTAATGTTGAGCTTGGGACAGTGAGCTAGACAAGGTCCCTGCTCTTGTGGAGTTTGGCGGAAGACAGATAATAAATGAGTGACAAAGAAAATAATATTTTGGTTGGCAATGAAGTCTGACAAAAGCAAAGCAGGATAATGAGAGAGAAAGTGACTGATGATGAGGTTCTCATGGTAGAACAGCAGGGAATTTGCCCTGGGGAGATGTCTATTGGGCAACCTGAATGATGGGAGGGGAGGGAGAATATTCTGGTCAGAGGCAATAACTATTGCAAAGATCTCTCACAAAGTAGAGATGGGCTTAGAGCATTTGAAAAACAAAAAGGGTTGGAGAGTGTAGTGAACATAGGAGGGAGGGGGGAAGGAAAAGTGGGGAGGTGGGCAGGGGCTAGATCATGGCGGCATTCCTAAGCCTTGGTAAAGAAGAGTTTATTCTACATGTAAAAGGAAGACAGTGTGTGTTGGAAGGGTAAGGGGTTGGGGGAGTGGTTTTTTAAATTGAAAAGTGATATCTAATTTGCTTTTTTATTTTTTCTGACTTTTCTGGCTGCAGAGTAGAGAGGGAGAATTGTGGGGTGGGGGATGAGGGCAATAATCAAAGCAGGGAGACCAGTTAGAAGGATGCCGCCAAGATTCAGACCAAATCAACAATGGTGGGAATAGAAATGGAAAGATGGGGTTGGATCAGGACAGGTTTTGGAAGCAGAGCTCTTGGAATATGGATTTGGGAGGGTGAAGGAAAGAGAAAAAACAGGACTGACTCCTCGGCTTTGGGCATGAACAACAGGATGGATGGGCATGCTGTTTATTGAGTTAGGAAGAAGCTGGGGAGGTGCATATTCAGGGAGACACTTGTGGTCAAGTTCAACTACTCATCCAGGAAGAGGCAGATAGGATATGCAGGAGTTCAGAGAAAAAAATCACTGTTAGAGATATACATGTAGGATATTATTTAATGCTCAGGTGAGATTTTCTAGGAAGAGAATAAAGACGGAGTTGAGAAGATGTTTGGAGGAAGAGAAAATGGAGCACACCAAGGAGATTCTGAAGGAGTCCCCCAGAGGCTGACACTATTAGAAGATGAAGAGCTTTGCAGATCGATTCAGAGAAGAAAAATAAACAAAGGATTAAAGATGCTGAGAGCTGAATCTTAACTGCAGAGCAGTTGACCCATGATGGCCTGGGAATGTGGTTCAGGGCGACTTTTCTTGGGAACAAAATGGATGATGATCAGAGGATCTGCCATCTTTTATTTTTCAGAAACAGAAAAGTGAAATGACTTGGCCAAGTTTATGCAGCTAAGAAGTAATATTGCTGGGATTTGAACCCAGAGATTTTTGCTCCAGCATGTGGGTCCTTAACCACAACCCTATACAGCCTCTATGTGGTATCCTTGAATAAATTAAATTTGAAGGAGAAAAATGAGTGTCTTGTATCAAAGTAGCGAAGGGATGGGAACTGTGGATTAGCTTAGTAAAAAGGTATTTTGGTCAGCAACACCATTTGGGTAACAATGCCATTTTGAAACAGGCCAGGAAGAGTTATAATGAAAATAAACATTGTTTGGAATGGAGGCAGCAGGCAGAGTTCATTTTCTCTCTTTCCCTTTCAGGTAGTTCTGAACAATAAAAGCCACCAACCAGTATTCATATCTGATTAAACAAAAGTTAAAAAAAAAAAAAAAAGAGAGAGAGAAAAGACCGCAACAGCCAAGAGGCAAGCTTAATCTTTGGTATTTAGAATGATAAAGAGGAGCAATTGTGAAATCCACTTAAAATATGATTTCATGTTCTCATATACATTTTGAATTTATGGAGAACTGACTTCTGCCATTTATTCAGAGAGCAAAAAAATGCATATACTCTGCAGCTGAACTTATCATACCATAATGGGACACCTAGCATTTTCCACGAGTGATTGATCTTCTCCACCCCTTGACAGTCCTTTCCTAACTGTTACCAAAAAATGGAATACATTTCAAGCTTCTGTTGAGTTGAATTGAGCAGGCACCAAAGAAGACACTAACACTTGCCAGCTTTAGTAAGAAAAAAAAAAATAGCAAGTGGGGAGGGTGGGGGAGTGTCTGCTTCAGTTTACTAAAAAGGAAGAAAATTTCAACTGGGAGAAACACCCGGGGGTGGATATGTTAATTGGAATATTCCCCACTAAGGTTAAATAGAACTTAAACACTGTTTGAAGCCTGTGTTATATATCCCAAAATACATACTGAACCAGGAGGTAAAGAAACTGGGTTTTATTTCCAGCTGTGTCGTTGATTTGAACAAGTTGTTTAACCTGTCTTTGGGGCTCAGTTTATCCATCTCCAAAATGAGAAAAACAGAAAGCCAGGGTTCATATTCAAAGCTAAGGGTCCTGTTCAAATTTGAGTTTTATGATGAGTGGATCTTATTTCAAAAAATATTAATAATCATAGCAACAGGAAGAAAGAAAACAGCTGGGTATAGGGGTCTATACATTCTCATTTTGCATGGACCCACCCCCAATTATAGAGATCCTAGTGCTTGCTAGTTCCTTTCTTGGATCTCTTGTGGATCTTGTAACTTGCATCTGCCCACTTGGGTGACCAACTCATTATGGTTCGCTCAGGACTTCCCTGGTTTTAGCACAGAAAATTCCATATCCAGGGAACCTGCTCAGTCCATGTCAAACCTAGAGTAATGTTCACTCTAGTTTCCACTGGACCTTAGGTCATACTTGCCTCAGTGTTTGTGTGTTTTTTGTTTGCAGCTAAACCACAAGCTTCATGAGGGCACAGGAAGTTAAACATAATGATCATATTCCTCTTGTATTTTTTTTTTTTTTGACAGGGTTTTGTTGTATTGCCTAGGCTGGAGTGCAGTGGTGAGATCTTGGCTCACTGCAGCCTTGATTACCAGGGCTTAAGCAATCCTCATGCCTCAGCCTCCTGAGTAGCTGGGACTACAGGTGCACGCTACGTTTTGTAGAGAAAGGGCTTTGCCATGTTGCCCAGGCTGGTCTCCAACTCTTGGGCTCAAGCTGTTCACCCACCTCGGCCTCCCAAAGTGCTAGGATTACAGTCACAAGTCACTGTGCCCAGCCCTCTGCTTGTCTTTTTGACAGGGAGTGTTAGATCCATAGTATGTCCCTCTTATAAATACTTCACAGATTGATTTGTTTCTCAAATGCACCTTAAGATCTTAAGCATCTGCCTTCTTCAATATATTTTGCTAGACATTTAAAATACATTATCATATTTTAATTCAAGAGCCTGTTGAGGTTAGCAGTGACACTCCTACCTATAGATAAAAAAAAAAAAACAAAACCGAGGTTCGAAGAGAAAGTCACATAAGGCCAACCATTTTCTTAGTGGCTGACCTGAGATTGGAACCTAGCTCTTCCCTGAGCAAAGCCCAGACTCTCACCACTACATCATGCTGGTTTTTACTTCCTGGGACTGGAAGACCCTTTCCCATCACTTGACCAGAGGATATCTGATACATTTCTCAAGGTGTAACTCAAGGCTTAGCAACTATTCCAAAGGGCTTTCCACAATGCCCTTACCTGTTAGAATCTCTTCAGAGTCAATGACATTTGTTTTTAGACAATTAATTTTTCCTGCCTTTATAATGCTGGTTTTTACATCTGCGTCTCGCTTTGTGTTTCGGAGTGATTGTATACATCTTGAGGACAGACAGAAGAGCTTTCTCATCTTTGAATTCCCAGCTCCCACATGGCTACTTATTCATTCATTTACTAATTCATTCAAGATTTGATAACTCAGCTTAGAAGCATCTTGCCTGAGAAGGGAACGGGACATGCGCTTCACCTGACTCGAAGTCAGTGGGAAAATGTGATATGAGAAAGCAGAGAGGAAGTCTTAAATTGGGTTGGCTAGCCATGTATTTTGAGTTGTAGTCAAGTGCCAGACTACCATGGCTTACACAAGGCTCTTTCCATAGCATTTTTTCCTATGTTTTCTCAACAATTTTAAAGCTCTGCCATACAATACAAATGTTCAGAATCTCTGAATGTTAGAAGACGCCATTTGCTTGATTAATTTATTTGACAGACATGTTTTGAGCATGTGCTTGTGCAGGATGTCATGTCCAGATCCTGTGGGGAATTTGAAGAGAGCAAAGCTCAGCTGCTGTCCAACAGGGGCTTGGGATCTGGGTGGAGAAGCAAAATAGACACATAAGTCACTGTGGTAGAACACAGCTTATGAGCGTAAGATGCAGTTGTGTGAGTTTGCAGGGCCAGGGGAGGGCATCACTCAGGTAGGTTTGGACAACTACTTGGAGATGGGATTCAAACTGGGCCTGACCTTGGAAGAAAATTAAAAATAACAGTGGTTGTCAATTTCAAGTGTCTGCATGGGAAAAGTGGGTTTGGGTTTGTGAGTTCCTTTTCTTTGCCCATGGTCCTTTATCTTTTCTTGTGGGAAAACCTGCTTTTCTGAGACAATTTGTCCTGTACTCTCTTCTCCTTTCCCTCCCTTTCTCATATTTTCTCTACCTTTTTGTTTTTTCCCCTTATTTTTCATGTGGAGGGATCCACTTTTGTTTGGCAAGTCGAGTATTCCTTTCTGGGGCTGGTGGCCCAGTTCGGTAACAATTTGGTGTTGTTTCCAACTTGCAGTGATAGAAATTCTACAGTCCAGCCAACAAAAATCAGATCACACCACTTCTACTCATCAGCAGAGTCACCATTAACCTCTATTAATTATAGCACAGAAAATAATATCATCAGATTTTCATGTGAATGAAGAACATGGGGAAATGTTTACAGCATTTTATGAAATTTTTATGGACTACGGACTGATTGGCATGTTAATAAACGGCAGAAAAATATTTCAGTTTGCTTTCTAGTTATCCTCATATTTCCTATTGGAAATTTGTTGTCAACTGGCATATGTCTCCTATGCCCAGTGTACACATGTCTGCTGATAATTGCTATTTATACTTCATTTATAAAGAAATCCTAGAGGAACACTGGAACACCAATCTACACTATTTAATTTCATTTTTGTTCAGATCAAATCTTTCTGATGCTGAAAGGAAGGGAGGTGGTTGATTTTTTTTTTCAAAGTATGCCATTTTTTTGAGATGTTTTCTAAATTATTTTATTTCTGAGTGCTGGGAGCCTGGCAAAAATAATTGAATTGTCAGTGTTTGGTGCAAATTCAAATGTTCATCGACGAGGCTATTTTTGGTTTGCCAGTATTCCTCGTCCTCTTTCATGTAACTGTATAAACAGAGCAATTGTACAATTGGTATTTTCAGAAAACACTCTATGCTCCTCTATAGTTACCTTCTCTGAATCTGAGTTCTGCATTTCGCCTCCTGTATTCAAAGTGCCTGTCTGAAATCAAATCAGTGCTATTATTACTGTTGCTAACAATAGCTCCTGTCCACAGCAGGGAAGAACAATTAACGAATTCATCAATTGTGTTTGTTTACATGTCTGAGCTCAAGGCTAATTATTTAATTAATGTCTTCTGTCTTGAACAGAAGTGTTAGCACATGAAAGTGTTGCTGAGTGGCAAACAAGGTGAGAGTTGAGAAATTCCAACTTATTTGTGACATATACATAGACATTTATTTATTTAAGACCTAGAGTTGGGGTAGAAGTATTTTAGTTTCAACAGTTAACTTTGGGAGTGCTTGATACAGAGTTAATTAATTAAATTAGCAAATGCTTTTTGCAGTGATTGGAATCTCAACAGTTAACTCTGGGAATTCTTGATATAGTTAATTAATTAAATTAGCAAATGCTGTTCGTAGTGATTGGAAGTTACTTCATAGCTATGACTAAATAATACTAATAATAAGCGGCAAACTATTCAAATATTTTACAAAGGCTCTGTCACATTTCATGTTGTAGTATTGGCCAAATGTAGCTCCTGATTGTGTTCAACCTCAAAAGCTCAACTCAATCTCTGCCTCCTCTGTGTTCTCCCATTAACTGCTTATTTATACTTTTTATATGGGGGTATACTTTGAATTGTGTAAAAAGGAACACTTTCTCTCCATGGATGTTGGCTTACATCTTGGTGTCCCAGGATCATTCACCATGTGTCACACATCAGGTGTTCCATAAATGTTTGCATGAATAGAAGGCTGATTTTCAGAGTTTTGTTGATTTTAATGCCATGCAAGAAAATAGCTTGCCCTGAAAGCTCCTCCTTTTTAAATTTGTAAGTACAGATAGAAAAGTGAGACAGTTACGGGAACTTTGTGGTTAATGAAAAGCTTCTTTCTTTAGCTAACTTCATGTTTTGTGAGGAAGTGGCTTAAATCGAAGAAAGAAAAATCTTGGGCATGTGCTTGTGCAGAATGTCATGTCCAGATCCCATGGGGGAATTTGTATCCAGCAATTCCCTCAGTTGAGAAACAACTCTTTCCTTCTTTAGTTTGCTCCACAAAGCATCTCTCTGCCACCAGGCAATGCATTTCCCCTTCCTGTGCATTATTGTTAAACCAAGTGAACCAGATGCTTCCTAAGACCACAAGCTCTGAGTTTTATTGAGTTTGATTATTTCAACTACTATTCAATTATTTATTTGTTTCTGCCTAAGTATGAGGTACTTAGCTGGGTGCTGTTTTAGAGGCATAGACCTATTTGGGATGCCATAGTGTTAAGTTGAGATTGTGACCTCTGGAACCATAAGGTCTGTGTTCACTCACTCCTTCCGTCATGGATGGGCTGTGTTACTAACTCTCTGTGCCTTTTTGTCCCCATCTGTAGGATAGGGTTAGTAATAGTACCTACTCATCTTTGTGAACAGATTGTTGTGGTGAAAAAAATGAATTAATATGTTTAATCAATATAAAGAACTTAGAACAGTGCTTGGCACAAAAGTATGTTTTCTCAATTGGTAATAGCTAGGTACTATAGACTGAATGTGTTCCCTTCAAAATTCATATGCTGAAGCCCTAACCCCCGGTGTGATGGTAAATGGAGGTGGACCTTTGGGAGGTGATTAGGTTTAGATGAACTTGTGAGAGAAGGGCCTTCATGACGAGATGCCCTTATAAGAAGAGGAAGAGAACAGAGCCCTTTCTCTCTTCACTGTTCAATGACACATCAAGAAGGCAGCTACCTGCAAGCCAGGAAGAGAGCCCTCACCAGGAACCAAATCTGCCAGCACCCTTTTCTTGGACTTCATAGCCTCCAGAACTGTGATAAATAAATTTCTGTTGTTTAGGCCACCCAGCCTGCTAAGACTGTGTACACTAAGACACTAGGTACCCAGTTTTTGTCCTTAGTTGACATATAATTTGTGAAAGGGGAGCAATGTCAACAAATGCAAAAGGTGCTGGCTGGCAGCACCAAGAGGCAATAAGAATTTAGAGGCAACGATGTTTTCACAACAGGTGGGATTATAGCAGAAACTTCAGGGAATGGTAGACTTTTAAAACATGGAGAAGATCCCAGAACTGGGGAATCACACGTGGGAAACTGCAATTGGAACAGCATAGGCATATTTGGGACATGAAAGAGATGCGTGGAAATAGAGAGGAGAGGGTATCTAGGGAGGCAGCAGAATATTAGGATGGGCAAATTATGGAGGTCCTTGGGGGCAGTACTCAGCCATGGTATAATGCACAAGAGAATGGATTTTGGAACCAGACTGACTTAGATGTGGTCCCAGCTTTGCTTTTTTTGTTGTACAACCTTGGGTATGTCAGTGCACCTTTCCTGGCACCAGAGTCCTCATCTGCCAAAGGAACATTATTTTACATGTGTCCTAATGCCCACGGCACTGAAAAGATCGCTATTACTATTGTGTGTCTCCTGTGTGCAGTAGGCGGGGTTTTTGGAATTCAGGAGTTATGCTCTAGCAACATTATTTTAGAGTTTACTGGCACAAGAAAAGAAAGGACCTCTTGGTTGTAATATTTCAAAGGAGTTGGGCTAATTGGGATGGGTCAAGCCCTCTAGTTTTAATGTGAAGGTTTAATCTATGTTGATGAGTTTTTTTCTGAACGTTGTTTAATCAAAAGCTAAAGCAAGAGGTCTCATTCTTGCTCCCACAAGAAGAACAGAGGCTTCAAAGCCACCAAAATACTTGTTAAAGAAGTTTGTTGAAGAATAATACATTAATTGACATTTACATAGAGTGCCCTTTTATGTTACACCTACTTGTCCTTTCTGCATTGCAAATCCCACAGTGAGTTGGTCTCTACTGACCTTCTTACTCAATAGTTCGCTAGTACACCAGCCTAGGAGCAATTTTTAACCACAAAACACTGCCCGGTGTGTCTCTTCAGTTCGTGACTGAGGATGAAATAAGATTCTCTCACCTTGTTTGCACTACTGATTTGTTAGCTTTTTATTGATTAAAGATCTCAATGTACAATTTGTTTTTCATCTTAAGTAAGGATATTCTGTATCTGTCATACTGTCTACGAGTTATTGATTTACTATGATCTGTAAAAACTCTTTTGTCCTAAAAATTGGGGGCACTCCACCTTCCTGAAGGGTTTTGGAAAGATAGTTGTTTATCCTATTCCAGATCAATGAATTTCAACTTCTCCCGTAAGGTTTGCTGTAAATCAATGAAAAATTAGATTTAGATTTAGATGAAAACAGTTAAGGCCAGGAAGAACCCTCTTAATTTCTATTATTTCATAACTAGCTTAATGCAGGAGGAACTAAAAACATAAAACTGCTGAACAAAGCTTCCACGCTGCTCGGGATTTGTTCCCAGTTATTTAGAATGGCAGGCATAGTGGCATTTCCATTCTATTTGCAAGTCCATTTTAGGAACATCTGCATCTATTGGACCATTAGAAGAGAGTTTGTCTGAGCTCTTACAAACTGCACAGCTCATTCACATCAGGAAATGTGTGTAAATTATAAAATATATGAAACCCAAGCCTTTAATGGCAGCAAATTGATTCCCTAAATGAACAAAGTAAATTAGTAATAAAAACGGCAATCCAACAGGCCTTTCTGCTTTAACCTCAGCCTAATTTTGTGGGTACAGGTTGTGTCTTTTCACTGCCAACTTATTTTTTTTTTTAATTAGAAGATTGTCATAGAAGATGCTAGTTATTAAAATCTTTTTAAAATTTCCCAATCCAACAACTCATTAATACTGCTTACTTTGGTTTTGTCTTTGAGAAATATTGGCTTTAGGAGCAAATAATGAATTATGGCAATATATACAGGTGGCATATCTCCATTATTCTTGATTCACCATGCAAGATAGATAATGCTAATAGAAACTGTACTCATATAGAAAATTCTTTATCAGACTGATTTTATTCTTTATTGCCATACAGTTTTCAGGATTCTCTTTGTATTTTGACAATGTTATTTTTGTCATTCATTTAAGCATGTCCCTTCCCCCCAACTTACAAATAAGTATAGTAATAATTTTAAAGGGCATAGTGAAAGAGAAGACCACCCAGAGATGAACATTTGGATGCAGTATGATTTGAATGCAGCCTTTGATGCTAGTGAGCATGTTGGAGTTTTGACAGATAAATCAAACACATGTGTTTACATTGCATTTAGAGAGGCATTTAGTCTTATGTCAGTAATGAGTTGTCTCAGCTACTGTTTGTGAATGTCCTTACTTATGGAGAAGACGTATTTTTCATCTGCCTTGACAAACATGTATCATGTCCATGTCTACATGATAGAAACCTTTCTAAGTACATTTCTTATGTGTGAGCAAGTAATCAGTTCACCTGACTTAGCATGTTTGAACTGAGGATTCATCACAGACACGTAGGCACCAGTTCTGACCCTGAACCTACCCAGGAGATCTCAGGATTCTCAGCCCATTAGTTGTTCTGTTTAGTTCATAACATTTTGTTCTATGGCTCATGTTGATGTGCTAGTTTCTTTTCATCTTGCTAGGAGCTCCTTGAGGTCAGAGGCTATGTTGCTTACATCTTATAATATCCAGAATCTGACAGATCACATAGTAGTTGCTCCACAAATAGGGAAAGGTGGGAAGGTGGGAGGGAATTTCAGTAGGTGTTACATGGAGGTAGAGATCATGACTGAGTTCATAAGAGGGAGTGATCATTCTACTGGGACTCAAAGAAGATGTTGAAGAACAGGCAGGATTAGAGCAGGACCATGAAGGAAGGGTGGAAAACAGAATTTGTGTGGATAGCCCTTAGGAGCCAAAGATACAGGGACAAGATTTCATGGATCTGAATGCTAGTGCATCTTAGATCCAAAGCAGGTGTTCTAGCAAGGAATATATTTGGTTGTGAGATCAGGAAAGCCACATGGTCTAGTTAAAGTAATGTGTTTTTGTGGGGGGAGAAATGTTATAGAATATGGGAAATGCAAGCTGATCAGATGTTAGGTGATCTGGATTTAAGCATCCTATTGCAGTGGAAAGCATCTCTCTCTATCTCTAAGAAACTGGGGACTGGATTTTCAAATTTTTCCAGTTGCAAAAGCCATACTCTACCTCATTTCTGCTTTATCCAGCTTCTCTGTATTTTTTTTGTTTGTTTGTTTGTTTTTAGATGGAGTCTCACTCTGTAGCCCAAGCTGGAATGCAGTGGCTTGATCTCAGCTCACTGCAACCTCTGCCTCCCGGGCTCAAGTGATTCTTGTGCCTCAGCCTCCCATGTAGCTGGGACTACAGGTGCACACCATGTCCGGCTACTTTTTTGTATTTTAGTAGAGATGGGTTTCACCATTTCCTTCTGCTCATTCATTGACCAATGTGACTGCATACCCTAAATTAATAAGACCTCACTCTTCTATTGCTTAGGACTCACAGAGATGATGGTTTCTGTGGCTCCTAGATGCCCTCTCAGAAGAATTTGAGCTAATTGGCCATTGGTCAGTCTATGGGTTGTCTGGCTCTGACCTTGTGGCCATTTTCAGTTCAGTTGGCCAAGACCGGGTATAGGGATGGGCAGACCTGTCCAGGGTGATAGAGTAATTCAGGTTCTTCAGAAGGGGCTGTGGGCAGGACAGACAATAAGCTATGCCCGGTACAGCCGAGTGGGAAAGGATATAGAGAGGAGTCCTCTCAAGCGCTTAAAGGCTTTGAAATGTAGCCTGTAACCAGAGGGCTGATGCTAAGCTTGGCATTGTCTCCTCTGATTCAGGAAGCTGGGAAACAACCCCTAGCTCATGGATCCCCGGTCTCACTGAGCCCTTGTTGATCAACCCGACCTTCCGGTTCGAGCATGAGTCCAAGGGCCTATGTGACAATTTGCCTCTGCACCAGACCTCTGCCCAGTTTACTCTGGCCTTCCTGATTTCTTTACCTCTCTTGCCCTGGGTTAGAATAAGGCCAGTGTAAATGTGAGGAGGAGCGACAGTTGGTGTCAATGAAAACCCAAGACTGTCACTCCTAAAACTAGATACCTGTTCACCTGAATCAGAGTTCCCTAAAAGCAGAACATCCCTTAAAGACTGAGCAAGTCTTTATGGGGTTGTTACTTGGTGGCAAGCACTGTTCCAGGCATGGGGGCTATAGTGATGAATGTGACAGTTATATTCCTGACCTCATGAAACTTACATTCTACAGAGGGGAGACAGGCAATACAAATAATAATACCATATTAGATAATAAGTGATGTGGAAAAGAATAACAAGGAAGTGGGCTGGAGAGCCACCAGGGGTGCTTCCTCAAATAAGGTGGTCAGGGAAGACTTCTCCAATGAGAGGACACTGTCAGAAGGTGCTAATGTTTGTTGCATGAGAATCCTCCTAGTGCCCCATTCCAACCAACTCTCTTCTGACCTGCTGTTAAGGTCTGGTGTTGGCCATCATATTGATTTTATCTTTCAGGCCTCATATAGGCAGCATGCAGCTTGTCTGCTAATAACAGCTCATCTTTGGGAAAAAACGCTGATGCAGATTGGATCTTTAATATATGCCTCCTATTAGGATCTAATGACGTTGTGCCTCCCTAGTCAGCAGACCGAGGTGCCCCTGGTCCCAAGTGTAGGGATACTTGAGGTTACATGAGATTTCTGGTTCACATTGATAGAGCAGGGACACTCATCCAGAGTTTTGAGGTTCTTTGTTGAAGCTTTGATTCTCACTTTACCGAGTCCTTCAAAATGAAGACTTCACATTTGCACAAATGTGCATGCCAGTGCTGCTAGCTAGGCATGCACATGATTAATGCTAAGTAATGAACTCATATGTGTTCTGTCTGTACTTTGGTTTTGCATTAAACACTGGTTTTTCTACAGCTCTCCAATTCAACAGCCATTAAACTCTTGTTTTAATGGACTAATAGAAGAGTGACTCTTTGTCACCTTCTCAAAAGTTTCTTTGGTCCATACTTTTGGAAAACCTGACACAATGTGTCTCATCTTGGAGGTTCAGAAGACACATTCATGTTTTCTACTTTGTTACAGATTTTGAAGTAAAACAAACCTGCTTAACTCTTTTTAACATGCATTCTCAAACTCATTTGGCCTTGAAGCTGCTCTCTGGGTTATAATACCCAATAGTTGTTCTAGGCCTATGTATGAAAATACTCCTGGGACCTGCCTCTCCCAACATTGAAATGTAAGACTCAGAGAAAGCCACACGTCCTTGTGGAAGTTTCAAGCACATTATCACCCACTTACAGGCACTAATGACTTCGATAATATAGTGAAGTTTAGTATAAATAGGCTCATCATTAAAGTTGATGGCAGAAGTATAAACAAGGCCCACACTATTAAATTTGCTATTCGTTTGTTATGCGTCTGGAATTATCCTGCTGTCTCTAGCTGTCTCATACTGAGTGTTTATAAACCTAAGTCGAACGTGGTATTATTTTGTTTTTCTGTCCAACCTAGAAGAATGAGGTGATTTTTAAACATTGCCTCTCCTACAAATGGGATTACCCAAGCTGGGAAGGACAATCCTTGTATTTCCCAAGGCAGCATCTGCCATTCTGGTCACAAAGCCTTTCAGGGCATCAGAGTTTTACAGAAAACAAAAAGAAACAACTCAGCAATAGAGTCAAGGAAGCAGGTTAAGGGTTTGATGAGGTGACGTTGGCAAGACACTGAGATTTGAACTATTGTGCTGTAAGCAGAGATGGTCAAATGGCGTTATCAACTATTATCTGTTGGCAGCAATGGTCATATGGCACTATCTACCACAAAGGGGTAGCTCAAGGCACCATGCTATGAGGGTTACAAGTGCAGGGTGGGTTTGAAGCCAGCCTGGCTGGGCATGGCTGCTGGTATTAGCTGAGTGTTTTGGGCAAAGTGGTTCATCTCTTCATTCCTCTATAAAGTGGAGCTTATAGGACGGTTATGAGGATGAAATATGTAAATACATGTAAAGTGCTTACCCTGTGCCTGGCATGCATATATATGCATATGTATGTACACACACACACACACACACACACACACACACACTCATTCAACACTAGTTTTTATATAAAACAGATGTGCTTGAAACTGCAGAAGGGTATGGAGTCATGCAAGATATAAATTATTGCTGGCCCCCAAGATCCAGACTAAAAAAGTTAGTACTTTTACTAAAAGTTAAAAAAAAAAAAAACCTGAAATGTTTATTGCCTGCACAGAGCTTGCAAAGTGAAAACACACATGTCCCTGGCTGAGATACAAAATACCAAAATACCACCTCGGTGATTTTGCCAAATGTTAGCCTCTGAGGAGGGCTAACATTTATTTGAACAGACTATCTATTTTCTAGGGATGCTCACTGAGTTCTAACCTCCAGATGAGGTGACAATGAAGGTGCAAAGGAGGACAGATAGAAAAGGGGAAAGTGGAGGGAGAAGGGCAAGGCTAGTGGGGCGAGAAGGAGAGAAGTGAGTCCTTTCTCGGTGGCTCCCTCTCTGCGCTGGTCTCAAGCTCAGGTTTCCTTTCCATGCAGCTTTCTGGAGCAAGAAGCAGGGATCAGTGTCATCCCTGGACACGGTACAGCAAAGGGTCCTGGCTGTAAATCTCAGGTTGCACATCTGAATGTGAATATCCAAGCCACTGGATAACTCCCACTTGGTTTCAAAACTCAGCTCCAGCATCGCTTCTCCTGGGAAGCTGTCCTTAAAGCCATCAAGCAGGCATTTCCCTAATTTTTAATCTCAGACCTATGTATATCTCCATCAGAGTTTTCCTTAGGTCACTGAATGTCCTAATAAGAATATATACCTTTCTGAAGTTTACATTGTAAATCCTACACATTGGCACTAGTGGCAGGCATCTTGGACATTTATAATTTTAAGGTAATCAAAACAGTTACCATCTGTCCATTCTATTTGCTAAAATACATGTTAATCATCACAGGACTAAACCGTGAAGACACTTTTTTGGGATGCTCTCTATATTGCAATTGTTTACCTGCATATCCTGGCAAATAGGCCATAAGCCCCTACAGGGAAATCATTCTTCCTTCGTCATCCCTTTACCTCTTAGCACTGTGGCAATGCAGAGCATGTGGCCAGTAGGGGCTGGTTGAATGAATGAGTGAATAAGTGAAAAGCACATGTACTTGTTGTTCAGTCAAAAGCATGCTAAAGAAAACCAGTTTTGCTGCTATTTTTGCTTCAAGCTTGAAGCAAACTTGGAGTAAGACTGCCAGGTTCCTGAAATTCGTCACTGGCTTGTCCCCAATTTGCTGTAATGCCAAGTGGCGGTTCTGAGATCCTGGTTTTGCCTCTGATTTGACTTAAGCCTTCCTGACAACAGGGGCCATGTCTGTGTTATTTATAACTTTATTCCTAGCTCAGTTTTTTGCATATATGTCCGATAAATGCTTATTTAATAAAAAAGTGATCAAAATAGTTAGCACAGTCATGTAATTAAGACTACACATTTGTCTATCTATCATCTATCATCTATCTATCTATCTATCATCTTTCTATCCATCCATCTATCTGTCTAATATGTGGGCTATTTTTTGTTACAAAAGCTATTTATATTCATATCGTCGTATACTTTTCCAATTCAGAAGCTCTTCTTGCTATTCTTGCTTGATCAGCTCTTCTCTTTTTGATCCTTTTGGGTTCACCCCAAGTCATCTCCTCAGGGAGACCTTCCCTTACCATTGTCTCCTAAACTGGCTCTTCTCGATTTCAGCTATTGCTTGATTCCTCACAGCACATGTTACAGCGTGCAGTGGTGTTCACCTATTTCTTGAAGTTTATATTGCCCCCTCCCCTATTGGAAGGTCAGGTTAGGAGAGAGAGGCTGTCTGTCCCTACACCATGACATCCCCAGTGCCTGGGGCACAGCAGACTCTCCATAAATGTTTACTGAATGAACAATTAAAGAAATGAAAAACAAGAGAGTAAACATCACTCCTAATCTTCATAATTCTCCTTTACCCCAAATAACTGCTGTTAACATTTTTGGTATGTATTCTATTTTTGAAAGATACATGTATGCATGTTTTTCAATTGGTATAGTTTCACTGCATGCTGATAATGTCCTTACTTGCTTTGTTCCCCACGTAATAATAACATATTTTGCTCCTCTGTTTCTGTTACTAAGCACACTATTATTTTATAATAATCACAGTGGCTTCCTTACTGGTTTTTGAGCATCCAGCCTCAGCTATGCGCCAGGCTCAGGGCCTAAAATAGAGGTTTTAATCTCTTTTGCTTTCCCTACACCTATAATTCTAAAACTTAGAACTCTGGCCTCAGTGCTTTGGCTCATCCTACTCCATCTCTCTGGAAAGCTCTTCTTCTAGTGACCCACATGAACCTAATCTCCTTGAGGTCTTGTTAAACTATCATCTCTGTGAGATCTTCCCTGACCACCCCCTCCCCATTTTTATTTATTTTTTATTTTTTGAGATGGAGCCTCACTCTGTCACCCAGGCTGCAGTGCAGTGGTGTGATCTCTGCTCACTACAACCTCCACCTCCTGGGTTCAAGCTATCCTCCTGCCTCAGCCACCCAAGTAGCTGGGATAACAGGCACCCGCCATGACACCTGACTCATTTTTGTATTTTTAGTGGAGACAGGGTTTCACCATGTTGCCCATGCTAGTCTCAAACTCCTGAGCTCAAAGCGATCCGCCTGCCTCAGCCTTCCAAAGTGCTGGGATTATAGGCATGAGCCACCGCACCCAGCCCCCTCCCCATTTTTAAAGTCCAATCCCAGCACTCTTATTTCTCCTTTCACCACCTTGTTTTTCTCCACAGTTCTTATCACCCTCTGATGTAATATACATTTTGCTTATTTATTAGCGTTTCATCTCTACTTCCTAAAATGTAAGTACCTCAAGAGCAGGGAATTTTGCCTTCTTTTCTTCTTCCCTGCAACTCCAGTGCTTCAAACACTCTATGGAGGCTGGTGTCAATAAATGTTTGTGGAAGGAATTATGCCTCAACACTATGATGTGAGGTGCTTGGACTGTGTGGGCCATGGTGATTTAATTTGTTCCATGTATGTGGCACTACATGCTGACTCTCTTAGAATAATATTATGAAAGCTAAATAGTTCTTTGAGTGCCTCACGAAAGGTTCATAAATTAGTTTTATGGGTGATCATTTTTAGCTGGATGCCACGGTTTTTGAGTCACTATTTGGTAGCTGACTTTGTGCCCTGATTAGAAACGTGGCTCCTTTTCCTGGTAGTTGTTCTTAGAACCTATCAACCTGCAGAGATTTTTATTTTCATGGAAGGGAACTGAGTGTTTCTTTCTTTGCTTCAGACGGTCACATCTTTAGATCCTGAAGGGAGAGATGCAGCTTGCTCTCTCCAGAGTCCAAATGCAGCAACAGATTTTGCCTCCAAGCAAGCAAGATATGCTATAAAAACAAGCAACATTCCTTCACCAGCTCCTCTCTTTGAATTTTCGATGCCTCGATGGTCATTTCGAGATGACAGCTTGTAGTGAGATAGCTGTGGCATTGGAAGGGGGGAAGCATGCACCATTTTCCCTAGGGCCTTCCTGCTTTTGCTTGATAAGCAATTCCTTGAATGGCATGTTCTCCACCTCTAGCCACTTTGTTTGTAGTCCCTACTCATTAGTCTGAGATGTGCATACCTTGGCAGAGCTGGTTAATAAACCCCAGATCTGGTATTATACTCTATAAGCCCAGCAAATTTTAAGCATAGAGTCAACGCTGATGATGGTGAAGACACTTCACAACCTCCACCTGTGTCCACTGTGTAGCTGCTACTAGCAGTGAGTTCCCTAAGGGGTGGGCAAACTCTGCGTAGGCAGGGGACTGGTCATGTGAAACCTGAGGCCGCTTGGCCAAGGCCTTGTTCTCTGTGACTCTTCAATGCACCTGCCATCTCATGAGCCATAGAAGGCATCATTTTGTCTTAGTTATATTGAAGTTCCTCTGGAGCAAGGGATTTTTTTCTGCTTTTGTTTCCTCCCTACTTCTCTCCCTAACTCACAGCTCTAGGGATCCTGACTCAGCATCTTCCAGTGCACTTATGGCTGTTCGAAGCCTGTGTTTGGTGATTAGCACTCCCTAGAGTTTCCTAACTTCTGTTAGTCCCTTTGTTATCTGGAGAACTATTTGAGACGGTTTAGAGAATGGAAAACAGATATGTCTGCATTGCCAAGAGCACTCTTGGCATCCTCATTTTTGGATGGGACTGTCTCCATCTTTGTTCTCTTTTGGGGAGGAGCTGATTGGGATGGGGGAAATGTCTCCTTCTAGTCTGAAAGGGCAAGTGTCTCTCGATTGTTTCTGAGGATAAGCACATTCATCAGGAGCTGGGGGTTTGAATGAATCTTCTGAGGATAAGCATGTTCATGAGGAACTAGGGGTTTGAACAAATCCTCCTGAGTCATGTTTCTCTCAGTTATGTGAGCACAAAGAAAGAGATTCACCTTTCTTTGTCTCCCTTTTGTCAGCAGAATTCTATTTTTAGGCCACTGTCATATAATTCAGCTTTCCTTGCACACAAGTCCTGGCATTCCTTTTAGGAATTTCTAGAGCCAAGAATGGTGTCTAAGTTGAGGGCAGAGTGTATTATCATCATCCTCTTCTGGCGACAGGTACCTTTGAAGAGAGTGCTATTTTCAGAAAGTTTTCAATGTAGCATTGTCCAATGACCCGGTCACAAAATCACAGATCCTTGGCATTGTTGTGAACAAAAGAAATTCCTTGTTCCTGTCTTAAAGCAATGTGATTACAGAGCCTGTGATCAGATAGGTGACCCAAGACGAATGCTTTCCTGAATATAACTCAAGTTTATCTTTATCTGTCCCCACCTTTATCTCTGCCTGTGTTTTTTGCATTCGAAGATGGATTTATTTCCAGTCCTGGCCCTCCACCCCACCTTGTGTTTACCCTTGGCTGTGGTGCTGAGGCCAAATGCATTCTCTTACCCACCCATGCCCTTGTGGCCTAGCGTTTCACACAGATAGATGGCAAGCAGACATCAAAGGCGGGTTTTGGCTCTCGACCGAGCAACCCTCTCTCCCCATGACCTCTGGAATGGTAGGGCTGATGGTGGGCATGGTACCTGGAGAGACCCCAGCACTTTTCCATTTGTCACAGGGAAGGAGCAAACCTGTTTTCATTTGTTTGTTTGTTTTTTGGAAAGGCTTTCAGTTGGGTTTTCAGACGAACTTCTTTCAGAGATGTTGCCTTTTAGGTTTAATCCCGTGGATAATTGAGCCGTAATGGACTAGAGCTTTACAGACCTCCTTTTTGGTGCACTCAGTTCCAGCATTTAAGCTCACAAATGAGCACTTCCCTTGTGAGTCACTGAGCGTGCAGTCTGCCTGATGCTTGTGCTCAAATGCTTATTAATATGTGCGAAGGAAGTAAGTGTACCCTCATACAAGGGCACGCACAGGATGCTAACATGCACAGTCAAGAATCCTTGGGTGTCCTCAGAGCCAGGAGGATGGGAAATAAGTCCGGGGATAATGATCTTCATGTTGAGATTCTGCGGATTTCTCACTACATGGGATCATTTGGATGATATGGCATCAATTAATAGCAAAACTCTGTTTTTCTCTTCACGTATTGTCTGTAAAAAATGTTTTTTACTCAAACATTCTGAGTATTTTACATTTACAGTGATTTTAAGTCAGTTGATTTTTAAAGAAACAGCTATTCAGCAAAAATTGTCTGGAAATGTGTCATTAAGAAGTTTCTAGGCCAAGGCGGGCGGATCACAAGGTCAGGAGATTGAGACCATCCTGGCTAACATGGTGAAACCCCGTCTCTACTAAAAACACTAAAAAATTAGCCGGGCGTGTGGCAGGTGCCTGTAGTCCCAGCTACTTGGGAGGCTGAGGCAGAAGAATGGCGTGAACCCAGGAGGCGGAGCTTGCAGTGAGATGAGATCGCACCACTGCACTCCAGCCTGGGTGACAGAGTGAGACTCTGTCTCAAAAAAAAAAAAAAGTTTCTGATAGTGGAGAAAAGCAACTTAGTAACTTGCTTCTGGTTGAAATAGTTTAACACACTTTGCATCCACCATTGATTCAAAGGAAGAAAAACTGCACTGAAGAACTCCACAGAGTTTTCAAGGAGATACTGCTAATGGAAACAAGCTTCCCTTGGTGGATCACACTATCTCGCCCAAAACATAAGAAGTTAAAGGACATGCTGGGAGAGGCCGCAGAGTGTCTTGTAGGTTAAAGGAGCAAGTCTCAAAATCAATACTCTAGTTTAATAGACAGTCTCTGTGTGTTTTCAGACAGGGTGAAATGTATTCATATGCACACACTAGGATCTTTACATTCCCATGGATTTCTGCTGATGTTTTTAGTTGAACTGAGTCTGTAGGCTACAGGGAGAGCTGACCATTTTAATCACCAAAGGCCTTTGCCATTGTGAGAAGAGAAGGAGAGACAGACAGTTCTCCTCTCTTGCTTAACAAGAACAAGCAGGGACTAAATCCTGTTAGGCTTGCTAAGACTTCAGTGATTTGCAAAAGAAAGTGCATTTCATGTGATCAGGCTGGTTGCTCCCAGGCACTTAATTCTGGGGTTTCACCAGGAACAGCCAGAGGCCCCAAAACAAACAGCCCTCAAGGATTTGTGAACAGGAAGCATACCTTCCCTTGTTGACCTTAACTTATATGTTGAGTAAACAAGTGCTTGTTCTGTATACCCTGGTGTATCTAAGGCAGCTTCTAATTTCACTGCAATTGGACTGTGTCCAATTGTCCCTTTGGTTCTGGCTCTTAAAACTGCCAAGAATTGGAGGTTGAGAGAGACCTGACTTAACTAGAGAAACTGACTTGGAACAGGCTGTGGGTGGATATGCTCTCAGGTTGTGGGTGAGTTCTCTGACCTTCAGGGGGAATTAAAAGGGGGGATGCATGACCAGGTGGCCCTGTCGGACTACAGGTTAACTGCAAACCTGGCAGTGTGTTTGTTGTTCTAACTTTTAGACATCTTGTAGCTGGTTTAATCTGGTGAGCACACAGACCAGGGGTGTGGGCAGTTATATGCTCTGAACTTTGGGCTCTATGCTCACGTGACCTGGCCTTCTGGTGTCCTGGTTTTCCCTCTGGCAAGGAGCTCTTCAGGGGCTCGCATGACAATCCATAAATCTGACTGAGAAAGGTTTTTATGATCATGTTAGATGAGGGTGGTGCTTGATAACTGGGCTTGTTGTCATCATAGAATTATCAAGTCGTTTTACCTGTGTTTGAGGGGGGAAACGGGTTAGCTCTTGTTTGATTGTTTGGATAGCATTTCAGGGAAAGGATTTTGAAAAAGCTGTTTGCTTGTACGCAATGATCTGCCACTGACCCCTTGTCGGTGGCTTAGGAACATTGAAGTTACATTGAGATATGAATCTTCCCATGGCCAGAAGCCAGGAATGTCATCTAGCCTTTTGTTTGAAGCGATTCTCTATGCCCACTGTGCTGCCATTTCTTGTGGGGGGCAGTATGGACCAGTAGACTGGGCAAGGGCCTCTGAATTTTGGAAGGTGACTTTCTCTTTTTCTCACTTACTGTATCCTGTTTAGGCAATTCATCTTGTGGATCTGTTTCTCTTTATGCATCTGTAAAATGGGGTTGGGGAGAGTGGAATGGGAACTAGCATTCCTTGAGGGACTGTGCTGTGCTGAGTATCTATCGTATCTGATTGCACTGGAGATTCCTAATGCCCTGTCTTAGTTTGCTCGGGCTACCATAACAAAGTACCAGGGACTGGGTGGCTTAAGCAACAGAAATTTATGTAACCCCAGTTCTGGGGACTGGAGGTCCAAGATCAAGGTGTTGGCAGGGTTGTTTTCCTCTGAGGTCCTTCTCCTTGGTTCGTAGATGGCCGTCTTCTCCCTGTGTCTTCCCATGGCCATCCTTCTGTGTGTCTGTGTCCTAATCTCTCCTTATAAGGACACCAGGCATATGACATTAGAGCCTACCCATATGTCTTCATTTTATCTTAATTACTTTTTTTTTTTTTTTTTTTGAGACAGAGTCTCGCTGTGTCACCCGGGCTGGAGTGCAGTGGTGCCATCTCGGCTCACTGCAACCTCCACCTCCCAGGTTTAAGCGATTCTCCTGCCTTAGCCTCCTGAGTAGCTGGGATTTTAGGCACATGCCACCACACCTGGCTAATTTTTGTATTTTTAGTAGAGACGGGGTTTCACCATGTTGATCAGGCTGGTTTCAAACTCCTGACCTCGTGATCCACCTACCTCAGCCTCCCAAAGTGCTGGGATTACAGGCGTGAGCCACTGACCCCAGGTCCATTTTACCTTAATTACTTTTTAAAGGCCCTATCTCCAAATACAGTCACATGCTGAGTAGTGGGAGTCAGGACTTCAACATATGGATTTCAGGGGACACAGTTCAGTTCATGACAGCCCTCCTGAGACAGGTCTAATATTACAATTTTCAGGTGAGGAAACAGGCTGGGAAAGGCTGTTTAACATTCCACAGAGCGAGGGAGAGCCAAGATGTGAGCTCTTCTCTGACTCCACATTTCGTGCTCTGTTTTGTTGCTGTGCTTCTGCTGAAGGCGACCCCTCTCCTGAGGATGTTTGGTAGATGACTTCCCAATTGCGGCATTTCCAAGCGCTATTCTTGTGGCTCTTCACCTCTGATCGTGACTTTCGGAGAGGGTTGAGTAACTTAGAGCTTGCCTATCTTAACACTCCAGCCTCAAGATCTTACTTTGCGTGTTTACAAGTTTAGTGATACACTGTAACTCTACGTCTTTCCATGCTCCTCAGAAATCCAACTGTGGGACATGGATTGTAGAATTTAACAGATTATTCTTTGTGTAAATGGCAAATGGACTTATTACCTTTGAATGATCTCTTTATAGCCCAAGTTCACAGAATAAACCCTCATTGACCCAGTTGACTATACCCTTCATAATCTTAAAACAGTTCAATTAAGTGCCTGTACAGCTTCTCCATATGTTGGCTGGATGCGAGGTGCCAATATTTCAACACTGCTCTCTCATTAAAATGATCAGGGCATAAGCCTGGAAGATTCCAGTGTGTGCCTCACCTGGGACCTCCCCAAGGGAACCGTGCCTGCCAAGCAAAGCAGAAATAGCGTCAGGGAGGAAGCGTACCCCCTCTGCTCTCTCCCCTCCTGGATCGAGTCATTAATGAGCACTTTTTACCCTTGGCAGGGCCAGGTAAGTTTGAGAAGTGTACCTCCTGTGGTGTTTAAACGCATTCCGGTTACTCCCATGATAGCGATGCATGAAGAAGCAACATATTGACCCCCCCAGAGTATATATTAAATTCTGAAGGATTAATCAAAACTGCACCATGTTGTGTGCAATTAAACCCTTGAAAGGCAAAATAAATTTGCTGGAGCAGTAGCAGCTCTTGTACCACTTCTAGCCGGAATGAGACATTTTTCAGTTCTATTACTAACAGATGAGTTTTTGCTCAGGAGCGTCTTTCAGGAGGTGGGCTGGGCTAGAAGGAGGCATCTGCAAACATTTTGCAGATGGGAGGAGAACAGGGAGTCAAACTCTACTAGTGTTACCCTTTAGAACTGGGTAAATACCAAGCAAAATCCTTCCATCACAAGGAGCACTGAGTTGTGTCATTTTCTTACGAGAGGAGAAAATGCCAAAGAGTTGTCACAGGAGTAATGGAGGGAAGGGAACCTCAGGGGCCTGCCAGGGCTCTCCGTGGTGATGGGTGTGGCCTGCAAGGAGGGCCACTGGGAAGGATTACTGTTTACTCAGCCATGTTCCTAACTTAATGGAGATGAGGATTTGGTGTGCATTTCCAATTCAGGTAAACAAAATCTTGGAGAGCATTTTATTTTCTCCCCTCCTACAACTATGCCTGAAGCCACTCAGGATGGCTCCTCACAGAGACACCTCTGCATTCCCATTTAAATATTGGTGGTGCCAAATTGCACATAGGATAGCCATTTTGGTTTATTGTAGTTTTAATAGAGTCAATTAGAGTCTATTGCAAAGACCTAGGAAGCTGTATATTTAGTTCACCAAGGAGGTAAAAGAGGAAAAGGTTGGCACTGGATTGCTCTGGAGTGACACATGGTAGCGAAGGGGCCACAGGAGCAGTACTTCCGAGCTAGCCCTGTGAGCAGGTGGAGAATCAAAGCAGTGCAAGGTGTGCAGGAAGGGAATTAAGTAGCTCCAAAAGTCTTAATGAAGGCACAGATGAGACCAGAATTACATTTTTCTTTGTCCACTTTTGACAACAAATTTCCTGTGCCAGCCAGGTGCCAAGGCTCAAGAGAGACTTGTAAGGATGGCAAGTGTAGCATGCTCTTAAGAGCAAAAATTCAACTTCATGTTTCCTGTTCCACTGGAAAAAAAGTGAACCAAAATGCATAAGTCATTCCTATAAATAACTCAAAATTATATTCATTGCAAGAAAAATATTATGTAGAATGATGTGAAAATTTTGAATTAATAAATTCAGAAGCCCTCCCTGTGTTAAATTTAGCAATTAGAAAAATAAGGATAATGTGTTTAATTTATACAAAGTACATTTGTGATTTTCCTTCCCAAAGTTCAGAAATAAATTTTATTGGGAGATGCATTGAAAACTCTCATGACATCTGGAATATGGAGATCTAATTGCTGATTCAATGGCATTGCGAACACGCAAACATATTTCCTTGGTGAAATGTCAAAAAGGCAGCAATCAAAATGAAGCGTTTAAGCATTAAAATGAAGAAATGATGACTGGGTTGATTTGTAAACATTTATCTCTAAGCTTACTTTATGAAAAAGAAGGAATAAGTTTAGGAACATGATGGTAAATTTGCATATTCTAAGTCCTCAGTAACGTGAGGGCAGGGAAGTCTCAAGATGCATAGTGGGATCAATCAAAATTTGTATTTCCCTTAATTCTGATAACTCCACTTGGCTTTTGATATGGGGTTTATTGCAATTTAATGAAAAGCAAAATGGTGCAAAGGTATCGGAAGGAATGGTCTAAGATGGGACATTTCTCTGTCTTTGAAAGAATCACCTTTTATGTGTTTGGGAGTCATTTGCTCATTGTGATGTTAGCCGGTAACAATATTTGCTTTCACCTGTGTTGTTGAATGAGCTAGGTTAGGAGCCTCTGGTCTGGTTACCCTTGTCTTTGGCCTGACTGTGTAACCTCAACCACTTCTTAGAGCTAATTGTTATGAGGGCCAGTGTTCTTTTGCTATGATTGTATTCTGAAGGGACAGTTTAGGATTTAAGGGTAAACCTCAAGTTTGCTCCTTATTCTAGTAGAAGGAGCACCTAGCAAATATTAACTGGGACATTAACTACAGAACCAAAATGGGTTAAGCCACCCTACAGAGAAGGCAAATAAACCTGTTGCTGAATAATGTCCCCTTGTGCTTGCCTATACCAATCTCTACCTTCTAGAAAAGCGGTCCTGAAAGAAGTTTCCAATGAAAGGAGGAAAATTGTTAAATCAACAAAAATCCCCATCTAGGGAGGGACGTACAATTATCTTGGCCACTAAATGAATAATCTCCCCAAATGGTTGTATTTTCTGGGCCCCGAATTATGCCAATCATATGCAATGAAACTTCTCTTCAACGAAGACGTGATAACGAAACAAAATCTGCTTGAGGAGCCAAGTTGCTTTTCCCAGAGGCAGTGCATTTGTAAGGACTCTACTGTATTGTGCTTGCAAATAACGTTTATTTCTGTAGTGTAAATATGCAAGAGTTCATTTTAATAAAAAGTAAGTCCTAAAATAAGATAAAACCCATGACTAGACTTGCATTTGAAGATTTAGAGTGTATTCATCTGCTGGTTTTTGGCATAAATATTCATTGGTTTTGAGCTCTCAGGTGTTGGAACTTTAAATCTGCATTCAGATGGAGGCACTTTAATCAGACAGTTCATAAAAGTCTGCAACTTCCCCCCCACCACCACCCCCCAGGGGGGAAACCACCAGAATAACAGATAGAATAAAGGGTGCTAGGGCCTCAAAACCCACCAAGCTGAACTGCCTTGCTAGAAGGGGAAAAGAAATAAACACCAAATACCATTTTGTACCATAATATCAATATTCTATTAAAAATAAATCTCTTGCTTTTAGACCAAAAAGTCTCAAAAACCTGTCACTTGACTGCAGTCTTCAGAGATGACTGATAATGGGTAAAAATCCCATAGCATCTGTTTACCATGTACCCACACAAACTGTTAGGAATGTTTTTAAATGTCAGCAGTAATGTATGCATGTGTATTAGCTATCACAGAGCAATGCCACCACCAAGACAGCACTAGGGACTGTTCTAAATTGGGTAGGTCAAGTGAAGAAGGTGCCAGAGGAACCCTTTGAAAGGATGTTGTTTGTCTGAAAAAAAAAATCTGAGCAGCAAATGTTAATACATGAATACCTGGGAAACCCCCTACACCAGGTTTTGAATCAATCTTTAAATCGCAGGAAGGTTTATCTTCAAGACCCCAATGCAAAGGTCAGTTTTGGGAGAGCAGAGGGTAGAGGAAAAACATTTTGCATTAGATATATTTTGCATTAGTGGGCTCTCAGATTTCTCTTGGTAACCTAAGCACATATCAAGAGAAGAAAGTCATTGAGGTACAATCGCTGACTAAACAATGTGATGGTGACAGTGTTGTTAGCAGCTGCTGTATTACTCGAGAGTTCTGCACTGTTTAACTACTTAGAGGGAGACACTATTCATTGTCCCAGCAAAGTCACCGGGACTCTAGGCAGCCTTCAAAATGAACTTTACAGCAGTTATCGCTTTCTTCACAAAACAGAAAGAGGGTTGATAATTGATTTTGATAATGGACTTTTTTTTTTTCTGATATAGAAAGCCTCATAAAGGTACTCTGGCAGATTGAGGACTGGAAGATGTGGCCTTATAAAGAATAGGGAATAAATTTGGCTCCATGACTTGCAACAGTGTAACATCTAAGGTTTCATGTCTCTGCCTCAATCTCCTCTATTTCAAAACAGGGATAATAACAGCACCACCACCCTCACGGGGTTGTTGAAAGGATTCAGTAAGAGAATGTGTGCAAAATGTCTTCCTCGCACTCAGGAAATGCCCGCGGCCAATTCAGAGGATGGCCAGTGTGAATTGGCACAAAGCCTGCACTAGGCCATGTTTTAACATAAATATGGGTTCATTATTTTCAAGTGTGCATAAGCATTGTGCCATGCCATCTAGAGAGTTTTGCCTTAACAATCTGGTGGAATGATTTGTAATTCACATATCAGAGCTGCTGACCTCTGCTTACGTCATGAGAGGTATGTTTGGACGAAAAATGGTTCCTTCTAAAGTGCTTAAAAGAGTCAGCTTCCTTTCTGATCTCATTTTCAACATTAATTGGCTTACTAAGCTCCTTTTTAAAAGAAGAGAACCAAGGTTACCTTTAGAATACCTCACATTTTTGTTTATATTTTAAACTGTCATGTTTTAGATAATGTGGTTTGATTTTGTTTGGCTAATTACATAAATTGCAGAAGGGAAAACATACAGAATCAAAGTAAGTGGTTTCTTTCCATTTGTCCAATCTGATTAGTTGGAGAAATATTTAGAAGAATGCTTAATCTTCCTTTTTTGTGGTCCTGTATAAAGTTTCTTACAGTATGTGCCATCTTGCCGTGTAGTTACTGATGGGCACTGGCAAACATATGAGTTCTACCAGGACAAGGATCATATCTTACTTACTGGTGCAACAGACATTCTCAAAATGATGCTGGCCCTTTCTAGACACTCATTTATCTTTTGTTGATTGATTAAAGTTGTAACGGTAGAGTGGTGATAGAATTAGTGAAGTCAGTTTCTAATGCTTTTGGACGAACCAGCAGATTGTGTTTTGAGTGTTAGATATAACTTTGCTGCTCAGATTAATACTGTTTTAAACACTTCTTCAGACTACATTTTTTTTTTTTACTCATTCAACAAACATTTATCAAAGAAGCACTGTGTGCCTGGCACTGTGCTAGGTACTAAAGATAGACATGGCACCTAGAGCCAAGCCAACAGTTCAGTAGAAAGAGAAAGACATATCAGTAAAGAAGTGCTGTAAAGTTGCAGTGTGATGAAGGAGCCATTGATGAGGAAGAGGTCAGTTCTATCTGGAAGGAACAAGAAACATTTCCTGCAGGAAGCGGGTGGGAGAATCTCAGCAGGTTTTGCTGGGCACAGAGTGGTGAGAGCACTCTAGGATGAGGGGACAGTGCAGACCATATGGCTCAGCATGGCTGGAACAGAGTGAGATCAGCCTGGAGTGGAGGGTGGGGCTGGTACTCTGTACTAAGGAGCCTGGGTATCTTGTGGGTGGTGAGTGGCTGCTGACGGGTCTTCAGCAGCTTGTGGCATGGGTTAATTTCTTTTTATAGAAGCACCAAATGTTAGAACTTTCTACTTCCTCATTTGGCAGATGAGGACGTTCAGGTCTGGAGATGTGAAGTGATGTGGAGATGATGGTGCATAATGGGAAGCTTGGTGGGGCGGTTTCTAGGAGGACAGTTTATGGTCAAAAATGAGTTGGGCCTTCTTGTAAGTAGCATTTCATCAAACAAGTTATGTAATCTCTCTGAACCCCAGTTTCTTCATCTTTAAAACAGAGATAGGAATTCAATGTGTTGTGCACAGGTGGATAGACAGATATCATTGTAAGGCTCAGATGAGGCAATGCATGGGAAGGTCTTTGAAAGTGTGATGGGCTGGAGAAATGGGAACATTGTTTGTTAAAAGCCATGTTTTTGGTCTCAGATTGCCCAGGTTTGAACTTGACTTCTCCACTTTCTAACCGAATATTCTGGGCAGGCAGCTTAACCTCTTTGCCCTTCATTTCCTGGGGTATAAATGGAGATATAAAAACAGTACCTACCTCAGTGGCTGTTGTGAGCATTAGATCACAAGGCAGGTAAAATCCAGTCCCCTGAGCATTGCAAGCTCTTAATAAATGCATCCACCATTATTATTATTATTTTTTTTATTATACTTTAAGTTTTAGGGTACATGTGCACAACGTGCAGGTTAGTTACATATGTATACATTTGCCATGTTGGTGTGTTACACCCAGTAACTCCTCATTTAACATTAGGTATATCTCCAAATGCTGTCCCTCCCCGGTCCCCCCACCCCTCAACAGGCCCCGGTGTGTGATGTTCCCCTTCTTGTGTCCATGTGTTCTCATTGTTCAATTCCCACCTATGAGTGAGAACATGAGGTGTTTGGTTTTTTTGTCCTTGGCGATAGTTTGCTGAGAATGATGGTTTCCAGCTTCATCCATGTCCCCACAAAGGACATGAACTCATCATTTTTTATGGCTGCATAGTATTCCATGGTGTATATGTGCCACATTTTCTTAATCCAGTCTGTCATTGATGGACATTTGGGTTGGTTGCAAGTCTTTGCTATTGTGAATAGTGCCACAATAAACATTATGTGTGCATGTGTCTTTATAGCAGCATGATTTATAATCCTTTGGGTATATACCCAGTAATGAGATTGCTGGGTCAAATGGTATTTCTAGTTCTAGATCCCTGAGGAATTGCCACACTGACTTCCACAATGGTTGAACTAGATTACACCATTATTATTTTTATTGTTATTAAACTAGTATTCTTTCCAATGTACTATGTTGCTTTTCTTTGACCCTCTCCAAAACAGCTGTAAAGCCATCAAAGCTTATAATTGACCAGATGTACTTTCTAGACATTAGAATAATGAGCCATTTGCTAGGTGACAACATGTAGACTTTGGCATTTAATCCTAGCCCTATGGAACATTTGGTACCATCTGTAGATCTCTACCAAGTACTTCATGGAGGTCTTTGGCTCTAACTGTAGGGATAGCTAAGGCAAGTCTCATAACCTATGTGTTCTTTGGTCTCAGTGGATGGATGAAGAATTGAAATCCGAAAGATGAAATATTCCGGCTCCCAGCACTCTTTCCCCCCATTACCATTACTGTTTATTATGTGCAGTCTTGTCATTTATATGCATGCTTCAGATGACAAGAACACCCAGAAAGTTCATTTTAATCTTAGTACAAATACGATTCCTTAAAATATGGAGTCATCTTTAATTTTTTGCTCTGCTTACATGATACATTTCTGCCATTTGATGTGCTATGACTCCTCGTTGAAGTATTCTGCTCTTCCCGGTGAAGTTTGTGGGTTCCCCACCTACTCAGAGAGTGAAGGGTGTTTTGTTACTTTCTATGTCATTCTTTTGGTGAGGCTTCGTTGATTGTTAGAGGGGGTCCTACTTCATTTTACCCCAAACTTCAGATCCTTTCCTCCAATTATGGATGAGAAGTCGAATCCTATTTAGGGGATTAGGGAAGTTATCAAGGCTCTCACCTCACCAGACTGAAGCTGCTTTTAAGAGAAGATGGGGAGAGAATTGATTTTGTATTTCTAATTGTTATGAATCTAATCTGATAATACCATGGAAAATTTTAAGAAATAAAGGTAGAAATCACCCATAATGCCACACCCACACATATACTGAATTTGGCTTAATATGCGTCCATACCATTGTACACAGATGCGCGTGCACACACACACACACACACACACACACACACACACACACACACACACACTGTGACAGGCTGGAATGTTGATTTCAGCCCTGGGAGCTGACATCAGCTTTAGTTCTTTCTGTTACTGACATGCAACTTCTCAGGATTGGAAGCATGAGTCACTCTTTCAACCAAATCATAATAATCTAAAATGTCACGTATTTAGTACTTAGAATTTATGAGGCACTGTTCCAAGGGTTTTATAGATATACATCAATTCATTTGATTTTACACAACACTCCGTATAAGATATATGCTAGTATTAATGTCTCCATTTTAAAGAAGGAAAAACTGAGTCACAGGGAAGCTAAGTAATTGGCCCAGAGCTGGTGAGTGGTAAACCAGGACGAGTGTATAATGCACAAGCTCTTTGGTACCACGCTACAAAGTGGGGGATGCTGATCAAAGCATGCTCCACAGAAGCAGCAGCCCTGGACCTTCGTCCTCTGTCCCTCCTTTCCGCAGATATATATGGAGGATGCTAAGGGGAATGGGAGGTCATTCCCATATGGTGTGCAGATGCATTGACTTGGGTGAGAGGGAGTTCGACAGAAGTATTTGGGATTTGTATTTGGCATAAACACTAGCTATTACAGGCATAGAAAAAATGGAAACTAGTCTTTGTCTGATTCTATTCTCTGGGACTCAGGCTTTGAGCTTCTTATTGGTCCTTTAAGGCTGGATTTTGATGCATTTTCCTTACTATTTTTTTTCTATAATGGTACCTTTATTGAACTGCTGATGTACTAATGTACTAGCCGTGTTTATGTAACTCTTCCACACATATCTGTGAGCTCCTATTTATTGATGCTTATGAAACACGATATGATGAAGAAGGAGGTAACTGTCCTCCGGGCCCAAGTTAGTATCCTTGATTGTGGAAATTTACTCTTGGGAGAAAGGGAAAGCTGTGATGGAACTTAGGGGGTTAAATTTTTATGAAGTTCTATCTCTATCTCTATATATAATACAGTGTCTATATATATATCCACACGCGCGCACGTGTGTGTGTGTATATATATATATAAAGTTAATCATATGATTCTTGGTAATTGTACTGAAATTCTAATAACAAAAAATGATCCACCCTCATCTCATCCTCACCCCCACCAGATAAACATATTTCTAAACAATACTTCGAAGTGATAAAAAAATCTTCAGATTTGGAAGAAAACTTGATACTATGGCTTATGGCGTGAAAAGGCTATGGTTCCCCCACCCCCGCCATACCAGTTTTTATTAGTTCAACTTTCTAAGTGCGGGCAGTTGGAAACTTTTTAAATACTCTGGCCTTGGCAGCTAATGGTGGATGGTGCCATGGTTAAGAAGTTTCTCAAGGCTAATCATTTTTCAAAGGGGGAAAAATAAAAACAAAAAACCAAGTAGGTTGATAAAAAGGGCATGGTGTTCTTGATGAGGCAGACAAAACCTCACGGCATGGCTCATCCCCTCTTTTAATTATCCAGTTCATTTAGTCAGCTGTGACCCAGGACTTTGGGAGGTCACCTGCAGTATGAAAGGAAGGCATAGTGGCTGCTGACCCACGGCTTGGCTCGGGGATAGGAAATGGCCACCCAGGCCAACGTGTCCTTTTACAAATGGAAGCTGGATAAAAGGGCTGAGTGTGATGTGTGGGTCTGGGAAGTCCTCGTGATGCCCTGAGCTTCCTTGAACCTCATCATAAAAAAGTAATTGTATCTGAGAAATTGGCCAGCTAGCCAGCTTCTCTGATGGCTCATTCACTGGAACAGAGAGAGCTGAGGCTCTGCAACTGAAAGTTACAGGTAATGGCTACTAGCATGCCGCCCTTGGGAACTCATAATTAACATCAGTGATGGTGTCAGACCCCTGGGTGCACCCCACCTTTTTCCACACTTGCTGACCATTTAATACACATGGGGTAACCTTTGGGGCATCCTGCCATTATGTCTGCACAGCCTCTGGGACATCATCTTTAGGCAGGGGGAAAAGGTCAGGAAAACTCACCTAGTTCCTGCCTCCCTCTCTCTGAGACTCATATATCCTAGAGGGACTAAGAAAAGCACCTATCTCATCCTGCTACGGGCTTCTACTCAGTCCTCCTGGGGTCACACATCCCAAATAAACTACTCAGTGTCACATAGCTCATTCAAAGCCAAGGATCTAGAGAAATGATTTTGTCCCCTTGTGTAACTTTAGACTGCAAAGGGCATTACTGATTAGTTAACTTAGAAGACATTTTGAGTCCATTTACCCATGTAAAAAATGACTGTGTGTGTGTGTGTGTGTGTGTGTGTGTGTGTGTGGTGAGAAGCCAGGGCCAGTCAGTGATTTAAATTACGATTTCAGCACTCACCAAGGTGGGGAGAAATTAGTTATTGTGAAATAATGCGCGTTTGGCATCTACATGGGATTGTAGACCCAGCAAGATCTGGATCTGAATCTGATTCTGCTACTTACAATGGACAGTCACTACCCTGGGCAAGTCACTTTACTCTCTGATCCTCAATTTTCTTTTCCTTGTCTGTAAAGTGGAAATAATGATGACTACATCAATAGGTCATTGTGAAGATTAAAGAGCAACCTCATTTCAAAGCCCGCCAGGAGTTTAAGAAAATTACACTTTGAGCCCATCCTCTTCTTAGTTTGGTTTTAAGTCATAGAAGCAAGGAAAGGTGTTTACTTATTTATTCGAGGAGCCCTGCGAGACTCCTCTTGGGAGGTGGGCAGGGCAGATATGTGAGCCACATTCCTTGCAGCCTCACCTCAAGAAGCTTAGGAGCTAGTTGTCCTACTGTAGAGATAAGTCAATTTAATATATTGGGGGTATGAGGTCTCTCTCTTTCTCTCTCTCTCAACTCTTACATGAACCTCTAATCTTCTATACAACTTTTCAGCAACTTTACAGATTTAATGCCATTTTTTTGTAAATTGATGATCTCTCTTGTAAAGATAATTACAAATACAGGGCATAAGAAGTAGGGAAGGAGAAAGAAACAATGCAGGAGTGGAGTTTTCCATTGAGCCCTACTAGCATCAATGGGAGTAGACTGGTGGTTTACTTGCAGAACTGCTTCTGTGAGAAGAGAGGATCCCTGGCTAGTTATCTTTGAGACTAACAGCAGCAGCTTTGGGGTGTGGAGCTAGGGGTCTACAGCTCCAGGTTACGTAATCAGAAAGAGAGTGAATAGTTGCATGGAGACCACCTTGAAGAAGCAGATGGGGAGAGAGCCTCTCTGTGTACTCACTGTGACAAAAATGAATTTATAGGCATTTTGTTGGAGCTCTCATTGGGGGAGGACCTGGCAAGTTTCTGAAGAGTCCAGAATGAAATGATAAGTGGGAGTTAATTATGTGATTCCCATCACTATTAATTTAAGATGTATAAAATACCATTGTTGGACTCTATATAACTTGGGCTCATTATTCTGCCTAAAGTTTGAATTGATCATAAAATACATTTTGAGATCTTTTCACTACTCTCAACTGCAGGCTCTCTAACCCAATATTTTCTATGAAGCGTTAAGTTTCTAACCCTGAGTTTTAGGAGTTTCCTGGATTAATTCTTATCCCATGTTTTCTTACATTCAAGGAGGGAGTGTGAAGTATTTACTCTGAGAAATTGCAAGATCCAGGGAGGTTTTCTGAAATTCTTGTGCTCTCTTGTGTTTTCCATAAATCTGAGACAGTGATATGATCAGCAAGCTTATTTATGTCTGAATACAAAACAAGAATAAAATTTAAGCAGAGCAGTCTCCTTTTCTAGCATCTCCCATCATAGATTGAATATGACTCTCACAGCCACAGTGGACAGTCTGCCTACTACTAGATATTGATTAGTAATTTAGTTTGCAGTAAATTGTTCTCTGTACTAACATTTGCATCTCCTTCCTAAAAAAAAAAATGCTTCTACCTTCAGCTTCCTCTCCAATGTCATTTGAAGACTGTACCTGTCCAGCAACTAGGAGCTCCCTCTCCCCTGCTTTCCAGAGAACAAGTCACTTCGGCAAAGACGCATAGCTTAGGGTTTCCACGCTGCTCTGAAATGACACCCAGATTGCAGGTCATGCCATAGACTGTCAACATAAAGTGTGTGTTGGCACCAATAGGATGACTCTTCAGGAAGTGATAACTTTAAAAATGTATGATGAGTACCATTGAATTAAGACAGATGGGCTGATTTGTGTTATTCCTAAAATAACTGGCAAGTAGGTATTTATCTCATTTTACAACAGGACAAAATTGCTTTTGGAGTGATTCATTTGTGATCCCAGCTAAGCTGTACTATTAATTTACTTTACTTCTGACTAGTGTATTTGCCTCAGTATTTATTGTGTTTCCCATCAGTATTGTCAAACTGTGGTGCTGCTGTGAAACCTCGACATTTGCATTTAGATTATGGGGTTATGGGTTAGCATTGCAAGATAGTGTATCCGGCTATCGTTTGGTTTTTGAAGGTGGTATTCACAGCCATTTCTGACATCTTTCCTTGGGTTCTGCATGTAGAAAGAGCCCTAATGGTTATTATAACCCTCCAATAGGTTCTCCTGCCTCTCATCTCTCCCCGTCCTGTCACCCAATCTCAATACTTTTGCTCCAGTAAACTTTTTAACATGCAAATTTGATTCTGTCACAGCTGTTTTTTTTGTTTTTTTTTTTTTTTGCCAACTTAGATTCCTATAGGAATCAAGCTTAGCAAAGGCATGAAACTGAAACTGCTTGGGTATGGTGGGGCTTATAGAGACTAGGAGAGCACACTCCATCTGAAAAGAGCAATGCTACTCCAGCAAATGGAAAAGTCAGCCCAGCTTCTTACGGGAAGTCAGAGATCCAGGTTTAAGCAGAATGACTTGATTTTGAAAATCTTTCACAGGCTAAAAAAATTGCATCTGTGCCTAACCTTGACTTTGAACCACTGACTTACATTTACCCACTGGTTCCCCCATTGGACCTCAGAATAATGTCCAAACTCTTTAGCATGGAATATGCAGCTCCTTTTTTTTAACCTCAGTCCCGACAAGAACGATAGTGGAATATGCAACTCTTGATAATCGGGGCTTTGTCTCTATGCTTATTTTCTGCCTTACACTCTATCCATGCTACTATCCATACTATTCACAATGAATAAGGCTATAGTGAAACCTTCCAAGATGCAATGTGTGGGTTCCAAAAAAGTCAACTGTGTAAAACAAGGGAGAGGGAGCATTAGCTGTGAGGTGCAGGAAATTACTGGGGAGACCCTCTACAGCTAAGCTCTTGGGTTTCAGGGATCTTGCTGCAAGATCCAAATCCATCCAGTCCCATCTGTAGTTTGGTACTACCTGGTGGCAGAGGTCTGTTCTGGCTTGGTTGTTGAATGGAACAATTTTGGTTGGCCAGGACTTTCAGGGATAGCTGCAGTGATTCCAGGAATCTAGCTAGTTGTCATCTGTTTCATTGGCTCACTCTGGAGCAATTGGGTTGGGAGAATACTTGACAAGTGGGGACCTACCGTCAGCCTCTCTTCCATGGGCATGACCACCAGTGCGTGTGTTTGCACACACATGCACACACACACACACTCAACAGAACTTTAGCCTTCCCCATTTGAGAACTGGGGCTGAAGGGAGGATGAGCCAATTCTAAATTATGCCCATATTCACATTATTGCATGACATGTTATCCCGGGGTCTTCTTGTGTCTGTAGTTCCTCAAATTGCCAGCACCTTATTGCATTTAGCCTCTGGGCCTTTCTAAGGGCTGTTCTCGCTAGTGGCATCACTCTGGTTAATTCCTCTTAATCATTTAGGATTCAACTCCTATTCAGTCACCTCCTTGAAGACATCTCTAAGCCCTTAGTTGGAGTCAGATACTTCCTTTTCAGAATTCTTACTTCATCTGAACAACTTATTACATCTCTCTAATTGGTATGTCCCATTTCCATGTCCTAGGCTAGTTCTGAGTTGCTCAGAGAGCAGGGACACTGTTCTCCATACCCATTTCTTTTCTCAGTACCTTATGGTACTTAGCAAGTGCTCATTAAATGTGTGCTGAATGATGGGATGAGTTAAAATAAAGTGTAGCCAAATGGCTGCAGAAAAGTTTACTAAGAGTGAAGCAAAATTTATATAGATCTCTCTCTCTCTCTCTCTCTCTCTATATATATATATATATATATGCACACACACACACACACACACACACACACATACGCATACACACACATACGCATACACTCACAGAGAGGCTAAGAAGTTAGAGCACCTTCCTCTCTACCCTATCCACCAGTGACATTATTCTGTATTTTAGTTTTTCTCTAAACTTCCTGGCCCAGAACAAAGGGCTCCATGAGTGAGTTCTTTCTTGCTGCTTCCTGGCTTGGCCTGAAGTCAGACACAGCAGAAAAGAGCCTCACAAATAGGTCTGCTCTCACCAGCTCGCCAGCCAAGTTGTGAAGACCTGATCTGCTCGTTGAAGTTCTAAGCACACTGTCACACCGAACCCAAACCCTTTGCTGTCCACTTCCCCTATTCCCCTGTCTCATGTATTTCTGTTTATCCAGCTCATCCCTTTTCTCTCTCAACTTTTCCACTCCCTTTGAGTCAGCATCAGTGACGCGCTCTTCCCAGTCACTTCGAGTCTTGAATCTTGCTAAAATGAGGTTCTCAGGAACAAAGGGAACTCGAGTTCAGGGTTAAGATGCTAAAATCAGATTGTTCTCCTCTGGCAGTAAATTGGTATGCCACTCTCACCACTGCCGCAGATAAAATTAACCATGCGTTGAAATCATTGCAATAGGCAGTGTCATCAAAGCTTATTTGTAATGAAAATATGATGTTTCAAACCTAAACTCAGGAGTATAATGAATGTAGGACCATATGTTCCCCTCCCACGTAAGGCTGCAGAGAGGAGATGCTATTTAAAATATATAGCTGTGTATGGGCCTCGTGGTTTCCTCTGCATTCCTCTCCCCTGGTCACCTGTGGTTGTTCAGAAAGTGTGGAGGCTGGATCTGAGGTGCCTAGAACCGGCAGGAGTGGCTCCTGTGTCCAAGAGGGTATGGCGGAGGTCTCTGGCTTGATCAGCTTCTCTCATTCAGTGGTACTTGTTCAGTCCTTAGTGATATTCACGTGGTCGCTACTCTCCCCCTAGCAGTTGTGTCTGGAAACTCCTGCAATGAGGAGGAGGAGCAAAGAAAGACCAGATGGAGACCCTAGTGAGCGTGACCCCTGAGACCTGTGATCATGTTCAGAGGTTCCTGAGGGCAGGGTTGGCGGTGTTCTAACTTGTTTGAAAAACAGGCGTGGGAGAAGTCTTCATTCCAATAGCTGGGAGCCTGTGTTCTCCATAGCGTTTTCCTGGCCAAAGCTGGCTCTCTGAAGGGGCTGGCCACTGTCACTGGACTGTAAGCTCTGGCCACCCTAGTGGCTTGGGCTTCTGATCCAGCCCCACTGGAAGTCCCAGTGGTGTGACAGAGAATCCTCACAATAACCTTGCCAGGCTGTTATTACTACCCCTGTTTTTCAGATGAGGAAACTGAGGGTTAAGTAGCTTACAGGAATGGCAACTAGCAAGCTGAATCATTTTGTGCTTGTTGCTATTGGAGAGAGAAAAGCCACTGAGCAGAGAAGTCCAATTACCTTGCTTTGCCATTGTCTTAGTCCACAGGCTGTTATGATAAAATAGCACAAACTGGGCAGCTTATAAACGACAGAAATTTATTTCTCACAGTTCTGGAGGCTGGGAAGTCCAAGATTAAGGCAGACTCATTTTCTGGTGAGGGACCACTTTCTAGCTCATAGACACTCATGGCCTTCCTGCTGGGTTCTCACGTGGTGGAAAGGGGAAGGGGTCTCCATGGCCTCTTTTATGAGGGTAATAATCTCTTTCCTGAGGTCTCTACCCCCATGACCTTATCACCTTCCAAAGACCCCACCTCCCAATACCATCACCTTGGTGGTTAGGGTTTCAACATATGAATTTTGGGGGACACAAACATTCAGACCATAGCTGCCATTCAATAGCTGTAAGATCTATTGCAAGTTACTTACTCTCCCTAGATCTTCATTTTCTCATCTATAAAATGGGAAAATGGGAACAATGTTTATCTACAAAGTCTTTATGGGGGTTAAACGAGATATTGCATGTAAAGGACAGGAATCAGTACCTAATAAGTACACAATAAATCTTGGTTATGAATATCATGCCATTGTCTCTGCCAGAGTTTGCAGAGTTATTGTCTTTCTGTTGTCTCTGAACCATCTCTAGCCACATCCCTGTCAGCCAGCCTGACTGGGAAGGAACCAGATGGTGGTGTCTGGGGGCTTAGCTCCTCACCCATCCTTCCATGACATCCCTGGGACTCGGAGTTTGGGAAGCAGACAGACCCAGGTTCAGATCCCACTTATCAACTGGTTGAACCCTGGAGCCTCAGTTTCCTCACTAAAAATTAGTAACACTAGTGTCTACTTTAAAAGAGATTTATGCAAATATTACATAAGACCAAATATGCAATGTTGCTTGTACATCACAGGCATTTTATTTATGCCTGTAAGATTCTTTTTGTTTCCTCCTCTACCCTTAGCTGCCTTCCTCTACTATTTACATTGTTCTCAGGCCTTGTAGAGCATCATCTCTCCCAGGGATATTTGTAACTTAAGAAAATAATTTATGATGGCTAATAAAGCTTTTAAGATTCTAGGACTAAGTTTCAGGCAGAAGACTTTCAGGCACCTTTTATAAGTATAAGACAATGATTTTGGAGGTAAGAGTCTGCAAATAGGGAGTGGGTTTTGGAGGAGGGTGTGGGTAGAGAGTGGCTTACACAGTCACTCACATTTCAATTCATTCTAGAGTGACTGCATTCATTTATTTTCATTTATTTTTTGCTGCCGTTTTCCTATTAAAGCATGCAGCACATTTTTCAATTAAAATCCTCCAATCGTTAATTTATAAAAATAAGAAATCTTTATAAATTTTTGTGCTAAGTGTGTTTAGTATATTATTGTAACACTGGGCAGGCCTTCAGCTTTTCTTTAGGCTTGTTAAGATAATGAGGTGCAAATGAGGAAGCGACCATCTCTGGTCCCACTTTGGATGCTAATTTGATATCCTGACAGTTTGACTGCTCAGTTGCCACAGAGAAGCCCCCTTATCTTTCTCCCACTTCAGTTTTTACAACTGAGAAATTGGAAGAACAATTCCTGCCTTCTAACACCAGGTCTTTCAGGTCTGGTGAAACAGTTAATTTTTGAGAGACATTCCGAATGTGCTTCTGGTGACAGGATAGCATTGAGAGCCAAAGGGATCCTGCTCTGGGCTTGATTCTTAGTGCTTAGATCGAGAGGTTTTATGATCCAAAGGTGGGGGCAGCATTTCGGGGAAAGAGAAAAGTCTCCCTGTCTCATCTTCATTTTGATCAAAGATCTTTTAGAAAGGTTTCCTGACAAAAGAGGCTCCCTCACTGCGTAAGGAAAGCAGGCTCACCATCCCACTTTATGTTGAGGCAATGCAAAACAAAATCCCTCTCCAATGACTGCCTGATAAAGGAATAAATTGACTGTACAAGGTGATGCGTTTGATAGGTCATTCTGGCTGATGCACTAGAAACACCTTCTATTAAGAACAAAATGAGGACAAATTTGTTATGCACCTTTTGTTATTTTTAGATTGCATTGACATTTTTTTTTCAGGTTGGAGCCTATTATTCTGAACTTCCTAATAAACAGCAGTGACTTAGAAAATGTTTCATTGTGTTGACCTCCACTTAATTTTCTATGCAAGTGGAAAAAAACCATTTCAGAGGACCAATCAACACTTTAAATATCCCATGTGTATATGTTAAGCTTATAAATAGATGTGGATATGGCTTTTGAGTATATTTTTATCAGCTTGTGTAAGGGTAAAGAGCTTATTTTAAAAATATATATGGTGTCTATATTTATCTGTTTCTAGAATGGAGGAAAATGGTTCATTTAAGAACCATTGTGGTTCTAGAGATCACGTGGTTACTAAAATGTTAAAACCGAGTAGTGTTCTAAAAATAATAATATTCTACTGTGGCTTGCCTTTGGTGAGCGCTCTGTGTAGGGCAATTAGACAAAAATGACATTCTATTGCTGTTTTCCTGTTTAGCAGAGGGCAGTGACCAGGAGTTGAGTTAAAAGTGTTTTCAGGGCCAGGAAAACTCCACAAGGAGATGCACAGGTTCGAGTGGCACCTTCTAACGTTTGGGTTTTTTTCTTTTAATTTTCTTCAAACGTTCAAACTGTAGAAGGGTGGGTAACGCAGCTGTTCTTTGTAGCTCCTCCTCTGGCAGGCTGACAAGAAAATCAGAGCTGCTGGAGTCCCTGCCTTGGCCCATAAATAGTGGCAAAGTGCTTGGTTTTGAAATGCCTGTGTAGCTCATTGACCGCACGTTATGGCTGGGATGCTAATGGTTTATGTGGCCTGCAGGTGACAGGAAGATTTCTGCAGGCAGGGCTTTGTTGTAAATTCAGTCTGCCATCACCTCCTACGGATCAGAGGTGGTTTCCAAGTGATCACTGACTTTTTGAGTTACAGCGAGAGAAGCCAAAATGAATGATGGGTTGGCCTAACACAGCTGTTGCTCTTGTCGTGTGGAATTCCAAAGGATTCATAAAAAGAAATTGTGCTGTGGAGATCTGGGAATTAGAAATGAGGCCCAGCTTGTGTGACAAAGTAGGGACTTTTGTGAGGAACTGTATAAGAAATGCTTAGAACTTTCAGGTTACTCTTCCGAAACTGCTGTGGACATGAGTATCATCCAACCAACGCATATTGATCTTCCTAGTTACTAATTATTATTAATAGCAATTATGTCTTTTTTCTGTAAAGGACTTTTCCATTCCACAGGGTCCCTCTGTCATCTGGTCTTATCCTCATATCAAGCGGCAGATATTAATGGAAGGGGCAGCGATCTTTCCAGGGGAGTCACTGAGCTCTTTTTGTAAGTGTCATTGTGTGCCTGGTGCTGTTGAAAGTTAATTGCAAAGACACGTTTTTTGCCTACTAGATGTATGTGGGCAAGAGAGACAAAACTGCAAATGCTGAACTTTCAGTAGCTTCCACTAGAAGGCCCTTTGAAAATAAAGAAAAAAAGGGCAGAAGTTTTTTTGTTGTTGTCTGTTGCTCTCCTTTGCTCTATAAGAGGCCATGTTAATACAAAAACAACAGCATCATCCAGCAACCTTAGTTTGTTCTCGGCCTTGTCCTAACTGGAACTTCACCTGAATTCCTTCACTTAATGGTCACAGCCACCAGACAGTGTTGGTACTAATGTTAGCTCTGTTTTATCAAAGAAAAAGCCAAGGCACAGAATGATCTCAAGGTCATGAAGCTGATAAAGTCACCGACAAGATATGAACCCAGCCATTTGGGCTTCTTGGAAAAGTATAAACCTCTCTATTGATGGGATATTATTACTTTGGGATTTCAAAAGACTTCTGGGAATTCCCTTGCTCAGTACAAATGTAATCCTGTCAGAGGAACCTAAAATATATGTATTTTCTGTGATTTTTTTTTTTTTACCAACTTCACTGTGCATGCTTTTGTTCATTGTTTTTTGTTGTTGTTGTGGTTGTTGTTTTTTGTTTTTAAACTTTGTGATGGTCAAGAGAGAACCCAGTTGGGGAATGCAGCACAGTTATGAGAGTGGACTCCCCCAGGGTTATTAGGAACTCTGTACCAAAGGACATAACTGAATCTTTTAATGTACGACGAGCAATGCTGTGGTGTAGGGGATAGACAGGGTTAGGAGTTTGAAGGTCTGGATTTGAGACAAAGTTTTCACAGAATCCAGTCTGAGCTTTAGTTTCAGCCCTTGTTAAATAGAAGCCATGATTCTGTCTTGTCTGTTTCTTCGTGTTCCTTGGTTCCTTGCTGAACTTGTTCTTGCTTCTGAGCCTTTGCATGTGCTGTTCCTTCTGCCAGGAATGCTTTTTCCAGATCGTTGCATTGGGTGGTTGTCTCTCATTGTGCTCACAATCAGCTTCTAGAGATGTGTTCTGAAACCGGTTTATTAAAGGAACTGTCTTCCACTCTTAAGCCTCGAGTGAATTATATGTTTTTTCCATATTCTTCATAGCAACTATTGCTTTTAGAAATCTTGTTATTTGCTAAGTTGTTGATTATCTGTGATCCCAAACACATAGAGTGTGAGCTCCTGAAAGTGAAACCATGACCTGAAGTTCACGTGTATATGTTAAGCTTATAAATAGATGTTGATATGGCTTTTGAGTATAGTTTTATCAGCCTGTGTAAGGGTAAAGGGTTAACTATGTAATTCCAAGTGCCTAGAGCCAGCGCCCAGACAGGGCACTCAATAAATATTTGTTGACAGAATGAAAGAGAAAATAAATTAATGAGTTATCTAGTTGGATGGTTATCCAAGATAAAATAAACAAAAATCGTATATACAAATTATTGTCAAAATCAAGCACAAACACAATGAAAGCAAGGGGGTGGACTTGCTTAGGATATTTAAATGCACAAGTGTGCTCTACCAGAAAATTTGCTTAGGTGGCTGCATAAGGTCTTTTCTCTCATCTGCTTGTGTCAGTTCCAATAACTGGAATGTAAGGTAATAGCTAACTTAAAATTAAAAAGTCTCTTCCCCCATTATCCTCACCATAACGCTGGAATCTAGTAAGTAAATTTCTTGGATGTGTTCTTGATTGGAATTGAATAAAAATCAATGTAAAGTGAAGCCCAAAGCCTACCTTTAGATCTTCCTTTAGACAACGTTTCATGTCTCTGATCTTATCAGAGAGGAAGACCAAAGGGAGGCTGAGCTGGGTCAATCTTTGGAGAAGAGGGAAATGAAGAAGAGCCATTAATGATTTTCTAATACTTTGTCAGCATTAAAATGCTATGTCGTTGATATATGAAAACGATTGCATTTCTGGTAGCCATATGGAGTTCTCATTTTACTGGGAGCTGGTTAGAGAGCTTCCTAGGTACGCTGCCATCTTGCATTCGATTTTAATGGGAATAATATAAAGCCTGGTTGATAATGACCAGAATCAGAAAACCCTCCAAACATGGGATAAACTTTCAAGATTAGATTGAAATTGAGATGTCTGTTTTTGCATATCACGTGCACAGAGTGATGTATGCCAGGGTACTCGGTTTTTTTTCCAAGCCATGGGATTTTCCTAAGCATGTAGGATTGCCTTTGCTACCTGCCCTTTGCCAGAAAAATGTTTATTTAAATATTGTACCATCCCCACAAGCACTTTTATTATTTACCGATTTAAAAAAATGACATCATTACATTTCTTCTGAATTTTTTAAAGCGACAATTGTGCAATTAAATTACTGAATTCATTTATATTTAATTGTGCTTTTCGTTTTAATGTGTTATTGGATGACATTTCTTTCTGAGGCTGTTAGTTTTCCATGCAACACGGAGAATCTAAGGCTATATCAAGGAAATATATTACATGGGCAAGACAAAGTCTCATTAGTGTTATTTATAGCATGCTGAAACCTCATTAGGGGAAGGTATGCTGGATTCAAAAATGCATTACCGGGAATGCTTTATTTTTTTGTACTGGAGAAATTGCTTTTATTGTGTTTCTTTGTCGCAAGCATAGTGGCTACTGGACATTTTGGTTTCTTAAAGTATGAAATAAATTAAGTTAGAAGAAAAGGTAATTAATCCACAGCAAATGTAGCCTCATCATGTTAGTAGAATGGCCTACACAAGATTCTAAGGAATTTCTATTTACCCACGCACCTTACCCTCCACTAACCATTAATTTATAACTTGTTTCACCTCAGGTAAAGAGCAATATTTTTCAGGGCAGTAGTTTGCATCCTAAACAGTAATAATGTGCTTTTAGTGCATTCTGAATCAGGGATGAGTGAAACTTGAGGTGCAAAGTCACAAATTGCCCAATTTAGGAAGTTCTGTTTGTTCTAATGTGAGCCATATATTCAACCCTGCGTAAATGTTGTCCAGAAGGCATGCCGGGAGGCTGTGATTTGAGGCAAATGGGAATGAAAGAATGAGTCCCTGAGTTGTCAGACTCAGGAAGGAACCTCGTTTGGAGTGTGGAGCTGCCACCACTCACTTACCACACTGTCTGGTGAGGTGGAGCAAGGAGACTTTGGGCTATAGCAGTTAAAACCCTGTTTTTTCCAGACCTTTGCCTAGCTGCAGGGTGGGATAGTGAAAGTAATTCAGACCCACTCACTGATTTCTCTGCTCCATTACCATCCTTTCTGTAGCTGATCATTGTCATCTGTCTTTGGGTGAAAGACCATAGCGGTTAGAAATATAGTTTCCGCTGTAAGATCCAGAATGCCCAGCTAACAGTGGTTCACTGTATCAGTTCATTTTTTACTTAACAGGAGCTAGGTGGTCCCAGGGTTTGTTCATTAGTTCAGCAACATCATCTGGAACCCAGGGTTCTTTCCATCCCTCTTTTTTTTTTTTTTTTTTTTTTGTGATGGAGTCTCTCTCTGTCTCCCAGGCTGGAGTGCAGTGGCACGATCTCGGCTCACTGCGGTCTCCACCTCCTGGGTTCAAGAGATTCTCCTGCCTCAGCCTCCAGAGTAGCTGGGACTACAGGCATGCAACACCACGCCCAACTATTTTTTGTGTTTTTAGTAGAGACGGCGTTTTGCCATATTGGCCAGGGTGGTTTTGAACTCCTGACCTCAAGTGATCTGCCCTCCTAGGTCTCCCAAAGTGCTGGGATTACAGGTGTGAGCCACTGTACCCAGCCCCTCTTCTCTATTATTCTCAGCTCTTTCTCTTCATGTTTATTGCCACATGGTCTCAAGATAGCTGCCACAGCTCCAAGTATCACATCTTCACACTAAGTGTTACAAGCAGACAGGGAAAAGCAGGGGCAAAAGTCTTGTAAGGCTTTATTTATTTATTTTTCCCATAGAAGAGAAGCTCCTCTCCCAAACTCTGCAGGCTTCCTAAATTTCATTGGCCAGAACTGGGTCACTGGAACCCTTCTTTCCCTAAACACATTTCTAACAAAGAGCAATCAAATGATCAGGATTGGACTAGGGCATGAAGAGGGATCCCTACTCACTAAGATCAAGGGTTCTCTATGCACAGAGAAAGTGGGGTTATGGCTCTCAGGCAATGAATACCCAATATTGGTTGTCTCCCTTGTTAGCCACAAAGCAATTTATAAGACAGTTTGTTCACAGTAAATATTTCTACTAGTTGCACTTGTGATCACTGTCTCTGGGCTAAAATAAAGGAGGTTGTTCCCATCTATCCTTTCCATTTCCATCCATCCATCCATCCATGCATCCATCCATCCATCTCTTCATTTCTCTTCATTTACCTACTCACCTACTGAACGTGTGAAGCATGGCTGCCACTTGCTGGGTACATATCAATTGTTTTGTGAGATAGAGAGATAAATAAATCAGACATGGATTGTGCTCTAAAAGGAACCCTAATATATTTTGGAAATTATATATATGCCCAAGTCATTGTAAGTAAAGAAAGAAAGTGTGTACCTGGAAGTTCAGAGGTGGGAGAAGCAAGGAAGTTTTCTGGAATAAAATGGGATTTGAGCATTTTATATCTATCTAACATCTATATTAAACACAGTAGCCCTTTCTGCAGCTTTCTCATTGAAAGAAATTTCCGTTATTCTCTTAGGAGTTGTTTTTGACAGCTTCTCTTGGCCCGGCTTCCCATAGCTGCCAGTGACACATCTAGCCATAGCGTGGTCTCTGATTGAGAAAGAAGTGGTGATAGGGCAAGAGATGGGTCTCGACGTTCTTTTGCCACACTTGATAATGAGCACATTTAAATTTGTGGATGAATTGGGTGGCTGGTTTTGATGAGATTGCTATTGGAATTATGTCACCAATGACTTCAAGTGATGCATCCAGGGTGAGATCACTACAGCAAAAAGCAGGAGAAGCCAAAGAAATCATCAACCACATTAACAGTGATGAATGATCATGGCATTGATGTTGTCTATTTCTTTTTTCCTCTTGGAAGCAGATAGCCCTGTATTTGGCTACATTTCCAAGACAAAATGACATAAATAACTCCTAGGTGTACATCTACAAATGGCCTACTTGCCAACTTAGTCTTGATGTCAGAAACCATTTAGGGCAGAGGAGCAAACTTGAGGCTTGTGGTAAAATTCAGCCTGCTTCACATTTTTTAGGGTGTACATGGTGTTTTAAAAATAAAGAGATATAAAAAAAATTTCAGATTTCTGGCTTTTCTGTAAAAAATAGAAAAATGTAGAAAGTCTGGGTCCACATTCCCACACTGCAATAACTATCTGAAGCTAAGAAACCCTAACTTCTTTAGATAAGGCATGCCCTCTTCAGTTTGCCACAATCACTACCATTCCCTACTGTCTTACATTGGCACTACTTGAGTCATTTATATTCCTTGGCTGACAATGAAAACTTTGGAGCTTGTCATTCCTGACTTAGAGGTTTTAATTCAGATTTAGGCAAAGCAGAATGGACAGACTCTACCCATTTAGAAATCATTCTACTTCTCTAATCTTTCCTCAGAGCAAAGCCTACTACTGTCTTCCAAAGGCTTTATTCTATTGTTTGTTTATTTTGTCTAAAGTCAAGAATAACTTCATATCTGAGTTGTTAATAGTTCTCTTAATAATGTGTTGACATTTCAGTTAGTTGTAAATGAAGTAAAACTATTTGGGCAGAGTTAATGTAGCTAAGTGTAAATATGTTTCTTCAGAGCTATATATGTGTGGCTATATGTGTGCACGTGCGCATGTGTGTTGACTGTCTCCACTGGGAGCCGTTTTAGAAGGCAATTAACTCTTTCAAGAACTATCATTAAACATTCCTAAGTGGCTTGAAAGAGTTAACCCACCTCCTAAGCATGCAATTAGCTTCTTTAGGGCAGTGCAATTTACAATCTTGGAAAATTTGGTTGAGTTATTGCGGCTGTTACTACTGCTGTTAAATAGTAGTAATAATGGATTTATGTAGTACCTTGACACCACGGAGCTAAAAACAATTACATTTAAATATCAATTTAATTTAATGTGAAACCATGTTTTGTCTAATCATTGTAGCTAATTGCCATCCTTTAGAAACAGTTTCCACAACATTTTTATTAACAATCTGGTAGCAAGTTAGTTGTTTGGAAGTTTCTTGCAGGAAGTATCATGCAGTATGAATTAATGTGTGTCAAAAAATATCTTTTTAAATGTATTTACTAGCTATGTGTATATAATGTATGACCTACCGAAGATTAGAAACCCCAATAGAGAGAACATGTCTTTGAATCAAGTATGTCTGGAGAATGTTCATGAGTCTGAGATGAAGGCTTCAAATAATGAAGTCAATATACACAACACTGAAGAAAGAAAGCTGGCTCTCCCACTCATTTCATCAACTAGGAATCTCAATTAACAATCAATAGGTGTTTAATAAATACACAGAGTTCAAACAGTATTGTAATAAGTAACGTTTGCAATAATCTCCCTAGGGCAATGCAAGATGTGTGACCTCAGAGAAACAACAAAGAGAGATTAAATATCTTAAAATGCCTTCTCTGTGTAGCTGCTAAAATAAGAAATGATCAAAAAATCAAAGTCAGTGTGAAATAAAACAGTATTTAAGTTATTTATGTAGAATGACCTACCAGAATATCTAGTACTGGGCTTAAAAGTCAGAAGGCCTGGTTTTCAGACATGTTTCTTTCATGTTTTAACTGTAGGACCTTAAGCAAGGTAGTATACATTTCTGAGCCTTTTTCAGCTTCCCTTTTGAAAATGAAGATAGATACAACGTATATCTCATTGGGTTCTTGAGAAGTTTAAGATGATGAATGTGCCGAGCTTGCATAGTGCTGGGCACATTGGAGATGTTTAATGTGCCTGTCAAGTGTTAGTTCTCTTTCCTTTTACATCAAGAAAAACTTTTTTTGCACCTTGTATGTTTGAAATTTTCCAAAAATGGCCATTATTGTACCAAGTTCATGAAAAGGACCTCATTGTTTTTACTTGTGTTTCTTGCTGTGTCCCCAGATGCCTATTTGGCTACCAACACCTGGGCCTTCTTTCCTGTTGATTATTTTCCTGTTGATCATTTGGTGATCTTTCTTGCAGAGCTGGGACAGGAGTTGGTAGAGTAGGAGCTGAGACTTTTAAGTCCCACAGCACTAAATTAAGTGATTTAGACAGGTGTTTGTTTAGTATTGCAATTCAGGTATCTATCTGATTTCATCTGAGTTGCTCAGGGCAACCTCATCCTAAAAACCACGGGTTGAGATATTTATAAGTGAAGCATAGCTTATTGAGCTCTTAAGTTAAAATCTGGTGGTGTTTTAAACTACATTTGGGTTATCTCCATACACAATGTGTCCATTGATCTTCTTACCTAAGGCTAAGTTGGGCTCGAAATGGGTAGGGTAGACCAGATGGCTAGGTGAGGGCACTGGAATTCAGGCCAAGGAGTTCAGGCTTGCTGTGGTAGACAGCTGAGCACTGGAGCAGGGCAAATAAGTCACGTGGAAGGAAGCACAGTCTGGTCTTCACCTGTAAAAAGATGGAGAGCTCATAGGGCAGAGTCAGAGACCCCTGCTGGAGGATGGCTGCTGGGGGTTCCTCCTCCCCTCATGCCTCACTTCCTCTCTAGGCTCCTGGGGTTTCTTTCTTCTCCACCTCCTCTGTGGGGATGCTGAGCCCATCTGCAGTAGCTGGAGGACAGGATCTTGGCTCTGCTCCACCACTTCTAAGGAAGCAAAGGTAGACCACGGAACGCATTTTCAAGAACACATGCCTTGCCTCCCTGCCCCTCATCCTTGAACTTGTTCCTCCTTCCTAGCCCTTTGCTTACAACCATGGGGAAGCCTAGGAAGGGAAAGTGGTGTGGGACACTCTACTACTCAGGATCTATTTTCAAGGTCGATTGTAGGGATCAATAATTGAACAGTGAGTTTTAAATATGAAGTGCCATATAAATGCTAAATAGACTTGTAATTGATGGAGACTCTAACATTTCAGATGCCGTAAGTTGGGATGGGAATGAATAGATATGAAAGCTTATTCCATAAATACCATGATGAAGTAACACATTCATTTGTTCAACAAATATTTATCCAGTGCCTCCTAGGAGCCAGATATTATGGTAGATGCTAGAGATACCAAGTGAATAACCACAAAAATAATGCTAAGCCTCCTTCCCACCCACAACCCCCAATCCACAGAAGTTGCATTCTTATGGAGAGAGGTGATAAGCAAACGAATAAAAGTGTGTGTGTGTGTGTGTGTGTGTGTGTGTGTGTGTGTGTGTATAATGAAATGGTGTTAAGTGCTATGGAGAGAAATAAAGTAGAGGGGGTATAAGGAGTTGGGGAAATGTGAAATTTTAAATAAAGCAGACTAGACAAGGCCTGCTGGGGGCCATATTTTAATAATTAATTATTACCAATAAGTTTCAATTTTCCAAATGAAAATCAATTTCAGCCTAGGGTAAAAAAATGCCTTTTCTGTTACCTACATATCCTTTCTAGCAATGGCATTTATGGTCTCAGGTGTGTGTGTGTGTGTGTGTGGTGTGTGTGTGTGTGTGGTGTGTGTGTGTGTGTGTGTGTGATTTTTATAGCTCCCACATTAGGATTTGTTTTTACCAATATTTCCAAGGTCCAAAAGTTCACTAGTACTTTTTTCTAATTCTTTCCAGTATTTTAAATCTTCCTCTTCCCATCTTTTTCTCTCAACACATCCTTTTTTTTCCCCTAAGTTTAGCAGCATCTTCTGGCCAAAGTTACTGCTGTATGTGCTCCCAGAAATTCAAATTCAGTGAACCTTGGGAACTCATGGATGAACCCCAGGCTCCACTGGGTGTTCATGAAAATGTGCACAGCTGTGACTTACTGGTCAAGAGTCCAGGCTCTGGATTCAGCGCTGAGATCTTGTACAAGTTATTTGATCTTTCTGGGCCTCAATTTCCTCATCTGCAGAATGAGGATAATGATTCCTCCTGCAGAGAGCTGTGTTGTGAATTCAATGCGTGGTCCATGGATGGACAGGATACAGCACATTGGCTAACCTATATATAATAGGCTCAAGAGATGTTAGGTGCCCACCTCCTGATTTTCTTCTCATTCTAAGTATTGAAAGATAATTAGTATAGTATAATAATACTTATTATTAGAACTTAATCTTAGAACTAGAGTGGATTGTGGAAATTATTTGGCCTAATGGTTTTAAAATTAATAAAATTATTTTTTAATCAATAGAAGAAACCCTAGTTTTTCCCAGTGAAATTCAGCTAGGAACACTTGTACATAAGGAAGATAATTGGGATTAAGCTTGTTGAAATGGGAGGAAGATGTCTGGATACTCTCAGCATATGTCCCTTGAGACCTCAACCCTCTCTTCTCTCACAGGAGCACCCTCTAAGGCACTTGGAGAAATACTAGAACTTCTTAGCTTTTTTAAGCTAACCAAGGCAATTTAGGCATATGGGAAAGAGACTGACTCTAATCTTCCATCAGAGGCTGTGCATCCTCAAATTCTCCTTGTAAACAGTCAATCACAACTGCCTTCTCCATAGAAAAATTTGAAGTAGAGGACAGTCTTATCCCACCTGCTCTATTTCCTTCCCTTTTTGTCTTCTATTGAATTTTTTCCTTCCAGTGTCACCAGTGGCTATCTACTTGGCAAACCTAATAAATTTTTCATCCTCTTTAATCTCTATGCAGCATCTACAATTGACAGTCTCATCCATTCTGAAACTCTATCACCCTGGGTTTCCATGATCCTATAGCAAAGGCTTGAAGCCAATCATCCTTCTAAATGATAGCTTTGATTACTTCACTCCCTCTCTCAGAAGTCCTCCATGGCTCCCTATTGCCTGCAGAACCAACTGTACACACTACAACTGATATTCAAGGCCCTTCATAATCTATCCAGTATTAAGCTTTCCTTCTAACCTTAAATTTTGTGACTGACCTAGATTATTGTCTGAACATGCTCTACACTTCCAAATTGTGTTTTTGAAGCTGAGAAGGTCTACTTATAGCTGGGGAAAAAATAAGGCTGGTAGTAAAGAAGATGTGAAAGAGAAAAGACTATTTCATCTGGACCTGGTAAGGTGAGTCAGATCGAAAATAATAGGGATGACAGAAAGAAACTGACATACCCACTGCCATTCATTAAGAGTCTTGGAGTATGTGTCTTTGTCAACCCTACTAGACGGAAGTCATTTGAGATCAGGGATCAATGTGTTATTCATCTTCAGAGCTACTATTGTACCCAACTCACAACTCGGTTCATTATAATCTTCAACAAATGAATGCACAAAAGAAGAAATGATTGACTCAATTTGAAGTCTAGAAAACTTTAAAAAGTTACACAAGTGAATACAGTATATTAATTAACAGATTCAACCATTTGCAAAATGAAAAGTAATATAGCAATGTGCTTTTATTATCCAATTTCCTAATGTGTTTTTGTGTTTATAAATGATGCAATTATGCTATTACAATGTATTTGTGTTCATTAATAATTTTGAACAGAGGAAAACCAATGCCCTGTTGGAAGTATTTGTATACCTGGCCTTTTTATCATGGCTTTTCCAGAGGAAGCTATATCAGTTATTTTTTGCCAAATAATGCTATATCACAAAGCACTCTAAAACTTAATGGCTTGAAGCAACCACCATTTATTATTGCTCATGATCTAAGGGTTTTCTGTGCAGTTCTGCTGCTAGGCCAGGCTCTGCTGATCTCAGCTGGGCTCACTCTTGCATCTGAGCCAGCTGGTGGGTCAGCTGGGGGCTGGCAGGTCATGTGAGCAAGGATGCCCTTGGCTTTGCTTTAAGACTATTGACCGAAGCAAGGGACAAGGCACTTTTGCCACAGTCTATTGGCTAAAGCAAGGGACAAGGCAGCTGAGATTCAAAGGGTGGGGAAACCAACTAAACTACCTCATATGGTGGGAGTCATTGCAGAGTCACATGGCAAAGGAAATAGATACAGGGAGGGACAGAGAATCGGGGACTTCTTTGTAATCAGTCTGCCATAGAAGATCTACATGCCTCTTTAGTTTCTCTTGAGATTAAGAAGGAAACTAGGGACGATTCTTGAAAGACCCTGGGCTTCCTTTTTCTGTTGAGGCTCAAGTTGCTACTTGAAGGTGCTCAAAGTGTTGCCATTCGACCTGCCCCTGAATCAGGTTCAATTCTTTAAAACCTAATTTCATATTCTGTCCTTTTCATGCCCTCTTCATTTCTTATCTTCTAGCCCAGGAAATGATAGATCAGTTGATTGTTGCCTTTGTGTCTATAATGAGTATAGAAGAAAAAAAGACTGGGAAATTCATAAGAAACAGATACATGGAGAAACTTAAAGGAGGCATCTTTCGGTTTGCCTCTTTCTGGGCTTGCTTTATTAAAGGCAAAATCTGGAAGAAAATAAAGTCTGCGGGCATCTTTTTTTGGCTTGGGCAGGATCTAACTAGGTGTGTGAGGGCATCCGGGGGCGGGGAAACGAATGGAAGTGCTGATCTGGGATATTGGAAGGCACCAGAAAGAAGGGACTGATCAATAGCTATTTTTCAACTGCGTAGCATAATTTGTGTCAGGCTGCTGAAATGAGTTAGTGCTTCATAGTTAATGGCTGTGAGCACATTCCTTTATTGCAGCACTCTCCAAAATGTTTGCCGTCAACAATTCTAAAAGGCTGTGAGTGACTCACAGCCAAAGTGAGTAATGCACTGGAACTTCGTGAGCTGGGGCCTCTTCTCCGAAAACCTTCCCCTTGGACACCATGTCTCTGTATTTACATCTCCGGCTTGGCTGCTCCTCAAATCATCTAGTCTTCTTGCCATCTTGTTTGGATATCACTCTTCTTTCAAGCCTCTCTTCCTTTATTTGGGGATTTCCTGGTTCCACCACTCAACCCTTTCTTAGGCTCTACACAAACACCATTCGCTTATTATATAAGGGTGGTCCATGGACGAGTAACATAGGCATCATGGAGGAGCTTATGAGAATGCAGAGTTCTGGGCACGACTCCAGACATACTGAATCAGAGTCTGCATTGAAACAAGATACCCAGAAGATCTGTGTGAACAGGAAGATTTGAGAAACACTGGACTATTTCATAAACATTGATTTTCGCCCCTGCTATTTCCATTCCCTCACTTTTAACGTCCTCAGGCCCTTTTATCTCTTACCTTAGGTTGGAAAATACCTCCCCCTAGCTTTTCACCAGTGATCCTAAAGTGTGATGAGCTGCCAAGTCAAGGATTGAAATAAAGTCCCATTAGAAGGTTTGCTTTTTCAAGGTTGTGTATTTGCTTGGGTCATTGGAAACTGGTGGTGGCTGTTTTCTTCCTCTGTAACGTGGGATAAACCATGAAGAAGTCTGAAAATTACACAATTCTATAAGCAAAGTCCACACTATCTTACCTTCACTGTGCTCTAGTGTTAATCAAGCCTTTCTGCCAGAAGAATGGGTGTTGTGTGTGACTCGAGGCATATTAGAAACATGTTCCAATGTAAATAGCTCCCACATGAGTGAGTTACACCCATTCATTGAGTGCTCACCTTGAACCACGTGCCATACATGGGCGTTGCATGTTCACACTGTGATTTAATATGCACATCAGCCCAGTGAAGTATGATCCCCATTTTCCAGATGATGAAATTGAGGCTCAGGGAAGGGAAGTAAATTGCCCAAAGTTACACAGCTGGTGAACTGCAGTATTTGAAAGAGGCTACATTTTTAAGTACCGTGTGATTTCTCCATCTGCAGATTCCTTTCTTTAGCTGTAAAAGGCTTTTTCCTCAGGGTTTACTGGGCATATATTTTTGGGGAGAGGCGTTGCACCAAGCTAATTGTTGACCTTCTTCCACATCTCGTCACAGGTATACAAACAGCCCCATTCCTGCTTTTGTCTTTATTGTCTGATTCACATGCTTCCTCCAGTTTGATGTTCCTTCTGATTGCTTCCAATGAGATGTCAGCTCTCTCTCTGAATTGTGTTGCCCACAGTCCTCTGGAAGCTCTACTTCCTTGTGGAATTACCACTCTAACAAGGACGGTCCATCCTTTGCTTCCCTCTTCTCCCTTTGCTTTGCCTGGCACTGTGCCTGGCAGATCACAAATAACACGTATTTGTTCAGTGAATTGAATCTGAGCTGATTTCTCTCTGACAGGGACCTTGGGAGTGTCAGAGCCCAAGTGGGGGAAAGGTTGTTGACAGAGGAGAATTTTCCACACAGCCTATTTCACACTTTTTACCAAGGACCTGCACAGATCTCTCTTAAAATACAGTCCACAAAGCACTGAAGCTGCAAGAAGGATGAGTAGGAGATAAAGTATGTGATAAACCCCTATAGCCACCCGGGCCTGGCCTCCACGAAGAGGGCGCCCACTCTACTGTTAAGGAGCTTTTGCTGCTTAAACATCTCACTAGCGGAACTCAACTAGGAAGAAAGCAGAAAACATGTAAAACTTCCTCTTGGAAAGCTATTCTGTCTTTGATTTTTCAGAATGTCTTCAAGTGATTTGAGTCTATTTTTAATACCTGTGAGACATGATGTTGTGAGGAGAGCTAAATATAGGGGCCACATCCCCCTTTCTTTTATTCATCGGCCTTAATCTTCCTAGGAGGAAAAGAAAATGCACACGATGTTTCACCACGGAGTGGTGACGTTTGGCCTGACGGGCCCGGCTGAAAGGAAATTCATAAATACTGTGTTGGAAATAAAGATAATGAATGGATGCTTTTTGGAGAAAACGTTAAGTGGGAGTTTATTTATGTTAAACCTCCCCTGTCTGCTGAAGACTGCGAGATAGTTCCTCTTGTTTTCCTCGGGGTCCTTTGGGGACAGCAGTCAGCCTGTGTTACTAGAGTAGGCTTCAGCACCCTACCAACAGCCTCCAGAAGAGCAGGACACTCAGCCAAAAATAACACACAGCATCAAAGCGGCAGCTATAATTCCGGTTCATTTTATACTGACGAGGCTTTTTTTTTTTTTTTTGGAAGAAGGCATTAAGCGCATCTTAAAAGCAAAACAACTTTGTGAGTACTCATTGGACCAGAAGGAGAGACTAGTGCTTCTTGCAGCAGCTGTGAGCCCGAGGGCTCTGTGTTGGAGGGCTCTGCTCTCTGTCCTGGGTGCTCTTTCGTGCTTTTCTGTATCCTACACACCTTCAGGCTCCACATTTCCATTCGTTTTGGGTGGATCTCTATATTATCAGCATCTGGGATATGGGTTGCAGAAGTCCCTGAAGTGAGTCTTTAATCTGGTGCCAGGTGCGGATACCACCTTGAGTCTTTTGTTGAGGAGCTGATTGAGAAGGGAAGGCAGTTGAGAGTGTGGCTAATGGAGAGGGCTCTGGAACTACCCACTCGGCCAAGGCTTCCCCCTTTCAAAGCCATGAAAAGTTTTGGAACTTAATTCTACTTTTCCATGCTTCGGTGTCCTCATCTGCAAAATGGGAATGATGGTGATATCATGCAGAATTGTTTTAAACATTGAAGCGCATGGGGTGTTGCAGCTGGTCAACATTTTTGAGCCTCTGAGCTTATCATTGCAACAAACAGTGAGGCCAGGGCAATTTCTGGCAAGGTGGCATGATTTCAAGCCCCTGGTTTGATATGTTTACTATGGTTTAACAACCATCTCCAGGGCAGACTTGGCTTAATTTGGTTTCTAAATCTGTTCACACTCCTGATTCGCAGTGTTGTTTTCAGTGGGATGGCAGCCTCGGCTTTAGCTGGGAAGTTGTATCTACAAGTGTTGTATCTGTGCTCCATGTGGGCTGCCTTCTGGAGAAGAGGCCTCCCACTCTTTGCCTCCCTGCCGTTCCTCTATAAATAAAAGCAGCCCACAATCCCTGCCAGGAAGATGGAACCTCAACTGGAAGTATTTGAGGATGTCTTCCAATGAGGTGGAAATCAAAAGTTCCCGGATAGCACTCTTTCTGCCCAAGTCCAAGAAATACAATCCCCACCCACTCCGTAAGCCTTCTAAAAGAAGATGTAGTTTTGCATCTCTTTGCTGTTAAATGCAATTCGGAAAGACTTAACATGTCAGCTGCTCTGGGATTGTCCTACCTCCAAAGGGGACCCTGGAAGAAACAGGGCCTCAGGAGCTATTAGATCAGAAGGACCCTTGTCCCCAAATTTCTCTGTTCATACAAATCAGTGACTGAAGTCTAGATGAGGAGAGTTTATTAGCCTGTGTGGACATCAGTGTTGTGTATTAGTCTGTGTGGACATCACTGTTGTGTAGGTATCCATGGATATTTGGATTTGGAAATGAGCCTGAAAAAAAAGAAAGGAATCTATAGTTTAGGGTACCATGAATTGTTCCCTGTCCTGTGGTCTGTACTGAAGTGAAACATTTTAGAAACTATTGTATTTTAAATACCACCATGATACTCTTGTTTTAGTGGCACCCACTGAAGGTGGGACAGGGTCTCCATGCTGCTCTTCTCCAACGACACTGTGACAAGAATGGTGATTATTGGAGCTGAAGCTATGTTGGGGCAGGGGGTTGGGATTGGATGGATCCCTGGGGTCGTGCAGCCATATTCTCCTGCCCAGAGAGCTGATCTTACTTGCAGCTGTAATGGTTGCTTATCTGTCTTTCCCTCTCACAAGACCATGAGGGCGTGGATGTGTTTTTCTCATCTCTCAATCGTTAGTTCTCACAAGACCATGAGGGCGTGGATGTGTTTTTCTCATCTCTCAATCGTTAGTACCTAGCACCATTCTTAGCACACAGTAGGTATTTAATTTGTGCTTTTCGAATCCATGAACGTATTCTGGGACAAAAACAAAATGATGTAAAAACATGACTTTGCATCTGTTTACTCATGAAGAAAGACATTTATATTGATTTCTATTACAGCACTGGGTGTATCTATGATGTCAGTTTCAGACTTGGAAACACATTTGAATTTGAATTCTGAAATCCAGTTTGGTCTGTTTATAAATTTACATTTTTCTTAAAAAATGGATACCTTATAATTTTACATATGTATGGGGTACGTGTGATATTTTGTTACATGCGTACAATGTGTAAAGATAAAAGCAGGGTAATTAGGGTAACTGTTACTTCAAATATTTATCATTTCTTCATGTGGAGAACATTTCTGATAGGCACACTTAAAATCTGAAATAAAGTTATATTAGTCCATTCTTGCATTGCTATAAAGAAATACCTGAGACTTGGTTATTTATACAGAAAAGAGGTTTAATTGGCTCACAGTTCTGCAGACTGTACAGGAAGCATGGCTGGTGAGACCTCAGGAAACGTACAATCATGGCAGAAGGCGCAGGAGAAGCAGGCACCTTTTTCATGTGGCTGGAGCAGGAAGAAAGGGGTTGAAGGTGATACATACTTTTAAACAACCAGATCTCGTGAGAACTCTATTACAAGACAGCACTAGGGGGATGGTGCTAATCCATTAGAAACCACTTCCGTGTTCCAATCACCTCCCACCAGGCCCCACCTCCAACAGTGGAGATTACAATTCGATATGAGATTTGGGTGCAGATGCAGATCCAAACCCTATCAAAAGTAAATTAAATAAATCATAGAATTTGTCTTTCTACTCTTACCACCTCCTCCCTGAAAGTGTTAAGCAAATGCATGCTCAGTTTTATGGATGTTAGGTTAATACATGGTCTGCACCTGTAAATTGTAGTTTATTTGTTGTAGAACCTTAAAAAATTATGGCTGTTTAGACAGAAGCTAGAAAGTATGAATTCAGCTCTTATTTTGCAGTTCCCGTCATAATGCTTTCCTGGGAAGAAAAAAATGAACAGCCATGTTACTCGCAAGCGGCCTTACCTGTAAATTATATATTTTTTTGTGGTTTTATGCCAGACCCTTGATATTGCTTTAACCTGGTTTTCATAGTTTAATTTATTTTAGTTGGTAAAGATTATTCATCACTCATTTAATTCCAAGGTTATCTATTGATTCTTTTCTCCTCATTTGGTATTTTCTGACATTTTGTGGCACTCAATATTGATTTATACAAAATCAGTCATCTGAACGTCCAGAGGCGGCGTCATGCACTTGTCATCAGCTGTTTTTCTGAACTATTAAGTGGAATAGCCACGTATGTCGAAGGTGTTGGGTGATTTAAGGGCTGGAGTCCTGCCATTTGCACCTACTGGATCATGCCTCTAAAAATCCTTGCAGAATTTTGAAAAATGAGATCCCTGAGAAAGTTCTCCAGAGGTAGTGACAAGCAGTTTCTTGGTAGGGTGCTAAATTCTTCCCCATAATGTGGATCAGTCATTCTGTTCCAAATCCAACCTAAGCCTGTGCTCTAGGTTAAAAATAAAGAAATAAAGCTTCATATGCCAATAGACCTTCAAGGTAAGTGTCCGTAGCCCATTGCTTCTTAAACTTAATGAATCAGCCTTGTTAAAATGAAAATAAAATACTGTAGGTCTGGAGTGGGGCCTGAGATTCTGCTTTATATATATATTAATTATACTTTAAGTTCTAGGATACATGTGCACAACATGCAGGTTTGTTACATATGTACACATGTGCCATGTTGGTGTGCTGCACCCATTAACTCATCATTTACATTAGGTATATCTCCTAGTGCTATCCCTCCCCCCTCCCCCCACCCCACAACAGGCCCCCGGTGTGTGATGTTCCCCTTCCTGTGCCCAAGTGTTCTCATTGTTCATTTCTAACAAGCTCCTAAGTGATGCTGGTCTGTACCTCTTTGAGTAACGCAGCCTTAGCTCACCTTCCAAATTGCCTTCTTAATTCTCTCCCATTTTGAAATTCTTGCACCCTGTCTGAGGTTCCCCTTACATTAGGATGTTGGTATTACGAGTAAATGGAGAGGGAAGAAACATCCCACATCCCCTCCCCAACTTACATTTTACAACAGCCACAAGAACCTAGTTATGTTACAAGTACGTAAACCAATTGGATAGTTTCTAATAATCTGCAATCAAAAGAATTTGGTCATTTCTAAAGTCCCAACTTTCCAGAACCTTTAAATTCATATTTTGTAAATCAATTTGTGCCTAGGGGAGTTTAGCAATCCCCCGGCTCCTCTCATCTAGCCATGTGTAAGGCTCCTTTCATCCCATCCGTGCTCCTTGCCTGGCTGCAGAGAGTCCTGCTCTCCAAGCTGAACTGGAAAATAACTTGTAACACAATGTCAGAAGATAAAGCTTCAGGCTACCCCTCCTAGGAGTGTTTGAATTTCATAGACAATGACAGAAAAGGTTTTAAAATCAAAAGATATGGCAGGTGGGATTTTTAGACTGCTGGGGGTCTTTTTTTTTTTTTTTTTTTTTTGCAGGAGGGAGAGAATGAGGGGAAGAAGTTTCCAGCTTCCCTCAAATATATCGTATAGCCCTTTTGTTTTTCATTCAATCTAGTCATTAGATCTGCATTCCCACTCTACTCATTAGTTTTTGATTATTTCTGGGGGCTTATGACTTCAGATAGTCTTTAAAGGAAACTTTAAAGACAGTATTCTGTAATTTATCTCTGCTGGGATTAACATTTGCTAAGGCAATACCCTGTGTCTCTGGGCTCTCTTGATGCCCAGCATATCACAAAGTCAGGAACAGGATATAAACATACTGGAAAGGCCAGTATTAGTTTTATACTGAATTGGGAAGGATGATGTATTGAATGTCTTCACCTGGTTGGACTTATATTTGATTCTTTGCAAATCAGTGACAGATTCATATGTACAGAAAAATTGAGGTTCTCATCTATATGTTGTTTTTTATTACATTATTTTGCTTCGGGCACAAACATGTCAAAGTAATTTAGACACTGTGGATGAAGTCATCTGATTTCCATTAATAAATGTCTACTAAATCCTTCTGATCACAGTCAGTTGGTATTATTACACAGTTATAGAAAGACATAGTAATGCCATGCAGTAATTAATTGGCATCTACATGGCTCAGATTCATACAAAATATAATGTTTGTAGTGACAGCCAGGTTATTTCTCACTTAAGCGATATAAGTACACTTAAGTATTGAAATGGATTCTGTTTCTTGGTTTGAATATTTGGGTCTTTTGCTTTCTATCTCTGTTCATTTTGAGTAGGTTAAGAAAAAGTCCTTCCTGGTTTATTATGTTCTTTTTTGTAATAGAAGCTTTCTTATTCCATACAACTGAAAATGGTAGTTCACTGGTTAATCACATAAATTGATTAAATTGGGAAATCATAAATGATATGCAGACACAAAACATTTGACTTTTGCTTAAAACATATAAATGCACATGTATTTGCCACTATTTTGCTGTGGAGCCAAGGCCTTTTCTCTAAATATGGATCCACAAAGAGAAATTCTGAAGTTTTTCCCATGTAAGCCATAGCCTTAAAGTAACTCTACAAATTTCAGTTTTAGTTTCTCTAAAGTGAATCAAGAATTTAAAGACAATGTCCAACAACCTGAGTACAGAATCTGTATAGGTTTTTAGGATTCCTGGCCCTCCAATAACAACTTTTTGAAGAGTAACTTTTCTTTCCAAATCATTTGACTTGTTTCATGAAAACAGCAACTTTTTTCTATCCAAACTCATATTTTATAGATATAGTTATTTAATTGAATTATGTAATTATATTAACAGGCATAATTGTCAATAACAGGACCGGGACAAATGCAAATGAATCTTGGTAAGCCTACAAGTCAGTACGTGGGAGCCAAGAGACACAAGTAGACCAGAAAGTCTTCACTCCACCAGCCACAGGTGTTCAATTGGCCATAAAACCATGGGTGTCACTGCAGTTCAGGTTAGGTATTTTACAGAGAGAATGGTGAGCATCACTGTTCCAGGGCAGCAGTGAACTGGAAGCCAGTACTCTATTTCCCTACCTTCTGAAATACAATGACTACAGTGCTGGAATTCATAGTCTTCTGATTTATCACTCTTAGGACAGAAATGTTTTTGGATCTATTTGTTTTATTATAGAGTTAATATATAGCCACCTCCAGTAGTGTGGGTTTGATACATGATTAGAATTTGTTGGTGAAGCAAATTTCTGAAGGTAAATACCTTGCTATTAGCATCTAATGAAAAAAAACCACCTAAAAACCAAAAACAGAAGTAAAATCTATGGGAAAACATACCCTATTCATGTCTAGGAAAATTTCATTGAGGTGAAGTTAAAGTGGAAATGTATAACGTGGGCAGTAGGGACTCATAAAAATTCTATCATAGCTGTTAAGTGCAAGTGTGTACAAAATCCCATGGGTAGGTGAAAGATCATCCATTTCTTCCATGCCTGGGGACTCCTTGGCTCGGAACTTAATTTTCTCAATATCCTCCTGCTCCCTTCACCCCAGACTTTTTTGTTTTCTCCTCTAGATTGAATATTTGCATCTAACAGAGCAGGGTAAAGTACCATCTTTTACCAGCATTTAGCATTGTGGCATGCATGTTTTAATTTACCTGGAAAACTATTTTTTAGTTGCTCGATTCTTACAATGCGGTCTTAACCACCTTCCCTCCCTTCCCCATTGTTGAGACAGGGTCTCACTCTGTCGCCCAGGCTGGAGCGCCGTGGCACCATCATAGCTTACTGTGACCTCAAATTCTTAGGCTCAAGCAATCCTCCCACATCAGCCTCCCAAAGCACTGGGATTATAGGAGTGAGTCACTGTGCCTGGCTTAACCCATTTTTATTCTATAAGCTAAAGGAATTTATCCTAAATCAGGGAGGACTGACTGATGCACTTTGTATAGGTTTTTCGTATATATATAACTTTTTCATAAAGAAAATGTTACAAATTCTAAAACTCTATTTCTTATTAGTCAGCATATTCTTAATATGCTGCTTATCTGGAGGGAAAAACAGTGGGTAAGGAAAAGGTTTTCCATTACTTTTTGGCATCAATTTGACATTAAATTTCATATGGTACCAGCAGCTAAACTGCATGACTGCAGGCCCACACTCCTGACGTACTGAAAGTGTGTTGTTTATTCTGAGGCAAGAAATGGTAGAGTAAAAGTTTTTGTAAGGTACCTAGTTTACTCTACTTAAATATTACATTCTTGCCATGACTTTTACTTTATTTCAAAATTTATTTTATTTTTTAATTCAGCTAGAGCTGTGGTAACAAAGTACTACAAAGTGGATGGTGTTGACAACAGAAATGTATTGTCTCACAGTTCTAGAGGCTGGAAGTCCAAGATCATGGTTTGTTGACCGAGTTGATTCCTTCCAAGGGATCTGAGAGAGAATCTATTTCATGCCTTGTATTAGTCCATTCTTACACTGCTATAAAGAACTAACTGAGACTGGGTAATTTATGAAGAAAAGAGGTTTAATTGACTCTCAGTTATGCAGGCTTAACAGAAAGCATTGCTAGGAGGCCCCAGGAAATTTATAATCATGGTGGAAGGCCAAGGGGAAGCAAGCGCCTTCTTCGCATGGTGGCGGAAGAGAGAGAGAGAAAGCGAAGAGGGAAGTGCCACACACTTTTAAACCATCAGATCTCATGAGAACCCACTAACCTGAGAACAGCAAGGGGAAAATCCACCTCCATGATCCAATCACCTCCTACCAGGCCCCTCCTCCAATTCAAGTGAGATTTGGGTGGGGACACAAATCCAAACCATATCATGCCTGCTATGGTTTGAATAGATCCTTTCCAAAATTCAGTCGTGGTTAACATGATAGTACTAAGAGGTGAGGCCTTTAAGAGGTGATGAGGCTGCCGTGAGGGCTTCTCCCTTGTGAATGTGATTAAGTCCCTCATAGAAGTGGCTTCACACAGTTCAGTCACTTGCCCTTTTGCCAAATGACCACACAGCATTCCTACCCTCCAGAGAAGCAGCCCTCACCAGACAATTGGACCTGCCAGTGCCTTGGTTTTGGATATCCCAGCCTCCAGAATGGCGAGAAATAAGTTTCTGTTCTTCATAAATTACTGAGACTGAGGTATTCTGTTACAGCAGCACAAGTGGACTAGGACACTGCCTCTCTCCTAGGTTCTGGTGGTTGCTGGAAATCCATGGCTTGTAGATGCATCACCCTGAATCTGTCCTTACCCTCATATGGCCTTCTCCCTGTCTACATCTGTCTCTGTGACCCAATTTTCCCCTTTTTATAAGGACATCAATCATATTGGATTAAAGCCCACCCTAATGACCTCATTTCAGTTTTATTCCCTTTGTAAAGACTCTATCTCTGGCCGGGTGTGGTGGCTTATGCCTGCAATCTGCAATCTCAGCACTTTGGGAGGCTGAGGCGGGCAGATCACTTGAGGTCAGGAGTTCGAGACCTGCCTGAGCAACATGGTGAAACCCTGCCTTTGCTAAAAATACAAAAATTAGCCGGCATGGTAGTGTGTGCCTGTAGTCCCAGCTACTCGGGAGGCTGAGGCAGGAGAATTGCTTGAACCCGGGAGGCACAGGTTGCAGTGAGCCAGGATCGTGCCACTGCACTCCAGCCTGGGTGACAGAGTGAGACTCTGTCTCAGAAAAAAAAAAAAAAAAAAGACCCTATTTCTAAATAAGGGTCACATTCTAAAGTAATGGGGGTTAGGACTCCCACATACATTTAGTTATTAGCACTTGCATTTGAAAATACTTTAAAAAAAGAATCTCCCAGCAGTGTCCTCGAGCAAGCTCAAGTTTGTGTGGTGTTAAGAAGCACAAGAGCTTGAAATAAAAGACTTAGAGTTCTTGAAATGTCAGTGTCGTGGTTTGGCCAGAGTCATTATACATACTTTCCTTGATGTTTATTTTTATAGTTTCTCCTTCATTTAATTAAAACATCCAACAAAGAAGAAAAAAACCTATTCTTTTTTTTTTAGTGCTTGATTTAAGAACAGTGAATAAAAGCTATGCTGTTTAATAAGCTCCTGTATTAATGTATGTTCTCATTATGTTTACAATTTGGAGACACGTACTTTGTTTTATCAGCATTGAATTCATATAGAGCTACATTTATTATTTGATGCTTCACTTTGCTTTCATTAATTTCCTTGCTAAGTGATCGGTAGCATGGAAGTCATGCTATTCTGAGTTTGGATTCTGAGATGAAGGCACACTGCATTGTTGAATGCTTTGCTCTTTCTTTTTAAAATTCATATTTCTGCATCATCTTTAGAAACTGAGACACTTAATGCAGTATCTTATGAACAGGAAAAATCAAGACTGGAAAAGGAAGAGAAAATAGTGAAGTGTGAGAGTCTGGGTAGAACAGACTGGGCCTGTAATGGAAGCTATTTAAAATAATATTGCAGGACTACCCAATGCCTGGGATCTATGTTCTAGCTAGATTTTTTAAATTTAATTTTCAGAACAACTCTGAATTGGAAAGTGTATTGCTCTGGATAGGCTAGCTTATGTTTTAACAAATAACACTGGAAGCTTATTTCTTGTTCACATAATGCCTGTTGTTGGTCCAGGTGACTGTCCAAGGCACCTGTTCTCCTTGAGAACAGGCTCGGCATTCCTGTCTGCCTCTGTGTTAAGGCATGACTTAGCAACACACGCATCTGCAGTCACCGCAATAGAGAAAGAGCGGGCTGAGAATCAAGTGCCTGTTATTGAAGCCTCCCCCACCCTGGGAATTAATACCCACCCTCTTACATTTCCTTGGACAAAAAAGGGCATGTGGTTATGCTGGATTTTAAGGGAGTTAGGGAAATGCTATCTTGCTGTGGGCTTGGAAGCAGAGGGGAACTAGATACTGGTGGACAATAATGTGCCTGAGACTATAACGCATACTTCCCCTTTACACACATGGAAACCAGGTCTCAGAGAAGATGAGTAACCTGCCCAGGGACACAGAGTTAGAAAATAATGGAGCTGATAATCAAATCTAAGTCTGACTTCAAAGACTATGCTTCGAACCACTCGTGTGCTGCCTTCCATAAGAACAGATATAACTACATTGCAGATGATGCAATTCAAATGATAAAACTAATTGCTCCCAGTTGTCCTTATGGGATGCTGTTGATAAGGATTTAGGGAAATGGGGTAAGAACCATATGACTGGTGAGGCTTCCATTGAGACTAGTCTCTGGGGAAATTTTCTGGAAACTTGGTCTTCTGGCCTTTCTCTCTTACACCTCAGAAGAACCTCTGAGAAGCATCTGTATATTCTCAGTAAAAGGGAGGAACTGGGCAAGTAAAGGGTTTTGCATGTGTCTGTTTTACTAGAGATGAGGTGGAAGGTATAGTCTTGTGATTACTAAAAGGATAATAATGGCAAGTTAGGTTTGTATGACAGTTTACAGCCTACAAAGCATGTTCCTATATAATCTTCAGATAAGAACAAACTTAAGTGTCACAATTGACCGAGGTGCTGTATTAATGAGGTATGATTGTCAAAACAGCCAGTGGGATCTGAGACTGCATCAGTGAAAGAGTATCGAGTAGCATTGAGTAGACCTTGGAGTTATAGCTGAACTAACTCTTGGCCTCATCACCAAGGCAAATGTCTTCATCTCTTTTGGATTCTTTATCTGTAAATCAGGAGCATAATAATAACCTCATAGAATGTTTGTAAAGGGTAAGCTAGACAAGGTTAGTAAAGCACTCAGCACAGCATCGGACACCTAGGTCCATGCTCAGTAACTGTTAGTTGCTCTTATTATGATGATTATGGTTGATATTGTGGCAATTTTTCAAACAAGGCATGTGATTGTTTGGCTGTGTGTGCAATAATAGATCATAGCAAGAATATTATGATCGCTTCTGCGAGCACGGGAATTTGTAGAATACATTTCGAGGCTGGCAACCAGAATGGAGAAGTGACCTGAAACCATCTTACATTTTCTGAAGAACCTAACAATATTTAATCTGGAAATTAGACACTTTAGTAGAAGTTTGGGAGCATGGGGCACCACTATATTTGCATCTCTGAAGGGTTGTTCTGTAGAATGGGCTTTAGTCTCATTCCTTCTGGAATTAAGAAGCAGTACATCCATGGGTAGAAGTTGCAGGGAGAAGGATATCAATTCATTTTGGGACAAAAATTACCAGCCATGGAACAGGACTGTCTTGGGAGGTAGTGAATTTACCGTATTAAGTGATATAGGCAGGGCCATGTGGATTCAGGTATCAGATGAGTGATTACATCAGAGAAATTTGAAATGATACTCTGCACCGAGTTTTGTGATTCTAATCCTGGGTGCATCTGGAGAGCATTAAAAAAATTCCCAATGTCTTGGGTCCTAGTTTAGACCAATTAGATAAGAATCTCTAGGGGTGAAGGGCAATTCTTAGTATCAGGAGACAGCATCATTCTGCATGTGAAGTGCTAGTGAAGCATTGACTGGGTTTGAGTTCTAAAGTTTGAGGAGTTCATTCAAACCGAAGCCTCTGATCATTTCGTATACTGATTTAGAAAAGGGGTTGAGGCCTACGGTGGGATTGAAATGCCTGCCTGCAGAACATCTTATGGGGGAAGGGGAGGGACTCTAGATGCTCAGAATTCAACTATGGGAATGAGTCTATTTTCACCCAAAGGAGCTTGCTATTATTCATGTTCACTGGCTGCTGAGTGATTCATACGCTGCTTTTTGGGGGAGATGTATTCAAATGAAATGTGTTGCTACTATGTAAAATAGTTTATTTCTTCTAGGATACACCAGCCCACTGATGCAACCTGGCAGAACAATGCAAATTCTGGTGTGTGTGTGAGCATATGTGTGTGTGTGTGTGTGTGTGTGTATTGGGGCAAGGAGAAGACGGGAGCACACATAGAAATGCATATTTCTCAAGCATAGAGCAAGCCTGCACACTTCCCTCTTCTGACCTTTACACCACAAGCATAAGAATGACCCATTGTCCACCGGCCCTGGAGCTTGGTTGTTCCTAATCTCTGGACGCTTGATGGCTGAGCTGGCCTTCAGCTTGGCCAGTTGGCATCTGTCTGGGTAGCCCCATGTGTCCCAAATTTGTTCCCCGGTGGGTTCTTCCTGCCCGATCCCTCATCCTCTGGCATGGCATTTTCTCCATGACAGTCTGCCCCTGGACTGCCCTGGCTGCTGCTTTGGTAAAAGCTTGCAAGGAGAGAGAGTAACAGCCGCTGGCGAATCCAGTTTGTGCAAGCAGCATCAGCAATGGATGAGACCTCCCCAAGGCTGGAAGAAGACTGGAAAAAAGTACTTCAGCGAGAAGCAGGCTGGCAGGTAAGTGATGTCCTCAGCTCCACACAGGACCCAAATCTCTCTCAACTCTTTTGGCTCCAAGTCTAGGTAATATGCGTACATCAATTTGTGGAACTGTGCTATCTGCAAGCACGTCCTTTTGAAAAAAGTCATGGGTAGTGTCCACGTCTTTGCAAACCATGCAAGTAAGACCCCAAATACATTTACTCTAGATTGTCAAGCAAGCTAATAGGGCTTTACAAATCTATAGGTGTTGCTAAATTTATGCTTTCTTAATAAAGTTTCTTGAATTAACAAGTTGCAGGTGTATATCAAGGGAAACATGCAGATTTGGTTTGTGTGAGTATAAGTTCATTGCGATATAAAAATTTAATACAACACCTGTCATCAGACTTACTTTATGGTGTTATGGTAGCTTAGAATAGGGGCTTGGTTTTAACCTATTTTTAATGAGGTGACCATTCTTTTAATGCAGCTTGCGTGCCTTCCTTATTTATGCTGAACTCATAATAGGTAGAAGCTCTGTGGTATGCAGAGAGTTCAAGCTAAAGGATTCATTTTGGTGTAGAAGCAGTTTTCATTAAAATGTGCAAAGCAGTAATGTTTATACGTTACAATACCTATTTCAAATTAGCAAAATTATATGCTCCTGTCTCGTAAGCTGCCAGCTGAAATCCCTTCCTAAATCCTGTTGAATGGCTTGGATTACTCTTCTTCACATTACACATTACACACCTCTAATGCATATTTTTACGCATCCACTGCGTTGCCATTTAATTAGACAACAATATTGAAGACTGATGCCAGAGCTTTTTTTCTGTTTCTTTTTTAATAATGCTGCTGGCGTATGGAAAAAAGAACACTTCTGTGTATGAAGCATTTCTTAGGGATGATGTTGGATAAAGTGAAACTCTGATTTTCCATTTTGTCTATAGCAGAAACTTTCATATAAAAATGGTAATTCAGAATGAGTTGATTTTTAATGTCAATTAAAAAAATTCTTTTATAAAAAGAAGGAGCCTTTTCTGAAGATTTCTTCTTCAACAGAAATTTTAGTGAAATATAATACTGGTATTGACTGGTATGTTTTGTTGTATGCAATGTGATGTTAAGTAAGGAGCTTCAGAAAAAAACACCCTCTAGCCTGCCATGAAATTGGAATCCTTTCACTTTGAGTGGGAGCATTATTCAGGAAGTAGAAAAGGATACAAAATAAATCTCTGCATGCTACTTTCAGGATGACATGTGGTGGGTCTCCAGGGGTCCAAACAGATATTCAAATATTTTATGGTATGTTAATGTGACTTTTGGATTTTTGTCTTTCGTTTGCATGTTTTCCTTTAGAAAGTTGTCATTTTATATAGTCTTTATTTCAAAGGAGAGTGAAGGGAGGAAGACTGTGAGGAGATGACTCAGACATCTCTGTGGATAAAATGTTTAAACTAGAAACATGAAGTCCAAATGTTTATGTAAAAATGCATGTGTCATATCACTGTCAGCATCCCGTGACCCTTTAGCTTATTAATTTACCAAAAGGCTTCTAATGAAAATATTGCCTGTGCTGTTTGCTTCCAAAGATGTGATCCTGTACAGCTGATCGACCCCTGTCATTTCCATTGTGATAGCTGGAGCTCCCCCTTCTAGCTAGTGGAGGTAGTGGTTAGAAAAAAGGCGTCCTAGGCCGCGCACGGTGGCTCACGCCTGTAATCCCAGCACTTTGGGAGGCCGAGGCAGGCAGATTGAGGTCAGGAGATCGAGACCATCCTGGCTAACACGGTGAAACCCCGTCTCTACCAAAAATACAAAAAAAATTAGCCGGGCGTGGCGGCGGGCGCCTGTAGTCCCAGCTACTCGGGAGGCTGAGACACGAGAATGGCGTGAACCCGGGAGGCGGAGCTTGCAGTGAGCCGAGATCGCGCCACTGCACTCCAGCCTGGGTGATAGAGCAAGACTCCGTCTCAAAAAAAAAAAAAAGAAAGAAAAGAAAAGAAAAGAAAAGAAAAGAAAAAGGCATCCTAGTCTAGTCTCTGATTTGGTTTCACTGACTCTTGGCATTGGGTGGAAAGTATGTCATAGGGTGTCAGCTACAGCATCATCTGCTTCTGTACCTCTTGAACATCCCCAAGAGGTCTGCCTGCTGCCCCCATTCATTTGTATCGCTAGGCTGGGTCCCCATAAGCCTGGAGTCACCTACTTCAGTTGACACCAAGGCTGTCCCTAAGGGAGGAAACTAAATCTGATGGCCTCAGATGCAAGGCCTTTGTGGCGAGGGTGACTTCTTTTGGCCATCCATGGTAGTAATGCAGCTGAGGAAGTAAAGATTGTTTAAGAATGAATTGTGATGGATGCTGAAGCTTTAGTTTAGCTGAGTACTATATTTCTTACTGGAACTGATTCAGTACTTTTCTACTTACCTACTATTTTCCCACCATAGTGCTAGGAGTTGTATGTGTGTGAGAGAGTGAACAAACACACATACACACATATTTCAATCCTTGTCAGAAGTCTAGAAGGTAGATATGATTATCCCCATTTTACAGATGTAAATAGCAAGGCTCAGAGAGGTTACATAACCTGCCCAAAGCCATTCAGGGTCTCAGTTCATGCCTGTTTGACTCCAATGCCTATCCTATTCCCACTTTTGTTGCTATGCCATCTGAATTAAATTTTATCTCATTATTTATCCCATGGAATAATAACTTACAAGCAGCTGTGATGTGGGCAGGCAGTAAGAAAGGGAAAAAGCATGATGATCTTCTAATGAAATAATCAATCTCTGAATCATTAAGACTTTAATAAAATGTTTTTTAATAGTTTATTTTTTTAACCCTTACTCTATGCCAGACACTAAACTAAACTTATAATTCTTACAAGTACTCTGGCAGACAGATATTATTTATTTATTTTGTACCAATAGGGAAACAGAGGCAAAGTGGTGTTAAGGAACATGCCCACAGTCACATAGTCACAATGGGGATATGGACCCATTTGGCTTGACCTTGAAACCTGTACCCGCCTTATGACAAGGCTGCTTCTCAGAGTATATTTTCTTTGTTTCCTCCTCTTCTTCTTCTGCTTCCTTTTTTCCTTCTTCTTTCTTCCTTCTTCCTTCTTCTTTCTTTTTTTTTAGATAGCATCTCCCTCTGTCCTCTGTCTCCCAGGCTGGAGTGCAGTGACACAATCATGGCTCACTGCAGCCTCTACCTCCTGGGCTCAAGTGATCCTCCCACTTCAGCCTCCTGAGTAGTTGGGACTACAGGTGTACACCTCACATCTGGCTAATTTTTAAAGTCTTTTATTTGTTGTATATTGGGATCTCTCTATGTTGCCTCGACTAATCTTGAACTCCTGGGCTCAAGTGATCCTCTTGCCTCGGCCTCCCAAAATGCTGGGATTACAGGTGTGAACCACCACACCTGGCCTCAGAGTATATTTTCACATTATATTTTATCATTCATACTTTAACTCTTTCATCTCACAATAATGTGATGGGATTGCTCTTTGAAAACTTCCCCGAAAGGATTTTCTTTTTTTAATAAGTCAAGAGTTGGGCAAAATGCCTTGCTCACTCACTTCTACAGAATGTATTTTAATTGGATGCTGTTTGCCTTAAGTGAACCAGCTTTTACTTATGGAGTTGGAAATGAACTAGATGCAATTTCTAGAATCAACTGTAAATCTGAAAATCCATTTAAGCATATAACCATCCTGGAAAACCAACAGCAGCTGTAGCACAGTTAATGCCCCTGTCCCCCATAGCCCACTTCAGCTCTGGGAGAGCACTCAGGGACAGAGATGGCAGTGGCTTATGCCACCAGGGAGCTGTATGACCATGGGCAAACTTAGCCTGATCACTGGCTTCTTCACTTGTAAACCGAGGTGATTACGCTTGCATGAGGACTTGGAGGGAAGATGGGATGTATCCTTCGTGACACGTCATTGTTTTGGCCAGTTGTTAGATTGAAGATATTATGGAGGGGCCAAGGACTCATGTCTGGATAATGATTTATAATAGGATGGTTTCCTTTAAAACAACCCATGTCACCACACTGTGGCCATTTTGAACTGGTCTAGAAATACTGTCTATCTGTGCCTGTCTCCCCACAAGAAGATGAACTCCTCAAGGATCAAGGTGTATCACGGAGCCTGGTGCGCAATAAGCCCTGGATGAATGTTTGTCAAAACTAAGTGAAATTGGATATTTGATCTGGAAGGAAGCAGAGACAGGTTCCTAAGCCTTCGATTTTACATCAAGAGGGAGAATAAGAGATTGGCCCAAGTTCCAGCGCTGGCTAGTGAGGAGCAATGGTTATCATCTTCCAGTTCAGCTTTCTACCTTTTTTCCCCTGGACTGCTTCTCCATAAACTTTCTTCTGCTACTTTCTCATCTGTAAAATTGGAACTGGAACATATTGTCTGTGTCTGTTGAGGTATCTTTACTATTATGATACCCCTTTTTGAGCAGGTATTATAGCATATGGGTCAAGAACGTGTTGATCTTGAGACAGACTTCTGAGTTCTAACCTTGGTGTCCTTAATTCCTAACTGTGTAACATTGGTAAAGTTTTTAAATCTCACTTTGCTTCAGTTTTCTCAGCTATAAAATGGGGATAATTATAGTAGCGTCTTTATGAGATTGTCATGGAGATTAAATGAATCACATTCTTGAAAGTGTTTAGAAGAACACATCAGTAAGCACTGCTTGGTGACCCATCAAATGCACAATATGTGTCATTATCTATCTATTACCTACTTAATGAGACCAGCTATTCAGTGTTTTTTTGAATACCCCCCATGTGCAAAGCACATCCATACTTAAGAAGATGAGAAAGTGACTGAAGATGTTGCCCTGCAACGCAAGGTCATGGTGGGAGAGCACGGCAGGTCATTATAATGATAGGACAACCACAAAATGCTCCATGTATCATGGGAGCACTGTAGGTAGGCCTCTAATCTATCTTGGGAGTTGCATGGAGGAGGCAATACTGGAGCTAATTCTTAAACGAAGAAAAGGAGTTAAGCCAAAGAACTGGGAAGACAATTCAAGGCAAAAGAGAGCCTATGTCAGACATAGGAAAGAGAGCAGTGTTGAAGTGTGTGTTGAGGAACATGCAGTTGGATGTGACACCAGCCATTCAGGGTGAGGCAGGAATGGTGGTACATAAGTCTAAAGAGGCAGGAGGAGAAAAACCTTGCAGAGCCAAGCCAGCTTCAGCTGGCAGTAGATATAAGTGGGTATCAGTGCCTCCATCTGAAAAGAGATCTGAAAAGAGATTGTTGGAAGAGAAACTGAGGTCTCTGGGCTGATGATGGGGTGGATAATAACTAACCAAATCATGGAGAATAGTTATAAAAAATATGAGTCATACATCAGGAGGATAAACAAAGCCCTGTGAAGACTCAGAGAAGGTAATAATTTCAGGAATAGTTACCAATGACAGTAATTTCAGGAACAGTTAACAATGATAGTTAACAAACACAGAGCTTACTCTGTGCCAAGAGCTGTTGGAAGCATTTTTCTGATACAGAATCATTGACTCCTTACCACCTCTGAATGAGGGGGATATTAGTTGTATTCCTATTTGGTAGATGAGGCTGGCTAACAGAGGGTAAGGTCACTTAATTATTACATGAGACTGAGACCCAAGCAGCCTGGATCCAGAGCTTATAGGATTATGTCCCTCTACCTGGAGCGAGGGGAATAGGGACAATTTCACAGAGTAGATGGCATCTGAGCCAGGTTTTTCATGAGGAGATAATTTTGCAAGCAGGGAAAGCCTGAGTTAGAATGCAGGCTCTCACTGATAGTGGGTATTCTGTACTCAGAACAGATAGAGCAGTTTCTCTTATGCCAGGTCTCCCAAGATTATTAGACCAGCTGAATTTCTCAAGGTTTTATAGGGCCACTCCACAGCTCTCAATAGAGGCAGTACATGGTAAGGTGTACTGGGTGCTCACCAGGCACCCAACACAGGTGTACCTGAAATGGTCAATCTAGAAGTGAGAAGGCCTGGCTGAAGGCCTATCAGTGTGACCTCAATCAAGTCCCTTATTTCTCTGAGCTGTTTCTGCCTCTATAAGATGAAAAGGAAGATACTTACCTTTCAGATACAAGTTCAGTGAAATAATGTTTGTTTTAAATAACTTTTATTACTGTAAAGCATTCTACAAGTGCAAGGTTTTATTGTCATTAACAGAAAATAAAGCCGAATCATGGTTTTGAAATGTACCAAATATGGATATAGATTTGTGTACTCTCTACCTTCTCTTTCAATTCCATTACTATTTCACATTTCAGTTTTCATGTAGGAAAAAAAAAATAAGTAGGTTTGATGTTGTTTCCTGTTCTCAGGGAAGGATTTGTTTCTTTATGTTTAAAGTGCTTTAGATTGGACATTGATGAAATAGTGGTTCATATTTTGAGTTTACTTCATGTTTAAAGAAATATGTATCAAGATACTGTCATCCATCAAGTGAGTAAATGGTGATGATGGGTCAAAACCAGCACCTGAGGATGTAGACTGACCTTTTCTAATTTTATGTCAAGAGGATGATGGACCTAGCAAGAGAGAGTTGGATCACAGACGCCATAGAAGAACTGAAATAAGTTCTGTTTTTCTTCTATTGTTACATCTCTAGCACAAAAGTATCTCCTAAGAAGACCCTTTTTCTTATAGCTGGTTGTAATTTTTTGTTATTGCCTTTTAAATGTGGGACACGTTCATTCATCAATTCATTTTTTTCATTTGTTGAATCAAGGAGGACGAAATGTTTGATGTATTTCTTAGATTCAAATATCAGATTCATAAGGCTGGGAGAGACCTTGTATTGTTTGTTTTCATTCTACATGTTCCTCACTCTGAGCAGAAGCAAGTCCAAAAGGCTGAAGACAGATAACCTAATGTAGCCTCTCTCTATAACTCATTCCTAGGTCTAACAAATGACACTTAGGCCAAGGAAATTCTTCCTTGTAGTGGATTTAAACTCTGCCCATTGCAGCTTAGGCACAGTTCTGCTCCTTTCTCCTCCCCGGAGGTGGAGAAAAACAGCTCAGTCACTGTCTTCACGAATCAGCCTTCCTTTCTTGATGATCATTATGAAACCAGCCTGCGGCTGTTGCTCTCAAGGCTAAGCAACCTAAATCCATAGGTATAATTCTTCATTTCTGTCTTCTTGAGTTTTTCTGAACCTTCTCCAAATCTGCTTATTATCCCTAACTTCTATAGCCTAGAACTTTGCAGGAGGGTCTAGCCAGGACTAACCAGTACTGATTGATCACCTGCTCGGTCATTTAATCAGCTAATATGCATTTAGTGAGCTCCACATACTGGACCTCTGAGCCAAGCCTTGAGGGTACAAAGATAGGTAAAAGGCAGCATAAAGGAACAGATAAGAGCGTGGTTAACAACCAGGCTGGTTACCCACTGATCAGCTGTGTGACCGTGAGCATGTTACTTAAACTTGCTGTGTCTCAGCTCCCTCATGGGCAAACTTGGATAATGATAGTAATCTATCTCATAGGGCTGTAGTGAGGACTAAATGAAGAAACACACACAATGCACTTGGACGAGTGATTGACACTTAGCTATGGCCACATGACTGTTTGTTAGACAGGACAAAAACGAAATAAGATGCAGACGCTGCCCTTGAGTTGTACTCATTCTACTTGGAAGGATCAACTAGTAAATGGCTAACAAACAACTATTTACAATTCCAGTGCATTTAGTGCTATAGTAGCAGAAGAAGCATGTGGGATGGAAGTTCAGAGGCCCAATTATGCCTCAGGGCATCAGGAATGGCTTCATGGTTCAACAGAGGTGAACTGTTCTGTATATTTCTTAGGTTCACATATCATTGGCTTAGAGGCTGGGAGAGACCTTGGAATGACGTCTCACTGACCATTTTCACCCTAAGGATCACTGAGTTTGGCCACAGGGGAAATAATCAGAGGTTTCTAGGTTGGCAAAGATGGTATAAAAGTGTTCTAAGTAGAAGGAGGCTTGTGAACAGGACCTGGAAGAGTAAATGTGTGGTTATGTTTGAAGAATGCTGAGTGGTTAGTTGTGTTGTGTGGTGTGACAGGCACTGGGGAGAGGTCCTTCCATCTGGGTGGCATCAGATTGTCTGGGGACTTGGGAGACTTGCGGAGGTGTTTGCCTTATCCTTCGCCTAATCTATGCTCATGGGGCTTTATGTCTACTGTAAAAAGCTATAGCTCAGTTAGGGAGACAGCCAAAGCATTTGATGGTTCTCTTCTAGTAGTTTTCTCACTGTCTGGAATCAGAGCTATGTATCAATCCCTGGAAGCCAGAATCTAAATCTTGCTCATTTGCCTATTTCTCTCAGGGCCTAGGACAGTTCCAGGCATAGAGCAGGCTCAAGTCATGTGTGCTCAAATCAAGTGGCCATATATAACCAGTGCCCTCATCTGCCTGTTCTAGAACAACTAGTTGTGCTCATGCATGAATGAACAAATGCAAATAAACCAATCCAGTGTTTTACGGTTTTCAAATTTGACTCAATTTTATGTACCTCTTGGTACAAATTTGCGTAAAACCCAAATAGCCAATATAAGAAATCAATTCTCTCTGTGGTATCTTTGCCTTTTATGTTCAGCCTCCTGTACTCCTGTATCCCACATTCATGGCTGATTGTTCTGATGGGGGCCCAGTGAACCTTGAGTGGGTTTTTCCCTCCTCCAACTCTTTCTTGAACATTGATTTTCATAGGTCACAACTTATGCTGATGATGGCTAAGGAATATTTGAGATGTGGAGGGAAGATTTTAAAAGGTCGAGGGCAACAGGCAGCTCTTGCGTGTCTAAAGAAACAAATATATTTTGCATCAAGTTTTCCTTTTGAAAAAAAATGTCAAAAGAAGTGTGAAATCCTCAAGTCATAGCAGCTGGTTGAATGCAGCGATTCTCTCACTTATGGTGCAAAAGCCGCAATTTTCTATCTAATTCACTACTCAATCATTCCATGGCCCTTGTCTCAAGCTCAATTTAAGCTAGTCCCCAGTACACAGAGCCACTGTACAGTGTATAAAAGAAATGACTGGCCAAAGGGACTGAGGGAAAAAGCCATGTGGTGACCCAGAGCTGACGTTATCAAGCCGTCCTAGGATCACGTGGCACCTCTCTCTAAAGCCTCTCATAAAGTCCATGTAAAATAGGTCATCCTTCCTTTAGCCTTTAAATTTTGATGGTCACTGCCTGATAAAAGAATATGATCTGTTTAAATGCTCACCATTTATATTGGGGAAACAGACAATTTACTTGGGACTCAGGGGCAGTGCCTGGATTGAAAGTTTGCTGCCGCAAGGGCTTTGAACTGAAATGGAAACAGGCTGGCTCTCTGCAGAACTCCATTACTGCCGATGACTGTCTTTTTCAGAGGAGTTCGGGTGAACAATAAATATGACTACACTTTAGGGAGAGTGTCCTGGAAACCGTTGGATCTTTCCTTACACATATCAAGTGTATTTCAGTTTTCAAAAGCACTTTTCCATGTATACCCCTTTTTCAATCTCATAGAAGCCTTATCGAGGAAGTGGCAGCAATGTTATTATTACCAATGGACAAATGAATAGACCCAGAGCTGACAGGTTAAGAGCCCTGCACAAAAAGACCGGGATTAAAACCTAGGTCAGAAACACAATCCTGTATGTGTTTGCTCAGATCAAACCACCTCTCTGTTCACTGGTCAAGGATAAGTATTCTTAACGCTTGTAAAAAAAAAAAAAATTGTGTTCTTAAATGAACACCTCATTAGTGCGAATCAATTGTCCCCTTCCTATAAAAGAGTGTGGCACTTTAAATGCTGAAACCTCTTTTAGCACTTCAAGCTGAAAACTTTTATGTAATGATTTTTAAGGAAGAACTTCTCCTACCAACCCCAACAATTGAAATTGTGTGGTGGAAAAGTAAGATCTTCATGTTTCCTATGCTAATCATAATGCTTTGGGCACGAGCTTCTTGCAGTGGTGGGAGTCCAGCAGGTCTATTACATAGCCAGTAAGCCTGGGATATGCTGCAGAAATACATAATTTTGTGTACCACTTTAAAAGACTTTATTTTTTGCATTGCTGGATTCCTTTTTTTACACAGGAAAAGGAAGCACACCGTCTCCCTCAAGTCAGCTTCTTGCCAAGATGAGCCTTAAATAGCACAAATCACCTTAACCCCACCTTTTGCCTTACTATTCAGTGAATCAAAGATCTGAGTTAATGAGACCAAAATGCTTTTTGAGAAATTTTGGAAACTGAAATGGTCAAGTGGTTACATGATATAGCTTTATTTGTGTTGTAATAATACCAAAACTCTTAGATGCATTTTTTTGGCCTTTGAAATGTATTCTTTTCATTAGTAATTGATTTTGGTGTCCACACATAACTTGAAGAACTATGAGGAAGCATTTTCTGTTGCACTTTTCTTGCATCATTAATGTACTCAATGTTCTCTTCATGTCTATGTTCTGCCTGCCTAGAAGCAACCTACTCTTCTCTCTCCCATCTTCTCAGCGCAAACATTCAATCAAACAAACAAACACCAAAAGAGATAAGAAAAAAATCTCAAAGCCCTCCTTCAAAACTCCTATCAACAAATCGTGCTTACTTGAAATACTAATATGTGGCAAGCATGAGCTCTGGAGTCAAATCAATGTGGCGTTGAAATCCTGCATTGTCATTGACTAGCTGGATAACCTTGAATATATTTCTACTCTAAACCCTCAGTTTCATTGTCTTTAAAATGGGATTACAATAGTAACTTTCTCCTAAAGTGATTGAAGATGGAAGGAAATAATATAGTTAAATCCCTTGGCAAAGTGACTGGCATACAGAAAGCACTGAGTAAAAATTAGCAATGATTATTCTTGTTGTGAAAGTATTTTCTTTAAAACCAGGATCATGACAAGGGTGTCTACAGTTTCACTCATGACAGCCTACTAATACCTGGTTCACAGTAAGATGTGGAAAAGAGGAGATAAAAATGATATTACCAGGTAAAATTACTGTTTACATTGTAAAGCAAAGATTCTTAGAAACACTGAAAAATTATTAGAAATTATGAGTTGAGTTAGTTGATTCAATATAAAATAAATATATAAAAATTAATAACTAACTTTTTGATATAATGGTTATAATCATTTAGAAACTATGAAGATAAAAATTATTCAAAATAGTACCAACACATAAAATATCCAGAAATAAACTGATTGAGTAATTATATAGACTCTGTACTGGAAAAACAGTACAACTCCCAGAATAGATATAAGGTAGATTTGGATACATGGAGATAGGTGTCATCTTCCTAAAAAGGAAAAATGAATCCCCTCAGCACTTCGATTTTTCTCAAATGAATTTACATATTTAATGCAATTCTAATCGAAATCATGTTGCTTCTGTAGTTTTCTGGAAACTTGACCAAATATTCTAGAGTTCATCTTGAATAATAAATATAATGAGAGAGTTAAAAAAATTAGAAAAAGAAGAGCAGTAAAGCAGGCTTTTCTCTAGTAGACATTGCAATGTGCTATAAAGTTAATGGTAATTAAAACAGGATATTCTGGAGTAAGAATCAACAGACAAATGGGGTTGAAAGAGCCAAGAGACAGACTATTGAATATAAGAGCTTAAAATGTGTTCAAAATTACATTACATATTAGTTGAGAAACTGACAAGTATGCAGTCAGTGGTGTTGAGTTACCTGATTGACTGGGAGAAAATGCTACAAATTAAATTTCAGGCGGAAAAGTGTAAAATGCAAAAAATTCAAAACATATTTTAAAGAGGAGAAAGTGTAGGGTAACATTTATCTGATCATGGGATGAGAAGGCCTCTAAGCATAAATGAAAAAAGAGTGACAATTTTGACTATGTAAAAATGTAAAAATTCTCTGTGTTTCAGAGATAAATTCTAAGAATTGTATTAGATTAAAAAAATTGGAAAAAATGTTTTTGAGAAATCTAGCCAAAAGGCTTGATGCTTTTAACAAATGAAGATCTCATACAAATAAGAAATAACCTCACATTTCACTAGGAAAACAATGAGCTGGGTCCATGAGCAATTAACAGAAGATATATGTTACCAATAAATATATGAAAAAAATGTAGTCACATTTGTCAACAGGTAAATGCAAATTAAAACAATAATGGGGACATGACTGATAAAGATTTTGAGAAATGATACTGTTGGTGATGATGGGATAAATTCCATTTAACTACTGACTCTTCTTTGAGGAAGAGTGCTGATTTATTACTGCCTTTCTGGAAATCAATTAGGTAACATGTATCAATAGTTTAAAAATTTAAAATACTTGACTTAATATTATTCTAGAAATAGTTCTTAAGGAAATTATTAGAGACAAGACTAAACTTAATGTGAAAGGATGGCTATTTTGATGCTATTTATAATAATGAAATTTTGATTCATTCTAAATTTCCAATGATAGGTTAATGGTTAGATATACTATGAGAAAGCCGTTCAAATGGTGTTTTCAGTATTTTACTGAAATAAAGTGTTTTATTTACTCTATGTTTTCAGTATGGAGGAGAATGCTTTTGATATCCTATTAAATACAAGTAGTGGAAACTGTATTTTGAGTTAAATATGGTACCTGAAATCCTACAAAAAGACATTATAAAAAGTTTAAAGCTCAAAGGACAAAGAGAATGAAAGAGGAGATGGCATCGGGGAAGAAATGCCAACTACATTTTGAAAGCTCAAAGAAGAATAAACAAATGGTAACTGACTTGGCACAGCATTAAAATAATACTGAAATTTAAGCTTGTAGGTGAAGGAATCAACAAAAAGCAGGCTGTTTTGCTCTGCCAAATTCTGGAAATGCTCATAAATTGAAGGTAGAAGGTGAGATACGGGTCAGAGTGAAAACAGGTGAATAGATACACAGAATGACCAAACAGACCTGATCCCTTCCCCCACTGGACCAAGACATACAACAGTTTGCTTTCTAATGAAGTTCAGCCAGATATCTGGACTAGGGGACAGTTAGGCACAGTAGAAGAACAGTTAATATGGAATAAGGAAAATAAGGAGGTTTTAAGTGAAAGTCTGTTTACTAAAGAGTGAGACCCCAGTTTCTCTCTTCTCTTTCAAAGTGCCAACAACTTGCCTTATGCCCTGCCAGAGGGAGAGCAAATGATTGTCTTCTGGGGAAACTGACCAATCCAAAAAAGGCCTCTCATGAAAGTGCCAACTCTCCTCCATGTCACATTGCAGTAAAGTTCACCATTTGTAACCCCTGCCCATGCTCCTGGAACTTCTAGTCAGCCTTGGATGTGTTACTCTTGAATGGAACAGATGACCATTCTTGGAAGGCCTCTAATGTGAAAGTGAGAGAATAGAAGAGAAACAAAAAAAAAAATTTGAGGAAACTGAGGCAGTGCAGGGCAGAGGAAAACATTTTTTAAAATATTTATTTCTAGAGGTAAGAGAGTATATTGCACTTATCATAAAGAACAGGAACTATGGAAAGGAATATTCCGAAAACCAGAATAAAATCTTGGAAATTAAAAATACCAAAGTGGAAATTAAAATTAATTAATGAACTAGAAAACAGAGAAAAAAACTCTCTGAGAAGAATGGGAATGAAAAAATAAAAGCAAACATGAAAATTTGAAGATCAGCCCAGGAAGTCCAACATCTAAATCCACAGGAGTTTCAGAAAGATATAACAGATAAAATGGAGGGAAGAGAACTGTTAAAGAATTAATGAAAGAATTTCCTTGAACCAAGAGACAAGATTATAAGAGCCACAGATTGTAAGAGTCAACTCAATGTTAGCATAATGAATGAAACACACACACACACACACACACACACACACACACACACACACACACACCCCTAGACACATCATTGAAACATTTCAGAACATTTGGGCTAAAGAAAATCTACTAAAATATTCAGGAAGAAAAAAAAAACAGTTCCTATGCAAAGAATTGAGAATCACATTGAAAAAACACTACTTGGAGCTAGGAGAGGATAGATAATTATATTGACAAATTTAACTCTTACCTCGAAATCAATATTCTGCCACTGCCTCCCATTGCCATGGGAATAAAATAATGGACATTCATTGAATTAAATAAGAAAATGAATGTAAACTTGATCAAATTTTGGAATGGAATAAAGTATTTTCAGATATACAAGGTCTTTATGAATTTCTCAGAAAGCCACTAAACGAGATGTGCCTTGAAAACGAAAGAGTAAACTAAGCAAGAGGAAGATCTGGGGTCTAGGGAATAAGAGGTCCAGACCCAAAGAGAGGCCAAAGATATTCCTTGAGTGAAGGCAAAGGGGAGCACTAGAATGTCAGCTGTGCAGAATGCCTGGAGAGAAGCCACTCTGGATCAGAGCAGGAGGAAAAAAGTGGAACTGATCTGTTGTCTGATTTGCTGGTATATATTGAGAAAAACTTTCTGGTTTTGGCAAAGAACTTTTTTTTGGCATTGAGCCAAAAAAAGGAGGGAAATAAGAAATAAGACAATTATTAACTTCAGGGGAAACAAAAAAGTATGTAAGAAAGAAAATTTAATGACACACTCCATAGTTCAGCGGTGAACAAAAGTTAAATAGTTATAATAACATAAATGTTGAATATTTACTTAACAAGAACATAAAGTAACTATATTGGGATGATGAAGAGAAAGGAAATATATTAATGTATGTGAATGGGGGTATGTAAGACTTAGTTCTCATTTTCCATATTCAAACGTCACTAGGTAATACCTGATGCAACAACCTGGTGGGATGGGCTACTATAATTTGCAAACAAGGAAATGAGCCTGGGGATGGAGGATTTGTTTGGGATTTCACAGCAAGCCTACATGGTAGAAACAGATAGAGCACCTAGCTGTCCAGCCCCCCAGGCTTGGCACTAAACTATGGCAGAAATCTTGGCCCAAATATATCCTCTGCCTTTCTCTAGTTCTTCCCACATCTCCATGTTGAATGACTCAATAGAAATTCCCCACTCAATAAACTTGTATTTGAGTTAAAAATAGGTAATCAGTGATTTTTATTGTATTCTATGTGACTTTCATTCTAAGAGGCAGAAAAATATGCTAAGAATAGGCAGAATGTATATATGAATTGTGATTCGAGTGGGCTGGCTTTGTTGTTGATGTGGATCTGGGTTAGAGGGCTGACTCCTCCACAGATTAGATGTCTGACCTTGGGCAAGCTGCTTCATCTATTTCAAGCTTTGGTTTTCTCATCTGTAAAATGGGATTAAAATAGCAGGCATCTCACAGGGTTAAATAAGATAATGAATGTGAGAGATGAACACAGTGCCTGCTAATAGAAGAGCATAAGCCATGTAAAGGATTGCGGCAGCACTGGAAGCATAGTTGAGGGTGGGAGTGGAAAGAAGCAGAGAGGGCAGTTGATCCTAGTAAATGCATTTGAACATATTTGTAATGTTAAAATTACATTACCTGGCTAATGGGAACTATGATGTAAGACTATCAGAGAACACGGAGATATGCAGAGAAACTAGTCAAGGTGGTGTAAAACTGTTTTCAGGTCTTATGGTGTCTCCAAGCTCTGGCATGGGTCAGAACCTGGTCCTAGCTCTGGTGGTGGTATGTGTTAGTCTGTTCTCACGCTGGTAATAAAGACATACCCAAGACTGGGTAATTTATAAAGGAAAGAGGCTTAATGGACTCACAGTTCCATGTGGCTGGGAAGGCCTCACAATCATGGCAGAAGGCAAGGAGGAGAAAAGCCACGTCTTACATGGTGGCAGTCAAGGAAAGAGCATGCACAGGGGAATTCCCTTTTATAAAACCATCAGATCTCATGAGACTTACTATCATGAGAAGAGCATGGCAAAAACCTCCCCCCATGATTCAACTACCTCCCATGGGGTCACTCCCATGACACGTGGGAATTATGGGAGCTGCAATTCAAGATGATATTTGGGTGGGGACACAGCCAAACCATATCATCGTATTTCACAGTTGGAGCAGGATTAGCAGTAGCAGCATATTATAAGGTTTGTTATTTCTTCCAAATATCCATAGAATAATTCTCCATGGAACATTTCTGGATATGAAAGTTTTGAGAATTACCTGAAACTTTCATGGGTGATGGTTCTGAGAAGTTGCTAACCCAACATGAGAAGCATGGCCTTGATCTCTTACCTTTATTGAGATGACTCTGGTGGACACCACCACCATCTCTGTGTTTTCACAGGGAGGAAGGATGGCAGATTGCTTGATCTACCATTTGAAACCCATGTGGCAACTTCGTTGTTTTTAGAAAACACTCCACTTGTGATACAGAATATTTTAAACACATGATGACAAGCCCTGTTCTCTGTTCTATGAAGTGGAGACGGGCTCATAGACACCTGAAGCTTTCTGCAAAGGGTGTAGAATTTTTCTTCTCCCCTAGGGACATCATGCACTTCTGTCTATCACTCAGTATTGCTATTTGGCTTCTGAGACTTGAAGGGAGGGCTGGAGATGCTTAGGGCTCACCTAGGTGTTTACAGAGTGAAAAGCTGGAAACTATGGGGGGCACAAAGAGGATCTGCCTTTGTTCTGCTTTTCGGCAAAGCACCCTCTGCCACTTAGAGCAGGTGTGAGTGTCCCATTTATTGCACTCTCTTTGTACTATAGTTCCAAAAACCTAAACATCTCTCTCTGTGCAGAGTTAGGGTGTAGGGAACACTTGCTCAGGTAGATACTTAAGGGCCAAAGCACCCAAATATTGCATCCCACCACATGGGGCAAATGTTTTCAGGCACTGGGAGTTAGCACCGACAGAACATATTATTTAACATTTCAGAGAATTCTAGGAAGGAATGAAAGGGCAAGGCTGATTTTGCTGTAGAAAGACTGGGGAAAGGAAGAGAAGGAAAAGGACCATGTGAGGGAAATGACTTCCATGGGGAAAAGTGAGATAAACAAGGAAATAAAATATTTGTATGTCAAATCATTATGTTGGACAACTTACATTATATAATTTTATTTGACCATTATATACTTCAATAAAGCTGGAGAAAAAGGGAGTTAAGCCAAAAAAAAAATTATTCTGAATCAGGAGAAAGGCAACCTAGGTGATGAAATGCTGACGTGTGTGTGGTAGTTTACATTTAATTCTCATGGCAAATTGTAAGTATAATTATTCCCATTCACAGATGAGGAAACGGAAATTGGTAGGAATTTACAATTATTCCCATTCATAGATGAGGAAATGGAGAAATTGGTTCTCCGTAGGGTGTCCAAGCTCACACAGGTAGTAGGAGGCAGTATCTTCTCTCGTCTTTCTGGCTGCAAAAGCTCTCATTTTCATTCCCTCATGTGAGAGCAAAGTCCATTTCTTTCTTTTCCAGGTATTTTCCAATGAGTGGAAATCCCTTTTGCGGGATCCTCCCTTTCCTGCATTTGCTGGGCCAATACACTTTCCTCCTGGTAGTGATTTGCCTTTACTGAACCCTCTACGCAGGTGAGGAAGGGGAGGAACACTGGGCGCTGTTTCTGGGTCCTGCATTGGGAGTGGTACCGGATACTCACCAGGAGCCATCAGGAGTCCAGAGACATCACAGTTCTGCCCTCTTTCCTGCACCACCACATGCTCACATTTCACACACTGAGACACACAGCTGGTTAACTCTTCCTCCAGAGTGCCTGTAAAAGGGAGAGGCCAGTGCAGTGCTAGTCTGTGCACTAAAGGTCCAAATCCTGGTTCTACCACATAGTAGCTGTGACAACATGATAATTTCCTCAGCCTCTTTGTGTTAACCTCCATGTTTTCCCCATCTGTAAAATGGTGATAGTAGTAGTAGCTGCCTGATAGGGCTGACCACAGGGTTAAGTAGAAAAATCACATCATCATAATCATTGTCATCATTGTCACCATCATCTCGCTATCACTCCCAAAGAACTTGCATACAGTCATTTCTCATGTTGTTGGCTTGTTTCACTTGAGGTTGGTTTCAGCTATTGAAAGTTTTAGGGGCAAGTTAAGGGGTCAGGGTTCAAGAGACGGAAAAGCAGAAATAAGAACAGTGCTTGTGCACATGAAGTTGCCTGACAAAGTTTGTATGTGTATTTCAAGAAGGTAGTTTAAAAATCTTTGATCATTGAGTGCAGAGGGGCTGTAGATTAACAATGAAGGGGCTGGGCATGATGGCTCATGTCTGTGATCCCAGTACTTTGGGAGGCTGAGGCGGGCAGATCACAAGGTTAGGAGATGGAGACCATCCTGGTCAACATGGGAAAAGCCCATCTCTACCAAAAATACAAAAAAATTAGTTGGGTGTGGTGGCAAGTGCCTGTAGTCCCAGCTACTTGGGAGGCTGAGGCAGGATAATAGATTGAACCTGGGAGGCAGAGGTTGCAGTGAACTGAGATCGTGCCACTAGACTCCAGCCTGGTGACAGAGCAAGACTCCATCTCAAAACAAACAAAGCAAAAATAAAACAAAACAAAGAACAATGAAGGGATGACAGTGTACTGGGGAAAAAAGATAAGTCATTAAGAATCAAGTTTCTCTTTTCTGTGTATGAATCCCTCATATTCAGATTTATAACAGCAAGTAATTGTATTACCAACTAAATGAGAGAAAAAATCTATAAAACTAAAGGAACACTATTCTTGCTGAATAATATATGTACATAAAATTAGAGCAATTCACAAATGCAGAATTCTAATGTTATATTAGCTGGTTGCAACTGCAAAGCCTGCATTTGTATTTCCATTAAAGCTCTGTTTTCTTTCAGTTTGAGGAAATGTTTGCCTTAACAAAAGCTCTAATGCTTTATTTTAGCCTAAAGGGATAAATCTCATGCAAGATCTGTTTTAAATGATTTTTTGAGGTTTTGAAGAAATAAAATATTTTTATTATAATATCATTAATTTTGGGGGGTTGTTGATCTTGGAGGACTCAAATATAAATGAGCTTTAAAAGTTAAAACTTTCCAACTGCCTGGTTCCTAGAGAGGAGAGCTTGCTCATGAACTGAGAAGTTTTCAGTGAGAAAATGAAAAAATCGAGAGGAGGCAGAAATAGAAAATATGGCATCAGAAGGGAAATTAGGGTCAGGTAACCCCACCTGTTTCTCTCATAATTCCCCTTGGGAAATATGTGTAAAATCAATATGGATGACTAAAACTCAATAGTATATCTAGCCTCATCAATCCAGATATGAATTGGAAGTATTCTAAATTTTCTTCTAGCTTTAATTAAATAACATTTAAATGGGAGTAATGTGTGCTTATATATGTATATAAAACCATTTGATTTAAATAAAATGGTTATTTAATTTAATATATAAATTATTTAATTTAATAATATAAAAATAAAATATATATAAAATAAAAAATTATAAATATATATATATATTTAAATGAAATTATTGAAGAGGACTAATACTAGGAAACAATGGTCCTATGGCCCACCTCTTTCCATTTTGAGCCCTATTTCTTAGAGGTGTATATCATTACTTCTTCCTATTTTTCAGGCCATAATAAAAGTAAACTTTAAATCTACTTCAAACTGCCATTCAACATTTAACTTCTTATAAGATACTAAATGACTAATTTGAATTGATGGCAAGTAATTTTCCTAGAATCAGGGAATGTGAGAATGGGAACACTTCTCATGATCCAGGTGAATTCACGTTACATCAAAAAGAAACCAAAGTTCAGACAGGGTCTGGGACCTGTCCAAGGCTGAACAGTTAGTTTTTGACACTCTGTGGGGTAAAACTTGGGTCTGATGCCCTTTCCTTTCTACCGTACTGCTTCTCAGGATTTTTTTTCTGGCACAATTCAGGCACATCCTGAATAGTGCTTTGATAAGGTAGTTCTCTTCTCTAGAAAGTTAGACCATTTAAAAATGCTAGTTAACGTGAATACAATTCACCAATGTATTTGTCATTTAAAGACCAGTGCAAAGTATAATGGACCAATAAAAATTATAATGTACTTATAAAATTGACCCAGATTGGCAGAAAAAAAAAGCATGCAATTTGGAACAGGAAAAATACAGCATTATTGATAAAAGGAATGGCATAATATTTAATATTAGAAAACACCATTGGTAGCAGCTTTCCAATGTTAATATTAAGTTATAGTAAATATCTTTCCATACTTGACAGTTTCTTTAGTTTGTCATTAGATGAGGAAACAGAGTATTGGTGGTTTAGGGGTTATGGAAGACCATATAATAGTGATACAGAGGAAATCTGAAAGTATAAAGATTGGGGAAATGGAAATCAGAATTTAGGGTGTGTTTGTGCATGCATGTGGGTGTGTGTCTGTATATCATACTGAGGTGGGGATGGTAAGTTAGAGGCAAGAGTCGATAGGATGTCCTGGCCTTCTAGGCACCAGCTTTAACAGAGGCTGATAAATTTGACATCTAGTCTTAAGGTCAGAAAGCGTTTGATCAGGTAGCAGCTAAGTCATGTTAGGTTAGTTTCACATGCTGAAAGAAAACATAATTGGCCTAGACAAGGGATTGGCAAAATTGCTCTGCAAAGGGCTAGGTAGCAAATATTTTCACCTTTGCTGGCCATAAGGCCTCTGTTGCAACTACTCAGCTCTGTCACTGTAGCACAAAAGCAGCTACTGATAACATGTAAACCAGTGAACATGACTGTGGGCCAATAAAACTTTATTCACGGCTGCAGAAATGTGAATTTCATGTAATTTTGTTGTCACAGAATATTATCTTTTTAAATATTGTTTTTAACCATTAAAAATTTAAAAATCATTCTTTGCTCACAGACTATGCAAAAATAGGTAGGCTGCTGGATTTGGTCCATGGACCGTAGTTTGCTGACAGTTGGCCTAGCTAACAAAGGGTTAGGGTCTATTATTTAACAAATGATTCTTCTAGAATTCATCTAGAGATGAATTGCCACTTTTCAGTCTCCCTAATTTTGTGTTTCTGGAACCTAAGTACTTTCTGTTTTTGCTTTGTTTTTCGTAGGCCAGCAGTCTTGACCGAACACAGAGCAAGTTCTGTGTGTGATCTTTTCACTCTAATACCCCATTTCCTGATCTACCAAGCATTCTAGTGGATGAGACAAAGATGGTTCTTTACTGCATCGTATAAACCAGCAGCCAGATATGTTTGCCATCATGACTAAGGTGTAGGCACTTTTAAAGACTGTTATTCTGAAGTGCATTCTGCATTCTGATATAGTGTGTCATGCAGGATGTATACTGGTGGGAACTTCCTCTCATATGTCAGAAGGACTCCACTTGGCTAATAAACCTCAGAAGTAGGCCCAGTGAAGAGAAGAATGCCCAGCTACATCCCTCACTGGTCACTGATGCCCCTCATTTGCATTTAGTATAATTCCTGTATGGAATCCCTGCACTTTTGATTGGCTTCTGGCCCCTAGTATCACAGTAATCCCTTATATGAATGGCATGCTTTTGAGGTAGAAAGTATCTGTTATATAAAATCCCTGATGCAGATGGCAAAGTGACACTCAGGGAAGTCACTATGGTAGAAAGTGGTAGAACTATAGCTCAAAGCCAAATTGGACTCCAGCTGCATTGCTCTTTCTGCTCAGCCAGGCATCCTGTCTCTAGTTTAGAGTTTATAGGGCCTGGGACTAAAGCCACTTGTAAACTTTGATGTGATGAGGTCAATTATTTTTAAAGTTTATTGTCAGTACAGAGTGTTTGAAAATCAAATTCCTCGGAATCTACTGGATGGATGAAGATACATACAAATTCCTCCTCCCTCAGCTAGTTTACAAATTACTTTATTTCCTTTGCAACATGTATTTATTCTACATGTGGACTCCTATAGTATTTACTTATTCTTTATTCTTTCAACCTGTTTTGAAAACCCTATGCTTTTAGCAGTGGCTTCTGGAGAAGATATTTCTGGAGGGGAAGACAAGACCTGATTACTGGCCTAAGTAACATGCAGTGTTGTTGGAAAAATCACCAAAGCTTGAGTAATTCAAGAACAATACAAGGCAGTATGACCAGTGTCACTATTCATCTTATGCTAAGCTAAAGGTGACTTCAAAGAAGGAATGTCATGTCAATGTAGACTCAATGTCTAGAAAAGTCTTCATGAAATAACACATATTTAACCTAGCTTTGGTGATGGGTAGGGCTGGGAGAGACATAGGAAATTATTATTTCTTGAGTGCAAACTGTGCTGGTCACTGAAGTTACTCACTTAATTCTTGCAAAAAATCAGTATTACCATATCCACTTTGAATTTGAAGAAAACAAGGCAACCAAGGGAGACAGGATCAAATTTACTGAGATTGGCTCTAGGCACTGCCATTCTATTAACCATGTGACTATATGCAAGACCCTGAAGCTTTCTTTGCCTTGGTTTCCCTCTTTATAAAGTAGAGATCATAACAGTGCCTACCTTGTGGCTTTGTTAAAACTTTCATTGAGTTAATGCACATAACGTGGCACATATTAAATGCTTAATAAATGCTGTAGATGGTTATGACTATCATTACCAAACACCTTGCCAGGAGTAGGGCTGAGATTGAATGCAAATCTGACCCTAATTCCATGCTCATTTCACTACAGCTCAGTCATAGAAGGTGGTATTAGTGGATCCATCACCAGCACAATGCTGGAGTGCAGAAGGAGGTGCCATGATGGTACCATGAGGGTCCATGATGAGAGTGAACTCTCTCATGATGAAGTAGAAGATGTGGGATGGTGAGTGGTATGAGAGAAAATTCAAGGCATAAGGGGAAGTACCAGTGTCACCTTCAAGACTTATTTCATCAGTCTGTCTGGGCTATGACTAGGTAAACATTACTGCATACCTTTTCCTTCTATTTCAATTTAGGCCAGGTCTGTGTGAGTCCTGTTCTGACACCAACACCTTCCACAATATAAACACATGTGCACACATATACACACACAAACCCTGAATGTGGTGTGGGCTGAGCCATACATATTTTCCCAGCCTTGGCTCTTATCCCTCATCCCCTACTATGCTCCAGTCATACAGAATGAGTTTGCAATTCCCTGAAGCCCATTGTAATGTGCATCCTGCCCTCACTGTATTTCTACCACCTAGCATAGCACCTAGGGTATAGTAGGTGCTCAGTGAATGATTGGCAAAAAGTGAGCCCATGAGTAAATGAGGGTTCTCTCACTCCTCTGGGCTTCTGCAGATACTGTTCTCTCTGACAGGAAAATCATTCCTACCTTCTAGTTCTCTCCTCCAGAGGTGTGCTCTGCCGCTTTCCTCTCCTCTCTTAAAAGCTGAGTTAAGTGTAACTAGGAGCCATCATCATTCCTTCCGTGGCATTGATTACATTGCATTGCAATTTCCTCTTTATTCCTCTGTCCACCTCATTAAAGAGTGGCTTCCTGGAGGGTGAGACAAAAGAGTTCTTATTCAGGACCACATGGTCTGTGCCTAGCAGTGCCAGCCTCTCAGGAAGACCGAGGACCTATCTGTGACAAGTGAATGTGCAGACCACACACATGCACACACACACACACAAGCACACACATATGTGCTCACACACCATTTCAGGAGCTGTTTTGCCCTGGCCCCTCTGGGGGAATGAGTCACCAAGTAAGTAACAGGTGATTCAGGACACTGGCAGATGTCTCTCTCCTTTTCTGGCAGTGGGGAAAGCATGGCTCGGCCTCCACAGTTACTTTGGCAGTTGGAATTCAGAGAAATCAGCAGCTGACAGCAGAAGTGAAGTGCTCGAGATGGGAACTCCGTAATCAGCTTCGAGACTTTTAATGAGTGTTCTCCAGAGCAGAGTTGCTAACAAACCATCCTGGACCCCTTGATCAGTTTAATTGGAGGACAGACGGTCTTAAACATTTAAAAAAGCTGACAGAAGGATCTAATTCCCTAGGCTTTCCCTCTAGCTAAACCTGTGCCTCCGAAGCTCACTTCCTTGGCCACGTGCGATGCTTGCATTTTGACCTTTAGTGATTCCAGATCTGCGTGTTCTGTGCTCTGTTTCTGAGCCAGATCTTCATGTTGTCCTTTTGAGCATACGCGGAATGATACCAAACTTGCTATTAATGCTGATGGCTTCCTACTGGAAGTATATTTGAGAGAGGCGTCCCTTTGGGGGCATTTTGATGTCTGTGTATCCCATGGATTTTATCTGTTTTTATAAAGCATATTTAAAGCTAACTCTGTCTATTACCTATTTCAGAATGACTATAGCATTTCCTACTAATTGAGATGCTTGTTTGCATTGTGTTCTGTTTCTCTTAGCAAATTTAAATGCTTTGAAAATTGAATTTTTATATTAATAATATGTATTATAGAAGCTGATAAATGTGAGATTAATGGCCAAGAAGACACATTTCAGATTTAGATTTTTATCATTTATTAATCATGGAAAGTAAATCTGATGTATAAGTAATTTTAGTTTTATCAAGAAGATAAATTGTTCTGCCTAATGAACGTATAGATATTCTATGCCAAAGACATTTGGAGTAATCTGTTAATCATTTAACTGTGTCAGGGCATATGCTATGTCTTCATAAGGCAATTAAAACACATAGCTTTCTCCACTGAAATGTGTGTTGGCCTTCACCGCCTAAAGCAAATTAAAATGGCATTTGTCTTAAACTAGGTTTCAGTGGCACAATATCTAAAGGCAAAAAAAAAAAAAAAAAAAAAACCCAAAACAAACAAAAAACAAAAACAAAAAAACCATGGAAGTCTATAGATGTCATGGCAAAGATAGACTAGTTCAATCTCTCATATTTGGGGTGAGGTTGCAAATCACTCCCCGAGTGGGACTGTACTAATGAGTAAAGACTTTCTGGCTCCCAAGTGTCTATCACAGTGTATGGGTTCTTGGTGGAAAACCCCAGGGGACCTTTTCCCCTATCGGAGCCTGGGGATTTACTTCTGTAGCTCCCATTAGCTCTAATGGGTCCTCCCCACATACAAACTGTCCTCTCACTGACGGAGAAACAGACTCCTAACTAATATTCTTGTGACATTTATATCTAGAGTTCAGAGATGGACAGAGGGCTGCATTAACAGGCTTTGGATAGTGTTATGATACCATTATGCTAATAGAGATTTGTGTCAGCTCCTTTTTAGAGGGCCATAATTCTACCTTTAAAACTCTCTTTCAGGTGAAGCAAATTTTTCAATATTAGTATTAACTTTTTGTCATTGTTGTTTTTCTCAAAGGAACAATAACCACCATCACAGAAAACAAATGACTATTTTACTTGCCTGGCAATAGTTTGTGGAAGGCGATTTTCAGTCCACTTGCTTTTTAGAGAGGCTTCTACCTGATTTGCCCTGAGCTCAGGGCACAGCGACAGTCGTCCTCCCTCGTTCGGCTCTGCCAGTCATGAGTGTTAGAGGACACCTGTGAGGGAGGTGTTCGGTGGAAAGCTTCCACCGAGGAGACTGAAGGCACCCAAGGAGACGGAAGGCAAAGAGAAGTGCACTAGAAGCATGAGATTTTGTGGAAATTGGAGGCTGCAGCCCGCCTGAATTAGAAATCAGGTAGCTGATTCCCAAGGTTGGTGGGAACTTAGTATCTCCCAGGCAAGTTGCCTGCCGGAGCTTCTGAGAAGGAAGTGGAGAATCATACAGGGCCTGGGCCTAATTTCCTTCCATTGCCTTTAAAGGGCACAGCACAGGGGGTTCCTCTGTAACTGTGTGATGAATGAACAGGTAGGGCTGCCACTGGCTTTTGTCCGTTCCTCTTACCAGCTTCATAACCTCCCCAAGCCTCATTTTCCTGCCCACTAACCTAGGGAGAGAAATCTTCTCAGACTTCACAGAGCCTTCATGAGGAGTCCAGGAGTTAAAGCATACAGAGGCTCTAGCTCAATGCCTAACCTGGGGTAGGCTCTCAATTGGTGTTTGTTGCTGGGGGTGGTTTTCCTTCTCATACAACTTCTGCAGACAGAGGGCCATTCTCAATAGAGACACCTTTTAGCACCAAATTGGCCTACTAGCAGTCCAGCAGAAGCAAGGTATGAATTCTATGAAAAGCACCTGTTTTTCTTAGCCACACTGAAGGCATTGCCGAACGGAGAACAAGCTGGGCTGCTTTAGGGTTTTTGGAGATCACTTCTCCACCTGAGTGAGTTGGGCAGGCATGGAAGGCAATCCCCTAACGATCATTATGTCAGGGCTCCCGTTGATGAAAGCTTGAGTGAAGGACAGGATGTAGTTCTGTGGGGGAAGGGACCCGCTAATGCCTGCACAGCAGAATTAAATGGACTCACCTAGATGCTGGCCAAGCAGGTCTCCTGCTTGGAGGAGCAGATGCAGGTAGGCAGGCTCCAATGCAGGGACCTAGAAGGGACTGATCTACGCGATTGGGTCTCTTCTTCCAAACTTGTGAATCAGGTAGGTCCCTTCTCCAGCCATGAGATGAGGGAGGTATCAGGTGGAGGAATAGTATTACCCTATGGTGTCTTCTCCATGGAAACGAAGAAGTGAGGGATAAGTGGTCCTCCTAAACTCGTTGCAAGGTGTCCCTGAACCCATTCTTTAGAGAGCTCAATGCACAACTATCTTAACGTTGTCCTGGCACAAAGTCCCTGATACTTCTTTGTTCTAGAGTGATAATCTTTATATTTCCTTATTTTTTGAACTCCAACATCCACTAACCTGGATTGTAAGTGAGGCCTTGAGGGGAGTGATTAGAAAGGAAAGGGGCAGAATGTGTTGTTGTATGATGGGCGATCAGCTAGTAAGATGCACATATTGGCATTAAAAACAAACAAACCAACCAAAAAACCCCAGAAAGGATAATGTCTTCAGGTAGATGAAAAATCTGAATAAAAGGATGGTGCAGAGGGTGTTTTGAAGGCAATGACTTTTTATGAAAGGACAAGGGGCTGCTGGGGGTTTCTGGGGGAGGAGAATGCCCTGTGTGTCTTTATATGAGCTGTGTGTCTTTATATGAGCAGCTTGGGGAGGCTTTGTGTCTCGTTTTCTGGCAGGGACTAACTCTACAGCATCTTCTCCCAACCCAGGCTCCTGCCCTCTTCTCCCTGTCACCACCACTTTCTCTTCCCCGTGACCCTTTCCCCCTCAGCCTGTGGTGTGCATCCAGGGCAATGGAAATATTGCAATTAACATGATGGATTAATTGCCTCCTGAGCCCTACACTGTATCCAGTGGGCCCCACTGGTCCCCTTACCTCAACCAAGTCTCCAGAGACCTTCTGGACATGTCAGGGGTGTACAGGCACCCACTTGCTATAGAGCCAGGGTATCGCATTGTCACCAGCCCCCTCCCCTCTTCGTTATTACCATTGATTGTTCTTCCCAGTTGTTTTTTTTCTTATTGAATTCCTCTTCTAAGTTTTTATCCTAAAACAAAACCAGCTTCATTTCTGGTCAGAGGCCTGTGCACAGCAGTCTGTGCTCCTCTTCAGAGCCTGGGGCCCTGGAAAGCCTCTTCTGGGAAGGAGATGGGGAAAGGGAAGGTGCTGCTCGGGCAGTTCAGATGTGGGCGTCTGGCCAACTCAGGAAGGCTGGCCCACTCCAGAGTCTCGAACACAGATTCCCTGCTGAGTAGCATGTTGAAGCCAGCAGACTGCCAGGCGGGCCCCCTGATGTTTGTAATACACAGATCCATATCAGCGTTATGAAGTTCCATATTAATAGGATGCTAAATAGGGATTCTGAGTCTGGGAAGAGGGGGATGGGGAGGCATTGAACGAGGTCACCAGTAAAAATGAAAGCCCCAGGACTGGAATAGCAGCAGACTTGCAGGTGACTGTCGAGATGCATTAGCAGTAGGGGGAAGCTCGAACAGCATCTGCCTGCATTATTCTTGGTTCCAGCCCAGTGCCCCTTCTCTCCTCTTTCTCATTGAATTTGATGCTTTATGGAAGCTGCAACGTCATAAAAATAACACTCTGCTGCATCCTTCACCCCGGGATCTCAAAGCCCTCTACGGACATTAATATTTATCGCTAGGAACCTGGGATGTCGGCTGAGAAATATTATCCCAATTTTACAGATGAGGAACTTGAGATTGGGTGGTTAAGTGACTTGGCAGAAGTCACTCCCTACCTACTGAGTGGTGGGGCCATGCCCTGGGACAGATCCCAGAAAAGTATGTGGAGCCCTTGGAAGAATGGGAGAATGCCCTTTGTTTAAACGGAAGAAAACAGAGTGTGCCCTGAACACACCGGAGAAAGGCAAGAAAAGCGGTCTCATCTTCTCCCTCTGACTTTTATTCCCCTCTTGTCAGGCTTGAGGGAGTTGACTCTCTTGGCCTGTTTAGATTTTCACTTCTCTGCCAACTTCACCAATTAAATCTGCCAGCTCAGAACTGTGGCTGGGGCATAGTGGACAGTTTCCATTACAGAACTTTCAGGGAGTATGAAAGGGCCCACTTGGGAGAAGGATGTCTATAATGGCCAAGAAGAAGAGGGACTTGCCACAGAAAGACAACAAAAAGACTCTCAGTCTGGAAAAGTGGAAGCCAAGATGAGAAGATCTTCCAAATCAAAGGTGTCTTGAGGATTTTAGAGAAGATGAACCATCGTTTACAGGTTAGGAATTCTAGAAGTGTTGGCGTATTTTCTTTAACTTGAAATTATTCAGGAGGAATAAAGCATAGTTCTACATTTTCCGTGTAAACAGAAGATCATCTATGCCTAGGAAAAAATACAAGGACTAAAAAATAAGAATTTAAATGTATTTATAGATGAGGCCTTCATTTTGAAGGTATGTATCTGACTATTTGAATTGGTAGTATAGTCAATGATAAAGTTTCAGTTTCTAGCACTTGGTGTTCTGGCTAAGGAAGAAAACTGGACCAGGGATGGGATGGTGCTTCACCCACCTATTCCTCATTTCTAGCCACTTGTAAAGCTCTGACGAAGAACCATGGGCTGTGTGGCACCAGGGATACAGAGTCACATAGAATGATGCTTCTGCCCTACCACTGGGGGCCCCCAGGCTAGTTGGAGGAGGCAGATGTGCAAATGAATAATTATGGAATTGTGAGATGAGCTGCTGCAGAGAGCAGTACACTGTGCTATGGGAGCACAGTGGAAGAGATGATTCATGTTAGGGAAATTCTACTTGCAGATTATACTCTTCCTGGACTGGCCTTGATGAGGTTGGCACATTTCACCTATTAAGAATTAGATGGTGACCACCTGGTTCATTTACGGGTAAACAAAATCTGTTCTAAAACATTTGACCTAGTTGAACACAGTCATATCCTATGAAACGTTAGGAGGCATCAAAAGCTGAGATTCTCATGCCGAATCCTGCAGGTATTACAATAGTGTCATTGTCACATGCAGGGCATCCTGAGTACTACTAGGGAAGGACGTCAAAGTTGCTTTCTGAGGGCCAAGTCATGCCACTTCTTTGTTTCTTAGGTTTTTAATCAGTAATGTCAAAATAATGTCTTAGGATTGAGTTTGCAAAAGACTTGGTTTATTGTTAGGAGCACAGATAGATAGTAGAGTAAGTTTTGTGGCATGGTATGTTTGCTTGGGTTCTGGGTCCTGTGTGTCAAAGCCTTGGCCAGACCTGATGTAGCCTTCACCACTTCTTCCTGAAGTTTATATAGATGGCAAGGTAAAGTAAACAACATTAAATTAACAATCGAGATTGTGGCCCTCCCAAACTCGATGGAACTCAAGATCTGGGCAGCTGGCTGAACCAAGAGAAGGTGGTTGAGGACTCCTTTACCCATACTGGGTAGAAGAAAATGGCCTCCTTTCTCCTGGCTTCTGTTTCAGTTCCAGACCTTACCTACAGTGTCAACTGTGTGTGAGCATCAAATTAGAGCCACAGTTCAAAGAGAAAGGCCACAGAGGCTAGGATACCTAAGAGCCTGGAGACACCTCAGCAAGCTGAGTCAACAGCTTCAAGTCTTCCTTCTTTATATCCAAAGCACACTTCCCCATAGTTCTATTGCTTAGTGTATGGTCTGTCTCCTAATCCTGACTCCTCTTTGAGGGAGAAGTGAGTTGAGTCTGTCCACAGATATTGCATTGAGAACAGTTCTTGGCACTTGGGTGGATAAAGGATCTCCGTCATCCTCTGGTGGTTGGTAGGAGCCCAAAGGAAGTAGAAGCAGGATGGTTGTCGCCAGGCATTTTATGTGGTTTTTAAGATGCTTTCTTAGCGTTCTCCTTCGCTAGACTTGCCTCATTCAGGGTGCACAGGATGCTTTTCCTGAGTTGCCTGAATGAATGGAATCAAGTCATCAGGCCAAAACTGACTCCTAGCCAAGGTGGCTGTTCTTCGGCACCGTGAATCCAACCCACATTCACCCACTTAAGGCTGAAACAGTGAAAACTGGATCCGTTTGCAGAGGAAGTTTATGAGCTCTACCCTAGCATGGTGGTTAAGAGTGTGGATTCTAGGAGGTGGCTCTAGATTGACCCCTGTGGGACATTTGATACATCCTGTAACTCTTTGGTCCTCTTTTTCTTTCTTTTCTTTTCTTTTTTTTTCCAGAACAAATAAAGATGTTTATGCCATGAGGATAATAATGAGTTGCAAGGATTAAAGTAATTATATATGCAAATATTTAACACAGTGCTTGATATGTGGTGGGTGCCTTTATGTTCTCATCTGTAAAATGGAGTTAGGTATTATATAGAACTCCCAGGGTTTTGTTAAGATTAAATGGTTAATTCATGTGAAACACTGGCTTATAAGGGCTGGCATGTTGTAAGCCCTCATTAAAGGCTATTTTTACTAATACGTGCCCAGTGCTCTTATTTTTGTAAATAAAGGATTTCCAAGAAAGGCCTCATGAAGCACTTCCCTTTCACCTAGCACAAAGAAAGATTTCATTTGAAATGTCCAAGTGGCCAGGGCACTGTGATCAACTGACAATCTGAATGTGTAAGAAAGCACTCCCTTCAAATTGCTCCCTTTAAAAAAATTACATCTTTCCCCAACCTTAGAAAGGCTTAAATATTAAAATGCAAGGCTTGGGTGCTTTTGTTTTTATAGCGATTTTTTTTTTGTTGTTGTTCTACAAAAGTACTTTTAAAAATAGTGCAACCCAGTATTAGACAAATGTTTATCTGATTATATAGGCACATCAACCAAAAGAACATAATAAGGTAGAGTTACTAGAAATTCTAAACATGAAAAACAGGCATATTAAAATGAATGAAAAATTATGGGTATTATTGCAGTAAGCTGCTTGTAATATTGTTTAACGGGGTATATTTCCTGAAATTGTTCTCCATAGTGGCTTGCTTGCAAAATGAAAGCTGATTTCCAGAGTCTGCTTGTGTGGCAGTAAACACAACCAGCAAATACTTTCAACTTCTGTGTTTGTTTATTGTCTCTTTGGTTTGGTTTGTTTCTGCTTTTTAACTTTCTGGGCTTCAGTCAGATGAAGTTCAATCTTTATTCACATCTTCAGAGCTTAAAGCTGTGTGCTGCAGGTAAGCTCAAGAGTCTGTGAAAAATAGCTCTGTGATGATCCTTTCTAGAGGAAAGAAGCATTCTTCATGCTCAGTGCTCTCTGGTGCCTGGTGCCTGCTGTGACGTCCCAGGTGTGCTTGTGCATGGTGGCAGTGGGACGCAGAAAGGCGACTCCAAAACTTATTCCTTCCAGAGCAGAGACGGCGCAATCAGAGAGCCAGGTGGACTGGGATTGCTGTGGCTTTGAAGGAAATGATAATTTTAGGCCACATTGCCCTAGATTTTGTGGCTCTGGGAATAACATGGAGAGAAGAGATCCTTGTTATAGAGGTGGAAAAAAGCTGGGACTCCATAGGGGAGGTTAGGAGGAAAATTCTCCCATAGGGTACTGGATCCAGAATTGCGAATGTGGTTGGAAAACTGATGACATTTATTTGCTCTTCTGCATTGGGGGTTGTCTTTTTGGGGAAGTGACCCTTGTCAAGAATGTGTGATAGACACAGCTGTGCTCAGATGCGGGCTGTGGGAGCGATGGGCACGGGTGGAGAGTCAAGCACAGCTGAAGACAGTGGCTGTTCCTCCTTGGCTATCTCACGCACATAAGAGACTCAGGGTGCTTTTCATTAGGATGAATTGCCAAGTATGAAGTTTGAAAAGCGCTCACTTCTTTAGAGGAATGTTTGAAAACAGCTTGCTTGGGCTTGTTATGGGGACAATGCATTCTGCGGTACACTTGGGTGAGCATTAATCCTCTAACACTGCAATTCCCACCTAAACAAATGATACTTTGGGTGGATTTGCATTGATACGTTGGACAAATTCTGAGAAAAGTCCTGTAATCCATGAGTCTGGTGAGGCCAGATGCTGTTCTCCTTGAAAAGGTCAGCATAGCATCACATTAAAAAGCACACTTTTACATTTTGCTTTTGGTAAATCATTATGAATGATATTCAGAGTTTTTGCCCTTTTGATAGCCACAGTATTGGCATCTTCTCTTAAAGTGGTGGGGCTTGGTCGAAATAAACACGGAAATGCGCTTGAGGGATCTTTTGATGGGTTTCATTGGTAAAACACCACAAAATACTACCTACCCTCAGTTCTACTCCTGCCACCCACATACAAAACACAGTCATTTTTTCTTCTTTTCTCTGGTTAGCTATATTATAGGAATTCAGTTCATAGCATGTGCTCTAATTTCTGTCACCCAGGCTGGGGTGCAATGGCATGATCTCGGCTCACTGCAACCTCTGCCTTCTGGGTTCAAGCGATTCTCCTGCCTCAGCCTCCCTAGTAGCTGGGATTACAGGTGTGCACCACCACGCCCGGCTAATTTTGTATTTTTAGTAGAGACGAGGTTTCTCCATGTTGGCCAGGGTGGTCTCAAACTCCTGACCTCAGGTGATCCACCCACTCTGCCTCCCAAAGTGCTGGGATTACAGGTGTGAGCCACACTGCCTAGCCATGTGCTCTAATCTTTAGTTTTACCTTTGTCTCTCAGCCACGTTTTTCACTCGTTGACCTGAACTTGTCCCTTTTGTTTCCCTTTTCAAATTTACTGTTTATCTCATAAACAAGAGGAGGGGGCCACAAATCAATGGCTGCCTGGGTATGTGGTGGGAAGAGGGTCTCTAATTCGGGCTTGTTTGTGAGTGTGTAGGCGGCAGAAGTAAATTAGCTTGCAGATTTCAGGAGAGACTGTTACCAGCGTCCTCTGCCAGGGATCATGCAGAGTGCCAAATTACAATTGATTTCTCAATAAAATTGAGTTCAACCTTCCCCAACATAATCCAAGACAGAAATGACAGAGAACTGTCTCACTTTAAAAATTTTATTCTTTTCAGTCAATTTTGTTCTTGGAGGTTTATTATTGTGATTAGCCTTGGACCATGAGATACTCACCTCCCCTGCCTTCCTAGACTTCATAAAGCAGTCAAGAGTCAGCTGAGGAAGAGCAGGAGCGATGGGCCGGCCCCCAGGCCACCCCTCTGGGGCGGGGCTTCTCACTGGGTACCACGTGAAGATGCTATTGGCTTTTAAGGTCCAAAAGTACAAGAGTTCGCTGTCTGTTTCAAATGAATCCTGTGCTCAGAGCACCAGGGGCTGTTTCCAGCAGGTTGCTTCCCTTCTCTCCAATCAATCACTCGCTTCCCTCTCTCTCTCCCATGCATGAGCATGCTCAAATGCATACATGCGTTCCCCCTGCCTTCTGCTCAGAGCCCATTGCTTTGGGAACCACCAACCAACCAAACTAATTAAAACAGTTTTCCAATTGCTGGAGCAATTCCCTGAGTGCTGTGTCTCGCCACCACCACACTGGGCCTACTCAGCTCGCTACCTGTATTGAGCTTCCAAAGAGGCTCATCTCACTGCAAAAGAAGTGAATCCATTTCATATTGCTTTGCATTCTGGGATTGAAGTCCTGCATCTTCCTCTCAGGAAGCCAGCCTCTTCTGAGGAAGAGGGATGTACACACGTGGTGTTAATAGCACATCACTACCTCCTCCACCACTACCAAGGCTTTCCCTGCCGTCTATGCCAATGGTTCAACATTCAGTAAATGATTACAGTGGGCCAGCACTATGCTAAATACTTTTTGTTTCATTTTGATTTATGTCATTGCTTCCCTTTTCTTCAGCTGGCTGTCCCCATGGCTTTTTTTTTTTTTTTTTAAACCATCTTAGCCTTTTTGAAGTGTACAGTTCAGTGGTATTTAGTACATCCACATTGCTGTATAACCATCACCACAATCCATCTCCGGAACTCTTTTCACCTTGAAAAACAGAAACTCTATACCCATTAAATAAAAATGTTCCATCATTTCTCCCTACCACCTGGCCCTTGGCAACTACTGTTCTACTTTCTGTCTCTATGAATTGACTACTCTAGGTATTTTGTATAAGAGGAATCATACGATATTTATCGTTTTGAGATTCACTTATTTCACTTAGCATAATGTCTTTAAGTTTCATCCAAGCTGTAGTACGTGTCAAAATGTTCTCCCTTTTTAAGGCTAAATAATATTTCATTGTATTTGTGACATTTTGCTTTTCCATTCATCAATTGATGGATACTTGAGTTACTTCCACCTTTGGGCTCTTGTGAATAATATTGCTGTAAACACAGGTGTAAAGATATCTCTTTTTAAGACCCTGATTTCAGTTCTTTGTGGATGTATACCTGGAATTGGAATTGCTGGATCATATGGAAATTCAATTTTTAATTTTTCGAGGAACCACCATGCTGTTTTTCTCAGTAGTTGCATCATTTTACACTCCACCAATAGTGCACAAGGGGCCCAATTTCACCACATCCTCATCAACATTTATCATTTTCAGGTTTTTTGTTCATAGTTGCCGTCCTAATGGTGTGAGGTGGTATGATAAGTACGCTATATGCCTCACAACAACTATGCAGTAGACAGTATTATATTCCTCATTTTACAGATCAGGACATTAAGGCTTGGAGATGTCAAATAAATCATTCAAGCCTGCACAGCTGGTTTTATTCAAGTCTATCTGACTCTAGAGCCATTCTAGGAAAAATAAGGGCCCTATTCTATGTGCTGGCCATATCGACACAGATCAACAAAAAAATGAGTGCTTTTCTTTTTCCTTTTAATGGCTAAAATTGCCACATGCCTTCTTAGGGAAACAGAACTCTGCTCATTGAATATGAGCACAAAGAAGACATTCTTCCTTTATTATTCTAAGCAAAGCAAAGGAGAAATAAGCTAAGCAACAATGGGATAATTTATTCTCCATGCCATACTAACTTTCCTAATTGGGCAAGCAAGAACTGACCCAGTGACTCCTCCTAGGGTTGGGGGCAGAATGGCTATTTTCTATCAGCCTAAGCAGAACATGCCTTTAAAAAGAAGAATTGATAGCCCAGAGAGTATTGTCTTAGATCCAAGGTCAAAGGCATAAACATAAACTTACGCATTTCATTCCCACCTGTGAAACTTCTGCTTAGCAATTCTAGATTGGAGTCCCAAATCTGCCACTTCTTAGCTTGGCAAACTTTAGGAAAATTTGTTCGCCTATTTGAAACTCAGTTTTCTCATCTAAAAATGGGAATAAAAATACCTTTTTTATAACATCTGTCCTCTTCTTCCCAAAGAAAGAGTAAGAACAAACCAAACAAACTTCTTATGTGTGTTAGAGAATCAAGCTTGGTCCCACCACTGCTCTCTCTGGTTCAACCTGACGAAAGTGTTCCCTAATGCAGACTGATTTAATCATTAAAAGACCTTGGGAACAGAATGTCCCAGCTGAGATGCGACTTGGTGCCAGGCTACTGTAGGGAAGTAGGAGGGTACAGCAATGCTTTCCTACCTGGAGGAGGATACAAATGTGCAGACTGGAACAGGGGAAATCCAGGGGCCTGGCCCAGTCTTGGATTTAATCAACTTCAACTACGATGTGGGGCAGCCCACTGAAGCTCTCCCAACTGAAGTTCCTATTCACTTCTGTAAAATGAACAGCTTACTTTTCCCAATAACTCAATGTAGCTTTCTTAATCTTTCTGCCAAGTTAACATAATTCTGTCTTTTCACTACTTTTGTGGCTCTATTTCTTATATCTGTGCTCCCATGAAATGGGTTCTTATACATAAATGCTTAGCACTTTTCTTGTCATGTATAGTTGTTCGATAAACATCTTTTCTTTGTTTCTCCCTCCTTCCTTCCACCCCTCCTACTTGCACCCTGGAAATGAGAAAGGTTCGTAACTAAGGCTCACGGAACTGTTTCTGGCTGCATGTTCATTTCATGTTTCATCAGGATCCAGACCTAATTCACCACTACTTCTTGAATGAAGATGGCTGGTCATTATACAGTACCCTGAACAGGTGAAATAAGTCCCCAAGGATGTGGGAGCCCATGAAACAGAACTGTGGTTTCACAATCAGAGAGTACATTCTGGAATCACACAGATACGGGCTGGAACCCAAGTTCCCCAAGTCATGTAAATGAGGCACATTCTAGAGTGGTGTTAAAGATCTCAGGTTCTCAAGTCTTAACCAGTTTAAATTCCAGCTCTGTCCTGTAGCAGCTGCAATATCCGGGGTGATGTTTAGCCTCCTTCTTGTGTTTCAACTTCCTCATCGGTAAAAGGGGATAGTGACAGAACTTAATTCACAGGGTTGTTGGGAGGATTAAATGTAATAACACATATGAAGCATTTAGGGCAATGCCTAATGCAATTTAGTAATATTGTGCTTATTACTGCTGCTACTATGATTATTATTTCTACAGTTACTACTGCTGCTATGATGGAGTCCACTGCCTGCTTAAAAGCATTACTCATTTTATGACTGTTTCTTGTATTCAGATATATCCTGTGAAAGACACCTTAAAGCACAGTTCCTAGAAATTATGTACTGACATGAAGTTCTGGAGGGATTATACTTCTTGTTTTTAAGTAGAATTTCTCAGATTATTAAAAAAGTATGTTAATATAAACTCATTTGCCAGTTGAATGAGATAATGTTTTTACCATGGGAATTAAATATATGTGTAAAATGAAAATTATGTAAAATTTTTACTCACTCGAAAAGATATCTTTAAACACCTACCACACTACAATGTAACTTATTCCAGGCTACAAATAAGATTAGTGACAAAGAGAAGAAAATAGTATTTAAAACCCTAAATGGACATGCATAAGCATAAATGTTGAAAATTTCAAGTGGAATAAACATTTCCAAAATACTTTCCTTTTTTAGCAAGACATTGATAATGGGCTATCTCAGATGGGTTACTTCCTCTGACAAACATGCATTATAAGTGCAAATATAGTGTTTTTTTTTTTTTTTTTTACAAGAAGGATATTAAGAAAGATGTGTTTCACTTCCTCCCAGACACCACCTCTCCTCAGTAGCAAATAATAATGCACATATAAAAATGAGCACTTCTTTTCCCCTTAGGATACCTCTTCTTAAAATCACATTCAGATTCTTAAAATTCCAGTGCCCCAAACAGCTGGTTCTATCCTCTAATCCTTTTTCCATTAGAGATTTCAACACTACTTTGAGTAACACTGGTTAGCTCATGACCCAAATCTCCTTAATCCAGGGAAGCCATAATGTTATATCAGTAACTAGTGTATATTTTTCTAATTTCCTCCACACATTTTCTTGCTCCTTTCATATCTTCATGGTGTTCTGATGATTAAAGCAGCATTCCATCCAGAGGTTTGGTTGGCTATGGCTGGTGGAGAGTTAGGAGTTGAAGGAGCAAGCCTTAGATTTATTTTTGACTCAGTACCTAGCACAGGATAATATGTTTTAAATAACAATCGTGGTTTAATGAGAAATTTATGGATACCCAGTCACATGCTAACAGCTTTAAGCAGATTATCTCATTTAATCTCCACAACTAACCTGAGGCTTGATCCCCATACTACAAATGAGGAAACTGAGGCACAGAGAGGTGAAGTATCTTGCATCGTGTCACAAAGTAAATGGCTGAGATTCAAACCCACCTATGTCTGACTGTGAAGCCTTTATTCTTATTCACCATAAATATAGTTTTTGGATAGATGGGGAGAGATTCCTCTAAAATTCCATTTTAGTTGTCACAAACATTTAGGGTAGATGGACTCTGTCTGACTTATTTTTTCTTATTGCCCTCATTTTTTCCTTAGGATTCTCCTAAGGCCTAAAGAAAGGTCTGGTGGTCATCAAAGCTGGTGCTTAGCCTTTTATGCATGCAACTTTCACCCATAGTATCCTACTCTCTCTTGTATTTTGCTCTTTTCCCATGTCTATGGTCATTGCACAACTTAAAACTAATTCCTTAGGCTATTTGAGTAAGCCTTTGGATCTCTATTTGATTTGAATTCTGAATGAGAGTTTAAAACCTTTAAGTTAACTGGATAGAGGTATTGGTTGGACCTTCTTATTATCAGAGAACTTGCAGAGTAAGAAAAATTGCTGGACTTAAAAAAAAAATCTGGGCCAGGCGCAGTGGCTCACGCCTGTAATCCTGGCACTTTGGGAGGCCGAGGCGGGCGGATCATGAGGTCAGGAGATCAAGACCATCCTGGCTAACACGGTAAAACCCTGTCTCTACTAAAAAATACAAAAAAAAAAAAATTAGCCGGGTGTGGTGGCGGGTGCCTGTAGTCCCAGCTACTCCGGAGGCTGAGGCAGGAGAATGGCATGAACCCGGGAGGTGGAGCTTGCAGTGAGCCAAGATAGCACCACTGCACTTCAGCCTGGGTGAGAGAGTGAGACTCCATCTCAAAAAAAAAAAAAAAAAAAAAAAAAAATCTGCGTACGCCACAGGAGAGTTTCCTTGGAATGACTTCTATAAATCAAAATGTTTATTTACCACATTAGCTAAAATAACTCAGAGGAAGAGATTTAAAGAAGACAGGGAGAAAAGAAGGACAATCAGTGTGCTTGGCCACATAGGAGCAAATGAAAATAAAATGAGAGCACTGGAAATGTAGACTTTTTCCAGGGAATATTTTTTTTTTTTTTTTCTGAGATGTAATCTCACTCTGTCGCCCAGGCTGGAGTGCAGTGACGCCATCTCAGCTCACTGCAACCTCTGCCTCCCGGGTTCAAGTGATTCTCCTGTCTCAGCCTGTCAAGTAGCTGGGATTACAGGTGTGCACCACCATGCCCAGCTAATTTTTGTGTTTTTAGTAAAGACGGGCATTCACCATGTTGGCCAGGCTGGTCTCAAAGTCCTGACCTCAGGTGATCCACCTGCCTCAGCCTCCCAAAGTGCTGGGATTACAGGTGTGAACCACCATGACCGGTCTTTCCAGGGAAAATTATATGGAGCCTGATTCTACTTAAGAGGCCATGTCATCCCCATCAAGTTCAGCTTTTCTAAACACTTCCTTCACTCATTCATTTATTCATTCTTACGTGTATTCATTGTGAGAACATCTGAATGCCTACTACATAGCAACTGCTTTGTCAAGCTCAAACTGACACATTTTCCTCCCTTATATGATTTTCAATAATAGCAGTAGTGGTCACCAGCCTCAGAACCTCAGAATCATTGTTTATACTCTCCAAATACGTCCAATATTCAAATGTTTCCCATTGCCTTTTTTCTTTTTGATGCCCCTTACCCTTTATCTTCATTCAATTCATTATTATCCCAACCCTGGAGTAGTTATTCTCTTTTAATTGATTTTGAGGCCCTTACTTTTTAGTTTTTTTTTTTTTTTTGTGCAAATCACTGCTGAGAATAACTGTCCCAAGTTGACACATTTACCAAGTTTCTTCCATGCTCAATGCCTCGGTGCCTATTCTCTCTGCTCACTCCATAATCTCACCTCCCAGAATGACCTTGGCTTGTCTATTCATTTTTAGCTTTCATTGCTCCTTGACTCAAACTTGTTATTTAAGCCACACTAATTTCTTCCCAGCCCCTCTTCCTACCAGCAGTTATCCAGGCACTGAACATGCATGCCGGACACTTACTTACATGCCTGCCAGACACTCTCATGCCAGTTCTTCTACATTTTCAGTGACAAATTTAAGAAAGCAGATAATGTGGATGCGAATCCCAGCACTTCCACTTGTGGGCTATGTGATTTGAGGCTAGTGCCTTAATCTTTTTAAGCTTCTACCCTCTTATCTGTAAAATGGGTATAAATAGCACTTAACTCATAGGGCTACTGTGAGTGTTAAGATAGAGAATGAAGATAAAGCCTTTAGTGTAAAGAGAGACTACATAGAGTAACTGAACAATAAATAACTATCATTATTGATATCACTTATGATAGAATATAGCTTTTTTAAAATGTGTTTCATTTCTCTCAAATATAAAGATATTTCCTCTGAAATCCCTTTTTCCAGGGGGCAAGAGCCATGCCTTTCATCATGTTCCCATTTGTCAGTATGGTTCCCATGCAATAAAATATTTGCATGAATAGAGTTTAGGTTTGGTTTTTTTTTTTTTTTTTTTTTTTTTGAGACAGAGTCATGCTCTGTCACCCAGGCTGGAGTGCAGTGGCAAAATCTTTGCTCACTGCAAGCTCTGCCTCCTGGGTTCATGCCATTCTCCTGACTCAGCCTCCCAAGTAGCTGGGACTATAGGCACCCGCCACCATGCCTGGCTATTTTTTTTGTACTTTTAGTAGAGACGGGGTTTCACCATGTTAGCCAGGATGGTCTCCATCTCCTGACCTCATGATCTGCCCACCTTGGCCTCCCAAAGTGCTGGGATTACAGGCGTGAGCCACTGCGCCCGGCCCAGACCTTTCTTTAGGCCTTGGGAAGGTTAGGTTCTAAATAAAATGTTGATTGGATTTCGTAGCAAGGCTGATAAAATTGCTTTTGAAATAAACTAGTTGTCAATTCAATGAGTAATTAAGGATCAGATTTGCCTTGGCCAGTCTGCATTTTGTAGAAATAGATTCCACAGTACTGAAGAACAACCACAACAAAAATATTTCCTTGAAGCAACAGAATTGGAAAGTAAGTGAGAATGAGGGGTCAGATTGGCCACTTCATGTGAAGAAGGAAGCCAGACTAGGGAACTCTGATGTGAGAGAATTAACTAGCAATCACTTGATCTGTCTCTTTAAGTAAATTACAGACAGGAGGAGCTTAGAGGAGCCAAGGCAGGAAGTTTTTAGTGGGAGAGTTAGAAAGTCACATAAAAGCCAGGCGCAGTAGCTCACGCCTGTAATCCCAGCACTTTGGGAGGCTGAGGTGGGCGGATCACAAGGTCAGGAGCTAGAGACCACCCTGACCAACATGATGAAACCCCGTCTCTACTAAAAATACAAAAAAATTAGCTGGGCGTGGTGATGGGCGCCTGTAATTCCAGCTACTTGGGAGGCTGAGGCAGGAGAATCACTTGAACCTGGGAGGCAGAGGTTGCAGTGAGCCAAGATCATGCCACAGTACTCCAGCCTGGGCGACAGAGCAAGACTCCATCTCAAAAAAAAAAAAAACAAAAGGTCACCTAAGGGACTAAATAAAGGAATACTCTAGCCACTAAACTCTAGCCGTATAAGTCAGCAAAATCATATTATCAATTTCAAGTGTTCTTAAAAAGCCAACAGGAAATGATTCATAAAATAATTCACAAAAAAATCTTCAGAAAATCACAGAATGAACATTAGAAACCATGGAAATATGTAATTCTTTACACTGTCACTCCTTGATTAAGCACACTGATGAAGAATACAGATACATCAAATTTGTGGATAATCTTGAAACTATTGCTTTGTTTCTCAAGTGCTTCTGTGCTTTTCCCCTTCTCAGCAAGAGAATACACCTGACTATATTTGGTAATGTCATGCTGGAATTCCTAGGTGGCACTGACTAGAGTTGGAAGGCAGTGTCTCAAAAGGGCACGCAGAGCTTAAAGTGGGCTGTTCTGAATTTGGGGAGGTGAAATCAGCCATGGTCTTAGATAATGAAAAAGGGAATAATCTACATATGACTTTTACAGAGCTCAAACCCCTCATGGCTCCATGAGGCAAGGAGCAAAGTTAAAGGAAAATAGTCATTGATATTAATTTGTTTTCATTATTATCTCTCCCACAAAGGCCCAGGAAGTAAAGCATGTGTAATACAACTTCTTTCCTCTATTCTCACCTTGTCTTTCAGATGGACAATTTCCATGCCCTTTAAGATTCACTCTCTTCCCGTTTTCCCCGACAAATTTCACCCAATTCACCCCAGGAGTGTATTGACTTATCCCTCCATTCTATTCCTGAACTTACTATTTTTTTAACTTTTTCAGAATAAATCATCTGTCCTTGGTCCTTCTCAGGTTCTCTACTTCCCTGATTATTCATATATATATATATACACACACACACATATATATATATATACACACATATATATATACACACATATATATGTGTATATATATGTATTTATATACATATATGTGTATATATATTTATATATATGTATATATATATTTATATATATGTGTGTATATATAGAGAGAGACAGTCTCTCTCTTTCTCCCTCTTACACACACTCACACACACACATACGCACACACATGTATGTGTGTATAATGGCCCAGGAGCTCAGAGGAGGAGAACATATAAATACCAGAGTTTTTCTTGGGGTGGAGGAGTTAAGGGAAGAGGCTGTAAAAATGAATGTGTTGTTCTCATAATAAGCATATGGATAATTGAGAGTTCCCTATGTAAAGACATGTGCAAAGTAGAATATAATCTTCATTTTACATGTAAAGAAACTGAGGTGCAGAAATGCCATATGTTGACTAAGGATAGGAAAATATTTCTTTAATTTCCATTAGTTGGAATTAGTGTATCAAATTAGTTGACTAATAGTTGGAAAGAGGTTTGTGTCTAAGCTTGGATGTGGGCAAGTGAGGGTTCAGGAAAATCAGGTCTGTGGAAAGCTTGACAGAAATTATAAAAAGGCATAAGAATAGCTAAGCAAAATTTTACCTTCTTCGTAAAGTCCATAGGCTCAGGTTGGGTAGAGACAGTTGAGACATGATTCTCACAGGAACTATTTGGGATAAGATGCATTTCATCAATATTGGCAAGACTGGCTTGAATCCTGTCTGAAGCCTGATTTCATAGGGTCTTGCCAGGGATGATTTATAGTTTCTTACATTCATCATTCTTGAGAATTCCTGAGTTTTAAGAAAATGGGCCATAAACTGTGTTTACTAAAGAAATGCTCTCATATATATCATAGAAGATCAAAAATTCATTGTGACCATTGAAGAAAATTGAGCAAAAATGAGAAAGAGAAGTAAAGTATTGACAAAAGAGTGGAGCTGCGGAGGATAGAGGCCAAAAAATGTCAACTGTTGTCAGGAGAGGATCCTGATAGAAGAGTCATCCTGTAATGCCTGAAATTGTGGAGTGTGTGCCTGTGTATATGTGTGTTTATTAGAGCACCATCTTGCTTTTAAGAAAAAGATAAAAAAGGAAAGACTGCACAGCAAGGGTGACGAAAAAGATAAATGGATTAGAGGGCATGACTTACTGTACAAAGAGAGATTGAAGTAATATAGCATAGATAGCCTAGAGAAGAAAATAGCAAAGGAAAAGGGAAATTGCTAATACTTCTAAGCACCTGAGAGGTTGTAACATGAGTGACATTCATTTTGGAACTTGGGCACATCAAAAGACATGCTTAGTATAGTCTGGAGATATATATTTGCCCATTTACCCACTAAGTTCAATGGTGCTGAACCAGAAAAGGCAGGAAGTGAAGTGTAAAGAGTTAGAAAGAAAACATTTTAAGTGTTTATGTTACCTTCAAGGAATGATATTATTAACTTCCTGCTCTGTAAGATTAAGAGTGGCATTAAGCATGGACGATTGTATAGCTTCCCTGTGTAGGTTCATGAATAGGATTTCTGGATGGTGTCTTAGGCTTCACTATGGCCTGAGATAGGCCTGGTTTACTTGCTTGGTGGTTCTCAGATCCTGGATACTTTTCTGCTGTTGGCTGAGAAGGACTCGTTACTAAGCATTTGTTGCTTCGTGAACAACTGGGTAAATGCAAGGGGTTTGTATGTGTCTGTCTGCCCGGGTTCCAATCCTGCCTCACTTTACACACTAGCTGTGTGACCTGGCAAGGAACTTAACCTCTCTAAGCCTTAGTTTCCTTTATGTAAAATGAGGGTCAAGAATGGTGCTACCTTATAGGGTTCTTGTGAAGATTCAAATAGATATATGTAAAGCACTTAGCACAGTGCCAGGCACATTATCTCTGAAATTATGAATTGTCATTTATTCCAGAAATATTTAAGGGCTACTTCAGACCAGGTTAATCAAAATGCCAGGGATATAGTAGTAAAGAGATTGAAGGTCCTAATCAAGGAGTTTAATTTCTAGTGGCAATGAGAATAAACAAATAAATACATAATATGTCAAGCAGTGATAAGTCTGATAAAGAAAAATAAATCAGGCAAATAGGGACAGTAAACTATTTCGAGTAGAGAGAGCATCACTCTGACGGGACCAAAGTCCAGGAGGAACGATTGAGTTTGGGAAACTAGTCACTCATTGAGTCAAAAAATGGTACAAGATGGAAAGGGATAATGAATGAATAATGGAATAGGAGAGGTAAGTAGCAGCCAGAAAACAGAGTCTTCAATGGTTTGTCAGTCAGAGTGGGCTTGCAGCTGTGATCAACAACCACCACCGGCCAGCATCTTAACACAACAGGAGTGAATTTCTCATTCATGTAGCAGGTAGTCTTCAATATCAATCCAGGAACTCAGGTTCTTCCATCTCATGGGCCCGCCATTTGCTAGGGCCCCAGAACTCTATGGTGGACCTTTGCATCAAGTGGCAGATATGGGGACAGACACGGCTTGAGAGGCAGCATGAGAGATTTTTGTGAAACATGTTGGAAATAGTGCGTGTCATTATCGTTCAGATTCCATTGACTAGAAGAAACCCACTCACATGGTCATACTTAACTGCAATGAAGGCTAGTCAGTGAACTCCAGCTGTGTGCCCAGGAGAAGAAGAAATGAGTTTTGATGAACACATAGCCAACAGCACATGCCACACAGGACATACTAAAGATCTTAGATTTTATCCTGAGCACAAAGGACAGTCACTGAAGCAATTTAAGCTAGTCAGTGGTCGAGTTTGCATTGCAAAAAATCAGTCTGGTAGAAGAAGGATGGAAGGGTCCCCAAATTCAAGTTAACAAAGTGACTCATTTATGATACAAAGAGGGCCTGAACCAAAGAAGTGGTAGTGGGAGTGGGGAAGAAGGGGCTCCTTTGAGAGAGATGGAAGAGTTTGGAGAGGGTTGCAAATGACTGGATGGGAGTGGAGAGGACAGGAATCAACAGAGAAGGTTCAACAACTACTGACTATTATTTCCTAAGAGAGGAAACCTAGGAAGAGAAGAAACTTGTGAGGGGGAAATAATGTGCTTGATGAACAAAACAACCTTATTGCTTTTTTGTTTTCCTGACTCCTTTTAGTGAGCCTGCTTTCCAAACCATTATAGGGACATATGTTCTGACATGCTCAAATAAAGTTGTAGGGCTGGCATATTTATAATCAGGATTATTTTAGGATGTTCAGGGTACATTGTTACTCTATATCTTCTGTACTACATAGTCCATGTTCATGTACTCACAATATTTGTTCATTTGACATTTATTGAAGTCTTAGTATGTGGTAGGAATTGTGTTTGGCACCTGAACTAAACTGTGGCCATCATCACCAGAAACAAATAATATCATGGCTTGGTGACTGTTGCTAAGTATTTGGGGTCTTTTGGTTGATTGGGCTATGTGATGTAGCCCGTTTTTGGTAGTTATATTGATTTTAGACTGTGAGGTCAGGAAAGGCCTAATGTATTTATTATGGGTTGAATTATGTGATGAAGCTTTAACTCTCAGTACCTGTGAATGTGACTTTATTTGGAAATAGTCTTTTAGTCTTTTCATAGTTAATCAAATTAGAGTAAGGTCATACTGGATTAGTGCAGGTCCTAATCCAATTACTGGTGTCTGTATAAGAAGAGAGAAATTTGAAGACAGACACACGGAGGAGAAGTCCATGTGAAGACAGAGGCAGAGATTGAAGTGATGTATCTACAAGCCAAGTAGCGCACCAAGGATTCCTGGCAACCACCAGAAGCTAGAAGAGGCCATAGAGGATTTCTCCCCTGGAGTCTTAAGAGAGAGCATGGCCCTGACACCTTGATTTTGGACTTTTAGCCTCTATAACTGTGAAAGAATAAATGTTGCTTTAAGCCACTCAGTTTACGGTACTTTGTAATAGCGCCCCTAGGGACCTAATTCTGTGTTTTATGTGACAGTACCAAACACAAGAAGTGTTCTGGCAGAGATAGGGTGGTGTATCTTTGCTCAGCATCTAAACTAATCACTGATTTTAAAAATATATTTATATTACAATATTATAAAACTATTTTATACTTATTCTCATATCACATTTCCACAGTAGAGAAGAAACAAAGGCTTGATGAATTAAGAAACTTGCACCAGTTGACATAGCAGTGAGTGATATTGAGGGCCTCTGGCACCTGCACACATTCCTGGAGCTAGAATGATCTCTTCTGTGTAAGAATTAGGATGTAGGCTCTTGCTGAGTCATCATGTACCACCCAGGGAAATTAGGAAGCAGTGACCCTGCTGGCTGTGGGTAGTTCCCCCAAGAGCTTCTGTGCTCAGTAGGGCTTAAAATACTTGCCTGGGTGGAAAGGCTCACCTTTCTTTCTCTCTGAGCACCGCCCAGAAGTGCAAGACAAGTGCAAATAAGGAGTTTTTCTGAGTTGTCATGTGAGCTGTGTGCAAGGAGGTTTAAGGACTGTTGCCCACTTAAAATGTTTCTTTGGGTGTTGCCTAAGTGGCCTGCCAGCTGCTGGAGGGTGCAGTGTGCTTCCCAGTGACCAGCCTTGCCAATTAACTGGGTGCCCTGTGCTCTGGTGGAACTCTCTGTCACCACATGCCATTTTGAGATGCACCCAGTGCTCTTATGGCTCAGAAGTTCTGCAAGCTGAATGTATATGATGTCTGAAATATCGCAGAGCAGTTCAATATGCCTAAGCCCACATTTTTCATGCCAAACCTGGGATTAAAGACGCCATCTTTTGGCAGAATGAAACCCGTTAATGCTGGTGGGTAGTTAGGAAGCATGCATTCTTTCCTCAAACACTTCCAAAATGGCTGCTCTGACCCTACAGAGGCTTCTGTGAATCCGTGAATCCGCCATGATTTTGACTAATGATGCTGTATTTCCTAATACTTTTGCTGTGCTTGCAGGCATCAGAACGGTTCTTTTAAGAGACTCATTATGGTACAACTCAGATTAGAATCGGACCCTCAAGGTCTTTTAAAAGACGAAGGATTTGTGAGAAACTGTGACCAGGATGACAAAGTGGCGTCTCATTTGCTTTTTATGTAAGTGAATGCTCAGGAAAGCTGAAAAGGAGGCTGTGGAAAAGCCAGACTCAGTTCCTTTGGTAAAGGCAGCAGGGGTTCTTGTTTAGACTCAACTGCCATCTTCTTGAAGGAGCTTCAGCCTAGGCGTTACGGTTGACATCTCTTAGAATGCAATTAGTGGTAGTGTAGTGACCCAATTTGACGCTCTTTGTTAAGTGAAAGCCAGCGTACACTTATGGCATTTCCAGGCCACATTGATCTACATGGATGATATACTCAGAAGCCAAAACCACTGGCTCTTTCTTAACCTCAGAATTGAGGACAGGTGGTTTCTTTCAAATGTCCTTCCTCCATGTCTTTCCAAGTTATTTATATTGTGGCAGGTAGGGGCAGTGGAGGACAAAAAAAATAAACAAAATTCTATTCAATTTTCAAGTTTCTTGCTATATAGTAACCCGTTTAAGATAAAAGCAACAACTACCACAAATACCATAGCTATGTTTTAAGTATGTTGTATATACAATCCTCTTAGTTACCTAACATTATTTACCCCATTTTACAACTAGGTAAAATGAATCTAATAGTTTACAAATAGATAAACTATTACCAGATAAATTACTGGGGTTGGACTGGAGAGCAGTGGGTAGAAAGGTATAGAAAAGATATCATAACATGCGATCGATGAGGTAACATTTAAACTGCCCAAGGAAAGGCATTCTGTATTGGTAGAGGGAAAAGATGAGAAAAGGGGTGTTTATAATGAATATGATCCTCCAGGGAATGAGGATGTAATTCACCTGGAACCCACAGTAACACGGAGTAGAAAAAATGAAGTTACAGTAAAGCCGGTGCCAGACTAATAAGGGTTTTGAGTCTCAGGCTGTAGAGTTCAAACAATTTCTTCTTTCAGTAGGGCATGAAGAGCACTCGAAGAGTTTGAACAAGTTGAGTTGGAAGGGGGATGATCAGGACTGTGCTTTTAGTAAGATTAATTTGGCAGCAGTGTATTGGATGGCGTCGGGATAGGGGACATAGGTGAGCTGGAGACAGCAAGGAGGGAACCCTTCTTTGGGCTTCTGAATTTAGCTGCCCACTTATTCTTTCAAGATTAAACAAAAGTCATCTCCTGATTCCATAGGAGAGGACCTGTGTGGGGAAAGGAAGAAGGAAAGGCACCCCAGTTTTCTGATCCCAAATAGCTGCCTACAAAATTGGTAGCTTCCTGACAGATTAGGTCATCATGAGAAAGAAAAACCAAATTTTGAGGCACTCTCTTGGTATTGCTGATTACTGCTGTTAATGAGAGTCACCAAAACAATCAAGGAGATCTTTGTTAACAAAGAAAATAATGTCAGATAATAAAGAGAGATGCTTCACTACTAATACTCTATGTGAATGATGCAGTTTATGTATCTATGCATTCTTCAAAATTAAGAATCTTTTATACCAATCTTATTTTTTGGCCTAAAAAAGAGAATAATTTATATACCCATAGGGCACATATGCATTTATATACACTATATCATGATATTTAAACAAGTGTATATATTTTAAAAAGTGACTTTTAACTACTGGGTCATTAAGATGACTGACATGAGAAAGCAGACATCACCTAAGGTTTTTATTCACATGGTCTTCAGTTGACATTTATGTGGTCCGGTATCTATTGCATTGGCTCCTTTGTTCCCCTCTGTGTTCCCACACAGAATAGCTTAAGCTGTCAGTGGCTTAAGGAATATAAGTAGCATGTGTTTTCAGGAATCAAGGATTATGCAGTACACTTTAAATTTTAATAGCCACTGATAGAGACCTCAAGAGATTCAAGCTCACTGGAGTGTTGGACTTCAGCTTGCTTGCTTTCTTTCATCTATAGAAAGATGCTCATTCTGGACTACAGAGAAGGCATTTAGGCAGAGAGGATGACTATTTGAAGTGGAATTTGTGTTGCATCACAATCCATGCCTGTTTTCTATTGGGGTGACTTGGTGTATACATTTTTTAATATTATGAAGCCACCAGTGTTAATAAAAAACAGCTGAATACATATTGGCATCCTTGGAGATCAGGCATGGGAATGCTGAGCGGGGCTGGTAGACAGTAGAACTTTAAGAAATCTCTTTCAGAGATTTTTGAAGACATTTACTTATCAGTTGTCCAGATGGCACTTGAAATGATTAATAATAAACTTTACAAGGAGGTAAAACCATGACTGGTGGAAAACACATTCTGAGTGTATATGTGATAAATACATAATATGAGAAATACGGAAAGAAGTAAAATTAAAGATTCCATATACAGTCATATTTTTAGGTTGATTATTCAGAGATTTCTTTCTTTTCTTTCTTTTTTTTTTTGGTGGGATGCCTTCTGATAACCTCATATCTCACAATCTGACACCTGAAAGTAGGACTCTTTAAAGAACAACTTGTTACCCATATAATTCACTCCTGAAAATAAAAACTGTTTTCTTAAAAATCACTTTTCCATAGTAGGATTCATACTTTGGGATCCATGTATGTGCTTCATGGGTGTGTGTCGAATCTTTGACATTGTATCAAAAAGTTCATGTTTGTGACTATGTGCATTTTCTGCAGAGAATGATCTCTATATACTCTTTTCATTTAGGCTTTCAAAGGGGTGTGTAACCCTCAACAGGCAAAGAACCACTGGGTTAATAGAAGGTAGACATATCTGTAGGATTCTGGCAGGTAGCAGATGGCACATACAAATGGGGTTAGAGTTTAATAAAGAGACTATTTTCGAGATATGGGAAGGGTTAAAGAAATCAGCAGGTGATGACTCCCCTAGGGCTAGCAACAGTGGGAGGCCAGGACCACCTGGACCTGAAGATGCCACGGAGGGAGCTAGTTCCAGAACTCAAGAGAGGGAAAGCTATCACTGTTAGAGAGGGAATACTTCAGGAGTGTAGCCTTTGGTGGAGAAATGCAGCCCTTTCTAAACTGTGCCCAGCAGGGAGGAGTTGGAGGGAAAACGTCCCACTTCATTTTCCTCTTGACCTTGGCTCTATTGTTAGTGCCTTCCAATATCTCAACCTAATCAGATGTGGAAGGCAAGAAAGCCCATTGACACAATCTTTAAAGGTCAGTCTCCCAGGCACAGGCAATAGAGAAGGGTGAAGCATAGATCTGGAAGAGCAAATAGAGAATTCCCTGCACAGGGAAACCTAGCTAGCATGTTTCATTATAATCCCAATGTCGGTTCTCCCACTGCCAAGATGAACTGTAGCCAAGTTCTCCTATAATAACTTGAGCAGTTTAGAAATAGTCACATCCTAGACTAATGCAGCTTTTTCTATTTGCATGTTTTCAGTCTTCTACTTCTAAAGGATGGTTTCTAATTGAGCCCGGTGAACATGAGAGAATCAGCAGCTTAAAATGAATTTCATGTTAAGATAATTAATATGGATGTTGGGAAAACGTTTAAGGAAAGGAGATAGCATATGAGCACATTTTGCTAAAATGTTAGAAAAGCAAGGAGGAAAAATAGTAATTTATTCCCTGCTATTGAAACAAAACTATGGTTGCACTATATTCAACAGAACTTGTAGTTTGTTTTTATTTCAGCGAAAGACTCAGATCTGTAAGCTCCGGTGTTGCATTAACTCATTGTACAGAGTTCATTATTGTAATTAGACTGCTTTTTAAGTTTATTAGTGGACTCACTAATGTACTCTTAAAAAGCTTTATTTGGAAGGAAGTCAATATCCGAAGCCAATAGAACCAAAGAGCTTGTGCCACACGCTCTCTTGCTGAAAATCATGTTATCAATTTTCATGTGACTGTTAATCAATTAGAGTGACAGAGAGATGTTTTGAAGTCAATTTTCTGTTTATTGCTAAATTAGCATTTGATTACATCTGCTTATTTTGGGTTTCAAAGAGGCTATGGTTTCCTTTGTCAAGAGACAGAATGGAGGTCAGTGATGAGAAAAATCATTTGTGCTTTTTAAAATATTTGCACATTAAAATGCAGAGTCTACAAATAGTCACAGGGCTAAGATGGAAGATGTGTGTATGTGGCTGGATTGGAACAGGTAGCATAGGAAAACTGATCTGATGATGTCGTACCTAATGCAAAGATACCTAGTCAGTGTGTAGCCCAGGAAATGAATCAAGTATTGGATGTCTATTGGTTGGTTATCATGTTGTCCTCAAAATAGACAGAAATTCAGTTGTTCAAACTGGAGAAGCATACTGTATATGTATACTGTCTTCAGGATGGGATGTGGAGATATCCTGGCTATTGTGGAACAGTGACAGTGCTATGTTGTGGCCAAATGGTTGGTTAGATATTGAGAGTGTCAATAGCATTTAAATGAAAGCTATGAAATGATACAGTGAAATGACACTGGACATGATGATGATGGTGATGATGATCATGTTGATGGTGGTGGTGGTGGTGGCAGCAGTGGCTGTGGCTACGTTTCTATCGAGTGCTTACGTATGCTTAACACTAAGCATTTTGGAGAACATACTTCTATAAGCAACTCTAGGAGTTGTTCTCCATTTGTGGCAAGTTGCTTTAGGAATTACCATCTTTCTTTAATAGAGGAAGAAATGAGGTTATAGAAAGATTAAGTAGCTTGTGCATCACTGAGGTTGAGTTTTGTCCAATTCCAGAGATTATGAATTTGACCATCATCCTAGATGTTCTCACTTGGCATCAGAGGCCTCTTTTTGAGACCTCCCTTTGCATTTTATAAGCTGACTGATCTTTGGGCTCCATTTCCTCATACATAAAGCAAGGGATTAAGCAATATGAGCTCTAAGATTCTTTGTAGCCTTAAATATTCACATTCTAGAACTATCCAGAAGGGAGCAGTTCCTCCCAAATGTAGAATATTATGCCAATATTCCAATTATAAATCAAATACTAGGGAATCTGGAATGCAGACATTATATTTCTCGTAAGAACCTCAACTCCTTGCAATTGTGTGTTTTCAATTACTCGGTGGTGTAATTGAATCACTAAAGTATAGCTTCTTAATTTATGTTGTATAGCAGGTGGACAAGTTTACTATCAGGAGTGTTGCACATTCTGACTTTTATCCCGTTAAGATATGCTTCCAATTGGAAAGCGAATAAATTACTTGGGATTTGTCGATGATTCACAGTTATAGAGGGAACATTAAAGCTTTGGGATGGCAGAATGTATTTTGTCCATATATTTGGACAAGTGAAGTTGAGTTTAAATTACTTACGATGATATTTAATGGTGGGCCAGTAAATGCACTGTTGTCTGTTTCGTGAATGTAATTAAATTGTGTAAGACAAGACCTCACTGTGGCTCTTAGCTTGTAAACCTCTGTGGTGACGTGAGGTGAAGCTGCCAGTGTTCTGTGGGGAAATACCAACCCCAGAGTTAAAAGGGAGGATTTGCTAGCTTCTGCCATATATCACTTGCTCTATTTGGATTCTGAATGCCCATCTCAGTGTAGTGTCTGGTATGCACTTACAAAGTTTAAATAGAAATTAAACTGGAGCTGGGTCCATTGCTGAATATAGCCATTTGCTTCATAAACACGACTGAAGAGGGAGTGAAAAAAAGAACTGAAAGGAAAAATCCAAGCCAGCAACCCAGATAGAATGACTCTTCCCCTACCTTGAGGATCCCGGAGAAAATATCACCCTGAGGAATAACACTAGGAGTGGTTTCAGGGTCTGGATATAGAATGTTATTGCTCTACATTGGAAGAGAGAATTCGAATTTGCAGGCTGGATTCAAATAACCTTGGAGGGTTAGACTCAGGAGAGGTAATTACTCTAGAACATGGTCCCTGAAATATAAATATCAGTTACAGACTTTGAGTTAATTGCATTGGCTCAAGGGGTACCCAAGTTATGGAGGATAGGTGCTACTGATTCTATCCATTAAAGGAAGGCTTAGGTAAACTCTAATGCACCCAGGTCAATCTCTCTGTTAGTTGAGTCCCTTCTGAGTTATAGTAATCTCACGTGGAAGTGACAGAGACATCCAGGTCTGGTTTTGTAGAGGGGCTACAGGCAATCCTGAGTCGCAGAGTTATGCGAAGCAAAGCCCTAGGCACTTTATGTTATTTTGCTCTACAAGGTCATGCATGACATTCTCCTGGTCATCCACTTATATTTGGGCAGGTTGTTTACTGCACAAGGGAAGTTGGTTTGAGAGGGCAAGTTGGGGGCTGAAATCCATTCTATTCTGTGCTTGCTGAACTGTGTGCCATGGTGTGGGGCTAATTGTGCTGGAAGAAAGTGGGTATCTTCATTGATTTTGAAAGAGTTGCCATTTAGACTACTAGCAGCCTGGATTATTCTAGACATTTAGGTCAACACAAAATTTTTGAGTGCCTACTTTTTATCAGGCACCAAGCTAAGCTCTGGTGGGTATGGGATGAGCAAGCTGTGGTTTCTGCTTTTTAGTATTTAGAACCTAGTGGGGATGACAGCCAGGTAAATGGATAAAGGAGCTATACTGTGATATACCCAGTGATAAAAGTATATTTACACAGCATGTCATGGATACAAAGAGGTTTGGCAAGACGCATACACAAGTGCGGGTGCAATACACATTCACATGTACAGATGCTTCCACTGATTTTTCTCTTATGTTATTGGAAATCTGTCGGTAATCAGGAGATGAATGCAAACATTCAACAAGGGATGCCCTGCTTTCTCTGCTATTAATAGAGATAGTACTTAAAAATAAAATTATAATAGACGGCTCTATTTACAGGTTTTACAAGCATGGCTGTAAATAATTTGGAGTTGATGCTTCTATGTGATCTGAAAAGATCTTGTGGCCTTTCTTAGGTAATTTCTACTTAAATATTCTGAAATGAGTCAAATGAAGGTGAGCTCGGGAAGAAGGTAGCTAACTCAAATGTAATTAATGACTGTAAAATTCCCAGCTTTAGCCTTCATCATTTTTCTCTGAAAGTTAAAGATCAAATGAATCTAATAATAGTAATAGTAGCTAACTTTTTCTAATATCTCAGAAAGACCATATGAAGTAGCTTCTATTATCAGCTATATATTAAAAATAAAGAAACAGAAACTCTGGATGTTAGGTAATATTGCCAAGGTTAGTAAATGACAGAACAAAATTTAAGGAAGGTTTTTCTGACTTCAGAGCCTGTTTACTTGCTAGCCATGATGCTTCCAGAGAGGTGGCTGGAACTGCTTAGCAGGACTCCCAAATAACTTGTCCATTCTTCAGGATGGGAACTTTATTTGACAATGTTTGTATCATCATAACACATTTAAGCTCTTGAGACATGCTTGTAAACTCTTTTAAATGTGTAGATAACTAGCAAATATGAGCCAATATTAATAGCAAATACTTCCATAGTGCTCAGTAAGTACCTGACGTTGTTCTAAGTACTGGACATTGACATTTATTTTTGATTTGTGTACAAAAAGTAAAGTGTATAAAGTACATTAATCTTAGTTATACAGCTGAAAGGATATTTGCATGTGTACATAATATCTCCAACATGCCAGAAGTTTCCCTTGTTCCCCTTTCAATTCAATACCCTACCCAAGTGGCAATCACCCCCTGAGGTTAATTCTATCATTATCAATTTGTCTGTCTGTTCTTATACTTCACAGAAATGGAATCATTACTCTTTTGTTTCTCATCTTTTTTTTTTTACTACAAAAAGTCTGTAAGATTTTTCTATGTTCTTACATATATTTGTGATTCACTATTTTTATTGCCATGTAGTGTTTCATTGTGTTAATTTATCACATTTCACTTCGTCCCTCTCCTGTTGATGGACATTTTGTTTCCAGTTTGGAGTTCATGTAATTAAAGCTGCTATAAATATGTTCATACATGAGCTTCGGTGGATGTACATATTCAGTTCTCTTGGATATAAACCCAGGAGTGCAATTTCAGGATTATAGGGTAGGCATGTGTTTAGCTTAGTAAACACTGCCAAGTGGTTTTGCACAGTGGTTGAAATTATTTACATTCTCACTAGCAGTGTGTAAGAGTTCTAGTCTCTCTACCTTTATGTCAACTCTTATTATTGTCAGTCTTTTAAATGTCAGCCCTGCAGATGAATATATGGTAGTATTTCTTTTCTATTCTCTATCTAAATGCTTTCTATTTAATTCTCACAATAACTCTATGAGATAGGCAATATTACTATCCCTATTTCACAGACGAGGAAATTGAGGCACAGTAACTTGCCCAAGGTTATGCAGCTAGTCAGCGTCAAAGAGAGGATTGGAACCTAGGTAGTCTGGTTCCAAAGTCCACATTCTAAAACACTTTGCTATCCAAGAGGGGCAGTTATGGGAAGTAAACACGTAGCTATTCTCTGGGATAACATCATTTAACATCGTTTACTCATATTTAAGTCCACAATTTTTCAAGCTTATGAATAGTAACTTCTAGCACTTTTGTTATAGTTCTTTCCCAACCATGCTAATGTTTACTTAATCATGTAAAACATAAAGGATTGCAGACTTTTCCTAAACTATTGCATCTATATAAACGCCAGTTACCTTTGTCTTAATAAATATTAAAAATAAATCTATAACTCCCAAAGAAAAGTTGTTTGTGAACCACACAAAACTGCCTGTGTACCATCATGCTACTCATAATTTGGGAAACATTGGTTTAAGCTATATGAAGCTCTACCTACAAAAATTACTCATATTTCCAAAGTTTTTTATTTTTATTTTATTTTTTATTTTATTTATTATTATTATTTTTTGAGACAGAATCTTGCTCCATCGCCCAGGCTGGAATGTGATGGCGCGATCTCGGCTCGCTGCAACCCAACCTCCTTCTCCCAGGTTCAAACAATTCTTGTGCCTCAGCCTCCTGAGTAGCTGGGACTACAGGGGCACACCACCACACCCGGCTAATTTTTTGTATTTTTAGTAGAGACGGGGTTTAACCATGTTGGCCCATCTGGTCTCGAACTCCTGACCTCAAGGGATCTGCCCGCCCCAGCCTCCCAAAGTGCTGGGATTACAGACGTGTGCCACCACACCTGGTCCAAAGTTTTTTTTAAAACAATTGTTTCTATTATGTAATGATGAAAAATTAATATTTAATTTAATTTATGGGCTATAAACACATACTATTACATGCCTATGGACTGCCCTGTTAGTTTCAACAAGTGTTTGCCACACATATACTATCTCCCGGATATCATGTATTGCTCTCCTGAAGCAGAGCAATGAGCAAAATCCAGTCCTAGTAGTGGTCTATCTTGTGGAGATTACAATCTGAAAAAAGAGGAGGAAGAATTAGCTGTGGCTGCAAGTTTCTTTATAGGAGGGCAGAATTGGCCACATGCTGCAGAGCTGTTCTCAGTGCTCCATGTCATTGTCTTCAAAGCAGCTTTTCCATATTGTCCAGATGCTTCCCAACAGACTTGAGACCAGCTGTCGATGACTGTATGTGCCACTTTGGTTTCTGTATGCATCACTCTTGGATCAAAGGGAGCAAAAGCCATTTTGTCTTTATTCTCAATCACTTACTTTAAAATGTCTTTTCTTCTTGCTTCTTTAAAAATTAATCTATCTATTCCACTGTCATCATCTAGCATGTAAAAATGGAGACACACTAGTATGTTATTATAATTAATCATGATATACCTGTTACTCAGCTTCAAGAATTAACAATTCATGGTCAGTCTTGCTTCTTCAATACCACAATCTACTTCCCTCTCCCATATTACATTGAAGCTAATTCAAAGTATTATTTCTCCTGTGAATATTTTATTGTGTATGCTTAATGAATAACATACACAATACCAATTAATGAATAACAATCACAATACCATTATCACATCGAAAAGTTTAACAGTAAGTCTTATTATCATCAGTTGGTGTTAAAATTTCCAATTATTTTATAAATGTCATATGTTTTAATAGTTTGTTTGAATGAGGGTCTAAATAAGGCCCACATGTTGGTATTGGGTGATATGTCTTTTGAGTTTCATTTAATGTATGTGTCCTTTTTTTGTTTTACTTTGTGATTCATTTATTGAAGGCCAATCACCTCTAACTTACTTTACATTACAAAATAGAATATGGATATTGAACAGCTTCTTTTCTCTCTATCTTAAGTATCTTGAAAGAAAAAGGCATTAGGACTGACTTCTGAGCTACTCCTGGGGAGAAATAATGAGGCTTCTTTGTTTAGGGATATACTTTTTGCAAGTCCAGCAGATACCTACGTAATTATTTATTTATGGTGCTACCACATTGCTGACCTATCCAAGACTCTGCTCACCCACTTGTTTAGGAAGAAGAAGGCCAAACGGACCACTCAGATTCCTGAGGCTTCTGAGCCAGAACTTTGCCATTTTAATATGAATGCTATTTTTGAGGGGAAATTGTCTTGAAAGCAGCTTAAATGTAGCAGTAAATGAATATGAGTTGGAGTTAAACATTCCATCAACCGGCTCCACGCAGCCCGCCTCTCTTCCAGCCATTTGAAACCATTTCTGCAGAACTTTGCCTAGTCAGTTTCACACAGGCTAGCAGCATGAGACAGGAATAACTGCTTTTGTATGCCTGTACATGTCCCTTTTTCCCTCTATCATCCACTCGAAGGCATTTTGGAATTGTGTTTTTTTTCTTTTTTAACAGCATATAAAGCTAAATTGAATTCAATGCTAGTAAAAAAGGTGGCTTATGTCAGAGACAAGGATGTGTTCTTTCAATTCTAAATGGAATAGCAAAACCCTGAATGCAAAGTGTTATTTCCTGTGGGGCAGGAGAAGATTATTTTCCCCTGTGACACTTCACCTGTGTGCCACTCTTGATTCTCTCTTACACTGCTCTTCTGTTCTTTAATTTGTACGTGGATGCGTGTGTGTGTGTGTGTGTGTGTCTGTCTGTCTACATCTATGTATCTGTTTATCCCTTCTATCTCCTTTATTATAAAAACAGTAAGTGCTAAATAAATATAAGCTATTATACATCAGACAATGTTTAAAGCACTTTGTATATATCGACCCATTTAGTTGTTACCTCAACTCTTTGAGGGAGGGACTATTCTAATTACCTCCATTATACAGAAGAGGAAACTGAAGCAGGGAGGTGACTGGTTGTAGATCACACAGATAATCAGTGGTGGACTTGGGACACAGACCTAGGAAGTCTGACCGCTGAGCCTATGTTTTAACCAGTAGTCTGTTCAGCCTCTTTGGAATCATGTGTATATTCACTTTGGACCACATCCTCTTCTGAACCATTGCTAGGACAATTCTACATACAAGTTTTGTGACTTTGAACAAATCCCTTAAAAGCCAGTGCTCCTAGGATTTTCTCCTTAAAATAAAGATATATCTTGTGTAAGGTTTTTGAGATATCAAATGAGATAATATTAAGTATCTAAGGGTGTGTGCGACTTAGAGCAGCTGTTCCACAAATTCAGTTTGATTTAACAGCATTTATTGAGCATGTGGTCTGTGCTGGGCTCAGAGGATACAAGAATGGTCAGGACAGACATGGTTCATGCCCTTTGAGCTTCCTGTGTAGTGTCTGGTGGGAAAGTGGACAAAATCAACCAACAATGACAAATTTTGACATGTGCTAAAAAATAAACCAACTCCTCTTAGCATTCCTAGACATGCTGAGCATAGAGCTTGGCCCCAAAGGAGAAGCTCAGCAAATACTTGTTGGATTAGATGAACCTCGTCAACTCCATCAGCTGCTGAAGGCTGTCACCAAACATGGCTCAAAAATGCAAATGTCAGATGGAAGTGTGTCTGAAAGGCCAGAAGGTGGAGCAGTCCTGGCTCAGCTGGTATTGTAGCTAGTACAAGTCAGGAGGAATGGTAGCTCAGTGGTCAGCTGGGAGCTGGCCCTTGGGGAGCTGGGTGAGCTCTATGAACACCATGACAGAGTGGAAAGGCAAGAGGCTCCATAAGCCACCAGGAGCCCCTGTGTGAGCTCTGTCTCTGCAGTTGGTCTGCTCTGGGACTGTGGGCAAGGTTCTCAGCCTTGGCACACTTGTGCCCCTCATTTATAAAAATAGAAGTGGTAATATGTACCTAGCAGGATTTCTGTGATTTTTCCATGTCAAAAGGTTATGAGAAAATGCAAAAAGGTCCTTAGAAAAGTGCTTGGTGCTTTGCAATTATTTAGTGAGTGTTAGTTTTTATTATTATTGTTATTCATCATTATTATTATAAGAAAGCATCTATATCGCTGCTAAATCAATGCTAGTTTTCTTTATATTTAGAAGCCTCAAAAAAGAATGTCATACAGGATTTTGGTGTGGTGGAATACTTCTGTTACAGGAGGCAAGAGGCCTGGGGCTTCTGCTACCATGGGCATTGTGGTCTGAGGACAGCCAGTTCCCCCTCTCTGGGCTTCAGCTTCCTCATAGGCAAAATCTAAGTTAGACTGGATGATGTCCAAGGTCATTTCTAATACTGGGATACTGGGATAGTCTTCTGAGATTGTGCATCCTACCACTGGAGACTCTCAGAGGGAAAGATTACCAGGGGAACTATCATCTACTGCTAATCACAGTTTAATGAAGTGGTTCTCAGTTGGGGGTGACTTTGACTGTTTCCCACCCAGGGACATTTAGGGGTGGGGTGCTACTGTTATCTAGTGGATGGAGTCCAGGGATGATGTTAAACATCGAACAATGTGTAGGACAGACAACGAAGAATGATCGGAGCCAGAGTGTGAGTAGTGCCTGGGCTGAACAATGCTTGCTTAATGCTTACCTTGTGTTTTCGGGTCAACTAGAGCTGAGCTGCAATTGCCCATGTATTGATGCTCAGGTCCACAGTTAATTTATCAGGTTTATTAGACAGTTTGATCATTTGAAGGGACCACATATAAATTTTGTTATTCAAAAGCCTTCGCTTCCTATTCTCTCTATCGCTTGGTGACAGGGAGTTGGGAACAAAGGTGAGGTGTCATGTGACAGAAGAAATGAAATCAGGGATACCTCAGAGCAGAGAGCATAAAGCAACTCATCTATTAAGGGGCCAGAAATGGAATGCAAATGGTTCTGTTTGTCTTTCTAAGGGACTGATAGGCAGCAAGTGATTCGATTCTTGTGGGAATCCTTTTGTATCATTAATTCATTAATTCAGTCTCTCACCACTTATGGAGCATCTGTGGTGTGCCCAGCTCTGTGCTGTTGCCAGGGACATAGTAAAGAGCCAAATGGAGCAAGTCTCTGCTTGTCAATGTGAGGTTTCCTGTGCCCATCCCTTTTTCGTCTCCCAGGCAAGTCCTACTAATCGTTCCAGACCCAGCTCAGAGACTCCTCATTTTCTGCCTCCTTTTCTCCAGTCATCTGCATATCTGTCTGCTTCCCTGCAGAGACTAGGTTTTAATTGCTTCCTGCATCCTGAATATCTTACTTAGTGCCTGGCACAAACAACTGTTTGTTGGAAGAATGAGTGAGTGAGCAAATGAATGAGGCTGTGCTTCAAGGCCAGTCTTTGTGCAGTTTTTAAGACGTCTTTTCTCTTCCACCTTCCATTCCAGTCTACTCTGTGTCTCCCATTAGAAAGAGAGATATGAGAGAGATGAGGCAGGCAGTTTTTCAGCTGAGGTCTCACGAGGGTGTGTGGAGACAATGGTCACTTGGAGAAAGGAAGGCTGATGAGAGTTGAGGGCATTTTTAACACAAGTGAGAATTGTGGATGAGGTGGTGCTGTGGTCAGGAGCATGAAGGTGATCAAGGGAAATAATGGGAACAGTAACTGCTGTATTACGGGGAAATATTAATGATCTCCATAAAGATGGTATACAGCTCAAAAGGTATTATTTTTAGTGGGTGTCTTTGAGTTGTATGAATTAATAAGGAGCAGCTTGGGTAGTGGAACTCATTAACTTCTCAAATCTAACTTATTTACACTGAATGTAAACCTTTCTCAGACTATTGACATCAGCCATTATAAATGACGCCCCCAATGTGAACTGTATTTTCTGGTGGCAACTGCATTTTTGTGTTAGAGCATAGGAGTGGGGATGGAGTTTTCAGATGCATTCAGATATCTGTTTGTGGGTGACTTCATCTTCTGTCACCTGCAACCCTCGTTGAAATCAAAAGTTCTGACTCATTGCAAAGACACTTGCAACCAATCACATACTGGCTGTGTTTGTTAAACACCATTGTGTAGCAGTTAATTCAGTTCTTTTAGAATCACTCAAGTTGGTCAATGGTCTGTTGTCCTCATCAATAGGTTATTAGTGTTAGTTTACAGTAGAGTCTCTCTATTTCACTTCACTTGTAAAGGCACTCTGTCTGCATGGGGGCTGATTGTTGCACGGGAAGTCTCTCCCAAATATGAGTTCCCTCTTGCAGACCCCTCTACAGGCTTACATATCCTTTTTCTACAGAGAGGACTTGGCAGCATATGCCATCCCCCCAAATTATTTAATATAGGGCATTTTCCTCAGGTTTTCAGTCAAATGGTGTTGTCCACTGAGATGTTTTCTCTGGTAATTACATAAAAGTGATGTATCGTATTATATTTTTTTTTCCTGTGGTTTTACCGATGTTTTGGAGTTCTGACTTTAAATAAACAATAAGAGTGAAGGGACCCTGTCCTCAGATTTTATCAGTTCCCTTTCCTCACCCACTTCTACCAACTACTGTACTACCTGTTTTGCAAAGGAGGATGGAGAAGGGGAATCAAGTCTGTTGGATGTTTGCACATGGTATCCCATTTAACCCTTCCTCTAAGATAGGCATTATGATTCCAATTATTCAGATTGGGAAATCAAGGCTCCGAGATGATTTTTACCACACCCCAAATCACAGAGCCAGTTACATAGCAATCTGAGATTTCCAATCCGGATTTTCCTTTGCTTTAACCTTCTGATAAATCCCATCAGGTACCATCCAGGAGAAGGAACGGACCTGGGAAAGGTTAAGGCAAGCAAGTGAGAAGATTTATAGGGAAAATAGGATAATGTTGGACATAGAATGGAGAAAAAAAGTTGAGGCATTGAATTGTTTTCCACCATTTCCACTTATGGGCTTCATGGGAGCCCACTGATCTGGCTCAGCAAAACCTTCAGAATTCCCTAGTCGTTTCTCCCAATAGATCATGAACCAGAGCTCTGAGAGAGTCAAAGTCTGATCAGTAATCTACCAGCATCCTATGTCCTTGAATTTATCATCTTGATGCTGCTTGAATTTTTGGTTCTCTTTGTAGGACACGGAGGGACAGCATAGCAAATAATTATATAAATAACTAACATTGGTTGAGGTTATGTATAACATGTAAGCATCTAATCTGCTTCTCTAACTATTTGTGGGAAAGGATTCCCTCTCTTCCTCTTTTTTCCTAAAAATTCTAATCGGTCATAGACTGTTGCCTTATTAACATATAATAAAATTAATAGAAAAATAAAAGTAAAAATGGCACAGAAAATCCAAGTCTTATTGTTTTATTATTATTAGAGTCATTGGACATAAAAATAACTTTCTCAGATGTCAATTTCATACTTATCTGGTCATGAACTAGGGACATACAGGATACAGACCAGCTTGCATTTTGAGGAGTGCTTTTCTAAGAAACTTACATGCAGTCATTCTGAGGAGGCTTATTTCCCCCATGTTGCAGGAGAGGGAACAGAAGCACCATAAATAACTTTCTATGGCTACAGGTAGTGAGATGAGGAGCCAGTATTGCAAGGCAGGCAGCTGGTTCCAGAACCTTCCCTGTTAACCTCTTTGTATTCTTCCTTGACTCACAGTGCACAGAGCTTGGGCATAAAGTGGGCTGGACCCTGAGCAAGTCTTTTCTCTGTCATTTAGTACCTGTATGACATTAGGATTAAATGACATCTCCTCAAAGGCTCATAGATGGTCCCTGGCATGGCATAGGTGCTCAACAAATGGAAGCCATTCATTTTGACAAGGACAAAATTCCAAGTGGCACTTTGATAATGATTTGGGGTAGATTATTTGATTCGATGCAGTTAATATTCCACATGTCAATGTGTCTCAACTGTCATGTTTTTCAGAAAATGTTGTCAGTTTTCTTATTCTATGAAAGAAATTGTTTTATTTTGTCATTTTAAATCTCTGCCCATTTATTTCCAAACCCTGTGGCAGAAATGGCCAAAAATAAGGCTTACTATGAGAATAAATTTTGTTTCCTTGGGGATCCAGTAGCACTACAGATTTTTTTTTCCTTGAGGAGCCTTGGGGTCCAATGCCTGGTGTTAAATTCCAGCTGTTTCCATTTTCGTTGAAGGCCTTTGACTAAGTTACTTTAATTTTCCAAGCCTCAGTCTCCTCACCTATTAAATGGGGATGATAATAATATGACCTATTTCAGAGCGTAGCTGTGAGGATTCAATGCATTAATATATAAAATGCACTTAGTATAGTATCTGGAGGATAAATAAACCCTTAGTGATTATTATGGGCACTGATCGGTATGTTGCAAGGTGGAAAAAGGGTGGAGTTCCAAGACATCGTCTACTCCCTGTAGGAGAAAATCCACAGCCTTCAACCAAAAACAATGCACCTTAATGATAATATTAATGTTAATTATTACGACTATTTTTCCTTCGCACCTGTGACATGTTGGACATGGTACTGATCATTTCCATACACATTGTTCATTGAATTCTCTCAGCATTTCACTGATCAGTAATTAAATTTCAAGGTAGTTAAGATACTTGTTCAATGACCCATAGTGAGTACATAGAAACCCCACAGGTTGAGCCCAGGGTAAACCTGGTTGCATCCCACACTGTTTTCAGTCTGACCAGAAAAAAAGACTGATAATAAATAATGAATTAACATTTACTTAGTTTTTACTATGCGTTGGGCCTTGTTCCAAGTAGTTTATATGATTTATCTCATTTTATCTTCATGCAATAGTATGAGATAAACACTCCATTATTTCCACTTTTATAGAGGAAGAAACAGAGTCAAGGGAAATATTGGGACTTGGGTAGTAAGAACTGAACCAAAGTTTGAATGCAGGCAGTCTGGTTCTATAGCCCATGTTATGCTATAAATGGTGGAGTTGGCATTACAGGCAAAAATATGCACGCACACACACAGACACACACAGACACACAGACACACACACACACACACACACTAGCCTGAGGTCAGGTGTGCATGATCCTCCTGCATCTTGGGCAAAATGTTTCCCCTGCTCTGGTTCTTGGCATCCTTGGTAAAATAAGGGGATATTAGAGCCTCTTGAAAGTCCTTTCTGTTACTAAAAGCCTATGAGTCTGTAAGTAGCAGGACAAAATACAGCTTTCCTTGTATGTCTCCACCACATTACTGACCCGTTAGAAAATAGCCATTATGTGAATGGCTTAATTTATATTTAGGTGTTATTTATAAAATTTGAGGGAAAGAGGGCAGGATAGGAGGCCCAACAGAGCAATTTAAGGCACGTTATCAGCTTCTTACTTGAGATTTAGTCCTGCAGCGCGAGTTCTCTTCTTGAACATATACAACTGCACTGTTGCTGGAAAAATTTCTCAGGCTGTGTTTCTTATCCCACAGCTTTCCTATACACCCTGCTCCTTAGACAAACTGCAGATGATTGCCTGTTGTGCAAAGTGGACACTCCAAGGTTCAGAGTGGTGGATGGATGATTATTTGGTGGAGGCGTGTGTCTAAAAACTTGCCAATTTTCTCCTACAGAGTCTTTGACTGTCTGTGCTGTTGGTGGTGACTCCTTTATTGGTCTACAGAATTTAGTTTTTTTTTTGAAACTGAGCTTTTCATACTTATCTTGAGTACTGATTTAGAAAGAGGTTTTGTCTTTTCACTTAAATACAAAAGGAGAAAGGGACCTGAAATGATTATGCATACTCTTTATTCTATAGAAAAGGAAGCTGAAGATGAGACAGGTGACTCAGCCAAGCTCTTGGAGCTCTGGATAACAGATAATCTCTACCAGGAGTTCCATGTACTTCTGAATCTTTACTGTGAATTTTGTGTATGCAAACATTTCTCTGGAGAGAGGGTCTATGGCAGGAATCAGAAATGCATGGGCCCACAGATCATGCAAATGAATGACATAGTCAGGTGGAGGGCAACTGGGACTGGTGGGAAGTGGGGCCAACTGGACACCATATATTCCACTGTAAGGAAAAGTTGGTTTTCAGCATCAACTAATTGTTACCAGAAGTAGTGCCGATCCAGGACTGTCAGATCTTTGAAATTTTCTAAAGAAGCCAGTTTTCTTCATTTTAGGTAAAATATTTTAATTTTAAATGTTGGCAACTCTTTCAAAGGTTTTAAAGATGTAGGGCAGACAAAGCACAGCATTACTTTGGATTGAGTGCAAATCATGGACCACACATTTACAAACACAGATTTATAACTCATAAGATTCTCAGAAAGAATCTTTGGAAAACAGGGAAATAGCAACTTAGGGAATGACAGTTACAGCTCCAGGACACATTTTTTTTTCCTCCTCCTCCTTTCCCCATTGAATTAGATGATGATTTTTATACATCACCTACACCTGGAGTTATATTTAGGTCAGTCGAGAGCAACTCCTCCTTCACTGAACATTACGTGTATTTATGACAATGTCTCTTATTCCATCTCCCTCTATCTATTGCACTTGAGGCTTTGCTGTCTTCTGTGCCACTTGTTTTAATATCCATACCTTATTTCCTGGTGACATTGTGTAGCAGCAAATACCCATCTGTGAGGGGGTGAGGCAGTGGACAGAGGTGACAGGCAGCTCTAAATAAGTATTAGAGATATGTCAAAGTCAGTTAAATAAGAGAGAGTCAAAGGGGGTGGGGCTGGGAGGAGGGAACAGATCTGTGATTCTTGGGGAGGGAGGAGAGAGTACCCTTTCAAGAAAGATGGGAGAAATGAATGTGAATTGTGAGAAACTGGAGATTTTATCTCTGAAGATAAATCTCTCCTGTACTCTCAAAATCCAGGGCCTTAGCTGTGAAATAAAGATGATGGTGTGTATTCAAGTGTATTGAGACTCCCACCAATGTTTATTTGAAGTTCTGTGTTAATAAAGTACACAGAGGCATCTCTCTATTTCTCTTTCCTCATGCTCCCAGTCTCCTTTTGTTAATTCGTCCCAATGAGCACCTGAAGAAAAGACACTGCATATCTCATTGCTCTAGGTGTACCATATTTTAGAAAGTACAGAACTATCCATTTTAAAGGACTAGGGATCATTTTCACCATTAGGAAAGGAAATTCCCAGTTTAGAAACAGCAACATTTTATATTGCAACTTTGTAACAGGGTGCGTTTCTAGCTCACTTGTCAGAAGGAGTTTATTTATCAGTATTGAAAGCACTAAGTAACATGTCGTTACTTCTATAACAGTGGGAGATAATTAAATCCTACATGCTTTAAGGAATCAAGCCAGGGTCAGAGCTGTTTTGCATACAGCATGCACAGATTAGGTGAAAGTAGCCTGTTTCAACTGTCACTTGATATTATATTAGCTGTTAGATAAATATTACACAACTGCAGAGCACAGCAGCTATTTGGCAATGCTTCCCCATCCTTGCATTGTGCTGTTGTGTGAACTAATACGCACTTATATGGGGATGACTTGATACACTTAGCCAATGGGACAGCTTGACCACTGGCTGGCCTGTTTAAATTGCCATTAGATACTATGACGCTTGCTGCTTTTCATTTCCAGAGAACCGTTAAAGTCTGTCTTTGAGAAAGACCTGGACAGGATGATGTGGATCTAAATTGCTGCCCATCAGAATTTAGGGACTCTCACACCAGGTATGGGCAGCAATATGACAAGGCTGTTGAGAAAAGGCAAAACCCAAGGCTGTTGAGAAAAGGCAAAACCCAACTAGGACAATACAGGCAGACAGTGAAGGTGGAAGGAGATGGGAACTGCTTCATGTGAAGTAAGCCAGGGAAGAACTGACTGCTGATGTAGTGGAAGGAATGTGGTCCGTGGAATCAGACGCACATTGCATTCCAAAGCTGGTTTCATCATTCACCCACTGTGTGACTTGACTTAATCACTCAGCCTCAGTTTCTACGTCTGTGAAGTGTGCTCATGGGGAGGATTACGTGAGATAAGTCATGTAAAATGTCTGGGCAAGGAAGTGGCACATAGAGTGTGCTTTGTAAATGCTAATCCTGGCAGGATCAGAAGCCTAACCCTGAACTTAGTAAGGTGTCCATCAATGAGTTACACCAGAACACAGGCTGTTTGCCATCTCTTATTCTAGTCTTCCTGGTACATGTGGGTTGTCCCATTACTTTTAGCTGTTGACTACACCCAGAAGGCAAAAACTAGCGAATCATGCCCATGTTTGCAGTATGGACAGCCCAGGACAAAATCTGCAGCTTTAGTTGGCTACACTTTGGAATGAGTTCCTCAAAGAAGCTTTCCATCTGCTTTGAAGGTTTGTAACAGAACAATCTCAGCTATCAATTATCAGGGATACCACCTTCTCTGATCAGCCCTCATGTTTTTCTTCACTTTTCTTTTGCCACTTAGTATTTCTACCTTGTATTCCAGTGTTTGGGGGTTATTAATGCCTCTGGACAGAATCCCTGTGTGATCCAGCTTTGATGCAGCCAGAGGATACAGGACAATCTCTGGCTAGAATAGGAGCTCAACAGATGTTTGCTTAAAGGTAAGGGGATGCTTTTATTGACCTGTCTTAGTTTCTCTTGGCTAGTGACGATATTATCTCTATTTTAAGTGTCAAAGGGAAATGAAACTTAAGCCTATGGCCCCAGGAGTATATGTTTTCTGTGATATCAACTACTATATCCTTGCGGTATCACAGCTGGAAAACTCTGCAGTGCACAGACAGGAGTGTCCTGAACACTACAGCAGGGAGCCTGTGTGTGGCACCAAGGGGCCACTGGTCTCTGTCTTTCTCTACTTTTTGGGGAGGATCTCAGTTGGCCCTTATCTGTTTTTTTTCCAAACCTGTCTATTTTCTGTTAACTTAGGCTTCAACTTTCATATATGTGAGATATTAAACTTTTTTATAACTTAAGCCAGTTTGAGTTTTTCCTGTAACTTCCTGACAAAGGAATCAAACAGAATCAAAATGAATTTGATCTTAAATATTCATCATAACAGTGATGACTAATGCAAACCTATGGCAAGTATTTGTCAGTACTCTTAAATACGAAAGGAGTAAAATCCTCCAAAGTATATCTAATATAACAACCATACAAAAATCATGAATAATGATACATATGTATCATAAAATAGTATTAACTAAAAATACTTATAGTAGAATTGAGAAATTAACAGTACATTATAAAAGATTTTAATTAGCATTTTAAGTGTTGCCTTCAAATTTTTCTTCCTATCATGTCTCAAAATATTAAGCTCCTAGAGGTTAAGGCACATGTCTTATTCATCCCAATTTCAAGTACAGTTGCTGGATTATTTTTAGTTTTATATGTCAGGAGGGATTAGGTTCTGATACGGTTAACAAACAACCCTGAAATTTCAATCTTTAAAAGAGGAAAGGTTTATTTCTTGCTTCGGGTTCATATCCATTTGGCATTGAAAGGGACACGTGGCCTGAGCCACAGCAGAACTGAGTGGTCATGTGGGCTGGGACCCGATCCCTATCCTTATTGCCCGGGACTCTGGCTCCTTTCTAATCTGAGGCAACTGGTGACACCAACTCCAAATTAGGGGTTCTGATTCCTGTTAAGGGAGGGAGGCCCTGCTCCTGTCTCACCTTCACCTCCCTGGCTCATTGCTCACCATTACCACCATCACAACGAATGCTGGATTACCTCTCATGTGCCACATGCTTTGCTAGGTGCTTGGAATCTGTCAGGAAGCAGACAAGGAGAAAACCCCAGCCCCGTGGCACTTACATCACAGTTGGCAAGGGAGAGGGTCCAACACGAAGTGACAGGCACAGTAAGTAACCGATATGTATGTGGGGAGGCAGTGAGCGCTATGGGAAAAGAGAGCAGGGTGAGAGGGAGGCACTCGGGGAGGGAAAGACATAGTTGGAGAGAGAAGGGAGAGAACAGACACATCGGTCCAGTGATAGAGACTGACAAAAAAAGCAACAAAGGAGGAAGGAAAGAAACTTTGAGGGGCAGCGAGAAGATGCTCAGGGAGTGAGATACAGAGAGCCAGGCAGAAAGAGCAAAAGAGAGCTTGCTGTGCCAAGGAGCAAGGATTCCTTCACCTGCATGCTCATCCATCCACCTGTAGCTCAGCCCTCTCATTCTCCTTTGCAGCCTGACCTGGCCCCTCAGCCAGGTACCTTCTCACACCACTGTCTTCCCTAGCACTGGCCACTCCTCGCCTCTCCTGTCTCAGTTCTTACCATCACTCCCATGCTGGCCACATTGTACTAAGTGGCCTTTCTTAAAGACAGAGCTCTTGCATCATCTATTTAGCAAGGGCTTCTCTGACCTCTCTGCTCCATTCTGCATTGGGGGCCCATTTTAATGGGCTCCCCACTACTCATCCCAGCTATAGGTGAACTGAGACAGGGATGCTAATGCTAGTGACATTGAACACATCTGATGCTTACTGTCAGGCACTGTGCTGAACACTTCTCCTGTATTGCCTTGTTTAATCTTCCTAAGAATGCTTTAAGGTAGGACAGTTGTTATTAGCTTCCTTTTAGAGGTGATGAATGTGGCACAGAGAGGTTTAGGAACTTGCCCAAGATAACCTAGCTTGTAAATAGAGCAGCCCTTTCTTCTAATATGAATAAACAGGTACATGTTATACTTACTCCTAACACTAACTGTATCACATTTTTTTGTGATATATCTATGCCCCCCACTTCTCACCCTCCCTACCCCACTAGATAATATGTACTGTGAGCTTCTTGAGAACTGGACAAATATCTTTGGTTGTTACTTGGTACCTGGCTGAGAATCAGCTCTAAGTACATCACTGAGGAAGGAATGAATAAACATATCACTGTTAGGACATCTGCTCAGTGAGAGGGCCAGCAAGTGACCTGTGTGCTTCTTAGCCGTGGGCTTTGGAAGACCTGAGTGGCCACTACCCAGCGTAAGCCTGTCTGAGATAGGATAGAATGCTGGAGGAGGGATGTTCCTGGGTGAGGAGACTCTTGGTGATGGGTGGTCCGTAGTCCCCTGGAGGCAGCTGCACAGTCCGCAGAGCCTCTGCATTTCTCCTGTGCCTGCAAGGGCCAGAGGGCCAGAGGAGGGGAACACTGCTTGCCTGCTATGGGCCAGGAACCCTGCTTCAAGGCCAACACATTTTGGTGGCACTTCAGAGGTCACGAAGGGCTTTCATGCCCAGAGATACACAGGTCGTTGCCAAGAAGACTGGGCAGTTGACTGGAAGCCCTCATGTTTTTGCAGCCTCACCAATGCTAAGCCAACTGCCACACTGGCCTGAGCAGAACCACAGAGGCAGGGTTTTAACTCGTAACAGCACCCTCGGTGTTCTTGTAGGGATTCTTGACAGAATGAAGAGAAACAGGTATTTCACGAAGAAAAGTACAAAGTACTGATGCTCACCGTGGGGAGAAAAATGCATGTCCAGATGCCCCTGTGCTCATGGAGGCTTCGGAGACAAGGGGTGTGAGAAATTGAGCTCCGGAATGAGGATGAGGAAGGCGCCTCCTCTGTCCCCCCTTCCCTTTCTCATCTCTGCCTTCAACACCCACTCCCCACTCCCCAGGACAGAGGAGCTGTGAAATCACTGCCTTTTACTCACATCCCGATCTCTTTGGAAAGATAAGGGGAGCCCATCTCCTTGCAAGCATTGAATTCTCTAGTAGCAGATTGCTTAAACCTGTGAAGCATTGTCTTGTGGGGATAGAGAACATTGAATACAGGAGAAAAACATGGAATAAATAAGAGTTTCTAAGACAGTCTGTATTGATGTTATACTTATAAAACCTAAAAGCCCTGGCTGACTGTGGAAAATTAATGATAGGTACAGTCAATATTAATTGTCCCTCAAAAAAAGCAAGGGGAAAAATCCTCCAAAATGAGGATCAATATAATCCCCTTGCCAGTGCCGTATTGAGCCTTTCTTCCAAAAATAAATATATTTTTAAGCCATTGACAGGATTATTTAGGAAAGCGATTTCTTAGTCCTGCTAATGGAAAACCATGATAATGATCTTTGAACAATAGGTTTTAGAAACATCAGCTTTTGGGTGGTAGACTGGCTTGTCGGTCAATATTGCAGTTCCTCTTTGAAAGGGAAGAAGCCAAGATGAAGGAGTGGATGGAGTTTGGATACCTGATCTCCCCTGCAGAGATTTTATTTTTCATTCTCCCATGAATTATTAAATATGAATCCAGCCATGCAAGGTAGGAAAAATGAGATAATTTCTCTATGAGTGTGCTGATTAGCCAGTTGCTCAGGTCAGTAAGGACTCCACGTGTTTCCAGTTTCTATATATGTCTGTAGAAATGGAGCATGATCCTTACAGCATCTCAAGTGAATGATTTTTCAATTAGCCTGTAGTTCTTTTGTGGTATTCCCTTTGCAGTCCTATGTGGGTGATGTAGAGCAAAGGTTTAAGAGGTTTTGGACAATTTATGTGGTTTGGAGAGGCTGTTTGTCAAGAAACAATATCTGCAACAACTTTTATGTTCAATTTGAGTCCCAGGTCTTTTGCTTATTTTTATAGCCCCATTTTCTGAGGTGTTAAAGCTAACTTAAAGGCAGTGTTTAAATTGTGTTGGTGGTGTTGGTAAGATGTTTCTGGACAGTGCTGGGAAAACTCAACCCTTAGATACACGGAGTTAGTGGACTTTGTTGTAACTGGAGGGCTGTTTAGTGTCTCATCAGAATACTTTGAAATGTGGATATTGTTTGAGCTGAAATTTTACCCTCAGGGTAGTAGAAGAGTGTGAATGAATTTGGAATTCAGCCAGGTCTTGGAGATCTAGAAATAGTACTTCCTAAGACAAATTACTTGTCAATCATTATATCTCAGTTTTCTAACCTGTAAAACTGGAGTTAGTTTAAAGATTAAATGAGACAATGTATGAAAGTGTTTAGCCAGAACCTGACATAAAGTAACACCTCAATAAATATAATTATTTCTATTATTATTGCTGGTGCTGTTTTTAGGAATCTAGCCTAGGATTATATGTAGGAATATGTCCAAAGATTTGGTTGGAAAGATGTTCTTCACAGCATTGTTTATAATAGGGAAAAATTGGATTGCCTAAATATATTATAGCATATAGGTACAAGGGCTATTGTGTTATTTGGCTATTAAGAACCATGTGGATGATATTTAGTGGAAGAAGAGTATTCACAATAATTTAAGTGAAACATGAGGTTGCAAAATAGTATCATTCTATTGTTTGTTCAAATATGCTGAGCATAAATATATACTCACACATAGAAAAATAATACCTAGGTGTATCCCTGGTATATGGAAATACAATTTTCAATGTTTTAATTACTTTTTTTGCTTATCTACTTTTTTCTTACAATGCTATACTTGATTAAAATCTATTTTTGATTGCAAAAAAGAAAACTTTAAAATGAGGTGAGGTCCCCCAGGTGGGGGAAATGGGGGAGATCTTTAGTGGTGAAAAAAAAAAGAGTGAAAGTGTCAGTAAGGCTTTATCAGAGATTTGGGATGTGAACTTGAATGTGCTGGAGGTTTTGTCATTCCATCAGAAAACATAAGCAAGAGATGAAAGATCAGGAACATTTGAAAATGAGATCGTGAGGAATGAGAACTATATAGTCGCTTGGCCCCATATATTTTTTTTATTAGAAGACATACTGACATTTGAAAAATGGAGACTTGTGCCTCTGCCTTGAGGTTGATTGGCATTTATGGGCAGGGTGAGGCATGGTTTGCCCCCCCTCATCACCCTCACCCCACATCCAAACCCTCACCCATCTACCCTCTGAATTAAATTGGATAAGCTGTAAAACTTCTAAAATGGCTATGTGCAGAAAGACTAGTTGTCATTTTCAAAATATGACTTATCTGGATAGAAATTTGAAAAAGTAACTGGTGACATTTTAAACACTTTTACTGACTGTTGTTAAAAAAGAAAAAAGAAAACTGTACCTGTTCAGGGAGAAAAAGCAAGAAGAACTGAGAATAGTTCTATATCAAGTCTTTATTGAAATAGTTGGGTCTAAATCCCAACGGATTTTGTAAAAATTGAAATAATGTTTGGAAGGGACACATGATTGCTATAAATATCTATTTATATTCATACCTCAGGAGTGGGCCAAGTCCCTTAATTTTCTTCATAAATGGAAAATTATTTTCACAAATGGAGATTTATCATTTTTATGATGCTATAACTTGACCCTTAGAGTTCTGGAACTTTTAGGGCTTCCAGCTGAATATATCTCTTTCTGAGACAGGAAGCATATGTGTTCATGTATAAGACTGAGTATAAGTGAATGTGTCTATTTTCCTCCAAAGGGCTAAAGCACATTTATGAATATTTTATCCTTTTAACTTCAAGTTTTTTTGCAAGGGAAAAATATATTTGTCCCAAAGCTATCATACTTTCACAACTGTCCTTAGACACTTTTGCCATTTGTTAAGTATTTAATCCTAGGAATAATAAGTTTTTTTTCTAGGGTCCCATTCATCTTTAACACACCCAAAAGTTGAACATCATAAAGTATGCTGAATGCTGTAAATAATGATGTCCTTGTTGTCAGTAAAGATTGCTAAAAACTGTTTTATTAGGAAAAATATTCTAAGTACAAATTTAGAAGAAGTATATTTACTTTTCTGAGACACCCATTTCTGCCTTAATTTCTCTCTTTCCTTGCTGCTTTGTAGTCTCTCTTTCCCTCTCTCTGTATGTGCGCTATCTCTCTGTTTGCTTAACCATCTTTTTTTGATCTGTCTGGTGTACACTATTATGTACAAAACATTCTCCATTACCCTCAAATCCCCTCCCCTGCCATGGAGTCTTAGCTTTCCCAACAAAACTCACCCTCATCATTCATTTCTTCAGAGCCCTTTTAGTTCTCAGGAATTACTATCTTAGGCTAATTTCACATACAGTGTTAGGATTTGAGTGTCTTCATATTTTCTGTTCTACTGTTGAAGTCACAACTGGTTACCTGGTTTTTTTCTTTGATCCAAATACTGCCTAAATTTTTTAATTGGTTGCCAGAGTTTCAAAAATTTTACATAATGCATTGGACTGTCTTTTAAAAGATCAGAAGATTTAACCTCTTTGCGTACCTTTCACATGGCGATAAAGGGCTGATGTGGAAAGGGCAACTGCCCACGCTCTCCAATACATCGCAGCTCTGCCCTCACGCCTTGGGATCTTCATTCACTTATGTTACTACCCTAATCTCTGTAGACACTTTGCTATCTCTGTTCTCTTCCTTCCTGTTCCTACAATTTCCTCTCTTGGAAACCCCCTTTCTTCTCCACTAAAAGGAGTGAGAACAATGGAAATCCCAGTTCCTATGACTCGACCCAAGATGGAGAATGTTAATACGAGAATTGCTATGAAACAGCTCCTAATGTCATTTGAGATCATTGATATCTGAGTCAACCATTTAGATCTATTGGTGTAATTTGTCCTCTGATATTTCTCAGGTGTGTTATTCATTGTCTTAACCTTAGGAGTCATAAAATAAACAAATTTTATCTCAATTTGAACAGTAACAAAAGTTGAAATAACTTAAAAATTCTATTGGGGCCTGTCTAGTTTCCAATGATACAGTATATTCATAACTCTTGTGGGCTTCAGGAAGGATCTTTCATGGTATCATGTCTCAATTTTCCTTTTCCCCACAATTTTGTGATAACTTTTCCCTGTTATTGCCCCTCTGGCTGTGGCACTCCTTCTGAATAGGCCAAGAGCACACCAATGCCTGGACTGCCTATGTTTAGCATTTAATGGATGTTTGTTAAATGAATGAACATTTTCATGTATGTTTATAAAACTGAAGCAGAGAGAGGAGAAAATAATTGTCTTTGGTTATACATGAAGTCACTGAAAAATGGGTTAGATTTGGCCGATTGGTTCAAATATTTAAGTGAAAAAGTGCTGCTTTCCTCTCATTCCATCCCAATCCCCATCACACCCCATTGTGACCCAATTTCTCAGTAAATGTTCAATTTTCCTTTTCCATGAGCCCTTGAAATGGTCATATGTATTGGTGATTCAAATTCTAATTCTTATTTCCAACAGAATTGCATGAAAATAATGGTTTCCAATTTTCAGAGCATTTACAAACTGTTTCCTTGCTTAAACAATTGGAATTCTGACATTTTGGCTTCATATTGTTCTAGTCATATTGCAATTATTGCAGCCTAAGCACCACTCTATTGGCAGTGATTTTATCAAACAAAAGTGCACACGGTCACATATTTGTGCATGCTTTATCAGCTTCCAGTGAACTCATGCCTTTCTGCTGTTGGGATTCTCCATGGACTTCAATCTCATCTCTTTAGCAACTGTTGGCAATAAAGCAGGTATGTTCTCTTCAAGCTAATATATGGTGTCTTCTTGAAGTTCTCCCATCTTATGAAATGAACATTAGTTTTCTTTAATCTTGCAGTGTGTTTCTGCTTTGGGCAAGGCTTTCTCTGAGCGGCTTTGTACAAGTCATATGTACTGTCTGTAAGATGCAACTTAACACATCTACCAGAAATGACAAGTACTTTGAAGACCTTCTAGAGTCTCCCAAGTGCCTGAACACAAGAGTGCATTACACTCACACACACGCACACACGCCACTGTGAACTGAGAATAGCATTGTCAGCTCTGAGCTGTTGAAGATCTAGGCAGTCATGATGATAGTTTGACTCAGAAATAAAAGCCAGATCTAGGATGAGCTTTCCCTTTTTTCTTGCTTCCTTGGGACTTCATTGTTGCTGCAAAAATGAAAGTGAAGGTGAAAAAGAGGACTTGTGAAAATGGAGAGTAAATAGCAACTGTTTTACCCATAAAACCACTGAAATATCAGCTTATATACAAATACTATGAACCAAACTGAAAGCGTATTCATTGGTACCCCAGCAACAGGGTGATTTAGAAAGACTTAGAGACCTCGTTTATGAAAGGAACCTGTACCTCTATCTCTATCTCTATCTCTATCTCATCTATACCTATTCCTATCCCTAAACTATGTTTACGTATGTATATGTATACATACAAATATATGTGTATGTGTCTCTGTGTATATTTATTTATGACTGTATATCATCTATTTCTGTTGACCTAAATATGATGAAATATTGGCAATTTCATATGGCTCAGCCCACTAACTCTATCCACAGAATGGATTCCTGCCTGCCTTCTCCACCCATTTTTCCTTGTTTCCTTCTGTGCTAGAGAAGGAGCTGGGAATGTCAAGTGAGAATTGCAACATTGCTCTCGACAGAATATCACGATGGCCCCTGAGATTCCCACCTGTCTAGTCCCCTCCTCTTCAGTGTGGTCAAAATATGTCAATATGATGGGATGTCACTTTTGTGATTAGGTTACATGATAAAGCAAAAGTGAATGGATTTTGCAGCTGAAATTAAGGTCCTAATCAGTTGATTTTGAGTTAATCAAAAGAGAGGTAATCCTGGGTGGGTCTGAGTTAATCAGGTGAAAGCTTTTAAAAAGAGGGGGTGGGTCTTTCCTGAGGTGACAGATACTCTCCTCATGGCCATGACAAAGCAAGCAGCTATATTGTGAGCTGCCTATGAAGAAGGATGACCCTCTGGAGCTGAGGGCCTCAGTTTTACAACTGCAAGGAACTGAATATTGCTAACACTTTGATTGAGTTTGGAAGAGGACCCTGAGCTCCAGATGAGAACACAGGCTGGCTGACATCTTGATTGTAGACTTGCAAGGCCGTGAGAAGAGGATTCAGCTATGATATGCTCATCTGATCCGCAGAAACCATGAGATAATAAAAGTGCATTGTTTTAAATCACTTAAGTTTTGATGATTAGTGATGCAATGAGAGAAAATGAATACAAACATCAAAAGATCTGTGTGTTCAGACAGTGGTTCTGATGGCACCTGTGCCTGCTGCCGCCTGCCTCCTTAGCATCATGCTCCATCCACCTCCACCAATAAGTGAATCCAAAGGAAAGATGCAAGTGAGGGTCAAGGTTCAGAGGGAGTCTCTTGTTCATTCTGGCTTCAGCTGGGGCTTTTGCAACTGTACGTGAACTCAGCTTTATTTGTATTGCTTTATTTCATGACTGCAACAGGGAGAAGTTCTCTTTTCATGACAAAAGTATTTAGGTTGCTCTCGGTTTGAAAATACCAGGCATTTGATGCTAGGAATGAGGTCTTGAATGTAAACTGAAGTTCCCTTTACATACATCATCCTACAGCATTGCACGAGGAAGAAGGCGTGTGGCTGCTCTAATACACTTCTTTTATTTCCCTGCTTTCTTTTTTAATGCTCTTTCCTGTTCAGACTTCTGGGCTTTTTATTCCCCTTTCCCTTTGTGTGATGGCATTTGCCTTGAATGTTGATGAGGGAAACTTGGTCCTTCCCCAAGAACTTATTTGGGGGTAATTAATTCTTGGCACCCTAGCAGTGCTTCACAACTGTGACTTCCTTAGGTACGAATTGACTGACTAAACGTCCAGGCATGGGACATGTGCAATTATTGCATTTCCTTTTGCCAAAAATTTAATTGTTTAATGAACTTACCGAAGCAGGATTGGGAATGGTCATTGTGTGTGTAGGAGAGTAAGGACAGAATTCATATGACAGCAAGGGAATATTTGAGAACATGAATTCTATTTCCTAAGTCCCTTCTTTTGCAATGTTGTACTCTGGAGCTCTGGAAGAAGACAGTTCTAGGAAGATAAACCATGCCTCAGGGAGGTTACAGTCTATTAGGAAAGCAAGTAGGCAAAAATGACCACTTGTGAACTTTTGATAGACTGTTTAACGATGAATACAAAGAGAAGAAGGAGAGAGGACGAGGAGACAAAACTGTGCCTAGGGAAATAGGGAGGGCACTTGGGAAGTGATATTTGGACTAGAGTGGGAAGGAAAAGGGGAATTGGGTAGAAGAAGAGTATATGGTGGTGATTAACATTAATTTTTTAGCAAACGTTGAACTTGGATTTGAAATTGGGTAGAATTTTAGTTAAAATTTTGTGCTTCTCCATGCATGGTAAAATAAAAAATTAATTAATTAATGCTCTGCTAATTTAGAATTTGTGATACGTTAGTGCTGCCAAGGTAGGAGCCACGTCCGTCTTATTCTCTGCCACATCCACAGCATCTAACCATTTTGCCCGTAGTAGGTGCTAAACACAACTAGGGAGGGGCTAAATGAATGAAACTCACCCTGGAGCAACCTGTTACAGGGGTTTTCTAATAAGATTAATTGTGTGATTGCATGTGTAAAAACAAAAATGTGGGAGAATAAATTGTGTACTTGTGGTGACCTGCAGTTTTACAGGTAGCAGACAGGATGATGGGTGGCTGCTTCCACTTGTTCTGGAAATACTTGCTCAATCACAAAACCTTGTTTCTCCTTCATTAGCCACAGAGCTACAAAGGAATGCTGCAAATAAATCCATTGATAGTCCAGTTGGATTTACTGTATATTTTGAAAAATATACAAAAATATATCTTTTATTCCCAAAAATAGTATCTCTTTTATTAGTAATTAGTCTTTCTTCCCACCTGATCTGAATGAGTAAAGATTTCCTAAGGTTTTGGCAGGTTCTCCACTTTGATATTCTACCAGGTGTGGGGACAAGGAAGGGCTTAGGAGGCTGATGAGTAAGCCACGACTGAGTTCAAGATAAGTGATCTAGATCTGGAAAGTGTTATGAAGCAGGGCCTCAGAGCAGAAAAGCAGGTTGGCACGAGATAGACCATCAAAGATCTGAGGCAGAGGGGAGTGTACAATTCAGATGGGCTGGCAGTTGTCATAGGATAGGCCAGGTAGAAGTTCAGGCTAGATGCTGTCTGTGGAGGGGAGGCTAAGAGTGAATAGTAGAAATCAAATGTCCAGAGCATAATATGTTCAGGTCCACCATTAGGAGAAGACTTGTACTTCTTGACAATTGGCTTCCCTAATATCACCATCCTCACCTAGAAATGACCAACTCTGTGGTCACCCTAGGAGGTCTGGTGACCCACAACATATTTTTTCTCCCAAACAGCTTACCTCTTTGTATATAAGCAGTTTATCATTAATTACTCTAGACACTTCACGAAAAATATTTCTTGGTGTCTAAGATTCATTGGGCTCATGATGGCAGCTACATTTTTTCAAGTCGCCCCATCACTAGTTTCTAAGTGAATATTATAGGCGCTCCTATGAGGAGGCCGGGAGTATACAAGTTATAATATAAAACCAGATTTCTATTTTAGGTAGCAAGAGATTATGTGCACAAAAGGCCTTTTGCTGGGTTGCATTTTAGGTACCTCATTAATGTAAAAACAGAATTTAAATGTAAATTATAACGCTTGTTATTACTCATAACTGCTGTTCATATGATAAGTTGGCAGTTTTCCCATACCTTCATAAACCAGTAACCTCCAGAATAAATTATGTATTGTACCAATAAATACCTAATTGTCCTTAAAGAGGCAATGCTTATTCAAAAAAGGTATAGGTTGCCACAGATTTCATGTGAAGCTGCTGCCACAAACTTGTGATGAAGTTTATTCTCTTTCCACCATTTTCCTGCGGGTTCTGGACTGACTAAATTCAGGTCTTGGGCATTAAAGAGCTGGAGCATTTAGTTGTAGTGAGTAAGGGTCAGGAAAGTTCGGTGAGAAGGAAAATCTAGGACATTGTGAACACAGGACAGCAGTCTGTGGGCAGCCTTTAGATGGTCCCCAGTGACTCTCACCAGAGGTCACAGACTGGAAAACTAAGCAACGTTAGCATGTTTCCTCTTGGGTTCAAATGGTCTTGTTTATTCTCTGAGTATAGGAGTGAAAGTTCTATAAACTCCTTGAATGAGAGTCTCTAATATGTGTCTGCATGCATGGGTGTGAGTGTGTATGTGTGAGTGCTTGTGCAGTGAGTCTGTAAATGCATAATTGGGGCTGTCTTGTTTCCTCCAAGCCCTTATGATGGGATGCAAAAGGACAGATGGCTGATGGTGAAGTCCATACGCAGGTGCCTTTGCCCAAGAGCTCCAGAGAGAAGGGACAGAAAGTTTTGACCTCTCTAAAAAACATGACCTTACTCTAAAGTCTATTATTTTGCAGATGACTTATTTTGCATTTAAAAGAAGAAAGAAGTGTTGGCAATCTGCAGTTTTACAGGTAGCAGACAGGATGACAGTGGTCCCTTCCATTTGTTCTGGAATCTGCAAAGGTCCTATTTCTGCTACTAATTCTTCATACATCTCAGCACATTCCCCAGAGAAACCCACTACCCCTCATTATCGTAGTTGAACAGATGGTCCCAAGCATTTCCCTGAATTTCTGTATGATGCCAAGTGAAAATTATCACTCACGGGGACTCTCTGCCATTCTAAAACCAAGATCTCAGTTTTGGTTTTTGGAGACCCTTCCCCAACCTGGAGTGTGTCAGTAATCACAATTTACAGCATTTCTGTTCCTCTTAAGCAAATATTACAGGAATGTAGTCTGCTCAGAGGAGGCTGTGTAAACGGTTTCAAGTTCTTATTGTTCTCCATGATTTATAGTTTAGGTACATATTTATCAAAACTACTGCCCTGTGATCAGAAAATGTGTTAATGTATATTTTTATAGAAAGCAGTCAAAAGTAAATATACGTTAAATGAATGAATTAATGTTTGATGTGCATGACTACTTTCTGACATGTCACACATTCTTGATTTTTTTTTTGGTCTGTCCTTCCCACTAGAACATAAGTTCTATGAGGGCAAAAATTTATTTTTATTCAGTGCTTTTTCTCAGAAGAGGAATATGGTCGGCATTTAATAAATATTTGTTAAATGAATGGATGACTCCGGGGAGCGAGTGAGGGAACAAATGGTGGCAGCAATGGGAAACACTTTCTGTGTATTTCTGGGTATTTCTGAATTACTCCCTCCTTTAAATACTTCATCCTGCACAAAGCCACCTTGAAAACTAAGGTTGTCTATTGAGCGGTCTATTGTGTTCTAGGTACTGGAATAAGTAGTTTATTGAACATATGAACAAGTCATTCCATTTATAATTCTATGAGGTAGAGATTATGATTATATTAATTTTGTAAATGAGGAAACTAAAGATTAGAGAGGTTAAGGACTTGCCTAAGAACACAGTATTAATAATAGGAGAGGCCAATATTTGACTGCAGGTCTAATGAAATCCAGAGGCACTTTCCGAACCAATGTAGCCTCCCAATGTCTTTCTTTGATTCCCTTATTCAACCAACCAATCAACTAATCTAGTCTAATCTGTTGAGAGGTTTCTATGTGTGAGGTATCATGCTAGGCGTCTGGTGACAGGGTCCATGGCTTTTCTACATGCTAAGGTTGGGTAGGGGAGTATCAGGGAAGGAATTAGAAGAGGAGGTGTGGGTGGGTCTGTGTAAAATAGCAGGTTAAACTGACAAGCTTCAGCCAATTTACTTCACAGCTACTCCCAATAAAGGTGGGAATGAATAGGGAAATATCCCATTGCTGGGACCAGAGCTACAGCCTGTTTGTGGGAAGTTGCCACTGATTCCGAAGCAGACTCCAATGTTGTTGTGTTCTGAAACTGAGATCTCATCAGTTTCCCTCCAGTCAAGCTGCACCCAAAACTGTCCCTTAAGACCTTCACCATAACTTGTGTTTTACCCACTTCACTTCTCAGAATGGAAGTTTACAGATAATTGTTTGTAGTTACTAAAAGGAGAATGAGAAAGAAACTAGCAATACATTGTCAGCCCTGAAATGCGCAGCTTCTCACTGCCTGTCATCCTAATGGGCTGATTGACTCTTTAGAGCTGCTTATTAGTTTTCATTTAGGGCTATATTATTTTAATGTCACTCACATTGCCTCATAACCCTCATGCCATCATCAGAAGGCACCTCTAACAAGAATAAAATCAGACCCTATTTTCAGAATGAAGCCTGCAGAAGAAACTTGGCCATCTTTCTTTCTTGCCTCCTTTACTTGCAGACGCAGTTTCAAAATCTTTATATTAGCTTATTAACGTAAGATCGCACAGAAGGGGCCCTGTGCTTTATAATAAAATTCTCAATTAATTATGTAAAATTGATATAAAATAATGAATAATCATCAGGAATGTTTTGCCTTCTCTCTCTTTTTTTTTTTTTTTTTTATAGACTGCGGGACACATTGCAGCAAATATTTCACACGGGAGTTTGTGCCACCATAATAATTAATGCCAGAAAGTTATGTGAAGGTCTTCCTGTATTAAGTAAACTAGCCCTTGCTGAGAATGGAAAGATAAATGGTGGGAGAGTTGAGGAGAGAGCTGCTGTAAAAATGACCTAAGATTTAAGATATATAAACCGCGGGAAAAGAACCCACATATTTTTATCTTTGCTGAGAAAGGTTACTATTTTTCTAAGACAGTAACAGAATAATAACATCTTCAGTTAGCAAATAATTGCACAACTGTGTGATCAGATGCCTATAGATGTTGCAAGGAAAAACAAAATTAACAGGGAACTGTGCTTTTCCCAGCTTTTGTTTGCTGCCCTTCTAGTGATTAGATTCTGTCAATCAAAGACTGTTTTTTTTTTTTATATCAAAAGCCATTAGGAGTTAGATTTTCAGTACTTCTGAAGGGCAACCAAACTTGAATGCAGTTAGAGATAGCAGTTACTCTATGGCTAACGTTATCATGGGGTGAATTATAGGTATTGGCGTTTAGCTTTGTAAACTGTGCTTACCTAGGGATTTTAATAAACCATGGATTGAAGTTTTATGTTTTCCCTTCCTAAGAACATATAGCATTTTTACACTGAGACTTTATTAGTTGTTCGTATGGCTTCATCAAATCGCAATTCACAGGGTAGATGTACAAGGACTGAAAATAGATATATCCCAACCAGTGGAATAAGATCAGTTTGTAAGTCAATATCTGCCAAGGGGGAAAAAAAGCTCCTAAGGATCTTTTCTGTTTCCTTTAAATAAAGAGCTCTTTTTCTTCAGGCTTCAAATAAACTTTTATCTTCCCCAAGTTGGTTGCGAGATCTTCAGTGCATCTAATGAGGATCAAGCCAGGGGTACAATAGGTTGACTCAGTGCTGGAGAGTTCAGAGGACAGAGTCCAGGCTGGTCAAATAGCTTCCCAGCTGGGCGAGATCTGGCAGACCGTGTGGGCTGTGTTCTCTTCCTCTCCTTGTGCATTCCCAGTCTCCCTTCTCTGTCGTGCTTTGTTCACGGTTCTCTCTCATCTGCAGCAGGAACCTTTATTGAATATTCTGACCTCATTCTCTGGGTATTGCTCCCAAGATGTCACTGCAAAGTCTGTGTAAGGAGCGGGAGACGACGGAATGGCTGCACTGCAGAGCTGAGAGCTGCACACTGAGCCGGTGGAGAGAGAGAGGGCAGCTCTGAGTTTCTATGTCCCTATCAGTTCTCGACTGGACCACTGCACTAGCCTCCTAACCTGCACCCTCCAAGGAACCCGCCTAGCATCCAGAATGCTGGTTTTAATCTGAGCATTTACCTTTCCCAACCTCCCCTTTGCCTCCAGATTGTTCTTAAGATAAAGACAGAGCCCTGCCATGGTTGGACTCCCTCCCTCCCTATCTCATCTCACATCTGTGCCTCCCATGTTCTTTGGGCTCCAGGGATGTGGCCTTCTCAAAGCTATACTTAAATCTGCCAAAAAACCTTTGGATCCTAAATTCCTTCTGCACAAAATGCCCTGCCTTCAACCTCTGTCACTTCCTCTCATCTCTACTCATTCTTCACTTTCTCAGGGAAATCTTCCTAACTAGGTCATTACCCTGTGCTCCTTCATAGCACCGTGCACCTCTCCATGGAGTCCTTTACTATATTTGTAGTTTGATTTTGTGCTGTTCAATCAATATATTTCTATCTCTAGTAGGTGATAAGCTTAATGAGGACAAGGGCCACATCTGTTTCTGCTCATTATGTCATCTTCAGTGCTTAGAGTAGCACTTGTCACTGAGTGGGCATTTGATAAATCCTAGTTTAATTAAGGAAAGAATAAAAGAATGAAAAAGTGTGAGAGAGGGCAAGAAAAGGAAAGAGAGAGAGCGAGATGGGCAGTTCATTTTCTTGAACCTACAGAAGATCGTGATGGAATGGCTCTCAATTTCTACTTTAAATACTGTATTTCATTAACTCTAAGACTCCATAATTTTATGATACACAATTACTTTATATATCACTAAGGAAGAAAAAACACTGACAATTAAACTATGACATACTATTGATTATAAGATGCCTCCCAATTTTAGACATCAAAATAATAGATGACACAATGTGGAAAGATGTCCATTTTACAATTGATACACATTAGAATTAAATTACATTAAATCTAGGAAAAATAAGCTAACTTGACAGTCAAATGGATATAGGGTGGGTTGAAGAATGCAGTCTATGTGGGTTGGTGCTGTTGCATACCAGATTTTACATTTAGACCTCAGAAGTGTTGCTGTTTGTTGGTTTTTGGTTTCATCTGATAATGTAAAGTGAATTGAGGCACATCTAGCTACACACGAGATCCTTGACTGGTGAACAGTAACACTCAATTTTCAAGCAATTGGGCATATGAGGGGCAGGCTACAATATGGCAGGAGAAAGACATTGTGGCTATCAATGGTGTGTACTAACCAGAGGACCAGCAAGTTACAAACTGTATAGAATGTTTTCCAAAAAGCTGTCCAAGCCTTTCTTTCCCTTCAGCATATTTGTGCATCTTTCTGAGGTTATTTCAGCAGCATGCTACTCTGAAAAAGAATGGATTAACAATGGTTTGAGCCAATGTTAAGGGGCAGACTCATAAATTGCAAAGTCATTGCTCTTGCTCTCACCAGTGACACTCTCAGCTTCCCTTCCCCACATGGGTGCTGCAGCCTTTGCTCTAGGATCCAATCAGTAGAACTCCCCATGGAAAGAAAACTGGCCGGGCACAGTGCCTCATGCCAGTAATTCTAGCACTTCAGGAGGCTGAGGTGGGCAGATCACTTGAGGTCAGGAGTTCAAGACCAGCCTGGCCAACATGATGAAACCCCGTCTCTACTAAAAATACAAAAATTAGCCAGGCATGGTGGTGCACACCTATGATCCCAGCTACTTAGGAGGCTGAGGCATGATAATTGCTTCAACCCGGGAGGTAGAGGTTGCAGTGAGCAGATTGGGCCACTGCACTCTAGCCTGGGTGACAGAGTGAGACTCCATCTCAAAAAAGCAAAACAAAACCAACAACAACAACACAAAAACAAAACCAAAAACAAAACCCTAAGTGGTCAAAAATCAGGAATCTTGCATCTAGTTCTGGATCTGTAACCAGCTGAATGACCTTGTCAAGCTGTGTCACCCCATGAGGCTCAGTGCATTACATGTCGCCAAGAATCTTCCAACTCCCACACTTAATCTGAGCCCCCGACCCTGTATAATAATGGAATCATAAGATTTCTGGGTTTGTTCTTCCCCATGTTCCTCCCTTGATTCTGCTCCATCTTTTTTTTTTGCCAATCAACACATGTTCAGAGCCGGTCACTATGCCCAAGTGATGTCCTCTGCCTCTTCTCCCCTTCGGTTTTATTGTTTCATCATTCTTGGCATTTGTTCTTTTCACCTCAATCCTTTCCGTTGGCCTTGGTGTAGCTCCTCAAATATGGAAACCTCCAGTTGTGTCTAGAAATGAAAATCTGAATAATGTGACAGTGAACGCTGCTGTCTTACATTCCGTGATCTTGGAGCCAGAGAAGTATAAAAATGCTGGATCTGACAGGATCTGTAGGGATTGTCTCAGCTAATTAGCTCATTTAACAGATTAGCAGACTTTCAAGGGGACGGGGTTGGGATAATTTACTAAAGGTTATCCAGCTGGTAGGGGTTGGTAGGCTACCATTTCCAACTCTCCAGACTACCATGCTGACTTTCATTCTTAACCATGCCCGGGACAATAGATTCCTAAGCCCTATTTTAAGTTTCTATTTACTCTGACTTGTGAGTTGTACAAAACTTTTTGACTCATATCTTTTTTTTTCTTTCAAAAGCTCTGCATTTATTTCACATATATAAAAATATAAATATGCATTCTCTTACAAGTTTAGTGCTTGTAATTTTCTTTAAGCCACTAGCTTCGAGACCCTTTATTGCTGCTTTTAAAATTTAAATCCTTTCTTAGGAATAACCTAGGGACCTAGGATATTTCTTCAAGGACCTGTCTTAAGGATTCCCACCCCCTTGAAGACCTCATCTCTGTTTTTATAAGCAGGTGGAGTCTTTCCAAGTCATAAATCCTTTTGGAAAGCCCTTGGGAAAAAAGGGATGAGGTAAGTTAGTATGGAATGAACATTTCTTGCGTACCTACAATGGGCCTTATACACATGACCCTGTTTTAACCCTCTCATCAAACAGCTGTGATGATCAATAAGACTTTCATTTATAAAGATCCACAAGTCACTCAAATAGCAAGGAGGAGAGCCAGGATTCAAACTCAAATCTGTCTCTTTATGAAGCCTGGCATTCTTCTAGTAATTTGCCTTTTTGAACCCAAGAACTCCAATTTTTCATAACGTGTGGCTCGTGTTGTTCTTCAACTGTTGAATTATTTAGCTTTTACCGAAGACCAGTAACAAAATCAGTGATTTCCTAAAAGACACTTATAAACTGTCCCCTTCATTTTCTGTCTTATCTGAACATCCTTGGAAATTTATCATCAGCAGCCACCTTAGAGGTGAAATTTGCTTTAGGTTAATGGTGTATGGTCACTACTGAAACTGAGTGGAGATTGGCAGAATAATATTAATCAGTTTGGATTTATCTGTGGTACAAGACTTTACTACTTTTTCATTGCAGAAAGTCAGTAATTGGGTTTTAATCATCCCAACTGATGTGGACTTTGATCTCTAAAGTCACGGAGTGTTGTGCCTTCTCAATGCAGAAGCTGTGTTTTTTCTGTTTCTCAGTTCATTCATGCCACTTCTTTTTGAAACAGGAGGATGTTTGGACTTTTCTTTTTAAAAGTATTGTTTCCTCTCTATTCAACTGGGAAAGCTTAGGTGGCAGAATTCTGAAATGGTCGCAGCTTTGAGCACCAGAGACTTGCCTGTGTTCGAGTTTGGGCTTTCTTAATCTGCTATAGCAACACAGATGGCGTGAATTCCAATGATGACTCAAGCCAACGATGCCCAACATCAGTTTCATCTTGCCTCTGTTTCAGAGATCTATTGCTCAGTGTTTCAGAACATGGACAAACCATATGACTGACTAGTGCCAAATTTTAACATTCTTTGAAAAACTTCAATGCATGATTATTTTTGAAGATTGCATTGCTGTTTATATAATGACAGTTACAGTTTCCATTTAGATTTTGCCTTACCATTTTTTCTTCAAAAGGACTTTCGTATGTGTTATCTCAATCGTACAAACCATTCTTCACACTGCAGCCAGAGTGATCTTTTTTGAAAAAAAAAAAAAATCAATCTGATCCTATCACCTCTTTTCATTAAACCCTTCATTCACTTCCTGTTGCTATCAAAACAAATTCCAAATTCCTTTTCATGGTGTAAGATATCCTACAGCAGCTGATCCCTGCCTTCCTCTCTACCCTACCCCCTGCCGGCTCTTTGCAGCCACTCTGGTCTTTTCCTTATTCCTGGAATTCACTTCTACTTCAGGGTCTTTGTACTTACTGGTCTTATGCTTAAAATGCTTTCTGGGAAGATGTCTGTGTGGTTGGCTCCTTGACACCTGAAATCGGTGTCAGCTGAGTTAATCCCCACAGCCTGGGCAATACTCCAGATGTGTTTACTAATTTCTGAGCCCAACATCTAGCCCTCTTCCTCAAGCCAATCTTCTTTGACTGCACATTTTTTTCGTCCTAATTCTATTATTTCATCTATTCTACATCTGTTTTTAGGCCTTAGGTATTGTTAAAAATATATTCAACTAAGTTCCCAGAGGCTGAAGGAGTATATCTTTGATTTCCTTGGTATTTTCCCTTTCAGTTCTGTTCACTTGGAGGGTAAGAAAACTTGAAGTTTCACCGTGTAGTGGAAAGAATATTGCACTCTGGATTAGAGGATGTGTGTTCTAGATTGGCCCTCTTGCTAATCAGCTGTGTGGGTGTAGGTAACACATCCACCTCCCTGGTTCTTAGAGTTTTCACTTCTGGAAAATGAGAGGCTTTTTACTTCATTTTTCTTTTAATTCATGGCCTGAATTTTCAAACAAGACTATGATTCCTTTCGTGATCATAAAAGTGGATTTCTCTGGGGCGACTGAGAAGAGGAATCAGACTAAATAAATCCACAAGAATGTAATGAGCACAGTTTTACATTTCAAATTATTCAAATTGTCTTTGGAAAAAATTCAAGATCCTGTGAGGTGGACCCAGTCTCATCTAATGTGGGTCCCTTACAGAACTGTGTTTAGCATGTATGACTGGCACAAGTCACAGCAAACAAAAGTGGGACACTAGTGGGCATACGTGGCATGCCAAGTAGCTGAATCCAAACAGTGAAACAGTGGCATTTAATGAAGGACACTACAAGGTGCATTTTCTGGTCCTTTATCTTGAGGTTCCCATGGAGAACTTGCCAAGTCAATATTGTGTCTAGTTCTTTTTGTTTGTGTTTTTGTGGAAAGCAAAGCTAGGAAAATATTGTCATCGTTGCTTAAAAAAAAAAAAAAAAGCAGCATGCACTTTTGAGAACCATAATTAACGCTGGGATTATGCCAGGATCTCTTGCTTGATTCTTCTTTTTAAACCTTTGCGGCTGTTTCAATAGCACATTGCAAGGAGATTAGTAATTCCTGTTCCCTAGAAGTAATGAGTCAGGTCAAACTGAATTTTTAAAGCATAGAGAGGTGTGGCTGGGTGCAGTGGCTCACACCTGTAATCCCAGCACTTTGAGAGGCCAAGGCGGGCAGATCTCGAGGTCAGGAGATCGAGACCATCCTGGCCAACATAGTGAAACTCTGTCTCTACTAAAAATACAAAAGTCAGCTGGGTGTGGTGGCGCATGCTTGTCATCCCAGCTACTCTGGAGGCTGAGGCAGGAGAATGGCTTGAACCCCAGGAGGCAGAAATTGCAGTGAGCTGAGATCGTGCCACTGCACTCCAGCCTGGTTTCCAGGCACTTCCACTTCCAGAAATGTTTGTCTTCAAGTTCTCTCTCTCTCTCTCTCTCTCTCTCTCTGTGTGTGTGTGTGTGTGTGTGTGTGTGTGAATTTATCATCCAATTTGTGTGAAACAGAATTACAAGCCACATTCAATGACTTCCTGACGGCCAGGATGTTTGGCTGATTCTCTGTGCCCTTCCCCCATTTCTTGGTATGTTTTTGATAGATGTATGATTTGGCCGATTATATCTCTTACTTCTTGGACTAATAGACTCATTATATCTCTCTGGGTACTTGAAGAACGTCTGTTTCGGTGCCACAGTCTAATTAAAGGCTGGTACCCAGCTGCAGGAGTTTACAGTTCTTTAACAGCTTTCCTTGTGTTGTCACATGGAGTTAGCTCTCTCTGAAGACAGGATGAGTTTGTAGCAGTTAAAGCTCCTGAAGGAGATTACCGTAATTACCAGTGATCAATGTTTAATACCTCTCTTTCCAACCCCACCTTCGCCCCTTCACAAGACAAGATGTAGGAAAAAAAAATCAGTGATAGGAGCTTTATAGTGAGCTTGATTTAGTTTACAAGAAAAGGGATTCTGGTTTGGCTTTTGAAATATACCTTGGCACAAAAATACACTATTTCTGCTGGGATGTCAGTTGCTAAATTGTTGCTATGTTTTTACACAATGGATCAGGTTTTTGAAGACGTTCTCACTTAAAAAAATTACCAGGAGAAAAAAAAATCATTTGAGTTTGCTCTCTCTGTTTCTTACAAGGGCAATCTATATAGTTCGGTAGGAGAGCTTGTGATAGGTGCCAGTGTCAGCAAAGCACTCAAGGTGCTACACAGATTCAACGTGGAAAAATAAAGGTGCATCTTGAAGATGTGAATTATTTCCTCCCCACTTCCACCAATTAATAGCATATTATAACAAAGAAAATCATTAAAACATGAAGGTGTGTTTTTGCAAGTCACATTTATCAAACATGGTAAGGTAATCTTGAGCTCTATTAGTTCCTGTGTATTTTTAACATGATATATGGATTTTCCTTTTCTATTGTTCAAACATGAAAATGTTTTAAAAAGAAAAACATGCCTTTATTGCCATTTTTTAAAGTATTGAAGGGGATAAAAAGGAAAGTGTAATAAGAGCAGTATATTTTTATGTCAAAAGTAACCTTTCTATAGTACTCTTTAGATAAAACTGAATATTGGAAAAGAAAAGGAAAGATAAGTAGCTCCCTTATTCATCTTAGTCCAAAATCTATTTTGCTCACTGCTGGTTGTTGGCATTGTGTGATGATGTGACATAGTACCAGAGGATCAGATTATCAGAAAAGAAAAGGAGATTCCCAATTTAATAGTTACTCACTGAAATTTTCCCCTTATCTCTATATCACAGAAAAATAAGTAGTTGTTAAATTTCAAATCCTGCAGTCTTTCTGATTTATCATCAAATCGTGGATGCACTTAGCTGCCTAGCGTCAGGGAATCCAATAAGTCCTGTCACGTAAGAAAAAAAGAAAAAATCCTATTGGATAATGGGTTACATTCTCCCCCACAGTGATTTATTTCTGTCACAAGACTTAATTTTATCATGAGGCAGATGCTCTGTCTGTATCAGTGCATTCTTTTCTGCATTTATCTGCTTCATTAAAAAAAAGCACCTGCTGCATTTTTAAGATGTATTTGGATTTTTTTATTATATGCCCTGATGACCCCATTATGTGCTATTTAAGCACGTGTTTAATTTGTACTTTTTTCTGAGTTGAAAATTCCTTAGCTGTTTTATAAAGTGAGACCAGTGTGAAGGAGTGCCGAGGCAAATGAAATTGCAAGGGGTAACTGTTATAGCAACAGAAGGTGTTAACATCTGAGCTTTCTGGTACCAAGTCTCTGAGATTCATGTCAGAGGGAATAAGCAGAGCTTAGTGGAGTTATCAAGTGATACCTAGGATGAAACGGTGACAGCCTCTGTTATGAAGTAATTTCGTTGGCCTGAATGTGGAAGACATTGTTGTCATTCACAAAATCTGCAGGTAGACTTAAACATATATATGAAAGAAAAAAGAAAGGAAAATGAAAAGAATAAAGGAAGGAGGGAAGTAAGGAAGGTAGGAAAGAAGGAAGGAAAGATTTGAAACCTATCATTTTTATTCGCTCTGAGTCACTGTGCCTCACCCGAGAGCATTTTAATGACGTGCTTGCGTCTCATCAACTCGACCCTCCCTCCAATCTGCCACTTAATATAGATTCCACTCCTCTGAATAATCATCCTTGTTCTTGGGGCAGCTGAGGTCTACACGTTGGAGTCCTTCACCAACTGTCCTCATTCCAGAGGGGCGGCTGCGTCTACCTCTCCATGCTGCTCCTTTCTGTCGTCTCTCCCCATCACAGAGTGCCTTTTTCTTTCCCGTGCAAGGAGGTCCCAGGAAAAGATCGTCAGATAGCCGACCGTTCAATAAGCTTAGGATATCTGCAATTCCCATTTTGACATTCAGCCCAAAGGGCTGTCCTCTCGTTACCTGCCAATGACAAGTGACAAGGCAGACTGTGACTTCTAAGAAGTTTCCAAAATCCCTTTTCCAACTTCTTTTGGCTTCGCTTCTCTCCATTCTTGTTTCTTCGTCTTATTTCCCTTAAAACAACAACAACAACAACAAAAAATCAACCCAGACCATTCACATCTTTTTGGCATCAAACAGGGCACAGAGGTTAAGGTAGAGTCTAATGCTGAGTTTCCAAGATTTGCATTTTAGTGGGCTCACTGCAAGAAAGCTAATAGACAGGAAAGGAGACCAAGTTAATGACAATTCTCTAAACAGCTGTTGTACGATTCAGCTTCACTACTTCAGTTAATTAATCAGCACCTTGCTGGCAACTCTGGGGGAGAGACTCCTTAGATACTGGTAGCAAACAGACAATGCTTTCATATCAAATATGTTCAACAACATCTAATACAGCGATAACTTCCACAGAAGAGTGTAGGGAATACCGTGGCTTATAAAGGCACTCAGGAAGAGGCCCTTGGTATTCTCGTAGATATGCACTTGCTAGGAGTACTACATATGCTGTTTTCTTTGTTGTCTGTAACCAGCCCAAACGAAACATAGGCAAAAGAATCTCCAGAGTTCCTTGTTATCACAGATTCCTCTTTTTATTGTAATAAATAAATATGTATTCATAAGATTGATCTCAATGTGCATGACACGTAATAAATCAAGCGTCTACATTTCTGATTTTAGTCACAGTATCCCATTTGGAATTTTAATCATTGAAACAGTCCTCAAACTTGACAACAACTAAGGGAGATCAAAACGTTCAAATATAGGCCACTCACCAAGCTACCATGGCATTTAGTATGAGAGCTATTGACTCTTCAAGTTTTCCCTGGCTTTTTATATTCTGAAGGGAAGCAACCTCTTGTTCTCCCTAGGAAGTCAATAAAGCCATACATATTTTATGAATGATAATGCACAGAAATTTTAAAGAGACAAAATTATATCTATATCTGGCCCATGTACTCTAACTTTTCTGACTCTTCCAAAATTGTTGTCAGTAAATTAGATGCTGAGTTTAGTGTAAAGGTTGTGTTATTCTAGGTTTCCTGTTATCATGTGACCTACCATTGCTTAATTAAGAAGATATCATTTTGCATAGCTCTTACTTTACTCTCTCTTTGATACTTTATCCTGACATTGTACAGACAAGAAATTGTAGAAACATGATGGCTAAAAAAAAAAATTGCCGTAGGTTTGCCGTTATATGATACATACTTTTCTAGTGAAATTAAATTTTCCCTTATTGATATAAAGAGAAAGGTAATATTGACTGCAATAAGCAATATACATAATTATTACATAAATCTTAAAAAGACACATATGTGTATTTTATATGTGTGTGATTTCATGTATTTAATCATTTTCCACTCTGAAGGGATAAAATTGTGAGGTAGAAATTGTCTTATGTGTATACAAATTATCATGCTTTGCAAATTCCCTTTGAATTCCCTTCTCTGATATTCTTACAGTTAAAATTCAGTCCTCAGTTTTCTGTCCACCTGCCAGGGGTCATGTGGAGAACTTCATAACAAGAACTGAGGTCGTATTAGCCAATTCATTTGGACGATTTATCCAGTTGATTCATATGTACTGATGTAGACAATTATGGCTTCAGTTCCTTAATGAATCCTACATTATGGCCGAAGAATATCATAGATCTAGTCTGTAATACTCCAGGGAACGATAAAGAGAAATGTCCCTTTTAAATTAGCTTTATGGCACTGAAGCTTTATGTATTTACTTGCAAGTTCAATATTAACTCAAAATACTCTTCTTGAACCATCTCTATTGCCAACTACAACACTGCTTATAGAAAGGGATTTTGGCCAGGCACGGTGGCTCACGCCTGTAATCCCAGCACTTTGGGAGGCTGAGGCAGGTGGATTGCCTGAGCTTCGGAGTTCAAGACCACCCTGGGCAAACCTGTCTCTACTAAAATACGAAAACTTAGCCTGGTGTGGTGGTGTGCACCTGTAGTACCAGCTACTCGGGAGGCTGAGCACGAGAAATGCTTGAACCCAGGAGGTGGAGGTTGCAGTGAGCTGAGATCATGCCACTGCCCTCTAGCGTGGGTGACAGAGTGAGACTCCATCGCCAAAAAAAAAAAAAAAAAAAAAAGGGCTTTCTTGGCATATATATTTATTAAGGGTGAATTTGTTTAAAGAAAATTCTTGCCTGCTACAGTTGCTTTTGCTACAGAGAGAACAGGATGCCTCTTAATCCTGTAATCCTAGGTAATCTGACATACAAACCTTAGATAAAAAAAAGGATTTTTACCTAATCCAACTTCTCAATGCATGATTTACTTTTAGATTCTGTCCATAGATAGACGTTTTGCCTTCCTTCTTTTTTTCCAAATCATGTGTTCCTGATTTCTGAACTATTTAGAATAAAAAAAGACATGAAGCTTACAAGGGAAAGAGACAGTGGCAGAATGGCACATTGGTGATTGTTCAGCTTTGGTGGGTCTCAGGCTACTTGGAAACTATTGTTTCATGGCGTCTTTATATGCACACTCAAATCTTAACCAGAAGATGGCAAATATGGCACATATACTACCATGATTCTTCTGACACCCAGAGCAGACATCACTAATTGATCATAGCATCTTTCCTACAGAGCTTGCAGCCTTCTGAGTCTTAATGAACACCAAACTCCAGGAAACCAAATACTCATTGATCAAAGCTGGCACAAGAGATGAAGTTTAATTACTGTCCTTCACCTAGACTGGGTGTTGGCAAACTAGCACTCATTGTCAAATCCGCTTGGCCACCGGTTTTTGTTAATAAAGTTTTATTGGAATAAAGTCATGCATATTCATTTATGTATTGCCAATGGGGGCATTAATGCTGCAATGGCAGAGTTGAGTAGTTGTGATTGTATACCTAAAATATTGGCTCTTTGGCCCTTTACAGAAAGGGTTTGCTGACGTTTGGCCTAAATCTTTATAGGTTTCCTGTATCTAGGCTTTTCTTTTTTTGTAGAAACAGACACATTAGGAAGTGTTTTCAAGAGAAACAGAGTGGGGTTGGGAGAGGAGAGAGTAGGGGAAGTACGTAGCAGAGGAAGAACTCAAAGCCTACTCCCCAGCCAGGCCCTGTGAGATGATCTTTTAGGCTTTGATCAGATCTGACTGGCCCTGGCAACAAGAAGCAGCAAACTTGCTTCATGGGGTATTCTGTTCTGCAGTTCTGACTGGGAAGTCATTTTTGATTGAAAGAAGGTAAGACGAATGGATAGGGGGACTTTTCTCACCTGCAGAAGCCGCTATATTGTGTAAAGATCTTCATTTTCCCCAGCATCATACCTGAATTGGGATCATGACCACTCCTCAATTTCCATGTGACTTGGGACTTTGCATTATAATGGGGGAGCTGCTTACTGCATGAGGTTGTTAGGTGACAAAACATAGGAAAAGTACCAGTCAAAATTCAGTTGTAGTTAGTCTCCATCACCTCCCGTTAATCAAAGGTAGGAGATGCCATCATAGCTGTGAAAGTGCTTACAAGCTACAATGTCTGGGCAACTAAGAATTGCCCTTTCACTACTATCCCCTGAAGATGAAAAGAGCCTGTTTTCCCCTTAGCATCGCTAAGAATTTCTAGGATGACATTCTTTGCACTGTTGAGAATCTTCTGGATTTGGCTTACTGTCAGGTGTCCTTTGGAAGGCTGGTGAGAATTTACTTTTTCTTCTGAAGCATTCTGTGTTGCTAAAAGGGATTCTTTATGGATTTATTCAGCTAATCAATGAACATATAAAACTAAATATGGCTCATTTCCTTCCTATAGTCTACTAGAGGAACAAGCAGGTAAATGACAATCAGGATGAGGAAGGAAGGAAAGGGTGGGCTCATGGGGAGGCTCCTAGAGAGCCTGGCCCCTTCCCTGGGAGGTCATCGAAGACTTCCCCCACAGAAGGAACTCTTTAGCTAAATCTTGAGAACTTTGTGCAATGGAGGAGGGTGAAATGAGGGTTCCAGGCCTGTGTACTGTAAGGAGGTGACAGAAATGTAAGTATCAGAGTGAGAGGAGGTACACGCAGTTGGATGTCTCTGGAGAGTGATGTGAGGTGCTCACAAAGAAAATCACAAAGACCTGTATGTGCAAAGCTGAGGGAATTTGAATTCTATCTCCCATGCTACTGAGGACCACTGAGGGATATTAAGCAGGACTGTGACATGATCAAATGGTGAACAAGTCTTTAGAAGAAGACAATATTTTGGAGGTCAGAGAGGAAACTGTAAACTGAAATATTATACTTGCAAGGAGAATAAGCACATGGCAAGCTGGGAAAGTCTGAACAAGTGACTCCCACGTGAGGGATATGTATGTGTGCATGTACATGTGTGTTTCTCTTTTTCAGGGAGTCAACCTGCGTGACTTTCCCACGTGATTTTCTACTGTGTAGCCCAAGATATTAACAGGACCCACCAAAACCCACCAGTCCCTGTTTGGGCACTCTATTAGTCTGCAGCCTTCACCTTGACATGAGTTTTGATACAGTCAGTACCACTGGGGGTTTTTAACTAGAACTTGCCACCACAAGAGATTGATTGTAGAAAACAGTTTAGACTCACAATAAGTTATATTAAACTGCCAACTTAGGTAGGACACCATCAATTTCAAACATACCCTCGTAAATGTGTTCCTTTTGCTCAGCAATCCTTCTTCATGCAGTGAGTTGGTAAACATTTGAAGTCTGAGATGGTCTCTTTGTTACTCTGTTGATTGACTGGAATTCGTCTTTGCTTCTATTGTCATCTTCTATATATGTTGCAATGATCAACATCATTTGGTGATGTCTAGTCACTGTCATTTCTGATAGGACTTTGGGGTCCTTCCTGCAAAGCCTGACCAATTTCCTCCCTTGCCCTACAGCCTTCTTTCTTTCTTATGATGTTTTATGCATTTGTTTTCCCTGCATGCTCTTGCCTCTTGTATCCTTCCTTCTGGTCTGTTGCTGCATCCCTGCTCTTGAGGCAATGGGGCATATTGCAAGGAATGTGGGCTTTGAAATCTGACAGACTCTAGATGGAAACCTGAAAGTGTCACGTATTATCTATGTGACCTTTATTAGTGCTATATTAGTTGTGTGCTCTTCTCACCGCCCCCCCTTCTCTGCCCAATATGCAGAAATGTTTATTTCCACCAGGAGAGCCTATTTTATTAGTGGGAAGATTGACTTCCCCACAGACCACTTTTCTCCTCAAACCCCTCGAAGGCTTTCACCCCAGGAAACAAAACAGCCCCTTTCTGTAGTTCCTTCTTACTGATACACTTTAAAGTCTCTCTGCTGAATCTTCCAGGAGGGATCAAAAGAACTCTGGGCTCCTAGAGCTTCAGAACATTTCAAGTCTGCTCAGGAGCCTTTAACGGGTTACTTCCTACAACACAGGAATTACATAGACAGGGCAGGATGGGCTTGTTAAGCAGGACAGAGGGAAATGTCCAGAATATTAGTACAAAGAGCCTTTGCTTGGACATGAGGTGACCGGGATTCAAATCCTCAGCTTATTGCTACCTCATAGCCTGCATATCTGAGCAGGCTGGGACATTTTATTTCCAATTCACATTACCTAGAAACTTCTATTCTTTCTTTGTTTAACCTCAGAAGAAATTGTCAAACACAAATGACAACCTTTTTAATATTGAAGTCCCTTTAGGATGGAAAAAGTGTCTGATGGATTGTTTTAAGCCCCTAGGATACCACTGAGAAAATTACTCTTAAGAGTACTGAATGGCATCCTAGTCACTCAAGAAACTATTGTGCCTTTACTGTGCTGTTTAGGAAAAAAGAAAGCTTTCTTCCTTCTATCCTCTAAATTCCTGCTGACTTTCCAATAGCCTGGTGATTTCATTGGTAAGTAATGAGCAATCCCAAGAGCCTTTAAGTGTAGTTGTCAATAGCTTGGACTTGGAGCTTGGTTCAAACCCTGCCTGTAGCCCTGATGAGCTGAGCTGTGTGTCTTTGGGCAAGTTGTTTACCTTTTCCACGCCTCAGTTTCAACATCTGCAAAATGGGGCTGATGATAATGGGCCCTGGCTCATGAAGTGAAACTATGAACAGAATATTTTGAGGACCTACAACAAGCAGAGCATGACTAATTTCAAACACACTATTGAAAATATGAATTTGTTTTTAACCATTAATCTCACTTCATGGAGGAAGTTGGTAAACACTTTCTGATGTGGGATCATTAGATGTCAGCAATTTATCTTCCTCTGTTGCTCTAGTACACTTACTTTCTACTCTGTCTTCATTTGTCATCTTCTCTATACATTACAGGGGTTAAATCTACTTTTCTGTTCCGTCATTGTCTGACATTATGATTCAGTGTCAAAGGAAGAGATAATCTATGTAAGACACTTATTGCATTACCTGGCACAGAGAGATACTCAATAATTGTTACATAACATCATTGTTCCATTTAGTTTCTATAATGAGGTGACATAGAATATAGCTTTAAAAATTTTTTCTTATTACTATGTGCACAGAGTTTGCCCTTTTTTTTGTTTGCTTTACTTTGTTTGTTTTAGTGGCCTTTGATTTTTAAGGAAGGACATAGTAGGGCCAAGTTCCTTTAGATTCTAGTATTAGGATATCATATAAGGGAATCACAATTAAACATAAGCGGTATTTTAGTTACCAAGAACATCTGATTAAAAGTACCTAAGGCTCTTTGAATTTTTCAGAAAGTGCTTTGTGAATTAAATGTGTTTAATTGAACATAGAGACTGTGCTTTCATTGGCTCTTCAAATGTTGAAAGATTTGGCTAGAAGGAGCCTCTAGACTTCATTTCCATGTGTATACATAGAGGACAAGAGCAGCAGAGGGAAGAAGAGTTTAAAATGAAAGCAGAAAAGCTGCAAAGGGAATTGAAGGATTTTGATACAAGTGGGTATAAAATTAATGGGCTATATCGAGCCTTTCAATCAGTCTTTTAAAATGGGAACATGCAGCTTGTCAAAAGGTACGATTAACAATCACAAAGCCAGGCATCCTTCATTTAGCTGTGTCTGAAAAGATGGGCCCTGGTGTCAAACTGATTTGAGTTCAAATCCCAACTTGGCTGTTTTTTTTGGGTGCAAACTTGGTAGGCAAGTTATATAACTACTCGAGGTGCCAGTTTTCTGATTATTTTTACCTGAGAAACATAATACCCATTTTACAGGGTGTTATGTAGGCTAAATGAGATCATGTGTACAGTGCTCAGAAAAATGCTTGGCATGCAATAAAAACAGAATAGTAATAATAGTATAGAATAGTAATAATATTATCTGATAATAATAGTATAGACTAGTAATAATATTATCTGATAATAATAGTATAGACTAGTAATAATATTATCTGATAATAATCATAATATCAACTGCAATACAACCTGGTGTGTTCCTGCCTTCTGTACTAGTGCAGAGCTATAAATGGAATGACTGAGAGTTCTGTTTTCCATGGGACAGATGTAAGGAAATATGATTGAAACTACCTAAGGACTGACCACTTGAAAAAAGGGAAAATGCAGTAATTGATGCAATAATTATTTATTATGTTGTTCAGTGAATGTCATAAAAAAAAAGAACCCCAAAGTAAATTTCTTCCCAAATGCAGTACCTGTAAAATGTTTTGTTCTTGCCTAAAATGAGATAGCAGGAACTTGTTAGATACTAGAAACTTAATGCAAACTGTTTCGTGCTTTGAGGTTGCAGCCTTCCTCAGCTAAGATTTCTTGCTATTTTTTTCTTTTCGTTCCTCTTTCTTTATGTCTTGACTTCTTACCTTTATCACACGTTAAATTTTCATTCTAGTTGTTGAAACACTTGGAGTGTAAAGGAGAGATCATGGCAATGGGTTTCAGAAGCCTGTGCTCACATTTCTGCCATGCCTCTTGTTAGTGTGATGTTTTGAGCAACTTATTTAAGCTGTCCCAGTCTCAGTGTTCTCAGTGGTCAAATGAAACTCTTAAAATTAGTTTGCAGGGTTGTTGGGGAGATAAGCTGAGATGATGCAGGTCAAGTTCAAGAGCAGGATTTGCCTCTTTGTAGGCTCTTGTATGTCACTGCCTCAGCCACCCAGCTTTTCCTTTTATGATCTCTTTGAAGCTCTTTCAAGAGGGAAAGCTCCCCTGATGCAATCAGAGTGGAGGAGCCCCCAGGTTTGAAGGGCTTTCCCTTCAAGCAGAGATTGTGTTTGTCTGAGTAATTTTCTCAGTGTCAGGTGCTTCTCTTACCTGGTTGATTTTTGTTAATTCTAGATTAATCAATTGTTTGATCTACTTGACAAATATTTATTGAGCAGTATTGTGCTTGACACTGTAGTATAAGGGTGAGAAACATTATTCCTCATTTCATAGAACTTTCATTGGACTTTTACATCCCTTCTCAAAACCACAAAGCTATCTGCCTTTCCCTCTCTCTTAATTGGCTTATCTATGGAGGAATTGCTATCATTTCCAGAAAGTGGAGTGGCTGTGTCATTTATGACTGACCTTTGAGGACTGGACTTGGGAAGGGCCTTCCCACCTGGTTAATATTAGTAATATGATTCTAGAGAGCTCTTTTCTTTCTCATTTTAAGTGGATATGTGAAAACTACATTTAAACATGTCTTCTACTTATGAGGATAGTTTGATTGCAGCTTCCAAACTCTTGTAGGGTGAGCTGTTTAGATACTTTTATTTTATTTCAGTGCTTTGGAGAACAGTTTTAGCCACAGATGTGAATTTCTGTATCAGAGGGAGAGGAATCTTTCTCTCTCCTACTCGACGTGGTTTTTGCTTTGTCAGTGGTCATGCTTTACTCTCCTCCAGTTAAAAGAACTGATTACAAATGGATGTAGGTCAAATTGATGAAAAATTGTGCCTAGGTCTTGGATGCTCCTCCATTTCTGTTCATCGCCTCCGAGTTAGTGATGCTTCCAGAAACCCCACGTCAGGATGGCTGCATACACCCCTGAGTGATGAGCTAGACCTGAGTGCACTAACTCAGTTCTCCAGGGATCAGGAAATGTTGAATGCTTCTCAGCTGGAACTCAGTCTCCAGAGTGGCTGGCAGAGTTCTTACGGTGATAAAATGGGAGACGGATGTCGTTCCTTATGTTTCATGGAAGCATGTGGCAATTTTCTTATGGATAATGTAGTATTCCAGTAATTACTGTAAGAACACAATCTATCCTAATGTGCCTTAGTTCTGCTTACTACAATCTAGGGTGCACTTCTACTGTGATAAGGTGGTGCTGTGTAATTGCTGCACTAATACATAAGTATCACATAATATACTGTATACAATATTTGCATGACAAAATTTACTATTATTGATATTGTTATTCTGTGCCTTCAGAGTACCTTGTAAATTATCAACAAAAAGGCTCAATTTATTATTGTTATTATTATCCATTATCATATATATAATATATGATGTGACCTCTTTTTAACCAAGGATTGGAATATGCGTTATATGTATTCCATGGATTATATATACATAATTAATAATATATAATGTATATTATATATACATAATTAATATGTAATATATATTATATATAATATATAATTAATAATTATAATGCTTATTTCTAGGGATATATAGATATACATATCTATATATAAGATACATATCTATATATAAATACATATATATGTATATATATCCCTAGAAATAAGCATTCATGGTAGGTACAAATTATTTAAAGAAGCTAATTAAAAAAAATTTCAACAGTTTTGCCTTTTGGGGTGGGGATAAAATTATCAGTTATTTGTTTTGCATATATGTAATTATTTTCTTTTAAATCATTTTAAATCTTGTCAAAGAATAGCCTGAGAACAAAATATTTCATACATTAATAAGTTCATGATATGGGGAGTCAGAAAATTAGTTGAGCAATTCTTTCTACAGAAAACTTTAGTATTCATTTGCTCATTCATTTATTCACTCATTCATTATTTAATACAGTAAATATGTATTGAGCAACAACCATGCCAGTGGTAAAGTGATGAAAAGTAAAAGCAATGTTCCTGTTCTAATGGAGCTTGTGTTCTTAGCAAAGCTATGCCATTCTTCTACACTTTGGTTTCTCTAATTTTATAAAATATATATAATAGTGTTTTCCACTTTTGTTACCTGCCCCTCTTCCTCTCTCCCCAATTTTCCTGCAGGATTGCTGTGCCTGTCAAAGGGGATAAGATATGATAATACTTAGAGCACAGGTTAAAAATGTAAAGCTCAAATGCATCATGCCACACTTCCCTATTCCCTTACCCACTTGCACTTAGTTATGAAGACAAAGCATACATTTAAAAAAAATCTGTCAAGAAAATGATGCAGTGTTCAACTGCTACAGAAACCATTAATTATTGACGTGACCTCTTGTTAACCGAGGATTGAAATGTGCATTATTAAAAGAAAACTTCACCCCAAATTCTAAAGCCAGTCATCTGAAAGTTTAGAAGGTATTAGATCTTGTAATGATGGGACATTAGAAACACTTTGATAAATATATACTTGCAGGCAACCTTTCCAGCCTTGCTTTTGTGCATAGCCATGTCTGCATCTGGAAATGTCCAAATGTAAGATTTGTTCCCTAGAGGTCAAGGATGTAGTATACTATTATATGTATATATATAATAGTGTATGTATACTATATGTATAGTATATATTACATATAGTATATATTTTATATATTATATATAATATAGTATATATTATATAATAATATCTATTTATATAAATCTGTATTATACTATTATATGTATAAATATTATATAAAAAATACATAGTAATATATAATGCTATTTAAAATATATGTATAATAGTATACTATTTCCTTGACCTCTAAGTGTGCATAGATTTATGTGTGTGTGTATATATATATATGCACACAAATATAAACACATAAACTTACGATGCAAATTATTTTTATGGTTAAAACTTTTTATGTGTTGTATTTAATGCCTGTTCTACATAAATATACATATCTATCTCTGTATATAAATTTCACATGAACATACCCTATATAATTTAATTAATCTTCAGTACACTGAAATTTTAACAAGTGTATTTTTCAAAGGTTTGTTTGAGGATGGTATTTGCATCTGGGTCTTTCCAACAATGTTGCACACCAGAGTTCTTCAGTCTCATTCAATTAAAAAGCATCTGTATTAAAAAGTCAGGAAAGAACATGCTGGGGGAATGTGGAGAAATAGGAACACTTTTACACTGTTGATGGGAGTGTAATTAGTTCAACCACTGTGGAAGACAGTGTGGTGATTCCTCAAGGATCTAGAACTAGAAATACCATTTGACTCAGCAATCCTATTACTGGGCATATACCCAAAGGATTATAAATCATTCTACTACAAAGACAGATGCACACATATGTTCATTGCAGCACTATTCACAATAGCAAAGGCCTGGAACCAACCCAAATGTCCATCAGTGATAGACTGGATAAAGAAAATGTAGCACATATACACCATGGAACACTATGCAGCCATAAAAAAGGATGAGTTCATGTCCTTTGCAGGGACAAGGATGAAGCTGGAAACCATCATTCTCAGCAAACTAACACAAGAACAGAAAAACACCACATGTTCTCACTCATAAGTGGGAGTTGAACAATGAGAACACATGGACACAGGGAAGGGAACATCATACACTGGGGCCTGTTGGGGGGTGGGTGGGCTAGGTGAGAGATAGCATTAGGAGAAATACCTAATGTAGGTGACGGGTTGATGGGTGCAGCAAACCACCGTGGCAGGTGCATACCTATGTAACAAACCTGCACATTCTACATATGTACCCCAGAACTTAAAGTATAATAATAATAATAAAGGCATCTGTAGATAACCTATCAGGTGCTAACCTTGAGTTGGGAGCTATGGATACCATGGTGAATAAACGTCGGCTTCTAATTGAGTGGAGAAATGAGACAGGTCGGAGGTAACATAACTTAGAAGTGTATGTGCTAGAATACAGGGATGATGAGATGCTCTGGAAACATACAGGAGAGACACTGCTTATGGACATGGTGGGTAGGGTGGGAGTTAGGAAAGGCTTCCAGGAAGCAGTGACACAGACCCCTAAGGCAATAGAGACAGAAATTAGGTGGATGCTGGGAGAGAATAGGGCTGTCTGAGCTGAGTGAACAGCATCTGTTAAAACTCAGAGGCAAGGAAAGCATGATGGGCTTAGAGAATCAAAAGTAATTCTTGAGGGCTGGAATATATTTTAGAGGGCACAATGGTGGGGAATGAGTGTTAATGTGATTTACAATATGCATGCAAAGGTTTGGATCTGTAGTAAAAGAAATCCTGCTACAAAGAAATCACCTTTTGCTGTTCTTCAGGTGCAGAGGGATTCCTCTGTGTCATCTGTGTCTGAAATGCAGGGCTTCCAGAAAGCAAGTGAGGTGGACAAACTCAATATTCTTAATATTGTTTTCATCAAGCGATTTTGCAATTCTGTGCCTTTGACTTGATATTTCTGCCACATGGACTACTATAAGGAAATTTCCATTTTGCATCCATCAAATATCTACAACGTATTCCCTAAGAGGTGTTATGGGACTTTATAATGGAAAGTAAGCCTAGATACCTGGGGATTTACTTTTACAACAAGTTCTGTGTTCATTCTCTTGGCAGTAGTATTAATAATGAAATAAACGAAGTGTAATTGCCAGGTTATATAGGAGAATTTGAAGATACAAAAGAGAAATGATATTCCTGCTGATGTCTGATATGCATTTTGTGGATTTGTTTGTAATTCTCTCTTTGAACAAGTCATTTATTTAACGTGGAGGCTCAATAATGCCTCATTGTTGAATAATATACTCCAGAGAGGCAAGACAGTATATTAGAGAGAATCCACATGCCTGAGTTAGAATTTTGTTTTTGCTGGATAGTGAACTGTGTGACCTAGGGCAAATTTGACTTTTCTCAGCCTCAATTTCATTATCTACTACTAAAATTTAGAGGCTGCTACCAACTGTTATCGTAAGACTGAAAGAATGAAATGAGATCATGTATATAAAATGCCTAATGTAGTCTAGGTTTCTGTAAGCCTTTTCTGTAAGAGTTTGCTTCTACCTCTTGCAGGAAAAAGTCTAGTGCTCTGAGCTTGTTGAGAAGTCTCAGAGTGCTGACTGCGTAAGCTGGCTAAATACTACACCGTTATCCTTGCAAGTAGAGACTTATTAACTCTTACTTTTAACTGAATGTTACCTGGAGTCATATACAAATCATTTTAATTTGAGAACCTGAGTCAAAATGTTAAACATTTAAGTTTAATTGATGAAGAATGCCACGAACCAAAGTACGGTGAAATCTTTCTATTTTCCCCTAGCTAATCTTTATTAAGTATATGTAAATATTTCAGAGACTTTTTTTTTAATCTGCCTTAAGGCATTTCAATTAATACTGTGATGTATCCCAGTGAACACTTTACCTTCCAAGTGTTTACTAGAAATTTTCTAATTTTCACGTTGGCACTGAGGGAGTCTTTAATACATAACTTACCTTTCCTAACTCTTCAGGAGTGCACAATCAGAGAGTTGGGTTGTTTTAGAACTGACAAAGGGCTCGGGGAGTTTCAAATCAAGTCTTCTTATCTTACAGATAAGAAACTGAGGTCTAAAGAGATGAAGGGTCATTGTCCAAGGTCAGACTTGGGGTTATGTCTCAGAACTAAGGCTAGAGGGACAGGTTTTCTGATTTTTTAACCAGCATATTTCAAGTTAATTTACCATTGTGTACCATAATTTTCTCATTAAAAAACTGGGTAGGGTATGATGTATGATGTGCTTTTGGCATAATTGACTCTCATGAGAAATAGCCCCAATTAGAACCATTATAAAGATATGTAAATTACTTGTTTGTTAGTTTGATGATCAAATAGAAACATCTCAATGTTCTCTTTTCTCATTGTGATTTGTGTGTGATTTTATAGTTTGTTTTTGTTTTGTTTTGCTCCATTGTCAAATTTGAAAACAGCTCCCTCCCGTTTAGATAAGTAATTGGTCAAAATCACAATGCTTATGGATGTGCCTTTATCTCTGCTTACTACATGTCTGTTTAGCTAAAATATTTTCTTCTAAAAAGAAGCTGAGAATCAATGCCCACAGTTCAAGTGTGGTCAGCAAAAAAAAAAAAAAAAAAATTGCAGAGATATATCTAATTATCCTGGCCTGGAAACTTCCTTATGCATCAAAGCCACCTCTGTACATTGGACAGTGCTGGTCCGCAGGAGCCAGCCTCTTCCACAGACTTTCCATCAGAATACACGCCCTGTTAGATGAGCCCTTCTCACTCTTTCTCATCAGGGACTGAGATACCAGAAGTGAATTCTGCAGTCTGACAACTGCTTTGCTCACCCAGTCGTCTGTGTCATGAATGGAGTGTGTGTCCTTGTAGAATTTACAATTTCCCATTTGTTTGGTAGTCTTCAGAACTGAAGAACAGCTGGCTACCCAACCGCCATGTAATAAACATTGATGGACTTGAAGACTGTTAGTAACTCATCTCTCAGCTTTTGTCCTCCAAACTTTCACGAACGTTCTGTAATCTTTCTTGCTTTTAATTCCCAGAGCTTTAATTATTTCCATTTCTGTCTTCTGGCCACTCTGAAATGTTTGTCAGCCTTAGATGGCATTGCGTATAGTGGGTTCGTCCGACAACTCTAATTCACATCTTCCCCAAGGCATCAAGAACTTCCCAATGCCTGGGGAAATTGCTCTCTACATCCTGTCTGACCACTGGCCAGTGTAGGCTGGGAGTTGGGAGATGTGGATTTCGGTTCTTGTTCTGCTACCAACTTACTGTATGGCTTTAGGAAAATCATTCCTACTCTCTGCACTTCAGTTCCCTCATCTGTAAAATGGGGATAAAAATCCCTAATCTCATCTACTTGAAGATGTTGAGAGAATCTGATGCAATTACATATAGAAAAGCCTTTTTTGAAAAATGAAGATGCCTGTGGAAAGTGATACATGATTATACACCTGGCTTTACCTTATCAGCTACCTTCTTAATATGACAATTTTTAAAAATTTATTCCCTAAGACTTTTTTTAAAGCATCCTTTTCTTTTATAGACTAGTTTTTTATTAGTTTAATTACTCTTTTAGTGAGATCTACAATATGCCAAAGCACACATGATACGGAAACCTTGGTAGGTAAATCGGACACAATCTTTATCCCCACTGGAAGTTGGAATAGACATTTGAGTAGATGTTAGAATTACTGATGAGATGGGGTTGGGAGAAAGAGAGAGGGAGTGACATTAATTGAATAATTTCAAACAAGCATAGAGTTTAGACTGTGAGAAGCACCATGAAGGAGAAGTAAAAAGATCTATGAGAGCATAGAAGAACAGGAATCCCCTGGTATAGGAAGGATTCCCTGAGGAAGTGACCTTCCAGATGAAACCTGGAGGAAAATGAGTTGGTCATAGAGCCTGGGGAGAAAAATTCAGGTGTGGATGTCCAGAAGATATGAGAAACTATTAATAACGGAGCTCATAATAACTTTGTAATCTAACTTTAAAATGTTTATTTTTGGCATTTTTGAAGAAAAATACACATACATAAATTGTATATATAATTTATAAATGACTAAATACATAAAAGAATGGGTGATAAGATGTTATTACTAAAGAAAATGTACAATTGAAAATGGTAGGAGAATACTGTGTTAGCCATGTAGAACAGGGTGCATGGAGGACAATAAAGGAAAGAGAGATGGGGCAATTTTAAGAAACTTCAAGAAGCATGGTATGGTTGGCAAGAAGAAAATGAGAGGTGCTGGTGGTGTGGGGTTAGCTAAAGAGGGAGACAGGATGGGCCAGGAAGAATTTTCTTCCTTCTTGTAAAAACACTGGAAAGCCATTGAAGGATCCCTTCCTCCCTCCCTTCCTCTGTCTCCTACCTACCTCTCTTCCTCCCTCCATTTCTTCTCTTCATTTAATTAATATTTCTATGCATAAGGCATTGTTCCATTTTCTCTATATCCTGTATTTCTAGAAATTCTTGGCTTAGATTTTGCATCTTCACATTTCAAACTTTACATATTTTGGCCATATGTATATAAAGAACTTATTCCTTGTATGAAAGTGGATGCTGTTTTTCTTACTTGGACTTCAGGTAATCACTGAAGGTGCACACAGCAATTCCTAGCATATCCAGCATGAGTTGTTGCTGCCCTGTGTGGTCGTTACCTGTTTTAAAGGCACTGCATCTGATTTTAATATGTAAGCACGTTATAATAAGATACTTGCTTTTGTCTCACGATGTCCTTCATGCATTCAGTAGTGTTCTCATAGAAGCAATGCTGACCATACACTAAGGGAAATAAAACAGGATAAAAAGTTATAGAGTATTTATTTCTGTGATGCCAGATGCTTTATATAATTTATTTCCTTTATTTTTACAATAATAATCTGAAGTAGGTACAATGACTACATTTTGCCACTGAGAAAAAAGAACATATGTGACCTACAGAAAGGTTTGTTTGATTTTATAGGTCAAAGGTCAGTTAAACTTTTTTTCTGTAAAGAAGCAGACAGTATATATTTTAAATTTTGCAGGCCACATTGCTTCTGTTGCAATGATCCAGCGCTGCCATTGTAGTGTGAAAGGAGCCATAGACAGTGTGTAAAAAAGGGGGATTGGCTGTGTCCCAATAAAACTTTATTTATAAAACCAGGTGGTGAGCCAAATTCGGCCCATGGGCTGTAGTTTGCCAAACTTCGTTAAAGATAATAATAATAATAAAATATTAAGTACTGTTACATATCAACTGCCTTTCTGTGGGTCAACTGCTTTACAGACGTTATCTTACTGAATCTTTACAACTCTCTCCATGTGAGTGTTTTAATCCCAACTTTATAGATGAGAAAACAAAAACTTAACCAGAATAAATAGCTTATTTCAGGTGAAGCAGCTGATCAGTGACAGAGCCAGGATTTAAACTCAGGTCTTTTTTATTTGTAGGCTGTTGAGAAACACTGCTGGTTGTCCTTCAATATTTATCATTTCTTCTTTTTTTAGTATAGCATCTCTGAATTTTAGCTGAGCTCACACTGCCCACTATAGACCACATTTCCTTGCCTTTCTTGTAGTGGAGTGTGGCCATGTGATGGTTCTAGTCAATGGGATGTGGGTGTGCATGACATTTTCAACTTCCAGGCACAGCTCATTGGAGAAAGGAGCATGGCCATGACGTTGTCTTATTTTTCGCTCCACTGGCTGGAATGCCACCATGATGGCAGGCTCTGGAGCAGCTCTCTAGACCATGAGTTAGAACCAGTGGATTAAGGATGGCTGAGTACCTGGAATGGACAGCATTTCAGCCTAGGACTGATTGTTATTTGAACTGTTATGTGAAACAAACTTTTCTTTTGTTTAAACTACTATTATTTTGAAGATCTTTGCTATAGTATCTAAACCTGTCTCTTGACTAATATAAAAGCCCATTTTGGAAGAAGAAGACATATTCTGAGGAGATTCTCTCTCAGAAGTATCTTTTGCTTATGGGTAGGAGTGGATATATTTTTCAGCACTCAGGGAGAAACGAGATGAAAAGGTGTCATTTTCTTGATGTGTGTGAGTCAAAACTTCTTGCTCTTTTTCTGCTTAATTCTGGCTCTTTATGTTGGCCTTACATTTTCCTTCTGGCCTCAGGACCCAACCTTTTCTGCTTTTCTTTTCTTCGATTCAGTTACTCTTATGTAATTCCTGAGCTTTCTCTTTTCACTAAGCCCAGCATCTCCTTAGCTTCCCTATTCCTTGTGACCTCAAAAAAAAGCGTGAGGGAATCTACTAAAGATCGCTTTGTGATCAAACTGATCAAAGCAAAGCAAAACAAAACAGCAAAATGAACACAGAGAATAATAGTAATTTAAAAAATAGTACACACATGGGGAAATTACAAAGTTTAAAAGTATTACAGCATTTCTGCTGTATTAGGGGGTTCTGGTCTCTGGTTGTGGACTCCTCGTTGAAGGGTTTGGACCTGGGCTCTCCCTTTCTGTACTGTGAAACTCCTTTCCTCCTCCTGGCCCCTTCTCTTTGGTCAGTGATGCTGATCTCATTTTCCAGGAATGCTCCTTTTCCAGCCCACACCTAATTTCCCTCAAGCTGCCCAATTGGCTTGAGTGACTATACAAGGAGACTTATAGGGAGGATCTCTATGGCAATTGTATCCTTGGAACATTTCCTTGGAAAGGTGATGTCCTATGGTTGTCTATGCTGTTTAACTTTGTTATCTAAGTTGAAAAGTAAAGAACTTTTTCTTTTGCATGTGTTATGTTCTTCTGGTTATGAGGTCAGCAATTTGAGATTTCTGCTCTCATGGTGTATTGACTGAAGATAATGTATATAGTATATATTCAGTAGGAAGCTGGGTAAGTCACTCACTTTTACTAAAAGTCCATTGCCTTCTCTATAAATGGGGACTAGGAGAAATACTCAACTGCAAGGATATTGGGAAGATCAAAAGAGATATGTGTAGAAGTGCTTTGCAAATTATAATGTGGTTTAAATGTGTTAAATCAAGCAGAACATTTGAGATGTAGATAATGAGTTACAAGGAGTTCAGAGACAAGGGAGAAATTACATATTAGAAAACTTGAAGAAGGTCTTATGGAGGAGGTGGGGCCATAAGGCTAGCATAGTGGACGTTTGTCAAGTTCACGGTCACCCAGGACCTTATGCATTCATACCTCCCTGAAGGCAGGAGACAGAAACTTGTTTCCCAGACTCCTTTGATTCTAAGGTGAAGACATGTGATCTAAGTTCTGCACCCATGTGGGACTTCAGTTTGGAGGCCAGCTACCTGAAAATATAGGCTCCACTTCAGAACCTGCTATCAGAGGTGGTAGGGGTAGAATATCTAGTGGAAGCCTCCATCCTATGTGGTGGAGAGTCTGTGGCCGGCTCCAAATGCCTTGGGTCCCCGCTGAGCTGCCCTGAAATGACATTTGGGCATTGCTCCTGGTTGCTTAGCTTCCAGCTTGATGCTCTACTCTTCCTGGAGTTTCTGGGAAGTTCTTTATATCCCTTCGATTGTATTTTTTTCTGTCTAAACTTGCACAAATGGGTACTTTTGTTTCCAACTAAGAATCATGGCTTGCAAAGATTAGGAGATTTGTTAAGTAGAGTGACCAAAAGAACATGTATATCCTCAGAATAGTGTTAAGCAAGAAAAGTGAATTTACTTAGTGAGCTCCTTCTAGGGGAAAGCAGGAATTAAGTTTGGGTAGACAGGGTGGGACCAGATGACAGGACCCTTGAGTGCCTCACAGAGGAATAATGATTTTTAAAATGATAAAGAAAGGGAGCTACTGAAGATGTTTGAGCAGATAGATGACATCACTAAATACAAGTTTGGAAGAAAATAAAGACCAAGCCATGTATCCTCCATTTTTTTTTTTTTTTTTTTTTTTTGCTGGCTGGGAGTTTGGATTCTAGCCACAGGAGTTGATGCTGTCTAAATTAATCAAAACAGAAAAGAAAGGCTACGGGATAGCTACTGAATCAGAGGAAAACATGAAGAACCAAGCTTCAGCAAAGTCTGAAGGGCCAGGGTCTTCTGAGGAGCCAACCGGAAGGAAATATTAAACAGTCTTTTCAGTGGGCTAATTCCCCTAATTACCCCCTGGCTAGGAGAGAGCCATCTACCCTGATTAGCAGCCCCAATAAGGCTGTTCATAGAGAGAGGGATGGTTCTCCAGAGAGATCAGGTGCGTTGAGCAGAGGAGAGAGGAGATATCCACTACACCTGTCCTCAGCAATAGCACTAAAGACATTGCACACTGGGAGGGAAGAGGCACAAAGGTGCATGCTGAGGCTATCTGAATAGAGGCGAAGCAAAACCATCCAAATGGTTATTTTCCCTCCCTGCACAGCCAGGATCCATGGCACCATCCCTCAATAGGTTTACAGCAGCTTCTTGTCCCCCCCGCAGGGTTGTGAATTGGGATCATTAAGTTTTAAGTTGCTCTGCTGTCTCCGTGTAAGTGATCGTGTAAATATCAGGATGCTGGATAGGAGAAGCAAGTAATGGCATGACTCTCAGGATCTTGGATTGTTGCTTATTAACTTACATCCAGAAAAACCTTCAGAATAGAACCTCCATCCCCCAAATTGTAAGCCGAGCAGACTTTATGTGCACTGTGTTAGAAAGGCAAAACTAATAATTGTAACCATGTAGATGCAGAAGCCATTAATGTTGCTCATGCCCTGTGGTAGGAAGAAATATATTAAAAATTGATTTTTGGTTACTGCCTTTGTCTGCATAACATTTATAATAAAAGATACAGGAGAAAGTATCCCTTAAAATTGATATTTCAAAGTATTTTGGGCTTGCTGATGTTAAAAATAAATTTTTATTAATGGTTTTTTATTGCATGGTAAAAGGTCCCGATCTGAATATGACAGTGTTATCTTCTTAGAAAAAAATGGTGCTAGTGTTCTTCAATAATTACATACAAGCCAGAAATTTTGCTACATTATTGAGTTAAACGATTTTTATACATGAAATTATCCTTTGAATGCAATGTGAGCTAAGTGTAGTAAAACGTGCAGCTCATATTTCCTTCTTCTATTTTCTGTCTTCTTTACTTTCTTCCCCTGTCTCTTTCTATATGCAATAGGGTGCAACTTGTTTCTATGTTGCATATATGGTAAGCAGTGAGCCATGTGTTTGGATTACTTCTTTGTCTCTGTGATTCTATTATCAGTTTACTCTTTTATAATTGAAGAAGCTTTTGTTCATCTGCAAAAAACACATTTCATTTTATTTTGTTCCTGCTGCAGCTTCTTGGACATGATGTGATGAACACACAGTCCTGCAGGTGTTTCACTCTCCCCCTCCCCAGTCGCTTTAAATAAAATATTCTTCTAAAAAGCCTGCCCCATTTGATGTGAATGTTTTTAGAATGTATCTTAGCTGTAATTCCCCAGAAATGAAGTGGCAGGGTGCACTTTTGGAGAGGTTTTCATTAATCTGGTATAGTTTTGCTGCTGATTTGAGTTTATCAAATAGGGTTATAACCTGATAGAAATAGTGCTGTCAGATGCTTGGATATATCATCTGTTTTGTCATTCCATAGATGATGTGGGCAAGATGGATCCATATCAGAAAACAGCCTTTGATTCAGAAGAGCCACAGAGGCTCGACGCCTTAATTGCCAAACCACCTAAAGTGTATAAAGAATGACATTTTATGCTGCCTCGTTCATCACATTTTTAGAAAGACTATGTGATGGATTAATAAAACATAACAAATCTTCTATGCAAACCAAATGTTTATAATAAATGGAGCATAGTCTAACTGTTCTGCTATAAAACGAATTAAAATAGTCTCCAGCCAGTAAACTCAAACAAAATAGGGAAGGATGATGAGGTGACCTCAACAGGCAAGAATTTTACTGTTGAATACATTATTTCCTTTTAAATGGTCCTCCTCTGTCACATTGGAGTTGGTTCAGTGTAATGCTAGAGCTTTTTCTTTAGCTAGTAAGGATGCAAATTGGACATTTGGAGGCTGGGGGTGGTGAGGTACTAACTATGGCCCTCATATCCGAATGCAGTCTTTCTATAAATGCCAACTGAAAATAGTGTCATTTTGATATAATTCTCTTCCCTATTGTACAATGTTCTAGTAGTTTTTAATATAACACCCATAGTTTCTGAAAACAGAAGACAAACTAATCAATTCTAATGCAAATTTATCAGGTGGCTTATAATACAGAAATGTCTTGAAAAACATTTAGTTTTTACCTTTAAATTTTTGACAAACAGGTACCATCTTAGTCGTCGAAGTAGGGGACAGAAGGACTGATGATCACAAAGCTGACTGAGAGTAAAAACATGTTTTAATTTGTCATATTTGTATTTCTCTTCGAGCTATCCATTGCTTTCTCTTTTTATTTAATTTAATTTTGTTTTAAGTTCCAGGATACACGTGCAGGACAAGCAGGTTTTTTCCATAGGTAAACGTGTGCCGTGGTGGTTTGCTGCACCTATCAATCCATCTCCTAGTTATTAAGCCCCACATACATTAGTTATTTATCATGATAGAGCTATCCATTTATTAGACACAAATTTTTCTCTCATTGTAGCCCTATATAAGATAGACAACTTTCCTAAGAATTTGATAAGTATTTTGTTGTCTGTTTATCACAGTGAGATGTTTTACAGATAGCTAAGCTTCCTTTTTATTCTTCTTCTCTTTAGAGTAGAGGTAATTTTACTTAAAATATCATTTTGCTTTGGATTTAATTTCAGTGAATGCGATGGCTGGGAAAGCTACTGGGTGGCAAATATGAATGGTTTTAGTGCACATGCAGAGGAAGGTGGGAACTAGGTGGCACTAATCCTGAGCGTGTGCGCCGGAGAGAGGTGAACTCTTCATCCTCACTGGAGGGTCATGGGAAGGTTTTTCAGCAGTAATAACTATTTACAATATTGTGGTCCAAAGTAGATACCAAGGAGCATTCCTCTCCTCTTCCTCTGCCTCTCCATCTCTTTTTCCCTTCTGCAAGTCTTCTTCTTCTTCTTTCTTCTTCTTCTTCCTCTTCCTCTTCTCCTTCTTGTTCTCCTTTTCCTCCTCCTCTCTCTTTTCCTTCTCCTCTCCCTCTTCCTCCTCCTTCTTCCTTTTCCTTTTCCTCTTCTTCCTTCTTCTTCCTTTCTGTTAATCAGAGAAACCGCAAGTTCTTGGAGTTACTGTATTAGTCTTCCAGGGCTGCTAATATAAGATACCACAGGCCTAGTGGCTTAAACAGCAGAAATTTATTTTCTCACAGTTCTGGAGGCCAGAAATCCAAGCTCAAGGTGCCAGCAGGGTGGGCTTCTCATGAGGCCTGTCCCCTTTGCTTCCAGGCTGCCACCTTCTCGTTGTCCTTACATGGCCTTTTCTCTGTGTGCATACACATTTCTGGTGTCTGTCTTTTTCTCATCTTATGGATACTGTTGGATTAGGACTTTACCCTTATGCCCTCATTTAACCTTACTTACTTCCTTAAAGGCTCTATCTCCAGATATAGTCACATTAGGGATTAGGACTTCAACACATAAGTATTGGTGGTAGGGTGAGACATAATTCAGTCCAAAACAGCTGCTGGAAAGGTTGTCTAGATAAATAGTCAATTCAGGCCATCGTATGAAAAGATATCATCAAACTTTTTTGGAAAGCAAAAGTTATACACTTCACTTCCAAGAGGGATCTCTTTGTGAAGGTGTTAACACCCCCATCCCCACCCTCACCCTCCTTTTAATATCCCACTTATCTTTCTCAGTGCATGTCTTTCCCCAGAGATCAGCTCTACTCCTCTTCAGGGTCCCAAGCCTACAGAACTGTTGGAATGTTTTTAGCAAAATCACTAGGTTTTAGGATCCTTCTTTATTTAATGATCAAATAAATGTCCCATGATTCCTCTTTCCTGCCCCACATTATAGTTTATTCACCCTTGTGCTCATTCCTTGCACATTCTGCCCTTCATTTTTCTGAATGTCTCATATTTGCTAAACCACACCTGACTTACTTGTATGGCGAGAATTTCAAACTCCAATAGCTGGCTGATAAAGGACTATCATTATTGTTCTCATTGCTATCTTCATCATTATTGCTAACATTTATTGGGCAGCCATTGCTTTAAGTAGGTTAATTTATTTGATTCTTGCAACAACCATATCCAGTAGTTACTATGGTTATTTGTGTACTGCAGATGCTGAAACTGAGATCATTATGCTATTTGAATATTGTAAATTAGAAATAAAGATTCTTAAGGGTTTACATAATTTGCTCAAGATTGCACCACTGGTAACTGGCTGAAGAATTTGAACTCAGAAAACCTGGTTCTAGCACCTGCACTATTTATTGTTATGCTCTTAAGAATGAATAGCCTAGTTTGGCTGAGCATGGTGGCTCATGCCTGTAATTCCAGCACTATGGGAGGCTGAGGTGGGTGGATCACTTGAGGCCAGGAGTTCAAGACCAGCCTGGCCAACATCGTGAAACCCTGTCTCTACTAAAAATACAAAAATTAGCTGGGCTTGGTGGCATGCGCCTGTAATCCCAGCTACTTGGGAGGTTGAGGAACGAGAATTGCTTGAACCCAGAAGTCGGAGGTTGCAGTGAATGGAGATTGCACCACTGTACTCCAGCCTGGGCAACAGAGCAAGACTCTGTCTCAGGAAAAAAAAAAAAGAATGAATAGCATAGTTTAGATCAGGAAGAGACTCTAGAAACCTTCCATAGTTCAACTCATTCTTTAATCAAAAAGAAGGTCCCAAGTCATTCTTATTTTCACATGGTTGTTTAAGAAATGCCACCCAACAAACTGTAGGCAACTGGGATTATTATTGTTACAACAGATAATAAAAATATTTACCAGTTTTGAATACATAAATACCACTTTACAATCGCAAATCTTCACAGTTGAATAAGATAGATTTCAATTCCCCCATTTTACAGATAAAGAAACCAAGGGCAGAAAATAGTTTAAAATAATTAAATAGTTAGCTAATAATAAACTCAAAACCCTATCTTTGTGGCTGTTTGCATTATAACCTCTCTCCTGCCTTTGTGCTGCGCCCGTAGCCATGGCTCTGAATCCCAAGTCCCCACAGCTGTCCTACTTTGAACAATATTATCTAAATAAAACAGACACTGGAGCCGGGTGTGGTTGCTCATGCCTGTAATCCCAGCACTTTGGGAGGCCGAGGTGGGCGGATCACGAGGTCAGGAGATCAAGACCATCCTGGCAAACACTGTGAAACCCCCTCTCTACTAAAAATACCAAAAAAAAAAAAAAAAAAAAAAAAAAAATTAGCCGGGCCTGGTGGCTGGTTCCTGTAGTCCCAGCTACTCGGGAGGCCGAGGCGGGAGAATGGCGTGAACCCGGGGGGCGGAACTTGCAGTGACCGGAGATCACGCCACTGCACTCCAGCCTGGGCGACAGAGCAAGACTCCGTCTCAAAAAAAAAACCAACGACAACAAAAAACAGACACTGACAGTCCTGGGTGCAAGCCAGCCTTTGCAGCTACTAATTATGTAATTTCCTAACCTTTTCAAAGCTCTTGGAGACCATTTTCTCCTATGTAAGTGAGAGGAAATAATGGCAACCACGTTAAAGCAATTTTTTTAATTCAATAAATATTTATTTAGCACCTTTTATATGATGTGAACACGAGAGACAGGATTTTGACCTCAAAGGTCACTGTGAGAATTAAGCAAAATAACACGTGCAAAGAATTAGTACAATTTCCTGGTATATAGCAAGCACTCAGCAATTGTTATGGTCGGTATTATTGTTACTCTTATTGGTATTATTTTGGATCCATAGCAGATATCTGCTCTGCGTGTATATAACATTGTCACAGATGGTTTGCGGAAACAGCATCCCCACCCAATGCCACACACACACATTCTTAAGCAGGGAACAGTTTTTTGCCATGTTATTATTATTGGATTCTCAATAAATATTGGACATGGTGCAACTAATTCTTAGCTCTCGATCTACTAATACTTGGGCCCGTTCTCTACTGCTACTCCTCTCCTTTTCCATCTTGGTATGCCATCAGAAGTCCCTCTCTTTGATCTCCAATAATCTTCAAAGCAGCTGGAAAAATCTTTTATTCATTTATTTATTTTTAATTATTTTTTATTTTTTATTATTTTTTATTTTTTGCCTCAAGAGCTAGTTTTCCTCCTCCGTAGCCCACCATATGCTGACCCTTTGTATGACTTGGTGATGCAATACCTTAAAGGTTACCAACCCATCCTGGCACCAACACATTTGTTTTGTTTTATGGTTATTAGTGTCCTTTACCAATGATGTTCTGTGTTTTCCCCTGAGCTTTTGATTTCATTTCAGAAGTAGATTCCATATATTCAATTAGGAACACTTTAAAAAAAACTCCATTCTACTGGTTTATAGTCCCATCTGGAGGGAGGGAGTTACTCTGCAGAATAAATTGAGTGTGAAATTTGGCTATGCAATAAGAATTCACTTCCGTTAAGGCAAAGAGAAGAGATGCATAAAATTCAAATCATGCATAGAATAAATGCTTTATCTTTAAGAAACATATAAATAGACATCAAACACCATAGAAACATAGAGGGTTTCCTCTCTCTCTCTCTTTAAGAAACAAATTTGTGTGCAATTTCATAGCAAAAACTTTGCAAGGCAAGATTATGCATGTCCAATGCTGATAAGACTGCCCAATATAAATTTTATGATGCATTTCCTTTAGATTCCATCTTTTTAACCAGCACAATCAAAGAAAGGAAAATAAAGTCTGAAAGCCTTTGGAGAGCCAAGACCAGGCACCTGAGGAAATCAGGAAAGAATTGAGAACCTGATATTGTAGCTAATTTGTGACATTTTTGGCTAAGGCTGCTCTCCTTAAAACAAGGCACTTGCTCTAAATTTTTTCTTCCTTCTTCTTCCTGCCCTTCCTGCAAACATTGGCCAGTGATAAAAATGCTGGGTAAGAAGTGAGAGAGTGAAGCAATAGGAAAGTTTGCAAGCAGCATCCATCCCAAGCCCAGGAAGACCACAGAGGAAGGACTTATCTGATCCTGCAGGGATTTGTCAGTTGGTAGAATCCCTGCAATTGAATAATAATGCAGTTAATCTTTGCTTAACGAGCAGCTGAGGGATTCTCAAACTAACATCACTGGCACACATAGGAAGTCACAGGTCGAAGTCTGAGATGGTCCCTCTGAGAAGCCTTAGGGTAGGACACCTGAAGATATGCATGGAAAATGTGTCTTTCAAGCATCTTCCAATAGAATAATGTTAATATCTTACCGTTTTCTAATGTAACATTCACCAGATTCTGACAGATGAAAATGCTTTCTGTGCTCAGATAAATTTGGGAAATATTGATTAAAGAAAGAAAAATAATTCCATTGTAGGACTTTTCAGAGTCTTTCATATATTCATGAGTGTGGTGAATAAATAAGAGAAACATAGTATGAGACAGCACAAAAGTAGTTTGATTTTTCAGTAAGTATCTCATAGGTCCTTGATTTTTTGAAACACACTTGAAGAGATACTAGTTTAGTGCTTCACAAAGCACTTTCATACGTATTATGTCTGAAAAGTAAGCACATGTATATTCCATCAAGGACGTGTTAAACTATGGTCTGTCAGTTTAATAAAAATTTCAGTTACCTGAGGGGTTGTAAGCCCTCATCTGCAATCCCAATGAGTAACAGAAAGTCATACTTTGGCCATCTCTATCTATAGTTCTCTGAAACTTTCTGTCTTGCACATCTGTTCTTTCTATTTTTAGAAACTGCTGTTTATTTGCAGGAAATATTGAATTCATCTTCCTAGCCTAGGTTTGTTCTACTGGCAAGAGATTTCAGATTTTCATTTTTATCATTATCTCTTTAAACCTGATTGTGTTTAACTTCTGACAGTTTCATTACTCCTAAGCACCACCTCTGATGTTTTACATTTCAAATTTTATTTTATTTCTTTAAATGTCAGTGCCTTTATTCCTGTGTCATTTGGGGAAGATGAATTTCTTCTTTTCCATCCTACTTAACCAACATCATTAGAGATAAGCAACTTGGCAGCCATAACATGCTGTTTCTAAGTACAGAGGATGGTCCTGACGGTAGATTATGTATTATGTATTTGATTAAAAATGGCTGTTTGCTGGAAAAAAAAATATATGTATATATATAATTTAGAGAAAGCTCAACCAATAAAGTTAGATGCCTGAAACACATGGTCTGGGGGTCCATTTCTATCTTTTAGGGAGAGGATCTTTATTTTGGGTGGTGTGATGGTTAATACCGAGTGTCAACTTGATTGGATTGAAGGATACAAAGTATTGATCCTGGGCATATCTATGAAGGTGTTGCCAAAGGAGATTAGCATTTGAGTCAGTGCGCTGGGAAAGGCAGACCCACCCTTAATCTGGGAGGGCTCCACCTAATCAGCTGCCAGCACAGCCAGAATATACAGCAGGCAGAAAAATGTGAACAGGTTAGACTGGCTTAGCCGCCCAGCCTACATCTTTCTCCCATGTTGGATGCTTCCTGCCCTCAAACATCGGACTCTAAGTTCTTGAGTTCTGGGACTCAAACTGGCTTCCTTGCTCCTCAGCCTGCAGACGGCCTATTGTGGGACTCTGTGATCATGTGAGTTAATACTACTTAATAAACTCCCCGTTATATATTTTTCTGTCCTATTAGTTGTGTCCCTCTAGAGAACTCTGACTAATACAGGTGGTTTTCCTGCAAAAGTGGATCAACCTTCAGTAAATGGCAAATTAGGAAATTCTCAACACACTATGCCTCAACTATACTGATGGTTACATCAGTAACCATGTAATACATGAATTACTACATTACTATTACCTTAAATGTATATGGAAACTCACTCCCAAAAATCTCTAAGTACTCTTGCATTTAGTGTCCCATCTATCTAGAGATAATATTCTTAATATATGTATATACATATGAAACCATGGGTACAGCCACTTGGGCAATAATTAATCAGAATTAACCTGGGTCTAGCTTGGAAATTGGAGCGTGGAGCCCTCTGCTGTGCCATGTTAGATGTTGAAAGGTCTGGCAGATCATGCGGTGGGCATGGGAGTACTGAGGTAGCCAGCATGAAAGTGTTTTCATATTTTAACAACAATGCAGCTACACGGTGCTGAATATCAGGCCTGTGTGCATCATCAGAAGGATACTAGGAAATAGACAAAAGTGAGTACTATTTTACTTATTTTAGAAAAATCAAAAAGGAAAGCAAAAATCTGGGACATAATGGCCTTTTGACCTTTAATGAAAATCGTTGTCACTGACTCCTCAGAATAGATACCGACCTGGTATTGTTTCCATTGAGGTAGGAAGAAAGGGTGTGAGTTAGTGACCTGAAGTCCCTTAGCTGCAGTTAAAGTATTTTGTAACACAAACACTCACCAGAATAAATTGATCAAGGCAAAGAACATAGCGCATGACTCCATGAATGGAATCCACTGTTCTCCAAGGGTCAAATTCAAGCTTGTTAATTGTGCTAAACCTTTATGTAGCACTTCCCAACCCCGTTACCTACCCCCTCAGTAACCACGCATTACAGTGCCTGTATCATATGTAAGCAGCCAAGCATATAAATCATGATTTGAAAAACTGGAGGGGCCAGGCTGGGACATGTGGCTAACAGCTTGTTTTTTGCTAAGTTGCAAAATAGCAGGGCTGCACTCAGAGTTGCAAGGTTCATCTGACTTCAGAGCCTGCCATTAACTCATTCAGCCTCAGCTCTAGTGGTAAAGCCCAAGAAGGTTGCACCTGAATGCCTCAGCCCTTTGCAGCAGCAGGCCAAGTTTTGCTTGCGTCATTTGGTTTCCTATCTTACCAAAGGGTTGCTACTATGGTGAGTTGAAATTTATGGTGATCATATGTTTCCTCAGTCCTCTGCAGACTTACACAGGAATCCTTAGACAGAGGTAAAGCATAGCTAGTAAAGTAAGAATCTGTCTAAATGTTAGTAAGTCCACATTGCTTTCAGTCAATCAGGGATGGGGTAGTCATACTCTAAACCATCACACAGAATGCTTATGGGAATCAGTATGTATTTATATCTTATATCACCATCTTGCTGTCTCTTTTGCTTTTGGCATGTTGGATAGAATGGTTTCTTCATCTCTGTGGGAAATGGAAAACAAAACAAAGGGAAGTCCTCCCCCATCCCGGGAGAAAAGATTAAGGGACATACTGGGATATTTTGAGCAAGTAGTAGGAAAAGTTGCTTCCTGTGGAGAGTGTGTAATCCATGTTTCGATGCTGCCCTTGAGGCAGGCATATGTCTGGAACTCCCAACGTGTGTGGGTTCAATGAGTGACCCAGTGGCAGAAAGAAATAAATCATCAGAATGTCCAGAGGTCTAGGACTGGGGCTGAATTTAAAAAGACATTAGAGAAAGTTGATTCCTGGACAGCTGAGATCATCGTGGGAACTTTGAAAGAAAATAAACAATCCACGCCTTCCAGTTTTCCAAAATACTTAATACTTCTTAGGATAGAGTAAACTGTTAAAAATATTAGTAAATACTCACTGAGAACGTTCATGTTTGGTGTGTTCTTCCTGGCACTGGAAGTATCCCAAAAAGCGTAAAAGAAATTGCTACATGTTTATTACGAGAGTATGCATATAGAATTGGCCTAGGTAGGTCACAGCTGCATCACTTACCAGTTTAGTGATGCTGGGAAGGCCAATTAACATGTTTGGGACTCAGTTCCCTTGTTTGCAATAAAACACATAGATAATCCCGGCCTCATGGGATAATTGTGACGTTAGTGTACCTCATATAGATGACATTTTTAGAACAGCGTACACAGTAAGCCCTCAATAAATTTTAGCCATTCCCTAAAGACTCTAAACAGACATTTATCGAGACTCTATCTTTAGTGTCATGGCCATAAGACTTGAATCTTAGACTCACATTGACCATGAAGTAGCTGTGTGGCTTCAGACAAGTCACCTAGCTACTGTGCTTTTCTGAGGCACAGAGCTCTCGTCAGGAAAATTAGAATCTTAATACTCTCCCAGTGGGGCGAGAAGGGTTACTCTGCAGGCCTCCATAACACTCTCTCTGGTGAAAGCCCTTTGCAAGCTATGAAGTTCTGGACAAGTGTGAAGCCTCAGTAGTTCTTTGTTTTTTTGTTTTGTTTTGTTTTGTTTTGTTTTGGGATGGAGTTTTGCTCTTGTCGCCCAGGCTGGAGTGCAATGGTGTGATCTCGGCTCACTGCAACCTCCACTTCCCGGGTTCAAGCAATTCTGCCTCAGCCTCCTTAGTAGCTGAGACTACGGGCACCCACCACCACACCCAGCTAATTTTTGTACTTTTAGTAGAGATGTGATTTCACCATGTTGGCCAGACTGTTCTCGAACTCCTGACCTCAGGTGATCCTCCTGCCGTGGCCTCCCAAATTGCTGGGATTACAAGCATGAGCCACAGCACCTGGCCAATAGTTCTTATTTAATAAGGTATGTATTATTAAGAATAAGTTACTGTCATCCAGTTGCAGAAATAAGGTATTTAGAAGAAAAAGATGACTGTCTTCATAAAAGTATGAGTAGAGAATGAATGGGAAACTAAAGAGTGCTAAAGTTACGTTAGGTGTGGAAGGGACTCCAGCATGATCTGAGGGCTGGGCTGGACTGGACTGGTTGGTTGCAGTGGGATTAACATTGTGCTCTGAAGGAAGGAAGGACATTAGATCAGCAGAAAGGATACCAGAGACCAGTTTCATGAGCATGAAGAATATGATGATAGTGACAAGACTGCAAGCCCTTTGCATTTATGAAGCCCTTCACAGATACAGTGCTGTATGCCCTACTGAATATGTTCTCCTCTAATTCTCATAAAAATACTATCAGATTCCCATTTTACAGATGTGGAGACTGAGGCTTAGAAAGTTTAAGTCACTTGCTTGAGGACAGTGGGGCTTATGGGATCTGGAGGCTGTTCTGCCTGATGTCTAGGATTTCAACCATGAGGCCTCCACAGCCTTTCCATGAGCAAAGGTGGCAGAGAGAGGACCTGGCCATGGGGATGCTAGTGCCAAGTACTTCCTTACTTCCAGTTCTTCTCTTCTGTTGTTTCTAGGGCTTGAAACATTCTCTCCCTTCACCTCTTGGACTCTCTCCTCCTCCTCCTTTAATTTGCTTTTTCTGGGAAGGCTTCTTTTGATACACTATTCCCCACCTCTAAGCTATATGTTCCTATGTACTTTCTTCAACACAGCCCTTGCACACCGCTTCACACACTGCTTCTGTGTCGATAACCTTCAGCAGGATTCTGAGCTCCAGGAGAGCAGAGACAGAGTCTGCCTTACTCATTACAATATTCAAAAGAAAGGAGGATGGAGGAAAAGGCAGAGAGAAGAAAGAAAGGAAAAGAAAAAGGAGGGTTTATATCATCAAAGATAAACCTGATAATGACTTTGGAGGTTCAGATTGTGTAATAATTTTTAGAAGCTTCTTTAGGAAAGAATTCCTGTATCTCTTCCCTTCCCTATACACACTAATGGGAAATTTTTAAATTCCTTCCCTTGAACCTGACACTCCGAGGAGCCAATCAGAAGCCCGGTTCCCGAGTCGGCAGACTAATCCCATCAGCACTGGAGCTGCTGTTGTCTGCATGCGTCTGCTTTACCTACCCAGCTGACATGTGGGCCCCATTGCTCAGAGCCATTGCAGCCAATTTGGTCGATAATCTGCAAATTAAAAATTCAATAAGTAGTTCCCAGAATCATTTTCAAAAGCGGGGACATAGAAATTAACATGTTAATAATCGGCGCATGGTGGCGTGGGTTTTCTGTGGTGGATTGTCATTGCTTTAATTTGGTATTCCAAAAAGGCCACGGGATGCATTCCTTTAATTTTGCTGCACAGAGTGTAGGCTTTTAGGGGTGTTCTGTAAGTATCGATGTGGGTAATGATATTGCATATGGCTTTTGTGGCAACTTAGGCAGGAAATAAATAGGGTGCTATAGGATTCATTAGAATTTCCTTTAATAATAAGGCATTACATCTCAGTACTTTTACTGTGTGGCACATCCTCAAATGAGTTTTGCATATGCTGTCAACAAGGCTGAGAGGTAGGCAGGGACAGAGATTTCTTCCTGTACTCACACATGAAGAAATGCTTTGGGAGATGCATGGCCTCACACCAACAGCTAGTGGGCAGTATGGCGTGATGAGAAGCTGGCTCTCTCCATTCCCAGACAGAAGCCCTCTCCTCTGAATGTTGAACCTGCAGTGCTAACAAATTCATACACAGGTTGCTGTAATGGTTGAGGCATAATAACTTCAAGCCACAATGCCTGGTCTAAAAAGTACTCTGGCAGCAACAAAGCTTTGATAGACAGACCTGGGTTCAAATCTCTGCTCCAGCACAGATTAGTTGAGAGAGTCCATATTCATTCCTTAAGCTCTCTGAGCTGCTGATACCCATTTTAAATGTTGGAGAGGATAAGAACTACTCCAGTGGGTCACTGTTAGGATAAACTACGGGAGATGGGTGAGAAAGTAATCAGTGGATACTTAATGTGATTCCTGGTATTTGAAATTGAAGATGTGTGGGACAAGATATTTGAAAGCGAACACATATTGCATAATCTCTACTGCCCTGTCCATGTGGTAGCTGCTAGCTCTATGTGGTTATTTACATTTAAATTGATTCAACTTATAATAAAATTAAAAATCTAGTTTCTCGGTCTCACTACCCACATGCCAAATGTTCAACAGCCACACAGGGGTGGCTAGTGGCTACCATACTGGGCAGCATTGATACAGAACATTTCCATGATTGCAGAAAGCTCTATTGGATGTTGCTGCCTTAGGAGAAATGACCTCTCCGAGGAAACAGGCAGGGGAGATATCATGCAAAGTCTAGACTCTATGTTGCTGCAAGAGGAGGCCAGAATGAAGATGTGGACCAGTGTGTGCCCACTTTCCTTTGTTTAACAATATTGTTTACATTGGGGCTATGCAAATTGTGTGCGAGCAATACAGTGCGGTGCGTTTAACAGGCCCACTCCAGAACATCCTGCTGATAATTGTGTAGAGCTCTGCAAATGGTGGGTAATTTCCTCTCAGGTGCCTGTTCTACATGCTTGTTTGGCATGCTTTATTGTCGGGTGGATTTACACTCTGCATTTGCCATAAAAACTGTTTCCAAAAGAAACAAGAAGCATGACAAGATAAAAAGCGATATAAAAAGGGTATTTTGTGATTTATTTATGTCAAATTTATGGAAGATGACAGGAGGCATTACAGTTCCAAAATTAGTTGTCGCAGTCAGGCTATAAATCCTGTAGGACAGGAGTTAAAGGAGTGGGTTGGGAATCAGGACCCCTGGGTTCGGAAGGGCCCATAGCAAGGCCAAAAGAAGGCAGAGGATTTCTAGAACCCTCCACACAGGAGCTTCGCCAGCCCTCAAGCTGAGGAGCTGCTGCTTAGTAGCTAACAAATATTGAGTGTTTGCTATGTTTTAAGCACTTTGTCTGTATAATATCATTTGCTTTTCACTAGCTCTTGCTATTTCAATCATTTTACAGATGTTGAAAGTCTGTATTGTACCTCTGTACGGAGAGGCACAATGAATAAGGGTGAAGCTGGAGTAACTTGTAGAGGCTGACTTAAATGTACTCATTATGCTTTCACTAAAGACTTAAATTCATTCGTGCTCTGCAAGCTTTTATTAAGCACCCCCACTGTGGGCCAGACATAGTGTCAAGCATTAGTGGTATAGAAATGATAAGAGGTGAACTCTGCCATCAATAAATTTTTGGTCTAGCAATAAATTGAACTGATACACAAGCAACTGTGATTTTAATCAGTCCAAGAAAAGTGATGTATAGCTATGGATGGGTGATCTCTAGGACCATAAGGAATCTCCTCTCTAATCCCAACTGGAGTATACAGAAGAACTTCATGGAGGAGAGAGTCTTTGAGATGAAGAAGGAAATGGGTCCTTAGTGGTCAGATACGGGGGATGGTCCATCTCTGGTCCCACTGATGGGAGAATAGGGGAAGGATGGTCCCAATGACTTCTCCTTAGCTAATGAAGTGAGCCTTTATTTTCCTGAGAAATGAGTTGATGGCCCCAGTCTATCTATGCTGTCTTTGAAATTCTTTGTATTTGGTTTGTAAGTGGTATCCTAAAGAGGCAAGTGGAGGGAGACAAGGTTTTTTCCTCAATTAGAAAAACACAGTTTAAATCAGATCAAGACTATTGAAACTCTCCTCTCTGTTGGCTTCCACTAAGCACTCTCTCTTTCTCCAGCCACTCTTCATTGAACTTCTTTAAGAATTCTTCTTTGTTCAACCCTCCAGTGTTGGTTCCCCTCCACTCCATTCTGCCCTCAAAAGGATTCTCTTCAGTCTTCTCTTTTCTCATTGCACACACATTCCTGTGTGATCTCATCCCTTCATATGACTCCCATGTGTTTTCTGATCACCCCCAAATCTATAACACCGGGCTTAACTTCTCTTTTGAGACCCAGATCCATATACCACCTGCATATTAGCCATTTTTACCTGAATATTCTGCAGACACATCAGACTTGGTCAACAGGTCTTAAGCATGCTTCTCTTTCTATATTCTGCACAGCAGTGAGAAATACCATGGATTATCAGGAAAAACCCTAGAAGCCAGCCTAGGTCATCCCTTTTCTTATCATCCTTACATCATACTGGTCACCATGCTCTTAACATATTTTAAATCAATCTCCATTTCTAATCTATGACCTTCATAATTAATACTAGTTGCTATGATGAAAGGAGCACAGATTCTGAAGACAAAGTGTTGGGTTTGAATTCTGGTTCTAAAACTTATGTTACTAATTCTCTCTGTGCCTTAATTTTCTCATCTGTAAAAATGGAGGCAAAATATAGTTATCTACCTCTTGGAGTTGTTGCAAAGATTTAATGAATAAAAGAACAGTTCCCAGCTTAGGCAGGCACCATTGAAGCATTTGCAATCATAATTGAACTTGTATTGTAAGGAATCTTGTTCTGTTTGCTTTACATTAATCTCATAGAATCTCCACAATACTGTGTAAGGTTTTCCCTTAGCCAAAATGGTGGTGTGGCTTCACCCTGTAAAGATCTTCTAACTGGCCTCTGGGTATTACCTCCATCTGCTGTGTTCTCCACACTGCTGCCTGACCACATTATCAGGAAGACTCATTTGAAGATTACCAGAACCGTCAAAATTTCCTCCCTGGCCGATCCTTCCTTACTCTTCACCCGACTATGACACCTTCATTTCCCATTCCTTTGGCCAGCTTTCCAGGAGCACCCAGGATCTACTGCAGGACAACCAGGAAAGGGGGTTCATGAAAGCAATTATGCGGTTAGCAGGAACCTAATTTATGGCCACACATTTATGGAGAGGTAAGCTGACCAGAGGGTGAAGGGAAACATACTGACTTCTCTCTAGGGTTTGAGGTAAAACTGTGCCTCCATGTAGATCTTCAGTCCTTCCAGAGTTTCTCCATCTCTACAAAGACAAGATACCTCTTGTTTCAAACAGACTGTGAGTCTTAACTAATAATTACAAAGGGCTTACAGGTTCTAGAAGACAAAGGCATTAAATACCCATGTAACAGAAATTATACATAGATGAAAAAAGAGACATGTAAATTAGATCAACCAAAAGTCACTCATTCACTCTGCTGAGCACTCTGAAAGTTCATCCGGGATTGTCTCTTGCCAGGAGTGAATGGTTTTGAAAGTAAAGATTGTCAATGGTATTTTGCTTGCTAAATGTTCTTGCAGTGGGTAAAGAATGATATTGTTCATGGTAATAGCAATAAGAGAGGCCAGTGAGGGAGAATAATTTGAAAAATGAATATCCCTAGCTATTTTCCTTTGACGAACAATCATAAAAGATCTTCTAGGTTTAATGCTAGGTCCTCATTTCTTTAGCCTGTGTTTTAGAAGCTGATTGATTGTGGTTTTTTCACGGGGTCTCCACCATGTCAGGATCACAAAATGTCACTTTGCAGATAGATGGCCCCCATTGGAAAGGCACTGAGAAATGGCAATTGCCATTCAAAAATCTCAATTTTCAAATATACCTTACAGCTTATTCCTGGCGAGAAACACTTTCCCCCGCTCATGAGCATGCTAAGTGTTGTGCTGAGAAAAAAGGTGGCGAGTGTTCTTCTGAATGAAAGGAAATTTGCAGCTAGGAGCTCAAGTCCCTGGAGCTTAAGAGGCCTCCCTTCTTTTAGTGGTGCTTCTTGCTGTGCAGCTTTCCTGTGGGGTCAGGTAAGAGTAGGAGACAATTGAAATGGAAGAGGTAAAAGGCACAGACTAATGGCAATTGCATTTATCACCTTCCCTACTTGGGTTTCAGTCAAGGTTATAATCTGTACGTGCAGGCTCCCACCTGGCCCTGTGCTCTCAACAGACCAAATTCATGCAGTAAGCCATTGGCAAACAGGAGTCTTGTATTGACTTTGGGGATTGCTCAGTCATAGACAAATATCTTCCTGGCTGGGAAAAGTCAGCCTGAGTTTCCAACACCCAGTTTGGATTTGGAATTAGGAAGCATTGACTGCTTTTGACTGTCTCATTGTCTTGGGCAGCCTTGGACTCAGAGATGGTAGACTCGAGTGGTATCTTCTTAGTGGAGCAGAGGAAAGGCAAGTGGTGAGGTGCTCTTGCTAGAGAATTGTTTGGCTATGAACTCTCTGCGGCTCTCTGAACCTTAGCTTTCTCATTTGTAGAAGGAGGATATTGGGCCAGATGACCCTGTGGTCCAAATGTGATCCACTTAGGTAACTATCCTAAGTTTGGTCCCTTTCCGGGTTGCTTTACTTTCTTTCCCCCATAATATACAACAGAATTTGACAATTGTTGTGGAGTTGATATTGAGACTTTTCTATTCCACAGCAGTATATCTAGAAAAAAATTGTCCCCTTGCTATTTCTACTTTCCCTTGTTGTTATTAAAAAAAAATAAAAAGATGAGAAGAGGGGTTATGGAAGATGGGCTCATTTGGCTTTCTCAGCAGATTTGCTGTTTGATTTCTTCCCCCTAACCCTTTTCGTACTGGCCAGAGGGTTTGATTTAGTTGGAAATGGCACCTAACAGTGCAAATGCTCATTATCTTTATTGGTCGTGATCTGCAAACCCATTTCTTTGTCCAGGGCCTTCAAAACAGCTTATTAGTTAAAGTGTTCACTTTGACACCTTTAGGGCTGGTGTCACCTTGTGGGCTGCCATCACCTTATGGGTAAAAGGATGATTTCAGAATTATCTGTGATGAGCATCTCATCACGGCCTAACATGTACAGGGGGCTTGTGGGAGGCGAAGAACATGGCCATTTAATACCTGTCCCAATTACCACAGGGAAGAGGGCCAGTTCTGGCACAGGGGGCTTGTGGGAGGCGAAGAACATGGCCATTTAATACCTGTCCCAATTACCACAGGGAAGAGGGCCAGTTCTGGCACCATGTGGTTACAATGCAGTAACAGGTGACAGGGCAGTGTGGGAGATAGCGAGTCCTTCTCAGTCAGCCTGGTTGTTATGGGTTGCTCTGGGAAATGGATTCATGCTGAAATTACCCACACATGTTGTCACTGTTTATAGAAAGGATAAGATGTGCAGGGAAGCAGGGGCGATGTCTAGTCTCCCCAATAGGTTATGAAGATACATTTTAAACATGCTGAGAACTTCCCACTGTCCTATGGTTTCTGTAGAAGTGTAAGGATAAATCATATCATTTGTTTTAGCTGCATCCCTGAAATCCTCAAGAAGTAACATTACTCTTCCCTGATCCTCCAGTTAGGAGATTTTGACCTTCTTCTTTCGAGTGCAGTGAAATTTTGGTCAGAGGGAGATTAAACCTAAATCACTGCTCTGTCATCGGAAGTTCTGTTATGGTGGCAGAACTTTCATGGAAAGATAGTACTGTTAGGAGGTGAAAATAGTAAGACGGTGTTACTTCCCTCTTTCCTGACATTATTATTGCTACCTAGAATTGTGCTGCTTTTTTAAAAGCGCTTTCTAGAAAAATTACACACGCACACATACACATTCTCTTAGCCATCTTCTTTTCTTTTACCAACATGTAGACTTAGCTAAGTTAAAACATAGAAACATAATTAATGCAATTATTTATAGATCATTTCCTTGATAATGCTGAGAACACTCACTGTTCAGAGGGATTACTCTAGCTACCATGGTTTTACCATGTACATAGAAGCCCAATTATTCCATCAGTTTCCCAGAGAAACTGGAAAGACTTATGTTAGTAATGCTTAATTATTTTATGAATTTGGGCAGATTAAGGGGAGCCCGAGGCCTCAGGCAATTTAACAATGTGATGGCTTTGCCTTAGGTAGAAATAAGAGAGCTAATTGAACTTGCTTGTTAAACTAACCCATCTGCAGGACACATCACACAGTTCCAGATGATGGTGCTCTCTGCCGGAAATAATGATAATTTCGCCATTTTCCTTGTAGTCATTTTCACAGGATAAGTGTGTTATGCACAGCGAAACTCTATGAAGGATTTACCTGCCCAAGTCTTGCCCAAGTAGGCTCATGGGTTTTGGCCATTCCTACCTTTCAAAATAGGAGCCAAAGATGAGCAGCTCATTGTTTTGGCCAAACTAGTTGTCATTTACCTACTTTTGTATGTTCTAGAGAAGGGTTTCTTGATCATACCTCAGCATTATTGACATTTTAGGCCAGGTAATTTTTTTGTTGTGTGAGGCTGTTCTGTGTGATGTAGAATGTTCAGCAACATCCCTGGCCTCCACCTACTCAATGCCAGTCATCTCTCCCCTCTTGCATCCCAGCAGTTGTCACAACAAAAAAATGTCCCCTGATATTGCCAGGTGTCCCTTGAGCAACAAAACTGTTACTGATCTAGAGACATTCCCGACACAAAAGAATAAATATTTAGACCTTCCTATCTAAAGTAGAGGCTGAATCTATCTGGCCACCTTATCAGGGGATTTCAAATCAGTTTTTAAAGGTTAGCCTAGATTGTTGCCTGATTCAACTCAGCAGGAAAAATCATACCGTGTTGTGTGTGAACTAACTATAATTTATTAGCTCATTAGTCTGGCCTTGAAATTGCCATTTTGAGCACTTGCCCAGGCTGACCAAGTTTATAGGCTGAGTTGCTTTTTTACAGACTCAAGGTTTCCCCTCTGCTTTTGGGCACTCATTGCATGAGCCTGCTGAGCTTATCATGGCCTGGTGCGCTTACTGATAAGCAGCCTTGACTTGTGCATCCAAATATTTGAAATCTTCTGCCACCATTACCTTCCCGGCTAATATGAAAGTTCTGCTCTATAAATGAGAAGGACAAAGAAGCACTGATCAGGACAGCTAAGAAGGAAGAAGACTGACCTGTCATAAATACCTTTCTCCTTCCATCTTCATAGGAGACCCCAAGAGCTCATAGCTTCTTGAGGGTTTAGAAGGGCAGCAAGACTCATTATATTCCTGTTGGCATCTTTCCAAGTTGCCAAGAGGAAGGCAGGCAAGTGATTTTCCCCAAAGCCACGTCATGCTGGTATGCCCCTACTGAAGAAACAGAGTGGATTTTTTACTTCTAATTACTCTTACTCTGTTTTCTACATCTTATTATCACCTTCTGTAGAGTTAGCAATCATACTGGTCAATTGAGAAGGTTTCTGCACTCAGGAGTATGTCATACACATTCTAACGCCATAATAAGTACTGAAATATGCAAGAGGGGCACATTTCATTTTACCTTGGATTTGATGCCTGCACGTAATTTGGAGACTGGGCAGCCAGTTCATGTATCCTGATGGATTTTTATCTGACCAGGTGTTCACTTTGTTCCCTGCTTAGCTCTCTGTCAGCAAAGAGCTCCTCCTCATGTTGACTCCATTGAGGAGCACCATATGGTGGGCAATGCCGCCCCTTCGATCAATATAGTCACATTTGCATTCATTCTCTGATGAGATGGTAAAGGGGAGACTCCTCTCCTATTGAGAGAACCTGTTTGGAACAGAACTGAGCATAGAATTCAGTTTTTCCATGTGATGAAGATTTCTTTCTCGCTCTTTTTTTTTTTTTTTTGGTTTGGTAAATACATCAAGAGTACTAGCTAAAGTCATTTATTTGCATACTCAAGTTCTAGGATATGTTCCAAATTCTGCTCTGTCAATATGAATAAGCCCTTTAAGGATAAATAATACAAATAAACATATTTTTAAAGAACTAAGGCAAATAGTATTCTATTCGAATATATTGCTGCTAACATTTTCTAGCCTTTCTTAGTAGGAAGGGCATGTCAATCTATTTTTATTCCATGTCTGAGTCTTGATTAAAGACAATTCTGTTACTTGAATAAGCTTAACACTTTCTAGAGATAATTTTACTATAAATATTATGGTATAAATATTTTACATTAGATATTTGAGTGTTTTAAAAAGAAAGCACAATGAGTTATGCTCACAAACATAGGTATGTATTGATGTCCATGTAAGATTACCTTTTGAAAAACTCCCTTGTATTTGAGAAAAATTGATACCATTAAGGCAAAATGAATTGCTGGAGTAGATTACACTTAATACAGATGTATTTACATAAAATAAAGCAGAGTTTTAGAAAACATAAAGAAATTTTTGAGTTATAAACTTGGAAATTGTTTAGGACCCCAGGCTCAAATCTATTTTTGTTATGAATTTGTGGTACATCTGAAATCTATTTATTGGCTATTTATAACCTCAGTACACTGACTTACATGTTTGTCTTCCTGGAGTTTTCTGAACATCTAATAAGGATTTCAAATTGTTTCATCTAGAGGTATGCTTACATTTATATTACACCTTTAATTCTATATACAGTAAACATGACCAGTAATTAAAATGAAAAGTAAGTAAAATGATGATTATTGTAAAAATCGCCCAGTGCTTCGAATTGACTCAAACTTGAACTGAACAGAGTTATTTGCACTTATTACATACAGCCAAGCAAGTAAAAGTTTCATTCCTCCAAAAAATACTGTTTCTTAAACTATGGGAAGCTTTTGTTTCATCTCTCTCCAGTTTTCCTATTTGTAGTATCTGAATTTAAATGCACACACAGGGATGGACTCCTAGCAACTGAGTAGATCGACTGCAAAACTACAATTTTCAGGCCCCAAATGGACTCTATAATCAACCTAAACTCAGGTTCCCCCTATCTTTTTGTCAACATTCCAGGTTTTCCTCATGTTTTTTAAAGACCAGAGGGAGCTGTTTCTTAATTGCACACAAAAGAGTTGATTAATAAAATTATAAATATCACCTATAAATAACTATGCTTGTTATGTGTATGTGGATATCTACATTAAAAAGTACTCCTTTAGTGGGCTTTTTTCCCTCTGTGGCATTTATCACTACCACCTTGTTCTCTCTCTCCCATCAGACAGTAGGTGGCATTAGAAGAGGGACTTTGCTTTCTTTGCAGTTGCATGCTTAGGACCTAGAATGGTGCCTGGCATGCTGTAGGCACTCAATAAACATTGGAGTCAGTAAATGAATAGATACATGATGGCTATTGATGAAAACTATTTAAAACCTATGTTTCAATCCCTTCTTTATACAGATGTAGAAACTAGGCTAAGGATGGTCTGCTAAATCGATTGCCTATCCATTCATTTATTATTCATTCCTCTTGTTCATCTATCATATTTCTTGAATACCCTACCTACCAAGGGTAGTTTTAGCTAATGTCAATACCAGAAAAAAATAAAACAGAGACCCTGCCTTAAGGGAGGTCAACATTCCTAGGGGAAACAGACACAGAAAACAAAATGACTCTGTTGGCATTTTCATATGTTGGGGAGAGAGGGAGACAAGGGACACTCTCAGAGGAAGTGACATGTGAGCTGACTGCTGAGAGGGGAGAAGGAGGCATCTGATGACTAATGAGGGTTGTAGGCAGAGGATGAGCACTGCATAGGCTGGGTGGCAGGAAATGACATGGCCTGTCTCTGAAGCACTTCGCTGTGATTAGCATGTGAACTTGGGAAAGGAGTATCTTGTAGTGGTTAGAATGTGGGCTTTGCTGTCAGAGTGCCTGAGTTAAAATCCTGGTCCCACCAGTTACGAGCACTGTAACTTGGTGCAATTGAAGCTATTAGTTTCGTTATCTGTAAAATGGAACTAAGGGCACCTACCTCATGCGCTAGTCTGAAGCAAAGATGAAATGAAATACAATTGTGCCTTCTACCTAGGAAGTTAACAAGACTTTGTGGCTATGGTTACAATGATTATAAGGAAATGGTGCAAGACAAAATTGGCAAGCTTGGTTTGGTGAGACTTTGAAGAGCTTAGCATTTGAATTTTATTATGTGTGCATTGGACCACTACTGAGATGGGTATAAATCATGGAGGGAAATATTTGCATTGTATTTTAGAGAGAAGGAACTCTTAGGTCATTAAATAGAGGAAAGATTTCAAAGTGGGAGGGACTGAAGAAAAAAGAGGACTAGTGAGTGACCTGTTTGGAGAATATGGTTTGTCAATGATCTTGGGGGTAGAGAGGGACAGAGCTTCTGGAGAGATATTTTAGTGGCAGAAAAACAAGAATGGGAGGAGGGGGCTCTAAGGCTCCAAGCTCAGACAACTCTGTGGTTTGACTCTGTGAGTCATTAACTCAAACCCTGGATATAGGAAAATCTGCATCTTCAGAGATTGCTTAAGATATCATTAGAGTGCAGAGCTTTGCTACTGAGATCGTGGTCCCAAGACCAGCAGCATCAATGTCACCTGGGAGCTTGTTAGAAATCTAGAACTTCCAAACCCCACCTCAGACCTATTGAATCAAAATCTGCATTTTAATAAGATCCACAGGTGATGGGCATGTACATTAAAGTGAGAGGAGCAGGAGTCTGGAGCAGGTATTGACAAACTCCAGCCCTCACACCAAATCCAGCCCACTAGCTGTTTTTGTGTAGTCTGTAAGCTAATAATGGTTTTTATATTTTTAAGTAGTTGAAGAAAACTCAAAGGAAGAATAATGTTTTGTGTTATATAACAATTATATGAAATTCAGATTTCGGTGTCCATAAATAGTTTTATTGGATAGCCATGCCTGTTCACTGACACACTGCCTATCGCTGCTTTTGATTTACATGGCAGAGTTGAGAACATATGAACCTCAAAGCTGAAAAATTTGCAATCTGGCTCTTTACGGAAAGTTTCCTGACTTCAGGTCTAGAGAGAGCATTTGGGAGTCAGGAAGACTTCAGTTCTTGTTCTAACATGGCTATTTATCAATATGTAATTAGTTACTTAAATTTTCTGTGCCTTGACTTTTCTTACTTGTAAAATGAAGATACAAATTCAACCTCATGAGATCAGAACAAAATAGGAATAATGCAACTGTTGTGCTTATCCCAAAGCCTAGCACATAATAAGTGCTCAATATGAATCATCTGTTATTCTTGTTACTCAATAGTTAATAAATGATCGTGTTATAGCCCAAGTTTTTTTGCTTTAATCCTGTGTGTTTTTCACCCAATGCTGTTGCTTTCCTGAACGTTCACTGTAAGCTACCTTGATTCCTGCCCTTGCCAACTAACTGATTTTAGAGGAATCGTAGTAATAAAGAAAATTGCTCCTTTACATCAGTAGTTAGGCCTGTCATGAATAATGATATTAATAACTAATAACCTACAATGTGGTGTAGATACTAGGGAGTAATTTATTTTGATATTTTTATGCCATCATAATGAATTTGTTATTCATTATAACTCTACTTTCAAGGCATAAATCAATGTTGTTTTATATTCTGGGCAGATGCTGTGTGTATTTCTAGAGGTTTTCTAGGGTAAAGAATTAACATTTATTTATAGAAACACAAGCATTAGATGTTTTGAACACATTTTAAAAGCAGCAATAAAGAAATCACTGCTATGGATATTCTTCTGTTTTGAGAGAATGCTGCAAATAACCATGTTGGTATTTAATACCTGGACCTTGATTTGAACTTAAATTGAATGTAGATAAACATTTTGGTTATCTCTTCAATTGAAGTATAACTTTCCTTTAAAAGAAAGAGTTTGAAGAAAAATTGAATGTTATTGGCTTTTTACCTCTGCCTTTTCTTATTAGCTACACTCTGACATCTCTTCTACAAATACTGATACCCAGCGATGCTTAGTGAAAAGAGCAAGACAGCAGTAAAACAGGAGATTTACGTGTTGCTATTTCCTGGTTGTGAATATAATATTTGGGCTGTGGTGTTAAGTACCAGGTAATTTCCTTATATCTTCAATTACTGTAAATATCTTCTTGGTACAGCCTTAAGAGTTAGAAAATAGAGAAATTGACTCAGATATCCAGCAAGTTATAATTATTAAAAATAAAAAGAACAGAATATTGCCCCGAATATGAAACAATCCATTTCTTCACAACTTTGCAGAAACAAATACCTATGTTTTATATTTATATTCTTATTCTCCATCTTAGTTTGCCTTCTTAATCAAATATCAATCAAACATCTATATTTCAGATTGGCATCTATAAGAATTATGCTAAAATTATGTTATATGATTACCAAGAATATTTCAAACTTTTACTTAAACTTCTTCACATTAAACTTTTAAATGTGAGCTTTTTCTGGAAGACCTTGAGTTGTAACAGTGTGAAATAATTCTGTAGTTATTTTTTAATATAAGAGAGTATATATTGCATTTAAATTATAAATAACAAAATTGTCCAGAGAGCCTCTAAAATGACCGTTGCTTAAAATAAATATATATTTGGTTACTAACATATGCCTTGGATTAACTTCTTAGTAAATGTGCAATGTATGAAAACTGTATCAACACAGTTAGCATTACTAAACTGCTAGAGTGGAAAAACTTAGCATGCTTATTTTCTGTACCACATTTAGTTTGGTGAATTTGCTATGAAGATCTCATTCGCCCATACTTTTTCTTTCATCCTAGAAACACTATTAAAAATGTGAGAATGTAAATTTCAGCTTGGTTGATAAAGCTAGCCAGTGTCCACAAGCAATGTAAACTCTTAGTTGTGAAATTGCTATGCAGAGTTAAAAAAAAAATACTTAGTATAAGGGGTTAGGTGAGTAAGTTATAAGGTGGAGGGAAGAAGCCTTATTTTAAAAGAAATTTAACTGAATATTTTCTAGTAGACAGTACGGTCTTATGAAAAATCTTCATAACAATGTATGTGCTGTTCTAACTTGAAGCATTTTTATCATACGAGGTGCCTGGAATACTATTGTTTTCCACATGTGACAATGTAGCCTTGTATTTTCTTCTTGGCACATATCTCTTGGAGTTTCTAACTTTGGAAGGTGAAGTTGTTTGACGACTTGAATCGATTATAAAATGGTTACTATTTCTTTTGTTCCCAAGTATTCTGTCAGTGGGCATTAGTAATGACATGGTTCTGAAAATTGAAAAGAATCAACAGATCATGCAATGCACTGTTGCAGGATTAATTTAAGTGAGTTTTGAATGTTCAGCGCAATGAGACCCTGGCTACTTCCCTGGGGATATTACTCTATAAGGATTTCCTAATCTCTAATGCATACTCCAAATATTACAGTAAAGACAAAAAGCTGATCATTCAAATATCTGACTCAAATACCTGCAGACTGCATCCTGTATGGTTAAACCAATCCAATCCAACATTGTTCCATAATAAAGTTTTTCTCTCTGTTTCTGTAACATAGTAATACCTTCTACTAGACATTTATTCAAAAGGAATAGTACGGAGTAATACTTTCTACTAAGAGATTTATTCAAGAGGAAGAGTAAGGAGTGATTCAGAAATGCTAGATAGCTACATTGCAATTACACCGACTAAAAATCTTAGTTGACCAAACATGTCTTTGAAAGGGTATTATTATATTTCTTTTACACATTTAATGAGTACATATCCAACACATTTAGCTTGTGATCAGCTTGGAAAAAGCTCATGATAGAATATGGTGTTTCCTTCTAGTCATGCTTAGTTTTATTTATTTATTTATTTACTATTTTCAGAAAGAAAGGTGAGACTCAAAAGTTAGACCTAAGTAAGTTATAGCAAACTTTAATGTCTTTTCAGGTAGGTAGGCAATAGGGGAAGAAAGGAAGGTTGTAATGCATTATAGTAGTAATATAATGCATTCATGTAATGCATTATAGTAGGTTTATGGACCAGGAGTTCTTCAGGACATAGAATCTATGCAGATTGTTTAAATGAGTAGACTTTAATGAAAGAACTATTGAGAGAGGTGTGTCCATGTAAAGAGAACAAATAGCCACGTAGAGGCACTAAAAGATTAGCAAAAACTGAAAGTCTTTAGCTGAGTGGAGACTTGGCGTGAAACTAATAAAGTTTTTAAGTTTCAGGGTTCCTTACATTGTATAAGCCCTTCCAAGGCCCTGAGAGGAACCAGCAATATCTTCTCATAGTCATATTCTTTTTACAAAATTTACAAATTTAATCATACAAGTTTCGGGCCCCCTAAAACCTGGATATATCTCTGGACTTAACTCTCCTAGGGCCAAAGGTAAAAAAGAGGACACAGCATTCATTACCTTAGCCTATGAGAACTGGAGTTATGGTGGGGTAACTGTCCAGTAGGGGGTAAAGTTGTAGAACAACAGAGATGCCTCTAGAAAGGCAGCCCAGGAGCAGGGAGGAAGTGAAAAAGAGAGGCCTTGAGCCCTCTCCCACCCCACTTCCTGGTTTTCTGGCGGTGCTTCACATTGGCTGAAGCCATCAGGAAGCCAGCAGGTAAAAGCACCTAGGGGAGGCTTTATATGGGCCTCCAAGATGCAGAGCAGAGAAGGAGAATGGAATGGGGAGGGAGTGGGGAGAAAAGAATAAAGGGTAAACTATCATTGTGACCTGTTTTCTCTTTCAGATGATTTAAATGTGTAGTTTTGTGTTTTGGATTCTTTTTTAGAGACTCCTATGAGGCTACGAACCCAAGAGTTTCTTCTAGTGGTAGATTCTGAGAAGAATAAAATGCAATATGGCATTTAAAGTTGTACTCCAGACTTTGGTTTGTACAATAGCCTCAATCGGAACAAGGAAGAGAACACACAGAGTGACCGTGGGCCAGGGTGTCCCACGCAGTAAATATGATGGGGAAGTGGGAGGAAATGAACGCAAGTTATAAACAGAATCATTCAATCTACAGACACTTTCCAGATGAACAACTACCTTTCATCATGAGCTTTCATTAATAACTGTTCAAATATTTACACATATCACTGATGAATGAATATGATCATTAGACTCCTGAAACGTCTTGGAAGTGAAAGTAAACGCTTTTCTGGTAGGGCAGAGGGAAGAGAACTTATTTTTCATGAATGGGTTCTAGATTGAGAGACCTCAAATTACTGAAGTCAATAAATTGAAGAGTTTAGGAGAGGGATGGTTAAGCTCTGAATGTTTCATCTAACTCAGATGTAGGTTTTTGTGAGTTTTAGCCAAAGGCTCTCCTGAGACTCTCATCCCTGACATTCATGTATCCTGCTGTTCCTCATTTGGGTAATGGACATTTTCTTTGAAATCTGTTATACATTTGGGTTTTACAAACTGGAACACATTTTTCTTGTGTGTTTTGATCTTTAATAAAAACCATGGGATGAATTGCTGGGAAAGGAAAGAATCCTTTGGTAATGCATGGCATTATATCTCCTATTCATGGGTGAGTTGTTTCTCATACTCCCTAGCCTCATGTTCCAGACTCTGCTCTTTTATGTTTATTTTCTAGTAAAAATGACCAACATGTAGCTCCCTGTATAAACACTTATAGGGTTTGTTTGTGCTGTTCCCTCTGCCTGGCATACCCTTCCCACTTCTCATCATGCATGTAACTCTTACTTACTTGGCTTGGTCCCAGCATTCTTCATAGGAAACCATCCCCCAATTCCCTGTGTACCTCTGTGTTATCATTTATACATCAAAATCCGTGTGTTTGACTCAACCTACTGGACTGGGGGGTCTTTCAAAGTCAGAGAGAGGGTCTAATTCTTATTAGTATCCAGAGTGTGCAGGCTCTGGCATGTAGCAAATCGTCAATAAGTATTTGTTGAACTGAACAATTGTGTAATTGCAAAAATTGCATTTCCCCCAAAGCAGAGAGGACTACGTAATCCTCAAGGTAGCCTTAGTGTCCTAGTTAAAACTTAGTCCAATGTGTAAAATTTAATTATCTCTCTCTGATTAATTGGCTCCTGAGATGACTTTTGGGTTTTCCCTGTGCTTGGGGTAAAATTAGACCAGTAAGTGTCTGCTTCATCACACTAAACTACCTGAAAGTGTAAGTTGTACTTTTTGTTAAGACTAAAGGGCAGATTAAGTAATATGTTTTACATGAAGTGTAAGGAAGAGAACTAACCACGATTATCACTCACACCAAGTCCACAGCAAGAAAGATGGTAATAACAATGTCCATTGTCACACAGGATCCTTACATCCACTCTTGAGGTGGGATCTTAATTGTTAACTTATGGCAAGCAAAGATCAAATAATTTTCTAAAGGTAACCATTTTGGAGGAAGCTGGATTTGAACCCTGGTATTCCTGAGTCAGTTCCAGTGTTTTCTATAAATCATTACAAGATACCTTTCAGCACTGAGAGAGGCTTCATCATGATCAGGTTTATTACTTTTACTTGCATCGACCGATGCTTGTTACCTCCTGCAGCTTTGATGAGGTTTTGGTCTTCCTTTAAAGGCCATCTTGTGTATTGGGCAAATGATGTACCTTTTTGTCAATTTACCAGGAGTTGGTTTGGGAGATAGGGTTGGAGAGGAAGGAAGTTTATAGAGGAGGTGGGTACAGAAATGCTAGAGATTGATGAGATAATGAATATAACTTCTCTTAGGGCAAGAGAACACTCTATCAACGATAATAAGATTCTCAGGGAAGATTTATATCAGTATTCTTGAAGATGTATGGGGTATATACCTTTCTAGAGAGTGGATTTGAAATCTACTTTGGGTCTATACCTAATGATGAGTCAATTTGCCGATGAAGTGTTTTGAGATTAGGCTATTTCCTATCTGCCTTTCTAAGTGCCCAAGTGCTTTATACCTTGCCAGGCATCATCCATTTCAGAGGAGAGCACTTTTAAAATGGGTTTCCATCTAAACTCAGCCACATTTTTAGTGCACGATGAAATTAATTTGAATAATAGGCTTTATTTTCTATGTGCTTTCAGCAGAATTCTGAGCAAGGAAAGAAAACAAGGCAGATTTGTAGGGTAGCTGCAAAGTGAAAAATATGCATTTGAATGAGTGATGGCATGTGCTTGTTTTTATTCCCCCACCACTTGTGGATACTGCCTCAGAGTTTCATAGATTGTGGGGGAAGGGGTGGCTCTTGTCCTTGAATTCACATCAGGCTGTGTCATTGAACCTTGTGGCACCTCACAATGTAGGTTCTAGAGGAAGAAGACATCTTGAGATTTGCAAAGTCTACAGAGGCCTGGCAAAATGGAATCCATTTGCTTAAAATGGTTGGGAGTTTATTTACTGGATTAACTGTGAAGTATGTTGATAACAGATGGAACGAGTGATCACATGACGTATTTAAATAGTCTAAGGATAACCTCGATGTCCTGGTCAATGTTCCTTCTCTCGATTAATGCCAGTGCTAATTAACTGGCACAAGTGTTCCTAGCCATATGGGGGATGTTGCTGAAAGCTGGCTGGCAGCTATAGCCAGCCGCTACCTGTACGTAATTTAGTGCTGTGCTTGGTGCTGTGGGACTTCCATAATGGAACAGCCCAGCACAGAGAGAATCGATGGTTGCAAGTGTCGTTATGTTTTCTTTGTTTCTTTTGTGCATGTTACTCCAAATGTGCCTTAAAAATTAGAAATTACGTTGACATGTTTTGCAGGAAGGTAATATTGTACTTCATCTATGTATGTAGTACATACATACTCAAACTCCTTGAGTTTCTGAGTGGTCTGTTAATTGATCTGTATTTTGATTTCCTAATAATGGGCAGCTAACTCATTAATGATCTTCATTGAATCAGTGCTGTGCTATGAAGCTATCCATTTGCCTTGTGACTTGAAAAATGAAGAAGAAAACTAGTTTAGGCAAATAGAGAGTAACATGGTTTAAGAGTTAAATTCTAAGTCTACATCCAGTTATGATTCTCATAGGTGCTAAGGGAAAGAGCACTGGATTCAGAGTCTGATAATTTGAGGAAGAAGCCCATTCAGTTTGGTCACTAGCCTTTTAGATCTGAGCACTCCTAAGGGCTGGCTTGGGAAACAAATACTTTAGTTCCAACAAAGTCCATCAGGCCTCTCCATGCCACCTCAAATGAAAGTAAAATTGAAATGAAAACAGAGTGATCATATAATTTATCATAAAAATGGGACATTTGAGAATGAAAAGAGGCGTTTGTAATAATTACTTAGGGTCCACAGGCATGAAGTGGAATTATTCGGAGCACACTGGGATGTGTGGTGTCCCTAGGCAAGGACAATGAGCTCGCTCTGCAAATTCAAGTTCAAGACCAAGTCTCTAAGTACTTCCTTTTCCAGTGAGATTTCAGCCCAAAGGGCCTCCTAGAGAGAAACCAAAGGTTTCATTGCCTTGAGAAACATGTTGCTGAGCCTCTCTCTACCTCAGTAGGCTATAAAAATGGGAGTTACAGTACCTGCCTCTCAGAACTGTAGAAAGGATGAAATATATGTCAAGCATCTATGACAGGAAGCATGACACAGGAGTCTTAGTAAATGCCTTGTTGTCTTCCTGCCTCCCTCCTGCTCCCTCCTTTCTTCCCATGTAGACAAATAGTATTACATAGAAGAAAATTAATATATATTTTTAGAGGAAGGAACAATGGTTTTGTATTTTCTGCTAAATGCTGAGCCCCTTGAGGGAAGCAACGGTGTTTTATTCATCATGTATCCCAACCACATGGTTCCTGGGACCTACTCAGTAAACATTTGTTGAATAGATGAATGAATTTAAAAGTAAAAGAAGAGCAGTCATTCCAGAACAGAGGTTTGCAGTCGGAGAAGAGTGTGGCTGCATTCTTGGCTGATAAGAATTCAGAAGGCATGCGAACACAGAGCTGTCTTTCCCAAATGGAAACTTAAGCTGAGTGGCACAATAAGAAAGCTCTTCCTGAGGGACTGTCATAACCAGGAAGGACTGGGCTTTCATGTCCCCACTTGGTTCCACGGTTCCTGCTGAGCTTCTGAGATGGAGAAAAAGCAATATGGAGCCTAGGACAGCAGGGAGGAAGAAAAACCATATAATTTCCCTGTGCCCACTCTCTGCCTCCCACATTGGCAATTATGGAGCTCCTCTCTGCAAGCCTGCTCTAACAGGTGGCCACATGCCTAGGGTGCAATGGACAAAGCCAGGAACCTGAGGATGTCAGCTCTTGTGTTGGGCATGGAGAAGCATGATCTCCATGGAGTGCAGTCTCCACATCTAACGGCTGTGAAACAGAGGGGCCACGTCTTGATTTAGTGGCTATTGGTTTTCTGTCTGCAGTAAAGCGTTGTCAACAAGCTTCAGAGAGTAGGGCAAGAGCAGATATCCTTGAGGAGGATATGAGTATGAGCTTGAGGGGTGGATGAAGATGCAGGTTCTGGGGTTACACTGCCCAGTTCAAATCCTAGCTTCACTTCTTACCAGCAGCGTGACATTGAGCAGACTGATAAAATTCTTTAAGTCTCCATTTTCTCCATCACCGTTTTTTTTATATATATATATATATATATATATATATATATATATATATATATCACTATATAACAATGATTATAATTATATCTGCCTTACAGGATTATTTTGAGGGTAAAATGAGCTAATCTATGTAAAGCACTTACTATAGTGCTTGGCACACAGTAGGCACACAATATATATTCATTGCTAGGTTTTGTATCAGTACTCGTGGAATCATCATTGTCATCTTCATTATTATTGGGCTTTGAACCTGACCCTTCTTTATATCAAATTCTCTCAGTGAGGTGATTGCTCCCAGTTAGCTAGCACCAGGGAACCTCCAGTGGGGGGACAGTAGATATTGTAAGACAGAGAATTGTCACATTAAGTATACTACATGCTTCAATAGCCAGGGGCTGATTAGTACAAATCAAATTTCGTACCAACCTGCCAGAGGCAGATAGTGCATGATTGGGCTCTGTGGGTTCAGTTTGATTGTTCTAAGGAGATATTTACACCAGAGGTACCATGAGAATATTAAAAAATACCATCTTTGTAGCAGTTAATGACAATGGTTACATACATGTATGTGTGTGTGTGTGTATGTGTGTGTGTGTGTGTACATATATTTTCATCTCCCCACCAAGAAAGAAATATTTGCCCCTGAAAACTACTTTCAGACTTGAAGCTTGAAGGATAAATTCCATCCTAGGATGTGAGGGAGAACCAAATAGATAAAAAATAACAAACAATCTGCTACACTTTGGTAGCAGGATTTATTCCTGTCCTCCTTTCTTTCTTGCATGTCTGGGTTGCACTGTACCTTTGCTGTTCTTCCTACTAATATTATTCTACTGTCAAGTTTAAGTTCCTGGCACACCAGAGTAGGAAAGAATTTTTCTGTCCTTTGAGCTGGGCACTGGGAAATCCTCTTGTCCTGGATTTGTAGCAGCGCGAGGCCATTCTTCAAGCGGAAGCCACTCTGAATCTGCGTACGGCTCTTTGGCAATTGTTAGATCCAGCCCAGCCTTGGCTAGTGAGGGGCACTGCTTGATGTCGACAAGAAGTGAATTTCTTTCTTGTGCTTTCATTTGAGGCTCTCTCTCTATGAAAATAGAACCTGCTTTAATCTTGCTGGGCCTGACGAAGAGATATCTCCCAGACTGCAAGTCAGCATTTGCCCACATGGTTGTTTGGCAAAATCTATTTTTAAAAGTCTATAATTTCTGTTGGTAGACAAAATGGGTGCTCTGTTTTGGGGGAAAGGGAGAGAATATATACCCTGTGATGTGTTGTGAGGCTAATGAAGTGAGATTCATTCCCTGTGCTTTGCCCCTACTCTGTCTGGGACCATGGTATCTTAAAGATATTCATGCAAAATTATGATATAGAGACAGCGGATTCTGCCCTGGGGAGGAGGGAGGGTCCGGCCTGTCGCTTTGTGTCCACCTCCAGCTGTTCTGGGTTGCACCAGTTCTGAATCTCTAGCCTTTTGTGACTCACATCTGCAGGTCACATGCGGCTGGCCATGATGACATGTGAGTCACTGGCATTGGAAATACAAACTCAGAAATCAGGTTAGGCTTCTTTTGTTCTTTTGTTCCTCTTTCCTTGCAACGGTAGCAAGTTACCAAGGTTTGGTGAGGGCTTTATTAATCAGGAGGTTTCAAAAAACAAACTTGGGGATAATGAAAAGACCCAGGTTGATGGACAGATCTATAAGGCAGGCTTTGTGCCTATCACACTATCTGCCCCTGGCTTCCTCAGTGCTGTGGTTTTGCTCATGCCGTCCCTCCTGCTAAGATCACCCTCCCCGCTTACTCAACTTCCTATTGTCTAGGCCCAGCTGTCATCTCAGAGCCTTATTCTTTCCTTTCTCTCAAATTCTGTCCTCATGATTGCTTCTTCTGGTCACTTGTCTGCTCATCAGAGGCATTTTTAAGGCATCTCTTCTATTGCTTTACTAAGTGGTTCTTCAGCTTCTCAGCACTGGTTTTTTTCCCTTGTCTCTCAGCTGCATGGTAAATTCTATTCCTTGGGGAACAGAACAGTATACTACGTATCTGGGTTATGTGGCTTGGGTGTATATGCATGCATGTTTATTTATTTTCTTTTTCATTAATGTTTTTAATAAGTATAATATATTTTTGGTACCTAAAATGTATGCATAAAGATAAGCAAAAATAAATTTAAAATAATTGAAAAGATAAATCTTAAAATGGCAAATATTGTTCATGTTAGGTGTATAAGTTCTAATATAGACTTTTTATTGCTCCATCTGAGTGATAGAGAGAGAGAGAGAGACAGAGACAGAGATAGAGGGATTATAATGTACCTGGCACTATTCTATGGGCTTTATACATACTAGCCCCTATGAGATATGTGCAATGACTATTTTTATTTTAAAGATCAGGAAGCTGAGGCTCAGCGCTGTGAAGTTACTTGCCCAAGGTCATATAGCTAATAGGTGATAGAGCAAGGTACACAGTTTTATTAGTCCATTCTCACACTGCTAATAAAGACATACCTGAGACTGGGTAATTTATAAAGGAAAGAGGTTTAATTGACTCACAGTTCGGCATGACTGGGGAAACCTCAGGAAACTTACAGTCATGGCAGAAGGAGAAGCAAACACATCCCTCTTTACACGGCAGCAGCAAGGAGAAGAATGAGTGCCTAGCAAAGGGGGAAGCTCCTTCTAAAACCATCAGATCTCATAAGAACTAACTCACTATCATGAGAACAGGATGGGGGAAGCTGCCCTTCTGATTCAGTTACCTCCCACCAGGTGCCTCACACGACATGTGGGGACTCTGGGAACTGTTGTACAACTCAAGATGAAATTTGGGTAGGGAAACAGCCAAACCATATCAACAGTGTTTTGGAATCTGATTTTGTTTTCACTTGGGAACATAACGATACACTCATTTATTTAACAGATGTTAAGTACCTGGTCGGTGTTATGTAGTGTTAGGAGATTTTACACAGAACAGTGTTAGCCTCTGCCCTAATGAAGCTGGAGGGAGACAAGAAGGTAAATACGTGGGATCTGTGCTCTATGATGGGAGAAGTTCAGGGTGCTTTGGAGGACAGAGTAGCACCTACCCTAATCAGGAGGGGGTCCACATATTTATTTATCATTATTGTGCATGACTGCATTCTTTCAAATAAACTTTTTATTTTAGAATCTTTTTAGATTTATGGAAAAGTTGTTAAGAAAGTACAGAGAATTCCCATATGCCTTGTATTCAGTGTCACCTAATTTAATATCTTTTATTACTGTGGCGTGCTTGTCACAACTAATGAACCAATATTGATATATGACTATTAACTAAACTCTACTTTTAATCAGATTTCCTTAGTTTTTCTATAATGTCCTTTTTCTATTCCAGGATCCCATCTAGGACACCACATTTCATTTAATCATTATGTCTCCATAGGCTTCTCTGGGTGGTGACAGTTTATCAGACTTTCCTTGTTTTTTGATGATCTTGACAGTTTTGAGGAGCACTAGTCAGGTATTTGGTAGAATATGCCTCTATTGGGATTTGTCTGATGTTTTTCTCATGGTTAGCCTGGATTTATAGGTTTTGGGGAGCAAGGCCACAGAGGTGAAATGCTATTCTCAACATATCATGTCAAGAAGACATGCTATCAACAAGATTTATGATGATGTTAACTTTGATCACCGGAGGTCATGGGTGCCAGGGTTCTCCACTGCACAGTCACTCCTTATCCCCCATTTCATAAGGTACTTTTAGAAATAGGTCACTAAATACAGCTCACACTTAAGGGTTGAGGAGTTACATTTCACTTTCTAGAGGGGGAAGCATGATTGCATGTCCACATTGCATGGATGTTCCACAACCGATTCACCCAATTACCTATTGATAGATCTTGCAGTTTTACCATTTTATTAACTATTACAGGCAATGTCACATGAATATCCTTTACAAATATCCTTAAATCCCTCAAATTGTTTCCTTTAAAATAAACCCTTCTGTATAAATTTGAGCCAAGGGGTATGTATTTAGAAAAAAAAAAAAAAAAAACCTTTTAATTTATCTGGATAAGTTACTTTCTACAAAGGCAAAACCTATTTGCACTCATGTTTGCTAGCTTTATTAAACCAAAGGACTGTTGTGCATTATTCTTTTGAATAAGTAAAGATTCAATAAGCAGAGAATTTAAGCATGTAGTGGGCATACCCTTAAAAGAAGAACACAGAGTCAAAGTCCCATTTTGACTGATAAATCAAAATTGTACTTACTTATTTTACAATGAAACAAACTCAGGTTGACTAAAGTTAATTCAGTGGGTATTTGCTGGGCTATGAACTGAGTACGTAAATAGTCCCAACTCCCAAAGACATTTAAGCCTCAGGATGAAGGCAACATAAAAAAAGCTTCAATTATTCCTGCAACTCAAATTATACCTACAATTCAAATTGTACTTATATTTATTCCACTAAAAATGCACAAAACACCTTCTTAGACTGTGTCTACATGACTTTTTGTGCTGAGAAAATGGTGAACATTGCTTGAAGTATTTCTGTAGTGCTAAAATTTATGTAACATGAAATTTAGAGACCAACATAGATGGAGAGTTTATTGGTGCATGAAGAAACCTACACTCCAAACAGAAATTGTTTATGTAAATATTGGACTCAGAACAGATCTTTACTGAGGAAATTTGCCTTTGTGAGTTCACAGATGCCAAATGGGAGGTGATTATGAAAGAATTATGAATTCCAAGATGTAGTGTTTATGTGTGCCTAAGTTTAGATTCCCAGAGGGACCAATTTACTAATACTAAGTGTATGAGTGCTTAATGGGATATGGTGAACACAGAGCTGTACAGATTCAGTAAGTGTGGAAGTGAATTTTAAGTAAATAACAGTAATGTGGGTGTTTCAAAGATCGGGACTTGTTCTAAACTCTATACTTATTTGGGATGATAGTAATGTAGTATGTCTAGGTAGGTTAGACAAGAGCAAAACAGACAAAAATTCTTAGAGTATTGACAGCCAAATCCACTAGTTCTGTTTAACCTGACCATGCAGAATTGACAAGAATATTGGGAATCATTTAGATATAAAATCTAAATATTGATACTAAGTCCTTTCTCAGAGGGACATTTTCAGATGTTTTTCAGTGAATTCAATGACTCACTCACCTTATTTCTTATGGGTTCCTGTGTATTACTCCCTGCTTAGAGGCCTGTGTGTTGATGTTGATGGTACAGTTTTAGAACATGCATGGATTGCTGCCAAGAGGTGAAATGTGAAAATCATTCCATTAAGGTAAAAATACAAAAATCCATGAGAGTGTGATTCTTCTCTTTCTTCTTTTTTTTTTCCCACTATCTTTCACAGTGAAAAGACTGTATCTGCCCATAGTGTGTGGTGTTGGGTTGTTGATTTTTAAGAGCTAAAGCCTATCCAGTTTAAAGTAGGGAGTCCAAAGAGCTCTGGCTATTCTCTGAAATGATGGCAGATATTTTAGTCTCCAAATCTAGATAAAGTCATTCTTAGTAGTAGAGGTAAGCAGGAAAAGGAATGATATTATAGTCATTCTTTAGGATGTGGTTGTAGTGGTGGTTAGTGTTGTGGCTTGGGTGCATGCAGTGAGTTCCTTTAGTGACAATTCCCAACATGTATCCAGGGAAATCATACCTGAAAGGATCAATGGATCTGAAGCCCACCTGGTGGTGACATTGTGCCCTAGGACTGTTCATGACCCCTGTAGAGCTAGAACGATCTCACATCAGAATTCCTGCTCTAAAAAGCAACACTAGGTGCCCTCTGACATGGAAATCCATCACCAGTGCCATTCTCTTTTCCCAAATGAGTGTATGTGAAATGAAATAAACTGTAAGTCCCTTCAGGGATGAGGTTAAAAGTGGGCCATTATTTCGATTTTAGAAGGTGATTCCTAAATTCTTTGTTTATATCAGTGGCCCATCTGATCGAGTCTGACAGATATCACACCCCGTTCTGTAAATTGAAGTTTTACTTTCCCTCCCACAAAATAGTTTGGTTAATCCATTTAGACATATGACATTAAAAAAAATTAAAACTGGGTACAGTGGCTCACATCTGTAATCTCAGTGCTTTGGGAGGCCAAAGCAGGAGATTAGTTTGAGGCCAGGAGTTCAAAACCAGCCTTGACAACATAGTAAACACCTCATCTCTGAAAAACAAAAATTAAAAAAATTTGTTGGGTGTTGTGCTGCACGCCTATAGGCCTAGCTACGTGGGAGGCTAAGGTGGGAGGATGGCTTGAGAGAGGGGAGTTGGGGGATACAGTGAGCTATGACTGCACCATTGTATTCCTGCTTGGGTGACAGAGTGAGACCCTGTCTCTAAAATTATAATAATAATAAAATTAAGAAAAACTATTTTCAGTGATTCAAGTTTCTGTTTTTGACAAGGTATCTGTTTAACAAACATTAATTTTATGAGACATTCTAGGAAGCCACATTTTAGCTTATGGTTTTGGATACTTCTTACATTTGGGGTTTTAAAGTGCATTGATTTCATTTTGAGCTAAATTTTTTTTGTAGAGTCTGGAAGGGGATAATCTTAGGCTAGGATTTTTAAGTAGCAAGCAACCAAGAAAGACTCAGGCAAATTGGAATTGCATCCTACACACTGACTCTTTGTGAGGCCTGGATCTAGTTTGTCAGAAAGCCCAGAGAACAAGACAGTTCCATGAGCTAACTAACTACAAACATTTCATGGAGTAATTGAATTTTTCGTTTTCTTCTTTGTTGATGTCATTTGGTTTCATGATGCTGCTATTAGTGACCATACAATTACTGTTCATTTGATATTTTCATTAGCATGTAGAGTTAGTGAGTCAGTAAAAATGAGATTTTTCTTTTTTGTTTGGTGATTTGTTTTTAACATGATAGCAGAATCTATAAAATGTTTTCAAATGGAAATCTCAAATGTGCTTCAATCTGTCCTTCTTCCTTGGACAATTGCCTGTTGAGGTCACCTGAGAAATTCCAACTCATCTTTTAAGACTTAAATGAAATGTCACCTCCTTCTGGAGCTTCCCTGAAGCTAATGGTGGAGTTGGCACTGTTTTCTCTTCTGCGTTCCATGTAGCGTCTTCCACAGTTCTCTGTTATAAGATGGTTTGTTACATTGCTGCAGATATTTCTGCATGTCTCTTGAGTTTCTCAAGACCAGGGTTGTATTTTTTCATGTCTGTCGATGAAACAGTACATGACAAAAGAAGGTACTTAATACATGTTTGATAAATTAATTACTGTTTGGTAAATTAATTATTGAAGGAAGACCCAGACTGGTTCTGATAAATCATTGATTACATTTTACAAATTTGTATAAATTAGGGGAGCCTTGAGAAGTTAGAGCTCTAGGGAAGGTTCCAGGAACGTTGAAGGATGTGAAATATGTTTTCAAATTCATAGTTATTGCAGATTCTGAATACTTCCAAGTGAGGGAAGATGAGAAGAGATGGCTTAAAATAATGAGAGTGACCTTTTTTCCTTGTGGTTGAGGGATAATATGCTACTTTTGAAAAACAGACCAGATGCTGAGGTTCTTATTATGTTCTTTTCTTACTGGTTATGTCCTTGGGCCTCATTGTTCTTGTAGATAAACCTAGGGTAATATCACTTTCTTCTTGAGTTGTGAGAGTTAAATTATGATATTGTATTCTGAAGTTCTCAGCATTAGTGTCTGCATAGTTAGTTAGATGGTAGCCATTATTAGTGTTGAATTGGGGATCTCTATAACTTCTAAGTTTGTGGCATTTCTTGGTTAGCTGTTCCTCAATCCTTTCTCTATCTCTAGAGAGGGAAATTTATTTTCCAGAAAATGTTCAAACATAGGCAAAGGCAGCAAAACCTCTGAGATTCCTACCACTATAGAATCCTGTGATCATGATAATCTTTGAAATGTGCTTTGGTTCTTTGGAAGGAAAATATATTGAAATAAAAGATAGTTGTTATTTTCTAAACATCCTTTGACCTAGAGGGTAATAAGGTGAAACACACATTTTTGAGTATGCTTATTGTATTTATGCATTATTTTGGCCCATCTGTCAATGAATTAGTCTTTAATTTGGGCTGAGCCATTTTGGTATTTCAAAACAAACAAACATATTTTAAAACAGCACAGAAAAATGTCATTATGGATTTTAATATGTTTACTATGCTTTATTTGGGGGGGGGTTTGATATGCAAAGTTCTTATTGAAATGCACAGGAGGTTGCTACCATTGATTTGAGTACTAAAAATAAGATGTAGTCATGTTCTTCTTCCCTTTTTCCTTCTTCTTTTCCTTATTTGAGTAATTGTATGGTAGAGAGCTAAGTGACAAGAAAAACAGAATGCTAAAAAGCAACACTGGGTAAGCTGCCCAGGCTGGGCAGTCATCACCATGGACCCCATCCAGCCCAAAATAGCCTTGTTGAGCATCTGAGCAAGAGCAGCTGTGGAGGCTTCTCCCTGACACCAAGGGAGCATCCACTGGGGCAGCCACATGATGCCATATGGCCACCAGTGACCAACCTTTGTTGGGCAGCAGACATGCTCTCTCCTTAGCTCTTACTTCTCCTAAGCGAAAGTCATGTCCTAGGGGGATGGGAGGAAGGTTTGCTTCTCTGTCACTGTCCTACACTATTTCTCTGACCTCCTAACCTTCTTGTTTATCTGTTTCTAATTTTCATGCTCAAACCTCCATGTTTTCTCTATGTGATCCCTGCCTAATGAAAGGGACTATGGTGCTACCACTCCATTTGGTGTCCTTCTTTTCTTCAGGTCTTTCACACTCCCATTCATGTTCATGGTGCTTTACACTGTGAATCTTCAAGAAGAGCTCTCCGTGTCATCTTTAGCATTCATCATTCTCTGCTCTCCATCATTGTACATCTTAAACAGTCTTGCAGAGTCAGTTTTTCTCTCTCTACTGCATGCTCCTGGAAGGCATGTCTTGTTTGTTACTGTATCCTATGGTGACTATCTAGAATAACATATGACATGTATTATAAGTGCAATCATTTAATGAAAGAATAAATAAATGAATGACCTAGAAAATTGTTGGACCAGAAGAAGATGTGCATTTTTTACTTCTAAATGAGGAAGTGTACCTTGGTGCCTCTACCTTCCAGGGAGGGACTTTTCATGGTTCTTAAGACTTTACCTGTAACAATTCTTACTCAAGATACCCAAAGATGCTAAAATTAAATACAAGGTAAGAACCAGAAGCAATACTTAGCAGAAACTGAATTTTTTTTACTGGTTTTCCTGTCTCTATGCAACTCTTCTACTTCCTTGGTGCACTTTTTTTTTTAGTCTCCCTGAAATCTTTACTCTGGATCTCATAGGACCCATTTTGGCCTCTCCAAGGCTCTCATCTGCCACAACAGCATTAGATAGTTTCTTTTGGACCCACCTCCAAGCCCAACTGTGTTTACGCATATTATTCTGACTTTGCAAAGTCCTATTGAGATGAATAGGATGCTTGTCAAGGCACTTTCCTTTGGGACATTGTGAAAGGGGATTGATCCTAAATAATGAGAAGTCGTATAATTGAATGGACTGTGATGATGAGGCAGAAAAATATCACAGGAAAAGTACCTGTGAGCCACAGAATATCTCAGCTCCTCCTCCAGGGCAGAGGGGCAGAGAGATCATTTCTGTCCCTGGTGGAGATCTATTAACCCATTCAGACTTATAGTATGTATAGTGGGAGAGTAATATCCAACAAGTGAATTTATGTTCAATGATTGAAAATTGAACAATACATTTCTACCTTTCTGGACCTGTTGAGGATAGGCAGAAATTTTGCTTATTTTAATAGGAAAAAAAATGTTGAAAGGAGTCAACAAAATTTAATGACCTGGGTTATTTTTATTTTATTTTATTTTATTTTTTATTTTATTTTACTTTATTTTATTTTATTTTCTAGTGAAAAGAAAAAGGAAGTTGTGGGCTGGGAATAGGCACTTTTGGGGTTGATCCACAGTTCTACCTCTGGCTTAGTGCCAAGTTTTACTTTGGGCAGAAGTGGCAGAACTTTCTGCCCCAATTTCCTGGTACAGACGGGATCAGCAGCATTTTGGAATGCATCTGCACATTGCATGGGGATATTTTGAAGATTAATCAGCTCCCTATGTTGGTGGGAGAAAGCCAATAAATAAACGAAAGGCAGATTTCACTTGTAAAACTACCATGAAAGCAGTAGAAGTAAGACAAATCAGGAGAAGCTACCTAGGGACTTTGGAAATATTATAATCATATAGTATCTCGTATCCTTTCTCCCTCTCTGTTCTGGTAAAAGAGGTGTATCATTCTGTGGACCATGAAATTAGTGGTTTGTTGCCTTAGCAATTGACCTTCATGGCACCCCTCCTGGTCTCTGGTCTTCTTCGTGACTTCGCACAGAAGTGCCTTCTTATTTCTGAGCATTTTCTAGAAGCCTATGCCTGTCATGTTCAGTACATGCAGGAGCTGGTGCTTTGCTCCATTCTGGGAGTCTGTGTTTAGTTTATTTACTTGTTTTCACATGATTAGGCTTTTGTTTTGTTTTTGAGATGGAGTCACTCTGTCACCAAGGCTGGAGTGCAGTCGTGCGATCTCGACTCACTGCAACCTCCATCTCCCAGTTCAAGCGATTCTCCTGCCTCAGCCTCCCGAGTAGCTGGGATTACAGGCACGCACCAAGACGCCTAGTTAATTTTTGTATTTGTAGTAGAGACGGGTTTTCCCATGTCGCCCAAGCTGGTCTTGAACTCCTGACCTCAAGTGATCCACCCGCCTCGGCCTACCAAAGTGTTGGGATTACAGGCGCCTGCCACCATGCCTGGCTGAATTTTATATTTTTAGTAGAGATGGGGTTTGTCCATGTTCCCCAGGCTGGTCTCAAACTCCAGACCTCAGGTGATCTGCCCACCTTGGCATCCCAAAGTTCTGGGATTACATGCGTGAGCCACTGCGCTTGTTCTGATTAGGCTTCTTGACTCCCTCTGCTGCTTTTCATGTCCTGTGGATTGCCATACTTCAGATCTTGGAGGCTATAGAGTAGAACCTAAAACCAGATTGCCTGGTTCATATTCTGGGTCTTTCACTTAGTAGCTATGTGATCTTGGGCAAGTTTCTCAATCCATCTGTGCAAAGTAGAGCTGAAAACAGTGCCTATGTTATATGCATTTTCGGGGTATTAGACATGCTAATATATGAAAATGACTTAGAATAGTACATAGTAGGCATTCAATACATCTTACTTATTGTATTGATTCGCCAATCATTTTGGTGAATCAGTTGTATCTGAAAGCTTTGTGGTAATATTAGCTTATTTAAAATGAAATAAAATTGATTAAACTTTTTTCCTCGATGTACATAGGAATTCATATGCAGTAATATCAATACTTAATATTCACTAAATTAAACGTGCTGAAAAGTCTTACATGCTAAGAAGACAGAACACATAAACTATTTTCTTCTTGAAAAAAATACATGTATAGGCTGTTTATATATAGGCTCAACATTTAGATGTTAACCAACTTAGCAATTTTTTTTTTTAAGGTTCATGTCTTACTGTTATACAAGGGCTTCAGTTAGGATAATGAAACAGTTAAGAACATGAGGTTTGGATTCAGATAGCACTGAGTTTGAATCCTGACTTCCTGATTTTGCAACTTACTACTTATATGACCATAGGCAAATCACTTAAACTTTCAATGCCTGTTGTTTTTCTCACATGTAAAACAGAGATACAAATGTCTACCACGTGGTTTGTTATTTGTAATAAAATAAGATACTGGTAAATAATTTTTATGCCTGGATTAAGGAAATAATTCTATGGAAAAAGCCATATTGCATACCTCTGGGGAGCACTATTTACATGGTATTCTATGTAAGTAGTATCCCTTGGAGTTGCACAGTAGGGGGCCTGATACAAAAATTGATATCTACTAACATTATCATTATGATGATACAGCTAGGAAAAAAAGTACCTGTGAACCAGAAATCCGTGGACATTTGCTCTTTCTCTGCTAAGTGTGTAAGCAGCAAGAAAATAGCCAAAATTAGTATATAATTTACTTCCAGATGTTGTCTCACTTTAATTTCACCAATTTGTATCTGAGAGGTTTCCTGAAATTGTGTGGATTTATTAATGACCAAGTCTATGGCTCTTAGGAAACTTACTGGGAGAAAGAGCAGGCATAATCTTTTCTTGCTGGATGTCCTGCTTGCCAGTGCTTGATCCTGCTCACCCTACCTCCCAGGCATGCGAGCATTGTGGGCAGCTCTTTCGGGAGGTGGCACCAGGACACCAGTAGTATTTTGCAAGAAGGATCCTTGGCTTTGCCTGTGGAGCAGAGAATGTGATCCCCAGCTGGGAGCCAAACCACAAGCATGTGAGCAGAACCTCGAGCTTGGTTTCTGCCCAAGTACATGTAGGGGAGTGGAAAAGACAGGGAAGCTTTGTGAAAGGGTGCAGCTCACATGCAGAGACAATTCCACAAGATCTGGTGGGATATTCCACCTTGGTTCCAAAGGAGAGAAAGGCAGTGGCAATTGTTTTTTGTTTAACTAAAATCCTCTCCATTGGAAAGGGAACCTGCTTATTCACTTCCTGGATCCGGGGTCTTGGGCAAGCCACTTAAAACCTAGATGAGCCTCAGTTTCCTTATCAATAAATTGAGACTAATAGTAACTTCTCTGCCTATATCATAGTGCCTAACTCAGAGGTTTTGCTGGGTTTTTTGCAAATGTAACCAATATGATTAGCTTCACCAGCATGGGCCACACACATGTAGTTATGTCTCTTGTTATTCTGATTAGTCAATAGAGAGTCTCAGACACCATTATCAGCAGGAGATCAAAATCTCCTTCATGAAGTCTCTCCATCATTCCACAGATTACAATCCCAATTGTTCCAAGTAACTAGGGGTTGACTTAGGCTAGTTAGCTCAGCCTTGAAAACAAAACAAAAACCCCACCAGTCTGCAGGGGGTGGTTGCGGGAAAAGGTTGGATGCCATGCTGTCTACTAGCACGGCTACTTCAGTTGCTGCCACACAGTGTCGCTGCTGAACATTGATCCTGCATAGCACAGTGGAGGCTGGGCCTCTGCTCTGTAGGGGCTGTTGTTACCACAGCTCTCTACATGGATCCAGTGACGTCCCCTTGTTTTGACTTTAAGTTGCCACTTTTCTTTCATCACACTCACATGCTAGGTTAGTGCTCCTCATAGCATTACACCAAGACAGGGCAGCAGGTCCTAGGCAGTTTGCAGTCTCAGCCAGATTCACCCTTCCCCATGTCACCACCCACTTAACCTTCCCACCTTTCTTGTGGGTGCTCCTTTAAAACTTTGAGACTGCCCCATTCTAACAGAGGGATTCTAATAACTTTGGGCATCAAGTGAGACCTTTCCATTTTTCTTTCCAGGGATCTCCTTAGCCCCTATGCCAGTGTATTCACCTTTCCCCAGTGGACAGTTCGGCCTAGCAAAGGATATTGGGAGACACACAGGACACATTACACCTTTTCCTGAAGTCATGGTGCCTGTGGGCCTCATATTTACATAACCAAAGACCGAGTTGCTTTGCCCACTTGGGCGGATGAGTGGCTGGCAGCTGCTGATACCCTGTGGCATATGAATGATTAGGTGATGTATGTGAAAGTGCCTTCCAAAGAACTCTATATAAAAGAAGGCATTATGATTATTAATAAGTGGGCAGGGATGATTTATACACATGGCACAGGCAAGGCTAGCTCTCATAAACTTCAGGTGATAGCCAGAAAGCTGTCTAAAATAAAATGCTTTCTAGCCTCTCAGAGTTTGCTGGGCCAGTAGGCTATTTTCCTTAATATTAAATCATGTTTCCTTTCTTCTTTCCATTCTCCAGTTCCTCTGTCACCCATTTCCACATGAGTTTCTCTTGCTTCAGGCTCACAATCCTCCTACTGGTATGAGGTGAGGTTGAGAGTTGGTCCAACAAATCAACTATTTGTGTGGTGGGGAAGAGAAAGTTGCAAACACTTACTCCTGGAAGCAAAGTGAAAATAATAGTATAACTTACCAGGCATCAGATATATTTGCTTACTTTATCTCATTTATTCTCCAAAACAAACTGAGGACTTTTCTTTCTACATAGGAGAAAAATTCAATGAAGGTGGTGAGCTTTAGGGAGAGGCCCATTCCACACAGCTCTTGAATAACAAAGGAAAGAGGTAGACTTCATTCTTTGTGGTTGTTTTCTGTTCCAGCACTCCGCCTGGCTTCTGGAAAGGGAATGGCCCCTACTTAAAAAAAAATTCACAGAGCTTTCAGACGTTTTGGCACCAGAAGAATTGGGAAGAAGCTCCAGGCATTGGCTGGCCCGAATTCCTTCCTATTTCACTTCACTTTCCCTTTAGGGTTTTCTGATTTTTATACCACTAGAGTCACCACTTGTCGGGAAAACTCTGCCCAACTGGACAACACAAGTGTTCTTTCTTCTCCTTGAAGCACCTGTCTAATGTTAACAGCTTAGAACGGCGAGACTGATTCCTGGACCCCATGTGTTGGTGGCCTTCTCCTCTTCTGAGCAAATTGCTATGGAATTTTGTCAGAGAAATCTTAGAATATGCAGTACCCTGAGGAATCAGACTTGAGTACATGAACAGGAAAATCTTGCTTTCCTCCTTCCAACTGGAATTCTTCCCTCTTAAGTTCTCCATGAAATTCTGCCTCCTAAGATTTATCTCCAATAAGATGTCTTTCTACTAAATACAGTTTTTTATTTCTCATTTTTCAAAAAAAAAATTCGTTAAGCTACCATTTCTTGTATTTTATTTTTTTAAAAAAACACTACTTCGTTTTTTCCATTTTCCCTAAAGTAAACAATAATTTTTCTCTGCTGACATTTGTTGCTTTTAGTTTAGTTGCTAATGTTTCTCTATTTATATTTAATTTTGGTAATGCCTTTCCTAAAAGAGCACAGTAGGGGCACTCCTGAGCTTTGACCCCTTTTATGCTACTTATTAGCTGTGTGATCTGGGAAAAGCCACTGGAGACGTCTGCACTTCGATCTATAGAATGGAAGGATAGCATTAGCTCCCTGGAGGCAGGAGGAGGATGGACTAGATAGTTCCCAGCCAAGCGAGGAACTAAGCGAGGAACTAATTAGTCCCACTAAGAGCATTCTCTTGTTCTCTGTCTTCTCATGTATTTGGGTCCTTTTAGACTCTTCCAATCTTTATTGATCAGTACCTTTGGTTTTTAGTTATCTCTTCTCTATACATTTGTCTGATTATTACTTTTACTTGTACATCTTGCTATTTCCGTTTGTTGAATTAATGAATGGATTTGCCTTCTTTCTATTTTTAGCTACTATGACCACCACCACTATGGCAACTCCTGTTACAAATTACTGTATAACTACCATGTGCCTGATTATTTGCCAAGTGTAAAGCATTAACAGTAACTCCTTTTAACAACCCTGACAATGGGGTATCATTATCCCCATTTTGTACATGAGAAACTGAGGCTCCGCAAGGTGAGATAATTTGCCTGAGGTCACACCATGGTAAGTGCTGGAGTCAGACTTTGGATCTGGGTATCTCTGACTCCAAAGATCGTCATAACTTCCATGGCTTCCCATGAGCTACTGATTATTGAGCACCTACCACTTGTTAGCCACTTAGCATATATCACCTCTTTTTATCCCCATGGCAGTCTTGTAACTTAGGTATTATTTTTCCATTTTACTGCCGAGGATAATAAAGCTTAGAGAGAGGTGTTAGGTAAGTATGCCAGAGGCACACTGCCAATAAATGTTCTCAAATCCAATGTCAGATGACATTGGATTCTTGCTTCCTTTCTGGTCTCTGCTTTGTGAATGAATCAGTGAGTGAATGGGTCACCTTCCTTTCTTCCTCTTTTTCACTATTCTTTCTTTATTCTCCTTTAAAAAATATGTGCCTTAACTTTTTAAATTAAAAATCTAAAGTATGCTGGAAGTAAAAAAAAAAGTCAGGGCGGGGATACAGAAAAGCACAAATAAAATAGAGCTAGTCTACAGTAACCTTCTACCCAGAGGTAATAACTTTCCTTCCTTTTTTTTTCCTCCTTCCTTCCTGCCCTTGCCTTTGTGTCCTCTTAGCCAAGAGTCACATTCCTTCTCTACCTCTTCCAGCACAAACTCCCTTTGGGGGTCCGAGTTTCCCTGCTGTGGTTCTTGGCATAACGCGTGACACACACATTTGCAAAACTAATCAACTGTGGAGGGGACAGGGAGTCCCAGCACAAGCTCAGAAAGGCAGCGGCCACCACAGCAGCCAATTCCTTTCCCTGTCCCCAGAGGTGGGGTGAGCAGGTGACTCCCTGTCACTGATCCCCAGCTGCCCCTCACTAGACTGTGAAGCAACAGAGGCCCTAGCAACGGAAAATGCCACCGGACACTCCACGCGGCGGCATGTGCCAGGCTGCCTCTGGGAGCCTTGTGTTCTAAGCCAAAGTTCAGCTGAAGGGCAGTAGCCAAGCCAGAAAGTCATGTGGCTCCCATGTTGGTTAGTGTGTCACTTTGAACAGCTCTTATCTGATATTATTATGACTAACTCAGTGCTGACAGCATGGGACAGATTATAGGGGACATGTGACAATTATTTAAGGCATCACTGAGTGCACTGTGCAGCTTATATTAACCCCTTCTTTCCAGGATCACTTTCCTGCATGTGTTTGTCCCTTTGAGAGTCTGGGTAGGAAAAAAGAAACAAAAAAGTACATTGAACCCTGAAGGGTGCTACTGGTTTCCATTTGAACAGCCTCTGGCAACAATTTATTTTTGTCCCCATAGCTTGAATGATATATGCTCTTTTGGCCTAAAAAGAAAGAAATCAATGATAAGGTTGTTCATATTTCAAAACCTTTTTTTATACCTTGTAACTGATAAAATTCATACCTTTGTCATCATTGTTGTTGTTAAGGTTGATCTTTAAGATATTAGAGAACCGTGTTGAAGTGCTAGCTGGAGAAATAGTCCTTCAGCGTTGTACCTAAATGTCAGTGGTCAGAAGGCGTTACTCCCCACAATATGATTGACATCTTGGATGGTGCAAAGCAAACATAAGAAATGCTATAATTTATTATTTATTTTCTGCCCTTGAGTATATATGTAATGGTACAATGTGAGGGCTGTTACACCAAAAATCAAGTTCAGAGTCACTCATGGTGGAGAGGGATTTTGTCCTGCTTGAAGCCATGGGTAGTAATATAAATATTCTTTCTGTGTGAATGAAAAGGAATTTCAAACCTGATTTGGGGACTTAAAGGTAAATGAAACAGAATATCTAGGTAAAAATTCAGATGATATCATTTAAAGATGTCAAGGATGCTAAAATATACATATATTTAACGTGGCACCCTGGAGTGGGGTGACAAAAAACAGAGTCTGCAAATCTATAGGAGAGGTTGAATATCAGCCATGTTTTGAGGATTTCCTTGGTGAGTTTATGGTCTGTTAACACTCAGCTGTAAAATGGAATGATAATACCCTCCTCATAGGGTTGTTAAAAAGATGTAATGAGAAGAGCCTCATAAAGGCTTAGCCTAGGGCGCAATGAATGCTAAATAAAAGGTGGCAGGTATTATTCTAGTTATTATTCTTGTTATTGTTATTTGTAGGCAAATCCTCTGCAGCAGAAGGCAGCAAAGTTTGAACACAGACTTGAAGTGTTAACACCTCCAGGATGATTTCAATCTTGGGGCCACTTCAACCTTCTCCCACTGAGGGTAAAGCCATTGCCAATCTTTCTTCCCCACTCTCCATAATGGGTGCCGCACTTTTTCCTCTCAGTAAAGTGCCTGCCATGGTTTCTGTCATTAACATTCAACAGTGTTCACACTTTGCTACTGCAGAGGGACTTGAACCACTTCCAGCAAAGTGTGAGTGGGAGAGCCTCGGGAGGCAGCACTAGCCTTACTCCTTTTATTTTTCCAAGCAATTCACCTCTGGCTCCAAACTTGCATGTGCTGTTCAACCACATAAAAGGTCTGTGGCTAACTGGCATCCTAAGATGGTGGTTGATGGAACATCTATTATGATGTGAGCACATCCTCAGGGGTTTTATTTTTCCACCTCTAGTAACTCACACAAGTTTTCCTTCTACCACATATAGCATGCTCTGTCTCATTTTGTCTATAGCAATACTTTAGCGTCCTTTATAGACTGGTGTTCTATGTACCTCCCTGGGTTGACCTAACATTTAATCCAGTTTGGGTGAGTTACTTTTATTTATTTATTTATTCATTATTATTTTATTTTGATTTTGATTTTTAAATTCCAGGGTACATGTGCAGGATGTGTAGGTTTGTTACATAGGTAAACGTGTGCCATGGTGGTTTGCTGCACCTATCAACCCATCACCTAGGTAATAAGCCCAGCATGCATTAGCAATTTTTCCTAATGCTCTCCCTCCCCCAACCGCATCCCCTGACAGGCCCCAGTGTGTGTTGTTCCCCTCCCTGTGTCCATGTGTTCTCATTGTTCAGCTCCCTTATAAACAAGAACAAGCAGTGTTTGGTTTTCTGTTCCTGCATTAGTTTGCTGAGGATAATGGCTTCCAAATCCTTCCAGCTCCATCCATGTCCCCTACAAAAGATATGATCTTGGGTTTTTTTTTTTGTTGTTTTTTTTTGTTTTTTTTGTTTTTTTGTGGCTGGATAAGTACCACATTTCCTTTATCCAGTCTATCATTGATGGGCATTTGGGTTCATGCCACGTGTTTGCTATTGTTAATAGTGCTGCAATGAACATATGTGTTCATGCATCTTTGTAATAGAATGATTTATATTCCTTTAGGCATATACTCAGTAATGGGATTGCTGGGTCAAATGGTAGTTCTGGTTCTAGATCTTTGAGGAATCCCCACCCTGTCTTCCACAATGGTGGAACTAATTTACATTCCCACCAACAGTATAAAAGCATTCCTATTTCTCCACAACTTCACCAGCATCTGTTATTCCCTGACTTTTTAATAACAATCACTACTCTGACTGGCGTGAGATGGTATCTCATTGTGGCTTTGATTTGCATTTTATTCATAGCAATTCTTGTTGAGTATTTATTTTGTGCCAGGTACCCTTTTTGGGCCTGGAGATACAAGAGAAATAGAGCCTAGAAGCCTAGGATATAATTTCGCTGCCTCCATTTTCCCACCAGAAATTGTGGATTTTCCCTCTAAGGAAATTCTACTTAGTGGCAGCTGCATCCAAGAACAATAACCTTGAACGAACGAAGCACCAGACTCTGAAAATAGTCCAGACACTTTTTCCTGACATCTTTATTTTGATGCATCAGACCGGGGTTGATATTCGGCTGGGATGCACCATCATGGCAGTACCAGTTGTAAAAATATTAAAATACTAGCTGCTGCCCAGGCCCTCCAAGTGCCCAGACTCTGTCAGTGTGGCTCCTGCTTTTGGAACTCCTCAACTGCTTCACGATCTAGTAACCAAAAGATTAATGCTTGACACAGCAGGGTCCTAGGATGCATTCTGATTGGTTAAAGTCCATTTCCATACTGGCTCTTAAGCCTGCAAGGATTTTTGAGTCATAATACAATTCTGTTCCATGATGTAGGAATCAATAACAGAAACTGAATTTTGATTGTGGACAGTGTAGTACAATTGAGGAGCCTTGGCTGGATCAAGATTCCATCCCTTCTGATGTGGGTAAACTTGGCTGAGTTATTCTCAATGCCTTAGTTTGTGTAGATGGTAAGAATAGGAATGCCTAGACAGCAGGCTGCCTGGGGCTACTGCAAGGAAAAATTAAGTCAGACATACAAAGCACCTAGAACAGTGTTTCAAGATAACAGGTGCTCAGGAGGGATTACTTATTATTATTCTTATTAGAAAATTTTGTAAAACTCAAGCTTAAATTTGACTGATTTCAAGAAAGGTGAAACAGATCCAATTACCCTCTCTCCTAACTGCAAAATTAAACAAAACAAAAACAAGAAAAAACCATAAACCTTTTCTTGATGGATGTGAAGAAATAAATATATAGGAGGCTTTTATTTTACTGGCATAATAACATATATCTTTAAAATATCTACATGTAGGATATGCAGACAGTCCTGGACATATAATAATTTAACTTTTGATTTTTTGACTTTATGATGGTGTAAAAGTGGTATACATTCAGTAGAAACCATACTTCAAGTACAGAGTACTCATAGAACCAATCTGTTTTTCACTTTCAGTACAGTATTCAATAAATTACATTTTATTATAAAATAGGCTTTGCATTAGATAATTTTGCCCAACTGTAGGCTAATGTAAGTGTTCTGAACACATTTACGGTAGGCTAGACTAAGCTAGGTTGTAGGTTAGATGTATTAAATGCATTTTTGACTTAGATATTTATGACTTACAATGGATTTATTGGACATAACCCCATTGTCAGTCAAGGCACATCTGTATGTGTAAATGTGTTTTTGTTAGATAGATCATGTATTCAGTAATTATTGTTATGTGCATGGAAGATATATATGAATAACAGAGAGCCACTGCTGTCAATGAGCTCATTGTCTGTGGGGGAAACAGATGCATAAACTAGCGATTATAATGTGCTGGGTGCAGTAGTAGATGAGTACACCAGGCTCTGGAGGAGCCATGAGCAGAAGGACTTAACATGGCCTCAAGCAGGCAGTGAGACTCCCTGGAAGAACTGACAACTGAGCTGATTCTTAAAGAATGAAGAGAGTTAGATAAGGAAAAAGGATTTGGGAAATGATTTCAGGTAGAGCTGGAGCAAAAGCATGATAAAAGGGCATTCTCTTGGAAGTAGGAAGCAGGGAGGGATAAGAGGTCAGACTGGAGGCAGGGCAGGGGCCAGCTCAGAGAAGACCTTCCTGCCATGTTCAAGCGCTTTCTCTAGGTCAATGTTGAGGGGCTGAAATGATAGACACTAAGGTAGGATGTAGCCAGAGTCAAGTTTTAGAAAGATCGCTGGCTTGAACTAGGACATTCATCATGGAATGGAAAGGAAGGAAGAGACTTAAGAATGATTAAGATTGAAGGGGATGAGTGTATTTTTGGTTTGGGTGGATTGGGTTACTTCTTTTCAACAGATGCAAAGAACACAGGCAGGCAAGCAGCTGAGGTTGGGAGGATGTTAAGGCCCATTTTGTATATTTTGAGTGTTCTGGTCCTGCAAGATGTTGGTGGTGAGTACCCAGCTGTCTCTGAGACTCTGGGGACAATCTGGGCTGGAGACATAGATTCTGTCATGGTGGCAGTTAAAGCCATGAGAGGCAATGAGATGAGCCAAGGAAGACTGAGAAGAATAAGCAAAGTGGGCTGAAAACAGAATTATAGGCAACACCAGCAGTCAAAGGATGAAACACTGAGAAGCAGCATTCAGAGAGTCAGGCAAACCAGGAAAATGCATCACGACTAAAACCACATTTAAGAGGGTCGGGTAGAAATACGGTCTTAGGAGCCCAACTAACACCAATCTCTTACCACACTTCTTTGGTAACATTATAAGTTTGAAATTTTATGGGAACTGCCTTGACTAGAAGTTTCTTCCTTATTTAAAAAAATTTTTTTCTCTCTCTCTCTCTTTCTAGTATTAAGTTTCACTGCAAGTAACTATCTAGTGCTAAACTGATTTTTTCCCCTTTTGTCTGTAGACTAAAACGAAAGTATACAGTTGGACATGAAAAATGATTCTGCTATACCTCCTCACATCTTACCCCTTCCAATGAAAACTAGACTCATAAAACCTTTCCTGTGAGTCCTGGCCTGAGCTTAGGTCAATTCTTCTTTTTAACTGAATCCATTCCATTTTCTCTCATCATCCTCAAAATACGTCTCCTTCACTGCTTTTCACATCCTTTTATGAAATGTTTGTCCTCAATCTCTTTTATTTTGAGCGGCACTTATAAACTAGAGTCTAGCACAGAGCAGATGTATTCATTTAATAGTTTGCTTTGATGGCTCCTTTAAGAGGCTTTATAATCTTTATATTTTACCATTGGGTTTGGAATTTTATGCTCCTTTAACAGGTGTATTACCTTCATCAGATGTTTTCATTTTAAGCTGTTGACTTATAAACACATGGCCTGCGGGGATTGGTGTGCAGACAATTTATCCACTTACAGATTTATTCACCTATTCATTTTTGTATTTAGAGCAGGGAACCCTAGATTGATTGATAATGACAGCTCATTGGTAAAAATGACTCTTTCAATGACCAAAGTAATTGTTTCCTCCAGTCGACAATGGGTCAGTAAAAGATCACTCAAATTGAGAAGATTTTTAGAAAAGTTAATTAAAAACAAAATGCTTTCAGACCCATATTTTGTTCTCTAAGTTTGCATTTTAGAAGAAAATTGTGCTTACACGTTTCTTCTGAGGACACTTGAAGGTTTGTCTCCTAAACGCTTTAATTGTTACAGTAGTTCATACTTTTCAAAAGATAATGTGTGTTGCTTGAAGCTGACATATTCTGATCTTATGCACCATGAATCCATCACTCTTCTATAAAAGAAAGGAAAGTGGGGGTAGGAATCCACCTTTCTCCTGTTTGGTGTATGAAGGGGGACAGAGCAGGAGAGAAATAAAAACTGTGCAGGACCAGTGAGCTATGCCAGGAAATCACATCCTGGCACACTTTGGTGATGCAGGTGAGGGGAGGAATTCAATAAGCAACTGTGAGGAAGTTGGTCATGTCTAGGCATGGTGCTGTATGGAGGTTTGTGTATGCAGAAAGTAAACTCTGAGATCCTTCTGCCTGGACACCTGTCTAAGAAAAGAAATGGAATGAAAGTTTTTTCGAGATGGAGTCTCGCTCTGTCACCCAGGCTGGAGTGCGGTGGTGTGATCTCGGCTTACTGCAACCTCTGCCTCCTGGGTTCAAGTGATTCTCCTGCCTCAGCCTCCTAAGTAGCTGGGACTACAGGCACCACCATGCCCAGCTAATTTTTGTATTTTTAGTAGAGATGGGGTTTCACCCTGTTAGCCAGGATGGTCTCGATCTCTTGACCTCATGATCCACCCGCCTCGGCCTCCCGAAGTGCTAGGATTACAGACACGAGGCACCACGCCTGGCCTAGACACTTGAACATCTACTGTGAACACTAATTGTTCCGTTCCTTCAAGGAGTGCTGACAGTCCCCCCAAAAAAGGGAGTGAGGAATCTCATAGGAAGGATAAGGCAAAGCATTTGTTTTCATAGAGAGGGTTGCCAAGAAGTTGAAGACTGGCCCATTTGGAGTCCTAGTTGATTTTCAGCAACATGCAATGAATTTGATGGCCAAGCCAATCTCCTGTGACTAGTTATTTTCATCACAGTACCACTGTAAGTGATTCAGCATGGCCTGGTATCATTTCTACCTGTGCCCAGGAGAGGCCAGGGCTGAGCCAGCATGGAAATGGAATTGCCCCTGCCTCCTGGGCTCTGAAAAGGCATCTCTCCATAGGAAAGAGTGAGCATGCAGCCCAGCCCAGAAGAAATGTCATGATTTCTCCTTGTACTCTGGAGTGTAGTCCTCTCAAGGAAAATGACATAGCTTCCACTAGAGCAAAAAGAATGAGAATATAAAGAAGGTATTGAGGGTGGAGGGAGAACTAAGGGAAAGGAAGTTGGAAAATGATTTCAAAAGTTAACTTTTGGGGAAATATTTTATCTCAAGAAAAAGAATGAGTTTGCCCTCTTCCTTTTCCATCTGAGGAGGTCAAGTTAAAATTTTGTTTCAGTACAATTGCAGCATTTTTGGAATCTATTTCTAAATATATGCATATCAGGGTACATTCCCTTCCTTTGTATTCTGACAGCTCTTTGATGTTACTTCTTTTTTAGCAATCATTTCATTCTTTCTTTCTTTTTTCTTTTTTTGCATTTTTTGTTGACTGAGTAGTTTCTCCACAGACTTGTGAATTCCTTGTAAGGACCACCCATATCTTATTCATTGTTTTTTTGGTCTACTAGCATGCTGTCACTGGACAGTAATATTTCTCATATTAGGCACTCAATTGTTGAATGAATGAATAGGTGAATAAATAAATCAGTGATTGAGCACGTGAACAGGTTGTGAAAGGAACAAATAATGGAATTGGATTGTTTTCAAGTGGGTGAGTCAAGCATACAACCACGTTTCTGTTACCTCTGCTGACCTGCATATAATGTAAGGCCCTCAACACAGTTCCATACCTGTCTGTCCACCTATTAAATGCCTTCAGTAATACTTTCCTCACACTCAAAACCATGGCAAGACTCAGTTGTTAGAGGTAAGGAGCCCTAATATCGTTTCACCAAAAATAAAAAAAAAAAAAAAAAAAACAAGCAACAAAACCCAGTGTACTAAAGGCTCTATTGTTTTTAGAAAAAAACAACCTGGGGTTGTACAGCATCAGAGGAGTTAAAGGCAGCCAACAAAATGAAAACAAAAGCTCCTGGGGAAAAGTCAAGAACTAGAAAATGCAATAGTTAGCTGATAAAATGTCTGCTTCAGTTTCGGCCAACTTCCTTGAACCTTGCCCCATTGCAGTGGCCCCCAGTTGAAATGGCAAAGAGGTGTCAGTGATAAATCACCTTGCCATGAAACAGCACAAACTTTAGTAAATTGCGTGTGGAAGCCAGAGTGGGTACAATAGTGGTGTAGCCCGGGTGAGCCAGCAGGCCTCCAGTGGCGCGGAATATTTATCCCTCCTTAGCCACGGGATGCCTTCTGTTCATTCATAGATGGAAAATGAGTTGGGCGTTTTCATTGAAGCATTCCATTGTCTCTGTCAGGAGTAAACCAAACAAACACACAGAAAGCTAAGATGCCAGCAGAAACCTCCGCCTCAGACCCAGAAAGTTAAAGCCTTACCCCATACTACTGAAATAAAGCACTGCTCTTACTCTTTTTGTTTCTTACATTATGAAACCAAAGGAAAGTGAACTAACTGAACTAATAAAACCAACTCTCTTAAAACATGATGGAGTTCATCTTAGCTATTGTGTGAATGCATCTATTCCACTGCCATTTCTGGGGGAAAGAAAGGAGGAGAAACGCTTCGATGGTTATAGAAATTCAGACCACACATAGATGTGTACCTGCATATTTTGGCAAGAAAGTGAAGTTGTCTTGGAGATGTTCCTTCCTTGATGTGATGGGATGTTGAGGACTCCTGGTCTTCTGTTGGATACCAAAGCTAAGCAATAGACTTTGCCCCAGCTGGAATCAATTTCTCTTTGAGTGCCAAGCACCCAGTCCATTAGAGGTCTGTGTCTAACATGCCTAACATTTCTGCCTAGCACTCTCTGGAAGGATCTTAGGTGTTTGTGTAGCATTTCCCCTTTAAGACTGCAAATTCCATAAGGTCAAAATCCATCTCTGATTATCTGGGCATTTTTTCTCTGCTCTGCTAACCTTCAAGCATGCATAATATTTTATGAACATTGTGCATATTCAGTAAATGTTTGTGGAATGAATGAACGAATGAATGAATGAATGGTATTATTCTCTGTCCCTGGGTAATAAGCAAGGCTTGACCATGTAGAACGTGCTCTCCGACACTTGTAGTACCACACCATAATTTTGGGGCCAAGAAGAGGTATTCCGTTTAGGTGAATGCCATGTTTCCTTTTAAACCACAGAATCATTATTATTTTAACTTTTAGGATTGAGCCTTCATTTGAAAACTGAGTCCAAATAATTTCCAACTCCCAACTAATCCACGAAGTATGCACCAGTAAAACCACACTTGCTTTCAGTAGGCTCCATGTACCTTTTCCAATACATTCCAGGAGAGCCACACACAAAGTGCGCTTGTCTCGTTAACCCCTCCCCTCCCACCTGCCTGTGGGGTGTGAGCATTTTCAGACAGTTCTATTGTCGCCAGTGAAATGTCAAACAAAATGGTGTTCAGTGTGCCTGGGGGCTTTACATGATGAGCTGCCTGGCACCCTGATGTCTGCTGTGTAGTGCATTTTTAACGTAAGGGCAGCCAAACCGAATCCCATGCCTGGCTCAGGCCGAGAACTGGAGACGCTGGAAGAAACATAGTTTTAAATTACAAGGTGTTTCACCCACATGCATTTCTCTTTGTGGTAGACTTTCTCCGGAGTTGAAGAATCCCTTCACATTCAATTCAATTCTTTTATACTCCCTGTCCCCTGACGCACACACACACACACGCATGCACTTGGTTATCCGAGGACAAGAGTTGAGTTGTTTACTGTTTTCCCAGGGTACAAAGTCTTAAAGAGTTTAATTGTGAATGTAATCTGAAGAATCAAAGTCAGCCCCATTCCTCAGAAGAACGGGGTGAGTGTGGGAGAAAGGAATTGTTCGCTTTGCACTGTGCTCAAAGTGGTGTAGCCCACTCCTTTCCCTTTGAGAAAGGTGGTAGGAGTGGGTGGGGGGTGGCACGGGAGACTCAATTGTCCCTTTTATGGAAGAACCCCCAGTCCTCTGGGTTGTGTCCTCTAGCCTCCTTGCTGTTTACTGGACGGGCAAGCCCAGGCTGGGTCCTGCGGCTGGTATATCCTCAGCAGAGATGGGAGTTCTGGCTGGAACAGGCTCCCCGTGGCTGAACTGGTTTGAAGAATGGGAGGAACCTCCCTGCTACTTCCAAATAGGAACCTGAGTCTGTCCTGGCTTCAGTCATTTCAGTAGCAGGGCAAGCGCTGACACTGTAGGAGATGGAAGATAATGTAAAATAATTCTAGCAAAACACTGTATAATTTCCCCTTTTCTGAGTTTAGGGGAGGGTGAGGATTATAGAGCTGGGAGGAAGAAAGTTGAAGTGGAGAGAAGAAAAGACAGGGTTTCTCATAGTCAACTTTAGAATTTCAGGGAAAATGAAGCTTTGAACTGTACAACTATTATGCCTGAATTAAATCACCCAGGGGTAAAAGGCATTTGCTGGCCCTGTCATGGCTACTGCTTCCTTCAATCCATCACCAAGCTGCTGGCCACATAGAGTTTTCTGCAGTCTAGTAGTTAGTTCAGTGGTAATGGATGACAAATTGAAATTTTGACCACAGTATAAACAAACTACCATTATAAGGACTAATATAGATATTAACCTTGGATTCATTTTTTTAAAAATTAGATAGATCAAGTTGTAGCAGCCAGAGGCTCTTTTCAGGGAAAAGACCTGGTAGTTTATGGAGCTAGTTCATCACCTGCCATGGCAGAATACAGTCCCACCGGTAGAAGCTTCCCTGTACTTGATCTTAACCCATACTGTTATATTTATGATGTTCCTTTGAACATTTTATGTTTTATCTTTTTAAAATCAATAGATAGTTTCTGACAGCTTGTGATGGGATTTCTTTATGCATACCTCTCTTCTTGCTGAGTTAAAAATCACTGTCTCTAAGATTATTTCATTTACATTTGCTCCTACGTGGACCTCAAGGGTCAAACAGAACAAGTCAGATCTTTTGGATCTTTGCTTTTTTCATAGCCTCTCACTCGACACTGGTGATTCTTGCTTCCCTTGTCCCATTATCTTGTTGAATATGCTGGCTTCTGTTATATCCTCTTAGCGGATCTTTTATTAGCAAGAACCTTACTGCACTGGCTTGATTCTTCCGATTTGATCCAAGTTTCAGGCACTCTTTCTTTGTCCTCTACCTGCTCTCTATCTGTATGTTCTGCTAAGCTACTTTATCTGTGCATGAAAAAGGGAGAACATTCTGTCAATAACAATATTTTATCTAGGGCTCCTGACCAATTAGTGTAAGGGCCATCACTCAAATCCTATTTTCTATTAGTAAGAGGATGGACTTTTTTTAAGGGCTGAAGCAAGAGGAGAGAATCACCATTCATTTATTGGGAACTTAGAAGAGAGAGTAAGCAAAATCTGAGCTGCCTCTTAAAGGGATTCACAATTCACTTCTTTTTTTTTTTTTTTAAGAACTACTCATTTTATTAGATGAAAAGAGATATTTCAAACTCCAAAGTCCTCCTTGAGGCATAATACCTTCTAAGATGTGTAAAATCATAGGATGGTAGGTTAATCTGGGACTTGGAGACTTTGTGTTGCCATCTCTATATTTTAGAGATGGGGAAACTGAGGCCCAATGTATTTTAATACATTGATCCAAAGTTGTGCATGTGGTAAGTATGTGAAGCCGAATTTTTAGGGGTTTGAGACTAATTTTTTTTCTAATGCAATTGACCACAGTAGAAACAAACTACCATTTATAAGGACTAGTATAAACATTATCCTAAATGTATCTGTTGAGCACTTTTGATATAGCTAGGAGTATGCTTGGTGCTATACAAGTTAAAACAATGTGTATGTAAAGTTGCTGCCCTCAGGAGTTTTACATTATTTTTTTCAAAAATAGGACCTATCCAATTGATGAAATTAGAGAAGGGTGAGGCTTGATTTATAATCAAGTGCTAGAAGGTGCAGTATGGATAGGAGAAGCACTCAATGTTAACCATGTTGGGTCATGGTTTATAAAATAGATGGGTCCTAAAATAAGTCACAGAGAACCAGCAGAATAAACAGAGAGACTAGTAGAGGACAGAGAAGCAGGGTTTGCATGAAATGTATAGGATAGGAATTGCAAATCCTTGACACAGAGGCCGCTTGCTCCTATCTTTATTCATGTTAGACATTTCTGCTTAATTGCAGTACTTTTCCAGAGCCCTGGAATGATCAAATCATTATTACTTTTTATTATTTTTTAAACAATTTCTGATAGTCAGCATGAAATAGTTAGAATAGACAGGGGACCATGAAATCTACTGACTAGCCTCCATGTTGGGTAAAAAGATCTTCCTGACCAGAGCAATGGGTTTATATTTTAATGTTAGAAGATAAAAATATGCAAGCCCTAACTTTGGTAGCCATAAGTAATATTTGTCATGATGTCTCATTAAGAGACCCAAAATGTTTATGTATAATCGATTTTGAATTTAAATTATTTTTGACTGGGTGCTGTGGCTCACACCTGTATTCCCAGCAATTTGAGAGGCCGAGGTGACCTCACTTGAGGTCAGGCATTCAAGACCAGCTTGGCAAACATGGTGAAACCCCGTCTCTACTAAAAATGCAAAAATTAGCTGGGCATGACGGCTGGCACCTATAATTCCAGCTACTCAGGGGGCTAAGGCAGGAGAATTGCTTGAACCTGGGGGCTGAGGTTGTAGTGAACAGAGATCATGCCACTGCACTCCAGACTGAGCAATAGAAGGAGACTCCATCCCCCCAAAAAAAAGAAAAAAAAAAGAATTTAAATTATTTTTGTTGTGTCGGACCTCCCCAAATCTAGCACTTATTGCAGTGCCTGGTAGTTATTGGGCATGCAGTAAATATTTTTTAAGTGAATGAAACTCACAGAGGGGCTAATTGTAGCCTTGAACAGGTGAAAGGCCAGAGTTTTATAAGCTAAATCCATCCAGCTCATGCCGGCACTGGAGCCATAGCATAGATATCCACAATGTATCTCAATGGACCTACTACATCCTTCTGTAAAATTGGTATCAGCAGGGCCTTCTGTTTCCTGCCATGCACATTTGCTCTAAGTCACAACATTAATTAATAGATAAAATTTATTGTTACAAAAAGAGTGGCGATATTGATTTGCTTGTTTTCATGCATTTGGATATCTTACCAAACCCCATCCTACCAGAAATAATATGGCAGGTTTAATTTTCAAAGAATACATTGGCACTACTAATTTTAGTTATCAATCAATGAGATTGTAAAATACATAAGATCGGGGCTTCACTCATTATTTCAACTGCTCACCCACAAATAAACAACATTGATTAAGTACCTACCCTTATGTGGTCTTTTATCAGGAAAAGATGAAAACACAGAAAAGCCGGGCGTGGTGGCTCACGCCTGTAATCCCAGCACTTTGGGAAGCCGAGGCAGGCAGATCACGAGGTCAGGAGATCAAGACCATCCTGGCTAACACGGTGAAACCCCGTCTCTACTAAAAATACAAAAAATTAGCCGGGCGTGGTGGCGGGCGCCTGTAGTCCCAGCTACTCGGGAAGCTGAGGCAGGAGAATGGCACAGCCTGGGCCACAGAGCAGGACTCTGTCTCAAAAAAAAAAAAAAAAGAAAGAAAGAAAACACAGAAAAGAGTATGATGTGGTTCCTAATAGCAAGGAGCTGAGAATCTAGGAGGGCAGTGGTGTAATATAACTGTGAAATCTGCCACTTACAGCATGTACACATTTCATGGTAGCAACTCAGTAAGTACCCATTTTATTCTTTGTATCTTCAACATGGGTTTAGCTAATACATTTCGTCTCTACTGCCTGTTCCAATTGCTTCATAATGACTACTTGGAGTTCATTGTCAAAAATTCTGAGGCCATGGGTAGGTTCTGGGGAAAAGGGCAGCAGTCAGTGAGTGATGTCAATCTACAGGCAGAGGAGGGTGAGGTAGCATGTGCGGGGAACAAGAACACAGTCGTTGTACTGAGAAACAGGCTCTTGGGAATAGTCCACAACACCTTCCCCTAGTTCTGACTCAGTAGTTCATTTGTGTTTTTGCGTGTGTTCAGTTGTGGAATCCATAAATGTCATGTTTTAAAAATGTTCATGTTAATACAATTAGATCGAAGCACCACTTCCAGCCGGTTAAAGAAATAGTGAGAGAAGACCTTCACAAGTTTAATGATAATGTCTGGATATTTATTTTTTAAATGGTGGTGATGATAACTAACATTTGTATATTACTTTGTAGTTTACAAAGCACTTTCACAAATTGGAAACAACTTAACTGTCTGTGAATGGAGTATTGCCTAAATAAATCAAGGCACTTTCATACAATGGAATAGTAGGCAGCTATTATGTAGAATGATATAGATCTTTATTTACTCACGTGAGATATGAGATGAAACACCCATGATATGTTTTTTTTAAAAAAGCAGGTTTCAGAGCAGTATATCGTGTGCATCTAGCTCTTTAAAAATTATGTTTTCATAAACACACACATGCACATATAAATCTGCATGTGATTATGGCAGAGAAAGAAATCTGGAAATTTATACAGGAAAATGCTAATGGTGGTTCTCATTGTTTGCTAGGATGTAGGGGATTTTACTTTCTCCTTTCTATCTTTCTGCATTTTCTGAAAGCCTTATGATGAATATATTCTTCCATGAAAATAAAAAGCAATAGTCATTTATTTAAAACACCTAAGCACATTATCACATATTAAGATTAATTGATCCTTACATCTATGCCAAAGGTAGTTATTATCCATGTTTTACGAATGAAGGGTAAGTTCAAATTAACTGCCAGTACGTTGTTTTACTTGTGCCAGGCAATGTAATTTACTTATTGCCTTATATAGTTGATTTACTTACATAAACTCATTTAATTCCCACAGTAATTCTTTGAAGTATTATCCACATTTTATAGATGAAATAACTGAGGCACAGAGAGGCTAAATAAATTGTTGGAGGTCACACAGCTTATAAACCTATAAATGGCAGAGCCAGGATTTAAAGCCAAGCCACTTGGCTCCAGAGCCCAGATGCTTCACAGTTATGCCATGCTGCCTGATAGAAGGCACAGGGAGGGGGTGGTGGCCTTAGGAGCTGAACTTAGATCTTCTGCTCCAAATACTTTTCCCTTGTCACTACACATTTGCATGTGCCTTTTATTTTATGCTGGTCATGAATTGTCAGGCTATTGTCTCTCCCCCTCAACATAGCCTCATAGCCTGGTGTAATTTATTTATGGGACTTCATGATAAATTTCTCCTGGAATTCAGTATTTGGAATAAAATCTCTCTGTGTGACTATCTATATCTATCACGTGTCTATGTCACATTTGCCACGTGCCAGGCATTATTCTAGAGCTGAGCTAAAACAGTGAACAACAAAAAAAGACTCTTGTCCTCATGAGTGTTACATTTTAGCAGAATAGATGGAAAATATACCAAAGATAGAATTTAGAAAACTGATAAATGCTATGAAGAAAAATAGAAAAGAATCAGAAATAGAAAAGAAATGGCTGGGGACTAGGATGGTGTTACTATTGAATAAGGGAGGTCAGGGAAGTCTGTTTTCTTTTGTTGGATAGTGAAATTTATTTAATACAACACACTTTAATTTTTGTCTAAACTGCCAAGAAACTCAAAGCTCAATTCACAACTCAGCTACAAAAAATGGTGAATTCCAGGTATGTTCTAGCATTTACTTCCCTGTTCATTTTAAGTGGATTTGATATGGTGTTTCTATTGATATGATATTCCTATTGCCTTGTTTTATGTGCCTAGCTTTTAATGTAACCAAAAATCCCATTTAAAAAAAAAGAAAATAAATTTTAAACATTAAAAAACCAAATGGAGTCAGTCCAAAGTACAAAAGAAATGAAGACAGGCTATTTTCCTCCAGCTCGAAGGAGTCTCTCCTCCTTTTTAAGTTTTATGGAACTTCCTTGGACCTCCATACTTACTGGGAGCCATGAATGTTGATGGATGTGGTAGGTTTCTCCAGTAATTAAAATTATTGTTATTTATAAGGACTCCTTCAGAAATTATTGCAATATATAATTGCTGTTAATTGATGACAAATACTTGCTATTTATCAATAATGCAAAATATTAATATCAGCATCTTCTGTTGCTGTGTGCCCACTCTTAGCAATTAGATCTTGAGAAACAATGCTTTTTGTTTGTGTCAGTGGCTGGAAGGTAATAGAAAACATCTTGATATTGACTGACATCTAAGGTAGCTATGTTAGGTTCAGGCCGCACTGACTGCCGTTGGCATGGTTAGTCATGGAAAGAAAGAGTTGTTTTTAAATACAATTTTGAAGATATCTGTCATGTATGTTAAAAATATTTCTCTTTGGTTATTTTCCTTATATAGGGATGGGACAAAACATTCTCAACACATTTGTGTTGGCTGTGTTCAAAATCATATTCTCAAGTTTTGGGGAAGTTTTAGAGGTGGTGTGTTTGTGATTATGCTCATAACAAGGCCTTTGCAGGACTGTGGGAGTCAGACAGCCTGAGATTGTAGTGATTGTGGATCTGTCTGTTTCCTCCACTAATTTTAAGGACAGACACTATATGCTGATTAAATTGCTGCCCAACAGTGTATTTTAGAGGGCAAGTAATCAATAAGTATTTGAAAAGGCAGTATGTGAATGTATGTCTCTATGATTGTCTTATAGAAAAGGATATTAAAAAATATTAACACATACCAGATTCCCTAGTATGAAGAGAATCAGTAAATAAATGCAAAGGTCTTACAACAATGCCTGAAACACAGTAATAAGCACTCAATAAAATTTAACCATGATTAATATTTAATATTATATTAGGGGAATACTCTCATGGCATAGCATAGTGCTTGGCACAGAGCTGACTTCAATAAAGATTCATTTAAAGGATGAATCCCTCCCAGAAGAGGTTAGGTGTCCATTCTCTGGACTTTTCTAGCAGCTCCTGCTTAGCTTTACTCCAGTACATAACATTAATATAAATATAACTTGCTTATTCAACTTACTACTCTGCGAGTGCTTCAAAGGCAAGCCTTTTGTCTTTTTCATCTTCACCGTCCTGAGGTGCAGCCTGTAGAATGTGGAAGGCACGCAGTGTATGTGAGGTGAATGGATGGATGCAGATGGATGAATGAGCACATGCCTCCTCTGTGAGGCTCTAGTAGCAGCTCAGATGTCAAATAGTTTGGGTTAATACCAAGTAATAAGAAAAAAAAAATTCCCACCTGCCTCTACTTAACTATAGAACTCTATGATCCATTTGTTCAACGCATGTTTACTGAGTTGTTCAGTTAGCATTTTAAGACCTAAGAACATAATTGTGAACAAGACATTGTTCTTGTCTTCGTGGAGCTTATGTTGTAAATATCTCCAAGTCTCATTTTATTCACATTTCCTCTTCTCAGAGAGTGCTAGATTTGGTTTTGAAATCACATTGAAAGTTACTATCCTGGGCTTTTACACATTTCACCAGTTGTTCTACTACTATGGAAGGGCCTCCATTCCATAAGCTCATTTACTATGTGGGAGTGTGGTTGGAAACAGAGAGAAAAGGATTTAAGAGTTAAAGTTTTTAAAGTGCTTGATCACTCCTGCCATATAGAGAGAATTCAGTAAGTTGGAAGATATATCAGTTAGGGTTCTCCAGAGAAACAGATTTTCTCTTTCTCTCTCTCTCTCTCTCTCTCTCTCTCTCTCTCTCTCTCTATATATATATATATATATATATATAAAATATATAATATATATAATATCTACCAATTGAGAGATTCTATATATATCATATATAATATGATATATATCATATATCAGTTGAGAGAGAGAGAGTGTATGTGTGTGTGCACATGCATGCTAAGAAATTAGTTCATGTGGCCAGGTGCGGTGGCTCACGCCTGTAATCCCAGCACTTTGGGCGGCTGAGGCGGGCGGATCACGAGGTCAGGAGATTGAGACCATCCTGGCTAACATGGTGAAACCCCATCTCTACTAAAAATAAAAAAATTAAAAAAAAAAACGAAATTAGCCGGGCGTGGTGGTGGGCGCCTGTAGTCCCAGCTACTCGGGAGGCTGAGGCAGGAGAATGGCATGAACCCAGGAAGCGGAGTTTGTAGTGAGCAGAGATCCCGCCACTGCACTCCAGCCTGGGCGACAGAGTGAGACTCCGTCTAAAAAAAAAAAAAAAGAAATTAGTTCATGTGATTGTGGAGGCTGGCAAGGCTACAATTGGTAGGGCAGGCTGGAAACTCATTTAAGAGTTGACACTGCAGTCTTGAGTTCAGAATTCACAGTGTGGGCCAGCAAACAGGGAATTCAGGCAGGTTTCATAGCTCATAGGGAATTCTTTCTCAAGGAAACGTCAGCTTTCACTCTTAAGGCCTTCAACTGACTGGATGAGGCTCACCCATATTATGGAGGGTCATCTGCTTTACCTAAATCAATTGATTATAAATATTAATCACATCTACACAAAACCCACACAGCAACATCTAAACTAGTGCTTTATTAGACAATTGAGCACCATAGCCGAGCCAAATTGACACACATGATTAAGAATCAGTTGTATTGTCTCACATGATCCTGATGGGATCATCATAAGACCCTAAGATATAGGCATGGTGATTCCTACTTTATACGTGAAGAAACTGAGACACAGAAAGCCTTGGTACCTTTCCTTAGGCCATAGAGCTGTGAGCTGAGGTCACTGTCAGAAGCCAGGGGTGTTAAGTCCTACTCTGCAACAAGCTGTCTCTTGGTCTGACCTAGAAAGCCCAATCTAGAACCTGCTCTTGAAAATGCCATCTCTTCATTGGGAATTTTCTAGAACCTACTCTTGAAAATGCCACCTCTTCACTGGGAATTCTCTGTCTCTCCTTTTCTAAAAAATTTCCCCACTTAAAAAATTCATTTCTCATATTGGATATCTTTACAGACTTATCCTAATGGTCTCTTTGTGGTTCAAGCTTTCCATTTTGCAATTATTCAGTTTGAAGTTGGTTATGTTTGGGGACATGCAGTTTCAGAGAAGCTTCCAGGATCACACCTTTATAAAAACAGGTGCTTTTTAGTTTCAGTTACACAAGGTGACTAAATTCTAGAGATCTGCTGCACAACAGTGTGCCCAGAGTTAAAAATACTGTATTGTACATATAAGAATAGGTTAAGAAGTAGCTCTCATGTTAAGGGTTCTTTCCACAATAAAAATGAGTGATTTTTTTAAAGCTACCAATATGCATGTTAGTATATATATATATTTCTTGGTGAAATTCATATTGACTTATCACAATTTCTCTAGTCCTTGATGGACACTGTCAATTTCTTGTCCAATTGGAAAGTTATTGACTAATTATAATTTAACATGTGTTTCCTGGATAAATGTATGCTTGTTTATCTCAGTTTATCAACATTTAAGAGCAAATACTTCAAACTCATGATCCATTAGGAAAATCATCAGTTAATTCTCAGAAGTCGATGGTGTGATTATGTCAGGACTCTAGCTCTATATTGTATCTGTCATCTCAAGATCTCAGGTCATAGCCATAAACCATGGGGATGCATATTAGAAGTATTTGTGTTCGCATCGCTGCCCCCTGAAGATTGGTGACACCTTATGGGGATAGATTCTATTTTGTTTATATTTGTAAATAAGATTAGTGGAAATGCTATTTTGATTATCCAAAGATGACAAAGGTGATCATTTTTCCTGAATGTGCCCAGTGCTATGCTAGGGACAGGTAGGTTGATATCAAAGTAGGGGAGGGGGGAGGAATACTGTTCTGCTAACACCTGCTTCTCCTTCTCCACTTTATTCTAGGCAGCCTGGGTTTCTCTGTTGCATTTCACTATGTCCTGTAGATTTCTCTGTTACTCCAGACTCATTGATTCCATTTTCTCTGTTAGGCTGTGGGCTGCAGGGAAACCAGGATCCAGGTCTTACTCAACTATGCTGCTTTAGTGCTTCACTCAGTTTTAAACAGTAAAGATTTAAAAGTTTGGCAGACGTTAGAGCGAGGCAGTTTGGGTGGGGGTTGAGGGGAGGGGAGGGCATGAATTCTGGAACCAGGCTGCCCAGGTTCAAGTGTCACCCTTCCTGCATGTTACATGTGTAACCCTGAGCAAGTTACTTAATTCTCTGCCTCAGTTTCTCCATCTGAAAAAAAGAGATAACAATAGTTGACATTTCATAAGATAATAAGTGTAAAGCACTTTAAATAGTAATGGGTATAAAATATAAAATATATGGCCGGCACGGTGGCTCACACCTGTAATCCCAGCACTTTGGGAGGCTGAGGCAGGTGGATCATGAGGTCAGCAGTTCAAGACCAGCATGGCCAATATGGTGAAACCCCATGTCTCCTAAAAATACAAAAATTAGCTGGCATGGTGGCACCTACCTCTTATCCCAGCTACTTGGGAGGCTGAGGCAGGAGAATTGCTTGAACTCGGGAGGCGGAGGTGGCAGTGAACCGAGATTGTGCCATTGTGCTCCAGCCTGGGTGACAGAGCGAGACTCTGTGTCAAAAATATATATATATTAATATATATATTATATTAATAATATATATAGGGTTAATATATATATAATATATATAATATATATAATATAATATAATATATATAATATATATAATATATAATATATATAATATATAATATATATAATATTATATATAGGGTTAATATATATAATAATATATAGGGTTAATATATATTAATATATATAATATATATTTATATATATTATATATAATATATTATATATTATATATGTATAAATTTTTATATATTTTATATATATTTATTATATATTATATATTTATATTATATATAATATAGATATATATTTTTTATATATATACACACACATATACATATATATGTGTAAAATATACATGCCTATTTTCATTGTAAACTACTCTTGATTTTATGTCTCTGGTCTTCTAGTGACTTGCTGCTATTTTATGGATTAAAGAACAATTTTCACAATAAAATCACGTTAGCAGCTGCATTCTGCCACCTGGTTGAGAGCCAAATCTTGGCTCCCACTACCTTTCATATTTCTTTGTATTTCCCTTAGCAGCTAACATTGGACCTGGTATGATTCATCATTTGTCACTAGGACTTTTTATTTTCTAGCCTCCTTAGTATTGAGAAGAACTAACATTTACCAAATGTCTACTAGATGCCAAGCTAGGTATCTGATCCTTATACACTGATAAGGATAGTGGTTTCATCTCTATTTTATAGAGGCCCAGGGACATTCAGGGTCTTGGCCCATTTCAAAGAGTTAGGAAGTGTCACAGCCTGGTTCTGCCTCCAGATTGGCCTCATGTCAAAGGGAATGCTGTCTCTCCCTCATCATCCCTCCTCCTTCTGCCTGTCACTTTCCTGGGGTCCCAGCAGGCACCCCTCAAAAGCCAGAGGAATCCATGTGTTCTTCTCCAGCCAAGTATGACTCTTGTAACCATTTGTTCTGGATCCCAGAACTTTTATTAGAGGGGCTATGAATGAATAAGCAAGGTCTTGCCAAACCATTCCTATTTTCCTATATCTGTACATTGGCATCCACGCAGGTTTCGCCAGTACTATGCTAACCTCATGATTAGGGCATCCAGCAATGCACAAGCCCAACGTAGGGCACCAGTCATTTTTCCTTAAAAGACTATTATATTTGATCTTTTAAAGTAATAATTGTAGCTGCTATTATGACAAATATTAGGACTTTACTGAGCTTCTCTATACATACATAATTTAGTAATGAGTCTAGTTTTTATTTCAAATTACGTACGGGTCAGGGACCTATAAAAGTCTTCATAGGGCCTGACTGGCATACTCATTCTAGGATGTTTCGGAGATTAATTAGATCTGTTTTCAAGACCCTGGCTGATCCCCACCACTTCTCCTTCAATGCACTCAACTACTGTACTAATCACATGTGGATATTTTGATTGATTACATGTTGGATCTTCTATTTACTCAGACTGTAAGCAGCTTCAGAGAAGACAGCAATAAAATCTCACACAAGTTAAGCACCTGGGATGTTGCGGAACTATCATTTGGAGTGTAGTGAATTCTGATTGAGGTTTCCACTTTTATCTTGTGTTCTACACATTTGCAGATACACACATTCCCACACATGCACCCATGTGTAGAGAGCTTTGTGATGTGTGTCTGTTTATCCTGGCATCATGGAGCTAAGGTAGTTATTGGACCCCAGTGGAGCATTTTATCAAGGATTTTTAGTTTTAATTTTAATTTTTTAGGATCAACTTTATAAGGTAGAAAGACTGCGAACATTTAGAATTTCATAGGCAGAGTTCATGTAGGGAAGAATAAAGTCTGTTCTGCACCCTTTGACGTGTCTAAAGTTACTGACTGAGACATAAATAACTACTGTACACATGAATTGAAGAGATATATTTCTCTGGATAATTTTCCAAGTAGGGTGTTTTTTTTTTTTCCTGTTCCCTATTCTCCTTATGAGTGGTGGTGGCTACTTATAATATTTAGAGATATAATCTATGAATTTTATGCTTACATTTCTTCTCTCCTATGTCACCAATTTATTTTACTTATTTTCAACTTTGGGTAGTTATAGTGTAGTTTTATGATACAGATATTCAAAGAAAGCTTCAGTACATATAAGTGCTCTAGCTTACAAGTTTTCCTTTTATTCTGAGTGAGAAATTACTGCATTTCGCCTATTTTTGGAATTTTTAAAATTTTAATTTTTCACATTTAATTCTTGATGATTTTGCTTATAAATACCTAAAGAGGCACTTGAAATTGGAAAATGCAGACACTGTCGCTCGTTCTCTTAAAGAGTTACACTTGGTGGCAATGTGCACTGTACCTTTCCACAAACATGTGCCCCAACATCCCATGACGAAGCATCGGTAGTGAATTCAAATATCACTTTGTCCATTTCAAAGTTTTCAGTTTTTTTCATACAAATCTTTAATCTTCAAAAATGCCTCTCTTACACATTGATTTTAGAGGCTCACTCTGTGCCCCAAACAGTTTTCTTCTTTCTTCCTTCTCCATGTGCGCAAGGCACCCACAGAGAGGGAAACATGAGCCGCTGCTTCCCATACATGTTTGTGCATTCCTGAGTCCCAACGCCCACTTCATGGGATAAAACATGCAGAAATCTTAATGTGTGCATTTATTTTAAAATGCCCCAAGTAAGGAAGAAGAGGAAAGGTTAGGAGAACAGAAAGCTAACTGAAGCTGAGCCACTCGAACTACGTAGAAAAGGGCATTTATATAGTGCGAACTGCAGAGTAGGCGCTCTAAAAGGCTCCTCATCTACAACCATTTACTTAGTCCTCTTGAATTCCCATGTTTAGTCTGTGAGGTAGGTATTATCCCCATTTTCGAGATGGAAAAATAAAGAATCAGACAAGTTAAGCAGCTTAACTAGTGGTATTGAGGTAGGGTGTACTGAAGTGGACTTCACACTCAGGTTTGTGTCTCTGGGACTCCTTACTGAATGCACAGCCTTCACAACCAACGTATTCTGCATGTGACTGAGTTCTAATTCTGCTTTGAGGTCTGTGTCTTTAAATGCATAATTTGCAAATCGAGAAAGGGTGATGAATGTAAACTTAATGCTTTCTTACAAAGTTAGTTGTTAAAAAATAAATCACTACCTTTGCGTCAGACATCAAACTATTACAGAATCAATGCATGCAACTTTCATTGCTACTCGGTTATAATCAGTGGTTTATGTTTCGTTCTTCCTTGTTTGTTTTTTTAGGTGCGATGGTGATGGTGGCAGTAGGGGTTTCAGAATTAGTATTCACGGGTCTACTCTAAATAGCCATAGGTCATCCCTAATGGCCTTTGTTCTTCTAGCTCCAGAAAGTGTAAAGATATCAGGAGAGGCAGTCTCTTCTGGTTTTGTGTTCTGGGCCATTTACTTTGGATACTGCCCTATTGAGTGATAGCTCGCCAGACTGCCAGGTGACCCAGGCACTCTGGAGCTTAGCTATGATTACTCCTGAATCAGAGCCACAAAGTTCCCAAAGCCTACAGTTTTGGAAATAAATTTAGTGGAGTTTGTTTTATTCTTATTTCCTAAATGAGAGGAGATCAGAAAGCCACATATTTTAGCCCCACTTTCTGAAGGCTGGCACCACAGTGAGTTTTGAGTGACCTTAATCCATGTGACCCTTTTCATATTTGACTACATTTCCAAGCAGGGGCTGCAAAATATCTGTTGGACGTTGATTCTACTATTGATGCTAAGAGGCAAAGTTAAAGTCTATTTGTTAAGGTCTGTTCTAGATTAGATAAACATACTGTATGTACTTCATGGAAACACAGTTGTAGCATGGAAAATATCTTCTTTTTTTTTTTTTTTTTTTTGTGAGACAGAGTCTCACTTCAATACCCAGGCTGGAGTGCGTAGCACCGTCAAGGCCCACTGCAACCTCCACCTCCTGGGTTCTTCTCCTGCCTCAGTCTCCTGAGTAGCTGGGATTACAGGCATGCACCACCATGCCCAGCTAATTTTTGTATTTTTAGTAGATACAGGGTTTCACCCTGTTGGCCCGGCTGGTCTTGAACTCCTGATCTCAAGTGATCCTCCCACCAAGACCTCACAAAGTGCTGGGATTACAGGCATGAGCCACCGCGCCCGGCTGGAAAACATCTTTATAATAAGATTTTTCATGTGGTCATAATATGTGTTTTACTCCGGCCTTTGTTTGGAATTGCTATCTTCAAAAGGAGCCTTCATTTCATTTAAGGAGAAGGGTGGCATTATAATAAGTGTTTCTTCTCCTTGGGGGTGTGCTTCAGTGACCTGAATCAGACACCCCAAGTTAACTGTAGGGGTTGATCTGCAAAGAACAGTGCACTCTTTTAAATGGTATGTCAGATCAAATTTAGAGACACTTGTTGTAAGGCTTCTTTTGATCAGAGCAGGGTGCCATGTGTTGGCTGTGCTCATCTTTGAGTCCTGCCTTTTCTTAATTTCCCTGGTGGTTTTAGCTGGATGTGTGTGGTGTTTTTATCTTCCTGCTGAACATGAAGCTGTGGTTCCCTTCTGATTTGTGAAGAGACTCCTAGATGTCTAAGTTATGCGACTGTTGGGCACAAACAAAAAATGCTATTTTTCTGCATAGCCTGATCATTAAGAACAAAATGTTTGATGCCAAATAAGACTGTCTTGAAGTTTCTGGTCTCCCACTTACAAGCTTTTGTCTTTAGAAAAGTTACTTAACCTCTCTCAACTTCAGTGATTTTATCCCTAGAATCAGATTAGTAATAATACTTACTTCTACTGTTAGTGTAAGGATTAAATGAGATAATCTACAGAACTACTCAGCACAGCATTTGATATACAGTAAACATTCACCGAATGCTGGATGCTATTTCTGTATTACTATTTTTATTTTTATTCTAGCCACCAAATCTATGAACTGTGAACTTAGAGAAGCAGAGAAGGCTGCATTTGTAAAGGTGAAGAAGAATAGGGTGAAAAAAGAGGACCTGACTTCATTTTCCATTCCTTAGACTTGTTTATTACAGTTGTAGGTCACCATGGAAACTTTCAGGATTAAGATGGCATTATTGAGTTAAGCATTCAATGAACACCTCAGGGAAGAAAAGCCATAACATGTATGCATGCCATAAGTAGTTTTCAAATGAAAAGGGTTATCTGGGGGCGAAGAGTGGATGGCAGTTGTTGACTTCCTTGTCTGACATCGTTTCCAGAATCCACAGAGAATTAGGATCAAGAGTTGAAAGTGTGATCATATCCCTATGTTTGCCCTTTTGTGGACCATTCCATAAAGTTGTCAATAGTTATGGCCAGAATTTCAAAATGGGAAGCTGCTCTTTACATACTAGGGAGTGGGGCTTTCCAAAATAGATTCTGAAGTCGAAAAGAACTCCGAGTGTTTTTTGAGAAGGGTTGACCTCCTTTCATGCCACTTACTGTGAATTAAAGCTGCGAGGGAGAACTAGTTTGGGCATGTGGTACAGCACTTAGCGCCACCGCTGCCAGGGAACAAGATTTGTGTTTCTAAGGAGATACAACAAAAAGGAGAATGCTTTAAGAGCCAGCGGCTGTCAGAGTGTAAAAGTATCTATGTTCAGAAAGGGAAATAGAAGCTGAATTAAGTAATTTTATACACACGTTATGGGGTGCCCTTCTGTGAGTAATTCTTAAATTCAAAAGCAAATAGTTGTGACCACAAAGGGCTTAGTACATCTCAGCTGATTTTAGCTCTCAGACTCAAACTGGATATGATTGGTATTGACCTGCTCTGTGCATGTGATTTTAAGATGGTCTGACTCTTGTCTGTCATTCTGTTGGGTTATATTAATAACAGGGGACAAAGGGTGAAATAATCCAGTAAAGTTTTGAGCAGCCACTTGACAACGTATTCCAAATAAATGAGAGGAGGAAAACCCTAGCTCTACCAACTGGGGCCATAAAACAGAGTCTTCTACACTCTCTTTAATGTCAATATTAACCAGTTTGCAAATGTTCAGTCAGTTATGGGCATGGATGGATGTCCTGAATGGGTTCCCGGGATAAAGTGTCATCATAGGACAGAAATCACAGGGAGAGTGCACCAAGGAAAAATTACAGTACTGCTATATTTACTTAGTGCCTCTGAACTAGGGTTTTATTTTCCACGGGTTGGAAAGGGAACCACCTGTCTCAATTGCTGATGTCAGAGAGCTCCCTCGAGACACAGGGCTGCTGGAAAGCACATGATACTGTACATATTTGCTCTTACGTTCGTATCTGGCTAAGATTGGGTTTCAGATTTGTGCCCTATTGTGGAGTTCATTTAGTAGTGACTCTGAGATGCCCTCCCACGTCACCATGCCCTTGTGAATTAAAAAGTGGCCTGCCGAAGCCCTTGTTGTGAGTGTTCCCTCATCTCATGATACCAGTATTTGCACTGCAGTAAAATGAATGACACACATGTTGGGGTTATCATCTATGGATTCAATTTTGAAAGTGAGTATCAGGAGGCATTATGTCTGCACCTAGGAGGCTTTATGCTATTGGTAGGTGGGTTTTGTTTTATTTCTGGTGATGAGGGCTTTTAAAGATACATATATGTGTGTATACCAGATTTGGAGGTTTTGTGTGTAGATTGCTAAAAAGAAAGAGAGAAGTGTGTAGTATACTTCATTTTTTTTTAAAGCTGTTCGTTTGTCAGTGTGGAGGATTTGTTGTAGAGTGAATAAAATGCCTAATTTGGGAAGACTGGATATTATGACCATGCATTTCAAGTGATCTAGTGCATTCTTTTTAATTTTTATTTTTAAAGATTTTTAGAGTTGTGTAATCCACTGCTCCAGTTTTCTGGGGGAGAATTCAGCTTTTTAAATGTAGCTCCTTAAGGAAATGCGAGGACCACTGTATTGCATGGCTCCAGGAACTCATAGTCAAGAACTCACACTTAAACTATCCTGCTGGCTATGTGTACAATCTCCAGAAATATGATGCTCTCAACATTACTCAAACATTATGTAAAAGTAGAATTGTTACCAACAATTGCAGAAGGCTTGCTATTAGTGAAGTTGTTCATTATTTTAATAATGCCATGCATCTCCATTTAAATATCTTCACCGACTGCAAATTATATGGTTATTACACAAAATAGGTGGAAAACAGTCTGAGGGTGTAAATTACATTCTTGGGCCACATCAAATCAATTTCCTTTTAGGGATAAGAACCCGGGTTCTTAATTCCCAGCCATCCTATGATGCACACCTTCAATTAAATTTATATTTGAAATGATGCTTGATATTCTTTTTTCTCAAGTCCTAAAAATAGAGTAAATAGGATGGGCTAAGACCCCTTGGTTCATCTAATCTTTCCCCCAGTGTAGGATTTTCCTATGAACCATTAAAAGTGTTATAATATATGATTGATATTAATTAGTTTTCTGTAAAGTACTGCACTCCTTAACATGAACTGAACTAGAAATAAATATATTACCATGAATTAAGATTTTATTAGTTGCAAAGAAGAACTGGATGAAGGCACCTATGTGAAATCCTAAGTACAGGCGTCAAATTGAATTAATGCCAGCACTGCCTTGAGATTAATTTGAGTACTGAATAAGAAATAGTATATCATAACATAACTGTGTTTACTGAATCGTTTTTGGCATCAAAAACTAAAGCTACATTATAAATGCAACAACAGGCTTTTCTCCCTTGGAAGAGAGAGGCGGGTGCATTTTGTAATTAAAGTGAATATTACCCTCTGAAAAATGCTTCTAGTCTCTAGGAAGGAAACAGCCTTCTTGAGAACACTGCATCCTTGTATATATCTCAGACTTTGCATACTTGGTGTTGCTCTGGCCATCTTCTTCATCCTAGAGTACGGTCAGCTCTATTCTCCACTCACTTTATATATTTTTGTCTTATTACTCTCTATATGTTTTGCAACAGATGTGGAGGGTGCTGAAAAGTTTTATGGGATTGCCCCAGGGATGTTCTAGAAGGGATTGCTGATTTTATAGGGAGAATGATTGCACAGCATTCAATACAGGGCCATGCAGGCTGAGCCCTGTGAAGTCCTGAGGATCACTTTTGACAGATTGTGATGCGAGTAGCGCCCCCTGGAGTTGTGCATTGCTGGGGCTCTGCTCTACTTTCCCTTAATAATTCTGAAATTTCCTGATTTTATAAATTTTATATGCATCTATGATATAGGTTACTTGAAGACCAAATGCAAAACTTTAAAGTTTTGTACTGTTAAATAGGAATACTAGGCACATCACTCATCTAATTTTAAATTGTAAAGTAACTACATTTTTAAAAATTTTAAATTTAATTTTAATGTCTTTGACTTAATATATTCAAAATATTATATTAACATATAGCTCTAAGTTATTAATGAAATATTTTACATTCTATTTTTTGTATTCAGATTGAAATTCCAGGTATATTTTATATCTGTAGAACATCTCAATTTTTGTTTGGACACATTTTAAGTTCTCAGTAGCCATATATGTGGCTAGTGGCGACTGCGTTGGCTGGCATAGTTTTGGACTTAGATAGCAACTTGCCAGCATTTCACTACACAGAAAATTGCTTTAAAGAAAAAAAAACCCTTAAATATCTAAGACAAAATATAATGTATCCTTTATGTCATTTATCAATTTAAGAAGCGATTATATGATTGATCACAAATTTGCGAGAAGTGTGAATGCTAAGACAATTTAGTTGATAGCCCACTGGTGGTACAATGGACTTTATATTGAATTGTTTTGTCCTGTGGCTTTGTTTTCCCTTCTTCCCTCTGTGTGTATTTCAGATATCATCATTTAAAACACAATTTGATACTTTGTGGTTCCTCTCATTGTCCCAAGCTCATGCTGTCTTGTCAGTTTTCATGCACCATATGGATGTCTTATTTCTTTTCTTTTTTCTTTTCTTTTTTTTTTTTTTGAGACGGAGTCTTACTCTGTTGCCCAGGCTGGAGTGCAGTGGCACAATCTCGGCTCACTGCAACCTCCACCTCCTGCATTCAAGCGGTTCTTCTGCCTCAGCCTCCCGAGTAGCTGGGACTATAGGCGCATGCCACCATGCCCAGCTACTTACTTTTTTTTTTTTTTTTTTTTTGAGACGGAGTCTTGCTGTGTCGCCTAGGCTGGAGTGCAGTGGCACGATCTCGGCTCACTGCAAGCTCCGCCTCCCGGGTTCACGCCATTCTCCTGCCTTAGCCTCCCTAGTAGCTGGGACTACAGGTGCCTGCCACCACGCCTGGCTAATTTTTTATATTTCTTTTAGTAGAGATGGGGTTTCACCGTGTTAGCCAGGATGGTCTCGATCTCCTGACCTTGTGATCCACCCACCTTGGCCTCCCAAAGTGCTGGGATTACAGGCATGAGCCACCGTGCCCGGCCTCCTGGCTAATTTTTATATTTTTAATAGAGACCAGGTTTCACCATATTGGTCAGGCTGGTCTCGAACTCCTGACCACACCAGATCTACCCACGTCAGCCTCCCAAAGTGTTGGGATTACAGGCGTGAGCCACCGCACCCAGCTGGATTTTTTATTTCTTAACAGAGAAATTCTTGAAAGACTTTTGGCTCAAATAACTTTGTGGCCAGCCTAATGGAAACAAAAACTGTTTTCTTCACTTGCTGCTTCTGGTCTCTTCAGATGTAGTGCCAGCTCGGGACTGGTATGAGGCTGGATTTTATTTTTCTTTAGGTAAGTAGAGAAACAAACAGGCACCTGGCATTCCTACAACTTGTGATAACACTGTCCCTCATAGAAAGTCGACTTACTATAGGACTTAAAGAGAACATCTGATGTGCTTGGTTTCCAAATCTTTATTTTTCTTAGGTGAGGAAGGCAGGTGAAGAGCAAAGACTTGCATCTACTGTAATGTTGCTTGATTTTACATTGAGTTTTAAGCAGTCAAACATGAATGGCAGGCATCATTATGGAGTAGCTATTATATGCCAAGCACTTGGCTTATACACATTTTCTTTAACCTTAACATGAGCCATGTAAAATAGGCATTTATATTTCCATTTTTGTAGATGAAGTGCTTGAGGTTCAGATAGTTTAGGTAACTGTCTTGAGTTCCTACAGATAGATAATAAGTAACAGATCTACATTGTCTGACCCCAAAGTCCATGCTCTCAGAGAAGAGGGACACATTTTCCAACCAAGTCAATGACACCGTTCAATAATGAGTTTTGAACCAAGAAGAAAGACTAAAATTTTAGAGTTGTAATATTCCTTCACTTCACTTATTCAAGAAATAAATGCAGAGAATATGTAATCCTATTCTATTTTTTGATAGATGAGGAAATAGATCGAGAAACTTAAAGTGGCTTTGTGCAAGGTCAGACAAACAAGCCTAGACATCAAGTCCTTTGATTTCTGCTCCAAGGCTGTTTGTCTAAGTGGTTTAAGGGCCCCTTTAAGGAGGTAAGTTGGACATTTGGAATTTTTTTTTTTTTTGGACAGGCAGCAAACTTCAAAAATTTATGGTATAGAAACATTTATTTCTCTTTCTTTTCTATGCATTTTAAACTTGTTATCGAAGTATATGATACTGAAAAGTACATGTATCATAAGAGTTTAGCTCAGTGAATTGTCAGTAACAATGTACCCATGTAACCAGCACAGACAGCAAGAAAGAAACCCTAACTAGCTTGCTGGAGCCTTCCTCCCGGTTGACTGTGGTTCTCCCTGCCCTGCCCCAAACCACCACCCATGGCAACCTCTCACCTGATTTGCAGCCGCCTAGGTTAAATATCTGTTTCTGTGCTTTATAGAAGTGGAATTATAACGTATGCACCTTTTATGTGTGTCTGGCTTCCTTTGCTTCACATTACATTTCTGGGATTTATCTACATTTTGGTGTGTAGCAGAAGTTCATTAATTCTCATTGATATATTTGGCCATACTTTCAAGTATAAAATCCCTAACAACCATAATACTCTAAGTGGAATGAATAGGTTTATTTCACATTAATTAATATTTAAATTGCTTTTTTCCTAGAAAATTATTAGCTGTAGTTTTGTGTGATTCGGGCTAAAACAAAATAACAAAGCTGAAATATGGTGCGTCAGCAGTTACAAAGCATAACACAATGCAGGAGATCACTCCTGTCCTGTGGTTTTACATAATAAATAACATTGAATGATGTCATAGAGAAGACAAAGAGAGCACACAAGCTGAACATACCCACAGGAGAGCCCCAGGTGGGAGTTCCCACTTAGTGGCTTTGTATGGCTGTACAAAATGTTAGGTGTGGCCTGTTTTTAGGTGGCCTGCATGCAAATGGATCTACTAACATGGATGGTAGAAAGGTCCACCTCAGGGGCTAGGCGCGGTGGCTCACACCTGTAATCCCAGCACTTTGGAAGGCCAAGGCCGGGGGGGGGTGGATCATCAGGTCTGGAGTTCGAGACCAGCCTGACCAACATGGTGAAACCCCGTCTCTACTAAAAATACAAAAAAAAAAATTAGCCGGGCGTCGTGGTGCTCGCCTGTAATCCCAGCTACTCAGGAGGCTGAGGCAGGAGAATAGCTTGAATCTGGGAGACAGAGGTTGCAGTGAGCTGAGATTGCACCACTGTATTCCAGCCTGGGCAAAAAAGCAAGACTCTGTCTCAAAAAAAAAAAAAAAAAAATACCCACCTCAGGAATTGTTAAAGTTGTTTTTTTGTTTTGAAAAGAGGTAGAGAAAGAATTTACTCTGATCACCTGCTTGGTGCAAAGTACAATCTGGACCCTTCAAAGAATAATAGAGGTTTTGGCTTGTTTAAAATGGATCTCTCATCAACCTCTTTTTGCAGATTGTCTCACAAGCACAGAATCAAGATTTGCTATGTTAGTTTTCTTATTGCTTCTTCTTCCTGGTTGCAGGAAAATGTGAATGTAATGCCAGTGAATACTGCTAGTGAGAACCCAGCATTGTGTGAGAATAGCTGAGGGTTTATCAAGGCATTGTCCTGACTGAGGTTTATCATTTACCTGGTCATACTTTCCTTACTCCTATGTTGTCAGTGCTCCCTCTCCTAATTTCTGGTAGAGAAGTTAATTTTCCTGTGACTAATTCACTCAACCTTAAAGGAAAACCTCCAAGCTGGTTGGTCTTAGGTGGCATCAAAGCATACATCTTCTACCTCTTGCTCAATAGAGTCGTATGTACAAAGGAAAAAGTTGAAAAGGTAACGCTATCCTGTGATATGGTCTTGGTTTAATACATTTGCTAATACTGTTATGGTAAAATATTAGGCATATGACCTTTTTTCCTCCCTCCACACCCTACATGAATATCTCAGCTGATTCCTTCTAAATTAAAAATATGTACAGTCTTTTACCAAATATAATGAGCTTTTTATTTAAGGAGGGTCTTCTCATATTAGGAAGAAAGGATGTTATTTTAAGCTCTCATTTCCTTAGCTGCTGTAGACCTTATTCTTATTTACAAAACCCTGAATATAATATCCACCCTTCTTTCTAAATCTTCTCTCTCTGGGTGACACCATTTCTAAATCACTTGTAATGACTACCACATCAGTTGTGTGGTTTTCACACTTGCTGTGCATGCAGGGACTCGGTCTTACATATGACTCGTGCTACTTTCCAGAATTAATGATAAACAAGATGAAAGCCCACTGTTTCTCTGGACAGCTACCTGAGCTTTGTAAGAAATGCTGGTCTCTAAGAAGCTGATCTTCTCAGAGCCAATACCTGTGGTTGAAAGTATTATATTTCACAAGTTCTCTAGTATTCTTTTTCTAGAATCGTTGAGTGGTTAAATATCTGTATTGCAAGGAAAATGATGAAGCTGTGCTCTTTCAGCAACACTGAGCGCCAGTTGCCTTTCTTGTACAATATCTCTGATTTCCAGTATCTTTGTGAAATGAGACATTTGGATTCACCCTGTGCAAAGAAGGCTTCCTGAGTTGTCTGTCTCTGTCAAGACAGGCACATCACTGCATTTTAGATCTGGCAGAGATCTTTGATTTAATTGAATCCGGCCATCTTTGTTGACAGATAAGGAAACCGAGGCTCAGTATCATTACATGAATCACCCAAAGTCAAATTGCTGGCAAGTGACATAGCTGAATGAGGGCCATGTTCTTCTTACCATGCACTTTCCTTTCATTTTGGGCTGAATCAAGATCCTCAAAGTGACTCCACCTGTCAGATAGACTTGAGTCTCCAGTACTCACCTTAAATCTCATAAGGCTGGCTGACTTTGGTTTAAACCTCATTACTCCTCTTCTTACAAATATTCTTAATGGTCAAAATAACAAACACCCATGTGTAGGAAGAATGATCTGCAGAAAAGGCCCAGGAAATTTGAGAACATGAAATCAAATTGGCTGATATAAAGCTTTCATTCCTATGAATATAGTTGACCTTCCAGGGGAAAGAAAGTGAGTTATCCCCTCTTGTGATATTTGAGAAGCCAAACATGAGCTTTCTGCCCAAGCACGGGGCTGCAACATGGCAGCATTTACACAGGTTGTTTCACATTTAGGGATGGGCTGTGTTCCAGAAATTTACTTGTATGTCACCGGGTTGAAACTGGGACTGCATTTTCCTGGTCAAATCAATTTCAGTCATCTCCAGTGGAAGCCATGTCTCCAAACACTCTTTCTCTAAGCCTTTGCTGGTGGCCCCTCCTTTTTTCCCCAGTTAGTTGGTAGACCCTCTTCTCAAGAATTATTCTTACCTATTTATTTATACCATTCTTGAAAATATTTACTATTGTATAAATGAATGAAGTTTCTTTAACCCCACCCGGGCTAATTAAGATTTTTAAAGAGAAAATTGACTTTACAATTGATTAAATTTCAGATTGAGAAACAAAGGGAAGATGGTAGTCATGTCTGGGGGTTAGTGGTTTTGGGTCTACCTCTGAGGCAAGCTGATAGTAGCTGATAGCTTCCTTCTCTCCATAATTCTGGGATTTCTAAGTATACCAGGTACTAACTTCCCTCAGTGTTGCTCATGAGCTTTGCATCCTAAGTGGAGCAGCTGTTGGACTTGGTATGACAGGCAGAAATGGCTTCATTTTAAATATATGATGCATATTTGAGATATAATATTGGGCGTCAGGGGCTATTTCTATCTGCTACATTCCCAGTATGTTAAGCAGGCATGGCTTTAATACTGAATCTCTCTGTTCCTCTCAAAACTGAATAATTCTTCTTCTTCTGAATATAAAAGTCATGCATGTTTATAAGAGAAAATTTGAAAATTACAGAAAGGCACATTCACATAAAGGAACGTAAAAAGTACTTATAACGTCGTCAGCCACTACGAACAGCTTGTTACATTTCCTCCTCATCCTCTTCTTCTTTCTGAGGATATATTTTTACAGGTAAACTTTTCATGATTATAGTTTTTTCAAGCTTCATTTTAAACCCTAATGTATTTTGAACACTCTCCCATTATGCTATTAAATATATTTTACAACTGATTTTAATGATAATATTAAATATAAATATGTGTGTGTATATATATATACACACACACACACACACACACACACACACACACACACACACACATCTCTATAATTTATTGAACCAGGTCACTTAATGTTGGATATTCACATTGCATTCAAGTTTTCAATAATGCAAATAATGTCGCATTGGGCATCCTAATATGAAAAATCTTTGTACACATTCCCTTATTATTGCCTTAGGATGAATTTCTAGAAGTAGATGTTCTAGGTCTATGAGGTTTTTAGAAGTTTTGAATATATATTGCCTGCTTGCTCTGTATAAAAATTATACCCAGTATAATCCTACCAGTAGTATCTGACATCTATTTTTCGATTGAGCTGCTAAATGTAGAGGTCAATCCTAGAAGCGGTCGTCTTGGTTAAGGATGTTTTCTCAAAAGTCTTGTGTCTAATTGGGCTAGCAAATATAAAGTAAGAGTTTATCTGTCACCACAAAACTGAGCTTAGACCTCAAAGCTAATTGCTTCTTAAGATGAGAATTTATTTCCCTTCTACCTCTCCGACATGTTTGGGATATATGTATATACATATCAGTTTAGCTAGAGCAAAATTCAAATATCAAAGCACTGGAAAAACCCATAACAGAAACACAAGTCAAATAACCAAAAATCTTTCCAAGACTCTGCCTGGTGGTATTAAAAAAAAAAGAAAAAGAAAAAGAAAAAAATATATATATTTATTGTTACCTTTTTGAGACTATTTGCAAAATACAGTTTTGTTTTGTTTCTCTAAGATCGAGAAAAGCTAAGCTAATTAGTACTCAAGCACTAAAAAATAAGTATCACGGGAATGGTTTGATTGCTTTTTTTTTTTTTTTTTTCAGTTAAACAATTTGTGTACCTTAATTTTCCCTGGCACTTACTAAGTTCAGCTAGTGTGAAAAAAAAAAAATCCTTCTTAGTAAATGAAATGTTATGTTATGTATTGAAGTTCTGTAGCACTTTAAAATTTTAAATAGTGCCAAATTTGACAATATGTAATATGCCTTGTTCAGTTCCACTTAAAAAAATTGCTAGATAATCCTATTGAACATTTATTGTCTAAATAATCAATAACTGTCTGCATTATAGATAAATTAACCTGGAATAATTAAGGTAAATGAAAATGTGGATTCACAAATACAACCGAGTTGAACATCAGACAAAATCAGATTTTAACCACCCTTTTATTATCTCTTATCTCTGTGCTTAATAAGTACAATTGTTGCTTTAAGTTTAGATTAGTCCAATTGACTGCAACTCAGATTAACTTTCATGTTATTTTTTGTTTTAATATGAAAAACACCAAAAGCACATTTTGAGGTCCAAATTAAAATAGAGGCTGACTCAGTTCCATAGAGCCGGTCTGCAGAAGGTTTTACTGGAGATGAGAGATGTTTTTGCTAAGGTTGTCTATCATAACTTGTTTATTAAAAAAATAAAAATAAATGCTAGGAGACATTCAAGCTGTCTTGATTTTCCTCTAGTTATTTCCTCAAAGGTTCTTTGTTCACATGGACATCACTGTGGCATTTTTTTCAAGCAAAATGAGGTTTAATTTTATAGTATTTATAGAATAGAAGTCTTTGTTATATCCTATCCTGCTACCAACTTTTGTGTTCTATGCAGTCTCTGCTTCTAACCAGAGGCCCAAAGCATGTGTTTAGAAACTGATGTGGGGTATCAGGATCAATTAGTCCCTCTAGGAATTAAAAGCAAGCAATTGAATGCCTGTTAACAATGACTAACTTGAAAAATATTAGCAATTCTAGGCAGGCCCCTTTGCTTTCTGGACGAATGCTCTAGGCAGGCAGCATTCCCAGGAATATTGGTTTCCAGCTATGTAGACTGTCCCTCAGTTATAAAGTTGCCTCCAGGGTCTTTGCTATGGCTTTGATTTGAGGATGATTATTATTCTTATGGATGAAACTTTAGTTCTTCCTAGAAAGGCTTTCAGCGATTTGCATGCTCTTTCCAGCTGCCCTCCAAACCTTGCCCAGCCTTATTTTTCTCCATCATAAAATGGGTACACAGGTCATTTTTATTGGATAGTTTGGAGGACTAAATTGACTGAGATGTGGTATATGAAGTGCTGATCTTAATGTCTAGCCCATACGTGGTCTGCTGTATATGTCTTGCTTTCCACCTTTCTTTCTTGAGAAGTTTCTGCATACATATATTCTTATGTAGTTATTGTATAAATAGTGTATATGGAAACATTCCCGAGGTTGTATTTTCCTGTTCTTTCTTGATTTAGAAAACTAAAACTACAGTAATTTTCTGCTGTGTGTAAGAGAGAAAATGTGCTTATGAACTGTATTCAGCAAACTTAAAATGTTGAAGCTCTTGGTCACCTTTTTATGCCCAGTAATGATAAACTGTCAATTTGCTTACGTTATTTGGGAATTTACTAGCAACTTGCTGCAGATATCACAGTAGACACATCTCTTATAATATGTATGATCTGAAAGAAGCAGCAGTCTGGTAGTTTTTTGTTTGTTTTATTAAAATAAAAACTTATAAACTTATAAAAACAAATGAACAAATATATTTATCCTAATAGCTCTTCTGAGTTTGCTTCTGAAATCACCTATATTCAATATAGACAACAAAACCAATTGTTTTTGCTATTCTCTGAGGTTTTTGAGTTTGAGGGTTTGAATTTGATTCTAATTTTTAGAAATGGGCAGTTGTCTGAAATATGGAGGGATGGGAAAAGCCTTTAATTTGGAGTAGGAGTGAGGAAGGAAACCCAAATGTTATACACTTCAGTCAACGTATTTGTTAGAGAATTGAATTATTCTCTTGAGGTTTTTTTTTTTCTCTTTGTTAGCAACTCGAGATAGATTCTCCTGCCTCTACTAATATTGAAACCCTGGAAAATGTTAACAGAACTACAGAGGGGAGAAATTATCAGGATGGAATGTAGGCTTTGTGTAGATATGCAACATTGGGGGCACTCAGCAGATGTTAATAAATACCTCTTTCTATTGTTGAGAAAAAATGGGTTTGATTTGGGTGTGAACTGCAGTGGTCAATGAAAGGAACTTGTATCTCACCAGGGTGTGTTTTAAGCAGTAGAAGAGGAATCTGGGTGTTGATCCAAGTGACGTTGGTTTTTCATACCAAATTATTCCCCATTTTTAAGGGTTGTCATCCCCCTAAAATTGTAAGCTCTCTTGTGTCCATGTCATATGCTTTCTTGGCAGTCCTTGTGATACATGGCTGTGCACACAGTAAGGTTTCAATAGATCCTTGTTGTCTGAAACCAGATATTTGGGAATTTTGGAGACAGAGTTGACGAAGGGGTGAAAGGAGGGCTGTGGGTAGAGAGTAAGAGAAATAGTCAAAGCAGAGAGAGAATTAAATAGAGAAATGGCCCGGGGAACCAGAAAAAAACCAAGGTTGGTGAGCAATGAACCATTTAAGTTCTCCTGAGAAAAGAAAAAAAAAAAAACTGGACTGAAGAAAAAATTTAATCTGAAGAGTTAATTAACAAAATTATAAAACCTCTAAAACATCCCTCTCATTACAGTTGTAGTTTTAAGACAAAAAAAAAATATCGTGGAAAGCACTCTAATTTGTCCTAGGAATCTATTTAATTTTGATTTGTCCAGTAATAGAAATTTGAGGGGGAAATGCAATATACTGTAGTTTATGAGTCTTTTAAATGTTGTTACTTCTGAATTCCATCCTCTTTGTGATAGTGAGAGTGAAGAAAACACAAGTGTATTTGAAATCACTTCTGGTTTCAGTGCATGTGCTGATTTGATTTTTTAGAAGTAGAATTAGATGGCAAAAAATAAGAAAACCCTAACAATACAATCTGGGCAGGTTAGAATATCAAAAATTATAACGAGCCTGTTCTAATGTAAAGAACATCTCTAAAAGATGTGAATAGGTTTTAAAAATATGATGAATATCTAGCATTGGATAAACACAAATAAAGGTATCAGTGAATATCACAATGGAAGAATCACATGATAATAATTAATAAACATTGACTCTTCTTGGCCAGGTGACCAATATTATTTCACAGTTGATCCTTGAGGGCAGAGCCAATGACCTTTGTCCTGAATTTTAATAATTTACTGAAGTTTTACATTAAATCAGAATATAATTGGGAAGAAAATTAGTGTTTCTTTGTGGGGAGTGCAGAGTAATGCCACTAATTGCTTGTATAAAAGCATTCCCGAGGTTGTATTTTCCTGTTCTTTCATTAGAAAATTAAAACTACAGTAATTTTCTGCTGTTTATAAAAGGGAAAATGTGCTGGTGAACTGTATTCAGCAAACTTAAAATGTCAAAGCTCTTGGCCACCTTTTTATGCCCAGTAATGATAAACTGTCAACTTCCTTACATTATTTGGGAATTTACTAGCAACTTGTTGCAGCTCTCACAGCACACAAATCTCTTATAATATGTATGGTCTGAAAGAAGCAGCAGTCTGCTGGTATTTTGTTTCTTTTGTTCTTTCTTTCACTTTAATATTTGAGCAATTTAATATTTAAAATATGTGTTAGGGCAAATAACCATGTTTTTCTGTTTAAGGAGATGGACAATGAAGAACAGTGTAAATTAACCTCAGTAGAATAATGCTTTACAAATTATATTTAGGTAACTGGGGGATTGTTTTCAGGTAAATTATTATCAAGTAAAAGAATTGAGCTGATTCTAAAAGTATATTGGGTTTAACATTTTATGAAAACATGTTTATTCACACAGATACATACACGTGTACATCTCCTGGGAACTTGGAAGGGTTAAGTCAGACCACTGTCATGTTACAGGAAGTGTTTTTCCACTGTGTCCAGTACCTTGAGTTTGTTATGTATTCAATATGTAGTGTCATCATAAAACAGTTGCACCTACCTGCATTAGCCCTCATTGTCTCAAGGTACAAGCTGAAAAATAATAGAAAGTAAAGCTCAGGAATTGAATATTTCTGCTAATAGTGTGTTGGTATTTTTCCCTCAGTTCACAGACATTCTTGATTTCAAAACGCAAACTACACAACCCAGGGCACTAGGGTTGGAATTCAATGTTTATTCAAAAAGGCACCCTAAGGCAGTTAGGGAGGAAACGCTACATGTATGAAAAATAGGAGCCGGGAATCAAAGCTGATCTGAGCAGAGCAGCAGCGACTGTATTTACTAACACTTGTTTTCTGGGAGCCTATGAGAGAAATGGAAATAATTAGAAGGAAGCTGAAAGGATGGGGTTTTGTGGCTTGTTCTCCTTATATGGAGCAAAGAAAACTGCAGCAACTCTTCGGGAGCTGGTATTCCCTACTGCCATGGGGGCAGCCGAATTCTGGGTGGAGGAGTTTGTTTATACCTTAACACATACAGGCTATTTTGTTGATTAAACAAGCAAAAAAAAAAAAAAAAAAAAAAAAAGCCCCGTTTGCGCTTTCAAACACTCCCTCAATGAGAAAATGTCTCATAAAAATGCATCATGTGATAAGCTCTTGCTTTAGTCCCAAACTGAGCTTGAGTCCACTTGGAGATCTTAGAATTAAAGAGTTCTTAGGGAATACACGTTTTAGCTAAGAATATAGTTACTCTGTCATGAAACAGGGAGCTTTGCCACTTGCTTGTTTTGGAAGGAAAATAAATTAAAAAAAGATTGCAGGGGATTTTGGTTATTATATGGCCAGGGCTCCGTTTAGAGTCTGTGGCATTCAAAGCTGGCTTTAATCACAGCATGATGCTTGAAGCCTCCAAAAGTCTAAGTGTTTCCTTTCTTTCTTTCTTTTCTTTTTCTTTCTTTTTTTTTTTTTTTAAAGCGTTACTTCACTGAAGCAGAGGGCTGCCTTTGAGTGACGTCACGAGTTAGAGCAGCAAGCTGCACAGGGGAAGGGAGGCTGGGTGAGTGACAGCCCAGCCTACTTTTTAATAGCTTTGTCATGTGACTGGGGACTGTAGTAAGACAGGTGCCTTCAGTTCACTCTCAGTAAGGGGCTGGTTGCCTGCATGAGTGTGTGCTCTGTGTCACTGTGGATTGGAGTTGAAAAAGCTTGACTGGCGTCATTCAGGAGCTGGATGGCGTGGGACATGTGCAACCAGGACTCTGAGTCTGTATGGAGTGACATCGAGGTGAGCTGGGGCAGGGCTCGGCGCTGCAGCCACAACTGACGCTTCCCTCAGATGCTATTATTCCTGTAAGGGGGGATGGGCTTGGGCAAAGAGAGGAGCCAGGAAAGTAGTCCAGGCAGGAGCTTTTAGAAGAATCTCAATCTTATCTTAACTCCAATAAGTTTGCTATTTTAAGGTGGCTCTGAGATGGCTTGAGCAAATCAAAGCTTAGCTGCTGTCATCAGTATCTGTTGCAGTTAGAAACTCTTTCCATGTGACTTTGGCACTGTTTCTACTCATATGCAATATTTATGCTCTAAGATATTGATATGAATCAGAAGCTGAAGTCTTTCCAGTGGTGTTTAGTGGCCTGGTTGGAAAAATGCCATTTCTATTTATAATAAGACGAAGATAAAAATATTAAAATGGATGTGTTCAAATATAGTCCGTTTTGACTCTAGTCCGGATTTTTCCCCCCTCTCTCTCTGTTCATCAGACAGAGAACTTACAAAATCCTAAATAATCCTGCTGGGCTATTTTAGATTGCTTTTCCCACAGAACACAAAACAACGATGCTGCTTCCTTTAAAACTCCTATACGTGGTTGAAAGATTTGGCCAGCGAATAAAAAGAAACGCCTGGCAGTGCAAGGTTTTCCGTTCGCGTCGGTGGCAGGGAAGCCAATGGTTAAATCTTCCTGTACCACGGAGAGCTGCCTGAAGCTGAGAGAGAATAGAGTTTATGCAGGACTGTGTGTGGAGCTGCTCGCTGCTAGTGTAAAAATAGACAGCAATACATCAATTCCACAGTCTCTGCTGGCTACAATTCATACAGGGGGGAAAATAACGCAAGCAGTTTCCTCGTAATCTCTGGAGTCTAGTGGGGGGACGGAGGACCTCGGCGTGTTTGCATTCAGCACAATGGAATGCTCTCGGAAGGAAAGTTTGGGCAACTTGGGAAACAAGCAAAACTTTCTGTGGACTCTGGTGAGATGGACTCGAATTGAATTGCATGGAGGATCCCAGCTGCTAACAATGAATCTGGCAAAAGACTGCGAGTGTTTCCTCTGGGTAGCTGGGGGCACGTAGGGTAAGGGGGAGGATCAAGCCCACACGTGATTTGATTAAATAAGATGTCCATGTGGTGCAGCGATACACATCTAAAGTGAAAATAATTTGGCCAAGGCCGTCTGTGAATGCATTTTTCCTATCTAGCGAGGCATGCCCGGGATTCTTAACTCTTTGCTGGGTTTGCAAATGTTGGCTCCATTTGCCCTCCCTTGCCTTGGTAGATCGTATTTGTGGATTGTAATTGTTATCTTGTTCTGATTTCTTGGTAAGGCGGAATAGATATGGATAATTCATATGCCCTGTAGCCATTATGAGTCAGGGTTATAAGTGGCTTCAAAGTCCTAATTGCCTTTGAGTAGCCGGAGTGTCCTGTGGGTGGTTGTCTGGCTGGCACTGTGGGTCTCAGCTGCTGTAGTTTCATTTTTCCATCATGTATTATTCCTGATGCTGTTAGGAGTTGATTGAGGAACTAGATCATATGGAAATAAGGAAGATTTATTTTAATCATTGGAATTCCTGCAGTCATTTTCAAATAAACATCAGAAGCATTTAGAATAGTGGCCTTTAAATTTTTTTCTTAAGGAGGAAAGGTCTTGGCTACTTGTCCAGCCATGGATAGAGTCGCCAGTCGGCTGAGATTGGCCAGTCACTTCTCTGTTGCACTATAGGCAGCTAGCTGCTAGAAGCTTTGCCTACATGGCAGCGGCTCTGGGAATCACCTCCGCCTGTATAAAATATTACGAGCAGCAGGTAGCGTTGGCAGTTTTCATTTTTTGAATCATTAATGTTTGCTGTCATCCTAAAACGTATTATGCCCTTTTGCACATAATGACAGGGTAGTACATTGGTTAATATAGGCCTATATCACTATAGCTACTTGGAGTGCCCCGTGTTTCACAGTTTAATGAAGGTGATATACAGTAAGGTTACTAAGATTGATAGAGACAATTCACATGACATACACCCCACTAAGACTGTCATTCTTTACTGCCCCTCTCTCCACCCCCTTTCCCCTGTCTTAACTAATTTTTTTAAGAACCCAGTTTCTTTTTTCATTAATATAATTAATGTGGCCAAGTCCACTCCTTCTTCTCTCTCTCTCTTTAAAATTTACCATCAATGGCACAAAAACCTCCAAAAGGTTAATGGAGAATTATACTTAATTATAATGATTCATTATCATCAGTGCAGTTAAGCTAATTTATTGTCTGCTCCTTAACTAAGAGAAAAGTCTGTTGGGGTGAAATAACATACAATAATTAGCCTTTTGTGTTTAGTGACTGCTTTATCCTCTTAAATCTTATTATAAAATTGAGGCTACAGTTGTGAAATAGCTGTCATAGTTGCAAAGAGGCAGTAGAATGTGTCTGTGTAATTGCAATAAAGCACACCTGTTACAGAGGTATAGGGAAACAGTAAATATCAGCATGTCAGATGAGGACAGTTACAGGGCTTGGACTGTTAAGTCTGGCATTGTCCAAAGGCCAAATATAAATTAATAACAGGAACACTTGCTACCACTAATGTGTTTTAGATTAGCAGGATAATGCCACATTCAGAAGCACAGATTTTATTAGCATGTCAACATTGGCAAGAACACATGCACTTTTCTCAACCATAACATAAAAGCAAAATGAGAGAGAGAGAGAGAGCGCACGAGCGAACAAGTGAGAGGAAGGAAAGGAATATGTAAATGACAAGATAGCACCAATACAACAAATTGACCTGGTCTTTTCAATGGTTTTCAAAAGTTATTTAAAAATACATATTTATGGAAGGTTAAAGGGTTATGAGCAAGTCATGCCAAAGAGGGCAGTTAAAGAGAGGGACAGGAAGAAGTTGTCCACAAATCAGTATGCTACTTTAGCATTCCAAAACATGGTTGGTTCCTAAGTTTCACAACAGGAACTTAAGCCATATGTAGACAGCCTACATTTTCTTGATTATTTTTACTTTTGTGTTGCTATTTTTGTTGTTCATGTTTTTTTTTTTTTTTTTTAAAGACTATGCCCCTATAAAATCCTAGTGTATCTTGCACCGTTGAAAAAGTTCTCCCCCATCTCTGAATTGGTGACATTGAGGAAAAGTTAAGATAGTGTGTTTGGGCTTGGAGGATCAGCTGTGTGGGCAAGAATGGAGTCTGGGCAGTGTTACATCCACAACCAAATATGAGCATTGTACCAGAACGAGATCTCTTCAGCCCAGCCTCCAGTTACTTATATGCCTTGTCAAGTATACTGATCTGTAATTTTGGGCTAACTCAGATAATAAAAGGAAAGACCAATAAAATGATAAGGAAAGAGTTTTGATGGTGAGGAGGGCCCTTTCTTTGCATTCCCTTGTCCCTGCTGCCAGGGATCTCACTGGGGTCCAATGGTCTTAGAGAAGGATGGCAATGATTTTCAGTCTCCCCCCATCCTCCCCTTACCAACTGCTGACTCCATTACCCAGTACTTACTTCTCAGCGTGTTGCTTTTGATCACGCTGCTGCATATGACCTGTGTAATGTGGCCTGCTAGGAATCCCTGCCAGGGATAACAGGGGTGCTTGAGAAAGAAAATCTGCATAAAACTTATTTCATTCAAAATGTAAATGTCAAGGAGCATCTTTCATTTTATGCCTAACTGCAGCCTGGATGTGAACAATTCCACAGCATCTCTCCTGACCTTGGAAGGCAGGGCCATGAGGGTGCTGCGTCAGTGTGTGCCTCCTGATTTAGACACCCCCACTTACAGGTGGATGAAGTCCTTACTGTTCTGGCAATGCCAGACCCCTGCAATAGGAGTTCCTGCAGTGTTCTTTACTGTCTGCGGACTGACATTAGCGGTTAGGTAGCCAATTCAAGTTTAGGAGACCACCTCATTGGTAAGGGGAGTCCACTTGCCTCCAAAAGCCGCATGGTAAAACAGTTAAAAAGACTGTCTATTTCATGTAAGGGGATGAAATGCTTTGACAATCTAAAATAATCTTGGTGATAAGCAGCCCAGCCATGGTAGAGATATTTTAAACCTCTCAATATGTAGAAATTATTTTAAAACTCTAAACAAAAATAGTTATTTTGAATTCACGTAGAGCACAGTTTAGATATACATAAATAATGAACAAAATATAGTGATGGTATGCTATTGTGAGTTTTCTTTTCCAGGTACTAGGTGATTCCAACCGTACACACACATACGTGTGCAAACACATACACACACACACACACATCTTGCAAGTTACATACAAAAGCCGTATAGAAAAAAAATTATGATTTTTGTCCTTCATCTTAAGGAACTTGCTTTTGCCTTTAAGGATGAAGTCCAGAAAGTCATGAAGAGTCAAATAAGAGTAAATGATTTAAATAACAATTCAGGAGAACCACAGATGAGTCAAAGGGCTTTGCATCATTAGTTGCTAAATGAATTATTTGGATTATAATGCTTAAAAGGAGTGTAAATGGAGAAAATTTTTCCTAGTGTAGTTCCTCTGTTCTTTTTCCATTTAGCAATAGTTTATTGAGTGTCTATTATGTGTGATAAAATTTCCAAGGTAAAATCAAGTTTGTATTATGGTTAACTATAAGACAGTTTAAAACTTTGGAAGCAGTAACTATCAAACAGGTATCAAGGATTTTGTACAAAGAGGTCCAAAAATATCTAGTTGATTTCTAACTGGAAGAATCAGAGAAAGCTTCGTGGAGCTTGGTATTTACCATGTGTTTGGAGGTAGCTTTTGGATGGAATAAAGCAGGGAAATTATCCTTCAGGAGCCAAGTGAGTAAAGATTTTAGGATGTTTTTCCTGGTGATTAAAGTGCCAGAAACTAGCTTTGGTAGTGTAGTTGAATTAACTAGGCTTAATTCCTATCACATGCTATTGCAGTTTAATAAATTCCTGTGGTTAATGGAAGCTTTTTTAAATTTTTTTTTTCTGCCTCCTGCAGTGTGCTGCTCTGGTTGGTGAAGACCAGCCTCTTTGCCCAGATCTTCCTGAACTTGATCTTTCTGAACTAGATGTGAACGACTTGGATACAGACAGCTTTCTGGGTGGACTCAAGTGGTGCAGTGACCAATCAGAAATAATATCCAATCAGTACAACAATGAGCCTTCAAACATATTTGAGGTAAGGACATCCTTTGGAAACATTAATTTTTCATTGAGTTTGGCTTGGGCCCGACTAACATGGTAATAGACCTGAATGCATAATGAGTTCTTACTTTGCTATCATCAAAAGACTTTTCATCACAGTTACATACTTTCTAATTTATGGAAAAACAGCATTTGGAAAACAAATGTTTTGTTTTTATTTTTTTAAAGATTTAAAAAATAAATCAACTAGGGACTAGGAATCAACAACTGTGAGTGAGTTAAACTGTGTTGAAATACTAAAGGGTTGTGAAAGATTAGTGACAAAGAAGAACAAAAGTCTAAACCTGTTTATTCCTGTCTATTTCCCACAGAAAGAATGAGCAATAAATGGTACCTCATATAAATTAATAAATAAGAAGGCCTTTCTTTTTAACCAAGGGGGTAGATGTCTACCTTTGTTTGCTTTACTAATTAGGTGAGCTCTTTTGATTATTATTATTAATTATATTTTTGGTTCATATCTCTAATTTCTTTATATAATGGGAATTGCTAAACTTGACTAATCTACTGTATACTTATAAATCAGTCAAAATTCATTTACTTTTCAGTAGCAAGAATTACCTCCGTGACTCCGGACTCTTATTATAAGCCTACCCTATAATAAAGAATGTTAATCTATTCCTATTAAAGTGTTACTTTGAGAAAAGGAATTCTTTCCCACAAGATCAGTACTCATTTACTTGAAATACATTATTTTTTATAGGAACAAACATTTAGTGAGTACTCTGGCAAGTGAATTAAACGAAGGATGACATATCGGCTAGTTTTCTTTATCACAACCGCCAGTGCCATCATCATCATCATCTAATGTTTTCTGAGCACCTACTATGTGCTGGACTTTTCTTATTCATCAGCAAAGACATTTCTTATACTTCCATGTTATTTGGTTGAAATCTGAGTCTTAAGAAAGCCAAGTTTAAAATATTAACTGAGTTTTGCTGGAACCCAGCATATAATACATGCTGAATAAATGTTTGTTAAATCATGAGAGAATGATGAATATATTAATGTTGATAACAATAATAGTAATGACAATAATGGCCAACATTTTGGTATACTCATGCTTAATATATGTCATCTCACTTATCCTTGAAAACAACCTATTGTTAGGTCCTATTGTTATCATTCCTGTTTTACATATGCAGACACTGAAACTCAGAGAGGTTATTTGTTTTCCCCAAATCACACAGTTGACAATAAAGACCTGGGATTTGAACCCCAAATTTATCGGACTTCAAAGTTTATATCCTTGATAAAAATAGAGAACCCATGAATTTGGGTGACAGCCATCCTTTACAAAGACATATCAAGCTGCTTCTTTGCTCAATATATTTAAAAATAGAACAGAATCTTTCCTTTCAGTGTTGGTTGGCACGGAGGTAGAGTTAGCTGGTGAGCCGAGACGGCTGTAGGTTCTGCCTATGGCTGAGATTTTGTAATACCTCTGGAGATTAAGTGGGTTTTAGAAGAATGCTTAAGGTAGTAGAGTTTGGACTGGGGAGACAGAACAAGGTGGAGGGAACACTGAAGGTTGTGGTTAGTTCTACTTTCCCAGGCTTCTCAGCCGGGTCTTAGAAAGTTCATGTGAGGACTTGGCCAGTTAGAACTGGTAAATTGAACATTCCTCACTCAGTACACTTGTCAAGTTACAGGCCCATTCTAAGTCATGCTGCATTAAATAAACAATGCTTTAAAAAATGTCCATCTCCATAGACCTCTTATCTAAAAATCACCTATTTCATATCAGGTGAATGCCATGCATTTTGTAGAGGCTAGAGAATAACTTAGCGGTAGGGGAGATGGCATAGGAGTCAATGCCTCTCTGGTGGGCTACTTTAAAAAAAATACAACTTTCTCCATAACTTTTATGTCCCTATATTTTGTGTTGTGGTATTTGTGAGAGGTACTTTGCATTTATACCTTCAGGAGACTTGGTTCAGCATCTAGTTAATTATCTACATGTAGGTGCTTAATATATGCCATGCCACCCTTTTTGTCTCCCTGTATCATATTCTATGCTAATAAAATTATTTTCAGCACTCTAAAACAGAAGTTCATTTAATTTAGTCTCTCATTAGGTCATTTTAAACCAATGATTCTCAACCAAAGGCGATTTTGGTCCCCGCCCCACACCCCAATTCACGGGACATTTGACAATATCTGGAGGCATGTTTGGTTGTTATCCCTGGGGACAAGGGGATGCTACGAGCATTTATTGAGTAGAGACTAGAGACAAGGAATGCTGCTAAACATCCAACAGCCTACAGGACAGCTCCCACCACAAAAAATGATTCAGCCTCCAATGAAAAAAGCACTGAGGTTGAAAAACCCTGCTTTTAAATAAAGTCACAGGCTTCCCCTTTATAAATTACTAATGATTAATTGGTCAGATTTCTGAGAGAAGACATAGTAAGCTACTGGATATAAAGAATGAGAAGTCGTATAACGATATCGGGATGCCTGGGGCTCCAGGACTAATATGTCAGGTATCCTCTTAGTGTCAGAGGGCAAAAGTGACTGTTTAGGTAAGTTCCCATAACAGTTTTCTCTGATGTCACAAAGCCCATTCTTTATCGAGGCAAAGGGTAAAGTCATATGTGGCAATGCCCTTACCAACAGCAGCAGCTTCAGGAGTATTTGCATGGCATGAGGACACCTCCACTCTTTGCCCTCTAGTGTTAAACTCAGGCATCTTTTCTGTAATGTGAAAGGAAAGCGTGTTTTCAGCACAGGTGACATTCTAAAATTGGGTCTTCCCTGTGAAGAAGGTTCGTATGAAACCAGATAACTCTTTCATGGCCACAGGTTTGTGTTGCTTCTACCAAAGCAGCATTTCAGGGAAGTGCCTTCCCAGGGCCGGCCACTCACAGTGGACTTTTCACCTGCACTCACCTTCTTCCAATTTGCAAAGCCCTGCCTCATCACATTTGAGAAGGCCTTGTACTTGAGTAAGTTAAACAGTCACGGGCTCTGCTGTCTCTGATCTGACAATAACAAGCATTATCTACTTTGGATTCCCAGAATAAAATCAGGCACTGAGTAGTTAAATGCTTTTCCCTGACTCAAGTAGCACGTCAATGACACCACTGGAAACTGGCCATCGACTGAATTCTCATCAAAGCAGAAAGTGGGATTTAGGGATATATAATAGAGTGGCAGAGTCTTAAAATGTTGAGAGTAAATTATGTATCTCTTCTTTTTGTTTCTTCCATATGTTTGAATCTAAGTTTAATTTTTATTTAACATCACAAACTTAATAATGATAAAAAATGAAGCTGAATGTCACAATTTGAGAAAGGGAATTCTGGGTGGTGGCAGAGGGGTAGCAACATGCAATAGCACATGTTGGTTGAGTAACTGGACACGCAAACAATGTTCTCTGCTTACGCAACCTGTGTTTGGATGTGTAAATGCAGGTGACCAGGTACGATTCAGAAGCCACTTTAAAAAACAAAGCAAAAGGCTCAGAGGTAACAGCCTCCAGTGAATCTGATCCATGTGTAAGGAAAACAGGATGCGTCCCTGGACCGGCTGGTAGCAAGATTTATGTTTCAGAATATTGCAACATAACTTCCTTCCCTCTGTTGCCTTTGTGCATTGTTTGAAGGAGGAGAATAAAGGACTACTTTTGCAGCACAGCAGTCTGTAAAGATGGATGGCATGGGGTTAGTTTAAATAGCATATTGGCCTTTCTGGGTCACTGTGGGCAACCTTGTCCCTGGTTTATTTTAACACCTGCTTTAATGCCTCCATGATACAACTGAATGGGCATCTTTCATTCATTCGTCTGTTACTTCTGAATGAAGCTACTTGGGGTTCGTTAGAATGATGGCAAGTGAGAATGCAGTCGTCTCTAGGTCATTACTTGTAATACGTTCTGAGGACTGCCTTTGCTGATGGGGGGAGAAGGACTCTCACAGCTGTAGCCAGCGTTCATGTTTGGTCATTGCTGGAACTCTCAGGAAGCCTGAAACTGTGAACTTTGTAGCAGAAAAGGGTGAGTGGTGGTTTTGTATTTGTGTGTAAATTATCCTGCTATATGCAATCAAGGAAATGAATGTGGACGCTTTCAAGGCTACTTGGTTATTCTAGTGGGAATATAGATACTTTACTTTTCTTCATTTGGCTTTCAGTTATATTCTAAATTTTGCAAAAATGGACATATATTATGTACCTATCAAAAAGTTAAAAATAACAAATATTGGCAGTTCAACAGACCATGAGCATTTGAGGAGTAGGGAATCTGCCTGTCTTGTTCACTGACATTTTTCTAGATATTTTCTCAGAAAATAGCAGAAAGTAAGAACTCAACAAATACTTGTTGCATAATGAGTGAGTTGATCTTCATGTGTTTATTGATAGAATGAACTGCGTTAGGTAATGTGAAGATTATATACAAAGCACAAAAGAAGGCCTGTGTCCTAAAGGACTTTAAATCTAGTTTGGGAGGCAAAATGAACAAATGTAAAACAATTAGGAAACCATGCAAGGCTGTGTATACAAATATACAAGTATATGCATATGTTTTTAGTTCTTAGCAATTCGAAAACAATACAAGACTGTATATTCATGTATATGTATATATGTGTATGTACCTACATAGGATTATATATATATTTGCAATTTGCAAACATTGCGAGCTCGTGTATGCATATATGCATGCATATATATGTGTGTGTATGTATGTGTATTTCTAGCTGAGGAGATAAACAGCAAGAATAAATTCACAAAGCCTTGTAAGAGAAGAGCAGAGCGTTTTCATAGACGGGATGTGGAGGTGAGCTTGGTTTACTCAAAGTAAAATACATATTAATGGGAACGTGGCAGTAGTGGGAGTAAGTTTGGATGTAAGGTAGGTACAAAATTACGGTGGGTCATGAGAACCCAGTTGGAAATGTTTAGAGTCTGTTTAGAAAGTAGGATGTCATTGAAGATTTTTTAGCAGATCAACATAATGGAGGTGGTATTTAAGAGTGATAATGCTGACAGTCGTAAGAGGTGTAGGCAAGTAGGAAATACGGAAAATCAGACAGCAGGCAGTGCTGCATTCCAAACCCAATGTGATACAGGTACAGGGAAGGGACAAGGTGATAGCAGAGGGGGTGGCATTCAGGGAACAGATTCAAAGTACCTTGAAGGAAAATTCCATCAGCCCTGATAACTCTGAGTTCGGATAGAGAGAGAGGTGGTAAGGAATGCTAACTCAAAGATATTCCAAAGAGAAGCAGAACCTCGTGGATATCGTTCCTGGTTAAGTTTCTGCTCACCTTTAGGAGCTGAAGTACTTTCCTAGACTCGTGAGTCATTTTACAAAGGGGCCCTCTATCTTTCCACTGCCTCAGGGACAGAACATATTTAACCCAATCCACAAATTTACGTGGTGTCTGCTTTTTTTCACTTGTCTCCTTGGAGGAAATCCTGCAGCCTTCCATGGTAATGAATTCCTGCTTCTGACTGTGCCTGTGGTCAGACAGACTTTTCTATGAATGGCAAACCTCCTGGAATTTTAACAAAACAAATAGACAAGAAAAAAAGAATGCATGTATATACAACCTCACCTTAATTTAATCATTGGAAGAATAAATTCTTTTTTGTTATGTGGGAGGACTGAATTAATTTACAATAATCACTTTTATAAGATTTCTGGGATTTCCAATTTGCAATCAATAAATGTTTGTCATTTAAATTAAATTTACGGCCCACAGCCAGATTTTTGCCACACTTGGTAATGACACTTACAGAGAACATAGACTTCAAGTAAGAAAATAATAGCCATTTAAGTGGAGAGATAATTGGCTGTAACATAAGAACATTGAAGAATGTTGAAACTCATGGAGACTTATGGAGTATTTTAAAAATTTATGTTGTACTTATCTTTGCATTTGTAGTCTACCACAAAATTCCAAATTCTGGGTATAAATCAGTTAGATGTTCATCTTGGAGAGTCATAAATCAGGAAGCAACAATCTGACCCAGCCTGTGTGCTGCTTTATTTTCAGCCTCTCCTGTCGGCTTATCTTGCAGGGAGACTAAATAGTGTTGTTCGTTTGTGTGTGTGTGTGTTCATCTACACACCTCATTTAAGCACTGTGGTTTTAGACTTCTCGGCTTGATAACATCTGGCTTATCTTGGGAACATCTGGTTTATCACCCTATTTCTTCCCTGCCATTATGCTGACCACTGGAAAAATATGGCTCAGGAGTTCTGACCCACAGGGCTCTGTCTCTTGGTATCAACCCCTGCTAATAAATAGCAACTCACAGGATGCAGGTTACGTGACCATCTTTCACTGGCACTAACTTTCCTGCTGGTGGCTTTTGTTAATGGAAGGTGTGGCTAGGAGAGATGAAATTGGCTGCTTTTTTTTTTTTTTTTTATGGACGTTGATTCGGTTCTTAGCCATTTGCAGTTTGCAAAGTGAGAATGTGTATGTTTCATTAGGCACAAGGATTTCAGAAAGTGCTATTTTGTATTTTGGGATAGGAGAAACCAATGATTTCATGTCAGATACTCTAGGCACTCCAGAAAGTAAACTGGGACATTTTATGGGCTTATTGTAGGTTTTTCCAACCTCCCGGAGTCTCAACTGGCTCATCAAAGTTACTCTGCCTGGATATCTTTGGGGCCAAAATAGTGGAGACCCAAATTCACAAGGAGGAAATCTTGGAGCAGAATCAGGAAAAAGTGGCTCATTGCTTCTTAGATTTACTTCAAAGATAATAGTGTAGGTGAAAGTAATCACAAGGTTCAGGGTGCTGCATTGGACAAACTGTCTATTTGTATAGCAACCATGTGTCTGTGTGGAGACCTTATACACTTGCTGTGTTTATTTGTCCATGCCCCACTATCTCTACGCCAGGTCCTGGAAGCACAGCCCAGCAGATGACTCACCTCTGGATGGAATCAACACACAAAGCAGATAAAAAGCTGAACATTAAAGACCACATTGTTAAAGCAGAGAGCCAAATTGTTCCTCCACCATTCCCTATCCCAGACTTCACATCTAACAAGGTTAATTTGTCCCTATAATTATGTGCCTATTCTTTGAGTAATGAAAAATTTTATTGTGGGTTTTATAAAATGAATTGCCTGTGATGTAAAACAATTTCAGTAAGGGCCATTTTTTTTTCTTCTTCTTAACCTCTCAGGTTCCTTTTAACTTTTTTTTTTTTTTTTTTTTTTTTTTTGAGATGGAGTCTCGCTCTGTCGCCCAGGCTGGAGTGCAATGGCAAGATCTCAGCTCACTGCAACCTCCCCCTCCTGGGTTCACGCCATTCTCCTGCCTCAGCCTCCCTAGTAGCTGGGACTACAGGCGACTGCTACAACGCCCAACTAATTTTTTTTTTTTTTTTTTTTTTTTTTTTGTATTTTTAGTAGAGACGGGGTTTCCCCGTGTTAGCCAGGATGGTCTCAATCTCCTGACCTCGTGATTCGCCTGCCTCGGCCTCCCAAAATGCTGGGATTACAGGCGTGAGCCACTGCACCCGGCCTCCTTTTAACTTTTAAGACTGTGCGCTCAGAGGTACGTTTGAAAGCAAGGCAGCATCCTATGCTTTACTGTAGCTAGAATGAGAGCAGGGAAAAGGGGAGAGAGATCCACAATGAAATACACACTCTTATTCTTGGCAATGGCAGAGTTGTTTGAAGCTAAATGACTTCTTATCCATTAAGCCATTTGTCCCAAAGTGATGATAGAAGATACTTTTGTGCCTTTTCTTTTCCAAAATGATGGAGTGATTTGCACAGTTTCAGATTCTAAACACTAATATTTTGTAGACCTGCCCATCTCCATTACTACTGCAAGTTATTCATTCAAGGTTTGCAGCCAGATGGATTAATGAATTACCAGATCTTGCATAAAATGACTTGGCCTGACTTAAACAACTACTTTTTTTTTTCTTTCTCCTTTTCTTTTTTTGGGGGTTAGGGTGGGGAGCAGTCTTACAATGGGTGTTAATGGGCTGTAGAGGGAGTGAGCCCCCATTGAGTTTTTTTAAACTAGCTTTTTTAAAGCTTCACTGCACTTTTTCATTCTTTTCTGAACTTCTGCTCAGAAACCGTCAGTTCAAGGAGGAGCAATCAGGCTGGTAGGGCAGAGAGGAGGAAGGAGACTCAGTAGTCAAATCCCTGGTGGCCGATGCCCTTCCCTGCGCCAAATCAGCATGATTTATCAGAGCCCTCTCTTCAGCACAGAGTTGAGAGTGAGTTCCAGGGTCCTCCTCACACAATATGCATAGCTGGAGCTCTGAACTTTGAAGGAAAGCCTCAGAGCTATTTGCAAAATGCTGGTGCTTAGTGAATACTAAATTACATTTAGGAAATAGTCTACTGCTACCAGTTATACTTCATTTTTATTCTTGACACAGACACCTAAATCAGAGAACAGTAACATTTCAGAGATTATGGAAGCAGTTTGGGTATGCTCCAGCACTATAATAGGATCAGAATTTTAAGGCCTTTTGTATTATTACCAATAGTCACTTAGTTTCTACTGCAGTGTACTTTGTAGGGAATTACAGCTTTTACTAAAAAGATTAAAATGCTATTATGCAAATGATTGCAGTATGTTATTATGTTTACAAATTAACATCCATGGCTCAACACACAAATTAACTAACTATGCTATCTGTGTTATTAAGGATTTAATAAAGTAACTGTTAATAAAAATGGGTAGCTTGGAACTTTAGTAGAAAGCAATTGTGATTTAACACGTGGAACTTGAGCATTGTGTTTAATGTTCTAGGTGATATAATGGTAAAATAAAGTTGAAAAAAGCACATAGAAAAACCAAAACTGTGTGAACAGCAGAGCTGCTTGCCTGAGAGGCTGATGAACGTGAACTAAATAGCTTCAAGCTACAATGTACAGTGGGCAGCATAGCAATAAATCTAAGCAAAGCACACAAAACATCTTCTATTAATAAATAGTTCATTGAAATGATAATTACCCTCCATTACGTGTTTGATATGTTCCATACACACAGAGAATACTTATATTATTCTAAAATGGATCTCAGAGCAAATTTTGCTGTGGCGAATGGGATTTAGCTGAAGAATATCGCTGGGTGATAAAAGAGAAGAAGGCTGGGTTCAGACTAAGATGGCTTTACAAACAGGCTGCAAATTGCTATTCCGGGCTGTTCATAAGAGATCATAAAAGCAAGGAGATAAGAGCCGCCAAGGTCCCTGAGAAATGAATGTATGTGATTATGTTATCTCGTAGGTTGGATTTACTAGACAGACCGACAACACCTTCACTTTAGCCCAACAGGAAAAGTAGAAAGAGATACAGGTTTGGATAACAAACTTTGTTAGAATAGGAAATTCCAAAACACTGTAATTCAAATGTTTCAGAAGAGAGCCAGGATTCCAGTCACTGACTTCTGTGCTGGATCTCAAAAAAAGAGCTAGGGATATGACCTAATATTAAGCAAATAAACAAAAAAGAAACAAAAGAATTACAAGAACATCCTGGAGAACTAATTCTATATTTCAAATATTTTGGACTGATGTTTCTTAATTCTCAAATAAAGATGTTGAGGACTTCTAAGTCCACAAACAATTATCTTTTTAGGTCTCCCTATTGAGGGATACTAACTTGAACTTCTTAGTAGGAATATCTGGATGTGCTTAAGAAATGTACAAGCAGGGAAGACACCGCAAAGTTGGTCAAGGTTTGTACCCTTGCATACAATACAAGCAATTTATTTTGTTCCAAATAGCACCTCTGTGGTTGCAAAACTACTTATGCAAATTTTTGATATCTAGCTTTAGCAAGGTGCCTGGTTCCTTCATTTCATCCCACATTTGGATAAATTGTGTTGTTCTTCACTCTTCCAAATTTGTCCTTGTGGAAGCGAACACTTGTAAATTGGTTGAAGCTTGCTAAGAGAAAGAAAGGGAGGAGGTAGGGAAGAGGAGGAAAAAACTTGACCAAAAGCAGTTGCTGTGACAGCTTATGATTTGATGGTTTGTGGTCTTGTCCTGTTCTCAGGCACCTGATCAAGAAAGTGGTACAATCCTGCTATGCAGACATTCTGGAAATCTTGCCAACATTCACCTGACATGACCAAGGTTTAAAGTCCTTGCTGTAATTTTACAAAGCGTAGTGAGAGTGTGTGCCTGTGTATGTGCATATACACTCTCTCATATCCTTTTTTTTTTTTTAGGGGGAAAAAAGTGATCTTTGCCATAGAAGGGTGGTAAAATAATTAGTCCAATAGACAAATGTCTTGGCCCATGTTTAAACAGAGCTTTAAGGACACAGTGTTCCCAAGAGTCACATATCTAAATACAAACCAGTGTCAGCTGCCATGCAGACCAAAATGTAATAGCCTGCTTTCACATAGGTCATCGTCAATCCATTTTGGTCGCAGTCACACTGCACATCTGTTTCTGCGAGCTGCAGCTTCTTAAGGTGGCATTTGGACTTCATCAGAACACAAACAACCAAGCTATAAATTGCCACTTCTGGAGTTACTTTGAATAAGTGTATACTGTTTCATATTTATAATGGTGAAGCTTCATAATATTCACAGTGAATATGTAACACCGATCAGTTCAACAAGCATGAAATTGTATGTTGTCAACCTGTCACATAAATAGAGTCATATTCTGGCTTGCGATAATGTTGAACTAACATTTTTTCCCCCAGAATTGTTGAGAGGTTCACAGAAAAGTGAGGAGGTAGCATTTCCTTTGGGTAGATAACCAGTCAAGGCTATTGTAAAGTTGATATTACTGTTGATGGGTTCCTTTTCTCCCCTCCCTCCAAAGCACTAGCTTTTCTCGGGTGAATGCTAATTGGCTAATCTGGTGTGTTTCTGCTGTCATCTAACGGTATCATTTTCAGCTAGTACTTGGAGGCTCTTTTTGGGTTGTGTATGTGTGAGTAGCTTTTTTTCCCCTTTAAAACTTCTTTTTTTTTCTTTCTATTCTTGTAGTGCAAATCAGTGCTAATTGTCATGAAATTCTCTAACTATACTCTGGCAAGCTTTCTTGTTGCCTTTTCACCCCAGTTAACTCTTAATGTATTACTAGAGCATTAGGAAATAATGAAAGCTGGACATTTTATTCAAACTTAGTTGAGATAGAGAATCATCTAAAGAGATGCAGAAAAAAATTATTGAACCAAATTTGCACCTTACTAAAAAGATAAAGGATGAATGAAATGTGCTTGCCGGTAGCTACGGAGAAACTCAGAGACCAGTTTCCACAGTGGCTGATATTTCTGCACCAGAGGCATGGTAGAAACTGATGCAAGTCTGTTTTCACTTTTGAGAAATTCTTAGATGTGTTCAACCTTCCTCATCTTTCTTCCAATGGCCTGAAGACAAAAAGGCATTGCAATCTGTATTACCCGCTTAAGCTGCTAACTTCAACACCTTGAGATAGTACTTCAGTTTCTCTAAAGCACTATGCAATATTACAGGGGATTATTACCAACACTTTTCTTTTCATCCCATATCACTTGGGATATGGCTGGTCACATTTTTTTCTTTATTTTTTATTTTTTATTTTTTATTTTTGAGACGGAGTCTCGCTCTGTCGCCCCGGCTGGAGTGCAGAGGCACAATCTTGGCTCACTGCAAGCTCTGCCTCCTGGGTTCATGCCATTCTTCTGCCTCAGCCTCCTGAGTGAGTAGCTGGGACTACAGGTGCCTGCCACCATGACTGGCTAATTTTTTTTTTGTATTTTTAGTAGAGACGGGGTTTCACCGTGTTAGCCAGGATGGTCTCTATCTCCTGACCTCGTGATCCGCCCACCTCGGCCTCCCGAAGTGCGGGATTACAGGTGTGAGCCACTGCACCCGGCCCACATTTTCTTAGACAAGAACCAATTCACTGGCTAAAGCTCTCAGTTTCCAACTTTTGCAACATCGTCACATTTCTTCTTGCCTGTGGATTTTAAAAGTTCATCTCTCACTTATTTACTTACCCATTCATCAAAATATAATTGTCATCCATTAGCATGCTTAGTGTCTGGCCATTTTAGGGGGATACAGTGGTTAAAAGTAAACCTAGTCTCTGGCTCCATGAAAATTTTGGTTAGTGATGAAGACAGGCCTTTTACAAATAAGATAAGCTGTCTGTTTGAGGAAGTAGAGCAGGGAATTTCTCCATCTGTCTGTTACCCAGTTATCACTAGCAGATAAATTCTGCCCTTCTCCTACTTATTGTCTTTAGAAATGCCTTCACCTTGAAATGGAATTCTGCTGGAGAGCATTTCTCCTAGCTAGAGGAATATTCTATTCCAAACCAAGATCTGTCCCACTGCCCCAACAAATGCAGGGCAGTGGGACAGAATATTTGAGGTTGGAAGACCTGAAATTTATGATGTCCTACACACAGTATATTAAAATAACAGTTTGCTCATTGGAAGTGCTGGGTGGCCAGGGAGTGTGGAGGGAAAACAAGAGGAAGCCAACCAAGGGAAGAGAGCAAGACCGTCAGTGGAGAGTTCTTTAACCAGTGTGCAAGTCTGACCTGACCAGAGTGCTGTGCCCTTGGTGGGGCTTCTATGGATGAGAACTGTTTGGTACCATTTTAGGTCTGTTGACCTTTCTATTTGAGAATGGTATTTCAGTCCAGCTGGAAGGACTGACACGCTTTTTGCCTGTTTGAGACACTTGGTGTATGTGGCTTTTCTCTCTCTCTCTTGGATCCATCATCTCTAAGTGATAGCTCCTTGCTTCATGGGGTAATGCTATTCAGGGGCTATCCTGCACCCTTGGGAGAGGCATGTGCAGGAAGAATGCTACCGATCCCTTTCCTCTTCCCTCTGGAGGTACCAGGCATTACATCCCTACCAAGCCTTACTCAATTAGGTCTCTTTCAGATTCCTATAATACTCGAGCTTAAATCCTCTTCTCCACAGTTCTTTCTGAGAAATTTATTTCTGCTTTGAAACGGCTCTTGTATAGGGGAAAAGTGCCTCTATTATAGCACTGCCCTTGGTTTTTCCATGGGCTCTTGGCTTAAGGACATTAGCTTCCCTGGGTGCCATCTCATTTGCTCAGATGTGAAGTTAGAGCTTCTGTATTCCAGACATAGTTCTCCTGGGTGTCCAGGGATCCTTGCCAACCCAGATTCTCTCCAGATATGTTCCCATGTCAGAATCCTCTTGTGTCTTGCCAGCCCATACTTAGCGGGGACACCCTGCTCTCTCCTCTGAGCTGCATATCTCAGCATGCATTTTTCATTTAGGCAATGCTGTCTGATAGGCAGGTTCACCTCCTATTCCCACTGGAGAAGAGTCTGGGCAAATGCCTGAAAGTTTGAACACAGCAATGCCATATAGGATAAGTGACTTCTTTTCCTTGCTGGTCCCCAATTCCAGGGCTCTGCGTGCAACAGATTTGAGAGTTACATTAGGTCACAATGCCACTGTCTAGCTCCTTTAATCCTATCACCGGCAATCCCAGCAATGTAGCTGAGGTGGCTGCCCCTGTCCTGAAGGACTTTGTGTCAGTTTCTCCTGGGACAAATCTAGTCTGGACCACTTTGCAACATTTGTTCAAACTGAAAATTTTGACAAAGACATTCTGTTCACAAAGAGCCAACAAATGTTCTGTGTTTCGATACATTTGGAGGTTACAAAATGTTGCCTGGTCTTGGCAGATAACTAAGTCTGGGGACCCACATAGTGCAAGCCATGCCCTGTTTAATTTGTCTTTCAATGGCAAATGTGTTTCTTCTGTGATTCAGCATAAGGGATGATACCCTCCAATAGGACTGTGTGACCTCCCTGCTGCTTTTGTGGTATAGAAAAGAAAAAAAAAAAAAAACACGGATACCACTTTTTTCCTTTAGTTGCTGGTTTATTTTTATTTCCAGCTACATCTTTTATAGTTGAAAGAGAAGATGTATGTTCCATAGATAGTACGCATTTTTATGGTTATTTTTATAATTCATACTGGAAAACCTAATTTCTGTAGCCATTAAAAATTTAGGATTATTAATTGTCTGAAACATAGGTGAGAAGTACACTGTTTTTAAAATGTCTCTGAGAAGCCAAACTAGATTCAGAAAAATTCCCTCAGATGGAGCACATTTTATTCCCAGATACACTTCTTCACCCCTCACTTAACGCTTGCTTCCTTTTGCTTTACTTATGATTTAAATGAATCCGGTTGTCTAATGTTCTATTCAATATGTGATGTTCTATGAGCACATATGACATTTGAAGAAATGGTTTAGAAAATTCATGAAATGGTGACAGTAAAAAGATAATGGTGAGCAGTGACAACTGACCAAAAGAGACAAGACTACAAACTACAGAAAGTTGACAAACCCTGAAAATATGACAGTCTGGGGCCTTTTAGTTTGAGGGAAAATAATCCTATATTTCTCAATAGGTCCATACAGTCATTTTGCAATACCAGACAGTGCTACCAAAATCAATCCTCATAATTTTTAAAGTGGGGAAAATATGTAAATACGTGATTCGGAAATCTTTCCATAAAAAAGTTTTAATAAAAAGTTTGGTGCTTAAGCAAGTTAAGTTCTTTGATTTATCTGCACCAGTGCCTATGTGGATTAAAGCCTGATCATGTGAGGAAATAGGTGAGGCATATATACAAACACAAACACGTAGTTTTAGATCTAACAGATTTTAATGGAGTTTATATATTATCCTGTAAGTGTTTCCTGTGTAGACTTTGATAATAAAGAAGAAAATGCTCCATGAAATACCGAACTTCATTTTATAATCTGTTAGATTACATCTTCCCTTAAAAATACAGCTATTGAAATTTTCTTGAATAAAGAGACCACTGGATTCTTTTTCCTTATCAATAGTAAAGCTTTTTGGCTACAGGGACGTTGGTCAAGACAAATATAGCTCAGTAGAGTTATCGTTAAGTAAGCAATTTCCCACATTACTTTAGAATGAAATCGCCTATACTTTTCTCCTTCATGGCTTTCCGTATTTATCCTACCCAGTCCTCAAATAAGCCACCACCCCAGCAATGCACAACTCACTTGTAAATATTCATCTGGAGCATACGAAATCGTAATATCACTACAGAGACTAACTGCCCCCCCGCCCACCCCGCCGTGCCATTTTCCTTTGGAGACTCTTATAAATAAATGAACAACCTTAGAGCTTTCAAAACAGTCATTAAGATCTGCTACTTGCCTTTGGATAAAGAATTTCAGATAATGTACAGGACTGGGCTTCCTAAATCTAATTTCTGTCTAAAAACCTAGGGAATGCTGTAGCTGTATCTTCTCTATCCAAACTCTCTTGACTGATTCTGGCACCTTTCACCTGAGAATGCACAGCTCAAGATTCTCTATACGGACCCAGAGCCTTGGTCGGGCCACAACCCTTCATTAATATTCAAACTTTGGCAGTTTCAAAGAATGCTGCCCTCCTCGACCACTGTGAGCAGTCCAGCTCCCCTGCTACTTTCTCTCATGCTTATCCTTTGTACGAAGACATCTGTGTCTTTCCTCATGTCTCTTTCAGGAGTAATTCTTCCCCTTGTTCAATTTTTTCCTTTCTCTTTATGGCTGTCGTAATAGCCCCTGATACAGCCAGGCAGCCATGACCCTGTCCATCACTCACCTGCAAGCTATTCTTGAACCACTGGATGGTCCCTGAGTGACTAGATTAATGGTGCCAGTGGTGAGCCTTTTCACCTGACCTTTCATCCAGTGACATACAAGCTGATTCCAGGCTGTGTGCAAGGCTGGCTGCCCTGCCATCTCTGCACCCTCCATGAAACCAAGCAGTGGAAAGGAGAGTATCCATGCAAATTAAGTGCAGAAGCAGGGATAAAATAAGGTGTGCAGTTGGGAGTTATCAGAAATTAAATCTGTCTTCCTTTGAGTGCCATTGGAAATGAGTCTTAAGGAATGAGAACTGAAAGGAAACTTTCCATAGACACCATTTCCATAAACGGTATTGTCACAATATGCTATTTTAAAGACTGGTTGTTTTGGTCTGTGTTTACATTAAGCCTTTACCAGGCATGGGATAAACTATTAAGTCCCGAAATTTAGGAAAGTATTTGTGGCCGTCTTTGGCACAAAGTGAATTTTTGTTGTCACATGTGCAAAAGAGCATCTTTTTCTTTCGTTAAGGCCTTCGAATTGTGGTTCAGCTTTCTAAGTAATAGCTTTTTGGCTAAATCTCTCAAGGTGCATTATAAACTGCATGAGGGAAAGAGGGACCTCATCACCTCCTCAGTCCCTAGCACAAAGCTGTGCACATTAAAACTCTCTCTAGTTTTTGTTAATGGACAGATTTACAGGGGCTCTACCAAATTCAGAAAGAGAGAGAGAATATAACATGACCTTCCCAGCCATTCAGACCAATCATGCTAAAAATAAGACATATCCAAGATCTGAGAACATGTTCTCCAAGAGATGGTTTATAAACAGAGCCAATAGTGACAGCAGTATGCTGTGTGTCTGCCAGAGTGTCTGTGAACTTACCCCCTAACTCAGCTACAAGACTTGCTGTTCAGATGAAGATATATGGAGTTGGGAGACATGTGGTTGTGTTAAGCGAATGTGCATTGGCGGGTAAAGGCGCTGCTATATGTCTACTGAAGACATAGAGCATTTACTCTTCTCTCCCCGAGAAGAGGAAAGGGCTCTGCCACTCAATGAAGAGCTCAGGAACAGGTACCTTACCGGGGTTCCAGAGCATGAAAGTAAGTGTGTCTCTGTTCAAGGAACCCGCTGTTCCCAGGAAGCTCATGCAAATGCATGGCCACAGCTTCCCAACACGCTGTTCCCAGCACTGTGCCCGTATTTCCTGGCTGGTTTTGACCCTCTCAATGGATTCAGACTTAAAATTTTTGCAACTGTTTTTGTCGTTGTTGTTGTTGTAGTTTCCTCGTTTACGATTGTAATGAAAACAGTTTACCTCTTGTGGAAAAGTGTGCATGATTGTACAAGTTTACTGTGCCATACTTGTATCGCAGTTGCCTTATTTTTGGAAGAATCAAGCTTAGGGGCTAGAAAGAAATCCTGGGCTGGGGAATGATGGGTAATTTCTCAAGGCATTCAGATCTTTCAGAAGTTGTGAATGATTCTGACCTTACTTTCATTTATAGTCTGTGATCATTGGAACCAGGATGCAAAAATAGCAGAGAGAGGATCTCCTTCACCTTAATTCCCTGCCCTTTTCTGGTATCTGTAGTACAATTGACTATATGGACATCACTGCTATTTTAGCAAAAGCTGGTGAGTTATCTTTTTTAGACGGGACAGTCTACCCAGTCCAGGATTTTAGTCTGACTGTCATGTTATAATTCAGTATGTTCCTATGCAGGATGCTCTAATGCAGAGACTGATTTCATTCATTCTTAAACTGACCCATTTATCAACTATTTTAAAAAGCAACAACTACATGCTAGGCACTAATTTAAGTGCGCATAATACAAAGATGTATTAAGTACATAATGCCTACGACACAGAATTTTCCCTTCAGGAGTTGGTTGGCTAGTGAGAAAGACAGACTTCGGCAACTAATTATAAAATAAGGGGATGCATTCTGTATTAAAGTCAGAAATGAAGTACCATGAAGACACACATAGAGGAGTAAAAATGTCCGTGAAAAGGGTGAGAAGAGAGGAAATTTGATAATTGTTGCTAGATTTTTTTACTCGTGAGTCTTCAATAAGTCAGAAGTTAAATACCCTCTTATTTATTTATAAAATTTAGCAAACTGCACTTCCCACCTCTTAGGAGGAAGACAAGAAAAAGGATACACATAGTAGGTTCTTAATAACATTTGAAAATAAATTTGCCTTCTAACAAGTCCCGTCTACATTGCACTCCGCAGTTCAATGGCTCATTAGGTTTTAACAAAAGCAGCGCAGCAAAATAAGAAGGATTCTTGAGTCAAGCACCCCCGGGCGGTATCTCTGAGAGCAAATGTGACAAATAGAATCAGAAATGAATTAAATAGTCAGCTACAGCAAGCCAAGCTAAAAAAAAAAGCTCTGAAATGACCCAAAATGGAAACGTATTACAGTTATCTGCATTCACAGTACCGAACAAGTTTGGTCGTATTTAAGATAATTCTCTAGTGCCTGCTATTTTTAGCTCAAGGGTAAGCTCCTGTAAGAGTCTTTCGGCATTGCATCCCTTTAACCTGGCCTAACAAACTAAGCCAATAAGCTGTCTGATTTTCCTGGTCCATCAGGGAGGAAGAGAGATAGCTAAAACAAACCATTTGCGGGGAAAATGTTCGGCCTATCTTGTGTTAAGAGCTTTTTTCATATAGATTTTTAAAACATCCCAATATTAAGTGTTGCCTGTCAGAGACCAAAATGTCAAGCTTTGCTGTTTTGAAATTGGAGGCTCATGGTTATAAAAAGAGGATTTTATAGGCCTAGTCTAATGGAAATAAACATTACTCCATTACCTTCAGTAAAACCAAATCTTTACAGTTCAAGCTATCATTATTAATGTCTATGAGAAGAAAGAAATGTTTCTAGGGCTTTATTTATTTTTTTTAGGTAAAGAAAGGCGAGCTGTACCATAGCAAATGAAAGTTTTCTTAAAGCTTTCTCCTCAGTGACTTTGCAGTGTGTAATTTAAAAGCAGAAAGCAAAGAAAATGCAGTTTTAAAACACTAGGCTGGCTATTCCTGGTATCTTTCTTTCTTACATATTCACAACTCTTTGTGAGCCTATTGCTCTGTCAATTCTTGTCTGTCTGTCTCTATATAGTGTATACAAACAACTTCATCAACTATTATTCACCACCTTCTAAGTGCACATGTACATGTGTGCGTGTGTGTGTGTGTGTGTAGGAATAAATGTGGGCTGTCTCAGTTTAAGCCATATAACTGCATGTGTAGATTACAACACTTAACAATATACTAGTTTCCACTCATTTCATCAGAAACCATGCTGCTGATCATCAAAGTTTAAGACTGTTCTCAGGTTGACCAGTTTACCTACATTCTGAAGCCTGCATTTGCCAATTTAGTGTGAAATAGATTTCAGCCGCAGATGCTACCTGTGAGGCAATTAATCGCCAGATATTTCTTGAGTTCATATTATTATGTGCAAGGTGTTATGCCAGGTGCGGTAAGAGGTGGAAAGGTGTCTAACACAAGGCCTCAGTCCTCAAGGAGACTTGTCACTGAACTGCAGAAATGAGATACCCATGTTGATAGAATGCCACCCAAGGAAATTTTAAGACATTTATAGAGTCCCTACTGTGTCCCAGACACCATGCATGGGTCTTCTCTCTTAATAGATCTGATTCTACCTGAATTACCAGCCTTCTCATAAACATTTTATTGGGGCCGTGCTAAGTGTCAATCACTACCCTTGGTTATGTGTGATTTCTGTCTTCCCACAGATGAGGAACTTAGGACTTAGTATTTAACCAGAACTCAGATTTCCTGGTTCTTACTGCTTCTCCTCAGTGTCAGAGAAGAAATGGGTATTTTCTATCAGGAATCCTCAGAAACGCTGGCCAGTCACATTGCCATGTTCAAGGATATATTTGCTTGACTGAGGTGGTCCATTGATGGTTGAAGGATCAAGCTGTGACTCTTTCTTTTCTTTTGGAGGCAGTCTCACTCTGTTGCCCACACTGGAGTGCAGTGGTATGATCTTGGTTCACTACAACCTCCACCTCCCAGGTTCAAGTGATTCTCCTGCCTCAGCCTCCCGAGTAGCTGGGATTACAGGCGAGCACTACCATGCCCAGCAAATTTTTTGTGTTTTTAGTGGAGATGGGGTCTCACCATGTTGCCCAGGCTGGTCTCAAACTCCTGAGCTCAGGCAATTCACCCACCTTGGCCTCCCAAAGTGCTAGGGTTACAGGCGTGAGCAACCGTGCCTGGCCAGTGGTGCCTCTTTTTTGCAGAGAACTGCTGGTTGCAATTGCAACTGCCGTCTGCTGTCAATGAGGTCTTTGGTGCTTTGCAAGCTTGCTGCTGATCTTTAGTCCCCTTTAAGACGGGCTGTTAATCTTTAGCACAAGGCTGACTCTGCAATACAGCACACACCAGGTTGCCTAACTTCTTGTTTATGTGCTCCCAGGGATCAGAAACCAGTTTGCTGTTTCCCCCTAAAACCACAAGCCTTGGGGTCATTGTCTCTATCTGTCCTTTGTTCTCCATGTACAGTCTGCTGCGAAAGACTTTCCTCTTGTTCTTGAGTGCATGTTCACCATCTTCCTCCATCATTTCCTTTGAACCCTCAGTAACTCATACTTAGGTGATTTAGCCTTCCTCTCCCCTGCCAGGGCTGGTTGCTGCTACTCCTGAAGGTATACTACCCCACACATACCATACTTGATTGTTAAACCAAACATTATTTTTCAGCATCTGCTGTGTACCTAGAATTTTGCCGGAAACCATGATAATTACAGACCAAGTATATGGGCTTGGGATTCCCTTCCTTTGGGGATGCCCAGCTGTATAAGGAGGCAAGACTTACCCGGGTGACACAATCAGACAATGGGTAAAATGTAGATAGTAAAATGTGGACAAAGCCCTGTTCTAGGCACCATATAAATAAAAGAGACAATGAATTAGCCCCTGCCTTCAGTGTCCTTAAAAACTAAGGAAACATGTGAGCATTGGCCTGATATTAACAAACTACTCTAAGAATTTTAGAGGTGGGAAGAGATCTGTGAAACCTATGAGTGAAGAGGGAAGCTAATGTGGTGGAGGTTGCCTTTGAAATAGATCTTCAAGGCTGGGTCCAGTGACTCACACCTGTAATCCCAGCACTTTGGGAGGCTGAGGCAGGTGGATCACCTGAGGTCAAGAGTTCGAGACCAGTCTGGCCAACCTAGAGAAACCCTGTCTGCACTAAAAATACAAAAATTAGCCAGGCGTGATGGCACGCGCCCATAATCCCAGCTACTGGGAAAGCTGAGGCAGGAGAATCACTTGAACCTGGGAGGCAGAGGTTGCAGTGAGCTGAGATTGCGCCACTGCACTCCAGCCTGGGTGACAGAGCTAAACTCTGTCTCAAAAAACAACAACAAAAAAGATACAGATCTTCAAGGTGTAGAGAGATTTCCATGGACGGAGAGGAAACGTGGGCATTTTAGACGTCGGCTTTCATCTCATTATTATTTTAACACATATTTATCACCTACTATGTGCACGGATTTATGCTAGATGTTGGAATAAAAAACTGAACAGGATAGAGACAATGCTATGAGCAACACAGTAGTGGTGAGGAAAGACCAAGTGATGACTGGGGACTCATCTAATAGAGCAGCAGAGAAAGTAGATACAAGTGAATGGGATCTTGGAATTGTACTAAATTAACATGAGGGGAGATTTCATCTAGCATGCTCATTTCACAATGGAGAAACTGAGGCCCAGGCATGTGAAGTGACTTGCATAAAGAATATCAAGGTTAAGTCAGGAGGAGCAGAAAAAAAGACAATATGGGGTTTGTTAGACACCAGGGACTCTTAAAAGTTATCTGGTGGCATCAGCGAAGAAAGGTTATCTTAGAGCTTGCAACCAGGGGCCTGGTGAGGAAGCTGTTGAGGTTTTCAGGCTTGAGGTCATAGAGCTTGAATTAGGGGGTGATGGTGACAATGAAAGGAAGGAATGCATATGGCAGACTTCCCGAAGGAAGGATCAATAAAGATTGTTGTCATATTAAGTGATAGGTTGGATGTTGTGGTGAAAAAAGGGAGGAAAAATGGCTGTGGTTTCAACCTTGGGTGATTTGGAGAATTTGGGCTTGGTTAACAAAAATGAGAGAATGAGAAGAGGACATGTTTCAGGGAAGGCGCAGAGAGGAATGTGATGCGCAGATTGTAAAGCAGGTGGGGCGGCTGCTATTGGAAGGAAGTCCATGAACAATATGCGACGATGGAGCTCTGGAGAAGTCATGGAGTGCTTGATAAGGAGGGGTGTCTTCAAGAACATTGTTTATTTGGCAAATAAACTGGAGGAAAGATTTAAGGGATCCCCTTTTGCCCCACATAGTAAAGATTTTTCTCTTGCTTTGAGTTTGATAATTCGCCAGGCTTCTTCTTGCCAATAATAATAATACTACAGTAGCTTTGGGCTTGCCCAGCACTGGACTCAACATCTTAAGACAATGTTAAAAACATAGTTTTACAGAGTTTAATTAAAAAAATAAAAACTAGTCTTATCTAATTCTCATAATCACCATGATGGGTTGAAAGTGTTACCTCATTTTACAGTTTGGAAAGTGAGGCTTAAATAAGTAACTTGCCCAGGGCCAAGTTACAGAAAGTAACCAGAAGAACTAATATTACCTAACTCCAACAGTCAAATTCGTAATCATTCCCTTACACTGCTTCCCAATTAATACCTCTATTGCCAGGCACTACGCTTCTCATCCCCTCCTACTCCCAGCTTCTTTCAAATTTTCCAAATGCCTGGAATTATTTCTGTCTTCTTGTTTGCAATTTTCTCAAATTTTAAAATCACAGGAACCTCTCAAATTCAGGAAGTGTTCCCTGATTAATTCCACCTCTACCTAAACATCTAGCAGAGACTTGACCTGACTTTGTCCAAGTAGATTTTGTATTATTTAGTGGAGAGATCAGCATGAATCTGTTCAGCCACAGACTGGTCAACAGATCAGTTCATGCCCTACTGACCACAGAGCTGTAGACACTTCCATTTGCAGAGGCTTGTACTTAAAAGCATATATTAGAATTGTGAAACTGGGCACTGTTTGTGACATTCTTCATCCTCACTGTGTATGTGGTTGATACTCGTTGACTGATTGACTAAGATTTTTGCTGGCATTTGGTTGAGAAGGAAGGCAATTACCAAGTATTGATAATGCATCTTAAACCTAGCTTTAAAGTCTTTTATTGAACTCTTGGGCATGTCTTCATACTAAATTCAGTAGAATATGCCTGTTAGATAAGTCTCCTGAGAGACAACTTTAGTGAGGAATATAACTCTTTTTAAAATGCAATGGAATATATGTATATTTCCCCAAATAAACAATTTCTTACAAATTGCACGTAGCTGTGATCATTCCCCTTCCTTTAGTGGGCAGCAAATCATGTTGCATTTGTGTTATGCATTTTTTCAGAAATATTTTGCCTTTTTTTTGTTTCTGGACCAAGGAGTCAAACCATGCCCCATTCATCTTTTTCTTATATACAATTCCTTGCACATAATAGGAGCTCAGTAAATATGTAACACTGCATGGTATTCTCTCACCTACATTATAAGCAGGGATAATGGCTTTTATTTCTTTTGGTTCCTGTGTTCTCCTAGCAACTCCCTGGTTTCTAGTTCAACATTATGTCCATAAAAGGTACTCAGTAGCTGGTGAATGAAGGAATGAATGAATGACATTTAACTTGTGATCATCTAAACCATTACTAAACCAAATTGGAAATATTTTTAGGGGACTGGGAAAATTACCTGGGTAACATGAGCTGTTGAGCAGCTTCTGGGCTGGGTCTGGTGACTGTATCAAAATCTTCAGATACGTCAGTAATTCCACTTCAGCATGTTCATTCTTTGTTTCGAATAATACAGGTTTTTGTGCATTGATGTTTAAGATAAAGTGGTGCCTATTTTGCATTTCTAGTTATGTTTACAAAACAGTGTTTTATTGCTGTCTAAACATGAGAGTGCTCTCAACCACTCCCACTGCAGCACATTGAGAAAGGGCTGTTAGGAGTCTTTGCCCTTAGTTTGAAATATGTTGTACTTAGAGGTCGTAGTGTTCTGGTTTGGGTAGCAAATTATTGATCAGGGTATTATGGTAACAGCTGTACTGCTGATTGGATGAAGATAAATATCCAAGCATGCAACTGGTATTACCTGACATTATTGTTTTTCCTGGGAGCCTAGTCATCCCAAGGGGGTTTTATAAGAATGGTCAGAAGGTAAATATTACCAAGAGTCTAGTAGGCAGAGTGCAAGCCAGTGGTACCCAATTCTCTCCATTCACCACTATTTGAATTCTGGCCCTTGTGTTTTCCTGCATTCATCTTTTGACTCTTTATTTAGATTTCCTTGACTTTTTAGAATTTTTCTTTTGTTCCTTGCTTCTTTGGCTTCTTGCTGAGGTATTTATTTTTTGAAGGATTATCAGGAAACAATAGCATTGCTTGTAATCTCTCTGCCATTGAGTTTAGTGGTGCTTCCTCTGCTGTTATCAGAGACTTATTTTAAATAGCATTATTTGTTACTGTATATATTTAAGATATAGAACATTATGTTTTGATTTACAAACACATAGTGATGATTACCGTAGCCAAGCAAATGAACACATCCATCACCTCACATAGTTACTTTTTTTTGTAGTAAGAGCACCTAAAATCTACTCTCAGAATCCAGTACAATATTACTAACCATAGTCCTCATGTGGTACATTAGATCTCTAGACATATCCATCCCACATAATTGCAATTTGTACACTTTGACCTTTATCTTTCCATACCTTCCCCTCCCCCCACCCCTGGTAACCATCATTCTACTCGTTTATTTTTTGTTTTTAAGGTAGGGTGTCTCTTGCTCTGTTGCCTGGGCTGGGTGCAGTGATGTGATCATTGCTTACTGCAGCCTCAAACTCCTGGGCTCAAGCAGTCCTCCCATCTCAGCCTTCCATATAGCTAGGACTACAGGTGCGTGCCACCACACTTGGCTAATTTTTAAATTTTTTGTAAAGACAAGGTCTTACTATGTTGGCCAGGCTGCTGTTGAACTCCTGGCCTCAATCAATCCTCCCATGTAGAGTTCCCAAAGCACTGAGATTGTAGGGTTGAGCTACTATGCCCCACCTTCTACTCAAAGATTTCTTAATTGTCTAACTCAAAAGCCCTTTTTCAGGTCCCCATTCTTCTTGAATTTTCTGTGCTACTTGAATATTCCTTATTGACCAGGCTACATGAAAATTCTTTCTCTTTTTTGGTGTTATTTTATTTTATTTTATTTTATTTTATTTTATTTTATTTTATTTTATTTTATTTTATTTTATTTTATTTTATTTTGAGACGGTGTCTTGCACTCTCTCCCAGGCTGGAGTGCAGTGGTGCCATCTCGGCTCACTGCAAGCTCCACCTCCCAGGTTCCTGCCATTGTCTTGCCTCAGCCTCCCGAGTAGCTGGGATTACAGGCGCCCGCCACCACGCTGGGCTAATTTTTTGTATTTTTACTAGAAACGAGGTTTCACTGTGTTAGCCAGGATGGTCTCGATCTCCTGACCTTGTGATCCACCCACCTCGACCTCCCAAAGTACTGGGATTACAGGCGTGAGCCACCGTGGTGTTACATTTTAAATATTTTGAATTTTTGTTAATGTTCTTCTTTGCAGTCTCCCAATTTCCTTCCCTCTTCTTTGAATACATCTTCTCTCCTTCCTTTGCTGGAAGACCCTAAATGTACCTGTACCTTCCCCTTACACTTTCAGCATTCAGGCCAACTAGAGATAATTGGACAAGCCAAAGATCATGTCTGACATGGCTCGCTAGTGGCTCTGTGTCTGAATGGGTTGGCATCATCTTTAAGAATCTTGTCTTGGCCTAACTTGGGACTGACATTTTAAGCATTAAAACTCTTCACTAATTAACAGAGGCAACCTAAAGAATAGTTTTTGAAATGATGCTTGAGTGTTCTCTTACTACATTCCCTGGGAATATTCCCTGGAAAGCCCACAGAGTTGATAATGTATTTGAATCATGTACTGGAATGGGCTAGTATTAAAAGTTATTACAATACTATTTTAATTTATATTTATAAACTTATTTATTTGTATTATATAAATTTATATTTACATACTTTAATTTATGTTTATATTTAATTTATTCTACAAAATATAAATATAAATTTACACTTTAAATCTATATAATTTATATTTATATAAGTATATATTTATATACCTTAATTTGTATTTATATTTCAACTCAGCCAGTCCATAAAACTTGTAGTTATTTTTCCTGTCTTTCTAAAAAGGCTAAAAGGCAAATGTTCTGCAGTATGGAACTGAGTCTCCGAGTTAAGAGGTTTGCCAGGTAATTGCTAGCAATGACAAAGGTGAGATTTGACTGTCAATTTTCTACCTTTCTGAACATTAGACAGACTTCCAATATTCACATATCATCTCTATGTGGCATTTTCCAGGACTTTCTTAGGTCTTCAAAAACCAAATGAGGGACATATCTCTACTTCACAATGAGGAAACCAGGACTTAAAGGGGCTTGCCCAAATTCCCTGAGGTCAGCAACCTTCTCTTCTCTTTGTATCCCAAGAACCTAAAGGCAATGGTAGCAAGATGGTTAGGAGACTGGGCCCTGTAGTCAGACATGCCTGCCTTTCAAATCTTAGCTCTACCACTGACTTGCAGTAGGACCATGATTATCTTTTTTCTCCTTTTGTAAAATAGTGCCTGCCTCAGGGTTATTTATTCATTCAGCAAACATTTACTGATCACCTATCATGTGTGAAAATGTTCTAGGAATATAGTAGTGAACCAGGGAGTAAAAAAAATCCTGCCCTCCTGGAGCTTATGTTCTAGTTGGTTGTTGTTAAAATTAAATGAGACAATGCATTGAAAATGTCCTGTATAGTGCCTGGAATAGAGGGGGTATGCATTTTGACAGAATTAAGACAAAGTCTACAAACTCCTGGAAGTAATAGCTTTTGCCTTTCCTTGAATCTATAAAGATAGCAAATGTAATATTAATAAGTCCTTTACTTTTCCAAGAACCATTTCATTCCACGGAAAGCCATAGTAGTATTTAGCCATAGTAGTTGTTTTTATAATTTAGCCATAGTAGTTGTTTTTATAATTTAGAGTTCTTTGGTTGCAAACAATGGAATAGAAAACAAAGAATCAACTCTAGCTTCCTCAAGCAGAAAGGCAGAAGGATATGTATGGCTGATGGAATTGATGAGAGGGTGTTGAACTAGGCTTAGTACCTAAAAGACCTGGAGCCTGGGAACTAAACTGCAAGAGGAGTCTCATCACGATTCAAATGTCAATAGGTTTTCCCTATTCTGTGCTAGCCCTGGAGTGGTGAGAATAGTGTGAGGCTTTTGCTTACTGGCTCTCGGTGTGTATCCAGTCAAGGAGGGATAATTCTGTGAAAGGAAAGTGTGGTGCATTTACAAATCTACTGGGCAGTCAAGAAACAACCAGTGACAGTTCTGAGGTCTTAAAGCTGGATGAGTTATACTGTCAGCACAAAGTGTTTGACATTAAGTAAAAGAATGGGGTTCTTGTTCCCAACTAAACAGTGGGAATTCTACCACCCAGTGGCTATCCTCTGAAATTCCATGAATTGAAACTAGTGCTTATGATTTAGTTAATATACATTTATCTGTATGCATATGCAGATAAATGTATATTTATCTATTTAGTACATAAAATCTATTTAGTACGTGCGTGTGTGTGTGTGTCACACACACACACGCACATACTAAATAGATTTTATGAAACTTCATCCCTGGCTTTATTTGCCAAAGGCGAGTCCTCCATCTTGTGGTTTCTGCATCTCTTTGGCATTTGTCACTATGCACTTGTTGCCTTTTATATTGTCACAGGAATCCCAGAAACACCTATAGAACATCAGTGATGAGCATCTTCTGTGAGTCCAGTGGTGCACTGGCTCTGGGAATATGGAGAGACCTGTTACATTACCTTCTATAATTACATGTATTTGCTATTCCTGAGAAATCATTTGTGTGTCTCTGCCAGGAAACATTAGCCTTTCCATTTTTTAAGTTTTCAAATAATATATGTAGAAATAATATAAGGAAAGTACATAGTTCAATGCTTGCACTTAATTGATAGTCAATAAATGGCAATTTGTTGACATTCCAATACCTTGAACTTCCTGGATAGCTCTGTAAAACGGAAAGTGTCCTTGGGAACAAAACTGCACAAGCATGCTGGTCAAGATTCAAATTCCAGGGAGAAGGTGTTCAACAGCCTGCCCCTGGGCTCTGTGCCAGCCTCTCGGTGATGAAGGGAGAGTCCGGCTTCTGTTATTGGCTCCCCAGTATGTATTCAATGTGTACCTTTAATCAAAGGTAAATTCCATGAGGGAGGGGCCATGCCTGTTTTATAGGCCACTGTATCTTGCATGTAGCAGTTTCTAGCACATGATATGCACCCAAGAAACATTTGTTGGAGAAATGACCAAATTGGGATTCTCTCTACAGAGGCTAAAGGGAAATGACTAAGCTACTTGCTGAGTGGCTATCATTAGTGCATAATTTTCAAAAGCAATCATAGAATGGGCAAGACGTTTAATCTCTGTCATGAAATGTAACCTTTAGAGGGAAGACAAGCAATCACAATGTGACTTCTCCGAGTGTCCTGCAGCTTTGAGCATGGCCCGGGCCTCTCTCTGATGGGGCTGATGAAAGCCAACGAACAAAGGCATTTTGTATGTTAAAACAAACCACATTTAGTCAACAGTGTTTGCAATGACTAATCCCTGGTAAGAAAACACCAAGAAGTGGCCTACACCTCAAAAAATATAAGCACAGAGAATTCTTTCTTGGAATACTGGCTGCAAAAGTTCAGCGTTTGGCATTTGCAATGATTGCTGTTTGATTTTCTTTATGGTTGTGTTGGCACATTCTGGAAAGTCAGGAAGCTCAAGTATATACTGTGGGAGCTCTATGGGGTGGGAATAGGAGATATACAAGCTTTGTTTTGTATTATAACTATTGCAACACATTTCCAAATGTCACTTTTTGTCCATGGTGGGAGAACCTGGGGATAGTTCAATGTCAGATGGTTTCAAGTGACATAACACTAGTGCAGTAATTTATTTATTCAATTATTGTTTATTAAGTGTCTACTATATGTTGAGTCTGGTGACACTTTGGTTTTTCTGTGTTTAAATTTTATTGTTTCATTCTGATGTAGCACATCCCTTCCTGCATCTCTTTGCCAGCCTAATTCCTTATAACAATCCAGACTTCCCCTCCTACATCACTTCTCCCAAACCACCAACACCTGGCACCCTACCACAGCTTAGGTGCCTCTGATGTGGGCCCTGTAGAAGCTTTACATTCTCCCAGGATTTCTCAATCTGCCTGTTTCTTATTTGTCCTGTCTCTCCCATGGGATGAGAAGCTATTTAAGGGTCTGGGCTGTGGTTGTCACTAACCCAGTATCATTACTTAACTCAGTGTCTGAAATATAGTCGGTGCTTATTAAGCATATATTAAATGCATGCAGAATATGGAATTAAATAAACCTGAAATTATTTTTTGGAGTACATTATACAATGCACAAGAGTAGGCATTTTTAGAAGCATCGAGCATAGTAGGTCCTTGCTTGTCCCAAGAGAGCGTTCAGTTAGCTAAGTAATCCTCATATATTTGACAAATGCTTTCTGAATGCCAATTATGTTCCAGTTTACCATCTATTTGGAAGTAAAGATAAGTATTTTAAAATATAACTAACATTAAAAGTCTTGAGTGGTAAAAGCCAGATTCAAATAAGACAGTGAAGGGTCAGGGGTTGCATGGGTATATTAGTCCAGTCTCACTCTGCTGCTAAAGACATACCTGAGACTGGGTGATTTACAAAGAAAAAGAGGTTTAATGGACTCACAGCTCCATATGGCTGGGGAGGCCTCACAATTGTGGCAGGAGGTGAAAGGCACATCCTACATGGCAGCAGACAAGATAGAAAATGAGAGCCAAGTGAAAGGGGTTTCCCCTTATAAAACCATCGATCTCATGAGACTTACTCACTACCATGAGAACAGTATCGGGGAGTGCGCCCCCACGATTCAGTTATGTCCCACTGGGTTCCTCCTACACACGTGGGAATTATAGGAGCTACAATTCAAGATGAGATTTGGATGGAGACACAGCCAAATCATATCAGTGGGTGAGGATATCACTTAGGCTGGTAAAGTATTTCAACCTAGTTTATATTGGAAACAGGCCTTTCTTTCCCTTCCTTCCCCTTTTTTTCTTTATAGCTTCTCATTCATCCATCTGGGATTTACCCGGTGTCTACCATATTCCAAGCATCGTATTAGATACTTGGAATATAAAAATGAATGACACACTCCAACCTCAGGAAATACACAGCAGTAAAAAAAAATTTTAAAGGTGAATCTTGCCTTTGAACCAAACAGTTTAGTACAGTGTTTATTTTCAGTATAAAAACTCATATTTGTGGGACAAGGCCATCTTCATTTATATAGTTCTTATTCCTTCTCTCAAATTATGTTTCTTGGCCAAGTCTGTGGAACTGTTGGACTGTATGGCCTCTCAGTCAAGCCAGACACAGCTGAGAGGCCATCGGAAACTTGTAGGAATTTCCGGTAATTGGATAGGACCATAATCAAATTTTATATGAAGTCTGGATGTGCTGATGATGTGCCTTCATTTCCCAGGTCAGAGGGAAAATCTGGATGCCTTAATACACCCAAAGGTTAGGAGAGGCCTTTTCTGAAATTGTTTTCAAAGGGATTTCCATGACCAAAATAACATAACTATGCTAAAAATTCTGTGACCTGATAAGAAATCCCTTGCCTGGATTCCTGGCAACATTACTTAAAACTAAAAATGATTCTCTCTTCTCAGAACTAACACTCAGTATCGGACTGACTTATCTGACACTTGTCATGTACACATGGCCTTGTGTCATTAGTTGTATTTTCACTGCTCCTGTCTCACTCCCTTGACTAGATTATAAACTCTTTGAGGCTAATAAAAATAATACAGACAATAGCTAATATTTATTGAGGGTTTCTATGTGCCAGGCAGTATTCTAAGCACTTTATACGTTTCATTTAATTTTTACAACAACCTGTGAGGCAGGTATTTTATCATTATCTTCCCTGTGTATGGGGAACTGGTCCCAGACAAGTTCAGTAGCTTGCCCTAGGTCCCCAATCCTAGTAATTGACAGAGCTAGGATTCATGCCCAGGCAGTCTGACTGTAGAACCTGTACCCTTGTTTACTTTATTGTTTGTCTTCTCTAGATGTCTTGTGCTTTACTACATGCTGACTTGCATGTGGAAGATACTCCAGAAATTAAATCGTTGTTTTATCAGATAGTTTTCTAAATGTCTCATAATCCTATCAAGTTTCTGTCTATCCTTCTGGGTAGGAGATATAAGGCAGTTGTTATTGTCTTAATATTCTTGGTGAGAGTATAAAGGATAAGGGTTTATTTCAGGTACAGCAAAGAATTTTCTACAGAAATCCCTCCTCATTATCACCACTGAAAATTCACAGTGCCTAAGTGCTTATCAGGTTCAAATATGATGGAAACCTGTCCCATCTCCAAATTTGAGATTCCTCTTGTACACATCTAGGACATTTGAGTACCTCCTCAAAATGTGTCTCATTGATCTGAGGTAACATAGCAGATGTAACTTAGGAAGTCTTTATTTTCATTTCTTTAACAAGTAATAGTCCTTTGGACCATTGTAATAGAACACATAAAGTATAATGACCCTAAGTTAATGTTGTTTTATGCTTTATTTTCTGTACCATGTTTCTATCTTACATGTCTCTCACTTTTCCCCCTTTAAAAGATGTTCTAGGGAGTGCCTGCCACTAAAAACTAACCCCTTTCTGTACTTTCCTTTAATCGAACTATGAAATTTTGTGTATTTAAAAATTTTGATTGTATTTTGCTTTCTATAATGAAAACCTTCTTCTAATATAGAAAACCAGTATCCTAAATGCTAAATGCTTAATTAAAAAAATTCTTTTACAAATTTCTTATATAAAAAGGAAAACCTGTGAAAGGAAATCTCTCAGCTCCAGAATCAAATTAACAAATAATTTTGATTGGAATTATTTCATGCAGACCATCCTGTTAACCTGCAAAAGACAAAGTGCATTATAGTTTTTTTTTAGGGCAGTGATGATGTAGCTGGAAGTTGAAATAATTGGTGTACAAATACATGTGCAAACACGCACACATGCATATGCCTGTCTGGGTCATGTGTCTTGTACATATCTATTTCCCTAAAGGCTGATAAAAATGTGCTCACGAAAAGATAAAAACTAGGCTTTATATGGTAAGTATAAAACATGGCATGATGCTGTATAATACTTTAAAAGAGTTATGTTGGTGTGCTTAACCAATATTTCATGGGAGAAGAGAACTCGAATAGGATCTTAAGCTTTAGGATTTCTATGAAGAAAAAAAAACGGAGAAAACTATTTTATAGTGAAGATACCAAAATGTGGAGGTAGAAAAATGGGGGAGGGTGGATTTTTAAAACGACAATCAGAGGAGAGTGACTCCAGTGCTCATGGGAGGTAGGCAGGAAAGAGAATGAGTGATGTGGCCTTGATGGGGAGCAAGTACAATGAAGACTGCCATGAAAATTCTATGTCAGGGCTGTAGGGGTGGAGACAGTGGAAATCTGAGGAGAGCAGCCTCTCTGTAAAGTGATCAGCTCCTCCTCAAATCCCAGCTTCTCTAGATCTTCAGATTTATTTTTTAAAAGCAGAAATTTCAGATACAATTTGCGGTTCAATAACTGTTGTTAAGTAATCTAATAATGTTTAAAAACCTTTTGTAGGCAAAACCATGCTCACCAAATGAAACGTATGTCTGGACTGGTTCCTCCTGAAGACCTCTAGTTTGAAACTTGAGCTAGAAAGAATGAAATAATTCTACATTTTAATTCAAAATGTTGTGGTCTGCCTCCTTAGTGGGGATTAATTGTAATGGAACAGAATATTTATGCCCTGCATGATGGGGACAAGTAGAAAAATGTGCTGAATTGATGGAGAAAACTAGAACCTGGCTTCTGAAACTCTTGGTTGTGGACCAGCTTGAGCATTACCTGGACGCTTGTTAGAGATTCAGAATTTTAAGCTATACCCTAAACTTCCTGAATTAGCATCTGCATCTTAACAACATCTTCAGGTGATTCATATGCACATTAATGTTAAAGAAGCACTGGATGTAGTATACTTAATGTTCTTGTTTTAAAATAGCTTCTGTAAGACACAGCATACAGCAAAAGTTTGAAGAGAGAGCAAAATCTCAGAGAATCTTTGGTGTAACTAGTGAAACATGAGACAATAAAAAGGTTCACTCTTACTGAAGCTTGAACAGAGCAGTTAATATGGTAATGTTGATATATTTAGTAATGCGTTCACAGTGTTAAGTTTTTTGCAAGAACTGGTGTGCCAAGCACAAGACTCAACACAGGTTATGCACATATTTGGTAATCAGTAAATTACCTTAGATAGTAAGTCAGTTGTTGAATCCTGGACAACTGATAACATCATTTGCTTTCACGTGTTTTTTCAATATTGTGCTCAGCCTCAAATATAAATTGAATAGAGTGACCCTTTGATACTCTATGAAATCGACTGCATTTCCTAAGATTCTGTGGTTTCAATTACCATAAATTTTTGATATTGGGTCCATAGCCATTGCATTGTCCCAGCATAACAATATCTTATCATCTTATCATTGGTTCTGATAATACAGTCTGCATCAGCACAACATATTGTTACTAATATTGTATGTGTGTGAGCATGTGTGTGTGTATGTTCCCAGTCAGAACATCATGTCAAGTGCAGGAGCAATCTGCAGTTTACCTAGATTAAATCGAATCACTATGTGTATTGCAAAATGAGAATTATTTTTGTTCCAGTGATGAAATTGTGTTCTAGGTTGCTAGCTGGATCTTGAGTTTGTGAGATGGATAAGTCCATTAGTGGTTCCTCACTTTATTAGCAACTTAATTGTCAGAATGTAATGAAACTTCTGAACTGCAGCAACTCATTAGAAGCAATGAAACACATGACATTTTTTCTAGAATATTCAGTGAGCTACTTTTTCCCCCAAAGAGATCTTGAAAATAAAATTAACAATTAAGTTTAAATGTATACCTATAAAGGTAAAACAGTTTTGAATTCTGCCCTGAAAAATGTTCTGGATAAGTTAGGGTCACTGAAAAGAGGGGAACCAGCATTTGAATTCCTACTCAGACACATGTTTAAGTAACCTTTAATGAGTTACTTAGCTTCTTTAAACCTCAGTTTTCTCATACGTAAAAAGGTGATTTAATAGTTATTTCAAACTATCACTATGAAGATAAAAGGAAGCGGCGTGTGGAAAGGGCTTGACAGTATCCCTAGTGCACAGCAAGAGCGTATCAATGACCGCTATTGTCACTCTTTAATTTTCAACCTAGATATTTTAATTCTCCTGCCTTTGCCTTGAAATAAGTTTGATTTTATTTCTTCAAGGCCAAAGATGTAATCATTAAAGATCATGTATCCCACTGTATTTTCTACTAGAAACAAGGCTAGAAAGAAGGCTGTACTTTACTGCCATGCTTGTACTTTATAGAAATTGTTGGTGTCTACCAAAGCAGGAGTTTACTTTTAGTTCCCTGGTAGATCGTGGTTGTTTTCACTTGGCCTTTATGACAATATTACTCTGAGCACTGTCACAGAAGCTCAAAGAAAATTCTTGCTTCTCTTCTTATGCTTTATTTTAGCGACAGCTCCCAAAGATGATCTTGGCAATGTATAAGAAGCAGTACAAGCATTGCAAGTGGTGATTAAACCTTTAACTTATATTTCAAAGATAGCATTAGGTTGGTGCAAATCTAATTGCAGTTTTTGCCATTGAAAGTGATGACCAAAACCACAATTACTTTTGCACCAACCTAATTATTTCCTGAAGCCCGTAGCTCAAACAAACAGTGTGATATGAAAAGAGTATTTCATTTCCATCAAAAAGCGAAAATAAAATTATGGATAATTCCATTCTCCTTCTAACTCCCTGTTCTGATTTTTTCTTTTCTTTCTCTTCTTATTTTCATTTTTGTCTATTTTTTTCCTTCATTCAACATTTAAATAATTATACGACATTACAGACTAATGACTGTACCGTGCAGCGAGGATTCTGTAAACATCATGAGGACAGGAGCAGTGTCTGTTAGGGCCACTGCTGTGTCCTCACATGCATGAAACACCTGCCCTCCAAAAAAAAAAAAAAATTCTAAATCTACAAATAAATACAAGAAGGAATAAATGAGTAAAGCCAAATGAAACAAGACTATGACCTTCAAAGAGCTTAAATATGTATTATGGCCCCTTTTCTTTTTAAAAATATTATCCAGAATTAAAGTAAAATGCTTGCTATATTTACTAAAGGTTCTATTCTCTCTAGTCTTATTTTTATGTAAGATAAATCCATTTTTTCTTCCCTTATCATCTTCAAACACAATAAACTTTTCTTTTTCATCTGTATCCCCTGTTTATATTTGCTATGATTCAGTGGTTTTTGATTTTTTAAATGACAGTTTTGTCCTAGTTCAGCTATTCCAAATTGAAGGCAATATCTGTGAGCCTTTTTATCAGCTATGCGATAGTCAATTTATTATGTAAGTAGAAAGGCCATGTATTCAGGGCTAAAGATTGTGATATGGCTCATCTTAGGTAACAGATTAAGTTCACATGGCATACGGTTTCCTAGCGTTCCTTCTTAAGTTATGTTCTTTTATTGCCAGCATAACATTTTGAAAACAATTTTAAATAACGAACATCATTAGAGGAATAGTAGGAAATTTTTATCTGATGTATTACGGTGCTCTTTATGCTCAGTGTCTCATTTAATCCTCACCACAATTCTATGAAGCAGATGTCTCCATTTTTTTCTTTGAGACGGAGTCTCACTCTGTCGCCCAGGCTGGAGTGCAGTGGGGCAATCTCGGCTCACTGCAAGCTCTGCCTCCCGGGTTCATGCCATTCTCCTGCCTCAGCCTCCCGAGTAGCTGGGAGTACAGGCGCCCGCTACCACGCCCGGCTAAATTTTTTGTATTTTCAGTAGAGATGGGGTTTCACCGTGTTAGCCAGGATGGTCTTGATCTCCTGACCTCGTGATCTGCCCGCCTCGGCCTCCCAAAGTGCTGGGATTACAGATGTCTCCATTTTTACGTTGATAGTACTGGGATTCCAGGGCCCAGATGCCTTCCTCAAGGACACAGGCCTGTATATGACAGAATTGTAACTTGAAACCCTTTTTTTCTAAGGCTAAATCCCATAAGACTTTGAGTCTACTACTTTGGAAATATTCACAATGGGCATAATATTGATAGGAACAGCAGCAAAAAATGAGAGGTCCTGAGTTAATGTTTCAAGAATATTGAATGCTCTTCCGGGGACAAATTGAGCAGCAATTGACGCTGAAATGGCACTGAATTATTTTGCTATCAATTGCTAAAGCCTTATGTTTTCATATCGTGTGCAGATCTATTCCAGGGCCACCTCTAGCTGATAGCATCAGATCTTTCACCCCTGAAGAGATTACAGCTGGCTAACATTATCCTCACAAACAGACCTGGAAAGTTTGTCTACAACCACTGATGGGAGCTCAGGCAAAGAGGACTCTGGGAGAGGGTTAGCTCGAGGGCATCATGATTTCTCTTCTGCTTCTGTGGCTTTGCTCTAGAGTCTCAGACCAATGCTGTCATTGTTTTTATGCCGGTTGTTATAGTCTACTTGCTACTGTGAGGTGCTGTGAGGAAGAAATAAATTTAAGTCAAGTTTGTAACTATATAAGCATGGTACGAATTCAGTAAATATTGCTTGAATGATTTTATCTGAGAGGCATGAATATTTAGCACTACATTTTTATATAATGCTGCTTAACTCTTCCTTAAAGCACATAATGATCATGCTATTTTTTATGTCCTGTAACCTTATGGGACAACTATGGCAGATTTCACTTCTGCCTTTTTACAGATCAAAAAATTAAGGCCCAGGGAAGACAATTTGAAAGCAGGGCCACAAAGTTGTGTAGACCTGGGCTGACTTTGATTAATTATTTAATCACACTTTAGCTATTTCTCTTCCCATTTTCTCATGTATGGCATACACAAACACACTCTGGGGTTCTTTATTTTTATATATTTTTAAGAATAAAATGCTCATTACAGAAAACTGGAAAAAGACAAATTGACTTAAAGTCATCTGAAATCTCACCTTCTTGTAATATTTTGGGATTCATTCTTTTAGGCTTTTTCCAGTATCCATGCATAGATCATGGACTGAACAAGTGCTATTTGACAACTGTCTTGATTCGTTTCATAATATTTAATGGCTATGTTTCATTTTAACAAAGGTATACCTATATAATTGTTTTAATGGGTATCAAGCATTTCACAGTATGAGTTCCCTGGTTTTCTTTTTATCTTTAAACCCAGGTACTCATTGCTTACACAGCCTATGGTCAGAGGTAACTCTAATGTGATCTGTGATTCTTTGTTTTTAAAGGTGTTCAATCTGATGGCAGTAGTCATTGTAATAAGACTTTTGGCTGGCGGGTGTTGCCATCATACACTAAAGAGATTTCATGACTTAAGACATTTCATGGACTCACAAGTACTGAAACAGGGTATGAGTGGTAATGGAGGAGAGAACTGTGACTCAGGAAAGAAGACTCCTTCGGTCAAGGGGCCAGACTTGGTATGCACTGGACAAAGATAAAACATCATGTTCTGTGGCACATGTGAGGGATTCTGGGCATCTCAGTATGCCACAGCTGGTTCTCACTGATGGGCAAGCCTTCTCCTTCAGCCTACACATTAGATCATAACAAATATTCTCACCTTTCCTCAAAGTTTTTATTATTTAATCTTTTACAGGTGTGATTCTTAGTCCTGGCTTCTATTAGAATCTCACCTGGGAAGATGTTAAAACTACTAACTCCCACCTCCAAAGATACTGACTTAATTGCTCAAGGGTGTAGGGAAGGGGCAAGCATATTTTTTTAAATGCATATGTGATTAAATTTAAAGCCAACATTGAGAGTCACTACTTTACAAGCATCTATTACTCTGTAAGAGTCAGAAGAAAACCTTTATCCCAGTATGAAACCTTTTCTAAGAAAAAATATTTGTGCCCTGTTTTTGTAAATAAGCCTGATTTTTAAATCTATTTTGGCTTTACATAAATACAAATAGAGTTCTTATTGCTTTTTCCTTTCATTTATTTCTCACAGTTGTTTATTTTGTTTATAGTAATTTATTTTGTCTATCATCTCTCTTCCCCCAACAGAATAAGCTCCTTGAAGGCAGGAATTTTTAATTATTTTGTTCATCGCTATATCCCCAGTGTCAAGAGTGTCCGACACATGCTAGGTGCTCAAAAAATTCTTGTCAAAATTTTTGACACTAATTTTGATGCACAGATCATGATTCCTAGTCCCAGGAAGCTTGTGATCTATTAAAAACACACAGACATGAAAATACAATCCAGTATTTCTATGGAGGTTAATGAATTGTAATATATTTACAGTAGGTTAAACAATGTTGAGTTTTAAAGAAAGCATATGGCAAATGTAAGAGACAGAGTCTTTGCCACTTATTTCCTTTTATTCTCCTGATAAGCAACATGGTATAATAGAAAAACTAAGGAGCCAATAGTTCCAAAACAGATGTAGAATTAGATCAGTTACCAGAGGACATTGAGAAAGTTTGTTTAACCCTTTGGATGTCAGGCTTCTCATCTCCAACATCATACTGTTGGAAGAGTTGACCACGCAGCTTTTACTATTCAGTGTTTCCATGTTACTACATCCTATCGTTATAGGAGCCACAATGTGGCAAGGCATTAAATGGCATGTTTTTCCTTTTCATCGTTCTGTAAATCTTACATTTTTATCCAGATCCATTTACACCTGTCTTGTCATTTTCCATGCTGTTACAGGGACACGTGCTTTTTTATCCTGTTATCAAACTCACTTTTAAAATCCCCCTTTGAGGTTATTAGCTGCTTTGTCTAACCCAATGTCATATGCTTCTCCACTGTGCATGCTCTCCAGATATGCATATAAGTCACTGATAATCATGAATGAGTCTGCATTTGGAATTGATTCAGTGTGAAGTATTTAAAGATTCTTCACAAGGGGTTCACTCAGTCTGGCATTAAAAGAAGCTCAGTATCTAAATCCTAGGAGATTGCAAACTTGCTCAGATGCTTTGGAAACCTAAACCCATGTAAAATACTTAGATATAAAGTCATTGAGAAGATGAACTTCTCATATTGTATTTGTTCGGCAAGCATTTATTGACAACCCGTTGCTCTGTGCAGAGCACTTTAGTGGAATACGAAAGTTAGTCAAGGAGTCAAAGACCCAATCCCAAGCTCTAAGTGGCTCCTAGTTTCTTGGAGAAAGGAGCTGGAAAGGCTCAGAGGATTAACATGGAGCACACTTGGATCTCTTTCACCCTAGATGGCCTCACAGAAAGGACACCCTGCCTCTGAATAGCTTCCAACCACCTTGAGACAATTTTCTCTCATTCTAATGCCATTGCCAGGATATTACAGTAATCAGATCATTTGACGTTACCTGCATCTTAGTGTCCGCAATCTTAATATACCATATAGATCCAAGTGTCAGGAATCTGCAGCTGCACAGTTTCACATATTATCTTGTGGTGCTAAGTCTTTATGAACAAATAGCATTGACCTCTGTGATGGTGCCGTCTAAGCACTTCTTTTTGTCAGCAAATATACTATCTTATAGAGAACTCACAGGTTGTAATAGGAAATTATTCTTCCTTACATAATGTAAAAAACACTGGTTATGCCTAGGGTTAATGTAGTCTGCTAATTTGTAACAGCAGAGCTTTGTGAGGTATTCACAGCAGGCCTCCGTGCTAAAGTCCTGGTGCTGCTGTTCTGATTGATCAATGTTCTTGTGCGATGTTTGTTAAATATTTTGCCTATCACCCCCCTCCTGCTTATACCTATACGTAAACCATGAAAAAGTAATTTCTTACTCATTGCAAGTTCCCCCTCAGGGCCTTTGGCCCTTACTCTTACTCTTTTCCCTGTCTAGAACATTTCTTTCTTAGCTATTATGCTTTGCTGCTCCAAATGCTACCTCTTTTTTTCTCTTTCTGTATGTATGTGTGTGTGTGTGTATATAATATATATCATATATTATAATAATATATATCATATATTATAATAATATATATCATATATTATAATAATATATATCATATATTATTATAATATATATCATATATTATTATAATATATATCATATATTATGATATATCATATATTATAATAATATATATCATATATTATGATAGATCATATATTATATGATATATATTATTATAATATATGATATATATCATATAATATGATATATATTATTATATATTAATATAATATATTACTATATAATATAATTATAATTATTATATATTAACAATATACAATATAATTATGTGATAATATATAATATATTATATGATTATATTATGTGATTATTATATTATTATATTATATATTATGATTATTATAATATATTAATATAGAATATATAATAAATATATTCTATATTATATATAATATATATAATATATTATATATTATTATATGATAAATAATATAGATTGTCATATTATAATCTATAATATATTATAGATTATTATATTATAATATATAATATAGTTTATGATTATTCTAATATAATATGTTGTCATGTACACATGGCCTTGTGTCATTAGTTGTATTTTCACTGCTCCTGTCTCACTCCCTTGACTAGATTATAAACTCTCTGAGGCTAATAAAAATAATTTTTTTGTATGTGTGTTTATGTTTTATATATACACACATATGTATACTGTATTCTCCCGATGTATAAATATAAAATCTATTATTATCTGCCATCCTTTCACCACCAAACTAAAATGCAAGTTCCTAGAAAACAAATTATAGTACATAGTAGGCACTCAATAAATATGTGTAAATAAAGATATATATATAATATTTGTAAATACGCACATAAATATGCATGTTTATATGTATCTGTAATATGTATGTGTAAAAATGTATATATGTATACTTATGTATATGTATCTGTAAATATGATATTGGTCTGCATGTATGTTCACAAATGAAGGGTGTGTCAGGTATAGATATTTTAATTCAGCTGAGTATGGATTAAAGGTGATCATTCTGTGTAATAACTGGCAAGCAGTCAGTGATCATGTCAAACCATGCCTGTTAACTCTAGCATCTCAACCTTAACTAGTAACTGGGAGATAATGAATTTTATACAAATTGTAGGAATTTTTGAGTAATATGTATTTAGTAATTTTGGTACCATCCTTACAATTTCTACATTGTGTAGGCTTATTGTACAGTGTTCTTCCTTTTTCACTCCATTTGTTCATGTCTTATCTCTTCCTCAGATTTGTTTTCAACAAATCCATATTTTGTCTCACTTATTTTGAATTCAATTTAGTGCATGAAAATGATAATGTTATTGTTATTAGCAGTAAAGATAAATCCTCACTATATACCAGGCACTGTTCTATATGATTTGCATGGATTAGCTCAGTCAGTTCTGAAAACAGCCCTGTACTGTAGGTCTTATTAAGGTTAAGTAACTTGCAGAAGGTCACACACCTTGTAAGTGATGTACTCAGGACCCCAAATCAGGAAATCTAACTTTGGAGTCTGTATTTTGCCTCACTGCCTATTTCAAATAATATAGCAATATTATACGGCCTTTAAAAAATCTTAAGTTGAGAAATGCTTAAGACCTCTGTGAAAATATATAGAAGAAAATCCTTAAGAATCATTTAGCAGGTAGACTATGTAATAAAATAGACTCCAGAACTGAAATGAACTTTATGATAATGGTGATAGTCAGAAGTTGTTGAAGAAAGAGAATGATTGGCAATATAAAGACTGAGCTGCCTTAGGACTGCCAAAAACAAATTCGGGAAGTGAATAACCAATATGCTGTAATCAACAGGGAAGGGCAGACCATAAAACAACTAGGCACATTAATGTAAGATATTGGGAAAAATAGTTCACATTGAATAAATAAAAATGTGTTAATAATAACTATTAAGATCTAGAATCACATGTGTTAGAGAGAATAAATCTAGCATAGATGGAATCATACATTTCAACTTGATTTACACACTACTCAACAGCCACAAAACAGCAAATTACCCAAACTTGCCTGATTATCAGAATCGCCTGGGTTGCTTATCAAAATTACAGAATCCTAGGCTCTACCTCCCAGGGCAGTTGTTCTCAACTGAGGGCAATTTTGCCTCCCAGAAACATTTGGCATATCTGGAGACATTTTGGTAGTCATAACTGGAGGTGTGCTACTGGCATCTAGTGAGTAGAGGCCAGGGATGCTGTTAAGCATTCTAAAACACACAGGACAGCCCCCAAAACAAAGGATTATCTGGCTTAATATGTCAACAGTGCTGCAGCCCAGAAACTCATATCTAGAGATTTTGATTCAGTGGTCTGTGATGAGGCTTTGAAATCTGCATTTCTGTCTATGGATCCAAGTTTTTCTGATAAAAGATTGGAAACTTGGTGCTATCAATAGAGTTGGACTTGTTGAAAAACATCCCATGGAAGGGAATGCTTAAGGTAGGCTTTGAGTAGGGATAGAATAGAAACAAAAGATGTAAAGAGGGAAGAACATTCAAATAGAAGAGCAAATCACACCCAGTAGGATAAAAAAAGGCTGTGAACCAACACTGGGCCAGCCAGCAATAAATAGTGAGAATCATTTGCAAAGCAACCTCCTCTTTCTGCATGGAAGGCCAACTGTGCCTCATGGCATGTAACTTGCATCTCCCACCTTAGATTTTAGCTGACAATAAATGCATGCTATGTCATTCTAACTCACTTCTTAGTCCCCAATATGAAGATAAAATAGCCCACGCCCACTCATTTTTCTAATAATATCTTCCATAAAATCCCAAAATATAAAGAAAGGGAGTGAGAATGATATTTCATCAGATATATCTGGTTTAATATCCAACTCTGTCTTTCATTAGCCATGTGAGTTTGGACATAATAATAGGGTTAAATGGGTGGTTTCCATTAAATAATGCATGTAGAGAAATTAACTCAACATCAGGAATATAGAAAATAGTAAAGATCAGCTGCTATTTACTATTATTATTATTTATTAAAGTAATATTTATCTAAGAGAACTATGGCATTATTTAAATGAACAGAAAAAGTACAAGTTGGGATTTAAGATGATGGCAGGTTCTTATCATCAATCACAGCAACTGATTATTTTGTGCTTTGTTTTGTTTGAAGGGGATTGAGAAAATCCTGCTTCATAGAAATGAGTATTTTAAAATGGCTCCAGGTTTGAAACTATTCACCCTCAGTTCTCAAGGTTTTTAAAAATCTGAATACAATACAAAACGATTCAATTTGGCTGCTTAATTTGGTCATGGTTTCCACTGTGTTTCTGTATTTATGATAAGAAAGTTAACACACGTGAGTGTGTTTTCTAAAAAAAAAAATGACTTCTTTTGGCTATGAATTAAGGTATATAAATACATAAAATATACACTATAATATTTATAATAAATCCTTATACCAGCTATTCTAGTGTCCAGAGTTCTATGAAACATAGTTTAAAAACTTCTGGATAAGATTAATATATATTCCCAGCTTGAAGATGAGTGTGTTATATGGTATGGAATGAAGAAGGTCACCACTCTAGTTCAGATAGATTACATCAATGGTTTTCTCTTGACTAGAGAGTCAATACTCCTGCATGGTCAGAGAGTAGGTTTGTCTGGCATGATTATCTCTTCACGAAAGCATCTTGACTCTTTCAAGATGTTTGCAAATTGATTGCTTGATGATGTGTCCCAGTATCCTTCCAGACAACAGATTTGGGTAAATTTCTGCGTTTTCAAGACCCATTTAAACTTCCTCTTTTACAAAAGATGATCATTACATTTACTTCTATAGATTCACTGCCTAGGAGTTCATTTCAGAATTAGGCCCTCTATAGCTGTAGCTGTTCATATTCTTTCTTCCCCACTAAGAATATATCACTTGCTTGCCTGGCCTGTCAGCTGGTATATGTGAAATGAATGTGAGATAATTTTGAATCATAGCCTAAGCTAAACATTATTAAGAAGACAAATTGTCCGAGGATAGGAGGAGGTGAGGATTACAAAGAAAATAACAACAACAACAACAAAAGAAGAATGAAAATCCATATATTCTTATATTATCAGGATGGATTAGACTCTTTAGTTACCATTCTAACTCATTTTAGTTAAGCCTCTCCTATATACTAAGTATCTCAATAATAATCAAATAGGTCTCACAGACCTCCCCTTTTAGATAGTTCATGAAGAAGATAAATCACTAAAACATATGTTGAGTCAGGGAGATGAATGCCAAAGGGAAAAATAAGATAGGGAAAATGTGTAGAATGTGTCCAGAGTAGTTGGGAAATGTTGCACTGAGAAGGTGACACTTGAGTAAATGAGGGGACAAAGGGGCAATCCATGTGGCCCTCTGGCAGAAGAACCTTCTAGGAAGAGAAAACAGCAAGTGCAAAGGCCTGAGGACAGGAGAATGCTTGGCATTTTTGTGGAGTAGTGAGGAGATCAGACTGATTGGGAAGGATTCAGATAGGTGAATGAGGGGTTGCCAGAGTCAGATGAAGTTGGCCAAGTGTAGGGCCACCATACATTCCAGTTAGCCTGGTGTAGTCTGGGTTCATCCCTGAGTAGCTGATTATGTGCACTATCCGCTCTCCCTCTCAAAAAAGGTTCTGCTTGGATGATAAATTATATGGCGATCCTTGGTTAGTAAGGCACTCTTAAGATTTAGCTTTTAGTCTTAGAGACATGAGAAGCCACGGAGGGTTTGGTCAGAAGAGGGGTTTCACATGACTTAGGTTGCATCAGGATCACTTCGTCTTCTGTGTTGAGAATAAAATATTGAGATGGGTTGGCAAATGGGAAGCCAGTTAGGAACCGATATGGTTTGGCTCTGTGTCCCCACCCAAATCTCATCTTGTAGCTTCCATAATTCCCATGTGTTGTGGGAGGGACCTCGGGGGAGATGACTGAATTATGAGAGCGGGTCTTTCCTGTGCTGTTGTCGTGATAGTGAATGGGTCGCACGAGATCTAATGGTTTTAAAAACGGGACTTTCCCTGCACAAACTTCTTTTTTTTTCTGCCTGACACCATCCACGTAAGATGTGACTTGTTCCCCTTTCCTTCCACGGTGATTGTAAGGCCTCCCACCCACGTGGAACTGTGAGTCTAACTAAACATCTTTCTCTTGTAAATTGCCCAGTCTCAGGTATGTCTTTATCAGCAGCGTGAAAACAGACTGATAGCAGAAACCTATGGGATTTTCATTCGAGACTATGCAATGCAGCCAGAGAGTTGAGTTGTTTCACTTGAGGACATGTAGCTAGCTGGTGGTGGAAATGGATCTAGGATTAATTCTCCTGACTTCCAGTCTGGACTTCTTCCCACAGTGCCCAGTTTCTCTTTCAGTTTAAACTTGAGAACAAATAGAATGCCTTGCTCGCTCTTTTCAGGCCTATTAAGTCTCCAGTTTGATGGCACAACTCAGTTCCTTCCTCTTCCCATTGTGAGAAATAGGCATGACCCCCACAACCTCCCCGAACCTTTTTCCCCTTTCTCCTGAAATAGCTCATTTTGCATATATTAACCAGGAATTTTTAGGACTTTCTGTTGAACTTCTGTATTTATACTTCTGGCTCTTATAACCTCTACAGAATACTGAATTTCACGTGTACAGTACATATTTATTAACTCATGAATGTGTGATAGAAGCAAATCAATAAGGATGGAGTCTAAGTACAGATGTGAATATATGTTTTATGCCTGTTTAAATAGGAATATGTGTATTAATTGGAATTAAATGGATTCCCATGGGTCTAATTATGTCTGTGAATTCTTCAATTTTGTTTATATTTTATTTCCACTTGATTCTTATTTTATTTTTACAGGAATTAGCCCTGGTTTTTGATCGTTGCTTTCCTCAGTTAGAGTGGCTGAGAGGAGCAATGTATGTACAGATTATACATTTTTTTATAGTCAACTACAATTGAATATCAGAGAATGCACTCAAGGCATTGAGATATATATGTGCATTAGATTCTGTTTTAAATATGTGTGCTTGAGATATAAACTTGTGGGTGTGATATGGACAGACATATTTACACACGTGGTATTTCAAGTAGCCTGTATGCCCATGGGGAGTTACTCAGACAGTGAAATTAAAATTTATGTTATTTCTACCGGCCCACAAATTCCAGCAAATTTGGCATCCAACAGGGCAAAATAGATTGTCATATAATGTGCTTATCTCTCATGGGAATAAAATAAGAATAAGCTAACTCTCAGGGCATATGTAAGAAATGAGTGGACAAAAAGCATTTTATAATGTGTTACGAAATGTAAGGTGGTATTTATTGTCTTGATTTTTTTATTGCACACATATGCTTGAGATTTCTTTTCTTTTTCCCCACCGTCCAGTGCCCATACCTTATTCTCAGCCCTGTATTTCATATGACAAACAAAAAGTAATTGGGTTATTTTAAGGACTCCTCCTTTGAGTGAGGTAGGAGCTAGGAACCTCTCAGTCATTACATGTGGGAGTCCGCCCACTTTTGGTTGGGTGTGTGAGAAAGGGGCACAGATATACTGTCAGTGCCCACACTTGGGTATAAAAGAAGCAAAAACAAAACCCACAGTGGATTGCAGAGATTTTAGAGGAGAAAGATAACGAAGAGGGAAAAAAAATCAATTGTTTGAATGTGGGTATTCAAAATACTTAACAACCTATAAGCAAAGGCTCAGAGCACTTTAAGTAGACACATGCAGTGAAGTGGTGTCTGTTCTGATTAGAATGGGTTAAAGAAAAAAGCTAAAAACCTCAAATCCTATTCCAGTAGTCAACTCTGGATTGTTATTTTTAAATTTTATTGCAGGAAAAAAACTTAGTTTTCTTTAAATTTTGACTTTACTTTCTTATAAATATTGAATCAAACTTTATGCATCAGAACCAAAATCTGTACATTTCTGCAAATATTTTTTGCTGATCCATGCATGAAACAGGTACAAGGTTTTATCTATGGAGATTCAAGAAAGAGACACACCTCTGACCCACTGTATTTCTTATTTGAACTCCTGAATCTATTATAAAAGTTGCTTTCCCATGTAGTTATTTGAAGTCCTGGTGGGGCCTAGCGGAACCAATAATCCAAAGTAGTGGATAATCCAAGAATGTCATTTATATTTGGCTTTGGAATACATTACCAGATGTTACTCTAGCAGATTTCCTTTCCTAATTAGGCCTCACTTAAAGTAGGAGTTAATTTTGTCTTCATTAGCTGTTTCCAAGTCAGCAGGATGGGGCAAGGAGGAAGCCTGGGGCATGCTGGGTATTTGGGGGGAGTTGGCCCAGTGCTAAACGTCTGTGGTAGATCCTGTTCAAAGAACAAAATTCAAACACAGATAATCAAGTTGATGGGAATATACACTGGAAATGTTTATGAACACCTTCTTGAAGAATTCTCAGGCCTTTGTCAACTCTTTTTTTTTTTTTTCTATTAATCATGAGTGCAAAAAAATTCCGTAATAGGAATTAGGCAAATAATCACATTAAATTTTGTACAGAAAAAAAATTAGAGGCTCAGAGAGGTTAAGTCACCTCTCACACAGATTGATCTCTAAGTACACAGTACCTAAGATACTGAAACTGATTAATGAATGATAAGAAGACCCCACTGTTTCCTTCTTATTGATGATTTGAATAATGAGGAAGCGAGAATTCTTCTGGCCTAATTCACATTAAGAGAGCCAAGATAATGAAGCTGTGATTAAATGGCTATTAAACTATTTTTATCAAACAGAGATCAAGCGAGTGTGAGAATCTGGGGACACAGAGTGTAATTGCAATCCTACAGGATCCAGAAAAAATTACTAACATAAGCAGGGCATGGTCCTTTCATAATAGCTCGCATTTAGAAGTCTTTGGGATACCGCATGCAGTATTCACTCTGCATTTCTCCCTTCAGGTGGCAGTTAGCATCTCAGAGTCCCTCCTCTCCTCCTTAATTTAGTGGATTTATTGACCCTCTGTGTGCAGTTGGGTGAGTTGAATGCACTGTCTGCCACACCATGTATAACCAGTTGGAAGATCCTTTTGCCAACTGTGCACAAAGGAAGAAGACCCAAATATTACAAACTGGGTTCAGAATTTTAATGTAGAGGTGCCCCTGGCTACCTGAAGGGCCAGAACCTATCTTCTTTCAACTATGCCTTTTAAATGATGTCAGACTAGTACAGGTCATAGAGGGACTCAGCTGTCCCAAAGAGCAGAGATAAACCTTCTCATTTTGTTGACTGTTCTAAACTATCATTTATTAACGACACGGTAACACTTAGGAATTGTTGCAGATTCTAAATTTTGGGTTGTTAGTATAAATGCATGTGTATCATCTGTCACTGGAAATTCTTTACACCATGAGTGAGTTTTTGTTGATGTGCCTTCTTTCTTCCTAGAGCGCCCTTAGAGAATAAGGTGTTACAGTCACACAGACCTTTATTTAGGTCGGAAGAATTGCATTGTGTAAGGAGAACCCAAGGTTGACACCCACCATGGGAAATGCTGTTTGATAGCCACAGAGCTCAACTGTGGAAATGCCCGTTGGCCTGTTTTCTACCTTTCCTTCCGCCTCTGCTGCCAGCTCCAAGGCTGAGCTTAGTTTGTGCAGCTGTAGATCACTGTCTAATTGGTGACCTGCTCTTTCTTCCTCCCTACTCTGCATTTTCTTTTCTTTTTTCCCCAACTCGGATGGAGCTAAGACATATATTTTTTGTAAAATAGTATTTTCAAACAATTAGAAAGCAGTATCAGAGCCGAGTCTTTGAAAGGTTATCTTGCAATGTCAGTGCAGTGACTAATGTGTTTCTATACCCTGTCACCTGTGAACAGACATGTGTGAGTAGGCCAGTGTGCTTCATCTGCGGTGACTTTGATTTATTTGCTCTGTAAATTGGGACCAAAGCAATAATGGGAAGTGACATTAATTGTTTAACAGAGTCCTCTTTGTCACATCCATTGCCTTCTCCGGGGTGTTTGATTGTTGAAACTCATGCTAAACTAATTGAAATTGCCACAGTGAGGGGCAATATCCACTCAACATTATATAAACACAAAGTGTCATCAGCAAATAGCAAGTTTTCTTCCCAGTTTTCTATGATTAAAGAAAACACAGACAATTTGAAACAATAACTTTTTCCTTCCTTAATTCACTAAAAAATTTACTAAAATAAATGGTCTTGGAGCACCTCTGTGAGTCACCCACATACAGAGATAACAATAATATCGAATAATCATTTGTAATGGATACAGACCGTAAATAATCATTACAGCCCTATGGTAGATACTGGTTGAATAGTAGCCCTTACTACCCACATACTCCAACACACACACACACACACACACACACACACACACACACACAAGCCGCCATGCTAATCTCCCATCTTACAAATCCTCCCTCTCATTGTGTTTCCAGTAGAGAGGGGAATTAAAATAGTTGGTGGTTTAATCAGATCTTATAAATTAATTATGACATTATCAAGCTCCAATATTTTTGCCATTGTATTTGTTATACATTCTCCCAGACTTATTAAAGAAATTGGAGAAAACTGGTTGATTTAAGTGTTCTTTGTCGTTTTAACTTGATTGGAATTATCATAGTTTGTTTACACTAGGGATAGAGCTAAGGCGCCATTGTATTATGTGATTGAAAGCAAATAACGGCTTGTAGTATTGCTGGAAAGCCAAACACAAAATTTACATCATAGTAAACAAAATTATCCATTTATTGGTAAATATTCTTAACTCTTTTTCTTGAACTGTTTTTGAACATCAATGAAATAAGCCTTTTTGAAAAACGGAATACTTGGAAAAATGCCCAATTTACTGAAAGTGTGTATATGTGTCTGTGTGTGCATGTGTATTTGATGTATTTTCTAAAATTATTAGATAATATGGAGATAGTTATAATGGTGTAAATCTCATGACTTTGAGATGATTTTTTAAATACATGTATTTCATTTAAATATAATTGTATTCAGAACAGTTAAATAACCTCAATTTAATTTTTGTATGTGGGGGAATCAAAGAAGGGAGTTATTGAAATCTTTGGATACCAGATTATGATCCTGGGCAGAAAATAAGGAATATCATTTCAGCCTATTTAATATTAGAATTACATATACAGGGTCCTTTCAAAGGCATATTGAAAGAAGGTAGATTGAAGAATCTACCTGAGGGCCTGAGGGTATTCAATAAGCTTCAGTTATTGACTTGTGCAATTTGGATTTTTACAATTGGTCAGTTTATGGAAGTAGGTGGCACCATTTTGAAGTTAACAGTTACCCCTTCTGATTAGGATTTGCCTCCTAAACTAGAGGTTTGGTTGTTTTTTTTTTTTGAGACAGAGTCTCCCTCTGTCACCCATACTGGAGTGCAGTGGCGTGATCTTGGCTCACTGCAACCTCAGCCTCCTGGGTTCAAGCAATTTTCTTGCCTCAGCCTCCTGAGTAGCTGAGATTACAGGTATGTGCTACCACACCCAGCTAATTTATATATATGTGTGTGTGTATATATATATGTTTTTTTTGAGACAGAGTCTCGCTGTGTCGCCCAGGCTGGAGTGCAGTGGCAAGATCTTGACTCACTGCAAGCTCCACCCCCCGGGTTCACACCATTCTCCTGCCTCAGCCTCCCGTGTAGCTGGGACTACAGGCGTCCGCCACCACGCCTGGCTAATTTTTTTGTATTTTTAGTAGAGACAGGGTTTCACCATGTTAGCCAGGATGGTCTTGATCTCCTGACCAAGTGATCCGCCTGCCTCAACCTACCAAAGTGCTGGGATTATAGGCGTGAACCACCGTGCCCAGCCAATTTTTATATTTTTAATAGAGACGAGGTTTCACCACATTGGCCAGGCTGGCCTTGAACTCTTGGCCTCAAGTGATCTTCCTGCCTTGGCCTCCCAAAGTGCTAGGATTACAGGCATGAGCCACCGTGCCCTGCAAGTGCATTAAAGTTTTAAACTTCAGACACACCATGTTGCACCCAAACTCAAATCCAGGGACGTGAGAGGGATGCATTATGCAAATTAAAAAACGTCAATTAAAGTCCCTGGGGAGTACAAATGGCTCTTTTTGGCCTCTTGAATCCAAAAGAAGTCCTTAGTTTTACTGCTGGATGGAGGGTGATCAGGAATTAAGGAAAACAATTTTTATGTGAAAATAGAATGTATACGTGATAAAGGCCTGCCTAATTTCTCTAGTAATACAATTTGATTTTCTGATTAGCTATCTTATTCTGTGATTCTTGTAATTTTGTCAGGTCAATTAACTGGAGTTCAGTGCTAGAGAGAAAGGAAGTGTGGGTACTGCTAGCTTCATTAGATGTCAGCAGCTAGGTGCATTTTATAATAAAATCTGTGTGGGATAATTTAGCCCATATTGTTAATGTCATAGCATACAGAACTTTCAAAAGAAGATTTTGGAAGCAGGTCAGATTGAACAAACAATGTGAAGTGCTAAAAGAAGGAAAAGAAAATGGTCCAGAAGATATTGTTGGCAATAAATGCAGATCAATGAATTATTTAGCAAGTAATCATTGATTAGCTATGCCATGTGCCCAGTGTTGGTACTGGTTGTCCACGTGCATAGAATATCACACACTGCCTTGTTAACAAGGTACATGTTTGGAAGTCCTTGAACATTTTTTACAGAGTACTGAAATAAATATTATATTTTATAATGAATTGTTTACAGGTTCTTCCCTTCCACAGTAGTGTTATTAGAGGGACAGATTTTGTCTTGTTTCTTTTTGTATCTCCCACACTTCAGATGTCCCTGGCACAGAGTAGATGTTCAAAAATGTTTGTTAAGTGAATGATTGAAGATTAGCTTTCTATGAGTGTGTTGGTGGGAATGAATCAAAAACAAGGTAGAATATATTTGCAGGAGCCACTATTAGAAATAATAGTGCACTGGGGCCGGGCGCAGTAGCTCACGCCGGTAATCCCAGCACTTTGGGAGGCCGAGGTGGGTGGATCACGAGGTCAGGAGATCGAGACCATCCTGGCTAACATGGTGAAACCCCATCTTCACTAAAAATACAAAAAAATTAGCCGGGCGTGGTGGCGGACACCTGTAGTCCCAGCTACTCGGGAGGCTGAGGCAGGAGAATGGCTTGAACCCAGGAGGCGGAGCTTGCAGTGAGCCGAGATCGCGCCACTGCACTCCAGTCTGGGCGATAGAGCAAGACCCTGTCTCAAAAAAAAAAAAAAAGAAAAAGAAAAAGAAAAAGAAATAATAGTGCACTGGAATAGTACCCCAGCCACAAGAAATAAGTGCATTTAACAAACATTACAAAGTAAGACTTTATTCAGTGACTGATCACAGAAAGAAGAGTAAAAATACGTCCAGAGTTTGGGTATGAAGAATTGTTACCCAAACTAAAGAAGTCAAAAGAAATAGCAGTTTTGTTGTGAAAGGTATAGAGTTTGGGTTTTGGGGATGAGGGAGCTATTATGAAGTAGAAGTGTCCAGTAGGCAGTTCGAGATTTATGACTAAAGTTGGGAGAGATGTCAGGGAGCAAAATAAATAAATGATTTTGGAGTGTTCAGTGATGAGATTATAATTGAAACCATGAAAGTGTATAGTTGCTTTCAGTATAGTTCCACTTTCTGGTGTTGTTCAAATAAAGAGCTGTCTAGACAGTTTGGGGGGTATGCTGTATAGGAGATTCAAACACTATATCTGAAAATGAAATTGATGGTTAAAATTCTCTCAAGGTCCAAGATTCTCTAAATCTTTTCTTTTACTCAGGGAAAGAAAGAAAACATGAGCAAGTGGAAAACACTTCTGTAACCAAGAAGAATTGCATACAGCAGTTTTAGCACTGACATAACAAATCGATAAATTAGGCAGCTCAACCATCAGAGATTAGTAGAGTAGAGGTATTCATTAATTGTGTCATTTGGACCAAAACATGAATTTGGAGTTTGAGAAAGACATGATCTTTGTGTTCTGGAATGGGCATTCTAGATTTCACGTATGGTTCACTCATTTGGTCAAACATGTTGATGCATAGTGTTACCTGCCTCCCAGGGTCAACTCACATCTTCTGTTTTTTTCTCTTTCTGCAGAAGATAGATGAAGAGAATGAGGCAAACTTGCTAGCAGTCCTCACAGAGACACTAGACAGTCTCCCTGTGGATGAAGACGGATTGCCCTCATTTGATGCGCTGACAGATGGAGACGTGACCACTGACAATGAGGCTAGTCCTTCCTCCATGCCTGACGGCACCCCTCCACCCCAGGAGGCAGAAGAGCCGTCTCTAGTAAGAACCCTTCCTACTGTTTAGCAGGAATTGGAGTTGCCTCTGGCTACCCGCTGCATGGGTATGATGTAGTCACAATAAGGTTTGGATTTTTTCATTTAGAATGATGCCAAAGCAATCCCCAAGCACACTCAGAGTTGCAAATTGTGTGATTCTCTGTTTAAAAGTGTTGATAATACACGTCTTCGTGTAGTCTTATTGCAGTTTTTTTTACTATCTTTTGCTGTTATGTGTGTGTATTTTTCTATCTTAGTGTTATTTATGTTCATGATGAAAACTTAGAAAATGTTGGCAACTAAAAGGAAAAGACTAAAAATTTCACCTGTGATTTCAAATAACCTCTCATATAAAAATGATTGCAATATCCTTTCAAGATATATCATGAGCATATGGGTTCAAATTTAAATACATGCATAATTTTTAATGGTTGCATAGTATTTTATTGTATGGAAATATTCTAATTTATTTTGCAATCTTTTATGGGTGGATATTTAGTTTTTTCTTCTATTTTTCACTATTTCAAATTGTATAATAATTAACATATTAGCATTTTTATTCTTATACATACAATCCTAGAAAGAATTGGTAGATCAACGAATGTGCAATGTTTTAAGACTTTGGATCCATATTTCTTATGAAGATTGAAAAACTATAGCACGTTTGCCACCCAAGTTACTTAAATTTATGGTAGACAATGAAGACTGAATTTGTTGGAAATGAAGAGAGAATTTTCTGTTCAATGCAGTGCTTGACCAGAGTTTTATTAGTTCTAAGACACAGTTTACCTTCTCATCTATGATAGCCATTTGTCATTTGCTAAAAATCAGACATAAGGACATGCTGTGTAAATTATGGGATGCCATGATCCTCCAGACTCTAATATCGTGTTTGGCATGCCATTTAGAGGTTGTTACTCTCCTATCACTAAGTTTTTGAATGTTAAAAATACTCTATGCAAATATATGGAGGCCCTACTTTGAGTCCATTGGATTTTGAGGTTTCTCATATGGAGAATATCTCATAAGTAATTGTTATTTATTCTCCAATTTCTCCATTTGTTAGTGTCATTGGCTTTGCTCCCTAGTACCCTGATTTCTTTCCATTGATATCAGATTGTTTTCATCTATTCAATTTGTTCATTTGGGAAGAGCAGTTGACTCAGAGACATACTGTATGTCAGAACAGGGAAGTCCTTGAGGGTCATCCAGTGAAATGAAGAAACAGAGGTCAGGAGACAGCAAATACTTTGCCTGTGTCAGAACCCACATCTCCTGATCCACAGGCCAGGACTCTACTTACAAATCCTTTTTTTCTTTTCTAAAATCAGTGATAGTCATTCTTTTATCCAAACATTCTTTGAATCAGTAATTTCATACACCAGGTTATGAAACACGGTTCAAAGCATCACAAAATCTTTCATTTGTTGCCACTTGACTTATTTGGATTTTTAGAAAGAAAATGTGTATCTATTCTCCCCCACCCCCCACACTCCACTCCCATGTCTTCATTTAGCAAGGCAGCTTTTCTCACCTAGTAGTGATTTGGAAATTATTTTAGAAAGATGTTTTTTGCTTTATTTGTTCAAAAAAAATATGTAGACAACACCAAGTCCAATTTATGCAGTAATCCCTTATGGCTGGAAATTTTGAGATTTTCCTTCTACTTTTCACTATTATTTCTTGTATAATAATTGGCACATTTGCATTTTTGTTCTTATGCATACGATTCTAGAAATTGAATTGGAAGGAAAGGAAATATTTTCATAGTTGGTAGTGTAATGCCAAACTTTTTTCTACTCTTTAAATATCATATTTCCTGTAGCACTATTGCGCTAAGGTGTGACATAAATAAAATGATAGAATTAACTTTTATAATTATAATAAATTACATTTAAAATTTCAATAACTTATTCCAATGCTTAAAAGATGCATAACTTTACTTGCTTTTCCCTTTCCCTGATAATGTTTCTAGCTTAAGAAGCTCTTACTGGCACCAGCCAACACTCAGCTAAGTTATAATGAATGCAGTGGTCTCAGTACCCAGAACCATGCAAATCACAATCACAGGATCAGAACAAACCCTGCAATTGTTAAGGTACAAATGTAAATTTTTTAATACAGGGGGGATGTACCAAAGGATTTTGGCTTGAAGCAGTAAAACAAATAAGTTTGTAGGTATTAATTCAGCTGGGACCCCGAAGCTGCCTCATAATGATGAAATAGATTATGAATGGGATTCCGTAAACAGCGCTTGAGCTACTTTAAACTAGGCAGAGTTCATTTACGCATCGTCTTTGGGTGTTTGGAATGGAAGTGCCACTGTCTGTTAGTTCTTGCCCACTTTATTGTTACCTGCAGCATTGTGGGCCACGGTAAAATTTGCTGATAAGCTGGTATTATCTATGAGTGGCTTTAAGATGCAGAATTGCTGTTTTGCTAGCTGTCTAACCTGAGAAAGATTGCTTTTGGAATCACCACAAAACATCTATCTCTGCCATTAATTGGATGGAATGCTGGCAATGCCATAATTCAGCTAGTGGGCTGTATTAAACAATGTTTGTCTTGCTATTCACTGTGAGTGAAAACGGAGCATTAAGGGGTACTTAAGAGAGTTGTGAGTACTGGGCGTCAGCAATCAGTGGCAAATTAAGGTTTAAGCCAGCCGATTTTTTTTATTCACAATAAAGGCGCTGTAGGGTCTTGTTAGTTACATGTTGCTGAGTAGGAACATTGAAATGTAGGAGAAATAAAATAAAAAGCTGCATAAATGTCATTTAGGAATTTTAAATGTAATTTTCTTTCCTTGTTCTGCAAACAGTTATTCACAGCTCATAGATCTAGTACACTTAGACTGAACACTTCATTGAAAAATCCCATCTCTCCAGAAAACCTATATCCATTCTGATAAGGTTCAGTTCACTAATTTTAGCTTTCTTTATGCCTTGTTTTTAAGACTGAGAATTCATGGAGCAATAAAGCGAAGAGTATTTGTCAACAGCAAAAGCCACAAAGACGTCCCTGCTCGGAGCTTCTCAAATATCTGACCACAAACGATGACCCTCCTCACACCAAACCCACAGAGAACAGAAACAGCAGCAGAGACAAATGCACCTCCAAAAAGAAGTCCCACACACAGTCGCAGTCACAACACTTACAAGGTAGGCTGGGGACCAAAACGAGCTGTTGGTGAGGGCACTGGAAGCAAAGAAAGCACATGCAAAGTCTGAGAACACACCAACTTCTTGCTTCCGTCCCATCAGCGTCACTCTGTGGAAAGAGAATTCAGCACTTATTACAGAGCGGGGGAAGAAACCTTTCCTTGGACACAGGTTAAACATATTCTATTCAGCTGATAGGCAGTCTAATTCACAAGCACCAAAAGACTCCTGAAATGTTAGCCAGGTGGTGAGGAATTGCAACATCACATGATGTTTATATGAATCTCAGAATAGCTGAGATAATTGAGGTTATGAACAAGCTGGGCTAACCAATTCATTATAGAGCTTTTATTTTTTCCCTTCCAGTAATGGAAAAAATGAGGCACCAGTGATTTGTTATATACACCTTAAGAAGTAGTAAATAGTGTTTATGCAGCCTCTCTTGATTACTAAGTACATTCCTTTTCTAATTCTTCTTGTTCTTTCTTCTTCTTTCTCCCTCTCCTTCTTTCTCCTTCTCCTCCTTCACCTCCTGCTTTCTCCCCTTCCTCTTCTTCTTCCTCTTCCACTCCTTCTTCCCCTTCTCCTCCTTTTCTACAACCACATGCTATGCTCACAGATTTTATTCTGTAAATAAAGATTTGAAAAATCCTGATTGTTTTCTTTCTATTTAAGAAAGTGCCTAGATTAAACTAAACATCTGGGTTGATTTTTATTATCACCATATATTGCTGGAGAAGGCTGATGGTTCTGAGGCAGATCCTGGTGATTTGGGGAAAACCTCTCTTGGCAGAGATACAATTTTCTATCTTTTAGGCTCCTCCTTCTCAAAATGTCGTGGTCTTAGAAGCCCAAAGACCCCTTGAAATGGGCAGTTGATTTAAAACATGCCAGCTTCTACTTTAACCTTGTGGTGGAAGTAGGCATATTATAACACACCAATTATAAACATATACCTCTTTTTTTTTTTCACTTTCATTTTCCCAACTTTTCCTTTTAACTGCAGAGTGGGAGCCAGTGATTTCTGCTTTGAACCATGATTAATTCGTGTAGGTATGCTGTTATTGCTGCTGATTCAATACGCTTTTTTTCCCCAGTGTTCTGAATTTTCTTCCCTCTTCACTACCTCAGTATTAGCCCAGGATTTTCAGAAGCCTTCCTGTAATATTTTAAAATGGCTTTCCATTAGGTTTTCCCTGGTAGATATCTCAAATCCACTGCCCATCACTTTCTGTCAGTTTGGGAAAATATAATTAGTGAAATGGACCGCATTCTCATTGCTCCAGCTGGATCTTCCTCATAAGCACTAGAACAGTTTTTCCTGGAGTAGAACCACTCTGCCATAGGCCTTGTTGGTCATGAAGGCCTCAGGTGAGGGGAAGCAGATGAGCTCGCTCTAGTGAGTGAACAAATGAATTCACCGGGCTACTCCTCACCCTGTGCTGGTCATGCATGCATTTTCTGGGGCCAAATTTAAAGTCCTTGTAATATGTGACCCAGCCCGGCAGCACAGGTTTTAAAGTTGTTTTTTTTTTCTTTTAGTAAACTTTTACAAATCATGACAATGAAGAATTAAATAGGCCTTTGGAGGAAATTTTCTTTAGATGAGACTGGCTGTATTTGGTATATATCTGTGGCAAGGTACAAAACGCTCACCCCAGAACAAAACCTGTTGACAAACAGACAAAATTCTTTAGTTATGAAAGGCTTAAAAGAAATGAAACATGGCTGACAAGTAAGAACTAATAAATGCTCAACTTCAGTGATTATTTGAATTATTATTCAAAATCAAAATGCGGAAAATACATGAACAATTAGAGATAACTAGGAGGATCGATTGAAATTACCTTTCTTAAGGTGTTGTAATTTTTTTCTCACTGAACATCACGTATGATCTCCATAAAACGTTTTGGAGTCAGGTTCTTTTCCTTAGGATGATTGTCTAGCCATGGTTGTGTGTTGATGTCTCATTTATTTGTTCATTTATTCATGCATTCACCCAAATACCACAATCTACATGAAAAAGACACATTCCTGACTTTAAGGATCCTACTAGTCTCTGGTCTACCAGTCACTGGAACAGGGTGGATTAAACTCTCAATAAACCAAATCAATACTCCTCTAATGGTGGAATTAGAGAGTCTGGGTTTATTCAGGGATCGGATTCTGTATGTGGTTTGGGGACTGTCCCCTTCTTATGGCTCTCATTTCCTGTTTGCCTTTGGTCTCATTAACTATGACTGTTGCCATCTCCTCTCCTTTCATTGACTTTGACCTTACCTGTACCCAACAATCAGAATTCGAGAGTCTTCCTTTGAGCATTTCAAATAGCCTACCCTACCTCTTGAAAACCAGAATTTCAGTGACTGATTTTCAATGTACATTTATTGTGTCACATAGCATATAGCTAATATCTGGTTATATTTTCTATGGAAGTTGTATGAATTATCCTAATTATTAGTTGAGTATCATAAAACTTGGTAAAGTTTCTTCATAAATGGATTCTTTTTGAAAAACTTGTTATATTAGACATACTCAAAAATTAATGTAAAATCAGCTCATTTATCTGTGTAAATGAAAAACTGAATCAATGTATCTAATTTGTTGAAGATATGAGCTTCATATTTCTGGATGTATGATATACCATTCAACTGTGTAGATCTAAATCTATAAATATGCAAATACTATTTATCCAAGTAAAGTGTCTAATTTCAGGTTAATTTGGACATGAATAATATTTTCACATTTCAAAAAAATTGATTGCTGGGGTTGATTAATTTACTTTAAAGTCGTTGAATGCAATTTCTTTTGACAATAGGATAAAGGAAACAGAATCTTGGCCAACTCTGTGAGTAACTATTTTATGGCCCTGAAAATATCACTTAGTATCATTGGGTCTCAGTTTCTTCAACCATAAGATAAGAAACTTTATTCTAAAGACCTTTTTGGTTTTGACACTATGATTTTCATTACATAAATAACTACCACTTGACCTTTTGAAAGTAATTATTTTAATGAGAAAAAATTGACATAAACCTACATACACATAAACATATGCTTATAGATAAGCATAGATATACATAATACATGAATGTATAGCCCAAGTATGCCTCTCATCATATTTTCCCCTCCTTCTGTTCAAAATACAAGATTGCCACAGAGAAGCAATTGAAATTTTGGGTGAGAAGATTCTTAATCCACCCTTCATTATTGGGAAATGCCTCCTGTAGGAGGTAAGATTCAGAAAAGCACAAAAGGCAGTAGTTAGCCTCTTTGCAAGTCTACACACCTTTCAACTGATTAACATGGTGTTTTACTTTAGTTGTCTATCAGATTTGGGGATCTGAACCCCTTCTAAACCATCTGGATCAATGCCCACAATTTGCCATCATCTCTCAATTAATTTTCAGTGAGTGGAATAGTTACTGCATGAGCTTTGGCCTCATAGAAATAACTATTATCAGGGCTAGATATAAAATTATACGTTTTAGGAGTAAAATCAACTGAATATTCATAATGTTCTGTCGCCTTATAGTTGCTCTGCTGTTTTCTTGTCTAAACAAACCGTGTACTGTATTCCAAATTAAAATAGAAAACATTATTTCTCTCTGATGGTATGATGCAAATTTTGTATCTGTAACAGGGAGGGTTCATTTTTGGAAAAATTCTATTTTCATATGTGTTTTCGAATGGTAGTTTACTGATGCAAACGCTGTTTGGAATTTGTTTTAGCATAATGGACTTTTGTCTGACTTTGATTCAATATTCAGAGAATTCCTTAGTTTAGTCTTTGAGTTTTCTGGTTGTTTTTCCAACTTGACTGTTGTGGAGAGAAAAGAAATCTAAAAGACACTCAATATTACATAATTAGTTTCTTTTTTTTTTCTTTAGCCAAACCAACAACTTTATCTCTTCCTCTGACCCCAGAGTCACCAAAGTAAGTATTAAGAAATGTAACCATTTTCTGAAAGGGAAGGGGGTTCTAATACATTTGGCTACAGCAACTCCATTTCAGTTTGTTTTTATAAATGTGCCATATCTTCCAGTGACCCCAAGGGTTCCCCATTTGAGAACAAGACTATTGAACGCACCTTAAGTGTGGAACTCTCTGGAACTGCAGGTAAGCCTTATATTTCACTTAGAACTTGTGTGTGTCTGTCTGTATATGTGTGTGTGTGTAATAAGATAACAGAGTGTACTGTCTATGTGGTTAATGAAATTAACAAAGAATACAAAATTGGATAAGAAGTTATCTGCAAATATTTCCAGTTGTTTATTTAAAAAAAAAAAACTAATAAAAAATATTGAAGCGCTTAAAAAACTTAGACTAACTGAAGAGCTCTTAGGCAAACTTCTGAGTTGGTTGCAAATGGTGCCCTTGCACTAAGTGCTTTAAGTTTAGGTACTTGAACCCCACCAAAAAGTGAGTCGTGGGATGTCTAAACAAGAAATTCCTTGGCTCTGGCCATTGCTGATAAGGTTAAAGGAACAGTACATTAAACAAGATGCTTTGAACCAGAACTATGGTGCCTACCTGCACCGTGGTCATTGTTGCTAGTTTAATTTCACACTTTGTGTTTGCTAAATTACCTTCTTATGAAAGGTCTAATGCATGATTGCATGACTTGGTCAAGCAGTAGAGTAGTTAATTTCATGGTGTAGATATATAGTGTATGTGTGTGCAGACTCACACATATGTACATATATACATATTTTTATAGGCATGCACACATAGACACAAATCTTTACTTATAAGCATATACTTAACATCATTTCTTAAATACATAACACTATTTCTTAAATACATTATAACTTACATATATGTTTAGGAGTAGCTTTTGTGTGTATATATGATATGCAGTAGAGGCCTTCTTATCTGACCAGTGAGGACCAGCAATTGGTGGGTTTATTAAAAAAGTTGATTCAAGCTTATACTGTTTTATTTTACCTTTGCTTAAAACACAAAAATATACATTCAAATATTACAGTTTTGGTAGAAGATGGAGATCTTTACCTTAAGCTTATTTTTTACTATTTGGGGGTCTATTGATTCATCTTTCTTGTATAAACCACACTAATATATTATTATATAATACATATTATAGATGGTAGCCACTTTTTATTGCTTGCTCCTTGAAGGAAAAGATTAGAGACATTGGTATGGTAGTCTGAATTCTTCTAGATTTTTATAATTTTTCAAATATTTTCCAATTCCACCCATCCACAACTAATTTGATAACACTTCTTTTAGCAATGACCTTTTTTGAGTTTTTTTTTACAGGAATATTTTTCCACACTCACATTTCATTCATTTACAGGAGATTTTACCATCTTACATAATTTCAATCACCAGTACAATGCACATGAACTGTTTAGTCTATTGGGGTACTGAGACACATTGATAAGTAGCATGAAAGCAAATATTATTTACTGGATATGTTCCACCACCTTCTAACAAAGGTAGGCCCAGAAAGCAGTTTTTAGTTTGTTGAGTGTGATTGTAATAGCTGTACAGATATAAATTGGGGAAGCTGAAGTAAAGCCCAATTGCATTTATGTAACAGAAGTGATTTAGAGCTTTGGAAAGCAAGGAGATGAGGACTTGAAAGATGCTGAATGAGGCTAGAAGGTAAAGTTTGGAACCTTCCTGGAGAATAACATAAAGAGGAGATTGAGGGAGATTTGTTTTTTCTCTAGAGATATTCTGGGCTTGAAATGCAGTGCAACATATAATGTCTACAATTGTCATCTCCTCTTAAAATCTTCAGCAAAATTGGTCGCTTAGTAGTGTTTGAAGATTGTGACAAACACTAATTGTACCTAGAAAGAATCACAAAGGGAGAAAAAGAGTTATCAAAGGGAAAACACTGCAGCATAGTTCAAGTTTAAAGACATTGATTGGCCAAAAGAGTTTTTTAAAATGATAAAGGCAGTTAAAGGACTGACAGAAATATTTAGGCAATACTATCATCCTAGTGAATGACAGAGGTGATTCATGGAAAGGAATGTGGAGGAAATTAAGCTCTCCATAGGCTAACCTGACTTGGAGAGCCTTCAGGGAAAACAAACAAACAAAAAAAATGCACAGATTTTGAAGCGTAGGGGTGGAATGGAGAGAAGATGTTGATGGAGCAGAAGCAAGAAAGCAGGAAACCAAAGGGATGCTCAGATGACAATGAATTTGGCAAGGACTGTGAAATCAATAAGGAGCAACAAGATGGCACACACACTTTCCCTCCTGGATCTTTTGATTGCTAAGACTCTTTTCTACATCCTTGATCTCTTGTACACCTCAGTTTCCTCCATTTCAAAGTCATATTCATAACTACTGATAAAATTGTCTACTCAAAAGACTAAAATATAGGTTGAAAAATAAAATTGCCAGTATGCAATCATTTTTGACACACAAAAATGGAATTTTATGTGGTTCGATCTGAAGTAAAACAGTTTATAAGCAGCAAAGCTTCAATTAAAAGTAGTATATCGTGATTTTAAAGAGCAGATGGCATAGCTTGGTGAAGTTTACAAAACCTTGGCTTGGATGTTGGGCAAACCCAAGTTTAAATTCTGAATGACCTCCCATCTAGTGTGTGGCCTTGGTCCATTTACTTAACCTCTGAAAGACTAGGATTCTTATGCATGATATGAAGATGGTTACAATACCTACATCTCACTGGGTCAGTGTGAGGATTAAATGAGATAAAATATGAGTGCCCCCTTATTATATAAGTACTCAATAAATATTAGATATTTAATTACTAATTCTGAGTTAACTTCATTTGCAGTGGTCGTTGTACCTTACTTCTTATCTTTCCAACTTTTGACTGGTTTCACCTCTTCCCTTTTATTGCCCTTGCTGTGTATCCTCTTTGGCAATCTCATATATGAAGTTATTTATTCTTTTTCTGTGCCTCCCCCACCCCCTACTATTTTCACATCAAATTGAACAAATACTGCTTTTGGTGTAGGTATGGAATTTACCAAATCAAGGCAGAACACTCACTGATTTGAGATTCTCTCAGCAACAGCTACTTCTATGACTACAATTTCTGGCAATCAGGCACTCCCTAAATAGGTACTTCACATACAGTATCTTCCTTACTTTCTGCCCATTTCATTGTTGAGGAAAGATTTATACGTTGACACAAGCTATCTAATGGACCCTGGGTTCAAAGCAGGTCTGCCTGAAGAGAACTTATATCTCTTTCCTGAAGTCTGAATTTTAAAGATAGTAATTGACATATGTTATGTTAAATAGGCTTCATTGCACTTGCCAAGTGTCATTGATTGGTACTGTCTGCCAGGAGCATCGTGTTGAGAAAGATTCTAAGGCCAAGTCTGTGCTCATGGGGAATGTCATGATCAATTAGTGATGTCTACCATAGGTGCAGCAGGTGGGTGGCAAGGGTAGAAATAGCATTTATATTGGTGGTTTGTTGATCCTTGGTCTACAGGCTTAATCAGTTTGACTGCAGCAGCAGAAGTGACCCAAGCTTTGGCTCAGGCCTTCTGGTGTCTTCTTTTTCTTTACTCTCACAAATTTTGGTGAAATTTTCCAAATGTTTAAGTGGAAATGTAAGGAGTCAACAAAATTCTAAGACCTCCAGAATAATGCCTCTGCCCCATCTGCAGTGTCTTTGAGAAACAGGAGGGATGAGATAGGAAGTTTGCTTTATTAGGTATTGCCAGCTGGTCTGACTTCTTTGTGATTGTCCTAAACTAGCTCATTTTGGCTGATAAAAAAACTCTTCTCTTTTACAGGTGTAAAAACTAATTTGATTTCAAAATAGCTGTTAGTAAAGCAAGATGAGAGAAAAGAGAATGCTCTTTTGGCAGAAGGCATTTAAATCTATTGCATATGGAGATTTTCAGAGTGCTACACTTTTTTGTTTCTGAAATGGGAATGGCAAAGCAATGTCAGCTCAACAAGGTGACGGTTTAAACCACAGACACGAAGGAATTTGGGTAGGGACCAAAGTGACCCCAAAATTTTATGTATATGTATATATAGTTTTTATTTGTTATTACTGTAAACATTGTAACAGCAGTAGAACTATTTTATAACTGATAAAATGAGAAGAGCAAAAAATATAATCAGATGTCATCACCCTAAAACAAGTAGGCCTTCATAATTTTTTTCTCCATTGATATATGTTTTTCCACATTATTTTCATCAGAGGGGACATGTGATTTGATGTTATTTATTTTTTACTTAATTTTTTCTCTACGCTTTAATCAGCAGTCATTCAAAGTGTACTTTAGTAGACTCACAAATAAACAACAACAAAATACTCATTAACCAATTTGTAACTACCACTTTTATGTTGAATTTTACATTGCCTTTGTGGACTCTCAATTTAAAAGTTCACTTTGCTGGAAAAATGTACTGACAAACAGCATAAATATTGACAAACGGCTGTAGCCTTTTGGCATACATACTCCTTGTGTATGTGACATATCTTTGGGAAAGTGGACCAAAGTAAAATATGGGTAGTTGTCGGTAGTTTTAAAAGGAAAAGCATAGCATCAGAGAACTGGAAGGTGATTTTGACAGGCCACATAATCTATTCCTGTGCTTCAAGAATCTAAGAAAGGAAGACCCAACAAATTCTTTTTACAGCCCATTCCAATGCTTGGCGACTCTTACTGTCAGAGATTTCTTCCATATTTCAACCATATTCTTCATTTTCTATTTTCAATTTCATTCATTTTGACCCAGTGTCTATAATGACAATTCCTTTATTCCTAATTTTTCTTCTCTGGAAATGGTACCATCCTATTTCTTGTAAGCCAAGGATAGCAAAGGAATTTTCTCTCCCACATCAGCTTTGGGGTTTGGCAATAGCCACCTGAAATGCCAGGTTCCCCTTACCCATCCTCTATCCCAGCTCTGTGGGGAATTTACACAAGGGTCAATTAATGATATCTTCATCTTCCATGAGCAAGAGTTGGGGAATTAGGCTTATGTCATAGGAATGTTCTGAAGCTTTTCTCCAAGGCCAGTTTGTTACCCAGTAACCAGGGGTGATAGGAGAAATACTTAAAATGTACTGGAGGCAGGCCACTCCCAAATGGACTGTGGCCAGCCAGAGGACCAGCAGGGTCTGTTGGATAGTCTTCTGTGCCAAGTGTGAACACTTCAGTTGCTGGGTCTTGTGGAGCTCCAGTGAGTCCTGGGGAAGTAGGTGCAGAAGGAGAGAACACTAGGGCAGCTTTTATCTACTGAATATTTTAACAACTGCTGTAGAGGTAACGGTTGGTACTCAGTGAATATCAGCTTTCCCTCTGCACTCTTGACACCCACTCCAAATTCATGAGGCCTGAAATATGTGAGTAGGACAAGTCACACACCTCTCTTTGCTCAGTCTTCCTATTTTGGTGTGTTTTTAAGCAACTTAGAAACTCATCTCCTAATTTTTTTTTTCTTAAATACCTGAATTGGCATGCAACATATGCAAAATCCCACTGTTAAACAAACTTGAAAGTAAGTTGCAGATTTTGCAGTACATTCTGCAAAATGTTATAAACTCCAAAAAAAAAAAAAAAAAAAAAAAAAAAAAGATGCCATTGGTGAATAGCACATCACAAGAAACAGAGCCAGGGACTCACCATTTATCAGAGTCATTCAATTAAACAAACAAACCCAAAAGAAAACTCCTCCAAGAAAATCGTTTCATAGCGATAATGAAAAACAAAACAAAACTTGTCTTTGCCTTTTTTTTTTAAATAAAAGGGCTGTTTAAAAAGATGACTGTAGAGTATGTACCACTTCTCCCAGATTTGCTGTGCAGAAGTGCGTAAGTGTGAGTGATGTAGAGGTGCTTGTTTATTATGGAGCACATTTCAATGCAGTAATCATAAATATTGCTAAGGTTGTGCTCTGTTGAAATATGACCTACATACTCTTGATTGTTTGTGTTATGTGATTTGTCTGACACCCATTACATTCTGGGTAATAGCAGCCATTTGTTGCTCTGCACAGCAGGCTCTTTTGACAAAAGAAAATAGGCGGCAATAAAAAAGCTATAGTCTGAATTACATTCTGCACCGAGCTGCACTGCTGAGAGTTTGTGCAAGTGTGTTAACAATGCTCGGAACTGCCTCTTGTCAGCCTTCAGCCTGTAATGGCCATCTGTCCTCACATAAATCTGTCAAAACCTGCTAAGTTCAAGAGAGAGCATGGAATATACCTTGTACTGTCAACACCAAAATGTACACATTCCCCAGAAAATCAACACGCAGGAAATAATCCAGAGGTTATGGGAGGCATTAGCACTGTTGATTTGGGCTTGTGGCATGAAATCGAGAGTCCAGAGATTAGTGGGAAGATGAGCAAAGGTAGTGGCATCAAGGGATTGAGCACTGACCTCCCTCTTACTTCAGGGGGGAAAGTTGTGGGTAGCGGAGGTGAGGCTAGAGAAATAACAACTAGTTCAGAGGCAGCAAGGGGTTGCCTGTCTCATCAGCAGCTCTGAAAAGTTTAACACTATGTTCAAAGAAAGAAACATACTTCTTGCACCTTTGTTTTGTTTTGTTTGGCTTTGGGTCTCAACTGTATCTGGAGATAGGCTTTCCATTAGGGAGGCACTTGGTGATAGGAAATCTTGTCATCCGTGAGATTTCTCAATCTTGCTTTGAGATATTCTCCGGTTAGAGATGTTTCAGTAAACAATGAAGGGTTTAGGGAATTAGCCAAATTATTTTTCTCTCTCCATCTACTCACTAATCTTGAAATATCTTCCATTCAATAAGCAAATATTACCTATTTGTTTCAACAAATGGTGCCCGCAGAAATTTCCAGCCCTTATATTTTTACTCACAGGGCATATTTGATGGTCTCTGGGTGTTTCCATCAATTTTAAGTGTATATGCAGAAAAATATACTTATGTCAAATTTTAAAGAAGCGCTTTTCTATTAAAATCGATTGTGAAGTCCCTGGAGGCTGAGTCCCTGAAATAGCAGTATCTGGTGTCATATCCAGCACATAGTAGGTGTTCAACGAATGTCTGTTCAATGGCCACAGGCTGTCTAATGTGTGACAGAGGTAAAAGGCTTTGTTTTTAACCCAAAGAAAGTACAATCAAGGTGTCGCCACTCCCCAGAGCAACTTGAGAACCAGTTATTTAAGCGATAATGAGCTTGGGTACTAGGACAAGGGTTTCAAATTTTCAAGACTCAGAAGGATTTCTATATTTGAAATCCCTAGATACCTGAGCTATTTTTAGAACCAGTCGCTCTTTAATAGTGGCCTAATTTGGCGTTCCTGAAGTTTAAGGTTTCTTTTTATAAATCTAAAATATCTGTCAAGATATGTATACCTGAGAGTACAAAGTGGCGTGCGGCAGACACTCTAGGGCTGGGGTTCTCAGATGTGGCCTGTGAAGCATCTCATTAAAAATGTTTACCCGGTTTCCCAAGTGATTCTTGGGCTGCTGAAATGTGAGACCCACGACTAAAGGAGAATCTAGAAAAAATAAAATTAGTACAAAATAATAATGCAACAAATGTGCCCAAGCAACATCCTGCAAAGCGCTTATAACTGATTTGGAAAGACAAGACATAATTCACATTCGAAAAGAGATAAGCAAAAATGTATAGTAATATGTGATTGGTATCAATAGAGGGATCCTGACAGTAAATTACTAAAGAAGTAAAAATTACCCTAGCTTGGGGTGATCATGCAAAGATTTACGGAGTTGGATATGAGGATGTTGAATGCCATTTCCTCCAATTCAAGGGCTATGTCATTGGACATATTTGATTGGTATTTACTCAGCAAAGAGAGATTATTCCTCATTATTTCTTTAAGTATCTTAGGCTCCTAGGAGGAATATTTGAGAATGTGCTTTTTTTTTTATCTCGCTGGGAATTGCAAGTGGTAATTGAAGGTAGCATGTAGAAGAAATCAGTATGCATGAATAAGGCAGTGCAATTCGTAAATAAAGCAAGTGAAAATGGAGAGAAAAGATAAGATTGACCAAATAGGAATTTATTAGGTTGAGTAAAAGACATACTTATCTATGAGAGAGGAAACAAGAGTTGAGTGTGCCTCAGTGGCACAGATGTTTCATTCAGTCATGTAAGTCACTTCCTTTGCTACAGCAAAGAGAAGGGCAAAGAGCCATCCAAGAGCAGCTGTTAACAAAGGGAAGCCTTTTTGAGACTCAGGTGTGACCATGAGTGGAGTACAGTGTCCCATTCACTTTGTGTTTGCATTTCTCTGTCTTTCTGAGATTTTCTGAGTTGGAACTCCGAAGTCAAACCACCTTGCATTTGTATACCTTTTCTTCTCTCAGGGAGAATTAGCTTTGAATAATAAAAATTGCCAAATATTGGTGTAAAATATTTCACTTTAGAGAAAACATTCATTCTTTCCATTTCTTAATTATAAAGTAGGAGAGTGAGGCAGCATCTTCCTGTTCATATCAAAATCTCATGTGGCTTTCTGTGACCTACTTGGCTCTCGATATATGTGTGTTGTGTATGTCTGTGTTTATTTTTTTTCCAGCAAGGTAGCATTTTTTTCCTTGCAACTTGCCTTAAGTCTAACCCCAGGCTTGTTAGCAGACTTGAAGTTCTTTTTGCTGAATGGTATTCACCCCGCCTCCTAAACAGAAAATGTATTGTAAACTAAAATGCTCCATTGTAAGCGTAAACTCATTTGAACTCCAGCCTGCCCTTCTTCAAAGTTCCTTGGACTCTGGAGCCACTTGACAATGGTTCTTCCTCGGCACAAACGGATGAGTAGGGCTTACTTGGGGGAAAACTCAACAGAGGAAACTACTACGCTTCACGGACTCTCCCACAGTGGTTTCTGATGAAATGTTCTGCCCTCCTATAGAAAAGCAGAAAGAGCAACAGCTGATGGCTGTTCCTCTTTCTTCCTTTTTATTTATTTAATTAGTTAGCTGCTGAAGCTTGGCTGAGTTTCAATCCCTCAGTCTCATAACCCTCCCTTATGTTGTGCTCTATATAAAATGGTCGGCTGGCACTGTGATATTTAGTGTTACTGTTCACTTAGGTTTCTGTTGCAGAACCATATTTTAGACAGAATGTATTAGTTATGCTTACAAGAATGTATTATACCTACATTAGCCATGGTTTACTAGGTTAATGAACTGTGGCGACAAAGAATCACTGCCGTTAAGTTGTAGAGTTGCTCTAGGTCCCTGCATTCGGCTGTCGTATTTCACTGAACTTACTTTGAAGTTGCTTATGTCACTCTCACCATTGCCCCATATTTCCTGTCATCCCATCTTTTTTTTTTTTTTTTCTTCTAAGTTGCTTAATTCCTTGGCTCCAAGGGTAGATTCTCTTGATTGGACAAAGACCCCTGAGCTGCTTGCATCCTCTGCAATGTTCTTTGCAGACAAATGCTACCAAGGCTATTCCGTGATTCCTCAGTCTCACTTTGTTAATTTTCCATAAAGCAGCCCATACAATCCCCTTGAAAATGCAAGCTTTGGTAATAATGCCTAGTTCCGTGCAGGCCAGGGGTGATGCATTCATGTTTTCTGGGAAGCAGGATTTGTTAGCATTGGTGTTTGAAATACAAAAGATCACAGCCTCCTGCTCAGCACTGTAGATCCATCTTTTCTTGGTGACAGAGGCTTAGGGGATGAGTCAGTTTTTCAGGCCTTGTCATGAAATTAGTTTCCTTCTTCTTCACTCAGTTTGAACCCTTGTCTGAAATCTTGGAAAAATTAGAAACATGTGTCTTCGCATTTAAGAACATTATCTCTGTCTCTTTTCTTTCTCTCTCTTTTTTTTTTTTTTTTTAATTTTTGCCTTAGGCCTAACTCCACCCACCACTCCTCCTCATAAAGCCAACCAAGATAACCCTTTTAGGGCTTCTCCAAAGCTGAAGTCCTCTTGCAAGACTGTGGTGCCACCACCATCAAAGAAGCCCAGGTACAGTGAGTCTTCTGGTACACAAGGCAATAACTCCACCAAGAAAGGGCCGGAGCAATCCGAGTTGTATGCACAACTCAGCAAGTCCTCAGTCCTCACTGGTGGACACGAGGAAAGGAAGACCAAGCGGCCCAGTCTGCGGCTGTTTGGTGACCATGACTATTGCCAGTCAATTAATTCCAAAACAGAAATACTCATTAATATATCACAGGAGCTCCAAGACTCTAGACAACTAGAAAATAAAGATGTCTCCTCTGATTGGCAGGGGCAGATTTGTTCTTCCACAGATTCAGACCAGTGCTACCTGAGAGAGACTTTGGAGGCAAGCAAGCAGGTCTCTCCTTGCAGCACAAGAAAACAGCTCCAAGACCAGGAAATCCGAGCCGAGCTGAACAAGCACTTCGGTCATCCCAGTCAAGCTGTTTTTGACGACGAAGCAGACAAGACCGGTGAACTGAGGGACAGTGATTTCAGTAATGAACAATTCTCCAAACTACCTATGTTTATAAATTCAGGACTAGCCATGGATGGCCTGTTTGATGACAGCGAAGATGAAAGTGATAAACTGAGCTACCCTTGGGATGGCACGCAATCCTATTCATTGTTCAATGTGTCTCCTTCTTGTTCTTCTTTTAACTCTCCATGTAGAGATTCTGTGTCACCACCCAAATCCTTATTTTCTCAAAGACCCCAAAGGATGCGCTCTCGTTCAAGGTCCTTTTCTCGACACAGGTCGTGTTCCCGATCACCATATTCCAGGTCAAGATCAAGGTCTCCAGGCAGTAGATCCTCTTCAAGGTAAACCTTGGCAAAACCCTAATAACACAAAAGGTGTTCCTAAGAAGTAAAAAATAAAATAAAATACAAATAAAAATTTGAAATCTGCAGCCATTCTGGCCCCTGACCACTGCAATTCTGGCACTGCTGGAACTAACGAGAACATTGTTACACTCACATCTCTCTCCATGTTCTCTTAAATCTGTCACCTCTGAGCACAGTGCCTTGAGCCAGTCCTATCAGAGAGAGCAATTTGTTAAGAAACTTGCTCATCCAACTTTTTCCATTACCTGGAGAGCTGCCCTGTGCCAGGATAGTGGAGATCCATGCAAGATAAAGCTGACAGTGTACCAGACCTGGTGCTCAGTGTTAACATCAATAAGAGACGCTGAGAGAGAGCACATCACTCCCAGCCCTCTAAGTTGACTAGATGATCACAAACTGTCACTGGGAAATCTCCCTAGTAGCTGGGAAGAAAAAGCCAGTCTCTGTAATACAGTGTCCCAGAGGATGCTCCACAGTGCCGATAAACTTGGGTTAAGTGGCAGTTGCAAATGCCCTTTTTGCTTTTCTCCTCTGGCGCAGATCCTGCTATTACTATGAGTCAAGCCACTACAGACACCGCACGCACCGAAATTCTCCCTTGTATGTGAGATCACGTTCAAGATCGCCCTACAGCCGTCGGCCCAGGTAATGAGGCATGTCATTTTCCTTTAGCTCCCTTTATCCCCTCCTTGAGATGACAAGATGTTCTCCAAAACCCTATACCCCTCCCCATATTATTATTCATTTTGCTCATGAAAATTGAGGTGGTTGACTTAGTGATAAAGTTATGTTTCCCAGGTATGACAGCTACGAGGAATATCAGCACGAGAGGCTGAAGAGGGAAGAATATCGCAGAGAGTATGAGAAGCGAGAGTCTGAGAGGGCCAAGCAAAGGGAGAGGCAGAGGCAGAAGGCAATTGTAAGTGGCCTGGAGCTCACTTTTATTTTAAAGTAGGGTTTCTTCTTTTTCTGTGTGCTTTTTTTGGTGATAGATTAGAAAATAAACAAAAGCTAAGTCTTTGTTAGAACAGGCCATTTTCAGCCTTTTGGCTTTAAAATATCCATAAGTCTTCGGTCCCCATTGACCTAACTTATTGGAAAACAAAATGTTTAAGTCAGTATATTTCTCACTCACAGTTTCATTTTGAAGTTCATTACTGTTTTCACCTTCTGTTTTGAAAAATGGAGGGAGTAGAGATTTTTTTTTCAGTCAGATATTTGTTCTTTCTGATCACAGGATAAGTTTTTCTTTCTGTTTCCTGTTACTTCTCTCTTTGAGCGGAAAATGAGGAGGGATTGCTATCTCGTTTCAGTTTTTGTCTTTTTGGCCGGCAGGAGACTTAAATTGTCCATGAAGAGACTGAGTTCAAGTTGGATTTAAAGGAGCAGTGGAGGAAGAGTTGCTAAGAAAGTCATCATTTCTGGCCAGGCACGATGGCTCATGCCTGTAATCCCAGCACTTTGGGAGGCCAAGGCATGTGGATCACTTAAGGCCAGAAGTTTGAGACCAGCCTGGCCAACATAGGAAACAGGAAACGACATAGGAGACAGGAAACCCTGTCTCTACTAAAAATACAAAAATTAGCCAGGCGTGGTGGTGCATGCCTGTAATACCAGCTACTAGGGAGGCTGAGGCAGGAGAATTGCTTGAACCAGGGAGGTGGAGGTTGCAATGAGCTGAGATCGCACCACGGAACTCCAGCCTGGGTGACAGAGTGAGACTCTGTCTCAAAAAAAAAAAAAAAAAAAAAAAAAAAAAAAAAAAAAAAAAAAAAAGTCATTTCTTCTGCGTGATGGTCGTCATCTAACTGGGTAATTGACACACCCACATTTCTTATGAACTACTTTTCAATGACATTTTATGGATTTCAGCACCACTTACCAGGGGGTATTATATTAACTTGACATATAGACAGTGCTGACCCTTCTGTGTAAAGATCCACGTTATGTTATATTTGTTTGCTGTCTGAAGATCAGTCCTCATTTTCAGCAGCTGCTGACTAGTGGGTAGGCTTTACCCCAACTCCCTACCGCTGTTTATCAACCTAGACTTTGGATGGCAAAAATAAGTCAGTCCAGTTGTCAAAATCCAGCCCATGCCCATGGCAGACATTCCTAATCGATAATGGAACTCTTTCCCATTGAGCCCCCTCAGAGCCTTACGGTCTTTTCTGACATGATGCTCTAGGGAGCCATGACTAATCAATGAGATATAGCACTGCTTTTATTCAGTGCAGCTGCTCCCTGTGTGCTAGCCACTCAGAGTTAGCTCAGTGAAGATCAGCTTTTGACATATCTTGCATCTAAGCTAGCCAAGGCTTAGGGAAATGATTTTTGACTGTAAAGGTTAGATTTATGTGTTATCTTTAAAAAAACTCACTAACATCAACACAATTTTGCAAAAGCTATATAAAAGAGCTGACTAATGGAATCAAAATCAAGCATTGGCCAACAGTTACCAGCTGGAGGAAAAAGGTTAAATGAGAGATTTGTTCAACACAGGCACTTAAGGAGAAATAAGTGAGAAGTAACTGAACACTTAGGTCAAAGTTTTGGAGGGTTTGCTGCCATTTAACTTTGAATCTACCTAAGACTGACTCAAAGGCATTTTGCAAATTACAACAATTTGCCTCATTTTTCTCAACTTCCAAATGAGCAGTGATATTAAGATTTGCCAAAGTGTCATTAGTTAACACTTACGAAGACTAATGAAAATTAAAATTCAATTTTTCTAATATCACTGTATTTAATTAATGGCCTATTCAATAATTATAATAACTCACATTTATATAGTGCCATATAATTTACAAAGCCTTTTAATATGGCACATTATAATCATTACAAAAGAAAATCATGCTGAGCGAACATGTAGGAAAATGATTATTTTGGTGTTTGCAAATTTATATTTTATAAAATCCTTCATTTTTCCCCCAAAAATAGGACATTAAAGAGAAAGATTAATAGTTTCATCATAAATTTGCTTATATGGCCATGACACAACACAGTTGTAACTAAAGCCAGATTAATATTTTAATCAAAAGCATGTAAATAAATGATGTGTTTATTTTATGCCTTCTAAAGATGATTAAGTGCCAGATATTAATAAAGAAAGGAAGGGAGGTGTCTTTTTTGTTGCTAGTTCGGCCCTTTACAGATAGAGCAAGTAGTGTCATTGGTCTAGATGACACAAAATCACCCTGAGGGTCACCAGCCTCAGCTTGGAAGCAGATGCTACCCTGTTGTCCCTTTGTGTTACAAATGTTGACTAGTTCCTCTGTTAATTCTTAGATGAAAGTAATCTGTATCAGTTCTCTTCCAAAGAGCACTTGTAATACAAGTGTCAACTTGATTTTTATTAAATCATTTTACATTAACTAGACATTTGTGAGAATTTTGGCTTTAAAATTCGCTTTTGTTTTTGAAAAGTAGATTGAAGGAAACCTAGAACATAGAGATTGTTTACCAACAGAGTGGACTATAAGTGATAAGTGCTTAATAAAGATTTGGGACTTACTGTTTAACCAATTTCCACTTGGACAATTACATGCTGTTTCTATTGAACATGAGTGAAAGCTCATAGCTCTTTCTGTAATAAATATTTGCCATTTGGTTGGGATATAAAATTAGGAAAGACATCGTCCCTGTATCCAAGGAGCTTCAACCATACTGGCAGATAAAAATACACAAACAGGCAATACAGTGTGATAAGTGCTATTATAAGGGGTGCATCTGTGGCACTGTTGGGGTGGTATATTGGGGGCATCCAGATCTATATATGAAGGAGAACATCCTCAGAGAGGGTATAAGACTGATCCAAATCCTAAAGGGAGAAAGGACAAAGATTTTCTCCACCTGCAGCATCCAATATGGTAGCCTTTAGCCACACGGTTAATTTGATTGGGCCATATTAAGATGCACTGTGTGATTGGATTTAGAAGACTTAGTATAAAAAAATAGTGTAAAATACTTCATTTATCTTTTTATATCAATCACAAATTGATATAATAGTTTGGACATGTTGAGACCAATACAATATATTATTAACATTGAATTTTTCATATTTTTACTTTTTAAAATGTGGCTCTTAGAAAATTTTACATGACATACTGCATTGTATGATTACTGGACATTGCTTTTTTAGACAGCGGCTATAGCTTATACTAAGTCTCTAAAAAAGAATAAGGTATATTGAGAAACTACTAGTCGTTTAATTGGAACACTGAGACACAAGAGGGGCAAGAAATAAGTCTAGAGGGAATGGTGGAAGATAGCCTAAAGGGTCCTATAATTCATGCTAAAGATTTTGAAAGCTATCTTGAAGGCATCATGGAACTATTTAATGAGTTTACCTACATGAATTTTTTTTATTGATTCCCTTCCTCCAAATAGTTAGCTTTCTAGTACCATAATGCATCCCCAAAGTATATTTTTATGGACTTGAGTGCAGGGATACATGCAATGATTTTTAACTGATTTGAAAAAATTAGCTTGAAAATTCATACATAGAAGAGCTAAGGGAACAAGGACAGTCCAGACTTAAGTTGGTCAGGTACATGATGTTCTTTCAATGTTTGAAACAACCTTAAAGTAATGAGTAAGAAGCAAATTACATTTAAGATATCTTGGGGTCAGTGTTGGGTTGTTCATTAATCAAAGCAATCATATATTTAGGGAACCAGAAAAACAGAGACTCCAAAAGGCAATGAAAAAAAAAACCTTCAGAAATTTAATAATTGTTATTTTACAAAATTAAAGTCATCTTTTTAACCTTTGTCTGCATTACTTCTATTTTGAGTTCCATAAGTAGGAGGTGTTTTAGGAGATCTATAAACTTTTCATTGCTTATGTTTCTAAAATCCTAATTCAGCCCAAGTTGAGTGAGCCAAATCCAAAAACAAAGAGAACACTAATAATTAGTAATTACCAATGCAAAATCTTATATTGTGGTTGAATGTTACCATTGTTTCAGTTGGCACTTTCCTGTAATTTCCATCCTGACTCTTTCTCAAAAAGCAATTCACTTTCTGCCTTTCTCAGACTCGTAAGCTTGAAATAATTCAGGTTATATTGGGACTCTGCAAACCAGAGTTTAGTACTTAGTGTCTAAACTGTCACTGCTCTAATTTCTTGTGGAGTTCTAAGTCCAACTCCATTTGCAATCTGTACAGTTTTCTGCCAGAAAACATGATAATGGGATGTTAATTTAAAGGGCAAATCTAGACATTGTGATATGGCTCAGCACTCAAAACCAAAACTAGATGTGCTCAGGCGGCAATGACTGCTGCTTCACTTCTCTGTTGGTCAGTGTCCAGCTCAGAAGCCAGGGACAGTGTAGTACTGCTGATAATTATAAACTTCTTCCAAATGAAATGAAAAAAATTGTGCAATTACTCAGGGTTTTTTTTTTTTTTTTTTGAGATGGAGTCTTGCTCTGTCTCCCAGGCTGGAATGCAGTGGCGCAATCTTGGCTCACTGCAAGCTCCGCCTCCTGGGTTCACGCCATTCTTCTGCCTCAGCCTCCCGAGTAGCTGGGACTACAGGTATCCACCACCACGCCCGGCTAATTTTTTGTATTTTTAGTAGAGACGGGGTTTCACCGTGTTGGCCAGGCTGGTCTCAATCTCCTGACCTCGTGATCTGCCCACCTCGGCCTCCCAAAGTGCTCAGAGTTATTCTTTTTTGGAGAAAATGAAATAGCTTTCTATGCAAGCCTCTTTAAAGAGATATTTTGTGTGGGTGAGTATATGTTATATTGTGACTCTAAGTTCAATATTTAGAAATATTCAGTTTTATGGAAAGATGAATAATTATAGAGATCTGCTATACAACATAGTACCTATAGTTAATTATGCTATTGTACACTTTAAAATGTTGAGAGGATAGATTTCATGTTATTCACACACACACACATACACACACACACACACACAAAAGAAAAAAACACAACACAAGGAAATTTTGGAGGTGATGGATACATATAGTACCATGATTGTGATGATGGTATCAAGGATATAGGCATATGTCCAAACCCATCAAAATGTATATGTTTAATATGTACAGTTTTTTGATATATCAATTATGCTTCAGTGAAGCTTTTTTAAAAAGTAGTTATGCATACTCTTATTCTATAATTTTCATGTTTTCTGACTTACCAGTATGTTTACTTGCATGTTAGCTTTTATTTGCATCTTACCTTTTAAATAGACTAACCTGGACTTATTCACATTAACCAGACTTAGACACTAAGCAGGGATAGTAGCACACGGTACGTGAATGGGGGACACTTTGGACAAATTTAATGCTACAATTTTGTTTTTTCTCTAAGAACACCCCCTAGTAGTAGGCATTTATTGACTACCTAATGAATTAGGTTAGATAATCAATATTAACGGCAAGAAAGAAAAACACTTCTCAGCATTTTTTAGAATCTTGGTATATCTTTCTATCTGTACCTTTCCATGACCCTCCACTCCACTCACCTCTTCTTTTAGTTGGAATACACCATACACTCAATTTATAATATCTTTGCAATTTTTGAGGCAGTCAGGTTACAGCTAATCTAGGAATGAACACTAGTATTTCACTGCCAAAGTTGATATGTAGTTTCCTTAGCATAGAAAAAAAGATTTTTACATTATTCTGACTTGCAAACGTAGAGAGCTGAAATCTACATTATATCAAGCTCTTCCTTGTTACCTACCTTAAAGGACATTTTAGAGAGATCACCCATTAAAAGCATTAAATGCAGTACTTGGCATAGCTAAGAGTTCAACAAATGTTCATCTCTCTACTACCTTCTGTCTTTTCTTTGTCAAACCCCTTTTATCAGGAGTAGTTTATTTGATGAGAAACAACCACTGTATGTTTTCCTCCAGTAACTGGGAAGCTCTAGACTCTTTTTGATAAAGATTTTAGTAATGTGAAGTCAGTTAATTCAGTCAGTTTCTTGTTTCTTTATTTATCCCCCACGTTTTGGTGTAGTGAGGATTTACTATAGATGTTAATGCAATGTAAGTCTTCAATTTTATTATCCACCCCATCAGCGTACTAGCTTTTATGAAAACTGAAGCTAAAAGTTATTTGATAAATGTACCATCCTCCTCAATAGTGAAAACTGGTCCGAAAATCATTTTTCGAGGAGCTGTTTCCAAAGGTTTAGAGTTCCTCCAAGCCTTTAAGAAGTTGAAAATGTCATTAAGCATTTTGATTTCTTTTCCTTTCATCTCCTGTTTAGAAATTAATGTCTTGAAAAATTGGCTGCAAATGTTAAGCTTTTTTAAAGATATGAAATCTATTCATCTGTCTAATACAACTGCAACATGTTTAAAAGAATCAGTTCTTTGCTAGACATTTTGGCCAATCTTAGAAAGATTTTTGTCTTTGCTTTCTAGGCATTTGGATGCCTTTTATTTTCATTTTTAGCAGTAGGAAAATCAAGCACTTCAATAATTTTCTCAAATAAGCCTTTCAACATGTATTCAATCTCTGATCTTTGTAAGGTAGTGAGGCATGGCCCCATTCCTGTGTTTCATAAAAAGAGATGGTAGAAAAATAGGTAATTCAAGTAATTGTGGAACACCCCTTCGGTTTCCTGTTTCTCCCCTCTAGGTTATATCTTCTTTTTACTGTAGAATGTATCAGTATCCATTATAAAAGGTCCTCTGGTTTATATTTTGTATGGGATCGTTGTTGCATACAACTTCGTATAAAGCTGCAATTCAGAGACTGTCCCAGTATGTCTGCATATGGGCATACATATGGTCGATTTTCGCTTTAACTTCAAATTTCCTTGAATACATAGGCTGTGTTTATTCCCATAATGGTAGTTGAGCAATTTCTTTGCAATGTCTCAATTTCTTTCTCTCACTTCTGCACTTCCCCCTCCTCTCTATACAGTAGTAACTTTTCTAAAAGGCTCATTAAAAAAAAATTCCTTAACACCCGTGAAAGCAGGCGCCAGGAAATTTAAGTTTAGATAGCAGTCCCATCACATTTGGCTGTTTGACTAGAGCTGGCTGCATAAACAGAATGGAATGTGGTGTTATGATTCCCTTGCTCAAGTGTGTATCGATGGTCTGGGATGTGCCTCTTCATCCATTTCTACTTTCTGACTGCCAGGATGTGCTCGGTGCTCTGAAGTGGCACAATCACAGCCTTCAATTGAGACATACAATCTACATGGAAGGGCGTCAGGCAGCCTGCACTGGTTACTCTGCTTCATCTGGTCATTTATTTAGTCTCAATGCTATTGTTCGTAGAGTTCTGTTTTACCAACTGTTTGTTATCTCCTACCTTTGATTTTCAGAGGTGATTTTTATGAGTGAGATTCCTGCAAACATGTAGCTACTTCTTACACTTAAATCTGTAAAAACAAATTATGGAAATCTTTGTTTCTTCACTCAGCTGAGCTACTTGAGCAAGGTTTTTTTTTTTTTCTGTGATAAAACACCAAATCTAACTTCCCTTCTCCTTTGTATTGGAGAGTCTCAGAGAAGAAGGACCACTCTTAGGCATCTTTGATGTAATGAAGGGAATGGGATAAGTGTTCAAGATGATTAATTGATTAGTAACTGATTGATTTTATAGCAGATATTCATTGATAGTCTGTTATGTTTTGATGCTTTGTTTAAAATACAGTAGTGAATAGAACAGATATGGTCTCTACTGTCATGAAGCTTTTATTATCCTGGGGAAGTGGACATTAAACAGTAGATAAACTATTAATTACAATTGGAAAGGAGAGTTTTCCATAAGAGCAACTAATAGGAATTCTGACCTCACTGCAAGTCTCAGAAAAAATGTGATTGTTGAGCTTAAGGTTGTTGTAGACAGTGTGTGTATGTGAGAGGCTTGGGAGTGGTGCAGTGTGAATAGGGTGTCCCAGTAGCAGGGAAAGAGCATGTGCAAAGGCTTTGGGAAGGAAGGTGCACAGTATATACTAGACTAATAGAAGCTCAGTGTGGCTGGAAAAGAGAGTCACAGAAAGAATGCGATATAAGAGATAAAGCCCATGATGACAACAGGCCCAGACCATACAGGGCCTTGTAGGTCTTGTTAATGATTTAGGTCTTTCATTAAAAGTTATGAGAAGCCATTGGAATATTTTAGAAGTTAATGGACGTCATTGGATTCCTGTTTCCTTAGCAAAGACTATCCTAACAACAATGGAAGAATAGATTGGAGAAGAATAAACATGGACACAGATCCAAGTTAGGAGATTGTTTGTTATACTAGTCCAGAAAGAGAAGCTGGAGGCTTGGCTTAGGACAATGGAATAAAGAAAATAGATTACAGAGAGATTTAGGGGATAAAAATTAATAGGACTTGAGTGGTTAGACATGTGGAGAGGAACAAGAGAAAGGAGTAAAGGGAGGTAGTTAAATTTCTGTCCTAAATAACTGGCTAGATGGTGTTCATTTCACTAATACAAGAACATTGGGAAAGAACCAAATGGGGAGAGGGCAAGGCTGGAGGGTCGGGCTTCGGTAATGTTGGTGTAGTGTGAGGTTCCTCAGGCACAACCAACCTGAGATGTCAAGTAGACAGTTGATTATTTGCACCTGAGGCTCAGATGAACTTACTTTCCTAATAAAAAATAGAGGCGAGCATGTTACATGTGGTAGAATAAGACCAGACATTGGTAAGCTTATCATCCAGGAAGATAAAGGGTCTGCAAATTGTTCAGTTACATTTCACAAATGCTTGTCGGGTGCCTACTCCTTACCAGATTCTTGGCCAAATACTGGGCATAAGAAAAGGAAAACCATTCAGTAAATAAGAAAGGGCATCTTTTTGCTTTCAGTCCAAATTACTCTTTTCATCACCCAAGACCAGGGACTCTCAGTACATCCAAAGAAAACTCTTGGGCAAGCTAAGTCTGTACCTCAGTTCTCTGCTTCTAGTCTTTGCTTCAACCTAGCTTAAATCTCTGCAACCTTAAATTCATTTTATCATTGTTTGTCCTTAGTATACATACAAACTAGTTGGTGAGCACATTCTTTATATTAACTCCTTATGTTCTTAAAACTTTGAGAGACATCATAACTTTTGGCCTTATCTTCTTGGAACAAGAGGTATAGGATTGCTTCTTACACTAAGAATGCATTTCTGTGCTGTAAAAAAAGAATTTATCCTCAGGCTATAAATATTATTCCTGTATTTTGTAGGTTATAAATTACTGATGACTTTCAGACTATGATGATATTGACTCCACTTGTGAAAATTAGGCCACACCCCTCTAGTCTGTTCCTAAAATAAGACTAGATTTATTGGCAAAGTGAAATTTATAGCCTCTTTTATTTAGCTCTTATTCTTCGGAGACTCATGGCTTAAAATGGCCTACATTTTAAGACTGTATTTCTTAAATTATTGTCTTTGGACCACCTGCATCAAAATAGCTGAGGTGTGCTTGTTAAAAATGAAGGTTGTAGAACCTTATCTTACATTTTTTTTTAGTACAACTAGATAAAGCCCAATCATTTGCATTTTTAATCAGCACCCCAAGTAATTTTTATGTATAGTAGAGTTTAAGAACCACTCTTTTGAGGACGTCAGAGTTTGTTCATCTCAGTATTAGAATTCTGAGTTAATGAGAAATGTAATAGTTTTGTAAGCCAGGTCAGTTTCATAACAATTTTGATTCATAATCAAGTCACAAATGTTCAAATATTTAATAGGTATTGTTCCATGATTTGAAAAAAGAATGCACTATACAGATTTCTTTTCTAACACATCAAGTTCATCTGAGAGTAGAACAGAGACAGATAGGAAAGGTAGAAAAGAGTAGAGGTGAAGAGAAGAATCTATGTGAGCAAGAAGAGATTGATACTGAAGAAATGGGAATTAATACTTGGTTCAAATGTAGTCTTTCCTTCCATTGTAGTGTATGTTTTGCTCTAATTGCCATGCTCAGTGGGGTTTCTTATGCATGATTGTACATTTATGAATGTTTCTAGAGGGTTAGCTTTTTTTTTTTTTTTTTTTTTTTTTGAGATGGAGTCTCGCTCTCTCGCCCATGCTGAAGTGCAGTGGCACAATCTCAGCTCACTGCAACCTCTGCCTCCCGGGTTCAAGCAATTCTCTGCGTCAGCCTCCTGAGTAGCTGGGATTGCAGGTGCCCACCACCACACCTGGCCAATTTTTGTATTTTTAGTAGAGATGGGGTTTCACCATCTTGCCCAGGCTGGTATTGAACTCCTGACCTCATGATCCACCTGCCTCGGCCTCCCAAAGTGCTGGGATTACAGGTGTGAGCCACTGTGCCCGGCCGAGGGCTAGCTTTTTTCCCACTCCAGAACTCTCTCCTTCCTTCCCCCCATAGGAAGAGCGCCGTGTGATTTATGTCGGTAAAATCAGACCTGACACAACACGGACAGAACTGAGGGACCGTTTTGAAGTTTTTGGTGAAATTGAGGAGTGCACAGTAAATCTGCGGGATGATGGGTGAGAATCTTCAAGATTATTTCTTGTTTAGAAGCTGACGTATGTAAAAAATTATGGCCATAAGATTACTGGGATGGGAGTTGCCAATGTAAGTGCTTTGACAGATGACATGTTGAGTTCAGAACCTTATTTATTTTCTTTCATCCCTGTTTATTAATCTTTCTAGTTGAGATTTCCTGTCCCAGAAATAAGTATTTAGCTGCTTGACAGGACAATCACACTGATAAATGGATTCAGTGGCTCAGACGTTGGCACTGGAGAAGTCTCACAAAGTAGAAAGGGTTACAGTCCCATATACTAATACTTCTTAACCAGCTTTGAACTTTTCTTTGTCCGTTGCAGAGACAGCTATGGTTTCATTACCTACCGTTATACCTGTGATGCTTTTGCTGCTCTTGAAAATGGATACACTTTGCGCAGGTCAAACGAAACTGACTTTGAGCTGTACTTTTGTGGACGCAAGCAATTTTTCAAGTCTAACTATGCAGACCTAGGTATGGATTTTATTGTACGTGGAATGAGGAATCCATAATGTAGAGCTCAAGATGGGAACAAACATAATCCGTAGGCACCTTGGGTTGAACCATCACTTTATTTTACTAAAGGGAATGTTTGAATACAGATTTTTAAGAAAAACGTATAAGACAGTTTCAGAAGAAAGGGGCCTAGGTTTTGGCAAGAAAGGACAGAAGTAAATTCTTTGTACTATCTACTCAGGTGCTGAAAATTGTGGTAGGTATGTATGTGGATATTGTGTGTTTCCACATGTGTTCATGATTTCTGTATGTGTGTTGTGTGTGCATGCAGCTTTATATTTTGTGAGTGCATGTATTGTGTGTATCTCTGTGGATATTGTGTGTGTCTGTGTGTGTTGTGTGAATATTAAACATGTATGTGTGTAGTATTGTGCTTTGTGTGTGCGTGTGTTATGCAGATGTGTGTGGCTATCATGTGTCTTTGTGTGTGTATGTATGCAGGTATTGTATGTGTCTACATGTGTTTATGATTCATGTGTGTGTGTGTGTGTGTGTGTTTGTAACCTGATTTTGCCTTCCAGGCCTACCCTGAATCCTTTCACGAACCATAGCATTGCCATCATTGTTTTATGGAACAGAATATGCAAGTCTCATTTTCTCTTATTATTTCACAGACACTTAGAAATATCATCATTTTCTATGAACTACAACTAAGAGAGAAGAAAATTAAATTTCATATACTAAATCACACTCTGCTTTCTTTAAAAAAAAAAAAAAAAAGAAAGAAACACCTGTTATTTGTTGAGTGCTTCCATATGCCAGACACTGTGCCAGGAGCTTTGAAAGCATTTTCCATTTAATTACTAGAACTATCCTAGGAGGTGTATATTATTACTATCATCCCCATTTTACAGATAAGGAAACTGAAGCATACATAATATTAATTTTTCCTGTTATAAAAGCTGTACAGACTCAAGGGGTAAAATATGGTAAATATAAAAAGGTATTAAGAAAAAAATTAAAATCATGTATCAGCCTGTCATCCAGGAATAACCACTATTACCAACGAAGTGATTTGCCTTCCAGTATTTTGTCTCAGCATGTCTAATTTCTTACAGTTGAATTTATATATATATTTATTTATATATATATAAACTTCCAAATTCTACTTTTCTCAATTAATATATAAATTCGTGTTCTGCTGTGACTCACAAGATTAAAAATAATTTATTAACATACTTTAATGGTTGTACAGTATTTTGCTGAGTGAATAGTACCATTATATTTAGTCATTACATTATAGCCAAACATTTAATTTTTAATTTTTCAATATTATAAATAATGCTAAAATGGACATCTTAATTTCCTTTCCAATTTTAATTTTGTTCCTTTGCATGTCATTCCCCATCTAATGTGTGCATAGTAAGCCTTTAAATTCTTTGAGGAAGGAAAGTGATAAGTGTCTTGTGCATATGACATAATTATATTAAATTTATTTGTAATATTTATCATGAAATTAACATATAAATCTAGTCCTCATCATTATTAGATATCTATATGCACTTTCTCTGGGTTGGTAAAAAGAAGGAAACAAATACAAATACAGGGATTTTTTTTCTTCTGTCCAACGAAGGGATGTCTTCCTAGAGTAATTGATACAGGTGATGTGCATTGTTCACAGGGAATATGCTATAATTCACTCCACAAGCTAAATAGATAGTAGGAAGCAGTGGAGAGGCAGCTGACTGTTAGAGAGATAGCAGGCTAGGGATGAAAATATAGAATGTGGCAAGTCATTTGTTCAAATGTTGGCTGATAAAAACAGTCAAGACGGATTGAAGTCTTGAGTTGATTTGACTTATTTTCTTCAGTGATGAAGGCCAGGGTGTTTCTAGTCTCTCAAAACATCTAGAGTTTAAAATAAGCTACCTAGAGGGGCCTTTAGATCACGATTCATCACTGGTAGAGAGGGAGGATTGGATGGTATTTCCAAATTGAACTGGAGCCTCCTTGAAATATTTCTAAGAAGGATGCTTCCTCTCTCGTTATCTCCCTGCCTAGCCGGCAGCAATAGAAACTTTGCCATTGCTAAGCTCGCTCTGTATTTTCTGAAAAGTATGTTTGATGTGCATTGTAGTAGGATGGATTTTTCCAATTCCCTCAAGCTGTACGATGGCACAAAGGTAGTTTTTTTCTGAGCTCCATCATTGTATAGTCTGAAGAGGCCAGGCTTTGGAATCCCGCAGACCTGGGATTGAAATCTGACTTACCACTGCCGTTGGGCAAAGAATTCAACCCCTTCAGTTCTGCTTCTTCATTTGTAAAATACCATATAGTGTTATTGTGAAGATTAAATAAATGTTTGTGATGCTATTAGCACGTGTCTGGCATAACATAGGTGCTCAATAAATAGTGGCTATGGTTATAATTTAAAATGATGGGAATGAGAAGTTAGAAGTGTAAAGTCGTTTTAAAATGGAAGAATCGACTCTAGGAATCAGCTTTGGAACTCAAAACATTTTTCCTGTGTCTTGTCTTTGTTCCCTGAAGAATTCAAATATTCTTGTGCTCACCATATTCAGTGTTCATGCACATTTCAGGGCATAAGAATATACTGGACTCAGGGGTTAGGAGCATACACATATGTCACAATAGTAAAGCAAAAATGATGTGACACAGATTAGTTTTACCAAGACAGGAAAGTTACTTATCATTCTAGATAGATTTAACCAATTTTCTTTCTGTTTACTTGCTCCCCCAAATTAAGTTAGCTTATACATCCTATTTCTCTACTACTGAAACTAGATAATGGTGACTACAATATTGTTAGAGCAAAACATAACGATTTCAGCTACTATTTATGACCCAGTATTATAAATGAGAGTGAGAGATTAAAATGACTTGATCAAGGTTAAAACAGTGAAGCCCAGATTTAAGTTCTAGTTGCCATGAATCAGTAGTCTGTGTGTCTTTCTATTTACTGTCTTATAAGCAAATGGATCTTTCTAAAGACCTCAACGAAAAAAAATCAGAGGGGAAAGACCAAGAGAAATTAAAGTAGGACTACAGGATCCAAACAGAAAGATGGGTCAGTATTATGAATGTAATAGTTTTGATTAGGAATTAGTTATGTTACATAACTTAAACATTTAAAAAAATAAATGACACATACATTATAAATTATTCATTAACTGAAATGAATGTATTGTATTATCAGTATTCTTGATTATACACGTAACTTTATGTATTTCTTTGCCATTCATTGATAAATCGTTCCCACATCCCAATATAAATATTTTCAACCATGGTTTTAATAATATTTTGGTGTTTGAGATTAGTATATTCCTTCAACAAATATTAATTTGAGTGCCTCCTTTGTGCCAACAGTTTTCCAGGTGCTGGGAATATAAGTGTGATGTGATTTGTTTCAAATAATACAGTATCATTATTTCTAACAATTTATTTTGAAAAATTAGAGTGGCTTGAGTTATTACTATTTTCATGCGTGTCCATGTGAAGAGACCACCAAACAGGCTTTGTGTGAGCAGTAAAGCTGTTTATTTCACCTGGGTGCAGGCGGGCTGAGTCTGAAAAGAGAGTCAGAGAAGGGAGATGGGGTGGGGCCGTTGTATAAGATTTGGGTAGGTAAAGGAAAAAGGGGGGTTGTTCTCTGGTGGGCAGGAGTGGGGGTCACAAGGTACCCAGTTGGGGAGCTTTTGAGCCAGGATGAGCCAGGAGAAGGAATTTCACAAGACAATGTCATCAGTTAAGGCAGGAACAGGCCATTTTCACTTCTTTCGTTGTGGAATGTCATCAGTTAAGGCAGGAACCGGCCATCTGGATGTGTACGTGCAGGTCACAGAGGATATGATGGCTTAGCTTGGGCTCAGAGGCCTGACACCTATAACATTTTTATTATATCTTACTGTGCTCCAATATCCTTTCATTAGCGGGAGAGAAATTGGTGGAGTAGATGTTATTGCCTCAGAAATTAAATGTAACCACATTCTATCTCATGCAACAAAAAATATTTTTGGTTGTTTTCTGAGTAACAGTGTGCCTGTATAAGTGGGTATATATGTGAACACTATATTTCACAGTGAAGAAACTCTTGAGAACTACTATTTCACAATTTTTTTAAATATTTGCTAATAAAATACAGAAACACTGAAATTCTAGAGTTTGCTTAGAATATTGCAAAGTAAGGAAATTTAAAATATTCTCAAAGAGTTCCTCAAGGAAAGGTATGTGTGTATGTCCCTGATGGTTCCAGGCTGACTTTTATCACACAGACTCCATCACTGGGGGAATCTTCCCTCTTGATCTACAATGCAAGTGGAATTCTGATTTCAGACTAATCTCTAGCAATGAGCTAGACATTTTTTTTTTTGTCTCTACAAAAAAGATTTTGATTTGAACAGCAGTTGTTTGTGAGGCCTTAGCAATACAAGAAAACCATTCATTAGCCTATGAAGAGAAGCGTTGAAGCCAGTGTAATTTAAGAATTGACTATTTAAGATGCTATTGAGGAAAGATTGGCCAGTTTTGTCTCCGTTTTTTATGATTGAGACTGTAATTGTTCTCGTTGCTCTTACCTTAAAAAACTTGCTGAAAAAAACTCAGTAAAGACCAAAGGTGATCAGAATGAAAGGAAAACATAAATAAAGACATTTCTTTGTCTTTAAATCTAGGTATGTAAAGGTAGATTGAAACTTTGGAAATGGGATGGTCAGGCCGGAGCTAGAGAGCTTGGTTTGCAATCTTGTCAGCAAAACAACATTTTAGGTCAACGATTATGCCTCTGTAGTATCTAGTATTATATCCTTCTATTACTTTGACCATTTCGATTTTGTAATTTACTCTGGGAAAAAGCATGGGAATTCTTGTATTTTGGTAGAATTGTTAGTTTTCCAGAATGGTTTTGTTTTCCTTCAAATAAATGTTTTCAAAAGAATTAACGTATTTATAAGAGGCTTTTTATTATATTTCCAAGCCCCCCTTTGTTACTTGCAAGACCAGCAGAAATATCTAGCTTTTTCATAGAAGTCAATGGAGAAAAACCAGGAATATTTAACAGAATTTTACTTTGCTTTCTATATTGCTAAAACATATCTATTTTGTTAAGGTCTATTTGAAGTAGCAGTGAAACTGCTCAAAAGCTTACTTGGACTAGTTTAAGAGTCCAAGAAGGGCATGGCTTTATTTATACCTGCACTTTATTTCTTCTTTCCGAATTTACTCTCCTGGGATGTGAAGCATTTCTCTCAACCTTCCAATTTGGGGAGAATTTGCACCAAAAATTCTGGGAGGCCAAGAGGTACGGAAGTAGAGGACCACATCATATGTCCCCTCCTGCCTCAAAGAGAAGCATCAGGTTGAAGTTTAGGGGAAATTCTCATGATTCTTTCTCTCATACTCTACTGGATTTTATGCTCAATTAAATTAATCCCATTGAATAGGAAAATTAGTTCCAGCTTGTACTCTCACGTCTACATCTAAGTTATTGAGGAACCATGGGCAAGTCATTTGACGTGTCGGGGGAAGGGGAGGGTGGTTATCTGCCAGAGATATATTAACGTGTGCTCTGCCTAACTCCCAGGGTGTTTAAGCCTAAACGAGTCAACAGGTGCGTGTTTTTGAAAGCTCACTACTCCCCATCCTCTTCCTATATATCCATATATATCCAATAAAATCTGACTATTGTTTTCTAAAGTATATTGATTGGAAGAGTTGTTATCGAATCCAGTAATCTTGAATTGGAATGATTGAGTTAATGGCCATCAGCAAAGTGTGTATCTAAACTGGCTTGTGTTTTTTTTCAGATTCAAACTCAGATGACTTTGACCCTGCTTCCACCAAGAGCAAGTATGACTCTCTGGATTTTGATAGTTTACTGAAAGAAGCTCAGAGAAGCTTGCGCAGGTAACATGTTCCCTAGCTGAGGATGACAGAGGGATGGCGAATACCTCATGGGACAGCGCGTCCTTCCCTAAAGACTATTGCAAGTCATACTTAGGAATTTCTCCTACTTTACACTCTCTGTACAAAAACAAAACAAAACAACAACAATACAACAAGAACAACAACAACAATAACAACAATGGTTTACATGAACACAGCTGCTGAAGAGGCAAGAGACAGAATGATATCCAGTAAGCACATGTTTATTCATGGGTGTCAGCTTTGCTTTTCCTGGAGTCTCTTGGTGATGGAGTGTGCGTGTGTGCATGTATGTGTGTGTGTATGTATGTGTGTGGTGTGTGTGCTTGGTTTAGGGGAAGTATGTGTGGGTACATGTGAGGACTGGGGGCACCTGACCAGAATGCGCAAGGGCAAACCATTTCAAATGGCAGCAGTTCCATGAAGACACGCTTAAAACCTAGAACTTCAAAATGTTCGTATTCTATTCAAAAGGAAATATATATATATATATATATATATATATATATATATATAAATTAAAAAGGAAAGAAAACTAACAACCAACCAACCAACCAACCAACCACAAACCACCCTAAAATGACAGCCGCTGATGTCTGGGCATCAGCCTTTGTACTCTGTTTTTTTAAGAAAGTGCAGAATCAACTTGAAGCAAGCTTTCTCTCATAACGTAATGATTATATGACAATCCTGAAGAAACCACAGGTTCCATAGAACTAATATCCTGTCTCTCTCTCTCTCTCTCTCTCTCTCTTTTTTTTTTCTTTTTCCTTTTGCCATGGAATCTGGGTGGGAGAGGATACTGCGGGCACCAGAATGCTAAAGTTTCCTAACATTTTGAAGTTTCTGTAGTTCATCCTTAATCCTGACACCCATGTAAATGTCCAAAATGTTGATCTTCCACTGCAAATTTCAAAAGCCTTGTCAATGGTCAAGCGTGCAGCTTGTTCAGCGGTTCTTTCTGAGGAGCGGACACCGGGTTACATTACTAATGAGAGTTGGGTAGAACTCTCTGAGATGTGTTCAGATAGTGTAATTGCTACATTCTCTGATGTAGTTAAGTATTTACAGATGTTAAATGGAGTATTTTTATTTTATGTATATACTATACAACAATGTTCTTTTTTGTTACAGCTATGCACTGTAAATGCAGCCTTCTTTTCAAAACTGCTAAATTTTTCTTAATCAAGAATATTCAAATGTAATTATGAGGTGAAACAATTATTGTACACTAACATATTTAGAAGCTGAACTTACTGCTTATATATATTTGATTGTAAAAACAAAAAGACAGTGTGTGTGTCTGTTGAGTGCAACAAGAGCAAAATGATGCTTTCCGCACATCCATCCCTTAGGTGAGCTTCAATCTAAGCATCTTGTCAAGAAATATCCTAGTCCCCTAAAGGTATTAACCACTTCTGCGATATTTTTCCACATTTTCTTGTCGCTTGTTTTTCTTTGAAGTTTTATACACTGGATTTGTTAGGGGAATGAAATTTTCTCATCTAAAATTTTTCTAGAAGATATCATGATTTTATGTAAAGTCTCTCAATGGGTAACCATTAAGAAATGTTTTTATTTTCTCTATCAACAGTAGTTTTGAAACTAGAAGTCAAAAATCTTTTTAAAATGCTGTTTTGTTTTAATTTTTGTGATTTTAATTTGATACAAAATGCTGAGGTAATAATTATAGTATGATTTTTACAATAATTAATGTGTGTCTGAAGACTATCTTTGAAGCCAGTATTTCTTTCCCTTGGCAGAGTATGACGATGGTATTTATCTGTATTTTTTACAGTTATGCATCCTGTATAAATACTGATATTTCATTCCTTTGTTTACTAAAGAGACATATTTATCAGTTGCAGATAGCCTATTTATTATAAATTATGAGATGATGAAAATAATAAAGCCAGTGGAAATTTTCTACCTAGGATGCATGACAATTGTCAGGTTGGAGTGTAAGTGCTTCATTTGGGAAATTCAGCTTTTGCAGAAGCAGTGTTTCTACTTGCACTAGCATGGCCTCTGACGTGACCATGGTGTTGTTCTTGATGACATTGCTTCTGCTAAATTTAATAAAAACTTCAGAAAAACCTCCATTTTGATCATCAGGATTTCATCTGAGTGTGGAGTCCCTGGAATGGAATTCAGTAACATTTGGAGTGTGTATTCAAGTTTCTAAATTGAGATTCGATTACTGTTTGGCTGACATGACTTTTCTGGAAGACATGATACACCTACTACTCAATTGTTCTTTTCCTTTCTCTCGCCCAACACGATCTTGTAAGATGGATTTCACCCCCAGGCCAATGCAGCTAATTTTGATAGCTGCATTCATTTATCACCAGCATATTGTGTTCTGAGTGAATCCACTGTTTGTCCTGTCGGATGCTTGCTTGATTTTTTGGCTTCTTATTTCTAAGTAGATAGAAAGCAATAAAAATACTATGAAATGAAAGAACTTGTTCACAGGTTCTGCGTTACAACAGTAACACATCTTTAATCCGCCTAATTCTTGTTGTTCTGTAGGTTAAATGCAGGTATTTTAACTGTGTGAACGCCAAACTAAAGTTTACAGTCTTTCTTTCTGAATTTTGAGTATCTTCTGTTGTAGAATAATAATAAAAAGACTATTAAGAGCAATAAATTATTTTTAAGAAATCGAGATTTAGTAAATCCTATTATGTGTTCAAGGACCACATGTGTTCTCTATTTTGCCTTTAAATTTTTGTGAACCAATTTTAAATACATTCTCCTTTTTGCCCTGGATTGTTGACATGAGTGGAATACTTGGTTTCTTTTCTTACTTATCAAAAGACAGCACTACAGATATCATATTGAGGATTAATTTATCCCCCCTACCCCCAGCCTGACAAATATTGTTACCATGAAGATAGTTTTCCTCAATGGACTTCAAATTGCATCTAGAATTAGTGGAGCTTTTGTATCTTCTGCAGACACTGTGGGTAGCCCATCAAAATGTAAGCTGTGCTCCTCTCATTTTTATTTTTATTTTTTTGGGAGAGAATATTTCAAATGAACACGTGCACCCCATCATCACTGGAGGCAAATTTCAGCATAGATCTGTAGGATTTTTAGAAGACCGTGGGCCATTGCCTTCATGCCGTGGTAAGTACCACATCTACAATTTTGGTAACCGAACTGGTGCTTTAGTAATGTGGATTTTTTTCTTTTTTAAAAGAGATGTAGCAGAATAATTCTTCCAGTGCAACAAAATCAATTTTTTGCTAAACGACTCCGAGAACAACAGTTGGGCTGTCAACATTCAAAGCAGCAGAGAGGGAACTTTGCACTATTGGGGTATGATGTTTGGGTCAGTTGATAAAAGGAAACCTTTTCATGCCTTTAGATGTGAGCTTCCAGTAGGTAATGATTATGTGTCCTTTCTTGATGGCTGTAATGAGAACTTCAATCACTGTAGTCTAAGACCTGATCTATAGATGACCTAGAATAGCCATGTACTATAATGTGATGATTCTAAATTTGTACCTATGTGACAGACATTTTCAATAATGTGAACTGCTGATTTGATGGAGCTACTTTAAGATTTGTAGGTGAAAGTGTAATACTGTTGGTTGAACTATGCTGAAGAGGGAAAGTGAGCGATTAGTTGAGCCCTTGCCGGGCCTTTTTTCCACCTGCCAATTCTACATGTATTGTTGTGGTTTTATTCATTGTATGAAAATTCCTGTGATTTTTTTTAAATGTGCAGTACACATCAGCCTCACTGAGCTAATAAAGGGAAACGAATGTTTCAAATCTACTTCTGCTTTTCTTATTTATCGTAACCAAACTCCTGGCATGTTTCTCAGATCAGTACCCATTACTCGCTTATTATTATTCTATTTCCTCTCTGGCTCTCTTTCCCTTTCTCCTTGCTTTTCCATATTCATGGATGCATTTCAGCTCTAAGGTAACGTGCATCTTCTGTATCTTGTCTTTTTCTAAACGGCAAAGGCAGACGTGGTGGTTTCTATAACGAACGTTCAGAGGTGAAAAATGACAGGGGATTGTATCAAATGGATTAGCTCTATTTTTGTACTTAACCCTGGGAAGTGTGTATTTTTAAGTAGAAGCTCTTTCCCCTAGGGAAAAAACTCACTGAATATTCAGTATAGAAAGCGATTTTGTTGTAGATGGACTGAATATTTCTCCAAGACTTGTAACAGGATGCAGTTCCCCATCATATGGAAGTCATCGGGTTGGTTAAATATGGGATGAGCTGATAGCTGAAGACACATCGTGCTGTCAGGATGTCCACTGTGGCTGGTAGATGATGACGGTCCTAATGACAGAGAATGCCCTTGCCCAATTTCAAATGGTTGCTCCCATTGCCAATCATTTGCATTGCAAGACTCAACATATGCAACATTGGGGAAAGATGGCTAAATTATATTCCATCATTTCCATCTCCTAGAGAGAAAAAGAGTGTTTGTAAATATTGGAAATGTGATAAGAGCTATCAGAAGTGCATTGAAATCTGCTAAATAACATAAGATACACTCCCCATGGATTGTTTTATACCAATATAAAATTCATCAATTATTTATTTTATGGAAATGGAAAATAAAAATCTACCATTATCTTATCTTACCCAAATACTGAATTTATCTGCCACTGTGGATACCAAGCACTCCTGAGTTTCAATAGATAAGTCTCAGTTCCTGACTTGTCTTCTATTGTTGCTTAAATTGCATAAGGCATTTTTAATCTTCCGGTTGGAACCAGCAAGGACATTAGAACTCTTCCCTAAATGCTTAACTTTTTAACCTAACAAGTCTTTTGAGGGCGGAGAGAAAATGAGGGATTTTCAGAAGCAGCATTAGTAGCTGCTAGTTTGGTACTGGAATATCCTGATTGAGATAAAGGATTTATTTCATATTGTCCTCAAAACATTGACTCACTTTCATTCTTGTTGATACTAATGGCAAAATAATTATTAAAACCAAAATTGGGCTGACAAAAATAACATTTGATATAGCTTTTTTTAAAAAAAGATTGTCTCAATTCAAAAGTCCTCCAAACCAAATCTGTCTAAACTGTATACAATATGATATTGAATTGAAATTCTTTTTTAGCATTGTCGGTTTTCTCTTCTTTGTAGGTTTATTTAGCTAATCATTGGATATAATTTACAGCCCTAATAACGTTACTATACTGACTCGACTGTAGTGTTACTAGCTACACATTTATAACTCAGTATTAGTTATAGAATATTTTAACTAAAACATTCCATTTGCAATATTTATATTAATCTTATATTTTGCAATTTTCGTTGCTACTCCGTTTTCAAACACACTACAATCCATTATAAATCAATCTTTGTACTTTATCAAACGGCAGAGAGTAATAAAGAAGGTCACAACTCATAGAGGAGTTCCTTGGAGGTTTGTAACATCATGATTTAAATCTCAGAAAGATTTAATCAAAAGCTGAATTAATCCCTGGGGGAAAAGATAGTATATAGATTCTATTGATGGACACAAAGCAGCCTATTTCTGTTCACCGGTCTCTGTTAGCATGTTGGGGAAAAGAAATACAGATTTTCTGTGAGAGGGAAAATAAGATTTTCTTGTAGGGGAAGGATGGTAAGACATAACCTTCACGTTATGCTTCCTCCCTTCCACTCAAAATGGCCCATTTTTATTTTCCACTTACTGGGGCGTTATCTGTTCTCCTAGTGCATGGAGAATGTTAAATGTCCTCCACCCCCATGTTTCCCTTGTTATATTCCATGTGATTCCAGTAACTATGCAGAGTCCCAAAAGCTCCACTCTAGTCAAGCATGTGGAATGCGGGGTCACATGGGCTGGTTTCCAGGTCTCTTCTGTCGTAATCAGGTGACTGCCCTTGGGCGAATTCTCAGCACTGGGGACACTGGAAACTTGTAGAAGAAATGATTATGAAATGTGAATATTTTGAGGACCAGGTTCGACTGAAAAGCCATAACATTGTTTCATGACTAGGATGTAGGCTAAAGGCAAGAGGCCACCACTTTCCCACATGTCTCTTTTCTGTCCATAATTAATTCCAGAGGAATGTGACCATATTCTGTTCAGCTCAAAACCCATTACTTACCATTAGGTGACTTATAAAGGGGCAGAGTGAAATTAATTAATTGAAAAGAGTAAGAGAACTTTTAGAGGAGAAAACCAAATGATCCTATAATATTTTCATGATTAAATTAAATGAATGTAATTATACATGCACATATGCACACCAAGGCATTATTATAATCAAGGACCTTAAAATATTGTATCATTTCAAATTTATGCATATAGCACTTACTGAAGGCAAGTAGCTAGTGTGATACTTGAATTTGCATATTGACCATTTTCATATATTTTCATATATTAATTTATAGTAGGAAGAAGCTGAATTATTAGGAAAAATCCTGGGATGATTTAAAAAAAATATTGTGCTTCTACTTGTTTTTGAACATCAGGGGCACTTAGCAACATTATCTTTTTTTTTCCACATAGTTTTCTGTGATGGATTTTCAACAAGATGACATCCAAGTGAAAGCCAAAATTAAATGGGAAGGAAAGAATGTTAAGTGGTAAAATCCTAAATAGCTTATTAGACTACTTAATTGGAGGGAATTTATTTTTTGCTGCTGTTAGGAACTCTATAGTCAAGCTTCTCTTTAACAATACTAATTGATGAAAAAAAGTGGCTATAGTATTATAGTTACCACAAAATGCCCTCCAGCAAGTCATTTAAGGAAATTCACAGGTACTTTCCTTTGATGGACGTTGGTGTTGCTGAAAATCAAGTCCTGTCTTCATTCGTATCATCATTGCTTTCTCACTTCATTTCCAAGCAGGTCCCCTGCTTATTCCTCTCATAGCTTCACAGTGCGCTTGAAAGACTGACTTAATTCTTAAAAGAAAATTAGGACGTGCTTGTTCTTAGTTTAACCATCTACTAGGTTTTCGGCTTGATCACTATACCCTTTAATCAGATGTATGACTAATGTTTCATAGTGCTTAGAAGTATTGCCCTCTGTAAGCACTTCCCTATTTGTTGGCAGGAATGTGTATACACTATCACAGAATGATGATTAATTACTCTGCTTCCTAGAGAAGGGTAAGTTAGTAAACTGGTCACACGGCATGTGATGGAGCCGTGTTACTTTCATGTCAGGCAATTTAATGATCAAGTGCAATGCATGGCGTCATTCTCCTCCACTTATCTGTTTACATGGGAAAAGCATCCTGGTACTGATTCAATGAGCTGCCTTTTCCAGGGTCAACAGTCTGAATTGCAGTTCCGACTATCCAACAGGAAAACAATTGAACAGAAAGCAAAGATTGGAGTTCACCATCCACTGTTTGGCTTCAGTATTTGGAGGGTGGGAAGTACCTATCTGTTGGGCTGACTTTTTGCCATTTCCAGTGGCAGGGGTGGCGGCATTAAAGGGAGTGCCAATGTGTGCACCTGATGAATGAAATAATTCATAGACAACTCATAAGAGTTTCTTTGTCACTTGGTGCCAGAGTCTCATTGAGCCACTGTGTGCCATGGCATGCCATGGCAAAAACTAAGACCAAAAAGGTCACCTGAAGGAAAGAGAAGGAATCAATAGAAGGTTAACCAAACACATTTGAACTTCAGGCACGAAGCAAGGTTTGGACAGAGGTTTCCCGTGGTTTCTTATTTGCCTTGTATGCCAACTCATTCCATGAGATTATATAGACAAAATAGGCAATTGTGCAGCTAGGCTGTAGAATTGTGAAGAAAGGAATGAACCTCACATATTGGTTCTATATGTGAGGGTAGTTCTGTGTCACATAGACAGCCGCTGGCCTTTGATTAAAATCCTGTGTACTTCCTGGCTACCACGTTAATGGGAGACCCTTGAGGATTTCTCCACAGCTAGGTTTTTGGATAGAACTTTTAAGCTTTAATTTTGTGGAATGATAAAAAGATAATCCCTACATTCATAGAATACAAAGAGCTCTTTAGATTTCAATAATGCATTGAGGAGGCCCCCCTATTTTCTTCTCATTGTTTGTTTCAGTTCTACCATCTCAAAGTAGCCATTTCCAGCAAGGAACCTTCACCAACTTTCAGCATTCTGAAGGTTAAACTCAAGCCCCCTCAAAAGTCGTATCTGCTATATTTCATGGAGACATAACTTCATGGCATTGCAATAATTTAAAGACGTTATTTGCTTGTTTTTGCTGTCTTAAAAACTTAGCTTTATCAGCTCCTTTTAGAAACTTGATCAACTTGGAGACTCCCTTTCCTAGAATCAGCGCTTAGTGACACACCTGGTCATCCTGTATCCCAGCCATTGGACCTCAGGTAATGATGTTGCTCAATAAGACCTCTTAACATCCTCATTTTAAAATTAGAGAAATCTTCCTGTACTGGTAAGAAAGCAAATATGAAAAGCTGCCCTCCATTTGAAAGTCCAGTGAATTCAGGATGTGATTAAAACAGTGAAGATAATGACAAAGATGATGATGGTATTAGCTAACATTTATTGTGGATTTATCTTTTAGTCATTTTACTTAGCTGTTTACATGAATTTTCTTCATTAATCCTCCTAAACAAACTGTAAGGTAGGTATACAACTCTTCCCATTTTATTGAGGAGGAAATGGAGGGTTAAGGTAGCTGGAAAACTGCCCAGATTTGGGCAAAGTCCAGTTGGTCCTAAAACTTATTTTTGAAAGTCTCGTCCTATATATAATGCCTCCAGGAATAAAATATTAATCTTCAAAAGAAATCTGTTAGAGGTATTTAATTGTTAAAATTTGTGTACTTTTGTTGCTACCGTCTGACTGAAACCAAAATCTGCTTGTATTGCATTCATCATTCTATATTGATGGAACTTCTCCAACGTACTAGAAACTCCACATCTAGTTGGCAGTATAGTAAGAAAAAATTAAAAAATATATTTTGTAATAGCTTCGGTAGGACACTCTCACCAGAATCCTTATTGTGAGTATCTATATATCTATGTATCTGTGTATCTATCTATCTTCTATCATCTATCTATCTATCATCTATTTATCCATCTGTTTATCTGTCTATCCACCTACCTACATATATTGCATTTTGTGGAAAGTATATTGCTGTAAGACCAATGTCTATGAGGGTTGAGGCCAGAGATCCTCATACTTAATGGGCAGGAATGACCTAGTGCTGTGATTCCAAGGTGTACGATCTTACTTACAAGGGCTGATAACCAACTTTACAAAGAGGTAGAAACCTCTTCCATAAGTTAAAGTGGATTTGGAGGTATAAAATGGTATATTCTTACCACTGAGAAGTTAAATCACAAAAATAATCAAATTGAAGAGCTTTTTATGGTTTTTCAAGCACTATTAAAAAGTTTCTGGGCTGGGCGCAGCAGCTCACACTTGTAATCCCAGCACTTTGGGCTGAGGCGGGCAGATCACTTGAGGTCAGGAGTTCGAGACCGGCCTGGCCAACATGGTGAAACCCCAACTCTACTAAAAACATATGAAAATTAGCTAGGCGTGGTGGTGTGCACCTGTAATCCCAGCTACTTGGGAGGTTGAGGCAGGAGAATCACTTGAACCTGGGAGGTGGAGGTTGCCGTGAGCGGAGATTGTGCCACTGCACTCCAGCCTGGGTGACAGCGCGAGACTCCATCTCAAATAAATAAGTAAATAAATAAGTTTTCAATTTAGGGCTAATATAAGAAAAAAACTTAAAAAATAATCAGTCCCGATTTTGCAGCCATTGGTAAACCAGTCATTTTCTCAGAAAATTCGTCTGTCTTGGAGAACACAAACCCTAGGTTATTTTGACTAAAGTTCATAGAATTCTGAAAATGAAAGTTCATGACCAACTTTTCTTCTTTCCCACTTCATAATCTTAACTGACCTCATGCTCACTGAGCATGGCCACTGGATTGGAGACGGGCCTCTGGTATTGCAGTGTGAGAAACTGAGCCCCTCTTTCCAGAGATTCTTACAGTATCCTCAGACAAGCGATAGGCACGTGGAGAATCCACCTTTGGACGAAATGCTTCCTTGTTTCTGTGATTACATTCATTGTCATGACACAATGCTAGCTCGGATATCAGCTGTTCATGATAGAAGACCTTCTTAAGATTTCTTAAATATGTTTATTTGGATTTCTCTCTGCAATGCTAACCTGTCTACAATCAAATCTTAGGATTACTGTAGATACTGATCGGTAGACACTCAGTGTTCTAATTTATGGATCGCCCTTTGAGGGTAGTGTCTTTGCTGCACCTGGCATCAGTTGTAGGGAAAAGCGGGCTCAGTTTCTAACATTGCAATACAAGAGGCCCATCTCCAATCCAGTGGTCATCCTCAGTCAGCATGAGGTCAGTTAAGATTATGAAGTGGGAAAGAAGGAAAGGTGGTCATAAACTTTCATTTTCAGAATTCCATGAACCTTAATCAAAATAGCCTAGAGTTCGTGATCTTTTTTTTAATTATACTTTAAGTTTTAGGGTACATGTGCACAATGTGCAGGTTAGTTACATATGTATACATGTGACATGCTGGTGCGCTGCACCCACTAACTCGTCATCTAGCATTAGGTATATCTCCCAATGCTACCCCTCCCCCCTCCCCCCACCCCACAACAGTCCCCAGAGTGTGATGTTCCCCTTCCTGTGTCCATGTGTTCCCATTGTTCAATTCCCACCTATGAGTGAGAATATGCGGTGTTTGGTTTTTTGTTCTTGCGATAGTTTACTGAGAATGATGATTTCCAATTTCATCCATGTCCCTACAAAGGACATGAACTCATCATTTTTTATGGCTGCATAGTATTCCATGGTGTATATGTGCCACATTTTCTTAATCCAGTCTATCATTGTTGGACATTTGGGTTGGTTCCAAGTCTTTGCTATTGTGAATAGTGCTGCAATAAACGTATGTGTGCATGTGTCTTTACAGCAGCATGATTTATAGTCCTTTGGGTATATACCCAGTAATGGGATGGCTGGGTCAAATGGTATTTCCAGTTCTAGATCCCTGAGGAATCGCCACACTGACTTCCACAATGGTTGAACTAGTTTACAGTCCCACCAACAGTGTAAAAGTGTTCCTATTTCTCCACATCCCCTCCAGCACCTGTTGTTTCCTGACTTTTTAATGATCTCCATTCTAACTGGTGTGAGATGATATCTCATTGTGGTTTTGATTTGCATTTCTCTGATGGCCAGTGATGGTGAGCATTTTTTCATGTGTTTTTTGGCTGCATAAATGTCTTCTTTTGAGAAATGTCTGTTCATGTCCTTCGCCCACTTTTTGATGGGGTTGTTTGTTTTTTTCTTGTAAATTTGTTTGAGTTCATTGTAGATTCTGGATATTAGCCCTTTGTCAGATGAGTAGGTTGCGAAAATTTTCTCCAATTTTGTGGGTTGCCTGTTCACTCTGATGGTAGTTTCTTTTGCTGTGCAGAAGCTCTTTAGTTTACTTAGATCCCATTTGTCAATTTTGTCTTTTGTTGCCATTGCTTTTGGTGTTTTAGACATGAAGTCCTTGCCCATGCCTATGTCCTGAATGGTAATGCCTAGGTTTTCTTCTAGGGTTTTTATGGTTTTAGGTCTAATGTTTAAGTCTTTAATCCATCTTGAATTGATTTTTGTATAAGGTGTAAGGAAGGGATCCAGTTTCAGCTTTCTACATATGGCTAGCCAGTTTTCCCAGCACCATTTATTAAATAGGGAATCCTTTCCCCATTGCTTGTTTTTCTCAGGTTTGTCAAAGATCAGATGATAGTTGTAGATATGCATATGCAGCATTATTTCTGAGGGCTCTGTTCTGTTCCATTGATCTATATCTCTGTTTTGGTACCAGTACCATGCTGTTTTGGTTACTGTAGCCTTGTAGTATAGTTTGAAGTCAGGTAGCGTGATGCCTCCAGAGTTTGTGATCTTAAGACAGAAGAATTTTTTGAGAAATGACTGGTTTGCCAATGGCTGCGAAACAGGGACTGATTCTTTTTTTAAGTGTTTCTAACTTTTAATTAGAAATCATTTCAAATAAACATGAAAGTGCATAAAATAATAGAATTGAGCCCCATGTATCTCATACCCAGCTTTATGAGATGTTAATATTTTATTCAATATGCTTAAGATTGCACTTAAATCACATACCTATCCCTTTATTCTCCTTTCTTCCTCAGTAGCATTCTCTCCCCAATAGTTAGTATGTGTTATGCCTACTCACTTTTTCTCTTTAACTACATTTCCGTATATCCACAAATGAGATGCAGTATTATTTTGTATCTTTTGACAATTTACATGTTTTTCTACTATAAGTGTTCTTGTACAATTTGGCAGTAGTGCCTTTCAATGCAAATGCAACTAGAGCAATTGAGCCTTGGTGTAAGCCAGAAGGAAATCCTTCTTTCCAGGGGTTTGGAGTTGCCTTAACAGCTGCTCAAAGTGTCCCAGCTACTCATTCTTTGCTGCATTCCTGACATGCGTCTTGGTTTCCTATTTATCACTTTGGCTCATGCTTAAGTGCATTTATGCAATAGCTTTAAAAGTCTTCGACCCTTGATCCACACCCTTCTCTTGCTTATTGAGTGGTTGTAAAGTTGATCCAAGGGAACTGGAGGTCATAAAATCACAGCAGAAAATGGAAACTCATACCTAGTTATTAAGAGAATGGGTTCTTGGATTTTTCTTTTTTAAGTAAGAAATTTTGCTACACTCCTCACCTTCCCACTCCCACATACCTCTGCATGGCCGGGCCCTGTCTAGAAAGGACACTGGGAGGCCCCAGGACTATAGAATTTATTTCTTGTAATAGTAACCAATTAAACTAGTTACCAGTTGGAGAGCATGTTCCAGCACTTAAGTTAATTGAACTGTTGCAAACGAAATATGATTCTAAATTGTTTCAGTATTCCAAATCACTTCATGCGTGTAGATAAAAATGAAAAAAATTACCAAATTGGTTTGGAATGTGCAAATCAAGCATACAGTGCGAACATTTAGATCTATGAACTGATAACTGCAGTAGGTACCTTGAAAAACTTTGTGGGCTTTTTTTTCTTCTTCTTTTGCTGAGCTCTCCTTTGAATTCCCAGAACCACTACTTGATGTGATAGTCAATGAATGGAAGTCAGGTGCAATCAGAAGGGGAACTGTCTGCATCAGGATTTTTCTACCAATTTGCCCAGAAAATAATCTCTTCATTATTCATTTCATGGGCCAGGTAAGAAGGGAATTGTTGAAAGGAGATTTAGCTTAATGGATGAACTGTAGTATTTTATTCCGGGAGAATCTGGCTAGAATTTGGTTTATGAGTCCGGAGGGTATAGTTCTCCTTGGGGTGGTGACCCTTCTGTACCTAGGGCCACTGCACATAAACAATGAGTGTCTAAATTCAAGAAGGAGATGGTTTCGAGGAAAATCTCATGGCAAATGTTGCTACTTTCCTGTCTCCACAGTCTCTCACTCTTCATGTCTCCCCCATCACCCAACATATATGTGGATGACAGTCTGTTTCCATAGCTTTGTATTGCTGTGAATTTTCCAACCCTCTACATAGATCAGGTCAAGGGCTGGAATTGAAGGGGTTGTTTGAGAAGTTTGGATGGGCTGTGAGGCTCTTGGCAGCTTAATGAGTCATCTTGAGTAACAAGTCACACAAAATCCATGACAATTCTCACCTCTCTTCAAGGTTATTCCTTCCCCTCCCAAAGGAAACCTAAGAAAAAGCAGTGAAATACATCAGTTGATTTCATGAGCTCTTTTTGAGCGGATAAAATAATTTGAGTTAGAATACAGGCTGCCATTGTTGTTGCAGTTACAGTTCAAGTTGCCTGGCACCATACAACATTGGAACATAAACCACTGACAAAAACAAACTCATGCAGAATAAACCGACTCGACACAAAGAGCAGAGATATTAATGGACCAGTCAGGTGCGTGACCAAAAGGAAGGCTTGGTCCTATTACAGTTTAGGCAGCTGTATCCATAGTATGAGTTGAAAGATTCAGAGTTGATATTTTTCTCCAAAATATATTCTCCATGGCTTACAAATAATACCGGAAACCCAACATTTTTTAATTCATGTATTTTTAAATTAAGAAAGACAATAAACTGTAGCCATCATCAGTTCTAGCAAATCCTCACCTAGATCATTTTAAGAGGAGAGCTAAGGCTGGGCTTGGTGGCCCACGCCTGTAATCCCAACACTTTGGGAGGCTGAGGCGGATGGATCACGAGGTCAGGAGATCGAGACCACCCTGGCTAACATGGTGAAACCCTGTCTTTACTAAAAGTACAAAAAATAAATAAAAAATTAGCCGAGCGTGGTGACACGTGCCTGTAGTCCCAGCTACTCGGGAGGCTGAGGCAGGAGAATCGCTTGAACCTCCTAGGGAGGCGGAGGTTGCAGTGAGCTGAGATCGCACCACTGCACTCCTGCCTGGACAGAGACAGACTCCGTCTCAAAAAAAAAAAAAAAAAAAAAAAAAAAAGCTAGTTGCATTAGGACAGAAGTGAGAGAAATAAGGTTATCCAAGACCTCACTGCCTGGAGAAAGGCAGGAAGAAGTGACACTAGGTGCTCAGAGAAAGGACAAATAGTGAGTGTGCCATCAATTTCACTATCATGTGGAAATTTCAGTGGGCTCCTTGTTCATTAAACGTTTATTGAACATTCACTTTGAGCCCTGTGCCAGGCATAGAAAGGATAAATAATGTTCTTCCTGCCTTCAAGAAACTTCTAATCAATTGTGGAGACATAGATAGTATTCAACAAACTTTAAAAAGCTCACCTACTGTATCCCAGACATTGTTTTAGTCACCAATGTGGTAGAAATGAATTAATAAGAGACCCTGTCCTCAAGCAATTTGCAGTCTGGTGGATGTACATAAGGTAATTAGTGTATAACTAATAAATGTCTCAAGATCTGTGGGAAAAAAAAATTTACTAAGGAGGGAGGAAGTTCAGTGAAGGCTCTAAGGGATCTATATGGCCTGAGCTGGCCCCTGACATGTAGAATTAGGCAATGGGACGAGCAGAAATAGTACAACTCTCTCTTTTCCTGGATCTCTCCTGGAGTTGAGAGTATCCAAGTTTTTGCTAATCTACCCGCTTATAAACACTTACATTGTTCAATTACTTAGTCCAAGTGTTTGCTCAATAAAAACTTTCCTGACCCATCTCTCCTCACTCCCTGTCCCCAGACTTGTAGAACTCACTCCTTTATTGTCTCTCCTGCACATTAACCTATCACAGCACTGATAATAGTATATTCTAAATTATTTCTTTACCTTTACTTTGCCCTTTGAGTTTGTAAGGATGCTGGCTGACTGCTGGGATGGATGAATAAAGATGGATAGAATTTTCATGTTTACCTAAACAAATCCCCAAATGTCCTGGCTCTGAATCACTTCTAGAATATTCTTCTCAAGCTCCTATAAAATGGCAATTTATGCTTTTTGAGATGGGAAAATGATCCCTGAAGCCTTCTCTGAAGAACTGAATGTAAGGAATACTTGTGTGGTGGCGTTTCCCCTCTCATGTCTCATTCACAGAACACTCCAAAACATAACCATTTTGCTATGACAGAAACATGATTTCTTCATTTGCAGGCAGCCATGATGAGCTTGCTCCTCCTGGACCATACAAAACATACGCTGTCTTTCCCTAGCTTTTGGAGGTTTCCCCACACAGGATAGCTCTGGGGAGGTTGTTTTCTGCTTGTCTTGTTTCTAAGCATCTTTTGCTCATCTTTCCTAGCCGCACGGTTCTAATTTCTGATTGCCTGGATTATATATCAACTAGGCCAAGTTTTTGATTCCTTAGTCACATGGGAAGTTGGGTCAGGAAGGCGGGGGCTGCAAAGGACTCGGGCATAGAGCCAGCTTTCCCAGGAGTTGGCCATGATCGTACTGATTCTGCGTATTGTTTTAAGGGTACACCCCTGGGGGGTCTAGAGATTTCTGCTGATCCTAGGGACTTAGAGAAGCTCAAAACCTAGCGCAAAAGACTCATCTGAGCTCAAATGGATGAAGCCTGGGGATATTTGCTCATGCCTTCCAAATATCTGTCTAAAAACGTCTCATTTCTGCTATTTCTATGGCCAAATGAATTGTCACATCCATGTGCATACCTTACCCAACAATCTGTTTATCAAGAAAGAGGAGCCTGTTGTCTCCCAATTTCTGCTTTCCAGGCGACTGATATTAATTACTTTGCAGCAGGAACAGTTTATCTCTGGCTGAAACCAAAGCAGATGAAAATGCTGCCGTGCTGTAAGATTTATTTATTTATTTTTCTTGAAACGATGAATGGGATGAAGATACTTATCTGAGAGAACAGGTTTCAGGTGGAGCCTCCGTCAGCAGTACTTTGAAATGTATTGTTAGAATATGGCTGATCTGGGTAAGGAATAAAAATAGCGTGTCATAGTGTGACTACATTAACTCATTTCCAACACAGGAAGCTGAGGCCCCTGCACAATGATAGACTTGTCCTGAAAGTAGAAAGCACGACCCCCATTAATGACGATGGACCTAGTTCTCAATTACTGGCATTACTTAAAAGATACCGCTAATCTCAGCATTTTGGGAGGCTGAGGTGGGTGGATCACCTGAGGTCAGGAGTTCGAGACCAGCCTGGCCACTATAGTGAAACCCCATTTCTACTAAAAATACAAAAATTAGCCAGGTGTGGTGACTTGCGCCTGTAGTCCCAGCTACTCGGGAGGCTGAGGCAGGAGAATCTTTTTTTTTTTTTTTTTTTTTTTTTTTTTTTTTTTTTTTTGAGATGGAGTCTCGCTCTGTTGCCCAGGCTGGAAAGTAGTGGCACAATCTCGGCTCACTGCAAGCTCTGCCTCCCAGGTTCACGCCATTCTCCTGCCTCAGCCTCCCGAGTAGCTGGGACTACAGGCACCCACCACCAAGCCTGGCTAATTTTTTTGTATTTTTGTTTTTTTTTTTTTTAGTAGAGACGGGGTTTCACTGTGTTAGCCAGGATGGTCTCGATCTCCTGACTTCGTGATCCACCCGCCTCGGCCTCCCAAAGGAGAATCTCTTGAACCTGGGAGGCGGAAGTTGCAGTGAGCTGAGATCAGGCCTCTGCACTCCAGCCTGGGTGACAGAGCAAGACTCCGTCTCAAAACAAACAAACAAACAAAAAGATATTGCTAATTGCCCCAAAGCTATGGCCCTGCTTTAGACCTAATCTAAGTACCCTAGTACAGAGAACAAAGTTTTAAAATCAACCTATCCCCCTTCAAATTATTAAGATTCTACCCCCAAATGATTTCTTCTGGGTAGTTTGCATGTAGATTCAGCACTGAATCCCCAAGAGGTTGACTGAGAAATAATTAGGACAACCTGACAATGAAATAATGGTCTACCCTAGTTATGGGACTCTAGGGCATTTATTTCTTTACATGTCTTAGCCTCGGTTTCCTCAATAGAAAATAGGAAAAGAAAGCCAACTTGGTGGGGTTCATCTGACCCATTTTTTTAGGTTAATCTATCTAAAAGGACCTGGCAAACAATGGTCATGCTCCGTTTTCATAATTAGTGGCCAAGAAGATAAATGTCTTTGAAAAAATGGAAACTAGTGATAAAATTTGGGGTCAAAGGATACATTTGGTTGGGTGTGGGGCTCATGCCTGTAATACCAGCACTGTGGGAGGCTGAGGTGGGAATGATGACTTGAAGCCAGGAGTTTAAGACTAGCCTGGGCAACATAGCAAGACTCTAACCCTACAAAAAATACAAACATTTGCTGAGTATGATGGTACATGCCTGCATTCCTGGCTAGTTGGGATGCTGAAGCAGGAGGATCCCTTGAGCTGTGGAGATCGAGTTCACAGTGAACCATGATTATGAGACTTCACTCCAGCCTTGGCAACATAGCAAGACTCTGTCTCTAAAATAATAAAACAATTAAAAATAATGCATTTTTAAAAAATCAATTTTATTTTACTTCCCATACACTGTTCTAGACAGTGAGGCTAAGGGAAATAAAAACAACACAAAGACTCTGGCCAAGGTTGGAACCAGAAGCTCTGGGTTCTAGTTCTGGCTTTAATGTTAACCAGCTGCAATTACTTTGCCAATGTGCTTTATCTCTCCAGGATCCATCGGCTACATCTGTAAAGTAAAGAGCCAGACAATTTCCAATTCTGACATTCTATGCAAATGAAAAAATGTACTTTGTGCATCAACCTCTCGTCTTTTCCTGGCCACTCTAGCCACTCCTTTATGTTCTCCTTCATTAACTACTATTCTTCTACTTGAATCTTTCATGCAAATATTCCCTTAGTTGTTTTCTTTAATCATATTTCTTTTCTTTGTCCATGTTTTCCTTGAGATGTATCATTGACTGCAGTAACATTGACTTCCCTAAGACCATGGGAAATGACTCTAAATCTATTTCCCCAACTGAAATCACTCTCCCAAGCTTTTGACTCACTAACTACTGGACACCTCCTTTTGAGTTTTCTCCCAAAGTTTAAACATAGTATGTCTCAAACTGAACCCATTATCTTATTCACAACCAAAATCTACTTATATTCTTCCATTTTCAGAGATTGTCATCAACTCAAATTTCCCTGGCCCAAAGCTTAGGAGTCACACAAGCCCTCCCTGCCATTCACAATCACATCTAATTGATTACCAAGTCTTGTTTATTTTACTTCTTTCAAAGCCCTCAAATCAATCATCTTTCATCTGCATTTTTCCATTTACAACCAATTTCACTATATCTTCCACTTTGCAGTCAAAACATTGCTTCTAAAATGCTAACATTCTATCCTATCTATCTTATCTAGAGCCTACCAACAGTTTCACCTGGTTTCCTGGAATCAAACATAAAGTCTCTAGCATCAAGTATAAGTTTATCCCTGAATGATCCCCACCCTCTCATTCAAAAGTTATTTTCACCACGCTCTCAGCCCCACAGCTCCACTCCTACTGCAATTTTTGCGTTTTGTGGAATAGACTCTATTATATTTCTAAAATTTTGTAAAAGCTGTTCTCTCTGCTTGGAATGCCCTACCTTTCTTTCTCTATCTGAGAGGCTATGGGAGTTTTTTCCAGGGTGGCTAAGAGCCTATGCTTTGGGGTAAGACATACCCGTGATCAAAGTCCAGATCTAGTATTTATAAGCTATGTGATAGTAGGCAGGTTGTTTATCATCTAAATTTTAGTAGTATTACTTTTAAAATGCAAATAACAATACCTGCTACATAATGTCATTGTAAAGATTAAATATGAGGTGTTTAATGTGATGCCAGGGACATAGGAACATCAATAATTGGCAACTCATGTTTGTCCTCTACAGCTAGACTCTATGATCCTCCTCTCTTCTCCTAACCACACCTCTCATGTTCTGCTCTGGAATTTACATTACAGGATGCCAGAGACAGAGTCTATTTTGTTCACATTTATTTAGCACTTGTCATTGTCTGACCCAAGCAGGCCTACCATAGAATTTCTGTTTCCATCAAGATTCAACTAAGTCACTATTTCTTCTAGGAAGTTTTTATTGAACCCCTAATCTTGCTTCAGCATTGGTTAATTACTTAAGTAATAGGCTCTGTTTATACACAGTTGGAATTCTTTCTCTTTCTTCAGTAGAGTCTTGAGTTTCTGGAGGGCAAAGACCGCACCATTTACACCTTTGAATCCCCAACACTTTTCTCAGCTCCATAGAGTAACACTAAAAAAAGCCTGTATGAATGCATGAGTGAAGGAAGGAATGGCTGGATGAGTGATGAATGAGTGGATTCTCTCTTTACCTCTGTTTCTTTCTTTTCCTCTTTTCCCCCTCTTACTATGCTCCATTTAAATTCTGTTTCTAAGAATCAGGTAGAGAATGTGGAAACTAATGGATATCAGGCAGGTGAGGACACACCTTCACCCAGAGGAGACATGTAGACTGCCCCCTGGTGCTCTGCTGAAATTGTATTGATAGTGGCACCTGGGAAGGAAAGGTCCTTTGATCACAGGAGCTTTAGACAAGCTTTCCCCTGAGCAAGGGCATGAGAACAGCACAGACAAGCTGCTGGAGAATTTTGCAGGCCTTCCTGAAAGGAGTCTGAAAAGCTGGTATGTAGGTCAGTGTCCACCCTGGGACTCAGCCCACGGAGGTAAAAATAAGAGCCTGGAAGGACTGAGTTTCCAGATGCCCAGGTGAGAGTGGCTGGGGGGAGATGTTCTGAAAAGGAGGAGGAAAATCTCTTTAATTTGTTCTCTGGGACATGGCCTCCAAACCACCTTGTAGGCAAGGCACAAAGCCGAGATGACCCTGATATGCATCGAAATGAAAAGGTTTGTGTGCAAATCAGGGAAGAATCCTTTCTGCACCTACAGGATGGATGCCAGGGAGTTAACATTTGGAAATCTCAGCTCAGTGCCAGGACGTTGTTTGAAAAGGAGATCTTGGAGCAAATGCCAGTGAGGTACAGAGGAGAAGAAGTGAGGACAAGGACTCCAGGAATTAGCTATTCAAGAATGTTCCAGAAACCTGATAGCTGTTTTCCCTGTCAAAAAGAGAGAGAGAGAGACAGGAAAAAAAAAAAAAAAAGGACATTCAAACGAGCATTCATCGAAGCAGGCTGCTCAGGGTTTTCAAGGGAATTGGGAGGGCAGATGCTACAAGGTTATTGGAGTCAGTGTCAAATGCGAGAACAAAGTGGCAGTGACATGAGCTAAGAAATGACTAAGCACCCGAGCCCTGGAGTAGTAATAGATGGATCCAAATGCCAAGTGAAGCAGTTGTCTTAACTCATTTGAATACTTCTGAAGAGGTGATGAAAAAATAGCAGGAGGGATGGAACCTCTTCTGTTCCGGAATATCCCAAGATGATAAGAGAATGTTGCATAATGTTACTCTGTGATTTGCTTGATCCACCCTTCCCTATGGCTGCTTTCTCTTTAGTTTTAAAATGAAAGTTTTAGGTCCAGCGCACATAGGGTTTCCATTTGATATAGGGGCTGCTGTTCCTAGGATTTGATTCCTACTTGCAGTGTGGGACTCTCCCTCTCCCCATGAAGGGGTGCTCAGAGTTTTAAGAAAAGAGCATGGTTTGGCATTCAAGCAGGTAAGTTTTTGGCTTACATAGAACTTCCTCTTTCTTCCTCTCTTGTTTTTCCTTTTCTCATCGCTATTTATTTCCATATATTGAAAAACCTGAATAATTTGGACCTAAGGGATATAGTGAAGTGAGCAGAGAAAAGTTAAGGAGGCAAAATTCATATATACAAATTGTATTGTCTCACATGGAGTGTTTGTATATGAAGAGTAATTGAGTAGATATTTAGCATATATTAGATGCTTTATAAATACTCCTATCCCTGCTGCTCCCGCTCCTTTTCAGTTCCCTCTTTCATTTCTGCTTTAGTAAGATAAAGATTACTTTGAAAAGAATTATTGTCAATGATAGCCACCATTTACTGAATGCCTCTTCTGCAGCAGACTCTACATTAGAATATTTGTGACATCAGTTATGCCTTATCACAATTCAGAATGGGAGCAGCAACTGTCCCCACTTTACAGATGAGGAAATGGAGCTAACACACAGTAAGTCACTTGCTACTGCTGCTAAAAAGTGAGAGAGCTGGAATGCAAATTTAGGTGTTCTGCACTCTAAACCCACGTTTTGCTTTGTTTTTGTTTTTTTAATGCTGCTGCATTTCTCTCATGGATCATGCAAATGTAGCTTCTTGGAGCAAATACATAGCATTCCTTCAGAACTGGGGCCAGGGCTGTTTAAGTTGGTGAATTACATCTTGGGGTGGCCATCCCTTACCTTTGGCATTCTCCTTCCCACTCCCTCTGTTCAAACAGCAACAAATCATGCTGCCCTTTTAGTCAAGCACCCTTTTATTCTTTCCTGAAACTGTGTCTCACCAGCCCTATCCCTGTCCTTTAGGGGTCCAGGGTCTTAATTAGCTAATTAAATAAACTTATCTTGCCTAATAGCTCTTAATTCCAAAGTCAGTGCCTTTCCTTAGGTACTAAATACAGAGTCAAATAGAGAAATTTCAGTTGGTAAAGGTTGCTGAGAAAGATAAATTTTTGAAGTAGACAAAACTTTATTGCCTCCCAAACCTCAGAGAAGCAGTCACTTATTCTATCCACATGTTTTTGGCATTTCCTTGCTTACAAAACCCCACAGAAAAACTGGGTATTGAGATCTAAGCCTCTAATTGTCTTAATAAGTTTCAGTTAGAAATGACTTTCCATAATTTGTTAAATATTTCCTGAGCACCTCCTATGTGCTAAGCTCTGTTCTAGGTAAGACATTCAGAGGGAAGCAACTCAAGCACCTGGAGATGGCCTATGCTACAGGTTGAGTATCCCTTCTCCAAAATGCTTGGGACCAGAAGTGCTTTGAATTGTCCATTTGGGGGGCTTTAGGATATTTGTATTACACTTGCTGCTTAAGTGTCCCTAATCTGAAAACCTGAAATCCAAAATGCTCCAATGAGCATTTCCTTTGGGCATCATGTCAGCCCTCAAAAAGTTTTGGATTTTAGAGCATTTGGGATTTCAGATATTCAAATTCGGGATGCTAAACCTGTACCAAAAATTTTCCCTCTATCTATCGTCCTCTGTCATTAGAGAATTTTATAGCTTGTTGACCACTTAGGAAGATACCCTTGAAAAGACCAAGTATGTGACTAGGGAGAAAAAAATATTAAGGAAAAAAAAAAGAGAAATATTAGTTTGAAACTGCTCATTTAAAATTACTAGTTTCAATCAATGACAATTTTAAGATATTAAATACATTCTGGAGTAACTTGTCAAAAAATAAAAAGGTGCCATTACTGATATTCTCCAAGGTTTTTCTAATAAGATCAGGGTCAGTGATGGGAAATAAGCTGGAAGATGAATAGAGTGTCAGAATGCAATTGAGTTCTAAGCAGTTACAGCAAGTTCCCCAGTAAACACAGCTTGAGCAAGTTTGTTCCTGATGATGGTTAGGGAGGCCTTTGGTGAAAATGACCCAGAGAACAGCTGCTTTCTCACCGCACAAAATACTGCTGGACCTTCCTTACTTAACCTATTGGAAAGCTTCCATTGGCATTCTCTTGTGAGTTAAGGCAGAGGAGGAGGTAGCCTCATGAACCTCTCTGCTCCTCTGATTCTGCGCTCATTTTGATTTTGTTAAGAGACTTCATTATATTCTTTCCATGGCCCAAGTGGAACCAAATCCAAGCTCCATCTACTAGCTGTGTTTCTTTGGGCAAATTTGTAACTCCTCTAAGCCTCAGTTTCTTCATCTGTAAAATGGAGATAATAGTAATATGGCTAACAATAACAGCAAGCATTGATAAAATGATTATTTCTCTGTTGAGGCACTCTATGTTGGAGATACCTCATCTCATTGGATGCTCACAGTCCCCACAAGGTAAGTGTGATTACACCTACAAATAGCTATTTTTATCAAGAATCATGGTTGCAGTTCAGAAATTACTAGAGGTGACGTTTAAAAAACATCATGGTTATCTTTTTTAAAGTACAAATGACTGTGTGACTTCTATGATAATAATCATTGCCAGAGAGGAGTTTTCATTATTTAATAAGTGGAATGCTTTGGAAGGGCTTCTTCATGTAAATAGATATTGCTACCTTCAACTCCTACTGAGTCCTCTCATGGTAGTAGGTTATAAGACATTTAGTGGGCTGAAAATATATATTACCTGGTAAACAAGTGTGTAGAGCACTTATGTGTGATACTGATTCCTTGTCAAACTCAGAGAGACAGAGAAAGAAAGAAAGAGAGAACAGAGGGAAAGAGACAAAGATGGAAACAAAGAGAAAGAGACAGAGATAGAAACAAAGAGAGAGAGAATAATTTCATATGCCTCATTTGGCACTTGAAAATGAAGCAGGAAACCATGGTGTCCCCACCTGGGACCCCGATTCTGTGACCTGCTTTCTGATATGGTCTGGAAATTCTTAACCCAGTGGAACCCAGGGACACAGGTGTTTCATCTTCAGCAGGGTCCTGTCGGGGCCTCTCTACCCGAGGCCTCAGTCCTACACAGAGTACATTCTCCTTGAAGGAGGAAAGGAAGACTCCCTCCAGCTGGGCTGTCACAGAACTGCTATCTCTTCTCTCCATCCCTGCTGGCCTCCAGTCTTTTCTCTGTTTCACTCTTGTTATGGGAGCTGTGAGAAAAGAAAAATCAATTCTCTAGCTAAGGTCAGCCAGTAAAATTTGCTCCTAGGTCCCCTAACCACGGCCTGATGAATCCAGCCACATTTCTCCCAGGTTACAATTCAATAAAGCCTCCTAATGGCCTTTATCATGATTTCCCTCCACACAGGCTCACAGCAGCGCCTTTCATGCTCCCTTATAAACCTCCTTGTAGGGCAATAATTTTGTCTTTTAGTTTTTCTGGATCATTTTGGAGGTGAATTGGGCCAGGGTGCCGGGGTGAGGGTGAGGGCTGAAAAAACAAAACTTTTAGCCGCATCTGGTTATTCCATTTAGTTTTCGCGGCAAATTATTATAGCATAAAAGTAGCTTCAGATGGTGCTGACTGAGGATGGCTTGGCAGGGTTACTCCCTGGGCTTTACCTGGTCCCTGAGTAGTTATGCAGCATCTTTTAAATCATTCGTTCATTTATGCTAGGCCAAGTGTGAGAAATATTTTATGAGCACCTACCATGTGCTAGAGAATGAAGCTGTGGAGAAGAAAGAGTCCCGGATTGTTGCTCCCAATCCAAGTTGGAGAGACAGACCAGTAAGTAAGTCAGTGAGGACATTAGAATAAAAGCATCACAGAGCCCTTAACTGCTTTTCAAGTGGCAAGAGAAGCCCCCGTTTTCCTCCATAGGGGCAGAGAGCATCAGAGAAAATCTTTCTCGGCATAGCTGCCATGAACTGAATCTTGAATGTCAAGGAAGAAGCAGAAGTAGTGGGCTTGCACATATGCTAAAATTCCATATCTGCCATGTGTTAGCCATGTTACCCTGGACCTATTACTGATCCTCTTAAAATGCAGGTTCCTGAGCCCCAAAATAGGTCAGCCTTGCTTGCAGAGTTTTTGTGAAAGTTAACAAAATATAGGTAAGTGCTAGACTTATATCCTTATATCCAACACAAAGTAGATACTCAAGAGATGAAATTCTATTTTTGTTATTATTATGTATAATAATTTTTATTTATTAAGAGTTTATCAAGTATAAACTCAATAATAATTAGAACTTGAGCACGATCCATTGAAGAAATGAAAAGCTTTCAGTTTCACGGATATTTGCAATGGGTGTAGAGGGGAAGGGTAGGAAATCTGGAGCGGAGACATGTGGATGGTTATGCAGGAGCCAGTTCATTGAGAGCCTTCAGTACAAGGCTTAATGCAGTACAAGGCTGTCATAAACTGGCTCCTGCATTAAGAAGTAGGGATTCATTGAAGGTTAACCACTTTTTAGGAAGGGGGGTGTGTAAGTAATTAGATATCCAGATGATGATGTGGCCCTTATTGCCAGCTATCTGATCCCAGCTCATAAAGCCTTGGTTCACTGACCACCTAGACATGGAAAATAAAAACCCAGGCACCACTTTGCCTCTGAAGAATTCTCAGCAATTTTTCAGAAAGTAAAACATCCTCTGTGAAATTCTTGAAGATTTCTCCCCCTCACTCTGAAATGCCCTGAATTTCAAGCAGCTATAATGTTGCTGACTCATTTCTAGTTTCATAAGGATCTGGGTTGACTTGTCATGTTATAAATCTCCAGTTTATGGAATCGCTCCTACTGCTGTAAGGTAGACTTGGAAGTGTGTCAAAGGGATTCAAGGTGGGCAAAACAGAAGTTGAGCTTCAGTCTCATTATTTTGCTTATTTTTTCAGTGAAGGGAGACCTTTGATGATTTTTTACAGGGGCCATTATTTAATTTTCATCTTAAGGAAAAAATGTCAAGCAGTCGACTTTAAAGATATATGTCTATGTAAGACTGATTGTATTTAAAACAAATTTCCCAGAGCTTCCTTTAATCTATTATAGAATCTTTCTATATCATTCATGGCAAAAGTATGTCAGGCCTTTGATGGGAAGCAAATTTTCTCTTTTTAGGATTTTGGTGTGACTTTGTCTATTGTGGACAGGGACATCTAGCCACTTTAAGAAACTGAACACTCAAGCCTATGGGTTACAAAGAAAATGCAAAGGTATGGAAATGTGCAGTAACAGAAAAAAAGGCTGGACTGAAGACAAATATGGCTTATGTTACAATTTTGTTTTGGTTTGTCTTTTCCTAAGATTCAGCTATATTGGCAAAGCCTACAGAATAAACACCACAGGACTTGAATATAAGTTTGCAAGCAATCATGTATCAGGGCAACTCTTTGCTATGGAGAGTAAACTTGTTTATGTCTTTGCATGAGTTCCTCACTCCTTCCAGAATACACAGATGGATGGATGGATGGATGGATGATGGATTGTCAAGAACAGTAGCCCTTACCTGAAAACATAACTCCTTCACTCAGTGTTATATATATATATATTTAGCTTTCAAAAAGATGTAATCTCAGCTGGGCACGGTGGCTAACGTCTGTAATCCCAGCACTTTGGGAGGCTGAGGCGGGCGGATCAACTGAGGTCAGGAGTTTGAGCCTAGCCTAACCAACATGGAGAAACCCTGTCTCTACTAAAAATACAAAATTAGCCTGGCGTGGTGGCACACACCTGTAATCCCAGCTACTCGGGAGGCTGAGGCAGGAGAGTCACTTGAACCGGGGAGGCGGAGGTTGCCGTGAGCTGAGATCGCGCCGTTGCACTCCAGCCTGGGCAACAAGAGCAAAACTCCGTCTCGAAAGAAAAAAAAAAAGGAAAAAAAGAAAGAAAGATATAATCTCTGAATGCACTAATTATTGTTACTAATTTCTTTGAGGTTATTTTGTATTGTTTTGTTTTGCTTTTCTGCTACACCTTGCTTTACTCCCTTCTCTTTCTGGGTTTAATCCTCCTTGGACTAAAGCCAAGGTCAGAGAGAGTAATATGCAGTGCAACAGCCTGCCTAGTAAAACATATCTCTTTATTAGGAAATTGAGCTTCTACCTTTTACCAAGCTGTGGTTTCTTATAAGAAGAAACGCTGACTCATAATACAGGCAAGGTGATGTGTACATGCAAATACACAATTTTATCTTTTAGGCTGATTTCATTAAACAACAGATCTGTGGTATCTGAGAAGCTGTCAAATACTCAGGCTTGATTTTACATAATTATACAATATAGAATGACATTAGCTCTGTATTTTCTTATTGTTGTATCATCTCTCTCCCTCCCTGGAAATGTAAGCTCCATGGGGGGCGAGAGTTTTGAGGTTTTTGTTAACTAATTATACCATCATCTAGAACGGTGCCTAACACTAATAGAAACTCATTAATTATGTGAATAAATGAGTAACTTAGTGCAAAGTCACCATACTCTCCTTTATTTGTTTCCAGTTTTTGCTTCATGCAGGCTTTTGGTACCTCCCTTGGGGAGGGTTCACAGCATCACCTACAATGAGAGAATTTAGGGTTATTTTTCAAGTTCATGTCATTATAACATGGGGAGCTGGGATTTCTGTGCTCATTCTTTCTCCGTGACATCAGCTGATTTTAAGTCAACCTTTCTATATTTTTTACACTCTCTCTTTTTACTTCTGGCTTGGCTTTAATTAGAAGCCCATTTTTTCTTAGTTTTTTTTTTATGTACATACGTTTATTTCCAAAATGTTATTAAACTTAATTTTATGCTTTATTTTGTTCCCCACAAACTATATTACATTTTCTTTGTACCTTCTCATTTGCTCTTCTCCTATGTAATTCTTTCCTTTCAAGTCACCAAACAGCAATTTGTCTGAGTTTCCTGATAACATCTCTCTTTATTTTGGTATCTTCTGAGGTATATTTTAGCCCTTTTTAAATATAGCCTAGATAAAATAAGTACATTTAATGTACTTGGCAAGAAAGTGTTAAGCATTAACTCCTAATAATTCACTCCTTATTAGTCTCCTTTCAGGTAAGTTGCCAGACAGATTTCAAGTGATAAGTGGAAGGTCACTCAAACAAAGATCCATTTTCCTGGATAGGGGAGGGGCAGAGTTTCAAAAGTCACATGTAGAAGCAAATTCCTTCTAATGACAGCTGTAGTTTCTCCAAAATGATAGATAAATAACCTTTTGTGTAGGGTGAGTAGAGTCATCTTTTTATACATAACAGTAAGAATAGTTTTGACCAAGTTTCAGTGTTCAGCTATAAAGACAAAGGGACAGAGATAAAAGCAATTAATTATCAATATAAAGGACATTGATGGTTTGCTGGCTATGGTAATGAGTACAAGTATCATAACTATGAGGCTTTGAATAAATTCAATGAGATTCTGTGTGTCTTCTTGAGTAGGTAGTCTTGAAATGGCAAAGTCAATTAGGACTGAAGGGAAATAAGAGGGTAGAAAACAAGACTAAAACACTCAGTACCTTGTACCCTAACACCCGCTGCAACAACAAAAAGAAAGATATTATCAATTCCCGGATCAGCATGGATTTGTGTTTGAATCATGAACCATACCTGTACAATGTGTGTAAGTAATTGTTAAAAAATACAGTTATGTGGCCAGAGGCGGTAGCTCACGCCTGTAATCCCAGCACTTTGGGAAGCCGAGGGGGTTGGATCACGAGGTCAGGAGATCAAGACCATCCTGGCTAAAATGGTGAAACCCCCCTCTCCACTAAAAAAACAAAAAAAAAACCCAAAAAATTAGCCGAGCGTGGTGGCAGGCACCTGTAGTCCCAGCTACTCAGGAGGCTGAGGCAGGAGAATGGCGTGAACCCGGGAGGTGGAAGTTGCAGTGAGCTGAGATCGCACCACTGCACTCCAGCCTGGGCGACAGAGCAAGACTCTGTCTCAAAAAAAAAAAAAAAAAAAATACAGTTATGTTTTACATCATATACCAACTCCAACTGATTGGTAGTGGCTGCCTAGAACTTTTTGCATTAGGAAGGATTCTCGAGTATTCAGTGGTATCTGTGAGAAATAATGCTATAATTATCAGCAATGTCTTGTGGGCATCGTACTTGCAAGTGCTAGCATTAAGTGCTATGATTTTTTTGTTTATTCATGTCTAATTATTACTTCATAGTTAATTTCATTTTATTCTGTTTTTTGCTGTTGTTGTTGTTTCTAAATCTGGTATTATAAAATTTACTTCTGGGAAGATTGATGTATCATGATAGCCATCTGGCCCTTGTATTGTTGTTTGCCCAGTTGGGACTATTGCAAAACTGCACCCTGACAGATTTCACGGCAGATAGCGTATATCCCACATGGACTGTGAAGAAACAAGAGACTTTGACCTAAGAAAAGAATAAGATATTCAGTGCAAAATTCACTGTTGATTTTACCAGAGCAGTGATACTAAAGACTTCAACTACATTACAAAGACTCTGTTAAGGATGCTTTCAACAGCAAACAACAGCAAACCCAGTTCACAGTGGTTTAAAGCAATATGAATAACTGTTTATCATATCACAGAAATCAGGAGATAGATTGATTATTGCTGATGTGTTCAGTAGTGTAATAGTGTCAGGATTTGCAACTCTTCAACTCTCTTGGGGTTTTTCTCATGGTTATCAGAGGGATGCCACATCACCAAGTTTCATGTCCACTTTTATGTAATGAAAAATGGGGTAAGGTAAAGAACCAGTGGCATCCCCTTTTGTCAGTAAAGTAAAGTAAAACTTTCACATATGACCTCTGACCTTTATATGTTCTTATTTAGAAGCATGTCATATGGCTAACACCGGTTGCAGAAGCAGCTGGGAAAATATATATTTACCTTTACTGCCCTCTGTGGTGGATGAGACAAGGAGGAAGGGTATTACCAATAGTCTCTGTTACGGTGTACCTCTTAGCCTAGTGGCTATCCATACATATCCTTCTTCCTATAGATATGTTTTAACAGAGGCTATTCATCTTTATTCCATGGAAAATAACCACACATAATAGTATTTATTTTAGGATCTAGCTTTAAGTGCAGTATTGCTCACTATCAGATCCAGATGTGGATGTTCTGGTCTAGTGACTAATAGCTAAAAAACAAGTTATCTGTTCCCTTTATCCTGCATAAAGTGTTGGTGAGCCGGCCAGGTGCAGTGGCTCACGCCTGTAATCCCAGCACTTTGGGAGGCTGAGACAGGTGGATCACCTGAGGTGAGGAGTTTGAGACCAGCCTGGCCAACATGAAGAAAACCCGTCTCTACTAAAAATACAAAAATTAGCTGGGCATGGTGGCACACACCTATAATCCCAGCTACTGTGGAGGCTGAAGCAGCAGAATCGCTTGAACCTGGGAGGCAGAAGTTGCAGTGAGCTGAGATCGCACCACTGCACTCCAGCCTGGGCGACAGAATGAGACGAGATCCCATCTCAAAAAAAAAAAAAAAAAAAAAAATTTGTGAGGGAACAGGATACCTACAATGAAATCTCCATCTTGGGAAAAGGAACAACGGGAATTACTTACAAATTACTGGCCTATAACACACACATTAAACAGCAAAGACTTAGCCCTGGCAGTGGAGTAAATTCCTTTATTAGACAATCTGCCCATCCCTGTCTTTTCTAGGAGGATCCCTAGAATCTGGGAGGATTAGGGAGATAAATATGCTAATTATGCAGATGGCCACACCTGAAGTAAGCTTGGAGAAGATGCTCTTCTGAGGAACGTACAACTTTCCTAGTTTATTTCTTATTCACATAGGTTCAAGGGCTTAGGGGGTTAACAGTCAAAGTCTGGGTTTCTTGAGCAACATCATCCCCTCAAAAATATAGTAATTCTGGGAGTCATTTTGCTTCTGATAATTTCCACATGGGATAATTAAGAGCCAGTACATGTGTAGGCATAGTCTCTAATTGTGAGACGTGCTGTATCCTAGTGCCTAAGTTTAGGGATTAGTCTAATGGACAACACCTTGTGGAGATATGAAAAATATAGGCTTGTATTGGAAGACATTATTGGAGAAATTCTTTGTTAAGGAGCAGATGTTAAATATTGGAATGTTTTTACACTTCATGGTAGGTAGCTGCTTACCCAAACTAGCAATCTGTACCCTAAGATCTCACTACTAAAGGTTTAATGCTTGTCAAAGTTTAGGGGCCTTCAAGGATCCATCTCCAGCCTTGTTGCCAACATTCATTTGATTCTTCATTGCCTCCACCTTACCAGGTATTAATAAATATGAAATATTTCATATATCAACTCTGGCTTATACTCAGGGCAGCAGAGAAGTATGTTCCTTAGTATGGGGGATCCTGGGACAAAGGCAAACATTTTCCGAGAAAATGTCACATTAGGAAAATGCTAATCAAAGCCTTAAAAAGGACAACATCAAGTTGTAAATGCCACTTACTTATAAGAAAGTTATAAAAAATAAAGAGAAGGTTAAAAAATAGATTGGTTAGGCCGGGCGCGGTGGCTCACTCCTGTAATCTTAGCACTTTAGGAGGCCGAGGCAGGTGGATCATGAGGTCAGGAGATCGAGACCACCCTGGCTAACACGGCGAAACCCTGTCTCTACTAAAAAATACAAAAAAAGTAGCTGGGCGTGGTGGCGGGTGCCTGTAATCCCAGCTACTGAGGAGGCTGAGGCAGGAGAATGGCATGAACCAGGGAGGCGGAGCTTGCAGTGAGCCGACATAGCGCCACCGCACTCCAGCCTGGGCGATAGAGCAAGACTCCATCTCAAAAAAAAAAAAAAAAAAAAAAAAAAAATAGATTGGTTAGAGACAAAGTATGAATTGGTAGAAAGTGGATTCAGGAGATAATTATGCTAATGTGGACTAATCACTGTGGCATTCCTCTCCTGTGTGTCTTGGCACAGTGCTCTGACCAGGGGCAGGCCCTTAAGCCATTGACCCATCTTCTATACAAGCCAGACAAGGAAAGGTGAGAAGCAGAAGCCCATTTAATCAAGTACCACCAGTGTAGGCGGGCAAGGGACCAACGACTAGAAGGTCAGCAAAAGCAAGGGGGGAGCAAAAAGGTGCCACGGGCCTCAGAACACAGGCAGGGTCCAGAGTTGAAGAGGTTAGAAAGTTGGCAGAAACAACTCTAGTAATAAGGCTTGAACTTTGATCCTAGGGCAGAAAGTGCTCCATTGTACTCTATTACTACCTGCTGAATGCCAATGAGTTAGTTAGGACCACAGATGCTGGGCACTGTCAGAAAGTCTCAAAGCCTTTTTATCATTAAGGCCAAGACAGAGATATCAGCAAGAACTTTTCCGGATTTTACTAGCACACTGTTTTTTAATTTTTAATTTTTATCCATTTATTGTCATATTTTTGAGAATATGACATTATGATTATTAACAATAGCTGAGATTGTTGGAGGGAGTGCTTACAATATGCCAGACACAGTTTTTAGTGCACTACATATAATAAGTATCTCATTTAACTTTCATAATAATATGAGGGTTTTTTTTTTGTTTTAATCATCCTCACTTCATAGAGAGGATACAAGTTTCCATCCTCTTCCTTTACATTCTTTGTACAAACTGTACAGTTTATTAACCCCATATTAGTCAGGGTTCTCTAGAGGGACAGAACTAACAGGATAGATGCATATAGAAAGGGGAGTGTATTAAGGAGTACTGACTCACATGATCACAAGGTGAAGTCCCACAATAGGCTGTCTGCAAGCGGAGGAGCAAGGAACCAGTCTGAGTCCCAAAACCTCAAAAGTAGACAAGCTGACAGTGCAGCCTTCAATCTGTGGCTGAAGGCCTGATAACCCCTTGTTAACCACCAGTAAGTCCAAGACTCCAAAAGCTGAAGAACTTGGAGTCTGATGTTCGAGGGCAGGAAGCATCCAGCAAAGGAGAAAAGATGAAGCCTGGAAAACTCCGCAAGTCAAGTCCTTCCACTTTCTTCTGCCTGCTTTATTCTAGCCACACTGGCAGCTGATTAGATGGTGCCCACCCAGATTAAGGGTGGGTCTGCCTCTCCAAGTCCACTGAATCAAATGTTAATCTCCTTTGGCAACACCATCTCAGACACACCCAAGTACAATACTTTGTGTCCTTCAGTCTAATCAAGTTGACGCTCAATATTAGCCATCACAAATCCACCCCTTGTCAACTTCAACCCATACACACTTCCTGAAATAATACATAATCTTCAAATAAAAACAATAATAAGGTCATAATTATGCCTAACATTATACAGCTTTCCTTTGTACAACTGGAAGTGCACTAATCCTTAACCTAAGTGCTATTACATAAAGTTAACAACACTTAAACGTTGATATGAAGTCAATAAATCTTATGTCACATGATAAAGGCAAAAGAAAGGAAATAAAATGAAGACTTTTCTTAATATAATTGTATACGTGCACGAATAAGTTCTTAACAAAATAAAGAGGAAATACTCATGACAATTACATTCCTCGTTTCTGCAACTGGTCATGTGGTCATAGCTGGTATTGATGACTACCTTCTACTACCCATTCTGTAGTCATAGCTGGTATTGATGATTACCTTCTTCTACTACCCTTCTTCTACCCATTTCCTTTGCCTTCAGCAAACACCTCAGCAGGTCGTGGTTTTTTACCTGGTGGAGTGACCCAAACCTTTATTCCCAAAGAGTCTGGGCCATTTGTAATCCTGCCTGGATTGGGTTGTTGTAGGTTTTCATTGATCTTAATTACAGGGCATGGTAATACTAAGAGACACCCTAGGGGATCTCCTGTATTCTACACATACTCTTCCTTACCTCCATTGTGGAGTAGTAGACTGCTTTTATCTTGATAATCTGGGTCAATCACCCCAACCAGCACTGTAACTCCCTTCTTGGCCATTGACTTAGAGGTAGGAGGAGCCCAAAGTGGCCAGTGGCAATCTTAACTTCCAGTTTAATGGAATCATTGTTGTGTCTCCTGGTGGCAGCATTCCTCTTTCTAGAACTAAGACCTCTAGGCCTGCAGAACCTAATGTCGCAGGAAGAGGAAGCAAAATTTTTGCTAATGGGTCATAGGGGTGATGGTGAGTGGTGCCACTTCCACTTCCACCCCATGATTCTGGACCCATGAATCCAGGTTATGGGACAAACGGTACCATATATTGGATGCTGATTCAGAGAATACACAGCCTTCTGGAGAACTTTGCCCCAGCCCTGCAAAGTATTGTCACCTAGTTGATGTTGTAATTGTGACTTCAATGGGCCATTCCACAGTTCCATCAATCCAGCTGCTTCAGGATGATGGGGAACATGGTAAAACTAGTGAATTTCATGAGAATGAGCCTACTGCCACACTACTTTAGCTATAACCTGAGTGCCTTGGTCAGAGGCAATGCTGTGTGGAATTCCATGATGGTAGATAAGGCATTCTTTGAGTCCATGGATGGTAGTCTTGGCAGAAGCATTGCATGTAGGATAGGCAAACCCATATTCACAGTAAGTGTCTATTCCAGTGAGGATAAACCACTGTCCTTTCCATGATGGAAGAGGTCCAATATAATCAACCTGCCCCCAAGTAGCTGTCTGATCACCGCAAGGAATGGTGCCATATCGAGGGCTCAGTGTTGGTCTCTGCTGCTGGCAAATTGGGCACTCAGCAGTGGCTGTAGCCAGGTCAGCCTTGGTGAGTAAAAGTCCATGTTGCTGACCACATGCATAACCTCCATTCCTGCTACCATGGTCACTTTGTTCATGGGCCTATTTGGAATGATAGGGGTGGCTGGGGAAAGAGGCTGAGTGGTGTCCACAGAACAAGTCATCCTATCCACTTGATTATTAAAATCCTCCTCTACTAAGGTCACCCATTGGTGAATATTCACATGGGATACAAATGTCTTCCCAGTTTTTGACCACTCAGAGAGGTCAATTCACATACCTCTTCCCCAAATTTCTTTGTCACCAGTTATCCAACTATGCTTCTTCCAAGTCCCTGACCACCCAGCCAAACCATTGGCTACAGCTCATGAATTAGTATATAATTGCACATCTGGCCATTTCTCCTTCCATGAAAAGTGCACAACCAGTTACACTGCTCAAAGTTCTGCCCAGTGGGAAGATTTCCCTTTGACACAGTCCTCCAGACCCCAGAATGGTAGATCCACTGATAGCTTGCACCGTGTACCTGGAAAAGTCACAGACACTCAACATCAGCCCTTGAAGGCAACCAGGATGGGGGCTGTGCCACAGGGGAGGAGCTGCCCAAGGCTGTGGGAACCCACCTCTTGCATCAGCATGACCTGGATGTGAGACATGGAGTCAAAGGAGATAATTTTGGTGCTTTAAGATTTGATTGCCCTGCTGGATTTGGGACTTTCATGGAGTGTGTAGCCCCTTCATTTTGGTCAAATTCTCCTGTTTGGAAGAGTTGTATTTACCAAATGACTGTACCCCCATTGTATCTAAGAAGTAACTAACTTACTTTTGATTTTATAGGCTCATAGGCAGAAGTGACTTGCCTTATCTCAGATGAGACTTTGAACTGTGGACTTTTGAGTTAATGCTGAAATGAGTTAAGACTTTGGGGGACCATTGGAAAGGCATGATTATGTTTTGAAATGTGAGGACATGAGATTTGGGAGGGGCCAGGGGCAGAATAATATGGTATGGCTGTGTCCTCATCCAAATCTCATCTCAAATTTTAGCTCCCATAATCCCCAAGTGTCATGGGAGGGACCCTGTGGGAGGTCATTGAATCATGGGAATGCGTTTCCCCGTGCTGTTCTCATGGTAGTGAATAAGTCTCATGACATCTGATGGTTTTTAAAGGGCAGTTCCCCTGAACATGCTCTCTTGCCTGCTGCCATGTAAAACGTGCGTTTGCTCCTCCTTCATCCTCCACCATGATTGTAAAACATCCTCAGCAATGTGGAACTGTGAGTCCATTAAACCTCTTTTCTATATAAATTACCCAGTCTCAGCCATTTCTTTATAGCAGTATGAAAATAGACTAATACACTCTTTTTCTGACTCACTGTCATCCATCCATCCATGCATCCATCCATCCATTCACTGATTTAATTAACTAATTTAACACATTGATATGCACATTTTTATGCTAGGTGCTGGGAATACAATGGTGAACAACACTGACAAACTTTCTTCTTTGGAAGTTCACAGTTCAGCAGAAAAAAATCAGTTAATAAATCATCATTTGTGATCAAGTGTGAGGTACAACAATAATATGCAAGATACAATGTGACTTCATTGAAAGGGCACTTAATGTTGTTTATCAAGAGGCAGAACAGACTTTAAGAAAAATATCTAAAGTGAAAAACAAATGGTCACTAAGAGCTCGCTGAGCAGGGGTAAAACTATGTTCAAGAACTAGAAAGGTACACATTTCCTAACTGGAACATCAAGTGGGAAAGACAAAAGGATGAGAGATTAAGGGAAAAAAAAAGGCAGAATGCCCAGCTGCAAAGGGCATTCTGAAGGGCTTGGGCTTTAACTTAATGGCACCAAGAAGCCTTTGATAAGTGTTAAATAGATGAGTGACATGATTTATTCATTTTGCATTCCAGAAGTATCACTCTGGCCACAGTGTGGAGGACAGACCGGATGGGGCAAAACTGTAGGCAAAGTCATCTGGGATCAGTCAGTTACAGTCACCAGGGAAGAAATAGTAATGACTTGAACTTTGGCACTGGCCATTAGGATAGATAACGGTGGATGGGATGGAGAGATGTCTAGGAAGTCAAGTCAAGCAGAACTTGTCATGGGCCTTCCTTATGGATTGTGTACTATAATGCCTATATTGCTATTCATCTGGAGTAAATATCACTGAATTAAGATTTCATGCCATGTTTGTAACATCTAAATGAGTGACTGGGGGCTTACGGGAAGCCTGTGCCTGCAAATATACATTTTCATATTTCATAATACAGGACAAGAGAACCTCTCATTTTAATGAAATAAGCACAATATTTACAGCAAAGGATGGGTTGTATTAGAGCACCAGGGGGCTTGGTTTACACTTGAATTATTTTCCTCCAGTTATGGAACCAAACGGAAGCTCCACTGGGAGGCACTGAAATAAGGAACGCAGCGGGGAGCTTTAGGGGAGCTCTTCCCTACAGTAGTTGTTTATTTTGAAAGAAATGTATGGTAGAAAATATTTCCAGCCACTCAAATTCTACTTTCTGGTTCACGTGACTTTTTTTTTTTTTTTTTTTTTAAAGGGAAGGAAGCCTTGGAGCCAGATTCTAAGAAAGCAAAATGACAGCAACAACTGGGGACAATCTGGACTCAGCCTGGGTGCCCATGCTAGGCAGTGATGTAGAACCAGAGAAGCCTCATTTTAAAATCTGTTTCACAGCCAGAAAGTACATGAATAGAAGCTCCTTTTTCAAATTATATTTCCTACCTATTGAATTTAACTTTCATCCACTTGAAAAGTCTCCTATTTTACTGCCAGTCATCTCAGTCACTATTCAGCAGACTATCAAGAGCAGGTTTTTCTTGCCTGTGGAAGATACTTTTATTGTTGTTGTTTCATGATCTATTCTGTAACATACTCTTATTTCTATCTGGCTCAGGCCTAATTCCCAATCTCTCATCATTTCTGAGCCTAAGCACCTCATGCCTTGTCTTATAAAGAGTTACATCACATTTAAACTGGCATACAGATAAAGCCAGATATAGAAGCTCTTTCTTGCCATTAAGTTATGGCTCTCATGCCATTGCTTTCTCATCATTTCCCAGGGAAGAATGCAGGGTGTTAGAGGCCCTTCAGTACATAATGGCTTTTTTTCTCGCTCCATCATCACAAAGCACTTTCTTAAAGGATGGTGGAGAAGATAGAGTTCCTGTGATACCACCATTAGCTTCTGCCCGGATGATTGGAATAAACTTCCACTATCACTTCTGCCATCCTGCAACACACTCTCTAACCTGCAGCTAGTGGAATTTTAAAAATATAATCTCCCCTTTTCTGTCCCCTGTTTTTAAGCCTTGGGAACTATTTGAGCCCTTCATAATCTTACCTCTGATTAACTCTCCATAGATTACTGTGGTTTATCCAGACTGATTTTCTATAAGTTCCCTGGATAGGCTGTGCCATTCCTTTCATCCAGGACTTTCACATATAATTCTGGCTCTCTAGAATAGTCATCCCTTTCTATTCTTCAGGTCTCAGCTTAACCCTCATTTACTCTGGTTTTTTTTTTTCCCTAATTATTCAGAAGCCCATAGTTCTCTTTATTTTCCTTATCACATCTCTTAACAATTCTGTTTTGTAGTTGCCTGTTCAGTCTGTCTTCCCTGATAGAACATAAGCCTCTTGAAAGCAAGGACTGCATTTCTCACTTTTAAATCATCGGCATCTAGCACCATGACTGCAGTATAGTAAGAGCTTGGTAAATAATTGTTAACTCTTTAGGGTAATAGAAAAGAAAAGTTCTCAGCTTCACAGCAAAAATCCCTCTCATTAATCAATGGAACTACCTAATATTAATTCATTAATTCATGTTCACTCAATAAATATTTTGAACAGCTTATAAATATATCATGGACTATGTTGAGTATTGAGGATATGGAGATGAATAAAGATATATTTATTTTCCTCAAGAAACTCTGGGGAAATAGAGACATAAATGGTTATAATATGATGTAATATATGGCATAATAAATGTATGCATAAATTGCTATGGAACATAAAGGAAGTAATGTTTGTTTACCTGAGCATCTAAAGGGATAGACTAATATATTTTGTTAGACTGATAACCACTTACACTTCATCAAGACTCATAACTGAGAAGAACTCAGTTTATGAGTTTTTATAAGAAGGGGGACTTATAAGAAGAGCTCATAACTGAGCCTGATGAAGTGTTAAGTGGCTATCAGTCTAACAAAAGGAAAAAATCAATTCCTAAAAGGAAGAACCAACACATGCAAAGGATCAAAAGCTGATGAGAACATTAGCATATCCAGTAAGCTGAATGATCAATAATGTGCCGGATGATGGTCATTCATTGAACCTGCCAGGCTAGCAAGGGGCTAAATCATTATGTCTTTTGATGCAAATAAAAAAAAAATTGGGGGCTACTGATTCATTTTAGGTAGGAGAGAGATATGCTCAGGCTGGTACTCCAGAAAGATCACTCTAGCACCAGTGTAGAAGATGGATTGGAGGATGGTAATATTAGAGGCCAACGAGACCTGTTAGGAAGACTTTTTAATTGCATTAAAAGTATGAGAAATATGGTAGACCTGCTGTATGTAAGTTTCTGACCATATATCTGGAGAGAAAGTGAAATGATTATGAGTGGTTTAGGAGGTAGAACTGCATTGCAAAGGTTTGAAATATGCTCTTCCTTCTTGGATTATTATTTCCTCCTTTCTTTAGCCAAGCCATTCATCCTTTATCATGCAATTCAAGGGTTGCCCCTGGTAAGTTCTCTCTGACTCTTCCACCGCAGTCTGACTAAGATACCACCTCCTTAAGCTCTTATCGAATATAGCATGTTGCCTCTGCAACATTAAATTTTAAGCAGTTTGAAAGCTAAGAGAAGATTCCACTTAGCAAAATGTTATCAGAGTGACTGGCATAGGGTATCCATTCAATAACTATTTTTTGCATTGATGAATGTATGAATGATTAAATGACTCCTCAGAAATGGGAAGTGAGATTCTCAGGCTTCTTACTGGACGATAAGGAAAATGATAGGAATAATCACAGAGATAGAAATAACGGGGAGAAACAAGTTTGGAGAATAGTTTGGGAAAGGTGACAATGATGACATCTATTTGGAACAGGATGGACTTGAGGGGCTTATGAGAAGAACTCCTAAAAGTGAACTGGTATGAAGTCCAGAGTTGTGACTTATAATTTATAGAGAGATGGTAGTTTAGTTATCTATCTATAGATGATTAAATCATAGTTCAGTCACCCAGGAGCATTAGGTAAACTGATAATAAAATGGTCTCAACAAAGAGGCCTGAGTATCACCAACATAGTGGTTGGTGAAGAGGTCAAGGAGAACCACAACAAATGTGTGGACACTAATAGAGTAGTTTGGAGAGAGTGTTGCTATAGGAGACAAGAACAGAATACATTTCAGGAAATAGTCAACAATATCAAATATTTCCAAGAGGTCAGGTATTATAAGGGTAAAAAATAATCAGTTCATTTGTTTTGTAATTAGACTATTTGTTAAGTTATTTATTACTTATAATGATTTTAATGGAGCCTTGGGGTTACCACGGAGTTGGTACTGGATTGAAAATTAGAGTCATTAGAGCCAGTAAGAGTAACATGTTCTAAAAACCTTGGTTGTAATAGACGAGAAATAGGTGGGGTAAAGAAGGAGGAGAAATGAGAAGTGAGCTACACAGTGGAGGGAGTTTTTTTTTAATATGGTAAAAGATAAACATGATCACATCTTGAGAATAAACAGTGATTTAAGAGGGAAACATTAATAATACAGGGGGAGGAGATGTTTCCTGAAACAAGGCTTAGGATAAAATGGTATCGAGAGCCCAGATGAAAGAATTAGCATTGCCTGAAAGAGAGTCACATCTCTGTCTGAGATTAGAAGGAAGAAAGGATCGGTACAGGCCTAAGTTTGAATTAAATGGGGAATTCATTCACACTTGATTTATTCTATTTCTCCAGCAAGAAGGTATCAAGATTATCTTCTGAAAGTGAAGGGGACAGAGGTGATAAAGAGAACTTGTAAATGGTGACTGTTGACTGGCTTCTCTGGGAATTAAACATGGAAGTAAGCGGAGTGATAAACAAAATTATTGTGTAGCTGTGCAGACCTTACTAAAATGAATGAAAATGTATCTACTGTGTATTAGTTTGCACAGTTGTGTGATTTTTTTCAGCATCAGGAAATAGTGTGTGTCAAACTAAGATAAAGAAGGCAGATAATTATAGTGATGCAAGATGGCATTTATGGGGTCACACTTGAGTTTCTAACCTGAGGTTCATGATTCATAGTTTATATAACACCTGAGGAGTAGTTATCTTGTGGACTCCTAGAAAGGAATGCGACAATTTGTCTCTCTCTGGTGCACTCTTACTCTCACTCTGTGTGTGTATGTATACACATATATAAATATATATGTGTATATATGTGTGTCTATATATATACACACACATAAATATATATGTTTATATATTTATGTGTATATATACATATATGCATATATTTATGTGTGTATATGTATACCCATATATATATGCATTTATACAGAGTCCTTAGTTTTCACACAACTTTCAAAGCAGTTGTTTTTTAATCTAAAATTTTAAGATTACAACGATCGAAGGAGGAGTATAATAGCTGCTGTTGAATAATACTCAAAATCTGGTAAGACAATTATGATATGATTCTTTCTTTTGGTTTGCATATTTGTAAGGGAGCTACTTGAATTCACATACACATACACACACATGAAAAAGGGTTAATAGCCAGAATATATAGATAACTCTTGAAACTCAATAATAATGAAACAAACAACTCCAAATAGTTTCCATATTTGAACTGACAGTTCACTACAGAAGATATATGGATGACAAACGGTCACATGAAAAGATATACAACAGTGTTAACCATTAAAGAAATGCAGATTACAACCACAAAGAAATACCACTACCCAATTATTAGAATGGCTTAAATTGAAAAAAAAAAAAGTGACAGTACCAAATGTTAGAGATGATGTTGGGGAACTGGAATGCTAATATATTGCTGGTACAAATTCAAAATGACACAGCTCTTTATAAAACAGTTTGGTAGTTTCTTATGAAGTTAAACATAATTTACCACACATCTCATCAATGCATTCCTTGGTGTTTACCAAAGAGAAGTGAAGATACATGTCTACACAGAAAACTGTATGTGGATTTTAATAGTGACTTTATTTATAATTGTCACAAACTTGAAACAATGCCAATAATTGCCAGCTTGTGAATGATTAAACAAAGTGTAAAACACCACTCAGCAATAAAAAGAGAAATGAAGTTCTAAAGCATGAAACAGAATAGCATATTACGCTAAGTGAAAAAAGTAAGACTCAAAAGGCTACAAGACTGTATGATTCCTCTTACATAGCATTCAAAGAAGGCAAACTAAAGGGAAAGACTTCAGATCAGAGGTTGCTAGGGTCTGGGAGTGAGGAAAGTGTATCGCCTACAAAGGAACACAGAGAAATTTGGCAGTGTGTGGGGCGAAGGGTAGTGATAGAAATATCGTACATCTTGACTTTTGGTGGTTACTTGACTACAAAAGTTTATCAAAATGCATAGAAATGTTCATCTAAAAGAGTATATTTTATTATATGCAAATTATATGCCTCAATACATGCAGGAGAAAATAGAGCCCAAAGCACTACAAAAAAGTGCTCCAGAAGGAGAATGATAGGACAGTTGCATAAATGGTTTTGGATTCTTTTTTTTCTCAGCATCACCTTTCACATCGAGTTTATTCTCTTTGATATAGCCAATCCCACAATTACAGATGCAAAGCACAGAACCATCTAAGGTTTTCACTGAGAAGAACTCTGGAAAGAGAATCTCCATGTGGTAACAGTGGGAGAAAGAACCCTACTGGCAAGATGAAAATCAATGGAAAACATCTGGGCCCTTCCTATCTAGGGTCTTTTTCCCAACTTATTTTCCATTGAAACTTTGAGTTTTATTAGTAACAGACTCCATTGCCCCATAGAATTATACTGAAACACAAACTTGGCTCCAGGGAGAGATAATCAAGTTAGTTCTTACCAGTTCCTATTTTGCCTTAGAGAAAAATAGTGGAAATGAGTTTATTAGATCTTGTACACTGATTAAGGCATGTCTTCCTTGGAATGCATGGAGAGTAGGACTATTTTCTTAAAAATAATGAAAAAAGAGCTTTAGCTTCGTGAGGTCCAACCAAGGATAGGACACAGAACTATCAGGCTTTGGCCAACCAGGGAACAACTTGAAGGACCTGAGCACATGGGGGAGAAACAAACATGAATGATAAACAAGAAGTGAAATTGAGACTGGAGCAAGAATAAGTGAAATTGAGACTGGAAATGTACTAAGAATAACATGATAGCAACTTAGTCATTATTTAATCTCTTACAGTACCAAGCACCATAGTGTTTCAGATATATTTTGGGGTTGTAATTAAGGGAAATCACAATGAATTTCATAGAGTTGAGTTGAATGGCCTCCACTCAAGAAAAGAAAGAAGGCTCTGAGTCATAGTCTCTAAAAGAGTATTTTTTGTTTGTTTGTTTGTTTTGAGACAGAGTCCCACTCTGTCGCCCAGGCTGGAGTGAAGTAGCACAATCACAGCTCACTGCAAACTCTGCCTTGTAGGCTCAAGCAATCCTCCTGACTCAGCTTCCCTAGTAGCTGAGATTACAGGTGTGAGCCAAAATGCCCGGCTAATTTTTGTATTTTCACCAGAGATGGGGTTTTGCCATGTTGGCCAGGCTGGTCTCGAACTCCTGACCTCAAGTGATCTGCCTGTGTCAGCCTCCCAAAGTGCTGGGATTACAGGTGTGAGCCACCATGCCTGGCCAAAAGTAGGTTTTGCTTATCATAAAAATGGAAAAATCCACCCCAAGAGTGCCTGTGGTACCAAGACGTGATTCAAAACCTTGTCTCCCCAAAATAAGGTGTCTTCAAAATGTTGTTGATTATGGTGATGATAGGGTGCCTCATGGACCATACTGTTTCTTCTTAGCCTCAGATATCTATTATGTTAAAATGCTTCAAGGGCAGTATGTTGTTAACAGCTGACATACTCTGTAAAGAATTCCTACATAAAATCAGTAGCAGGAAGATTGTAGTGAAACCATCTGAAATCACGCATATGACAGTTTAATAATAACACCTCTAAGAAGCTACAGCCACTGTTAAACAGGGGGCATGATTCCTTTGACCTTAGTTCCCAATAAGAAAGTTACCCCTTCCACGAGAGAGGCAGAATGAAATGCTCTCCCATCACTCCTCTGTGCAATTACAGAGTAATGAGAGGAAAGGGGAGGAAGGAAAGGGAGAGGAAGAATATAGGGAGAGAGGTGGGGATAAAGGCATTGCCAGGGTAAAATAACACCCGGGTAGAACTTTGCAAAAATATATTGAAGGGATAACAAATTTTAGAAATAGCATAGCTAAATAAGCAGATAGCCCAACATTTGAGAAAAATGAACTTGGATATAAAAATGTCCTGGATATAAGAACAGAACAACATAATGCAGACTGCTATGGGACAAGAGCAGCTCAATTCTCATGAATTGAGGGTTAGCCAAATACAGCCACTGCCAATAGAACGAAATCTATACTAGATTGAACCCACTCACTGTCAGCTAGGGGTTTTCATCAATTTCTTAGGGAGGAATAATTGGAAATTAAAATGGGAATTTCATTTACATACAATTTGAATTTGCTAAATATAATTTTGTTTACATTATACATATGGTTAAACAAGAGTTTCTTTCTGTCAGAGTCCTAGCAAATAAATGATGACATACACAAATCAAGTAATTTTAAGAGTGTTTAATAGAGAAAGTGCCTTCAAAGATATAGGAAACCACAAAGAATAGAGAGAAATAACCAGGGACTATGAATGTGGGGGTGGGCAGCACACATTAACATTTCTAGGAATAAAGGAGCAGAGAGAGAGAACAGTTACTGGAAGCAAAGGGAAAAATATAAGGTGAAGATAGGCCCTTTCATCTTCTAATGAGAATATAGCCAGTCAAGCACAATGACTTAATGAGGAGAGTGAGGAAAACTACACGATTTCTTCTTTTTCCCTTTCCTTGGTTTCTAGCCAGTGCTCCCCATTGGTTGACTCTAACAGGAAGCCAAAGATTCTGGGAGTCCATTGATGAGACTTTTATAGATTAGCCTCCCAAAACAAAGAACAAGATGTGGGAGAGAGAAGTGAGCAGATCTAGAGAGAAAAAGAGATAACCTACAACACAATCAAGCCCTCTCGTCCCTGGGCAACCATTCTTGTTCTGTAATATGTACAGCCCAAACAAAGAGACACACAAAAACATTACTATTAAATATATCATAGTGAGGGTGATGTCAATTTCTTCATTCTTCTACATGAAACTTAAAACGTTAGCCAACAGTCATGATATAAATTAGTGGAAGATGAGAAAGCATAAAGAATCATAATGTTTAGTTGCTTTTGTTCGGCTTTAGTGGCTGATCATAAGGCCTAAGTTGTCCATCATAATTCCCATCTTCTACCATCTATTTCAGGTTCCTCACACCTTGGCTGGATGAGTGGTGACCCAAACCTTTATTTCAATAGGTCTGTGTCCTTAGTGATCTTGTCTTTGGTGGGAGTTGAGGAGGACACTGGGTAGATTCGGTTTTCTATTCATTATTACTATTAGATAAGAAGTATTAAGAGATGTCCCTAGGGACATTTGATGTTTGAAATCTGGCCCTCCTTGTATTCATTGATGCCAGCAATCCAATGACCCAGGATTAGCCACCTGTGCAAGCATAGACACTCTTGTCTTACCACTGATGTGCAGCTGCATAAGGAACATGAAATAGCTGAGGGGAAGAATCAGCTTCTATTTCAAGAAAATCAGGCTCAGTATCTTGTTGCAGGTGTCTCTCACTGGCATTAGGATCTCCAAATCCATTAAGCTTTTGTATGATTAAATCAGTGAGTGTCACGGGTATTAGCCCATTGTTGCATTGCCCTTGCCTTAAAATGTATTACCTGGTTGGAGGTCATGTTCTGAAGGGTACTCTGTTAGTTTCCTAGGTAGATGTAACAAAGTACCACAAACTGAGTGGCTTAGAAACCAGAAATATATTTTCTCACTGATCTGGAGGCCAAAAGTCCTAGACCAAAGGGTTGGAAGGTCATGTTTCTCTGAAGGCTCTAGGAAACAACCTGTCCTGGGCCTCTCTCATAGCTCTTGGTAGTTCAGGCCTTATGGAAGTAGAACTCCAGTCTTGACATGGCATTCTTCCTGTGTGTGTGTCTGCTTTTGGGTCCAAATTTCCCCTTTTACTAAGGACACCAATCATTGCATTAAAGGCTCACCCTGCACTAGCATGGCCTCATTTTACTAAACTAATTATATCTACAATGACCTTATTTCTGGATAAGGTCATATTTGAGGACCAGAGAATCAGGACTTAAATATATGAATTTGGGGACAAAGGGGAAGCACAATTCAACCCATAGCAGGTACCATGAAGGTCAGTAAGGCTATTTATCCTTCTACACAAAGTGTTCAACAGGGTGTGCTACCTAAAGCTCTACCAACGGGAAGAATTATAGTCTTCCTGAAAATTGGAAGGACTTCATTATAGTTCCTACTCCATGAGTTAGGGCATTTTAAATGACCACTTTTGTTATCTTTATAAAGTTTTGAATCAAAAAAAAATTCTACCAGGTACTTATTATATATAAACACCAAGGCCGAGTTGACCACCAGACCGTGTAAGTATCTCCCTAGTAAATATCGATTTAAGGATCCTTCTTTCTGTCTGTGTGTTCTTTGTTCCACATATTTTCAATGAAAGTTGAATATCTTGCTGAAGCAGTTCTGCACAGATGAAGACAGACTCAAATAAAGGAAAAACTTTGCTTTTGATTAGATCCAGTCTTTCTGCATTAGCACTGGTATTTTTTTTTTTTCCTCATCGGAAACAAGTCTAGAAAAAACTCTACAGATGGTTTATTCTTGTATTATTGGTTCTATAATCATATTTAACTTTAATTATTTTTAAGACCAACATGTGGCTGTGTATGCACACACACATGCACACACCCAAATAGGAAGTAAACAGCCATTTGCAAGATATATGATTTGAGTTTCAATAAAATGCCATTTCTTGCCTCAATCTCTCTTAAGTACACTTTGAGTTCTAGAATTATCACTATGTACCAGCCAAAAATCTTTCCTGCTACAGTGTTCTAATCAGAAGTTAAAGTTCTAATACAATTTTTCCTTAGAAAAAATAGCTCTAATGCAGTGAAAAGATGACAGGCTTGGGGATAGAAAAATGTAGACATTACCTTAAGTCCTGCCCCTAATAGTTCATGTAAATGAGACAAATTATATATATTTGCTCTTGTATTACTTCATTTTAAAGATTAAAAAATTTGATAAAATCAGGTTTTCTGAAATTTGACTCATCCAAAGAATCTCATGGAATCCTTATTAAATGACGGCTTTCTAGACCCCATGCAGTACTAATCACATTGAAATCTCTGCGGAGAAGTCAGCAGACTTTTAAATATTCAACCTAGCTCCTGCACCCCAACCTAAGTTCTTATGAACCCACAACTTGGGGAAATGCCGCGTCAGGTTATTTCTAAAGCCATCCCTATTCCAGTTATCTGTGGAAACTAAATAAAGACCACTGTACCAATTAACCCATTAGCTCACTTTATTCCTAACAGCTTTCCAGTTATCACCAAGCAGATACTGTCTTAAGGAGTAGGGCCTGGGATGGGTAACTTGTGATGATCAGACAGTTCGGGGCAGCAGAAGGCACAGATGTCAGGTGCGACTGAGGAAATATGGAAAACTTGAGGACAGAATGAGGGCCTCATGGATAAATTTGGAGATACGAAAAAAACTGCAAATGTGTACATTATCTACGAGTGTGTGTGTGTGTGTGTGTATATATATATATATATATATATTTATAGAAGAAACAGACTGTCCAAATTATGGATACATTTATGGATTGCTAAAAATGGTAGAGTAGATCTATATTTATTGAAATGGAAAGATGCGCATGATGGATTTCGAAGTGAAAACTATATATGTCTCTTAGCTTTCATTTTGGAAAAAGAAATAGTCCCTTTGAATATGAAGACTATGCATTTGAAGTATGAGTGAATTTCTTTGCATGGTGAGAGTACAGTTAATATTTATGCCTTTTTTTCTTCTCTTTCTTTGTAAACTGATCTTTCTTCTTTTACAATGAGAATTCAATACTTTACAATCATAAACAGCAATAAAGTGATTTCCATTCTGACAATAAAAGAGAGTGCAGGCTGCATAGGGAAGGTGAGGATGGGGGTTGTTGTTGGACACATAAAGAAACCAAGTAGAGCAGGTGTCAGATAAAGAAAAGGGAAAGCAGAGAAGAGAGGGAAGAACAGCTAAGCCTGGTAAACTCTGCCTTCTCCTAAGTTCTTATCACCTTGGCACATTGGCCCCCAGGTTGCAGTCCTGCCCTTCTGAGGCTAGTAAGAAACTTGTGAGTCAGCCCAGCAGGGATAATTGCCGTGCTCAAGCTATATTGGATTGTTTAAGATTGAACACCTTTCCTTCTGCTTAGCAGCCTGCAAACTGGCCTGGGGCCACCTGCTCCAAGGCCCAATGTATTCATTTCAGATGTGCAACCCACGATGGCAGGGTTGACTAGCAGCTTGGTGGGAAAGCAAGGGAATGGAGGCTATTTATAGCAGATGGCAACAAAGGTTTCCTTTCTTTCCTTTACCACTGGTTGTATTTCTCTGAAACTCTGCCCATACTGTGCAGAAATCAAAAGGGCAAGAGACCAAGTTCTTCAGAGCTGGTTGGAAAGTTCCAGGGCTCTGTTTTTAGAGCAAATCTGCCAGCTTCAGAGGAGGTTGCAACCACCCCTGGATTCTAAATCAGCTTGATGGTGGTGCAAATAGATGCAAATAAGGGTCAAATCAATTTCCATAATGAACAGCACGAGAAAAGCAGACTCCCCTCCACCTGACTCAAAATTATTAGAAAATCCAATGAGGGGGAAAAGAAAGAAAGAAAAAATAAAACACAAACACGTGAGTAACTTGATTTTTGGATCTTGGGAATAGAAACTCTAAGGTCCAAGAATTATTCTGGACTTTACGTTGCAGGCTTGTGTAGGAAGGGATAATTCCAGTGCAGCCCTTCTGAGGATTTTGATTGTGACCGGGCCTTAGCTTTCTTTATCATGCTTCATCCTTCCCTGTTCCTGAGCTCCACTTGTTACCACACCCTGGTTGGTTGAGATGTAATTCATCTACCATAAAATTTACACTTTTATAGTGTACAATTCAGTGGTTCTTAGAAGAGTCACAGAGTTATACAACCATCATTACTATCTAAATTTGGAACTTTCATCACCCCTAAAAGAAATATTGTAGTTATCAGCAGTCACTTCCCATTCTTCCCTCCCTTAGACTCTGGCAACCACAATTGACTTCCTTTCTCTATGGATGTACCTATCCTGGAGATTTTGTATGAATGTAACCATACACCATGTGGCCTTTTGTGACTGGCTTCTCTTGCTATGCCTAGTATTTTCAAGGTCTGTCCATGTTGCAGCATGCATCAGTGCTTCATTGTTTTTTATGGTAGGTTGTTCTTTTTAAGCAAAACCATTGCAGAGGCCATGTACCGCTGTGTCTCAGAGGATTGCAGTGAGTTCCACATGTTTCCTGGAAAACCACGTGGATTAGGAGATGATAGTAACATGGCTTAATCTTATTACTTTTTTACTAAGTCTTTGGTGACTCCCTTTAGCTGCTGATTTCCCTGCATTTTAAAAATTACGTTTAAGTCATTCAACTAATACTGGGCTGAGTCAACTTACGTTTATAATTAACAGGTGATTTTATGAGCCACAGTGCAGAAGCATTCATTTTCAAAAACTATTTTGGTACTTCTGGCACAGCCTATGTCACTACATATGGTTGACTTGCATCTATGAAAGAGATGAGAGTTACTAGAGCTATAATACATATGGGCCACTGACTGAACCATCTGAGAAAATTTTAATTGGTGTGAGTAGGGAATGCAATAATTTATATGGATCCATTACTTTTAAATGCTTAAGTCTATGAAGGGAACTAATTGCATAGGTTTTATTTTCTGTAAGGTCTTGAATGCCTTTGGATGACCCGATATATCTTCGTATAAAGTGATACTTCCATGCAAGGCATTATCTTTAAGAGACATTTATCAAATGCTTCCCTCGTGCATGCCCATACTTTGAAGAAATGCGATTCACATCAGGAATTATGCACAGCAAACCTTCTGCTCCTGACTATTCAGCCAATAGAATCTCACATTTAACAGGCAAATACACAGGCAGGTGGTATAATAAAAACTGAGGTTCTTGATAATGGCTCTGAAGTAGTGTTTAAATCTGTTAGAGGACAGGAGAATCAAGCTTAGCCTTAAATTGTGTTCATTGCTGGGATTCAGCTATGTCAGGGCATACTTGACAAATGGGTGGAAAGTATATGCCAAAAATCTATTTTTCCACCAAGTACTAACAAAGGAGGGATCTGCTGGGAGAGAACTCATTTATTCCAAGGCTTGTCTGGGATCCCAGCCTTGGGATATGAGTTCTCTTAAAGTTGATGTGACATTGCAGAGGGTATCCAAGCCATGAAACGGACTCAAAGATCCGGAAGAAGAATACTAGTATTTCATATTCACATAATATCATGAAGACGATGCTAAATTCTTGTGACTATTTTTTCTAAGGTAACAGACAAGATATCAAAGAGATTTTGATCTTGTGTTAGCCCATTTCAGGCTCTGTTCCCAGGCACACAAGGGTTCAGATTCACTGTGCATAGAACTGGGATGGGAGACTTTGAAGAGTGCTAACAAGAGTGACTTTCTCTTCTAATGGAAATACAAGACAAATAAATTTACTGTATCTAGTAATCTGACTCTATTATTGGAACATAAATAATGGTGATTGTAATAAAATTCTTTAGATCATTCCTATTGTACCCTAACCTACAGGCTCTCTCAATCTCTCCCACACTAAAAACTCTATAGAATATTGAGTCACAAGACAAAATAATTTTTGTACCTATGTCACAAGTGTAATACAACAGATGCAGCAAAGTGTTTTCTCCACTTTTGACACAGAACCCAGAGTTACTCTGGCACATCAGGAGAATACCTAGGGCTCGGGTGGCAGAAGAATAGGAGGAGGCAGTGCCTAGACGTGGCTGTGTGAGGGCAGAAGGATGATAGAGGGTTGAAGGGTAGATTACTACATTGATGGCATGAATGAGATTGATTAAGAAGAGGTACACAGCTTCTTGGGTGGAGCTGCTGTGGTCATACACTTTCTTTGCCAATAGCCACCATTCCTTCTTCCTACACTCTCCGTTTGGGGAAGGCTGAGATGCCATGTACACAGGCACAGTGAGGACACCATGCAGGAATGCTCAGAATAGGTGAGTAAGATTATCAGAGGTCTCAAAGTCTGCAAGAGCAGGTTTGGGTGAAAGCCAGAGAAATAATAATAATGATTAGAACCATACAAATAACATCTATTGAGTTTAACGTGTGCTAGGTTCTGTGCCAACTGCTTTACATTTAGTGTTTCTTTCAGACTTCATGATAACTCTTTGAGTTATATATGTTTATCACATCCATGATACAGTCAAGGAAACTGATGCATCACAAGTTAGTCTTTTAAGAGACACTGTCAGAATTCAGAATGTTTCTTACTCCTAGGCTAACCTCTTAACTTCCATATTATATCTCTCAGGTTATTACAATAATATAACCATATTTTTAGCCATTTATATATTGTGTCTATATGGGTATTTATTTAGCAACAATAATATATTTTGTGGGAATACTATTTCAAAATTTTGGTTTATATACATAAAGGTATATCTATTCATATGTACTTAAAAGTGCTATGTTCACATAGATAAATAATTACCAAAGTATATGTGAAGCCAGGATGGTGGCTCACACCTGTAATCCCAGCATTCGGGGAGGTTGAGGTGGGAAGATCACTTGAGCCCAGGAGTTCAAAACTAGCTTGGACAACATAGCAAGACACCATTTCTATAAAAAATTAAAAATTAGCCAGGTATGGTGGTATGGGCCTGTGGTCCCAGCCACTTGGGAGGTTAAGATGGGAAGATCAGTTAATCTTAGGAGTTCAAGACTGCAGTGAGCTCTGATCACACCACTGCACTCAGCCTGGGTGGCAGAGTCAAATTCTGTCTCTGAAAAATAAAACTAAAGAAGTAAATGTCTGCACTTTACAAAAGAGAAGATGTAAATGCAAATGAAGATGAGCATTGCAGAAGAAATATTTTCATTATTGCTCAGAGTGGCTTTAATGAAGAAAAGCAGGAATGAAGAAGAGTTCACTGAGCATCCTGGAATGTACCAAGTCTTAGGGTCACAATGAATCTTCACAGCAACCTTGTAAAGTGTGAATTAATACATTCATTCTACAAGTGAGAAAAAGATGGCCCCAAGATATTAAGTAACTCACTTAAAATCTTAAGTCATAAAAGAGATTATGTATTACTTTAAGCCAGTTCACCACACCATTGAGGCCAACTTCTAGTAGGATGTTGGAGGAAGGTGAGGTCATTATTTTCTTAGTCTTTAAATATGATCAAGCATAGAGAATATATTTATTTAATTCCACCAATAAATGCCTGTGGAATATCTATTATATACCACTACTATATGATGCTAGATGCTGAGTTTCTCAGCATTCACCTTGGTGGGAAATTTCATTGTCTGATGGAAGAGACAGACATAAGCAGATCATTAATTAGTACGTGGGAAGTACAAGGTTCTATGTGAGGAAAAGGGAGGGAGAAACTATACATGCTTGATAGATTTGGGAAAAATCTTAAATTGGAGGTGACATTTGAGTTGGTCCTTGAGTAGGAGTTTGCCAGGCAAAGAACAAGGTAAAGTCAACAGCAAAGACCATCCTGAAGGCATAAAAGAACTCAGTTTTAGAAAGGGAATGATCATCCTTCTGTGTGACTTGAAGGCCAGTTTTGAGATAGGTAGTACAGAGAGAGAAATCTCATGGCTTATTTCTAGGCACTGGCTTCGGAGAATTTTATATGCCTGGGAAATGAGTCTGGAACTTTTCCTATGCCTGATGAAAAAACATTAAAGCTTTCACAGAAAGTGTGATTAATTTTTTGTGTTAGAAAGATAACTATATCAGATTTGAGATTGTATGTTGAAGTATTGAGAAGGGGGCATTAGGGAGAAGTTTAAAATCTAAACATCTTGAAGACATCCTTGACTTTTGCTACAGCACTCCACACAGATGGTCACCATCTCTTAAGACATTTATTTTAAATCAGGTGCCTGCTCTCTGTCTCATTGCCATGTTCATGGTCCTGTAACTCATCCTTACCTGAGTTATGACATAGTTCCTAGCTACCTCTTCCAAAACGTGGTCTCCTATAGCTCCAGTCAGGAGCCGCTATAAACCCCAGGCCTTGAAGTTCCCCCAGTATACATACAATCTCAATTATGAGTGTACTATCATACTTTTATATCTTTCCTCAAGCAGAGGGAGATAGCTCTTTGCATAAAGTTGAACTTTATAAGAAAGTGGAATGTTTCCTTATTGGTTTGCCCCCAATGGATTACAGTTGGTAAAGATTCTGAAGCCTTCATCCTTCAGGGGAGTCTGGCAGGCTATGGAATGGCTGGGGCTCAAGGCTGGTCACTTAGACAGCAAGACATCATCATCTATTGATTCTCATGCTTTATATGAGAAGTGCCATTTTCTGTGTGTCATCATGTGGTAACATAACTAAGAAGAATTTGAAAAGCAAGTTTGTTCCTGGGGGATGAGATTGTAGAAAAGAACAGTGCAGTTGGAGAAATACACTTCATTTCACATTTCCCACACTAGACTGGAAACTTTTCTAGAGATCTGAATCCTGTTGTTGGCTTTCTTTGTAGCTTGTTTTATGACCTTGGTCAAGTCAATTAACCTTTCCATTCCTCAAGTTGACCTCAATAAACTTAGAATAATATCACCCTGCCTGCTTGGCTTCCAGGCATGTAAGGTTGAAAGGGTTAATAGGAGAAAGTTTAGAAAGTGTCAAGCACTATTTATCAGAAAGTCTACAGTCTGTTGTGATAGGCAATCTATGGGTGAGTGTGCAAGATAGTGGAGGGTTATGAAGGCTTGGTAGGAAAGATTACTGGGCACAGTTATCTCTTTTCCTTGAAAGCTCTCAACTTACAGGTCAATGAGCACCTATGCACTGGGTTATATTCAAGGTTAGAGGAAGCACATGCCTTACTACTGTATTGTAGCAAATCAGTTAATTACAGAGCAACCTGTTCTTAACAGCCCCTGAAGGCACTGCCTGACCTTGTACCAGGCCTGTGAAAAGACACTTCCTGACAAGGAAATAACCAGACTTGTGAGGGCTCTCCTTGTATTCAGGTATTTAACAAGGGTAGCTAAATGCAGCAGTTACAATTTCCTTTGAAACTCACCACGCCTCCTCTCTCTGTGATTTCTCAACTTTGCCCAGAAAAGACAGGATTAAGGGGGAATTTGCTTGGGCATTGCACTTACTAGATAAGGGAAGGCTAGTGATGTAGCAAGGACCATCTTATGGTTCACCCGTATACAGGTGAGGTTGAGTTCCAGCATAACCTGCAGAGAGACAGGGAAACAGAGAGAGGGCCTATTTTCAACGTCAAATTGAAATCACATTGGCAATACATTGGAAAGAGTGGACTATAGAAATAACAATTGGCACAGGGTGATTGATATACATGATTTAGAGACTTATTTGGCTGTAGGTATTAATATTAAACTTTTGTGTACTCTACGACCCAGAAATTTCACTTCATAACCCTATAGAAACAATCACTGATGCATAAAAAAATCACGGATATGGACAAACAACCTAGTATGATTTGTAATTTGAAAAAAATGGTGGTGGTTAGTGTGAAGTATGTCTTAAATAGAAGGAATGACTGTGTAAACAATAGGATATTCATATTGTAGAATGTGACAGGATGATTTAAAAGCATATGGAAGACGTATGTTCAATCCATCAGTAAACGCTGTTAGTTCTTCCTCTAAAATATACCCTGGCTCTGACCAGTTTTTACCAATTCCTTCACAGACACCATCCATACCCCATCCAACATTGTTCCTGTGGACTAGGACCTAGCAACAGCCTCTTCCCTGACCTCCCAGCTTCCTCTATTGCCCCCTGCAATCTACTTTTCATTCAGCAACCAGAGTGTTGCAAATGTGATCATATCAATCCAATGACTTCTCATCACACTTAGAAAAACACCTAAGGTTCTCACCAGTGTCTGGAGAACTGTGTATGATCTGAGCCCTGGCTACCTCTCCAAATTAAGTTCTTACCAATATTTTTTCCCCAGAACTAAAGCATAACACATAGCGGGTGCCTACAAAACATTGCTAAATAGGAGAAAGATGGACTCTAAGTACACTAAAATGAAAATATCAGCATGAAACACAGGCCGTAGTGTAAATAAACACATTGACTATCAATTTAAAATGCCTAGGTTCAAATCCTAGGTTTATCAGTTTTCAGCTGTGTGGCCTTATGCAGGTTAGTAAGTTCTATGTACATTAACTTTCTTATCTAAAAAACTGAATTGCTAATGTTAACTGTATCATAGAACTGTTATGAGGATTAAATAATCAATTCATGTAAAGTGCTAAATCCACATCTTACTCATAGTTAGTATCAATTAATAATGTTTCACAGCCATTTGGAGCTCCTATGTTTTTTTTTTGTTGTGCTTCTTTATATTTTCACCACCATTTTGTGTCATAGGTGCTATTTTATGCGGTGTAATCAGAGAGGGATGTATCAATAAGATGATTTTAGCAGAGATTTGAAGACAGCGAAGCTGCAGACCATGTGGTTTCCAGGGAAAGACTATTTAGGCAGAGGGAATACTTAGAGAAGGTGCCCTGAGGTGGCAGCATTCCTCAATGCTGTTTATAAAATAGTAAGATGGTACATGATGTGGTAAAAATATACAGAGAAGAAAAAAAAAGACATAGTAGTCTTAAAATATTAAGACATACTATGAATAAGATGCAGCCCTAAGCTCTCTATTTGTATTAATCATTTAATCCTCACTCTGAGGCGGGCACATTCTTGAATGTTCTAGAGGGAGCAAAAAGGCCAGAGACAAGAGAAAAATGTGTGAGAGGAGACTTAGAGATGTGACAAGGTGGGGTGGGAGGATAGAGAATGCAGATCCTCAGGGACCCCAGGAAGAACTTAAATAACTCTGTGAATGAGCCAGGAAGCTGCTGGGAGGCTTGCATTAGAGGACTAACATGTTAGAAGAATCACTGGGTAGAAACAGAGATATATCTTCTAGGAGGAGAGGGTAGTCATCCGTGGAAGAGATACTGGTGGCTTGCACAGCAGTCAAGGGCATATATTAGTGATGGAACTGATAGGCTTTGTGCAGAACTGGAAGTAGTGTGTAAGAGAGGGCAAAGTCAAAGATAACCCCGAGTCTTCTGGGTGAGCAATAAGATTGAGGTGCTGTTTACTGCATTTACTGAATGACTGTGGAACAAGGAATTTGGTAGCCAAGGGGCTCAATCAAGAATTTAGTTTTGATATCCAATTGGAGATGCCAAATAGGAAGGTGAATTTAAGAATGTCAAATTCTAAGGAGAAGCCCAGGGCTATTGAAAACTCAACATCGACTCTCTAGAACTCAAACTTGTGCAAGACCTATAATGACTTTGGTGTCACTGAGATGTGTATGTTGTGGGAAGGAGGATCCTTCCTTTTTATTCTTCTCTGTTTCAATTTTAAGATTTTTAGTTTTATCTGATTCTTCATTCCTGTTGAAAATCCAAATGAAAGAAAATAGGTAAGTTATGTTGTTTGTGTGGGGGGTGGAAGAGGGGGTTGTATTGTTTTGTTTTTCAGTTTTCACTCCAAATGATGCTGCTTTTGGAAGGAAACAAGATAGAAGTTGGGTGACCACATAGATGAGATCTGAGATTGACAGTGATCAGAAATTGACAGATATTGACAAAGATGGACAGTGATTGACAATTTGTTGTGAAGAGGAAACAAGAAATGATTAATACTATGTTTTATAACATGAGACCTCAGAGAGAGGATCTAAAGATAAATATTCTTGGAGAGAGGATACAGATGAAAAAATGCATTAGTTAAAATAATCCAATGAGTATTAGTTCTAATATTTCAAAGACATGCTAGTTCTAATGGGAATATTATTCTTCTTAGCTACTATTACTCTCAATAACTCTTCTTGTTAACTTTCATTGTTTCTAAATAGCACTTAACATGTCAGGTGCTTTTCTTGGTGCTTCCTATACATTACCTGATTTGATCCTTACACTTTGTCATGGTGTTTGCTGGTATCTCTGTTATTAAAGTGAGGAGACTGAAGATCAAACACATGTCGTTACTATAATATGGGTGGTTTAGGGCTAGCATTTTCCAAAGTTACTTCAGAGAATATTAAGTATTATCAAAAGCAAAGAGTGGCCCTAGAATATTGAGAAGTGTTAGATTAAATAAATATACACATGCTTTTTAACAAGACTTTTCGGGTCATTAATATGCTAATATAATGTACCTCCCTAAAAGGGCTTTAGCATGTGGCTTTTCTTAGTTACTTGAGCACAGAAACAATTTCTTTACTGGAGCCACTTACACATTTAATACAAGGAAGAACACATCCTAGAACATGCCTATTTAAGTCAGCTTAGCCCTGGAGCATGATATATGTCCATACCTTTGTTTTTCTGTGGCATTTTCTTTCAAATTTTCCCTCTTGAGTCTTTCTGCTGTATCATACTGCTATAGGCATTTGGTGCTATCATGTATTTCTGATTTCTCACTACATCCTGGACTTGGATGTACATTTTGATTGACACATTGTTGCTGGTCATGCAAACATGATTTTACTTTGAATATGATTTTAGTTTGATAGATGCCTAGTGTGTTTGTCATATACATAGAGCCTGACCATACAGGATTTTCTTTTGGCCAACTTTAGCTCTAGACCATTACCCCAATGCCATGGTCATTCCTTAGGCACTGCAGGCTTTGTGCCAGGCCTGGTTTCTATTGACCTACCTCTGCTCTCTTTTGCTCCTTCCATATTAGTCCAATACTCGAAACACTTTCTATATCTAATGAGACTTAGTATGAATCCGTTGCCTTGGATATGAAGGCTTGGTGTCCCTTCCTGAGCATGAGTTCTCCCTGCAGGACCATGAGTCACTGCTCTTTGTCCCTACTGGTCCTAGACTTTATGTGGTCAGATAACATTTCTGTTCTGGTCTCATTGCTGAGTTCATGCATCACTGTCCATTTAAAACCCCTAGTTCCACTTAAGAGTCTTCATTTGGCGCCTGTCAATGTCTCTAGAGATTACATATTTAACTGTGAACTTAAATCCATGGTCTGGAACTCAGCTATCTAAACAAATGCCTCAGGTAATGATTTGCTTAGACTTCTAGGCATCTCTTAATCAAGAGCCTCTTCAGCAGTGTCATTTGTTCTATTGTTACAATGATACACTGGTAACAACAGAAGCTTCCATTTTATAAATGCTTACTGTGCCAGGCTTGTGCTAAGGCCTTTACAAATATTATTTTATTAACAGCTTTATGAGATTAGTATAATTATCCCAATTTTTCACACAAGGAAACTGCCAAGTTAATAAACTTGCCAAAAATGATGTCCCTAATTAGTGGTAGGAGCAAGATTCAAATCCAGGTTTTCATCCTCAAGTTTGAATTCCTAAGATAATAACACCTTCCACATACATTTAGGACACTCAATCACAATCCTTTACCTGAATTTATGTTTTTCATAATTTAAGTTGGAATAATATTTTGAATAGAAAGCAAAAATTACTTTGTATCAGACCTAATTTGCATGTTCGTTTGTTAATCAAACATTTACTGAGGGCTAACTAAGTGTCAGACTGTGCTTAATGAGGGAGAATAAAACATTTAAAAGAAGACATAATCTCTGACTTCAAGATGCTCCTGGTTTTTAGGGAGACAGAAACATAAACAAGTATGTAGAGAGTATAATGATTACTATTATAGGCAGTCATATATTTAATACTTATAGTCCTTTAACTCAGTAGAATGATCAGTAGAACATTGTAAGTACCATTACTTAAGTGTCTATAAACCCAATATATCTCAAAAAAGTAGTGCTTGTGCTTATTGTTAAGTATGTTCTAGTAACTGTACAGTTAGATGGTTAAGTGAGACATTACTTCTCTAGGTATACAGGTGATGGTGCTCCCTTTAGTGAGTCATTTAAAATTCTGTAGATATGTAAAGAATTAATGATTATCCAGAGTGGAAGGATCAGGTTACTCAAGGAGATCACAAGCAGGGTCAGGAAATACCCCCTTGAAAATTATTTATGCACCAGGCTAGACTCACCACCAGGAAACAGGAGCTGAGAGGAAAGGCCCTAGGTTTCTGCAAGTTCTGAACCAGCAAATGTTGTCATTAGATGTGTTGGCATCTATCCTTGGAAGGATATAATAAATAAGTAGTTCTACATGTGGGTGCTGGAGAGGCAAGATGGTGCCTCAGGTAAAACGGCTGACAGCCAGGCTTGGAAGGAAGGACCGTGGTAAGGGCTGTGCCAAACACTTTCAAGAATGCAATTATATTAGGAACAGGGAATTTGGGATGTGAAGGCTCTTCACTGCATTTCCTAGGATGTATCAAATCAAAACTATACTTGCTAAGATGAACTATGTAGCCTGTATTTGATCTGGTTATTTTTCTATAATTTAAGTGTCTGTTCAAAATGTCAACTTGTTTTAGGTATTCTAAGGAGAACTAAAGAGAGAGATTTGTATTCAGGTTTGGAACAGAGAGAAAGAAAAGAGCTTCCTTGCTGGGATAGAGCAGAAATAGGTAAAGGACAGGAAAAGTTCAAAGGGAGAGAAACAAATTCATGGTGTGACAGCAGGAGTAGCTAGGTAGTGAAAGAAGAGGAAATATAGAACATAGTTATGTCCCAGAACATTAATCTACCTCCAAATCAAGGAATTCAGTAAGAGATACTAGGTCTCTAGAATTCTCCAGCAGAGAAAAACCATGGTTTATTTTATTTTTATTATTATTATTTTTTGGCTCTTTTGCCAGGCTAGAGTGCAGCAATGCAATCTCGGCTCACTGTAACCTCTGCCTCCCAGGTTCGAGCAATTCTCCTGCCTCAGCCTCCCAAGTAGTTGGGACTACAGGCACGTGCCACCACGCCCAGCTAATTTTTGAATTTTTAGTAGAGACTGGGTTTCACCATTTTGACCAGGATGATCTCAATCTCTTGACCTCGTGATCCACCCACTTTGGCCTCCCAAAGTGCTGGGATTACAGGCGTGAGCCACCGCACCTGGCCAACCAACCATGCTTTGATTGTCTGTCCCATTGTGAGTCTAAGATCCAAAGGACTCCGGAAGAGATGTTGCCAGCCATGAACAAGAGTTAATGGAGATAATTTGTTTGCTATCTGCCTCATCAAGCAAGATTGTACTAACCTTTCAGAAATTTTACAATTCTCTCCCCCTCACTCCTACCCCACTATGCTCTAAAAGTTCTAAGGGAATATGTTTAACTTTCTAAATTGTAATGTGATAGGACTACTGAAACTTGTCAGGAAAATAATTCTGTTTTAGACGGAAGACAAATTGACAGCCACACCCAGTTTAATCAAGGATGTTTCTATCATTCTTACTGTTTGCTAAAAGAGAAAGGTAATTGTGGTTGATCATTCAAAACTTTTTATTAAGAATAAACTGTAGACTCACATGTTGCTGGAGTTTAGGGATACAATAATACCCACACAATTCTTACTCTTCATGAATAGCAGTGGGACAAAGAAAATAATTCTAATACATGAATATGAGTCCTATGTTTTTCTAACTTCAAAAAGCTCTAGAATGTCAGAGTAGAGACAACTTACCAATACTGGTCATCAAGGGTGGCCTCTTAGGAAAGCTCACATGATTCTACACATGTATTAGGGCATCACGGACTAACACTGAATTAGCAAGATTGAAGGAAACATAGATGGGTCCCCACTCTAAATTTTCTTCTGTCTTTAAAGATCTAAGGAACTCTAGAAATTAGCATAACCATGAGGCAGTAAATGATTATTAGCTGTGATGTGTGATAGGGATAAGTTTATAGGCGGTCAGAGGAAAGAAAAGATCTCCAGGGTTATCAGCATGACCAATTTATAAATGACTTAATTTGGACACTCACTCTGCTACTTTGCCATCTGCTTTAAAAGAATTTCCCTTCATTATGTACAACACCTGATCATGGGGTTGTGCCTATATTAATGGATGCCTTTTCTTTTAGGAAAGCCTCATGTGCTCCATCTTAAGTCGAGCTCCAGAGTCATTCGATGTTCATTCTCTTTGCCACTTGGCAATTCTAATCTATCAACAGATGTCTGGATAGAGCACTTTTGTGCATAGAGCCTTTGAAAGAAGTCGGAGCTAAGGAAACTCACCAGCTTCTTTAGAGACAGAAACTCACAAGACACACACCTTGTGGTCCGATCTTTATGGCTGTGTGGGAGAACTACAGTGTGATTTCAGACTTTTTCTTGACATGTGGAGTCTGTTAATCCTGAAACTTCAAAATGTACATATTTCCCCCAAATGAGATGTAAGTCTGTTGAGTTAATTATCATACAATTATAGCAATGGAAAAGAAAACCCTAATCAAACGTGAACAGCTTGTCTAACTATTAACCAGACCATGGTGAACCATTACTTAGCTCTGACTTGCATGATCCATCATAGACTTTTGGCCCTCTGTGAACAAATGCTTAAATGAGTTCATAGTCATTTAAAACTGAAAGGCCTGGCTGCCTGGGTTCTTGTGATTTTCTTGAAATTGTTTAGTCATTATATTTTACTGGCATGAAGTTATGGCTATCTTCCTCTCTTTTCCACATGATAGGAAAGAGCACCCAGGTCATGGACATGAAAGACATAGCTTCCCAGGACTTTGATCTACTAAAGTGGTGATTTGTTTTATAACATTTCTACTTATAGTCCCTTAAGCTGCTAAAAAACATTAGAAGTCAAATCCCTTTGAATAAGTTTTCTTTCTAGGAAGAGCCAGAGTCCAAAGCATTGTATTCAGGGTGTCTTTTAGTGTTAGTCCAATTTGCACTATATTCAGGATAATTCAGCTATTGCCAGTATTCTAGCAGTCAAATACAAAATGACCCAGGTGAAGCATGGTGAACTTTTGGTTTACAGTTTTAAATTCAAGAGGTCAGTTTCGATTGATACAAGGATATGAAATTAGGGTTTGTTCTGGTTGAATAGGTTGAGGTTTAGGACAGGGAAGGAAAAAGAGAAAGGATAAAGCCAATCAGATGGTATGACATCACATTCAAGACTAAATAATGAGACTGTGAGCTCATTTTATCCTCAGGCACACTGGAAAGTAGGCATACTATACAGTAACAGCCAACTTTTTGTTCATTCTAACTCTTACCACACCGAGCTTTCCTTGGTGTCAGCCACAGGGGTCACTAAGCCATCAGCTGATCAAGAAAGGTAGGAACTAGATTTTTTTAATATATATAATTTGTAAAGTTTATTTACTCTTTTTTTTTTTTAAGTTCCAGGATACATGTGCAGAATGTGCAGGTTTGTTACATAGGTATACGTGTGCAGTGGTGGTTTGCTGCACCTATTGACCCATCCTTTAAGTTCCCTCACCTCGCTCCCACCTCCCAACAGGCCCTGGTCTGTGTTGTTACCCTCACAGTGTCCATGTGAAACTGGAATTTTCTATGGTACTATGTGGTGTCACGGACTCAGTCAAAGGTAAGACTGATTGAATGTGGAACAGATTCATTTACCCTGGGCTTTGACAGAGTGAGACGTTTAGAAATGGAGGCAAGTAGCTGACTTTAATTTTGCAAACACAGGCTCAACTACTGCAAACGAGCTTTTCTATTGACAAAAAGGGTCTAGATAACATTTTGTTTTTTGTTGTTGTTGTTGTTGTTGCTTCCCCATAGCTAGGGTCTGGGCAATCGGAGGAGGAGAAAGAAATGTGGTGAAAAGAGAGAGTAGAGGTGAATCTCTGCTGATGGTGTTGTTGAAGCTGCCACAGCAATCACCAATGGTAACCACCCTGAAGGCACTATTTGTAAACAAACAGGCTGTTCCCATGAAAATATCAGTCTTATAAGACCAATAGTAGCAAGCATATTTTGTGTTCCTATTTTCCAATCCAGCCTTCTGCTAACAAGAAGAGGAAGACAAACATCTTGGGAATAAGAACCCAGTAGGGGTGAATATTCGAAGATGCTTTGAATGTCAAGACTTGCTTTCCAAGCTTACCTTGCTTCCTGTAAGCATTTTGAAAAACTGAAAATAGGCTGTGGAAGAGATCCCAAGTAGAGGTTTGCTTGGGGAGAAGATTCCAGTAAGAATAAAGCTTATGACAAAGAGCCCAGGCCATGGCTGGGAAAAAGTCAAGCTTAGAAGAACAGGAAGCATACTAACAATTGGTGTAGGCTTGTGATGACTGCAACAAATAAGAAGGTAGAGGGAAAGAAAAAAGAAAGGCAAAGGACTTTAGAAGATAATGAGAAAATACTAGTTAAAAGGAATAGTCTTAGGCCGGGAAGAAGTAAGCGTGCCCAAGGATTCCAGGAATGGATGTCAAGGGCAACTAGAGAAATACCATGGCATTAGAATGCAGTCTGATTTCTCTTTTCTTTGTCTCAGGTGGAATTTATCAAAGTATAATAGATCAATTTTCTACAAGTACCTCATAAAAACATTTCCCCAAGTAAGATGGAGGATAGTGACTTTTTGGAGAAACAGAATGGCTTGATAGATGTCCACCTAGAGAACTACTGCTTCCAAAATGAAATGATACGGCTGTATGGGAAGCTAATAACCAAAAGATCATGTGAACGTTTCATCTACAACATGAGATGGGGCTAGATGGGAGTAAGATTGTCAGGGGCTAACTCTCCACGTTCTAGGAACTCATCACTGTCTTGTTTCTACCACTGTGATCCCAAGGTTTCTTGCATCTGAATAAAATTGGGTCAAGTTCAGCTCATCTGGATTATATGCCAAGAAAAGGTTGGCCATCATGGAATACAGGAGCTTCGGGTGACTTTTTGCATTTTTATGGCCACTATTTGCATTTCTTTTCCCCTGACAAACCCATTGGTCAGAATTGAGAAAACTATCCTTGACGAACTGCTTTTTTAAAAGGATGCATTGCCCTTAATCTAGCAGCTAAGCAGGGGTTTTGAATAGGTGAATCAGATTCGGAGAGAAGACAATTACATTTCTGGAATGATACACACCCTCAAAGTATTATAGCATTGGATGTCTGCTGCCCATTAAATTTCCCCAGCCAATGCTAATTGCCACAAACTCTAGCAAAAGTTTTTCTCTCTGATATTTTGATTACATAATAACAGAAAAATATGTTTAACATAGGCAGGTAATAGCCCTTCTCCTACCCTATTGTTTGTTGTATGGCTTCTGGCAGTGCCATAGGAGTAGTCCCCTTAATATTCCTGTTTTCCAGAATGCTCCTCATATTTCTGGATGAGGTATGATGATTGAATTCAACCTTTTTCTTTGTCCTGAATAATTAGTGTTTTGTCTATCTTATTCTGTTTTCCTTTAATAAATAATATTGATACCAAATACTTCAACTTCATTTATATGCTGTTATCTTATAAGATAGCTTTGTAATAACAGGGTGGTAGCCATAGCTACCACATATTGAATACATTTTGCCAGGCAGTGTACTTTGGTTTTATATGCCATCTTGTTTTATCTTTATAGAAACTATAAACAAGGTAATTATTTTTATGTCCATTTTACAGATGAGGAAACCTGGGCTTAGAGAAGGAGTTAAGTACATTTACCTGAGTTTACACAGCTGGGAAATGGCAGAGCAGAAATTTGAATGACAGGAGAATCAGAGTCTAGAATGTACAGGCATAACCATTAGAGCATGTAGCCTTTTTTGGGCAGCTATGATAAAAGTTACCAAATAAGTATTCACAGAATTGAATGGAATTAAAAATTGAATTTAAAACCAACCATCTCTGGACCTTGTCTTCAAGATAATATTCTTCCAGCCCTTTATGTATCTGCTTTTTAGTCTAGTAGCCAACATGCAGTGTGGATTCTGAAGTTGGACAGACCTCTGCTCCTATCCTGATTCCTTCACCTCTAGCTGTGTGCTCTTGTACAGTTTATTCAACCTTTCTGAATCTCAATTCATTCATTTTAAAAATTGAGATATTTTATTTATAGTGCTGTGGAAAGGATTACATGATATAAACAATGAATGCTCAGCAACTTGGCATAGAGTAGGTATATGAAATACTTTCCCCTCTCTAACACCCACATGGCACTATCCACTTCTTAACTACTCAGTCTGAAAACCTGCTGGAGAGAGAGATCAAAAGTTCTGTTCTTTGGACCTTATGTCCAATTATTTCCTTTTAAGAATATGGGATCCATTATACTTATCTAATACTTCTACCTTCTCACAGGATACCTCATAAATGGTGGTGCAGTCCACTGATTTTCTCTTTTTTATGTCTTGATTCATGACTAGGTTCAGTCAACATCCTAATAAGTTATTATTACCATCTGCAAGTGACAGAAGCTTTTTAAAAAGTTAACACTGTCTATTGATTGCTGATGCGTCTTTTCCATCAATAGACTTTCTTGGGACTGATCAAGTGCAGTAGTGCCAATTGTGAAGCCATTACAGATGAGTTTGGATTTCACTGAAATCTGTAGAGCAGAGCTAATGGGATATATTGTTATCCAGTAGATAGTGCAAGAGTTGCTGCGGTTTACTTAATTTGAAGGGACATTTCATAATTCCAGCCAAATTGGAATCACAATCAGATAAAATTTAAAAGAAAATTACAGTGATCTTGCCCTCTAGAGGCTTTGAAGGAATAAATTTTGCTGCAGTTGGTAATGGCTGTTGATGAAGGTTTTTTAGCTCAAGAAGGAAAGCTACTATTTCAGGAGTTAAGAGTTTCTGGGGTCCAGTGACAGAAATGATCAATTCTTCACAAACTAAAAAGACTTATGATTAAAAAGGGTAAGAAATATTAGTGTTCAATGTAGCAGTGTGAAATTAAAGGACTTTTTAAACTATTTTAGGAGAGTCTAATGGGTATGCAAAAAAATGGCTTTGCCCAGTGTTAGGGTTCTAATATCAGGTTAAGAGGATAAAAAATATGAAGTTCAGGTACTGGGTAATTATTCTGTGTCAGGAACTATGTTAAACGTGTGAAACATTATGCCATGTAATTCTGGCAATAACCTTGAAGATAACATCAAAATTTAGAATGTATAATTATGAAAGATTAAATAATTTGCCCTAGGGCATATAGCTTAGTATATTTCACAACTTGAACTTGAACTCAGGATTTTTCAGAAAAGTGTGTTCTCTTTTTATCATGTAAATCTTGTTTCTGCTTTATGTCTTTCCACCCTCTAGTGTCACCCTACTTCCTGGTAGCATCATTCTAGTGAGATTGGGCCTCTGTTGATTTGTCGGGATATAAATTAGGCTACCTTTATATGATACCAGGTATCAGTATTATCTCAGAATGGCTAAGAGTAGAGCTTAAGATTAGCAGAATGTGAGTGAGGGAGAAATTTGAGGAACATATTTAAATTGGGGACATCTCCAGGGCTACTTCTAGGTACATGTTGGGATTGTGTTCTGCTCTCTGCTTTGTCTAGGGATCCTCATGTATAGAAGAAGGAGGCATCCATGCTGAATATGAGCTAACATGTGATCTCAACAACAATCACAAGGCAATAACCACTTCCTGAGCATTACTCTTTGTCAGGCATTGTCCTGGATGTTTTAGTTCTGATCCACTTAATCTTTCATGTTTCTATTTTTAAGATAAGATGAAGGAAGTTGTGAAAGTCAACACTTGGATCAAAAAAATTGTATAGAATCAGCATATCTGGAAAATGACAAATCTGAGATCTGCATCTGTTCAACTCCAAGGGTTAAGCTTGCTCCACTTTAAATTGTTCATTGGTCAACTCCTAACATTTACCTACTGTGTGCTAAGTAGAGAGGATCAGAGATTAACAAGGAACAAGTCATACCCTCTGGGTTTTATATCTTTTATATTTTAGTCAATTGTCTCCTACTGCAAAGAAAGCATGCCAGCTTCTTGAACAGGATGGAGTTTTCTGTTTTCTTCTCCTCTGTTTTGCCTGCACAATACTAGGTAAGCAATAGTCATTCAGCAATGCTACATAATTGGCTTATCCATCTCAGAATTGCTCCTTCTACCATCTCCCACTTAGAGAGGTGAATCATGACCATTCTACTTGGAAACATGATTCATCCCTCAATGCTTTGGAGAATTCCAACTTTGCAATTCCCTTGCACTTCTATTAACAGAAATGGAAATGAGTGTGGTTAAGGGTAAAATGCCAATTGGGCATGAAAAGAAGCTGGAAAGCTCAGCAGGAAACAATGTGTCATAATCTCACAGGTCTTTTCCCTCTTGGATGTCAGTACTTTTCTCCTACCACCAGTTCCCTCTGTGCTGTTGCCCAGATCAATATAGAAAGGCAAAAAACAAAACAGCAGCAACAAAAAAACCTGCAAAAGGAAGTTTTAGGTGATATAATCTCATTCAGCTCCTCTCCCCTCTATGGGTTAGGAGATGGCTTAAGGATTCATGGGCTACCAGTTTCCTAACTTGGGGAACTGGGAAGCCCAAACTCATCTTGGAGCCCTTACATCGTGCTCTTGAGAGGCGTCACATGCCTAGAAAGATGTGTTTCACAGAGAAATGTCAAATCTCTCCAAATCTAGCTTTTTGTGGGAGTGAGGCTTGGGAAAGCACATTGTAAATACTCAATAACTATATATTATGAGGGTCCCAACATGATTTCAAAAAGCAAATAAAGTTGTATGGATACAAACAAACTAACAATGCTGCTCCATTCATTTGTGTTTCCATTTAGTAAGTAGTAATTTTTTTTTTTTTTTTTTTTTAATGGAGTCTCGCTCTGTCGCCCAGGCTGGAGTGCAGTGGTGCGATCTCGGCTCATCGCAAGCTCCGCCTCCTGGGTTCACACCATTCTCCTCTCTCAGTCTCCCGAGTAGCTGGACTACAGGTGCCCGCTCTCAGGCCTCTGAGCCCAAGCCAAGCCATCGCATCCCCTGTGACTTGCACGTATATGCCCAGATGGCCTGAAGTAACTGAAGAATCACAAAAGAAGTGAATATGCCCTGCCCCACCTTAACTGATGACATTCCACCATAAAAGAAGTGTAAGTGGCCGGTCCTTGCCTTAAGTGATGACATTACCTTGTGAAAGTCCTTTACCTGGCTCATCCTGGCTCAAAAAGCACCCCCACTGAGCACCTTGCGACCCCCACTCCTGCCCGCCAGAGAACAAACCCTCTTTGACTGTAATTTTCCTTTACCTTCCCAAATCCTATAAAATGGCCCCAACCTTATCTCCCTTCGCTGACTCTCTTTTCGGACTCAGCCCACCTGCACCCAGGTGATTAAAAGCTTTATTGCTCACACAAAGCCTGTTTGGTGGTCTCTTCACAGGGACGCGCATGAAATTTGGTGCCGCGACTCAGATCGGGGGACCTCCCTTAGGAGATCAATCCCCTGTCCTCCTGTTCTTTGCTCCGTGAGAAAGATCCACCTATGACCTCAGGTCCTCAGACCGGACCAGCCCAAGGAACATCTCACCAATTTTAAATCAGGTAAGCGGCCTCTTCTTACTCTCTTCTCCAACCTCTCTCACTGTCCCTCAACCACTTTCTTCTTTCCACTCTTCAATCTCTCCCTTCTCTTAATTTCAATTCCTTTCATTTTCTGGGAGAGACAAAGGAGACACGTTTTATCCGTGGACCCAAAACTCCGGCGCCGGTCACAGACTGGGAAGGCAGCCTTCCCTTGGTGTTTAATCATTGCAGGGACACCTCTCTGATTATACACCCACATTTCAAGGGTGTCAGACCACGCAGGGACACCTGCCTTGGTCCTTTACCCTTAGCGGCAAGTCCCACTTTTCTGGGGAAGAGGCAAGTACCTCAACCCCTTCTCTCCTTGTCTCTACCCCTTCTCTGCTTTCCTGAGGCAGGGGCAAGAACCCCTCAACCCCTTCTCCTTCACCCTTAGCGGCAAGTCCCACTTTTCTGGGGAAGGGGCAAGTACCTCAACCCCTTCTCTCCTTGTCTCTACCCCTTCTCTGCTTTCCTGGGGCAGGGGCAAGTACCCCTCAACCCCTTCTCCTTCACCCTTAGCGGCAAGTCCCGCTTCCCTAGGGGGCAAGAACCCCCCAATCGCTTATTTCCGCACCCCAACCTCTTATCTCTGTGCTCCAATCCCTTATTTCCGCACCCTGACCTCTTACCTCTGTGCCCCAATCCCTTATTTCCGTGCCCCAACCGCTTCTCTGCTTTTCTGGAGGGCAAGAACCCCCCACCCCTTCTCCGTGTCTCTACTCTTTTCTCTGGGCTTGCCCCTTCACTATGGATAAGCTTCCACCTTCCATTCCTCCTTCTTCTCCCTTAGCCTGTGTTCTCAAAAACTTAAAACCTCTTCAACTCACACGTGACCTAAAACCTAAATGCCTTATTTTCTTCTGCAATGCCACTTGACCCCAATACAAACTCGACAGTAGTTCCAAATAGCCAGAAAATGGCACTTTGAATTTTTCCATCCTGCAAGATCTAAATAATTCTTGTCATAAAATAGGCAAACGGTCTGAGGTGCCTGACGTCCAGGCATTCTTTTACACATCAGTCCCGTCCTGGTCTCTGTGCCCAGTGCAACTCGTCCCAAATCTTCCTTCTTTCCCTCCCGCCTGTCCCCTCAGTCCCAACCCCAAGCGTCGCTGAGTCTTTCTAATCTTCCTTTTCTACAGACCCATCTGACCTCTCCCTTCCTCCCCAGCCTGCTCCTCGCCAGGCAGAGCTAGGTCCCAATTCTTCCTCAGCCTCCGCTCCTCCACCCTATAATCTTTTTATCACCTCCCCTCCTCACACCTGGTCCGACTTACAGTTTCGTTCTGTGACTAGTCCTCCCCCACCTGCCCAGCAATTTACTCTTAAAAGGTGGCTGGAGCCAAAGGCATAGCCAAGGTTAATGCTCCTTTTTCTTTATCCCAAATCAGATAGCGTTTAGGCTCTTTTTCATCAAATATAAAAACCCAGCCCAGTTCATGGCTCGTTCCCCAGCAACCCTGAGACGCTTTACAGCCCTAGACCCTAAAAAGTCAAAAGGCCGTCTTATTCTCAAAATACATTTTATTACCCAATCTGCTCCTGACATTAAAACTCCAAATATTAAATTCCAGCCCTCAAACCCCACAACAGGATTTAATTAACCTCGCCTTCAAGGTGTACAATAATAGAAAAAAGTTGCAATTCCTTGCCTCCACTGTGAGACAAACCCCAGCCACATCTCCAGCACACAAGAACTTCTAAACGCCTGAACTGCAGTGGCCAGGCGTTCCTCTAGAACCTCCTCCCACAGGAGCTTGCTACAAGTGCCAGAAATCTGACCACCAAGCCAAGGAATGCCCACAGCCCAGGGTTCCTCCTAAGCTGCGTCCCATCTGTGTGGGACCCCACTGAAAATCGGACTGTTCAACTCACCTGGCAGCCACTCCCAGAGGCCCTGGAACTCTGGCCCAAGGCTCTCTGACTGACTCCTTCCCAGATCTTCTCGGCTTAGCGGCTGAAGACTGACACTGCCCAATCGCCTCGGAAGCCCCCAGACCATCACGGACGCCGAGCTTCGGGTAACTCTCACAGTGGAAGGTAAGCCCGTCCCCTTCTCAATCAATATGGAGGCTACCCACTCCACATTACCTTCTTTTCAAGGGCCTGTTTCCCTTGCCTCCGTAACTGTTGTGGGTATTGACGGCCAGGCTTCTAAACCTCTTAAAACTCCCCAACTCTGGTGCCAACTTAGACAACACTCTTTTAAGCACTCCTTTTTAGTTATCCCCACCTGCGCAGTTCCCTTATTAGGCTGAGACACTTTAACTAAATTATCTGCTTCCCTGACTATCCTGGACTACAGCTATATCTCATTGCCGCCCTTCTTCCCAATCCAAAGCCTCCTTTGCGTCCTCCTCTTATATCCCCCCACCTTAACCCACAAGTATAAGATACCTCTACTCCCTCCTTGGTGACCGATCATGCACCCCTTACCATCTCATTAAAACCTAATCACCCTTACCCCACTCAATGCCAATATCCCATCCCGCAGCATGCTTTAAAAAGATTAAAGCCTGTTATCACTTGCCTGCTACAGTATGGCCTTTTAAAGCCTATAAACTCTCCTTACAATTCCCCCACTTTACCTGTCCTAAAACCAGACAAGCCTTACAAGTTAGTTCAGGATCTGCGCCTTATCAACCAAATTGTTTTGCCTATCCACCCCGTGGTGCCAAACCCATATACTCTCCTATCCTCAATACCAGCCTCTACAACCCATTATTCTGTTCTAGATCTCAAACATGCTTTCTTTACTATTCCTTTGCACCCTTAATCCCAGCCTCTCTTCACTTTCACTTGGACTGACCCTGACACCCATCAAGCTCAGCAAATTACCTAGGCTGTACTGCTGCAAAGCTTCACAGACAGCCCCCATTACTTCAATCAAGCCCAAATTTCTTCCTCATCTGTTACCTATCTCGGCATAATTCTCATAAAAACACACGTGCTCTCCCTGCCAATCGTGTCCGACTGATCTCTCAAACCCCAGCACCTTCTACAAAACAACAACTCCTTTCCTTCCTAGGCATGGTTAGCGCGGTCAGAATTCTTACACAAGAGCCAGGACCATACCCTGTAGCCTTTCTGTCCAAACAGCTTGACCTTACTGTTTTAGCCTAGCCCTCATGTCTGCGTGCAGCGGCTGCCGCTGCTTTAATACTTTTAGAGGCCCTCAAAATCACAAACTATGCTCAACTCACTCTCTACAGTTCTCATAACTTCCAAAATCTATTTTCTTCCTCATACCTGACGCATATACTTTCTGCTTCCCGGCTCCTTCAGCTGTACTCACTCTTTGTTGAGTCTCCCACAATTACCGTTGTTCCTGGCCCAGACTTCAATCTGGCCTCCTACATTATTCCTGATACCACACCTGACCCCCATGACTGTATCTCTCTGATCCACCTGACATTCACCCCATTTCCCCATATTTCCTTCTTTCCTGTTCCTCACCCTGATCACGCTTGATTTATTGATGGCAGTTCCACCAGGCCTAATCGCCACACACCAGCAAAGGCAGGCTATGCTATAGTACAAGCCACTAGCCCGCCTCTCAGAACCTCTCATTTCCTTTCCATCGTGGAAATCTATCCTCAAGGAAATAATTTCTCAGTGTTCCATCTGCTATTCTACTATTCCTCAGGGATTATTCAGGCCCCCTCCCTTCCCTACACATCAAGCTCGAGGATTTGCCCCCACCCAGGACTGGCAAATTAGCTTTACTCAACATGTCCGGAGTCAGGAAACTAAAATCTTAATCTCTCCCACTCTAGGTTCCCACGCCGACCCTAATGCCGCTTGAAGCAGCCCTGAGAAACATCGCCCATTCTCTCTCTCCATATCACCCCCCAAAAATTTTTGCCACCCCAACACTTCAACACTATTTTGTTTTATTTTTCTTATTAATATAAGAAGGCAGGAATGTCAGGCCTCTGAGCCCAAGCCAAGCCATCGCATCCCCTGTGACTTGCACGTATACGCCCAGATGGCCTGAAGTAACTGAAGAATCACAAAAGAAGTGAATATGCCCTGCCTCACCTTAGCTGATGACATTCTACCACAAAAGAAGTGTAAATGGCCAGTCCTTGCCTTAAGTGATGACATTACCTTGTGAAAGTCCTTTCCCTGGCTCATCCTGGCTCAAAAAGCACCCCCACTGAGCACCTTGCCACCCCCACTCCTGCCCGCCAGAGAACAAACCCTCTTTGACTGTAATTTTCCTTTACCTTCCCAAATCCTATAAAACGGCCCCACCCTTATCTCCCTTCGCTGACTCTCTTTTCAGACTCAGCCCGCCTGCACCCAGGTGATTAAAAGCTTTATTGCTCACACAAAGCCTGTTTGGTGGTCTCTTCACAGGGACGCGCATGAAACCCGCCACCACGCCCGGCTAATTTTTTGTATTTTTAGTAGAGAAGGGGTTTCACCATGTTAGCCAAGATGGTCTCAATCTCCTGACCTTGTGATCCACCCTCCTCAGCCTCCCAAAGTGCTGGGATCACAGGCGTGAGCCACCGTGCCCGGCCGTAAGTAGTAATTTGAATGATTTCTACGTCAAAGATATGGCTACAGGCCAAGAAAATACAGTGGTGGGTTAACAGACACAGTCTTGGCCCTAAAAAGGTTTACAGTCTAGTGGGAGAAGTAGCCTCAAATAAGGGACTAGACAAATACATATACCATATTTATTTTTATATTAAATTATAAAAGGAAATGACTAAGAATCTGATCTCAGATTTAAAAAAAAAAAATCTGTCTCCACAAAATTGTTTATGTTGTGTGATGTCCCATTCCTTTTGCTCATCTATGTAAATATTATCCAATTTCTTTTGTTTATACATCCTATCACATTGCCCTACACTTAGTAGACATAATAAGTACACAGCATCACAAACAGCAAACCTTTTTGTGGTGCTTTTATGTGTCAGTCATTGTAAAGCTGCTCCATCTAGGCCCTGTGCTGAGGTCCTAACAGAGTAAGAGCCAACATTTGTTGGGTACTTTTTATGTCAGTGATTTTCACATAATATTTATTTAATCTTCATGACAACCTTTTGAGGTATAATTGTTTTTATAGGTTAAGTTGCTTTTCCAAGTTCCTACAACGATTGTCAAGTATCTGCATGCACATATGATCCCAGCTGGTTTTGCTCCATAATGAGTACTCAAAACCACTGTTCTAGTATTATACATAGTCTGAAAATACACTAGAACATATCAGAATGCTTTTCACATATAAAAGAAGGTATTGTTTTGTGAGTGGTTTTCAGTTACAAATGTACTTTTATAGACATAGAATAGGTATGTGTGTACAGGGTCCTAATATAAAATTCATTCCTTATTTGCACCATGAACAAAAAAGCTTAAAAAGCACTGCTACTAATCCACAGAATCTTCTAACATATTGGCGTATAGGAATACACTCTTCATACCATAAAAGTTCACTGTTCAAATGGGCTTTCAGAAGGAGGTAACGCAGCTTTAAAAGTTGACGCACTTGGCCGGGCGCGGTGGCTCACACCTGTAATTCCAGCATTTAGGGAGGCTGAGGCAGGCAGATCACCTGAGGTCAGGAGTTTGAGACCAGCCTGGTCAACATGGTGAAACCCCATCATCTCTACTAATAATACAAAATTTAGCTGGGCATTGTCACAGGCGCCTGTAATCTCAGCTACTCGGGAGGCTGAGGCAGGAAAATTGTTTGAATCTGGGAGGCAGAGGTTGTAGTGAGCCGAGATCGCGCCACTACACTTCAGCCTGGGTGACAGAGATAGACTCCGCTTTGAAAAAAAAAAAAAAAAAAAAAAAGGTTGATGCACTTTCTGTGGTTCGTGAGTTTTTGGAGTCAAAGACAACTGAGTTCTGCCCCCTCGAGCCTAGCCAAGAACGTTGGAGATTCTTGAGAAGTCTTATGTTTCCTCAATGAAAAAGGGGAATAACCAGGTTTTCTTTGCAGGGTTATTATGAAAATATACTGAAATTAAATTTCTTGACATACTACTGATTTTTTTTTCACATAATGATTTATTTTCCTTTCTTTTTTTTAAATTATACTTTAAGTTCTGGGATACATGTGCAGAACGTGCAGGTTTGTTACATAGATATACATGTGCCATTGTGGTTTGCTGCACCCATGAACCCATCATCTACCTTAGGTATTTCTCCTAATGCTATCCCTCCCCTAGCCCCCCACCCCCGACAGACCCCAGTGTATGATGTTCCCCTCCCTGTGTACATGTGTTCTTATTGTGCGGCTCCCACTTATGCGTGAGAAAATGTGGTGTTTGGTTTTCTGTTCCTGTGTTAGTTTGCTGAGAATGATGGTTTCCAGCTTCATCCATGTCCCTGCAAAGGACATGAACTCATCTTTTTTCATGGCTGCATAGGACATACCACTGATTCTTAACAAATGTTATCCTAAGTGACTTCTCTTTTTCCAACACCCCCACAAGTCATACTAATCAAAGCTCCTAAAGATTCTACAAGTCAGCTGTGTGACCACAAGCTGTTTGGCAGGTTTATCATTTCAAACCATTTGCTTAGGCTGTGATGACTGAGAAGAGGTAGTTCTATTCATTTAGGAAATAAGTAATGGAGCAACTCCTCACGGTAGCCTAGAAGACAGGATCTGCAAACATAGCCACCCAGGCGTTAGTCAAATAATAAGGCAATGAATAGGAAATACCTTGGGTAAAAGTGAAGCTGTGCTCCAGGTCTTTTCACCCCAGTAATATTTTGGAAGATAAAGTTGCTATGGCAAGTCACGTGTTGGAAGGACTCATGGGGATTCATTGAGCTCAGTGCACTTTAAAGATTGGAAGGTTGTGAAAACTCCCTCCTAGACTACAACCTCCTAAGAACTCTGGAATCTGTATTTTTCTTTTTTTTTTTTTTTTGAGACGGAGTCTCGCTCTGTCGCCCGGGCCGGACTGCGGACTGCAGTGGCGCAATCTCGGCTCACTGCAAGCTCCGCTTCCTGGGTTCACGCCATTCTCCTGCCTCAGCCTCCGGAGTAGCTGGGACTACAGGCGTCCGCCACCGCGCCCGGCTAATTTTTTGTATTTTTAGTAGAGACGGGGTTTCACCTTGTTAGCCAGGATGGTCTCGATCTCTTGACCTCATGATCCACCCGCCTCGGCCTCCCAAAGTGCTGGGATTACAGGCGTGAGCCACCGCGCCCGGCCTGGAATCTGTATTTTTCTAGTTCTGCAAGGACTCCTGCTCTGAAATAAAAAAAAAATAAAAACAAAAACAAAAACAAAACAGATGCTCTCTGCAGCTGGTTTCACCTATCAGCTCTTTAATCTATCCTAGAATAGAGCTCTGCTTCCGTAATAGCGATGTGTTCAATGTGGGAAGATGTGCAAGATGCTGGCCTGACAGCCTTAAATTGCAGAGGAAATTCCAGATACCAATTATCTTTCTCTACTTCAATAAATTTTCTCTCTTTCTTGCCCCTGCTCCAAGTTCCTATCCCTCTTTCCTTTACCCCGCCTCCCACCACCTTTGTGGTTCAAGTCATGGATAGAGATGCATTTTCAACTACTTAGTTTCGATCAATCCCCAGCTTTCTTTAGATATCGAAAGACTCTTTCCATGTTGTTTTCTTTAACAACATTTGCTTTTATTTGACTCAATGTTCCAATAATTGGGAAATGGAATCTTCTCTGAGAAGGTGTAAGTGAACGGGACCTAATAGTTCCAATTCAGCTAGAGCTGTAGGAAATGCATGAGGGTTACAACCCTTGTCAGAGTGAGACACTTGCTTTTATGAAGAGCATAAATTTAAACAATTGCACCTAAATACAGTCATCCTCACCCCTGCACCCATGAACAGTAATTGTGAATGGTGACCTTTAAAGGAAAAAAAAAGGAAGATTCTTAGCTATGGAGTTGACTAGGTTGTAATTTAATTTTTGGACTAATTTTTCAGCTTTTGTGTGTGTGCATATATATATGTAAATATATAAATTATATATAAATACATAATATTATATAAATTATACACATGCTCTATTTTTCTTCCTAGTTTACTGTTAAAATTTACCATTATTAACTTTCAATCTAAACTCATTTTTATGTCATCTCTGCTTGTTGATGCCCAGGTTAAGAAAACAAACATTTACCTTCAGCCATAGGCACCCACAGAAGCAAATACCAACTAAAACATGACCAAAAGTCAATTGAAGGAGAAACAGAACAGACTGGAATTCCTTGTGGTCCCTTCCTGGTTTCTTTCAGGGCTCCAGGCAAGCGAGCATGTGCTAATTTGCAGGGTTGACTAAATGGCACGCCTAGACCCCAAATTTGCATCTCTGCTTGGGTTCAAAAGTTGGTCTCTGAACAAGTTTCTCTGTTATTTCCCACTCCTAAGTTAAACCCCTTTGGGAATGCTACTCACCAGGGTACAGCTTAGTTCAGAGAAGCAATCATTGGCTGGGCCCCATCTTCCTCTAATATGGGGTACAGCCAGCTGGTGCTGATGTGATGCAATAAGTTAGGAGAGACAAAGGGATGGAGAAGAAAAGGAGATGATTTCCGATGCAAGAGTACAGAAGCCTTCGAGAGCAGTGGCATGCCCCACCCTGTTCTTTTTCCAAGGAAAGAAACTACTAAAGAACAGCCACAGTCTTTCATCCTCCTTCCACCTCCCCAGGTACACATGAAGAGGGGAAAGAGGGTTAAAAAGAAGCTGAACAGGTTTATCTAAACTACAAGTTTCTCTGTGACTCAATTTCCTTACTCATGTAATGGGAATCAGTTACTTGCCTGGTCTAATTCACTACATTGTTAGCAAGGTTATAATGGCATTTCGAGATCATTTAAGGTTCAGGAACGAAAAGTAAATTCCACCCCGCATACTGCGGAGAGAAGTCTTCTGAAGCAGAACTGAAAGTCCTTGGGAAAGAATGTCAGAATGAGCGCACACTCACTGCGGTGCGGCTAGGTGGTCCATGGGGCTCCCTTAGTTCTTCTGATCTAGCTCAACCCTACCATTTCATTGATGAGGAAATTAAAACCCAGAGAACAAAAATAAACTGTTAAGTCGTGTTGGACTATCCAAGTGAAGTGTTTTTGCAAAGGTAAGGCCACTATACATTTATGCCAGTAATAAAGTTTTTATCAGTTTGCTATTTCTGTCTTTGCTGGGGAGAACATTGATCTAAGTAAACACTTTGGTGACTATATCAATGTAGTTGCAAGTGGCAGAAAGTTAACCCTAGCAAGCTATTGGCTAGAGGGATCATTTACCAACTTTCACAATTAGTACAGAGTTGAACAGTCAGACAAGGGCGGGATCCTGCAGAATCTCACGAACAAACGGAATCAGGGGTTTGAAAGCTATAGACCCTCCCTCCAGGTCTCAAAGCTCCATCTGTCTGCCTTTCAACTGTATTCTTACTATTAATTTTTTCACTGTATGTTCTATTTCTGTGGAGGCATATGGAAAACAGGATTCACATTTTTTGGCTTTGACCACAAGAGGGAGACTGTATCACCCTCTCTGTGCTCTGAAATTTAAAATATCTCAGGAAAGTGCAGGGATTGGTCCAGACTGTGGGAGGGGTGAGGCTCTGTAAAAACATGGCCGTCCCAGTTACTGGTATATGGATAGAGTAGAGAAGGAGCTGGTCCCAGTAAAAGAATTTTCCTGTGCAGAAAACAAATGTGATGAAATTATTTAAAATACACATTTAATCACATAAATACAACTGCAGATCTACCGTATGCCACTGAGTTTTCTCCTATATCATGAATTAAGAGAGATCAATTTGATATTACCACCATCAATCTCAGCTTCCAAGTTGTGTTGAGACTGTTTTTTTTATATATGATAGATCTTCTCAATCCAAGCAAACTACCTCCGCTGGTGTTCAAATGAAGAACAGAGAATATACTGGAGCGAAAGGGGCCTACTATGATGAAAATATTGTGTGGGTTCTGCCTATGATGGCTTTTACTTTTTTCAAGGGTCATTTGACTTGACATGACCATTACCAAAGGCTCCAACTCGAATCCCCAAGCACGATGAGACTACTTTGACCATGCCCACCACAGTGAACTTTACAAAGCTGTTCCAGGGTAGGCACCTTTATCTTCTTTATTATCGTTGGGGTATCACAGACAGCATTGTATTTTTCTCCTTGGCTTGACAAACTGGTAAGTCAACTTGTATGTTTCAGTACTCTTAGTTATTAAACAAACCAACTAACCAAATGCTAAATGGAAAGATTAAAACCCACCCAAGTTTCCCGGGTGCATACAAGAGCAACATTGAGGTGACAAAAACTAAAAAGGCCCAAAGGTTCTCTGAAGACCGTTTTTATCTTCTAGCCAGGTGTTACTGCGATTAGAAACACAAGCCATCATGATTGTTAGAAAAGTATTTTGACCACCTCTAAAGTATAAGACTTTTAAATCAGTAAGTCGTTGTTATGTTCCTGGAGAGAGGAGGCCTTCCAAATAAAATAAAACATCTCAGAAATTAATTATATTTTTCTTCTAGTAAATAACCTTTTTTGCCTACAGATATGGCTGAATGCAAATGAAGGTGGTGTTTTCATATTCATAATGGATTTTAGGTTTAACTGTAATACAGATTTAACTAGGCCAAGGACTACAGAAGGGGGATAATATTTATTGTATATTTTTGCCAGAGATCTTGTTTTATTCACTATCAAAAGTGGAACAATGTACCATAACATTAAAAGAAAGCAAAACATTCCCATTGTGTGAAACTAGACGCTCCTTTCAATAAGGAGATAAAAAACCTAACACTTTCTACAAATACTGCTCATTGAGAAGTGAACATTTAGATGGCACCTTCATGTACCAGACAGGATACTTACAGGATTTTTTTGAAAATTCTCATAGCAATCCTGTGTGGTAGATTTTGTCTACATCTTAGAGATCTGAAAACTGCAGGGTGCGGTGGCTCACGCCTGTAATCCCAGCACTTTGGGAGGCTGAGGTGGGCGGATCACGAGGTCAGGAGATAGAGACCATCCTGGCTAACACAGCGAAACCCCGTCTCTACTAAAAATACAAAAAAATTAGCTGGGCATGGTGGTGGGCGCCTGTAGTCCCAGCTACTCCGGAGGCTGAGGCAGGAGAATGGCGTGAACCTGGGAGGCCGAGCTTGCAGTGAGCGGAGATTGTGCCACTGCACTCCAGCCTGGGTGACAGAGGGAGACTCTGTCTCAAAAAAAAAAAAAAAAAAAAAAAAAAGAGAGATGAAAACTGTGATTTTACATTATTTGGCAAGTTCAAGGTCACACTGATAGCAATTGGCAATTGGCACAGCCCACTGCACCACACTGCTTCTGCTTTGTTTTGACAAAGCTGATTCAGGAATGAATGAAACATGTTCAGCCCTAGCAAATGCTATAGGCCATTCACATCATGTCTTCACACTTCCAATAGAGATTATTGTAGTTGGGATTTTTTAAAAAAATCCCTTTCAACTTCACATATTTATGAATGTGCCAATGAACACTTTAAGCATGTATCTATCAATATCAAATGTGGTTTTTAACAGAAACCTTGAAAAAATTGCAGAATTATCCTCTGAAATATTGCTGCTATTATTTTTTAAAATTGCAAGATAATGTTCTGCCATTTCAGACCATTTATCTCTGTTAACAAGACACTTTTTTAGTTGGATAGATAATATACACCCATCTGGTGTGCAGTTTCTTCATTTACTCTGGTAATAATAACTAAAGGCATTTTTCCATTGCTTTGTCGTTGTCCGAGCCAATCTTTTGCCTGTCCTGCTGTTGATATGAGATGCAAAAAGGGAGAAGAAATTGGGACCTGGTTATAATACACAGACATGCCATTTAGAATGTCATTTCAGTGTTGAGGAAGGGAACAGTGCCTAAGTGTTAATGGAAGCAGAACCTTATATAAAACATCTCCAACCATTCAGAAAAGACATAGGGAAATGCCACAAAGCATTTTTATGTTATCTACTTTTCATAGACACACCCCATTCTCTTCTCTTCTATTTCATGAAATTCTCCAATACAAGGTCCACACATTTGCAAATTTGTGGGTAGTTTGTAATTCAGAGGTTTTTTGTTTTTTGCTTTTTTTTTTTTTTTGGCTTGCGTTATGAAGACAGATAAAAGAATTACAAATAATTCGACCAACTTTTCATTTGGTTTAAGCTTTGTTTACAACACAATGAGAAGTAAAGCATGGAGATGATTTTCTGGATAATTCGAGGTAAAGGAAAATAATTTGCTTTAACTTCCTTGATGATCAGTAAAGACTGTTCTTCAGTATCTGCGTAGTTAATTCATTTCTCTCTTTTCCTGTCTGCAGTCACAGAGTTGGCATGTTGGCATACATTTTGCTTGGGAATTCTAGAAGGGATTTTTAAAATAAAGTGTAAATTGGCCGGGCTTGGTGGCTCAGGCCTGTAATCCTAGCACTTTGGGAGGTCGAGGCGGGTGGATCACGAGGTCAGGAGTTCGAGACCAGCCTGGCCAACATAGTGAAACCCCGTCTCTACTAAAAATACAAAAAAGTAGCTGGGCATGTTGGGGTGCACCTGTAATCCCAGCTACTCGGGAGGCTGAGGCAGGAGAATGGCTTGAACTCGGGAGGTGGAGGTTGTAGTGATCCGAGATTGTGCCATTGCACTCCAGCCTGGGCACAGAGTGAGACTCTGTCTCAATAAATAAATAAATAAATGAAAAAAAAAGCGTACATTTTAACCCTAAAACTGTAAACTATAATTTTCCCCCTTTTCTTGTGTTTCTATTTTTTCTTCTTTTGTTTTCTCTCCATCCTGTATTTTTTTTCTTTCTCTTCATTATCGCTAAAGCTCCCTGACCCTCTGTTAATTGGTTTCATTGAATTTGTCTATCAAAATATGGTTGAATTTAGAGAAATTTATTTTGTATTTCAGTTTGACTGGACTTTTTTCACTGTAACATGTTTTCGTTTTGAGGCAGCGCAACTAAATACCATTCTTATTCTAGGCCTTTCTTGGCAGGTAAATAGATCTGCCTTTTTCCACTCACCAGCTGGTAGCAGAGACTCTGCCTCAGCTTCCACCCAGGCTGGGAAGGACACAGGGAGATGCGGAGGTACAGATCAAACCACTGGCTATTTTGAAAATGATGACTATCTATCCACTAGCAGAATTCAAGATTATTAAAAAATAATAATACAGCTAGCCTGGCCAACACAGCGAATCCTTGTCTCTAAAGAAGTTACAAAAATTAGCTGGGCATGGTGGTACATGCCTGTAATCCTGGCTACTCAGGAGGCTATAGCAGGAGGATCCCTTGAGCCCAGTAGCTCCAGGCTATGATCATGCCACTGCACTCCCAGCCTGGGCAACAGAGCAAGATCCTGTCATTAAAATTAACAACAACAACAATAATGAAATAGGTAAATACAATTCCGCCAGCAGGGGTTTTGTCTCAATGCCATTTATTTGTGTAGACAAGGCTACTTAGTGCTGTGCAATAAGAGTGATTGTACACTTAAAGGGGTCATTTTGATTCTTTACTTGTCCAAGCAGCAGTTAAAAAAGAAAACATATGAAAATTTATGTTATTCTTATTTTCCTCCCCAAAATGCTGTTAATTCTTCTTAGATAACAACCTAAAGTGTCATGCTTTTTTTGTTTAACCTCAGAGCTTTCTTAAGGTAGAATTGATGTACCATAAGCAACATACATTTATAGTGTACAATTGTGTGTGTTTTGACATATGCATACAGCTTCAATCTTGAAATTCCAAAAAAAAGTCCTGGTTCATTTTTGGTTTTACTGCTTAAAACTGACTGTGCTTACTATAAACATATAAAAATTTATAGTGGAATGTAGAATTGGAAGTAAGCAGATTGGAAATGATATAATAAGATATCTTCATTTTATAGATGAGGAAACTGAGGATCAAGGAACTAATGCCACTTATTCAAGATCAAAGATTTTTAGTGACATAGACGTAGCAGGTCTCCTGATTGTTGGTTTCATGACAGTTATCTATGTCCAGTTCTCACTTTCAGTCTCGATGACAGAAAAAGTAATTCAAACAAAGAAATTCTCAACATTACGAACATTACGTTAAGGCCTGGTTTACATGCAAATTTTCCTTTTTCCTTTTTTTTTTTTTTTTTTTTTTTTGAGATGGAGTCTCGCTTTGTTGCCTGAGCTGGAATGAAGTGGTGCGATCTTGGCTCACTGCAACCTCCGCCTCCCAGGTTCACTCCATTCTCCTGCCTCAGCCTCCCAAGTAGCTGGGACTACAGGCACCTGCCACCATGCCCAGCTAATTTTTTGTATTTTTAGTAGAGACAGGGTTTTACTGTGTTAGCCGGGTTGGTCTCGATCTCCTGACCTCATGATCCGCCCGCTTTGGCATCCCAAAGTGCTGGGATTACAGGCTTGAGCCACCGTGCCCGGCCGCAAATTTTCTTACTAAATTTACTAGGAAGTAAATAAGAGAGAGGCCCTCCAATTCCCCTTTAACTGTGTGTGTGTGTGTTTAGAACGGTACATTCCAAGAAAAAATGTCAAGGGACAACCATACAGATATTGGCAGGGACATGAAGAAAGATTTATCAGGTAAGACTTGATGTTTTTTTCTATTTAATAAACTTGTGCTGAGTTAAAAATGCAAAATTCTCCATGAAGAAAAACAACACATAAACTACAATATGTAGATCCAGTGTCTCTGCATCTCTTTTTCATTCCTGTTTTGAGATGTTACTGGACTCCTTGCCAAGTTTTGCTGTTGATCTTTCTTCTTGAGATAGAGACCCTGGGTTGTGGAGGTCACCTGATGTTTTTAAAATCATATGGCAGTGGTCTCCAAACTTTTTGACACCAGGCACCAAGGTTTCGTGGAAGACAATTTTTCCACAGATTGGAGGGGTGGTTTCAGGATGATTCAAGCACATTACATTTATTGTGCACTTTATTTCTATTATTATTATGTTGTAATATATAATGAAATAATTATACAACTCCCTATAATGTAGAGTCAGTGGGAGCCCTGAACTTGTTTTCCTGCAACTAGACAGTCTCATATGGGGGTGATGGGAGACAGTAACAGATCATCATGCATTAGATTCTCATAAGGAGCACACAACCTAGATCCCTCCCATGCACAGTTCACAATAGGATTCATGCTTCTCTGAGAGTCTAATGCCACTGCTGATTTGACAGGAAGCAGAGCTCAGGCAGTACTGCCAGTGATGGGGAGCAACTGTAAATACAGAGGAAGCTTCACTTGCTCACCTGCCACTCACCTCTTGCATGTGGCCCAGTTCCTATCAAGCTGTGGTCCAGTCCCTGGCCCAGGGGTGGGGGTCCCTGATATATGGGACCAGGTCATGGTTAAACTATAAAGTAAGTTCTTAAAAAGAAGCTTAGGCCGAGCGTGGTGGCTCATGCTTGTAATCCCAGCACTTTGGGAGGCCGAGGTGGGCAGATCACGAGGTCAGGAGATCGAGACCATCCTGGCTAACACGGTGAAACCCCGTCTCTACTAAAAATACAAAAAAAAAAAAAAAAAAAAAAAAATAGCCGGGCGCGGTGGCAGGTGCCTGTAGTCCCAGCTACTTGGGAAGCTGAGGCAGGAGGAAGCTGAGGCAGGAGGAAGCTGAGGCAGGAGGATGGCGTGAACCCGGGAGGCGGAGCTTGCAGTGAGCCGAGATCGCGCCACTGCACTCCAGCCTGAACGACAGAGCAAGACTCCGTCTCAAAACAAAAAAGAAGCATAAAAAGGAAGATGTAAATAAAGGCATGTTAAATATCCCCTTTCTGACTAAAAAGAGCTGTAATATACGAATGTTAGAAATCTGAACAACTGATAAAGCATCATATACATCTTTAGAAATTTTTCATCTGTAACATCAAACTGGTAGGCATAAAGTCAGAGGATCAATGTTTTTGAATGTTGGGAATAAATTCCTCTCTATATTGTGTTTTGTAGTGCACAGGATAATTTTTTGTCTTTATTTTAATTTTGAGCTTAAATATTTATAATTTCTTATTGTCAACATTGATGTGGTATTAAAGCCCTGCCTATTAAAAGAACCACATGTGAATGCTCAGATGCATTAAAGCTAGAAAATACTGATTTAAAAGAGTTTGAAGGCCTGGCACCGTGGCTCATGCCTGTAATTCCAGCACTTTGGGAGGCTGAGGCAGGTGGATCATGAAGTCAGGAGTTCAAGACCAGCCTGGCCAAGATGGTGAAACTCCATCTCTACTAAAAATACAAAAATTAGCCGGGCATGGTGGTGGGCACCTGTAATCCCAGCTACTTGAGAGGCTAAGGCAGAGAAGTGCTTGAACTTGGGAGGTGGAGGTGGCAGTGAGCTGACATTGCACCACTGCACTCCAGCCTGGGGGACAGAGCAAGACTCTGTCTCAAAAAAAAAAAAAAAAGAGTTTGAAGTATTTGAGGTGAGAAAAGACACACTCAATGACATATACAAAACATGTTTTCTAATATCACTGGAGCATGGCATTATCCTCAAATTCCTCTGTTGCTAATGTATTATTTTGTGAGATCCCTGAGTGCAGGGACTCATTTTTTTTTTTTTTTCTTAACTGTTGTATCCACCACACCTAGTATATGGCCTGAGACAGGGTTGGATGCTGAAAGCACTTTAGGTAAAAGAATGAATAGTCAGGTTAAATAACTTCCAGGCCACTGTTGTTCCAATGGTGACTTAATTGGAAGAATAATCACTAAGATGACTCATTGCATGTTGTGTCTGTCTATTTGCAAAGTCCACAAATACAGAAGAAACACCTTCTGTGGACCCTGGGATGTTCTAGATACTGGGCTACAGCCATGAGCAAGACAGACAGCTCTTGCTCTCTCAGAGTTGTCATTTTACTGGTGAGAAATATACCAATCTATAGATTATTCCGGACAGCATTATATAAAAAATAGAATAGAGTAGTAAGATAGAGAGAAGAATGGAGAGTGTGGGTTAGGAGCATGGTCAGGGACAGCCTGTCTCAGTCGGTCACATCAGAGTTTACATCTGCATGATAAGAAGCAGCCAGCCTTGGGATGTTCTGTGGGGATTGTGTTCCAGGCAGAGGGAATAGCAAGTGCAAAGGCTTCAGGTAGGAACAAGGTAGAAGTATTCCAGGAATAAAAAGAAGGCTAGGACTTTGGGAGGCTGAGGCAGGTGGATCACCTGAGGTCAGGAGTTCAAGACCAGCCTGGCCAACATGGCAAAACCCCGTCTCTACTAAAAATACAAAGATTAGCAAGGCGTGGTGGTGCACACCTGTAATCCCAGCTACTCAAGAGGTGGAAGGAAGAGAACTGCTTGAACCCGGGAGGCAGAGGTTACAGTGAGCCATGATCGCACCACTGCACTCCAGCCTGGGTGACTGAGTGAGACTCCATCTCAAATAAATAAATAAATAAAAATAAAAAAGGAGGTCAGGATGGCTGGAGTGGAATGAAGGAAGGGGACAGGCATGGGAGGTGAGGTGGAGAAAAGGGCAAAGCCAAATCAGGCAGGCCCTGCAAATCCGCTGCCAGATTGATTTTATTAGCTTTAAATGAAGATTCTTTCACTAAATACTAAAGCTCATTTCCTTAAAGTTTAGTTAATCAAGATAAGAGTTTAAGTTTTAAAGGTTGTATTTATAGTGCTTACTGAGGAATTATGTTATTAAGAAAGGAATTAGGGCCAGACACAGTGGCTCCTGCCTGTAATCCCAGCACTTTGGGAGGCTGAGGTGGGAGGATAGCTTGAGCCCAGGAGTTTGAGACAAGCCTGGGCAATGTGGCAAAACCCTGTCTCTACAAATAATAAAAAATGTTAGCTGGGTGTGGTGTCATGCACCTGCAGTCCCAGCTACTTGGGAGGCTGAGATGGGAGGATCGCTTGAGGCCAGGCCGTCAAGGCTGCAGTGAGCCATGATTCCGCTAACTGCACTCCAGCCTGGGTGACAGTATGAGACACTGTTTCAAAAACAAAACAAAGAAAAAAAAAAAAAAAAAGAGAGAGAGAGAAAGGAATTAAAGGAACCCTTTACAATACAATAATGCTCCATATAGCTAGATGGGGTGCTTAGGACTTCTCCTACAAGAAAATATTTGATTTATAACAAGCATTGGCAAACATTTCTTAGAGGGCCAGAGAGTAAATATTTAGCATTTGAGGGCCAAGTGGCAAAATGCAGGATAATATTATGTAGATAATTACATAACTTTTGTGTGCGTGTGTGTTGTAATTACATATAACAAGGTGTTTACCATTTTAACCATTTTCGAATGTACAATTCCTTGCATCTCCATTTATAATGTAAGCATTTAAAAATGTAAAAATCACACTTTGTTCATGGGCCATGCAAAAACAGGTGATAGGTCAGTTAGCTGTGGGCCATAATTTGCAAATACTGAGTTTACAGAAACATAAGAACTATTTTTCAACAAAATAATTGACATTGGCACAAAAAAGGCCTAGCATATTCAAACTCCAAAGAACTTTCAGTTTGAGCTATAACAGCAAAAAAATAAAAATAAAAATAAAATAAAATAAAAAAATTAAAAAAAAGTTGGATGATTCTGTTTTATGGAACGCAAATCCTACTGGTTTTGTATGTGCCAATTTAAGAAATAGTGTTTGATGACATTCATAGCATAAACATTGACAAACAGAGGTGATACCTGCGATGGTTAAATTTTACGTGTCGACTTGGCTAGGTTATGGTGCCCAATTGTCTGGTCAAACACTCATCAAGATGACTGTGAAGGTATTTTGCCGATGAGATAAACACCTAGAGTTGACTTTAAAAGAGAACAGCAGTAATGTGCGTGGACCTCATCCAATCCGTTGAAGGCCAGAAGAACAAAAGCAAGTTTCCCAGAGACAAAGAATTCTGCTTCGAAAAGGTAACAGAAAATCTTGTCTGAGTTTCTTGCCTGCCAAGCTGCTCTACAGATTCCAGACATGCCAGCCCACCCAATCACGCATAGCCAATTGCTTAAAAATAAATCAAATATCTATGTATGTAGATACATATGTATGTATCCTATTTGTTTTGTTTCTCTGGAGAACCCTGACTGATAAAATGCCTTTAGTGTTTATTCAAGTCTGAGAAATTGGAAGTTGCTGTGACTTTCTGGAATAAGACCAAACTGTTTCATTTTAATTTCCAAGCCCTACGCTTCATCATCAAAGACAATATAAATATAGACTTGGTCTACACGTTGCAAGAGTCTGTGGTCCTGAATTTAGAGAGCAGTCAAGAATTTTGGGAGTTATAACCTTAAGATTTTATTCAAATCTTACATATCACCTGTCTTTGAAAAAGCCCTTTTGTCCATAAATAGAATTTACAGTTGTTCAGCAATTGGATTCATTCTATATGCAAGTCTTTCTATTTGCAAGTTTCCTCCCTTGGCCTTGTAAATAACCCAGATAAATCCTCTATGTATAGTTTATGGGAATTCCTACTCTCAATTAGTAATAGAATGCCATAAAGTGGCTGTATCCATTGCAGAAAGAACTCTTCTCTCCTCATTAACTCATCGCTTCGAGAACTGAGTGCTTAGGGGAACCCTCATCTTGTACCAGGGTTTCAGGCTGTGTGTTTTTTTTTCCCCCAAGAATTGAATGATTGTGCTATTGGGGAAATAGCATCATCTGTGACAGATAACTTCTTTATTGGGGAAGATGAGTAACAGTGACTGCAGTACTGATATCATACTTAAAAACCTAAAGGGGAAGGAAGCTGATAGCAGGTATCACCCAACACCTGTCCATAAAGCTGATGATTCATCATACCCAGATCATTCTGCAGGAATAATACATTCATTGTGTCATGGCCGCCAAATCTTCCCAAGTTTAATAGCTGCTGCAGACCCATGGTGCAGTAGAAGCCTCTGAATTAAGATGATTCAGTAGGTTCCAATTCATCCTAAATAAGTGGCTGTCTAGATAAATGAAGTTCATCAAATTACAATGAATACCATAAAATAACCTTGCTGGGATTGCATGCCCCTGGGACACGGACCGTGTCTAACTGTGTGCTAGGCAGCAACTCCTGTGCTAGGGCTTTGCAGTCTGTGTTAAATAATAACAATATGACAGTGTGTTTGCCCTGAGTCATTTTATTTTTTTATCAGCAAAGTTAATGCTCTAACTACATCAATTAGGTCACTTAAATTTGACTGGTTAATGAAATGCCTTTATGGAATGCAGCCTTGGAATTATTTTTTTAAGCAGCGAGGAAAAAAAACAAAACAAAAATCACTATTAATGACATTTCAATCAATGTATTTAATAAAAGACAACTCAGGTTCGGGTTTTATTTTAATTAATAATCTGTATTGAGGAGGTTTCCTCAGCTTTGCAGGGTTATCTTTGCCTAGATACTTTTTTTCTCTAACACGCTGCAGAGACACTAGGCTGGTGAAACAGTGTGGTTTCAGAGAAGCTGAATTGTTGGAAAGTGACCCTGGGTCCTTACTCTGGAATGTTTGGACAAAGAGACAGTGGGGCCAGCTTCTCCTTCCATAGTGTTTTCCACAGTGGAAGAAATTGCATCCAAGTTTGGCTTTCCCTGAAACAGGGCCTCCTCCTCTCCATTAGGGGAACTATACTTCTCATGGTGCTAGAGACTCCAGGTGCAGAGAGTGCCTATAAAGGGCTGGTACTCATATCCAGACTGTTGGATGCCAAGCAGCCTGTACATTTTCCACAGACAGGATTGCTTTCTTACACTTGCCCATACAGTAGGGAGTAAGGAGTGACGAATGGTCACTTCCATGGAATGGAGACTCACACTGCATGCACAGCCGTGTCCTGGTCCTGGCCCAACTCTCTGCGGGATAATGAGAGGATCAGGTGGATCTGTATCTTCCCTTTTCTAGCTAATCTTTGGCTAAAGTTTCTCCATTCTCCAAAAACTCCTTACTCCTACTACTTGCCCCTATTATGTGACATCATGGAATTCATCATCAACTTTATCAGCAAGATGGGGTTGATCCAAAGGATTTCCCATTGACCATCACACAGTCTGACTTGGCCTTTAAAGTCCTCGATTCTAGAATTTGCCTCAGTCCCCATAACCTGGCAGTTTCTTTTCTTTAAGATGATGTGTGCCCTCAGCACTAGCTGGACTCATCTCTTTGGTCTAATGATTTTCTTCCTGACACTGTGGGTGCTTTGCCATTTAGGAGTGAGGGTGCAGATGTTCAGGTGAAGCATGCGTTCTGGAACCTTCTCACTGACCTTTACCCACTGTTTGGAGCAGTGCTCTGCTGCTGTTTCTCCTCCAGTGGTATCCTTGCTATGTTGGGCCGTGCAGCCTCTTTTTGTTTTGCTGCTCTGGGGCTATTCATGGACTTAAAATGAAACCTGTTTTCCTTCTTGACATAGCAAACAGGAAAATGGAGTTTGGGATAATTATAATACCTCTACCAATGTTTCCTTTTCAGAAGCCAGATTGCAATGTTGAAATACATTTACATTTTACAAATGCTTTTGTGGTGTAAAGGGAAAAAAATACAATGGATTTAGAATTTGAATATGAGATATGAATCCCAACTCACTGCTTGGGAAATCCCTTCATTTCCCAGCTTCTTAGTTTTTGGATTCATGCAGTGGGAAGTTGGGGTGTGAAGACTTACCATTAACCAACTTCTCCCAGAGAGTCTATATAAGGAGCAAGTAAGGGGCTGTGTTGAAAGTACCTTGTAAAGTTGAAAATGGTACAGAGGTGCCAGTCAGTGGATGTCCTTTTGGGTAGAAGGAACAAAGGGTATTATTCTCATTAAAGATAGAGTAGCTGAGAAGTAGAAAGGTAAAGAGACTTGACCAAAGTTGTATAGTTAGTGACATCTGGGACTGGAACCCAGATTTTCTACCTTTAATTCTTTTCTCATTAAGAATGTGTGAATCCTGATTAGAAGGAAAAACAAAACCCGAAACTACTGAGATTCTTGAGTTCTGGGAATTACTCAGAGACTTTCATCATTTATTTCACTGCAGGTGGCAACCAGACAAGTTCAGTTGTCTTCCCCTAATCATTTGATTTTGATGCTCTGTGAGGTAAATAGAATCTTACATATGATGTCTCTAGGGATTTGAGGATAGAAAGAGTAAAGGGACGCTTTTAATCCATTTTTTTGTACGTGGGAAGAGGATGTTGTTTGTAAACACTTTATGCATCTCTGAGCCGTAGATTATTTTCACATTAACACTATTGAGTATATTCACCTCTTTCCTTCTTACTAGGTGTTTTCAGAGATCCTGCCTAGTCTTTAAAATAATTTCAGTAGTACAAGAAATCTAGAACCTTGTGTGTGGCTCTGTAAAGTGCATTTACTTACACAAATGACTGTCTCAATGAAGTTTTACCCATAGCAGGAGATGGAGGTCCTGTCCCTGGGTGGTTTTTAACTTTGTTTCCTGGATCCAAGGTCCCCATCCTCTGTACTTTGTAAATCCTGAGTTAGATCAGGATTTTGTTGGGCAATTTTCTCTTCTGTCTGGGACCAGCCTGGGTTCGATATCACAGATCCACATGGGTGATTCTATCTGGTTTGTTGTTTCCTAGCTCTCATACCCTTAGGATCTATAGGGCAAAGTCATGCTGTCAAGACACAGATCAGGAAGCTCTCTGAGAAAAGACTTTCTGTAAGTGGCAAGAACAGGAAAGACTCAGTTCCAGCTTGTTCCTCTTTAGCTAAAAGGAGCAGGATCTACTTGTACCTCATGTAGCTCAGCACACCATATCCTTTTGGGCAATAAATCACTTGGATTACCTGAAGAGTAGAAGCATGAAGGATCCAGTTCTTACCATACCCAAGTGCCACTCTCAGGAGTTCAAAACTCCTTCCTTCTTTAGGCATAACTAACATCATACTTTCAAGCTCCTCCTTATATGAGGCAAACCAGTTATAGATTTTTTTTTCCTTTCTTCTACAAATACATGAATGACAGGCTATTAAATGGATGGTGGTTATCAGCATTGATGTTCAAACATCATCACCTGTGTCTTGCATCTCTCACTCCAGACAACTACAAGGCGAGGCCAGCTGCCTTCACCTGATCATCTTGTCCTTGGTTACACAATGTCAGTAGAATGTAAGGAGATGTGAGGTATATGTACTGGTGTAAATCTTTGGGCAGTGGTTACGTGGCATGATAGAGATGTACCTAAGACCAGGTAGGAGAAGGCAGTGCTTTGGCCATATAATAACATCTAAGGAACAGGCAAGAAACAGTTATAATGGGAAGTGTTTTGGAGTAATGGGAAAAACCATTTTTAGAGAGTGTTTGTCAAAGATGTGCTTTCTAAACCAAAGGAGAAAAAAACCCCTCAATCACTAGAAGAATAATTGGGCATCAGAGATATTTAGGAGCCACCACAAGTTATTTATAAAATACTCTCACCCCATGTACTTCTCATTTCTCTTAGCTTTGTGAAATGGGAATTTAGGACAGAAACAGGAGAAACAAGAAAGGAAATTAAGATTTTGTTGCTGGGCTTCATGAGTTAAAGACAGAACTTCAAGATATTGCTGTCCAAGAGTCTGAGAATCTTTGTACTATGTACATCAGCACTGACACCAGGAAACATTGCCTTCTGGATAACAACGTGAGACAAAGCACAGAGGCAAACCATACAGAGCAAGGCTAATGTACTGAAATATGGCTGTGGTCAGAGAAAGATGGAGATGCCATCCTAGACATTTCTAGCAGATAAATTTTCTCATACCTGCAGAGGTGTCAGAGATTGGGGTGCACTAATACTTTGTGTTTATTTGGTGTAAATTGTCAGACCTAGCAGGGAACGTAATTACAGCAAAGTAATTAGGAAGGAGATTGAAGAGTCAAAGTGTCTGGGTTTTCATCCTTGTTGCATGGTTTACTAGCTGCATCAGTTAGCTATTGCCACAACAATGCTGAGTAACAAATCACTCCCAAACTCAGAGGCACGCAAAAAGTAGAATCTTTTGCCTACTCAGATATCTGTGAGACAGCTAAGGTTTAGCTGATCAAGGCTGTGCTCACCTGTACTTGGCATCAGGCCGTTGGTTCAGTTCAGATGTACTGCATTTGCCTTTCATCCTTCTGAGACTGGCAGGCTGCTTGGGTCATGTTCTTTTAATAGCGAAGATAGAAGTGCAAGAGTGAAAGTGCAACCACATGCAAGCTTCTTCACACTTTGCTTATGTCACACACACTAACTCACCATTAACTGAGGCAAGTCACACAACCAAGTCCTAAAATAAGGAGATGTACACTCAACTCTCTATGAGACCAAATCAACTATCAAGACCAAGTTCAACATCAGTGAAACAGGGGGGGACAATCTTCCAAGGGAATGGTGGGTTGGAGAAAAAAGGGTGAATATTTGAGGAACAATAATCTACCATACTGGCTCTGTGGTCTTGAGCAGTTTGTTTATCCTCTCTTAACCTCAGTTTGCTCATCTGAAAAACAGGAAAATGAAGGTGCTCAACACAAATGTAAGGTTTAAATTGGAATAATATATTTGAAGTGATTAGGAAGTTCCTGGCATATAGTAATTATGTAATAAACGTCAACTATTATTTCTATCTATCTATCATCTATCTATCTTTCTATCATCTATCATCTATCTATCATCTATTTATCTATCATCTATCTATTCACCCATCCATCTACCTACCTACCTACCTTGCTACCTATTTATTATCTGTCATCTTTCATAGATTTTATTGTGTCACCTCCTTGCTAGAGTCACACTTGGTTATTAATATCTGAATGTTGTAATACTCAGGTTTCTTAGTTGTAAGCCATGAAAATGACTCTGTTAGATTGAAGCATATAAATAATTTAATTAAAAAATACTGGAAATGAAGCTCAGAAAGTGGTCAAGATAGCAGCACAAAATTTCACTTTGGGACCATCCATTTATAGGGATATTGCTCTCATTGACACTGAATACTGGGTGCCATCATTGTTCTACTTTTGTCTCTGGCCTTGGGCACATGTAAGCTGGATGTTGATTCCAACATACAGCCCCAACTTGAGTAGACTCTCCACTGTTCCAGCTACTTCCTAGTAGAAGTCCCTAGAAGATGCATTCTATTGAGGGAGAGCAGGCCACGTGTGCATGAAAAGGACTTTGGAAAAGTGAATTTTGATTTTTGCTTTTTTGACATTTCTAATGGAGTTATATAAAACACTTCTCAATGTTTGAGGGATTTTCTCTAATATAAGTCTTGAAGGCAGACAACTTAACTTTGGGCCAGGAACTTTCCTATCACTTCAAATATATTATTCCAATTTAATCCTTACATTTGTGTTGAGCACCTTTATTTTCCTGTTTTTTATATATGAGGTAGACCAAAATGTCAAAGACCGATGGAACTGTGGTATCTAGTACCCAAATTCAGGTTTTACTTCTGGATTATGGCTTCTGGAAAGTTAACAAAGGGTTATGAGTGTTTCCTTGTGACTAATGAATGGGCTGAAGGTGAAATTTCCCCTCACTGGTTTTGTAGCTTTTAGTTTCTCTTCTTAGTACTCACGCTAATTGTGGGTGATTTTCATTTTTCCCTAATTTTGAGTGATTTTCAGTTTTCTCTAATTTTTGTAATCAAGTGGTTTATCTTACTGGGTTCAAACAACTAATTTGAAATCAAGCCCCTGAGTTTCAATATTAAGCTTTTACCTCTCCTTAGTGTGTATCATGTACATGTAGAAGTTATCAGGACTTAGTAACTGAACATAATTTTAGCATGTGGACCCAATCAGGCATTACTAAAAGGAGGTACCTAAACTCATAGGTATGTAGCTGACATTGTAGATACTATTCTTAGTTGGTCACATAACAATGATTTTATGGATCTGGTTTCCTGGCAGCTATAGATTAGTTTGAATCAGCCAGACAAGCACCCCTTTTCTGGGAGAGTAAAAATTCCATAACCTCAGGATGAATTTTGGTTCTTCACTTTGCTAGCTGTCTGTCCTTGGGAATGTTACCTAACTTTTCCAAGATTTAGTTTTTTATATTCCAGGAATATCACAACTCTTACTTTAAAGTTTCTTGTAAGCCTTAAAGAAAATGCATATTAATATTGGGCCACTTTTTTTTTTTTCTTACCATTCTGTTCTAGCCAGGCTGTTTTTTTTTTCTTTTTTCTTCTCTCTTGCTTGAACAAGACAAGTTCCTTCCTGTCCCAGGATCTTTTTTATGCTATTTACTACTTATGTTGCCACTACAAAGTTTTATTTATTCATTTATATAGCAGATATTTATTGAGTGCCCTCTCTGTGCCAAACATTGTTTTAGGTGTTAGGGATATATCAAAGTATGAAATAAACAAGAATGCCCTCCTGCTTACAGCTTACATTCTATTTAGGAGACAGAGTCTCAAATTAACATGTAAAATGGAATACAAGCTAAAGAGAAACATAAATCAGGGGCAGGGATAGAAAGGGTTAGGGTTGGCTCTCTAGTTTAACTGAGATAGTCAGGTACAGATTACACGTGCCCTGTGCACCCTTGCACCCTGGAATTCTCAGCCCCTTGCAGTGAGATGGGGCCACATTACTAGGTTTGGCCAATGGGCCCATAGTCAAAGTGATGTGATCACTTCCATTTAGGGCATTGAAGAGTGCCTATGCATCCTCCATGGCTGTTCTGTCACTGTAACAAGAAGGCTGGCCGTGTGCTCTAATAGTGCCGGTAAAAGACGGCGGAGCCTTCATCAACCTGACTCCCTCAGTGATTGTGTGGAAAACCATCTGCCTGACAAGCCCACTTTAAACATGTAATACAATATGAGCAAGAAATATATGTTTGTTGTGTTAAGCCAGTAATTGGGTGTTAATTTGTTACCACCATATTACCTAGCTTATCCTGGCTAATATGGTTGGTTAGGTAAGAACTCACTTTTGAGTCACTATCTAAATGAGGCAAGGGAGTAAGCAGATTTTTCATCTTTTGATGTCAGCTTTCAAATCCTTCCTCATCATTTGTTTACTACCACAAGACCTTAAAACTGAACAAGTACAGGGACTACTTTTGTTTTGTTTTGTTTTGTTTTCAAATTGTACTTCAGCATAGTGTGAATTCAATACATATTTGTAAAGTGAATAAATATACAAATGAATAAATGAATTGCACAAAATAATTCTTGTGACCAGCCTGGACAACAAAGCAAGATTCCATCTCAAAAAAAAAAAAAAAAAAAAAAAAACCCTGGATAATAGTGTGCATCTGTAGTTTCAGCTACTCAGGAGGCTGATAAAACATGACACATGAATAAAAAAAAAATTCAAAAAATTATTGGGACAAAAACAAAAATTTTAAAGGTAAATATTATTGCATGTAATGTATTGCTATTTCAACATTTAATCTCCCCTTTTCTTTCTTTTCTTTCTTTTTTTTTTTTTTAAAGGATCTTGCTCTTTTGCCCAGGCTGGTGTGCAGTAGAGCAGGCCTAGCTCACTGTAGCCTCAAACTCCAGGGCTCCAGTGATCTCCCACCTCAGCACCCAGAGTAGCTGAGACCACAGGCATGTGTCACCACGTGTGGCTAATTTTTCAATTTTTGTAGAAATAGGGTCACTATATTGCCTAGGCATGTTTTGAACTTCTGAATTCAAGTGATCTTCCTGCGTCAGCCTCCCAAAGCACTGGGATTACAGGCGTGAGCCACCACACCCTACCTAATCTCCTTTTTTTTTTTTGGTCTCTCTTAGTTCATGCTCTTCTTCAAATAAAAATGATAATACATATTTACTTAAAATTTTTTTATTAACAACAATATTAATTATAAGATGCATTTGGACATAAGGGAAACAGGAGTTATATTGGAGCTGAGGGGCTAATGTGTATGTCAGTTTTATGGCTATTGATGTATAGTTAATGGCAGCTAATAATGGCTAATAACCACTTATTGAAAAATTACTATGTTCCATTATGATACTAAGCCACATATACTAACTTGTTTAATCATCATAATGGCTCCAATAGTAGGTTTCATGGTTTACCCCATTTTATAGCCATGGAAAGATTGAGAAACTTTCCCTAGTGACACAGCTAGTAAATGACAGAGCCAAAACTTGAGCCCAGCTACTCTTATTCCCAAGCTGTATCATTCACAGTTCCACCATACAGACTCCTCCTGGACCATCCTGCCTCTAGATGATCTACTGGAAGTAGCAAAGACTTCAACAGAAAGGTGGGTGGCTTTAATCTTATGCTTTGCCATTTATGTGACTCAGCCTTTCTAAATATGTCTGCTTTTCTCTGGGTCTATCTGCTTCTCTCACCATAAACTCATTTATTCTTTCTCTCTATAAATCTCTCTGAACTTGCCCACTTTGCTTATATTCTCATTCCTCATAACCTCAGTGACTGCTCATGCCTTGGCCTTATATCATTACTTCTCTCTGTAAATTCTTTCTGATTCTTTCAGGACTCAAGCAAAAGTTTGTCAGACTCTTGGACTCCACTCAGATTTTGACACCAGCACAGGTCATAATTTCTTGGCCACCTCATAGGCCACATGTAGAGTGTGGCTACCAATCATTCAATCATCTAAGCTTTATGGTGGAAACAATGTTCCCTAAGAATTCCTGGAGTTAAGTGCTTGGTTGAAGCTGTTTACTTTAAAAAGTTTATGGGCATGGCACGAATAACAATTAATGTATGAAACATTATTAAATGTCTGTGATGAGCATGAGCCTGGCATCACGTAAGGCACCTTAGAGACATTGGATTATACAACCATGGCCTTTCAAAGTAGGCACCATCATTATTTCCATTTTACAGATGGAGATACTGTATCTTTTAAACTTGCTCCAGAGTCCATGGCAAGAAAATAGCAGAGCAGGTATTCAGACTGTTTTGACATTTTTATTATACTAAACCAGAAGTTTTCTTTGCACATGTTTATTTTATTTAAAAACCTCTACTCCCCTTCTACCTGACATAAATAAAACACTTGAAAGTCATCACTACTGTCAATATTAGAGGAATGTCAAATGCTGTCACTTAGCCAGAAAGCTGCTTTGGAATAACTGTAATATTATACAACATGACAAGCTCTCTTCCACAGTGGTAACTTCAAAACCATGGACATGGGGCTTGTGCAAACCCTAACGCCATTAGCTTAAGTCCCAGGGCTATAAGGCTGAAGAATTAACCACCAAACCCAATACAGTCTCAGCCCTGGATAGCAGAGGCCACTCTGCACCGATAGGTTATTTTCATTCAAGGCAAAACACGTGCCGACATTCAGTTTTCTGTTCTGGAGCTAGCTGGGCACATTATCTTCTCAGTATGGATTGGATGAGGGAAGTGAGAAGCAAACAGCAAATTCTTGGCAGCCAAAGGCAGGCAGGCAACAGAGAGGGGAGAAGAGCTGTCATGGGACTGAGGAGGAGTAATTTGAGTCTTATGATGTTCTTGCCATTTTTTGTCAGTCATCAGCTTGCTGTTTGCAACTATCTTCTTGATAAACTAAGGGTGAAAGGGAATCATAGAAGAAAAAGACTGGAAGAGGTTATCTAATCCTGCCTTTATTCTGATCATCACTGCCAACAGCCAGGTTTTTAGCAGTTAAGGTAATTCCAGGAACAAAAGTGCCCCAATTACAGAACAACAACATTGAATTACATGAATGATGATAAAAAGAAATCCTTATAATTATGGATAGCATGAAAGTCCCAAATTAGCATAGGCTTAATGTAAGATTTGCTACATTTATTTTTCTATATTTGTTCTGTGTAGTGTTCACTGATTTTCTTCTTGTTACAATATGGTAACCAGCAGCATCCAGCCTATGCATTTCCTCCTTCAGGAAGAAAGAATAACCCTCTCAGTAGTTCTCCCAGAGAACAAAGGAGATTCTCTCCCAAAAGCCCAGCTCAGCTACTCTCCAGCCTCCTTTGTACCACTTGAGTCTCATGTTTATTCCCAATCCAATTACTATGGCTTAGCTGTGGACTTTGCTGATTGACTTAAGCTAATTAAGAATCACCCTTGGAGCTGAGGATGAAATCATCTCACCCAATCTGCAAACTGCAAGTGGGTGGAAGGGTTGTTGTCTAGAAATCTGTTGATCACTCGAGAAGGAAATATATAGAGTGACAACCACAGATGACATGAGGCCCTTGTCAAATCACAGCTGGAGTCCTGCAAATCTCCTAACTGAGCTCCTTGCCACTGGTTTTGTCTCTTCTGGTGCATGTTTGATACTGCTCCTGATAACAACAAAAGGAAATTTAAGCAGCTCACATGGCATACAAACTCCATTTGAACTGCTTCCTAGCTACCTTCTAGTTCCCTTTTTATCCCTTCCCCACAATGAACTATGTGAAGCTCCCTAAACACTTCCAACCTTCTCTACCTGGATAATTGTTCATGATTTTTCAAGGTTCAAAATAAACTTTTCCCTCTGGAGGCCTCTCATGATCTCACCACCTTGGGCTAGTTTCCCCTACTCTGTGCTTTCATAGCAATCTGACTTTACCCTGTATCACAGAAACATCGGTTTGATAATTTTTCTTTCCCTTCAAGTATTCAAGGTCCCTAAAGGAAAGGCCCACAGTCTTGTATCCTTGGTACCTGGGACTCCACATGGTATGCTGTAAGCATACAGTCACTAAAGGGGTGTTTAAAGAATGATTCTATTTGCCAATAAACTCTGCTAAGTTGTGTGGGCACAATATGAGCAGAAAACAAATGTAAACCTTGGTTGATACTGTCATAGAGCCTGTTCACTAAAAGAATAAATGAAGAAATGTAAGAAAGAATGTGAGCCATCTTCCAGCATCTAAAGAAGTAAATTAAGAAGAGCATGAAACCAATCTTAGTTCATGGGACTTATAAAATAAGAAGGCTTCCAGTGCTTACCACTTAAAAAAAAAAGGGTAATTATATTTTCACTATATTCTACCCACTTTTTCTTCCTTTATTCTCCAAAAAAAGTGGAGGGTGGGATATAGGGGGTGGGTAGGTGGTGGGAAGTATGGGATGGGGGTGGTTGGTCTCCATCCAGAGATGTCTGTGGAAATATGTGGATACCTGGATACGTGGCAACTATGGTAATTCTTTATGAACATCCAGTTGCCATCCCTTTAAGCAGGTTGAGCGTTCAACAGTGGATAACTCTTCCCTAGAGTACTAGTCAATTTTGTTGTGTGACAATCAGAAAGCCTATTTAATACCAGGTACTGATTCCAAGGCTGAAAAGAAAAGAGAAGAATATTATATTAAGTGGAAATGTAGTAAATTTACTACTATCTAAATCTTACCTTGCTATTCTGCCAGTGTTTTATTTCAATTCACTGCCAAATAAAGTTGCAACTAATTTTTAAACTAATATTTAATGTTGGAGAGATTTAGGGATATAATTTGTACTGGTATCAATGATACATTAACCAAATTAATTAAAACTAGCTTATACTGAAAAAAAAAATAAATGAACAAAAGATTTTTTTATGCAGTGGTCTCAATTTACTGTTTTTTTTCCTTTGTTGCTCAGTTGCCAGTTCTCAGAATTCAATCTGCACTGGGAACCCCAGTCATTAGTATGAATTAGCAACACTCCACTGTAATTCACTGTAATTTGCCAGAGATGGAGTTTTGATAAATGGTAAAAGAGAGATCAGTGTTGTGAAGCCAAGTTGCAGGGAGACGAGGTCTCTTTGGTGACTAGGTTTTTCTTTGGTTTCCCCATCTTGCATTCCCTATCATCTTATAAAAGAAAAAAGATAACATAAATGAAATCCTTAATAAAAATCTAAATCTGAACCTAAGTTTTAATAAACTTAACATTAATAAAGAGTTTGGGTGATTAGAATAAGGACTTCTAATCAATCCAGACAGATAAGATCACAGTCATAATTGCATTGGCTGTTATAATTTCCTTTTACTTGTACCAAATGGAAAATAAAGTCTTGAGATGTCTACAAATGGAAATGAAAATAATGGTTTTCAGTGATAATTTGATAGGAAGTAATTGGCCACCTGAAGGGAAAAACCCTCATCGTGGAAATAATTACAAATAATTGGTTACTGTAAGATGGGACTATATTTGATGCACTCAGTACAATAAATGCTCTTAACTAAAGATGTTACCATGGAGGTTTGAGAGTATTACTAACTATATAAATCAGAGACAATACAAGAGTTTACAGACTGGCTAGTCATGGTTCAACTTTGATCCAAACGTATGACTTATTTGGCCAACAAAATTACTTTGACTTACATTTTAATTAGCTGTCAATACTTTGAAAGTGGAAGATGAATGAAGTCAGGATTTATAGTTTTTCTTTTGAAAAAATTAAAATGTCAGGCAACACTGGCATCTTATTGCCATAACTGCAACAATCCTGTCAAATTGGGTCAAGCACTAGAATTACCCACAGCCCTGGTTGATCCACTTCATGCATTGAGAAGTTAGTATGGCCCTTATAGGTGTTTGAGTTGGTGACTCTAGCTCTGATAACATTTCCTGTACTCATATGTAACTTTTGAGTTCATTTAGTAAATTCACATTTTGTAACTTCGTTCATCTCACAATAACTTTTTAGAATAAATATCATTTACAGAAAAATAAAGTATGACTTTATCTAAGTGGCTTACCCAGGGAGACAAGTCAGTAGTAACATGAAGCCAGTACATGAACCCAGATGTCTTGACAATTAATTACCTTACCTTTCTACGGAGCCCTGCCCACTCTGGTCTGAGATCAATTGTAATGCTCTCAGTGAAAGTAAGCCTCCTGTATTTGGAGCCTAAAGTACTAGCATTTGGCATCTTTGATAAAATAATTTGTTTTATGTGAGAAATGGCCAAGAATTAAGATACAGTTCAGAATTCTGGCCCATAAGAAAACTTCTGCAAAGTGTCTTGGGACCATTTATTAATTAAACAAATGATTAATTTGAAATTCCTAACTTTAAACAGAGAATATTAGGTTTTGCAACTGGTAGGATATGGCTCTTTCTTTCACTAGGTACTTAGATTTTATATTTTAATTTGAGCTGTGTTTTAGGGAGACCAGAACCTTGAACAAGTTGAGTAGATAATGTGCCAAGTGGAGACTCCTATAAATAAGAGTATGTGAAATATGGCATACATAGTATTTTAGAATCCTTAGGGACCTCTGCGAATATTCTCAGCAAACATTATAGAGGAGAAGAAAATTTCGTGTTGAACAACATTCTTGTAGGTTAGTCTCTTGAAATCTTGTCAGTTACTGATGTTATCATTTTTTCAGGAATTGTGTTAGCTATGCCATTAATTAATAGAATGTTTTTTCCTGATTCTACTTCATGATTCAGAAATTGATAACCATTTCTTTATCCTTTTATTTACTTTAAGACTAGGCTGAGCAGACACCTCCATAGCAAAATTAATATGAATAAGCAATTGTAAGAAAATAAACGGTCGATAAGCATATGAAAAAAATTCAACCTCACTAGACAGAAGGAAATACAAATTTCAAACATATAGTTTAAGTAAAATAATAGTGAGATATATTATGAATTGCCTACTAAATAGTAAAATAATTTTTAAATTATAATACTCTGTGTTCAAAAGTTCTAGGAAATGTGTATCCTCATATATTAGGGATATAAATGTAAATTAGTTTAGCTGGTCTGGAAGAAAATAGTATTTGTATCAAAAGCCATAAAAATTTGAAAATAGTTTGAAATTATGATAGCATTACATGATTTGAAATTTATCCTGTGGATAATTAAGGGTGAATACAAATATTTATTTACAGGAGGATGGTAATCATCATGACATATTATATTGTTAAAATATATAATAATAATAAATTGGAAGCAAAATAAATTCCTAACTATAGTATATCAGGTCAATTTTAAAATATCCATACAGTTGAATTGCCGTGTAATCTGTGATGCTGTAGGAGAATATTTAATAATATAGAAATACATTCTCAGTGTGAGTAATAAACAAGTTTTCTGAAAAGTATATAACATCTGATTCTATTTCTGTATATACACAAATATGTAGAAATTATAAATTATGGAACAGTGCACTCTAAGATGTCAACTGTGATCTGCGTGGTGGAAATATGAATTTATTTTTCTTTTCTTGGTGCCTATTCATATTTTCAAAATTTGTTTCAAAGAATGTATGTAAGTTTGTAATCAATAAAAATAGAATTGCCAGCCTGGGCAACATAGTGAGACCCTGTCTCTTCAAAAAAAAAAAAAAAAAATTAGCCCAGAGTGGTGGCATGTGCCTTTAGTCCCAGGCACTCAGGAGGCTAAGGTGGAAGGATCACATGAGCCCAGGAGTTTGATGCCGCAGTGAGAAAAATCGCACCACTGCACGCTAGCCTGGATGACGGTGTGACTATGTCTCTTAAAAAAAGTAGAATTGAACATTTAAAAACTAGCTGAACATTATTATTTCTTAGTAAATTTAATAAAATAGCACAACCCTATGTGATTAGAAAGAATTGGGGATTATTTAAATCCAAGCTTCTATCACACCTTACTTGAAACACTGCAGTAGACTCCTAATTGGTCATGCAATTCCACAGCTTAAAACTCTTCAATAGTTTTCCAGTGCATTTAGAAGAAAATCCAAATTGCATACAAGACCCTGTATGACCTGATTCATTGTCTGACTCTTTAATGTTTTCTCACACCACTCTCCTTCCCTCCAGTGCAATTTTACTGTTTCTGCAACAAACTAAAAATTTTTCTGACTTAGGGATGTTGCACCTGCTGTTACCTCCTGCCTGGAATGTTCTCCCCTTTCTCTCCCTAATCCTGGCTCTTTGCATGACTGGCTCTCTCTCATCTTCCATGTCCCAATTCAACTGTCACTTTCTGAATGAGTAGTCATCTCTTAACAAAAACTCTTTGTGGCATCAACCTGTTTCATTGCCTTTAGAGATCTTCTCACTATGTCAATTTTTCTGGCTTAGTAAATGCTTAGTTTAGTTGTTATCAAATACTGATTATTTCTATAATAATAGTTTCTTTCCCCAAAAGTGCAAGCTATGTTAAGGCAAAGCCCTGCTTGGTTTGTTCACTATTATAACGCTAGCAGGAGAAAGGTGGTTTACATGTTGAAGTTGGTTAATAAAGAAAAGTTTGCCTCTGAAGCTACACATGCATAACCTCAGAAAGAATAGAAACTGAAAAATGGCAAATGGCTCCAGATCCAAGGTGAGACCCTCAAGAGCTGTAGCTGAGGACCCTTGCCCTTTGGCCGGGAGTCAGTGTTATTAGCCATTACCTTCTTACAGCTTGTTCCTGTTCTGTTCTTTACGCAGTTGGGTTCTTGATCCTCAACTTGTTCTGTGTATTTTTCTTTTTTCAGTGTTTCTGCTGACTCATTTCTCCTAATTTTGATTTGCATATAATACATCACAGAGATTGCTATAAAGCAAAATAACCCTACAAGCATTGTGGTATTTATTTCATGTGCCTTCAAAATGGCTGTATTAACATTAGTATTAATTATAGTATTTTAATAAAAAGTGAAATATGATTACTATCAACTTCTACTCCAGGGCTGCCCAACATAAATATATATAATTTTTAAATTTTCTAGTAGCCACATTTTTTTGAAAAAAGAGAACATGTGAAATTAATATTAATAGTATATTTTATTTAAATCAGTTCCAAAATGTTTTAACAGGTAATCAATATAAATGCATTGAATTCTTTAATTATTTTATTTGTGCTGTCTTTGAAATCTAGTATGTACTTTATGCTTATGGCAGGTCTCAATTTGGACTAGCCACATTTCAAGTGTTCAGGATCTACCTACATATAATTGGTGGCTATTGTATTGAGCAACACAGTTCTACATTTTGTCTTTAGACTTTGTTCTACCATAGAGAGGACTGAGGCTATTCTGACCTTTTGGCTAAAGTATCAACAGGGAAGACTATTGGGAAATATAGCCCTTGATAAGACACATGATAGTATTCATAGTGCTGGAGGAATGGCAGTGATGAGAATCTAAAAATGGATCTGATTTATGAGGATAAAGGAGCAGGAAAAAAGAGAACCCAGCACTGGGGGAAGGGAGATGCTTAGGCTAGGAAAAGAGCTAGAAATTGGGTATGGGGAGCCTCCCACCTTTACTCTGCCCTCCTCTTTCCCAATCCCCTCTCTTCATCATCCTGCTATTTTCCTTAAGGCACCTGCTCTATCACTCTAAGCCAGCCCCGTCAGGGCCTCCAGAAGTAACTAGAAATTCAAATTTTTACTAGTGTGTATGCAAATGATTCATAAATATATGAAAAGAGGCTTATCTAGGAAAGGATTGAAAACATCAACAAAGTACCTGGGAAGGGTTATTATGAAGGGAGGAATATGGTTAGAAAACTTTCAGAGTACCACTTTGTTCCTTTAACCTCTTTGTATGATTCTAAAGTTTTAAATGGCTCAAATTTCACATTTTTGTGTGTGCATGAGGTAGTGATATCATAGAAAAAAAAACCACCAGTATTTTGGTACTTAAAAGTATCATGGTGCATTCAATGTGGACTTAATTACACTGATATTACCATGACTAAACTCAGCCACCATAGCCTCTTTATTGTTCAACTCTTATTCCCATTGTTTAAGGACAAATTATCTCTACATTTCTTTATTCACATTCCCTAGTGAAAAAGTTGTATTGCTCTGTATATTAGTCTGTTATCATGCTGCTATAAGGACATATCTGAGACTGAGTAAGTTATCAGGAAAAGAGTTTTAATTGACTCACACTTCAGTAGGCCTTTGGAGGCCTCAGGAAACTTAACCATCTTGGTGGAAAGAGAAGCAAACACGTCCTTCTTCACACAGCAGCAGGAGACAGAAATGAGAGCCGAGCAAAGGGGGAAGCCCCTTATAAAATCATCATATCTTGTGAGAACTTACTCACTGTCATGAGAATAGCATAGGGGAACCAGCCCCATGATTCAAGTACCTCCCACTGGGTCCCTCCCACCACACGTGGGGATTACATTTCAAGATGAGATTTGGGTGGGGACACAGCCAAACCTTATCATTACAACCCTGGCCCCTCTCAAATCTCATGTCCTCATACTTTAAAATACAATAATGCTCTTCCCAATGGTTCCCCAAAGCCTTAACTCATTTCAGCATTAAACCAAAAGTCCAAGTCCATAGTCTTATCTGAGACAAGGCATCCCTTCTGCCTATGAGCCTATAAAATCAAAAGCAAGTTAGTTACATCCTAGATACACTGAGGATACCAGCATTGGGTAAATACCCTGTTTCAAATGGGAGAAATTGGCCAAAACAAAGGGGCCACAGGCCCCATGCAAGTCAGAAATCCAATAGGGTAGTCATTAAATCGTAAAGTTCCAAAATGATCTCCTTTGACTTCATGTCTCACATCCAGGGCATGCTGATGCAAGAGGTGGGCTCCCATGGCCTTGGGAAGCTCTGCCCCTGTGGCTTTGCAGGGTATATCCCCACACCTGGCTGCTTTTACATGCTGGCATTGAGTATCTGTGGCTTTTCCAGGCCTACAGTGCAAGCTTTCAGTGGATCCACCATTCTGGGGTCTGGAGGATGGTGGCCATCTTCTCACAGCTCCACTAGGCAGTGCCCCACTGGGGACTTTTTGTGGGGGCTTTTACCGCACATTTTCCTTCCACACTGCCCTAGCAGAGGTTCTCCATGAGGGCTCTGCCCATGCAGCATACTTCTGCCTAGAAATCCAGGTGTTTCCATACATCCTCTGAAATCTAGGCAGAGGTTCCAAAATCTCAATTCTTGACTTCTGTGCACCAGCAGGTCCAAAACCACATGGAAGTTGCCAAGGCTTGGGGCTTGCTCCCTCTGAAGCAATGGCCTCAGCTGTACCTTGGCCCTTTTAGCCAGTGCTAGAATAGCTGGGATGCAGGGCACCAAGTCCCGAGGCAACACACAGCAGAGGGTTCCATGAACTCAGCCCATGAACTCAGCCCAGGAAACCATTTTTCCCTCCTAGGCCTCTGGTCCTGTGATGGGAGGGGCTGCTGTGAAGGTCTCTGACATGCCCTGGAGACATTTTTTCCATTGTCTTGGTGATTAACATTCAGCTCCTCCTTATGCAAATTTATGCTGCTGGCTTGAATTTCTCCCCAGAAAATGGGTTTTTCTTTTCTATTGCATCATCATGCTGCAAATTTTCCAAACTTTTATGCTCTTCTGATTTTTGAATGCTTTAAGGCTTAGAAATTTCTTTCATCAGATACCCTAAATCATCTCTCTCAAGTTCAAAGTTCCATGGATCTCTAGGGCAGGGGCAAAATTCCTCCAGTCTCTTTGCATAGCAAGAGTGACCTTTACTCCAGTTCCCAAGAAGTTCCTCATCTCCCTCTGAGTCCACCTCAGCCTGGACTTCATTGTCCATATCACTGTCAGCATTTTAGTCAAAGCCATTCAACAAGCCTCTAGGAAGTTCCCAACTTTCCCACATCTTCCTGTCTTCGGAGCCCTCCAAGTCTCTTGGAAGTTCCAAACTTTCCCACATTTTCCTGTCCTTTTCTGAGCCCTTCAAACTATTCCAACCTCTACCTGTTACCCAGTTCCAAAGTCACTTCCACATTTTTGGGTATCCTTATAGCAGCAACCCACTCTCTGAGGTACCAATTTACTGTATTAGTCTGTTCTCACACTGCTATTAGGACATACCCAAGACTGGGTAACTCATAAATAAAAGAGGTTTTATTGACTTATAGTTCTGCAGGGCTGGGGAGGCCTCAGGAAACTTATCATCTTGGTGGAAAGGGAAGCAAACACGTCCTTTTTTACATGGCAACAGGAGAGAGAAATGAGAGCCAAGCAAAGGGGGAAGCCTCTCATGAAACCATCAGATCTTATGAGAACTTACCCACTATCACGAGACTAGCACGAGGGAAACCGCCCCCATGATTAAATTACCCCCCACCGGGTCCCTCCTACCACATGTGGGGATTATGAGAACTACAATTTAAGATGAGATTTGGGTGGGGACACAGTCAAACCATATCACCCCATTTTTTACATTTGGCTACATCATCACTCGCTGGACTTTTTCTGGATGGGCAGTTCTTGAGCCAGGTCATTTAAGCAGTTCAACCAGTCATAGTAGGAGAATCACTGTGATTCCCATTGAGCTGTGGATAGCTAGGCATAGCAAATGTTGTTTTTTTTAGCATACTTATGCACTGGGCAACATGGCTGGATGACTGTTTGGCTTCCTTCAAAAAGAACTTCCTTCAAAAGAGTATTTGATGTGTGAGCCTGGACTAGGTCAGACTTCCTGGGTTCAAAACTTGATTTTACCAAGTACCAGCTGAATGTACTCAGGCATCTTAACCTTGCTGCAATTCTCTCATCTGGAGAATGGAGAGACTAATGATATCTACCTCTTGGTTGTTGTGAGGATTAACTATAACAATATATGAGTTATTTGAATAGAGCCTGGCATATTAGTGCTATAGATTTTTTTTTTAATTTCTATGTTTATGCAGAACTAAGCATACATTTGACACATTATACTTTTTTCTAATATTTCTTGCTAATTTTTACAACAACTATGAACAATGGATATTGTAATTCCCACATCACTTATGAGGCAACCAGGACTAACAGGGTTAAGCAAACTGATCAAAATCACATAAATAATTGGTGGCATGGATGAGACTTAAAATGAAAGCTGATGAATTTCAAAGCCCAATTGCCCTGTTTCATCAGAACTATTTCTGTCCCAAGAGACCACATATAGTAAGAAGGCTGAGGGTCGAGAATCAACATTCTTTGGGGAATTTTATTTCAATGGCACATGGTTGATTTTCTCAGAATACATGCTGGGATCTTATTTGGTTTTTGTGTGGCCTCAACTGTAGCCGCATATCCTATTCATTTCTATGCTTTAGGCCACCAAAGCATAGAAAATGCAAGTCCTGCCACTGAGCATGAGCACCTCATACATTTGGGTTCCACTGTCATCAAGTCATCACTGATGAAAAGATATTTTCTGGTTTGTTTTGCAGAGAATGAACTGATGCCTCTTTTGGTCAAAATTAGGCACACTGTCTGAATAACACTGCTTTAGAACCCATCCAAAGGCCCAGGTTGTTGTTCCAGGGACTATAGTGATGAAACAGCCTGCAGCCTTCCAACCATTCTCTGCCTGCCTAGTAGGCAGCAGCCTTGAAATGGTTTGCATGACTGTGCAGCTTGACCAGAAACTGCTTGCATTTGTAAAGCATTTTCTGTCATCCTTTGGCTTTTTAAAAAGAGGTCCAAGCTTTGAACTCTTCCCTTAAAGATAGACTTTGCCTCTGGAGCATTGGAAAAAAAACTAAAAACAAAAAACATACACCTGTGTAGAAAAGCGTGTATGTATCACATTTAAGGATAGAGCCATTAAAAGCATTGGTGCTGTTAAATTCTGAAAATCAGAGGTTGGAAGGGAATGCCTTCTCTGCTGATTACACTGTAACTGGTGCAGCTAAATAGGCTCCAGACACTACTAGAATAGCAGATATCCATGTGTGACTACAGAGGAATATATGAGAAAGAAAAAGACAGATGGTGTACTTAGGTGCACTTAAGTCTGATTGCATGAGTTGATAATGAATGTTTAAATATGGCACTCCCATAAAATCAGATACCTGTAGACAATACTGGAATAACTACAGACTTGCTAGGGGGAAAAATGAAGTTGTAGATTCTAATTTTTGTTTTTGTCATTATTATGATTGTCTATTTACTTGTATGGGAATTTTCATAACTTTCTCAGAGCCTAATCATAAAACAAAAAACACAATCAGTAGCACAGACAACAGATTCTTAGAAATGAAAGGAAACTTAAAGCTTATTTCACAGCTGTAGAAGCTCATGGCCAGACAGGTGAGATGACAAAGGTCAGACAGCTCCTAATGACAAACTGAGACTTAAAGGGCACACCACACTTGTCCCTGCCTAGGCATTGTTACACCACAAACACCCTGCTTTCTTCCCAGGAGAATTACATTAAAAATCGCAAGAGTCGTTAACAAAACACAACCAATATTGTTCAAAGGCAGAAAATTTTCTACCTCCCATTAACCATTTTGGTTTACTTGTTCGGTCGGCCCCAAACCCCAAACCAGATTATATAGCATTTTTAAAACCTTAATAAAAGTTGGATTTCACAGTGGCAAATGTGCATTGAATTTTCCTAAGGGGCTCAAGTTTTAACATTTTTCCTGCATATACTCTTCAAACACTTCTCCAGTTAGACTACTGGAATTTCAATAAGTAAAAAATCAAAGATCTTGCTTAGGTCAGACACCAACAAATAGCCATGGTATTGGGTAGTTTTGGGAAAGGGTGCCCACTTCACATGTGAATAGGGATGTGTGAGGGAACTGGAGGGAAGTAATCCTGGCCCGAAGTGCATGCTCCATACAGAAAGTACTCATCGATCAGAAGCTGTAAATAAATTGGACCTGGCACCTTAAGTGCCTTAAATGTTGGAAGTTAAACCTTAAATCGCATCCTTATTCTTAAAGGAAGCAGGTGAGCCTCCCATCAAAGAGACTGGTGGCATAATCAAGATGAGTAATGCTGCTGAAATCTGAAAGGACTTCATGGTCTGAGTGGGAGGAGAGTCCCTGGAGCAGGGAGCCTAAAAGTCCACATGTCACTTTTCGTGAGTGGGAATCTGGGTGGTGAAATATGCACATACTTTAAAATCACAAAGTGCTGACATACATCAGGAACCCTTTGTATGGTGGTAGGAATGTTTTCCAATCACCATCTCCAAACAAGGTCCCCATCAGGCTGCCAAAGTGGCAGTTTTTACTAGAATATGAAAGATTTTGAAAATGATTCTTCAAAGAACTAGGACAAATTTTATAAATTATGCACAAATTACATAGTTGTATAAGTAGAACTACAAAATTACTTATAATTCCCACATGAATAGATGCATTTAGGAAGTGAATGTGATGCAAATGTCATCTCTAGCTTCCCAAGAGTTTCCTTAATTCAACAGGATAACAAAATGACCATTAATGATAAATTTCAAGGGTGAGGTAAATATTGTAAAAGTTGTACGCATTTGTCACAGACCTGGAACAGAGAAAAGAATGCTATTCGCAAAATAGAAATTTTGAAAAATTCTGGAAGTTACAAAGCATAAGAAATCAAATTAATGCAGAAATTAAACCAGAGAAAATCACAACTTTGGAGGCAAGAGGAGTTTTTACCAGTGAGGACTAGGAGGAAGCTTAGCTCCACAATGAAGAGGCAGGGACAGCATGAACAGTGGGGTGATAATGAGGGAAGTGTTGGGGCTTCGCTATGGAAGAGTCAGTCCAGTGGCTGCCCGCAGCACAGGACCCTTAGCTAAAACTAAGATGTATTTCTGGTGAGAGCTCTTAGCCATGTGTCAGGCAGGGCTGATAAACCAGAGTGTGTTATGATTTCCAACCTTTGTAATAGATCCAAAAAGATAATTAATAATAATAATAATAATAAAGAAAAAAGAAAAGGAAGCTTCACCTAGTATCGAAAGTGTGAAACACATTGATGTGTTTTATTCAGAGTAAAGGCAAGCTTCCCCTGGAGATTTTGTGGGAGGGAGTGAATTTCACGCCTGTTTCTGATCAATTCACAAACCCTAAGGAAGTCAGCTTGCTAACAGGCCCTGCCTACCAGATACAGCACTCTGCTAGCCCTCTCATTCAAGGGAGAAGCTTGCTGCAGTAACAGTCCAGTCAAGATGATAGAGAGAGAAATCACAAACTCACTTTAAATCAGAAAGTTGATATAAGCTACGGAGAAAAAAGCCTGAAAAATGGAATTTTAAAATCAAGATGAAATGGATGATTTTTCTGGAAAAATACAAGTGACCAAAATTGATTCCAGAGGAGAAAAGTAATCTTAACAGGCTGAAAATCACAGGAAAGATTCAGATCACATTCTACCATTCCCCATCCCCTGCTCCCACTAGAGGCAATAAACCAAGACAGTTTTATAGGTGAGGCGCTTATACGTTGTAAGCAAATAAGTCCTTCATTCATATAAAAACTATCCCAATTCTTAGGATAAAATGCAGAGCTTCTCAACTCATTCTATAAAGCTGTTATAATTCTTATGCCAACATTGGAAAAGGATAGATAAAAAAATTTAAAAACCTACTATTCAATAATACTTATGTAGACAAAAATTATAGATTAAAACTTAGCAATCTTAATCTAATATCTTATTAAAATATTATTTCATGATTTGGTATTATGTTACTGAAGAATTCATTTTAAAAAGAAAATGTCTATATTAAGTTATAACCTGTCTATCTTGGTGAGGCATATGTTGTTATTTTCTATGTTTGCCATGACAGAAAGAAGTTTGGATATCCTAGTTCAACCCTGAAACTTGCTGCAGAATCGTATGTAGAGTTTCATTTCACTTATATGAAATAATATGTAACTGACATGAATGTGTGTGTGTTTGAAAATAGATGGTCAGGAGCAGTGGCTCATCCTTATAATCCCAGCGTTTTGGGAGTCTGAGGTAGGAAGATAGCTTGGAATTGAAGAAGAGTCATGATCACACCACTGTCTGGGAAATGGAGTGAGATCCTGTCTCAATCAAAAAACAAAAATCCAGAAGGATAAACACCAGTCTAATAACAGTGGTTACTTTGAGAAAAAGTCTATTTTTGCTAAGTATTGTGTCTGCTGTACATTGTACAGGCATTGCCACTTGAAAGACTCTTACGTGAATGAATTAAATAAATTGAGTTTGGGTAAAATACAAATTTCACTATAGGTACCTATATTATTTAAATATTTTAAGATAAGCATATATTAATTAAAATGATGTAAATTAAGACTATATATATACATATATACACACACATATGCAAACATATAACCACCATTCCCTACTGGTCATTCTTACAACAAATAATTTGCTGAGTACTATGTACCATGTGCCAGGCACTGCTCTAGATGTTTGGTATTGATCAGTGAACAGAGCCAGCAAATTAGATTTTAAATTCAATCTTTTATTTGCTTATGAGTATTTAATCTTTTATTAACCTATAAAACTGATTGACCTCTTAATCTATTCCAGACACTCAGAAGGAACCTATTGAATCTCATAAAAATCAAAGTTATCTTAATTATATTCCCCCATATGCATATGAGGGCAATTCACAGAAATCAGCTAGGAAAGTGAGTATTCATACTCATTCTTTCTTCATTTTGGAGCAAACATTGGCAAAGAGCATTTATATTAAGACTTTATGTTAAAAAACAACACAAATTACTCCTAAGAAAGATGTTAAACTGTCTATTATCTACATAAATTAGAAAAATGCAAAACTTTCTAAATAAGGGAAAATGAATCAAAGAACATTGGGTTTGAAATCAGATTGGCATGATTGTAAATGCCATATTAGTTGTGAGTGTATTCCTGGAGTACAGGATTTAACACCCTTGCCTAGGCATAGGAGGCTGTGCTAACATACTGCTAGAATAGTTCTTAGAAGCTTAAAGTTATGGTCCACATTGAATGAATTAGGTATACTATAACTCTCATGTGAGACTATGGAAGAAGAGCTCAAAAAGCTCCAAGAAGTGGGCATGTTAGGGTTGATATACTATGTAAGCTTGAACACTGGGTGACTGTTCTCTGGGAGAGCCCAGAGGACATTTTATTTGCCAAAGTAATAAAGAGGTCACTAGTGAAAATGGTGTCAGCATCATTGAGAAACTGAGTGACAGTTGTCCTCTAAGGGCTAGTCTCAGTATTTGGATATGTTGTTACAAAATTGGGCTTCTTATAGCATTGGGAATAATATGATTCCAAATAAAAGAGGGCAGGTGGCAGTGTTTAATTCTTAGATGCCAACTAGGCATAATTATCACAAAGAGCACTAGGGTTGGACTGGCAGCCAGGAGGACATCACCTACAGAGAGCTATGGATATTGTAAATAAACAATAGCCAAAAGAATAACTGCTGATCTACTCTAACAAAAGAAATCAAGACTGGATCATCAACAGCCTGAGAGTAGCCACCCTATAAAAGTCATGATCCCCTCCCCAGCTGCTAGATTGAAGGCCAGTTTTCACATCTGCAGAGTGCTGACTGAGGAGAGGTCAACTTTTCAGGAGAAAGCCTCCTAGAACACTGTGGCAATACAGCAATGTTTACAGTATTGTTTTCTCTCCAGGGGTTCCAACCCCTGGACCTCAGATTGGTACCAGTTAGGAACCGGGCTGCACAGTAGGAGGTGAGCAGTGGTCAAGTGAGCATTACTGCTTGAGCTCCGCCTCCTGTCAGATACACGGTGGCATTAGATTCTGATAGAGGCGCGAACCCTATTGTGAACAGCACATGTGAGGAATCTAGGTTGCACGGTCCTCGTGAGAATCTAATGCCTGATGATCTGAGGTGAAACAGTTTCATCCTTAAAACACTACCCCCCAGCCCCACCTTGGAAAAATTGTCTTCTATGAAACTGGTCCCCGGTGCCAAAAAAGTTGAGGACTGCTGCTCTATATTTCTCAAAGGGAACTTCGGCCATTCACAACAAGGAAAGGGATATACAAATATTTTAGGAACGGAGACTCTGAGTTAGCATTGAAACCTGGGGATCAAAAGCTTCGTTATCGTCCCCTCCTAGTGAACACGAAGCACATGTCAGCCAAGTAGTAAAAAGTGTTCTGCCCTAGGTCTGGTTCACAGTGTGTCCAGTGGGTCCAAGGAGCGGCACAGTGATAATGTCCCAGTCCTTGAATGCATAATTGGAATAGACATTCTTACTAGTTTTATCCCCATATAGATTCCAGAAGCTGTGGAATAAGAGCTACTGTAATGAGGAAGGCCAAGGGAAGCCTCTGAAACTGAGCCTCCCTCTCTTGCCAAGATAGCTATGGAAAAACAAAACAAAACCAAAAAATAGAAAAATGGCAGACAATAGTGCCACCTAAAGACCTAAAAAATACAAGAATAGTGGTTTCTATCATATTGCCATTGAATTCATCAATTTGTACCTTATAAAAGTCAGATGAATTCTGAAAGTTAATAGTAGGCTACTGACAATTCAACACATGGCACATTTGCCAGAGCAGATAGAAATGGCCTCAAGCACATGGTATTCAGCCATCGATCTGGTGGATGATTTTTTAATTTTTTTGCCTTCCCTAATAAAAGGGTAGATCAAAAACAGCCTGTATTTACGTAAAAGAGACAACTGCAGGCATTTATAGACTTGCCCTAGAACTATGTGAAAACTTTCCCACATTCTGTCAAAGTATAGACTGAAGAAAGCTGGACTGTCTTGACATACCTCAGAACATCACAGCTGCCCATTATATGATGACATCATGCTCATTGGTATGAATGAGAAGAAGTGGCAAGTATATTACCAGCCTTAGTAAGACACAAACCCTCAAGAGAATAGGATATAATGATGAAGATTAAAGGGACCAATATTTCAGTGAAGGTTTTAGGATTCCACTGGTATGAGACATGCTGTGACACACCTTTCAGAATAGAGGACAAATAATTGCATCTTGAACCTCACATAGTGACAAAGGAAGCAAAATATGTCACAGGGGTCTTTAGGCTCAGGAAACAGCCAATTCTATACTTAGTAATATTGCTCCGGTCGCTATTCTGGATGACTAAAAAGACAGACTTCTATGAGTGAGGCACAGAACACAAAAGGGTTCTGTTGCAGATTTGGGCTTCATGCAAGTGACTCTGCTGCTTGGACCATGGCCAACTCTAAGTTATTAATGGTATTGATGTTGGTAAAAGACAGTGTCTTAGTCCATTCAGACTACTATAACAAGAGCACATAAACTGTGTGGCTGATAAATGACAGGCATTTATTTGTCACCACTCTGGAGGCTGAAAAGTCCAAGACGAAGTCCCCAGAAGATTCAGTGTCTGGCGAGGGCCCACTTCGCATTTCACATACATCCATCTTCTTGTTCACACATGGCAGAAGGGGCAAAGACTCTTTCTGGGACCTCTTTTATAAGGGAACTAATTCCCTTTTGTAGCCCCCATGGCAGAAGGGCAAAAGCCCTCTCTGGGACCTCTTTTATAAGGGCACTAATTCCTTTTTGTAGCCCCTAAAACTCATCTTAAATTCTAACGCCAATGTGATGGTGTTTGGAGGCAGGGCCTCCAAACATCGGCATTAGAATTTAACATGAGTTTTGGGGGCTACAAAAACATTCAGTCTAAGGCAGATACTGAGTGGAATTTATGGCAAGGTTCAGGAATGAGGGCTTGGCTCACTCCATTCAGTAAACCACTCATAGCAGCCAAAGGTGTTGGCCAAAATAGAGAAAAAATTAGAACAGGTAGTTGAGGAAGAAAAATATGATATACGTTAAAGTCAATTGCTTTTTAAAAACATGTAGCCTAAATAAGTTAAAAGTTTTCTGTGTTAGTCCATTTTTGCATTGCTATAAAGACATACCTGAGACTGGGTAATTTATAAAGAGAAGAGGTTTTATTTTGGATCACCGATCTGCAGGCTGTATAGGAAGCATAATGCCAGCATCTGCTTCTGGTGAGGGCCTCAGGAAGCTTACAATCATTGCAGAGGGTGACAGGAAGCCAGCATGTCACTTGGTAAGACAGGGAGCAAGACAGAAAAGAGGGGGAGGTCCCAGACTCTTAAACAACCAGGTCTCCCATGAACTGAGTGAGAATTCACTCTTCACCAAGGGGATGGCACTAAACCATTAATGAAAGATCCACCTTCCTGATCCTATTGCCACCCACCAGGCCCCACCTCCAACACTGGGAATCACATTTCAACATGAGATTTGGAGGAGACAAACATCCAAACCATATCACTTTCTAAATTTTATTTTATTTACCTGGAAAATGGCCATATGTATATATATGCATATATATACATGATTTTGAAACACATTGATAATGGAAAGAGAAAAATTTAGGGTCAGAAAGGTCAGACAGAATCCTGTATCCATGAAGATGTGAGTTAACTAACGTCTAAGTCATGTTGTGGACCTCACATATATCATAAACTATGACATTGCTTCATTTAAATCTCTTTTTAAATGATATGATAATCCCAAATGTACAAATGTGGAACCTGAGGTTTCAGGAAGGTAAGCAACTACACAAATTCCCAGAGTTGATGATATTGGAATGGCCAATTCTTTTGTTCTTGTAGTGTTCAACTTCTTTCCCTGCTGAGAACCCATTCTTGATGACTAAAGTATAAATGTTAGTCATCAATCCCCAATGTGTATATTTGGATTTGTATATTTCAAGCTCCAGTAACAACAAAAAATTGCCTTACATCAGTTTTTATCAACCTGAACACATAGACTCTGCTTTCTGATTTGTTGGGTTCTGATAACTATGTCATATAATGTTGCTTTTAATAATAATAACAGCAGCAACAACAATATAAAACAATAAATAACACTAATAATAAACCTAGGCTGGGTACAGTGGCTCATGCCTGTAATCCCAGCACTTTGGGAAGCTGAGTTGAGAAAAGACCAAGATTTCAAGATAAGCCTGGGCAACAAAATGAGACCTCCATATTTACAAAAAACATTTTTCAAAAAATCAGAGATGTGGGGGCATGTGCCTGCAGTCCCAGCTAATTGGGAAACTGAGGTGGGAGAGTTGCTTGAGCTCAAGAGTTTGAACTTGCAGTAAGCCATGATTCCACCACTGTGCTCCAGCGTGGGCAACAGAGCCAGACCCTGTCGCTAAATAAATTAAAGAAAAAAAAAAAGAAAAAAAAAAAAGTAAAACTACATTTCGCAAGTGAATTTTGTGTACAAGGGACTGTTTTAAATAGTTTTCACCCAAAATTAATCTTCAAAATTGCTATCAGGAATAGGTACAAATATCAGACCAATTTAATATTTGGAAAAATTGAAAACAGAGGTTAAAAAACCTTTGAATTCATACGTCCAGAAAGTGGTAGAAATGAGTTTTGAACTAATACTGTCCAATCTCTTAGACTGCACTCATAACCACATGCCTTAATCCAGTAATGACTGCCAACCTGAACAGAACTCAGAAATGCAGAGCTCTGAATAAACTCTTATTCTCTTCAAATGGTTATGTAAAGGCTAGCAACAATTGTAAACTAAAGATTTGGAGTATTGCATACGGTGATTATAAAAAGAGCTTTACTTTTAACAATAAAACTAGAGTTTACTTTCCATGCTTTTCAAATGGTGTTGCTAATTTAGAGCGGTGAGGTCAGCATTATGTAGAAAAGGGGTCAAATAAATTGGTGTCTTAATCCCAGTTTTGCCATCAATGGTTGTGGAGCCACAAAGAAGCCACTTAACCTCCTGTGACCAAGTTTCCTTACGTGTAAAAAGCTATCAATATTAGTGCCTTCCAGAACTGTTTCAATTATTAAATGGGATATAGTTTATAAATCATTTAGCAGGATGCGCCTATCCTTTACAACAAAGAAATAAGCAAAGGAGAAAACATGAGTGATTTCTAGGGTTGTTGATGTAACTGACCTTGTGTCTGTTGCCAATCTTAAATTTAAGCTAAGAAATGACCAAAGACATCCATTGGGATTTTTGTTCTCAATAACATTTTAAACATTTCTGGGGCAGTGTGGTAGTCATAAATACGCATAAGTATTTAGATGTGGAGAGGGATTGCATTCTCTACTTTTTATAGTCCTATGGGGTTTCCCAAAGTAGTTCTTTTCCTTTACATTCTATGGTGAATTAAACAGGGCTTTTTTTTCTCTTTGTTTTCATTCATTTCTTTTTCTAATCAACACCATGATTCTTCCATTGAGAAATATTAATGTGATCCTGTGGGACAACTTGGAGGAGGTCATCTTTTGGCCTTAAGAAGGTGACTTGAGTAGGGCTTAGGGGTAACCCAGGGGTGGACATACGAACCAAGCCAGACCACTCAGAGTCAGTGAGACTCACTCTGGACTTCTTTTAAAATGATTAGGAAAAAAAAAACGGACTCTTTCTACTGAGTTGCTGAGAGGCTAGGATGTAGAAATAACCTTGGAGCTGCTAGCAGCTCTCTTGCCAACATGAGTGGAGACCCTGCCTAACAGTGGGAACAACAGAGAAAAGCATAGTAAAGAGATAGATGAAGACTGAGTACTGAGGATACCATTTGATTTCCTGTGGATCCATCTGTGTCTGAAACCAGAACATGATCAAATTTTTCAGTTGCCAGAGCCAACAAATTATCATTTTTTTCCTTTAAACTAGTAAAATTGGTACTCTGTCCCTTGCCACTAAACAATACAAAGCTAGTCATTCTCTTTTGACTTTCAAGTGTCAGAATGGCCAAATGCATTTGAAATGCTTAGCACCATTGTCAGCGTCTATAAGCCAAGCCTTTTAAACTGACTGCTCAGCCATGCTCTTGCTGCCTGTCTCATTTGAGCACTTGCTCTCAAGGTCTAACCAGTGATCTGCTTTGCCCAACTACTGTTCTTACCACTGTGTCATTCCCTTAAGAATCTAATTATAGAATTTGTGTTCTTTATCGAAGAATGGCAAGATTATTTTGTATGAACAGGCACGATTTCCTCCAACTCATTCCCAAATGAGTCTTTTCCATCAGTGCATAGAGATGCCCATGGCATATGGCTTCAGCTACACTATTACATTCACTCCCCACAGAGATTCTCTGGGTCAACTCTGGAGACAGCAATTACTCTTTACATGAAAGTAGCTGTTTATCACTCAGGGGTTTTTGTAATTGATGCTTCTCATACCAATGTTTCTTTTTTTTTTTTTTTATAGAGATGCCTTAGAGAGCTTCAGACTAATATCCTTAGGTAACATTTACATTTTTGTTTATTTATTTATTTTTCAAGCAGGTATCATCTTATGATGAATTTGATTCGCTAATACAAAGACCCTGAATTCACGTCAAACTCATCTCCTTGATAATGATAGATAACCTCTTGAAAAGAGTAATTGGGCATTTTGGAAAAAGGAACTATATTTAATCATTTACAATGATGGCATTGCCTCCTGAAATTGCAAATTAGCTCTTCAATATGGATATCACAAAGTCCATATTGCCGGCAAAGCACTTCATTTTGGGGGCTTTGAAGACACAGCATTTCTTTTTTTAGGCAAAACACCATAGCATCTTAAAATATTAACTTAGGAAATGTCATTTGTTCCCAGGTCTTTAGAATATTGCCTTTAAAATTTCATTGATTTGGGACTTATAATAACCATGCAAACTGAAATTACCAGAGCAGCTTCTTAGTTGGCCTAATATGAGTGTAGAAGGGGAAGTTTTAAGCATGTGCCCATCTGATAGAGGACCTTATTTGAAGAACATTATAGCTAAATTGGAGAGAGCATAGGGCAACAGAAATGATAAATGAAATGGAAGGGATTACTGAACATATGAGAAGAGATTAAGAAAAATGGGGTTGTTTAGTCTTGAAAGAAGATGAGTCTGAGGTGAATTGATTGAGGAATTTGAACTAGCTAAGGGCCACAATGCAATTAAGTTTGATCCATTTGAAGGTGTACCTTTAAGCAGAAATGTGTGAAAGGCAAATTAAAGGGTTCTTATTTTACAAAAAGTGTGGTGATAAGCAAAGAAAGGATTTGTAAGTACTAAGCTAAAATAAAATGGTATTATCATACTTAAGAAAATATTTGTACTGTTTAATTGAAGACTCTCATGAGCAAGGGAGAAAGACGGCAGGAATAAGCATCGAAGGTCTTGGCATGTTTTTTTTTTAATAGACAAAGCCACTTCTATGTATGTATTATTTTCTACTCACATTACGTGGAATAAAGATACTTGGCTCGGATTTTAACTTTTCACATGCTGTCTAATTCTGTGTCTTGGTTTCCTTATCTATTGTAGTCATGGCAGGGTTAATTAATATTTGTACTATTTTATTAGATATTAAATAGCTAAATAAATGCATAAATGTATTATTTAAAATATAAAATATTTATTATATATGTATATGTTATATTTACCAAAGCACTCTTACCGATGTAAATGTGGTCAAGGACAGTTTTGAGAAAGAATATATGTTACAGAAAACACTTTGTACAAAGTCAAATAATTTACTTGTACTCTATCTTGTTCCATTAAAAACCTGAGGTGACAACCAAAAATACATAAAATAAAATCAAATATTCTAAGCAGGTATAACAGGAACAAAAAAAAAAGGATGGACCATAAAAAGTAGTGAGGAATAAAGCTAAATCATATATCATAGAGACTTAATATGAATAGACTACAAATGTCCTCTAACCTTTCTATCGACCAAATGTGAAAACAAAACAAAACCCTGGGCAGTTACAGAACATAGTAAATTCAGAAATAAAAACAGATCAATTGATATGACAAAGGACAACTATTCTTGGCAGTACAGCCACATGAGTGTGTTTCATGAGTGAACTACTAGAGAGGACACTACTGTCATAATAAGGAAGTTCCTCAAGAACATATCTAACAATAATATCATAATACTTTTCATAGGACTATTAATTTTTAGTACCCAATAGTGTAGAGAGATGGCATAAAATCAAAGCATAATTCAGTAAGTGCAGTTCTAATGAGGGTTATGCAAATTGGTCCAAATATCCAGTCATCTACTATTTGACAACATTCCCTTAAACCTTAAGTACATACAGGGATAAAGCATAGTGCCTTAATCACTTCTGCTTCTGGCTTTAATGGAATAGCTGGTATCAGGCTAAACCTCTCACTAGAACCAACTATAAAATCTGGATAAAACACAAAGGAAAAAAAAAACAGTTATTTAAAGATGCAGAGAACAACCTAGGTAATCAGGATTTGAAAGACAAGATTTCAGAGAGACATTTCTGAGAGGCTGATAAACTAAATAAAAACAATCAGTTTTATGGAGCTTGGGGAATAAAACTGAAATCTGAGCAATGAAGAAAGAGAAGTCTAAGTACAGTCCAGGCTTTCTTGAGAGCCTTAAAGGGCAATACCCTAGAAGTAAGGGCCAGTGAAAAATAGCCTTGACTGATTAAGGTGATAGGACCATATTCTAGCTACTGGCCAGAAGAAAAGTAAATCTCAGAGACATCTTCAGAATCTCTAGAATTCTTCACGTGCAATATCTAGCATTTCATTAAGTAACTACTGTAAACAGAACCAAATGACCCCAAAGAGAAGAAAGATAGAAAATTTAAATATATATCTATTCACCTTGGATGAAACGGTTATTAGAATTACCCAACAGAGACCTTAAGTAAGATTAATATGTTAAAATAGGTGGAAAGAGATAATATTGACATAGAACTTAAATATGTGAGATGAAATCAATGGAAATCTTAATACTGAAAAAGAAAATAACAGATATTAAGAGCTGAATAGATTTTTTAACAGAAGATTAAACAAAATAGAAGATAGGATTCATGAATGAGAAGATAGAGCAGTAGAACATATTTAGTATGAGACATAGAGAGAAAAAAAGGATGCAAAATACAAAAATCAAGTATAGCAAATATCTAGTGCACAATACAGATGTGTAACATCCTTGAAACTTGAGTTCCATAGTAGGTGAGAGAAAGAGAAAGGATTGAACAAAAATATATTTGAACAGATCCTGAGAAATTATTTTTCAAAGCCAATGAGATATTATACAGCAGATTTAGAGTGTAGGGAAACCATAACAGGATAAATACCAAAAAACCTAGGCAAATTACAGTATTTTTTTAAAAAAAGAATAAACAATATCTAACAATATTTTAAATTTTAAGTCAAACTTAAAAAAAAAAAAAGACTAAACCAGGCAACAAAAGGTAGGTTATTTTCAAAGGAGGAGCTATAGTGCTAAGAAAAATAGTTGATTTTTAAACAGAAATGATGGAAGCCAGAAGATAATGGAATGACTTCTAAATTGTGGGGAAAAGTATTTGCCAACCTAGAATTTAAATGTCACCAAAAACTTGCCTCAAAAATGAAAGTAAAGGTATTGCAAACTGCATTAGTATTTTCTTGTTGCCATAATAAGTTGCCACAAATTTGAAGGCATAAACAATCCAAATTTATAATCTTACAATTTTATGGATCAGAAGCCCAACGTTAGTCCTGCTGTGTTATAACCTTGATGTTGGCAGGGATGCATTCAGTTTTGGAGACTCTAGGAGAGAATCCATGTTCTTGCCTTATCAAAGTTCTAGAGGTCCTCCATATTCCTTCCTCCATCTTCAACATCAGCAACAGTTGTCCAAATCTTTCCCAAGCTGCTACCCCTTTGGTTTCCTGAAACTGTCAAGGGTGCTCCACTTCTAAAGACTCATGTGATTAGATTGGATCCTCTGGATAATCTAGGATGATCTCCTTATCTCAAGGTAAATATTCTTAATCACATTTACAAAGTCCCATTTGTCAGGAAAGGTAACACATTCACAGGTTCTGAGGATTAGGGTGTGATCATCTTCTGGGACCATTATTCTGCCTATCACATAGACAAAATTGTGAAAATTTTTCACCAACAGTCACTAAAATAAATACCAAAAGCAGATCTTCAGGAAGAAGAGAAATTATTCTTTAAAATAAGCATGACAATACAGTAATAAACAAAAGTCATCAAAAAGAGTAAATACATGAATAGCATAAATGTTTAAGATGATAATAACATCTTGAGAAGTTGAAGGATATATAAGTTCCAGTGACATACTGGAGCCAGCTAGCACTGGTTTGTAGAAACTTACTGCTAAACATTCAGTAATTCTGAAAGCTGGTGGTTAAATGCCTTATTTTTTTAACCATTATTAAAAATTAAATTGTATACAATTATAATTAAATACATGACATGAAAAACAAATGTAATAAATACTCAAAAGTCATCACTTCCTAATTATTTTACTACATTTTATTATATCTGTGCTCCTGAGGTTATTTGCTTCTATTAAATCTTTATGATGATGGCCTGGGCATAGTGGCTTATACATGTAATGCCACTAGTTTGGGAGGCCGAGATGGGAGGATCACTTTAGGCTAGGAGTTCGAGACCAGCCTGGTCAACATAGTGAGACCTAGTCTCTTAAAAAAAATTTATGGTTAGATTACTACATAGTGGTATACTACTACTGCACATCTCTTCCCAACAGACATTCAGTGACGTTGCATTGTAATTTAGAGATGGGCATCATGAGAGTATTTACATCATGGAAACTGGTAAACTCCACAACTCAAAACTTGGTTTATTGTCTTTATTCACTGTCCAGAAAGTAATGAAGTAAAAGTTGGTTATGCAGATTATTATTCAATTTTGCAAAGAAATTGCTAATGTCCATCTGTCAAACTCTGACATTGTTCAGAGTTTGATCAAAACATCTTCATTGTTTCATTTTCACAGTGATTATTAATATTACTAAGATATGAACCCATTCATATCATAACTATACTTTGTTCACCTGTAACTATACTATATTACTCAATATCAACCATAGTTTGACTAAGGATGCAAGAATTAGAAAAAATTAAACATAGGCATTCTGTAAGAATCAATTGGCTGTATGAAATTTAGCCACTGTACTATATATTTTATTATTTGTACACTTAGTACAAATATTCACCCTTTATATGAGGATAAAGTAAAATCAATTCATGCACATATATAGGCATGCAATTTCCCTTGATAACTGGTTGCCAAACATTTACTAGTGCCTATTGAAACATCGTAGCCAAAAAGATAGTAGTAGCACAAAAGATGAGGTTAAAAGTCTTATTACTTGCATTGTCTTTGAGACAGTAAAAATTGTTAATTTAAGGTCAACAATGCGAATTGTAATTTCCAGTGAAGCCACTAAATGAATAGTAAATAACAGAGACGATAACCAAATAGGCACTTCCATTTAGAAAGAATAAGAGCCAGAAGGGTATTTCATCCATTTCCATTTAATGTAATTACTAATATACTTGGAAATAAAAAGATAATCTTATTATTTGTTGCTTTTTTAAATATTTTGTCTATCTTCTCTTTTTTTTTCTTTTTGCTTTCTCTGCCTGTGGAGCTAGACTTTAACAAAATTGTTAGCATTTTTACATATGGATTTGTAGCCTGACTTTTTACTTCATGTCATACTGTATGCCATTAAATATTCTTTGAAACATTATTTTTAATGGCTACATAAAAATCTTATTATATGTGCTATTATTTATCCTCTCCCTTATTGGTTGATATTTGCTTTTTTATGCACTGTTATGAATAATGCTGAGGAACATCCTTTCCTGCACATTTCTTTGGCAAATTTCTGATAATTCCCAAAGGGTAGATTTTTAAAAATAGAATAAAAAGATATGAATTGTTTTAAGCTCTTCATATATATTGCTAATTGATTTTCAGAAAGTTTGTGCTAATTTATACATCCTCTAGTAAAAAGATGTTCCATTCTCACTACAATTTTTTAACATTGAATATTATTACTTAAAAATATGCTTGCCTATTTTTAAAATGGAAAATATATATCTCGTTGTCATTTTCATTTATTTGATAACTATTAAAGTTAAATAGTTTTGTGGGCTTATTGGCCATACACATATCTTCAGTAGATTGTTGGTTCATGTCTTTTACTTTTACTTTCTTTATTTTAATTTACCTTAATTTACCAAATGCCTTTATTCTTTTAAAATATTTTTCTGTATTTTTAGTGCGATAGATTGAATGCTTATGTCCCCTCTAAATTCATAGCTTGAAACCTAATCCCTCACGTGAACATATTTGGAGGTGGGTCCTTTGGGAGGTGATCATGAGTGCAATTAGTACCCTTATGAAAGACACCCCAGAGAGCTCCCTCATCCATTCGGCCACGTGAAGACACAGTGAAAAGACAGCCATCTATGAACCAGGAAGCAGGTTCTCATGAGACATGAAATCTGCCACTGCCTTTAGTCTTGGATTTTTTAGCCTCCATAACAGTGGGAAATAAATTTCTTTTGTTTTGAAGCCACCTCGTTTATGGTATTTTGTTATAGCAGCTCAAATGCACTAAGACATTCATGATGAGCAATTGATCCATACAATTACATGTAACAATGTTAAGCAATTCATTAAATATTTACTGAGAGTTCCTAGTTTCTAGAACTGTGAGAGATACAAAAATATCTAATGCTCCAAAGAGCCCATAGATATAGTGGAAGGATATCGATTCATCTGATAACCTAACCCTTCAGAGTAGAGTTTATGACTAAGGGCCCAAACACATCATAAACAACAAATATACACAACAGGAAATAACAGGAATTGGGAAGTCTTTTTAATAGAGTTGGGTATGTATTGGGCCTTGAAGGAAAAATACTGTGTGGATTGAGGGAAGCAAACTAAAAACAAATGGTAGAAAGACAAAATATATATGTGTGGATTAATAAGAAGAGTGAGACTTGTGATCTATTGCTTTAGCAGATGAGTTGAAGCCAACATTATTTGAAATAATTGGTGGTGTTAGACATGTGACTTCATGTTTTTCCATCCTCTAACAGTCTGTCCTCCCTTTCCAATCAAAACTTATTTCAGGTTGGGCGCGGTGGCTCATGCCTGTAATCCCAGCACTTTGGGAGGCTGAGGCGGGTGGATCACGAGGCCAGGAGATCAAGACCATCCTGATTAACACGGTGAAACACCGTCTCTACTAAAAATATAAAAAATTAGCCGGGCGTGGTGGCGGGCGCCTGTAGACCCAGCTACTCGGGAGGCTGAGGCAGGAGAATGGCGTGAACCCGGGAGGCGGAGCTTGCAGTGAGCCAAGATCGCGCCACTGCACTCCAGCCTGGGCGACAGACCGGGACTCTGTCTCAACAAACAAACAAACAAACAAACAAACAAAAACCTTACTTCAAGACCTATGGAGGTGAAAAATAATAACGAAGACAATGTTAACCACCACAAGACAGCAATGTGCCCACCAGAGGGGGTATGATCTTTAGGTCATTTTAGTGTCAGCACTAAATAAAGCTGAAAGAGACTTTCTGGAGCAGACATTGCCCACAATATGATGTCTTAGACATATATAAATTAAATAAGTGATCAGATGTACCTCTCCCTCCATAGGTAGAAAGGACAAATGTGTTCTGAATTTACAGTTTTCATAAACTTCTCTTGGAATTGTGGTTTTTCTAGATTGTCTGAGCAACCTAAACATTTTCCTTCCAAATCTTCCCGTTCCCTTTAAAACAGACAACAAAATAATTATAACCATTCAAACTATAAAGAGAATAATTTCAAAAGCAAATCATTTAAAGCTTCCTCTTAATTGGTACTGGACTTGCCCTCCTGCTGTAAATAACAAGAAAACAGGTCAAAATGTACAAAATGATTGTCGTGAGGCATTGGAAAACGGGAAGTATAGGACAGAGGAGAGAAGCAATTGATACGAGCTCTACAATTGCCCCAGCTTTCTATGGGGAAGCGCTTTCTGGACTGCAGTGCAAGGAGGGAGCCCCTAACTCAGCACTGCAGCCTCACTGAGTGGAGGGAAAAAAATCAGGGGGACTATTAAAGTACTAAGTCAAAAGGTATCACTCCTCGGTTAATACCGAGTATCAACTTGATTGGATTGAAGGACACAAAGTATTGATCATGGGTGTGTCTTTGAGGGTGTTGCCAAAGGAGATTAATATTTGAATCAGTGGACTGGGAGAGGCAGACCCACCCTCAATCCAGGTGGGTTCAATCTAATCAGCTGCCAGTATGGCCAAAATAAAAGCAAGAAGAGGAACTCGGAAAGACTAGACTAGTTTTATATTCAGGTCTACATCTTTCTCCCATGCTGGATGCTTCCTGCCTTTGAATGTAGACTCCAGGTTCTTCAGATTTGGGACTCAGACTGGCCTCCTTGCTCCTCAGCTTGCAGATGGCCTATGGTGAGACCTCACCTTGTGATCGTGTGAGTCAATACTCCTTAATAAACTTCCATATCCTACCAGTTCTGTCTCTCTAGAAAACCCTGACTAATACACTCCTTCTTTCCTAAAACCCACTCATGCTGTCTCATCTCCAGGAAATAAAACATCTACCAGGCATGAAGTCTTCCACTCTCTCCATAATTACCTCTGTCCCCTACTTGCTTGCCCCTTTTTCACTCATTTTGAGTTACTTCAAGCCTCTGAAATTCCAAGCTTTCTCTCAAACCAGACAGGCTCTTTTCCTAACTATTTCCTTTTCCTGGAACTCCTTCTCCAACGTATCACCACCACCATACACACAGAGATGTTTTCCTTCCATCATTCAGCTTTCCACTCAATTCTTACCCATCCAGAGAGGCTCTGCATGGCCATACGTGACATTCCTTCCCCCAACTCCTTACTACCCGTCATGCCTTAGCTTCTGTTATTTTTCTTCATTATATTTATCATACCATTGTTGTGTTTGTTTCTGGGGTACCTCTCTTCAGCAATATTTAAGCTTCATGAGTCAGCAATTTGTCTATTGTCTCTGCAGCTCTGTGCCCAAGGCTTGTACATAGTAGGTGCTCAATAAGCATGCATTGAACGAATACATGGTTGAAGAGAATTCCAGGAAGAGGATCAGTTAGTGAAGGGTTTATAGAGGGCTTAAAATAGAGAGCTCTGTTTAGCTTAAATAAAATGCCCAGAAGAATCAGCATGCACAACCACGGGGACTGCAGCACCAGGAACTAATTTTCAGATCACTTTGGCTATAGTGTGGGAGACCTGAAGGAGAGCACCAGAAGACAAGCTAGTGACATGGAGAGTCTGGAATGCCAGCTGGGTTCTGTTCATGGGCTTGACTTTTTAATGTCTCTGGAAGACCACAGGGGTAACTGGCCCTGAGGGTCTTTAAGCAGGAAAGTGACTTGTTTAAAGTAATATTTCCAGAGGATGAATTGGGCATCGGAATGCAGGAAGCTTCCTAAGTGTAAGACTCTGGGGGGGTTGTCTGGGTTGAGTCCATTAGCAGGGCATGATGAGCACTGGCTCACTGTCCCAATAATATTGGCTTTGGTGATCAAAAGGAAAATCACTAAAGGAGGAAACTTTTTATCTCAGCTGTTGTTTGCCAAGCATTATCTGTGGATTACCAAAGAGCTGCATAGAAAGAAATTTGAAATACATTATTACCCTTGCAGGACACCTATTATTGTGAAAAATTAATTTTTTCTTCCTGACTTCCAGGACATCGTGAGCTCAATGCAAGGGCCTAATAGAGACTTCGGCAAAAGTGTTCCAAGACCATTTGGCTGAGTCTCTCGAAGGAGAAAGATGTAAATTAGTGACCTTTGTGCTTTATTAGAATGAATAGTCCTTAATATGCAGATGGCACCTCATTTCCAACCTCGTTCTTGACAATTAGTGATTGCTCTCATTCAGTTATTTTTCAGAGTCCTTTCTAAGAAAGAGTTTCCATTTTACAGATGGAGGAACTGAGTCCCACAGATGTCAAGCAATTTTTCTGAAGTTCCACATTAAGTCAGCCTTAGGCAGGAAGTGGAAATTGGTCGTTTTTTGTTGTTCTTAGATCTTTTTAGTCCATGAAGTCATGTTGACTCGATTTTCTTATTAACATAGAAACTCCTATATATGCACTTGTACTGGAACATTGTACACAATTGTCAAGAAGAGACTAACTTTCTTTTAGCATGTAGTTATCAATAATTAGAATTTATATTATCTAGGATAATAATGTGTTTAAAACTAATAATTAAATACTAATAAAAGCCAATTATTTGAAGCCTTCAACTTTCCAGACTTCCACATCGATTTCCTTCTTATAATATTTATTCTATCTCTAAGAGTTTAGTAAAGATAGTCATTTTTTTCCCCTATTTTACAGGTGGGTTAAACAAGATGTAGTTTTGTTTGACTGCTTCCCAAATGTTTAGAAGTCCCTATACTGTTCCTCCTTCATTCATTAAATAAAACATTAATTTTGTATTTAGTTCCTTAGCAAATATTTGTGAGTATCAACTATTGTCAAACATTCTGATAAGCTCTAGATATATTAATACTTCAGTGAACCAAATAGATAATCTCAGGCCTTGTGAATCTTACATTTCAATTGGGAAGATAGGAAATAAGTAAACACATGGGTATTTGTAAAGTGAGTGAAGAGAGAGAAAGGGATCGGATGCAATAAAAAATTGTCATCAATAATTCTTCTTAGTTATCATAATTAGAGAAGTCCTCTCTGAGGAGATGATGTTAAAACTCTTGATCAATGTAAAGAAGAGAAAAGCTGTGTAATCCATGGATGAAGATATTTCCAGGTAGTAAATGTGTGTAAACATCCTGAGAAAGAAAAAACTTAACCTCTGGGAATAATTGAAAGAAGGCCAATGTCTCTGGAGCATACGAATGATATCGCAAGATAAGGTTAAAGAAATAAGCAGTAGTCCTATCATGAATGACAGGTCATAATGATTCAGGTGATAATAAGAAGTTTGGCTTTCTTTCATATAACATAGGAAGTCGTTGGAGGCTTTAAGCAGAAGAGTGAGAAGATCAGAATTGTGGCTTAAAAAAAAGAGCATGTTGACTGTAGTTCTAGGGGTAGATTGAGGGTGGTTAGGGGAGGAGAGGAGTGAAAGCACAGTGTTAGTTACTTTGTGCTGCTATAACAGAATACCACAAACTGGGTAATTTATAAGAAATAGAAAACTATTGGCTCATGGTTCTTGTACTTGTACATTGTTGTGCAGCTGTGAAGAAATACCTGAGGCTGGGTAATTATAATGAAAAGAGGTTTACTTTAGTTTGTGGTTCCAAGGCTGTGCAGGAAGCATGGTGCTGGCATCTGCTCCTGGTGAGGCCTCACGAAGCTTCCTATCATGGTGTAAGGTAAAGACTGAGCCACTGTATCACATGGCAGGAGGGGGAACAAGAGTGAGAAGGCAGAGGTCCCAGACTCTTTTAAAGAGCCAGATCTCACATGAATTAACTGAGCAGAAATTCATTCATCACCAAAGAAATGGCACTGAGCCATTCATGAATGATCTGCCCTCATGATCCAACACCTCCCACCAGGCCCCACCTCCAACACTGGGGATTACATTTCAACATGAGATTTGAAAGGAACAAACATCCAAACTATATCAGTTCTGGAGGCTGGGAAGTCCCAAATCAAGGGGTTGGCATCTGTTGAGAGCCCACTTCCTGAGTCATCCCATGGCAGAGGGTGAGAGGATGAGATTGGAAGGGGCTTAAACACCTCTTAAACTTCCCACTTTTTAAATACTGTTGCATTTGGGATTAAGTTTCTAACAAATGTTTTTATGAGAAACACATTCAAACCATAACCTTACATCCCTGGCTTCCAAAATTTTTGTCCTTCCCACATGCAAAATATAGTCATTCATTCCATCCCAATAGTCCTAAAGTCTTAATTCCTTCCAGCACCAACTCAAAAGATCCAAAATCCAAAATCTCATGTCTTAATCAGATATGGGTAAGACTCAAGGCATGATTTATTCTGAGGCAAATTACCCTCCAGCTGTGAGCCTGTGAAATTAAGCAAGTTGTCAACCTCAAAAATATAATGGTGGGAAAGGCATAAGGTAGACATTTCCATTCCAAAAGGGAGAAATAGGTGAGAAGAAAGGCGTAACAGGTTCTACTTAAGTCCAAAACCCAACAGTAAACCTAAGGCTCCAGAATTTTTCCTAACTCTGTGTCCCACCTTCTGGGCACACTGGGGTGAAGGTTGTGCCACCAAGGCCTCAAGTTTCTCTGTCTCATGGCTTTGTTGTGACTAGCCCATGCAGCAGTGCTCACAGCTTGCAGCAGGTATCATGCCTGCAGCTCTCCCAGGCTGGAGTTGCATGCTGACAGCTCTACAGTTCTGGTGTTTCAACTGAAGCCCCACTTTCATGGCTCCACTAGGTACTGCCCTAGTGGGAACTCTTTGCGGTGGTTCTATTCCTGTGGCAAGTCTCTGCCTGGGCCCCCAGGCTGTCTGATACATCCTTCCAAATCCAAGTAGAGACTTCCATGGCCACCCACCTTGTACACTCTGTAAAACCTGCAGAATTAACACCACATGGACATAGCTAAGGCTTATCACTTGCACCCTCTGGAGCAGCAGTGTGAGCTGCACCCAAGACAACGTGAATCACAGCTGGGCTGGCCAAGGAGCCCTGTACCAGAATGTGGAGAGCAGAGTCCCAAGATGGCCTTGGGCAGCAAGCCTGTGGAGTATGCCCCGGCTCAACCCCCAAATCCATTCTTCCCTCCAAGGTGTCTTACATGCCTTTGGGGTCATTCTCCCATTGTCTTGAATAGCACCTGACCTACTTTTATCTCTACTAATCTGCAAACTAAAAATAAAACCCTAAGCCCCCCAACTGAGTGAACAAACCCCCTTTTGGACAAGGGGACCCCAGAAAAACCTGAAAAACAAAGTTCTTGACAATGATGGAAAGAAAGATCGGATATGCCTTATTATACCTCCTCTCTTTTGGACTTTAGGCACAACTAACCAGAAATAGAAACAAGACTAACAAAACAGACTCTAGTGGCAATAAGATAACAGGTTAAAAATAAAACCTAGGTCCATTCAAGGCAAGGGTTAAGTCATACCTGCAGGCTGTCAATCTTGCTACACAGCATTCTTAACTTAAAACGTATGTTTCTGCTGACTCTAAATTTTAGAGCCTTATTCCTTTAGCCAACTGTAAAGAACCTCTGAATCCACCTGTAACCTGTGAGCCCCTGCTTCAAGATGTCCCGCCTTTTGGGGGCAAATTCCATATAGTGATTTATGTCCTTGCCTGTAACTCTTGCCTCCCTAAAATGTATAAAACCAAACTGTAATCCAGACTGCCTCAGATGCACCTTTGCAGGCTCTTCTAAGACTTTTTTCCCAGGCCATGGACACTCATATAGGCTCAGAATAAACCTCTTTAAAATATTGTACAGAGTTAGTTTTTTCCATTAACAAATCTCTTTATCAAAGTGTCCGTTGGTGGCACCCTTGCAGGTTTTTTTATTTTTTAAATTCTTTTTCTTTTTCTTTTTTTTTACATGACCAGGCTGCAAATTTTCCAAAGCTTTGTATTCTGCTTCCCTTTTAATTATAAAGTCTGCCTTTAAGACATTTCTTTCCATTCTCATTTTATTGTATGTGGTTAAAGGAAGCTGTGCAGCTCCTTTAATATTTTGCTTCGAAATTTGTTCTACTAGATATCCTAGTTTATTGCTCTTAAATTCTGCCTTCCATAAAGCCCTAGGACATGGACACAGTTCTGCCAGGGTATTCTCTTTTTGTTTGCTTTTGTTTTTTGTTTTTTTTCAACTCTATAGTAAAAATGGCCTTTGCTCCAGTTTCCAATAAGATATTCCTCATTTTCATCTAAGACTTCATCAGAATTGCCTTTACTATCCATATTTCTACTAACAACCTGATTATGACCACTTTAAGTAATCTCTAAGAAGTTTTCCTACAGTTGTTCTCTTCTTCTGACCCCTCACCAGAATTGCACTTAATGCTCTGTTCAGGGCAATATCAGCTTTTTCTAGCCTGCTCCTTCAAACTCTTCCAGCTTCTGCCCATTACCCAGTTCAAAAGATGCTTTCACATTTTTATGTATTTGTTATATCCATACTCTAGTTACTCTTGTACCAATTTTGTCTTATTTTATTTTGTGCTGTCATAACAGAATACCACAGACCGGGTATTTTATAATAAACAGGAATTTATTTGGCTCATTGTTCTGAAGGCTAGAACATCCAAGACTGAGGGACCAGAATCTGGGGAGTGCCTTCTTGCTGCATCATTCCATGGCAAAGGGTGAGAAGGAGAGAGAGAGAGAAGGTAAGAAAGCAAGAGAAAGAGAGAATGGGAGAGAAAGAGAAGGGGGCAAAACTTGTCCTTTTATTAGGAACCCACTCCATTGAAAATGGCATCAATCCATTAGTGAGGGAGGCTCTGCTTCATGACATAATTTTAATACTGTCAATATTCCCACTTCTTAATAGCATTGCATTGGGGATTCAGTCTCCAACACATGCTTTTTGGGGGAACATATTTAAACCATACACACAAAAACACCAAGAGGGAAGTTTTCAAGTGTGGACTAGGTGAATAGTGATGATGGCAATAGTGGGAGAGGTGAGGTAGATTCAAAATATATTTTTGGAGGTGAAGCCGATAACAGATTTTAATGGATTTCATGTTGCTAGAAAAAAAAGAAATCATTATGGATAACCCCCAGAGTCCTGGCATCAGCAACTGAAAAGTAATAGAAACTTTAATGGCAATGAATGGGGAAAATCCAGGTTTTAGGAGTAAACACATTTTCATATTTGAGCAGACAAGTTTGGGGATGCCTTTGAGATACTCAAATGAAGAAGACGAGTATGGAATTGGGTATATAGGCCTGGAGCTTAGAGGGTCTGCTACAGTTGATAATATAAATTTGAAAGTTACCTACATAAAGGTAGCATTTAAAGTCATGGGAATGGAGGAGTTCACTTTTGAGGAATTACAAGAACCAACAAAGAGGGTTGAGGACAAAGCCCTGGAAACATTTCAGAATTAGCCAGTGAATAGAAGAGGAAAATCCAGCTAAGAAAAATCATGAAAAATTGCAAGAAAAGAGGCAGAAGGACAACCAGCAGCACGTTTTCATGAAAGTCAGGCAGAGAGTATTTCATACCCTAATACTTATCATCTGCATGGCCGTCCATGCAAAATTTAGCTCCCATTATGGGTGTCCCTTCTTCTAGAATGTCTTTCCTTATAATCCCCTTTCCATTGACTCCCATACCCTTATTGTTTGTTTGTTATTTTGAGACAAGGTTTTATTCTGTTACCCAGGATGGAGTGCAGTAGTGAAATCTCAGCTCACCACAGCCTCAATCTCCCACCTCAGCCTCCTGAGTACCTGGGACTACAGGTGCAGGTGACCACGTTTGGCTGATTTTTATATATTTTTTAGAGATGCGGTTTCTCCATGTTGCACGGACTTGTCTTGAACTCCTGACATTCTCCATTTTTGATTGACTTACAATTGTGTTACAAGACCAACCATTAGTGTCTGCCATTTATTAAACACTAAAAATGTACTAGCAGCTACACTATGCATTTTACATACATTTATTATCTCTCATGCTATAATCACATACTTTTAGTTTTTTGGAGACAGGGCCTCACTCTGTTACCCAGGCTGGAGTTCAGTGGTGCAATCTTGACTCACTGCAACCTCCACCTCCTAGGTTCAAGCTATTCTCCTGCCTCAGCCTCCTGAGTAGCTGGAACTACAGGCGTGTGCTGCCACACCTGGCTAATTTTGGTATTTTTAGTAGAGACTTGGTTTTGCCATGTTGTCCAGGCTGGTCTCAAACTGCTAGCCTCAAGCAACCCATCCACCTTGGCCTCCCAAAGTGCTGGGATTATAGGCGTGAGCCACCATGCCCAGCCCATAATTACATATTTGTTATGTAAAATTGATTACATTTTCTTTCTCAACTTCAGATTTAGTAGATAATAAGATCTACTTTAGGACACCATTAGGAGACCAAAAATATTAAGTCACATGCTTGGCATGTAGCTATCAAGTAGAAGAAACACACTTAGTAGGAGAAAATGATTATTATTCCTCTCACTAAAATACATAGTGCACTGCAATTTATAAATTTACCTTTTACAATATACAATTATAAACTTACAATTTATAATTTTAGCTCCCTATAGACTGTGAGCTCTTAGAATGGAGAGATTATTTTTTATTCAACTTGAATCCTCAATACCTTTAACATTGCTGTGTATGTTTTACATGCACAAATAATTTTGTGAAAGTCTGAGTGGTTTCTTTCATATTGCAAAGGTAGAGATTTCAAATTCTAGATGTGTGTGTTTGGTGGAAATGGGTAATGTTGTTTTCCCTTTAGCATCTTTTTGATTCAGCATTAAAAATCACCATAATTTCAAACTGGATTACCTGATTTAATTACATTTTTTATGACTATATTTTGGAAAGGTGAAAAAGAAGTAGAGCAATCAAAAATCTGGTTTGTTTTATTTTATTACATACAATTTTCTTCCAGCTTGACATATTTGTAAGGCACCTTTGGAGCCAGAGAGTTATGCCCTGGTTGAATCTTATATTTAATTTTGAGGAAACCCTTGAAACATCTCCATTTACAGAAAGGAAATAATTCTTTCTTCCTCCTCATTGAGAGAATAAGAACTTTAGATATTCCCAATAGATCAATTTATCAAACAGCATTTTAATAGAGCTTTATCTTGAGTAACAAGCATGTGGTACAACCTGTTACGCTTAGGCTTATATAAATCTTCCATATTACCTTTTAAATACATATTTTCAAATCAGTTTCATTTCTATCCTTTCCATTATTTAATTCCAGAACAAATAAAAATTGCTAGAATAAAACTCTAAATAACCCACAGACATGGAAAATCAGAAATCTCTTCAAGAAAATTTTTAAGTGAAAAGATTTTTTTTTTCGTTCACATCTGGAATGTCTTACCCTGTAACAAACATGTTGGACGTTTGAAAGAAGACAGTAAAAGCCTAATTGTTGCCTCTGGATGTAGAATACACTAGAAGACTGAGAGGCAACAGCCATGGCTGTGAGTGGTAGGAGCAACAGGAGAGATCAGTGGTCCATCTGGAGTCATTTCTTGTCAGAAGAGATGCTCACTTTAGAAACTGGCTTGATAGGCTGGGCGTGGTGCATCACGCCTGTAATCCCAGCACTTTGGGAGGCCGAGGCGGGCGGATCACGAGGTCAGGAAATCGAGACCATCCTGGCTAACACCGTGAAACCCCGTCTCTACTAAAAAATAGAAAAAATTAGCCGGGCGTGGTGGCGGGCGCCTGTAGTCCCAGCTACTAAGGAGACTGAGGCAGGAGAATGGTGTGAACCCGGGAGGCGGAGCTTGCAGTGAGCCGAGATCGTGCCACTGCGCTCCAGCCTGGGCAACAGAGCGAGACTCTGTCTCAAAAAAAAAAAAAAAAAAAAAGAAAAGAAAAGAAATTGGCTTGATCGCAGTTGGTTTTCCTTTGTACTAAAGGAGCAAAGTGACAGGATCATTGGAAAACACTAAAGTTCATTAGTTAGCTTTGCTGAATGTGTGCCATTTAATTCTTCCATTTTGGTGGTTGTCAGATATGGTTTCAGAGCTTAAATGGCGTTAATGTTTTGGGGTGAGACCATCGTGGGGTGTGTCATAAGGATAAAGTGGAGCTCAAGGATGAGGTGAGGTTGTCTGTTGTGTATAATACTTGGAATAATAATTATGATAAAGTATCAAGATTAGTGAGTGTAGCTTATAGAGTATCCTTGAAATGTTTTTATTTGAGTATCATTAAAATAATTTAGTAAAACTATACATACATTTTTACATTTTTTGGTTGGCAGCTGAAATTTGTCATCATATATTTAAACACTTTCAAAGATGTCATTTCATGCATAGTGCAAATATTGACATTTTAAAATAAAACTGTTAGATCATGCTTTAAATTTTTCCAATACAATGTAAATACCAAATTATTAAATACTCACCAGTATTCATTTAAAATACATAAACAGCTTTAAATATAACAGCATTAATTTTGCTCTTCAAGCTAGCATTTTTATTCTACTTTCTCCAAAATGTTTTATCCTAATGTCATGTATTTTATGCTTGAAAGGATTTTATTGATTACCTTAACATACTTTTCTAAAATATATTATGTATATAAATGGAGATTTAATTTTTAAATGTTTCCTGTAACCATAAGACTGTTAAATGTTAAAAATATTTTCCACATTGAGTTATTGAAATTGGCATAAGCACACCATTGATCAAAAAACGTATTATACTTCACATTTGATTAACAATTATAAAGCATGAATTTAATATTTTATTGGATGTTTATCTTGTAGTGAGGTAGATGTCTTTTATTTGTTCATTGGTTCTGATATCAATGGGTGGAATATTACCAAGAATCACATAGTTGCTGCCTGAGTTTTGCTTCTATTTTGGGGTCTTACAGATATAAGCCCCGAGGAATCATAGTCATATAAATAAGTGGGCATAAATGGAAGGAGCAATGTCAATCCATGTTTGATCTCCTTTGGAGATATTTGCCCAAATTCACAGTCATCTAGCATAAATTACTTTTACTCTTATTAGCTGACACCTTGATTAGGTCCTCCCCAATTTTGCTGAAAGCAAAGATTTGGAAACCATTTGACTTTCAAGAAAGATTTGTCAGGTAGTCATTAGAGTCATTCAGCTTTTCAGCATCTCCGCCAAACTTTGTCCCTTTGTTTGGTGTCATAGAGGTTTATACACCCCAGGGCACTTCACCAGCGGTAGATTCTAGATTAGTGAGAGCTACTCCTTTCCTTCCTAAAGTGGAAGAAAAAATGTTTTTGTCAAAGAAGGTGGAAATAACAAATCTGCATTGTGTTTTTTGTGTTCTCAAGGAGACTAATTTTAAGAAAGAATACCTAAGGAAGTTGGAAACTCAGAAGCTCTTGGAAAATCTTGATGTAACAGTAGTGGTGCGTGAAGCAGAAGTATCACAGACTGGACATCTCTAGTGTAGACCTCTTACCAATAGCTTAATGTTATTACAACCTGGTTAGAGTGTCTTTTATTGATTAATATCCACTTTATATATTCATATATTGGTTGGATATTAGTCACCTATGAAATATAAATTTGTATAGTACATCGTAAAGAAGTGTGCCAAGGTGTCTTAGTTTAGAGATTACATTAGCCAGTGGGAAATAAAGAATGTCCACAAGTATGATAACTGATATCTTTGATACAGTTCCACATCTGAGAATCTACCTTAATAAAAATGTACTAAATAAGGATAATCATTTGGAAAACAAATGTTTCTTGTAATATTATTTACAATGATAAAAAAGAAATCAATCTAAATGTTGACTCATAATGTACTCAAATAAATATGGTATGGTTATTTAAGAAATATTTTCCAGATATTACAATTATGCATATGAAGAATATGGAATCATTTTAATAAATATTATGTTAGTCAACTGAAAAAGTGGGATACAGAATTCTATGTAAAATATAATAAAATCTATTAGAAAAATATGTGTATGGGAAAAGGCTTCATAATATACACAAAGATAATAATAACAATCTTGGATTGATCTCCGTGTGTGTTGTCTTCCCCTTTAAATAGAGACAATGTAATCATATTGCAAATGTGATTATATTTCTTCAAAGGTCTATATTGTTATATGTATATAATGATTATATCAAACAATAAGAAGTTGTGTACATTTATGTGGCATATATTGTACAATGTACCTATATTGTACCATTACATATATTGCACAATGTATAATTAATATATATTTTTATATATGATGTAGGTTAATAGATATATATTTTTATTAATTTTTGTAAAGTAATAAATGGACATAGCAAAATATACAAACAAATCAAAAGCTTATAAAATAAAACTTTTTCTATTAATTCAGCCTTCCAGGAAGTTACTATTAGTCACTACTTATTATACTTCTAGAAACCTTCAATGCATATACATGGATATCAAAGTACAAGTACAGAAGTGAGAACATGTAATCCCAATTTATTTATTCATTTAACATTCTCCTTTCTAAAACCAATATTTCTCTAATTTGCTATGTTTGTGCATTTTCCTCCTGATAATTTAACAAGTTTATGGGCTCTTTTTAGTATTTTGGAACGTTGTCTTTAAAGTTTCATATATTAATTAGATTTAAATCTTTTTTTCTGTATATGTCAACTTTAGATACCATAAATTGATCTCCTATCAACAAAAATGAAGTATCTAGTTAATTTTCATTCCTGTCTACCACATCTATTTCTCCAAACTAACCTCAAGTTTGGTTTGGCTATATTTCTATTTTTAATTTTTCTATAGGTCACTTCAAACTTTTAAATTTCTAAAACTTGTATTAAATTATTTATATATTGAATTAATCTCATTATTAAAAAGGAAGAGAAACAGCACACTTAAAATTTCTTTAACTTATTTTTTTACCTTGAGATTTGTATTATAGTTGCATAATTTTACATTACAATATAAATAATGTTTATATTGTATTCCATAATTCCCATACCTCTTTATTTCTAATTATCTATTTTTATGTATTTACTACTCATTCCTATTTTCAGGCTTATTTCTTTCACTATGTGATTTATGAAAGAATGTACATCAACTTTTTTTTCATTAAGAGCTCATGGGTGCTGTATTCTAAGAGTTCTTGAAAGTTGCATAAAACATTTGGGTTACACTTTTTTATTCTGAGGACTATGTAACATTGCTCTTCACACATTTCACAATTTTAAACTTAATAAAAGTGCCTGAAGCCAGTCTGAATTTTTCACTTTTATGCATAAATTGAGCATTTTCCCTAGATAACCCTTTCATTGTTTATACTTTATCATTTATTCTTTGTTTTTATCCTGTATGAAGTTTTCCTAAGGTACAATTTTCCTATTTATTCTTTAGATTCATGTCTTTTTTAACTTTTGGAAAGTTTTCTTTTACTATATCTTTAATATTTCTCCTGTTTCACTTTTACTTTTTACTTCATCTGAAACACCAGGTATGTGCACATTATGAATCTTTTGACTGCTTTTCAGATCTGTCATTTCCTCTGTAATTCTTTTTAAAATATTTTATTATTTTATTTTGTTCAATTTTCTGAAGCCTATTTTGTTCACAATGTTTTTAGCAATGTCTACTCTTGTATTTACTGTTTTTAATATAATTTTAATAACTGAAGCTTTTTACATTTTCCATTTATTGCTATCTTACTTTCCATCTTATTATTTTTCTATTTTTTATCACTTTTGTCTAAATCTTTAAGTCTCCTTTCAGCATGACATTAATTTTTTAATTACCTTGACTTTATAAAAAAGTGGTTGTACCTCATTTTTAGTTATCTTTTGTGACAATTATGTTGATATTTATGTTTGAAATTATTTACATTTCTTTGATATTTCTCTTTTCTCCTGGCTGTGACTTTGAGTAATAACAATGTTGGAGACTTTCATATTTTTTTTTAAATCTGGGGCATTTATTCTGAGCCAGCAGTTTGCTAAAGACTAGTAGTAGGTGGAGAGAGATTTGCAAAGGGTGCTAAACAGCAGGCAGATTGGATTTAATTCAGTTGACACAATCTACCCCAGAAACATGATTCTATTCGAAGTCAATAGAAGGTCTGCTAATTCTACAGCAAAAAATCACATATTACAATTATTATTATGGGCTTATTGTTTAAGTAACTGGCAAGATCAGTAGATTCATATGTGATTACTCACTCTGGTTTTTCATTCATCTTGCCACAAAAGCAACCAGCTTCTTGCAAAGTTAGTTTCTGTGCTTGTCATTAATTTTATGTATCAATTTGACTAGCCCCAGGGTTTCCAGTTTAAATATTATTTCTGGGTATGTCTGTAAGAATGTTTTTGAATGAGACAGGATCTGAAATGGTGGATTCAGTAAAGCAGATGGCCTTTCTCAATGTGAGTGGTCATTCATCCAGCTCACTAAAGGCCTGAAAAGAACAAAAGGCAAAGGAAGGAGGAAATTACCCCTTTTTTCTTGCCAGACCACTTGAACTGGTACATCACATTTCATCTTCTCCATGCCTTGGGCTGAGTTTATTGCATGGATTCACTGGTTCTGAAGCCTGGGGACTCAGACTAAATTATCTCTTTGGCTTTCCTGGGTCTCCCGCTTGCAGACAGCAGATCCTGATACTTCTCAGCGTGTGTGTGTGTGTGTGTGTGTGTGTGTGTGTGTGTGTGTGTGTGTAGGTAGTCATGTACCATAGTTCAGTCTATGATGAACTACATATACACAGTTGTCCCATACATATTATAATGGAGCTGAAAAATTCCTATTGCTTAGTGATGTCATAGCTATTGTATGGTCATAGTGCAATGCATTACTCATGTGTTTGTGGTGATGCTGCTGTAAACAAACCTACTGTGCTAGCATTCATGTAAAAGTATAGCACATACAATTATGGATGGTACATAATACTTGACAATGATAATAAATAGCTGTATTACTGGTTTATGTATTTACTATATTACACCTTTTAACATTATTTTATAGTGTACTCCTTCTACTCATTAAAAAAAAATTTAACTGTAAAACAGCCTCAGGCAGGCCCTTTAGGAAGTATTCCAGAAGAAGGCATTGTTATCATAAGAGAGGGCAGTTCTAGGCCTGTTATTACGCCTAAAGACCTTCTACTAGGACAACACGTGGAGGCGGGAGACAGTGAAATTGATGATCTTGATTCTGTGTGGGCCTAGCCAAATGTGTTTGTTTGTGTCTTAGTTTCTAACAAAAAAGTTTAAAAAGTTAAAAAAAAATGAAAAAAAGCTTACAGAATAAGGATATCAAGAAAGAAAATGTTTTTCTATGGCTGTAAAATATATTTGTGTTTTAAGCTAGGTGTTATTACAAAAGAGTCCAAAATTAAAAAAAAAAATTGTACAAAGTAAGAATAGTTACAGTAAGCTAAGGTTATTTATTATGGAATTATATCTATCTATCTATCTATCTATCTATATCTATATATATATATATTTTTTTTTGAGACAGAGCTTCTGTCGCCCAGGCTGGAGTGCAGTGGCTCAATCTCGGCTCACTGCAACTTCCTCCTCCCGGGTTCAAGCAATTCTCCTGCCTCAGCCTCCCGGTAGCTGGGACTACAGGCACGCGCCGTCATGCCCAGCTAATTTTTGCATTTTTAGTAGAGATGGGGTTTCACCATATTGCCCAGGCTGGTCTTGAACTTCTGACCTCGTGATCCTCCCACCTTGGCCTCCCAAAGTGCTGGGATTACAGGCATGAGTGACCATGCCCAGCCTATTATGGAATAATTTTTTAAAATAAATTTAGTGTAACCTAAATGCACAGTGTTTATAAAATCTACAGTAGTGTATAGTAATGTCCTAGACCTTCACATTCATTCACCAACCACTGACTCATGCAGAGCAATTTCCAGTCTTGCAGGCCCCACTCATGGTAATTGCCTTACATATGTGTACCATTTTTTATCTGATATGTCATGATAATACTGTACATTTTCTATGTTTAGATCTGTTTAGATACATGAATACTTACCACTGTATTTCAATTGCCTACAGTATTCAGGAGAGTGACATGTTCTACAAGGTTGTAGACTAGCAGCAATAGTTTATACCTATCCCTGACATTAAGCAACACGTAGCTGTGTGTGTGTATATATATATACACATATATATACATATACATACACATATATATACATACACACATACACATATATATACATATATATACACACATATATATATAACAAACCTGACTAACACAGTGGTTATCTTCATTTGGCCCTTTCTCGTCTATGGCTGAGGTTTCTATAAAAGTTCATTGACACTCTTATAGTACTGTCATGTACTTTATAAGTCAATAAATTTATCCCTTAGAATAAGCCACCTGACTATGGAGATTTCTTCTAGCTTTCCACATTCTGCAGGAGTACTTATATGTTTTCAAAGTCTTCCTTCAATATGGTTGTATTTCACAATATTTAGTGATGATTATTTATAGTTTATTGATTGACAGGATGGACGTCTTCTACATCAATTATAGGCATTTATCACTGTCTTTTTATGTTCTTCATTGTTTTCAGTTGGCTTTACAGGGGAGAATTTGGGTAAAATATGCTCTTATTATATCCAACCTAACGCAAAACTTTTATCTTTAAAGATAAGAAAGTATATATTCAATAAATAATAATAATAATGAAAGTTAAGAATTGGGATTGAGAGCTGAAAAATAGGTTTTGCTATATCTACTAATTGTAGCTTCATATTTTTCATCAAATATGATATCATTTTTTCTTCTGATAATCATTCCTCTTGCTTGACATATGTGTTCTGCATTTGTTAACTCTGCTAATCTTACTCATGCTTTAGGAAACCCCTCTTCAAGGAAGTGCTCTCTGATTTTTCCTTTCCCAGAAAGAACTCAGGGCTCCTCCTGAACTACCATGGTTCCTTGTACATGCTTTGATTTTTGCACTTATCATCCTGTATTTAATTGTTTGTAGATATAGCAAAAGTATAGAGGCAATAATTGCCTAGATCATGTGTAAGAAGAGGGAATGATTATTTCAGTGGAGTGGAGTAAGTTTTTATAGAGTAATGGGAGGTAGGTTTTGAAAGACAAATTGGAAGAAGATCACTGAGAATATAGACTGTGGAGTTTTTCATTACTTTGTGGGAAATGAGGAGTTTTTAAATGGAGGTCTTTAGCAGAGAATAATAAAATCGTAGCTCTTCTTCAGAAAGATTAATCTAGATGTGGTATAACAGATCAAAAGTTTAATGATAAATTGTATACAGGGAATTCACTTAGGAGGTTAATACAATATTCTCTGTATGAGTTTTCTATTTTTCACAAGAAATTATGTATGAACACAGCAACTTAAAACAGTGTCTGTGGGTCAGTAGTGTGAGCACAGATTAGAGCACAGAGTAGCTTGATCTTTTGTTCAGGGTCTGACAAAACTACAATCAAAATGTTAACAGAAGCTTGAGCTTCTCTTCCAAGTTCACTTAGTTGTTTTTTGTTTTGTTTTGTTTTGTTTTGTTTTTTCAGAACTCATTTCCTTATAGCTGAAGAACTCATGGCAACTTGCTTCTCAAAGCCAGCAGGATATTCTCTGACTGCAAAGAAAACCTAAGCCCTCTTTTCAAGGGCTTTGATTAAGTCTGGGGCATCCAGAATAATTTCCCTTTTGATTAAATTCAACCAATTTGGAGCCTTAATTACATCTGCAAAATCCCTCCACCTTTGCTCTATAATGTAACCTAATCAAGGGGGTGAGATCCCTTACCTTTGCCATATAATGGAACTTAATCACGGGTGTAATAGCAGTGGGAGTGGAAATCATGGGGCTGTCTTAGAATTCTGCTTACCATAGTCTCTAGGAGATGTTAGGCAGAATAAGCATAGTGTCTATAGAGACATGTGTTCTAACACACACTGGTACAGAAATAAACAAACACAGGATGATAAATGAATAAATAGAAGCATGTACAAGGTACCATGGTAGTTCAGAAGGAGACTTGAGTTCTTTCTGGGAAAAGAAAAATCAGAGAGCACTTCCTTGAAGAGGAGTGTCTTAAAGGATGAGTAAGATGAGCAGAGTTAACAAATGCAGAACACATATGTCAAGCAAGAGGAATGATTATTAGAAGAAAAATAATATTTTGATGCTTACAATATTATATTTATATTATTACAATCTTATTTATTACAGATTTTTACATTAATTTTGGTTTTAAAAATATTGCATTAAAACAATATTTACTGTTATTATTGATTTTTGGCATCTTCTTAAATTTTGCACCTGAAGCAAATGCCTCACTCTCTTCACCGTAATTCCTGGCTCTGAGCATCAGGTAGCAGAACTACCTAGGGAACTGCAATTGATTAGGTATTGCTGAAGTGTATGGTGGAAGTGGAAGAACTGCAGAAGGGTAGCTGGCAAAAACTGGCTGGAGTAAGATCATGAGAAGCCTTATTTTGTTGTCTGAGGAAGATCTCCAAAGACTTTTCCCAGGGAGTCATGGTTTTAAACTGGAGAGTGACCAGACAAGACTGCCATTTAGAAAGATTATCCTGGCAGAAGTATGAAGGCTAGTTTGGAATGGTTTACTATTCTCCATTAAAGGAAAACAATTAGGAGGCCATTGTAGTGATCACACGAGGTAAGTAGTTATAGTTATGTTACAGTATTTGGCTCACTGAAAAGTATTTTAATTTTGGGATTTACCAGCAGAAACTATGAATTTCTTTTTAGAGAGCATGTTAGATAGCTTTTTTGACTCTTTAAATGGTAGACCTTTAGCTAATGTAATTTTTTATAGCAATCACATTTATGGCTGAAGCATTTCTGTAACTAAAGGCAGCTTATTTCACCTGAGAAATGCTTTTGATAAGATAAAATTTTCTGATATGTGATGCCAAGATTGAGTCTGAGCCTATAGGTTTTACTGCATTTATATGCAGTGATGTTAGGTGAGACGTAAGGCAAATGGATTCTCACCATACAAAATTGAACAATCCAGCTTTGTAATTGCTTCAGGATAGTCGATTGCCTATTTTGTCTCTGTTCAAAGTACCCAAAGGAAATCTTGCTAGGGCCATTGAAAATATCAGACTCTACAGATGGAGATCATAACTATATGGTATTGGCTGTATGTTTAATATACAACTAGCAAAAACTGATTCAAGGGAGGGAGTCAGGATTACAAATGGATGCTTGATTGGAAGGACTGATATTAACCAAGAGGCCAGTCTATAAAAGACTACTTTACATAGTAAAGAAGAAGCATACGAGAAAAGTATTTCCTGCCTTGAAGGATTGTAAATATGCACAACATAAATGCTGATAGAATTGTATAGCCCTTTATGTGTCAGTATTATCTAATAACATTGGCACTAGTCCCTATCTCCATCTCCATCCTTTGGCATTTTTTTTTCTTAAATTACATAACTACACCAGTCCCAGACTGTTTTCTCATTTGTTGATAAAACTTAAACACACTAGTTTATTTATTTTTAGAGTGTTTCTTTTCCAATTAGAGCAGGACTTCAATGTTTTAGTGGGGTTTTTTTTGTCATATGTAATGACCATTAGTTAACTGGTAAATGCTATAATTGATTCTTGGAATAGAGATAGAGTTCTTAATCTTAGAGTTCATTGGGAAGTTTTGGAGACAAAAGAGGACTCTAAAGATCAAACCAAAAATTTTCATGCTTTCCTAGAGACTGAAGTACACATTGCTGAGCTAATCTGTTGTAAAGTTTTGTGACTGCGCTGAACACGCAAGTAAAGTGGTACAGTACCCAAAGGAAATTGTGCATTCAACCCAAGAGCAATGAGGAAGAAAAGTACAAATCCAAACCACTATGAGATAACGCCTCACACCTGTTTTGACCTTTGTTGCATCAAAAAGTCACAAATAAATGTTGCGTGAGGGTGTGGAGAAAAGGAAACTCTTAAACACTGTTGGTAGGAATGTAAATTGGTACAGTCATTATGGAAAATAGTATAAAGTTTTCTAAATAAATTAAAAATTGAATTACATATGACCCAGCAATTTCTCTTCTGGCAATATACGCAAAGAAAAAAGTCACTACCTTGTAAAGGCATCTGCAGCTCCATTTTTACAATTTTTATTGCAGCATTATTCACAATAGCCAAGATGTGGAAACACCCTAAGTGTCAACAGACAAATAGATTAAGGAACTGTGGTCCATGCATACCATGGAATAATATTAAGCCCTGTAAAAGCAGGAGATCTCGTCATTTGCCACAATATGAATAAACCTGGAAGACATTACGCTAAGTGAAGTTAGCCAGACACAAAAAGAAAACTAATTCATGGTATCACTCATATGTGAACTCTTTAAACCAAATTCAGAAATAGAGAAGAAAACAGTGGTGGGGAAGTGGAGAGAAAATGGGGAAATACAGGTCAGGGAATTCAATGTAGCAGATCTGTAGGACAAACAAGTCTAGAGAACAAATGTACAAATGAGGACTATAGGACATAAAAGTGTACTGTATTTGGGATTCATGGTGAGTAGATTTTAACTGCTCCTGCCACAAAAACAAATAAACAGATAAATATGTGAGATGATGGCTGTATTAATTTGCTTTATTCCAGTAGCCTTTTTACTATATGTATCCCACAACATCATGTTGTATACCTTAAATATACACAACATTTATTTTTTTAAAGGAGGAGATACTTCCATATTTGGCATATTTTTAATAGCTCCAAAAATGTCTTCCTGACTCCAGAAAGTTCCATATTTAAAATCCCACTACACACAACACAATCTTTTATTACATAACAGAATTTGAAAAGCAAAACTTAAAACATAAATCTTCCTAGAAGAGTCTATATTTCAATTAGATTTTTATTAAAGTTAAAATTACTGGTAGCTGAGCTTTTCCTGAGAGACCACTGTGATCACAGAAAATTACTGACATCCTAAATTGAAGGGTGACTCTTTGGAGAGAAGAGAAGGGTAGAAAAAGAGGAGAGATATTGGCCACTGTCCCATTTTACCTTTACTCGTTTTGCTTAACAAAAACAACCATAAAATCAAATTTTTACTGGAAATGAAATAGGTTGATTTGCTAAAAACTTAAAATAGTACAAAGTGTATAAAAGTAAAATGCAACTCCTCCCTCTACAGTGGATCTCCAGTCTTTAGTCTCCCTCCAGTAGCAACCATTGCTAAGAAATTTTTAAATACATTTTTCCAGAAATATTGTCAGGATATATAAGCTTATATAACCTCTCCAGTAGTGACAACTGAAAATGTCCCCAGACATTGCCAAATTCCCCCTGGGGTGCAAAATTCTCCCGGTTGAGAAGTACTGCTGTAGAGGATCCTATTGTATAAATGTGTACACCCTTTTGATAAATATTTAGGTTATCTTCAACTTCAGAGATCATTAAAAAAAGGCTGCACTGGGGGGAGGAGCCAAGATGGCCGAATAGGAACAGCTCTGGTCTACAGCTCCCAGTGTGAGCGACGCAGAAGACGGGTGATTTCTGCATTTCCATCTGAGGTACCGGGTTCATCTCACTAGGGATTGCCAGACAGAGGGCACAGATCAGTGAGTGCCTGCACCGTGCGTGAGCCGAAGCAGGGCAAGGCATTGCCTCACTCAGGAAGCACAAGGGGTCAGGGAGTTCCCTTTCCTAGTCAAAGAAAGGGGTGACAGACAGCACCTGGAAAATCGGGTCACTCCCACCCGAATACTGCGCTTTTCCGACGGGCTTAAAAAAAGGCGCACCAGGAGATTATATCCCGCACACGGCTCGGAGGGTCCTACATCCACGGAGTCTTGCTGATTGCTAGCACAGCAGTCTGAGATCAAACTGCAAGGCGGCAGTGAGGCTGGGGGAGGGGTGCCCGCCATTGCCCAGGCTTGCTTAGGTAAACAAAGCAGCCAGGAATCTCGAAGTGGGTGGAGCCCACCACAGCTCAAGGAGGCCTGCCTGCCTCTGTAGGCCCCACCTCTGGGGGCAGGGCACAGACAAACAAAAAGACAGCAGTAACCTCTGCAGACTTAAATGTCCCTGTCTGACAGCTTTGAAGAGAGCAGTGGTTCTCCCAGCACATGGCTGGAGATCTGAGAACGGGCAGACTGCCTCCTCAAGTGGGTCCCTGACCCCTGACCCCAGAGGAGCCTAACTGGGAGGCACCCCCCAAGCAGGGGCAGACTGACACCTCACACGGCCGGGTACTCCAACAGACCTGCAGATGAGGGTCCTGACTGTTAGAAGGAAAACTAACGAACAGAAAGGACATCCACACCAAAAACCCATCTGTACATCACCATCATCAAAGACCAAAAGTAGATAAAACCACAAAGATGGGGAAAAAACAGAGCAGAAAAACTGGAAACTCTAAAAAGCAGAGTGCCTCTCCTCCTCCAAAGGAACGCAGTTCCTCACCAGCAACGGAACGAAGCTGGACGGAGCATGACTTTGACGAGCTGAGAGAAGAAAGCTTCAGACGATCAAATTACTCCGAGCTACAGGAGGACATTCAAACCAAAGGCAAAGAAGTTGAAAACTTTGAAAAAAATCTAGACAAATGTATAACTAGAATAACCAACACAGAGAAGTGCTTAAAGGAGCTGATGGAGCTGGAAACCAAGGCTTGAGAACTACGTGAAGAATGCAGAAGCCTCAGGAGCCGATGCGATCAACTGGAAGAAAGGGTATCAGCGATGGAAGATGAAATGAATGGAATGAAGTGAGAAGGGAAGTTTAGAGAAAAAAGAATAAAAAGAAACGAGCAAAGCCTCCAAGAAATATGGGACTATGTGAAAAGATCAAATCTACGTCTGATTGGTGTACCTGAAAGTGACGGGGAGAATGAAACCAAGTTGGAAAACACTCTGCAGGATATTATCCAGGAGAACTTCCCCAATCTAGCAAGACAGGCCAACATTCAGATTCAGGAAATACAGAGAACGCCACAGAGATACTCCTCGAGAAGAGCAACTCCAAGACACATAATTGTCAGATTCACCAAAGTTGAAATGAAGGAAAAAATGTTAAGGGCAGCCAGAGAGAAAGGTCAGGTTACCCTCAAAGGGAAGCCCATCAGACTAACAGTGGATCTCTGGGCAGAAACTCTACAAGCCAGAAGAGAGTGGGGGCCAATATTCAACATCCTTAAAGAAAAGAATTTTCAACCCAGAATTTCAAATCCAGCCAAACTAAGCTTCATAAGTGAAGGAGAAATAAAACACTTTACAGACAAGCAAATGCTGAGAGATTTTGTTACCACCAGGCCTGCCCTAAAAGAGCTCCTGAAGGAAGCACTAAACATGGAAAGGAACAACTGGTACCAGCCGCTGCAAAATCATGCCAAAATGTAAAGACCATCGAGACTAGGAAGAAACTGCATCAACTAACGAGCAAAATAACCAGCTAACATCATAATGACAGGATCAAATTCACACATAACAATATTACCTTTAAATGTAAATGGACTAAATGATCCAATTAAAAGACACAGACTGGCAAATTGGATAAAGAGTCAAGACCCATCAGTGTGCTGTATTCAGGAAACCCATCTCACATGCAGAGACACACATAGGCTCAAAATAAAAGGATGGAGGAAGATCTACCAAGCCAATGGAAAACAAAAAAAGGCAGTGGTTGCAATCCTAGTCTCGGATAAAACAGACTTTAAAACAACAAAGATCAAAAGAGACAAAGAAGGCCATTACATAATGGTAAAGGGATCAATTCAACAAGAAGAGCTAACTATCCTAAATATATATGCACCCAATACAGGAGCACCCAGATTCATAAAGCAAGTCCCGAGTGACCTACAAAGAGACTTAGACTCCCACACATTAATAATGGGAGACTTTAACACCCCACTGTCAACATTAGACAGATCAACGAGACAGAAAGTCAACAAGGATACCCAGGAATTGAACTCAGCTCTGCACCAAGCAGACCTAATAGACATCTACAGAACTCTCCACCCCAAATCAACAGAATATACATTTTTTTCAGCACCACACCACACCTATTCCAAAATTGACCACATAGTTGGAAGTAAAGCTCTCCTCAGCAAATGTAAAAGAACAGAAATTATAACAAACTATCTCTCAGACCACAGTGCAATCAAACTAGAACTCAGGATTAAGAATCTCACTCAAAACTGCTCAACTACATGGAAACTGAAGAACCTGCTCCTGAATGACTACTGGGTACATAATGAAATGAAGGCAGAAATAAAGATGTTCTTTGAAACCAATGAGAACAAAGACACAACATACCAGAATCTCTGGGACGCATTCAAAGCAGCGTGTAGAGGGAAATTTATAGCACTAAATGCCCACAAGAGAAAGCAGGAAAGATCCAAAATTGACACCCTAACATCACAATTAAAAGAACTAGAAAAGCAAGAGCAAACACATTCAAAAGCTAGCAGAAGGCAAGAAATAACTAAAATCAGAGCAGAACTGAAGGAAATAGAGACACAAAAAACCCTTCAAAAAATTAATGAATCCAGGAGCTGGTTTTTTGAAAGGATCAACAAAATTGATAAACGACTAGCAAGACTAATAAAGAAAAAAAGAAGAATCAAATAGATGCAATAAAAAATGATAAAGGAGATATCACCACCGATCCCACAGAAATACAAACTACCATCAGAGAATACTACCAACACCTCTACGCAAATAAACTAGAAAATCTAAAAGAAATGGATAAATTCCTCGACACATACACTCTCCCAAGACTAAACCAGGAAGAAGTTGAATCTCTGAATAGACCAATAACAGGATCTGAAATTGTGGCAATAATCAATAGCTTACCAACCGAAAAGAGTCCAGGACCAGATCGATTCACAGCCGAATTCTACCAGAGATACAAGGAGGAACTGGTACCATTCCTTCTGAAACTATTCCAATCAATACAAAAAGAGAGAATCCTCCCTAACTCATTTTATGAGGCCAGCATCATCCTGATACCAAAGCCAGGAAGAGACACAACCAAAAAAGAGAATTTTAGACCAATATCCTTGATGAACATTGATGCAAAAATCCTCAATAAAATACTGGCAAACCGAATCCAGCAGCACATCAAAAAGCTTATCCACCATGATCAAGTGGGCTTCATCCCTGGGATGCAAGGCTGGTTCAATATACGCAAATCAATAAATGTAATCCAGCATATAAACAGAACCAAAGACAAAAACCACATGATTATCTGAATAGAGGAAGAAAAGGCCTTTGACAAAGTTCAACAACCCTTCATGCTAAAAACTCTCAATAAATCAGGTATTGATGGGACGTATTTCAAAATAATAAGAGCTATCTATGACAAACCCACAGCCAATATCATACTGAATGGGCAAAAGCTGGAAGCATTCCCTTTGAAAACTGGCACAAGACAGGGATGCCCTCTCTCACCACTCCTATTCAACATAGTGTTGGAAGTTCTGGCCAGGGCAATTAGGCAGGAGAAGGAAATAAAGGGTATTCAGTTAGGAAAAGATGAAGTCAAATTGTCCCTGTTTGCAGACGACATGATTGTATATCTAGAAACCCCATGGTCTCAGCCCAAAATCTCCTTAAGCTGATAAGCAAATTCAGCAAAGTCTCAGGATACAAAATCAATGTAAAAAATCACAAGCATTCTTATACACCAACAACAGACAAACAGAGAGCCAAATCATGAGTGAACTCCCATTCACAATTGCTTCAAAGAGAATAAAATACCTAGGAATCCAACTTATAAGGGATGTGAAGGACCTCTTCAAGGAGAACTACAAACCATTGCTCAAGGAAATAAAAGAGGATACAAACAAATGGAAGAACATTCCATGCTCATGGGTAGGAAGAATCAATATCATGAAAATGGCCATACTGCCCAAGGTAATTTACAGATTCAACGCCATCCCCATCAAGCTACCAATGACTTTCTTCACAGAATTGGAAAAAACTACTTTAAAGTTCATATGGAACCAAAAAAGAGCCCGCATCGCCAAGTCAATCCTAAGCCAAAAGAACAAAGCTGGAGGCATCACACTACCTGACTTCAAGCTATTCTACAAGGCTACAGTAACCAAAACAGCATGGTACTGGTACCAAAACAGAGATATAGATCAATGGAACAGAACAGAGCCCTCAGAAATAACGCCACATATCTGCAACTATCTGATCTTTGACAGACCTGAGAAAAACAAGCAATGGGGAAAGGATTCCCTATTTAATAAATGGTGCTGGGAAAACTGGCTAGCCATATGTAGAAAGCTGAAACTGGATCCCTTCCTTACACCTTATACAAAAATCAATTCAAGATGGATTAAAGTCTTAAACGTGAGACCTAAAACCATAAAAACCCTAGAAGAAAACCTAGGCATTACCATTCAGGACATAGGCATGGGCAAGGACTTCATGTCTAAAACACCAAAAGCAATGGCAACAAAAGCCAAAATTGACAAATGGGATCTAATTAAACTAAAGAGCTTCTGCACAGCAAAAGAAACTACCATCAGAGTGAACAGGCAACCCACAAAATGGGAGAAAATTTTCGCAACCTACTCATCTGACAAAGGGCTAATATCCAGAATCTACAATGAACTCAAACAAATTTACAAGAAAAAAACAAACAGCCCCATCAAAAAGTGGGCGAAAGACATGAACAGACACTTCTCAAAAGAAGACATTTATGCAGCCAAAAAACACATGAAAAAATGCTCACCATCACTGGCCATCAGAGAAATGCAAATCAAAACCACTATGAGATATCATCTCACACCAGTTAGAATGGCAATCATTAAAAAGTCAGGAAACAACAGGTGCTGGAGAGGATGTGGAGAAATAGGAACACTTTGACACTGTTGGTGGGACTGTAAACTAGTTCAACCATTGTGGAAGTCAGTGTGGCGATTCCTCAGGGATCTAGAACTAGAAATACCATTTGACCCAGCAATCCCATTACTGGGTATATACCCGAAGGACTATAAATCATGATGCTATAAAGACACATGCACACGTATGTTTATTGTGGCATTATTCACAATAGCAAAGACTTGGAACCAACCCAAATGTCCAACAATGATAGACTGGATTAAGAAAATGTGGCACATATACACCATGGAATACTATGCAGCCATAAAAAAGGATGAGTTCATGTCCTTTGTAGGCACATGGATGAAATTGGAAATCATCATTCTCAGTAAACTATTGCAAGAACAAAAAACCAAACACCGCATATTCTCACTCATAGGTGGGAATTGAACAATGAGAACACATGGACACAGGAAGGGGAACATCACACTCTGGGGACTGTTGTGGGGTGGGGGGAGGGGGGAGGGATAGCATTGGGAGATATACCTAATGCTAGATGACGAGTTAATGGGTGCAGCGCACCAGCATGGCACATGTATACATATGTAACTAACCTGCACATTGTGCACATGTACCCTAAACCTTAAAGTATAATAATAATAATAAAAAAAGAAATATTTATTAACTACATAGTGTATTTCATGCACTTTGCTAGTTGCTGCTGATGCAAAGTCACATTACTATGTTGTAAGAACTCACATTACAGTGAAAGCTGGTTACAGAAACATAATTTACAATAAAGTGCAATGACTTGCCATTATTGAAAAATTCCTATGATGCTTAGGGTCACACAGAGGAAGCATCTGAATTTCTTAGAGGTAATGGGAAGTTGGAGAAAGTGTAGCAGAGAAGAAGACACTGAGTTGTCATCACAATTAAAGCAAAAGCTTTCCATGAAGAAAACCTGGGAAGAAGCACATGGCATTTATAGGAGTACAGAAGTGTGAGATAACATTATGTATTCAGGAAATAATTAAGATTACTTGCTTATTAATTTATCCATTCCACAAACATTTATTGGATACTAAGAATGCTAGGTATTACACTGATCCCCAGAAGTGAAATAGTGATCAATAGAAATATGGGTCCTGATGTCATGGGACTTAAAGTTTATGGGTGGAGCCACCTTCAGCAAGCTTCCCTGGGGAGGGTGATATTTGATCTATGTGCAAAATATCTCTGAAAGAAGATATGAAAGCAGTGATTTGGTGGGATTTATAGCATGATGTGGCTGAGGCAGAAGAACCAGAGGGATTGGTGCAAGGTGAGTCTGAGCTGGAGACCTGGGCCAAGTCAATTAAACCTATGGGCCATCTTGGGTCATGATTGAAGCTTACCAGGGTCTTTGATTACACTTAACATTTACTAATTCACTCTTTAAGTCCTATGTTATCTGCCCTGTACCTATTTCCCAAGTTTCTTCTTTTATTGTATTTCTTCTCCAAAGTGTGCCTCTAGGATTTCCTACCAGCTGCTTCTTTTTAGGAACTGCTCTTACCCCATTCTAATGGTTACTACTGGTACTCCCAGCCTCATCACTCATATTGATTTTTGGCTATTGATTTTAGGAATACACATAATCCAAAGTAGACCGGTCACAATAACCTTTGCTTCAGGCCATAGTTTGTTGGTCCAAGTAGGTCCAGGAGATTATCCAGTTTCTTCTCTGGTCAATGGTCTTTATTTATAACTGCAAAAGGTACATGACAACCCACACCATAGAGTTCTAGTAATATCACATTTGTTTATTGACACCAGTAACTGTTGAGCAAAGGAATAAAATGGAATCTCCTGAGTGTTCATAGTGGTGTCTGGACTATGGTTGGAACAATCAGTAGTATACATGTAGAACAAAAATATTCAGAAGACAACACCCACCCCCATACCACATTGCATATTTATAAATTAACCTAAGGGAGGGTAGAAAATATCTAATATCTGCAAGTGGCTATATATATATATATATATGCATATATATATATATATCTGGAGACCTCTGGACTGAGGAGCTGGAATAGGAAATATAAAACCACAGGTCAGGTCTGTACCCTGATTTCCCTGGGAAGAGCCTTGAGGACATGCTGGAATCACCAATATCATCCAAAGCCCTTGGCATTTCTCTGCAAATTGGCTCAGCCCAGTTCACTGTTGAACTCTAAGGGACAAAAATGAAATAGTATTCACTCCTCTTCAATTACTTAATAAAAAAAAATGGTATTGGTTAATCCTAGCATTTTCAAAGTAAAAGAATGCATAAGAGACTCATTTTGGTAATCCAAACAAAAACTGGCATAGTATATGAAAAATCCCATTGATGAAAACTCTCTTTCCTAAGGCTTCTGGGGTTCTCTGGAGAGGGTGGAAATTCTAGAGGAAAATAAAACTCATTTTAAACCTTGTCTAGAGAAAATATCTCCTTTATCTAAGAAAGCTATTTCATCAGACCATATGTGAAGAGAATGCCCAGAGCTCCCAAACATGGACAAGACAATAGAATAGATGTCATAGCCAGACCACCTTCACACTCCCAAGGAAATGGGATTTCCCATTTACAATACAGTCTAAGGTTCTTGCTTCTAAAAGGATAATTTGAATTATTACTCCATGAATAAATTAAATACTCGTTTGGAATATTTGGAGAGGAGAGATGGGCATAATGCAGAAAAAGCCCAATATGATTGCATGGCTAATTAATTTAGAAAATGTTGTGTTAAACATATGCAGGACTTTTCAGAGCTTTTAATAAGTAAATATATATTGTGACTTTCCAAAAAAGGTGCAACTATTATTATGATTTCAAAAATTTAGTTAACTAAGGAAACCTTTCTTATTTCTACCCAGATTATTGAAGACCAATTCTTATAATAATGTCAGTAGTACTAATTGAGCATTTAATATGTGCCAGGAACTGCAGTAATTGGTTTGCACAGATTATCTAATTTAATACTCATGACAAGGCTAAGATATGGAATCTATTACTCCCCTTGTTTTATGGAGAGGAAAACTAAGGGTCAGTGTATTTAGCATCTTTCCCGAGTTCATACTGCTTTTGTATAAAGTTGCTTTGATTTGAATCAAGGCAGTCTGACCCCAGAACCTGTGTTATTAACCACCTGATATTACTACTCATAGCTCCTCAGAATAGTATGAAGAAAAGCTAACATAGAAGGACTAATATCCAGAATCTACAAGAAACTCAAACAAATTAGGAAGAATAATCCCATCAAAGAGTGGGCTAAGGACATGAACAGACAATTCTCAGAAGAAGATATACAAATGGCCAATAAACGTATGAAAAAATGCTCAACATCACTATGATCAGGGAAATGCAAATCAAAACCACAATGTGACACCACCTTACTCACTCCTGCAAGAATGGCAATAGTCAAAAAATCTGAAAATAATAGATGTTGTGGTGGATGCAGTGAAAAGGGGAGACTTCTACACTGCTGGTTGGAATGTAAACTAGCACAACCCCTGTGGAAAACAGTGTGGAGATTCCTTAAAGAAATAAAAGTAGAACTAGCATTTGATCCAGCAATCTCACTACTGGGTATCCACCCAGAGGAAAAGAAGTCATTATACAAAAGAGATACTTGCACACACATTTATAGCAGCACAATTACCAATTGCAAAAATTTGGAACCGGCCCAAATGCCCATCAAGCAACGAGTGGATAAAGATATTGTGGTACATATATACACACATATTTATATGATGTATATATATTTATATTTATATATTTATATGATGTATATATATGTGGTATATATATGGTGTGTGTGTGTGTGTGTGTGTGTGTGTATATATATATATATATATATATATATATATATATATATATATATATATGATGGAATACTTCTCAGCCGTAAAAAGGAACTAATTAATGACATTCACAGCAACCTGGATGGAACTGGAGACTATTATTCTAAGTGAGTAACTCAGGAATGGAAAACCAAACGTGGTATTTTCTCACTCATAAGTGGGAGCTAAGCTATGAGGATGCGTAGGCATAAGAATAACACAATAAACTTTGGGAAGTCAGGGGAAAGAGTGGGAGTAAGGTGAGGGATAAAAGACTACAAAGTGGGTTCAGTTTATAGTGCTCAGGTGACGGATGCACCAAAATCTCACAAATCACCACTAAAGAACTTACTCATGTAACCAAATACTGCCTGCTCCCCCAGAAACTATGGAAATAAAAAATTAAAAAGAAAGGATAAAGAATTCAAAAAACACTTGTTTTGTATAGGAATTCTTCTTTTATTACCTGGACTATGTTGTTTTGGAACACATGAGTTTCCTGCTTTGGTCTATTAGAATCAGCGATCCCAAGTTATATTGTAGGTGGATCCACCACTATTTCTACAAGGAATGTTATCAAACACTTTTTTCTTAAAAGACAATATCGTGGAAAATCTTAGCTATATTTTGCCATTGTCTCTTACCTTCAGGTGGGAGGCATTGTAAATAATTCCTTTGCAAAATTAACCTTTGGGCACTATACATACACTTACTAAAACAGCACAAAATAAAAAATACACTAGAATTCTTCCAAGGCTCTCCATCTCTTTTAGATCAAACTCCAATCAAGACAAGCTTTATCTTAAAGTGGAAGAATTATCAGCTTTATTGGAAAAAAGCATATTGTTGACATTTTCCTGATGCTACAGTAAAGGTCCTGGCCTGTTGATGATAATGGGCCTCTTGACTCAATTGTCACATAGTACTGGGAGAGAAGGTTCTCTCAGTGGTAACTAGTGGAGGTTACTTGGTTTGATACCTGCCATTTATGATGTTTTCATTGTGTGGTACTCTAACCATTGTGTAAATCAGCCTGGGCTCTGAGAAAAATGGAGGGAGAAATTCTTGGCGAGAGAATCTCCTTGAGAATCTCCTTGATGATTTTCTTCATTCTTTGCAATGCTGCACTCCAATTTTAATATTGGTAAAACCCTGAGATGTAGATATAATTATGCTAAATTATGATAAAATGTTAATTTGCCTCCACATTCTCAGGTGAGGAGAGAGGGTCAAACTTGAATCAGATACCCTAGCGACAACAATGTTAGATTAGGCTTAATCAGAGGGCAGAGACTCCCATACTTTATGTTAAGGTGCTGGACTTGTGTGAAAGTAGGTAAATAGATGAGCTTTTTTCTAGACACCCCTCACCCAAACTTCTAAAATACAGTGATGTCTAAGAAAACCCTCTGATTTGTAAATAGCTTTAAAGTTTACAAAGCAATTTTATGTGTGATGATTTAATTTAGTCTTTACAGCACACTGTGGTGGTTGTTATGTCTTTATTTTGTAAATGAGAGAAAATGCATAAAATGAGGTTAAATGACTTGGTCAGAGTCACACAGTTAATAAATGGTCACACTAGATATGAGAATCAGGTCGCTGTCTGACATTCTTTCTGTGATATCGCTCAATAATCCTACAATGCTCACCAACATTCAAGTAAATACAAAATGAAGAAGCATAACTTACATCAATACAATGATTCCACTTGACTGTTAAATTAGCAAATGCATTTTTCAAGTTATAATATTCAAATTAAAATATTGAGATGTACAATTCTCATACCTGCCTAAAACCTGGCTATGTAACTGTCAAATGTGCGAATTTTATTAGATGACCTCTAAAGTTCCTTTCTGCATTTGTTAATTGTGACTATTGGATCAAAATGACCATTACCATTTATTTTTGGCTGATCAGCATTCAATTCTTTCTTCCTAATAGTGCTCTGAGATCCCTTGGGGAAATCCTCTATTGTGTATAGTCTTGGTGTGAGAGATGGGGCTGGCTTTTCATTTCTTCTCCTCTTCACTTTTACCCATATCCTGAAGCTTCGAATCTTTTTGTTTTCCATTTTTAAAATTCACTTTTATTTTTGTGTTTTTTGTAATACATTATTTTTTAAAGTTGTATTGTGTTAAGAACACTTAACATGAGATCGCTCTTAAACATTTTTTGTATCCAATATATTACTATTGACCTAAAAATCTGTAAAGCAGATTTTTAAGGCTTATTCATATTACTTGACTGCAACTTTATACCCGTTTAATACTAACTTCCCATTTCTCCCTGTCGTCAGCCCCTTGCAACCACTCTTTGATTCCATAACTTTGACTATTTTAGATACATAAGTGGAATCACACAGTATGTGTCTTTCTGGGACTGGCTTATTTCACTTAGCATAATGTCCTCAAGGTTCGTCCATGTTGTCATATATTACAGAATTTCATTTCTTTTTTAAAACAAAATAGTATTCCATTGTTATGTATACCACATTTTCTTTATCAGTTTACCTATTATGGGCATTTAGGTTGTTTACATACCTTGGCTGTTGCAAATAATGGTGCGACAAACATGAGTGCTAATACTCTGAGATTCTGATTTCAGTTATTTTGGAAAGACATTCAGGAGTGGGATTGTTCGGTCATATAGTAGTTCTATGTCTAATTTTTCAGAGAACCTCCCTATTGTTTTCCACAGTGGCTGCACCATTTTACTTCCCCACCAACAGTGTACAAGTTCCTAGTTTCTCTGCATCCCCACCAACATTCTGTTGTCTTTTGCTGTTCTTAGATAATAGCCATCCTGACAGGTGTGAGATGATATCTTATTGTAGTATTGATTTGTACTTCTCAAATAATTGATGACATAGAGTATTTTTTAATCGATGTCAGCTATTTGTATATCTTCTTTGGAAAAATGTCTATTCAAGTGGGTAACCATTTTTAATCAGGTTTCTATATATATTATATTCACTACTGAGTTGCAAGAGTTTCTTATATGTTTTGGATATTAACCTCTTATCAGTTATAGGATTTATAAATATGGTTTACTATTCTGTTGGCTTCTCTTTCACTCTGTTGATGGTTTTCTTTGCTGCTGTGCAGGAGATTTTTAGTTTGATGTAGTCCCACTTGTTTGTGTTTTTATTTTCTTTGCTTATTTTTGTCTGTGCTCAGTGTATTAACCATAAAAGCCTTGCCAAAACCAACAACATGAAGGAAAACCTATGTTTTTTTCTAGGGATTTTATAGTTTTGTGTGTTACATTTAAGTCTCTAATCCATTTTAAGTTGATTTTTGCATACAGTGCAAGATAAGGTTCCGGTTTCATTCTTTTGCATGTGGATATCTGGTTTTTTCAGCACTATTTGTTGAAGAGAAAGAAGATTCTTTCCCATTGTGTATTGTTGGCACCCTTGTCAAAGATCAGTTGACTGTATATGGGTGGATTCATTTTGTGACTCTACTTTGTTTTCTTGGTCTATATGCCTGCTCTATGCTAGCACCATACTGTTTTGTCTGCTTTAGCTTTGCAATATATTTTGAAATAAGAAAGTATAATATCTCTAGCTTTATTTTTCTTTCTCAAGATTAATTTGGGTTTGTGACATTTTTGTCACTCCAGATGAATTTTAGAATTTTTTAAATTTCTGTTAAAAACACCAGTGAGATTTTGATATGGATTGCATTGAATATGTAGCTTGATTTGAGTAATATGGACATGAAGAAATAGAAAATCTAAGCAGATGTGTAACTAGTATGGAGTTTGAACCAGTAATCAAATATCTCCCAACAAAGAAAAGCCCAAGGCCCGATGGCTTCATTGGTGAATTTTCCTGAACATTCAAAGAATTTGTACCACTCCTTCTCAAATTTTTCCAAAAAATTAAAGAGAAAGGAATATTTCATAACTCACTTTATAAGATCGACATTCTCTTGATAACAATGTAGTCAAATAAGCTACAAAAAAGAAAATTATAGGTTAATATTGTTAGTGAAAATAGACATGAAACTCCTCAATATGACACTAGCAAGCTGAATCCAATAGCATATTAAAAGAATCATACACCATGACCAAGTGGGATTGATTCCTGAGATACAAGAACAATTCAACATATGAAAATTAATTAATGTGATGTATATACATTAGAAAGATAAGGGAAAAAAACCAACATGATCATCTCAATGAATGCATCAAAAGCATTTGACAAAATTTATCCTTTCATGATAAAAACTCTCAAAAAATTGGGCATAAAATAAATGTTTCTCAACACAATAAAGACTATATATGACAAGCCCACAGCTAACATTATACCCAACAATAGAAAAGTGAAAGCTTTTCCTCTAAAATCAGAAACAAGGCAAGAATGCTCACTCTTCCTACTCCTATTCAACATAGCACTAAAAGTCATAGCTAGAACAATTAGGCAAGAAAAAAAGTTATCCATCCACATTGCAAAAGAAGAAGTAAAATTGTTCCTATTTTCAGATGGTGTGATCTTATATATAGAAAACCCTAAAGATTCCATTTAAAAAACTGTTAGAACTAATAAATAAATACAATAGTCCTTGCCTTGTCCCTGGTTGTACTTTCTTTGGTTTCAGTTACATGCAGTCAACCATGGTCCGAAAATACTGCATACAATAAGATATTTTGAGAGAGAAGGGAGGAGAGACCACATTCCTATAACGAAGATTGCAGTATATTGTTATAATTGTTCTATTTTATTATTAGTTATTAATCTCTTTTTTTTTTTTTTTTTTTTTTTTTGAGATGGAGTCTTGTTCCATTGCCCAGGCTACAGTGCAGTGGCACAAACTTGGCTCATTGCAACCTCTCCCTCCTGGATTCAAGTGACCCTCCTGCCTCAGCTTCCCAAGTACCTGGGATTACAGGCATGTACCACCACGCCTGGCTAATTTTTGTACTTTTAGTAGAGACGGGGTTTCACCATGTTGGCCAGGCTGGTCTCAAACTGCTGCCCTCAAGTGATCTGCCCACCTTAGCCTCCCAAAGTGCTGGGATTACAGGCATGAGCCACTGCACCTGGCCCTAATTATTAATTTCTTACTGTTCCTAATTTATAAATTAAACTTTATTATATTTATATGTGGACAGCACAAAACATAGTATATATAGGATTTGGTATTCTATAGCTTCAAGCAACCACTGGTGGTCTTGAATGTACCGCCTGCAGATAAGCGAGAGCTGCTATGTAATAAAGCTGAGGATAAAAAGTCAATATACAAAAATGAGCTGTGTTTCTATATACTAACAATAAACTATCTGAAAAGAAAAATATGAAAATAATCCCATTTACATACAATACCACCTAAAAGAATAATATATGTAGGAAAAAACTAAAGAGTTTCGTGAAAGACTTGTATATTGAAAACTGTGATGCATTCCTGAAAGAAATTAAAACAAGGCACAAAGAAATGAAAAGACATTCATCCTGTGTTCATGGATTGGAAGACCGAGGTTTTAAAATCTTGAGCTAGTAGAGTAGTACTAGAATGTAGTGTCAATTGGAGATCATTTTATTTCCAACTGGCCAGATATTTCCTGCTATGAAGCATTGGCATATTTCAGCTTAATACTTTGTGACTTTTTTGTTGACTGATCATTTACAAGCCTGGTTCTCCAGGTTTTCATAGGTTCTGTGAGTTCCTTCTTATGTTACCATGTCTTCCCAGGAAAAATCCTCCCATTTAATTTATCTAGAATCAGTTTCCTTTGTTCTCAAAATCTGAAACTCTGATGGTACACTGACAGCCATCCTACATTGTAACTATTGGAAAATACTTTCTTTCAGTCCAGTGAAACTTATCAAGAAGTATTTTTAGTATCCACATAAAATTAAAAGTAAGGACTAAATTCTGTAACATGGATCTCACCTCAGGGACCTAGAAAAACACGAATGGCTATGATTTATCAATTCAAAGTTTTACAAGTGTTTTAATGTCATAAACATATTTTTAGCTCTAGTATATATTAAGCATTAATTCTCATGATGACCACAAATGAGTAGCCTCAGGGGTATAAAATGTCATTTTTCAATTTGAAACAGAAGACTTCAGTATGTTGTGGGATCGTTGATTATCTTATGCTCCTGAATTTTCTCAGAATCTTAGACCCAGAGGATTTTTTTTGTTTCCTTCTCTTTTTTTCAGTTGTTATGCTGCTGTTCTTCAAGATCTTTTGTTGCAAAGGACATATTCTTTGACCAGTTTAAGCTACTCTCAATGTTCTGAAGACAACCTGTTAATTTTCTAATTCCTTTGTATTTAAAATCTTCCTGAAGTGGTGCATTGGGTTTTTAATAACTCTCATGACAGCAAAGCCAATCAGAAGACCCGTCATTGGCCTGTTTTCTGTAGTCTTTGACATTATATTATTTCCAATGATAGACACTCAGAACCTTAAAGCAGCTTTAATTCAATGAGGTAAGTGTTTTCTTAGATTCCAGAAACCAAAGCAGCTTTTAAACCAGGAAGTTGACATAATTCGCTTTGAGTTCTGTCCTGAAAAGACAATTTGTCCGCTTTGGCTCTACTTCCTTAGTCAGTGGATTAAACAGGATAACAAATATATTTATTTTGTATTGCAAAACTATTTCTTTGTATTGCAAATAAATTTATCCAAAAGAATACAAAGCCACCGTTCCTTCAAAAGCAGTGGTGGGCAGGAGGCTCCGGACTGTGTGACAGGCAAGAGTTTGTGTTTGCTTAGTCCTGTATTGACTGTAAGCCCATCTTCCTCTCTCTGTCCTCCCTCCTGTTCCAGTTTACCTGGGGTGAGGAAGCAGTAGCTGCTGCCAAGCTTTCTGCAGAAGAGGTTACAGCAGGAGAATGACACAGCACTTTAAGGACTCTAGAGAAACAAAGAAACCTCTGCTTCCTTTGTAGAGCACAGGTAATATCCTTGTATTGCTACTTATAATTGTGTCTATTTTCAGGGATTAAAAACTCTCTTATTTCTTCCTACGATGACAATTCTCTTATTTAAACCCTGAACAGTGTCTCCTTACCCCTTTATATCAGGTGACAACCTTATTACTAAATTTCCATGGTTCTCATATGACTCCAACCTGCCTTTCTCCACCTCCCCTTGCCTTCAGTCAACGAGGACTGTTTCAAGCAATTCTCTTCCCTGCCCTGGTTCTATTGTGTTCTGCTTTAGAGACATTCTTTCTGGATGTTTTAACTTAATCAGATCCTCCCTCAATTTCTACTCACCACTAAAGTGTCACTTCCCTCATGCCTTCTTTTGTAGGTAATATTTTGCATTAATTATTTTGGCCTTTCTCTGGTCTTACTATGTACCAGGTATTATAAGCACTGAATGAGGTCCACAACAATGGTGAGATCACACATGGTCCCTGTCCTCAGAACTTCTATTTAGTAGAGAAACAGGTAATTCATTATAGTGCATATGACAGGGGGTGTAGGTAAACACAGGTCCCATAGGAATAAGAGTAGGGCCTTTAATGTATATTTCTAGGATAGGGTTGTATTCCTGGATTTAATAAGAGCTACATGAGCATGTAGGCATCAGCTAGGTGAAGAAGATGGCTATCATAAACCAAGGAAACATGTGTTTTTATTCTTATTTTTGTCAGCTGTATAGTTAATTCACATACATTCTAAAATTTTTGAAAAATAGAAAATGATGAAGAAGGAAAAAACCAATGATCTGTAGTCCTATCATTCAAGTATCATTAAAACCACTAAAATGACAACACTTTGTTCCCTAATCTTGGGTATGTGTTGTGTGTGTGGTGGTGGTGGACGGGGGGAGGTGGTAATGTAGAGATATGCTAAATTTTGTATTTTTCAACTTATTTACTGTATATACAATTTTGAATACTGCATTTTTTTTCACTTAAAATTGTACTATAGGCTTTGTTTCACTCCATTAAGGCTTTCAAAAACATCATTTTAAAGGCTCATTTAGTCTTTCTACATGAATTCCTCCTGGTTTCTCTTACTCCTGTGGTCACACCCACCAGTAATCTGTCTTCGCCATGCCTCTAAATCAGACTTGCCTTCTTGGCACTCCTTTGGAATTGATAATAGCAGTCACAGCTGTAATCTCAATCATTTGTGTGAATGCAGCATGGCCCAGTGTCCCCAGATGGTTAGGTCAAACATACCTAAAGACAGGACATTCCAGGCATTATCTTTCACCACTTTTGAAACTCCCTTCCATGAGTGGAATTCCTGACTAATCTATTGATTGATGTTTCTTTAAAACAAATGGGAATCAAAAGGCAATGCACTTGGGTTGCTTATACTCTGAACCTTACTTGACTTTTTTCATTGGGCAACATTTAAGTACCTCACACTGTGAGTTATTGATTTTATCAGTCATCATCTGTCCTAGAACTTTCCATTAAATCAAGGTTAGGGTAAGTATTAAGACATCAGTGATATTTCTACCTATAACTTTTGAAACTCTCCACTTCAGTATTTAACTAGAAGTATGAAAAAGAATCTATGGGAAACTTTTTCAAAATGCATTATGGCCAGGTCCTACCTAAGATATATTATTTTGGATGTGACAGGCTAGAAGAAGGACCTGAGCATATGCATTTTGAAAAGGCAGCACAAATGATTCTAGTGGGCATTCCTCAAAAGGAAGTACCGTCCTAATCTGATCCCTCAAAGGATAATGTTTTCTAAGGTTTCACTTGTCCACTGTATTAGTGAATTTTCACACTGCTATAAAGAAATACCTGAGACTGAGTCATTTAAAAGAAAAGAGGTTTAATTGCCTCATAGGTTTGCGTGGCTGGGGAGGCATCAGGAAACTTCTTATCATGGCAGAAGGCAAAGGGGAAACAAGCACCTCATATCTGGTGGCAGGAAAGAGAGAGAGCAAGAGCCAGGAAATGCTACACTTTAAAACCATCAACTGTCGTGAGAACTCCCCCAACATCACAAGAACAGCATGGGGGGAACTGCCACCATGATCCAATCACCTCCCACCAGGGGCCCTCCCTCAACAATGGGGATTACAATTTGATATGAAATTTCCATGGGGACTCAGAGCCAAACCATATTATCTACCTTGTTTTTTCATATATGCTTTTATTGATAAATATACTCTACCTTCATAATGTTATAACCATCTATATGCTGATGAGTCCTAAATCTCTATCTTCACCTTTAATTCACAGATTAAAACGCATGCAGCTGACAACCTTCTGAGAAAATCCAATTGGCAGTCTCCAGCCTTCCCCAACTCACTGAACTCACCATCTCATCTTCACTCCTCAGCCTACTCTCTCCCCAGACTCCCTTGCACAATGGTATCCCTCTTTTCTTGTACACTCAAGTCAGAAAACTGGGCAACCACCTTAAGCTTTAAATCCTTTAAATGACAATCATATAGAGAATTATTCTAAATTTCTTAGTCTCCCAGGACCACCTCCAACCTATGTCTATAGCTTTAATTTCTGCCTTCGTCAACTCACAGTTGATGTGCTTACACTGTTCAACATCTTGGAATTAACCACGTTTACCATTCTGTTTCCTACTTGATTCATTTTATTCCAACTGTAAAAGTCTTCCCATGCTTATTTCCCTAAATCTCATCTCATCTGTGTGTCCTCTCCTCTCCTTTTCTGAATTATCAGGTATATCCAACAGCTCTCCTTGTGTTACTACAACGTTTTATGCATGTATCTTTTACATGACTACTTTCTCCTCTTAGGCAATAAACACATGGAGGGCAGAGCCTGTGTCTATTTCCTTTTGTACTCGCAGTGCAATGTCGTGTGCTTGGCATATAGAAAGTGCTCAACTTGACTAAATTTTGATTGGATTGACTGAGCAGGTACAAGTGCACTAGTATTTGATACATGCTTAGCCCTTATAAAACCTTGAAACTTAGAGAATTGGGAGAGACAAAGGTAAAGAGGCAGTGTATCATGTGAATCAATTACTACTAGCTGCCCCGGTGGACCACTTCGCTGGAACTACTACGGGTTTAGCCTGGAGTATATCTAGCTCCTTGAGACTGATTCTGAAGGCTTGTTGGAAACAGTTCATTACTGTTTTTAAAATTCTCTCTTTCATTTTAAAGCCGCAGCAGCTTTCAAGTTTCTTCAGTTATTTGAGCCATGTTTCCATCTAATGTCTTGATATTACTTTAAAATAAATCAACCCAATGGGGATGGGGCAATGGTGGGGGAGTTTACGTGTAGAGGTAATTGAAAGGGAGAAAAATCAGATAAAGACAAATGCATGCAGACACACAGCAAGAATCCATGGTAACACACCTACCTATGCACCACTTGCTTGCTCTGCCTTCCATTCTCTAAACTGTCCACTGGGGTGAAATGTATAAGAAAATGAATGATGCCAGATATGATTGCAGTTAGGATCAGCATTGCAAAAGGCCCCTTAATGATTGTCAACTGGAACAAATCAGGCCTCAATTTTCCCCTTTTCATTATCTTTAAAGCAGGTTGCATTCACGGGTAATTAAAGATTATCTTGTATGTTTTCCTTTGATGTTTCCTTAGCTAGGGAGGACTATTCTGCACAAAGAAAGCCAGAAACAATAATACTGCATGCTTACTTTCTTTTTGTTTTCAATCATGAAATCCAGCAAAGGGTCAGACTCTAGGAACTTCAGAGCTAAATCTTGGTGTCAGTTTTGAAATAAGAGTTATTCCCAGTGAGGTTTGAAAAAGGGAGAACCATAGCTTCCAGGCCGCTTATTCATGGGATAAAAATTAAATCACGAAAGAACATTGAAAGGAAAACAAAGGCAATTAGGTAGACCAAAAACAGACTCTATATCTTATTTCTGAAACATTTTAAAATTTGGGCTTCATGAAAATCTGTGTTTGTGGAAGAATGCAGTATGATTTTGATTCAGACAGATGCATTTAGAATAGACATATGTACTGAAGGATGGCAGATGTGTTTGATGAAGCCAGATGTACAAAAGCAGTCAGATGTGTATGTCTCTTGAAGTGAAAGATGAAATCAAACACATATATATATACACATATACATACACGTATATATACATATATACACATATATACATATATACACTTATATACATATATATACATATATATCACATTACATTTGGTAGTCATGTCTCTTTAGGCTTCTTTTGGTTGTGACACTTTCCTGATTTTCTTTGTTTCCGATGACCTTGATAGTTTAGAGAGTACTGGTCAGATATTTTGTCGAATGTCCTTCAATTTTGTCTGATGTTTTTCCATGATTAGATTAGGCATGTGGGTTTTGCGTGAAGAATACAAGAGCAGAGTCACTTTCTTTACATTATATCAAGAGTATGAACTATCAATATAACTTATCATTGTTGCTGTTGACCTTGATCACTTGGCTAAGGTAGTGTTTGTGCCTGTCCCTTTCCATACTGTCTGTACTTTAAGTCACTATGAACAGCCCACACTTAAGGATGGGGAGTTATACTCCACTTCCTGGAGGGTAGAGTAACTACATAAGCTGTTTGGAACTTTTCTGAAAGGAAGGGTTGTCTCTTCTCCTGCATTTATTTATCCTTTATTTATGTCATCATGAACTCAGATATATTTATTTTATACTTTAAACATGTGTCTTTTGGTAGAACGTATGAATGCATGTGTCTTTTTGGTGAAACAATGTATTTTCTTTTGAAAATATACCCGGTAATGAGATTGCTGGGTCGAAGGGTAGCAGTGTTTTAAGTTCTTTCAGAAATATCCAAACTGCTTTCCTTCGCTGAACTAATTTACATTGCCACCAACAGTGTGTAAATATTATTTTACTTAATTTGTTGCTCACATTTTTTTATCTTTGTCTACTGAGAGTTCCTTCGGTTGGCTCTTGGGACATCTTCACATTCGTGCTATTGATTATTGAGTGTTGTGTGAGAGAGAGAGAGAGAGAGTGTGTGTGTGCGTTTGTGTGTGTGTGAGTGTGTGTGGGCAGTTTGTGTAGTTTTGAGCACTACAGTATGTTCTGGGAACTTCTTGTATATTTCCAGCCCGTTTTACTTTATATATTTTTATTTTTTTAATTAATTTCAACTTTTATTTTAGATTCAGGGGATACATGTGCAGGTTTGTTACCTGGGCATATTGTGTGATGCTGAGGCTTAGGTACAATTGATCTTATCACCCAGGTACTTAGCATAGTACCTGATAACTTCTCAACCTTTGCCCTTCTCCCTCTCATCCCATTCTAATAGTCCCTAGTGTCTATCATTGACATCTTTATAAGTAACCAATATTTAGCTCCCACTTATAAGTGAGAACATGTGATATTTGGTTTTCTATCCCTGTGTTAATTTGCTTAGGATAATGGACTATAGATGCATCCATGTTGCAGTGAAAGACAGATTTTATTCTTTTTTATTGCTGTGTAATATTTCATAGTGTATATGTATCACATTTTCCTTATCTAGTCCACTGTTGATGGGCACCTGGATTTGATTCCATGTCTTTGCAATTGTGAATAGTGCTGCAATAAATATAAAAGTTCATGTGTCTATTTGATAGAACAGTTTTTTTTTTGAAAATATACTCAGTAATGAAATTGCCACATGAAAAGATAGCTGTGTTTTAAGTTCTTTGGCTGAACTAATTTGCATTGCCACCAAGAGTATATAAGCTTTTCCTGTTCTCTGCAACCTTTTCAGCATCTGTTGTTTTATGACTTTTTAAATAATAACTATTCTAACAGATGTGAGTTTGTATCTCATTGTGGTTTTGATTTGCATTTCTCTGATAATTAGCGATGTTGAGCATTTTTCATGTTTGTTGGCCACTTATATGTCTTTTTTGATAAGTGCCTGTTCATGTCTTTAGCCCATATTTAAGTTGGGTTATTTGTTTTTTGCTTGTTCAATTGTTTAAGTTCCTTACAGATTCTAGATTTTAGACCTTTGTTAGATGCAGTTTGCAAATATTTTCTGTCATTCTTTATATTGTCTATTTATGCTGTTTATCACTTCTATTGCTGTGCAAGAAACTTGTGAGTTTAATTAGATCCCACTGTTAAATTTTTGTTTTTGTTGCAATTGCTTTTGAGGACTTAATCATAAATTCCTTCCCAAGGCCAATGTCAAAACTGGTGTTTCTTAGGTTTTCTCCTGAGATTCTTATAGTTTGAAGTCTAACATTTAAATTATTAATCTATTTCGAGTTAACTTTTGTATATGATGAAAAGTAGGGGTCCAATTTCAATCTTCTGCATATGGCTAGCCAGCTATCCAAGCACAATGTATTGACTAGGAAGTCCTTTCCCCATTTCTTATTCTTGTCAACTTTGGTAAAGATTTGATGGCTCTAGGCATGCAGTTTTATTTTTGGGTTCTCTATGTTATTCCATTATCCTATGTGTCTGTTTTTGTACCAGTACCATGCTGCTTTGATTACTGTAGTTTTATAGTATAATTTGAAGTCAGGTAATGTGATGTCTTTGGTTTTGTTCTTTTTGATTAGGATTGCTTTGGCTATTTGGGCTATTTTTTGGGTCTATGTAAATTTTAAAATAGTTTTTTCTAGTTCTGTGAAAATTACATTGGTAGTTTGATAGTAATAGCACTGAAAGTCTAGATTGCTTTGGGCAGGATGGCTATTTTAATGATATTGATGTTTTGATCCATGAGCATAAAATGTTTTTTCATTGTTTGTATCATGTATGATTTCTTTCAGCAGTGTTTTGTAGTTCTTCTTGTAGAGATCTGTTACTTGCTTGGTTAGATGTATTCCAATGCATTTTTTTTCCAGCTATTGCAAATGGGATTATGTTCTTCATTTGGCTCTCAGATTGATCTTTGTGTATAGAAATGCTACCGATTTTCATATGTTTATTTTGTATTCTGAAATTTTACTGAAGTTCTTTATCAGTTTCAAGAGTCTTTTGGTGGAGTCTTTACAGTTTTCTAGGTCTAGAATCATATTTTCAGTGAAGAGAGATAATTTGACTTCTTCTTTTCGTATTTCAATGTCTTTTATTTCTTTCTCTTGCCTGATTGCTCTGGCTAGGACTTCCTATACTATGTTGAATAGGAGATCTTGTATTATTCCAGTTATCAAGGGGAATGCTTCCAGATTTTGCCCATTCAGTATGATGTTGGCTGTGGGTTTGTCATGGATGACTCAAAATTTTGACGTATGTTCCTTTGAAGGCTAGTTTCTTGAGGGTTTTCTTGATGAAGGAATGTTGAATTTTATTGAAAGCTTTTTCCATTTTTATTGAGATGATAATATGGTTTTTGTTTTTAATTCTTTTTATGTGGTGAATCACGTTTATTGATTTGTGTATGTTGAATCAACCTTACAAACCAGAATGAAGCCTACTTGACCATGGTGAACAAACTTTTTGATGGGCTGCTGGATTCAGTTTGATAGCACTTTCTTGAGGTCTTTTTGCATCTATGTTCATCAAGGATATTGGCTGGTAGTTTTCTTTTTTCATTGTGTCTTTGCTAGATGTTGGTATTAGGGTGATGCTTACTCTGTAGAATTAGTTAGGGAGGAGTCCCTTTTCCTCGAGTTTTTGAAATAGTACTAATTCTATAGTACCAGCTCTTCTTGTATGTCTGGTACAATTCAGCTGTGATTTCATCTGGTCCAGGACTTTCTTCATTTGGTAAATTAATTATTTATTTATTTATTTATTTATTTATTTTTACTCATTCAATTGTGAAACTCATTATTCGTCTCCTCAGGGTTTCAATTTCTTTCTGATTCAATCTTGAGAGACTGTGTTTTTCCAGAAATTTATCCATTTCCTCTAGCTTTTCTTCTTCATGTGCATAGAGTTGTTCATTATATCTGAGTATCTTTTGTATTTCTGTGGGATTGGCTGTAATGTCACCTTTTCATTTCTGATTATGCTTATTTGGATCTTCTCCTTTCTTTGTTAATCTAGCTAGTGTTCTGTCAATCTTGTTTATCCTTTCAAAGAATCATCTTTTGGTTTTGTTGATTATTCCTATGTATTTTGGAGTCTCAATTTTCTTCAGTTTAGTTCTGATTTTAGTCATTTCTTTCTGCTAGCTTTTTTAATTTTTTAGTTCCTCTAGGTATGATGTTAGATTGTTAATTTGAGATCTTCTAACTTTTTAAGTTAGGTGCGTATTGCTATAGATTTTCCCCTTAACACTGCTTTTACTGCATCCCAGAAGTTTTGGTGTATTCTGTCTCTGTTTTGATTCATTTCAAAGAATTACTTGATTTCTGCCTTAATTTTGTTGTTTACCCAAAAGTCATTCATGAGCAAGTTGTTTAGTTTTCATGTAATTGTGTAGTTTTGAGAGATATTCTAGGTATTGATTTATATTTTTATTCCAATATGTTCCAAGGATATGGTTGGTATGGCTTTGATTTTTTTGAAATTTATTTGAGACCTGCTTTATGGCCACCTATGTGGTCAATCTTGGAGTATGTTCCATGTGCAGATGAGGAGAATTTATATCTGGTTGTTGATGTGTTGAGTATTCTGGAGAGGTCTATTGGATTCAATTGGTCCTGTCAAATTTCAATTCAGAATTTCTTTGTTAGTTTTCTGACTTGGTGATCTGCTTAATGCTGTCGGCACTGAAGTCTTCTACTATTATTGTCTGACTGTCTAAGTCTCTTTGTAGGTCTAACTGTACTTGTTTTCTAATTCTGGGTCAACGTTGGTGCATATGTATATATATATTTAGGATAGTTAAGTATTCTTGTTGTATTTGAACCCTTTATTATTATGTAATGCCCTTCTTTGCCTATTTTTACTGTTCCTGGTTTAAAGTCTGTTTTATGTAACATAAGAATAGCTCTTTTTTGTGTTTCTGCTCTTTTTTTGTTTTCTCTTTGCATGACAGATCTTTCTCCAACCCTTTACTTTGAGCCAGTGGGTGTCTTTATGTGTGCGATGCAACTCTGGAATACAATAGATGGTTGGGTCTTGTTTCTCTATCCAGCTTGCCACTCTGTGCCTTTCAAGTGGGGCATAGAGGTCATTTGCATTCAAGGCTAATATTGATAAGTGAAGTTTTGATTATATTGTGAAGTTGTTAGCTGGTTGCTTTGTAGTTTCTATCATGTGGTTGCTTTGTAGAGTATGTGGGCTATGTACTTAAGTATGTTTTTGTGGTGGCAGGTATCATTTATTGTTTCCATGTTTAGAACTCCCTTAAGGATGTCTGCTCTAATGGTAACAAATTCCCTTACCATTTGCTTGTCTTAGAATTTTTTTTTTCTCCTCTGCTTATGAAGCTTAGTTTTGTAGGATATGTCATTCTTGCTTGGAATTTCTATTCTTTAAGGATGCTGAAAGTAGGCCTTCAATCTGTCCTGGCTTGTAGGGCTTCTGCTGAGAAGCCCGCTCAGCCTGATAAAATTCTCTTTGTATGTGATATGACATTGTCCTCTAGCTGCCTTTTAGATTTTGTCTTTATTATTGATCTTGGACACTCTGTTGACTATATGACTTGATGATGTTCCTTTTGTATAGTATCTCACAGATGTTCTCTGGATTTCTTGTATCTGGATGTCTATATCTCTAGCAATATTAGGAAGATTTTCTTGAATTATTCCCTCAAATATATTTTCCAGGCTGTTTGTTTTTATTCCTTCATTCTCATGAATGCCAATAATTCACTGATTTGGCTGCCTTACATAATTCTATATTTCTCAAAGACCATTCATCTTTAAAAATTTTTTTCTTTGTTTTTGTCTGACAGGATTAGTTTGAAATACCAGTCTTTATGCTCTGAAATTCTTCCTTCTGTTTGATCTAGTCTATTGATAAAGCTCTCAATTGCATTTTGAATTTTCTTAAGTGAGTTTTTCAATTCCGGAAGCTCTGGTTGATTTCTTTTTTATGACATATATCTCTTCCTTCATTTCCTGGATTGCTTTAGAAGTATTTTGTGTGTTGATTTTCAACCTTGTATCTTGTTGAGTTTTTTTGCAATACATGCTTTGAATTCTTTATCTGTCATTTCTGAATTTCCATTTTGGATAGGGACCATAGCTAGAGAGCTAGAATGATTTTTGGTATTGTCAGCACATTCAGATGCAGAATTCTAGAATTCTTGCTCTGATTCTTTCTCATCTAGAGAAGCTGGTACTTCTAATTTTTGTAATTATTTTCATATGAATAGAATTTTTTCTTTGTGTTTCATTCCCATTAATTTTTTTTTTCTTTTGCTTTCCCTTCTTCCACCCCCTTTCTGCGGGTTGTGACTTTAGAGAATGTTGGGTAGAGTCTTTTGGCTTTGCTTCTACACTCCTATGCACTTCTGTTGACAGGTTTTTTTTTTGTTTTTTTTGTTTTTGTTTTTGTTTTCTGCTTGGCACCATTTAATCAAGTGTGAGTGTCAAATTCTTTATAGCTTCAAATTAACAACAAGGAACTGTAATTTTTGTGTTTGTTTGTTTAAAAGACCAGCCGAGATTTTTCTTTTTGCCTGTTTAAGCTTTATTTAATTCAAGCTCCAATCTGCCCCTCTTTGATTTCATTTCCAAATCCTAAATAAAAGTGATAACTCTTTCTGCCAATTGTAACAAACTGCTGGTGCCAGTTATTGCTTTTTGAAAAAAAAAAGCAAAACCAAAACCAAAAAAAAAAAACCTTTTAATACTTAGCGGACAGCTTTATCCAAAAGCGGGGAGAAAACCCTGGCCTTTCAAAACCATCCAATATATTTGTAACAACCTCTTTACTGAGTTCATGTATCTTCTTTTTTTTTTTTATTTTTTTTTATTTTATTATTATTATTATTATTATACTCTAAGTTTTAGGGTACATGTGCACATTGTGCAGGTTAGTTACATATGTATACATGTGCCATGCTGGTGCGCTGCACCCACTAACGTGTCATCTAGCATTAGGTATATCTCCCAATGCTATCCCTCCCCCCTCCCCCGACCCCACCACAGTCCCCAGAGTGTGATATTCCCCTTCCTGTGTCCATGTGATCTCATTGTTCAATTCCCACCTATGAGTGAGAATATGCGGTGTTTGGTTTTTTGTTCTTGCAATAGTTTACTGAGAATGATGGTTTCCAATTTCATCCATGTCCCTACAAAGGACATGAACTCATCATTTTTTATGGCTGCATAGTATTCCATGGTGTATATGTGACACATTTTCTTAATCCAGTCTATCATTGTTGGACATTTGGGTTGGTTCCAAGTCTTTGCTATTGTGAATAGTGCCGCAATAAACATACGTGTGCACGTGTCTTTATAGCAGCATGATTTATAGTCCTTTGGGTATATACCCAGTAATGGGATGGCTGGGTCAAATGGTATTTCTAGTTCTAGATCCCTGAGGAATCGCCACACTGACTTCCACAATGGTTGAACTAGTTTACAGTCCCACCAACAGTGTCAAAGTGTTCCTATTTCTCCACATCCTCTCCAGCACCTGTTGTTTCCTGACTTTTTAATGATTGCCATTCTAACTGGTGTGAGATGATATCTCATAGTGGTTTTGATTTGCATTTCTCTGATGGCCAGTGATGATGAGCATTTCTTCATGTGTTTTTTGGCTGCATAAATGTCTTCTTTTGAGAAGTGTCTGTTCATGTCCTTCGCCCACTTTTTGATGGGGTTGTTTGTTTTTTTCTTGTAAATTTGTTTGAGTTCATTGTAGATTCTGGATATTAGCCCTTTGTCAGATGAGTAGGTTGCGAAAATTTTCTCCCATGTTGTAGGTTGCCTGTTCACTCTGATGGTAGTTTCTTTTGCTGTGCAGAAGCTCTTTAGTTTAATTAGATCCCATTTGTCAATTTTGGCTTTTGTTGCCATTGCTTTTGGTGTTTTGGACATGAAGTCCTTGCCCATGCCTATGTCCTGAATGGTAATGCCTAGGTTTTCTTCTAGGGTTTTTATGGTTTTAGGTCTCATGTTTAAATCTTTAATCCATCTTGAATTGATTTTCGTAAAAGGTGTAAGGAAGGGATCCAGTTTCAGCTTTCTACATATGGCTAGCCAGTTTTCCCAGCACCATTTATTAAATAGGGAATGCTTTCCCCATTGCTTGTTTTTCTCAGGTTTGTCAAAGATCAGATAGTTGTAGATATGCGGCATTATTTCTGAGGGCTCTGTTCTGTTCCATTGATCTATAACTCTGTTTTGGTACCAGTACCATGCTGTTTTGGTTACTGTAGCCTTGTAGTATAGTTTGAAGTCAGGTAGTGTGATGCCTCCAGCTTTGTTCTTTTGGCTTAGGATTGACTTGGCGATGCGGGCTCTTTTTTGGTTCCATATGAACTTTAAAGTCGTTTTTTCCAATTCTGTGAAGAAAGTCATTGGTAGCTTGATGGGGATGGCATTGAATCTGTAAATTACCTTGGGCAGTATGGCCATTTTCATGATATTGATTCTTCCTACCCATGAGCATGGAATGTTCTTCCATTTGTTTGTGTCCTCTTTTATTTCCTTGAGCAGTGGTTTGTAGTTCTCCTTGAAGAGGTCCTTCACATCCCTTATAAGTTGGATTCCTAGGTATTTTATTCTCTTTGAAGCAATTGTGAATGGGAATTCACCCATGATTTGGCTCTCTGTTTGTCTGTTGTTGGTGTATAAGAATGCTTGTGATTTTTGTACACTGATTTTGTATCCTGAGACTTTGCTGAAGTTGCTTATCAGCTTAAGGAGATTTTGCGCTGAGACCATGGGGTTTTCTAGATACACAATCATGTCGTCTGCAAACAGGGACAATTTGACTTCCTCTTTTCCTAATTGAATACCTTTTATTTCGTTCTCCTGCCTGATTGCCCTGGCCAGAACTTCCAACACTATGTTGAATAGGAGTGGTGAGAGAGGGCATCCCTGTCTTGTGCCAGTTTTCAAAGGGAATGCTTCCAGTTTTTGCCCATTCAGTATGATATTGGCTGTGGGTTTGTCATAGATAGCTCTTATTATTTTGAAATATGTCCCATCAATACCTAATTTATTGAGAGTTTTTAGCATGAAGGGTTGTTGAATTTTGTCAAAGGCTTTTTCTGCATCTATTGAGATAATCGTGTGGTTTTTGTCTTTGGCTCTGTTTATATGCTGGATTACATTTATTGATTTGCGTATATTGAACCAGCCTTGCATCCCAGGGATGAAGCCCACTTGATCATGGTGGATAAGCTTTTTGATGTGCTGCTGGATTCGGTTTGCCAGTATTTTATTGAGGATTTTTGCATCAATGTTCATCAAGGATATTGGTCTAAAATTCTCTTTTTTGCTTGTGTCTCTGCCCGGCTTTGGTATCAGAATGATGCTGGCCTCATAAAATGAGTTAGGGAGGATTCCCTCTTTTTCTATTGATTGGAATAGTTTCAGAAGGAATGGTACCAGTTCCTCCTTGTACCTCTGGTAGAATTCGGCTGTGAATCCATCTGGTCCTGGACTCTTTTTGGTTGGTAAACTATTGATTATTGCCACAATTTCAGAGCCTGTTATTGGTCTATTCAGAGATTCAACTTCTTCCTGGTTTAGTCTTGGGAGAGTGTATGTGTCGAGGAATGTATCCATTTCTTCTAGATTTTCTAGTTTATTTGCATAGAGGTGTTTGTAGTATTCTCTGATGGTAGTTTGTATTTCTGTGGGATCGGTGGTGATATCCCCTTTATCATTTTTTATTGTGTCTATTTGATTCTTCTCTCTTTTTTTCTTTATTAGTCTTGCTAGTGGTCTATCAATTTTGTTGATCCTTTCAAAAAACCAGCTCCTGGATTCATTGATTTTTTGAAGGGTTTTTTGTGTCTCTATTTCCTTCAGTTCTGCTCTGATTTTAGTTATTTCTTGCCTTCTGCTAGCTTTTGAATGTGTTTGCTCTTGCTTTTCTAGTTCTTTTAATTGTGATGTTAGGGTGTCAATTTTGGATCTTTCCTGCTTTCTCTTGTAGGCATTTAGTGCTATAAATTTCCCTCTACACACTGCTTTGAATGCGTCCCAGAGATTCTGGTATGTGGTGTCTTTGTTCTCGTTGGTTTCAAAGAACATCTTTATTTCTGCCTTCATTTCGTTATGTACCCAGTAGTCATTCAGGAGCAGGTTGTTCAGTTTCCATGTAGTTGAGCGGCTTTGAGTGAGATTCTTAATCCTGAGTTCTAGTTTGATTGCACTGTGGTCTGAGAGATAGTTTGTTATAATTTCTGTTCTTTTACATTTGCTGAGGAGAGCTTTACTTCCAACTATGTGGTCAATTTTGGAATAGGTGTGGTGTGGTGCTGAAAAAAATGTATATTCTGTTGATTTGGGGTGGAGAGTTCTGTAGATGTCTATTAGGTCTGCTTGGTGCAGAGCTGAGTTCAATTCCTGGGTATCCTTGTTGACTTTCTGTCTCGTTGATCTGTCTAATGTTGACAGTGGGGTGTTAAAGTCTCCCATTATTAATGTGTGGGAGTCTAAGTCTCTTTGTAGGTCACTGAGGACTTGCTTTATGAATCTGGGTGCTCCTGTATTGGGTGCATAAATATTTAGGATAGTTAACTCCTCTTGTTGAATTGATCCCTTTACCATTATGTAATGGCCTTCTTTGTCTCTTTTGATCTTTGTTGGTTTAAAGTCTGTTTTATCAGAGACTAGGATTGCAACCCCTGCCTTTTTTTGTTTTCCATTGGCTTGGTAGATCTTCCTCCATCCTTTTATTTTGAGCCTATGTGTGTCTCTGCACGTGAGATGGGTTTCCTGAATACAGCACACTGATGGGTCTTGACTCTTTATCCAACTTGCCAGTCTGTGTCTTTTAATTGCAGAATTTAGTCCATTTATATTTAAAGTTAATATTGTTATGTGTGAATTTGATCCTGTCATTATGATGTTAGCTGGTGATTTTGCTCATTAGTTGATGCAGTTTCTTCCTAGTCTCGATGGTCTTTACATTTTGGCATGATTTTGCAGCGGCTGGTACCGGTTGTTCCTTTCCATGTTTAGCGCTTCCTTCAGGAGCTCTTTTAGGGCAGGCCTGGTGGTGACAAAATCTCTCAGCATTTGCTTGTCTATAAAGTATTTTATTTCTCCTTCACTTATGAAGCTTAGTTTGGCTGGATATGAAATTCTGGGTTGAAAATTCTTTTCTTTAAGAATGTTGAATATTGGCCCCCACTCTCTTCTGGCTTGTAGGGTTTCTGCCGAGAGATCCGCTGTTAGTCTGATGGGCTTTCCTTTGAGGGTAACCCGACCTTTCTCTCTGGCTGCCCTTAACATTTTTTCCTTCATTTCAACTTTGGTGAATCTGACAATTATGTGTCTTGGAGTTGCTCTTCTCGAGGAGTATCTTTGTGGCGTTCTCTGTATTTCCTGAATCTGAACGTTGGCCTGCCTTGCTAGATTGGGGAAGTTCTCCTGGATAATATCCTGCAGAGTGTTTTCCAACTTGGTTCCATTCTCCACATCACTTTCAGGTACACCAATCAGACGTAGATTTGGTCTTTTCACATAGTCCCATATTTCTTGGAGGCTTTGCTCATTTCTTTTTATTCTTTTTTCTCTAAACTTCCCTTCTCGCTTCATTTCATTCATTTCATCTTCCATTGCTGATACCCTTTCTTCCAGTTGATCGCATCGGCTCCTGAGGCTTCTGCATTCTTCACGTAGTTCTCGAGCCTTGGTTTTCAGCTCCATCAGCTCCTTTAAGCACTTCTCTGTATTGGTTATTCTAGTTATACATTCTTCTAAATTTTTTTCAAAGTTTTCAACTTCTTTGCCTTTGGTTTGAATGTCCTCCTGTAGCTCAGAGTAATTTGATCGTCTGAAGCCTTCTTCTCTCAGCTCGTCAAAATCATTCTCCATCCAGCTTTGTTCTGTTGCTGGTGAGGAACTGTGTTCCTTTGGAGGAGGAGAGGCGCTCTGCGTTTTAGAGTTTCCAGTTTTTCTGTTCTGTTTTTTCCCCATCTTTGTGGTTTTATCTACTTTTGGTCTTTGATGATGGTGATGTACAGATGGGTTTTCGGTGTAGATGTCCTTTCTGGTTGTTAGTTTTCCTTCTAACAGACAGGACCCTCAGCTGCAGGTCTGTTGGAATACCCTGCCGTGTGAGGTGTCAGTGTGCCCCTGCTGGGGGGTGCCTCCCAGTTAGGCTGCTTGGGGGTCAGGGGTCAGGGACCCACTTGAGGAGGCAGTCTGCCCGTTCTCAGATCTCCAGCTGCGTGCTGGGAGAACCACTGCTCTCTTCAAAGCTGTCAGACAGGGACACTTAAGTCTGCAGGGGTTACTGCTGTCTTTTTGTTTGTCTGTGCCCTGCCCCCAGAGGTGGAGCCTACAGAGGCAGGCAGGCCTCCTTGAGCTGTGGTGGGCTCCACCCAGTTCGAGCTTCCCGGCTGCTTTGTTTACCTAAGCAAGCCTGGGCAATGGCGGGCGCCCCTCCCCCAGCCTCGTTGCCGCCTTGCAGTTTGATCTCAGACTGCTGTGCTAGCAATCAGCGAGATTCCGTGGGCGTAGGACCCTCTGAGCCAGGTGTGGGATATAGTCTCGTAGTGCCCCGTTTCTTAAGCCGGTCTGAAAAGCGCAATATTCGGGTGGGAGTGACCCGATTTTCCAGGTGCGTCCGTCACCCCTTTCTTTGACTCAGAAAGGGAACTCCCTGACCCCTTGCGCTTCCCAGGTGAGGCAATGCCTCGCCCTGCTTCGGCTCGCGCACGGTGCGCACACACACTGGCCTGCGCCCACTGTCTGGCACTCCCTAGTGAGATGAACCCGGGTACCTCAGATGGAAATGCAGAAATCACCTGTCTTCTGCGTGGCTCACGCTGGGAGCTGTAGACCGGAGCTGTTCCTATTCGGCCATCTTGGCTCCTCCTCCCTCTGTTGACAGGTTTAATATAGGGCTGTGCAGTTTGACCTACAAGCCAGTAGATGGCAGTTATGGGTAAGAGCCAGCTGTAGCCAACATGGCTGGGTATATACTTGATCCTTGTTTCCTGGGAGAAGCTCTCTGTTGTCTCAGGCAAGAGCTGATTTATGAAGTTCAATGGTCTGTACTCCCTGTTCAGCCCTGAGGAGGTGGTCAAAAAGGGTGGGGCCAGACCTGACAAGTCCAACTACAGGTCCTCTGACAGCAGACACAAGCGCCTGTGCCAAGGAAGAATCCAGTGGGCAACCACTAAGCACCCAGAGGTGTGCTTAGGTGTGGAGCTGGGAAACCTCCTGGGCCCCAAGTTCTCTGCACAGGGATGGGGAGATGGCCTAAACTAATTCAGGAGAGTGAGAGCTCCAGATTCCTGGAGACCTGCCTGGATGTGGAGTGGACAGAACACATCCCTGCAGGAGGATCTCTGCACAGGAAGGGTGGCAGCCCCTGTTCTTAGAATCAAATATTTTCCCAAGGAACCCCAATTTCATTAGTCAGAGAGTGGTACTACAAACCACACTCTCAGTTCCAGATGAACTCCTTGCTTCTGGGGTTTCATTGCTTTCAGACTGACTCAGCTGACAGAGCAAGGATATATGTATTTGTGTATACTAACCTGTGTGTATACAAATATCTATAAATATTTCTATGTGTAACCATCTGTATTTATATTGAGCTAGATATAAATTCATACAGATGTCTATGACTAATCCTTTACAACATAGATCATTCTAGACTGTTTCACTTGCTTATCTATAACCTACACTCCTACAGTGAGAAAGCTGGCTTCCACCATCTGCCATTCATTTACTTAATTGTTCAATCACAGTATACATGTAAAGCAGTATCAGAGCTGTTAACCCATATCCCTGTGGGAAACAGCTTCATCAACTAGAGTCCAGTGCTTATGTATAATTTGTTTTGCCTTTAGACTCCCAGACTTCACTCATTTCCAAAGTTACTTAGATTAGCACCTTTCCTTCAAACCCTTCAGGGAAGTTGTTTCATACATTTGTAATATAATTAGATTATATTTTGTCACATTCTCTAGTCCATCCTAGGATCCTGTGGTCTCCTAATTTTTTTGCGTACATGAAGGTTTACTCATTGTCATATAAGCAGCATGGAGTATTTTGGTCACTGTTTTGTTGGTTATTGGCTGTACTTCAGTGATTCCTCATTAAATAAAATCATGTGATTTTATATTGTGCAAATGAACGATATATATGTAGTTTTCCAGAATACATTTATAGAACGTCTTTCCCTGTGGAAAATCACCAGACCTTCGATATATATGTCATTCATTTTCTTCAATTTTGCTGCCATACGGTTTTATTGTCAAAGTTCTCGATCGCATGTAACAGAACAGTAGTTGTAAGCAAGTGACTACTCAATAAAAGTTTGGAGAAAAAAAGAAAAAAAAAGTTTAGAAACAGAGACTTTATTTCTTCTTTGTTTTTGTTTTTAATTAAAAAAATCTACATATTTAGTACATTATCCCCCAGGTACTAACCATTGAGATCTGACAATTATCCCAATTTTGCCTAAAATTTGCTTATCTATTCCTTTCCTCTCAAAAATGTGTTTCTTACATATTTTGAAGAAAGTATTAGATAAGTCCTCATCACATCTACCAGATTAAAAACATCATAGTTATATGATATTTATCTATATTTTAAGATATTGATATCTTAATATCACAGTTAGTTATATAATAGTACCTAGTCAAATTCCTCTGATTGTCTAAAAAATTATTTTTCCACTTGGTTTGTATGAATTATGGAACAAATAAGGTACCATTACATTTGTATGTCACAACTCTTTATTTTTTTAATGAAGTGAATATTCTTCCCATTTTGATTTCCATGCTGAGGACTTAATGCAGAGACTGATAAGTTGTTATGCAGAGTGCAACACATAATGCATTTATCTGTTTGCTTATTTTTGTGTCATTTAACTTGTTCCTTTTATTTTCTGGGTAGTCATACATGGAAGTTAGCTCTTGATTATATTTGGATTTTACTTTTTGACAGATTAATTCATGGTTGATGTGCTGTGCCTCATATTGAATTTCACTAGGAGACTAACGATGTCTGATTTTCCTTACTTTTAATGATGCAAAGATTGACCCATGGTTCAAATAATAGCAATTTGATCACCACAATGTATTCTCCATTAAACTTTCATCTAATGGTTTCATCCATTGATGATTATTGTCTGAATCAACTACTTAACTGGATAGCACAAAATGGTGATTTTCTAATTTTGTCATTATTCCCACATTTAGTAAATGAAATTCCTATTTAAAGAACAATTTTCCCACCTCATCTATGACTACTTGGTTATCTTTCAGTACATATTCTACAGAAAACGAAGTATAAAGAGTTTGTACTAAACTCTTTTCTTTTAATTTCCGATATTCAGAGAAAGGAATTGGTGTCCTAATTTCTTTATGACATTTATTGAGATGTATGCTGTACCTCTCTACAGGTATATAGGTATGTATTTTCATTAAATTGTTTTACTACTCTTTTTATTTCAATTTAAAATTATTGTAAAGAAATGAGGATTTTTAAAATACATTTCAATCATTTCCATAGATTTTTCTTTTTGATGCACAAAATAAAGATACTTCCTAATTTTGGTCCTTGGGTTATTTTGATAACTCATGAGTCTTTGTTAGCTTCCTTGTTTTGGGTACAAAAAAAAAATAGCCAGCCTTATCTTTCAAGGACTCACGATTCCTTTGAAGAATAATATTCAGGGACACAATGAAGTGATGGTTAGGCTCACTGCTTTGGGGCTATAAAATACATACTTATTTAATAGCAAATATGATTATATACTGATATTTTCAATTCAGATTTACTAATACAATTTTTTTACTTCCTTAAGTAAATTATTTTCTCTTTTTATTACTCTGAAAGCTTGATTTCTAGTAACGTTAGCAAAATTATTTACTTGCATTGTCCTGTAACACATGTAAAATAATTCTAAAATAATAGCATCAATAATGCTATGAACATATTAGATTACTACACAAATTTTAAGACTTCCTTTCAGGTTTTACTGTCCTTTAAATATTGCCTACAGAGGATATAGAGTCAAAATACTGTACTATACTGTGTTTTTAAGTAATTTTAATTCAGATTTTTGATTATGTCATCAACTCGATACACGGATACATTCACTTCAATTTGTTTACAATTCCTAGTGATTGCCGTTTAAATTTAATTTCATTTTGGAGTACGTAAACACATCAATGTAAAATAGAAGTGTATAGTAATATACCTCTGAAATAGAGACCATATTCAGAAAAGTTTGATTTATCTTGTAAAAATATCTGATTCCCTGTTTTTAGTTTCTCCTATGATAACCACTTTACTTGTTCTTTATTTTTGCTACCCCTTTCTCTTTGCAAAAAAAGAGCAAATGCATATTTCATCCCTTTTATTACACAAAAGAATCACAATATATATCATATTCTAGACCTTATTTACTGTACTGCACAAATATCTTGAAGATTACTCCATATCAGTGTATACAGATCTTTTGCTAATTACGTTTCATTGTATGATATGCTTTGCTCAGCTTCCTATTAATAGACACTTGCCATATCAATAATATCTCAGTGAAGAACATTATACATAAGTCATTTTATATTTTTGATTATACTTCAAAATTTATTTTTTAAGTTAAATGGTAAATACATGTATAATGTCCTAATTGTTAGGATATTAATAATTATCCAATAACCACTATTATTATTATTATTGAATAGTTGATATTGTTAATTATTATTGAATAATAATTTTTGAAGTATTAATAATATTGTTTATTATGAATTATTATTATTGAATGACTATTAATTCAATATGACTGATGTCCAAATTACTTCCATAAAGATGGAATCACCACATTCTTACAAGCAATATAGAAAGAGCCTCTTTCCCCATAGTATTGCCAACAAAATATACTGTTAAAACTTTCCAATTTTGCCAGTCGGATAAGGAAGAAACAGTATTTCAGGACAATTTTAATATTCAACAATATTGCTATAAATGAAGTTGATCTTCTCTTTTCATATGGTTAAGATTCACTATCTATATTTTGCTAATTTTTATTCTTTTCTTGTTTGTTGTTTTCTCCTCAAGTTTTAAGACCTTGTCTTCTTTTGGAGATATTACTCCTTTATGATGGGATCTACAAATAAATTTTGTGGTTTTTCCTTTTTTATTTTGACTTTGATTTTAGTGGAGAAATTTTTGCCAGTTTAAAAGTTTAAAACAACATTTTTACAGTTGAGTGAATCCATATGGTCTTTTATTATTTTGGATTTTGATTTAAAGCTACAAGTGTTCTTCATTCTCATGTATTAAATGAATTACTAAATCTTTATGATTTTAGTATTTATGTTTAAATCTCTGATTCATTTAGATGTTTTTCTAGTATCCAAAGTGAAGTATGGATGTGATTGGATATTTTTGTTCATGGCTATTTTCCCCAACACCTTTCCTCCTATTGTTATGTGTTGAATTATGTTCTCTCTAAAAACACATGTTGAAGTCCTTCCCCTAGTATGTCAGAATGCAATGTTTTTTGGAAACAGAGTCTTTACAGAGGCAATGAAGTTAAAATGAGGTCAATAAAGTAGACCCTGATTCTATATGACTATGTCCTTATTTAAAAAGGGAAAATTTAGACATAGAGATAGATACATGCTGAGGGAGGAAAGATTATGTGAACGGGCAGCAGGAACAGATGGCTATTCCCAGGTCATGGTTTGCCTGAGGCTACCTGAAGCTAGGAGGGAGGACTGGAACTGATTCTTCCCTAGTGTCTTCAGAGGGAGCATTGTTCTGCCAACACCTTGATTTCAAGCTTTTAGTTTCCAGAACTGTGAAACAATAAGTTTTTACTGGTCTAAGCCACAAACTTTGTGGTACATTTTTTATGGCAGCCCTAGGAAGGTAATACACCCACTGATTGGAGGTACCATCTTTTCCTTATACCATACTTTCATCGTCAACTTAGATATACTTCTGAATTTTCTATTGTGCTCCATTTAGATTATCTATTTACTCATGTATCAATACCACAGTGTTTCAATTGAAGATGGTATACACTATGCTTTAATATCTGGCAGAGCTTCCTGACATATGTCCTTTTTTTTCTTTGTCTTTTTTTTTTTTTCTTAGAAACAGGGTCTTGCTCTGCGACCTAGTCACTGAAGCATGCACATGCCACCATGCCTGGCTTTTTTTTTTTTTTTTTTGTCTGACTATGTTGCCAAGGCTGGCATCAATTTTTCTTCCTCAGCCTGCCAAAGTGCTGGGATTACAAGCATGAGCCATTGTATTAGTCCATTTTTACACTGCTATAAAGATACTACCTGAGACTGGAAAATTTACGAAGGAAAGAGGTTTAATTGACTCACAGTTCTGCACAACTGGGGAGGCCTCAGGCAACTTACAATCCTGGCAGCACGTAAAGGGAAAACAGGCACTTTTCACATGATAACAAGAAAGAGAGAGAACGAGAGCACGGAAATGCCACACTTTCAAACCACCAGCTGTTGTGAGAAATCCCTCACTACCATGAGAACAGCATGAGGGAAACCACCCCCATGATCCAATCACTTCCCACCAAGCCCCTCCCTTGACACATGGGGATTACAATTTGAGATGAGATTTGGGTTGGGACACAGAGCCAAAACATATCAGCCACCATTCTCGGCCAAAATAACTTGTGTTATTTTTCTTTGCGCAGTTTTATTCAATAGTCTTACTTATTTTTCCATATGGAAATTAGTATTTTTAAAATAGACTGCTAATTGCAGGAAAAAGAAGTTGATATTTTTATTGGAATTGCAACATTTTATTTTTTAAGACTCCCTCACCCTGGCTTCTTTAACCAGCCCCCACAGGTTCTATCTTCCATGTCAGTGTCTCTCTTGTATCTATAGTTGCCTTGACTTCAGAAACGGTTCCAGTTACTATTGAATTCTCCATAATGACTGAAAATTCCTTGGATGCAAAGGATCTCTTGAAAGTCTTTTCTTCCCATTTGGAGACATACCTAGTCTTGATAATTACATGTTGAATAGAACCAAGTTGCCTAAATGCCTATTTCAAAGTTTTAAAAGAGAATTTGTTATAAATGTTCTGTAATTCATACTGCTGAGTAACTCAGGATGTAATTTAGGTGGTGTAGTACAGTGAAATTAGGGTTTGATGTGCTTTCTTAAAATCTGGGTTATAATATTTTATGTATCTCTGTCTATCTCTATCTAGCTCTCTGTTTCATTCAAAATCATATGTAATAAGACAGTTAAAAACTTTGAGATCAGCTTTCTGAATGTTTTGAATCTAGGATCAGAAAGCGTCCCTCACCAGATTATTGTGCAGATGAGGTGATCCAAAGTTCCTGCTGGGAAGTATATCTCAGTCCATCACTTGGTCCCTGCCTGGCAATCTTAGCTTCTTTATTATCATTTCTCCCTTCACACAGTCGACTTCATCAATATTGTCTTCTTTGCTCTTCCTTGACAAGACCAAGCTCATTCCTGCCTTATGGCTTATGCATCTGCTTTTCCCGTAGCTGGAAAATATCCTTACAGTTTTACTTGGCCTACTCTATGAATTCCTTCAACAGTAAGCTTAAAAGCACATCTTCATGTGGCCTTCCCTAACACTGTGTGTACAGCTGCCTATCTTCCCAGGCACTCCTTAATCTGTTTTTTTTTTTTTTTTCTTTTAGAAACGTGGTCTCTCTCTGTCGCCCAGGCTGGAGTGCAGTGGTGCGATCTTGGCTCACTGCAACTTCCGCCTACTGGGTTCAAGCGATTCTCTTGCTTCAACCTCCTGAGTAGCTGGGATTACAGGCACGCACCACCACATTTGGCTAATTTTTGTATTTTTAGTAGAGACGCGGTTTCACCAAATTGGTCAAGCTGGTCTTGAACTCCTGACCTCGTGATCCTCCCACCTCGGCCTCCCAAAGTTTTGGGATTACAAGCGTGAGCCCCTGTGCCCAGCCCACTCCTTAATTTTACCCTCCTTTATCTATCTTCATAGTACTTATTTATACCTGAAGTTGTATTGTATATTTATTATTTTACTTGTCATCTTTCTCATTGAAATCTAAGCTACCTGAGGCAAAGTCTTCTTCACTTTGATATTCCCTGGCTTATAATAATGCATTATGTACTCAATAAATATTGAATGAATAAATAAAATGACAATTTGTGCAAAATGCTTGGTACATAATGGTCACTTAACGAATGTTATCTTTCCTTTTCATTTATTCTACAATAGTGATATTTGCAGTCACTCTGAAGACACATGCAAAACTGGCTTAATTCCTTCCCTACAGTTCACATCCCTGAATTCTCAATAATAAAGACTTAAAGGATCTATTCCATTTACTGAATTGCATGTTTTGGGTGGTGTTTTTCCTGAGCCCAGGCCATTCTGTACTTGAATTGACAAGAGGTCATAGCATATTTGAATGCTCCTTTTTTATCATTAGTCATAATGATTTCTTAGGTTCTGGGTATGCTCATGTGTCCAATTATATTTGGGATGTTTGCTTTCCAGATGCCAGCAGAAATTCTGCATCTCTGCATTTGCTTTTCACCTTTGGATCTCCAGCCTGTTGCAATGTCTCTTTTGGTAGTTATGGTTTTGCCAGTTTGACTTCCCTTTTCTTCAAATGGAAAGGTCCTAGTATCACTGATTGTCTTTAAGATTTTTCAGAGTAATAGTCTAAAATTGAGGTAGAGAATTGCCTATCCTATTGAAAGTTTAGAAAAGTGTGCAATTTGGGAAAGTTTCTGATGAAGCTTGACAGTTCTCTGAATTGCCAAGGCCTTGGCAGTGATGACCAGGAGAAGACATGAGATTCAGTCTTTGAGGTCATAGCCCTTTTGACAGACATAATGAGATGGTCTAATCACCAATGGAGGACATTTAAAATGCCAAGGAACAGGACAAGGGTCAATAGACTGAGAAAGGAACTAACATTTCATCACATATATATTGTGTGCATAGCACTATGCTGGGTGCTAAATCAGAGGCACTTAAGTAGTTTTTGGAGCAATAAATGTCTCGCAGCTTGTATTAGTTCATTTTCATACTGCTATGAAAAAATACCCAAGACTGGGCAATGTATAAAGACAGAGGTTTAATGGACTCATAGTTTCACTTGGCTGGGGAGCCCTCACAATCATGGTGAAAGGCGAAGGAGGAGCAAAGACACATCTTACATGGCAGCAAGCAAGAGTGCACTTGTGCAGGGGAACTCCCATTTATAAGACCATCAGATCTCATGAGGCTTATTCACTACCATGAGAACAGTATGGAGGAAACTGCCTCCATGATTCAGTTATCTCCACCTTGTCCCACCCTTGACACATGGGGATTACTACAATTCAAGGTGAAATTTGGATGGGGACACAGCCAAACCAGATAACAGCTCTAATTAAATGTTGGCTGGGGAATATGCCACTGCTTTCCCTCTTGAACCCTCCGTCATGACTTTGGCTAGGAGAGTAGTTCCTAACCTTCAGACATTCATTCAGGTATACCACTTTTACTACTTTTTTCATATGTGAGTGGCACATGTACTGTTTATTTTTATTCTTTTTCTAAAATACATTGCTATGGTTCGAATATTTGTGTCCCCCACAAAAGTTATATGTTGAAATCAAATCAACAATGTGATGCTATTAGAAGAGAATACCTTTTTGGGAGGTGATTAGATGAGAATACAGCCTTATGAATGGGATCAGTGCCTTTATAAAAGAGACCCCAGAGAGCTACCTTGTCCCTTCCACCATGTGAGGACATGAGAAAATGGCTGTCTATGCATCAGGAAGTGGGCCCTCACCAGATTCCACATGTGGAAGTGACTTTATCTTCGACTTTCTAGATTCCAGAATTGTGAGAAATAATTTCCATTATTTAAATGTTACCAAGTTTATCATGCTTTGTTATAGCAGCCCAAAACAGACTAAGACATCAACGTGCTACTTAAATGACACATTGGACTCAAATCTCTTGTCTGACTTTGTGGTGATTCTGGATCACCCAGATGGTTGGGGTCCAAAAATTGTCTGTGTTCCCTTATATTTGCCTGGAACTCCTATTAGCTACCAGGTACTTCCTTATCCCTCATCAGTTATGTGGACTCCTTTGAGCTCTGTCTTGAATAATGTGAAGTTTCTCTGGTTGCTAAGAGTTGAAGCAGGCCTAACTCTGCTACTGCAAAAGACAACCCCCTCCCCGACCCAGGTTCCATCTTTCTTTCTTCCTTTTTGAAGATTTAATTTTCCAACCAAAGCTAAACATCTTTCGGTCTTCCCATCAGGTATGCAGAAGCCATAAAGGAAAAAATAAGAGGTAGAAATAAACTTATCTTCACAATGTAAACTGTGACACAAATACAGTTCTACATGCTCTATAAATCTGAATCCATTCAATACTTTAAAACCATTCACTGTAATCTCCATTTTACAGATAAGTAAAATATGCTAAAGTGAATGTAGATATTTGCAAAGGTAATGCGTGGTCAAAGCTGAGATGCAAACAAAATCATATCTGACAATACTGTGTGTTCTTCTGCTGGTAAAAATCCAAAGAAGAGAGCCCATTGGCATTTCAAAGATATAATATGCACAGTTGATAATCCCTCTTAAACTGACAAAAACTCAATCATTTCTGTGATTCAAATAGCTACAAAATATGTATATTTCTGATTCAAGTTGCACTTAAGGTATAAAAAAACTATTTTCAAAGAGCCATTTAATGTTCAAGAGCCTTATAAATAGGATCAGGCGACACATGGTGGCTAACTGAGAAGATCTATTTCTTGCTTCAGTCTTAAATGTGCTGAAATGATATCCAATTCTTAATGCTACTATTGATATGCCCAAAGGGTAGAATCCTGTGACTACTTAATCTCATGTTCCCTCAGAGAACAGAACTGCATAATTTTTCATTGTGTGAGTGCACCATAATTCATTTGAGCATTTCACTCTTTTTGGATATTTAGATATCTTTTTCATTTATTTTCTTATACAAAAATCATATTGTTATTATTTTCTAAGTTTAATTGGATAGGTAAAGATGATATTTTATTTTTAAAATGATGTATTGTTTGTGAGTTTAAAATTATGTGTGGGTGTTGGACATTTAAAATTAAAAAAAAAATCAGTTTCTATGTGTTCTCCATCTTTCTATTGGTATAATTGCCTTTTCCTCATTAATTTGCAAGCTCCTTGAAGACAGAGACCTTATTTGAGCTATTCACTGTTGTATTTCAGATTCCAAGATAGTACCAACCACAAAAATAGGCAAGATTAAATAAGAAAGGTTCCTTATGGTTTACCTAGGAATTATGTCAATGATGTTAATAAGAACTTTTCTTAGAATGAAAAGCTCACACAGGTTAGTGCAAGTTTTCAATGTAAAGTACATCTTTTTCATGGCAAGAGAGATTATCCTGAGATCAGAATACATGATTTTCAGATGCCGCATAGATCTTAAACAGAGGATGCAGGTCTGAATGTCTACTTTCTTACTTAAACTTTAAAAAATAGAGAAACAGGTATTCAACACTTCCTCTGTTGTCTTTCAAGTTTTGAGGCACGAGGTTCTTCAGAGAAATGAAGAGTGAGGAAATGAATAAATACTAGTTTAACAATAAGAAAAGTCCAAATTGCAAAAAAAAAAAAAAATGAATTATGAAGGAGAGACAAAGCAATAATGAAAAATTGTTATATAGGCCAAACCTTTACAAAAAAATACCAAGAGCATATAAATGTTTACACCACGATGGAATTTTGCTAAACCTTTCAACTTTGACTCATTACATAAGCCAATTAAAATTCTTAAAACACAGGCATGCACTCCTTCCAATATACCTTACACATGCAATCGTGTGAAAAAAAACAAAAAAACAAAAAAAAAAACCTTATTTCCTTCTTAAAGAGAAAGTGTTTAGATATGACAGGGCTTTCTTTTGTTTGTTTGTTTTTTTGAGACGGAGTCTTGCTCTGTCCCCCAGGCTGGAGTGCAGTGGCGCGATCTTGGCTCACTGCAATCTCCACCTCCCGGGTTCATGCCATTCTCCTGCCTCAGCCTCCCAAGTAGCTGGGACTACAACAAACCCGGCTATTTTTTTTTTTTTTTTTTTTTTTTTGTATTTTTAGTAGAGACGGGGTTTCACCGTGTTAGCCAGGATGGTCTCGTTCTCCTGACCTCGTGTTCTGCCTGCCTCGGCCTCCCAAAGTGCTGGGACTACAGGCGTGAGCCACCGCACCCGGCCAGCTTTCTTGCAGCTCTTGCTATGGGCTAAGCACTGTGTTCCGTTCATATTCATTAGCTCAGTTAATTCTCTGAGATAGTTATTGCTGTTTTTCCACTTGACAAATGTGACAATTGAGAGATAAAAGGTTTAAATAATCTATCCCAAGACAGAAAGCTCTTGAGAGGCAGAGGCAAGATTTCAACTTAGGCAGCTTGGCTCAGAGTCTGAATCCTTGTTTGGCAAACATAATTCCACAACGTCAAGATTCTACTTCTTTGAAATGTGTATTTCCAGTTTCTTTTTCTTTGAAACAATTGCCTATAATAGCTTAGAATCTGTAATGTAAAATGTTTCCTAGCCACAAATCTAAGTGATTTGTTATATATGCTAACTTACTTGGACTTCAAAACAACCTTGTAAAGGAAATACTATTATTATCATTTCCGTTTGCTAATGAGGAAACTAAGACAAACCGAGGTCAGTAACTTGATCCAAGTTCTGTGTTAAGAGGCAAATCTAGACTTTCACCAAGGCATCAAGGAACTGAAACTTTTACTCTTAACACCTTTGTATCCTCTACTCTTCTCTCCCCTTCTTTCTCTTCCATACTCCCCCTCCTGTTCTTTCTCCTCCCCTCTTCTCCTTATCTCCCTAGCTCTTCCTCTTTAATGAAAAGATTATATCCAATACACACTTTTTTAACTTTTTTGAGTTTATAATATATATATTTCCTTTCCTAAGTTATTACACATCCATGTCATTCTTTCTTTTTCTTTCTTTCTTTCCTTCCTTCCTTCTTTCCTTCTTTCTTTTCCTTCCTTCCCTCTCTCTTTCTCCTTCCTTCTTCCTTCTTCCTTTCCTTTCCTTTCTTCTCTGTCACCCAGGCTAGAGTGCAGTGGCACGATCACGGCTTACTGCAGCCTTGACCTCCTGGGCACAGGTGATCCTCCCGCCTCAGCCTCCCAAATAGCTGGAACTACAGGCACGCAGCACCATGCCTGGCTAATTTTTTTTTAAGTTTTAAATTTTCTGTAGAGACAGAGTCTCACTGTGTTGCCCAGGCTGGTCTCTAACTCCTGGGATCAAGTGATGTTCTTGCCTTGGCCTCTCAATGTGCTGGGATTATAGGCATGAGCCATTACACCCAGCCTTTTCTACATCATTACTTCTAGTGGCTATATAATATTCTTCTATGTGAACATGCCATAAAATATACGTTAGTTTTTCGAAATGTTGATTTACATTTTCTTTTTGGTTTGTAAGTTCTTGTATTAAGTGAGTACATTAATCCCTTATTTCCTGAATGAAATAATATGCAATGAATGTAATGAATGAAAATGAAATGTAAATCATTTTCTGAAGCATGTTCTAGGGACATTTACAAAATAATATTTCATTTTCTAACTGATTGCAGTGCTCATTTTTTATTTTCTAAATTTCTTTAGAAAAGGGCAAGAGTGATAAACTTGAATCCCAACGAAGTCATTTAAATAGGTTCAGTAGACATGTATTCGTAAATAGTAGGTCATAGATACATTGTAAAATTGGGAGATCCTGTTTTACCCAGTGACATTCTAATTTTTTTTTTTTTTTCAAAAATTGGGATGGGCAAAACTAAATAAACCCTGATTCTTAAATTGGCTTAAGTGATGAAGACACGAGCTTATCGTGCTTTCCTTTTATCCCCATTGGTGTTTATATCTATACTGCGGTCATAGACGTGGTCTTTTGTTAATATAACTCATTACCTTAAAAGGGACAATTAGTCAATTATTTATCAAAAAAATTATTTGTTATTTTTGTTCAGTTTGTGCTACTGATGGATTTTACAATCCAGAAAGTAATTAACTAAAGAAATAAATTAAATGGCTGATGCTCTCTTTTCAGTTAATAATTGATAAATTAATAAAGTTTATACTTCATAATTTTTACACTTCTGGTTGAGATACATATCTTTCAATTATTCAAATTTTTTAGATGATTCAAAGTTAACTTTAATAGTGTACTTTATTCATCAAGCAAACATTATTTAGTTTCTAACATATGCTAGCCACTCTGACAAGGGTTAGGGAGAAAGGGTTTTTTGTACTCTTGAAGTTTACAATCTAGAGGAGAGATAAACATCATATTATCACACAATAGTGACAAACTGTAACATAATGAACACTAAGAAATGTGAAAAGAGAGAAAGAAAAATAATAGAGGGATGCCTAAAGTTTTCTAAGTGGTAATGGAGTTATTTCTTAAGTATCTAACATTTGAGCTGCAAAATCAAGATAGACCTGGTCATTGAATTATTATATGGAAGACAATTTGGTTAGAGAAATGTTGAAAGCTGCATTTTTCATTTTTCATTTATTTGCATGAAAAAAATTGGAATGCTGTGTTTAAAACATTGAGATGTGGAGATTGTTTTTATTATAGATTTAACCTCATGTATGCTGATTAACCTTATAACCAATGTTTTCTGCTAAAGCTTGTATAGTTTTTATTATAAAATTGATTCAGGGAAGTACAAAAAAGAAAATAATAGCCTCACTTCACTTATAAATGCATGTTTTTAAAAACCTAATAGAAACATATATTAAATTTTAATCATATATATATTATACATATATAAGGTAAGTAAATACAGCAAGTTTTATAAAATATATTATGATCCTTAATTTAGGTTTATCTCTGGAATGTGAAGTTGGCTTAACATCAGAAAGTATCCATATGATGATATATTACATCAACATAAGCGAACAATTATACAATTATTTCAATAGATGAAGAAATACATTTAATGTATTTTAGCATGCATTCATGTTAAAACATTCCTACTAAACCGAAAATATTAAAGAGCCCTTCCTATCTTCATGTCACTGGTGGGAAGCCTACTGAGACAGACATTTTCAAAGTTTCCTGGGACGTGCTCACATGAACAATACTTGGGGTTTGGAAGAAGTAAACAAAGTAGCACTGGGCAAGAGACGGCCCACTGCTATGCATTTGTGACAGACTTCAATTTTGTACAGAGAATGGAAACTAGTATGAGCTATTCAGAGTTGAGGCCATTTGGGACAAGAGGGCCAGGGTTTTAGGGAATCAAATCTATCCATCATTAGATAAAAGGATGCTACCGAGAAAAAGGCGTGACCTTGTGCAAGGAAGTTGTCTTCAGCTAAAGTCAAGTCTTGAGCAGACTTGGATAAGAGCTGTTGGCCTTCAATATGCCAACAGCTGGGAGAACTAGAGCTTCAATCTGGGAGGAGAGGATCTGGCCAATACACCTCCTATTCTCTATACTCGGTAAACATATGTAACAGAATAATTTAAATGTATTCTCTTTAAGTCAACGAAGCCCATTATTATGTTTTTCTTAAAAGCATAGCACTGGAAAAAATCTCTTAGAAAACAAAGAAATAATAGGTGTAGAGACTGAAAGGTAAGACCTAAAACTATCATTATTTGCAAAGAATATGATTATCTACCCAGAAGAAATAAAAAGTGGAAACAACTTTATCAAATATAAAGTTAAGTAATCTTATCAGTTATAAGATCAATCTGAAATAACCTAAAGATCCACTTGCAATAAAATAAAAAATAAAATGCAATCTATATTTAAACAGACACTATTCTTAATCTATGAAATAATAAAGATCTTACAAGACTACTAAGTAGGTAATTATATTCTATCTGTGGAATGGCCTAATATTATAAACTACCCAAGAAATTATTATATAACTCAAATTTTAGATAGTAAGTATATTCTCAAACTTATATGGAAGAATAAAAATACTTAAAGAATTAAAATTCTTCTAAACCATCTATTAGAAGAATTGAATCAAAAATATGCTTCTAGCTACAACTTGACTTAGTACTAAATTTAAATCATAACAAAAGATTTCTTAAGGTAGCCACATAGACAAAGCAAGTGTACTTTCTAGGGTAAAAAATTTATATTGGTCTCAGACTTCTCAGAAAACTATTATAACATCTCCAAAATTCCAAGGGAAAAGAAGTGTTACTTAAAATTGCAATGCCCAACTACGATATGCTCAACTAGACAGAACAATAGACATGTGGGACAAAAGACATATAATCTTGAAAAAAACTCAGAGAAGACAGCACCCAAATATTCTACTTGGAAAAAATATACTAAAAGCTAACCAAAAGGTGGATTAAAATGAAGAGCTCAAACATGGGGGAGAATTCATATCATCTTAATTCTACTTAAATGTACAAAAAAGATGAAGTGACTGGGTATGGTGGTTCCAGAGCGTAACCTGAATGCTAGAAAATGTGAAACAAAATACATGCGTAAAAAGTGATAAGACCAGCCATGACAGCTCACGCCTGTAATCCCAGCACTTTGGGAGGCCAAGGTGGGAAGACCGCTTAAGCCCAAGAATTCAAGACCAGCCTGGGCAACAAAGCTAGACTCTGTCTCTACAAAAATTTTAAAAAATTAGCCAGGAGTGATGGCACACACCTGTAGTTCCAGCTATTCCAGAGGCTCAGGTGGGAGGATTGCTTGAGCTTAGGAAGTTGAAGCTGCAGTGAGTTGTGATCACACCACTGCACTCCAGCCTGAATGTCAGAGGGAGACCCTGTCTCAAAAAAAAAGAGTCGTAATTAGAGGAAGGATGAAGTATGAGGAAATGTGTGAATCTAAATATTTCACATTTGATAGAAAGGAATAATTAAATGTTTCCACGTTAAACATGTATTTAAATATATCACGCCTTCAGCTTAGTAATTTTAATATTTTTTCCTTAAGCTCAGAAGAATTTAAAGAATTTAATATCTCTTAATTTAAAAATCAAATAAAAAGCCTTTTAACTGAAGTATATTAATTCCTTTAGCTTGACTACATTTAAGTTCAGGTAACATGAAATTAAGCCCTTCTTAATTTAATACTAGCATATTAGCATGTCTTGGTGTGTATGTATCTCTCTACTCTTATTATGTCTGTTTAAATAGATTAAAAATATGAGTTCTTGTATGCATAAAGACACATCAAATATTGATTGTTTCTGGCAAGTCAGAATATTTGGAAAACTTATTTATCTTTTATACTCTTTTTTTATAATGTGATTATATATTACTAAAAAATAAAAAAGTATACTTAATAAGATAAATCAAAATATTCGAATGAAAATCTATAAATAAAAATTAAGAAAAATATATTGATAAGAAAATTAATTAAGGAGACTACAAAATTAAATATAATTTACATAGGCTTTTAACATATCATGTAATAGCCAACTCGAAATAATAATAAAAAAAGAATAACAAAAATTATAAAGATTCTGGGACAAATTTAACAAAATTTTCAAAATTTACATGAAGAAACCCTAAAAGTCTACAGAGGGCCATAAAAGATGATTCCAATAAATGAAGAGACATATATTATTCTGAATAAGATGGCTTAATATTGTAAAGAAAACATTTTTGTCTAACTTAATTTATTAATCCAAACCAATCTTAGTTGAAATCCTGATAGATCATTAAAAGAAAATGGAGACTTCAGATATTAATTTAACTACATGCTGAAATTCAGTATATAATATAGATAATGTTTTATCTATATTTATCTATATTTATCTATATATTTATCTATATTTATCAGGGAAAATCAGTATTAATCAAAAATTTCAGAGGAAAAACTGACTAAGCATTGAAAACATTAGATTTATAAGTAATTTGTTATAACGCAATGCATCCTAGAATGATCAAATATTTAAATCTAAAAAATGATGCTATAAAATATTGAGATGAAAACGTGGGTGATTATTTTTATCCTCTTGGAACATAGAAGACCTTTTTAAACATGACATGAAACCTAATGGTTATTCTTTAGAAAGATGATAAATGTGAATCCATATTTTAAAAACTTTAGTGTGTCAAAACAAAACAAAACTGAACCAAACAAAATGCCCAGCATTGGTAAGACTCAAATAAAATGGGAATTCTTATGAATATTGGAGTGGAGCTAAATTTGGTACAAATTTTAGGAAGTAAGTTTGCCAATTGTAGCAAAATTTTATTTGATCCAGTAATCCCCCCAAGGCTATACAATTAGTATGTATTGAAGATCTAGTATACATGTGTTGTGCTAGGTTTTATCTAAAAATACATCACTATGCCATAAATGGTCCCCCACCTTCTTGGATTCAAAATGTTTTCTAAAAGAATGAGGCATATTTTTCAATGAAGGTACCAAAGCGTAAGCTTTAGAGTGTCTAATTCGCATGACTTCCTTCCAAGTTCTTAGATATCTCAGTGCTTAATTTTGAATTTTACTTCTTAAAAGTGGCATTTTCAGACCCCAAAACCTGGTTCTAGTCCTGCTTAAAATAAAATCAAACTAATTTATAAAAAGCATGCATAAGATTTTTTTCTTCATTATAGTTATATTCATGGTTGTTTATGGTTTAGATAACATTATGTTATATATAATCTAAATGTAATATTTAAAATATCAAATATTTATATAGCTCTTACTATGCACTATGCACTTTTGTAATTTCTGTATACTTAACTCAGCTTATTCTTAAAGTAACCTGAGAGTAGTGCTATTTATTTCCATTACACAGATGAAAAAACTAAGTTTCAGAGAGGTTAAATGTAACCAGAGTGCCCATCAAAAGAGAATGCATTAAATAAATCATGGCATAGCCATTTAAGGTAATCGAATGAAATCAATATAATAAAACAAATCTATATTAATTAACAGAAGTATGTTCAATACCTTGTTAAGTGAAAATGCATTGTTAATAGAGCATTGGCTATATGATTCATTTATGAAAAATGTCTATATCTATTTCTATCTCGAACTATTTCTGTCTTTTTACCTCTAGTAAAATTCACATCTAATCTATATTTATAGGTTCCCATTTGCATAGAGAGATATCTTAAAGAATGATCTTCAAAATGGTGGTAGAATTTATTTCTGAGTCAACAAGATTTGGAGTGATTTTTAAATTTTCCCTTATTCATAACATTTTGCAATTGCTTGATTTTATAAACCATGAATATATTTTGATCCCTAATGAAAAAATGTTGGTTTTGAAGAGAAAATCTATAGTACAATTATAGACTAAACATATTATACAAAACATCATGCATGTTTTGTGTGCACATTTGTAAGTTTGTATAATGTAATTAATATTCATGTATAGTCTGAAGTAATATCCAGCATACAGTTAATAGTATTTCCATATAATGGGATTGTGGCAAAATTTAAAAATATTTTCTTGTCTACATTTTTCAATTTTTCCCAAATGTGCATATTATATCATGTAATTAGCAGTAACATTGATCTATAAATACAATTTTTAAAATGTCAGTCAGGTGTATTCCATGTATTAAGTAATCCTTTATGATCTGTAAACTCACTGAACACATGCTACATGTACGTCTCTTCAAACATTTTTAATAATTGCATTCATTGTGATTTGTGCTTCTAAAAAAAACCAAGTATCCTCATAACTGACCTCTCTTTCTCTGCCCTTTATTCCTACCATCAACATTTGCATCTTTGAGTTTTTCTTCATTCTGCATTTCTTCTATAGTTTCTAGAGCTTAAACTCATCATCACTAATTCTACAGCATTAATGTTGTTCTTTATTGCTTTTAATGCAGATTTCTATACTATTATTGCATTTTTAATCTTCTTATAATCTTTATTTATCATGGCAGACTTTCATTTTTACTTTTGCCTGCCTCTCAGCCAATTCCCTTCTTATCTCAACTTATTTTCATATAATCTCATCTTTCATCGCTTCATTCAGACTATAGTTTTCATATTCCTTTGAGATTACAAAGAATATTTCTGCAATTTCTGCTTTCTTTAGTAACTTCTTAAAGTGCAATTTTTCTGCATCTTAATTGTCCCTTCCTTCTTTTAATGTACAGAATATTTTCACTGAAACAGTTTTTTTTTCTGTTTTCAGGGTTGTCGCCTTTAAACAAAGGAGCGCTATGCATGGTTGATGACAGACTATGTCAGTCGCTTCCCCTCAGCCCTAGACTACTATTAAAATACAGTTCTTGATCTCAAGCATAAAGATTTGTTGATATTCATGGATTGGTCCCACATTTATGGTGTCTAGCAGTCATTTATCGTATGTGCTGTTGGTCTTAGGAGAGACTACCTATTCTTAAAGTATTGTTAACTTGCTGTGTGAGGCAGTATAGTATAGTAATTAGAGTATTAGCTCTATACATAAAATGGTGCATTAGAATTCTTGTTCTACCAATTATTAAAAGAGTAGTTGAAGCTCTTCAAGACTCACTTTATTCTATCTGTGAAATGGGCAAGATAATACCATAATAGCACATACATCACTGTGCTATTAATATTAGCACATACATCACTGTGATCAATCATCACCAGGACTGATATTAATATCAAACATAAAGTACTTTAAACCTACTAACTGACAGAATCTTCCCAACTATTTTTATTCTCATTTTACAGGTGAGGAAATTGAAGTAGAAACATGTTAAGTAAATTGTTCAAGGTCACATAGCTTGTAAGATGTATAAGTGAGATTAGGATTCATGTAACCTACTTTCCATTTTGTGTTCCATATTTAATATTTGCTATTATTATTATATAAAAATTTATTTACATATGATCTAAATCAGTGAGTAGTTATTTCTTGTCCTGAAACAATATTGGTAAATTTAGTGTTTCAATTACATGGTTTTTTCTCTTCGCCTGTCTTCATACTACTGGAGTTGTATTCTAAGATGTAAATATGTCATATGCCCTTTTCTGCCTTATAGTCCATAGCTTTCCTGAAATTTTTAATATCTGAACTTATTTAGAAGGACAAGTCCAAATTGGGAAATCTGGGGTGGAATATATGTGTGCCTGTAATCCTTTACATCTGCAATATATATGTGTGTGGGTGTGCCTGTGTGTACGTGTGTGTATGCACACACAGACGGCTACTGTAGAATTTGTGTTCTATGTTCTATTTGGTAGAGCTGTAGCTATGCAATCAATTCGTGGTTGGCAGTTGTCACAGATTCTGTATTCCTGAGCCAAGGCATAGACAAATGTGTTGATGTGCCTCTGCATTGTCCTTCACATTGGCAGCTTTGATCTCTTGCAGGTGACAAGGTATGTATTACTGTCACCTGACAATTGTGTTTCTCATTTCCACTTCATGAATATTATAATTAGAGGAAATTCCTTTAAGATTTTGGCAGTAGATTAGTTGTCAATCTTAGTTTCTTGGTCTATTATGCACTCCCATCTATTTCTGTGTTTTTCTAGATATTTTATCACGAAAATCACAAATTCTGAGATAAAGAATGCTCTTCAAACACCTTCTTAAGCTGCCCTTTTCTCAATTCCACCCCTGCTTTTCAACTACACATATACACACTCACACACAAAAACACAAGCAGAGTTGGAGAACCCAAGCTTATATTAATGCCAATGGCATTATAACAACAGAGTACTGTTAACATTATATAAGAGGAAAAAATGCAGTAAGTTCCTTGAGAAAGTTTGCCTACTCACTTACTCAGTGATGGTGGGAGGGTCTAAATTTAAAATAGATGTGAATGGAGATAGATTGGTGGGTTGAAAAGTATAATGGTTAATTTTATGTGTCAATTTGACTGGGGCATGAGATGCCTAGAATTTAATGAAACATTATTTCTGAGGTGTCCAGGAGGGTGTTTCTGGAAAATATTGGCATTTAAATTGGTGAACTGAATAAAGCAAATGGTCCTCTCCAATATGGATGAGCATCGTCTCACTCATTGAGGGACCGAAAAGAACAAAAAAGTGGAGGAAAGTTGGATTCACCCTCCCTGTGCCTGATTTCTTGAGCTGGGATATTGATCTTCTTCCCTCAGTGCTTCTGGTTCTCAGGCTATCAGACTTTGGAATCTATACCATTGGCTGTCTGGCTTTCAGGCTTTCAAACTACAACGCTGGCTTCTCTGGGTCTCTAACTTTCAGGCAGCAGATTGTGGGACTTGGCCTCCATGATCGCATAAGCCAAGGTTCTCTGGAGAACCCTAACATAGTTGTCTCTCAGTATCCAAGGGGAATTGGTTCCAGGATACCCTGCAGATACTAAATCTGCAGATGCTCATGTTCCTTATATAAAATGGCATAGTTACCTAAGCACATCCTCCCATTTCTTTAAATCATCTCTAGATTACTTATGATACCTAATACAATGAAAATGCTATATATAGAGTTGTTAAACTGTATTGTTTTATATTTTTGTTATTATTATTGTATTATTATTCTTTTTCAATATTTCAATTCACGGCAGGTTGAATCTGTGGATGTGGAACCTGCAGATACAAAGGGTTGAGTATACACAAATTGGTACCAAGAATTGGGGTACTGCTTTAATAAATATTTAAAAATCTGGAAGTAGCTTTGTAATGAGTAGAGGCCGGAAGAATCTGCAGTATATGTGTATTAATCCATTCTCCCACTGCTAATAAAGACATACATGAGACTAGGTAATTTAAAAAGGAAAGAAGTTTAATTGACTCACAGTTTAGCATGGCGGGGGAGGCCTCAGAAAACTTACAATCATGGCAGAAGGGGAAGCAAATGTGTCCTTCACTTGGTGGCAGAAAGGAGAAGTGCCAAGCTAAAGGAGGAAAAGCCCTTTATAAAACCATCACATCTTGTGAGAACTCACGCACTATCATGAAAACAATCTGAGGGTAACCGCCCCCCACCCCAATTAAATTACCTCCCACAAGGTCCCTCCTATGACACATGGGGATGTGGGAACTACAATTCAAGATGAGATTTGGGCAGGGACACAGCCAAACCACATAATCCCTCCCTGGTCCTTCCCAAATCTCCTATCCTAACATTTTAAAACACAGTCATGCCCTTCTCTACAGTTCCCCAAAGTCTTAACTCATTTCAGCATTAACCCAAAAGTCCAAGTCCATAGTCTTATCTGAGACAAGGCAAGTCCCTTCCACAAATGAGCATGTAAAATCAAAAGCAAGTTATGTACTTCCTAGATACGGGGTGGGGGGGGGAGGGGGAGGGAGGGAGGGGGAGGGGGTAGAAGCATTGGGTAAATACAGCCATTCACAATGGAAGAAACTGGCCAAAACAAAGGAGCCACAGGCTCCATGCAAGTCCAAAGTCCAATAGGGCAGTCATTAAACCTTAAAGTTTCAAAATGATCTCCTTTGACTCCATGTCTCACATCCAGGTCATGCTGATGCAAAAGGTGGGTTCCCATAGCTGTGGGCAGATATGTCCCTGTGGCTTTGCAGGGTACAGGCCCCCATTTGGCTGCTTTCATCGACTGGCATTGAGTGTCTGTGGCTTTTCTAGGCACATGGTGCAAGCTGTCAGTGGATCTACCATTCTGGGGTCTGGAGGATGGTGGCCCTCTTCTCCCAGCTCCACTAGGTAGTGCCCCAGTGGGGACTCTATGTGGGGGCTCCAACCCCACATTTCCCTTCCACACTGCTCTAATAGGTTCTCCATGAGGGCCCAGCCCCTCAGCCCACTTCTGCCAGGACATCTAGGCATTTCCATACATACTCTGAAATCAAGGTGGATGTTCCCAAACCTCAATTCTTGACTTCTGCATACCTGCAGGCCCAACACTGCCTGGAAGCTGCCATGGCTTGGGGCTTCCATTCTCTGAAGCCGTGGCCTGAGCTGTACTTTGGCACCTTTTAGCAATGGCTGGAGCAGCTGGGATACAGGGTACCAAGTCCTTAGGCTGCATGCAGCAGGAAGGCGCTGGACCCAGCTCCCAAAACCATTTTTCCCTCCTGGACCTCCAAGCCTGTGATGGGAGGGGCTGTCATGAAGGTCTATGACATGCCATAGAGACACTTTCCCCACTGTCTTGGTGATTAACATTTGGCTCCTTGTTACTTATGCAAGTGTCTGTAGCAGGCTTAAATTTCTCCTCAGGAAATGGATTTTTCTTTCCTGTGGCATCGTCAGGCTGCAAATTTTCTAAACTTTTATGTTCTGCTTCTAATTGAATGCTTTGCCACTTAGAAATTACTTTCACCAGATACACTAATTCATCTCTTTCAAGTTCAAAGTTCCACAGATCTCTAGGGCAGGGGCAAAATGCTACCAGTCTCTTTGCTAAAGCATAGCAAGAGTCACCTTTGCTCCAGTTCCCAACAAGTTCCTCATCTCCATCTAAGACCAACTCAGCCTGGACTTTATTGTTTATATCCCTATCAGCATTTTGGTCAAAGCCATTTAACAAGTCTTTAGGAAGTTCCAAACATTCCTACATTTTCCTGTCTTCTGAGCCCTCCAAATTGTTCCAACTGGTAACTGCCTGTTACCCAGTTCTGAAGTTGCTTTCACATTTTTGGGTATCTTTAAAACAGAGCCCCACTCCCAGTACCAATTTACTGTATTAGTCTATTCTCATGCTGCTAATCAATACATACCCAAGATGGAGTAATTTATAAAGGAAAGAGGTTTAATTGACTCAGTTCAGCATGGCTGAGAGGCCTCAGGAAACTTACAATTGTGGTAGAAGAGGAAGCAAACACATCCTTCTTCACATTGAGGCAGCAAGGAGAAGTGCTGAGCAAAGGGGGAAAGCCCCTTAAAAAACCATCAGATCTTGTGGGAAGTCACTCACTGTCATGAGAACAGCATGAGGGTAACAGCCTCCAAGATTAAATCACCTCTCACTGAGTCCCCCCTACAACATGTGGGGATTATGGGAACTACAATTCAAGATAAGATTTGTGTGGGGACACAGCAAAACCATATCAACGTGCCAGAAAAAGCTGACATTGCTATAAAGGAACTTTAAAGGTGTTTCTGGTTGTAAGAGTTCAGTAAAAGAAAAAATCAGTGCTCTAGAGAAAGCTTCTGTCTTCTTAGAGAATATATAAATAATTGTGTACAGACTGTTCGTAGAAACATGATCATTAAAGAAAATTTTAATGAGCTATCAGACAGAAATAAAGAATATGCTATTGAACAATGGCAAAAAGGCAAGCCTTGTTATAAAGCAGAAAAGACTTCAATTATATTAATGTACTTGTGTTTTGTGGAAGGTAGAACTTGCAAACAATGAAATTAAATACTTAGCTGAGGAAACTTCTAAACAAAGTTTTGTAGGAGTGGCTTGGTTCCTCCTGGTTGCTTACAGTAAAAAGCAAGAAGAGGGAAATGATTTGAAGAAGCGATTGTTAAGCAAAAATGTCCCAGAAATTAAAGATTTGAAACATTCTCAGCCAATCCATATTGCAAGAAATGAGAACGCATATTCTGAGGACAGCTCTAAGGGTGTGGCAGATAGACCATTTGATAAGATTAGTGTGAGTGTGAACTGAGGACTTAATCACTCATCTCAACAGAAGCTAGGGATAAAGATGGGATTACACCAGCAGAAACACTGCCAGCTGGGGCTAAAGAAAACAGAGAAAATGGAAAGAAGGCTGTGAACATGTGCTGTCTGTCAAGAAAAGAAAAGAAGGTCCCCAAAGGTGATTCTGAGATCTACAGGGCTGCCACTCCTACTACAGGCACGGGGGAATGGATAATTGCTCCTTGTCTTCTAAGGGTGGAATTGCCTGTCTGATTTTGGTTGTGGGGCCATTGTAGAGAGCTGCAGTTTCAGGTAGAAGGAGCAGGCCCAACGCACCAAGCCATTGATACCCAAGTGTGCCTGGAAGCCAGAAAATTGAGTGAAAGAAGATTATTCTCAAGGCTTAACATCTCTAAGAGTTTGCCTTGCTACATTTTGGAACTGTGTGGAACTCCTTACCACTTCCTTCTTTCTAATTTTTTCTTTTTGGAATGGCAATATCTATTCTATGTCTGTCCCATCATTGTATTTTGGAAACAATAACTTGTTTGATTTCACAGATTCATAGCTGGAGAAAAATTTTGTTTCAGTATGGATCACACCTTAGTCTTACTCGTATCTGATTTAGATGATATTTAGATGAATTATGAACTTTAGACTTGATGATGAAGAGAAATAAGACTTTCAGAATTGTTCAGATGGAATGAATGTATTTTCCATACAAGAAGGCCATAAATTTTGGAGGGCCAGAGAAAGAATATGGACTGAAAGTTTGTGTCACCTCAACATTTGTGTGTTAAAATCCTAACCTGCAATATGATGGTATTAGAAGCATGGCCTTTGGTGTGTATATTAGTCTGTTCTCACACTGCTAATAAAGACATACTGAGACTGGGTAATTTATAAAGGAAACAGGTTTAATTAACTTACAGTGTGGCATGGCTGCAGTGGCCTCACAATCATGGCAGAACATGAATGAGGAGCAAAATCGTGTCTTACATGGCAGCAGGCAAGGGCTTGTGCAGGGGAACTCCCATTTATAAAACCATCAGCTCTTGTGAGACTTATTTACTACCATGAGAACAGAATGTGGAAACCACTCCCATGATTCAATTATCCCCATCTGTCCCCACCCTTGACACATGGGGATTATTACAATTCAAGGTGAGATTTAGGTGGGGACACAGCCAAGCCATACCAGGGGGTAATTAGATAATGAGAGTGCAGCTCCCATGAACAGAGTCAGTGTCTTTGTAAGAAAAGACATAAGCGATGATTTCTCTCTCAGTCATGTGAGGATACAAGGAGAAGATGACTATCTGCAAACCAGGAAGAGTTCCCTCACCAGTCTCTGTATCTGCCAACCTCCAGAACTGTAATACATAAATATGTGTTGATTAAGTAACCCGTAATATGGTATTCTGGTATATCAGCTTGAACTGACTAAAACTGGGTTCAGATTTCCAGCCAGATCCCCTTAATTTCTAGAAGTGAGATATGGAGCCATCTACAGAGATAAAGCGGTAAGATTAGTCGAGCTATTAGAGACCCATCAAAGATTTGCGAAAGCCATTGTTTGAAATGGAGGAGGGTCAACGTAGGATAAAGATTTTCCTCATGTAACAAAGATCAAAATAACAGTGGCTTAAACAAAAAAATTTAGGTTTCCTTCATGTAACAATCTGAGCATAAGCAATGCAGACTGGTTTGGTGGCCCCATAGTGTTAGGGAGCTAAACTTTTTCTGTTTTGTTGCTCTGCTATCTCAAGTGTTTTGCCCTCACCTACACCATTCAAGATTATTTACCATCATGTACACATTCCAGGCAATAGAAACGAGGATGACGAGCAGAAGAAGTGGTCTGCTGAATTTAAGGCTATTCTTAGGAAGTTGAACATGTCACTTTCACTCCTATTCCCTTACATAAAACTTAGGATGGCCACACCCAGCTGTAAAGGAAGCTGGGAACTGCAGTCTTCAATTGAGCAGACATATGCAAAACTGAGACTTAGTAATTCCTTTACTAAAGTAGGAAGGCAAAAAAAAAAAAATGGAGGAAAACCATTTATGCCACAGACAATAAAAGTCATATGTTTGTGGGTCCTGGAAAAGTTGTAGAGTGAGTCAAATTTCCTTTTTAAATCTTTCTCTTTTCATTTGTCCTCACCTGTAGTGTTTTCATGATTTCCCCTATTATATAATGACTTTTCCTGCTATGTGGGGCAGGGAAATTAGTATCTATTTCAGATACTCATCTATAATATACATTAAGATGGTCAAATTACATTTCCTTAGAGATTATTTTGAGTGGAACTCATGACTTCTTTGGGTTGTTGGACAGTTTTAATTTGTGGAATTTTCTTAATTAACTTGATGATGCTCTTATAAATGAAAATAGAATAGACCTTGTCCATGTCCTATTCAACAGTAATTTCCCTTTGTTTCTTGATACCAGACTCTAATTGACTCAGGTAATTGGTAGGAATCCCTTGATTGCAAGGAATTCAGACTCCTGACCCAGAATGCATCATGATTGATGTAATCCAATCATCCTCTCATTCCCCTTGGCCAGCCATGTCACCCAGTTCTGGATAATGAGACAACAGGAGAAATTAGGGAGCTGGTAACTGGAGACTTTCCTTCCCAAATTAAAACAAAAAAATGATAATATTAGCAATCTTGGTTAGAAATGCAAAATGTTTTCAGTTAGGCAGAACGGGCTAACAGCTTACTCTTGTTGGGACACCACATACATCAATGCTATATAATTAGCAATTTCACCCATGTAGCAATCAGCATTGGAACTTGAAAATCACCTAGAAACTGAGAAATTGTTGAAGGGTCAATGCCTGAGGACAGAACAACACACTGACCTAGTTGCATTGAAGGGAGGAATTCTGAACCTATCATCACAGTGATCCTGGAGAAAGTGAAGAGGGTTAAGAGGTCCCAGAAATTAATGCAGAAATGACATGAGAGAGGCAGGTAGGAAAATAAAGTCCCATCCAGTAGACAAAGAGACAGACAGGTTGACAATCCCTGATGGGTTACTCATGAGGAGGCCAAAAGGCTTAAGCCACTGAATTTGTGAAATTTGAAAGTGGTATTCTAGCCCATAGGAGGCCTCCTGGTAGTAGGAGTAACTGGTGAAGTTGTAGGTGCAAGAATACTACGTAGAACCTATGAAAAGAATTTAGATACAGGAGAATTGTTCTAAGGAATATTTTTGGAACTGAAGTGCTCAGAAAGAACATCATGTATTTGAACTAGCGTATAGAGGCGGATATTTTTGAGGTATACATTTTTGTTGAACACATTTGGAGAAATACTGATGTAGAAACATTATACTCTTACTCTTTACCTCCTCCCGTCTATTCCAGTGGTCCTGTCTCCTGATCATGAATTCCATTTCTTAGCTTTACCTTTGCTGCTGCCTTCTGGGTTCAGGGCTTATACTTGACTCTCAGAACTACCTAAACACTTTGCTCTGTAATACCCTTTAGCTCCTGCCTTTTTTTGGGCACTCTGCAAGTTAGACCCTGATCTGGATATACTTCTATGCAGCTAGCTCCTTGGTCTGGGTGCTGCAGCCTCAGTGGAGGTGGAATTTGACAAAGGTTCAGGCAGGTTGCTGTTGAGTGTTGCTTACCAGGCTTTGTCACTTTCCCCAGAATGGGGATAATATACCAAAGATCAGTTTCAGAGGCAGGAGACACCGTGTTGAAAGAGTAAGGATTCTTGTTTCAGTGACGGGAAGCATTCAGGTAAAGACCAGTGGCTAACTAGTATTAAAACAAATGGCCTTCTAAGGAACAGGGTGACACACTGAAGAGCAGCCTTTGCCTTGTTGAGATTCCAACCCTTGTTTGGACATTTTTAGTGATAGACAGCATAAAATGTTTTCTTTCCCTGATTACATTAGTTGAGACAATAGCAGAGGCCTAATACTCCATTTGGCATGTAGTCCTATCATCCTGTCTTGTTCTACTTGTCAAACAAGTTTGAAACTGTCACCAGCATCCTGACCAATTCACCCTGCCTTATATTCCTTGGCCCCAGACATCTGGAGAGTTGAGGCCTTGCCATCAGATCTCAAATTTTCATTCCCTCTAAGTCCCAGCAATGCATATCCCAGGTTAAAATAAAATATATATATATTGGATACACGTTCATCCCATCTCTGAACTCCCAATTGTCAGTCACATTTCATTTTCGGCTTCAAAAAATGATGAGGTGTTCTGCTAGGGATGGCCTTTGTGCTCTGACCTGGACTTTTTATTATGTTACCTGGCTTAACTCCCTCGTACCTTCTTCATGTCCCCTTTGACATCAATAAGTTATTCCTGTTCTCTTGTCTAGTCTCCTCAATTGCTTTTTCATTCTTTCTGTCTCAGCCTCTGTCCCTCCTTTGTATGCGCTTCCATTCTCTAAAACTCCTTACGCATCATCTATGGCAATTTTTCCTCAGTGGTGGCAGGGAAGAGACAGATAAGCTATTGCAAGCTTTCTTTTCAAGATTCATAATTACATTTCAACAACAACAACAACAAAATTATTGATTGCTAAGCACTGTCCCAGACTCTGGTGATAAAGCGATCAAAAAGGCAATTCCTGCCCCCAGAGGAGCTCACAGTTCTATGCAAAAACAAAACACAAAACCAAAGCAGCAACAACAACAACAACAACAAAAAAACACAGAAGGATGTGTACACAAATAGTTACAATACAGTGGGTTAAATAGTATGCATAAAAACTCTAAGAATGCCAATATATTTTGACAATATATTTTGTCTGTAGAGTAAGAGAAACCTAGAGATGAAATCCAACAATGACATAGCTATTTGTTTGGCGTGTGTTTTCTTTTTCTTATATACTCAAGGATCTTATTACAAATTATAGAACGCTTTAGAGAAGGGTATTTCCTTGTTTCATCCAAGAGAAAATAGACTCCAGCAGGTTGAATGATATCCCCAAATCACTGATCATGTTAAAATCAAGCTGGGGTCTTACGTATGAGAAAAATTAACACTAGCTGCTGAAACAGATGAACCCTCACAGTCTTAGTGGCTTAATAAAACAGGAGTATCCTTCTTTTCTCATATGAAACTGATGCAGGCTGGGTGGTCTTATCCATTTGGAGGTATGACATGTGGCATGTGTGACCTCCAAAATTGTTCTAGTAAGGGAAAGGAGATGTGAAGGACACATACAGACCCTTAACTGTCTTGCTCTTGAACTGATGGAAGTCATTTTCTCGCAGTTCATTAGCACACACAATCTTTATTGCCCCAATATGAGAAATGTGTAAGAATGCATGAAATTTATTGAGTCTTTGCCATACTTGACCTCCTGTGAGAATTTGGGGTCTACTATCAGTGGGTATGCCTCAGTATGTGCTGGTGATGGTGGTGGCAGATCATGAAGATTATGTTTAAGAGAGATTGATGGATGAATGGATGGATGGATGGATGGATAGATGGATGGATGAATATGAGATGCCTCATTGATTATCATTGTTTCAGATAATTATCTTAGCTAAGCTGGTGTTTATTTTCCACATTTTCTTGTGAGTCGACTCCTATGCTCTTCAGCTGAAGGGCATGACCATCCTTTTCTCCAACAGAATTTAGGAGAATTTTGACAGTGCAGCATGGGATATCATTGTGTTAATCATTTTGTAACTATTACTGCAGAAAAAAATGCCTAGAATAGTAAATAATAGCATTATAGCTGTCTTTGAAAGAAAAGTTCAATATTATACCTGCTTGCTGATAGGAGAGATTAATATACTCTTGCTATTATTAATAATAGTAATTAGACTCTATTGCTTTAGCTGATCTGTAGGTCCCATTTATAGGAACAGCCTAATGTTCTTCCTGAGCATGACTTGGCATATTTTAGCACGTCATTGCAAGCACTGAAAATCAGTGCCAGGATCTTCTTATCATTTTATTAGCTTTTTGGCACTTGGATTTTGTATTTGTACTGGGCTTACTTTTCTACCTCTGAAACAGTTAGCACGGATTTTTCTATAAAAAAAAGACCTTTTCTTAATAGCATTTTCTATTCGGGGAGGTAACAATAGATTTTTGTATATTTTGAATCCTTTAGCACAGCCACTGCTGCAAACAGAGAGGACAGGCATCTCTGCCAGGACAATTAACACTTGCAGCAGAAAACTCTTCTTAGCTGTAGAACAGGAGAAAAGAGGAGTTTAAATTGAGTTTGTTATGCAAGAAAATCTTTTCAGTATTGGGAACAGAGACAGGGAGGCTGTTTGGAGACCACAGGATCAACTTCTTTTATGTCACAATTTTTCCATGGGATCAACTCTGAGTACTGAGCAAAGAGTTTGTAAAGATAGCAAAATGTGCCAGAACAGTCCTTCTCTAAAAGTTAGCACATAGAGGATCACTTTAGGGATTTTCTCATTCAAATGAATTTCTCTCCTTGTTTGTTTCTCTGCCTTGAATTTTCACGAATATTTCGTTTTGGATTAAGGCAGTAAATGTGCCTATTAAAATGAACCAATGTTACCTAGCAGGGGTAAACTACTAACTCTTTGTCATTAATCTCTTACTGTGAATAATTAAAATGGGTTTTCTTCCCTCAGCTAAGTCTTAAGAAATAATAATGGTAACGTTTAAAAGTCAAAATGTATTGTATGCTAGAGTTTACAATGCAAACTGAGTTATTCCCTCATTTGTTTCTTACAATAATCTTAAGAGATAAGGTAGGGAGAGGGGAGCTGTTACTCTCATTTAACAGATGAACAATTTGAGGCTCTGACTGGTCAACTGACTGTTCAAGGACGTTCTAAACGACAGGATTGTAGAGAAGGGGGAAGCAGAAAATAGAGATAGCATTTGCAGGGTCAGTTCTTGTTAGACCAGCAGGGAGCATGCTGAATAGCTAAGGTGTGTGTGCAGGTTTGGAGGGTGTGCAGTGGTTTAAGGTAGAGAGAGTGGCTGCTAACAATAGTAGCATTATCTACCTTTCCTTGACCATCTACGAAATGCTAAGCACCAAATTAGACTCCTACATCCACTGTTTCACTTCATCTTCTTTATAATCCTGCAAGAAGGCTAATATTCCAGATTTACAGATGAGGAAACAGGGGTTTAGAGAAATTGAAAATCTTGTTCAAGGTTACTCAATTAAATACGGGAAAATATTTTCCTATTCCTAAGATCACATTCTTGCACAGTCACATGCTACAGTGCAAGAAAGCAAACAAAGAAAAGGTCATGGGAGGGCCTTGAAAACAAATTTCCCTTTCTCCACATCTGTCTCAGGCTTGGCTTCTCTGCCCTTCACCTTTCCATTAACTCTGCAATCCTGCAAAAAGCAGAAATTTTATCACTTTCTGACCAAAGTAAGGGCTTTAAAAATTTCTACCTGGATAGCTTGAAGCTTTCAAAGTTTTTTATTCTCCCCTCAGATGCATTAAATGAGACATTTCACATGTTTATTTCAGTAACTTTTCCATTGTTGATGTAAAATAATGAGTTTTTGCTTTTTATTTTTATATCAAGGCAGGTTTTCTTCCCTGATTGAATAATGTGACTGCCACGTGTTTTCCTCCTGTGTCAAAAACTACTCCCAACTACTTTAGGTACAATATAACATATCAAAAATTTTTGTCCAGATTTTTTTTTTTTTGAGAAAGAAGTCATCTAGGGCAGATAGTGAACAATATAATGGAAGGAAGTCAGCTTAGCTTTCCTTAGCATTTGTTACCACAATTGCTACAAACCAGAATTACTTCCTCCTTGATGGAAAGGAGGTGAAATGTGACAGCTGCTTAACAGTGTACATCAATAAAACATGATCATCTAAGAAGCAGCCAGCTAGTACTGATGAGCTGATGCATTTAATTGACAAGGCAGACAGAGGCTCAGAGGTATTATTTGAGTTTTCATCCCTTTATTGAGCAACATTGGGTTAATTTCTCCATTACTCAGTCTCCTCATCTGTAAAATGGGAATAATAACACTTATCTAGTTCACAGAGGCGTTGCCAGTATTAATTAACTCAGGTAAAGTTCTCTGAGATCCCTTGATGAATGGTGCCATGGGGTTGCAAATGATTAGTGGCCTTATTATTCTGACACTCACCCATAAGGCCCATTGATCAAATACAGTTCTGGCTTAACTGGGCAGAGCAATGGATTCTGCAACTGCATTCAATGGCAGTTTGCCCTGAAAATAAAGTCTGTCACACACAATGTCTCCCCAGAGCAAGCTTAAGCTGGTAGCATTATTGATGTAGGTGATCTGCCTGCCAGGATGCACAGAGGCAGTTTAACTGGAGCTAATTATTGCTGGCAATAATACCAGAGCCAAGAACTCACCTCTGATTATGATGGGAAGTTCAAAGAATCTATTTCTGAGCCATAAAATTGGGCAGAATTTTCTGCACTATTGCTGTGGGTAGCATTCTGAGGAATGTCAGGGCACCTCAAATTTCAGAGGAAGGAGACTTGTAATACTTTTCTAGAGAAGAAAAGAAGTAGAGAGAATTGTTATCCTTGCAAATTGCCTTCTGTGATGTTCATCATTTATTTATTTGGGCCATATTTTGTTGTTGTTGCACAAATATTATATGCTTGTTTCTAGGAGAGGAATGAAGGGATGAAAAGAGTTGGCATGCGAGACGGGTAAGATGGAGCCCCCAATCTCACAGGAGCTTTTGATCTACACGGGGACAAGAGAGATGTGAACAAACATAACACAGACAGTGGAAGAAGTGGAGCTTTAAGGAAGCTGGAGCCAAGGTTGAATGCAGGTGCTTTGATCTGGTATGGCTGATGTTACTAATATTAAGATCATAAGCAACAAATATGTATGATGTGTCACTCCAAATATCCTCAATTCCATGACTATCACCTGAATAAAAATTATCATCTTTTCTTATTGGACTACTTTGATAACTCTCTGACTGGACTCCCCTGTTTCACCTCTTGCCCTTCTGCAGGCTATTTAATACAGGCCAGATTACTCAGCATAAGTTACATTCTTTTTAAATCTTTCAGGACTTTCTTCTCCAGTGAATCAAATTCAAACTCTTACTTACTATCGCTTCCTGGTTTATGTTGCTCATCTCTAAACCAAAATCTACACGTTTTCCAAGCTCCTTTTGTGCTAGTTTTCCTAGTTCATGCTAGTTGACTGAAAGCTCAGCCTTTTCTTGCCCCAGGGGATTTGCATGTGTCCTTCCTGCCTAGAATGTTCTTCCCCACCTGATTTCCATGGGTGAGACCCCAATTCTTAACACTTTTCCATTTAAATACAAATTTCTTTCTCTCATGCCTATATCCTGTCTGTTGCTGTTCCCTTTCATGGTACTTTTTACAATTTGAAATTATTCATTCACTCTTTTTTTTGTTCATTCATTCATTAATTTGCTCCTTAACTAATTCTGTCTCCCACAAAAGGTAAGCTCTCAGAGAGAAAGAATTTGCCCTCACCCCTTATTTACTGGTACCCAGCACAACACCTGGCACAAACAAATATATAATTTCCTAATGTTGTTAAATAACAACTATCTTTATTGATCACCTACTACACATTTTATGTATAAATTTCATTTTTACAGGCAACAACCTCAAGAGGTTGGTATCATTTCACTGAAATTTTCATACAATTAAATGAGTCACGGGAGCACTGAGACCGGCTAAAAATCATAGCTTGCAGTCAGTAAAAACTGGATTCTAACACAGGCCTCCCTGGCTCCAAAGTGAGGGCTGAGACCACTGCCCCTTGATTTTGGAGGCTGGACAAGAAATCTGAATGAAGGGGTTAGGCATAGATCCCCTCTCAACGGTACTGAACTTGGATTGGCTTGAAGGCATTTTTTGGAAACTGGAATCTTAAGAGCAAGCCTTCAGTTGTTAATTACCTTTGTTAAATACCAAGGACTTGGTGATTACTTTCTAGAGGAGAATTAGTAAAAACCTTGAAAATTATGAGCCAGAACAATCTTTTTCTGCTCTTCTTAGGAAATTTTCCCATTTATTTTTAAACTGCTTCTTGCCTGGGGGCATCTTCATCTTTGGCTTCTGATCTCTGTTTCCTGGAGGAAAGTGTAGGGAAAGTGATAATCATTTTACTTTAGGTTCACTTCAATTCAATTAAGAGTTCTACATACTTAATAGTCTAAATAAATACCAAAAATCTGCTTAATTATAGTGTGACAAGATTGTGACTTTTCTCAAACTTTGGCATTTAACATGTGATATTTTATTTGTGGGTGGAAGTACTCTCGTAATTAATGCAAACAAACAGGATGCCATTTTAACAATGAGACAAACTTCAAATCGCAGTGTGGTTCTTTTCTTTGCCATTTTGTTTTCAAGTCACTTACACAGAGATTAGCAGGATTTTCTACCAGGATATAAATATCTGTCCTGAAAGATAACATTTTCTTTTTCTTCCAGGACTGTTTTGCTGAAAGGTTTCCAGTTGCCTATGGTGGTAGTAAGAAGATGCTAAAATAACTAACTAAATAAAAGCCATAGATCATTTAAGTCATCAAATCTCAACCAGGCCAATCAAAACAACCATAAAGACACATCGAGATGAAACTTCAAATACTGTGGCACAGCTGTGGACTACGAAGAAACAAAGAACTAAACTCAGATCAGAACAGTTGTTAAAATAGAATAATATGTCTGTGTCTCGGAGACTAAAATACGCCTGGCACCAACAGAAGTACTGAGTATTGAAAGTTGAGACAAGTCACTCATGACTTTTATGGACTGGTGGTGAAGACAGGCAGTGATTGATACATTACGAAGTGGTCAGATTCAGAACAGAATTACTCACAGAATTCTACGGAAAGACAGAAGATAGAGCCCTAAATCCAGCCTGAAAGAATCATGACAAACTTCCTAGAAGACACCTGGGCTGAATCTTAAAGGAATGACCTAATTGTCAAGAGGGTAACATGTTTTGAGAGTTGCCATTGGAATAGAAGTCCCTAAGCTTCCTTGGCTTGTCAGCCTCATTCCCTTCTGTCCGGCTTTCTCCTCAGCCACATAACATCACTCTCCCACCCAATTTTTAAGTTCATATTTTTTTAAATAGGCAAAGATTTCTCTCCTTTAGGCAACCACTTGAAAACACCTAGTAAAAAATTCTGATTTGCCTGGCTTGAATTTCCTTGGAAATACTTAGTCCAATCATTTTGGCTGAGGTAATGGTGTTTTCTGATTGGTCTAGTTTGACTCATCCAATCTGCCTGGAATGCTGGTTATCTAAGCAACTTCTATTTAAAACCTACAGAAGGAGAAAAGCATTTAACAGATGATGCAGAAAAGACTGTTGATCAGATTGAATAGTTGACACTTCTAGGGACTATCATTCAACCTACCAGTAGCAAAAAGGAATTACCACTCTGTGGATACATTTCAGGTCATGCTTGCCTAATGAAAGACTGTAAGTCAAAAAGAAATAAACATTTGCTGAGTTACATTTTGGGCCAACCCTTTGGGAGGTGCTTTTCTTTCACTATCTCATAAAGCTTCTCACTACAACCTTTAGAGACAGGTACTATTTTAAGTATGAGGAACGTAGAGGTTAAGTAACTCTTAGAAGATCATATGGATTTGGAAATCACAGAGATTTAATTCGTTTTTAATTAGCATTCCATCTTCCTCCCACTGTACCATGTGGGATCTTTGGAAAACAATATTTGTAGCACAATGCATCATCTTCCAAATGAACAGAGGTGTGCAGATAAATAGGAGCTTCGTTTTGTTTTATTTTTTTGCTGACTTTATGATAAGATGGTTTTCTTTCTTCAAATTTTAATGTGCTGCGTCAGACGAAAATATATAATGAGTGCTTTGGATTTTCTGTCTTTTGGGCTGATTCTGTAAAATGTGTCACATCTCTCTTCCTTAGAGAGAGTAATCAATGGGGTGCATTGTGATTTCCACATAATATCATCCCCAGGACCATTTCTCTTTAGGCACACAGTGTAGGGATGGAAAGGGGATAGAAGGGGTGCTTGTAAATTTCTGCATTCATATTGAACATTTTCCCAATAGGATGGTACAGAAAATGTCAATAATTAATTGGGAAATATTTGTTTATCTTTATGGAGAGATTTTGTTATTAAGCTTAGATAAAACATTTTTTGGAAGGGTCATTGTCCCTGGCTCTCTAACTGTGGACTGGCAGAATACGGGGTGTGTTGGGTGTGGTGCTGCAAAGACAACGTTTAGATCATTTCGTGGGAGGCCAATCACTACTCCTTAGGGTGCCCTATTGCTCATTTCATTAGCACAGCACAGGGTTCCCTAGGAATTATATTTTTCCCTCTCTCCGGTAAACATTAAACTTAGTTACAGAGATGAGCGAGATGTATAAATAGAGGGGAAAAGGTGTTTCTCATTTTATTACTCTTTTGTGTAATAGTAGTAAAAGTTTTGTAGGGAGTATTGTATACAGTAAAACAATCATTTGTCAATGGGTAAACTTACTGAACACCAACGTCTGCTTTTAAAAGATCCCTTGTGTGTCATGAACTACACAGTGTTCATAAAAAGTTGTACTCCAGGGTTACATATTCTTGTTTCCTCAATTACTGGAGTTTCCTGAAATCTCCAAGGAAAGAGGATTAAACATTTATTGTCAGGAAGCACCAGGTTTCACTTCGTCCTGTGCTTTGACACATTCATTATCCCAGACTTTAAATTTTCGATTACAGAATCCATAAAGTACCACCAACACACACATACACACACAAATAAACACATAAACACACAAACAATCACAAAATAGTTAAAAGTGGTGAATTTTAAAAAGGCAAAAAAAGGGCAAGGACCAGTTTTGATGACTCTATTCTTAGTCTCTCATGTTAGTTTTACCATTACAGACAGTATGTCTCCTTGAGGAATACCTGGGGTTATATTTGATGATAAATTACTCTGATTATTTACCATTTGATGTCGTAAGATAAGAATTGCTATCATTTAATCTTTAGTCGTTAGTGGAGAACTGATTTGACTCATGTAGTAGATGAGGAATATAAAAGAAATTAACAAAAATTCTCATGATAGATTGGTGAAGACAGAACATCATTAGATAACGTTAAGGCTCAAGCCAATACCCAAAAATATGGTGTTTTGACATGCAGAACTGAAGAAGCCTCAAGGTCCCTCTGACCTCATTGCTTCCCAGTCTCGCTCAAAGCATAGGATAAAGTTGTTCTCTGAAGGTCCTTCATCTGCCTAAAATCTGGACCCATCAAGAAGAACAATTGTTTTTTCTTCTCCCTCCTATAAGACCGAGAATATAACCACAACTGAACAGAACAGACCCTTTCACTGTCAAAGAGAACTATTTACAAGTTAATCTGTGTTCCCGGATCTATTCATTCTCCCTAGTAATCCTGTCAACAGAATTCCTCTTCTCCCTAATTCCATAACATGTTTTGCCAGGCAGTTATGTAAGCTTCCAAACTTCACTGGAGGGGATTCTGAAGCCTCCTGTTATACACGTTAAATAAATTTGTATACCTTTTCTCCTGCTGATTAATCTGCCTCATATCAGTGATTTTTAGCAAATCTCCAGGAGGCCAAGTTCCTGGGCCACCACAATAATAATGCATGCATAAGAATCTATCTGAAGAGGAAGATAATAAGAGGCAATTTCAAGGACATGGTAATTTAGAAATTCTAATTTGAAAGACAAGTACAAATTATATCTGAACAATGAAATGGAGTTTTAAAAATATAGACTGTTGGCCAGGCATGGTGGCTCATGCCTATAATCCCAGCACTTTGGGTGGCAGAGGTAGGAGGACTGCCTGAGCTCAGGAGTTCAAGACCAGCCTGGGAAACACGGCAAAACTCCATCTCTAAAAATAATACAAGTATTAGCTGGGCATGATGGTGCGTGCCCATGGTTTTAGCTACTTAGGAGGCTGAGGCAGGAGGATCGCTTGGGCCAGGGAGATTGAGTAAGCTATGACTGTGATTGTGCCACTTCACTCCAATCTGAGTGACAGATTAAGACGCTGTTTCAAATATATGTATTTGAGGGAGACTGTTGACATCAGCTCTGGCATGTGAAGTACTTGAATGCTGTCACCCACAATTCTTACAAGAAAACACTAGATAGTTGAGTATCAATGACTTTTTCACAGGTTAGTCAGAGAACTGAAGTCTCAGAGTAAACCATCATGCTGAAATATCTAGATTATTTCTGGATGTAGGTGTGTCCAAAGAGATATAGCCTGATCAGCTTACATGGAACGGAAACCCTGGAGCCATAAACAAGTAGAAACACTTAAGTGATGTCTTAGTCCATTTAAGCTGCTATAACAAAATACTATAAAATGGGTGGCTTATAAACAACAGACATTTATGTCTCACAGTTCTGGAAGCTAGAAGTTCAAGATCAAGGCACCAGTAGATTTGGTGTTTAGTGAGGGCTAACTTTCTGGTTGATAGATGGTGTCTTCTCACTATATGGTAGAAGTGGTGAGGATGCTCGCTCATGCCTCTTTTATGAGACAAGAGACAGATTGTTTGGAAAGGTGAATTTCCCTTTTAATAGCTAAAGGTTTTGTGCCCTTTTTTTTTTCTTTTTAGATGGAGTCTCACTTTGTCGCCCAGGCTGGAGTGTAGTGGTGTGATCTCGGCTCACTGCAAGCTCCGCCTCCTGGGTTCATGCCATTCTCCTGCCTCAGCCTCCCGAGTAGCTGGGACTACAGGTGTCCACCTAGCTAATTTTTTTTTGCATTTTCTTAGTAGAGACGGGGTTTCACTATGTTAGCCAGGATGGTCTCGATATCCTGACCTCGTGATCCACTCGCCTCGGCCTCACAAAGTGCTGGGATTAGAGGCGTGAGCCACTGTGCCCAGACTTTTGTGCCTTTTAAAAAACTTTTTCAGTCATCGCTTTGGCCAAATAAATGGCTTGCGATAACCTGGAATTCTATTTCATAATATCAAGTGTTTTAAACCTTTAACATATTTGATAGGCTTTCCAAAATCAAATTACTGCTTCAAAATTGTCTTTTCTAACTCCTAACTTTTGGATGCTGCAGAGGGCCCTTGGAGCATCCAAAAGAGAGGTAAACAGGATTATTTGACATGTTTAGTTACATGGGATCACCAAAATAAAAATAACATTTAATCTTCTTCAGGTTATATTTTAGTGAATAATATTAATATTATCCCAGATAGTATGGGATTTCTAAAATTCTAATGTCTGAGTACATGCTATCAATTATACTTAAGGTTATTGTGTTAAGTTATTGTAAACCACAGAAATAACCAAATTCCTTTGTCAATTGTGTTTTTGACTGTTACTACCCAGATATTTTGTCATTCACAGGCAATTGTTGACTTGTTTTCATTGTCTTCAAAAGATGGTTTATAATCAGCTATAGAATTCTGACAGGTGCTCTTGAATGCAGGTTTATGATATCTTTGGAGATTGTGACATTGAAATAGAGGAAAAACATACAGGACTCATGAAGAACTGAAATGTTCTTGAATACTAAGCAGAACAAGAGTTAACTGAATGGACTGAATTAATAGAAAACTGAAATAATCATTTTAACTTTTTGCTTAAAATGTTGCTGATCCTTTGTTTTCCAAAGTCAGGAAAACTTTTATTTCGAGCTATTTGCAGCTTTTCACAATTGAGTAAGGTATACCCCTAGGAACAAAATTATGGGCATGTTTGTTTCTCTCTGCCTAGTATCTCCAGAATTTGGAAACTATTTGTGAGTATTCTTAACTTAGGGCAACATAGTTATTTGTATAAGTGCAATAAGAATCCGTTTTCTTTTGCAACAGGATGCAATTGGAGAAAGTGGTTGTTTTACCAATGATTTGATTGGAAGGGTGTGCTTCCCTTTAAGGACTCAAGCTTGCCTTGCAAAGCCAATAAAAGCCCCTTGAAAAAACTGGCTTCATACCTTGCCTACACAATCCCTGTACAGGATTCCTAACCTGTGATGAGTAAAGAATGTCACTTTCTAACAGGCCCAGGAGCTCCAAGTTTTCTTGGGACCTCAAGAAGGGAGAAATTTACCCAACTCATAGATATTTCAGGGTACAAACCCATGGCTGGGCTCAGCTTTAAAAAGTTGTATATGAGATTCCTGATAGAACAAGATTCCATCAAAGCCAATTTTTAAAAACCTATGTGAAAATAATTATTCTTGCTACACTTTATGCAAATAATCAGGCCAAGTATTAAGACTAAAGTTTATTTTGCAAACAATGTAGTCCTATCATGATTTGTTTTTAACAAAAATGAGGATTGGAGAGAGAAAAAGTGGTTTCAAAATCTGTCATATACTTGTCATTAAATTCTAGTCTCATTAGTTGTTTTTAATTTTTTTTCCTGCATTTTAGACTAGCTCTGCTTATTCCTGTGAACCAACCAGGGAGCTCTGGCTGCAATTCAGAAGAAGAAAAAGGGATGGGTAACGTAAAAATCTGGATCAATATTCTAGTTCTGGGCAATTATCCTGCAAACCCTGTCAGGTAAATAGGGATAAATAGGGTGCCCATAACTCAGAGGTTTCTTTTTGTGGAAAATAAGACCAAGGGAGCTAACCAAAGCAAAGCCCCATGTACCCAAATCTTAGTAGGCATAGCTATAGCCACCAGTTAACTGAGTGTGTTAGCAGCTTCAGGATTTTTGAGCCATCCTTACTCCCTTGCTTCATTTTGATACATGTCTTCTAATAAACTGGTTTTTCTCTTCTTATCTTCAGGCCATCAAACTCTAAATGGTCATGCAACTGGAGCCTCAGATGATGGCTCCCTTTTACTGGGGATCCTTAGATAGGCCTCTGAGAGAGATCTGACTGCCATCTTCCCTAAATAGCACCCCCTATCAGCATGAAGCAGTTAAGACTGGTCATCATCCCTATCCTAATGGCAGTTAGATGTACCTCTTCAGATGGGAGAATGATAGCAGCAGGAGGCTGACACATGCCTAGGCAAACAGGGTGGGTCCACAGTGAAACCTGACCTTTAAGCCAAAGACAGCTTAAGGTCTAGCTACAAATCCTGGGTAAATCCACAGACTAGATTGAGAACCTGTCTTCCTGTTTGGAATGCTTTCCTCAGATTGATCCCCACCCTTCACCTATTTTAGATATACCTACCCTTCCCTAATTGTTTTTTTACAATGTCATGCCCACCTTTGAGTGGTGTCTCTATTTTAATCTTTTTTGCATACTCACTAACCAATCAGCATGCACTCCCCATTCTGAGCCCATAAAAGCCCCAAACCTAGCCACATGGAAAAAAGAGGTCACACGACTTTGGTTGGGGGACCACCCTCATGCCCTGTCTCTGCTGAGAGCTGTTGTATTGCACAATAAAATTCTTCCCCACCCTCCTCACCCTTCAACTGTCAGCATAACCTCATTCTTCTTGGACATGGAACAAGAACTTGGGTACCACCAAATGCAGGTACAAGCTATAACACAGGTTGGGTGGGGCATGCCTGGCCCAGCTGCAGGATGAGCCAGTGTGCAAGCCAGGCAAGGCCCAATGGCTGAGTGGGTGGGATGCTCCTGCGGCAGGCCTGGGGCTGAATGAGTCCTGGGTGGGGCATCGTCAGCTGCAAAGGGCCCTGGCTAGCAAAGCAATTGATAAAAATCCTGTGTCGTAAGTACACTAATCCCATTGATGAGGGCTCTGCCCTTATCCACCTAGTCACCTACAAAGCTCTACCTCCTAATACCGTATTTTAGGTGTTAAGATTTCAACATCTGGACTTCGGGGACACACAAACATTTAGAATGTAGCAAGTAGTAATTTTGGTAAACTGCTTGAGACTGAGTGTGGACTAGCTTGAGAATGAGAAATTCCTGGTGGTCACAGTCTTGAAGGGGAACCCACAGTTCTACAGGATTTGCCTTTAGAAACTCCACCAAGTTTTCAAAGTAGAAATTCAGAAAAGATACCCACAGGGCATGAGGTAGGGAAGAGTAATCATTGTGAAATGCACCCAGAGCCTTATCCATAACAAAGGCCTGCTTATTAGGGAAAAGGTTTCGCTGGGAAATGTAATTCCTCCCACCTTGGCCCCCTTTAGTCTTTCTGTCTCACCTGAGGGGTGAAATAGCATAGCCTACTGGGATCAATGCTGCAAAAATAGATTGAGAAGAGTGAGGTGAAAGAAGGGAGTAGATAGTTGATGGAGAAAAGCTGTATCAAAGGAGAACCATCTGAGAAGTTAACAGCCCTGGGAAGAATTCCCAGTAAAGGACAGAGATTTAATTGACATATTATAAAACATTCTGTATCCCCTCTCACTTTGCCATTGCACAAATAGGGCCCCAGTATAATAATAGCGGGTTACAGCTGAAAAAGCTGTTAGATATGGACTACTTCTGAGGAATAAGATATAGAAAAAAACAAAACAAGGGCAGTAAACAAATTTGAAGCTTCTAGGCATCTATAGCTACAGCAAACATTAAACACAGTTGAACTCCCACAGATTAACTGGAATCATCAACTTAACAGCCAGTTTACCTCAATTCCCAGTAGTTCATACAACTCATCTGACTTTCCAGAAAAACTTACAAGGTACGTCAAAAGGCAAAAACCACCAAGCAAAAACAGTCTGAAGAGACAGAGCAAGCATGAGAACCAGGCTTAGCTAGAACAGAGATTTTGAAATTATCAAACAAGGGATTTAAAATAATTACAAGTAACTTGGCAATGGCTATAATGAAGAAAAGGGAAGACAATATACAAGAAGAGATGGATAATTTGAGGAGGAAGATAATTTTCTAAAAAATAATCAAAAAGAAATGATAGATATTAGGAACACTGTAACAGAAATGAAGGATGTTTTATACATTCGTTTGTAGATCCAACATGAAAATGGAAAGTATCAGTGATCTTGAAGATAAGTCAATAGAGACTTTCCAAACTGAAATTCAGCAAGATAAAAGCACTTTAAAAGCAGAGAAGATATCCAAGAGCTTTGGACAGAATCAAAAGGTGTAACATTCAGATAATAATAGAAGAATAATAGAGTAGAATAAATATTTAAAATAATAGAGGCTGAAAACTTTTCAAAATTAATGAAGAACAGAAAATCACAAATCCAGAAAGCTCAGAAAACAAAAAGCAGAATAAATAGCCTGAAATACTACCTTTAATCATACTTTATTAAAACTGAGAAAAAAAATTAATGGAGAGAAATCCTGAGAAAAATGAGAGGCAGTGAAATAATGAGAATGAAATAATGACAAAAATAATAATCTCAATAATGACAAAAAAAATCTCAAAATGAGAGTGAAATAATGACAGTGAGAGGCAAAAAGAGAATGGAGTGAAATATGTAAAGTATTGGAAGAAAAAAACACTCACAAATGAGAATTTATATCCAACAAAATTATTCTTTAAATGTTAAAGAAATAGAAACTTTCTTGGACTAATAAAATCTGAGATTTATCACCAGCAAACCAACCATGCCAGAAATGTTAAAAGAAGTTCTTCAGCCATAGGGAAAATAATATATGTTACCAACCCAATGTTTGTGTCCCCTAAAATGTATGTGTTGATGACCTAACCACCGATGTGGTTGTATTTAGAGATGAGATCTCCAAGAAGCTAATTAAGGTTAAATGAAGTCATAAGGATTAGGCTCTGATCTCATAGGATTAGTGTCATTATAAGAAGAGACATCAGATAGCGAGCCCTCTCTCTCTGTCCCTCCCCACCCCCTCACTCAATATGAGGACACAGCAGAAAGTGGCCAGCTATAAGGCAGAAACTAAACCTGCACCTTTCCAAATTATGAGACAATAAATGTTTGCAGTTTAAACCACCAAGTCTGTGGTATTTTGTTATGGCAACCCCCACAGACTAATACAATATAGGTCAAAAGTTTTGATCTACATAAAGAAAGCATAGGGGTGGAGATAACGATTCCTCTTGAATCACTGAAAGTTCACTGAAAATGAACTTACAGAAGACAGATTAATAGGAAGAAAAGCATAAAAATTTATTTTCATATGCAGAAAATGTGTAAAGATATAATTGAATTACATAAATGTTCAATTATAACCAGAGAAGAGAGAAAAAGAGGAAAAATGAAGAAATTCGATGAATAAAAAAGTTACAAACATGGCATATATTCATACAACTATAACAATAATGACTTTAAATTTGAACAGTCTAACTATATCAATGAAAATAAGAGATTATCACAGTGAATTTAAAAAATATATATATATATAGTTTACAAGAACCACAGTATCAATATAAAGACACAGGTAAAAAGTAAAGAACTAGGAAAATATACATCATATTTACTAACCAAAAAAAAATCTGGAATAGCTATATTGATTGCAGAAGAAGCAGACTTCAGAATAAGCAAAATTAAAATGGATAAATAAGAGTATTACATAATGATAAAAAGTCAATTATCCAAGAACACATAACAATTCCAAAAATATATATACCCAATAACTGAAAATACATGAAGCAAAAACTGACAGAATTAAGTGAAATAGATAAATCTATCATTATAGTCAGAGATTTCAGCATCTCTCTGCCAGTAATTGATAGATTAAACAGGCAGAAAATCAGAAAGGATATACACTACCTGAACAGCACCATCAATCAACGTGATCTAATAAACATTTATAGAATACTCCAACCAAAAACAATAGAATATTTATTCTTGTCCAACGAACATGAAACATTCACCAAGATCAACCATACTCTGGGCCACAAAAAGCAAATTTAAAAGAACAAAAATCATACAATGTCTGCTTTTAGGCCACAAGGGCATTAAGCTATAAACTAATAAGAGGAAGATAGCTAGATCTGCATTTAAAAATCTTCTAAATAACGCATAGATTTAAGAAGTCTCAAGAGAAATTTTAAAATGTAATTTGAATTGAGCAAAAATAAAAATATAACAACAAAATTTGTGGCATGAGTCAAAAGTATTATATACAGTGAAATTTATAGCATCAAGTACATATATTAGAAATAAAACCAAAAATCTAAAGTCCATAATCTAAGCTCCCTCCTTAGGACATTAAAGAAAAGGAACAAATGAAGCTCCAAACAAGAACAAAATAATACAAACTATGGTGGAGATAATTTTAAAAACAGAAAAATGGTAAAGAAAATCAACAAAACCAAAAGCTGTTTCTTAGAAAAGATCAATAAAATTGATAAACCTCTAACTATATTAACTAGAACAAAAAATAAACAAGGCATGAATTTAAAATATTATATATGAAAGAAGGACCATCACTACTAATCACAGACATTAAAAAGATAATCTAAGAATACTATGAACAAATCTAACAAACTTGATAATTCAGATACAATAGACCAACTCCTTGAAAGACACAAACTACAGCTCAAACAAGGGGAATCAGATGATTTGAATGACACCATATCTACTAAATAACTTGAGTCAATAATTAATGTTTCAAAAAAAAAGCACTCGGACAAGATGGTTTTACCAGTGAATTATGCCAAACATTTAAGAAAGGAATGATACTAATACTCCACAAACTCTTCCAGAAAATAGAAGCAAAGTGAACACTTCCAAACTCAGTCTATGAAGCTAGCCTTCTGTAATACCAAAACCAACTAAAGACATTATAGAAAAAAAAATTACAGACTAATATCTTTCATGAACATAGATATAAAAATCTTCAACAAAATACTAACAAATTGAATTCAACAATTTATAAAAAGAATTATACATTATGACAAATGTTATTTACTCTGGGGATGCAAAACTAGTTTAACATTTAAGAATCAACTAATGAAATTCTCCATTTTATGAAATGTATAAAGACAAATAATATGATCACATCAATTGATACATAAAAGGCATTTCACAAAATCTATCATGTGTTCATGAAGAAAACTCTCAGCAAACTTCCTCAACCCAATAAAGAACATTTAGAAAAAACCTTCAGTAAGCATCATACTTAATGGTGAGAGATTAGAGATTTTTCCCCTAAGGTGGGGAACATGATAAGGATGTTTTCAGTCAGCACTCCTAGTCATCATCACACTGGAAGCATAACTAGTGTAATAAAAGAAAAAGAAATGAAAATATACAAGTGAGAAAGGAAGAAGTAAACATCTTCATTTGCAGATGACATGATTGTCTATGTAGAAAACCATAAGGAATCTGTTTTTAAAAATCAGTAAATAAATAAAAACAGCTCCTGAAAGTAATAAGCTAGTATAACATGGTTGTAGGATATAATGTCAACAGGCAAACATCAATTGCTTCTCTATGTTATAGAAATAAACACAGGGATTTAGAAGTTAACAGCAAAATACCATTTGAAGTAATACCAAAAATTAGGCCAGGCATGAGGGCTCACGCCTGTAATCCCAGCACTGTGGAGAGGCTGAGGTGGGCAGACCACTTGAGGCCAGATCAAGTGATCTGAGCTGAGATCACACCACTGCACTCCAGCCTGGGTGACAGAGCAAGACTTCATCCCCCCAGAACAAAACAAAACATAATAATAATAATAATAATAATAATAATAATAATAATAATACCAAAAATTGAAATATTTAATAATAATTCTAACAAATTTTGTATAAAATCTAAGTATAAATAACAAGTAAAATAAATCAAAGATACAAAGAAATAAAGAGATAATCTATATTCATATATTGGAAATCTCAACATTGTTGAGAAGATAAATCTTCTCAACTTTATACATTCAACACAAACTCAATAAAAATCTCAGCAAGCTCTAGTGTAGATATAAACAAAGCTGACTCTAAAGTTTACACAAAAAGGCAAAAATTTAAAAATAGCCAACAAAATACTGAAGAAGAACAAAGTTGGAAGACTCAGACTACTGAACTTGAAGCCTTACTAGAAAGAAACACTAATCAAGATAGCATAGGATTAATGAAAAAATAGACAGATATTCACTGAACTAGAACGAAGAGTCCAGAAGTAGACTAACACAGATAATATCAACTGACTTTTAAAAAGGGCAGAGGCAACTAAAGAAAGGACAACGTTTGTATCCAATGATGTGAAACAATAGGATGTTCATACCCCCCAAAAAAATCTGAGACACAGACCTCTTTCCTTACTCAAATATTAACTCAAAAGCAATCATAGACCTAAAAGTAAAATGCAAAACTATAAAAACTTCCAAAATAAAATATGAGAAAAATTCTGTATGACTTTCAGTGTGTTGATGGGTTTTTAGATACAATGCCAAAAACTTGATTCATGAAGGAAAAAATAAGTTAGACTTTAATAGAGTTAAAATCTTATAAGCCAGGTGTGGTGGCTCACGCCTGTAATCCCAGCACTTTGGGAAGCCGAGGCCGGTGGATCACCTGAGGTCAGGAGTTCAAGACCAGCCTGGCCAACATGGTAAAACCCCATCTCTACTAAAAATACAAAAAATTAGCCAGGTGTGGTGGATTACAGATCCCAGCTACTCAGGAGGCTGAGGCAGGAGAATCACTTGAACCCAGGAGGTGGAGGTTAAAGTGAACAGAGATCGTGCCATTGCATTCCAGCCTGGGCAACCAAAGCAAAACTCCATCTCAAAAAAAAAAAAATAAAGAAAGAAAGAAAAAAAATAAAGTTAAAATCTTTTCATCTATGGAAGTCACCGTTAAAAGAAGGAAAACATGCACTGAGATAAACCATTTGCAAAAAATGACTTTAAAAATATTTGTATCCAAAAATATAAAGAACTCTTAAAACTCAACAATAAGGAAACAAAAACTCATTTTAAAAAATGAGCAAAATTTATCAATGGATATCTCACCAAAGAAGAGAAGCAAATTACAAGGAAGCATATGGAAGTATGCTGAAAATCATTCATCATTAGGAAAATGCAATAAAACAAGATTCCACTACACACATATTAGTATGACTAATATTCCAAAACAAATCAGATAATAGCAAGTGTTGAAGAGGAAATCAAACAGCAGGATTCATTGCTGGTGAGAATGCAAAATGGCACAGCCAAATTGCAAAACAGGATACTTCTTACAAAATTAACTATAATCTTACTATACAATCTAGTAATTGCACTTCTAGGTATTTACTTAACTGACTTGAAAACTTATTTCCACAAAAATATCTGCACATGAGTGTTTGTGGCATCTTTATTTATAATCGCCAAAAACTTACAGCAACAAAGATGTCTTTTAATAGGTAAATAGATAAACAACTGTAGTGTATCCATGCAATGAAATACTATTCAGCATTTTTAAAAAAAACTTAGTATTGAGTTTAGAAGACATAGATTAATCTTAAGGGCATATTTGAATGAGAGAAGTGAAAATGGACACTTACATCAGTAAAGGGAGACTGTGAAGGCTATATACGGTAAAACCACATTTTTTTTTTTTCTTAAGACAGGGCCTTACTCAGTTGCCCAGGCTGGATTGCAGTGGCACGACCACAGCTCACTGCAGCCTTGACTTCTCAGGCTCAAGCAATCCTCCCACCTCAGCCTCCTATGTAGCTGGGACTATAGGCATACAACACCATGCTCAGCTAATCATTTATTTATTTATTTATTTGTAGAGATGGGGTCTCACTATGTTGTCCAAGCCAGTCTCGAACTTCTGGGCTCAAGTGATTCACCTGCCTTGGCCTCTAAAAGTGCTGGGATCACAAGCATGAGCCACCATGCATAGCCTTAAAATTCCTTTTATATGATTCTGTCAGTAGTCACCAGGGGTTTGCTGAGTGAAAGGACTGAACAGGTAAAACAGAGGGATTTGTGGGGAGCACTGAAACTATTCTGTGTGATACTATAATGGTGGATATATGACATTATGTATTTGTCAAAACCCATATAATGTTACAATACAAAAAGCAAACCTTAATGTATGCAAATTAAAATAAACTCATTGATCAGGTCAAGGGTCTGAGGAGGGAATACATATTATGACAAATGATCTAACTGTATTACAAATGTACAAAATAAACTCACTAAAGGGAGTGAGGGGGAGGTGAAGGGGAAGCCACTTACTATAAAATAACTTTGGAAATAATTAGAGTCTATAGTACATAAGGCAAAAGTAACTGAACATAAACACTGTCCTCTGGTTGATAAAGCTATTTCATTTGGGATATGTGTTAACAATTACAATACTGCTATATACGTGTTCTAGAACTGCACAATTAGGTAAATGAATAGTGGATTATAATAAGAGAGAAGCAAGAACGGAAGTCTAGAATCATCTGTGTTAATGGGCTAGAGTTGGAAACACCAGTATAAACTCATGTTTAGCTTAATAAAGGTACCTATAGAAATACATGTATATGTGTATACATATACATGTGTGTATATATATGTAATATAATACGCATAGTTACATGAGATCGTTGATACATATATTTCCTTGATCTATCAGCTGAGAGGGCCCAGAAGCAACAACTTCCCAGTAGCCGAAGAATGCTTAGCATGCAGGCCTTAGTTTCTTTTTTTTTGTTGTTATTGTTTTTTGAGACGGAGTCTCACTCTGTCGCCCAGGTTGGAGTGCAGTGGCACGATCTCTGCTCACTGCAAGCTCCGCCTCCCAGGCTCACGCCATTCTCCTGCCTCAGCCTCCTGAGTAGCTGGGACTACAGGAGCCCGCCACCACGCCCGGAAGCCTTAGTTTCTAATACATTTCTTCAATACAGGATGCTTGGAGAAATAGCTAACTTATGACTCTAGCAGGAAGTATACGGTATAAGACTGAGTTGCTTATTGTGTGTCAGAAATTAAGGAATTTCTCAAAAAACAAAAAGAAGAAGAACAACAACAACAAAAAACCACAATGATGGGTTTATGTCAAAGGGTCATGATAGACCACTTAAAGAACTACCAGTAGACAAGTCTGGAACAATTCTAAGTGTTTCTGTAAAGGTATTTTTTAGATGAGATTAACATTTAAATCCTTAGACTTGAGTAAAACATATTATCTTCCATATGTGAGTGGGGCTCATCCAAGCAGTTCAAGGCCTTAATTTAAAAAAAAGACTTGTCTTTCTCAAGAAAAGGGGAATTCTGCCAGCAGACTGCCTTTAGACTGGAACTGCAACATCAACTCTCCATTGAATCTCTAGGCTGCTGGCCTATGTTTCAGATTTTGGATTTGCTGGCCTCCACAGTCATGTGAGCCACTTCCTTAAAACGTCTCTCTTTGTAACTTACTACACACACACACACACACACACACACACTTATATATATATACCACACACAGACACATGCACCCTTTTTATTCTGTTTCTCTGGAGAAACCTTACTAGTACAAGTGGCATTGAATTATAACCCCACATATAAAAATATTCATAATTACATAGTGGCATAAATAAATAATTAAATAAAAGACATAGAAGAGACAAATCTCTCATAGGCAAGAACTTCAAATAATGTAGATACTCCTTTTTCAAGTAGGTGGAGTTCAATCCCCCACTCCTTGCGTGTGGGCCTTACGTAGTGACGTGTTTCTAAAGACTAGTGTATGGAAAGAGAGAAAAAAGTAATTTTACAGTAGAGGAACCTGAAAAACATTACCTTACACAGGAGACCAAAAGTAACCTTAATGTAAGTCACATTGACAGCATATACTGCTTATGCATTTGAGAAGAATGACACTTCGTGTTTGTTGTCTTCCTCCTAAAAATTCATAAACCCAATCTGACTATGAGAAAAACATCAGACAAATCCCAACTGATGGACCTTTTACAAAACACCTGACCAGTACTCCCCAAAACTGTGAAGATCACTAAAAACAAGGAAAGCCTGAGAAACTGTTACGGCCAACAGGAGCCTAAAAAACATGATGACTAAATGTAATTCAGTATCCTGGTTGGGATTCTAAAACAGAGAGGGCATATTTAGAGAAAAACTAAGAAATCTGAATAAACGGTGTATTTCAGTTAATAAAAACTTATCTTTATTGATTCGTTAATTCGATCAAATGCATCATACTAATATAAGGTGTTAATAGAAGACACCAGTCGTGGGCTATATGGGTATCCTCTCTACTATCCTCAAATCTTTTCTGTAAATTTAAATCTATTCTAAGATAAAAAGTCTATTTAAAATATATATACACTAAGACGGAACAATATTTTGAGTAAAAAGAGCAACTATTTTGGGAAAACATTCATTGCTTCTTTCTCATGATTAAAGAACTGAAATTAACAGAAATTTCCACAAAGGCAAGATTCCACAGGTAAAAGGATTCCGCAGCTATTAGGATATAAAAGCTTTGTTTGTCTGTCTGGGCAATCAGTACTGACTGGTGAAAATCATGTCCAACTGACAAATCATTAATAACCAGAATATGTAAAGAATTCAAACAACACAGCAGCAAAACAAAAAATCATTGCAAAATGGGGAAAAGATCTGAATAGACATTTCCCAAAAGAAAACATAGAAATGGACAACAGGCATATGCTCAACATCACTAATTATTAGTAAAATAAAAATCACAACCACAAACAGCTATCATCTCACCCCAATTAAAATGGCTACTATAAGAAAGACAAGAAATAACAAATGCTGATAAAGATGTGGAGAAAGGGGATTGCTCATACACTGTTGGTGGGAGTGTAAAGTAGTATAGTCCTTATGGAAAAGGGTATGGAGGTTTCTCAAAAAACTAAAAAGAGAACTACCATATAATCCAGAAATTTCACTGATGGGCATATATCCAAAAGAAAGGATATTAATATATGGAAGAGATATTGGTACTCTCACGTCTATTGCAACATTATTAACAATAGCCAAGATATAGAATGAATCTATGCATCCATCAATGGGTGAATGGATAAAGAAAGTGTGGTATTCATACACAATGGAGTATGTTTCAGCCATAAAAATGAATGTAATTCTGTCATTTTCAGCAATACAGATGAAACTGGAGGTTATTATGTTAGGTGAAACAAGCCAGGCAAAGAGACAAAGATTGCACATTCTCAGTCATATTTGGAAGCTAAAAAAGTGGATCTCATTGAGGCAGAGGGTAGAATGGTGTCTACCAGAGGCCGAGAATGGAAGGAGGTAGAGGGGGGAGATAAAAAGAAGTTGGTTAACAGATACAAAAATAGAATTTGATAAAAAGAATAGCCCGGGCATGGTGGCTCACACCTGTAATCCCAGCACTTTGGGAGGCCAAGGTGGGGGAATCACCTGAGGTCAGGAGTTTGAGATCAGCCTGGCCAACATGGTGAAACCCCATCTCTACTAAAAATACAAAAGAATTAGCTAAGTGTGGTGGTGCATGCCTGTAATCCCAGCTACTCGGGAGGCTGAGGCAGGAGAATCTTTTGAACCTGGGAGGTGGAGGTTGTAGTGAGCCGAGATCACACCACTGCACTCCAGCCTGGGCAACAAAAGGAGACTCTGTCTCAAAAAAAAAAAAAAAAAAAAAAAAAAAAAAAAAAAAAAAAAAAAGAATGAATTCCAATATTCGATAGCACAGTGGAGAAATTATAATTAAAAATAATTTATTTTATATTTCAAAATAGCTAAAAGAGAAGAATTGTAATGTTCCCAACACAAAGAAAAGATAAATGTTTGAGGTGATGGACATCACAATTACCCTGATTTTATCATTACACATTGTAAACAGGTATCATAATATTTCACGTACCCACAAAATATGTACAACTCATATACCAATAATAAAATATATAAACAAGCAAAGTCCTCTAGGCCATTCAACAACAAAAAACCAAATGAGTTTAGAATTAATTATGTGATTTTTGCCATACTTTTCAGATATGAAGACTAATAAAAGCATTTGATTGTCATTTGTAAAAACGCATGCTGAATATACCCATTAGTACACTTTCCATGCTTCGTGTTGATGAAAAATCCATTTTTAACCATAAAGCAATTGATTTTCATAAGTGTCCTTTTCATATATTACTGATTTGTATTCTATAAGCCCACCATTAAAAAATGGTTGGTTTGAGTGCAACCCCCTCCACTTTGCCTTGGGTTTTCTGGTTTATTCAAGTTACCAAGAAACAAAAATAGCTGCAGTTTTGGCAGAATGCATTCTCTTTTCCTGTAGGGAATACTCACAATTTAGTAAGGAGCATTTTCAAATGCAAATGACCCTCCAAATTAGGGCTGTCCTCCTTCTTACAGCCACTACTAAGCCTCCACCTGCGCATGTTCCTATTCAAAGCCAGTCTACTCAGCCCATATGCATCTCCTCCAGTGTTTTATTTGACAATCTGTTTCAGCTTCACAAGGGAGCTAGCAAATTATGTATTGCTCATTTTGTCAAAGTCATCATTGATGACAATTCCGGCAACAAGAGGCTCATTTTATTCTGCAGATGTTTTTATCAAATAGAAGATAAATCATGGTTTCCCATTTTGTTTTGTGTTGTACTTCTGAGAATAACAGAGGGCACAAATAAAAACCTTTTCATTAATAAAGAAAGAAAGAAATACACTCAAGAGGTTCACCACTGCATGATTTTCAGATATGCAGAGCACACACTGGTAAGAGACTTTATATTTAGCACCAATATAGCAGCCTTCAGTTAGGAATGCTGAATGGGGTTGGCCGGGGTGGGGGGGTGCATGGACAGAAGAGAGAGAGGTAATCTTAATTTTTAAGAGATTAATTCCTTCTCATTTCTTTTAGAATATTGGTCAGAAGTTAATTTAGGATTCCAATACAGAGTAATGTTCACCATAGCATCTTCTAGAAAGAGGCATCACCATATGTTTCTGAAAAAAAAATAATTAACCTCACTGGTAAATCATGGTGAAACTGCCTTAATGTTCTCATGAAATGTGGCTGAGATCCCTATAATTTTTAACATAAGAACCAGGGTCAATAGGTCTCTTGATTTAGTCTGCTGAAATCTATACTTAGATTTGGAGGGGAAATTAAAAAAAAGAAACACAGTCATGTGTATCTATCTTGTTCTTCTGCCAAAAGGCATAGGTAGCTGAAGAAAGTAAAGTAGGGCTCTTAAATAAAAATAAATATTTTATACAGGCTCACCATAAGCAAAACACTGTTATTCTGTTGGAATTGCATATGTGTGATTAAAATGGCCAGGAATGCTTCATTATCATCTCTATAGTACCTAGTTCAGTATGGAGTTTAATGAGGTTTAAATTAGGCCTGAGTGTAATAGTTATCAGAGGTGAATGAACAAATACTAGGTGGATCATAGTTCTCCATGATGCAGGTGGCAGCACTGTGAAAGGCAGCTGAGGGTGGATATAAGTTTTGAAAATCTCTAGAAGGTGTTGGAAATCAAGAAAGAGCAAATGTTAGGGGAGTGGGAGGGGTTGAGAATAGAAAAGAAAGCAGTGAGGACAACTCTACCTTTACATATATCATCATCATTACCAGCGATGTTAATTATGTGCTAGGCACAATACTAAGCCCTTTACACGTATCATCACCCCTTGTTTTCAAAACTATGCCTTGAGATACTCTACTTCAGTATGAGAAACGGAGGCTCACAGAGGTTAGGCTGTTTGCCAAACACCACACAGCTAGTACTTTCTGAACCATGTTGGGCGTGTCTAAGAGCACAGGATCAGCATTCATATGGTCCTTGGTTTGAATCTGGACAATCCAACTATTCTGACCATTAGAAAGTTTGTATAACTTTTAATTGGCTTGGTTGACATACTTGGTGCCATATTTATTTATTTATATATTCCTTCACATTGACCACCTATTTATTAGAGGTCTACTACGTGCCAAGCATTGTGCAAAACAAGCATGCGTGTGTGTGTGTGTGTGTGTGTATGTGTGTATTTGCATACACATATTATATACATGCATTTATAAATGCATACATATACATACACATATATTTATACATGCATACATGCATATGTATACATTCCCATACACATACATCTCTCTCTCTCTCTCTCTCTCTCTCTCTATATATATATATATATATATGAAGTACATTTCTGTCTTTTTCAAAGGAAACAGAAAGAATTTAATGTAGCAACTCTTATTTTTCTTGGAGTGTTCCCATGGACAGACAGGTTATTTCTTTTGCATGTCAGTGCACCTTTCAGATGCTAACCAGTCTCTCCTGGAAACCCTTACACATTTTGCATCAGCATTGCAATTTACTATTTAGGAGAGAGATTCCTTCTTATTTCCCAATTGTTCTTCCATCTAGTCTGAATAAAACATAAGCTGATCAATATATAAAGTATCCATAAAACTAGGCTGCTACAATGACTATTTGTGTTAACTCTGTTCTCCCTTTTACCTTACTTCTACATGATTTAGCATTAAAGTTAAGGCAAAAACAATGACAAAGGTACAGCAAAAGCAAATAAGATTTTAACAAGCTTTCAATAGACTGACAAAAGGAGATGGGAAACTAGAAACATAAAAATAATAAGCAGTAACTCTGCCAACAAACACAGCCTCCAAATGGATCCTGAATGAGAAATTTACTTACCTATTTGCATCTTTCAGTTCAGTTTTGCATTAACTATTTTTTTCCCTCTTGTTTTGAACACCATTTGGATTTATTGCATCTCCTGGTGTTCTTTGGCATTTTTTTTTACATCCAATCTCCTTATTTTAACATCTCTTTATGTTCAAATTTTTTAGACATCATTTACTCTTTTTTTCCACAAATAGTAGAAATCATGGAATGAACAGTTAGAGTTATTGTTAGTGCACAAATAGCTTAAGACAGATCGTAAAGTCCCCAGTGATCAAGGAACTATATAATGCTGACTAGCTCCAGCAGCGACAGCAAAAATTTTCATAAGCCAGATGCTTAGCTTTCAGCTCAACCCCATCAACTTATCCTCATCATGTGATAATCCCCCATTACTTTCCAAAAAACCTATTGTCTTTCTGACCCTTGAAAAAATTCTGCAGTTTCTAAGGGTCTTTCCCTAGCTTCATTCTTTCTGCAACTGCATATAACTCAAACTGATGAGGACACATGACAAAAGACAAACACATTATTTTTTACCAGCCATAAGCAAATTCAGATGCAGAATTTTAAAACAGAGGACACTAAAGGCCTTTCAGATAAGATACTACAACTTACAGTTTTAGAACTTAAACCTTTCTTGTACACATAGAATGTGAATAAGGCAGTTTTAATTTCCAAAAGAGCAATATTGGATTCCTTAATGAGTGAATATTTTGGATATTACATATCATTATTCAAGGTACCAAGACGAAAGGTACCTAAACATGACAAAATGCTATTTAAAAATATTTACTGATCTTCTTAATCTAAAAATTTTCTTTAGAATCAGTATCTATAACACAAGGCAAACTCTTATGTTTTCTCCAAGTTTTTATACTAATTCTATATAAAAGTCCATTATAGAGGGGCATCGTATTTCTTAGTACCTCTCTCTCATAGAAGTGAGGAAATTAAATTTCAAACAGATTTCATGTTGAGAAAATAATCTGCATAAATACAAGGTGGAGAACAAACTAGCCATGAGGGCCACAAGGAAAATCAGTGCCCCTGACTTTTAAAATCCAATTAGGAAATTTAGACATTTAGCCCAATGGGAGTCAGCTATGTGAGGCACCACCTGCCCCCTAGGGTGAATATCATTCATCACTGCAAGAAGAGCAGGAGAAGAGGAAATCTCAAATAGAGGAAATGATGGTTCTGTACTACTGAGGGCCAGTAAAGTTTCACTAAGTATGGTAAATTTTTAGGCTTCATAACAAACTACGATGAACTGGGTGGCTTATAACAACAGAAATTTATTCTCTCATGAGTCTAGAGGCTAGAAATCTGAAATCAAGGTCTCAGAAAGAACAAGCTTTCTCTGAAGAGTCTAGAAGGGGACTTTTCCTTGCCACTTCTAACCTTCACTTGGTTGCCAGCAAACACTGGCATTCCTTGGTTTGTAGATGCGTTATTTCAGTCTCTGTTTCTGTTTTCACATGGCCTTCCTCACTGAGAGTCTGCATGTCTGTGTTCAAATTTCCCTCTTCCTATAAGAACGCTATTCTTACTGCATTTAGGGCTCATTCTAATCCATCATGACCTCGCCTTAACTTGTTCACATCTACAAAGAACCTGTTTCCAAATAAGGTCACATTCAAAGGTTCTGGGTAGACATACATTTTGGGGGGACACTATTCATCCCAATATATTAGAGTCCCATGTTCCAGTTCAGCTCACATATATCTGTGAGGCACCTTCAACTTAACATGTCCAAATCTATACTCCTGATTTCCTATCCCCAAACACGTGTTCCACCCATTGTCTCTCTTATCTCAGTTAAATAACAATAGAATCCTTCCAGTTTCTCAGGCCTAGAAACTTAGCATGATCTCTTTTTAGTGCCTTCCTTTCACAGCACACATCTAATACATAAGAAAATTCTCTTGGTTACAGCTGCATATCTCTGGAATCTGACCACTCCTCATGTCCCCTACTGCAAATGCTACTATATGAGCAGCCATCATCTCTCATCTGGATCATTTCTAGAGCCTTCTGATCAGTCTCCTCACTTCTACCCTTCTCCTACAGTCTACTTTTGGAACACCAGCTGGAGCGATTCTTTTGAAACATAGGTCAGATTATGTCACTCTCCTGCTAAAATTTCTCAAGTAGCTTCTCATTTTATTCAGAGTGAACAACAAAACTGTTACAAGACCCTGTGTAACCCTATCCTCAAACCCATCTGACCTCAACTTCCCCACCACCCCCTGCTTCATTCAAACTGTCTCCCTGAGATTTAACACTGATTGTGTTCCCACCTTACAGCCTAGGCATGCTGTTCCTTCTCTTCAAAGACAACAGCGAAGTCACTCAAATATCTACATTGCTGGAGGAGTCAAAGGTAATTTGAACAAACTCTTGATCAAAATAAAGTGAAAGTAATTCAAGTGTCATTTCCCGTTAGAGCAGAAGAAAACCACTGTAGGCTACAATAAAGAAACACCTCGTTTCAATCATTTGATTGCTTATTACAGTAACAATAACAATAAAAATATTATACTTTCCAACAGGCATGTATTAGACACTTTGTTAAAATGACTTTTTACATTATAACATGATCTGTAAATGCTTAGTCTTACATCCATTAGGATACTAAAGAGATAACATTTGGCCGGGTGTGGTGGCTCATGCCTGTAATCCCAGCACTTTGGGAGGCTGAGGCGGGCAGATCACGATGTCAGGAGTTCGAGACTAGCCTGACCTACATGGTGAAACCCCGTCTCTACTAAAATTACAAAAAAAATTAGCCAGGTGTGGTGGCATGTGCCTGTAATTCCAGCTACTCAGGAGGCTGAGGCAGGAGAATTGCTTGAATCCAGATAGTGGAGGTTGCAGTGAGCCAAGATCGTGCCACTGCACTCCAGCCTGGGCAACAGAGCAAGACTCCGTCTGAGAAAAAAAAAGGAGACACCCTTTGAACTGTTACAGCAAGGGAGACAGCAAGCACTGTGGAATTATGTGAAAAATAGAAAAATGCTCTTCCTTATTTTATAAATTAAGCATATCAACTCTGAATGTCAAATCTTGGTCCCATAGGCCCATTGGTAGTTCATATGGGAAGTGTGGACTTATAGGAAGTCTTAAGCCTCCTCCAAAACTTTTCCAGCCAATACCCTTAGATCTGTCCTCTGAATTTATTTCCTTAAAAAAACATAATTTAATGAAACAATTTTCAAAGACTAACAGAATTATATAAGAAAACACTAGATAGTTGCTTCAGACAACTAGTTAGCCTTAGACACAAAAGGATAACAGACTGTATATCTATTAAAACAAAGAAACAAAGTTTTAAACAAAAGACATGCATGTTTAAATAAGAAATTATGAAACAAAAGTCAGAGACGAAAACCAAGCGGGCAAAATCTCAAGAAGTATATGGGAGAGATAAATGAAGACATAATAGAGAGCAAAGGCAAATAAGAAACAACAAGAAATTATAATTTCTATAGAAAAAGCCATCACGAATATGGCAAATGGGTTTGAAAAAACTGCATAAAATAAAACACAATAGAATAACATTTGAAATTGATTATTTAAAAAAAACTACCAAATATGGAAGACGGAAAAAGATAAGTGAACACATGTAAAATATGGTCTTCTATTACAAAAATGAGAATAGAATATATGGAAAATAAAAATATACTAAAATATATAATGAAAATAGCTGCCTTGAAATTTAAAGAAAAGCTTGCATTTGCAATAAAAAAAGTAGTAAAGTAATAAATGTTGAGGATAACAAAAAAATTGACAAAAAAACAAAACAAACCTCCTGTTTTTAGTAATAGAGGGTCACATTGTTTGGACCAACAGTTTTGCTAAAAAGTATAGATAATATATTTTTAATCGTTGGGGGCTGGGGGTGGGAGAGCATTAAGAGAAATACCTAATGTAAATGATGAGTTAATGGGTGCAGCAAACCAACATGGCACAGGTATACCTAGATAACAAACCTGCACATTGTGCCCATGTACCCTAGAACTTAAAGTATAATAAAAAAATTACTTAAAGTATTGAATATTTGAAAACACAGTGAGGAGCTACTAAGTGAACACTTTGTGGAAACGTAGAAGCATAGAATTAGAGGTAGTGCCCTGCACTGGAATAGAGAAATATTTGCTCTGAGGGCATTTGCTGCTGCTGGCAAACTTGAGCCAGCAAATATATATATTTGAATTAAAATAATATATATGATATGTTACATATGCATATATGTAAATAATTTTCTTAGTGGTAGCATGGGGTTTACAATTCACAGCATAAAGAAAGTTATCTACTTTGTATTAATATCAAGTTGACAACTTAATTTCAGTAGTATACAAAAATTATGATACAATATAGCTCTGTTTCTTCCTCCTTTGTGCTGGTATTTTCATACAAAATATATTCTTATACATAATAGGCCCATCAACACAATTTTGTAATTATTACTTTATGTACTCATCTTTTAAATTACATGGGAGAAGAAAGGCATTACAAACAAAAATATACTTGTACTGTCTTTTATATTCATCTATGTAGGTACCTTTAATGGTGTCTTTTATTTCTTCATGTATTACATGGAGGACAGGTTTATTAATAACTGATTCTCTCAGTTTTTATTTGTCAGGGAATATCTTAATTAATTCCTCATGTTTAAAGGATAATTTTGCTGGATGTAGAATTCTTGGTTGACAGCCTTTTCCTTCAGAACTTTGAATATATTATCCCACTGCCTTCTTGCCTACATGGTTTCTGTGAGAAGTCAATTGTTAACCTTATTAAGGTTGCCTTGTATTTATTGCGCCAGTCTTCTCTTGATGCTTTCACAATCCCTTTTTGTTGTTGGCTTTTTTTAGTTACTATGATACATTTACTTAAGAATCTCTGAGTTTATCTTTCTTTTTTATTTTTGAGCTTCCTGGATATGTAGTTTTTATTATTGTTTTTTCAAATACTTTTTCCTGCCCTTTTCTCTGTTTTATTTCTTTGTCCCTTGAATTTGTGATGGTGCACTGTATGTTGTTTTGTGTGCATGTATGTATTTTTGTGTGTATGTGTGTGTTTAATAGACTTATTTTGTATGAAGCTTTAAGTTCACAGTAAAACTAAGCTAGATGTTATAATTATATTTGCAAACCTTGATAATGTGACAGTTATGGTACTGCTGAAAGAACATGGTTGAATAGAGAAGAAATAAGGGTGGTATAACTGAAAAATACCTTATTCAAATTAAAAATCAAAAGATCTGTTTAATGTTGATAAATATTTTGTACAATTAGTGGTCCCTATTTGTTCTGAAATAATGCTTTACAGTAATTACCTGATGAGAGTGGGGATGAGAATAAGTCAGTGGAATAAGGAGTTCCTGTTTCATATCTTCAGTTTTTAATCATTTGCTTTACTATTTATACGACAATCAACTCTAAATATAATAGTTTGTGGAAGTCTAGTCATTACCTTTCCTGCAATACTCATCTAGGTGCTTTGGTTGGGAAGACATTTGAACCTTAATACTGAAATTTCGGTATTCATGATTTCAGGATTAAGTGCATGAGTTCTTGAATCAGACAGACATTATTTCAAAATCAACATTTACTATTTATACTTTCACAGCAACTCCCTATTATTGTAGGATATTCATGAGATTACATTTATATAAGGCATTTAGCACAGTGATTGGAACTGACATGGGCTCAAATATGAAAAACACAATAAGGCATTGGGTGACTCTATTTTGAGACCCCACTCTTGGTCCAGTACACACGCCTCCTGAGAGTCAATACAGTATTTTTTGGCACTGCGTGTGTGTGTGTGTGTGTGTGTGTGTGTGTGTGAATGTGTTTAGGGCTATTAGATTACTTACAAAAAGTATTAAAGTTTTTGAGTGTCCCCCTTTTTATTCTATAGAAATATCAACATAATAAAATCAATTTGGAAACTTTTGAATCTTGCTGTAAGGAGATATGTCCTATAAAGAGGCACTTAAGGATGGGCGCTTTGGCTTATGCCTGTAATTCCAGCACTTTGGGAGGCTGAGGCCAGCGGATCGTGAGGTCAGGAGTTCGAGACCAGCCTGACCAACATGGTGAAACCATGTCTCTTCTAAAAATACAAAAATTAGCCGGGCATGGTGGCGCATGCCTGCAGTCCCAGCTACTCAGGAGGCTGAGGCAGAAGAATTTCTTGAACCCGGGAGGCAAAAGTTTCAGTGAGATGTGATCACACCACTGCACTCCAGCCTGGGCAACAGAGTGAGACTCCATCTCAAAAAAAAAAAAAAAAAAAATCACGTAAAAATAAACTGTCTTCCTTAAAGCTTACAAGTATTTACCAAAATTTAAATGTTCTTTTAATTCCAATAATAATATGCTTCTAATCTGTCTTCATTCTGGCTTTTTGCCGGTGGGATTTCTGAAGCACAGAGGATGGAATGTGAGTATCATGTCTTTGGTGGATGAGCCTTGAGTTAGAATTAGGAGACAATCTGTCAAAACCCAGCCGTACTCAAAAAAGAGTTGTGAGGCATGTGGCAAGTGTCCTAATCTCTACTGGACCTAGTATATTGATATAGCTTGTGGAGTTAATAAATGGTTTACATAGGATTCTCATATGAGTTCATTGAAGTTTTATGGTGCAAAGAAAGAAATATACAAATGTATCATGTATCATTTTTTTTATTCCTAGGTTAAAATACCTGAACTTTTTTTGTAACTTACTTATTCTGAACTGACAAAATTTAGTGTGTTCTGAAAATTTTCTTCTTTATGAATTGATGCTTTCTGTTGATATTAATAAAGATTACAAAAGAACATTTTCCCTGCTGTTATTGAGAATAGAGATATTTAACTTAAAAATTGTATTGATCAGTTAATTAATTAAAGGCAGAACTCTGGAGTTGGCAAGGAGAAGAGAAACAAAAATCTAACCTATTTCTTCTTTTTTTCAAAATAGGAAAAGGACAACAATTGGAAGATTTGATTTAAAAAACAAACAAACAAACAAACAAAAAACTTTCTCTTTTGTTCACCACAGGTTCCTAACCAAGCCCATCGTGTAGGTGTATGAAGTATTAAACAAGCAAACAAAACTGAATGAAATCGTCCTTTGGGAGAACCACATCAGAAATTTCTTAACTTCCTCTTGCCAACAGGTGAAAAAGTTCAAACTTAACTGCTCTGGCATGCAAAATATTTTATGACTAGACCACTGTCTCCACTTGCTTATCTCCTGGAACTTTATAATCTAAAAATATTTAGTATCTTTGAGTTTTCCCATTATGGTTAATGCCTCCATGTCTGTTGTGTTTGATATAGAATCTCTCAATCCAAACGTACATACCTTTGTCCAAAAATGTCTATTTGTCAAACCATAGCTCGGCACTCACCTTCCCCAAGATTTCCTCTTTCATACTTCTGCTTCTGACCATCCCACCACTCTCAGCGCCACCCCCTCCCTACCACCACCCTGCATCCTGAAACCTCCAATTTCAGATCCTAAAACTTTTTCCTTTTGTCACACTCAGCACCCTTCTGGGTATGCTCAATGGTGTTTTTGCACATCTGTCTTTTTTCCCACATTAAGGGCTGCGGGTAGGGACTGATTCATATTCATCAGTGTAATTCCAACATTGAACCAACTATTTGATGAACAATATACTTAATGACTTTGTGAATGAATGAGTGAGCTCAGACTCTAATCATGTTGATGATTTTATTAGTATGAATTTGCTAGTTAGCCTAGTGTTTTAGTTTGTTTAGTGAGATCTAATTTATGTACCATAATGTTCACCCATTTGAATTGAACAACTCAATAGTTTTTAGCATATCTTTCTGAACTTGCACTCCTCCCCACTGGGGCAGACAAAAGTTTTAGAAATCTTGCATGGACGAACCAAATAGTTTTAACATAGGGATGAATAATGAATGATGAGAGACACGAAGAAGAGAGGAAGAGAATGTGCTATAATTATTTCAATGCCTTCTACCACAGCACAAGGAAGTGAAATATATGATATTAATCACTAACTAGGAGAGATGAACCTTTACGTCAGATTTGTCATACATCTCGTCTAGCACCAGCCAAGTTAATTATCTTTAAACTTGATTATTTTCTCCTTTTATTATAACCTTTTCCACACAGTGCGTGTTCTTTTGTATTTTGTTTATGTCTGCATGGAAGAGCAAGAATTATATTTCTGTGTTTCTCCTCAGGGCTTGAGGTACTATTTTGCACATAGTAGGAATAAAAGAAACGTGCAGTGCATTAAATTAAAAAACAAAGAGGAAAACAGAAGATATTGTCTATCATCTCACAGAAAATGGAAAATGGAAATAATAAGATCACAGCCCCATTTTGGCTTTAAAAGTCTGAATATCTCAGGTAATAGTTTTTAAGGCTTACTTATTTCATTTATCCATTTCAGATTGCTAGAGGAGATTTGTCCATTAGCTACTTGTCACTCCAAAGAAACAAGGTGTGAGAATGTAGCCCTCTATTTATAAAGATCAGTTCACCTACTGTCTCCTGATGAGTGGTTGACAAGCTTTAAATAGTCTCAGGCAACATCCCCATTACATTTTATCATAGGAACCTAAAGAGAATGAAATATTCAATTGAAATCCCAAGGATGTTTTAAGAAATAATTACCCAAGTAGAAGTCCTAAAATAGCACCAGAAAAGTAAGGCCACCCTAAATCTGCTCCACAATACCCCACACCCTCCAAGAAAAAACATACTAAATAAGAAATTTAAAATATAATCATAATTATTGGGATCCTGTTAAATTACTTTCATACCCTTGGAATTTGGAGGTCAGTATAAGTTCTTGATTAGCTGAATGTATATTAAGCTGGCACTCTGAATTTTGGGAGTTGTCCATCAATAATTAACAGCTAGTTAATTGTGCATAAATGTCTATGTCACTTAACTTGGCAATGTTTTATTTCTCACTTTTGTCATTTAGGGTTTACCCATCTGTATTTCACATTTCTTGACACATTTTGTATTAAGTACCCATTTACTGCTATTCACTCCTATGTCATGAGCATCTTAATACTCTTTTTATGGCACCACTAACTGCATATTCATCTGCATTACCCATTCCTTGCCACCCTTGCCAGATATATTCTATTGATTGCAAAGCCATCTACCTTACAACTGCCTTGCAATGTTGCAATGATCCTTTGTGGAAAGGCTTGTTCGACAGCAAAGTCATTCTCCCTGAAAAACACAAGAAGGGTACTGCATCATGTCCCCTTCAAGCAATAATTGGTTGCTTTGCCAGTCTTTGGCCCAGTGCTTCCTAATTTGTAATGCACGAGGCTCTGTTCAATAGAATAACATATTCCATTTCTGTTTACAGAACTAACGCTTGATGCTAAAAGAGATAGAAAATAAGATTGGCCCTTTATTGGTGATAATTATACCAACAACACTGAGCGAGATATGGAAGGGTTAGATAAAAGCAAATGAACTTACTTTTTAAATTGAGTTTACTAGATGTAATCATATAACGAAGTACAAATCTTTTAGCTGTTCAATTAAAACTACCTTTTTTTTTCAATAATTTAGGGGTCCATTTTTATTTTATTTTGCATAAGTATTTCAACCAATTTCCATAAATTTGCATTTTTGTTCAAAAGCTGTAATGCCAATTATGTAAAGTAAATGTAATTAATTAGTGCATTCCACAGCAACTGCATTCAAGCCTAGTTTGCAGTCAGAGACACCAGAATGGCTGAGTATAGGAACCTATGGGCTGGCAACTCAGCAAAAGTTCCCTATCACTCCCCTGTACCCCACACTAAAAAGTGAGTTTGGAAAACGCTCCCCAGAAAGATTAAAATATATTGAATATGTGATGCCTAAAACCCTTCATTTCAGTAAACCAAATTCAGTGCCTAAAATTAGAATGAAAGATCTCCTTGTGCCAGCATCATCATCATCTGCGTGTAACCATTTGTATCTAATCCTCAGGCCAATTTGTCCATGTTGATCCTTAAGTATCACTGTGCTTTACTAGCTCTTCTCTTCTGCCAAAGAGGGGTGGGAAGAAGGGATACTACATGAGTGACTCATGCTGTCAGAAGAAACTTAGGTTTTTCAATTCAGGGTTAATTCAGAAAGCAACAGAAAAACATGCTATTGTCTTTTAAGCACATTTAAGGGTAGGTGCTGGCAGTTTCTCATGTTGTACATTTATTTTTTTTTTTTCTGAAACGTTCATACCACATAGGAACGTGTTACATGTTTGCCAATATGAAGCAAAGAAAATCTTTCGTGTTAGCAGTGGCTCCAGTTTAAAAAAACACTTGCTGCTTGTAAGCTCGGGAGTGACCCTCTCCTGATTCTAATCATCAGAATCTCTGAGGACATTAGGAAACTATAATAATTGGCTAAACTGGACATGTCCATTGGATTGCTTCAAGTTCAAGTCTATGTACTTAGAAATTGTAATGCAGTGGGAATTGGGAAAGAAGGGAATGACTGGCCTTCTCATCTAACTTTTAGTTGCATACGAGGCATATCTTAGTTACTTCTTAAATTGATTTTTGCCTGAATACTCCCTTAGGGCTTAAATATATATTTTCAAATATTGTCATTTAATGAAAATTCAGGAGGGCAACGTGTCCCTTCTTTGAAAATGTGGCAAGGCTGAATTGTTTGAACTTGAAGTCACAAATGTAAGTAACTTCACCATGTGGGAGCCACGTTTTTGTCTTAGTCTTTCTGTCAATTAGTGTTGACAACACCCTCAGGGGATCTGGTGGCTCTGGGGCGGTAGGTCACGACAGTGGGGAGGAAGCAGCCAGGTCTCTCCTCACATGACTCCCCAGCATCTTACACTGAAAGTCTTGCTTGCACAAATGATAGATGGCTGTGTAGCCTCCAGATTTAAATATACAAAGGCAGAGTTCTGTTATGCATTACACAGACCTGTTATGTAGGGCAAGGTTTAGCCTGTCAAGTTGGGGAAGGGTAATTGAAAAAAATGTCCTGGTCTATTTAGACATGCCTTCTGGGAAATTCTATGTAGGATTAAGTTTAGGCAAAGATTTTTGTTTTATTCTCCATATTGGGGCCATAGGTTACTACAATCATTATTTCATATAAAGCAACTGGTTCTCATAGAATTTTTGTCTTACAGATTAGTAAATGCCTGATGTTTTACTGTCTTAGGTCAGCACAGATATGAGGAACATTGCCTATAGTTTCAATGTAATAATAACATATATTAACACTTCATTAAGCTTGCTTCAGATGAAATAGATTGCTTAGAGGTGACTGCTAATATGAACACCCCATGACAAGGCAGTGTAATGAACTGTGACCAACTCTTGTGTATTTGTTAGCTCTAGACGCTCTAGTTGTCTGACACCAAATGCGGTGGCAGGGAAACCACACAGCTTTTACCCATGCTTACTTTCTTAATGAATCTGATTTTGGAACTGCTAAGAGTGAAGGGGAATATCTGTTACCCCAGAGACAGCCCAACACACTACATCTCAAGGATCTTCAACTGGATTTTAAGGTAAGTAAGTCCTATGCTGAGTTTTGGCTTGTTCTTGAGAAAGCCAACTCTTCTGGACAAAAAGTCTTCAGAAAGAATAGAAGCATTCTCTTTTATCAAAATCAACTACTGGAAAAAGACTCCAAGGTGAGCAGGTTTTCTTAAACTAAAGGAATGTATGTGCTTGTGTGTGTGTGTGTGTGTGTGTGTGTGTGTGTGTGTGTGTGTGTTGTTTAGAAGAGTGCTTGTTATAATGGAGCATTTTTAGTGTCATGAGTTTGCCTCCCTGCCTGTAATCTCATCTTTCTAGACTGGGTTCCACTGAACAATTAGGAAAAAGTGACCATGGGTAACAGTATTTGATTATACCATGCTGTGATCCAAATGAATACTCTGGAATGAGAATATCAGGTTACTCAGCAGTGCTAAGAAAGCATCTAACTTCACAAGGCAAAGATGGTTGCTTTGAAATTCTTAGCGATGAATTTCTTAGTTTTGGTGCTCTCTTGTCATTTACTTCTCCTCACTCTCTTTTATGTAATGATTCACTTTAGCAAATAACATCTTGAGATAACTTACAGTTGACTAGCTCAAACCACCACTTATTTTATTTTATTTTACTTTCCAACACATCCATGACATACATATGACAAAGGCCTAATATCTAGCATCTACAAGGACCTTAAACAAATGTACAACAAAAAAAAAACCAGTCCATTAAAAAGTGGGCAAGTTTTATTTTCTTACATATCTATGACATGCAGTGTTTTACAACACTCATAGTTTATTTTCACAACAGAACCTCAAAGGAAGTAGGTCTAGGTTAGCTTGGGTAAAATAAAATTCAAGGAGGTTATAAGAATTCTGTAGACCCACGTTAACTGGAAAATTTTAGGTACAGGCTGAGACCCACATCAAATATCCTCATTGTTACCACGAACATTTTCATACACCTTCATTGTCTTCTAAGGATGATGGATCCTACAGTCATAAGGTTATTTGCTAGTTAAAAACAGTAATGGGTAAGCTAAAGCAAATATGGAATAGTGATTATTTTGAAAACACCAGGTGAGAGGAGGAGAAATCTCAAGGAAGACATTTGATGGCAAGACAGGGGAATAGACAAATATTGTCAGAGAAAGAACAAAAAAGGGGGTTTGAGATAGGAGACCTCTAGAAAATATATATAAGGCTAAGTTGAAGATATCCAATATAAAATCCTCCATTTACTCTCTAACACATCTTTAAGAAGTTTTATATTGGTGACACACATTGGTGTGAGTAGATTTTATGTAGGTAATGAGACTTACTAGGTTCAAGTTGACATAAAGCCAGAAGAGTGGCTTACACTGGAGCACCCTACCTCTGGGTCTGCCAGCCTAGGCCTCCTAAAGTGCTGGGATTACAGGGGTGAGCCACTGTGCCTGGCCTTGCCCAGTTTTTAATGGAGTTGTTTTTTTTCTTGTAAATTTGTTTGAGTACCTTATAGATGCTGGATATTCGATCTTTGCCAGATAGGTAGTTTGCAAAAATATTCTCCCATTCTGTAGGTTGCCTATTTACTCTGTTAATAGTTTATTGTGCTGTGCAGAAGCTCTTAAGTTTAATTAGGTCCCATTTGTCATTTTTTGCTTCTGTTGCAATTGCTTTTGGTGTCTTTGTCATGAAACCTTTGCTCATTCCAATGTCCAGGAGGGTTTGGATAGGTAGTCTTCTAGGGTTTTTATAGTTTTTGGTTTCACATTTAACTCTTTAACCCACCTTGAGTCAATTTTTGCATATGGTGTAAGTTGGGTCCAGTTTCAATCTTCTGCATATGGCTAGCCACCTTTCCTAGCACCATTTATTGAGTAAGGAATCTTTTCCCCATTGCCTGTTTTTGTCAGGTTTTTCAAAGATCAGATAGTTGTAGGTGTATGGTCTTATTTCTGGATTCTCTATTCTGTTCCGCTGGTCCATGTGTCTGTTCTTGTATCAGTACAATGCTGTTTTGGTTACTATAGCCATGAGGTATCATTTGAAATCAGGTAGCAGGATGCCTCCAGATGAGTTATTTTTGCTTAGGATTGTCTTGGCTATTAGGGCTCTTTTTGGGTTCTATGTGAATTTTAAAATAGTTTTTTCTAGTTCTGTGAAGAATGTCAATCATAGTTTGATGGAAATAGCATTGAAACTATAAATTGCTTTGGGGACTATGGCCATTTTAAATGTATTGATTCTTCCTGTCCATGAGCTTGGAATGTTTTTTCATTTGTTTGTGTCATCTCTGATTTCTTTGGGCAGTGGTTTGTAGTTCTCCTTGTAGAGATTTTTCACCTCCCTAGTTAGCTTTATTCCTAGATATTTTATTCTTTTTGTGGTAATTGTGAATAGGAATTCATTTCTGATTTAACCCTCAGCTTGACTGTTGTTGGTGTATAAGAAAGCTAGCAATTTTTACACATTGATTTTGTATCCTGATTATTTGCTGAATATGCTTATGAGCTTAAGAAGCTTTGGGGCTGAAATGATGGGGTATTCTAAATATGGAATTATGTCATCTACCAACAAGGATAATCTGATTTCCTCTCTTTATATTTGAATGCCCTTTATTTCTCTCTCTTGCCTGATTGCTTTGGCCGGAACTTCCAATATTATGTTGAATAGGAATGATGAGAGAGGGCATTCTTGTCTTGTGCTGGTTTTCAAGGGGAATGCTTCCGTCGTTTGCCCATTCAGTATAATGTTAGCTGTGAGTTTTGTCATATGTGGCTTTTATTATTTTGAGGTATGTCCCTTTAATACCTTGTTCATTGAGAGTGCTTACATAAACAGATTTTGAATTTTATCAAAATAGATGCCTTTTCTGCATCTATTGAGATTATCATGTTATTTTGTCTTTAGTTCTGTTTATGTGACGAATCACATTTATTGATTTGTATATGTTGAACCAACCTTGCATCCCAGGGACAAAGCCTACTTGATGGTGGTAGATAAGCTTTTTGAGGTGTTAGCTGGTTATTATATTGGCCTGTTTGTGCGGTTGCTTTATAGTGACACTGGTATGTGTGTTTAAGTGTGTATTTGTATTAGCTGGTAGCGTGTTTTTTCTTTCTACATTTAGTGCTCCTTTCAAGATCTCTAGTAAGGCAGATCTGGTGGTAATAAATTCCCTCAACATTTTCTTGTCTGAAAACGATCTTATTTTCCCTTGGCTTATGAAGCTTAGTTTGGCCGGATATGAAATTCTGGGTTGGAATTCTTTTCTTTAAAGATGTTGAATATTGGCCCCCAATCTCTTTTGGCTTATAGGGTTTCTGCTGAGAGGTCCTCTGTTAGTCTGATGGGCTTCCCTTTGTAGGTGACCTGGCCTTTGCCTGTGGCTGCCCTTAACATATTTTCTTTCATTTTTATCTTGGAGAATCTGATGATTATGTGTCTTCGGGATGATCTTCTCGAGGAGTATCTTATTGGGGTTCTCTGCATTTTCTCAGTTTGAATATTGGCCTCTCTAGCTAGGTTGGGGAAGTTCACATAGATGATATCCTGAAATACATTTTCCAAATTGGTTCCATTCTCTTCATTTCTCTTTTTATTTATTTATTTATTGAGACTGAGTCTTGCTCTATCTCCCGGGCTGGAGTGCAGTGGCATAATCTCGGCTCACTGCAACCTCTTGTCTCCTGGGTTCAAGCGGTTCTCATGCCTCAGCATCCTGAGTAGCTGGGATTACAGGCGCCTGCCACCACACCTGGCTAATTTTTGTATTTTTAGTAGAGATGGGTTTCACCATGTTGGCCAGGTTGGTCTCTAACTCCTGACCTTAAACAATCCACCCACCTCAGCCTCCCAAAGTGTTGGGATTACAGGCATGAGCCACTGCGCCCGGCCTCGTTCTCCCCCATCTCTTTTGGATACACCTATCAGTCATAGATTCAGTTGTTTTACATAATCCTATATTCCTCAGAAGTTTTGTTCATTCCTTTTCATTCTTTTTTCTCTGCCTGTTTTATTTCAGAAAGATGGTCTTCAAGCTCTGAGATTCTTTCCTCCACTTGGTCTATTATGCTGCTAATACTTGTGATTGCATTATGAAATTTTTGTAGTGTGCTTTTCAGCTCTGTCAGGTCAGTACATTCTTCTCCATACTGCCTATTTTGTCTGTCAGCTTCTGAAATTTATTTAATTTAATTTGTTTATTTTAGACAGAGTCTCACTCTGTCACTCAGGCTGGAGTGCACAATCTCGGCTCACTGCAACCTCTGCTTCCCAGGTTCAAGTGATTTCACCTGCCTCAGCCTCTCGAGTAGCTGGGATTACAGGTATGTGCCACCACTCCAGGCTAATTTTTGTTTTCTTTTTTTTGTTTGTTTGTTTGTTTTTTGTATTTTTAGTAAAGAAGAGGATTCACCATGTTGCTCAAGCTGGTCTCGAAGTCCTGAGCTCAGGCAATCTGCCCACCTTGGCCTCCCAAAGTGCTAGGATTACAGGTGTGATCCACCGCACCCAACCCTGAAATGTTTTATCATGATTTCTAGCTTCCTTGCATTGGCTTACAATGTGTTCCTTCAGCTCAGTGACTTCCGTTTTTATCCATATTCTGAATTCTTCTTTTGTCATTTCAGCCATCTCAGCCTCAGCTCTGTTTGGAACCCTTGCTGGAAAGATGATGCAGTCATTTAGAGGAAAGAGGGCACTCTGGCTTTTTGAGTTTAGCATTCTTGTGCTGATTCTTTCTTATCTTTGTGGACTTATCTACCTCCAGTCTTTGAGATTGCTGACCTTTGGATGGGTGGATGGGTTTTTTCTTTTCTTCTTTTAACAGTCTGGCTACTTTTCTATAGGGCTGCTGTGGGGTTTGCTGGAGTCTGCTCCAGTCCCTAGTAACCTTGGATTTTCCAGTAGCTGGAGGTATCACCAGTGAAGGCTATGAGACAGTAAAGATGGCAGCCTGCCCCTTCCTTTGGGAGTTCCACCCCAGGGAGGTATGGACATGTTGCTGGCCCAAATGCACCTGTAGGAGGTGACTAGAGACCCCAGTTAGGAGGTCTCACCCAGTAAGGAGGAATGGGATTGGAGACCTGCTTAAAGAAGCAGTCTGGCCATGCTTTTGTAGAGTGGCTCTGCTGTGCTCGAGTACTGCTTCCACCTCTGATGGGCTTGGGCTCTCCAAAGCCTGGAGGTGGAATGGCTAAGTCACCCAAACAGCTAAGAGGGCGGCCCACCCCTTCCTCTGGGAGCTCTGTACCAGGAAGTTTTCAAGCCTCTGTTGGCCAGAGAGTACCTGCAGTAGTGGCTGGAGGCCTGACTTGGGAAATCCCACCCCATGAGGAGCAATAGATCAGGGACCCGCTGAAAGAAACAGTCTGGCTACATTTTGGTAGAGCAGCTGTGCTGTTCTGGGGGATTCCTTCTCTCTCCACTCAATTTGGACTCTCCAAAGCCTGTAGGCTGGAGTGGTTGAGTTGCCCTAACAGCAAAGATGGCAGTCTGCCTCTTCACCTAGGAACTCTGTCCCAGGGAGAATTAAGATCTCTGTTGGGGAATTCTCTTTATAGCTGTCTTACAAAGGGATGTTCAGGATTAATAATACCTCCAACTACTGAAAAAACACAATATGCTCAAAGCTTATGTTTATACTTAATAGCCTTATTCCAGAAATGACTTATGATGAATATCCCTCAGGATTTTTTTCTTTTTGCTTCATTTGTTTGTTGTAGTTGCAAACAATAAAAACCTATACTGCTAGAGGTAAGCAAAAGTAAATTTACTGGAAAGAAATTGAGTAGCTCATGAAACCATTGTATAGATCAGAAAACTAGACCACACATACATAGTCTTAAACAGAACAAGAACAACTAAGGAAGGACAACTATTCAGTTAGATGATCAGAGTGCTAGAGTTAGGATGAATGAACACAAACCATGTTTTCAGATGTTGAATCTCTCAAAGTTCCAGGAGAAAAAATCTGATTGGTTGAGCTTATGGCATATACTAACTTACTACTTAGCTATAATCAATTGCAGAGAATGGATCTGGTCAAAAGAGCTGTAGTGGCTCCAAGAACTCATTGGGCTCCCATAATGGAGAAAATGATGTATCATCACATCAAGAATACAATCAATGAAAGAGGGTAAATTCCACAAAAGGAAATTTAGGGGCTATGGGAAAGCACCCATGGATATTAAACAGACAGAACAGTAAATATCCACAGCATTTGGACACGTTCTCCCATAGTTATTTTTCTCTTCAAAGAGCAAAAACTCTGAAAGCAGCCCAAAGCATTAACCTTTGCAGTTGGAGACGATGAGTTAGAGGCAAAATCACAAGCAAAAAACACATGTGCATATTCACGTGTGTGCACACACAAGCCACAAAGCCACCAGTATTCATAGAGAAAAGTTTTAGAAAGAGGAGAACACTGCCACTTCAGCAAAAAAGAGCATTTCAGAAATAAAACAAATGACCACTCCTCTACCTTGGTTCTTTTTGTTTTTCTTTTGTCGTTGAATTGTTTTCCCAAGGCGCCTTGAAACCCAGCTTTCTTCTATTTACCAAAGAAGTGGTAGTTTCTACCACATGGCAATATCCTCTCCCAATTTTCAACAGCTGTCTGTATTAAATGGGTTATCTAGAGACTTAAGAGTATCTCAAAGAATGTTGAATCCTGATTATGAACGGCTAAGAAGAAACTAGTACCAGGCAGTTGTGAAGACTGAGCTAGTGAAGGAGCCCATCATTTCTGTGTCACAGACAAGTCACCAGGTCGCTGTAATTCAAAATCATTAGTCATGTCTTCTTGAAGCACAAAGGCAAAGGAATAGAAAGGGAGCAGACAATGGAGTGTGTTAGGAAGACAAATTCTTTCTTTCCATGCGTTGGTCATATTCTAAAGATCCTAGAGACTTTTTTAAAGAAAACACGCTGGAAATACCATACTAGATTCATGCCAGTCTATTTTAAGTATGCAGCAAAGTCGCAGATTTTGCTGATTCAGGATTCTATACTAGGAAAATGAATTCTGATAATCTTGTTGTGAGAATATCATTCAAAAGTACTAAGAAAGGCAGCATTTGTTACTTCTTTGTAGGAAAGATAGGAAGGCTACTAAGAAAGATTTTTAAACCTAGAAAAGTTAAATATATACATAGTATGCCAAAAAAATCAAACTGAAGCAAAACTGAATTTCTTAAATACATATGTTTTGCAAAGCCAAACCATTGCCTGTATCCCATCTTACATGTATTGCCTACAAACAGCTTTTAAAATGTGCAGAGCATAGCCGGGCATGGTTGCGCACATCTGTAATCTCAGCTACTCGGGAGGCTGAGGCATGAGAATCGCTTGAACCTGGGAGGTGGAGGTTGCAACAAGCCAACATCATGCCACTGCACTCCAGCCTGGGCAACAGAGCGTGACTCCATCTCAAAAAAAAAAAAAAAAAAAAAAATGTGCAGAGCATTTAACAGATCACTGAAAAACTAAATACCAAAAAGTCTATTGAGGTGAGGTGAGATATATTTAGTCATCTATTGTGCCTATGTCTGTATTTACCATTTTTGTCTGATGCTGTGTCAAGGACTTTTAATGCAGCATTTTAAGAAATGATTCTTTTGCAGGTTAAAAAAAATCTTGTTGCAAATCTGCATTGGAGGATTTAAACCTTTTCCCCAAAATTGTGCATTTATGCCTGGGGGCTAACCTCAGGCTCTGTCAACGATACCACCAAAATGAGGAAAAAGCAGTTTGCAGGATGAAAAATTTTGAAACAGTGTCTTGTGAAAAATTAACTCTCCCACTCTATTAAATTATATAATTTTGTATTAAAAGGCACAAGTTGTAATAAAAACTATTCCACAGATGAAACCTATGTTAATATGAGAGTAAATGTACATTTAAGGAAGAGAGTAGCAGCAACTCTCAGAAAGGAGACCTCAGAACATTCCAGAAATGTGATAGTTCTTACGTTGGTTCTGATCCAGATGTCACTGAGGGAGAGGAGGGAAAAAAATTATTTGGCAATATCCCAGTTATTCTGCTATCAAATATCTCTGTTCCTGCCAACTAGATGTAGTTTTACCACATCAGTCACATTTTAATATTGCATAGATAGATGAACTTGTCCCATTCAGTCACTAATATTGATTCCCTAACACAAAAATAAAACTTTGAGTTGCTTTGGCACCAAACATGGTATCTATATGCAAAATTAAAGACAAAGAATTAACAGGTGCTCCAATCAAACATTTTTAGAATGCATTCAGAACCATGTACTATTTTGCTTCTTCTCTAAATGCTGTGGAATAACCTCTGTTAGAGGGTGATATGGTTTGGCTATGTCCCAACACAAATCTCAACTTGAATTGTAACTCTCACAATTTCCATGTGTCATGGGAGAAACCCAGTGGAAGGTGAGTTATGTGGGCACGTCTTTCCTACGCTGTTCTAATGAAGTGAATGAGTCTCACGAGATCTAATGGTTTTAAAAAAATGGGAGTTTCCCTGAACAAGCTCTCTCTTTGCCTGCTACTATCCATGTAAGATGCAACTAGCTCCTCCTTGCCTTCTACCATGATTGTGAGGCCTCCCCAGCCATGTGGAACTGTGAGTTCAATAAACCTCTTTCTTTTGTAAATTTCCAGTCTCGGATATGTCTTCATCAGCAGCATGAAAACAGACTAATACAATAAATTGGTACCAGTAGAGTGGATCATTGATGAAAAGACACCCAGAATGGTGGAAGTGAATTTGGAATTAGGTAACAGGCAGAGGTTGGAACAATTTGAAGGACTCAGAAGAAAAGAGGAAAATGTGGGAAAGTTTGAAAATTCCTAGAGATGACTCGTTGAATGCCTTTGACAAAAATGCTGTTAGTAATATGAACAATAAGGTCCAGGCTGAGGTGGTCTCAGATGGAGATGAGGAACTTCTTGGGAACTGGAGCAAAGTGACCCTTGTTATGTTTTAGCAAAGAGACTGGTGGCATTTTGCCCCTTGCCCTAGAGATTTGTGGAACTTTGAACTTGAGAGAGATGATTTAGGGTATCTGGTGGAAGAAATTCTAAGCAGCAAAGCATTCATATTACACATTAGAATGCAATATGCTTTTGAAAAATATTTGAAAAACTGGTAGTTTTATAAGGTGTTGTTTTAATGAGTGCTTTCATGTCAGAAAGGTATACCAATGGTTGCGACAGTGTTCTCTGAGACCCTGAACTATGTAGAAAAGAAGCTTTGTGGAAATGCTAAAGGGGATTCTAGATGATCAGAAAATAGAAAAAGGAGTGGGATCTTGAGAGACAGGATTGTTGGCCTCCTAGATCTTTTTCTACTCTTGGATGATGATATTTATTATAGATGTTTATTTTAGACAGCTGTAACTGTTTCTATGTCTCTTCATTATGTTTTGGTCCACAAGCATTTCTTTTATGCACATGGTCTTGAACTAAATTAGATACATATATATATATCTGACAGATTCCTAGTGGTAGAAAACAGGCCAACCAAGAAGTCTGAGGAGGGCTGTGGCTGGTTAATCCTCTACAAGTTTGCTATTTGGTTATAATAACAGCAGGTTTCAGACCAACATCTCTCACATAAACTATCGTGTTTTTTTAAAAGCATTTATTTGGAAGCAGACTTTAAATGTCCACATGATTTGTTACTTATTTATTTTATTATCCTTTAAGTTCTGGGATACATGTGAAGAACATGCAAGTTTGTTGCATAGGTATAAATGTGCCACGGTGGTTTGCTGCATCCATCAACCCATCAACTACATTAGGTATTTCTCCTAACGCTATCCCTCCCCTAGCTCCCCTACCCCCTGACAGGTCCTGGTGTGTGATATTCTCCTCCCTGAGTTCACGTGTTCTCATTGTTCAACTCCCACTTATGAGTGAGAACATGTGGTGTTTGGTTTTCTTTTCCTGTGTTAGTTTGCTGAGAATGATGGTTTCCAGCTTCATCCATGTCCCTGTAAAGGACATGAACTCATCCTTTCTTATGGCTGCATAGTATTCCACGGTATATATGTGCCACATTTTCTTTAGCCAGTCTATCATTGATGGGCATTTGGGTTGGTTCCAAGTCTTTGCAACTGTGAAGAGTGCTGCAATAAACATACGTGTGCATGTGTCTTTATAGTAGAATGATTTATAATCTTTTGGGTATATATCCAGTAATGCGATTGCTGAGACAAATGGTATTTCTAATTCTAGATACTTGAGGAATTGCCACACTGTCTTCCACAATGGTTGAACAATTTACACTCCCACCAACAGTGTAAAAGTATTCCTATTTCTCCACATCCTCTCCAGCATCTGTTGTTTCCAGATTTTTTAATGATTGCTGTTCTAACTGGCCTGAGATGCTATCTCACTGTGGTTTTGATTTGCATTTCTCTAATGGCCAGTGATGATAAGCTTTTTTACATGTGTTTGTTGGCTGCATGAATGTCTTCTTTTGAGAAGTCTCGATTCATATCCTTTGCCCACTTTTTGATGGGGTTGTTTGTATTTTCATGTAAATTTGTTTAAGTTCCCTATAGATTCTGGATATTAGCTCTTTGTCAGATGGATAGATTGCAAAAATTTTCTACCATTCTGCAGGTTGCCTGTTCACTCTGATGGTAGTTTCTTTTGCTGTGCAGAAGCTCTTTAGTTGAATTAGATCCCATTTGTCAATTTTGGCTTTTGTTGCCATTGCTTTTGGTGTTTTAGTCATGAAGTCTTTGCCCACGCCTATGTCCTGAACGGTGTTGGCTCGATTTTCTTCGAGGGTTTTTATGGTTTTAGGTCTTACATTTAAGTCTTTAATCCATCTTGAATTAATTTTTGTATAAGGTGTAAGGAAGGGGTCCAGTTTCAGTTTTCTGCATATGGCTAGCCAGTTTTCCCGACGTCATTTAATAAATAGGGAATCTTTTCTCCATTGCTTGTTTTTGTCAGGTTTGTCAAAGATCAGATGGTTGTAGATGTGTGGTGTCATTTCTGAGGCCTCTCTTCTGTTCCATTGGTCTATACATCTGTTTTGGTACCAGCACCATGCTGTTTTGGTTACTGTAGCCTTGTAGTATAGTTTGAAGTCAGGTAGCTTGATGCCTCCAGCTTTGTTCTTTTTGCTTAGGATTGTCTTGGCTATGCAGGCTCTTTCTGGTTCTGTATGAAAGCTAAAGTAGTTTCTTAATTCTGTGGAGAAAGTCAATGGTAGCTTGACAGGGATAGCATTGATTCTATAAATTGCTTTGAGCAGTATGGCCATTTTCATGGTATTGATTCTTCCTATCCATGAGCATGCAAAGTTTTTCCATTTGTTTGTGTCCTTACTTATTTCCTTGAGCAGTTGTTTATGGTTCTTCTTGAAGAGGTCCTTCACACTCGTTTGTGTCCTCTCTTATTTCCTTGAGCAGTGGTTTGTAGTTGTCCTTGAAAAGATCCTTCACATCCCTTGTAAGTTGTATTCCTAGATATTTTATTTTCTTTGTAGCAATTGTGAATGGGAGTTCACTCATGATTTGGCTATTTGGCTATTATTGGTATATAGGAATGCTTGTGATTTTTGCATATTGAATTTGTATCCTGAGACTTTGGCTAAGTTGCTTATCAGCTTAAGGAGATTTTGGGCTTAGACGATGGGGTTTTCTAAATATATAATCATATTATCTGCAAACAGAGACAATTTGACTTCCTCTCTTCCTATCTGAATACACTTTATTTCTTTCTCTTGCCTGACTGCCCTGGCAAAAACTTCCAATACTATGCTGAATAGGAGTAGTGAGAGAGGGCATCCTTGTCTTGTGCCAGTTTGCAAAGCAAATGCTTCCTGCTTTTGCTCATTCAGTATGATATTGGCTGTTGGTCTGTCATAAATAGCTCTTATTATTTTGAGATATATTTCATCAATACCTATTTAACTGAGTTTTTAGCATGATGAGATGAGCTGGGTACCTCAGGTGGAAATGCAGAAATTACCGGCCTTATGCATTGATCTCACTGGGAGCTGCACACTCAGGCTGTTCCTATTTGGCCATCTTGCCAGCCACCACACACGATTTGTTGTTTAAATTTGATGAAGTTACAGTTTTAAGGACTTTGGCCATCATCTTGCATGAAATATTCACTCAAAGCAGATGTAACAACAGGCCATACAAAGGGATCTTTCATTTATGGTCTATTATAAGGCAACCGAAAACCTTCCTGGCCAATATCCTGGCACAGAAACTTTTGGAAACATTTCTGTGATGTACTGGCTAGAGAATTCTCTGCATTTGTATACCCTGTTAATGCAATGGTGAGAATTTTTCTAAAATATGTTTGCTGGTCCATGTAATTTGAGTAATTTTACCAGAGATAACCCATTTCTAATATTAACCATGGTATTTGACAGGATACTAAATTTGATCATTTTTTTTCTGATAATTCCTAAGTTAATTAGCGAATCATTGTTATTGATCTAGACATGGGTAACAGAAGTGCAGATAAATGCCAATTCTAGAATAAGACTTTTCCTTTCAAAAAATACTTTTAGTCTAGGAGAAGAATACATTTATTTTATTCACATTCTTTTTAAAACTACTTTATTGAATGAAGTATGATTGGCATATAAGTAATGTATAAACCTCAATAAGTTTGGAGATGATTATACACCTGTGAAACTATCACCATCATCAAGGCCGTAAGCATATTCATCACCTCCAGAGTTTTCTCTTGTGACCTTTATTATTATTTTTTGTAAGATCTAGCCCTTTAGCGAATTTCATATACAATACAATATTGTTAGCTATAGGCACTATACTGTATAGCAGGTCTCTGGAACTTATTTTTAGATGCAAGAGTTACCTAATTAGAATGCTAGCTAGACACCATTGGAGTGAATTCCTGATTAGAGCAGCCATCTGCATGTGGGTTGTAGCTTAACCAATTAACAAACCCATAATGGTACCCTCTCTGTTGAAAGATTTAACAACGTATTTATTCATTTCACCAATGGCACACAGTTTTTGCCATTCTGGCTCCAGGCACAATGGAAAACCAGTTTCATTTTGCACTCTTGGCTCCACAGATTGCCAGTGTCTGGGTACTTCAGTAATTCATCATCTGCTATATTTGAATGTTTGTCTCCCCTCCAAAATTTGTGTTGCAACTTAATTCCCAATGCAACAGTATTAAGAGTTAGGGCCTTTAGGAGGCAATTAGACTATGGGGCCTTCACCCTCATAACTGGAATCAGGGCCTTATAAGAGCACTGAAGGGAACTAGCTGAGCTTTTTTGCTCTTCCAGCTTCTGCGCTGTGAGAACACAGCAGTAAGGTGGCATCTTGGAAACAAAGACGGAGCCCTCTCCAGACACTAAACTTGCTGGTACCTTGATTTTGGATTCCCCAGACTCTAGAACTCTGAGGAAATAAATTTCTGTTCTTTACAAATTACCCAGCCTGTGGCATTTTGTTATAGCATCAGGAATAAACTAAGATGTCATCTTTACTAATTTTTTAATCTCTATAAACAACATCCAGTGCCAACTCTGCACAAGGCAGTGCCCAAGAACAAAGCTGCACTCAAAGGTGAATAAAACTCCAGCCTTTAAACTTTCTGAAGTTAAAGATGAGTAAAACTTTCTTTCCCTTGTATATAGTACTACTACTAACAAGTCCTAACTAATCAGAAGTCCTTTGAGGGTATGTATAATTATTTTATTTATCTTTAATTAAGCAAATGGCAATGTCATATCATACCCATTGACTTGTAAAGATTTTACAGAGAACTACACCCATTAACCAATAGATATTTGTTTATGGGGCTGAATCATGACTGTAACTCAATGCCTTGCTTCTTTGAGTAGTGATGCCAAAAACAATAACAGAAAATACATCCTAGTTTGTTCAGATTTAAACAGTCAGAGGCTAAATCTCAGCACTTTTGCTAAATAACTGTGTCTCCCAGACAACTCTTATTCTCTGTGAGCCCCCATCTTTTCATCTGCAAAAGAGGAATGAGAATCTTCTGCTTAGTAGTTATGGTAAAGTTTAGGAAGCTATGTGATATTTGTAATGACATTTGTTTCACTTATAGAATTCGCTCAAAACTAAGCATAAAAATGAATTAATTATCTAACAATAACGTTTCTTACAGTTCCTATTCATGCTCCCTTGATCTCTGCCACTCACAATATAGTATATAAGCATTATTCTGGATTGGAGTGTAAAATTGATTTATGAGTATAAGTTTATTAAATTATGTCTGTCTTTGCATACATAGAGTTTTAAGTGCTTCATTTTGACCAAACATATCAATGTATACTTTACTTATTTTTGATTGGGCTTCAGCACATTTTATCTAGATAAATTTTATAAACTCTATGTGCTCAAAGGGATTGTCCTATGTCCTCCTCATTAGTAAAAAATAATTATGAAAATGAGTTGCTATCTTCACCATATGAATTAATGCCATCTTTGCTTTTAGCCTACATAAATTGAACTAAATCCTACTGAATTATTATGGAATGTCTGGCCTTGTACTGATAATTTTGAAAAAAAACTCCATCGAAATATTTTGAGTAGCTACTGGATGCTCAATATTGTGTCAGAAGACAGTGATCTCATTTAAGCCTTACATCTGTTCTTCGAAGAAGGTAGAATTGTATCTATTTTATAGATGGGATTCTGAAGATCTCTGTAACTTTATTTCATATATTTTGCAGCTCATTACAATCAGACCTCTATTGTCATCTATCTATTGAAAGTTCACCAGCAAATGTCATTAGTGATCTCCTTATTTATAAACTCAATGAGCATTTTGAGTTCCAACACTACTTGGATTTGCCAAAATTTAATACTATAATCTCTTTTCTTTTGGAAATCCTTTCTGCGTTATTCCATAACATCATTCATCCCTGGATTTTCTCCTACCTCTTTGGGCAAATGCTTCCTAGTTTCTTTTGTGAATCTTTCTCCCTTTGTCTATACTTTAATTGTTGGAATTCCACAGATACCTAACATCATGCTTTTTCTCCTTTCTTTGTCTACGTAGTCACCAACTGCAATCTAATTTACTTCAATGACTTCAATAGTTATCTCTATGCTGACTATTCCCACATCAATACATCTAACCCAAAACTCCACCTAGAACCCTGACTCATATTCCCAACTGCTTACTGGAACTGAATGAACCACAGGCACCTCAAATTGATGTATCCCAAGCTAAGCTCATAATCCTTCTATAGACTGAGCCCTCAGCTCTAAGCTTCACTAATTTCACACACACATCTCTCAACTCTTAATTTTCTCCTCTACCTCTAAATCCTATTTCAGTGAAGGGCACCATTATTCACTTGTTTTTTCTCAAACAGAAGCCCCAGCCCATAAATATAAGCATTGGCCAAGCCCAACTCCATTTTTCTACCTAACAGCATACAAATAATTGCCTCCTCTATATTGACTGCTACATTCAGCCACCAGAAAATCCTTACAAAAGATTTCTCCCAGCTTAAATGTTTTTACTGCTTTTTTTGATTTTTCAGGTTAAATCTTTAGTTTGCAATATGCTAATATTCTCTAAACTTGCTTAATCATAAGAAGAAAATATATTCTTGCTAGATATCCAAATTTCTAAGTGTCACACCTGGAAAGTTAACCTCAGTGGTTCTGGGAGAGCATGAGTTGCTATAATTCTATACATTTTAACAAGCCCCACGGATCCTAGTGAACAAGCAAATTTGATAAATAATTACATATTAGTCTCTTTATAGTCTGGTAGCTGCCCATTTTTCACTTTACAAACTGTCACTCTTTAGCAGTTCATAATATCTAACATCATGCCTGGCATTTTACTACTAGATGAGTTAAAGAATAATCTTGTCAAGATGGGATTCAAACCTAGGACTATCCAACTCCAAAGGACATGTTTTTATTACGCATTAGACAAAGAGTGATGGAGAGGTTTAGAATACAATGAAAAGAAAGAATTTACAATCACTTCATTAGCAGCTGATGGTTGGGTCATATAAACTTACCACTCACTATATTTCCACGGTGTAAGTGCAAAACTTATTCATACATGCAGAAAATGAGTTGAGCGTCTGCTATGAGCCAGTCATTTCACCAGCACTAGCAATAGAGTGATGTTCAAGACAAACACATTCCCTGTTCTTATGAAGCTCCTGTTCTAGTTAGGAAGACAGACAACAAATGCTTAAACACACAAGTAGCATAATCACACATTGTGGTAAGCATTTGGAAAAAAATAAAATGCCTGTGAGATACACAGGGAGCTGTACTTCAAATAGCCAGAGAAAGTCTGAGTATGGAGGTAATATTTAAACTGAAAGATGAAAATACACCATGTGACAAGCTGAAAAACGTTGGATTTTCCAATGTTAAACTTTCTATTTCACCTGCACTTGGTGTAGATGAAAAAAAATCAAATAAAAGACTTGAACATTTTTGAGTATTTTATTTACTTACAAAATCATCCATTTGGGTCATAGATTATTGTGTCAATGTTTCAACAGTGAAACAGCACATGTGCCGGCATTCATTAAGAGGTTACACATAGATAATCCTTTTTATAGTAGTACTAAGGAAATAAACTTTCTGCTTAGTATTTTTATTCCTTTTTTGGTATTTCTTTTTTTAACATGTATTTTAGGTTTGGGGGTACATGTGAAGGTTTGTTGCACAGGTAAACATGTATCACGGGGGTTTGTTGTACAGATTATTTCATCACCCAGATATGAAGCCTAATAGCCATTCGTTATATTTTCTGCTCCTCTCCCTTCTCCCACCCTCCACCTTCAAGTAGACCCTGTATCTGTTGTTTCCTGCTTTGAGTTTATAAGTTTTTATCATTTAGCTACCACTTGTGAGATCATGTGTTATTTGGTTTCTTTTCCTGCATTAGTTTGCTAACAGCCTTTAGCTCTATCCATGTTCCCACAAAAGACATGATCTCCTTTTTTATGGTTGCATAGTATTTCATAGTGTATATATACCATATTTTCTTTATTCAATCTGTCACTGATGGACATTTAGGTTGATTCCATGTTTTTCCCATAGTGAATAGTGTTGTAATGAACATGTGTCTTTATGGTAGAATGATTTATATTCCTCTGGGTATATATCCAATAATGGGATTGCTGGGTCAAATGGTAGTTCTGCTTTTAGCTCTTTGAGGAATCATGATACTGCTTTCCACAATGGTAGAACTAACTTATGGAACTACCAAGAGTGTATAAGTGTTCCTTTTTCTCTACAACCTCACCAGCATTTGTTATTTTTTGATTTTCTAATAGCCATTCGGACTGGTGTGAGATGGTAGCTCACTGTGGTTTTGAATTGCATTTCTTATGATCAGTGATATTGAGCTGTTTTTCACATGTTTGTTGGCCACATGTATGTCTTCTTTTGAGAAGTGTCTGTTCATGTTCTTTGCCCACTTTTTATTGTGGTTGTTTTTCTCTTGTAAATTTGTTAAAGCTTCTTATAGATGGTGGATATTAGATCTGTGTCAGATGCATAGTTTGCAAAAATTATTCTCTCATTCTGTAGGCTGTCTGTTTACTCTGTTAATAGTTTATTTTGCTGTGCAGAAGTTTTTAAGTTTAATTGGATCCCACTTGTCAATTTTTGCTTCTGTTGCAATTGCTTTTGGTGTCTTTTTCATGAAATCTTTGCCCATTCCTATGTCTAGGAGGGTAGTTCCTAGGTTGTCTTCTAGGGTTTTTTTTTTTTTTTTTTAGTTTTGGGTTCTACATTGAAGTTTTTAACACATCTTAAGTTGATTTTTGCATATGGTGTAAGGAGGGGTCCAGCTTCAATCTTCTGAATATGGCAAGACAGTTATCCCAGCACAATTTATTGAAAAGGGAGTCTTTTCCCAATTGCTTGTTTTTGTCAGCTTTGTTGAAGATCAGATGGTCATAGATGTGTGGCCTTGCTTCTGGGCTTTCTATTCTGTTTCACCAGTCTATATGACTGTTTTTATATGAGTAACATGCTGTTTTGGTTACTGTAGCTCTGCAGTATAGTTTGAAGTCAGGTAACATGATGCCTCCAGCTTTGTTCTTTTTGCTTAGGATTGCCTTGGATATTCAGGCTTTTTTTGTTCCATATGAATTTTAAAATTGTTTTTTCAAGTTCTGTGAAGAATGTCATGGATAGTTTGATAGGAATAGCATTGAATCTATAAATTGCTTTGGGTAGTATAGCAATTTTAATGATATTGATTCTTTCTATTCATGAGCATGGGATATTTTTCCATTCGTTTGTGTCTTCTCTGATTTCTTTGAATAGTGTTTTGTAATTCTGGTTGTAGAGATCTTTTCCTCCCGAATTAGCTATATTCCTAGGTATTTTATAATTTTTATGGCAATTGTGAATGAGATGGCCTTTCTGATTTTGCTCTTAGTCTGACTGTTGTGGTGTATAGCAATGCTAGTGATTTTTGTACATTGATTTTGTATCCTGAAACTTTGCTGAAGTTGTTTATCAGCTGAAGAAGCTGTGGGGCTGAGACTATGGGGTTTTCCAGATATAGAATAATGTGATCTACAAACAGAAAATGCTTTACTTCCTGGCTTCCTATTTGAGCGCCCTTTATTTCTTTCTCTTGCCTGATTTCTGTGGCTAAGACTTCCAATGCTATGTTGAATAGAAGTGGTGAGAGAGGGCATCCTTGTCTTGTGCCTGTTTTCAATGGAAATGCTTCCAGCTTTTGCCCATTTAGTATAATGTTGCCTGTGAGTTTTTCATAGATGGCGCTTATTTTGAAGAATGTTCCTTCAATGTCTAGTTTATTCAGAGCTTTTAACATGAAGAAATATTGAATTTTATCAAAAGCCTTTTCTGCATCTATTAAGATTATCATGTGGTTTTTGTCTTTAGTTCTGTTTTTGTGATGAACCACATTTATTGAATTGTGTATGTTGAAACAACTTTGCATTTCAGGGATAAAGGCTACTTGATCATGGTGGATTAGCTTCTTGATGAGCTTCTGGGTTTGGTTTGCAAGCATTTTGTTGAGGATTTCTGAGTCAATGTTCATCAAGGATATCGGCCTGAAGTTTTCTTTTTTTGTTGTGTTTCTGCCAGGTTTTGGTATGAAGATGATGCTGGCCTCATAGAATGAGTTGGGGTGGAGTCTCTCCTGGTCAATTTTTTGGAATAGTTTCACTGGGAATGGTGCTGAAGTTGACTGTGAATCTATTAGGTCCTGGGCTGTTTTTGGTTGTAGGCTATTTATTACTAATTCAATTTTGGAGTTTGTTATTGGTGTGTTTGGGGAATCAATTTCTTCCTGGCTTAGTTTTGGGAGGGTGTGTGTGTCCATGAATTTATCTATTTCTTCCAGATTTTCGAGTTTATGTGCATAGACGTATTTATAGTAGTTTTTACAGTTGTTCTTATTTCTGTGGCATCAGTAGTAACATTTCCTTCATCATTTCTAATTGTGTTTATTTGGATCTTCTCTCTTTTCTTCTTTATTAGTCTAGCTAGTGGCCTGTCTTATTAATATTCCCAAAAAACCAACTCCTGGATTTATCTTTTCAATGGTTTTCCACGCCTCAATTTCCTTCAGTTTAGCTCTGAGTTTTGTTACTTCTCATCTGCTAGTTTTGTGGCTGATTTGTTCTTGCTTCTCTTTCATTTGTCATGTTAAGTTTTTAATTTGAGATCTTTCTAACTTTGTGATGTGGTCATTTAGTGCTATGAATTTCCCTCTTAACACTTCCTTAGCTGTGTCCCAGAGATTCTAATATGTTAGATCTTTGTTATATAACAATAACAATAACAACAATAACAATAACAATAGTTATTCAGGATTATGTTGTTTGATTTCCATGTAATTGCGTGGCTTTGAGGGATATTCTTAGTCTTGAGTTCTATCTTTATTGTGATGTGGTCCAAGAGTTTGTTTGGTTGGATTTAGTTCTTTTACATTTGTTGAGGATTGCTTTATGCCCTATTATGTTGTCAGTTTTAGAGTATGGGTAATGTGGTGATGAGAACAACATATATTTTGTTGTTTTGGAGGTGAAGAGTTCTGTAAAGGCCTATCAGATCCATTTGGTCCAATGCTGAGTTTCAGTCCTGAATGTCCATGCTAATTTTCTGCCTCAATGATCTGTCTAATACCATCAGTGGAGTGTTGAAATCTCCTACTATTACTATGTGGGGATCTATGTCTCTTTGTATCTCCTTAAGAACTTGCTTTATGAACCTGGGTGCTAATGTGTTGGGTGTACATGTATTTAGGAAAATTAGGTCTTAATTGAAACCTTTACCATTATGTAATGCCCTTTTTTGTCTTTTTAAAAAAATCTTTATTTTGTCTGCAATTAGGATTACAAACCCTGCATTTTTCTGTTTTCCATTTGCTTGGTAGATTTTCCTCCATCCCTTTATTTTGAGTCTATGAGTGTTATTACCTGTGAGATGGGTCTCTTGAAGACAGCAAACCATTGGGTCTTGCTTTTTAAATCAGTTTTCCACCCTGTGCCTTTAAATTAGGGCATTTAGCCTGTTTACATTCAAGGTTAGTATTGCTATGTGTGGGTTTGATCCTGTTATTGTGCTGTTAGCTGGTTATTACATTGGTTTGTTTGTGCAGTTGCTTTATAATGACACTGATCTGCGTGTTTAAGTGTGTTTTTGTGTTAGCTGGTAGCGTTATTTTTTTCTACATTTAATATTCCTTTCAAGATGTCTAGTAAGGCAGGTCTGGTGGTAATGAATTCCCTCAACATTTGCTTATCTGAAAAGGATCTTATTTCTCCTTCCCTTAGGTAGCTTAGTTTGGCTGGGTGTGAAATTCTTGGTTGATGTTTTTTCCTTTAAGAAGGTTGAATATTAGCCCTCAATTTCTTCTGGCTTGTTGGGTTTCAGCTGAGAGGTGCACTGTTAGCCAGATGGGGTTCCCTTTGTAGGTGACCTGCCCTTTCTCTCTAGCTGCCTTTAACATTCTTTCTTTCATGTGCATCTTGGAAAATCTGACAATTATGTGTCTTGGGGAGGTTCTTGCATAGATCTTGCCTCCAAGGTTCTCTGTATTTTCTAAATTTGACTGTTGGCCTCTCCAGCAAGGATGGGAAAGTTTTCATGGACAATATCCTGAAATATATTTTCCAAGTTGTTTACTTTCTTCCCTTCTTTTTCAGGAATGCCAATGGTTCATAGATTTGGCCTCTTTACATAATCTCATACTTTTTGGAGGTTTTGTTTGTTTATTTATTTTCTTTTTTTCTTTATTTTTGTCTGACTGTCTTATTTCAGGGAACCAGTCTTCAAGTTCTGAGATTCTTTCCTCAGCTTGGTTTATTCTTCCATTAATACTTGTGATTGCAAACATTCTTATATTGTGTTATTCAGCTCTTGTATTGTGTTATTCTTGGATTGTGTTATCTGTATTGTGTTATTCAGCTGTCATGCTCTTTTTTTTTTTTTTTTTTTTTACCAGTGTTTTCATCCTTCAGCTCCTGTATTATTTATTGTGATTCTTATTTCTCTTGGATTGGGTTTTGCCATCCAACTGAAACTCAATGATCTTTGCTTCTATTCATATTCTGAATTCTAGTTCTGTCATTCCAGCCAGTTCAGGCTGGTTAAGAACTTGTTGGAGAACTGAGCATGGGTGTTTCTTTAACTGCAGTGAAGGTTGATTACAGTCAATCAACTTATTTTCTGGATGTTTTCACCTGGCCAATGCTTTGTGCAGAGTCTTTATTTGAAGCTAACTTCTTGACTCTGGTTTCAGAGGGGGATAAACAAGCATGGTATTTTTGGTGTTGAAGTTTTGGGGTGTGATCCAGCAGGTGGCACTTAGGCTTATTGGTGAGTTGGTAGACTCTTGCTCAGTTGTGTGGCTCCCTTATGTTTCCTCACAGTTGCAGCCATGTTCCCTCTCAATGTTCTGAAAGCACGCATTCCTCCCTACCTTGAGTGCTGGCAGTAGATCATGACTTGACACTCCTGGGTTGCCACTGCAGCTCTGGGGAGATCTCAGTGTTTATGTTCCTTCCCCAGCTTGGAGGCAGCAGAGGGAGGGACCTTAGTAATGGCTGTGGCCAATAGTGGTTTGCTTGTCTCCTGGGGGCTCCACCCCAGAGAGATGCAGATTAGGAATTGCTTGGCGCAATCAGCCCTGGGTGGAGGGTCTGTGTTGTGGGCCTAAGCCAGGACTTCTCTGCCTGGTGACAAGCAGTGGGGGATATGTGAAACCCTTGGGAGACAGACTGGCCTCCTGTCCTTGGGTCGACTGCAGCTTGCTGGAGGTGTGGATAAGGCATTTAAGGTCTTTGCTCTTTTGTTAGTGCAAGGGTGGCAAGGGCAGTTCCACTGCAGAGGCAGTGGCAAAGAGGCTTTCAGTTGCCCCTGGAGGCTCTGTCCACGGAGTTGGTGAATTGGTACTGGCTCAATACCTCTGGTGGCAGGTGGCTGAGGCCCAGGCCTGGAGGACCTGCCCATTGAGTAGGTATGGGAACAAGCACCCACGTAGCAGTCTGGTCACTTTTCTGTGGGGCTGCTGTGGTATGCTGGGAGCCTGCTCCAGTCCCTAGTTGCCTCAGATTTCCCAGCACCTGGAGGTATCACCAGTGAAGCCTGAGAAACAACAAAGATGGGGGGCTGACCCTCTCTCTGGGAGCTTCATCCCAGGGAGGTGAAGTATGGGCCTGTTGCTGGACCAAAGGCATCTGTAGGAGGTGGCTGGAGACCCCAGTTAGGAAGTCCTGCCCAGCGAGGAAAATTGGGATCATTGACCTGTTTAACAAAGCAGTCTGGCCACATTTTAGTAGAGCATCTATGCTGTGCTGGGGGTCCACTTCAGCCTGCAGTTACCTTGGATGCTCTGAAGCCTGAATATTAGAATGCCTAAGTTGCCCAAATGAGAAAGATGGCAGCCCACCCCTCCCTCTGGGAGCAGTATCTCAGGGAGGATTCAAATCTCTGTCAGCTGGGGGACATGGGCAGGGGTGGCTGGAGGCCCCTGTTGGAAGGTCCTATCCAGTGAGGAGGAATAGGATCGGGCACCTGCTTAAAGCAGCAGTCTGGCCACATTCTGGTAGAGCTGTTGTGCTGTGCTTGAGGATCCCTTCCCCTGGTCAGCTCAGATTCTCCAAAGCCTGAAGGCTGGAAAAGCTAAGGTGCCCAAAGAGCAAAGATGGCTGCCTGCCCCTCCCACCAGGATCTCCTTCTTAGGAAGTGCAATGATGCTCTGGGAGCTGGCTGGAATTCCAAGCCAGTGGGTCTTATCCTGTGAGGTGTCATGGAAGTGGGGCCTTCAGGCTGTCGCTGCTGAGCCCTCTGGATTCAGCCTATTTCCTTGGGTTATATGCACGGGTCTAACCTCCCACTTTGCTGGAGTTGCAGTTACTTTTACCAGGAAGTCTGGAGCCCAGGTATCTAAGGTCCCAGCGTCTCCACGAGTGCCAAAAATCCATATAGCTCTGTCTGTCCAACTGAAGGCCCTGGTGAAGTGGGTTCACAAGGAGATATCCTGACCTGAGGGTTGCAAAGATCTGTGGGAGAAGTGGGGTTTCCCAGGTCACACATTCACTCACTGTTTCCCTTGATATGGGAGGTTGTCCCGGCTCTGTGTTGCTCCTGGGTGGGCTGTCCTCCTGTCTTTCTTTTCTTCATTTTCCATGTGTCAAGTTGTTTCTTTGATTAGTCCCAATGCAAGTACCTGAATGTTTCAGTTGAAGGTGTTGTATCTACTCACCCCTTCCATCTCTCTCCATGAGAGCCACACACACCAGTTGCTTCTAGCCGGCCATCTTGGCCACTCTTGATATTTCTTATAATTTTCTTTTTTGTGTGTGGTTATATGTAGTGTTTGTTATAGAATGCTGTGTTTGTGATTTTGATAAGAAGAATATGCCAACAAAAGGACTTGCACAGTGCACTAAGGGAATATTAGTCTATACATTATTTGAAATATCTTACATGATATTAAGTTATTAAAATAAAGATTATCATTTTGTAAAAGTATTCAATGTAGAAAATCACTAAATACTAAGATCAGTAAGTTACTAGAAAGACAATAAGGAAATAAAATAAATATTTCTGGAAAATAGAGATTCCCAAATCAAAGATAAATAATTTCACAAACACATTGTAAAGTTTCGACCAGAAAAGGCCAGGTGTGGTGGCTCATGCTTGTAATGCCACCATTTTGGGAGGCTGAGGTGGGAGGATTAGTTAAGCCTAGAGGTCCCTCATCAGCCTGGACAACATAGCCAGATCTTGTCTCTACAAAAAACACAGAAAAAAAAATTAGTCTGGTGTGGCGGGTGCACCTGTAGTTCCATTTACTCAGGAGGCTGAGGTGGAAGGATTGCTTGTGCCTGGGAGGTAGAGGCTGTAGTGAGCTGTGAATCACGCCACTGCACTCTAGCCTGGGCAACAGAGCAAGACCCTGTCTAAAAAAAACAAAACAAAAACAAAAAGAAGAAAACAATTCTACAAGAAGAGAAACTCTCTTCACATTAAAGATATTTGGCAAAGACAAAGCTTCATTCTGAATGGTGATAAGTTTCCTAGAGATAGGAAGAGCCCCAACTTTGGTGAGCATGCCTTTATAGGTTGTGTAAGAAAGGGAGTATTTTCATGTTCAGAGAGCAGAACAAGATGTTATTTTAATATGTAACTTTGCCCAGTACTCCCATTTTTAATAAAACAAACTAGTTTTCACAAATACATTTTAAAATGCAATATACAATGTCTTTCTCAGGAGGTTAAATTTTCAGAGGTAAATTTTATATCAAGAGTATTGAACAAATTTTTCAGTATTCACTAATGTTCTAATATAATACAATTCATTTAATACTACGACACATCAGTGTGATTTGTAGATGTTGATTGTCTAGCCTTCAGAAAACTTAATAGAAAAAAAATCATTTGTTACAGAGGTCTTCATTTTTACATCTATAAGATTCTGTTTAGTATGAGAACTACCTGAAAAGAATAGGAAAATCAAAAAAGTTCCCTTAAAAGTCCTTGTCATATTAGTTGAGAAAACCCATTCAACTCTATATATTAAATATATTTTACAGTCAATTTTTCATTGGATCTTCAATATTTTGGTGGAGAACTACTTAATTTACCAAAAAGAAAGAGATAGAAATCAATCAACAGGGATTTATAGAGTACTTATGGAATGCTCAGCTTTGGGCTGGATGTTATAGAAAAGGGAGGATATTTAAGAGTGAATCACTACCTTCAAGAAAATTACAGTTTGATTGCGGAATTGCATTAGCTCCATGAAAATAAATTTGGAATAATGCAATGAGGAACGGAGATGATTGAAAAAGTTTCATAAAGCAGCTAAGAAAGGTTGGGTCTTGAAGAACAAGTAGGATTTTGAAAAGTTCAAGAATATCAGAAAAATGAGAGTAACATTTCTTGAGCCCTACTCATTTCTAGATATGGTGCTAAATTCATCATACACATTTTTTACTTTTAATTTTTGTAGCAGTCCTATGAGACAGATAAAATTATTGCCATTTTGTAGTTGAAGAAACTTAAGCTTAAAGATGTGAGTGAATTTATCCACAGTTCACAGCTTATGTATGGCAGAAGTGGGGTTTAAATATAGGCCTGTTTCTCTCCAAAGTCTATGATGCTTTGCCCATTACAATATTTCAGAGGTGGGAACTGCTATGATAAAATATAGAGGCAAGGGAGACTGTTTATGTGAGAGAGAAAAAGAAAAAAAAATCAGTAGGTACCTATAGAACTTTAGACATTTCCCCCTCAAGTATTGCAGATTTCAGAAGTTTCCTTGGGCTTATTTTACCTCTTTATGGAATAATATCCATAACTCTGTCTCCCTTAACTCAAAGTACAGCATTACTCTGCCTCCAGTTGCTCATGTTATCCTTGAGATGTTTTATATATTCACCCCTTTACTAATCCTTTAGCAAATTCTGTTGTCTCCATCTCAAATACCTCTCTTTGTTCTTGTGTCTCTATCTCTGCCTAAATACATATATCAATTTCTATATTGATATCTAGCTCTATTTTTATCTAAATCTATATTTGTGCAGTTAACCCCTGAAGAACATGGGTTTTAACTGTGCAGGTCCACTTATACATGGATTCTTTTTCAACCAAAATGGATCAAAAATACAATATTTCCTGGATGCAAAACTTCCTGTATACAGATTCCACAGGACCAACTGCAGGACTTGAATATGTGCAGATTTGGGTATATGTGGGTGTTCTGCAACCAATCCTATGAGTATACCAAGGAATGACAGTACATCTTTATCTCTATCTGTATACCTTATCTTTAATTCTATATGTATGTCTATTTCTACATCAATTTCTCTATGCGTATCTGTATCTAAATCTCTATTTCTATTTATATCTATAGCAACATATCCCTATCTTTGTACTATATCTACATATATATATATCTCTATGACTGTACCTATACCTACATATGCACCTACACCTTTACCCATACTTATTTATACCTATATCTATACTTATACCTACATTCATCTCAAATCCATCTCCACTGGAATCAACCTAGTCCAAGTCATTATCATCTCCTAATTGGGTTACTGTAATAGTTCCCTTACTACTCTTCCAACTGCTATTCTTGAACCTCTATAATCTTTTAAATATGTAAATTAGTTCACACTAATTTCAAAAGTTTCCAATGCCTTCTCTCACACTAAGAATAGTATATGAATTTCAGTTCAGGGCCTATTGACTACTTTTCCTACCCCATCTCCTTAAAATCTCCCTCTCAGTCACCAAGCCCTATCTGCCATAGCTTTTGCTCCTTTTAAATATATCAATTTTTGATGCTCTAGGGTTTTTGTACTTGCTGTTATTTCTGCCTAGTATAGTCTGCTGTCAGAAGTAAGCATTTTAGTTTCTTTTTGTCATTCAGGACTCAGTTCAAATGCCGCCTAGGTGGAAAGCCATCCTTGATCACTCAACACTATGCTGGAGACCCTGTGGTGAATTAAAGATAGCAACGCATGCTTTGGTACCTCTCCTTTGGAGAGTTAGAGTTTATACAGCATCTCCTTGAGTCTGGGTGGGCTCTGTGACTGCTCACACCAAGAGAATATGGTAGAAGTGTTGCATTAGTTTCTAGGCTCTGGCCATAAGATGTTGGCAAATTTTACTCACATTTAGAAGCAAGTTGCCATGTAACTACAAGTGTGAATCCCCTTAACTGCCATACTTTGAGAAACACAAGCCACATGGAGCAACTCTTAAGGATAAAAAGCCATGTGATTATATAGAGAGAGACAGAGAGAGAGAGAGAAACACCCTGAGAGACTCTGAGGTGCTAGACATGTGAATGGTTTTTGGAAGTGAATCTTCCTGCCCCAGCTGCTGCTGTGTGGATCATAGACACATCATCCAGCTGAATCTTTCCAGAATTCTCAATCCACAACAACTGTAAACAAAACACAATTTTGTGTCAAGCCACTAAGTTTTGGAGTAGTGTTACACAGCAATAATTAATCAGAACATATGTCCAAGTATGGTTTATTCACACTATCCTTTTAATTTTTCTACTAGTTATCACTGCCTGAAATGTCTTCCCTCACTTCCTTTTTCCTCCCCTTGCTTCCTTCCTTTCATCCTTTCTTTTTTTTCTTTTCTCTGCCTCTGTCTTTATTTCCTTTTTTTTGGTATCTATTTATTGCCTCAACTATAGATTATAAGCACTACACAAAAAGTAACTTTGTGAATCTCTTCTCTACTGCATCTCTAGTACCTAGAAGTAGGCCTCACAGATAGTTGGTATCTTTAAATATTTATGAAATAAATGAAATAAGCCTGTGCACTCAATTATTCTAGCTGCATACAGTTGGTATTTACTCAATCAAAGGTGTGACACCCATCCTTGTACATAAATACACAAATAAAACTCTTGCTAAAATAATTTCACTTATAAATGGGGGAAAGAATACATGCTATATGCTATTCTGTAGTTTTACAATGAGATGGGTTTCAGCAAAGCAGGATGCTTGAATGGGGTAAAAATTATACCTCTATACTGCTTTTTGGCATCAGATTTCAGTGGGATTCCTAATAGTTGGCTCAGCGCCGTAATGAGCTTCAAAGAGAAAAAAAAAAAATCATAGGTTTTGAAGTAGCTTAAAACACACCCTTTAGCTCCTCAGTACTAGAGCTTATACCTGGCAGAGTTCCAAGTCCCTTTTCTTCAGCTACATGGTGACATGGAGCCTGCCATGAGGATCCAGGATGCTCGGCTGCCTCTGATCCGAGGAGCTGACACAGAAATAACTTCCATTGCTCATAGATGACTCTTCACAAGGCCAGAGTTGGAACTGCTCTCCAAATACCAACTCGAGGCCATTTGAGAACTCCTGCTGCGGAGAAGATGAGGTTTTCAAGATATAAAGATGAGGACCTTTCACCTCCTCGCCCTTTGGGCTTAGCATAAAGACAGAAAAGGCAGCAGAGAGTTAAAGAGGTTCTTGTCACCCATAAAGTAACTAAACTGAACTGGCCACTTCATAGACACTTCCTATGGTGCCCACCAGCCCTTCTCCATGTTCCCCTCTAAGATAATTCTCTTCTGCCTCTGTTGTCACAGGGGTGAGTAGCCACCTTCTTTTGACTTTTGCAGTGTGCAGGGCAACTTCCACATTCAGGGCTTTTGCACAGGCTATTCACTCTGATGGGTACTTTCTTAACTCTGACCCTCCTCACCCCATTCAAAATCAAGGCATCAGTTTAAACGTCACTTCCTCTGGAAAGGCTTTCTGTTCCCCTAGGCTAGGTTTTGTCTCTCTGCTACACAATTTTATTATACCCCTTGTTGCAAGGGACACTTCCATATTTAAGCAGTCAATCCACTACATCAAGTATTTTCTGAGATTAACCAATCAATCAATAGTGTTATGCATGCTCTGGTGTTAGTAAGTTCAATAAAGGGAGAAATCAGGCTCGCTTTGTTCTTTTCTGTATCCTGAGGACATAGCTTGAGTCCAAGCATAGATCAGACAGTCAACAATTGATGAATTAATGGTTGGTAGGTGGGTGGATTACAGGGATACTCTCTTTTATGATTTTCACCTCGTGGATTTGGAACAATCTGTGTATCCCTAGTGAAGGTGAGAGTCTTCATTCCTCAATTCTTTATTTCGAATCCTTATAGGTCACTGATCTGTTCAATTGCAGCTTTAGCTGCACCCTGTGTTCTGGACCAATCCTAACTTGGGACAGGAGGTGGATAAAATGCCCATTTTCTGAGGCCCCCATTCCAAAATCTGGCTCCCAGATGACATTTCTAGACACACACTGAGCCAAAAGGGAACCTGCTACCTTGAAGAGAAGGACTCAGTTTTGGCAGGATTCATCACCTGCTGACTAAAAAGCCCTTGGACCGTGAATAACCAGTGGTGATACCCAAATAGTACACCGTGGGCTTGTGTTCTGAGACATGTTCTCTTTGGGTGTGACCCAGCACATTCCCAGCTATGGTGGCTATGATGAAAGACTCCTTCTGTCTGAGAAAAGCAGAGGGTAAAGTAAAGATGACTTTGTCTTGCACCATGGGCACCAGATCAGCCACAGTGGGGGAGAGCAAGAGGCAGGCTCTTGGGGTCCCTAAGTCTAGGCCTAAGTTCTTGGACAACATTTATGCCCTGGGCTAAAAGGGTGAGTCCTAGGCCTGGTAGCATTCACCACAAGCTGACTGAAGAGCCCTTGGGCTTTAAGTGAATATGGGCGGTGGCCTGGCAGAACCCGCTTTGGGCCGGTGGTAGTGGTGACCACAGGGAGAGGCTCTTCTGCCTGTGGAAAGGAGAAGGAGGAGTGGGAAGGACTTTATATTGCTGTTTGAGCGCCAGCTTAGTCACGGGAGAATAGAACATCAGGTAAATTTCTAAAGTTTTTGCTTCGATCCCTGGCTCCTAGACAGCATTTCTGGACCTGCCTAGAGCCTGGAAGAACTCACTGTACTTAATGAAAGGACACAAACCTGCTTGGCTTCACTACCTGCTGATTGTAGAGCACTAGGGCCTTGAGTGAACATAGATGCTAACCAGGTAATGGTTAATAAGAGACAAGAAGGTCATTATATAATGATAAAGTGGAGAATTCTGCAAGAGAACATAACAATTATAAACATATATGCACTTAACACTGGAGCTTCCAGACATATACAGCAAGTATTATTAGAGCGAAAGAGAGCAATAGACCTCAATGCAATACAAGCTAGAGACTTCAACACTCTACTTTCAGCACTGGACAGATCTCCCAGACAGAAACTCAACAGAGACACATCAGACTTAAGCTGCACTGTAGAACAAATGGACTCGATAGATATTTACAGAACTTTTCATCTAACAGGTGAGGAATATACATTCCCAAGAACATACACTGGGGAAAAGATAGCCTCTTTAAAAAATTGTGCTTGGAAAACTGGATATCTATATACGTAAGAATGAAACTAGACCCCTATCTTTCACCATATACAAAAATCAAATCAAAATGGATTAAAGGTTTAAATCTAAGACCTCAAATTATGAAACCACTACAGGAAAACATTGGGGAGACTCTCCAGGACTTTCAACTAGGAAATAATTTCTTGAGTAATACCCTGCCAGAACAGGAAACCAAAGCAAAAATGGACAAATGGGATCTCATCAAGTTAAAAAGCTTCTGCACAGCAAAGGAATCAATCAACAAAGTGAAGAGACAAGACACAGAATGGGAGAAAAAATTTGCAAGCTACTCATCTGACATGGGATTAATAACCAGAATAATTAAGGAGCTTAAACTACAGGGAAAAAATCCAATAATCTGATTTAAAAAATGGGCAAAAGATTTGAATAGACATTTCTCAAAGACATACAAATGGCAAACAGACATATGAAAAGGTGCTCAACATCATTAATAATCTGATTATCAGAGAAATGCAAATCAAAACTACAATTGGATATCATTTTACCCCACCTAAAATCGCTTTTTTTTTTTTTTTTTTTTCCTGAGATGGAGTCTCACTCTGTTGCCAGGCCAGAGTGCAGTGGCGGGATATCAGCTCACTGCAATCTCCACCTCCCAGGTTCAAGCAATTCTCCTGCCTCAGCATCCCGAGTAGCTGGGACTACAGGCATGCACCACCACGCCTGGCTAATTTTTGTATTTTTAGTAGAGACAGGGTTTCACCATGTTGGCCAGGAGGGTCTCGATCTCCTGACCTCATGATCTGCTTGCCTCGGCCTCCCAAAGTGCTGGAATTACAGGTGTGAGCCACCGTGCCTGGCGTAAAATGGCTTTTATCCAAAAGACAGACAATAGCAAATGCTGGAGAGGATGTGTAGAACAGGAAATGCTTGTACACTGTTGGTGGGAATGTAAATTAGTACCAAAAAACAAAAAAACAAAAAAAAACAAAAAACCCTAAAAATAGAGCTACCATACAATCCAGTAATCCCACTGCTGGCTATATACCCAAAATAAAGGAAATCAGCATATCAAAGAGATATCTGCACTCTCATGTTTGTTTCAGCACCCTTCACAATAGCCAAGATTTGGAAGCAACCTAAGTGTCCATCAACATCTAAGTGGATAAAGAAAATGTGATACATATATACAACAGAGTACTATTCAGTCATAAAAATTGAGATTCTGTAATTTGCAACAACATGAATGGAACTGGAGGTCATTATGTTAGGTGAAATAAGCCAAGCACAAAAAGACAGACTACATGCTCTCATTCATTTGTGGGACCTAAAAATCAAAACAATTGAACCCATGGACACAGAGAATAAAAGGATGGTTACCAGAGGCTGGGAAGGGTAGCGGGGGTATATGGGGGTGGGAGTGAGCTGGGCATGGTTAACGAGTACAAAAAATAGTTAGAAAGAAAGAATAAGTAATAAAGAATTGTACTTTCTTCAGAACTCGGCTTCTGGACTGTGGGTTCCAGCAAAGTAAAGGTCTTTGCTGCCAGCACTATGCCTTTGACTATTTTCTGGGTGAGTCCACACTTGCACAGAGTGGGGATTTTCCTGGATATAGGTATGAGGTTCATTTCTTTTTATGATGTTAGTGATGGGTGCCATATCTACACATTCAACAAAATTTCTGTTAGGGAGCCGCTGCGTCCATTTTTTGCTCATAAACGTGAAACTCAAGATGATCAGAGCTTCCTGAATATCTTTCCTGTAATGGATCCAGACAGTGCCAGTCCCCTAGTTTATTCTGGGGAAAGTAAATAAACATTTGAATATAATCATCAGTAGGAACTTTCTGTGTGCCCATAGCCAGACTAAGAACTTTTCTGCTAGATACACACAAGTACAAAGGGATAGAAGGGAAAGATCAGTCATTTTGTAAACCATGAACACAAAATAAATATATTAATTAGGGTAAAATTATATTTTACATATAAAGTTTGTCATGTTGCTTTCGTCAGGGCTTATGTTTACATTTCTGTTCAATAAACATTTTGAAATTTAAAAAAAAGAATGAATAAGACCTAGTATTTGATAGCACATCAGAGTGATTATGGTCACTAATAATTTCATTGTACATTTAAAAATTACTAAAAGTGTATAATTGGATTGTTTGTAACACAAAGGATAAATGCTTAAGGGGATGGATACCACATTTTCTACGATGTGACTATTGTGCATTACATGCCCATATCAAAATATTTTATGTACCCCGTAAGTATATACACCAACTATGTACCCCCCAAAAATAAAAATAAAGGCCGGGGGCGGTGGCTTACGCCTGTAATCCCAGCACTTTGGGAGGCTGAGGCGGGCGGATCACGAGGTTAGGAGATTGAGACCATTCTGGCTAACACGGTGAAACCCCGTCTCTACTAAAAATACAAAAAAATTACCCGGGCGTGGTGGTGGGTGCCTGTACTCCCAGCTACTTGGGAGGCTGAGGCGGGAGAACAGCGTGAGCCCGGGAGGCAGAGCTTGCAGTGAGCTGAGATAGTGCCACTGCACTCCAGCCTGGGCGACAGAGCGAGACTCCATCTCAAAAAAAGAAATAATAATAATAATAATAAAATTAAAAAATAAAAATAAAAGAAAACTTAAAAAAATGCCCATTCTCTTATTCATGAATTTCTTATAATGTTGTTTTTCCTAATAAGGGCTCTAAGGCCTTTGATGCTGAATGATGTAATCTCAAGTATATCCTTTTAGGGTATTCCATTATGATAAAGGAAACCCAGTGCACTTAATTCAAGCCTAAGCTTTTGTAGTATGTTGCAATTACTGAAACATAAATTTAAGTATCTAGCCTAGTCCTTGGCATATGGCAGGCACTCATTAACTGGTAGTCATCATTATCAACATGATTATTGATTATTAGTCAATGTTACAGTCACTTGGGCAGGCTTCCCCTCTCCCTGTGAGTTCCATGACCACTTCTTAGATCTCCATTACATTCTTTCAAACAGGTCCAGAATTTTTTACTCTGACCTTAGTCCATAAACTAAGGCTTTCCTCTCCTTGCCTATTTTTCTGATGCTGCTGTCATGCTTCTCAGCAAACAACTGCACTGTATTTGTGCTAGAATCTCACTTATTGAGGCTCAGTACATCTGTTGAAAACCCACAGCTACTTTTTGAATCCCTCCCTTAGCAGAATCATTTAAAATTGATATTAGAGATCATTATAATTCTTGAATATTATTGCTGTATCCCCCAGTCTGAAATACTAATACTAGAGTCACTGTATCTGAGCATCTCTAATCTCTAATAGTTAAGAGTCTAGACATTAATTAGAGTCAGACACACAAGTTTTGAACAATGTCTCCTTTATTTATAAGTTCTGAAAACTTGGAAAAATTGTTTAATTCTTAAGCTTCTCTTTCCCCTTCTATAAGATTGCAATCAATAATAGTACCTGACTCCTAGGGCTACTGTAAAGATGAAGTGAGACTAAATGAAATTAAAAGACTATTGGCAAGCCTGTTCTCCTCCCAAGTCTGTCTGCCTACCTGTGACTACCATGTTTTACTTGGTCTTAACCTCTATCCCAAGATTGTGCTACATGTGTCTGGCTCAAGCACTGCCCCTGTGTATTAACTGAAAGCATACATACATTATTCATCTTCTGGGTCTTTGGGAATTGGAGATTGAATAGATGATAATATTTTAAGCACATTTTGAATGCATTCATTTGTATAATCACAGTAGCAAATATTCTTTTAGTAATTCTGTTATTTCCTGGGAAATCTTTCACATGAACTGGACTATTGAGTTTTCAGAAAAAAAAGAAACCAATTTAAAAAATAAAGAACTATAAGTACAATCATTGTTTTAAAGTTTTCTAATTTGACTTCTGCTTCCAAAAGATGAAGTAGACATACTTCCCTCATCATCATGCTAAATACAACTAAGAATAGTGGACATTATATGTAAAACAAACATAAGACATCTTTGAAAGATACAAGAGAAGATGGCTGATTGGCCAAGAATCTTAGGACCTAAAGTATAACATGGTGATCAGTTACCTGGGTTTTCCTTTTGCCTCATATATCCTGACCTAGATCTAATGAAGCCAGTAAACTAAAAACACAAATTTGCACAGATGTCAAAATTTCCAACTAAAGCCCTAGACAAAGAACTAGAAACAGGCAGCCTAGGAAGATGAAAAATTTTTGGAAAAAAAAAGCTGCTCTATTTTAGCTAAAGCTCTCATCCCATCCTACCAGCAAAGGCTGACTAGGGACCCACTCACTCAAGGCTATTACCAAAATCCCAATGCCCCTGCTGGGCTGGTGTTGAAGGTCATGTAGAAAGCCAGGATTGCAATCCCTGCTGGCCAGTAATGAGCTCCTCATTCACCGTGTTAGTGCATGTCATGTGGGAGCCTGGACTTCTACTTGTGCCTGGCAATAATGTTCTCATTCTCTAGTTGGGTGGTGTCAAGGAGACCTAATGTAGAGTGTGATCATTCACCATCACCCAGTGGTGACAAGGGCACCCCCAGTGCTGTCAGTGGAGACAAAATGGGAGTCAAATCCCCTACTTCTGTCTAGGAGTAATGAGGAAACTTACCTAACTTCTATGCCAATGAAGGCTGGGTACCAAGTTGAAATTCTACCTCTATGGTGATGCCTTCCTCTTTCCTTATCAGAGTTATATAAAAGAAAGCCAGCTAAAATAGAAGGTTTAATAAGATTGAAAATTTTGTAACACAAAAATTTCCAGGTGTCTGTTAAAAATAGTTTGTCATACCAAAAAGCAGTAAGATCTCAAACTGAATGAAAAAAAGACAATCAAAGATGGCAACACTGACATAACAGAAATGTTAAAATTTTCTGACAAAGATTATAAAGCAGCTATCATAAAACTGCTTTAATGAGTAATTATGAATACTCTTAAAATAAATTGAAAAGAGAAAGTCTCAATAAAGAAATAAAACTTATAAAATAAGTTTATAACTGAAAAATAAAATTTTTAAAATGAAAAGTACAGTGGAGGAGCTTAGTAGCAATATGGATAGGGCAGATAAAATAATCAGTTGGCTGGAAGATAGAATAATAGAAGCTACCCAATATGAACAACAAAGAAAAGGTAGACTAAAAAAAAATGAGGTAATCCTGAGAAACTGTGTGACTATCATAAATGATCTAACTTTCATGCCATTGGAGTTCCAGAAGAAGATAAGAGGACAAGGCTGAAAAACTATACCAATAAATAATGACTGAAAGCTTCCCAAATTTGTTCAAAAGACTTAAATCTACAGATCAAAGATGAGTGAACACAAAGCAGAAAAAAAAAAAAAGAAATCCATGCAATGATACATTGTAATTAAACTTTTGAAAACTAAGGGCAAAATATCTTGAGAGTGGCCACAGGAAAATGACACATTACCTTTAGAAAAATGGCAATTAGAGTAAAAGCTGTTTATCATAAAAAATGATGGAAGCCAGATGAATCACAGGTTGGAAGAAACTAATTGTCAACCCAGAAATCTATACCCAGCAAAAAAAAAAAAAAAATTCTTCAGGAATGAAGAGGAAGTAAAGATATTCTAAAATGAGAAAAAAAAATAAAATGAATGTGTCTAGTCTCAGACCTATTCTAAATTAATGGTTAGAGGAAGTTTCTTTAAACATTAAGAAACTGTAAAAATAAGAAACCCTTTAAGATCAGGGAAGAGGAGATAATAAGGCAAGAAAAAATGGAAAAATATAATAGCAATTCCTTCTTCTCAAGCTTTCTAATTTTTTTGGTAGTTGAAGCAAAAATTATAACAGTTTATAATGTGGTTATAAATATATGCAGAGGAAATATTTAAGACAACTATATTATAACTAGGGGAGGTCAAAGAGAACTAAAGAGAGATATAATTATTATGATTTTTTGAATAATAAAATAATGTCACCAGTAGACTGTGATAGAACACCATAGACAGGCACATACATGCACACACACACACACACACACACAATGTAATGTCTAGAATAACCACTGCAATAGCTACATAAAGTTTTCTATATAATTTATCTATAATATTTTAATATAAAAAAAGCACTTCTGCTAAATCTCAATAGAATTCTAACAAACTTCGAGTGAATCAGAAAGGCAGGAAAAAGAAAACAAAGAAACAAGAAGCTGAAAGAACAAACAGCAACTAAAAATAAAATTGCAGGCTTAACATATTAATAATTACATTAAATGTAAATGATGTAATTACACGAATTAAAAGACAAAAATTGGCAAAATGGTCCAACTGTTTAAAAAACAGATGTATCGTTCAGACAGTCAAAGGAAATCAGAAGTGGCTATACTAATAACAGAAAAAGTAGTCTTCAGCGTATAAAAAATTACTGGAAAGACAGTAGGATCTATGCACTGATAAAAGTTAAAGCCTACAAAAAAGACAGTAATCTTAAATGTACACACACCAAGCAAAACAACAGAGCGGTAAAATGTGTGAGGCAGAAACTGACAGAACTGACACAAAAAACAGACATTCATTATTATACTTAGAGACCTCAACACCCCTCTCTCAAAAATTTATAGACAAACTAGGCAGAAATTAGCAGGGATATAGAAGAACTCAACAATACCATCAACCAACAGTATTTACTCAATATTTTTAAAGAAGCAACAGCAAAATACACTCATTTTCAAGTGCTTACGAACCACATTCCATGGTAGGTTGTATCCAGGGCCATGAAATAAATCTTGTAAATTTAAACTAACTGAAATTATACAGAAGGTGTTTTCTTACCACAATGGAATTAAATTAGGAATCAATAAGAGAATTATTGCAGAAAGTCTCCAAACATCTGGAAGCTAAATAGTGTATTTGTAAATAATCCATGAGTCAAAAGGTAGTCTCAAGAAAAATTGTAAAAAGGATATTTAATTGAAAGAAAATAAAGCTTATTAAAATATGTTAGACACAGCTAAAGCAGTGCTAAGAAGAATATTTATAGAACCAAATTCAAAAATTAGGTAAAAAAAGCAGTTTCAAATCAATAATTAAAACAACCCTGGCTCCTTCATCAAAAACATACTAAGCAAAACCAGGCAAACAAAAGCCAGAAGCAAAAACAAAACTAAAAGAGCCTTAAAAAGGACAAAATAAACCCAAGTAAACAATGGAAAAGAATAATAAACACAAAAGCAGAAATTAATGAGCTTGAAAATATTAAAACATAGAAAATTTAGTAAAACCAAGAACTAATTATTTGAAAAGATTAATAAAATTGACAAACATCTAGCAAGACTGAGAACAAAAAGTGAAAATATACAAATTACCAATATCAGTAATTTGTTCAGGCTTTTCTATGAGAAAGGCTTATTGGCTTGAGTCACCTTTGGACTAAATTGACTGCATTTAAAAGAAATTTTTCTTTTAAATATTTTAAATTTTAAATATTTAATTTATATAAAATATACATTTTAAATATTTTAAATTTTTCTTTTAAAAGAAATTTTTCTTTCAAATAGCTGTCCGATATGTATCTATAAAAAGTTACAACAGAAATATAATATCTACTTCAAAAAATTCATTAGCAAGATTGAAAAGCAAAAATCAGATTTAAAATAATTTTAATTTTTTTGAACGCTCCAATTGCTTGTTTTGAATTTTCTGTGAGATTTGCTAGAAGATGTTTCAGTCTGTGGTCCAGTGATTAAGATTTGCACGGTCAACGTTTTTGCCTAGGGTCAATACCTGGTCAGGGAACAATTACCTTAGAGACATAAACTTGTTTGGCTCAGGAGAGAAACATTTATGAGAGTTAATTGGAGTTATTTGTAAAAATCTTTTTGAATTTATATTTGTATGACTCTTGAGTCTTTGGGGTACCCATTTGACTAGTAATTGTTTCATTCCCATGAAAATCTTTTGCCTGTTTGTCTTACCAACTCTTCATCTCTTAGTTTTTCATGGATTAGGGGCACGTTGGTTGTCAGGCAGCTCTATGCACATGACTAACTCAAAGGATGGAATCCCTGAGGATATGGCTGGATAGAAATGTGTGTTGTACCCCATCTGTGCCTACTAAAACTTTCCTTCCTTTAAGCTGTCTTGAGGTCTGGATCTTAGAAGGGCTTCAGTTTGTTCTTCTTTGGAGACTGGCTAAAATCACAAAGGGCTTCTGGGCTTTGGTCTTGTATGTGAATATTTGTTTTGATTTATAGGTCATTGTTGATATACTCCTTTGGTTTATATTCAGAGCATGATAGAAACTTTTTTGTTTGTTTGTTTAGCCTTCTCTCCTGAGGTAAAAATGGAACTATGTACTCAGAAACAAAGGAGCCAGTTGAGACAAAAACAGAAATCTTACTCTGGAAGCTCTTTTTGCCCTGTCTTTCTCATCTTTGTTCATTTGATTTTTATGTGGTCTTTCTTAGGAGTGGGTAGGAGAGACCCTTGTGACTAGCCACAGACTGGGCCAGAGAGACAGGCCTCCTGCCTCTGCCCTGAGCCTAATCTCTGAGCAAGTCAGCAGCAGGTTCCTCCCAGGCAGTGGGAAAGATGCTGCCCCATTTACAGCCCACTCCAATCCCTTGGTTCCAGGGGAACACCTGCTGCTTCCAAAGCCCACCCATTCTTACCAACATCCAAAACTCCTTCTAGGTGCAAATTTCAGGGGAAAAAAACTGGTAAATGGAAAAGTTTGCTCTTTGCTTGGCTAAAACTTGATAATAAAATGTTTTAAGTGTTCTATGGTCAAAAGTCGCTTAATTAAAAGCTAAAATCCAGGCTATAATATTTTGTAAAGCCTCTGATTTTTCTCTTTTGAATCCTGTTTCTCCCATTAAACTACTTTTCAGTCAACTGGACTTCTTTTTCTTGAACCTCTACTAACTAGACCTTCATTGGCCTTTTTGTGAAACTTAAGATCTCCTGAAACTGGTTACTTTAAGACCCATTCTTCCATTTACTTCTGCTTCTCCTTCTTTTTGCCACCTTTGTCAGCCCCTACTTCTTTTATTTGAAGATTAATGGCGAAAAAATTACTGAGAGAAAACATCGGATCTTCGGTTATCACATGAAGTGATCTAAAGGAGACTTCTAGTGACCCTGAGACCTATAGAGGCACACAAAAAAATGTGCCACTGACCTCTTTACTGGGGATTTGTGCCTTCCTTATAGAGTCTCAAAGAGACATGGATGGGCTCATCTCAGGTCTGAAATTTTGCTCTTTTTTTGTATTGAGCAACCTAATGTATTTGGCTTTTGGATGCACACGTCTATGTGTGTTGCATATTGTGTGTGCATGTTTATTTCTATACATGAGTTTGTATATTATCTACATGGTGCCAAATTGACATAGAGATAAAATGAGCATGTATGAATTAAATAATTAAGCCCAAATACTTTTCAAAGTTTATTTGACTGAAATAAATCTTTAGGAAATTAGATGAGTTAAAGATTGTTGGTTTAATAGAAACAGATTTATCTTCTAAGTTATCAGCAAAATACCTCAGTAGCTTTTGTTTGGATGGTAACTGCCTGATATACATGTGTTATATAATAATTAACAGAAAAAAAACGAGATGACTAAACTGTGTCTAACGTCTGATAAAAATTTTCAAACATATGGGAAAACTGGATAGCCACATATAGAAGAATGAAACTTGATTGTTCTCTCTCACCATATACAAAAATTAACTCAAGATGGCTTAAAGACTTAAATCTAAGATCTGAAGCCAAAACTATTTAGAAGAAAACCTAGGAAAAACTCTTCTGGACATTGGCCTAGACAAGGAATTCATAACTAAGATCCGAAAAGCAAATGCAACAAAAACAAAAAATACATAAATGGGATTTAATTAAACTAAAAGGCTTCTGTACAACAGTAGAAATAATCATCAGAGTAAACAGAAAACCCACAGAATGGGAAAAAGTATTTGCAAACTATGCATCCAACAAAGGACTAATATCCAGAATCTAAAAGGAACTCAAACAAATAAGCCAGAAAAAAAAAATCTGAAAACAATAATCCCATCAAGAAGTGGGCAAATGACATTAATAATTTCTTCTCCAAAAATATATACAATGGCCAAGAAACATACGAACAAATATTCAACATCACTAGTCATCAGGGAAATGCAAATTAAAACCACAATGAGATACCACCTTGCCCCATCCAGAGTGGCCATCATTAAAATGTCAAAAATCAGTATATGTTGGCATGGATGGTGAATAGGGAATGCCTATATGCTGCTCGTGAGAATGTAATTAGTACAACCTCTATGGAAAACAGTGTGAATATTTCTCAAGTAACTAAAAGCAGATCTACCATTCAATCCAGCAATCCAACTACTGGGTATCTACCACCCCAAAAAAGTCCTTATAAAAAAAATACCTGCATGCGTATGTTTATCACAGCACAATTTACAGTTGGAAGGATATGGAACTACCTAAGTTTCCATCAGCCAAAGTGTAGATAAAGAAAATGTAGGCCGGGCATGGTTGCTCACGCGTGTGATCCCAGCACTTTGGGAGGCCGAGGCAGGCGGATCATGAGGTCAAGAGATTGAGACCATCCTGGCCAACATGGTGAAACCCCGTCTCTACTAAAAATACGAAAATTAGTTGGGCATGGTGGCTTGCGCCTGTAGTTTCAGCTACTTGGGAGCCTGAGGCAGGAGAATCGCTGGAACCCGAGAGGTTGCAGTGAGCCAAGATCGTGCCACTGCACTCCAGCCTGGCGACAGAGTGAGACTCTGTCTCAAAAGAAAGAAAGAAAGAAAGAAAGAAAACGTGGTATATAGACACATAGAATACTACTCAGCTATAAGGAAAGAATGAAATATTGTCTTTTGCAGCAACTTGGATAGAGCTAGAGGCCATTATTCTAAGATAAGTAACTTAGGAATGGAAAACTTACATGTTCACACTTATAAGTGAGAGCTAAGATGTGGGTCTGCAAAGGCATGCAGAGTGGCAGAGTGGACATTGAAGACTCAAAAGTCAGGAGGGTAGGAAGGGGCTGAGGGATTAATAAACTACATATTGGGTATGATGTATAGTACATTGGGTGATTGGTACACGAAAATCTCAGGCTTCACCATTATACAATTCATCCATGTAACCAAATCCACTTTTACCCAAAACCACAGAAATTCAAAATAAATGAAATAAAATAAAGTAAAAAAATTTTCCAAGCATAATTCTTAAGGATTAATAAATCAAATAGATGTAAATGGGATAGAAGTTGATAAATACACTTTTTTCATGGATAATCATACTTATAATATACTTACTTAAAAGATTTCCCAAGTCACTTTAGCAATATACCCCTCTAGTTTTGCTAAGTTAATGACAGATATTCATCACATTTCTAGGTTATTTCTAAGTAATATACGATACTAAAACATTAACAGGAGGTTTAAGTTTATCTGCTTTTGGCTTCTTATTACAAAGAAACAAAATATATTTAGATCTGTTAGTAAATATGTTCTATTCCAATTTTTTTAAAAAAAGTTCCATTAAGAAAGATACATTTTTATAAATTATAAAATGATGTTCGTAAGTCTACAGAATGTTGGTTTACAATTGCTAAAAATTGAAGCTCTAATTAATGTAGTTAATTAAAACTACTAAAAATAAGAAAAACAGTTCTGTACATAGAGCATACAGGGATGTGTTTTTGGTGAGGAAGGTTGCAAGGAATGCATGAAGATATGGATTTTAAGGAAAATTAATTTTGTCTAGTGTAGAGTATGCTTAAATATTGTTTCAAAATGAACAAGTGGAGAAAAATTGTTATAGGCAAAACAAATGAATATAAAAAGTTGGAAAAATAAAAGACAGTAAAAGAAAATCTTATATGGTTAAACGAACTCAAGCTAAATAAATGTATTAAAGGGTTCTAATATTGAGCCTTAATATCAAAAGTACATTGAAACAAAACTGGAATTTGGGTTTCTCTTTCTTTAAAAAAAATTGAGCACTCACTCTCCTGTGATATTTCTTCCTTGCCTGTTAGATCAATTTTGTATGCCTTTTTCTCCTATTAATCTGACTATCGTAAATTCATTTTCACTAAGTCTTCAGAGGGTAAAGGAGAAATTTTCCCTCTTTGATTCTACAACTTGAAGATAAATTCTTACATTAGTGACTCTAAAATTGCAATGAAAGCCTGGGTACTACCCTTAAGCCACAGCAGTGTATTAGAAAGCAGCTAGGTAAAGACAGGACATGTCTATTTTGTCAGGTAATATTATTGTTCAAAATCATTGACACTCATATTTGTAAGCACTTATAGATCCTTGCTTTTGCCTTGTAATTGGCAGTACAGCTGTGTAGATGGCATGAACTTTCCTGTCCTGTTCTTAAATTTGTCTAGTGTAATTTAAGTGAATATGATATAAGCCATTGTTGGAGCAGAAGCTTTAAATAGGATGACATGGTAATCTTGCTTCTGCTTCCTGCTGTGAGAATGGTGCTTTCCAAATAGAGGTTGCTTGTTTAGCCTGGCAGTCTAGCTGAGAAGACTGATAGAGCAGAGCACAATGGGAGCAGACCCTCGGGTGGCCTGAAGCCTACACGCAATATGAACAAGAAACATACCTTTGTTTCATATAACACTGAGATCTTGAGGTAGTTTGTTACTCCAGCAAAGCCACCAAATACACGTACTTACAGGAATGCTAATGGATGTGCATTCACCTACAGGTTTGTGGTTCCATGGCCTTTTATTCTGACTCTGTAAAAATACACAAGTGTGTTGTATATTAATAGAAAAGTTTAATTTACGCACATTTAGTAATTTTATTTTGGTTAGTAATACTGAATAATCTCATAATAAATATAAGCAATTTGAACAGGCTGCCTTTTATTGGTTTGCACATATTATATTAAAGCCAGTGAAGTAAATTTTATGTACTAATTCAGATTTCACAATGCCTTTCAAGAACATTCTATAAATAACTAGAAGAAATACTTTGCTAATATATTTTGAGTTGGTAAGTGGCTGTATTGGTAAAGCCTAATTTCAATCTTTAATTTTAAATGACAGGAACTCAAATCACACCAGCTTAAGCAAATCCTAATAAATAAATATATAAATAAATAAAATATGTCTGTGTGCATGTATGTATATGTGCATGTGTGCGTGTGTTAGAGCAAATATTAATTAGCTTGTGTAACTGAAAAATATAGTTTGAAGCATGACTGGATCCAAGATCTCAAACAATGTCATCAGTGTCCCAGCCCCACTTCTTCCCTTTGTCTTTTTCTTCTCCTTTTTCTTATGTTTATCTTACTCTGATTTATTTCTCTCTATTTCTGAACTATGCCTCCCTTTTTTGGCTCAATTCTTAGAGCTGGCAGTGAGAGTCTCATCAGAAGCCACTGAGACTGTGAGATGAGGTTGTATAAAGAAAAATCAAGGTGCTATTATCAGAAGAGGGATAAATGTTAAGTGGGCAAAAAAAAAAAAAAAAAAAAAAAGAAAAAAATCAATTGTAGGAGTAAATGCCACAAAGCATGCTCAAGACACAGATGTTTGCTAAAGTGTAACAAGAATGAGAAGAGTTAAATACGGAGCATTTGTTTTGCTGAGTGGATGATGCTAATTTGGGGCCAGAGCTGAATTGTTCAGGACAACAAAGTAGAGGAAAGGAAGGCCACCTGATCCTACTGATAGTGTACAGGCTTTTCTGTATACTAAAGGAATGTTACACAACTACTTATTTAAAAATACTAGTTCAAACAGAGGCCATTATCAACTTAAGAGCTTGTTAAGGGAATCTTAAAAATTCCTTTAGCACTATCTGTAGAATTTTGATTTCTATACACATTACATGGCTTTGTTACTCAAGATTTAAGTGGGAAGAATTAAAGAGGTGTCTATCAGAAAATAGCATCATTAGGTTGAAACTTTCTCACACTTTAATTCTTTTGGTAGTACTTTGTGTGCATGACTCAGTACCTTTCTCTTTATTTAAGAAATAAAATCAAATATGTAAAAATATAGACTTTTAAAATACAGTCTCCCAGGTGTCTGTTGCAGCCTCAAGCCCCCTTTTTTTCCTCCATTGTTCTCTTGTTACTTCAAAACAATTAGGTATTCATATGCAAATATATGCAAATGAAAGGGGTTTAATATAAGTGATTTTTACTACTAGTTAATTTCTACTTTTGGGTCTACTGATAAGATCTGGAAAACTGCTTTATTTGGTACCCTTACACCTTGGGGCATAAAAAAAGGATGGTGTGAAAGCCACCTAAATATCTCAAAAATACTGCCATTGTTAAGATTGTACTTCAACTTGAAAAGTGTTTTTGAATTGTTGTCTCCATTGTCTGCCTTGCACTCTCTCAGAGAGAATGTTATGTTGAAGATTACATTATTTGTTACTGAGTAGATTAGTTATTCAGGATCCAGAATGCATCTGAAGTACTGTAATCAATACGGGAATGGTTAGGAATGAAAGAAGTAATCATCAGAAAAAGAAATGGAATTGATTGATTGATTGAACCATAGTTTCAAAGCAATCAGAAAATATTTATTAAATATTTTGAGTGGAGAAAGATGCAATGAATAAATTAAATACATATTTTTGAAGCTTCTGAGAATCACCAGATAATGTGTAAAGTGGAGCGGGTAGTTGAAATCTAGCAATTACGGTTTTTCTTGATGTGACAGGTTAAAGGTGTCTGCTATATCTTTGCTAACCTACCACTGAGGAGGTGAGTCTATTTTCTATCTTCTTGGAGTTGAGTTTGCTTTAAATTATTTGATCAACGAACGCAGTGAAAGTGGTCTTCTGGGACTTCTGAGGCTAGGTCAGAATGAGTCTTGCAGATTACACTCAGCTGAAAGAATACTCATTCTAGGAACTCTACTGCTCTGCCAATGAGGAAGCCCAAGCATCCTGTGAATGGGCCTTTATGGATCACAACCAAGTTACCCTAACAAAAGACTTGGCCAAGTTCTCAGCCAACAGCCAACACCCACTTGCTAGCCATGTGAGGGAGCCATCTTAAAAATGCATCCACTAGTACTAGCCATGCCACCTCAACTAACATCTCAGGGATCAGAAAGGAAACACCCAGCTAAGCATTTCGCCAATTCCTCTTCCACAAAAATCATGATCTAAAGAAACTGCTTTTTTAGCCCACTAAGATTTGAAATAGTTTGTTACATATCAACAGGTAATGGGAACACTGGATATGGATTAAAACAAACACCCAAACAGCTGGCTTTGGGAAAGCAGTGGTATTACATGTAAAACTTCCTTTGCAAAGCTAAATACATGATCTATTCACAGACAGTTTAAACACAGGAAGTGATTACATTCAGTTTGCAATGCTAAAAAGAGCATTTAATTGGTAAGATTCCCTTCCTCACGTTTTAAGTTTAGCTCTTTCAGTCTCTTTTCACCAGTGGAAGGCCTGAAGGAGAGGGAGGAGCACATTGCTGAGGATAAATATCCTGGCCAGGACTCCAATGTCCTCTGCACAACCTACAGATGCCTCAGTGACTAATCTTCATCTGCAGATAATTCAGAAACAGGGCAGATCCCTTGGATTTGAAAATGGGAACTAAAACTCATCCATCTTTTCCTGATGGCTAAACAGGCTATTATTAGCAGGCCAGATGATTTAATAGGCCAGGGATGGAAAGGCGCATGTTGATAATTAAACACTCCAGAGTTCCATTCCAAAGCAAGTGTCCTTTAACAACACGCCTCAGGTTTGTTTGCTTTAAAAGCACTTATCCTCCACTTTCATGTCTCTGGAATATGTACAGGCATCAACCTAAACTTTTCTGATGGATTGAAATGTTGTTTGTCAAACCAATGTGCAATTGTTTGGGTGACATGTTACATGGAATTAACGGTCCTAAATCAGCTTTATAATTTTATAAATGTATAAATCTCAAAAAGAGATGAGACCAGTCTTTCAGCAAATAGAAATCAAGGTCTAATATATTGTGGTAGAGTCATATGAGAAATGTAGCTTAGTGCTGGCTCTGACTAGTGATTGTTTGATCTGGAGCAAGAGCTAGGTACTGAATGTTTGTACCCCGACCCCCACCCCCTCCACCAAAACTAATAATCCCTAATGTGATGGTATTTGAAGGTGGGACTTCTGGGAAAAATTAGATTATGAAGGCAGAGCCCTCATAATGGGATTAGTGCCCGTATAAGAAGACATAGAAGAGAGTTTGCTTGCTTTCTCTCTCTCTCTTGCATGAGGAAACCAGGAAGAGAACCCTCACCAGACACCCAATCTCCTGGCACCCTGATCTTGGGCTTCCCAATCTCCAGCCCTGTGAGAAATAAATGTTGTTCAAGCTGCCCAGTCTATGGTATAGTTTGATCATTTGAAAGATTCTGATTCTAAAGTTCTGTCAAGAACTAGAGTTTGCTTATTCTACAAATTTCATTATCAAGTCAAATCCTTCTCTCAATGATAAATTGAGTTATGGAGTGATTAATAGAGAATGTTTTTCTGCAGGCCTACACAACTATTTTCTCAGCCTTCTTTATTTAACATATTACCTAGCACTCTTTTCAAAAATACTGTTTTATGATAGTTAATATTAACTTTACTCATGACTAATTGTGCCACACACTGTGCTCAAAGTTTTACAAGTGTAATGTGATTATTCCTTCCAATAAATCACTGAGGTCAGACATAATCAGCTTTATTTTATAGATGAGATGATTAGATCTCTGGGAGGCTGCATATCTTGCACAAGAGTGATGGAATTCAAACTCAAATCAAGTTCTGTCTGATGCCAGAATCCCTACTCTTTTGCATATTTGCCCTACAACTATTTATTTAGATGCCTACATGGAGCCTAAAGACTAACAAAAGCTTTTAAAGCAAAAATATTTTAATTATTTATGTAGTTTGACCAGAAGTCATGTAAAATTGAAGGCTACAATGGTGGCAAGCTCATGGAAAAGGGCTATTCTGCTTGGGATGATATTTGTGTTGATCTCGAGTCATTATTTTCCATCCTCACCTTTGAATAGGCTTCAGGGAAGAATTGAACTACAATAGTGCAGGGAAAGAAAATCAAATAGTTTTCAGAAAAAAATACTCTTCCTGCTCTTTGAGGTAAGGCTGCTTGATATTACTCTCCGTGCATTGTGGTATGTATTAGTCTATTCTCACACTACTATAGATAAATACCTGAGACTGGGTAATTTATAAAGAAAAGAGGTTTGATGGGCACATGGTTCTGCATGCTGTACAGGAAGCATGGCAGCATCTGCCTCTGGAGAGGCCTCAGGGAGCCTTTAGTCATGGTGGAAGGCAAAGTGGGAGCAGGTGTCTCACATGGCAGGAACAGGACCAAGAGAGTGGTGGTAGGGAGAGGTGTCACACACTATTAAACAACCAGATCTCATGAGAACTCACTCACTACACAATAGCAAGGGTGGATGGTGCTAAACCATTCATAAGAACTCTGCCCCCATGATCCAATCACCTCGCACTTGGCCTAAACTTCAACATTGGGGATTACAATTTCATATGAGATTTGGTGAGGACACAGATCCAAACTACATCATGGTACTTCCAAGGAAGGGGCTTAATTATTTTAGCTAGAGTTGCCTTCTGAACATTCCTGGCTGTTTTATGTTTCTGAACTTATAAACTCAGATCCCTCTTTAACAATAGACTTCCATTGTTCTGAAAGAGTCACCACTATGACTTTAAGTTAAATGAAAGTAGAATAAATCCATATTCCTTCTTATGAAAGACGCACTGAAACCTGCCTACTTGAGTAGAGCCCAAGCTCAGGCTGAGGGAGACTTGTTGCTTCTCCAGACCCACAACCTACTATGGATTGAACATCTGCATCCCCTAACCCCAAATACATATGTTGAAATCCTTACCACCAAGGTGATGGTATTAGAAAGTGGAGCCTTTGGGAGGTGATTAGGTCATAGGTACAGAATCTTCATGAATGGAATCAGTGCCTGTATAAAGCATGCCCAAGAGAGACCTCTCACAACTTGAACGTGTGGTATCAGGTTCAGTTACAAGGATTTGTACATACTATTTACTGTTTCACTCTGCTGGAACTTTTCTAATTTGCCTTTACCATTTCTAATTTCTAATAATCCATTTCTAATAATCCATTTCTAATAATCCATTTCTAATAATCCAGCAACCACAGAATTGTGGGTATTTTTGAAGAAAATGTGGCTTGTGTATGAACATATCTGAACTACTAAAACCGTGATCGTCCTGAACATTGTTTATACCCTCCTTTGAAAATAAATCTGATTTGCTGCCTTTTTTTTTTTTTAACATAGTTTCAATGCCAACTCTATACCTCATTTTAACTTCATGACCTCTATCAAGATCTTATCTTCAAACAAGGACACATTCTGGCTGGTTAGGATTCCAACACATATTTTCTTTTTTGGCAAGGGTCAGAGGAAATTTCATGTAATTAAATCCATTTTTTTCTTTTTTTTCCTGGGTTGTATTCACCCTCCTACAGAAGCAGAAGTGACTACAGCTCAATGGTTGGAGGGCAATGAGACAAGTGGGGAAAAACCAATTACATGTTACCAAAGTAGTTTAAGTAAAGGCAAAAAGACTAGGAGCTCATTTCCCAACAAACTCCTGCCTTTCACAACAGAAATTTATTTCTAACAGTTCTGAAGCCTGGAAGTCTGAGATCAGGGTGTTGGTATGGTCAGTTTCTGGGGAGGGCTGTCCTCTTAGGTTCTTAGGTTGCAGACAATCCCTTTCTTGGTGTGTGCTCACATGAGCGCTTCCTTATGTGAATACAGAGAAAGAGAGAGAGAACAAGCTCTCTGGTGTCTTTTATAAGGTCACTAATCTCACCATGAGAGTCCCATCCTCATGACCTTATTTAATCCTAATTACCTCCCAAAGGCCCAACCTCCAAACACCATCACACTGGGAGTTAGGGCTTTATCAAATAAATCTGGAGGTTACACATGTTCAGCCCATAACACCAAGAGATGTTCTGATTTATTTTATATAGAGTGGAGCCTGTCTATCTGAACTTTTAGAACTTCATAAGCAGTTGGGACACACAGCTACTTGCTCAGATTATTTTCTTTTCCTTCCTTCCTTCCTTCCTTCCTTCTCCTCCTCCTCTTCCCTCCCTCCCTCCCTCCCTTCCTCCCTTCCTTCCTTCCTCCTCCTCCCTCCTTCCCTCCCTCCCTTCCTTCCTTCTTTCCTTCTCCTTCTTTCCTTCCTTTCTTCCCTCCTTGCTTTCAACAGGGTGTCACTCTCTTACCCAGGCTGGAGTACAGTGGTGCAATCTCGGCTCACTGCAACCTCTGCCTCCTGGGTTCAAGCCTCTTCCCACCTCAGCTAATATTTTATATTTTTTGTTAGAGACGAGATTTCACTATGCTGCCTAGGCTAGTCTCCAACGTCTGAGCTCAAGCAATCCACCCACCTCATCCTCCAATGATGCTGGGATTACAAGCGTGAGCAACCTTGCCTGGTCCCAACTATTTTCATAGCTCTTTATCTCTATGGAAAAGTCTAGTAATTTTGTATTGTTGGTTAACACAAAAGACCACAGGCAAGTAGTCAGAAGCCACAGCATCTTTCTCCACCATTCCAGTGGCTTGGTGCCTGTCTTGTCACCCTTCTTCATCTGTAAGTACCTAAAGAAAAGTTACCCATCTCTGACAGCCCTTCTCTAAACCTCCTTAGAGGCAGCTACTCATTAAGCCCTTAAAAATACAAGCTGACTGGTCAAATAGAATCTTGAATTATTTACTTCAACTCTTTTGCTTCAAAAATGGTACAAATAAAGCATCAATACATGCACATTATTAATTCTCTTCTGTAATAATCTGAGGAACACATTGGAAATTTTACTGTATCTAAATTCTGTTATTCGTGTCCATGTGAAAAGACCACCAAACAGGCTTTGTGTGAGCAATAAAGCTTTTTAATAAACTAGGTGCAGGCAGACTGAGTCCAAAAAAGGAGTCAGCAAAGGGAGAGCGGGGTGGGGCAGTTTTATAGGATTTGGGTAGGTAGTGGAAAATTACAGTTAAAGAAGGTTTTCTCTTGCGGGCAGGGGCAGGGGCCACAAGGTGCTCCATGGGGAGCTCCTGAGATTCATTGTCCAGGAGAAGGAACGTCACAAGGTCAACTGATCAGTTAGGGTGGGGCAGGAACAAATCACAATGGTGGAATGTCATCAGTTAAGGCAGGAACTGGCTATTTCACTTCCTTTGTGGTTCTTCAGTTGCTTCAGGCCATCTGGATGTACACGTGCAGGTCACAGGGGATATGATGGCTTAGCCTGAGCTCAGAGGCCTGACAAATTCAGAGTTTAGGGGCTAAGAGGTTATGATGGCTTAGCTTGGGCTCAGAAGCCTGACAAATTCAGATTCTAGGGGCTGAGCCTGGACTAACCAAATAATAGAAATACTGAAAGACAAACTTAGCCTCTATTTTGTAATTAGTCTTTCTATATATGTGTTTTATACTCTGGTGAATCTAAACAACTCCAATGTAACAGAGCACTTAGTAGGTCAAATCTTATTCTGGTGTTGCTGTTAGATGTACTAGAATTGAAAATGGGATCAAAAGAGATTTTCTTCCTACAGAGATAAATTATGGATAGAAGCTCAGGATAGGCAGTCTTTGTCCCTCCCCTTCAGTTTCATCCTTTGCAACTTTGTTATGTAATATTTTTAAAAAGGTATTTGGAATGCCAGTATCCTGGAAAATATATTATAAATATAATAATCTGAAATTCACAGCCTCCTGTGCCCAACTCCCTGCCACCAAATCAGAGTAAAAATCACTCACATGCTTTTAACTTCTGGAAAATAACAGTTTACTATCAGTCCATCCATTATTGGATTTTTCCATTAACTTAGTGCACCCTGATTTGTTTGAAGAGATAAATTTCACCCCCAGCATTTCTTTAATAATCCTTTTTTACTTTCTTCTTATCTCTCCTCTTGCTGCTATTGTTTGATAGTGCCATTTAAACAGGTCTTTCCACAAGGTTACTCAAATTAAACATTAGCTAGCTTTAAAAAGTAGCTACAGAAAACTATCTAGCAAGATAAACATCTACTCGCTAAACTTTTGAGATTTGTTTATTTCCACCTTGATTGTCTCAGGGGAGTGTTGTTTAAAGACCACCTGACTTGCTTTCTGTTGTATACTCAGATATTAGGCCTTCTGGTGCCAACCAGACCATGTGACATTGGTAATTGGCTAGACTTAACTTCATTTTTTTGATAGCAAATTTAACATCTATATGTTTTTTGCTAAGGTTCAAGAGATGGAAATTCTACATTTGGAGATTCATTTCTTTGAATTAATAGCAAATATTAAAGAAACAATTTCTCCTTTTATCTATGGTCCTCTAAAACCAAAAACAATAAGAAAAAACAACTTCTTAGCTAACACCTAAGTGAGAATCAGTTTATGGTAGATGGTCCTCTTATAGAAAATGCAGATAAGCTGAGAGCCCTGGATGCACAAATGCAGGGGTGCTGGATACTACAGAGAGAAGATCAAGCCTCAGAAAGAAAAGTTACAGGTCGGGGGTATCACAGGTAAACTTCTCATATTTAATCAAGGACAAACCCTGAGTAGCAAGCCCTGTCTTACGGCAAGAATCCTCTCTTCTCTGATTTTGTGGTGAGTGGACAGAGTCTTTATGTTCAGACGTGCCTCTGAGGAATTCCTGGTCTCTCCACTATTACTCATGAAATCGGGACAATATTGAAATTCATTGAGTTCAGTGTCATTATCTATGAAAAGTTCATAATAACATATAATGAATAGTGCTGTTGGGACAATCAGATGAAATAATGTTCCTAAGGTGTCTGGGTTGAGTAGAGCCTGCATACATACCAGTCCACATCCAGCACAGAAATCTCCCCTTGGCTTCCTATACCTCTTCAGTTTTTTGCTGTTCTCCTCCTTCAGCAGCACATGAAAGAGGGATCTGTCATTTTGGCAGAGCATGATGAAAACTATGTTAGAGTTGCCTGAGAAGTCGAAGCTCAACAGTTGGCTCTACCTATTTTCTCTCCCTGTTTCTTTCCTCTACCTCCCCAAAGAAAAAAGGAAGTGTGTGGCTGGGCTTTGAAGAAACAGGACTGGTAGTTTTTAACGTCAGCACTATTAACATAAAAAAACCACTGGGAATTCCACGACCTATTTTTCTATGATATACATGTACAGATAGCCAAAGACCTGTAGAAAACACCAGAAGAAAACCAAGTGAACTTAAATTTTACTTTATTATATACTATAGTACATAATAATAATAGTATATATTATTAAATATAATACTATATTATCCTATAGAATATAATATATAGAATAGTATGAGACCATTGCATAACATATAGAATAATATATCCCTAATGCAGATAAGCTGAGAATAATTTATTAAATATTACAGGATAGTATTATATGATAATGCTATACTATTATTTACTAGTTTATCATTAAATAGCATGTATATATATATAGCAGGCATATATATATATACCTATATTACTGCATATACCTCTAGAATGCAGCGTAAGGTGCTCTTTACAATTAGGTGGCAGAACATGTGGAAGACAATGAAGAATCCTTAGTGACAACCTGTGCACAGTTCATGGGAAGTCAGTTTTTAAGTAATGTGGAATTCAGGTGAAATAAGTGTGTATTGGTGTGTGTGTATAAGTGGAATTCAGGTGAAATAAGTGTGTATTGGTGTGTGTGTATAAATAAGGGCAAATAGAAGGAAGAAGATACAAGCAAGAAGAAAGCAAATTCTGAAGGCTTCAGTTGCTCAGGATCAATCAATGTACCTCCTGAAACCCGCCAGGTTGGATTGCCTAGATGAGAGCGAGACTATTTTCTTTTGATCTTTCAGTCACTGCCTCTGTAAGTATAAAATAATAATATCGATCCAGGGAAGAGGATAATGGTTTCTCAGTCAAAATGTTATTTGTCATTGGAATTCATTTCCTTGTTGCTTGATTTTTACGTCACTGTCCCAGGTCTTCAATCTTCATCAGGTCCAAGGAAGTTGTTGGGACATGCGTGAAAGGGACCCAGCCTGGCCAGGTGGATCTTCTGCCAGGACTCATGCTCCACCTCCCTGCCTCTCTTTCTTTCTACCCTTGATATAATAATTTTGATTTTTAGTCCCTGACAAGATTGTGAATTAGTATAATATGCCTCTGTCTCCCGAAGCTTGTCCTGGTGGTATAACATAGGAGAGAAGTGTTAGATACACAAAAGCAACACAATGTGAACAATCTTGGAGACATAGGAAGCAGTTTTGACCAAAAAAAGGAGCATATGGAGACTACTATGGGGGAAAACTCCATTGTCATCCGCATTGAGAGGATAAGACACAGGAGAGCTTTTGCTATGTGAATTAGAGGAGCAATAACAGCAAGGAGACATCATCAGAGCAACAAGGTAGATACTAGAAGAAAAGAGAGGACCCAGCAGTTATAAAATTGACTCAAGGGGCACACAGGAAATAAAAATATGAATTAAAATTAAAAATTCAATAGAAAGGATAAATAGCAAAATGTATCCAGCTAAAATATAGTGCGACCTAGAATATGGGGTTTGGGTGCTACCACAAGACAAAAGGAAGGAATAGAGAGATAGAAATTTTTTTTTTTTTAAGTTAGGGGATGTAAAGAAGAGAACTGTAAGTTTTCACGTTTTTATGATAAGGTTTTATAAAGGAAAGAAAGGACATAAATGGAGGTGAAAATATATTTTATGAAATAAGGGGTGAGAGTTAATTAGATTAGAGGATAATGAAAGACCTCAGATTGAAAAATATTACAGTGTGCTGAAAAATTAGATAAGGAAAATCCACAATATAGACAACTTACAGTGAATGATAAGAATAAAAATGGCAATAATAATATATTAAAATTTTTTCAGAAAAAAACAGATCATTTAATATTTAGCTTCTCCACAGCAATACAAGGAAAACTAAAGGGGCAATATTTTCAAAGTGTTAAACAAAATTAAACTTAAAATTTTTAATAAGATAAATTTAAAAAATAAAGCTATTTTCAGTTCTCATGAGGTTTACCCTACACAACCCTCTTTCAGAAAATTATTGGGGGAAGTACTCAGGCAAGAAGAGAAATAATTTCTAGCAGAAACACACAGACACAGACATGCACACACATGAAATGTACATGAAATAAGTACATGAAATCAGGAATGAGTAAATAATTCTGTCAAGTTTATTGTCTAAAGAAGCAAAGAAAGTACATATTGCCTAGAGAAGTGAAGATGATACATATCTGAGGCTACTGAGATATTTTCAATTACTATATGGGCATAGGGGAAGAGAGAGCTACTAATAAAGTTAAAATAATATTTTAATATACACTTATAAGTTAAACATAATTGAAGGCTAAAAATAGAGCGTATATCAAGAAGAAATAGAAGAGATAATCACACAATAGATTTAGCATTGAGTGACAATGCAAATGCATTTCTAAGAGGGAAATTAATAAGCATTCAGTTTAAAAAGTTGGACAAAACAAACAGAAGAAGAAAGCCAATGAAGCAAGAGGGGAGCCAATCATGATTAGAGAATACATGAGCATGCAATCCCCAGGGGCAGAGATTTAGTCTGCTTTGTTCATTGCTAAATCTGGGTGCCCAGAACAGTGCCAAGCAAATGACAGGTGGCTCAATCAATATTTAATAAGTAAATGAATAAGTAAACCCTGTAATACATAAAGAATATTAGCAAAAAATGTATTTTAAAGGATTCCTATGGTAAAGATATCTCTGGCAAGACATATAGAACAAAATAAAAGAGAATATAAAATCAACATGATATAGAAAAAAGTAATGAATATGTGTACACAAGGGGTTTTAAAATAATACAAATTTTCTTATAGCAGCTATACAGTAATACATTTGAATATATTTGAAATCTAGAAAGAAGAGAGACAATTGTATAAAAATATTAAAGGCCAAAATTGGAGTAAGAAGAGTAAAAACCCTGAATAGACCAATAATCATTAGAGAAATTGAAATGGTAATTTCAGGCTTTCCTCAAACGATGCCTCAAGTCCAAATAGCTTCATAGCTGAGTTCTTCCATACTTTCAAGGGATAGATGGTTCCTAACTTATAAAAGACTTTTTAGAAAACTAAAAAAAAAAGGTTTTAGAAAACTAAAGTTTTGAGGAGGCTAATATATATTGAATAAAGAAAATGCAAAATAAGACATTTATAGATTCGTGTTATCTATCACCACATATAAGACTAATCATATAACTATATTTTGTAGTTTATAGTGTGTATTTTATGTTTTAAATTTAAAAATAAATTATATTGTATATATCTAAGGCATACTATGAGGCACACATAGGTAGTAAAATGGTTACTATAGTGAAGCAAATTAACACATCCATCATCTCAAATGTTTACCCCACCCCCTTGTTTTTTGTTGTCAAGAGCAGCTAAAAGCCACCCATTTTGCAAAAATTCCAAATATTGTACAACATTATTACCTGTAGCCCTCATGTTGTACATTAGGTCTCTAGGCTTATTCATCTTACATATCTACTATTTTGTATCCTCTGATTTATATCTTTTCATTGTTGTAGTCTCTATGTTTGTATATTTGACTCTTTAAAAAATGATTCCACAAAGATCTGTGATCATATAGTATTTTTCTTTTTGTGTCTGGCTTAATTCACTTAGCATAATGTCCTCCAAGTTCATCCAGGTTTTAGCAAATGATAGGATTTCCTTTTCTAAAGCTGAATAATATTCAATTGTATGTGTGTATGTTATAGTTTTTGATTTATCTGCCAAATAATTATTGTAATCCATATAACTGTTTTAATTGCTTCAAAAGATTCATTTACTAAATTTCAATGTTAACTTTTGGTATAAACTCAGAAAATCAGTGGTAGAATGAAACTTCCCTAACTTAATAAAGATCATATAATTAAAACCTACAACAATTTCATATTTAATAAAAAAATTTCAACCACATTGCTTCAGGTTTGTGAATCAGATAATGATGGCTTTTATAATCACTCTTGTTTAACATAGTACTGAATTTCCTGACTAATGCTGCAAGAAAAAAGAAGAAATAAGAAATGTAAAGATTAGAAGAGGACAAATACAATTTAGGATTCGAGTAAGATGGTCGTCTATATAGGAAATCCAGCATACTCCCAAGATGAAATATTAGACTTAGTTGAATAATTAGGCTATTTGATATAAAATCAATTTATAAAAATCAATAGTGTCCGTTTACCAACAATAATTATCCAGAAAATCGTATAAAACATATAACATTCAAATAGCAATAAAAGTATATCTAAAGTTTCCAAAAAAAAAATCTGACAAAGATTGCAAAAACACTTTTACAACAGAAATGTTAAGCTTCATTAATTGACCTAAAAGCAAATTGAAAACAAATAGAAAGCAATATGTTCCTGGATTATTCAACTTAATTTACAAAGAGGCCAATAGTTTCCAGATTTCATCAATAAACTCAATGTAATCTTAATAAAAATCTTAACATTTTGACAAAATTGAAACTTTTATTCCAAAACATAAGGAAAGATGAAAGTGCTATAGATAATACTTTTTAAAAGAAAAGTAATGAGAGCATTTCCTCTGGGTATATTGCAAATTCATTGTAAAAAGAAACAGAAAAAAAAAAACCATGAAAAATCTGATACCAAAACAAAAGAAATAAATGGGCTAAAGAATAGGAAAAAGTAAATTAATAAAATAATACTCACTTGCTTAAAGTAATACTCATTTGCATATTGTAATTTGATTTAAATCACAGAGGAAGGAAAACTGGCTAAATTTATAGAAGAAAAAAGCTTAATTCTTACCTTCCACCATAAAAGAAAGTGCCACTCCATGGATTAAAGATTTAAATGTGGAAGATAAATCTACATAACTCAAAAAAAAAATAAAAAATTGGAGAAAATCTTTATCACCTAGGAGTAATGAAGAACTTCTTAAATAAGATGGCAAAAGGAAAAATATAAAAGTAAAAATTGGTAATTGTGAATATTTAAAAATTAAGAATATCTATTTAATGAAGGAAATCATTAATAAAGTTTATCATGGAAAATAGATAATAATAGTAGATATATTTTTTCCAGTGTACCATAAAAAAATTACTTGCAAAAACAAAAGCCAACATAAAATTCAATATAAAAGGAATTCCTAAAAGTAAATAAAAATGAAGGGGGTAAGAGGTCTCTTAAAAAATCATTAAAAGCTGTGAATAAGGAATTAAAAGAAATTACAATCAACAAATAACTATTATTAATAATAATACTAACATCTTTACTATTATTATTAGAGACTTCTGGTCTGGAGAAGTGGAACACAACTTCAACAGCGTGTGGCCTTGAGAATGGAGTATAGGTGGGAGTTGAGATGAAAGAACAGTCATCAGAGATACGTGTACCCTTCTCAGCCTCTGTGTATTTGAAGCTTCAGACACATCTCCATGGAGCTGTAACTGGATAATAGGAAAACGGCACACGACAATGAATAACCAAGAAGATGGCCCTTGTGGCCATCTGTGAGACAGTTTCTGGGGCTTTTTAAGAAAATGTTGGTGACGAAATTAGAAGGAGTCTTAAGAAAAAGTTTAGAAGTATCGCAATAACCAGTGGGAGAACAACCAGATGAATGTCATCTGGGAGCTGTTATAAAACCACCTTTTCATACCTTGGGACTAGCTTGGGAAATCAGAGCCTTAAGGATGAAATATCAGAGCCTAGACGCTGGTTCTATAAAGAGAAGTAGATCATGGAGGCTGCCATCTGAGGACAGAAAACCTTTACTGTCACTCTAATTAAAATAAAAATTATTACTATTCTTCCAAGTAAGCTTAAATCAGAATACTGAGCAAACAGCTTCATCATGAATAGCTAGAAATATTAATGCTTGATGGTGATGACAGTGAGGAAACATGGGCAAAGAAGCAGAGGGCTCTGAGACTTGATGTTACCAAGGAAGTAAAGGAAATTGCCAGTTTAGGAATTAAATTAATTATTTCCTGACACTTTGTTAGTAGATATTTTATTCTGATTTAACATGGCTAATGTTCAGAAGCCTGATATCTCAGAATTGACAAAGACCTTCAATTCCGTTCAGCCCACTCATCATTGATAATGTTTATATGTATTTAACCAGATTATATGTCATCACATAGAATGTAAATTTACTCAATTGCTAGCTATTTGTTTTTGTAGAAATTTACAAGCTAAGATAAACAATTCATATGGAAATGTGAGGGATTCAGAATAGCCAAAACAATTTTGAAAATAACAGGTTAGGAGATTTTCAATTTCCAACTTCAAAACTGACTACAAATCTATCAAGTCAAGATAATGTGGTACTAGTATATAGATAAACATAAAGATCAATGGAATAGAAAAACAATTGAGAATCCAGAAATAAATCCATGCATTGGGTTGGATGATTTTTGAAAAAAGCACCAAGGTAATTAAATGGGGGAAGAATAGTGTTTTCAACAAATAGTGTGAAGCAAATGGATGTCTACATACAAAAGAATGAAGTTTAACACCTACCTTACACCATGTACAAAAATCAACTCAAAATGGATCATTGACCTAAATGTAAAAGCTTAAAACTCATAGAAGAAAATATTACACTAACTTCATAACTTTGGGTTGGACAGTGATTCCTAAAATACAACACCAAAAGCATGAGTGATTAAAGAATAAATAAATTGTAAATATTTGTGCTGCAAATGATACCATAATGAAAGTGAAAAGCAAACTCACTAAGTGAGAGAAAAATATTTGCAGTCATATATCTGATAAGGGACTTTTATTCATTATATATAAAGAGTTCTTACAATTCAACAATAAAAAGCCTAATTTAAAAATTGGCAAAATACTTGAATATATGGCTGGGCATAGTGGCTCATGCCTGTAATCCCACCACTTTGGGAGGCCAAGGCGGGTGGATCATGAGGTCAGGAGATCGAGAGACCATCCTGGCTAACATGGTGAAACCCCGTCTCTATTAAAAATACAAAAAATTAGCTGGGTGTGGTGGCGGGCGCCTGTAGTCCCAGCTACTCAGGAGGCTGGGGCAGGAGAATGGCGTGAACCCGGGAGGCGGAGCTTGCAGTGAGCTGAGATAGCGCTGCTGCACTCCAGCCTGGGCAACAGAGCAAGACTGCGTCTCAAAAAAAAAAAAAAATTGAATATATATTTCTCCAAAATACTTATACAAATAATAATCACATGAAAATATACTCAACATCATTACTTATTAGAGCAATGCAAATCAAAGCCATAATGGCATACCACTTCGCACATCCAAGGATGGCTCCAGAAAAAGTTATATCTATTAGGACTTTTAGTTGTTATCAATAATGAGGCAATAGTAAGTGCTGACAAGAATATGAAGAAATTGGAACCTTCATACAATGTGGGCGAGAGTGTAAAATGGTTACTTTGGAAAATATTTTGGCAGTTTTTCAAAAAGTTAAATACAGAGTTACCACATAATCCAGCAATTTCACTTACAGTATACACTGAAGAAAAGGGAAAACATATGCAGCTAACACTTGTACATGAATACTTACAGCAGCATTTTTACAACTGCCAAAAAGTGGAAAAAATCCAAATATCCATCACTTGAATGAATGAATATATGAAATGTAGTCATTCCACATGATGGAACATTATTCAACAGCAGGAAGGAATGAAGTACAGATACATGCCACAGTTTGGATAAACCTTGAAAATACTATGCTAAGTGAAAGAGGAAGCATCCACTAATGCTACACATTATTTAACTTTGTATATATGAAGTGTCCAGAACTGCAATCTTTTAATCCAGATAGTAGATGAATGATTGTCTACACCTAGGGTTGAAGGTGGGGAATGGGGAATAATTGCTAATGAGTATGGGGTTTTGTATGGAGTGATGAAACTGTTCTAAAATTGTATTGCGGTGATGGTTTCACAACTCTGTGATTACACAAAAATCCGAGAATTGTGTACTTTAAATGGGTGAGTTTTATGGTACACAAATTATCTCAATAAAGCTGTTAAAAAAGCAAGTGATCATTTTATCCTGCCTCTACTGTTTGGGATCAGATTTGGTCATTTAATGTAATATTTTCTATCCTTTCCAGTAAATACCAATTGCAAATGTGATATGCATGTCATCGGTATCATCATCCTAATCATTGATACATACTGTAAGTTAAAATAAAGTTAATGGCAAAGTTATTTTGTATGCTATTAATATCCTTCCTCTATGGTATTCATGATTGCTTTTTGTCCATGTTCATTCCAATAGGTAAATTGTGCATCTACTTACTTGTCAGCACCTATTATAAGGCAGGCATTACATTGGACGATGAGTATCCATCTAAGAGAAGGTTTAATGCCCACTCCCTGCCCTTAAAGGGAAGGTAGCCTGTTACATGAGCCAGAAAAATAAAGAGGTAAATCCTGGAAAAGTTGTTATCTGTTAGGATTTTTTAGTTGTTATCAATAGAAATCAACTCTTATTAACTTAATTCAAAAAGAAACTTAAATGTAAACTATGGAGTTGCTCACAGTACTGAAGGAAATTTGGAGTAACTAAGGCTTCCAAATGGACAAGAGCCAGAGTAGCTTCATGATAAAAGGCAGGAACCAATCAGTGTTGTTTTTGTCAGGCTGCCAGTGCTGGTAGTAATCAGCCCTAACCATTCTCCATCCTGGTGTCTTTTCACTCAAGATCTCAATTTTCAAGAGAGTAAGCTCAATTGGCCTAGCTTTATCTCAACCCACCACTTGGCCAGAAGGAAGCAGGACACTCTGGATGGCAAACCACCTAAGAATGCACATCACAAAGAAAGAAAATCAGAAAAAGAAGGCATGAATTCTGAGCAGAAAAAAAAAAAAAAAAAAAAAAAAAACCAGAAAATTGCCACTAAAATAGCTCTATGTCAGAAAAATTTAGAAGTACATAGCGTTAACACTGGAATAACCCCGAAGGGTTTAGGGTGTCTTCCTGTTGGAAGTGATGCTTTAACTGAAATATGAAAATAAATATCAGTATGAAGTAGGGAAAAGGGAGTGGAGCTGGAAAGTCACGAGGAATTTTAGCCCGATATTACTTCAGTAATATGAGTCAAGGCATAGAGGCTTGAAAACTATAATTCATTAAAGAAATGGGAAATTAGTTAGTCACACCAAGTCAACAGGAGACTTTTGGATATGGGATGTGAATATGGCTAAAGAAGTGGGCACTGGCAACCCTATAAACATCTTTCATGCCTTTACTGTAACAAATTCTGAACTTTGGAATTCAGGAGAATCATCTGAGGATCCTTAAGCAGTAGGTGATAGGATGAGATCTGCAATTCAGAAAGTCTGGCTATTGCGAAGAGTGGTTTGAGGGCTGGACAAGAGAGGCAGACTACTGAGGAGGTTATTTTTAAAAGTCCAGTGGAAACTTGAAAAGAAATATGTCAGGGAGATGCAATGAGGATTCAAGAGAGAGGTTCTATATGAAAGCTGTTACGGAGTGAAAAAGCCCAGGGCTGGATGAGTAATTGGATATTAATTGGAGAGAGAGTTTCAGAGAGACAGGAAGGAGTCAAGAATCTCACCTGGATTTCTAGTCTGGCTGAGTTCTCTAATTTCTTAGGAAGACTTTTTGCTGTGATGTTTACTATAGTAGCTCCAGATTCTTAGTTTGTGCCTGTCCTGTCTTTCAGATGACAGGATGGAGACAACACGTCCCTCAGGCTTATCTCTGGGCACTCATGTTCTAGGAATCCCGATTCTGATCCTATTGTGTTTGTTTTGGAGCCTCTGGAGTTTAGAAGTGAAATCCTAAGCAGTCTCATTTCCTCTGTCACCACAAGGCTTTGTTGTAAAGGCTTCACTGCCTTAGTGCCTGAGGTCAATTTAAAAGTGGCTGCAGTTTGGTCATTCGTGCAACCCTGAATCACTCTTTTCAAAGACAAGATGGAACACTCTCAGGGCAACGCCAGCAAGGCTTATTACTTTAGATAGTGCATTCTGTCCTGAATGCACTGAAAACGTAGTATAACTTTGGTGCTCGGCCAGTGTGATGCAATTCAAACTCACACTCCAAATGGTAACTTCTCTCTTGCATTATGGATTCACTGATCCAGGCGCGCAACTTAAACTTTCTGATTAATTCAGATGACCTTTTATCAAACGGAATCACCAGGTTTCTAAGGGGTCGTTTACTGTGACCCACCTGCGTCCCTGGCAAGACTCCACATAAATTCATGGAGGAGGTTAAGTGCTTAAGCTTTTCTTTTCTTTTTGTTCTTTTCTTTTCTTCTTTCCCTTCCCTTCTTTTTTTGAGACGGGGTCTCACTCTGTCACCCAGGCTGGAGTGCAGTGGCACGATCTCAGCTCACTACAACCTCCACCTCCTGGGTTAAACTGATTCTCCTGCCTCAGTCTCCTGAGTAGCTGGGATTACAGGTGTGCACTACCAAACCTGGCTAATTTTTTAAAATTTATTTTTAGTAGAGATGAAGTTTCACCATGTTGGCCAGGCTGGTCTTGAACTCCTGGCCTCAGGTGATCCACCCACCTAAGCCTCCCAAAGTGCTGGGACTACAGGCATGAGTCACAGTGCCCGGCTTCAAAGAGACTTCTGCTTATTGGAGCAGTCCCTAAAGGTGCCTAGTGTGAATCTTGCTTAGCCGGGAAGGTCTTCTAAGGATAAAGTATAGTTTGCTCCCTTGTACAAGTCACTTTCTTCTTGTTCTGGACTCATTAGAAGTAAGGGAATCTGTTTCTTGTCACTCACACACTTCTTCATATACTTGAGAATTATTATTAATTCCTTATTCAGCCTTCTTTTCTCTAGGCTAAATAAACTCTGTTCCTTTAGCCTTTCCTCAGAGGGAATATTAGTCAAACCTTTAATCATTTTAGTTGCTATCTTCTGGACTGCCTCCAAATTTTTCACAGCACACTTTATTTGGAAGAGCTGAAAGGGAATGAAGTAGGGTAAAAATCGCTTTAATTCAGATGCTGACAATTTGAAATTTGTGATAATTCAGATGGAGATTTTATTAACAAACACTTCCTTCATGGATTGTGCAAGTCCGAGGCAAACCAAATCAGGAGCACGTGGAGTCTTAGGAAATATTCAAAATGCTCATGAGAGCTAGCCTTTTCCCAAATGTATCAGTGGTGTACTTTCCCACAGAGCCACTCGTAGGCCACATGCAGGCACTGTTGTTACCTGGTCCTTTCAGCAAACTCCCAAAAGACCTACACTAAGTCACAGTGCAAGATTAGAATGAGTTGTTGTTATTGTGACCGTGTAGTCTCTCCCCAGTGAGTGTGCTCATTGGGCAAATAGCTCAGTCTGATATTGTTCCAAAACATGGGGCTGTAAGTCACCATGATTTCCGTATGTGTTCTAAAGTTACACAATTATATTTCAATTTGGTTTTGGGGCTTTTCTCCAGATCAGAGCAAATACCCTTTCATGAATCTCCATGATAGTTTTTTACTTCTGTGTGCAGAGATTGAGATGGTCCATGTTTAATTTCAAAATGTGTTCACTTTCCAAGTCCAAATTATTCATTCATGTATTGAATAAACATTTAATACATATCCACTTTGTTCCTAGTACTATATTTTCAAAAAAGAGTAAGATGTCCCCTATCCTCAAGGCTTCTTAGCTTGGAGTTGAGTATTATAATACAGGATCATTGAGAGCACAGTACATGTTTTCCAGGGAGGCCAAGGAAAGCTTCATAACAAAGGGGACTTCTAGAGAGGTGACCATATCACAAAGGGAAACAGGACTTTTGCAGGTAGACAAGATGGAGAAAAGAGTATATACAGTACCACGGAAGTCTGGGTACCTCATTATATGGAAACAATTTAATTATATTTCACTTATGCCTGCTATAATGACTGAATATTTTTGCTATGAAAATTCTAAACAAGAAGTCTCGCACCCATTTGTATATAAATCTTAATGATTTTAAGAGGACAAAATAAGAGTTCCACTATTGAGACATTTAATATTGTAGATAAGGAGATATAAAAATATTTTTGTTATTGGTGATGATGGGTAGTGATATGGTCTACCTGTGTTCCCAACTGAATCTTCCCTTGAATTGTAATAATCTCCACATGTCAAGGGTAGGGCCAGGTGGAGATAACTGAATCATGGGGCAATTTCCCCTATACTGTTCTCCTGGTAGTAAGTGTCACAATATCTGATGGTTTTATAAAGGGGAGTTCCCCTGCACAAGCTCTCTTGCCTTGCCTGCCACCATGTAAGACATGACTTTGCTCCTCTTTTGCCTTCTGTCATGAGTGTGAGGCCTCCCCAACCATGTGGAAATGTGAGTCAACTAAACCTCTTTCTTTTATAAATTTCTGGGTATGTCTTTATTAGAAGCATAAGAATAGACTATTATAGATAAATTTGTAATGATGGGCAGATTGGAGGATATATCACAAATATACAGCAACAATGTATTTCCTGATTGCTAAGATTTAATTCCCAGTACTAGGTAGGGCTAGAAAAACACAGGCTTCACAAAATAGAGATAAGCTCTTTTCTCTAGGTATATTGAGAAATATCAGATTTCCTTCCAGTTAGGGAGATCCTAAGATCGCCCAGAAGCAGCTAATTCATAGGGACCCAGCTCTTCATAGCAGTTCAGGGAACTTCTATAAGTTCAGACAGTTCAGGGAACCTGAGAGGCCAGAAGTATTTCTCTAGTGAAAGCTCTTCAAAAGAAATCATGAAAAGTATGGACTAAATGTTCCAAGTGGATTTATAATCTGCCTCTGTCCAGAGTAAGCTTTATTTTCCATGAGTTTTGGCAGGAGGATCTTTATCATCAACATAGCTCCTAATCTAATGGAGTGCATTATCACTCTCTGCTCATGTGAAAATCAGGAGAGAGAGAGAGTCTCAGGACAAGAAAAAGAGCCACAGCTGTGATATTTGGATTCTAATTCTGTCCCTTATTAACTAAATGATCTTGAACCAGTGACATAACCTGTCTGTGTAATGTGTGGATAGCAATCGTATGTACTTCATAGGGTCACTGTGAGTTTTAAATGAGTTAACATATGTAACATGTTTAAGTCAGGGTTGGAACACAGTTGATGCTAGATGTGTATTTCCTGTTATAGGATGGGTTTCTACCCAATGCCTAAGGGTAAATGACTCATGGCAGGTTTCCCTCATTCTTTCAATGGGTACCATATACCATGTACTATGTGCAAGAGGTTAGACCAGTGCTTCTCAAACCTTCATGTGCCTGTTGTTCACTTAGGGGCCTTTTTCTAAAGCAGATACTGATTCAATAAGTCTGGGATAGAGCACCAAGATTCTTTAGTTCTTAAAGTTCCCAGATGATGCTAACACTACTGACCAGTGGACTAGATTTTGTGGAGAATTAGCATAGATACTTGAATCATGGATCTATTAGTCCATTTGGGTGGGTCTAAAAAAATACAGGCTTAAGTGCTGCTTCCAGGTGTAGACATCTGGGTTTGGTTACAATGTCAAATTTCTTCATTTCTCTAAGTACTCTCTCAATTACAACCTGTGTAATGTATTTGTACCCTACTGCTTGTGATTTATAAATTGTGGCCCTCTCATCAGTTACTCTTTAAATTCTTACACTAACTCCTTAATTAAGATACAGTCAGAATACATCCTCTGAACAATTCACAGCCCTGACAAAACCTGGTGCTTAGGGACAAGTTAAATCGATAAAGATTTCCTTCTAGCATTGGTTCTCAAACTTTACCATTTATTGGAATCACCTGGAAGACTTTTTCAGTCATAAACTGCAGGACTCCATCTCAGGAGGTTCTGATTCAGAAAGTCCAGTTTAAAGGCCAACAATTTACATTTCTAACAAGAGCCAAGGTGACGCTAATGCTGCTGGTTTGAAAACCATACTTGGAGAATCAAATGCCTTACAGTAATGAGGTCTGCGTGTCTGCGAAGAGGAACTGACTGTTTGGACAAGGGTGGCCAATCATACTTGATACCATCAGGTTCAGAAATAGCACAAATGCAATACACATGTAACCAAGAGATTAAGGGAGTATAGAGGAGGACAAATCCTATTTCATCAAAACTCACAGCAGCTGAAACCAGCTCACAGCATCCAAAGCCCTTATTTACTGTCAGCAGAGAGGGCCGCATGAAATTGAGGAAAATGATTATGTATAAAGGCCAATCCTGGCTTCTGTGTATTTCAAAATCAAATAATAATGAAGCCCAGACAATTTACAAATTTTTCACTGAAATGCACCATAAAAGTATCCTAATTAGCATATCACCATGCATCAAATGTTAACATTCACCTCTACCTCCTTCTGAAATCTTTTTCTGATAGCTTGAGGCAGAGGTAAATGTTTCCTCCCCTGGGTTGTGTAGTGTCCATACTACACTGGTAGTAGTTATAATTTTATGCTACCATTTACAGGATAACCATTCAAGTTTTTAGACTTGAAACTCATAGAGGATGATGAACATGCCTTTTATTTCTGTGTTTTCAGTGTCTCTCACAGTGCATCTAACATATATTTTAGTATTGCATGTCTGCCTTCAGAAATGATAATAAAAATTGCACTGCGTTCAATACACCTGTTTCTGTTACAAAGTCCAGTGTTAAATATGTATAATAATTGGTAGAAGAAGGAAGTTGGCATTATGTCATTGTTAATACAGATATTATATCTATAGGAGAATAGTATTTTCCCACCTGAAATAACTTCAATAACACGTTCAATTCATGTATGATGCAAAATTAATGTTTTTGAAAACTTCCTGGTAAAGATCTCAAAGCTACATTATGAGAAGCATGATTTATAAATAAGATATATTTAGACAATGGAATATTACATAACAGTGAAAAGCAAATGAAATATAACTAAAATTGATCCTCACTATGTATGGGCTTATGTCGTTGTAAAGTTGCCTACTTGCTAAAATTTATTTGTAACTTCAAAATCACATGGTCATTTGTGATAATGCACACAATGGTGAAAACACGTGAGTTGTGACATACATATTCCCAGCTGAGGTCAAACAAGGAGATGCTCTGACTTTTTGCTTCAGCTCTCAGGCTTTAAAAAAGTGACCTTTGCATGGTCTGTTTAGTGCCCTATTTTTCTCACTTTACTGTTTTTTGTAAGTGGTTTTGCTATTCAAAATTGACCCCAAGTGAATGCTGAAGTCCTGTCTAATATTCCTCAGTACAATAAAACTGTGTTGTACCTTACAGAGAAAAAGCTATGTGTTAAAAAGTTTTGTTCAGGTATGACTGATAGTATGGTTGGCCATGAGTTCAATTCTAATGAGTCAACAGTATGTATCAAATAAGGCATCTTTAAATAGAAACACACATAAAACAAGTTTATGCATTGATTGGTTGATGGAAATGTTGTAATCAGAGTTTCACAGGAACATAAGCCTGTATTTTCCCTAAAAGCAATAGTTCAGTATTGGCTAATGCATTGTTCAGAGTGGCTTTATATAACATCGTTATTGAATCATGAGAGTCAACTATATAGCAACTAGATAAATTTTAGTGACATAATTCTAAGCGAAAATAGCACATCCTAGAAGACTGTGTGGTCCCCTACTTATAAAATTCAAAAGCAACTAAAACAAAACAGTACAATGTTGAAAAAAGTACTTTAATAAAGTGAGGAAAAAGAAAATTCAGGGTAGTGATTACCTTGTGAGGGCAAAAGGAATGGGACTGGGTAGAAGCAAATTGGTAGATATGAGGTATTAAGTGCTGGGTTCATGATTGTCATCTGTTTAATGTCTCTATGGTTTGTATATGGTTTATTTGGCCCTTCCAAGTCTCATGTTGAAATTTGATACTCAGTATTGGAGGTGGGGAACTAATGGGAGGTGTTTGGGTCATGGGGGTGAATACCACATGAATGGCTTGGTGCCGATTATGAGTAAGTTCTTGCTCTGTTAGTTCCCTCAAGAGTTCTTTTGAGAGCTGGTTGTTAAAAAGAGTCTGACACCTTCTTCCTTTCTCTTGTTTCCTTTCTCGCCATGTGATCTCTGCCCACATCAGCTCCTCTTCACCTTCCACCATGAGTGGACCAACCTGAGACCATCACCAGAAGCAGATGCTGGCCTCTTGCTGCTTCTACAGCCTGTGGAACCGTGAGCCAAACGAACAAAAAACCTCTTTTTTTAAATAAATTATCCTGCCTCAGATATTCCTTTATAGCAATACAAAAATTGACAATATCTAACTAAAATAAATTGACAAATTAAGAGAGGATAATTTAAGAAAGACGACATGGGCCATAAACCAAGGATTATAATTAAATTAATTCATTGCGCCGATATCTATTGATACACATCTGTACATTTTACATACCCACAAATATTTGTAGTGATTGAATGGATAGATATCTTCTGTCCCATAGAGGTGGCTTTTCTCCCTTTAAATTGAGGCTTTCTCAATGAGACCCTGAGGCAGCTATCTACATGAAGAATTGGAAGGCATCCTCCCACACACAGACACTGTGAGTGCTCACACTTTACCAGCAACTGCATTACTCATGTCATTTCTGACAGTTCAGATACCTAATGTATGGATGTGTCACTCACAGAAAGGTGTTCCACAGTGTGTAACAGCACCTAGGTACCATCATGCAATTCAGATGCATCCCTGACCCAAGTCATCAAAACTGCACACTGAAAGAAGGTAGAACAATTGTTCAAACTGAGATCAGAAATACAGACCAAAAGAAAACTTAGATCTCATGTGATTTAAAGCTGTAGTTTAGAATGTTTACAATCTCAGCTTTAAAGCCAAGAATTCTGTGGAAATGGGCAATATAAAGTGTCTCTAGTGTTGAGATGGATACAGAAAATGTAAACGTTTTTAAGTATGAGTTTGCTGCCAGTTTGCCAGGATGGCTAAATCTAGAAAAACCTGAAACTAGTGTGATTGGATTTGGGAAAAGGCAAGTATTGCTAAGGCAACAAGGAGTGTACTCTCTTAAATGAGAAATCAAGGTGTATTCTCACTGGAGGTTTGCCTTTGATGTATGAATGTTACATACCAGCAACCAGTTTGCTCATAGCGGTTGATAATTTAAGGTGATTTGCAGAATGCACCTTGCTGTATCATGCAAATGACACGACCTTCTCTGCCTGGGCTGCAATGGAGTCAGGCTGGTGGAACTGAAACAAATGCCTGATATTCAAGCAGCATTTAATCACACATTTGGTTTGATTTACTAATGCTATTGTCTTTCCATTTTCTGTTAAGAAATTATTAGCAGGAAGTAACTCGGCCTGAACGCCACAATATGTTGGATCAATTTGAGAGACAAGATAGATCACTGGGATTTCTTCCGTCAAATGGAACCATTAGACTTGCATATTAAAAAAGTATATACTTCTGTTTCGAGTGTATAAGTGATACATTGCTTACCATTATGCAAAAGGCCACCCAAGACAACAAGAGGAGAGATATGAATGGATGGCAGGGAAGGTATGATAAATATGTCATTGTATACAAAGCTTATATTAGACTGTGGGTATCTTGTTATGTTGCGGGGAGGTTTCCTCTTTTCCTTAGAAGGCAGCTTACCAATTCAACATTGTCATCCATGAACTCAGTGAGAGTCCATCTTCTGCCCTTTACACACACATGCTATCATTAAAATATATTACAACTATAACTACCTGCTCATATGGCAGCTCTTAAGTCTGGGCTTTTGACAAGCACTGCTCAAAAATCAAACTCAAGACACATTCTCATCCCCTAATGCATTTTTCATCAATAGTTGTTTTTCTCTGTCACATAGGGTCTGTTTTTGAGTGTCATGCCGTCTTTTGCTATCCAGTGCATGGACAGAACAGCTGAGTAATTATATCAATGTGACTGCAATTTTACCTTTGGGGCCCTCTTGCTTCACTGACACACAGGTGACTAAACCAGGAATGGTGACATTCCTTGCTGATAGGAATTGACCATGTGACTCTATCAACTGGCAGTACAGCAGGCAGCTGAGTCACATGGGATAACTTTACAGCTTAGCAGTGTGAGTCTCAGAAAGCTAGGCAAAATGAGACCCTAGGCACTCCATCCCAAGTGAGTTTGGTTTCAGATTATGACTGAACAAATAAAATCTAAAAAGATGGTGTGGACCAGGGAAAGAAGGAGCCCTCTGGACTCTCTAACCTTGAATCAGGCACTTAAGACTTTTGAGCATCCATTTCCTTTTCCACCTTCCAATTAGATACGGTAAAGAGCAGTAATAATAATAGTAATAGTCACTAACATTAAATGATTTAATAAGTGGCCTTTGCATGCCCTTGTTTATTAGCAAGAAAATAAACACACAAAAGCACTGAGGCTGAATGCACTTAGAACCAAAGCAATTTGTACAAAAGCAAGTTGGGCAACAGCAACAAGAAATGGATCCAAAATGAATATTTTCTGCAAGTGTTTTTTTCCAATGTTGACCATTTGGGTGCACAACAAGGTAGATTCATAAGCCTTTATGAAGGCTTTTAAGCAATTTTCCATGTTACAGATTTTGTTGGTTTTCTTGTTTTCCTGTGTTTTACTGTTTGTACATTTCCATTTTACTTCCAGCTGAGTTTTTATCCTCTTTGCTATTTGTAACCATGAAAAGATGCTCATTTAGTTTGCCTTCAAGTAATAATATCCTATTGTTGGTCACCTCTTGTTACTGTCATTTTGGTTGCTCCGATGTATATACTTATCCAAAACCTAGAATGCCTAGTTTGGGCCAGTGAACCAGAATCTGGGCAAAATAAGAAAACACGCAACGAAAACTTAAATGGTCCCTGTACTTATTGCACTTGCCGAAATGCTGAGCATCTGCTATATGCCAGAAGCTGAGCTTGACCCTGAGGCTATGGTAGTCACCCTAACAGACAGCACCCTTGCTTTCAAGAAACTTACAGTCTAGCAGCAAGAGGTAGATAACAAAAAAGTAAATATATTTAAAAAAAATCAAAGTATAAACTCCACGAAGGAAATCGAGCAACATGAAGTGTTAAAGAGTAACTGAGAGTGTTACAAACTGTGAATGGAAGGAGGGGAATGTACTAGCCGTGATCAGATCTAGGAAGAAAATATTTCAAGGAGACTTACAGTAGTTTATCTGGAACAGATGATTTTGTAGAAAGGAATATGAAATAAGATTGGAAACATAGTTTGGGAAAAAAGTCTTTGAAAGCTGCGAATATCACAGAGAAGCAGTCTTAGCGGTTGAATTGTGTCCATCCAAAAGATGTTAAAATCCTAAGCCTCAGTACCTGTGAATGTCACCTTATTTGGAAATAGGGTCTTTGCAGGTGATCTAAGATGGGGTTTTTAGGATGAGCCCTAGTCCAACATGACTGAGTCCTTATGAAGTGGGAAAATTGGATAGAGAGACATACACTGGGAATGTTATGTGAACACAAAGGCAGAGATTGAGGTGATGCGTCAACAAGCCCAGGTACAGCAAAGATTGTCAGCAACTCCCACAGAAATGAGGTGAGATGCATGGAGCCATTTCTGTCTCACAGCCTTAACAAGGAGCCAGCTGGCCAACATCTCAGACCTCCAGAGCTGTGAGACAATGCATCTTTGTTGTTCATCCATATAATTTTTGGTACTTTGCTAGAGCAGTCCTAGGAGACTAATAGGGGCGGTGACCTCAAATCCCTAGTGCTGTGGCAGATGCGTCCCTGCACCTCAGTGCATGTCATGGCCTCAGAACATTTCTTAAAAGAACTCCAGGCAGCCAGTAACAGTCAACTGGGCTTAGCAAAACTGAGAGAAAACCCATTGAGCTAACATATTTGAAGTTTTGTTTTGTTCTGGTAGGCAAGAGGAAGCCCTTTGAACATTTTGAGGAGAGAAATAAAATGCACCAACCTACCTTTTAACCTCACCTTCCAGCTCAAGGGATGTTTATGGGCTATAGTGTTGATTTCACAGAGTCCTGAGTGCTGGTTTCTCTGTCTGTTTCCTCCTACAATCTCGGAACCATCTGAGACCAGGAATTTGTAGTTTATAGTTCTGTATGGCCAGCATTTGGCCCAGGCCTGGTGTCTAGCAGGTGCTAATTTATTGCTTGCTTGGTTGTAAATCTTATTGTTTTTACCTTTTATTTTGCAATAACTTCATACTTTCAGAAAATTTCAGAAATAATATTAAGAACTCTCATATATCCTTCAATCTGATTCATAAATCAACATTTTGCTACATTTGCCTTATAATTTTCTTCTTTCTATATAAGCATATTTTTTTCTGAACCACATAAGAGCAAAGAAAAATAAAAATTAGAATAAAAAAGAAATTGGAATTAACACTGAGATTATAGACATAAAGCCTCTATACCTAAAAGTTTTAGCATTACATATATTTTCTAAGAACAAAGGCATTAGCCTAGGTAATCATAGTAAAATTATAAAAGTCAGGAAATTTAATACTAATAAACACTATTATTTATAGTCAATATTTAAATTTTTCTAATTTATTATTTATAGATTTTATTTTTCATGATTGATGAAATGCAAGATCACACATTTAATTTTTTGGGTGTGTTTCTGTAGGTTCTTTTAATCTGGAATCATTTGTTAGCCTCTCTTTGTCCTTCATGACACTAACAATTTTAAAGAATACAGACTAATTATGCTGTAGAATAGTCTTCAGTTCAGTGTGTCTAATGTTTTCTAATGATTAGATTTAAGTACACATTTTTAGGCAGGGATGCCATTAATGTAATTTTGTGTTCTTCTCAGTACAGCATATCAAGAGGCACATTATGTCAATTGGTTTGTCCCATTTTTAGTAATTTTGATTTTGATTGCTTGGTTAAAGTGATGACTGTCACATTTTTCCACTTAGTTAATATTTTCCCATGTTAATTAATAAATAATTTGTAAGGAGATACTTCAAATATTATTTTCCTCATGAAATTTTTATAGACTAGTTTTAGTGTCCATTGTTGATTCTTGCCTGATTCTATTATTATTATGGTGATTGCACAATGGTTATTTGGCTAACTGATTCATTTCTTCTACTTTTATTAGATGACATTGTGCTGTGTTTTCTCCCTAAATGTTTATTTTTTTTTCACTTATTACCAGTAGGGGCTCATGTATTATTATTTTATTCAATGGATTATAACTCATTAGTGTCATTATTTATTAGAAGATCAAATTGTCTCAGATTTGTCTTCTGGGACCCACTTTACTCTGGCCTTTTTGTACTTTTTACTTGTCCTCTTGATTTTCTCAGCCCTTTTTATTTTCAGGCACAGCAAGATATTCCAGTTTCTCTTATATTCTTTATGCCCATCTCTGGAATCATTTATTTCTCTAATTTCTTTTAGAGGAAAATGATGCTCAGAAACCAAGATTTGGGAATAATGAATCCATTAAGAATTAATTGCCAGCACTTTGGGAGGCTGAGGCCTGAGGTCAGGAGTTCGAGACCAGCCTGGCCAACATGGAGAAACCCTTTCTCTACTAAAAATACAAAAATTAGCCAGGCGTGGTGGTGGGCACCTGTAATCCCAGCTACTCAGGAGGCTGAGGCAGGAGAATTGCTTGAACCCAGGAGGCGGAGTTTGCAGTGAGCCAAGATGGCACCATTGCATTCCAGCCTCGGCAACAGAGTGAGACTCTGTCTCAAAAAAACAAAAACAAAAAAAAAAAACAAACGGAATTAATTCTTCACTATTTCAAGACTATTTTTAAAGTTTATTTTATTTATCACTTGCTGGTTCCTAGCAACATTTGCAAAAGATTCTCTTTTAAACTTTCTTGTAATCCAGTGTAATTTTTTTCCTCTCTCCCTCTCAAAATTTTTTTGGTTAACAACCCTGCCTTATCCATCCTATGTTTTTTGTTATTTTTAGGTAGACTTTGAACTTCTTTCCTGTGTCTGGGAGAAGGTGGCTGATATGATTTGGCTCTGTGTCCCCACCCAAATCTCACCTCAAATTGTAATCCCCGTAATCCCCATGTGTCAAGGGTGGGACCAGATAGAGGTAATCTGACCATGAGGGTGGTTTCCCCGTGCTGTGCTGTTCTCACGACAGTGAGTGAATTTCAGGAGATCTGGTGGTTTTATAACCATCTGTCATTTCCCCTGCTTGCACTCACTCCATCTTGCCAACCTGTGAAGAAAGTGCCTGCTTCTCCTTTGCCATCTGCCATTATTGTAAGTTTATTGAGGCGTCCCCAGCCATGTGGATCTGTAAGTCAATTAAACCTCTTTCCTTTATAAATTACCTAGTCTCAGGTATTTCTTCATAGCAGTATAAGAATGAATTAATACAGTGGCCCTCCACCTTTTTCAGGTAAATCCTACAATCTCCTATTTCCATTTTTTCTTGTCTTCCCTGAGACCTTCTGCATCTACTCTTCCATTTTCTTCTTACATTTTTCCTTATTTTTGTATACACAGTATACTTCTCTGCATATACGTTCTCAGGTCTCTTTTATGTTAGAAAAATATCTTATCCAACTCCATACCTTTGAAGAAAACAGCCTAACTCTGCTTTCTTTCACTATCAAAACGCTTACCAGAGCAGGCTACATTTTCTGCCTTCATTCTGATAACACACACACTCCTTGGCGGCTGGCAGAGATCTCTGCTCTTCAATTATCTCTTCAGTGTCATCGATAATTGTAAAGTCAGCCATCCTACCTTGCTCAAGGATTTAATACTTTATAAGAAAACGACATGTAGGGGAAAAATTAGAAATTGGTACTAAAAATGAGATGTTACTAAATGGTGTTTAAAATGAGAATGGGAGTTTTTTTTTTTTTAAATGAGAATGGGAGTTTAAAAAAAAAAAACAAAAACAAACTCCCTCCAAACTAGGTAAAGAAAAAATGTACCTCAACACAATAAAAGCCATAAATAAAAAGTTTATAACAAACATCATACTCAATGATGGAAAGTTGAAAGCATTTCCTTTAAAATCAAGAACAAGACAAAGATGCCCACTCTTATTGTTTTTATTCAACATGGTAAAATCCTAGCTAGAGCAATTAGACAAGAAAAAGAAGTAAAAGTCATCTAAATTTGAAAGGAAAAAGTTAAATTGCCACTCTTTACAGATGACATGATTTTATATAGAGGAAACCCTCAAAACTCCACCAAAAAACTGTTAGAATAAACAAATTTAGTAAAATTACAGAACACAAATTCAACATCAAAATCAGTAGTATTTCTATACATTAATAAAAAACCATCCAAAAAGGAAATTTTGAAAAAATCATACTTAATGTAGCATTGAGAAAAATAAAATATTTTGGAATAAATCTAACTAAAGAGGTAAAAGATCTGTAAACTGAAAACTCTTCAATTTTTTTAACAATATTTTATATTCAATCAGTATTCCTAGATTGAACCAATAAATATTGTTAAAATGTCCATACAACCCAAAGAGATCTACAGATTCAATGCAATCTCTATCAAAATTTCAGTGACAATTTTCACAGAGATAGAAAAAAAAAATCCTGAAATTCTAAGAGAAACACAGAAGACCCTGAGTAGCCAAAGCAGTCCTGAGCAAAAAGAGCAAAACTAGAGGCTTCACACTACCTGATTTCAAAATATATTACAAAGGTCTAGTAATCAAAACAGCATGGTACTGTTAGACATAAACTTCAATGAAACAGAAGAGTCCAGAAATAAAGTTGCACATGTAATAGTCAACTGATCCTTGAGAAAGGTGCCAAGAATGCACAATGGAGAAAACACTGTCTCTTCAACAGATGATGCTGGGAATACTGAATACCCATATGCCAAAAAAAAAAAAAAAAAAGAATTAACTCAAAATTGACTAAAGGCATACATGTAAGATCTGTAACTGAAACTACTAAAGGAAAGCATAGGGAAAAATCTACTTGACATTGGTCTGGGCAGTTAGTTTTTTGGAGATAATCCCAAAAGTTGAGGCAACAAAGGGTTTGCATCAAACTAAAAAGCTTGGACACAGCAAAGGAAACAAACAACAGAGTGAAGTGACAACCTATGGAATGAGAAAATGTATCTGTGAGCTGTACATTTGATAAGTGGTCAATATCCAAAATATATAAGTACACAATATCCACTCAATAGCAAGAAAATAGATAACTGAATTGTTTAAATGGTCCACAGACCTGAAAAGACATTTTTCAAAAGAAGATATACAAATAGCCATCAGGTATATTAAAAACTACTCAGTATCACTAATCATCAGGGAATGCAAATTAAAATCACAATGAGATATTACTTCACATGTGCTAGGATAGCTGTTATCAAAAAGATAAGAGATAGCAAGTGTTGGGGAAGATGTGGAGGAAAGCAAACATTTGCACACTGTTGGTGGAAATGTAAATTAGTACAGTCATTATGGAAAACAGTATGAAGGTTTCTTAAATTAAAAATAGAACTATCATGTGATTTACCAATTCCAGTTCTGGGTATTTGTCTGAATTCATATGTTGAAGAGTATCTGCTTTCCTGAGTTCATTGCACCATTCACAATACCTAAGATATGGAAACAACCTAAGCATTTGCAATGGTTAATACTGAGCATCAATTTGATTGGATTGAATTGAAGGATATAAAGTATCGATCCTGGGTTTGTCTGTGAGGGTGTTGCCAAAAGAGATTAACATTTGAGTCAGTGGACTGAGAAAGGCAGACCCACCCTTAATCTGGGTGGGCAAAATCTAATCAGCTGCCAGTGTGGCTAGAATATAAACAGGCAGAAAAATGTGAAAACAGAGACTGCCCTAGCCTCCCAGCCTACATCTTTCTCCTGTGCTGGATGCTTCCTGCCTCAAACACTGGACTCCAAGTTCTTCAGTTTGGGAACTTGGACTGGCTCTCCTTGCTCCTCAGCCTGCAGACAGCCTATTGTGGGACCTTGTGATCATGTGAGTTAATACTTAATTATATATATATTATATATATATATTCCATTAGTTCTGTCCCTCTAGAGAACCCTGATTAATACAGATTTTGGTACCAGAAGTGGTTCTAGAAGAATGGAATGTTAAATATGGAGTTCTTTCATTGGTTTTGGGGTTTCTGGAGTTGGCTGCTTAATATGATTAGACCTCAAAATGCTAAAGACTCTACTTCTAATAGTATAGAGAACACTGATAGTCATTGGCATGGACGTTTTAGAGAGTTATGCAAAATAAATACATTTGACACTCCTGATTCATTGCCTGTGAGAGGCAAGGAGTTTAGTGACTGTATACATAATACCTTTGGCCATATGTGGAGAACCAAGGAACATAGTGAAGCTAGTTGTTTGCTCCTAAATTCAGTGGACAAAATGATGACAGAAAATGATAAACACAGGAATTCTATCTCCTGGCTTTAGAAGCAGATACTGAGCCTCAAATCTGCTAAGATTGCCCTGAGTGAGAGTCTTATCTCCAGTAGAGAAAGAGCTGAAATTGTGAAGAAACAGACAAAAGCTCTTATCACGTGAGTGGCCAAACTGCAATGAAAGGTGCATGTACAGCCTCATCAGGTGTCTAGTGTTAAAGTGAGGGCATTGATTGGAAAAGAATGCGACCCTGCAACTTGGAATGGAAACATGTGGGAGGATCCTGAGGAAGCTGGGCACACTGAGTTTGTAAATTCTGATGAATCTTTTTTGCCAGAAGAAACAGCTTCCCCATCCCTAGTGATGGCAAAATCCCCTCGCCAACCCATTCTACCATCAGTCTTTCCACCTTTGTCGGAGGAAATAAGACTCCTCTGAGGCAGTTTCCAGGCAAGATAATGTTGATACTCCTCAAGAGCTACCCCTAACACCCCTGTTTGCTTCTAGACCTATAACTAAAGTCCTGGCAGGCCCCCAAAGGTGAGGTTGAGAGTGTGATGCAGGAGGAGATGAGCTACATTCGAAAAGAACTGCTTGAGTTTTCTAATTTATATAAGCAGAAATCTGGTGAACAGGTATGGAAATGGATATTAAGGGTGTGGGATAATGGTGGAAGGAACATAGAGTTAGATCAGGCCGAATTTATTGATTTGGGGCCACTAATTAGGGACTCCGAATTTAATGTTGCAGCTTAGAGAGTTAAAAAATGTTTTAATAGTTTATTTACTTGGCTAGCTGAAATATGGATTAAAAGATGGCCCACTGTGAGCAAGCTGGAAATGCCTGATCTCCCTGAGTTTAATGTAGAGGAAGAGATCCAAAGACTTAGGGGATTGGAATGGTGGACTGAATTAGTCATTTTAGACCTACTCATCTCAGCTGGGAGGGTCCAGAAGATATACCCTTGACCAATGTTTTGTGAAATAGATTTGTGAGGGCAGCACCTGCATCTTTGAAGAGCCCTGTAATTGCTTTTCTCTGTATGTCAGATCTAAAAGTGGGAACCACAGTCACTCAACTACAAAATTTAAATACAGTGGAAGTAATTGGATCCTGAGGTGGCAAGGGCCAAGTGACAGCACTCAACTGTCAAAGGCAAGGGGGGCATAGCTATCACAATGAAAAGGAGAGACAAAGCAGCAATCAGAGTCTGACCTGTGTAGAGCTCTGGCATTGGCTAATTAATCATGGTGTTCCTAGAAGTGAAGTTGATAGAAAGTCCACTGTATTTCTACTTAATTTATATAAGCTGAAAACTTCTAGGTCGAATAGACAAAACACTAATTTGAATTATAAAAACAGAATCATGGCCCCTCAATCAATTTCTGGACTTGAGCCAGTTTACAGACCCAGAACCCTTTGAATAAAAGGGAGGCTAGGTCCCCTTGAGAAAGGACCTCACTACATCACTGACAATTTATGCAGTGAATCTTTCTCTCATTCTTCCGCAAGGATACCTCTGGCCTTTTACCAGGGTAACTGTTCATTGGGGAAAAGGAAATGATCAGACATTTCGAGGACTATTGGACATTGGCTCTGAGCTGATGATGGTTCCAGGGGACCCAAAATGTCATTGTGGTCCTCCAGTTAAAGCAGGAGCCTATGGAAGTCACATAATTAATAGCGTTTTAGCTCAGGTCCAACTTACAGTGGGTCCAGTGGGTCCGCGGACTTGTCTTGTGGTCATTTCCCCAGTGTCAGAGGGCATAATCGGCATAGACATACTTAGCAGCTGGCAGAACCCCCATATTGGCTCCCTGACTGGTAGGGTGAGGGCTATTATGGTGGGAAAGGCCAAATGGAAGCCATTAGAGCTGCCTGTACCTAGAAAAATAGTAAATCAAAAGCAATATTGCATCTCTAGAGGAATTGTGGAGATTCGTGCTACCACCAAGGACTTGAAAGATGCAGGGTTGGTGATTCCCACCAAATACCCATTCAACTCTCCCATTTGGCCTCTGCAGAAGACAGGTGGGTCTTGGAGAATGACAATGAATTATCGTGAGCTTAACCAAGTGGTGACTCCAATTGCAGCTGCTGTACCAGGTGTGATTTCATTGCTTGGGCAAATTAACACATCTCCTGGTACCTGGTATGCACCCATGGACTTGGCAAATGCCTTTTTCTCTATTCCTGTTCATAAGGCCCATCAGAAGCAATCTGCCTTCAGCCAGCTAGGCCAGTAATATACCTTTTCTGTCCTACCTCAGATGTATATCAACCCTCCGGCTTTGCGGCTTTGTGTCATCATCTTATTCACAGAGATCTTGATCACTTTTCACTTCCACAAGATATGACGCTGGTCAACTGCATTGATGACATTATGCTGATTGGATCCAGTGAGCAAGAAGTAGCAAACTCACTGGACTTACTGGAGAGACATCTGCATGACAGAGGATGGGAAATAAATCTGACTCAAATTCAGGAACTTTCTACCTTAGTAAAATTTCTAGGGGTCCAGTGGTGTGGGGCTTGTCCAGATATTCCTTCTAAGGTGAAGGATAAGTTACTGCATTTGGCCCCTCCTACAGCCAAGAAAGAGACACAACACCTAGTGGGCCTATTTGGATTTTGGAGGCAACACATTCCTCATTTGGGTGTGTTTCTTTGGCCCATTTATCAAGTGACCCAAAAGGCTGCTAGTTTTGAGTGGGGTCCAGAACAGGAGAAGGCCCTACAACAGGTCCAGGATGCTGTGCAAGCTGCTCTGCCACTTGGGCCATATGACCCAGCATATGGGTGTCAGTGGCAGATAGGGATGCTATTTGGAGCCCTTGGCAGGCCCCCATAGGTGAATCACAGTGGAGGCCTTTACAATTTTGGAGTAAGTCCCTGCTATCTTCTGCAGATAACTACTCTCCTTTTAAGAGGTAGTTCTTGACCTGTTACTGCGCTTTGGTAGAAACTGAACATTTGACTGTGGGTCATCAAGCCACCATGTGACCTGAACTGCCTATTATGAACTGGGTGCTTTCTGGCCCATCTAGCCATAAAGTAGGTCATACACAGAAGCATTCAATCATCAAATGGAGGTGATATATATGTGATCAGGCTCAAGCAGTTCCTGAAAGCACAAATAAGTTACATGAGGACGTGGCTCCAATGCCCATAGTATCCACTCCTGCCACCCTAGCTTCTCTCCCCCAGCCAACACTGATGGCCTAACATGGAGTTCTCTATGATCAGTTGACAGAGGAAGAGAAGACTAGGGCCTGGTTCGCAGATGATTCTGCACGATATGCGGGAACCACCCAAAAGTGGACAGCTACAGCACTACAGCCCCTTCCTAGGACATCCCTGAAGGACAGCTGTGAAGGAGAATCTTCCCAGTGGGCAGAACTTTGAGCAGTACACCTGGTTGTGCATTTTGCATGGAAGGAGAAATGGCCAGATGTGTGATTATATACTGATTCATGGGCTGTAGCCAATGGTTTGGCTGGATGGTCAGGGACTTGGAAGAAGCATGATTGGAAAATTGGTAACAAAGAAATCTGGGGAAGAGGTATGTGAATGGACCTCTCTGAGTGGACAAAAACTGTGAAGATATTTGTATACCATGTGAGTGCTTACCAATGGATGACCTCAGCAGAGAAGGAGTTTCATAATCAAGTGGATAGAATGACCCATTCTGTGGATACCACTTAGCCTCTTTCCCTAGCCACCCATGTTATCGCCCAATGGGCCCATAAGCAAAGTGGCCATGGTGGCAGGGATGGATGTGACATACGGGCTCAGCAACATGGACTTCCACTCACCAAGGCTGACCTGGCTGCAGCTACTGCTGAGTGTCCAATTTGCCAACAGCAGAGACCAACAGTGAGCCCTCGATATGGCACCATTTCTCAGGGTGATCAGCCAGCTACCTGGTGGCAGCTTGATTATACTGAACCTCTTCCACCATGGAAAGGGCAGAGGTTTGTCCTCACTAGAATAGACACTTACTCCAGATATGGGTTTGCCTATCCTGCAGGCAATGCTTCTGCCAAAACCATCAACCGTGGATTCATAGAATGCCTTATCCACAGCCCTGGTATCCCACACAGCATTTCCTCTGACCAAGGCACTCACTTTTACGGCTAAAGAAGTGTGGCAGTGGGCTCATGTTCATGGAATTCAATGGTCTTACCATGTTCCCCATTATCCTGAAGCAGCTGGATTGATAGAACATTGGAATGGCCTTTTGAAGTCACAATTACAATGGCAACTAGGTGACAATACTTTGCAGGACTGGGGCAAAGTTGTCCAGAAGGCCGTGTATGCTCTGAATCAGCATCAAATATGGTACTGTTTCTCCCATAGCCAGGATTCACGGGTACAGGAATCAAAGGGTGGAAGTGGAAGTGGCACCACTCACCATCACCCTTAGAGATTCACTAGCAAAATTTTTGCTTCCTGTTCCTGAAACGTTATGTTCTCCTGGCCTGGAGATCTTAGTTCCAGAGGGAGGAATACTGCCACCAGGAGAAACAACGATTCCATTAAACTATAAGTTAAGATTGCCATCTGGACACTTTGGGCTCCTCCTACCTTTAAGTCAACAGGCTAAAAAGGAAGTTACAATGTTGATTGGGGTGATTCACCCGGACTATCAAGATGAAATCATTCTACTACTCCACAACGGAGGTAAGGAAGAGTATGCATGGAATACAGGATATCCATTAGGGCGTTTCTTAGTATTACCATGCCTTGTGATTAAGGTCAATGAGAAACTGCAATAGTCCAATCCAAGCAGGACTGCAAATGACCCAGACCCTTCAGGAATGAAGGTTTGGGTCACTCCACCAGGAAAAAGACCACGACCTGCTGAGGTGCTTGTTGAAGGCAAAGGGAATACAGAATAGGTAGTGGAAGAAGGAAATCATCAATACCAGCTATGACCATGTGACCAGCTGCAGAAATGAGGACTGTAATTGTCATGACATGTAATTGACATGACATGTAATTGGTATGACATGAAATTGGCATGTCACTGTAATTGTTAACAACATGTTTGTGCATTATACACTTGTACTAAGAAAATATCTTCATTTTATTTCCTTTCTCCTTTATCATGTGATATAAGACTTATTGACTTCACATCAGCCTTTAAGTATTGTTAACTTTATGTGATAGTATTTGGGTTGGGGATTGGTGCGTTTCCGGTTGTATGAATGATAGTTGTATTATGTTAGGCCTAATTATGATATTATTATTGTCTTTAGGTGAAAATTATGTATTATCTCAGGTGTGTATGAGTTCCAGTTGACAAGAGGTGGACTTATGATGGTTAATACTGAGTGTCAACTTGATTGGGTTGAAGGATACAAAATATTGATCCTCAGTGTGTCTGTGAGGGTGTTGCTAAAAGAGATTAACATTTGAGTCAGTGGGCTGAGATAGGCAGACCCACCCATAATCTGGGTGGGCACAATCTAATCAACTGTTAGTGTGGCTAGAATATAAACAGGCAGAAAATATGAAAAGGGAGACTGGCCTAGCCTCCCAAGACTACATCTTTCTCCCATGCTGGGTACTTCCTGCCCTTGAACATTGGACTCCAAGTTCTTCAGTTTTGGAACTCAGACAGGCTCTCCTTTCTCTTCAGCCTGCAGATGGCCTATTGTGGGACCCTGTGATCATGTGAGTTGATACTTAATAAGCTCCCCTTCATATATATATATATTCATATATATATATATATATTAGTACTGTACCTCTAGAGAACCCTAATACAGTGTCCATCAATAGATGAGTGGATAAAGAAAATGTGGTACATATAAACAATGGAATGCTACTGAGTCCTAAACAAGAAGGAAATCCTGTTATTTGCAACAACATAGATGAACCTCAAAGATATTATGGTAAATGAAATAATCAGGCACAGAAAAACAAATATCACACAATCTCACTCATATGTGGAATCTATAAAAAACAGAGTGAAGATAGGTTGCAAGGATCTGGGAGTGGAAATTAGGGAGACAGTCAAAGAATAAAAAACCCTAGGAGGCATATATTAAAGAGAACTATTGTCAATATGCTGACTATGAGTAACAGCAGTGTTTGTATATTTGAAAATTGCTAAGGCAGTAGATTTTAAATGTCTTCACCACACACACACAAAGGAACTATATGAGGTGTTGAATATGCTACTCAGCTTGATTCAGTTGTTCTACAATGTATAGATTAACAAAATATTAATAAGTATATGCAATTATTTTTGTCAATTAGGTTGGTGCAAAAGTAATTGCAGTTTTCCCATTACTTAAAAAAAAGGCATAAACTGCAATTACTTTTGCACCAACCTAATAAAATACAATGTCTTTTTTCTGATCATTGAGGCTACTTTTTTCACATAACTAGCATAATAAGCTATCAGTGTTTCTAAGGTGTCCAGAGCTACAAAATAAATAAGCAAACAAACAAATAAATAGAAGGAGAGAGAATGGGAATTTGTGTTAGAAACATGGTTTCTTTCCTTTACCCATTTGGTAGCTTATTTAAATTGTGTTTTTATTTTGTTTTATTTTGCAAAATGAAAAGAATAGATTCTTTCCTCACAGGAATGCTCTCAGGACCAACATTGTAAATTGTAATGCATCATATAAATGCTAGTGCTTATTATTAGATAATAAAAACTACATATCATAATGTTACCTTTAAAACTATAAAGTGTTCACAAAGATTAGTGTTAATTATTAGAAGGTTGAAAAATATTATCAGTATATTTGCATCTTTTTTTTTTTTTTGAAACGAAGTCTTGCTCTGTCACCCAGGCTAGAATGCAATGGCGCGATCTCAGCTCACAGCAGCATCCGCCTCCCAGGTTCAGGTGATTCTTCTGCCTCAGCCTCCCTAGTAGCTGGGACTACAGGCGCGCACCACCACACCCAGCTAATTTTTGTATTTTTAGTAGAGATGGGGTTTCGCCATATTGGCGAGGCTGGTCTCAAACTCTTGACCTTAGGTAATCCACCCGCCTCCCAAAGTGCTGGGATTACAGGCATGAGCCACCACACCCAGCTGATTTGCATCTTTTCTTACGTTTTCTTTTCATCTCCTTAATACGTTTTATTTTCTTCTTATGTTCTTAGTTTTTTTCCTAGGCTAGTCCTCAGCTTTCTCTATTTTCCTTCTCCTGCCCTCTTTCCTCTTAAACATATTACACTGTCATTGGATCCTCAGCCTTGTTGGGAGTGAATTTTCAGTCACTATCTTTCATCCAGACCTGTGTCCTAACCTTCTCTCTATCTGCCAGACAAATTCACCTAGGAAGTCCTTCCAGATTTTAGCTAACTCAAAGTCAAACAATATTAACTTGTTTTTCTTTCCCCACAAATTCTGTTACTTTTTGGGAAAAATTCCAATGATTTTCCACAAAAGAAACTCAACTCTTTTGGCCTGGAGTTGGCAAGTTCTCTGGAGGAAAAACAGACGGACTTTTCTTGTTTTCTTTTCCATTTTTTAAATTGCAGTTAGATTAGTGTATCTCTTAGGAGAATTTTCACTTTTTATTTAATATTACTATCAAATTTAAACAAAACATATGTCTAGTAGACTGTTTTTCTAAAAATTGTAATTAAGTACACATAGCATGAAATTTACCATCTTATTCATTTTTAAAAGTATAGTTTAGTAATGTTAAATGTATTCATACTGATGTACAGTCAGTATCCAGAACTTTTTCACCTTGCAAAACTGAAATTCTATATTCATTAAACAGCAACTCACTATTTCCTTTGTTAGGGATTTTTTTTTTTTTTTGAGAGAGAGTATCAAATCACATCTAATTTATCTTATTGTTATAATTGCTAAAAGGATGATTACAATACTTTTGTAGAGTGGACACTCAAGAGATTTGAGATTATCAAAATTCAACAAGCATTTCTTTTCAAATATTAAATAATAAATATTTTTTATTGCTTTTGTATGAAATTGTTTATACAAGCCTTTTTGTTTTATTGTTTCAGATAATAATGAAATTGGGTTTGTTGTGTATTATGATGGGCAGATTTGGGACTTTTTGTGGGGGGTAACATTTACTGATTTTATTTTTTAAATTTTAGATTCATGGGGTACATATCCAGGTTTGTTACATGGATATATTGTGCAATGGTGAAGTTTGGGCTTCTAACATACCAAGCACCCAAACAGTGAACATTTTACCCAATATCCCCCTCCAGATCTCCCTCCTTTTGGAGTATCCAATGTTTCCTATTTCTGTCTTTATGTCCATGAGTACCCATTTTTTTTTAACTCCCACTTATAAGTGAGAACATGTGGTATTTGATTTTCTGTTTTTGAGTTACTTCATAGGATAATGGCCTCCAGCTCCATCCATGTTGCTGAAAGGCACATGATTTTATTCTTTTTTATGGCTGATAGTATTCCGTGGTGTATATATACCACATTTTCTTTATTCAGTCATCCACTGATGGACACTTAGGTTGATTCCATGACTTTGCTATTGTTAATAGTGCTGTAATAAATGAGTACATGTGTCTTTTTTTTTCCATAATTTTTTTAATGTTCCTTTGGGCAGATGCCCAGTAGTGGAATTGCTGGGTTGATGGTAGATCTATATTTAAGTTTTTTTGAGAAATCTCCACGCTCTTTTCTGTAGAGGTTGTACTAATCTACATTCCCACCAACAGTGTATAAAAATACCCTTTTTCCACATCCATGCCAACATCTGTTTCAAAAACATTTTATAATCATGTAATGTATGCCAGAATCTACACTATGAAATGAGGGGAGAGATAAAAACACAATGATACAAATAGTAGTCTCAAGAATTTTCAGAAATACAGGAAATACAGATGTGAAAACCAATAATTAAAATAAAACCTAATAGTGCAATAATACACCTTGGTCCAGCATCATTGCTAAAATAGAAGATATATATTAATGCTGAGAAATGGCAGAGTATGCTTCGCAAGAAAGGTAGCATCATACAAGCATTTTTTTTCATTTTTTAAAGGCTGCATAGTATTCCACTGTGTATATATGCCACATTTTTAAAACCCATGCACCTGTTGATTGACAATGCTAAGTGAAATAAGTTAGGCACAGAAAGACAAATACCATATGCTCTCACTTAAATGTGCAATCTCAAAAAGTTGAACTCATAAAGGCAGACAGTAGGATGGTGGTTACTAAAGGCTGGAGCTAGGGTTTGGGGTGGGAGTGGGATGGGAAAAGGAGTGGTCGTCAAAGGTTATAAAGTTTCAGTTAGACTGGAGAAATAACTTTTCATGATCTATTGTTACATAGTGGTGACAGTAATTAATAATAATATATACTTCAAAAGTACTAAGAGTAGATTTAAAAATATATATGTAGGTGAGGTGATAGATATGTTAATTAGCTTGATTTAATCTTTCTACAAGGTATACATATGACAAAACATCACACTGTACCCCATAAATACATATAATTGTCAATCAAAATTTTTAAAAAACATTCTTTTTTTTGTTTTTTACTAAAATGTCTCTAGAGTTTGGAATTATTGAATCATTATTAAATACTTACTAAATGATTCAATGAAGTGATGCCTAGCCTGATTTTGTTGGAATAATAGGAGTTTGCTGGTCAAATGATAGGAAAGGCAAGTTTAGGCAAATGGCAATAATTAAAGAAATGAGAAACAGCATTGCATAAGGTTAGTATGGAAGCTAGGTTTGGTAATATGTTTATTAAGATATATGAAGGAGTTAAAGAATAGGTACATTTATAGAGAAGGAAGGAAGGCATGAAGACCCAGGCAGGCAGACAGGCAGGAAGGAACAAGGGGAAGGAAGGAAGGAAGGAAGGAAGGAAGGAAGGAAGGAAGGAAGGGAGGGACGGAGGGAGGGATGGAGGGAGGGACGGAGGGAGGGAAATGGATAAGGGAAAATTACCAATGATCTAATTTTTCATATCTTCCCAAAAGGAAGGAAAGGACAGAATTTGGTTTCTGAAGCCCATTCAGAAGGGGTTATTCAGGGTGTCCTTACAGAAAAAAAAGAAAGATTTGGGATGAGAAGACAGAAGCAATTGGACACTAGAAGAAGGTGAGGAGAGCTTCCCAAAAGACTATAAAAAGCACAGATTTTATGAGTCATGAGACCTTCCCAGAGTCCCTTCTAACATCACACTGAGGCTAAATGACCTCTGACACCAGGAGACCTTAGCTAGACTAAGGCTCTCCTTTCCCTACCTTAGCAAGTAAGACCATACCCAAGGGCACCTAAGAAGCCAGCATATCCCCTACACTCAAGAGACTAAAGAGAATTACACCAGTGACCATTTTAGCGAAAACCAGGGTGGTCCAAAGTTGTGGGTTCTCTATAAATGTTCATAATTGCATGAGGACCCCTTCCCACAACAGAAACTTTGCACTTTGCTATGCACTAGGTGGCAAAGAAAAACTTCTAAATGACACAATAAATTCTGTGGCAGCAAAGCAGGATAGCTGCTGGGAGTAGATCAGAGTTGGTTTAGATAAACAAAAGGCATAGCATATATATTTCTACCCTGCACTGTAGAATTAAAGACAAACCAAAATAGTTGTCCAAAGAATAGACACGTGCATAAAGCATTGCAGTCTGTGCTCTTCAGCAGCCAATTATCAGAGTTAAGCATGAGGTTGCTAAAGGAGCGTCTTATATTGGAAATCAAAGGGGTAAAAAGAACGCTGGGAAAAAAATGTCTAAAGAAGGCCAAGTTAAAATGGGGTGGAAAAGAAGCAGGTGTAGACAGTTGAGTGGGATGGTATCTTTGAAGACATGTCCATAGACAAGGCTTTTCCTCTTCCTCAGCTTGCCTCAGGCCATGCTGTCAAGCTTCTTGGCATTGGAGTGCTTTCAGTAAGTACCTGGAGCGTGGGGTTGGGCTACTTTAGTGCCTTTTCTTCACTTTAGGTTAAACACCTTAAATATCTTTAGTACCATCTGAGTCATAATAATAAGATCATTTCCACAGGGGAGTGTCATGAGGCCTAATTAGTACCTGTAGAGAACTCTGTGATCTTAAGAGGAAAGGAGTGCAAAGTGCTATTTAACCTGGGAACCAAAATGGATAAAGAGATTGCTCAATTTAGTTAGAGTCATAGTCATAGTCATCCAACACACTGGAAGGAAATGCGAGTCTCTCCATAGGGATGCTTTCCAAGGTCAGGATTTTATAAAGTCAATATTTTCCTACTGGTAGAGTAGCTTTCCATTTCAGTGATTTGGGAGGCAGCTTGCTGCTGTGGAAAGGATGGATACACAAAAATTGGGTTCTAATCCAAGTCAATCTGCCACTACCTAGCAGTGCAAAATAAATTGGTCAATTCATGGCTTTGGGGGTATTTTACTCTTCTATAAATTAAGGGGATAAATGACACCTGAACTAAATGAACTAAGTGAACAAATAAGCTAAAGGACATCTGAAGTTCTTTTGAACTCTAGCATTTTCATGGTTGCAATTCCTGGTTTTACATTAGACAAATTCAGTTCAATCAATGTCTACTGGGTAGGTTTTATGTGGCAAGCATTGTGGTAGCTTCTAGGCAAGGTCTGCTTCTTTGTAAAACATCAAAGGCACCATACATATAGAATCATCACTCCCTAGAAGTGTGCAACTAGAAGGGCCCTAGAAGGGCCAATTAATTGGCCCTAGAGGCTCAATTAATGAAGTCCAGTCATTGAATAGGGAAAAGAGAGATGAACTCAATTTGCATTGGTGGGAAGTAAACTAAAATATCTCCAATGAGTTAATGTCTGCACTGAATTTTTAAAGTTTGCTAGTAGACAAAGCAGATTAGGGAAGGTTCTTTAAGGGATGACAATCTGGTAAGAAAGAAGAGAATATACAAAAGCATGACCCATAGATGAAGATTTTGTAAAATTCCAGGGGGCATGGAGGTGACAATTCATTATACTTCTATGTAATCATGTGTCTCACTATACACAGGTATGACTTTTTAAATCCATGCCAGCTTCAAACAGCGGTGGTTATTTTTTATTTGCAGTCAAGATTTGTTTAAAATCTTTATATCACAGGATCCAAAAAAGATGATTGAAACAATATAGAATCAAACACAAACAATGCAGGCTAAATCTTGCTTTGCATTTTCTGACCTGTTTAAGAAAAAGAATGCAGGATTCCCATCAAGGCAAATGACCTCAGGATTGGAGGTTAGTTTTACAGGGAATTCATCTATGCCTGGCTTCTTCCAAAACTTGTCACAAAGAAGTGCAAATAAGGAGACCAGAGAAGCCAGCCAAGCGCTCTCTAAAATTATCCCTGTCATCAGAAACAATTAATACTACATACAGCACAGTATTGTTCTAGGACTAGGAGCCAAAGGAGTTTAGGGAGATTTGCAGATCATATAATTTTGTAACTGGGGTTTATGGTTGGCACTGGTTGGTGTGTCAAAGCTTAATAGGTGGGAGGATTCGTATAGGTCCAAATGAAGCTATTGAAGGGGTTCAAACAACATTACTAGAGGAAGTAGATGGTTTATATCATTGTCACAGCCTTTGGAAATTGAGTCTTTTATTTCTATTTAGAGCTGATCAAGTTGATTCGACTCAATAGAATCCTACATTGTGTTTGTGTCTGTGAATGCATTTGTGTGCGTGTGTGCCTGAAAGTGGGCGAGATTTTCTTTCTTTCTTTTTTTTTTTTTTTTTCTGCATAACATTCTATGGGTACTGAGTAAATGTCAAACCATCATAACTGGGAAACCTTTTCAGGTTGAACTAATGGGACCTCAAATGAATTTACTTACACTCCTTTGCTTTTGTTAATCCCGAGTTCAGTCACACCTGACACTCTTTACACATTTTAACAAAAGAAAAGTCACATTGCCACTGAAAGGCTAATGTACGCAAGAAAATAAAAAAAAAATTAAAGAAAATGTGATAATAAAACAATAGGATAAACCATAACTTTTTCAATTAACATTAAATCATGACTCATTGTCTAGCACATTCACCTTTATGGCTCAATCTTCATTTATATGATCTTCATCCTAGTTTTTGTTGTAAAAAAAAAAAAAAAGTACCAGCTTTATTTTCTTGTTTTATTTTTACATTTGAAAAAAACATTTTGGAAAAAAGACTAATTCATTAATAAATCCATCTTCTGGACCCTGGTTGACATTCAGTTTAATAAAAGCCAAGAGTAGTGTTTTTCAGGCTCATGAAGAAAGAGCAGAGAAATCAGTATTTATATTTTTGGTTGTTGTTAGAATTTGAAGTTTTTCCAGGGCAGGCTAATTTTGAGGTTCATGCAACTCTGGGGACTAAGTGAGAATTTCATAAATAATCAGAATGAAGAAAACGCATATGTAGATAAGGAAACATTTTCCAAGCAGGGTAAAGGTTTTCGGCAGCATATGTGACTGCACAGTTAGCCTAGCTCATCAAGTTGAAATTATAAGCAAAGCAAAACAAAAATACAGAGCTCATGTTTATCTGGGACATAGGGATTAAAAGAAACATCCTTGCTTTCTGAGGAAAACTACAAACAACCCCTCTCCCCCTAAAAAAAACTCTCTACAATAGAATCCCTAATGGTCAAAAGAGGACATGTTGTAAATTAACTTTGAAAGACAGCCTGAACCTGACCACCAACGTCGGTATTTGTGTGGAGGAAAGAGTGCCACCTACCGAATCACCACCTTTTAGATGTTTCTGTCAGCACTTTGATTTTCCTTGGAGTTCTACCAACCCTGGAGTGTGACCTTGCTTAGAATGAAACCTGACCTCATTACAATGCAAGCTTAGCTTTTTGCAGGCACATTACAAAATCAGCCAGAAACCCTCATCTGCAGATGTCCCCCCATATAGTGCCACACAAAAGAAAGATAAGGAAAGGGGCTAAGTAGAACCAAAACAGCAAGAACAGCTGCAAAAGAGGATCAGGCATCTGTGTAATGATATGTTTAGTCACTAAACACAACTATTTTATCTTAAGATAGACTAAAAATCCAGTACATATGTTTATGTAAAGTCTTCTTATTCTCAGTCAGAGGAAAGTGCCTGACTAAATGTTTTGTTGGATTGAACTTAATTGTTGACATCTGGAATTGGTTGATGTTAATATTAACCAAACCATTTGGCTAAGTAAAATGTTATGAGAGAAAGGTCTATTCCGAACATATTGTGTGATGTTAACATAGGTAACCATACAGTTTGACAGAAACCCTGCTAAATTTATAAAAATTTGAGATATCAGTAAGTGTGACAAATATTGCTTTTTAAGTTAATTATAGGTATTATATTGTATTTTCTAAGTCATACATTCAGGGAGTCCTCTCTATATTAAAATACATATTACAAAGATTCAAATATATGTATCAGGATAATGGCTTATCCTTTAGCTCCTAAGCATATTCATATGTTATGAACTGTGACAATACTAGAAAGAACAAAAAAATGTAAAAATGTCGACCATATGTGCTTCTGCCATCTGATTCACTTTGAAATTTCCCATCATCCATTGTAACAAATAACTTATCTATTATATGTGCCTCAGGTACCATTCACCTCTAATTGGCAAAACAGAAATATTTTGGGACCATATTTTTTCCCTAAGAATAGTGCAACTAATAATAGTAATTTTAGGTATAAAGATAGACATGCACATTACTGTAAAAGAGGTCATATTTAGATACATTTGCTCATTTTGTGGCAGATACTATTGGTGTCCGTAATAGAATTAAAAAGTTTTATAAAATATGTACACTGGTCTTGGGAAATTCAGAAAGTACCAGCCAGCCTTGAGCTAGACTGAACAAAAACATCCAGAGCATCTTAACCCAATTAAATCGCATCCCCAGACATCTTGCTGTAGCTAGTAATTGAAACCAATGACAAATGTTTTACTTTCATAAAGGGCACAGTGTTAGAAAAGCCTAAGTATTTTTCAGTTTTTATTACTTTTTTATTCTTTGAAAATAAATTATTGGAAGATAGTAGAAAGGAAGTGGTCAAAAATAAAATAAGGGATTATGTCAAAGGAACTAGGATGCAGCATTAAAGATCTCCCAACGGCCAAAGCTGGAAAAGTTTGAACAACAAAATAAATAGTATGATATTGATTATAGCCCAAAGTATAAAATAAATATAAATGTGGCTATACTAATATAAACACATATTAAATAGATTAAAAATGGAGAATAGACAACTCTTCCTTACAGAAGACTGTAAATACTCTTTCACTTCTGAGTATGAATCGGATCTAGTGACTCATTTCCAATGAACAGAGTATGGAAAGGAAAAAAATAGGAGCTTTGCAGTGGAAAATACTGGCAATTACTATCTGTGATCAAGATTAATGTGGTTAATGATACCAGGTGGATATTATGTACCCCCGATATACCGTGATGAAGAGGGCATTTCCCCTCTGTGGTGGTCCTTCCAAAAACCCATAAGCCTATTCTAATAATGAGAAATACATTAGACAAACCATTCGAGCAACATCCTACAAAATACATAAACAGTACTTTTAAAATTGTCAAAGTTATGAAAAAGAAGAAAAGATTGAGAAAATGTCACAGACCAGAGGAGACTCAGAGACATGACAACTGAATGCAATGCAAGATTCTGAATTAGATCCTGGACCAGAAACAAGAGAGTAGTGTAAAAACTGGTGAACTTCAAATACAGTTTAAAGTTTATAATGTACTAATGCTGGTGTCTAGTTTTGACAAAGTAAGATAATGTAAAATGGTAGTATTAGGAAAATTGAAGCTGGGTAAGTGGTATAAAGATTTAACTCTGAACTATCTTTGCAACTTTTCTAGAAATCTAAAATTATTCTAAAATTAAAAGCTTATTCAAAATATTTGAAGCAAATCTATTCTTTGCAGAAACAAAGTTTGTCAAATCTCTTAAGATATATCTATCTTTTGGCTGCTCTGTACTTATAAAATTTATTTGTGGGATTTCATTACTATACATGCTTCCTATCAAAATATATTTATTTGTAACACTTCTGTTTAAAAATGGTACAAATAGCAGCCTTACATTGTAAGTAGATAACATTGAGACTTTAAGTAGCTAATATCGGGGTAAGCGATGCTGTTATCTGCAAAGGAAATGGTGAAAAATTGGTTAGTTTCTGGATATATTTCGAAGATTAAAAACAGCAGATTTGTTGAAGTATTAGACAGAAGGAATAAGAGAAACTGCTGATTCAAGGAATTCTCCATGGCTTTGAGCCTAAGAAGGGTGGTGTTACCATTAATTGAGATGGGAAAGACTTCAAGAGAAGCAGGTTTATGAGAAAGGAGGGGATCACACCTCAGGTGGGGATATGTTATCTCAACATATTAGGCTTAAGATATACATTTACGCTATACATCGAACATTTAAAATATGTACTTTAGACAAGGTATCTAAGGTAGAGATATAGATTTGGGAGCCCTTAGCATACAAATGAGACTGACTGATAGAAGCGAGGAAGTGGATACGGAAAGAAAAGAGGTTGGTGGGGTCCTTCAATATTAAGAGATGAGATAGATGAGGAGGATCCAAAAGTGACCAATGTGTCAGAAAGACATAAAGGTGAGGTTTCATATACCATGGCAAAGAGAGGGGAACCCAGGTAGACTCGGTGGACAACTGAGTTAGAGATAGAGCTGAGAGTTGCGGGAGACCAAGGTGGCAGGAATTTAAAGGCAGAGTATCAAGAAGAAGACAGTTTCAGAGAGAAAACATTCTGAATCTGTGCAGAGGGAACCCTCTCTCAAGTATTTAGCAAAATAAAAATCAGGACATGCACACCAAGTAACCAATAAAGACTGGAGAAATAAGTAATCCGAGACAATTAGAGGAAAGAGTGCCTGGTACTCACGCAGGCTAAGAATAGCACTTATTTCTAGCAACCAGATTAATAATAATAGTAAAGTACAGGGCTTGGGTGGAATACTTAGAAAAGTTTTGTCCCAGTGGAGGAGAGTAATTATTCCTAGAAAAAATGCTGCTCTGGTTCTGCCTAGCACAGAGAAATCCTTTCAAGAGAAAGACTTGAAAGGATTAAATTGTTTCCAAGTAAATAATTGTGTCCTAAAACACAGCTCAAAAGTATTACAGAAATATTTTTTAAAAAACCCCACAGCTCCCATCAAAATAAAATTTATAATGTTTGGCATCCTATCAAAATTAGAAGGCATGAAAAGAAGCAGAAAAACATGACCTATGATAAAGAGAAAGATCAATCAATTGAAACTGACACAGATGTGACACAGATGTTAGAATTAGCAGACAAGGATAATAAAACTATTATTATAACTGTATTCCATATGTTCACAAAACTAAAGGAGGATTGAAAGTGTTAAATATAGAGGTTGGGTCTCTGAGAAAGAGAAGGGACACAGAAATTTATTTGTAGCATTAATGACCTAGTATTTTCCAAAATTGAAGATAACTGTAAACCAACAGATTCATGCAGCCCAACAAATCCGAAGTAAAAATAAATTAAAATAAATACTGGAAGGAAACTACACCAAAACACATTTAATCAAATGTCTCGAAACCAGTGGTAAGGAGAAAATTTTAAAATCTCCCAGTGGTGGGACAGGGAGCAGGAGAGACACATATGAGCTATAATAGCAAAGAGAAGCAAAGGAGAAATGAGAACTCGATATAATATGATATCTTAGATGAAATCCTCAAACAGAAAAGAACATTACATAAAAACTTAAGAAAATCTAAGTTTTAATAATAATAATGTATCAATATTTGTTTAATAGTTGTAACAAATATACCATACTAATGTAAGATGTTAATAATAGAAGAACTGAGTGAAGAGTATATGGAAACTCTGTGTACCATCTGAAGATTTTTTTTTTCTGTAAATCTAAAACTTAAAACGTTTATTTAAGACTGTGTGAGGTAGCTTATGCTTATAATCCCAACACTTTGAGAGGCTGAGGCAACTTAAGGCCAGGAGTTCCAGACCTGCCTGGTTAACATAATGAGATTCCATTTCTTAAAAAAAAAAAAAAAATTAGAGTTAATTTAAAAGTATGCACAGAGGAATTAAAATATGGATGCTGGCAGATTTGTTGTTGTTGGAAATAATGTGAGTGAAAATACTGGAGAACAGCCTTTAATGGATTGAAGGAAAAACTGTCAACTTAGAATTCTATCTAGAATTCTATATACAACAAAATGTGTTTCAAACATGAATAGAGATTCTTCAGTCACACAAAAGTTGAAAGAATTCATTATGAGTAGGCCTTGATGACAGAGAATGTTAAAGGGAAGTACTTTAAACAGAAAGAAGAGAAGATCAGATGGAAATACGGATCTATATCAAGGAATGAAGAGGATCAGAAATGGTAGCTACTTGGGTAAATAATGCAGGAACAGAAAACCAAACACTGCATGTTCTCACTTACAAGTGGGAGCTGAACAATGAGAACACATGGACACAGGGAGGAGAACAACACACACTGGGGCCTGTCAGGGGTTGGGGTGGGAGAAGGGAAAGCATTAGGAAAAATAGCTAATACATACAGAGCTTAATACATAGGTGATAGGTTGATAGGTGCAGCAAACCACCATGGCACATGTTTACATATGTAACGAAACTGCACATCCTGCACATGTACCCCAGAACTCAAAATAAAAATAAAAATTTTAAAAAGATACTCTTCTTATAATTTATATGCCATCAAAAATAACCGAGAAAAATTAACTGTGATATAAAAAATACAATATATGTAAAAGTAAAATTATATAGCCAAAAACTGTTTGAGAAAATTAATAACATTAATAAACTTCCAGACAGACTGATCAGGGAAAAAGAAAGAAGACAGAAAATTATTATATCAGTAATGAGAAAGATGATATTATTACAGATCAAACAGATAATTATAATAATGTTAATAATGTATTATTTGACAAATGTCATCCCAATAAATTCACTAACAAGTAAAATAAACAAATTACTTAAAAGGCACAAACTACCAATCTCAATCAAGAAGAAATAGATAACTTGACTAGAACTATACCTATTTAAAATATAAATTTCTAGATATATAAACAAAATACTGGTCCAGATGGTTCCATTAGTAAATTTTACTAAACAATAAGGAAAACATAACAGTAATTTTACACAAGCTTCCAAAAAATTAAAAATGAGGAAGTACTTCCTAACTCATTCTATGAAGCCAGCACTCCTCTGGTTCAAAAAACAAAGACACTGTAAGAAATAAAAACTACAAACCAATATATATAATAAAAATTGACATAAAATGTTTTTAAAACACTTAGACAATGAAATTTAACAATACATGGAAAGTGTTTTTAAAACAAAAACACTCTTTAAACAAACTAAAAATAAAAAAAACATATAATCATCTCGATCATTGAAAAAAAATCATTTAAGTTCCAACATCTATCAGTGATTAAAAACAACAACAACAACAACTTAATTCTCAGTAATGGAGGGGAATGTCTTCAACCTGATAGAGGATATCCAAGGAAAATCTCCAGATAATATTACAATTAATATTGAAAACTCAATATTTTACCTCTGAGATTAGAAAAGAAGCAAGGGTGTCCACTTTCTACTTTTACTTATCATGTTACTGTGGGTTCTAATCAGGATAAAAAGGCAAGAGACAAAAATAGAGGCATTTAGAGTGGAAAGCCAAAACAGAAATTCTGTATTCACAGTTGACATGATCATTTATGCAGAAAGTATGTTGACTCCACCAATAAGTTAATAGAAGTAATAAGTGCGGATGCAGTGTATGTCATAAAGGAACAATCAGTTGTGTTTGTATATATAAGCAACAAATAATTTAAAAATTACATTAAAAAATTTATACCATTTAGAATAGCATGAAAAATATCAAATACATAGAAGTAAATCTATCAAAATACATAAAATAACTATAATGGTAGCCATGAAATATTGTTGAAAGAAATTGAAGGTGCTCTCAATAAAAGGAGATACATGCTTTGTTGATGGTTTCAATGACTCAACATTGCCAAGACAACAATTTTCTACGAATTGAAAAATACATTTAATATATTGTCAATAAAAATCTCAGCAGACTCTATTGTAGAAATTGACGAGTCAATTCTAAAATTCCTATTCAATGTAAAAAACCTGGAATAGTCAAAACAACTTTAAATGAGACAGTATCAAGAATTATTATAAAGGTACAGTTGTTATCAAGACAGTTTAATATTGGTATAAAGATAGACACATATATCAAAGAAAATAGAGATTTCAGAATTAGATACACATATGAACAACTATTTCTAATAAAAGTGCAAAGGCAATTCAGGAGAAACATTATAGCCTTTGTAGAAAATAGTGTGGGACAAGGATATTCACGTGCCCAAAAAATGAGTTTCCACCTTGCACTACACACAAAAATTAATTTAAAATGAGATATGAGCCTAAGTATAAAATCTAAAACTTTGAGGCTTTTAGGGGAAACCTAAGAAAAAATATTTGAAACCCTTCCTTAGACAAAAATGTCTATATATAACACCAAAAGCATGATCTACATAAGGAAAAATTAATATACTGAATTTAATTAACATTAAAAGTCTTGAAGGACACTGTTCAGAGAATGAAAAGGCAAGCCACAGATTGGGAAAACTTCTTAGCAATTACATATCAATAAAAGATGTATCTAGACTACCTAAAGATAGTCTAAACTCAGTAATAAGAGAATAAACAATCCGGTGGCAAATGGGGAAAACAGATTCAAATAGATACTTCACTGTGGAGGAAAGAGGGGTGGCAAGTGAACACATGAAAAGATATTTAACAACGTAAATCAGGTCAATTCAAATTAAAAACATGATATACAACTACATATATATTAGATGGCTAAATCTGAAAAGAATGACCATATCAAGTGTTGATGAGGATGCACAGCAAATGTAATTCCATACACTACAGTTTTGAATGCAAAACGTTACAACCAGTTTGAAAAAGTTGTACTTAATTAAATTAGATATAGCAGATGTATCTACTATATGATTTTCTAATGCTGGGCATTTATCCAAGAGAAGTGAAAACATAAGTTCATACAAAGACTTGGGTTTGAATATTCATAGCATCTTTATTATGGTTAAAAACTAGAATTGATCCAAATGCCCATCATGGATGAATAAATCAACAAATTGTTGTGTATGCATAAAATGGACTACTACTCAACAATAAAAAGCACTATGATATTAATACACGCAACACTGCGGACAAACCCCAAAGTAAGTATGCTGAGTAAAAGAAGAAAGACAAAACTTCCATTCATATAAAACTCTAGAAAATGTAACTAAACTACAGGGACAGATAACAGGACAGTGGTTACTGGTGATGGTAGTTAGGGTAGGATGACATGTCACAAGTAAAGTTCTGGGGGTAAAGAGTATGCCCCTTCCTTTATTGTGGTATTGGTTTCAGAGACACAAACATATGTCAAAATTTATCAAATTGTACACTTTTTAAATATATGCAGTTTATTGTTTGTTGATCATACCTTTAAAAAGCTGTCAAAATGCGTTGGATGTTGCACGTATAGTAATTACACAGTAAATATTTTGTTGAATGAATGAATGAGCAAGTGAGTGAAATGATTGTGGATGGATCAGCATTTTCTGTAGAACAGTTGCAGCATTTGAAAAATACCAAGTATGTGACCAAGATTATACAGCAAATTGATTCCTGGGAGATCATCCTCTCCTATTGAAATATGTGCCCCCCAAGTGCTCATCACCACTGTTCATCAGAGAAATGCAAATCAAAACCACAATAAGATACCATCTCACACCAGTTAGAATAGTGATCATTAAAAAGTCAGGAAACAACAGGTGCTGGAGAGGATGTGGAGAAATAGGAACACTTTTACACTGTTGGTGGGACTGTAAACTAGTTCAACCATTGTGGAAGACAGTGTGGTGATTCCTCAAGGATCTAGAACTAGAAATACCATTTGACCCAGTCATCCCATTACTGGGTATATACCCAAAGGATTGTAAATCATGCTGCTATAAAGACACATGCACATGTACATTTATTGCAGCATTATTCACAATAGCAAAGACTTGGAACAAACCCAAATGTCCATCAATGTTAGACTGGATTAAGAAAATGTGGCACATATACACCAAGGGATACTATGCAGCCATAAAAAATGATGAATTCATGTCCTTTGTAGCTACATGGATGAAGCTGGAAACCACCATTCTGAGCAAACTATCGCAAGGACAGAAAACCAAACACCGCATGTTCTCACTCATAGGTGGGAACTGAAAAATGAGAACACCTGGACACAGGGTGGGGAACATCACACACCGGGGCCTGTCGTGGGGTGGGAGGATGGGGGAGGGAGAGCATTAGGAGAAATACCTAATGTAAGTGACGAGTTAATGGGTGCAGCAAACAAACACGGCACATGTATACATATGTAACAAACCTGCACGTTGTGCACATGTACCCTAGAACTTAAAGTATAATAAAAAAAGAAAGATATCCCCCATTTCAAAAAATCTGATAATATCTAAATAAATAATAATGCAAAATATCTTCTTTACAGTATGAATGCTGACCCCCAAACAGTGCAGAATTTTGAAGTGACAGAAGAAAAGAAATAAATCTCTTTCATGTAATTTTAGTGTTAAAGGGAAACAGTTTAATTTTGAACAAATGAGTATATATAATGTTCACAGTAACTTTCATTTAATAACTATATACATATTCAGTTAGAGAAAATCTACAATTTACTCACTTAAAAATGATTTCCCATCTCTGCATATCTATAAGACAATAACTGGGGAGGATCATTTTTATTACAGAGAAATTGTTCACTTTACAAAAAAAGTTCACAGAGGAATTATTGAAATATCAGAGTTAACTAGAGCATTCAACTGTTAGTTATCAGGTCATTTACTTTATACGATGGGGTTATGCCGGAGGGAAAATGAACTTAATATCTGAATGGAGTATTGAAACTACTTTGAATTGAGTACATCCCACAAATAAGAGTTTAAGAATTTGGAAAACATAATATAAATCAACTGAAAAAGTACGCATAGTTAACACCAATTACGTTTTGATAATACTTGTAGTGATATGTCTGTAGTGATATAAGGTGATATCAGTAGTGTTATGGGGTACATGTGATAGGAGTATATGTATAGCAGATGCTTGAATCAAACATGTAAGTAAGCTAAGGTTTCCCAACTTGAATATAGACCCTATTTAGTTGAACATTCAGATATTGCTCCCAATTACCAGACAGACCACTGGTGTGTCTTATACCAAACAAAGGCATATATGAGGAAATCTGTGAGCTGCAGGCATCTCAAACCTAACAATGCATTTTTCTAGTCCTCCTTAGCCACCTTGCCTTGACAAGCATGTCTCCATGGAACCAAGAGAAATTAGAGCTAATGAGCCAATAACTTTATTTCCCATCCTCACTCCCTATCATGGCTTGAGCTAAGCAAACTATGCTGGGTGTGAATAAAATTGTGATATGTGTGTAGAGTTTCCCATTAGCATGCACGTCAGAGAACCAGACCAGCACAGGTCTACAGGTCTTTTATTTCACCTGGATTAAAAAAAAAAAAAAAAGAGGGAGATACAGCTATATAGCAGCCATTTTTTTTTTTCTGGATCTTACCAGCCCTCCATCCTGCTACAATGAAATCACTATCTATTACTAAACAGAGCCAGAAGGAATCTCACTTGTGCTCACAAAGAAATATTTGCGAAACCACAGATTAAAAACAAAAGGCAAGAAAGCAAACTAACAAAAGATACCACTTCTAGTCTGTCTTCCTTTTATTGGAAACCAATATGTTCATTAGGCACCACTGACAGTTTTATGGTTAACTTATTCCCAACATATGATGAACGTATTATTCCCAACATATGGTGAACCATAGTGATGGTACCACTGTATACTACCACCTTTCACCAGATACTGTCATATACCATGGGGTACTGTCCTATCATATCAGGCATCATTGTCTTTTCTGTTGGTCAGCAGCCTTTTGCACCCAAATTGGGTAATTTAAAGGCAAAATAGATAGAGCACACATCTGCTGATGTGTTATAGCAGTGTTGTGTTTTGTTCATCCATCCAATCAACATTTAGAGAAGCTTCTAGTAGGTGATAAAGAGACAATGGTTAACTTAAACAGACAGTCCTTGTTCTTATGAGGCTTTCTAATAGGGGAGTGGCACACAACAGAGATGAGTGGCTTGACCCAGCAAGGAGCATGTTGAATTTGAGTGGGGTTGGATTGTGCAGAGCTTTATCCTCAAAGCATTGGGAAGTCATTAAGTATTAAGGAAATAAGGATCAAATTTTCCTTTGTAAAATGTCCTGCTTGGTTGCACTGGGGAAAACAAAGTAGGTGTGGGGAAAGCAGTTATAAACCTCTTGCCTCAGCCCACATGAGTTGAGGAGACATGCATCAACCAAAGAGAGTTTCAGAGGGAAAAAAATTCAACAAGACTGGTTATTGATTAAGTGTGGGTTGTGACAAACCGCAAGAGATTAGGGACAACTCCCAGGCTTCTCATTTTCTCTGACAAAAGAAGGGAGAAACCCTCTTTAATTTTGCAACTCACATAGGATCCCAAAGCAGTACTATCCGTCCATCAAATCTAAATTTTTCCCAAAGGAGGCCACTATTTTTTTTTCCTATGTGCCAGGTTAGTGTTAAAGTTGTCATCACGCAATAATGCATTCACTTCTCTAAACAATTCCATGAGCTAAATGCTCACTATCCTTCCTAATTTAATGATCAGAAGAGTGAGGAACTGAACTTGAATGTCCAGCTAGGATATTCAGCTAGGATAGGGCACAGCTGCGGTTGTTATTTGAGCAGCTTAATTCAAGAGGGCTTGTTTTAAAAACTGCAGCACTAAACTCTGGAGAACTGAGCTCTCAGTTTATATTTTTTGTCCTTTTCCTCTCTTAATAAAATGCAGACATAAATTCATGGAAGGTGTGTGTGTGTGTGTGTGTGTGTTTTCTTTATGCATGGGGCTGTTTGTGATATACATAAATAAGTGTGTGTGTCACATGCATGTTACTATGCAAGTGTGTATGTTTAAGTCTGTGTTGGTGTTGCACGTGTGTATTCTTGTGTGGGAGTTAGTTGTGTTGTGTGTCTGTGTATGTGTAACATTTGTGAGCTCATGTGTGTTTGTGTGTAGTGTGTATATGTGTATTTGTGCAGAGCTAGGAGGTAAAACCTTCTACTCTGACAAAGAAGCGTTTACTCCCAATTTTGTTATGACCTGATTCTTTTTTCATCAACATAGTCTTTTTGCATTCTGAGTAATGTGCAAATTATTTTAAAAAAGATAATCTCCCAAGTTTCCAGCATTATACTAAGTTGTTTTTATTATACTGTCTCTTAAATGTTTGTATGTGTAAAGCTCTTATGTAATATAAAGCAAAAATAAGTTTATAAATTCAATAAAAACAGAAAAATATCTAAAAATAACAACATTAGTGTACTGTGATGGATGATGTTGTTTGGTTGAAACTAAATTCCGATAATGTGAATATGGCATCAATGTATTATGGCACAATCTTTTTCTATTTTTAAAGGGGCATGTATTAGATTTCTCCACCAATTTCAACTCTTCAGTATATCATGGACTCTTTTTTTTTAATTCAATGAGCTTTGATGTAGTTTGGCTTATGTTTTATGTTAAACGGTGTTTATGTGTCAAACAAATTTCTCCCTTTTTCTTTTTATTAGCAGACAGTAATTAAAATTGCATTATGTAAAAACTAACACTGACTCTGAAAACTCTTGCATTGCCCAGCTATAAATTAGTGTGTTCTTACAGTATATTGTAGCTATTTGTGTTATCATCCAAGTGAAATATAAAGCTTTTTAAAAAATCTTAGAATTCTTGAAGCCCTGATGGAGAAACACTGCCTTGGATTTTCTTTCCCTATAGAGGCTCATTAGTATATCACACAAATAGGTTCCTGTCTGCTAGTTCCTCCATTCTATAGACATACTTAGATCCATCAGAATCCCAGGAAGGATCACAGATTGGCCTTCAGCTGCTCCCTGCAACCTCCACTATCCCCAATCTAATGCAGCCTAAAGATTTCTCTATATACAATTTTAACAGCTGTGATCATCGGCTGGATAGCATTCACTTGGATGCTACCATTTTCATACATCCATTCTTTCAGTCATTGCTTACATAAGTATATGCACTCTAGGCCTTTTGCTTGGCACTGGGATTACAAAGGTGGATGAGAGGCAGTTTATGCTTTCAGGGACCTTATTCTATTGCCACATGTAAGCAGTATAGGAACCTAATCCAATCTCAGCATCTGGAAGAATGTCTTTAAAAAGATGACCATGAGCTAAATTCTGAAACAGTAGCAGAAGTAAATTAGAGAAAGAAGGAGAGACATTTCCAGCAGCAGAAGCAGCACATTACAAGGGAAATGAAAGAGGTGAGATTGTCTGGATCAGAGTATAAGGGGAAAAGTGGTGGATGTTAAACAGAGCCATGCCATGAAGTAGCTTATGTGCCAAGCTTAGGAGTTTGGACTTTTGCCCCAAATGCTGTTGTATTAGTCTGTTCTCATACTGCTATGAAGAAATACCTGAGACTGTGTAATTTTTAAAGAAAAAGAGGTTTAATGGCCTCACAGTTCCACATATCTGGGGAGGACTCATAATCATGGCAGAAGGTGAAGGAGGAGCAAAACACATATTACATGGTGGCAGGCAAGAGAATATGTGCAGGGGAACTGCCTTTTATAAAACCATCAGACCTTGTGAGACTTATGATCATGAGAACAGCAAGAGAAAAACCTGCCCCCATGATTCAATTACCCCCCACCGGGTCCTTCCCATGACACACAGGGATTATGGGAGCTACAATTCAAGATAAGATTTGGGTGGGGACACAGCCAAGCCATATCAGCTGTGGAAAGCCTGTGCTGAGTGTCAAACAGAACAACAGAATTTAATAGCATCTTGAAAGTTCATTGAGAAAAAGGTGTAAGAGATAGATGGAGAGGGTGGGCATGGCTAAGATTAGGAAAACCAGTTAGTAGGATAAGATAGGAAGATAATGGTACTCTCAACTAGATAGTCATAACACAGAGATAATACTGATTAAGTTGAAAATACATAAAAAGAGGCAGGTGTTTTTGAACTTGCTGAAGGAGCTGGAAACTTTTTTTAAAAATCAAAGACGAGGTCCTGTTTCTGGCTTAGACATTAATAGGATGGAGAATAATAAATATTGAATACTTAATATTCACAAAATACTAGAATGAGCATTTTGCATTTATCATTTTGCTTAGTCTTCTAGAGGAGCCTTAACATTCTTTTAAGGTTGATGGTTCTCCCTTTTTATTAAGTGGAAGATCCAGATGACTCAGTGATTTTACAACTTGCCAATTTTGAATCTCGCTCACTGAGCTAGGAAACACAAGAGGAGAGCAATGGTCATTTTGGGAATGGAAGATGAGTCTAATTTTGGACAAGTTGACTTTGAGTCATATATAAGGAAAGGCAGAGAGCTGCACAGCTCCAGGGAGGATCATTCACATAGACCATGACTGCTAGTTCTACTATGTCATGTATTTGCAAGTGAATATATTTAGTATGCAGATGTATATGCATGTGGGCAGCTCAGCATCAAGAACCAGGCTACAGATTTAAATTCAGAATATCAGATTATAGTCTCTGGAAGATGAAAGACAGTAAATAAGTATTTATTGGCTATGTGTCAAATTGATGATGATGAAAGCTTTGGATATGGGTGAGATAATTCAAAAAACATATATAGAGAAGAGGTGTGTATTACATAAACCTTTAAGGATTAGGCAATAGAAGAAAAAGCCATAAAGAGGATTGTGAAGAATGTACCAGAGTAGTAGGAAGAAAACCAAAAGAGTTTTGTCTCAGAAATCAAAGAACAAATAAGTTTAAAGAGAATCCAGTTATCAGTGTCAAATACTGCCGAAAGTAAAGAAAGATGAAACCTGGAAGGTGGACATGAGACTTAATGGCAGACAGATCCAAGAATCATTTTGATGCCTTAAGAGTATGAACTAAGGAGAAGCTGGGAGAATATACACATTGGTGGCTTCTTAGAATACATAGAATTTTTCACTTGTCTCAGACCATAAGTGATTCTAGGAAAATGTGACTACTTGGAAACTCTCTGTCAAGTCAGGGCTGTTGTTGTTCTGTCACAGTAGAAATTTGCCAGAGACCATCTCACTGTTTGGGTTTTAAGATTACACTTAGTTTATAGTTACATTGTTTCAGACCATTTCAGAATCAGCAATGGTCACATATTTGGAAAAAAAGTCAACCAAAGAATCATAGAATCTCATAATTCCAGTAATTCAACTATTCTGATCTCATTGTCTTCAAAGGAAACTGAAACTCCAACATTTATATCCCAAGTATTGACATATACTAGGCTGGTGCTGTTGTCTCTATACCATATTACTTGACTAAATTTAAATGTTGTGTTTAAACACTGTTCAAGGAAATCTCTTTCTTGAAATAATCCCAGAAAAGACACATTTTTTAATAAGTGATAAAATACTCAGAAGCACAAAATGAGGGGAAGACTCATACTTTTGAAAACTACACACAACAGGACCCTACCTTTAGGTCATATAGATGTTAGGGATCACAGGAGCAGCTACACCCCAGTTTTTACTAAATTGTTGCTCAGATACAGTTTCCCTTCCTCAGCTGATTGTTAGCAAGAATTAGAGCCTAAAGGTCTTCTGTCCACAAAATGAACAAATGATCAAGTGTTCATATTTATAATCAAATAAACTTACAATTGATAAAAAGTCACAAAATGGTTATATGGTTTAGTTATTATGTACATGGAAATTTTTCATCTTATTCATCTTTCCAGGTGAGATAGATACCAGTCAGTTGGGAGACTCAAGGACCTCGGACAAAGAGTCAGACCAAGGTACAACCAAGGCCTCAATTTTGAGGTTGAAATTTGACCTCAAATTGAATAAACTATTATTTGGTCATGAAATTTCTATGTGCCTCAGTCAGGAGTCTAGGAACTCAAGGCAACTAACTCTTCTTAATTAGACCTGCAAATCCTAGTGACTATAGTTTCCTCCCTACATTTCAATACCTAGCAGCTGTGTAGGATTTCTAAATTTTCTTCACCTTTTTCTTCCATTATGTCACCTTCCCAACAAGTCAGTGATATGGATAAAAACTACATTATTTTTCTCCTTGATAGATTAGAAGACAAGATGAGAGATTAAGAGATGTGTTCACAATCACACAGCTAGTAAGTGTCAGAACCAAGTTTATAGCTTATCTTATAAGCAAGTTTACAGCTTATCTTATAAGCAAGTTTATAACTTATAAGCAAGTTTATACCTTATCTCTCTTAACCTTTGAAGTGGACCAGGGAGCTAATAAAGAAGAATTCTTCCGCCCAGCACGGTGGCTCACACCTGTAATCCCAGCACTTTGGGAGGCTGAGACCGGCAGATTACCTGAGGTCAAGAGTTCGAGACAAGTCTGGCCAATATGGAGAAACCCTGTCTCTACTAAAAATACAAAAATTAGCCGGGCGTGGTGGCGGGCGCTTGTAATTCCAGCTACTTGGGAGGCTGAGGCAGGAGAATTGCCTGAACCCCAGAAGTGGAGGTTGCAGTGAGCCAAGATCACATCACTGCACTCCAGCCTGGGTGACAAGAGTGAAACTCCGTCTCAAAAAAAAAAAAAAAAAAAAATCTTCATGATGCTTTTTTGATTTCTAGAAAGTTAAGAAATAAATGATTTTTCTCTTATGGGGAAGATAAAAAGTGGATGTGGATTCTTTCCTACTCCTGCAACTGAGAAGTGGAATCTAATTTTATCCCTGTGAGCCTAGGACACCCATAGTAAGTTGCTGGATCCACAGAATGTGGCAAAAGTGATGTTCTGGACTTCTACGCCTAAGTCATCAAAACCTGCGCAACTCTGTCCATGCCTCTTGGAATGCTCATCCTAGGAGAAGTCAACTGCCATGTAAGAAATCCTGAGAATACCATTCTTTAGAGAAGTTCAAGCTAGTCACGGGGAGATACTATATACAGAGAGAGGGATGACCTGCTAGTCCCAGTTGTGTCAGCCATCCCAACTGAGGCAACAGACTTTTAAATTAAAAAGCCATCTTGGACATTCCAGCCCAAGGAGACACAATGTAGAGAAAAATGAAGATGAATTGGACAAAACTAAGGTTCTTGACATATGAGTACCATTGAGCTGGCCCAGATAAATTGAGATACTTGAGTCATCTTGGCTGAGGTTCCAGTCATCACAGAGCAGGGATGAGATCATCCTGCTCTACCTTTCTGAATTGTGAGCATAATAAAAATGAGTGTTTTACACCACTAAATGTTGAGGTGGTTTGTTATGCAGCAATAGATAAACAGAACATTTTAGTTAAAGCCTTTGATACGACTTCATGATTGAGTGCCCTTCAAAATCAGAATTGTTAGTCATGGAAATAACACAGCAAACTGCAGTTATTCAGAGCTCTTGGGGATTAAGTCATCTTGGATGATAGAATGATGGCATTTCAAAAGATAGAGGTGATTAATCTTTTAAATGTTGGTGATAATGTATTTTAACTGTTTAATATGCATCATTATACAGTCACATATATAGAAATTTATATATGTTGAACACGTATTATGTGCCAGGTTCTATGTTAAGGACTGGGTTAGAGTCTTGTACCTATCCGGTGTAGCCCTTGCTCCCCCAAGTAATTTTCCCAAAGTTACAAAGAAAGAAAGTTATAGAGACAGTTTTCCAACCTAGATCTGCCTCATTCCAAACTTCATAGGAAGATATTTTGCAAGGGCAAGTTCCCAGGTGGTACAGTTGAGGCCAATGGCCTACTCTCATGCTTTTGCCTTTACCCATTATTTATCATCATTTTTATAGGTCACCTCTCTGAACAATAGTTACATTGAAAAATTATGCTTTGTTACCCCTTCATATCTGTGGGTTCTGCATGCATGAATTTAACTAACTGCAGATTTAAAATATTTTTAAAAGTAAATAAAAAATAATACAACGAAACATAATAAAAATTTAAAAATATAGTATAACAACCATTTACATACTCCTTACCTTGTATTAGGTATTATAAGTAACCTAGACATGACTTAAAGTATACTGGAGGATGTCTGTAGGTTATATGTAAATACTATGCTGTTTTATATAAGGGACTTGAGCATTTGCAGATTTTGGTATCTGGTGGGTGTCCTGGAACTAATCCCCCATGGATATAAAGAGATGACTGTACTTTTCTTTGTCTACAACCTTCTAAATAAGAAAAGCTGAGGTACATTGTAGAAATGAATTTTGCTTGTGTTTCTGCATGGTCATAGCTTGAATTTAATCAGCAAATTTAGGTGAGGCAAACTGCTTGCAATCATTTAAGATGGAATCAGTGATAACAATAATGATTTCTTACACTTTCCTGGTGCTTCTCACCTGAGGATTGCAAAAGGCTTTATAAACATTAATTAAGCCTTACAGGATTTCAATGAGGTCATGAAACAGTTTAATTACTGTAATATATTATGATTTTTAAATAAAGCAAATGTAACTTCAGAATCACATTTTGAAGCTCTCCTTTGCTCTTGTTGGGATAAACCCAGGAGTTTAGGAATGACTTTGTATTCCTTCATTTGTTTTCTAAATTTTAAATAAATTATTAAATAATATAGCCCTTTTTCATTTGGAAGAAACAAGAAAAACTGCATTGTGTATTTCATGGGAATTAATTGATTTATCGACTTAAATTTCATCTTTGGTCAATATTGGGCACAATGTTATACACTCAAGAATACAGAGAATATAATATGCCCTCAAAGACTTCCCAACTCAGAGGGGAGATATACAAGTAAAATACAATGAATGTAATGTGATTAGAGCTGTAACAGAGGTATGCATAAAGTATTATTCAAGCATGAGAAAGTATACTTAACTCTGTAAAATAATGGCTAACACCATACAAAGCTTATTATGTTCCAAGTACCCTTCTAAGATTTTACTTACTATTAACAGCTTAATTTTCACAACAATTCTGACATGGAGGCATTATAATTTTCCTCATTTTATAAACAAGAAAACTGAGGCATAGAGATTGAGTAACCTTTCCATGGTTACATAACTCATCGGTATGTGGTATAGGTGGAATTTGATATTAGGCCTTATCTTCAGGGTCCTTGCTCTTGATCACTATTCTGTAGTGTAAACATGGGTGGGTAAGAGGAAATCCTAAAGGAATAACAGAAAGAAGGAAGCACAGTGGAATATTTTATGCCTACAAAAAGCTCTTGTTAACTAAGCTTTGGTAATAGAGAAGCTCTACAGAAAAGTCAGTAAGAAATAATGTTGACTGCATTTCTAGTCAGCACTAACCTGTGGACAGAAGTCATCAAAGAAAGGAAAAATTTTACCGTTGTGTTTTAGTACCTTCCAGCCTCTCCCAATGATAGGCTCGGCTCACAATTTCCTGAGTCAACTGTGACTACGGTTATTTCTAAGTAGCTCTGAAGTGCTGTCTGAGGCACATGACATGACACAGCTACACAAAGCAGTGGGCAGACATATGCTTATGCAATTAAGATACATCTCCCCCAAATTCCTGAGATTCTACCTTTGCTACTACTTATATGTCTGTTCTCTAGTGATAAAAATAATTCTGTTTACATGGCCAAAGCTTGGACCTCCTCCACCCATGTTTACCTTTTCTATTTCTTCTCTCTAGTCATGGAATGTGGTCTTCTGTTATTCCTGTCACAGAACCCCCAAAACCATTATTTCTGCCTAGAGACTCCCATTTCCAAGGCTCATGCCATCTACCTACTTGGGGATTCTTACATAATGTTGAAAGTCTAAACAGAGCTCCCAATGGACATGCTTGACTTCTCTGTGTAGATGAAACTCAGCATTTTCCTGACTGAGCTTGTTGATCATCAGTTTCACGTGGCAAAGTATTGACTGACGGCACAAAACCTGGCCACTAGAATGTTCCAAGTGTATTTTTAAACATTAAAGAGCAATAAGCTTTTTCTTTATACTTTTCATAATGGTATATATTGTCATGGGCCTGTATTTCAGTATAGCGTTCCTGAGTAGGATATGGCAAATTTAAGAAAGACAAGGTGGACATAAGAGAAAAAATAGAGAGATGCATTTACCTAACAGGTAATTTTTGAGTGTTTATAATATACAGGCACTATATCACACATAGAGGATTTCAAGGAGCATGTCATGTAGGGAAAGAATCAAATAGCTAACCACGTCTTAGTCCACTTTGTGTACCTATAACAGAATTCCTAAAACTCGGTAACTTATAAAGAAAAGAAACTTATTTCTCACAGTTCTGGAGGCTGGAAAGTTTAAAATCAAGGTGACAGCATCTTGTGAGCGCTCCCTTGCTGTGTTCTCACATGGCAAAAGGCAGAAGGGAAAGAGACAGAAAATCTACTCCCACAGTCCCTTTTTTATGGCAGTATTAATCCCCTCATGAAGGTGGAGCCCTCCCAATCAAAACATCTCCCATTAACTGCACCTCCCAATACTGTTGCGTTGGGGATTAAATTTCTAACACACAGGGGACATATTTCCAATTTTAGGGGCCATATTCAGACCATAGCATTCTGCCTCTTGCCCCACAAATTCATGTTCTTTCCATGCAAAATACATTTATTCCATACCAATAGCCCCCAACGTTTTAACTTGTTTCAGCACAAACTTTAAAGTCTATGTCCCAAATCTCATCTAAATGAGATTTAGGTGAGATTCAAGGTACAATTCATCCTGAAGTATTTCTCTTCAGCTGTGAGCCTGTGAAACCACACAAGTTATGTGCTTTCAAAATGCAATGGTAGGCCAGGCATAGGATAAACATTCCATCACAAAAAGTAATAGAAAAGAAAGAAGGAGTAACAGGTCCCTAGCAAGTCCAAAACCCAAAATGGCAAACAGTATGAAATCTCACAGTTTGAGAATAATCTTCTTTGACTCCATGACCTGCCTTTCAGACACACTGGGGCAGAGGTTGAGTCATCAAGACTCCTGGTGGCTCCAAGCCCATGGCTTTGCTGGGTACTGCCGATACCACTCTCACGGGCTGGAAGAAAGTTCCTGCAGCTCTTCCAGGCTGGTGCTGCATGCTGGTGGCTCTACAGGACTGGAGTCTCAGAGCCATCCTATTTCCCCAGGTCCACTAGGCTTTGCCCTTGTGGCAGCTCTCTGCAGTAGCCTGGACCCCATAATTCCACTGAGCATTGCCTGAGGCTGGGGGGATGGATCTTTTGGTGGCAGCTATATCACTGTAGCGCATCTCTGCCATAGTCCTGAGGCTGCTGGAGACATCCTTTGAAATCCATGTCAGGGAAGCCATGCCTTCACAGCTTATCCCCTCTGTATGCCTGCACAATCAGCACCATGTGGTTGCTACCAAGGCTCACCGCTTGCACCCTTTGGGGCACAGTGGCCTGGGATGCACCTGGACTGCACTTGGGCACATTTGAACCACAATTGGGGTGGTGCTGGAACGTGGGGAGTAAAGACCCAAGGCAGCCCTTGGCAGTGATCCCTAGAGTCCCACAGATGCCCTGGGCTCATCCATTTAAACCATTCTGCCTCAAGGCCCTAGCATTGTGGGGCTATGATAGAAGAGGCAACCTCCTTGAAGATCTCCAAAATGCCTTTGGGGTCATTCTCCTACTGTTTTGATGAATAGCAGATGAATTTCTTTGATTCATACTAATCTCTTTATCAAATAATACTTTGGCCACACCCATGGTATTCTCTCTCCCTAACATAATTTTTAAATTCTTTACATGGCCAGGGTGAGAGGTTTTCAATTTTTTTCCTCTGTTTCCCTTAAGTTTATAAATTCCATCTTTAAATCATTTCTTTCTTCTTACATTTTACTAAAAGCAGTTAAGAACAGCTGCAGCACATCCTGAACAGGTTAGAGACTTGCTCTGCTTAGAGATTTCTTCTGCCAGATATCATAGTTTATCCCTCTTAATCTCTGATTTTCATGAAGTCCTGGGACACCAACATAATTTAGTGACGTTCTTAGCCACTTTATAAAAAAGATGGCCTTTTCTTCAGTTTTCAATGCCTTGTTATTCATTTTTGTCTGAGACCTCATCAGAATGGCCTTTACTGTCTGCATCTCTTCAGGCATTCTGGACATGTCCACTTAAGGAATCTCTAAGAAGTTTCAGACTTTTCCTACAGCTTTTCTCTTCTTCTGAGCCTTGAACAGAATTGCCCTTAATCCTTCATTCATGGCAATACAGGGTTTTTTTTCTGTTATGTGCTTCAAAACTGTTCTAGCCACTACCTATTAACCAGTTCCAAAGACTCTTCCATATTTTAAGTATTTGTTACATAGCAACATCCCATTCCTCTGGCACCAATGTCTGCCTTTGTCCTTTTTGTGCTCTTATAGCAGGATACCTGAAACTGGATAATTTATGAAGAACAGGAATTTATTTCTCAATTCTGGAGGCTGGGAAGTCCGAGATCAGGACACTGGCACCTGGTGAGGGCTTTCTTGCTGCATTCTCACATGGTGCAAAGTGGAAGGGCAAAAGAGAAAGAACTCATTCTTGCAAGTTCTTAATAGTGATAGTAATCCATTCATGAGAGTAGAACCCACATGACCTAAAGCCCTTCTATTAAGACCTACCTCCCAACAATGTTGCATTGGAGATTACATTACTAACACATGAATTTTGGGGAACAGCCACAGGTGATTAGGCCACAGGTAATATGCACTGATTATGAGGATGGGAAATCCCTTAAAGAGACCAATTTACTAGCTCTTATTATATCAATTAATAATGCTGGAGAAAAGTAATTTCTTATCTAAGGTCTATTCAAACACTGGGATTTAGGTAGGTGGTGTCAGTGTATGTGTGAATATGCACACGTGATTGTCCAGAAGCAGAGAAGTGGGGATATTTTCTAGGTCAGAGGAAATAATATATACAAAGTCATGAAATTAGAGACGGAGATTAGGTGTTTCTGGCTGCAATGCTGCATATGGAAGAGATGGTGATGAGGAAAAATAGAACTTCCAATTAAGGTACTGGTTGTGGAAATTTGTTGCAGAGATGTATTTAGGTGGCAGAACAATAGGAATTTATTGAATTTGATGAATTGATTGAATATGAGGGAGTAATTAAAGGTGACCTCTAGTTAAGCCACTTGCATAATGAGCAACATCACTCTTTTCAATGACATACTGGACACAGACAGAGACCGAGATTTACAATGAGTTCAGTGTTGGAGGTGATATATTTGAAATAATGAGAGTGAAGAGAATGGGCTCCAAATTCAGAGTGCCTAGTTTGAAATCCTGATTCCACCATTTATTAGCTGAGTGATCTTTGGTGAATCATCTCTACATATCTTTATTTCTTCATATTTAGAATGTTGTTAGATAATTGGAAAGGTTAATTTTACATGTCCACTTGACTGGGCCACAGTGACTAGAAAATTGGTCAAACATCTTTCTGGATATTTGTCTGAGGGCATTTAAAAAATTAACACTTACACTGGTGATCTTTGAGGAAAGTAGGTTGCCCTCCATATGTGGGTGGGCCTCATCAAATCAGTGGAAGGCCTGAATAGAACCAAAAACTGACCTCCACCAAAAGAAAGAGTATTCTGTGGCAAACACTGGCTCTTCTTTGCATCTGCAGCCTGATGGCCTCTGGAACTGAACTGCAGCATCAGCTGTTCTTTGAGACTCACCTTGCAGATTTAGGACTTGTCAACCTACATGATCTAATGAGTCAATTCCTTAAAATAAATATCTTTATATATGCATATGTATATGTGTGTGTTTATTATATATGTATCTCTCCATATAATATTGGTTATGTTTTCTGGACAATATTAATATAATTATAACATTACTAAACTCATAGAATTATTATTAAAATTAAGATAATACATGTAAATATTTCAGAATAGTACTTAGTATATTGTGAATACTCAAAGTATGATATATTATTGAGGTGTCTTTTGAGCATTCATTTCTCAATATCCAACATGTATTTGCACACACTGGCATGTATTTGGAGTTTATGGGTATTATGTAGGATGGAGATAAAGGTTTGGTATTATTAGCACATAGATGATAAATGATGCCATTAGAGTAGATTGGATTAACCAGCGAGAAAAGATGCTATGTGAGAAAAGCTTAGAGCAAAACTTCAAAAAACCTAATATTTAACATATGGACAAAAAAGCTTTTCAAGGAGAAACCAGAAAAGAAAAAAAACAGGAGGGCATTTTGCTAAAGCACTGCAAAATATACTATTTGCAAGATGAAAGTTAGCATATGACATTGACTATAATTAGAGTGAGCATATGACCAAGTGTACATTAACCTGTTCTGGTTTACATTTGTTATCCAAGCATAGTTATTAATTTAATTTTATAGGAATCTAAGATTCAGTAAAAGAAGTCAGCATGTTATTCAACAAAATTAAAGAATTTATATACTCTGCTTGAGAAAAAAATTTTCTCACATTCTTCCACAAGATTTGTAAAAAGGAAGAATGTAATGCAGAAAAGCCCCTGCTGTTGTCTGAATGTTCATGTCCCTTTAAAATTCACACTGAAACTGAATCCTCATTGTGGTCGTATTAGAAATTGGGACTTTTAGGAGGTGATTAGGTCATAAAGCCTCTGCCCTTATAAATGGGACTAATTGCACTTACATAAAAGGCTTGAGGAAGACTTCCATACCTTTGGCCACATAAGAGTATAGCAATAAGGTGCCATATATTAAGTAAACATAGAGCCCTCACCAGGCATTAAATCTCCTGGCGCCTTGGTTGTGGAGCTCCCAGCCTCTAGAACTGTGAGAAGCACATTTTTGTTTATTTAATCCCAATGCAAAATTCTGTTTTAAGAATTTAAGAGACAAATCTTAAAATTCTGTTTATAAATTACTCAATATTATAGCAGCCCAAATGAAGCCCCCGGCAACCATTTTAGGTTAAAAGAATGAAAGGAAGTACAGTGCTGCTTTACTAGGTGTAATCAAGGAAAGACCATCAAAGGAGTAATTATATTTAAAATATATTTTTGATTAAGAGCCAAGTGGCTTGAATATGGAGGATAAAAGAAAAAAAAAAAGAGATGAGTCTTGTAAGTTTTTGAACTAAGCAACTGAGTGAATAGCCTTATCATTGAGTGAACTAGAAAACATCTTGGAAAGAGTCAATTTTGGAGGGAAAAAACTACTTCTGTTTTGATCATGTGAAATTTGATATGTCTTTTAAAGATTCATGGAAGATGATATATAATAAGTGGGACGTTGTGTCTGTATCCCTGGGGAAAGTCCTGTGACAGACATATCATTATGATATTTATTATATTTAAAGTCATGGAACTGATGAAGTTACCTAGGGAAAAGTGGAGGTAGAAAACTCAGGGCCATCACTTAGAAGAGCCAGCAAAAAAAAGACTGAGAAAGAGAAAACAGTAAAATATAAGAAAAAACAGTTGCATACGGTGCCATTGAATCCCAGAGAAAAATACATTCAAGAAGGAAGCAATTAATGGAAGAAAATTATGAGTGATTAATGGGAGATAATTATGAGACTACTCAGAATTATTGAATATTGACTAGAGTAAGAAGAAAAGTCAATGATATTCTTAATAAGACGATGAAAGTCCAATTGGGAGAGGTGAGGAGAGAATGAGAGGTGACCATGCACAGTGAGCAAAGAGAGACAACTCTTAAGGGGTGAATTCAAAGGCAACCAGAGGAGATCTGTAGACAAAGATAATTTTGTTATTATAGTCACAATCTTTTTATTTTGGAATAATTTTACATTTATAGAAAAACTAAAGAGATTGTTCTTGGAGATTGTGTTTTAAGACAGGTAATTTTTAAAGAAGAGGGATAAATTGATGAGCAAAAGAGATAAATCCAGCAGATAATAAATTCTTCGATGAAGTGATCCACAGGGGAGACATTCCTGATACAAATAGAGAGGTTTTTCACTGACTAGAAATAGACAAAGAATGGAAGGCAGAATACATGCAGATGATGGGGAGCTGGTAGACTTGATAATAGAAGGATGAGTAGTTCCCTATTAATTATAAGGAATAGTCAACAGCTAAGGGTGAAAAGTGAGAGGATTTGGGGTTTTGAGAATATAAAAAATCATTTCTGTAAGTGAAAGTGATCTTTCTAGATAAATATTCTCTGTATTAAATACCCATTCAAGATTTGTTGTCATGTCTTTGAAAAGTAGCCAATCAGAGAAACATGCACTTTTTATATTATGTATAATATAGGTATGTTTGGATATAGGTACAGAGTTAGCAGAAAGTTGGATTTAAACTAATGTGAACCAGGATTCAGGTTTTGCTAAGATTGTGTAGATATACCCTAAATTAATTCCCAGTGAGCCAAATGTTTAATTCTCTCATCTTGGCTTACTTCTAACTAATAGAATATGGAAAAAGTGAAGGGATTTTGCAGATATCTAGGTAAGGTCCCTAACTATTTAAATTTGTATTAATCAAAAGGGAGGTAATCCTTGGTGGGCCTGACCTAATCAGTTGAGCTCTTTTAAAGAGGGCTCAAGTCTTTCCTAAAGATAGATACTTAATGCAACAGAGACACACTTTCTCTCTTTTGATGGCTTTGATGGGGTGAGCTTCATAAACTCTACAACCACACAAAAAAGTACTCTGCCAACAACCTAATGGAGCCTGGAAGTGGTTCCTTCTCTAACCCAGCCTCCAGAAAAGAACATGGGCTGGCCAATAACTTGATTTCAGTCTTGTCATACCCTGAGCATAGAATCTAGCTAATGTTCAGACTTCTGACCTATAGAAGCTCTGAGATAATGAATGGGTATTGTTTTAAGCCATTAGCTATGAATGAGTATTGTTTTAAGCCATTAGGTTTTTGGTAACCTGTTACATAGCATAGAAAAACATAACATAGGGATTACAAAAATTCTAAATAGGAAAAAGGAAATTGGGTGTTTTAAAAAAGGGATTATGATGTCAGACTATGAAAAGGAGGCTAAACTTGGACAGAAGTGATAACGGAAAGGAGGTAATAGACAGGACAAATATTACAGGGTTATGGATTAGAAAATTCAATGATACTAGGTAGCTTCTGAAGTGAGCATTCGGAGAAGATGAATTGGAAAGAAGAGCTTGGTCAAATTAAGGGTAAGACAAATGTGGGGTTATACAGGTACAGTTATTGGTGTAATATCAGAGTAGAACATATGAGAGGCTAAAGTAATGTGGAAGTATTAGGTTTGTACAAAGGTAACTGCAGTTTTTGCCATTAAAATTAATGGCAAAACCAGCAATCACTTTTGCACAACCTAACAGAAGTTTTTGGAATCAAGGACCAAGATGTGAGAGGCCAGCATGTTGGTTAAATCTGTTCTATTTATATTGAGAATTTTTAAAAATGAGGACCAGAGTGGTATTGAAAAAGGATATACACAGTCATCCATAAATGAGAAGAAAGGACTGAAATGATAACTAGCAACACCAAAAAGCAGAAGTAAATGATGACATCTCATTACACACACCTTAAAGAAATTGAGGTCTTTGAAGAAAGAAAACTGTTTGAAAGAAGCAATCGGGGCTAGGAGGGTAAAAAAACCCATTAACCAGTTACAATGAGGATGAAATTGTGAGACATCTAGTCTGGTAGAGAGAAACTGGGAATCAGAGTTCTCAGGGGGCACATATTTCAGTTAGAGAAAGAAAGGGATGAGACCATTCAGAGAAAAATGTGAGGATATTTTAGACCATTCAGAGAAAAATTTGAGGATAGTTGGTATATTTTGTTGACGGTGGATTGCCACTGCCCAGGATCAGTGTGACAGGGCTTAATAGGACACGGTGATGAGTTCAGATGTAGGGACAGAGAGCAGGAAGGGAAACAGCTTCTGGGTGAGGGAGACTTAGGTGGTACCTGAGGTAGGATGGAGAGTGACACATGATGGGATTGCTGATTGCCAGAGTGTGGAAACTTCAAGGCTCTGAATTTGACCTGGAAAGAACACAGATTCACCTGAGGCTGAAGAGAAATCACTTGACTATTCTAGACTACTACTCCCATCCATCTCCATTGCACTTGTGGTAGCCAGGAGTATGCTGGGTGGGAGGAACTGCTTACGCCACTGTCTTCATATTTTAGATGGAGTTATCACCACAAGAATGATATTTCTGCCTCTTATTTCTTCTCTATATTTTCAGCCTTTTCCTCTGGAATAGAAATACTCACAGGTCCACATTTCTTTACATAGTAAGATAATCCATTAAATGACTAAAGAACGGTGGAATTGTTCTTCTTATTCCCCCCAAACTTTACATGGAAATTTTTTACTCTTTCTTATTTATTTATTTATTTATTTTTTGAGACAGAGTCTCTCACTCTGTTGCCCACGCTGGAGTGCAGTGTTATGATCTCAGCTCACCTCTACCTCCCAGGTTCAAGTGATTCTCTTGCCTCAGCCTCCCGAGTAGCTTGGACTACAGGTGCACACCACTATGCCCAGCTAATTTTTGTATTTTTAGTAGAGAAGGGGTTTTGCCATGTTGGCCAGGCTGGTCTCGAATTCCTGACCTCAGATGATCTACCCGCCCGAGCCTCCCACATTTCTGGAATTACAGGCATAAGTCACCATGCCCAGGCAACTTTACATTAATTTTGTAGGCACATACTATCCCTCAGAGAGGCTGACCCAAAATCTACGACAAGAGGGGATATGAGAGGGTGAGCATGGAATAGAGAACTATAGAACCATATTTGCTTGCAAATCAAAGCCTGGTTCTCCAGTCTAAATTTTCATTCGAATATCTCGAATATTCAAGTTACCAGAATATCTCCAACTTGAGAAGGACACAAGTCTTCTATTATAGCTGTTGGGGGTTTAGAGAATCAAAATATATTGTAATTATCTATCTCTCACCAAGATTTGAAAACAATTAAGAGACCCAGAATGACAGGAATCAATCGTTAGCTTCACTATCGAATGAAAATTTAGTTCTGAGGGTTATCAAGGGGTCATTTTTTCATGGCAGTAGAAATGAGGTTGAGGATTATGAAGATTATCTAAGAGTCAAACACCTGACTAACAGTGCAGTGGGAGTGGCTGAGGGGAATGGAACTGACTGCCTTGTGCCAACTAGTTTACATGGGTTGGTCAAGTTGTTTCACACTTGGAATTTGCAAGACCTTTGAAGATTACAGCTGCCAAATAAAGACAGAGTCAGCTGGATGAGGTATTTCTTTCCTGGGAGGTCATCTGTGAGCACTGATGCTAGACTCAGACTAAAATTGTCTGTGGTTAAATCTTTCCACCCCCTAAGCTGTCTAAGGAAGCTCTTGTGATGTAGGATAAAGTACAATTTTCTCACATAGATAAGCAGAGATGAAAATGTGGAGAAAAATCTTGACATGTTGAATCCCTAGATCCAGTCATCCCTGAGAATGGAATCATCCTTGCTCTGGATGCGATTTGGTTTCATGAGTCAGATCATTTCTTACTTACATAAATTATTTCAAATTGGGCATTGTTTTAACTCTGTGTTCTTAGTAATATGGAAAAACTGTATTTCTTCTTTCCCTTTTCTTCTCTATTTTGTTTATCACAATTTTCCATAATTTTCCATGAGGAATATTCATTTGTAAACATAAGTATATTAAATACCTATGGTATAAAAAAGAGAGAAGAATAAGAATTTCTGCCTTTAGCAAGCCCTGAACATCAATTTGGCTGGGGAATATCAAATGTAAAAATGTCATCTTAGTCCATACAGTGTTGCTATAACAGTATACTTGAGGCTGGGTAATTTCTAAAGAAAAGAGGTTTATTTGGCTCACAATGCTGGTGACTGTAAGGCTCAAGATTGTGCAGCTGCATCTCACGTTGGTTCAACTCATGGGAGAAAGTGAAAGAGGAAAGAGCATGTGAAAATAGATCACATGGCAAGAGAAGAAGCAAGAGAGAGAAACTGAGGAAGTCAGACTCCTTTCAAAAACTGGGTCTCATGGAAACTCATCCACTTCTGTAAGAGAAGAGCTCACTCACCACCTTGAAAGGGCATTAATCTATTAATGAGGGATCTACCCTCCAGGATCTAAACACTGTAATACTAAGTCCTACCAGCCTACACTGCCACATTGGGGATCAAATTTCAACATAAGTTTTGGTGGGGATGAACCACATGCAAACCATAGCAAAAGGTGTCAAGGACCAAAATAATCTCTCTCCAGTAATAAGTGGAGAGTCAACATCAGTTTGTTATTATTACTTGTGTAGATTGATCAGTTTGGAAATAAAAACTCAAAATTTGACTTGGATTATCTAAGAATGTATATCAAACTCATGGTGGATAACTTATACAGAAAAGGAATTTGCATAAGATTGTAGGAGAGTTCACAAAAGTAGTTTTAGAATAGGATAAGAGCCAGAACAGTGCCAAGGATCTAGAGAACATTGAGTAATAATCTCATCATGATAGCTGAGATGAATCAAGTTCTATTTTAAAATTTATTTTGGTAATTGTTTTACTCTTTCCAAGATTTAAAGTCCTGGGAGAGGCTTGTATTTCTTATTCTTGGTACTTTGATTTATTCCTGCACCAAGACAAAGACCAAGACAAACTCTGACCTTTCCTCAGATTGAAAGAAAATTCCTCAAAAAGAAAAAAGGGGAAAAAAAAGAAAAGGAAAAAAAAGAGAAGAAGAGAAGAAGAGAAGAAAAGGAAAAAAGAGAACAAAAAAGAGAAAGAAACGATATGTGAGTATTGTTGAAACCACAATAAGGAACAACTGGGAAACAACAATACTTCCTTCTAGGATCAAGTAAAATGAATCAGCATTTGCTTTTGTTCCAGATATCTACAGCTGTGTCACAAATCACTGGAAATCATAGAGACTTAAAACAATAACAATTATCTCATTATATTTCAAGGTTTTTGTAAGTTGGACAGTTGGGAAGGGCTCAGCTGGGCATTTCTGGCTCCATCTTGTTTGATTGGTGTCAGAAGGGCCCTGGTGCTAGAACAACAGGGAGCTGAAGGAGCTGGGAGCTGTATGAACTTTTCATTTCTTCAAATAATTTTATGTCTGTTCTCTTCTTGTGATCTCCCCATGTAAGCTAGTTTGAACTTTCTCACAGCATAGCGACTTGAAGACAGATTGCTCATATGGTGTCTCAGGGCTCCAAAGGTGAGTGCCTCAAGGAAATCAGCAGAACCTATGTCGCTTTTATGGACTTGCCTCAGAAGTCATGTAGCATCATTTTAGTCACAGTCACAAGACCATCCAGATTGAAAAAGAGGGAACTAAGACCTCACATTTCAACAGGAGCAATGTCAAAATCACATTGAAAGAAGACTGTATGTGCTGGTAGATACTGTGGGAAAATGCAATCTGAGACAACTTTGGACCCCAAACAGACTGAATCCCTATATAAGAAGCTTGGTGATGTCTCGAAGTCTTTATATTATTTTTCCCTCCCTCTCCCATCCACCCCCCATATTTAGGGCCTGAAACAGGCAGGATAATATTAGTGCAACTCACTGCCTGATATTTTTAGTGCACTTCACAGAAGTGAAGTTGCAAATGAAGTAAAATAAATTTCAATACGTGAATTTCTTTTTTCATCATAGTTTTATGAATATGAAGAATATCATTTCTATAGGACTATTCTTGAATACCTCAATCATAAAAGGGAGCCTTTCTTCTATGAAGAAATGTTTGAAGACTTTTCCGTTTTTAGCAGAGTACATTTCATGATTCAAAGCATATGTGTTGTGCATCAGCTATGTGCCAAGCCCTATTCTTGGTGATGAGAATACAGCAGTAAACAAAACTTATTTTTTAAAAAATCTCTGCCCCCATGGAATTTACCTGAATACAATATTCACGTGGGAAAAGGACACTGCGTATTAATGCATATGTATTCAAATTCTTCCACCCACTATTGGATCAGGCTCCAGGGCAGGAACTGTGTCATTTTCACCACTGTATTCCCAGGGTCTAACACAGTGTCAGGAGGACAGCAAGGGCTCACTAGGTATTGAACTAATGTGGAGATATGGGGGAATTCAGGCCAGCTGCTTAAAAAAGGGGGGCTTTTCTGAGAAAGGAATCAGCATGTTCTCTTCTGAAAGGATTGGCCCAGATGAAGCTTGGGGAGATTGTTGAACTCTATCCTTAGGAAAAAAGGTTTAACAAAGCAAGGGGGAGCAGAGACAGGCTCTTTGTCATACTCTCAGTAAGAGAAAAGAAATCTGTAAGATTTCTTTAGCTTTGCAATTCCTCTATGTTTGTTATTCTTGCTTTTCTCTGTTTCCCTGTAGTGATTAATAATAATTTTTAAAGAAAATGTCATGTGTACCTGTCTTTGGGGACTGGAGGAAGGAGGAAGCTAGAAAGACAGCTACTTTGTGCAGGAAGGCTGGAGAGGAGAGGACCCTCCGGGGACAGACTTGGAATTGGCAGCTTTGAGCAGGGAGTGGGAAGAGTCCCTGGGGCCTGCTCTGAGGAAAAACAGGGGAGTGCCAAGCCTGGGCTGCACAGGGTTCGAGGCTTCAAAGGGCGAAGCCTGTGTGCTGACTTGACCTATCTTTGCTGAAGTTTTCCTTGTACAGAATTAAAAACAAATTCATCTTCTTCTAATGCTTTTGTGATCTCTCTGTCAGTTAAATGTGCCATCCAATACAGAAATTTTCTTTAAGCCCCACTCTGTTTCTTATCTTTCATTTATAATCACTTATCCAGTCCTGTCATTTCCACCTGTGAATATCTTCCAAATTAGTCCCCTTATTTCCATCCTCACTGTCTTCTGCCTGAGCTCAGACCACTTTATGTCTCCTAGATCCACCATAACTGCTTTCAAATTGGTCTTCAGCGTGAGAACCCTTAGTATTCCATATTACTCTTCTTAAAGAGAAATAAGATCATGGCTTGCTCTGCTTCACTTGCTCTGCTGTGAAAGCTTACTGCTTTCAGGATGAAGTTTTAAACTCATATATGAGACCTCTGATCCTCAACTAAATTTAGTCTCAATTTTTTTGTGCTTACTTCTCAAACATCTCCTACCCTCCTCATATAAGTTTGCTCACTAAAGCCCAAGTATGCCATACAATTACAAATGATGACTCATATACTTTTCTTTATAACATTCCCCTGGCCTAGAATGCCTTTCCCTGTCTCTCCAAGAGAAAAATTCCTTCTCAGTTTGAAATACTTAGCTCAAAGACCACCTCCATTCACTAAAGCTTTTGTTTTCTGCTTTCCCGCAGGCACTATTATCTTCCATATTCTATGCACATCCCACTTTAAAAAACTTTAAAATTTTCTCTAAAAGTTCTTAACTACATATTAACCATCACACCAGTTGGAAAGAGGATCTGCATTACTTAGAAATTCTAAATTAGGAAATTATGTAAAATATTTCTGAACTAGAGTTCCTTTAAATGTCTAGCAGGAGCAAATGCCAGTCCTCTTTCAAGAAATGAACCCTTAAAATAAGCCTTTTGAGAATTCAACATCCCACATAGACTATCTTCCATAGCCTATGACACATATTCTTGTTGTAGGTTAGTTTCCTCACTAGATGGTGACTTCTTTGAGAGGAAGGATTTGCTGTTAATCAACACAGTTTCACAAGTGCCTAGCACAGCACACGTTATAACACTGGTAAATAACACATAAGAGGTGAGTAGCAGAATGTGAAAATACATAGGTAGTTGTTGGTCCTCAGTTATGTGATGGTAGATAAAGGTGGAAGTGCAAGTCTAGGTAGGTGTGGAAGTGGCCTCCCTGTTCCAAGTCACTGATTGTACATGGAAATCTTCCATTTTGTTGCCTAGGGCTATAAAGAAATTAAACTAGGAAATACCAGTACAACAATTTGGTCTCTGGGCAGCTGGAAAACCTCACTTCTCTAAGAAATACCCAGTCCTGTTCCTGGATGAAGGAGAAACACCAGATTTGAACAAAGCAGGGTTGTATAACTGTATGTACATCTACACCCAAAAGTAATGTGTTCATTTGTTTTGTGCCAAAAAGGCCTATTTCCAGGTGTCTTGTGAGGGGCCAGCCTATCTATAAGTAATGACTTCAGCCCAGCAGTATGTTTCAAAGAGATGACACTACAACAACAGCAATAATAAGTAACAATAAAAATAATAGTAAATGTTGAGGTTTACTAAATGCTTGCTATGTGGAAGTCACAATTTTAGATGTTTTTATTTATATTGGCTCATTTAATACTTATACTGACCCAATGGAATAGATGCTAGCATATAGTATTCTCATTTTACAGATGAAGAAAATGAAGCACAGTTACTAACCTTCAGTAAATAGCATGAGGTCGCCCAGGCAATCATTAGAAGAGCTAGAAACCAAAATCAGTTAGTCTGGCTCCTAAGCTCAAAGTCTTAACCACAATGCTGATTTTAGATGAGGCAATGCTCTTGGAGATTTTCTTATTTAATGATTTAAAATATTTTTGTAGCCATGGAAAGTTTAATTTAAAATATATTATTTAAAAATCCTATTATATGAGATAAATAAAGGCTGAACTAGACTGCTTAGCAATATGGTGGACTAGATCCACTGGGAACTTTTCTTTTACAAATATGGGAATTTTTAAAATGTTTAAATATATATCTCAGTACTTTAGAAAACAAGGAAAGTTTACAAGGGACAGAAAAAAAGTGGGATCAGAAATAGAGTATACTAAAATGGAAGATTTCTTAAAAGCACTCATGAATTCCTGGTAAGCTAGAGCTGTTCTTTTAACAGCTGTGTGGGGAAGAAGAAAAGATCTTGGACCTATAGAAAGATGCAGAATCACAAAAGGCACATTTGAAAAGCTGGAATTCCCAAAAAAGATACTCCCTGAGTGAAATGCTGAGTAAGAAATACACATGCGCGCGCACACACACACACACACACACACCCACACACATCCACACACACACACACACACTGTGTGAATAAATAAATCAAAGAAACTTGTCAATTCCAGCCTTAGATCTTAGGTAAGATAAAACTTTACAATTTTCTCTAAAAGTTCTTAACTACGTATTAACCATCACACCAGTTGGAAAGAGGATCTGTATTACTTAGAAATTCTAAATTAAGAAATTATGTAAAATATTTCTGAACTAGAGTTCCTTTAAATGTCTAGCAGAAGCAAATGACAGTCCTCTTTTAAGAAATGAACCCTTAAAATGAGCCTTTTAAGAATTCAACATATTTCTATATGTTTCTGTATGTCTATATATATATACATATACAACACACACACACACACACACACACACACACATATATATATATATGCATTCTGGACCCAGATGTTGTAGAATTCAATAGCTAACACCAAAGGAACACAAATCTACAGAAGAAATAAAGAGGCTCATAAAGAAATAAGGTGTGTGGTTTCTGGGGTAACATGAAGAGCTTGGAAAGTCATTACTCCTGTTCTCACCCCACACACACACACACACACACACACACACACACACACACACTCACACACACACCAAATCACATAACCTTCTGTGTACCTACAACAGGTGCCCAAAACAGACAGCCTTTGCTAAAGCCAGTACTCATATGAACACTTAAATTGTAATTGATTGTAGAGGCCAGTGTGAACTAGCTTGGATATTAAAAGCTCCAGGAGTCTAGTCTTCGGAAGGCCCCTATACTTTTGTCAGTTCTACCTTCAAAACACCTACTAAGTTATCAAGGTGAAGATTGGAGAAAATTCTCATCATACTTCAGAGGGAAAAAAAAATAACCATTGTGAAATATGTCTAGAGCATTCTATTCTCCTTAACAAAAGATTGCCCTCAATCCTGAAAAGAAGCTGTTTTGTCAAACAAACCTAACAAATTTGGGTTTTACCACAGCTTAACTGATTTTGGGCTCTCTCTAGCATTCCTGTTTCACCTAAGAGAGAGAAGAAAAAAAAAGGTAAGAAGCACTTTTATGGGTCATAGCCAAGGGCACAGGCTAACCAAAAGACTAAGACCTAATCATAGCATCCCAGAATGCTTCCCTTCCCCCTCATGCCTTACCACCATGTCAATCAGGCTCCTGTATAGTAAAAGTGGGTTGCAACTGAAAAAACTAGAAGCCTCAGATCCTATTTAAGGAGGAGCCTCTTGGGAAACCCAAGGATGACAGGAGACAAAAATAAGAGCATTTGAGGAAATTTTACTTTCTGATAGCTATAGCCACAGTAAAATAGTAAAGACAGCCTAACTCCTAGTCAAGTAAACATAAAACCTCACATAAAGACCTGTTTATTCAATTTATTTTATGTGATATGTCACAGCTAGCTTTTAACAAAAAAATTTACAAGGATTGTAAAGGCTGAAAACACAGTCTAAAAAAAAACCAAGTGAACATCAAAACCACACTTAAGTGTAGCAGAGATTTTGGAATTACTAGACCAGGAAATTAAAATCGTTATAATTAATGTGCTAAAAATTGCAACAGGAAAAAAATGAGCAACATGCAATAAATAGATGGAAACACTAAGAACGAGTCTGAAGAAAATCCTAGAAATCAAAAACAGAGTTCTGTAGAAACCTCTAACACTCTAATGCAAAGAAAAAAATGATTTTAAAATGCAAAGTAATACCTAAAAACTGTGGAACAATTACAGAATGTATAAGTGTGTGTAATTAAAATACCAAAAGAAGAGGGAAAGAAAAAAAGAGATTTTTGATGTAATAATGTCTTAGAATTTTCCAAAATTAACATAGACACTAAATCACAAAGCTCCTGGAAGCTCTGAAAGCACCAAGAAGGATATATATTTTCTACCTAAAATGTCTGTACCTAGGTATATTCTATTCAAACAGTTGTAAATCAAAGATAGAAAATATCTTCAAACAAGACAGAGAAAAAAAATAAGGCAGAATGAAGATAAACACAAAAAAAATCTATAGAATCAAAGACTTCAGATTTTGGAATTTAGCATAATGAATGCTAAATATATTTAAACACATATTTAAGTACACAATTATAAATATATTTAATGGTGACACATATGAAATATATTTAAATGTTAAACATCATTAAATGTATAAAACATATTTAATTTTAAATATATCTAAATGAATTAAATACATATTATATACTTAAAGAGATGAACAACCAAACTGATTTTAAGCAGATTTTGAAAAAATGACCAAAAATAATTCTACAAAGAAGAATAAAATAAATGGAAATGTAAGTCTCATGTATTAGTCAAGGTTCTTCTGAGAAACAGAACCAATAGCATATATATGTATCGAAACATGGAGATTTATTGGAAGAAATTGACTCCTGTGATTATGGAGGCTGTCAAATCAAAGATCCATACAGTGAGTCAGCAGGCTGGAGTCCAGGGAAGATGACCAAGACTTTTTTCTAATTCAGATCTTTAATTGATTGGATGAAACTCATCTTCATTGTGGTAGGCAATGTGCTTTACTCAAAATTCACTGACTTAAATGTTACTATCATTGAAAAACACCCTCACAGAATATGCAAAATAATGCGTGACCAAATATCTGGGCACCATATTTGCCCAGCCAAATTGATACTTCAAATATCATCACAACTCTGTATGAATATGGTAGATTGAATTGACAGTCACCTTCTCCAGTCTTCCTCGGATCAACATCATTTGTAATAAGACAAGGCCGGTTCAACATACGCAAATCAATAAACATAATCCAGTATATAAACAGAACCAAAGACAAAAACCATATGATTATCTCAATAGATGCAGAAAAAGTCTTTGACAAAATTCAACAACACTTCATGCTAAAAACTCTCAATAAATTAGGTATTGATGGGACATATCTCAAAATAATGAGAGCTATCTATGACAAACCCACAGCCAATAGCACACTGAACGGGCAAAAACTGGAAGCATTCCCTTTGAAAACTGGCACAAGACAGGGATGCCCTCTCTCACCACTCCTACTCAACGTAGTGTTGGAAGTTCTGGCCAGGGCAATCAGGCAGGAGAAGGAAATAAAGGGTATTCAATTAGGAAAAGACAAAGTCAAATTGTCTCTGTTTGCAGACGACATGATTGTATATCTAGAAAACCCCATGGTCTCAGCCCAAAATCTCCTTAAGCTGATAGGCAACTTCAGCAAAGTCTCAGGATACAAAATCAATGTACAAAAATCTCAAGCATTCTTATACACCAATAACAGACAAACAGAGAGCCAAATCATGAGTGAACTCCCATTCACAATTGCTTCAACGAGAATAAAATACCTAGGAATCCAACTTACAAGGGATGTGAAGGACCTCTTCAAGGAGAACTACAAACCACTGTTCAATGAAATAAAAGAGGATACAAACAAATGGAAGAACATTCCATGCTCATGGGTAGAAAGAATCAATATTGTGAAAATGGCCATACTGCCCAAGGTAATTTATAGATTCAATGCCATCCCCATCAAGCTACCAATGACTTTCTTCACAGAATTGGAAAAAACTACTTCAAAGTTCATATGGAACCAAAAAAGAGCCTGCATTGCCAAGTCAATCCTAAGCCAAAAGAACAAAGCTGGAGGCATCACGCTACCTGACTTCAAACTACACTACAAGGCTACAGTAACCAAAATAGCATGGTACTGGTACCAAAACAGAGATACAGACCAATGGAACAGAACAGAGCCCTCAGAAATAATGCCGCATATCTACAACCGTCTGATCTTTGAAAAACCTGACAAAAACAAAAAATGGGGAAACAATTCCCAATTTAATAAATGGTGCTGGGAAAACTGGCTAGCAATATGTAGAAAGCTGAAACTGGATCCCTTCCTTACACTTTATACAAAAATTAATTCAAGATGGATTAAAGACTTACATGTTAGACCTAAAACCATAAAAACCCTAGAAGAAAACATAGGTAATAACATTCAGGACATAGACATGGGCAAGGACTTCATGTCTAAAACACCAAAAGCAATGGCATCAAAAGCCAAAATTGACAAATGGGATCTAATTAAACTCAAGAGCTTCTGCACAGCAAAAGAAACTACCATCAGAGTGAACAGGCAACCTACAGAACGGGAGAAAATTTTTGCAACCTACTCATCTGACAAAGGGCTAATATCCAGAATCTACAATGAACTCAAACAAATTTACAAGAAAAAAACAAACAACCCCATCAAAAAGTGGGCAAAGGATATGAACAGACACTTCTCAAAGGAAGACATTTATGCAGCCAAAAGACACATGAAAAAATGCTCATCATCACTGGCCATCAGAGAAATGCAAATCAAACCACAATGAGATACCATCTCACACCAGTTAGGATGGCAATCATTAAAAAGTCAGGAAGCAACAGGTGCTGGAGAGGCTGTGGAGAAATAGGAACACTTTTACACTATTGGTGGGACTGTAAACCAGTTCAATCATTGCGGAAGTCAGTGTGGTGATTCCTCAGGGATCTAGAACTAGAAATACCATTTGACCCAGCAATCCCATTACTGGGTATATACCCAAAGGATTATAAATCATGCTGCTATAAAGACACATGCACAAGTATGTTTATTGCGGCACTATTCACAATAGCAAAGACTTGGAACCAACCCAAATGTCCAACAATGATAGACTGGATTAAGAAAATGTGGCATATATACACCATGGAATACCATGCAGCCATAAAAAGTGATGAGTTCATGTCCTTTGTAGGGACATGGATGAAGCTGGAAACCATCATTCTCAGCAAACTGTCGCAAGGACAAAAAACCAAACACCGCATGTTCTCACTCATAGGTGGGAATTGAACAATGAGAACACATGGACACAGGACGGGGAACATCACACACCGGGGCCTGTTGTGGGGAGGGGGGAGGGAGGAGAGACAGCATTAGAAGATATACCTGATGTTAAATGACGAGTTAATGGGTGCAGCACACCAACATGGCACATGTATACATATGTAACTAACCTGCACGTTGTGTACCCTAAACTTGAAGCATAATAAAAACTTAAAGTATAATACCCTAAAACTTAAAGTATGATAAAAAAAAAAAAAGACTTAGTAGAGCCTCCAGTCAAACTGTAGTATACTCCCCTGTATCTTAACTTTGATTTCAGCCATAGTGATTACTATGGCCAATATAGTGAAGTAGATGTAATGAGTGCCACTTTTGAACTCAGGCCTTCAGAGGTTTCTTTTGCATGTTTTCATTGGCTCTCTTATGTTTCTGCCATCATCATGAGAAAAGCATGTCAGGAGAACCCCATGGAGCAGAGTCACCTCAATTGAGCTGCCAAGACTAGACTTACCAACCCCCAACTTATCCGCATGATACCTCAGATCAGCACTTTCTAGTTGAGCCCGACCAACATCAACAAATCTCCAGATATACCATAGACTTGTGGATGACAGTAAATCATCATTGATTTAAGCTATTGGATTTTGTAATGTTTTACATAGCAATAGTTAACTAGTTCAGTTAAACAATTAATTAAACATATCTTTAAAAAGAATTAATAAGAAAATGAGTTCAAGTAAACATTTGAAATACAATACAGACACATAGAGCAAAAGTACAAAAGACAGGTAAAACTATGAATGATGAAATGAGGTTATGAATAAATGACAAATTGAATTTGAAGAGGAAAGAGCAGATTTTAGTAAAGAATTAGTATCCAAAATATGTAAATGACTCCTAAAAATTAACACTAAAAATAAAAAAAACTGAAGAGAAAAAAAAAGATCAAAAGGTATGAACAGGAATTTCATAGAAGAGAAATTTCAACCAGCCAATAAATGTATGAATGTGTCTACTAGTTATTAATAGCACATTACTAGAATAGTGATGTATAAAGGCCTGGAATTGTCCTGAGCTGATTCCCAGACAAGGAAGAAAACATACTGATTAATAGTGGTGTTTTATAATTATGAGTTTGAAGAGTTTGGGCTTATTTGTATCAGCTTGTCACTATTTGTTTATTAACAACAAGAGCATTGATTATTTTCATTTGGTTTTGATGAGACCCTCCAAGAAAGATGTGCCTTTGAGACTGGTTATGTAGAAAAAAAAATGTGCTTATGTAATCAAGACGGTAAAACACTGGGATAAAACTCTGTATTGCACTTTCTGTTTCTGAGGTGTGCTGTGCACATGTTAGTTGACCTTAAGAAAAAAAGGATGTATTCAGTGTGGCCTTTACAAGAGAAGACAACTGGAACTCATGCTTATCATTTCTCACCTCTTGCCATGAGGCAGTCTTTGTCATTGATACATATCCTTACTTTGTTATTATTTTGTTATTACTATTCTACAATAAAACATAAATTTGTAAGCATTGTGACTTTGGATTTTGTGAGTCTTCTTTTGCCATCAAACTCTGTCTAATTGTTGCTGCTAGTGAAAGCAAGATAAAAATTAAAAAAAAAACAGGAATAATAAGTATTGATAATACTTGGAACAACAGGAATTTTCATACAGAGCTATTTGGAGTATGGATTGATATGGCTAATTTTAAAAGTGATTTGAAATGGCCTGGTAAAGTTGAAGATGAGTATATCCTAAGATCCAACATTATTTCTTTATACTTTTTAAAAGTTCACACACATGGCCACTAAGATAGGTATATAAAATTTTAATAGAAGTAGCTGGTTCTAACACAAATATCTCACAACATAAGAAATAACATATATATTTTGGTGTATATATAAGAGAATAATAATGAACACAAACGAGTCACTGAAGAATATATTTTATGAGACTGAATATGAACCATACATAAAAACTAAGAATATCTATGTTTAAGGCTACAAACACTTTAAAATTCTAAAGATGAACAAGAGAATGATATACAGTAATTCAGGATAGGTTATGTTTACCTGTGCTACCATTCTGTTGGGGGAGAAAGGATTTTTAATATTAAAGAGTTTGCTACTGGTTTTGTTAATGTTCTATTTTAGAAGAGTTTGTTATATTGTTTGATATGCCTGAAAAAAAGCTTGAAGGCTATTTGTCTTGACCCATGCCATCTATTGATAGCTAAATATATTGAAGACCTGAGAGATAGATAGCCTATATTATCACATAATTTACTACTAGGAGAGGTGTGTCTAGGCCACCTGACTTGTTTGTGCCACTTTCTATCTAGCCAAGAAATTCAAATATTGTGGCATGTAGTAAAACTATGGCCTGACATCCTGAATCCATCAAAATATATCCATAAGATAGGGTGTAGTGGTAAGAAGCCATGAAATAACAACTGGGCAAGACTTAGCACCCTCATTCTAGGCCATACAATAAAGCACACCACTAAATAGTCTTTCTTAGGCAAGATCCCAGCCACCAGGAGCCGTGCAGTGAACTCTGCTAGAATGTTGATCCAAACACTGGAACTTTATTGGAATTCTCTGTAATGCTTTAAGTAACATGAGGAAGTGCTTTTAATGAGCCACTTGGGAAATGTGGAATAGTGCAGTTTGCTTTTTTCATAATGCTCAATGGCTAAGATTTTTTTTTTTACGTCTTTTTTTTTTTGTCAGACTATGAGGCTCAATAGTAAAAATATGTTTCCAGCTTTCGAGAAATAAATTCAAGCTGGGAGAAATGTGATGCCAGTAAAGGCTAGCCAGCCTTCAGAATCATTTTACGTCGTGCAGCATTTATGTTGGAACTTAATGGACATAAGACACCAGAATTTAATAAGAGACTAAAAGAAAATAGATGAGATACTTGAAGAACATATGTGGAGGAGGTAAGATTAATTAAGGTGGGGATATTTTCACAACTTTGGGAGGACAGGGAAGGATTTTATAGAGATTCTCTTCTTCAAAGGTAGAGCAGGATGGTATAAATCTTGCTCATTATAAGGATTAAAGGGAGGAATGAAGAATTTTCCACAACGATACGCAAATGTGTTTCTATGACTGGCTATATCAGAATACTGAATTTTTAATAAATGAAGATTTATGGAAATTCCAAGGCAGTATCACTTTTGGGGGAAGGCGATGAAGGTGAGGCTCAAAAATTTGCATGAATAAAGACTTCTCAGATTATTTTCACGGGAAGCCAATTTTGAAATCATTAAAACAGTCAATCACAGGGATAGAATGAAGTGGTGAGATCTTAATATCCTGATATAGGAATGAGATTGCTGCACATGGAGGAGGAGTAAAAGAGACTCTCCATTCTCATATTCTCTGACTTCGGATTGAGAGAGTGAGAGCCAGCAATTTATGGTAAGAACACCATCCTTAGTATCTCTCTACCTCCTCTCTGACTAACATGGACACAAAGTACCCAGGATGCTGCTCAATACCCAAGTCTGGATGAAAGCAAAAACCACAATTAGTGAAGCCAACTGGTATTTTTTAGTGCTTCTAATGGTAGATCATATTTCTGAAGACTTGAAAGATTTATAGCACATACCGTACACCTGGTGCATTCCAGATGAGCAGACCTTGCATGCTCAGAAGTGAGCGGGAAGATGTGCTGCATTGAATTTTATTGATTTTCCTCTTTGCTTCTATAGTTTTATGATGTTCCATTTTCTCTTTCTCTTGGTTTGGAAATTGTGGCCTCACTTATTTATTTTCTTCCTTCATTTTACATTTTAAATGTATATGTAGCACTGCATCAATTTTCACGGCCACGGGAAAGGGCTGGGTGAATTCTCTAACCAAGAAAAGATAAACTAGTGATAGAGGAATTAATTTTTTTCCCCTCTTAAGAAGCTTTCCCTCAAGTTCTCTTCCATTTTCATTTTCTCACATTCTTGGAATGCATTTATAATTTGCTTTTTCATTTCATAACTTTCTGATTTTTAGCTTTGAAATCTCACTTTCAGAGATTATATATTGATAGCTCTGAATTTTTTTCATTTGTATTCTGTACAAGCCCTTTGGTTGTGAGCAATTTCCTTCTACAACTTCTTGATATAACTCATCTAGCAATAAGACCAAACAGCTGAATTATAATAGAAATAGGGCTTTTGTCTGTAGAAGCTTGGTAATTGATGAGGATCAACTTCGCTAACAACTCCCCCCACTCTCTTTCCCCCGCTGGTCTTTGCTCAGTTCACATTGTGGTTTTAATTAGACTATTATGCCTTTTTTGTATTATAAAGTAGCTTTCTCTAAATAATCTCAAACTTTTAGATATACAAGCCAATTAGATGTTGAAGTCATATTTGGGCTCATGGCCCATGGCATAGTGTTCAACCTCTCATTTTGCTAGTTCTTTTCAATATCTGGTGAATTAATATACCAGATTAGAGAATGACAGTATATGGGTCATTGCTGGCTTGAAGGCTGAAATCAAAGTCAGTTCTCACTCTTCTTGTTAAAATAAAAGGATTTGCACACATAAGGAGAGGACAAAAGAAAAAGCTCTTTTAGTCAGTGTTACCCATAGGAGTGCCTGTAAAAGCTACCCATTATATTATAAGTATTCCCAGATTTCAGCCATTCTTCTACATCATCACAAAAGTTCCCTTATCACACCCCACCTATATTATTACAATTAGTTTGCATCATGTAATATTGTCATTTTTGTAGTTCAAAAATGGGTAAATATTGAGAATTTCATATGCTTCAATCTAATAGTTTACATTTTGTATTGATTCACTTTTTAACTAACATACTATCTTTAAAAGTAAAAAAAAAATCACTAACACAGAAAGAAAACTTGTACCACTTGTAATAAATAAAATATAACAATACAAACAAATGCAATAAAAAACAACAGACACGGACAATGTTATTAAATTCTAGATAGATACTGTTGCCTGCCAAATGCTCAGAGCTGGGAATCTGCACTTTCTTTAAGAGAAGAGATTAACAAGTAAAACAATACCTCGGACTTTCTCTTGAGATCAGTATTGAAAAAAATTAAAGGCAATAACTCTTTCAGTCTGTGATTTAATATTATTTAATTATAACACTATGGAACCACGCATCCTGCATTTTGATAAACATTATATTAGATCACTTATTTTGCCCAGTTTTCCCTTTTGTGTTCAGAGGATACTTCTAAGCACGCAAATAATGGCAAAGTTATTTATATGTCACCATCTAGGACTTAATTGATTTAATAAATTCTGTCACATGACACAAATAATATCTTGCAGAGAGTCCACAACATTCTTAACATCACTTATCAGAGCATGTTTTAATTTATTATAGTTTTTTATTTATATTCTCCTTCTCTTTTTTAGGTTCTGTGAATCCAGGATCTTCTCTCCTCCCTGGGTCAGTGGAAGAAGTGAATGAATAAGGTAGAGGTAGACATCTGAGTCAATGAGTACAAGATAAAGATGTAAAAAGTGATAATATTTACAAAGAAAAATAGTCTATTTCCATTTCTGTAACACTCATTTCTGAACTATAAAACGTATGTAATACCTGAAGGTGAATGCATTCATTGTCCAATTAACCCCTTACTGACTTCTGGGCATTAGATATTTTGGTTCCTAGAGGTATGTTGTCATGTGCTACAGAGGATGATGACAAGCAACTGCATTAAAAAAAGGCATATATGCCCACAATATAGCAATCAAATAGAAAAAAATATGTAAATCTTATGAGAAATGTAATATAATTTACAAAATTATTTTACTACAAATTTATATGCAATACATAACAATCACATATAAACTAGTATATGGGAAGACACTATTTCATGGAACTATCAATAAAATAAAATGAGAAAGAGAAATAGATCCATGGGAGATGCACAGATAGAATTTATTAGACACACACTTAAAAATATCTATGTTTACTACATTCAAGTAATTATATAACAAGATGGAACTTTTTTTAAGGAGACATAAAACGTATAATTGACAATAAAATAAAAATTATAGAACTGAAGATAAAATAACTGAAATAATTCAGTAGATGCTTTTAGAAGGTTAGATAACTGAAGAGAAAATTAGTGAACTGGAAGACAAGTCAGGAAAAATAGACAGACTGAAATGTGAAGAGACAAATAGATGGACAACAGAAAAAAGGCATTAGACACAAATGCGATACAATGACAAGTTCTAATATACATATAATTGAAATATCAGAGAGGAAGAAGATTAAAATAGGCAATATTGGCAGATATATGGCTGAAAACCTTATAAAACTATTGAAAGATATCAATATAAGAGATAAGAAAGTTACAAATCTCAAACAGAATGAATGCAAAAACAAACAAGCAAACCCACAGTCAGTCATATTATAGTAAAACTGCTGAAAACCAAAGTCAATATCTTAAAAAAAAAATCCAGAGAGGACACATTGCATTCACTGAAGTAATAATATGACAAATGCTCAACAGAATCAACAGAAGCCAGAAGGCAATGAAATGAAATCTTAAAATTTCTGATAAAAACCTTGCAATCTTAAAATTCAATACCCAGAAATTGATGTTTTAAAAGAGCATGAAGATATTTTCAAACAAACAAAAAACAAAACCAATAGCTGCCATTGGATTGGCGGTAAAGTCATTCAGTAAAGGAAATGTTAAATGTGTTTAGGCAGAAAGAAAATCATCCAAAGAATGAATAAAAGTGAATAAAATGGCTAGAAATGTTTGTAAATACAAACAAATATTGACTGTTCCAAACAACAATGAGCTAGCCAGGCTAGACTGTTGAGCTTGGGCTTCCAGCACAGTGACCCTGCCCCCGCTTGAAATCTGTAGGTGGGCACAGCTGTGTTCCCCTAGAAAACATCCAGAGATGTGTGGCCTCCCACCCCTACTGCTCCTAATCAGGCAAGACTTACCAACATGGGAAGTCCCTGAGCAGAAGAGTAGCCCCCATTCTCAGAACACTGAGAGGGTTGAGATACCCATGTTCTTGGGCTGGTGGAGGAATGGGGCATGCCTACCTTCACAGGGCCAGACTGGGAAGAATGCGTCCTGTCAGCCATCCATGGCCACTGTCTGAGGGAGTCCCACAGCCTGGAGGCCTGGAACACATTAAAAAGTGATATGGTTTGGCTGTGTCCTCACTCAAATCTCATCTTGAATTGTAGTTTCCACAATACCCACATGTTGTGGGAGGTACCCGGTGGGAGGTAATTGAATCATGGGGGCTGTTACCTCCATGCTGCTGTCATGATAGTGAGTTCTCACAAGATTTGGTGGTTATATGAGGGGATTTCCCCACCTTTGCTCTGCACTTCTCCTTGATGCTGCCACGTGAAGAAGGACTTGTTTGCTTCCCCTTCTGCCATGACTGTAAATTTCCTGAGGCCTCCACAGCCATGCTCAACTGTGAGTCAATTAAACTTCTTTCCTTTATAAATTACCCAATCTTGGGTATGTCTTTATTAGCAGTGTGAGAACAAACTAATACAAAAGAAAATGTGGATGTGCTATCAGTGATCAGTGGTGGCTAATTTAAAGCTTAAGAGTAGACCTGGTGAGGGACAGTCATCCATTTTCTTCCTGATCACACAGCATAAGTGAACATGTTGAAATGCAGAAGAGCCATGTGGCTGAATAAGAGCCATGTGGCTGAATAAGAGCCTATCTGTCAGCTGTCATTCTTAAGCACCACCTACTGTATCACGGTCCAAATTACAATGCCAAAAATATTCTGCCAGTACACAGGTGCCTGTAAAACCTAAGGAAATCTTCAGCCACAAATTGAGATCCTTTATAGATCCTTGACCTTTTGAAAGCATCCAGAAATGAAGCCAATTGACTACACTCAACCTACATCACAGTTAAAGAAACACTAGCCCTCTCAGATGAGAAATAATAAGTGAAAGAATTCTGGCAATTTAAAAAGCCAGTGTGTTTTTTTACCTTCAAACACACTAGAACCCAGCAATGGTTCTTAAATAGATTGAAATGACTGAAATGACAGATGTAGAATTCAGAATCTGGACGTCAAAAAGCTCATCAAGAACCTGGAGGAAGTTGAAACCCAATCCAAGGAAAACAAGGAACCCAGTAAGAAAGATCCAAAAGTTGAAAGACAAAACAGCCATATTAAAAAAAGAACCAAACTGAACTTCTAGAATTGAAGAATTCACTATTACAAAGATTTCATAATATAGTCATAAGCATTAACAGAAAAATAGACCATGATGAGAAAATATTCTCAGACTTGAAGACTAGTTCTTGAAATTAACTCAGACAAAAATTTTTAAAAAAGAATTTTAAAAAATGAATAAACCTCTAAGAATATAGGATTATATAAAGACACAAATCTATGACTCACTGGCATTCCTGAGAGAGAAGGAGAGAGGGAGAGAGAGTAAGAAACTTGGAAAACATAGTTGAGGATACAGCCCATAAAAATTTTCCCAATATGGCTAGAGAAGTAGACATACAAATTCAAGAAATACAGAGAACCCCTGTGAGATACTATGAAGGCAAATGTCTCCAAAACACACAGTCATCAGATTCACCAATGTCAACACTCACAAAAAGTCTTAAAAGCAGCTAGAAAGAAAGTTCAGGTCACTTACAAAAGGAACCCTATTAGGTTAGCAGCAGATCTCAGCAGAAACTTTACAATCCAGAAGAGATTAGGGGCCTATTTTCAGCATCTTCAAAGAAAATTTCAACCATGAATTTTATATTCTTCTAAATGAATCTTCATAAAGGAAGGATAAATTAAAACATTATCAAAAAAGCAAACACTAAGGAAATTTGTTACCACTATACCAGCCTTAAAAAGGGTCTTTAAGGGAATGCTAAACATAGAAATGAAAGATTGATACCTGCTACCACAAAAAAACACAGAAGCACATAGCACACAGACAATATAAGACAATTATATGATCAAGTTTACAAAACAACCAGCTTACAACACAATGACTGGATCAAAATCTTGCATATCAATACTAATGTTGAATGTAAGTGGTCTAAACACCAGCTTAAAAGGCACAGAGTGGCAAGCTGAATAAAAAACATGACCCAACTGTCTGCTGTCTTCAAGAAACCCATGTCACATGTAACATCACTCACAGGCTTAAAGTAAATGGATGGAGAAACAAAAAAGAGGGAAAAACATAAAAGAGCAGGAGTCATCATTCTCATACCAGATAAAACAGGCTATAAACCAACAACGATCAGGAAGACCAAAGAAGGGCGTTAAACAATAATAAAGGGTTCAATTCAACAAGATGACTTAACTATCATAAATATGTATGCATCCAACATAGGAGCACCCAGAATCATAAAACAAGTTTTTCTTAACCTATGAAAACACATACACAGTCATACAATAATAGCAGGGGAATTCAATACCCTACCGATAGAATTAGACACAAAAAAAATTGAGGAAGAAAAATAACAAAGAAATTCAGAACTTAAACTCAACATTTGACCAATTGGACATCAGAGACGTCTACGGAATACTCTACCCAACAATACAGCATTCTTCTCATCCATATATGAAACATATTCTAAGATTGACCACATGCTCAGTCATAAAGCCAGTCTCAATAAATTCAAAAATGTAGAAATTATACCAACAACATTCTTGGACCACAGTGCAGTAAAAATAGAAATTATTAAAAAGAACAACTCTCAAAACTATGCAAAAACATGATAATTAGAAACTTGCTCCTAAATAACTCTTGGGTGAACAACAAAATTAAGGTGGCAATAAAAAACTATTTGAAATTAATGAAAACAGAGACTCAACTTACCAAACTAATTGGGTTGCAACTAAAGCAGTGTTAAGAGGAAAGTTTACAGTGCTAAATGTCTCCATCAAGCAGTTAGAAAGATCTCAAATTAACAATGTAATGTCACACTTAGAGGAACAAGAAAAAAAAAAACTCCAAAGATAGCAAAAGAAATAAATAACTAAATCAGAGAAGATCTTAATGTAATTGAGATGCAAAAGTCCATTTTAAGCTCAATGAAACCAAGAGTCAGTTCTTCAAAAGAATAAACATGATTGATAGAATGCTAACTGGATTAACAAAGAAGAAAAAAGATTAAAACAAACACAATTAGAAATGACAAAGATGGCATTACAAACAATCCCAAAAAATACAAAATATCTTCAGAGCCTGTTATGGAAACACACAACCTCACAATATTGAACCAGAAAGAAAGTGAGAACCTGAACAGACTAATTACAAGTCCCACAATCTGAATCAGTAATAAAACAATCTCACAACAACAGCAACGACAACAACAACATATGGACCAGATGGATTCACAGCCAAATTCTACCAGAAGTGCAAAATACTGACAGCAATCCGTCTGAAAATATTTCAAAAAATAAGGAGGTAGGACTCCTCCCTAACTCATTTTACAAAGCCAGCATCATCCTGATACCAAAATCTGGCAGAGACAAGATAACTTCAAGCCAATATTCCTAATGAACATAGGTGTAAAAACCTTAACAAAATCCTGGCAAATCAACTACAGCAGCACACCAAAAAGTTACTTCAGCATGATCAAGTGGGCTTTATTCCTGGGACACAAGATTGGTTCAACATATACAAATCAATAAATGTGATTCTGCATAAACAGAATCAAAAACAAAAATTACATTATTATCTCAATAGATGCAAAGAAAAGCCTTTGATAAAACTCAACATCCTTTCAGGATAAATCCCCCAACAGGCTAGGCATTGAAAGAACGTACCTCAAAATAGTAAGAGCCATCTATGAGAAACCCACAGCCAACATCATACTGAATGGGCAAAAGCTAAAACTATTCCTCTTGGGAACCAGAACAAGACCACTCTCGCCACTCCTATTCAACATAATTCTGGAAGTCTTAGCCAGAGCAATCAGGCAAAAGACAGAAATAAAATGATTTTAAATAGGAAAAGGAGTAAAACTATCTTTGCTGATGACATGATCCTATACATAGAAAAAGCTAAAGACTCTAACAGTCTCCTGCATAACAATTTCAGTGAAGTTTCAGAATATAATATCAGTGTAAAAACATCAGTAGTGTTTCTCTACCCTAATAACATTCTAGCTGAGAGCCAAATCACGAACACAATCCCATTTGCAATAGCCACCAAAAATGAAATACCTAGAAATACACAGAAACAAGGAGGTAAAACGTCTTTACAAGGAGAACTACAAAACACATCTGAAAGAAATTAGAGATGACAAAAATAAATGGAAAAACTATTCCATGTTCATGGATTAAAAGAAACAATAACACTAAAATGCCAAACTGCCCAATAAAATGTACAGATTCAGTGCTATTGTTATCAAAATGCCTCTTTTTTTCACTGAATTAGAAAAAAAAAAACTATTCTAAAATTCACATGGAACCCAAAATAAACCCAAACATCCAAAGCAATCCTAAGCAAAGGGAATAAAGCTGCAAGGATCACATTACTCACTTCAAACTATACTATAAGGCTACAGCAACCAAAACAGTATGGCATTCATACAAAAACAGATATGTAGACCAATGAAACAGAATAGAGAATCCAGAAATAAAGCCACACACCTCCAACCATCTGATCTTTGACAAAGTCAATGAAAATAGCAATGGGAAAAGGACTCCCTATTAAATAAATGGTGCTAGGATAGGTGGCTAGCCATATGCAGAAGAATGTAACTGGTTCTCTACCTTTCACCATATACAAAAATTAACTCAATATGGATAAAATATTTAAGTGCAAGACCTCAAACTGTAAAAATCCTGGAAGAAAATCTAGTAAATACCCTTCTCGATATTGGTTTTGGGAAAGAATTTATGGCTAAGCTCTCTAAAGCAATTGCAACATAAACAAAAATTAACAAGTGATACCTCATTAAACTAAAGAGCTTTTGCATAGTAAAATAAAGTATCAACAGAGTAAACAAACAGGCTACAGATTGGGAGAAAATATTTACAAACTATACATCTGAAAATGATCTAATATCCAGAATCTACAAGGAAATTAAACATCAACAAGGAAAAATCAAATAACACAATTAAGAAATGGGCAAAAGACTTGAACAGATACTTCTCAAAAGATACATGCAAGCAGCCAACAAACATATGAAAAAATGCTCAACATCACTGATCAGAGAAATGCAAATCAAAACAATAATTATATACTAGTCAGAATGGAAATTAGTAAAAAGTCAAAAAATAACAGATGCTGGCAAGGCTGTGGAGAAAAGGAAATGCTTATACACTGTTGGTGGGAATACAAATTAATTCAGGCACTGTGGGGAGCAGTTTGGAGAATTTAAAAAAAATTTAAAACAGAGCTACCATTTGACATAGCAATCCCATTACTGGGTATACACTCAAAGGAAAATAAATTGTTCTACTAAAAAGACACATGTACTTTTGTGTTCATCTCAGTGCTATTCACAATAGTAAAGACATGGAATCAATCTAGGTGCCCATTTGTATTAGTTTTCTCTTGTACTGCTATAAAGTAATACCTGAGTCTGGTTACTTTATAAAGAAAAGAGTTTTAACTGGCTCATAGTTCTGTGGGTTGTACGGGAAGCATGACGGCTTCTGGAAAGGCCTCAGGAAACTTTCACTCATGGTAGAAGGGTAATGGAAAGCAGGCATGTCTTACATAGCCTGAGCAGAAGAAAGGGAGTGAGATGGGGTCGGGGGACACCACATATTTTTAAACAACCAGATTTCATGAGAATGCTATCAGGAAAACAGCACCAAAGGGTTGGTTCTAAACCATTCATGAGAACTCCATCCCCATGATACAATCACCTGCCACCAGGCCCCACTTCCAACACTGGGGATTACAGTTTGACATGAGATTTGGACAGGGACAGAGATCCAAACCATATTAACATCATCAGTGGATAAGATAAATAAAATGTGGTACATATACATGGAAGACTACACGACCATGAAAAAGAGTAAAATCTTGTCCTTATTAGCAACATGGATTCAGCTGCAGGCCATTATCATATGCAAATTAACACAGAAACAGAAAACCAAATACTGCATGTTCTCACTTATAAATAGGAAATAAACATTGAATATACATGGACACAAATAGGAGAATAATAGACACTGAGGACTGCTAGAGGAGAATGGTAGGGAGAGGATCTTGTGCTGAAAAACTACCTATTGGGTTCTATGCTCAGTACCTGGGTGATGGAACCATCCATAACCCAAACCTCAGAATTATGAGGTATACCTATGTGAGATACCTATGCATGTACTCCCTGAATCTAAACTAAAATAAAAATAAAAAAGATTCAAATGGAAAAAACATAAAATATATTTAAAAACCAAAAATGAATATTGTTGGTTTATATAAATAAAATTAAAACATATTACAACACTAGCTCATGTATCAGGAAAAGGAGAAAAAGAAATTAAAGTGTTTTAAACATTGTAAAAATCAATTTATATTAGACTGTATTAAGGCAAGGATTCATGTTACAATCTCAAAACAATGACTAAGATAAAAGCAACTTCATACACATTTATAATCTAAACCTAGTATCTAAACAGTAAAAGAAAGATAGTTTAGCTAAATAAATGTCTAACAATGAAGAATTGAGCACAAAAATATACACGTTCATGATAGAGGAATAGTTCAAAGATACAATGGTCAATTAACCAGAAAGAAATAGTGATTCTAAAATGGCGTGCTCCAGTAACTCACTTAAAAATATCAAATAAAGTAAAAACTCACAGCACTAAAAAGAAATACATCTGAATCATAGTGGGAATTTTAACACACCTCTCATTATCTGAGAACAAATGCACAAAAACATCAATAAATATATAGAAATATACATGGTTTAATTGACAAATACAGAACACTGAACTCAAGAACTTCAAAATACACTTCCTTTTTCAGATCACAGAGAACATTTACCAAAACTTACTATATTGTATGACAAAGAGCATGTACAAACAAATATCAAAGGCGTGAAAAGTTGAAGAGATATTCTTTGACAAAAGTAGAATTAAGCTAGAAAAAAATGACCAAAATATAACTAAAAAAATCCACATATTTAGGAAAAAAAGTAACATCCTTGCAGTGTTTGTTAATTTAGATAAAGCCATAATTTAATATCATCAATAGTGATGCTAGAAGTTATTGTTTACTACAGGCCAGACACTTTTTCAATTTTCGAGAAATGTATTTGATATCTACTCATTAAATTAAACATTTTCAGGGGAAAACAAGGAGATAATCATGGTAAATAATAATACTAATATTTATTTAGCACTTAACATTGCCCAGCATTGTCAAGTAATAATTTCACAAGAATTACCTTACCTAATTTTCTGAGTAGAAAGATAATAGAAACATTATCATTGACACTTTTCAAATGAGAAATTCAAAGTTACAATTAATTGAATAATTTTCTTAATGTTTTCTGTGAGTAGCAACATTGCTAGAACACAGGCTGCATGACTGTAGATTTTATATTCCTGCATCTGTTATTTAAAATTCACTTCTTTTTTTGAAACAGGATCTCCCAGGCTGGAGTGCAGTGGCAGGATCATGACTCACTGCAGCATTTACCTCCTTGGCTCAAGCTATCTTCCCACAGTAACCTCGGAAGGAACTGGGATTACAGGTGTTTGGCACCAGCTATTGTTTTAGTATTATGTTTATTTTTGGTACAAAAGAGGTCTTGCTATCTTGTCCAGGCTGGTTTCGAACTCCTAGGCTCAAGTAATCCTCCTGCCAGTCTCCCAAAATGCTGAGATTACAGGCATGAGCCAACGTGCCTGGCCTAAAATTCACTTTTGATTTAAAAAAAAAAACAAAACCCGCAAATATCCACTCAAAATAAAGTGTAGCAACATTTAAGTAGTCTATCCTAAACTAATAACAACGATGATGTTTAAAGGCAAGTTACTGGAAAAAGTCATGTCAAAGTCAGCACAGGGAAATTTTGTTATGATTCTCCATACTTTCCAATATAATTAAGTTAAAATTTTAAAACGTGTTATAAATAGTGAACATTTAAACAAAACATAATTGTAAATATTATAAATGTACACCTCTCAAAAAATCAATGGAACAATTATTTGAATTAATAAAAGAATTTAGAACACGAACAATTATGAGACATTTGAAAGAATAAGAGCCTTCTTGTATACCAATATTAGCCAGGTAGAAAATATTTTCAAGACAAAATACCCTATTGAATTAGTGACAGAAATATAAGCAACTAAAATAAATATTAAAAGAGACATATTATACCATCATGAGAATGTTGACAGAAAATCAATGGAGGACATGAAGAAGATGGTGATTAAATTAATAAATATAGAATTCTAGATTAACTTATATATTTTATGACAGTCAGAAACTCTAGTAGAATTATTTTTCTTATTAAAAAAATCTATGTGAAAAATTTGTCCGGAAAACACTCTTCACAAGTTAAAATTAAATTTGAAAAGAGGAATAATAAAAGAAGACTTTCTTTACCAAATATTGAAATAATTGCTTAAAGCTGCCATAATTAAAGTCTTCTTATTGGAGAAGTAAGCAACATATTATTAAAGCTAGACAGAGCAGAAATAGACAAATACATCTATTAATTTAATGTATGACTAAAATTAAATGACAATGAATGGTGTTCAAACAACTGCCTGATCCTTTGGAACAGAATTGATTCCCAACTCATGACTTGTACCAAAATTAAAACTTAAAAAGCTAGCATGAAAAATTTAAATATAAAGTATACAACCATAAAAGTACTTCTATTTAAATGAGAAATTTAATTTTGGTATGTTAAGTGTGACAATAAAGGCAGAAATAATAATTCAAATTTAGATAAAAGGCAAAAAATAAAATTGAGTACAAAAAATTAAACATTTTTTGAAAAATTTAAATTAAATAAAAAAAAAGTTTTCATTTTTAAATTTTTCCTTTACTAAGAGAGGAGGTGGTGTAATACGGCCAAATAGAAGCCTTCGCTGATTGTACTCCCCACTGCAACATCAAATTTAACAACTATGTACAGAAAAAAAAATCACCTTCAAAAGAATAAAAAATCAGGTGAGCAATTATAGTAACTGATTTTAATTTTATATTGATGAAAGAGGCATTGAAGAGTGATGAAAGACAGTCTTGAGTGGCCAACACCACTCCTCCCCCGCCCTCCAGCAGTGGCCATGTGGTGTAGAGAATCTGCATTTGGTGGTGGGGGACTGCAGTAATGCAGTAATTGTGGGAACTATGCACTGGAACATAGTTCTGCCCTGTCACAGCAGAAAGTATCATCAGGCAGAACTCATCCAGCGTCCAGGGAGGGAGCATTTAGATGAGCCCTAACCAGAGGGGAATTGCACATCTCAGTGGATAAAACTTGAGTTTCTGCAAGCCTTGCCATTGTAGGCTATAGTACTCTGGGATCCTAAATAAACTTGAAAGGCAGTCTAGGCCACAATGACTGTAACTCTTAGGCAAGTCTAGTGATGTGCTGGGTTCAAAGCTAGTGGACTCCGGGGGCATGCAAACTAGTGAAACACCAGCCAGGGCAGCTAAGGGAGTGCCTGCACCCTTTTTCCAACCCCATGCAGTGCAGGTCACAGCTCTGAATGAGAGTCCTTTGTTCTGCTTGACAAGAGGAGATGGAAGAGTAAAGAGAACTTTGTCTTGCAACTTGGGTACTAGCTCAGCCACAGTAGGATAGGGCACTGGGACGACTTGTGAGGCCCGCATTGCAGGCCCTATTTCTGAGACTACATTTCTAGCACACCCTGGACTAGAAAGGAACCCACTGCCTTAAAGGAAAGGACCCAGTCTTGGCAGGATTTATCAATTTCCAAATAAAATGTCCTTTGGCCCTGAATAATCAGCAGTGGTACCCAGACAGCACTTACCCTGTGCCTTGCACAAGACTCTGAGATGTTCAGTTTTCTGGTGTGACCTAGCACAATCCCAGCTGTAGTGGCTGAGGAGCGACTACTTCTGCTTGAGAAAAGTGGAGGGAAGACTAAAGGGGACTTAGTCTTGCATCTTAAGTACCAACTCCACCACAATGGGGTATAACATTAAGCAGGCTTTTGGGGTCCCAGATTCCAGGCCTTGGATTTTGGATGGCATTTCTGGACCTTCCCTGGGCCAGAGGGGAGCTCATTGCCTTGAAAGGTGAGTCTCAGGCAAGACAGCATTCACCAGAAGCTGACTGAAGAGCCCTTGGGCCTTAAGTGAAAATTGACAGTAGCATGGCAATATTGTGCATGGGCTCGAGATGGTGGTGGCCACAGGGAAAGACTCCTCTGCCTGTGGAAAGGGGACGGAAGACTAGGAAGAGCTTTGTCTTGTGGTTTAAAGACCAGTTAAACTGCAGTAGAACAGAGCACCAGGTAAGTTTTTAAGGTTTCTGACTCTACACTTTGCTTCCTGGGTGGCATATCAGGAACAATATGAGGCCAGGGAATCTTGCCACCCTGAAGGAAACAACATAAGCCTGGCTGGCTTTGCCACCTGAAGACTGTAGAGCCTTAGGACTTTGAGTAGACATAGGTGGTAGGTAGTGATCACAGTGATCCTTTAGATCTGGCCCATACCAGAGTAGTGGCCACATGGATGCTTGAGTCACCCCTCCCTCAGCTCCAGGTAGCTCGGCACAGAAAGTGAGATTCCATTTGTTTAGAGGAAACTAAGAGAAGAGAATAAGAGTCTCTGCCTGGTAATACAGATAATTCTTGCAGATGTTATCCAAGACTACCAAGGTGGTACTTCTGTGAGTCTGCAAGAGCCACAATGTTACTGGGCTTGTGGTGGCCCCTGCTGCAGATATTGCAGCAGTGATCAAAAACTTGGATTACAAAACCCGAGTCCCTTTGAATATCTGGAAAGCCTTCCAAGGAAGGATGGGTATAAGCAAGCCCAGACTGTGAAGATTACAATAAATACATAACTGTTCAATGTCCAGACACGAATGAATATCATCAAGCATCAAGACCATTCAGGAAAACATGACCTCATCAAATAAACATAATAAGACCCCAGGAACAAATCCCAGAGAAAGAGTGAGAGAGAGAGAGAAAGAGAGAGAGAGAGAGAGAGAGAGAGAGAGAGAGAGAGATGTGGCTTTTCAGAGAATTCAAAGCACCTGTTTTGAGGAAACTCAAAGAAATTTAAGATAACATAGAGAAAGAATTCAGAATCCTATCAGATAAATTTAACAAAGAGATTGAAACAATTAAAAAGAATCAAGCAGAAATTCTGGAGGTGAAAAATGCAATTGACATACTGAAGAATGCATCAGAGTCTGTTAATAAGAGAATTGATTAAGCAGAAGAAAGAATTAGTGAGCTTGAAGGCAGACTATTTGAAAGTCAAAGGAAACAAAAGTCAGAGGGAACAAAAGAAAGAATAAAAAAGATTGAAGCATGCCTACGAGATTTAGAAAATATTTTCAGAAGGCCAAATCTAAGTTACTGGCTTTAAAGAGGAGGGAGAGAGAGAGAGATAGAGGTAGAAAGTTTATTCAAAAGGATGACAAGAGACCTTTCCAAACCTGGAGAAGAATATCTATATTTAAGTAAAGAAGGTGATAGAACACAAAGCAGATTTAATCCAAAGAAGGCATTTAATAATCAGTCTCCCAAAGATCAAGGTAAAGAAAGGATCTTAAAAGTAGCAAGTGAAAAGAAACAGATAACATACAATGGTACACCAATATGTCTGGCAGCTGACTTTTCAATGGAAACCTTACAGATCAGAATAGAATGCCATGATATATTTAAAGTGCTGAAGGAAAAAAAAACCTTTTTACCCTAGAATAGTATATCAGGCAAAAATACCCTTCAAACATAAAGAAGAAATAAAGACCTTCTCAGACAAACAAAAGTTAAGGGATTTCATCAACACCAGAGCTGTTTTACAAGAAATCCTAATAGGAGTTCTTAAATCTGAAAGAAAATAATATTAATGAGCAATAAGAATCACCTAAAGGTACAAAACTCACCAGCAATTGTAAGTACACAGAAAAACACAGGATATTATAACACTGTAATTGTGGTGTATAAACCACTCATATCTTAAATAGGAAGACTAAAAACTGAACTGATCAAAAATAATAACTACAACAACTTTTCAAGACATAGGTAGTCCAATAAGATACAAACAGAAACAAAATGTTTAAAAGTGAGGGCATCCAGTTGAAGTGTAGAGTTTTTATTAATTTTTTATTTGCATGTCTGTTAGTTTGTGCAATCAGTGTTATGTTGTCATCAGTTTAAAACAATGGATTATAAGAACTTATTTTCAAGCTTTATGGTAACCTCAAATAAAAAACATACAACATACATACAAAAAATAAAAAGTAAAATATACCACCAGAGAAAATCACTTTGTCTAAAAGGAAGACAAGACAGAAGGAAAGAAGGAAGAGAAGACCACAAAAAAAAAAAAACAGAAAACAACCAACAAAATAGCAAAAGTAAGTCCTTATTTATCAATAAGAGCACTGAATGAAAATGGACTAAACTCTCCAATCAAAAGACATGGAGTGGCTAAATCTATTAAAAAAAAATGAAACTCAATGATCTTTTGCCTACAAGAAACACACTTCACCTATAAAGACACACATAGACTGAAAATAATGTGATAAAAAAAAGATATTCCACGCAAATGGGAACAAAAAAAGCAGCAGTGGCCACACTTATATCACATAAAATAGATTTTAAGACAAAAACTATAAAAAGAGACAAAGAAGGCCATTATATAATGACAAAGTGGTTAATTTAGCAAGAGAATGTAACAATTGTACATATATATGCACCCAACACTGGAGCAATAAATAAGCAAATATTATGAGAGCTAAAGAGAAAGAGATAGGCCTCAATTACAATAATAGCTGGAGACTTTAACATCTCACTTTTACCTTTGGAAAGATCATCCAGACAGAAAATCAACAAAGAAACATCAGATGTAAACTGCACTTTAGACCAAATGTACCAAATAGATGTTTACAGGACATTTCATTCAATGACTGCAGTATACACACTCTTTTCCTCAACACATGAATCATTGTCAAGGATAGACAATATGTTAGCCCACAAAACAAGTTTTAATACATTCCAAAAAACTGAAATAATATCGAGCACCTTCTCTAATCACAATGGAATAAAATTAGAAGCCAATAACAGAGGAATTTTGGAAACTATACAAACACATGAAAATTATACAACATGATATTGAATGATCAGTGGGTCAATGAAGAAATTAAGAAGGAAATTGAAAAATTCTTGAAACAAATGATAATGGAAACATGACATGTAAAAACCTATAGGATACAGCAAAAGCAGTACTAAGAGAGAAATTTATAGCTATATGCAACTACATCAAAAAAGTAGAAAAACTTCAAATAAACAGTCTAACCATGTATCTTAAAAAAACTAGAAAACAGGCCAGGTGCGGTGGCTGACATCTGTAATCCCAGCACTTTGGGAGGCCGAGGCTGGTGGATGACGAGGTCAGGAGATCAAGACCAGCCTGGCCAACATGGTGAAACCTCGTCTCTATTAAAAAATACAAAAAAAATTAGCTGGGTGTGGTGGTGTGCGCCTGTACTACCAGCTACTTGGGAGGCTGAGGCAGGTGAATCACTTGAACCAGGGAGTCCTAGGTTGCAGTGAGCCGAGATTGCACCACAGCACTCCAGATTTGCAACAGAGCCATACTCTGTCTCAAAAAAACAAAAAACAAAAAACAACAACAAAAAAACCTAGAAAATAAAGGGCAAACCAAACCAAAGATCAGTAAAAGAAAAGAAATAATAGAGATCAGAGCAGAAACAAATTAAATTGAAATGAAGAAAACAATACAAATGATTGATGAAATGAAAAGTTGGTTTTTGAAAAGATAAATAAAATTGACAAACTTTTAACCGAACTAAGAAAAAAGACAGAAGACTCAAATAAAATCAGAGATGGAAAATGAGACATTAAAACTGATACTGCAGAAATTCAAAGGATCATTAGAGGTAACTATAAGCAAGTATTTGCCAATAAATTGGAAAACCTAGAAGGATAAATTCCTAGACACATACAAACCACCAAAATTGAGCCATAATGAAATTTAAAAACTGAACAGACAAATAACAAGCAATGAGATTGAAGCCATAATAAAAAGTCTCCTAGCAAAGAAAAACCTGGGACTTGGTGGCTTTACTGCTAAAATTTACCAAACATTTTAAGAATAAATAATACCAATCCAACTCAAATTCATTCTATTACATCAGCATTACCCGGATACCAAAACCAGACAAAGACACATAACAAAAAAGAAAAGAATACTACAGGCAATCCCTGATGAACATAGATGCAAAAATCCTCAACAAAATTCGACAATACACTAAAATGATCATTTGTCATGACCAAGTTATATTTATTCCAGAAATTCAAAGATGCTTCAACATATGCAAATTAATCAATGTGATACATCATGTCAGCAGAATGAAGGCCATGAATCATATGAGTATTTCAACTGATTCTGAAAATCAGAGAAGAAAAATTTAACACCCCTTCATAATAAAAACCCTCAAAAAACTTGTGTTGAAGGAACATACCTCAACATAATAAAATTCATGTACAACAGACCCACATTTAGTGTCATACTAAATAGGGAAAAACTGAAAGTCTTTCTTCTAAGATCTGGAACATGACAAAGATGTCCACTATCACCACTGTTATTCAACATAGTACTGAAAGCTCTAGCTAGATCAATCAGACAAGACAAAGAAATAATGGGCATCCAAATCAGAAAGGAGAATGTAAAATTATCCTTCTTTGCAGATAATATCTTATATTTGGGAAAAACAAAAGATTACAACAAGAAATACTATTTGCACTAATAAATTCAGTAAAGTGGCAGGATACAAAATCAACGTACAAAAATCAGTAGCATTTCTATATGCCAACAGCAAATATTAAAAATGTGAAAAAGAAACTAAAATGCAATCCCATTTACAGTAGCTTAAAATAAAATTAAATTCATATGAAGTAACTTAACCAAAGAAGTGAAAGATCTCTACAGTAAAAACTATAAAACACTGAGGAGAGTAATTCAAGAGGACAAAAATATGGAAAGATATTTCATTCTCTTGGATTTGAAGAATCAATATTAAAATGTCCATACTACCCAAAATGATCTACATATTCAATGCAATCTCTATCAAAATACCGATGACAGTCTTCACAGAAATAGAAAAAACAGTTCTAAAATTTATATGGAACCACAAAAGGCCCAGAATAGTCAAAGCTATTCTGAGCAAAAAGAACCAAACCAGAGGAATCACATTATCTTACTTCAGATTATACTACAGAGCTATAGTAACCAAAACAGCATGGCAGGATGGTAGTGGCATAAAATTAGACACATAGACATCTCTTTTTATAGGAATCAGGAGTCGAAAAGTGAACAAGATGGTCTCTTTCCTAAAACTCTTCAAATTTTTGTCCTCTTAGCCCATTGAGTTTACCTACTAAGCCTATGCAATAAAAATGTGGTTATCTGTTATCTGCTACATGAGAGGTTTTTGGCCTCTACCAAGATAAGATTACACTGCTTTTATCCTTATGAGGCTACTCCTTCAATGGCAACCTGAATATTTTCAGGTTTTATCCTTGGACCAACTTTGTGACTTATACTCACCTCATAAAGTTATGAAATGGTTTGGGAATGTACATCATATAATCAACTTCAAGGTCAGCCTTTTTAACCAAAGTTGACACCGCCCTTCCTGTTATATTTTTCACTCCAAATTTTGGCCAGCCACACTGTCAATGGAGCTTGCAGGAAATTTATTTATCAGATGAAGTGACAGCATTAAGATACTTCAATAGTAAAGTATACAAGGACAATCCAGTAGTACAACATGTAAAACACAGAAATGTTTCCATCTGAATATAAACTATCCTACTAATAAATTTATGAAGAGAAATAAAGCTATAGATATAACACTTTGCAAGTTAAAGATCAGAAATAATAAAGTCCAAACTTTAATTATTTTTATCTGTATGCTTAAAAGAATCTAGCTTTCCACAGTTTCATATTCTGCACAGCCTCTGCCAGAGATATTTTTGGTGACTGATGGCATTGGGGTTTCATCAGCAGCTGTAACCTGGACTGTCTTTCAAAAAGTTCTGTATACTTTCTTCAGTCGCATGTTAACTTATTTCCAAGACTCTGATGTTTCTAACCTTTTAAAGATTTCAGAGAATTAATGGGACACATGAGATTTTCACAGTCCTGGCCCTGCAGTCATCCAATTGGAGAATGAGCCAATCCTCTTTCGCAAGGGCAGTTATCCCAGACAAGTTCATGTTCCAAGAAGCCAGATCAGTGTTTCCGGAGACCGTGGCAGATACTTGGTGGCATTGGGGTAAGGACGATGAATGGAGAAAATGTGGTTGTCACCATTACTGGAATATGGGTTAGTTGTCTTTTTCTGGAATCTACAATCTGTAAACTTAACTTCATATTGGAGAAATCTCTGTGTAAATGATTCATTTTAGCATGGCTAATTTACCCTGTCCGTGATGGAGGTGAACATTCATGTTTACATAACGTATCTTCTGCCACAGAATGCCATTTTTGTATTTTGTTGTCCTTTTGAAAAATTCAGCAATTTACAATGTTTATGGCCTTATTCTCCATTTCCTATTTTTGTTGTTCTGCATAGACCCTCCTACTGATATTCTTAACACACTCTCCTGTGAGTAAGCATTCCCCATCCTGTTTTCATCAATTCTCAGTATGGAATTAATTTGGTGTAAGACACCTGCCTCCTTAAGTGATTTCTTCAGGAAGACTTTTCCTTAAGTAATTAACCAGCATAGAGCCAGTTCAGGACTCTGAGGTGACGAATGACTTTGGAGTCACCGGAGAAGTTATATCCAACTTCTTGACTTTTTCATCTCACTGACTAGGAAGGCAATTGTTAAAGGGAGATAATTGTCCAAGGGTTTCTCCTTCACCATTTTCTCTTTTTGCTTCTGATAACCCATATAACTTTACAGCTTCAACCATTACCTTTTTTGCAAATTTATCCACTTTGCTCAGACTACCCATTTATGCTCCAATAGTGCAATTTCAATTTTTTAGTGAACATATATATTTTGAATACTTACCATCATCTCAAATTCAACATGTCTGAAATTAAATTAATAATTTACCCTCTCCTACCAATAAGCTGGTACCCAAATTGTTTCCTCAGCTTCTTCAAAGGATGATACCATACTTAACCATCTAGGCTTGAAATTTCAGCATCATTTTTTATTTTTGTTCTGTGCAAAGTCATCCATCCTTTTGAAACTGTTTTATCTAACTTATCTTCTACAAAGCCTTTTCTCTTAGTGTGTCTATATAATTATATTGACGTATACATAATCTACACTTAATAATGTATACATATGTACACACATGCACATACCATACATATTTATATGTGTATGCATCCAAATACACACACATAGAGAAAGGGGTAATTCAGACTGAACTCCCTTAACATTTTTTCCCCTTCCATTTCTGAATTTACCCAGGTTTTCATCAACCACTACATATTTTTCTACTTAATAAGCTGTCCCTCATCCTTTGCCAAAGCTGTTAGACCTATGCTCTTATTTGTGTTTTCTCTTACCTTCCCTAGGTCTTTGTTCCATTGAGTATCTCCTCTATTTCACAGATTACATTTTTTATTAAATCTGAAAATACCTCTAGGCTCAAACCTGATCCTCCATTCTATATTGGGTAATGATATCACCATAGACTCAATTCCTCAAACCATGAGCCAAGAAATTATGCTTGACAGCCTTCAGTTTTACCACTCACATCTAGTTGTGAGGCCATACCTTCCAAATAACCCTCCAATATATTTATCTTTACTGTCATTGCCCTAGTTCATTTCTTCTTACTCAAATAGATTTCAAGTTATCCAGCTGGTAGTCCTGACCTCAGATAGTCCCCTGTGCTTCAATTAATTCTTCACACTACAGACAGATTTATTATTCCAAAATAAAACTATGATCATGCTGCATAACTTCCTTGCTTAAAATATTTCAGTGTTTCCCTAGCCTGCTGCCTGAGGTCCAGATTCCTTAGGGAGACATACAGGGACACTGAAGATCTGATACTAACCTTACCTTATGCCACTTCCTCCCATTCTCCAACCAGATTGACTATTTCAAGGGTTGTCTGAATATATTACGGCAATTTTTCCTCCTCTACTTTTATGTGTATTGTTGTCTCTGCACATAACTGTTGCCTCAGTCTGAAACACATTTTCCCCTTTCTCAGCCAAGTACTTCAAGATCAAAGCCAGTTTTACTTGCCTTGGTTTCCTAAGAAATATTAGGCATTTTCTTTTCTGGGATTATATTTTTAAATAGCTCTTACTCATTACATTGTAACATAATTATTGTATTATCTTGGTCTTTATTTATCATTCCTTTGCTCTCATTTACTTGTGCTTTCCACATTTAGAGTAAGATTCAAGATGTTTTTTAAAGGTCTACAAGACCCTGATCTTGCCTTTGGCTACTTTCCTGACCTCATTTCCTTCCACCTTCTCCCCAGCGGACTCCGCTCTAGCCACATGGTCCTCCTTCCTGTTTCCACACTCATTCTCATATAAGGTACTTTGTGTTTGCTGTTCCTTATGCCTCTTGTCCTCTTCCCTAGGTATTTCCATGTCTGGTGCCCTCCTTTCATACAGGTTTCTGCTCAAGCATTGCTTCCCTCTAAAGGCTGTTTTTCCTGAGTGTGTAGTTTGGGATGACCCGTGCTTCATATTTCCCAGGCATCTTGAATTACATTCTTCAGAATAATACATTCCCAGCCTGCCATCTGAATTACAACTCTTTGACTTGTTCGTAAGGGTATATGTGCAACTTGTTCATCATGTCGTAAGCATTCTGGTGTTGGCAAAGTATGGCTGGTATATTGTAGTTTTCTTTGGGAAATAATACTAGAGCCAAGTTTTCATGTGAAGGTCATGATTAACCATGGATTAACTTAAACCCCCAAAAGCCTTTGGGAATATTTGACTACTGTGAATTAGGATAGCATGTAATGTAGTGGAATGTTTATCTGGACTTATTGCATAAAGAAATATACCTCAAGATAATATAGGACCTATCTATGCATATTATTTTGTAAACAAATGTCATAATGTGGACACTGGCTTTGTGTGCTACCTAATTTATAGTATAATACATACAACTAAATATTGTTGTACAGTAGATGGTAGATTAGCACCTTTGTGTTCAAAAATGAGGTTTACCATCAAGAATAACGTATAGTTGAGATAATCAAATATCTGCCTTTGCCCTAGGAACACCAGAGGACCCTCACTCTCAGGGTGAATGTTGGGTTATACTGACCTAAATACTAAGTGTGCAATCAGGGATTATCCCAACATCTGTTTAGGAAAGACAGATGTTGTCATTATAGACCTTCATTCATGTGCTCCTCCATAGTTAAAAAGAATGATTCCCATACATTGAATTCATAAAAGCAAGCAAGAAACAGGCAGAAAAAGAAAAATGGAAGTCTCCAGAATATTTTGAATAAGAAGTTTCAAGACCAGAGGAAAAAAGAAGAAAATAGAATGGGGAGTTAGGGGGTGTGGCAGTGGTGAGAGGAAAAAAAAAAAGGTATTGTGAAGAGGTCTACAGCTACATAAAAAGCCTTTGTATAGTTTGTCTTATGTGAAATTTAATAACCATATAAAACCCAATACGCTTGTTTCATTGCAAGCAGGAGGATGCTATATAAAAAAAAAAAGGCTGGAGAAACAGCATGCAACTCATAAAAGACATGCAGTTTGAATTTATACATGCATCCATCATGGGATAGTGTGCACCAGAGGCAGACCAAGACATTTAGTGGGAATACAAGGTGGTGCTTCCTTCTCTACAGAAAAAGCTGTTCAATCATAGCCAAGCACCTGATACACATAGGCATTACCAAAGAGAGTGACTTTTCAGGACAATAAAGAGTAGCAATTCATACTTTGCTTTAACAAATGGACAAAGCAGGCTGGCTGTAGTCTCACTGTTGAGGAAAGTCAAGGGCTGCCTGCAGGAAAAGGTCTTATTATGGCAAGGGACATCTAGTCTTTGCCCACATCTTGCCTCCTTGGCTGTGCCTTGAGAATAACAGGTGGCCGAAGTTTTGTGCCAAGTTCATTCTTGACCACAGAGCTGCCCCTTAGTGGATTCTGTGATTCAGAGCTTTGGGAAAAAGGAAAGGGCATAACTACCTGGTCACTGACATAAAAATTACCACCAGCCTGTGAATCTCAGGTCCTCCCCTTGGAGATTGGCTTGGACCCAAAACCACTTCTATCTACTGATAACAGATTGTGATATTTGTGCTCCAGTTTCATTGATCAAGGCTGCCAGCAAAGTTCATCTTACCTAGATTTTATCCAAGTGACTAAGAGAGGGGCAGATGGACCTGGCACAGTGTCATTTGTCTGGGGCCTTGACCCTGCCTAGGTATGGTGCCTGCTGGCAGTTGAACATTTTATACTCCTGGGTTTTTATCCAGGTTCTAATCTTGCAGCTGCATTCAGGGAAAACACCCTAAATACAGCTTCTGTCAAACGAGCCTCACAGTTGAATGTTCTTCCCAGGACCTGTAAAGGACAAATTGAACTATTTACTCACACATACCTCCCTTTTCAAAAAGACTGCTGTCAACACACTTCCTAAACACAGACTAATTGCACAAATTAAGATGGCGGTTTGGTGATTTTCAGGGAAATCTAAAAGCTTCAAAAAATCTAAATGGTTTTGTAAGTCTTCAGAATGCACACTTACAACAGCATAAATGAGGGCTTCTCTCCCATTAGGGAACTGGAGTCTGTTACTTTATCCCCATTGACTCTCGTAATGTCCCTGGCTCAGCACCACATGCAACAGATGCAAAGGGTCACCAGTGAAGGGCAAAATATTTTGTGAAAATAATAGAACTATGCTATCTACGTAGCCAGTTTTTCCCACTCCGCACTTTCAGTGCTATCGCCTTGCTTTCATATAGTGATTTTCTTTTTATTTGCTAGAGTTTATTTTGTTGAATATGGCGAAAGACAAAAAAACAAAACAAAACAAAGGGAAGGTCGTTTTGTTTTTTCCCCAAGTATTAACCAAGCACTGTCCAGAGCCTTCTTCATATGAGCTTTGCCGTCCTAAAAAAATTTTCTTTGTTATGCCTCTTCCTTGCTCCTGAACCTGAGTGATTTGCTTAGCTAATCAAGCTTAAATAATATGTAACAGGCAAGAAAAAGAAATCACTAAAATATAGAAATGGCTGCAGCTGTTTTCTGCATTATAGGAGAATAGCAGAATTCATCTCTGGAGTAGATGCTCTTTTGTTTAGGAAAACACACTGATGAAATTTTTAGATTATTCAAAATTAGGTCCCCAAGACTGGTCCAGGGTGGAAGTGGAGACAGAAGAACAAAATTACTCTGAAGTATCAAGTGTCAAGAAGTTTGCCTTTGAGCCTTGCTGGTTTTAGGGGTAGAAGTAGTGGTGTATTCTAGAAATAGGAGAATATGGAAATTGAGACAAACACATTATATACAAACACTCACACTCACAGACACACAGAGACATCAGGAAATTGTGGCCAGCTGGATTCTGAGCAAGAATAAGGCTTTCTAAAAAATGTCTTGGGATAGAGATGGCTAAAAAATTTTAATAGTCATATTTATCAATCCTAGGCTGTTTGCCATTTTGCTGTAATATCCCCCCAATACCTCTGTATAATTCCCCTAATCTTCAGTTAGAATGTAATATTCTGTACCTTATAGAATATTATATTCTGCACCACTTTGAATTAGTGGTGGTTCCAGCAATGAAGGGGACAGGCTGCGTCTATGCACAGAGCCAGGTAGTACCTAGAAGGTTCAGGAGATGTAGAAGTAAATAGGTATTGTAAAAGGAAAGATGTGGAAGGAGAAGCAGAAGTAAGATGGAGAGGATGGCAGAGGTAGGTGCAGGAGAACATCAGCACTCCTGCCCTGGAACCCTCAGGAAATGGAGAAGGGTGCAGGCTTTCTCACAGCTGAGATTGGATCATGGTATTTTATTTGGATATAAAAAGAAACTATAGCCACAGCAAGTTGTATCTTGCCACAAATAAAACTGTTCACAGTTCCTTTTGGGTACCCTCAAACCTGAACCTCCTCCCCATGTCTGCCAGCTCTGCTGTCCATTTCCCACTCTCTCCAAACACTGCCTATAACCATTCTGTGCTTTCTGTTAAGACATTTTCTTCAGTCTGGAAAGCCCCTGTATTCATTTCACTGATTAGTCGCATTCTACCCGTTATTCAATGCCCAATTAAAATTCCACCTTTTTCATGAAGTTGATTCTGGCCCTTGGAGCCTACATGTTAATCTCCCATTTCTGAAGTCCGATAGCACTCGTCGCAAGAAAGGCATAATACAGCAATGTGATAGTAATCTTCTATTTTCTGTTTCTTCTATCTTCACTTGGTTTGCCCCAGACAATAATGGATATTCTTAGGGTAAAGAAAATGTGTTGTTTATTTTTCTTATATGTTTCGACTCTACCTAGCTTATTCCTGGATACCTACTAACGTTTCAATTTGCATTAGGTTAACGGATAAAGAGTTGCATCAGTCTTTAAAATAAGCATTTGTTATCCAGTAAAAGTTCGCTCATGGGAATCCAGCCAAGCATTGTGTCCTCAGTTGATGTTGCTTAGGTGGGCCAGTGTATGGTAAATAAAAAAAATTACTATAATGAATAAAACATTATGAAAATCTTCAAAATAATTTTGAAAAATAAGACTTTCTGATCTCTATCTTTATGTGCTGTCCAATTCCACATAATTTTTCTACCTCTTCCTATTCATAAATGAACTTTTATTTCCAATATAACTTCATTAAGAGAAGCCGAAAGAAAGAAAAACCTAATGAATTCCTTTAGTCAAAGAGTGATTCAACATGGGAGAACTTATGAATTCCTTCAACAATTATTTAAATATTGGGAGTACAATTAGATTAATGAAAGGCTAGTATTTCAAACCTCAGGTCAACTTGAGTATGGCAAGTTCAGACATTAAAGTACAATCACAGACACAAATAAAGTGTATATTTTGAACAATTCTACATGGGTCAAGGGTACTGGAAGGCCTACAAAATTCAATCCATGTGCCCATTTTTACTGTTGGCTTCCCTTTTTATGCTTTCCACTTTTTGGTTTTGCTTTTTCTTTCTCTTGCACCCTTTTCCTTTTGCTCCATGCCTTATTCTGCATACAGCTTTGCATCTGTTACCTTCACAGCTCTTTCTCATTTATGAGCTGTTGTTGGGCTACCATCTTCTGCAAAAAGGCTGTATTAACTGAGAACACTTGGAAATAAAATGAAGGTGCCCCTCACATGAAGGTTAGTTTATAAAGTCAGAGCATAAACAAGAAGAAAATTGGATATTTTGAAATTACCCTTGGAACTCCCTTTGGTGGGTGCCATGTAAGAGACCTTCTCTCACCAAATTGAGCAAAGTCAGTGTTTCCTCCAGCATTGGAATTGATCACTGTATATTCAGCTGAACCCCTGATAAAGGAGTTGGCTTCTTCACATAGGCTATGTTGATCCAAAAATGAGGTCTTTAAACACATTTAACGGGATGAGCTGCTAAGGCTTTTTGAGGCATATGGCAACCAAGATGCCGGCAGAAGGCAGATTCTGGGCTCCCAATTTGTGCAATTTATTCTAGTTCTGGAATATTTGCACACTGAACGACTGTACAAGCTGAATATCAGTATCAATTTAATGGATAAGTCTTCTTTTCTACTTCTTTTCTTTCCTTTACCTTCTTTTTCTCTTTCTTTCCCATCAAAATACATATGATAAAATCCCATTGAGTTGAATATGCATATCATGTAATAGTACCCTAGCGTCAGATGAAAGTGCCCATTGCCTTGTAAATAAAGTCATATATCTCTCCATTATGCTCTTAGTCATTCACTTGAAAATAATTGAGGATATGCACAGAGCTTCTGCCCATCAAAGGTGGCAACTTGCATGGTCCAACAGATGGGTTTTTTGTCTTAACCCTTCATTGTCTCTTATCTTTGAATTGTGTTAATAGATCTGATTAAGCAAAAAGAAAAAAAATGAAGTAAATATTTTCCATCATTAAAATTGTTTTTGCTTGCTTTGCTTGTCGCATGGGAAGGCTTTGGATCTGTTTTTTTTCCCCTGTGTCTCTCAGTCAAGATGCGATGAACAATGATGTTGGTGAACCTCACCATTGCACTGCTGACCGGAGTCAGCCTGGCTTCATCTTCCCTCTCAACTTCAGAGTGAGTGACAGAGCTGGAGGGAATGGCATTGAGAGTCTGGCTGCTCTTCCACTAACTGGAAGGAAACAGTATGCAGATCTGAGTACTTCAGACCAGCCTAGATGACTCAGTAGATTGGCTTTCAGGGAAAAAAATATTTCTCAGTACTTATAATAACTATGTTATACATTATGGGCATAAATGCAACTCCTCTTGGAGCAGGCACTGAAATTAACCCACAAAGTTTCTAAAATATATGCTTTGGGAGTAGATCAACATTATATATCCATATTTTCTCAATGACAGTATTAAATTTACTGACTCATAAATGTATCCTGTAGTTCTTTTCATGTGGTCATTTATTTGGCAGATTTGGAGAAAATTTTATGACTACCATTTAATTCACTTTTAAGTGATGGTTTTACTCTTCAAGTTCATTGAACGAAATAAGACTATTTGATGGAGAAAAGATTTTCTCCATATGTAAAAATAAAATTTATTAGGCAATTTTTGCCTTGCCGATAATTTTTCTAACTGCATCTTAAGGAAAGTTAGTCTATTTTGAAGTTCAATATAATAAATAACAATAATTGATTTACTTAATGTTTTATTTGTTAATTCACACAAATGTATTAGTATGATTTTATAGTTTAGTTACAGTAGCAGCAGTATAATATATAATTACTGATCTGAAGAACAAACAATATCTATACTTTATATCTTTAAACATATCTCAATTTATATTTGTAATAATTGGATGCCCTCAAAACCCAGATGGCTATAGAAGGAATAGAAAGTAGGTGCTCCTCATAAGTAATCTTTTAATCATGGCAAGAACATAATTTCCTAGGCGCCTATTACAGGGTCAATGATAATATATTATCACATTAATCTTTACAGCATCCCTGTGAAGTTAAGGGAGTTATTTATCTGTACCTTTTACTGAAGCTCCATGTATCAGGAAAGCAGCTTAGTTTATTCAGCTTGTTGGTGGCAAATGCAATCATCAAAATTGGTTTGAATTTCTGTCCATATTTCCTGCTGCCTCTTGAGTTTGGAGTTATGTTTTCATCTCTCAAATCAGAAACAATAATACAAACATCCACCATGTTTGGCATGGTGCTAATTTTAGACTAGGTTTCCAAGGCAGTTTGAGATAGTCTCTTAGATTATAAACTGTTACCTGCATTCAAGCTGGTTGGTTATTTCCCACCCACATGCAAGACTGGCAAGATTACTAGCTAGGAAGATTCTAGTGTTGATACTCTTCTATTCAAAGATCTTCAGGAAACTGTAATAGGATTATTTTCACAAAAAATTGTTGAAGATACTGGTCTAGAACACATCTAGCATGCATCAAACATGACCTTTGGACACATTTCTTTTTCTCTTTAGATTTGTTTTCTTATGACAACTTTAATTTTCTATTGGCTTATTATAAGAAGAATATTTCACAGAGAAATGAAATATTTAGACTGTCTAAACATCAAGCAATAAGTATTTACCAATTAGCCACTATGGAGATATTATAGAGAATTAAAAAGAAGTATGTGAAGTTAGTCTAACTCTTAAAGAAGCTTAAAATAAGCAGAGGAGGCATATATATACATTTGTGAAATCACTAACACTGAAGTACTGTATGACTAAGTGGAAAATGACTACTAAAGAAAATAAAGGCTGCCCTAAATCTTGTGCAATTTTAAATTAAGAAACTTTATTAAAATGTGTCATGAAATAGAAAGTAATTAGTATCAGGGACATGATTTTAAAAGTTTCAGGCATCATAGTACACAATCACTGGAGTTAGAAAGCCTGGATACAAGTCTGTCATTTGACTGCCATTTTTCAGCTGTGTGGTTTTAGAAAACCACTTACCTCTCTGTGCTTCACTTCCTTATCTATAAACTGGGGGGACATTCTTTGTAGGTTGTGCTGTTTATGTGATGTAAGTGATGCTCATGTTTACTCTACTGCTCTAGACTAAATAGTCATGAGTCATTCATTCAGGCAGTGGCTATCAGTTACATACTTAGCAATAGCCATTAGCTGCCCATAGTCTTTGACTAAATAATTCTACTGATATATCTTTATTATAAAGAGAAAGTCTTAGGGAGGGTATAGTCAATTGGCATTTGTTGAGTTTACACTGGGTGAAGTCCACATACTCTTTTCGACTTAATCCCAGTGAAAACCCTGTGAGCTTGGCCCAGTGAAGCCCAGAGTGGTCAAGTAATTTGCCAGTAAGTAGAAGTGAAGTTAGGTTTGAACATACACCTTGTACAAAGTTCCTACTGTGCAATCAGTCATGCCACAGCACATACACATTGCTAGCTACACAAATACGTTTCTGAAGTATAACCTACTATAATGAAAATAATCAGAAACTATCTAAATTGCCAACATCAAATAATAAGTTAAATTAAATATGGTAAATGAACTTAATAAAATGGATGCATTTATAAAAATTATAATTTAATATACTATTTAGTAAGACTATAAAGAGAATAATAAAATAATATAAAAGAATTCTTAATGTTACATAAATATGTAAACATTTGCTATACGTTAACATAAAAGATATGTATTTATGTATAATTTATACATAGTTTAGGCTGTATTACATTTTTACATAAAATTTCTGAAGTCAGAAATTTAAATATAATGTATTAATTTGCACATTTTTGAAGGTTGCTAATTTGTTTATAAAATAACTTCAAAGTATATGTAGAGCAACTTCTAATTGTTAGTCACTGAAGTTAGTTCCGTGTGTTTAATGATGAGGAGGTGGAGTGGCCTCCCTGAAGGAGCTTGCAGTCCACTAATCCAGTAAAGACATTTATACTTTCAAAATGCTTTTGCCATTTAGAAACAAACACAAAACTAGTTTTCTATAGTATTCTTTCTTTAATCCAAATTGAAATCTATGTAGTTGGAATATACAAGGATAAAATGAAATAAACATTTAAACATAGCAGAATATTTATTATATAAGCCTGAATTGTGTAATTCACTTTTAAAAGAAAAAAACCCACTGACACCATGAAATAAATTAATAATAAATTCACCTATATGAAAATTACTATGAATGAAGAAAAAAGAAAACAGGACTGGGGAATAATATCTGTAACACACAGGGCAAATTAATTTACTATATATGATTGGCCAAATCCTAATAAACAATTAGATAACTTGAAAATGTGCCTGAATAAATAACACAGCATAGAAAAGTAAAGAAATTTTAAAAAATTTAGAATTGCAGAAGCAGCATATGGAGGAAATGAGACAAAGGCCCAAATGAAAAGAGATAATGGCTGAAAATGTTCTTGAAGTGATGAAAACCAGTGATCTTCCATTTCAGGGAAAAAACACATCTCAACCAAGACTTAAAAAAGAAAAAGATTCATATATAGACACTTTATTGTTATTTTCAAACTGCAACACACTAAAGACAAGCCTAAGATCTCTGAAACATCCAGAAAAGATAAACAAATCATCCACAAAGAATATGAAATTAGACGATCATTGGAACTCTCAAGGTAAAAGTCAGAGCACAGTGAAATTGTGACCTTAAACTTCTAGATAACAAAGTAATGAGAGCCACCCTAGTTTCAGTCTCTGTATGATTTTTTTTTAATGGTGGCAAAAAAAAAATTTCAGAAACACAAACACAATCTTAGAGAATGGATTACCCTTAAGAATAAAGGATGTACATTAGGAGAAATGAAAATACTTTTAGAAGGAAATTCAGACATTTAAGGGGATCATGGAAATAAAAGGCAATTATGTGTGTAAATTAAAACAAATCCTGGTTGTTGAAAAGAATAAAAATGCTGACCAATGACAGTGGCTTAAGAATAAGTCTAAGTGATATGAAAACACTAGCCAAAAACATATGTCGGAAAGAAGTGATTAGAGTTGATACATTCTGAGTTATTTTAAATCATCTATATTGTTAAAAATTTCAAGGGCTAAACATGAAAGAGTACACACATATTACTTTAAAGGGAAAAATAAAATTTAGAGTGAAATATTCCACCAAAAATCAGTCAATAACAGAAAAAAATGAGATAGAAAATAAGCAGAAAAATAAATCAGGACAAATTAAAATACAAATAATCTCTTAGAAATAAAACAATATGTATAGTTTATCTTAATCAAGGTTAGCAGGCTAATCAATACATAAAAATCAACACTCTTTTACTGGGTTAGGAATGGACTTCTGGCTGGGTGTGGTGACTCACTCCTGTAATTTTGGTACTTTGAGAGGCTAAGGTGGAAGGATTGCTTGGGCCCAGGAGCTGGAGACCAGCCTGGGCAAGATGGTGAAATACTCCCATCTCTACAAAATTTGTTTTAAAACTCAGCCATGCACTGTGGTGCACCCCTGTAGTCCCAGCTACTCGGGAGGCTAAGGCAGAAGGATACCTGGAGCCCAGGAGTTCAAGGCTGCAGTGAGCTATGATTGTGCCACTGCACTCCAGCCTTGGTGACCAAGTGACACCTCATGTCTTTAAAAAAAAAAAAAAAAAAAGTGACTTCTACTATGTGCTGCTTAAAATAAACACAGCAAAAAGAGAAAGATGCAGCATAATTGTAAGTAAATGATGGAAAAATTATAACCCAAATGTAATAACAGAAGACTATAGAGCTATATTAAGAGAAGACTAATACATCAAGACGCTTTCCTAGACCTGAGGAGAGTCAATGCAGAACTATAATATTTTCACTAAATTAAAAAGATACAACAATTTTAAATGTATAATTTCTATAATTTCTGTATCTTAAAAACTAACGCAGTATTTACCAAAAATGAATGTAGTTTGGCTGAAATGCAAAGCCCAATAAATTTTTTAAAATTAGAATCATTTGAAATATAATCTTTGATAAAATTCAATTAAGATAGAAATAAAAAAACAGAGACATAATCTAAACTTCTCTATTTTAGAAATTTTAAAATATACCTAAAAATATACTACTGAAAAATTCGGGGCCAAAAGAGAAATCATAATGAAAATTCAAAAATACTTAGAACAAAATAACAATAAAAATATCATGCAAGAAATTTTGTGGGAGGCAGTTAAATTTCAGAATAATTAGAGAGAAATATATAGTTTTAAGTTCTTATGGTAGAAAAGAAGATATCTTGAAAGCTAATAAATTAGGCATCTATCTTAATTTAGAAAAAATGAAAAAAACTTAAGGAATGAATAATGAAACAAATAATAAAGGTTAGAGTAGACATGATGAAAAAGAAAAAAATACATCATTACAAAGGATTTAGAACTATAAAAGTTACTTCATTGAAAAAGGCGAATAAAATGAACAGAAGTCTGGCAAGATTAAGTAAAAACATTGGAGGCCATATAGTAAATATAAGTTATCATATTAATAATGTAAATAAACTAACAGGTTTTTATTGAATTAGGCTTCGTCTGTATGCGTATCTGCTGCCTCCCGATACATTATCTATTCTTAACCTGCAGAATTGAATGCAACTTTTTAAACAAAGACATTCTGATGCACTAGTTTTTTGTTGTGGTTGTTGTTCCACTTTGAGGCAAGGTTGTAGTATTTTCCAATTGAGATGAAAAATGTTAACATTATTTTTATCTCTCTCATGGATTCATGATTCTTCCCTTTTTTTGGTCTTTACAAAAATTTCTTAAGATAAAAAAGCTGAAACTATAAAAGAAAAGCTACCATAGTTTTAAGATCTGTTTCTCAACAGACATTATGTAGAGATTGAAAAGAAGACAAGCCCTAGGAAATGATATTTGTAATAAATAAAACCAGCAAAGAATTAGTGCAGAAATTGTACTTAATAAAAACTTTTATGAACCAATAAAAAAAGACAATCCAATATAAAAATGGGCAAAATATGTGAACAAACATTTCAGAATAGGAAAACCACAAATCAACCCCACATCATATGAAAATATTCTCAATTTTATTAGTAATCAGAGAAGAGCTAATTGTTTACTTACCAGATTGGAAACCACTGTAACATCTGAAAATACCAAGCATTTTCACACGAGTGGAATAATCACTGGTGGGGTTCCCCATTTAAACAGCCACTTTGGAAAATAATTTGGCATGTTTAATAAGGCTCAGCATATCTGGTAGCCAGTGATTCCACTCTTAAAGTCCTGTATCTTTGAGAAACTCATATGCTAGTCAACAAAGATATGAAACAACATCTGTAGAAGAACTGTGTTCAATAGCAAAAAATGTTCATTAATAGTGGGATATATAAATTTGTGATTATTCATTTAATGGAATATTATATAAGAGTAAAGATGAATAAACTAATTACATGCAACAATATGGATGAATCTCAAAAATCGAATGTGTGAAAGAAGCAAATCATCACTGGATATATAGAGTATAAAATATTATTCTATATACTTAATGTTCAAAACCAGCTATTACCAAATAGTACATATTTTAGGCATACATACATATAATAAAAATTTAAATCAAAGTTGTGAAATTATTGGCACAAAAAATTCAGTTACCTCTGAAGATGTTGAAATAGTTTACAGAGGTACATTTAGAAACCTTCAAGGTATTTCTTAAGCTTGATGTTAGGTACAGGGGGCTCTATTTATTTATTTATTAATTTATTTAATGTATTGAGACAGAGTCTCACTGTCACCCAGGCTAGAGTGCAGTGGCATGATCTCGACTCACTGCAGCCTCTATCTCACGGGTTCAAGCGATTCTCCTGCCTCAGCCTCCCGAGCAGCTGGGATTACAGGCACCCACCACCACACCCAGCTAACTTTTTTGTATTTTTAGTAGAGACAGGGTTTCACTATGTTGGCCAGGCTGGTCTCGAACTCACGACCTCAAGTGAACCGCCCACCTCAGCCTCCCAAAGTGCTGGGATTACAGGCGTGAGCCACTGTACCCGGCCTACTTTATTCACTTTTATTAATGTTCTTTAACATGTACATACATATTTATATACCCTCTTCGATATGTATGGCATATTTCCCAGTTACAAAATGAAAAAAAAATTCCATTCAAATAAGCTTCTTTTAATCTATTGAAATTTGGCCATTGAAACCATTTGTTGTTTTTTGTGCTTTCCCCAAACCCTGGCTAATAGTTCAGTACAAAATAACAGGAAAAATCACTTTTCTTAAGTAACATGATATTCTCTAAGAACCTCCCCGGAGGACAGCACATCTCCATTTATAGGAAAGGACATGGGAAAGTAAAACAGCCTTTGTACTGAATACTGTCTACCCGGTGTTGTGTTATAATCTTTACATCTATCTTATCTGATAAACACAGTGACCCTCTGAAACGTTATTTTTGCCATTTTTTTTTCTCCAGCAAACAGAAAATTAAGGCCCATCTCTTTTCAGACCTGTGACTTGAGGCCAATGTAGTTTCACTCCAAGTCCCTATTTTCTCTTCACGTGTTCAGTACCTACTTCTGACACTCTGAGATAGTGAGCTGCCTGAGATCAAGAACTGTTTTTCACCTTCCTACCCTTTAGTTCTGAGCACAAGATGAGGCTTGGAGTCTGCACAGTAAAAACTTAATTAATGATTCATTATCGCTGGAAGTTTTAGGATTGACATTTTTGGCTCAAGAACTCATTTGCGACTCATAATGGCCACCACAAGATAGGAACATTTTAAATTATTTGATTCAATGTTTTTACATTACAATTAAGTAAACTGAATCCTGACATATTTAGATGGCACGTCTGGGACACTACATCCACAGAATGAAGTGGAAAATCCATCTCTTCAGCTCTCTTCTCCTGGGCTTCTCATTCAAACACCTCCTCCTGTAAATTAGCTACTTTTTCTATCTGTTGAATAGGGCCCAGTTTAAGAGTTTAATACCTGTTTGTCCAATCCATTCTCTGACTTAGGTGTTCTCCTTAGTGAATAGAGCTGAGGACATTTTAATTAATTTATTATGTCCCTTCAATTAGGGGACCCAATTAATAATTGAAATGGGTTTTTAATTGGTTTATATCCTCTAGGGTATCATATTAATAACATAAATAAACTAACAGGTTTGCATTGAATTAGGCTTCATCTATATGCATATCTGCTGCCTCCCAATACATTATCTATTCTTAACCTCCAAAATTGAGTGCAACTTTTTAAACAAAGACATTCTGATGAACTAGTTTTTGTTGTGGTTGTTGTTCCGCTTTGAGGCAAGGTCATAGTATTTTCCAGTTGAGATGAAAAATGTTAACATTATTTTTATCTTTCTTATGGATTCATTATTTTTCCAGTTTTCTAGTCCTATAATGTTGAATTACCATTGAGTCATCTCTCTTCTTCAGATGTCAGTCTAATCATAGACTCATATACCTTTAGAGACAGGAAGATCTTTAGAAATTACTTGTTAAGAACCAATGCATTTGAAAACCAGAGGGGATCCATTGTGTGCTCAAGCTCACACAGCAAGCTAGTAGCAAGGACAGTGGTTTCTCTTTAGACATCTTCTTGATTTTTTTCTCAAATATCATTAATTTTAGTTGTTCATTTGCTTTGGTAAGTCACCGTAGAAGCCCCACTTCACATTTGGATTGGTCTTCCTTTCTCTTGAGAATAATTAAAGGATTTGCTTATCGAAAAAATCAAATGTAACTGTATTATTCTCAGCACTCAGTACAATACTAGACTCAATAGTCTCCATTACACGTTAATTGGAATAAACTGCCCAATGGCAACTATCATTTTCTCCTGTCTGTAGCATTAACTCCATGCACCTCAGGAGGGCATTCAAGCACAATCCACATCTGAATGCCTGGTCTAAATTTATGTTTCCAATCTTGTTCCTGATGTTTCCCTCACACAGATTATGTTTTGAATGTAGCTATCTCCTTTTCCGTTGAATCCCACTGGTTTATTCTTTCTTCCATGTCTCTAGTTCTGAAGGTTTTTTTTTTTTTTTTAATTCTTTGGTTTTTAAAGTATTACCCTCAGAACTTGATGAAGATTTTAATTCTTGTCCCTCTTCACTAACTCTGTGGGTGATGTCTACCAATCTGTTTTAGCGAGTCTTCCTGGTGATTCTGATGTGTGTGAAACTTTGAGAACCCCTGCTCTAACTTCTGGGATGGAGAAAGAGTCCTGGTAACCAAATTACACAGGTACCTCGAGACTCAAGTTTTTCTAAGTGGCTACACGAAGCCCTTTGCAATACTCAAGTCTACATCAAATTTCCTTTTTCAATGACTTAGAATAAGTTTTTTTTAAAATTTGAGGTACATGCCTTATTATTCCCAGGTGAGAGCTGGTTGAGGGCCTTTATTACTAATTTTTCTTCTAGAGGATACCTCACACTTGCTTGTGCTTCAATAAATGTTTATTGGATCACTAGGGGCAGTAATAATCATGATGATAATAACAATTAACTATTACAGTGGATGCCTGTCTTGTTTGTGGATCTACAACATCTTTTTCAACACTCTAAGTTTGGAGTTCCTTATATTATAGATTCTATTTTCTTTTCTTTTTTTTTTTCCTTTGAGACAGAGTCTTGCTCTGTTGCCCAGGACGGAGTGCAATGGAGTGATCTCGGCTCACTGCAACCTCCACCACGTGGGTTCAAGAGATTCTCCTGCCTCAGCCTCCTGAGTTGCTGGGATTATAGGCACTTGCCACCATGCCTGGCTAATTTTTGTATTTTTAGTAGAGACACGGTTTTGCCATGTTGGCCAGGCTCGTCTTGAACTCCTGACCTCAGGTGATCCACCCACCTCGGCCTCCCAAAGTGCTGGGATTACAGGCATGAGCCACCATGCCTGGCCTTAGATTCTGTTTTCTCAAAATAAAAGAATAAACTCATCCACCTTCTCTTATAGCCAGTGCACCACCAATCAGAGGCCTCAAAGACCTAGTGATGGAGAAAGGAAGGGCCTGAGAGCTCCTTCTTCTCTAATACAGCAATAAGGCCAAGTTCCTCAGAAATGACAAGTTTCCAAGAATAGAGCATTGGCATCTAATGTTCAATGGTGGGGTCCACAGTTTTCTTGCTTTTCTTATCAGATCAGCTCCTGAAAGATTAGCAGTTACTCTGGTTCCCCAGCACGCCTAATGATTCTGTGGGCTACTCAATATATTTTCAATAAACTCTCTTTCTTAGTAAGCCAGAGTCAGATTTTGTTGCTTGCAATATAGAACCTTGGCTGATGCAGGAATAATAATCACTGCTTTATTTCATTGAGTAGTTGATAAGTCTATTACATGGACTTAACTTTCCAAATGTAACAGAAAATATATAATTTATAAGTCTGAAAAGGCATTACGGTCAATATATAATTGACTAGTCTAAAAAGACAAAGATTGCAAATTAAGTCACATTTGTTTATCTCTTGTTCAGGTTTCCACATATGAATACCTGACACTCTCACAGTTCAGAAGGACAGCATGAAGTAATGGCTAACACATTCCTTTTTGTTGTAAAGTAAATCGTCATTCCTCAAGGGAACAGTGGTGATCACTATCCACCACGTGTACCTGGGTGTCACTGAATTCTTTGATTTGTCAGCTCACATTCCTAATCTTTAAGGTCACGGTGCCCTGCTCTTGGCACATCTTAGATTGGTAAAAGGAAACATTCACATGCCAAAGTTCAGACAGCATGACTGGGAAAATCATCCCTCTTACCCAGAGGGACTGTGTCCCTGGAAAAGTACTGAATTATGCACAACTATTAAAAACTCTCTTTGAATTGCCCAACATGAATCTCATTCAATGTTCACAAGTCTCTGCGGTAGGCATGGGTAGGGTCATCCTCACTGTACAGATGAGACTCAGAAAGGTAAAATCAAGGTCATGATTACATAGCTCAATGTCAATAGAACTAGGATTTAATTTCATACTGATCTAATTCAACAGCTCTTATTTTCCTGCTGAAAATGCTTTCTTGCAAGGAAGCTCTCCCCTATGAAGTATTTCTGAATACTCTTCTCTGTCTCCTTCCCAGATCCTATTGAGCACATTCTCCTTTAAGCCCTGCATATGCTGGGGCTGTAATAGACAGAACACTTTACCAAATGCCTCTGTTTACAAGCACACCTTCCTATCTGAACTCTTAAGTTACAGAGAGCACAGTTTATACTTTATTCATCTTTGTTTTCCATGTTCCTAGTGTAGTACATGGATTATAATTGTTGCTTGATAAATATTTATTACACGAATGGATGGGTGAATAAAAGCAGAGGGAAAACATCCATTTTGTATCGGTAACCATAAAATATTCACTTAGCATTCCCCAACGGCACACTACTCACAGGCTGACACTGCCCCTTAAACCAGAATGAACTCACTGTGGCCCACTTCAGAAAAAATAACTATGCTCTCCTAGATCATTACTCATAAACTCCAATGTCTCAAAACACTCCATTGCAGCTGGCATGCCTGGCAACTATCTGTGGCCCTTCACAGTACTGCACACATGGCCATTTCATTACTGACAAGGGGGCTGTGGAGCCACACAACCACAGCTTTGTGTGAAGGATGAAGTGGCAACTCGTGCTGCTGAGAGGTCCTCCCCTATCAAGAAGGGGCGGGACTTGTTGATAAGGAACCCTGACTATAGTCACTGACAGGGTGAGTCAAGGAACTTTTCAAAGCATGTGAGTCACTTACCTGCATTCAGTGGTGCCTGGGCTCTGGGGATTGGCATGGAACCAGCAATGTATGCTATGGCCATTCAGGAGATTAAAAGCTGCAGCCATGGTGATTACATGGAATTAAAAACAAATGCAGAAGTGGCCATGGAATCTGATTGCATTCCACTTGGTGTAAGCCAGTTTGCAATTTTTTCTTTCTTTTTTTTTCTTTTCTTTTTCTTTCTTTTTTTGAGACAGAGTGTTAGAGTCTTGCTTTGTCACACAGGCTGGAGTGCAGCAGTGTGATCTTGGCTCACCACAACCTCCACCTCCTGGGTTCAAGTGATTCTCCTGCCTCAGCCTCCCAAGTAGCTAGTATTACCAGATTACAGGCTAGCGTCACCATGCCCGGCTAATTTCTGTATTTTTAGTAGAGATGGGGTTTCCCCATGTTGGCCAGGCTGGTTTCAAATTCCTGATCTCAGGTGATCCGCCTGCCTCAGCCTCCCAAAGTGCTGGGATTACAGGCGTGAGCCACCATGCCCGGCCCAGTTTGTAATCTTGAGGGCAAGAAAAAAAAAATATATATATATATATATTTTTTATTCCTTTTTTTAAAGGAGATGGCAATTTGGGGGAAATAGTTCAAGAGCTTTGGATTCTGGAAGTATGGAGTCTAATGTTGACTTTCTCTCTCATTAGTTGTTGACTTTGGGAAAGTTTCTTTGACACTCAGATTTCTCTTCTGCAAAATGAATATTATAAGCCCTTCCCCTAAGTCTGCTAGAAAGGATTAAATAAGATGATATGTATGAAGTATCTGCTGCATTATAGGAACTCAGTGCATCTTGGATTTTATGCTTTATTTCTTTCTTTTTTTTTTTTTTCTTTTTTATTTTTTATTTTTATTGATCATTCTTGGGTGTTTCTCGCAGAGGGGGATTTGGCAGGGTCATAGGACAATAGTGGAGGGAAGGTCAGCAGATAAACAAGTGAACAAAGGTCTCTGGTTTTCCTAGGCAGAGGACCCTGCGGCCTTCCGCAGTGTTTGTGTCCCTGGGTACTTAAGATTAGGGAGTGGTGATGACTCTTAACCAGCATGCTGCCTTCAAGCATCTGTTTAACAAAGCACATCTTGCACCGCCCTTAATCCATTTAACCCTGAGTGGACACAGCACATGTTTCAGAGAGCACAGGGTTGGGGATAAGGTCACAGATCAACAGGATCCCAAGGCAGAAGAATTTTTCTTAGTACAGAACAAAATGAAAAGTCTCCCATGTCTACTTCTATCCACACAGACCCGGCAACCATCCGATTTGCTTTATTTCTTTCTTATCTACCACTTATTTCTTTGTGCTCTCCTCATCCCCTTGTCTCAGCAGAGACATCCTTGGGGTTCTAACAGGGGAGGCCTGGAGGCCATTCTGAAAGAAAAGGCAGAAGCCAAGGAAAAATAAGTATTTATCAGTTAGGCACCTGAACTTTACCTTCAAGGACAGGTATTCCATAGTCAGGAGAAAGAAATCCATTGGGGATCTGGGCCATCTAAAACACCTTGTAAACGAAGGAGGTTTATGCTGGGAGGAAGGCATTCCTTTCAAAGTGTTCCCGCATCCTTAAAGCACCACAATGGAGAAGAGCAACTGATTTGCACTCTCCTGAGCAAGGCTGAGACATCAGCATTGACCTCACTACACATGTGGGAAGGGCTTTGATGACTTGAGAATCGCGTCATAAGCAATTCTTTCCGGAGTGGTCCTGGGCCATAAAAAATTTGTGCATTGCTAATGGAGCAGACAGTTCCATTTCTAATTTTTTCTGGGTGTACTCCCTCTGGGACACAGAGAGGTTGGTGAAATAGTCTTTGATGTGGGGAAGTTGACCATTTGTGATGGAGGAGGGGAATGGGATCTTGTTGCTTTTAGGTAAATAAGCATTAGAGACCTTTTTGTCAGTAACTGTTGTATTCCAGAGCTAGACTCTGGCCCACGCAAAGGCACAGATGACTGGGTCTTTGCATATATATTAGTAACTCCATTGGAAGATAATATTTTGCATTTTAAACTAAACATTTCTTTGCATGGATATTGACTGTCTCTAAAACCCTGAAATAAAACAGTGTGTTATACTTCTTGGAGTTCCTCATTCACTAGAATGGACTTTGATCCTTTGAGTCACTATTAAGTTGGCTAAGGTAGATAACCCCATTTTACAGATGAGATCAATAAGGCTCAGAGAGAATATTCTGTGTCTAAGATACTGCAGCTGGTGAGCAGCAGCATCAATACCAGAACCACCGCCATCACCTACCTCCCCAAAGTCCGAGGTTGAACAGGATTTGTGGTACCCAGAGATTAAATATTCCTGAAAGATAATTAAAAAATATTCTTCTTTGTAAGTTTTATAAAATACGTGACTGAATGAACACATTTCTAGGGCCCCCTCTCAGGACCATGAGTGGGGCCTATGCAAGTGAGGGCCCTGAAGTGTAAGCTTTATAGCTTCATAGTAAATCACTTCTGCTTCCTTAAAGGAGCATGCTAGCAAGAGACCTGCTCTATGCACAGAGCACATGCTCAATAACTAGTAGTCATTGTGATTAGTCTTTTTGCCTTATGTCTTTTTGACAGGGACCTAGAGATAAATGTTTCAAGGTGTGAGCAGTGGGTGATCTGGATATATCACGCAGGAGCTCACTGTTGTCTTCAGTACACTGCTACCCACCTCCCACTCACTATGCAACCCTCCTCCCTTCTCTGGGGCTGCCATCCTTTTCCAGAGCCTACTCTGTTTGGACAATTTCCCAGGCTCCATGACTTGCTTTACACAATTGAACATAGCTGTTCTTCTCACACCTCATAGCCTGATTCAACCAAGGGCCTACCCACCGCAGCCCTTGCTTCATTCTTTGCTATGTTCTTTCATTTTTAGAAATTGGCATTGTTTAGAAATTTGCATTGTTTTATCATCTCATTCCCAGAACTCACAACTCCTTTTTCTTCTGGCTATCTTTTTACAGCACTCAACAATGACTTTGTCATTTTTGGAGCCCTGTGGAAGCCTTGTAAGTGTCCATCTGCTTTTTCCATGCAGAGTCCAGGCCTCATTCCTCATTTGAAGCTCACGTGGTAAAACCTGGGCTCTGTTGGAGTCAGCTGAGTGCAGAGGGCCAGGAGTCAATGAGATGCCAGGACACTTGAGGTCTAAGCTTGGTCTGCTCCTGTCTTCTTACTTGATTTTGTAATGATAAGCTTCCCTGTTTGTATCCTGGAGGCAATAGACTCACAGTGCATCAGGTTAGGAAGAAACTTTAAGCAGTGGCTTCCATTTAGACTACATTAAAAAAAAAAAGAAGGTGCATTTTTAAAAATGTAGATTCCCAGACTCAGTCACAGACCTTGTGAATTATAGGAAGGAACAGACAGTAACTACGATGCCTCCTAAAACATCAATGGCCAAAAAAGTAGATGTCAGTTCCAATATTCCACAGATAAGTCAGGATTTCGGGGACTATTTCCACTCTTCCCTTTTGTGCAGAGGGAAATTATCAACACTTTGAGAAAGAAGAGAGGGTTTCGAATCCCCTTTTCATCTAAATCTCAGATAATGATCCAGCTGCATTTGAACTTTAATCTGTCGGCCATGTGCAGCTCTAATAGGCACCTTTGGGGCCCCACTGGCCAAGGAACCTAAAAAGCTGCCTCTTTGCTGAGCTTCCATTGGTGTTGGCAGTCAGGTTCCCAGGAACAGCAAGCCTCCCAGTAGCAGAGCTGGTCTTTGAAATGCCATGGGCAGTGTCCTTGCATAGATTGGGGCACAAGAGAGGGAGGGATCTGTGTGGCGCCTACTCTGAAATGCCAGGGCAGAGCCTGTGAAAGATCCAGTGGGGTGTCAGATTCCCAAGGCCCCAGCTGGCAGGATGCAGTAGGAAAATCAGATTCCTGTGAGTCCTTAGAGGTCATGGGAGGGCACGTGACTGCTCCTGGTGGGAGGCAGGTGGCTCAGGACGGAGACAGGAAGGGAATGAATAAGAAAAAGGGAAGGACAATGTGACCAGAATAAATTTACTCTAGTTATTATTTTTCCAGTTTGGCAATCCTAGATGATGTGTGTCTTTGTGAGAACTACACAGAAAAGTGGCCTTTAATTTCAGCAACCATAATCATACACCAAGTGACAACACACACCCACACATACACACACATCCCTTGTGTAAATGACTCAGCCATCAGTTCACAAATATTACCAAAGATAGCAGTAGCACAGCTAAGAATTGCATGTGTACATAAATTTATACACACTCATACTCACTCACGTGCTTGCAGCACACTGCCTTAGCAGAACTTCACATTCTAACCATTTTTAACCTTTTATTAGAGCAAGAACTCTAGTTCATTCATATTTACACTTTCGTAAGCAGAGTACCTGGCATCCCATAATAAATATTTGTAAGATAAATTAATAGATGTGGCAGAACTGTTGAGTATACTACTTCTTAGTATTAAAAAGTGGATATGGTATATACACGTCAAACGTCACATACATGATGGATTGTAGCAAGATAGAAAGGCTCTATATATTTTAAATGGAAAACACTAGGCATCTACATTTGAGAGTTTTTAGCTAACGGCAAGTGAACTTAGTAAAATCCATGCAATGCATTAACTCCAGGACAGATACATAAAAGATAAAAAAAATTGGAAGTCATCTGTGTTAAATAGAATAACAATAATCACATTGTATTATTATTGGTTGCATAAAACGCTGTCTTTTCTACCAAACAATGAGTTGCTTGAAGGTAGTGAACCTGCATTCCTTATGCCTGTAGCTTTGGTGCCTAGCACTGTGTCAGACCGTAAAGGATCGTTATGTACTTACTTGTTGAAGTGCACACAAATGTAAATATTGACACAAACCTATTTGAAGTGCATGCTTACTACTACATCACATATGTACCTTTTCCAATTGACCTTGCAAATGAAATGCTTTGCAATTGAAGGGGAATAGAATCTGTACAGAGGTTTTTCCAGTGTTTATTTTTACAATGAACATCTACTAGGCCCCAAGGCTAAGGCTATTGACCTGTAACACGCATACAGATATGGCAAAGCAACTGGTCACTTGGTCAGTGAGCTGAAAGGCTAGAAACATCTAGTCCTCAATGGGACACTGCCATCTGGTGTATGCCCCAGGTTAGACAACCAATAGCCAGATATAGCTAGGGTCAGGAAAGGTGGGGAGGCGGAGCTAGCTCTTGAGTGCAGGCATACTTCTGTGGCCCCAGTGATGATCCGTAGAGAAGAATGATTGCCTACTTGGTTGGCATCTTGGAACTAAAAGTGTGTATTAATTATTCATAGATATGATGGAGACAATGCAATTCGGGAAGGAAAAAAATCCTTAGTGTCTGGTATGGGTTGAGTATTTCACACTGGTTATCTCACTTAATCTTCAGTGTCACCCAGTAAAATGTTCATATCACAGGTGGGAAAATGGAGGACCAGAGAAGTTAAGTAACATGCCTGAAGTCACACAGGTACTGAGTGGCAGAGATAATAATCAAACCACTGCTTTTTTTCTTCCCTGTAACTTGCTAACTGTATGACTTTTTTTGTTTCAATAAATAGCCTCTTAAGAAGAAAGACTGTCTTCTCCTTATCCAAGTGTGGTTTTAAGTAGAGTTAAACAGTTATTATGATCAGTAGTTTACTGCAATAGAGAGGTATAACCAGAGTTTCTGATTTCTAATAATTTACAGCCTTGGTGGAAAAAGAATCACATATTAAAGTGAGTTAACATTTTAAAACTAGTGCAACATCAAGGCTGAAAATATTATTATACAAATAATACAAAGTGAATATTTACCATTGATCTGTTAAGAAATGGAAACATTCCAGTGTCCTGCTGAGCCATAATGGAACCTGAGGCAAAGGAAATATCAGTGATACTAACCCTGTCTTGATTTAAAATTTTGGTATTTTGTTCATTAAGTAGTTTTGCATTAATTTAGATTTTAAATATCATCTTAAAGTGTTATTTATCTTGATTACTGAGCTTTTTGGAGGCCCCTTAAATTTTTTGCTTAGAAAGTGTGTCTCACTAGTCCTGTTCCTGAGGAATTCATCATTGAAAGGATAGCATCCATCTAGAAAAATCTCAGTTGGGCACAATGACTGTCAAAGAGATTTTGGCTTGCTTACTATCAGCATAATTTATTTTCTCATGTGAGAAAAAATATTTATGTTGTTATAACAAATCAATTAATAAGACATTGATAGAAAATAATGATATAAATCCTATACACATTGGGTTTATAAATGTGTCCTATATGAATAACAGCTGCTTTAGATATATTCAAAGTTAATCAGAAAATTAGATTAGCTATTAGATGTAACATCTCAATTTCAAAGCACAATGCATATGTGTTAGGGCTGTTAATCACAGAATTATGAATACTTTTTATGATGCGACCTCAAGAGATTTTTTGTGTGTGTACATAGTGTTAGTGCAGAATTCTTTTGCATTTAATTTTCAAATTAAACCATAAATATCACAAGGGAAATAATGTTTTCTACCAACATGCTGCAAATTTAGAACAACTAAATTATTAGCCTGTAAGTTTTCACTAACAACAGTTTGATAATGATGGAAAGGTTCCCTTATGTAGGACAAAGTTCTCTCTAATGGGAAATGTTTGGGGTTCCTTTCATGCAACAGTAAGTCAAGAACATCCTTAAGTCATGATTCATCTCAAATAGGACTATACAGAATCTCAGAAACACATTTAAAATGTTTCAAAACAATAAAATATCCCCAGAAAAATTACCTATTGATGTTTTGAGATTTTGCCCAGAGGGCACGAATCATAAAATGGAAGAGACACCATCAAGCTTTTGTTTATTAAGTTAAGGTTTCATCCTACTCAGCTCAAGTTATATTAATTGTATTTCAACCCATAGCAAGCAGAAAGTAAGAAGGTTGTGTCACGGTAAGTAATTCACTCCCAGTCCCTAATGCAATGTCTCAATCTAGATCATTCTTGTGAGAAGATTTAGTTGAAACTTCCATCCTGCACCTCCTGGTAAGAATATCATTTAATGTTTCACTAGCTAAGCAGAGCATTTGGAAGACTTAATGAAGAAAACTCTCAGAAGAACTCAAAGAAGACTTGAGGGAGGGCCCTGTTTTCATATTAATCTTGAGCTAAGTCTGAGTCTGGGTAAAGTTGTACAAATTCCTTTGTAATTTATCTGACAGGAAAGATTTCAGTCAGACAATGTACTTACAACCGATAAACCAGCTTCTCCCCAGCCATAAAGCATGCTAATTGGAAAGTTGTGTGCAGAATTCCTGCCAAAAAGCAGGGAATCTTCTTAAATATTAATGATGCCCTCCTGCCAAACTTTTGAATGTTGTTGTGAATCTGGTGGCTTACAATTTTATGTCACTTCATCATATCTTTGATCTTGCTTTCAGTGCACCCTGAAAAGTGTCACTGTGCTGTGGTGGGCTATAAGACATGACATAAAAGTTTGTACATGTGAAGGGGGCTGGTGTCTATGCAAGTGGACTCATCCCATAATGGTAACATGAATGACAAGATGGAGACAGATATTGATGAACGAGTTTAGGAGTAAAATGAAACTCAACAAGAAATTTAAATATTTCTAAACTCAATGAATGTGGCTGCCTTTGGTAGAAAATGTAGAAAAGAATGGGAATGATGGTATTGGGTAATAATTTAAAAATTATAACAGCAGATTATGAGGTAAAAAAAGAAGGAAATCTCCCAACTTTGTTGAGAAGTTTTTTCAAGGGAAGAACAGCATTGGCTGTAAGATACAGCTGACTTTGATCACATAAGCAGTGTGCTGGGAGGCTGAAGTACTCCGAACTCAGTTTTAAGCAGCTTGACAGAATTAATACTATTTCTCCAGATGCCTAATTTAGTCTACAGAAGTGATCTCCACCTCCAGTCTCTACCAGAAGTTGATTTGGAGACTGGCAGGCACATACCCTTGGCAACTGAGACCATCAGCAACAAGAAAAGAGTCTTCAACTTTCCCCTCTGCCCAGTAAGGGGTCAGAACCTTGCCACATCATTTTGGGACGATTGCCAACTTTTGGTTTTGGACAACCCATCTAAATGCCTTAACAGAACTATCTGTTACTTCACAGCTTAGGGCCTCTCTAGTCAGCCAACGTGGTCAGACAGACACTTGAGGAGTATGGGTTGTTATGCCAAAGTCATTTTTGCCCTTTGTTCTCAGATACTTGTGAGAGTGATCACCAGCTCAGTGCATTGAATAAATAGTTGTAAAGAGGGTTTCCATAGATGGGAACTTGAAGTTCTTGTGAAGGCATTCCGGAGAAGAAATTTCCACGTGGAATAATGGTATAAGAAAAGGTATAATAAATTACCACCTTGATATAGCATTTTATAGTTTAATACAATGGTGAAGAGGACAGGCATTGGAGTTAGACTAAATGAGGTTCTTGAGTTATGTTAACACCTATGAAAATCAATTGCTAAAATTCAGTTTTCATAATTTCTCAAGGGCTCCATCACTTACTAGCTGTGTGGTCATGGGGCAAATGTTCTAATCTCTCCAGTGGTACTGGAGGATACTAATAATGCCTATGAAATAGGGTTCATTTCATGATTTAAAAAAGGTGCTATGTTCAATATAAGATGTGTAAATCTAATTTTTTATTATTGCTCCTTGCAAGGAAATAATCAATGACAGATTATAACTTTATTTTATATCTTAGGAAGACCTTCACATCAACTCTTTACAGCCAGGGATGGAGTTTTATGAAGATGGTTTAGGCAAACGTGTTAAGTTAGCTGGGCTATTTAAGATACCCTGAGATTTAAAAAACAAACAGCAACAACAACAAAAACAAAAACCATGTAAACAAAAATAAAAAACAACCAAAAACAAAAACATGTAAACGATTCATAATGTCCATTTGTAAGAAACACTTTATGTCCCAGCTATCAAAGCATAGATAATATATGAGTCATCTAACCAAGGTGTGAAACAAGCTTGAGAGTACAGTTAAGTTTTCCTTATGCCACTTGTAGTATAGTGTTGTAGTGAAGTGCGGAATGATAGTGTCACGTAAATCTAATTTGCACCCTGGTTTGACTGTTCACTGGCTGGATGACCTTGGGAAAAAAAAATTAACTTTTCTAATCCCCATCTAAAAAATGAGAATATATGTTTCTCACTTCACGGAGTTGAGAAAAGTTTGTGAGACAATCCTTATAAAATGCTCAACATTGAGCCTGCCATACAGTACAAGTGCAATAAGTATTAACTGCCATTATTATATTCAGAAGAATAAAAGAGGAGAGGAAGCAAATCAAATCATTATTTAGTACCAACTTTTTGTAGGACACTCTGTGAGGATCCTTTTCTTTTTTTTTAATACATATGATGCCTAAGTGAGCACTTCTGCCAAGACCTTTATGTGTATGATCCTTTTTATCCTCCCACCTTCTCTGCAAAATCGGCAGTGATCTCATCTTTACCAAATGGGCAATCTGAGGCTCAAGTAAGTTATAGAATAGAATAGGTAAGACCTCGATTTTTCATGTGTTGCTTTTAAAAAACATAATGAGTGCCTACTGTTTTCCAGGCACTGTTCTAAGTACTGTGGAAACCCCCATTCCCTGTGTTCATAGAGATGACTCTGAAACAAGTGAATAGGGAGTTGAATTTGGATCAGTACTGAGGAGCTAAAGGAGGTGGGACACAGATCATGGGAACCTGGTAGACCACTGCGAAGATCTTGTCTTTGACCCTCAAGTACAGGGTCTTTGTACTCGCTTTAATGGTCTGTTAGTCTTTTCTACATCTTTTTTTAAAGTATCATTTTATTGGCTTTAATATTAAAATCCTATCTCAGGGCCTATAACCAAAATCCTCAAGAGGGCCACAGCAGGCAGGAACAGTGTAAGAAAGAAGCCCTGGTGTGTGTTCCTGGACAGGCAACAGTGTGGCGGTGGGTGGGCTTCCACCCTGACAGTTGTCTCAAGACATCTCACAGTCTCCTCTGCCACCTAGGTATCCAGTGATGTGGACAGTGGCCAGGATCACCCGGAGGTAAGGTAGAGGTTGAATAGACTTCACCTTGATTCTCCGACTAACATGATTTCCCTTTTCACGAGTGTCTTTTATTGACTGTCAATATTGTTTCTGCAAACTTAGACCCCTCTGTGCCTGGTGCACCTAGGTGCCTCATGGTGTCATTGCCTTCACCAAACCTAGGATTAGCATCTCCTGTGGACACTCAGAGTGAAAAATTAATAAAGCATGTTCAACAGAGAAACAGGGAATGCTTGGATAAATGAATCTTTAAATAAATGCATCCTCCTTATTATGAATCAAAACTTACCTGCCCTGTGCAATTTCCTTTAGTGGACAGACTATTCAGATGTGCCAGTTTATTCAACAGTGTCTATAAGAAACAGTGTCCCAAAGACACAACTCTTAATATACTGACTTTATATGTGATACATATTCTTAGAGGCATTCTAAAGCAAAATGCTAAAACCCAGAAGGATGATGATATTCAGGGTGGAAATTATAGGCATCATGGAAGGCTGATCAAAGAAATGGATTTTTCTGAAATAAGACATAAATATATCTTTAAGTCAGTTTTGGAATTTGACCATAAAATTCCTCCTAATAGGTGCTTTCAAAATGTTCTTTTACTGAGACAAGAGTATCTCCCATATTCCCCAAGTCTCTAAAGTGAGACTATCTTGAACATGAAATTGATATCTTGTCATTTGATCCATCTTAGTTTCCAATTCAGAGCACTCCAGAGTAATCGTATTAAAAATTAATGAAAAGGACAATCAAGTTGGCACACAAAGTGAGAGTTTTGGGGATACATACAGACACATCCATGTTCTCAAGGCTTCCTCTCCACAAGGGAAGAAAAGGCTACTTGAAGGATTGTCTGCTTATCTGTGGCAAGGTAGTGCTGTTCATTGGGCTTTATAAATTAAACATAAGTGCAGAAACAGAGCCTAAAATACGTGTGTATATTCCACACGCACACACACCATGTGCACACTGCAGACTGTGTTCACAGCCATGAAAATAATTAATTTGTCAATGTGAGTAAATGACTTTCACTACACCCTCTTGGTGCCTTGTTTCCTCAGGCATCTGAACATCCCTTCCCCTTTGGAAAACACTTCGCATTAATCCAACACCCCTCATGAAGCATGGTGAATGTTCCTTTCAACATAGGAAAACTAAAGCTAGTATTATCTGTGCATGCCAATGGGTAGACCTCCTTGCTGAAGAGGTTTTCCCTGCTGCATATGGAAGGTGCTTAACTTGTGTCCAGTTGCCAAGAGATGATGATCATGCACTGTACATAAAAGCATAAGTAATTTTATGGAGCGTGAAACTCACTGTGGGTCTCTGGAGATATTAACTGAACTTTTCCATCTTCTAGACTTGACATTTCCATGAACTCAGGGACAATGTAGCTTCCTTCTCCAACATAAGCATTGAGTCCTCCATCTGTTGTGACTGCAGAAAATAAGTATAATCTATGAAATTGTCACGGGATCCTTGGGGTGTTGCTTTGGATCCTCTGTGCCCAGAAACCTCTGTGGCCACTGGCACCTTCTGCCTGAGTACTGCTTGTGCCCGCTGGGCTCATCCCACCCACGCAGCCTAGCAGGCTGCACTCAGTTCACACTACTGGCCTGGATCCCTCATCTGCCAAGGGCAAGCCAGGCATGGAGCAGCAAGGGGTGTGTGGGCAAGCAAGTGCAGGGTTTCACCACTGTGCACAGCCAGGCACGCCAGTTGTTGCAGCGGGGTGGGCAGCTACAGGCACCGGTACAGGTGCCAGCTCTGTGCAAGGCTACTGCTGAACCAGATGTACGACACATAGCTTCTGCTGCAGGCACCTGCGTCTGCACAAGGGGAACGTGGTGATGCCCAGAAGCTTGGAGAAACCAGGAACTGCAGAGCCCAAGTGAGGGTGTCACAGCCCTGGCTCTGGGAACCCCTAGGTCTAGGCTCCCCAAAAGGTCACAGCTCTTCTCTCCTTCTCGTCACCCACAACATGGCAAATGAGGGTGCATGTTTCAGCCCTGTTTGTGTCACAATTCTCAGTCCCACCATTCAGCAGGTCCCAAGTTCTTGTCCTTCGTCCTAGAATAATTAAGTATGTGGACAACTACAGGGTGAGGAAAGTAGAGAGGAGCTTCATTAAGTGACAGAACAGCTCTCAGGAGACCTGCAGTGGGTAGCCGTTTTCCACAGGCAGGTCGTCCCCACAAGCGTCCAGCTCTCAGTGAAGAGGAGAACTGATGTGTGTAGCTCCTTCCTGGAGCTGGTAGTGCTGATGTCTGTTGGAGTCTGGCTGAGTCCAGGGGTTTTTTTGGCTCAAAAGAGAGGAAGTGTGTGCTGATTGGTCCATGGGCAGCCATGGGTGGGCCCAGAAAAATCACCATAAGTTCTCACTTCGATCTGGGGACTCCACCTGGAACTGACAGCCCAAACCCCATGCTTCAGGCCTTCCCTGACTTGAATTCTGGGCTTCACCAGGGACTTGCCCCTTTCTGCCCAGGAGCCTGTCTGCCTCCTGCCATCATCTACACATGTAATCCACTGTGCCCAGGCTGTTTATGCCAAGGGGAACCTGCAGGCCTGCACTGAACTGCCCTCAGCACCCCCTCAACCTTCCCATGCTCCTCAGTGCCCAAAGTCTGGAGGAAGCCAAGGTGGCAGGGAGCTGGTGTGTTAGTGACACCTCAAGCATGTGCATACCTGGCCAGGTGGCAATAGCTCCCAGGTTTGGCCTCATCTTTGCTCCAAAATTCAATCAGGTGCTGGGAGCAGTGAGAGGCTGGGCAGTGGCAGTAGGTACTTCTGAGCCTGTGGGGGCAGTGGGGTAAGTGTTTTCTGGGGCCCCGAGAGCACAGGGATGCCCCCATCTGCAGCTGTGGCTGGGTGGCTGCAGCTGCACTCAGGGGAGGTGCTTTTTCCGGGCCCTCCCATGGCTGCCCATGGACCAATCAGCATGCACTTCCTTCCTTTTAGGCCATAAAAACCCCCCACCCAGCCAGACTTGGACAGACTAGGGACTACCAGCTGCAACTTGGAAGGAGGCAGGAATCCCACCTCTTCCCACCTCCTGCTGGCTCTGTGAAGCACTGAGCCCCAGCAGTACTTCTTCCACTGCAGCCAACATCTTCACAGTGGCCACTCTAGATGGGCCACCTCTGCCATCAAAATTTTCTCTTAAAGGTCACTGAGAAATAAACAATAGCATAACAGAGAGTGAATGTGATTTCCACAACTCTCTCTGTAGATAGAAACTTAAAATTCTTATAAAGGCATTCTTTCATAGGGTACGGATATAGATATGCAACAGATGTGGAATACCTCTGTCTATATATAGATATATATTTATACCTACAGTTTAGATACATAGACATGTACATACACACATATGTATACCTCATTTTTAAGTTAAATCTTAGACATTTAAAACAGTTTTTATGCAATGTGAAATTTATCTTTCCAAGGATCTTAGAAGTATTGCCAATGATCTGGGCATTAGCAGAAATTCTGGTGTGCATCTTGAATAGGCCTGTTACCCCAGCTGAGCCTCAGTTTTTATATAAGTAAAAAATAGGAACAACTACTTTCACCCTGTCTTCCAAATCAGATTATGGGATAAAACCACTAATGTGAACATACTTGGAAACATGAAGCACATTTCAGATCCTAAACAGGGGTTGGAGGATTAGAAATTTAAGAATGTAAATGTCTATAGCATATTTGCATAAGCTTCAATTTAGTAGTATCTTTAAAGGGAAATGTGTTCATCTCTACTCATAATTCTTAAAATTACTTTAAATTCTGCAGCTTGGTATTTGGTGCATTATACATGAGGTAGAACTAGTTTCACAGCTGGACTTTATAGCATGGGAGTACTTAGAATATTTTTGTGGATAATGTAGTCCTCTTGAAGGTTTTTTCTAAATTTTTGAAAAAAAAAGAAAAAAAAAGATGTTCAAAGCATGATTTTCTATTCCCAACAAGTCCTAAGATGGTTTAGGACATATTTCAAGAAATGTCAAATTTCTTATATTCTTTTTTCACATTCACAATGAAACCTTCACAGATTAAAACTCCAGTTCACACTTAAGCTAAATTGAGAAATCCAGAGTACAATCTTGAGGAATGATGAAAGAAGACAATCTAGTTCCTCCTTCAGAAGAAGGTGCTGAAACATTTGGAAAAGTTGGAAATATTTATGTAAGTAGACCCTGGTTCAGCAATAACAACACACAATTCACAACCCAGTGATAGTGAGGAGGTTAGCTCCAGGGTAATAACGCTGCCACATTTCATGGGAAAAGGACTTTGCCTCCCATGCAGTTCTCTGAAAGATCTGTTGGTAGGTGATATCATTTCTAGTTTTTAAATAAGGAAATCAAGACTCAAGCAATTATGTGACTACCATGCTATATATTAATATTAATCTATAACCATCCTTTCTCCAGAAATAATTTAAGATAAAAAACATACGCATATCCATGTTCCCATCACTTTACAACTGAAATATAAGAGCTACTTGCTAGTCAGTGTTTCTGTGTTGTTTTTTTTTCCACTCTCAGGGTCAGCAAACTCTTTCTTAAACTGCCAGATAGTAAATTATTTCAGGTTTGCAGGAAATACCATCTCTGTTGTAACTGCTCAATTCTGCCACTGTTGCATGAAAGCAGCTGTAGATAATACATAAGCAAATGGACATGTCTATTATCCAGCAAAATTTCTCTTACAAAAACAGTCAGCAAGCTAGATTTGGACTGTAGTTTACTGACTCTTGATTTAAAGAATCTTGTAAATGTCATGAATTCTTTCCTTTCAATTCAAAGTTCACTTCAAATTTGCTCTGAGCAAACTTAATCAATAATCAGCCCAATATGCCAGGAAACCCCACAGCCTCACATCATTTATAAACATGTTGTGTGATGGTGTGTGTGTATTATGTAGCTTATAATGGGCTTTACAAAATATTTTAGAGTTTATTCTCTTTCTCTTTTTAGGTTGCATACTCTTGAAAGACAAAGGGCCTGTCCTCTCATTCCTATTGGGATTGCTTATATCATCAATCCATTGTGCTGATGAATGTTTAATAAATGTGGTTGAATAGTGAAAGGGTATAAAGGAGTTCAAATTTGTTGTAAATTTAAGTAACTGAATATAAAACTTGTGAAGAAAGAATAACAGAATTTCATTCTCAGAAATAGGAAAAAAATAAAAATACATGTGCGACTGTTGAGATTTCCTTAAAACCCCTAGATTTGGGCAGGGGGTTCACAAATGTTGTTTTATTTTGGAAAGAATAGTTCTTTTCCCAATAATAATAGTACTGTGCCCGTGCACTGCCTCCTTCAAGGAACACCATTCACACAGCATTCTATGTAAAACCCTGATGAGTGGACAACTGCTGGTCAATTTGCTGTTCTGTTCTAGGTTGTTTCTCAGTTGGGGGATTGTTTATGGCTTTCATTAAATGCCAATACAATACACTATGCTGAATCCTATAAATAAAAATTGTACTTGTTCCAGTTTACCAATAGCTATTGGTGTCTGTCAATTTGATTCAACTTCAACATGAATAACTTTATTGTCATGACAAAGTAAACATGAGCTCAAGAGTTGCCAAAGCCAGTAAGTCAGCACTTGGGTCTGGAGATAGTCTCTGTGCTGTCTTTCTCACTATTTAAAATGAAGGACAGACCAACTGCCACATGGTAGGAAAAGCTCTGTTTGCCTTGTATAAAAACAACCAAACAAGACTGATGCTGTCTTTCAGGCCAGCAGAGAGAAATGTCCTCATTTATTAGGCTTGCTTTCACGGGCCAATCAGCAAAGAATTTTGTTTCCAATGCCAACTATATGAGATAGAAGTAGGAATAATAGCTTTACTCTACACTTAAAAGTTATAAATATTCTTGTGGTTGGATATTTGTCATTCTATAGTCCAGAGGTTGGGAAATTGTTTTCTTAAAGGACCAGGTAACAAATATAGTAGACTTGCAGATCATAACAGTTTGTATTGCAACTAGTCACCTCTGCCTTCGTACTGATAAGCACCCATGGATGATACTTAAAGAATAGACAGAACCGTGTTCCAAAATATATTTACTTACAAAAAAATGCAGATGACTAGCAAACTGTAGTTTGTCAATGCTGGATGTAAACCTTTGTTCCATATGTTGGTTCAGGCACTTTACATTTATTTTATTTTATTTATTTTACTTTAATTTCATTTATTTATTTTTGAGACAGAGCCTTGCTCTGTCACCCAGGCTGGAGTGCAGTGGCGCCATCTCGGCTCACTGCAAGCTCCGCCTTCCGGGTTCACTTCATTCTCCTGCCTCAGCCTCCCGAGGAGCTGGGACTACAGGTGCCCGCCACCACGCCTGGCTAATTTTTTGTATTTTTAATAGAGACGGGGTTTTACCGTGTTAGCCAGGATGGTCTCGATCTCCTGACCTCGAGATCCGCCCGCCTCAGCCTCCTAAAATGCTGGGATTACAGGCATGAGCCACCGCGCCCGGCCACATTTATTTGTTTTTACTGCCTGAATTACGTTGTAGACTCCCGTAGGACTTGACGTTGACTTTGGTAACATGGATGGCACTTGCAGTTACTTGGTTAATGTCCAGATGGTTTGTGCCTGTTATGTTAGTGTCTACCACAGTCTCTGGTACAAAGTAAGTGCACCACAAGTATTTGTTACAAAATGAGTTACCTGGGATATACTAGTGATACAGGACATATCACTCAAGATTAAAAGGGTGCCCTAAGATGTCAAGAATATATAATGTATCTGTTTTTACTTTTCTCAGTCAGAAACAAAACATCTTTAGAATTAATAGAATTGCATGATTTTCCTACTGTCTTTGTTTTGCACTCCCTCAGGAATTTAGCAATGAGTTGTGAAAAATAAGTAGATAATAGCAGCTGATCTAAAGATAAATTTAAAAGGACCTACAGCTCAATACCAGTGGTCTGTACAACAGTTTATTTTTTCATACCAAGGCTTAATTCAAATCTTTATTTGAAAGCTGAGCCATTGACAAATCTTATCGGGCTAATTTTCAAAACAGACATCTTCTTGCTATTTCTAGTGTCCTCATCTTGATCCATGGGCCTTGGTCTATTCCCCCAGCTTTTCTCACTTGAATTATAGTATCTTAAATGGTCTCTCTGCTTCTTTTTTGCCCTCTTCCCTGGTCTTGAGCCTTTAAAATATAAGTTAATTTGTTACTTTTTCTTTAAAACACACCTTCCTGTCTCACTCATAATAATAGTCTTTTTAATGATGTGAAGAGGCCTATATTATATGATGTTCTCCTCTGTTAGCTCTGTAACCCCATTCTCTACTTCTCTCCCCTTTCTCACTCTACTCCAGCCACATTCATCTTAGTGTTCTGCAAGAATACTGGGTATACTCCTGCCTTAGCATCTTTGCAAATTCTGTTCCCTCTGCCTGGCATGCTTGTCCAAAAGTTACCCATATGACTTGTCTTCTTAACTACTTCACATGTTGATTAAAATTTTACATTTTTGTAAAGCTTTTTCCAAGCAGCCTATATATAATTGCAATCACTCTATGCCGGACTATTTCTTCCCACCTTTGTTGCTTTGATATTTTTCCATCACATGCATATTCATGACATACTAAATACGCATCAGAATGTAAGGTTTATGAAGATAGAGAAATGTTATTCACTCCTATATCCTCAGTCCCTGGAACATTTCTTTATACATGGCAAGCTTTAATCGTGTGTAAGGAATTGAATGAATTAAATATGTTAGTCATTATCACTGTTCACCAAATATTTATTTCTCTCTTCCTTCCAGGCACATGGTAAGAGTTAAGCATGGTCACATGACTTGCTTTCACCCAGGGAATATGAGCAGAAGTGGTATATGTCACTTCCTGGCAGAATCCCCAACATTCAGTGTGTAGTTTATGCATTTCACCAAATTCCACTAGTAGACTTGTATATCACGGGAAAGCATGTATTGTCCCTGATCCTTGAATGACTACAGGGAGAAAATCTTTTCTGCCTGTTGTCATATAGTATAAGCAAGAAATAAGCTTTCTTTAGACACTGAGATTTTGGATTATTTTGTTCTGGCAACATAACCTGACATAAACCTAACTGATACAGAATCATTTTTGATATTTTTTTGTGTATAGATAAAGTAGGAAAGCCCTACCCTAGTTTCCTGTAGATAAATTGGGCAAAAACTGCATTCTGCACATAGAAGTTTGTGAGCATTGCAGACTCCAAAGGAATATCATTTTTGTGCCCTTAGATACTACCAAGAAGGATGATAGTGATGTTAGACAAAGTCATGCACAAGTCTCTGATGTGTCAGGAGGCTTGTTCATGACTAAAATGAACATGCATGGAGATAATGGAGGGTGTATACAATTAGCATTAATATAAATTCTAAAAATAACTACTCAATAGTATGATTCAAATTTTGAAAGTGCACATGTGGCATGTTATACCACAGAGCTTTATAAATAATTATTATCCCAATAAACTAGACTTCATCACAAGGGATTTTCACAGTATTTTTTGGTTCTCACATTCATTCACACCATGTATATTTATCACATACTTGCTATGTTTAAAGCACTGGCACATCTATAATTTAAGTATTTAGACCTTTCTCCAGCTCTATAGAAGAATAAATTTCAATAAGAAAGCAAGTAGAGGAGATTGCCTTGTGCAGCATTTCATTTCTACATCCCGAAACTTTAGTCCATGAGAAGCTCTGCAAATTGCTGGGTCTTATGATCCTAAAACTCCTAACAGAAGGGCTGGCATATAGAAGGTGCTAGATCAGACCTGATGTAGTGGCTTACTCTTGTAATCCCAGCACTTCGGGAGGCTGAGGCAGGCAAATCATGAGGTCCAGAGATCAAGACCAGCCTTGCTAACACAGTGAAACCCCCTTCTCTACTAAAAATAGAAAAAATTAGCAGGGCATGGTGGTGTGCACCAATAGTCCCAGATACTCGGGAGGCTGAGGCAGGAGAATGGTGTGAACCTGGGAGGTGGAGGTTGCAGTGAGCCAAGATCATGCCACTGCTCCAGCCTGGGCAACAGAGTGAGACTCCATCTATCCAAAAAAAAAAAAAAAAAAAAAACCAGAAGGTGCTAGATCAATAATTCTTAATGACAATAATAACCCTGGGGCTTTCATGGTCCTGATGTACCACCCAATAGTAAACTAGGTGCAGGATCATTTTTGTGCAAAGCTGATGTTGTGGACTGAACTTTACCTTCCAAAACTCATATGTTGAAATTCTAACCAGCCGTATCTTAGCATTTGACTGTAGTTGGAGACAGGACCTTTGAAAAGGTAATTAAAATGAGGTCACTCAAGTGGGCCCTAATCCAATATGACTGGTGTTCTTGTAAGAAGAGGAGATTAGGAAGGAAATAAACTGTTGTTGTTCAAACAATCCAGTCTGTGGTGCCTTGTCATGGCAGCCCTTGGACACTAGTACAGTTGAATTCAAGAAAATAACTTCTTTTTTAGAGTCTAAGATCCACCAGAGTCCACAGAGGTTGGGATAGAATCAAATGGTATCAAAGGGTACCATAAAAATATTCACTGGGCTCTAAGCACAATCTCGTTACTAACAAGATATGCGTAATGAATAATCTATCCCTCTTTTTACTTAAAAATGTAATTTTTATGAATCTCAGTCTACATTAAGTGAGTCTCTCCATCCCATCCTGTTGTGGTGGAATAAGTTAATTTCAGCCCAGGGAGGGCTTCTGTATCCGTCTCTAAGATTATATCCAGTTCTCAGAGACTTAAAAGATATTTGATGAGGAGAAACTGTAGTATCACACATTAGGAAGATCATTTCTAAATGTGCTTATTTTCATCTGTCATGCAGATTGCTGCTATGTTGTACCTCCCTTTTGGCCTCAGGGTCTTTTGTGTCTGAATATTTTTAGCTAATTTGGGTCCATCTGGCATTCAGGAATCCCTCTGCTATTACTAGGTCATGCTGTTTCTTCAAAACTGTGTCTCTTCAGAACAGTGAGTCCCTTCAAGTTTTCTGCCACTCTTGAACCAAAAGATTCCTTCAATTACTGATTTTGCCCACTGCTACTATATATACTGCTACTACATACTTCTTGTTGAAAGTATGTGTGTTGAAAGCACAATATCCATTCTCTCCTTATTTTAGTTTAAATGAAAAAAAAAATTATTTCGTTTAAGGGTAGCAAGGTGCCTAATAAAAGACTACTTCTTTGTATCCTTTCAGCCAAATGTGGCAATGTGACTAAATCCTGGCCATTGAGATGTACACAGAAGTTATGAAGCAGGAATGTTGCAACGAGGCATGTTCTTTTGCCCTTCTGTTTTATCTCCTTCCTGCTTTTAAATAAGAATGAAATGGCTCACACAGCCATTTTAGAGCCTGAGAAACATGGAGACAACCTTGTTACCTGACAATTACAGAGTTATTGTAACTGGACTTTTTGAGCAAAAAATAAACTCATTTGTTTCAATTCACGCTATTGCCTTGAAAAAGGTGGAAGGGAAGCCAGTCCCTTGGGATTAAGCTGGAAAGATTATAGCATTTGATGAATGTTCCAGTTCTTTATTTTCTTGCAGAGAGGCTAAGAGCCAGAGCTTATCTCCTACTTGTCCTGCCCTACACCAAGGAGAGGGTCTGAGGCAGGTGCCTATACTCTTGGTCAGACTGCTCGCTTTGAGCCTGAGGATTTGACTGCTGAGCATTTGCAAGTTTAAAAGTCACCTCCATCAACTCCCAGAGTGAGGTGATTTAGGAGCCAGTCCCTCAGGCGAAGGCTGTAAAAGTTGGGGCACTTGTTGCATACAGAAACTACCTCCAGGAAGAATCTACAGATCTGGATTCATCTGAACCAAGCCAGGCAAGAAGGTGTGGCGAGTGCCCACTCTCCTTTCTTTTTGAACAAGCAGAAGTCTCACACTCTCCTAGCAGGGGGAGACTTCTGCTCTGGAGTTATCACTGGAACAAGCCAGGAAGGAAGGCAAAAGAAATGTCCACTTTCCCTATCAGGAATAGAGAGGTCTCTGCCTCCTTCCAATGTGAGATTGCAGCAGCTTATTTCTTTTCTTTTTTTTTTTTTTTTTTTGTTTTTTGAGGAGGAGTCTCGCTCTGTTGCCAGGCTGGAGTGCAGTGGGACGATCTCGACTCACTCCAACCTCTGCTTCCCAGGTTCAAGCAATTCTCCTGCCTCAGCCTCCTGAGTAGCTGGGACTACAGGTGCATACCACCATGCCCAGCTAATTTTTGTATTTTTAGTAGAGATGGGTTTTCATCATGTTGGCCAGGATGGGCTCAATCTCTTGACCTCATGATCCACCCACCTCAGCCTCCCAAAGTGCTGGGATTACAGGCGTGAGCCACTGTGCCCGGCCTGCAGCAGCTTATTTCTAGAGCAACCTGGGGAAGAGGGTGCAGGGATTGTGAGCCTCCATTATTTTGAAGTTTTGTTATAGACAGCTGAATTAAACACTAATTGATCTCTGTTATCTCAGGAGTGAGCCCTTAGCCTAACCACAAAGTGATTTCTACTCTGGGATCTTGTCCTTTCTTGGGAATGGGGCTCAAATCTACTCTTGTCTCAGATTTGCTCTAAGCATACCTTGATATTCTCACTTTCTCTTTTTAGGGCTTAGCCCCTGAATGATTGAGTAGTTATTGAACCTCCTCTCAAGGAACTGATAGCATCAAATTCCTTATTCCTCCTTCTCCGATTCGCCCTCTTCTCTACAGTGAATGTTATTATTTCTATTCAGCATAACATGATGCTTAAGAGAACAAGGGTCTGAAACCAGATTGCCCAAGGCTGAACGCTGGATCTACTTATGCGTGACCTTGGAAAATGTACTCAGGCTCTCTGTGCCTTAGTTTTCCCATTTGTAAAATAGAGTACAACAACTCAAAAGGAAATTGTGAAAAGGGTCGAAGACATTGTAAGTGCCCAACATATTTTAGCTGTTATCGCTATTATTGTCATCATTTTCAGTGATGAAATTTCTTATATATACATCATCATGTGGGCTACCAAATTTATTGTCCTTATTAAAGACCTTCCCATTTCTTAGAGGAACTAATCATTTGAAACAGACAAGGAAACGACTCCTTATTTCCTGTTGTACACTCTGTCTGGACAGTAATTTACATGGAATGGCTTAATTGACTGACTATATGAAAAACCATAATGTATACTCAAACAAAGAAAAATGTGTAATATTTAAAAATATTATGCATTTCATACTAATATTTTCCTCTAAAACAATTTTTTTTTGAGAGGGAGTTTTGCTCTTGTTGCCCAGGCTGGAGTGTAATGGTGTGATCTCCACTCACTGCAACCTCCGCCTCCCAGGTTCAAGCAATTCTCCTGCCTCAGCCTCCTGAGTAGCTGGGATTACAGGCACCCACCACCATGCCCAGCTAATTTTGAATTTTTAGTAGATACAAGGTTTCACCATGTTGGCCAGGCTGGTCTCGAACTCCTGACCTCATGATCCATCTGCCTCAGCCTTCCAAAGTGCTGGAATTACAGGTGTGAGCCAATGCGCCCAGCCTAAAACATTTGATTTAGCAAATCTATAGATACAGCCATCGCATGAATCCATAATGTGGTACTGTGAAAGAGCCTAGGATTTGGTGAGCGATCCCAGTCTTCTGGTTCATGTAAGACCAAAAGGAAATAAGAATTCTAGTGCTAAAATGGAAAGTCTTGGGAAAACTAGGACTACTTGATCACCCCAGATTTATTTAAGATAGATTTAAAATTAAAGCCTGCTATCTTCTTCATTTCCTAAAGTGGAAGTTAGTGAATTATCCTCTTAATGCTACTGTATCCCAAAGTTAATGTGCTTGACCTTTGGGTCCTCAGTGTATTCATCTGGAAAATAGAAATAATATTACAAGGTGCCTGTTGTAAGGTACTTGCAAATAGAAACAATGTTTATTAATAATCATTTTTTTCTCCACTCCATATGATACTTGAAGACTAAATTTCTTCAGTAATAAACTCAGGGAATTCAGCGCAGAACTCCCCATCTAGCCGTCCTCAGTCATGTATGACTTGAATAAAACTTTTAACAAAAACAAATGGCATACTGCACCTTCAGCAGTGATATGCAGAAACCTCCCATAAAAGACCCTATTTTAAAACCAGTGAAAAGAAACTCCATCACTCTAGTTGAGTGAACATAGTCATCAGCAACTGAAAATGGAAATTAGTTAGCAGAGGGTCCCTGGAAACCTGTGGAGAAATGACTTAATAATCATGGTGACTGAGACAGAGCTTTCCTTTTTTACCACAGCAAATAAAAAGAAATGTGAAAAATACATTTCCTTGGGCTTTTAGAAATAGCTTACTTAAAACTAACTTATTTATAATAGATACTTACTATTAAAAAGTGACTAGGGAAAAAATAATCTGAATTCAGAAGAAGAAGACATTGAACCACATCTTATAGATGTCAGTACGTCTATTTTAATGAGCATAGATACTGGGTTATCCATTGTGGTCATGAGAAGAAACTTCCCTCTTAATCAACTCTTCTGCAGACTGAGAGAAAATACTTTCTTTACCTGCCACCAATTTTCCTAAGAAAGAGAGTTTGTGGCATCGTTCATTCCTCTTTGAAATTTCCAATTATTTCATCTACTATTAAAACCCCAAATGGGAGGAAATTAACTTTGAAGGATATACAGTAGCCTCTTTTCTCACTTTGAGATCTTGCCTTGCAGATCTTTCTCTGCAAATTGAACTATGCAGCTAGAGTGTATTTGAATAGAGACATGCCAACTCATCTTAGAAAAATAAAGTGGGTCTGTGGTAAGACCAAACTGTAAACATGTCAATTGCTTTAGGTAAAAACAAAACAAAACAAACAAAGCTAAAGAAATAAGGAGTTCACCAGAAGAATAATGGCACTATAGCAAAGAAAAAAAGTCAGAGAGTTAATCTTTGATAATGCCAATTTAAGAGCCAAAAAAATCAGAGCACTTGGTTTGGCCAATGTAAATACTTTTCTTGTCAAAGCCTTATGCAATTAAACATTGACCTTCTTATAATGGTGGAATCCAGCTTCCAGCAGAAATATTTTCATCATGTTAAGAAATATCACATTGACTTCATCTATCACTTGGAACTTCTTTTAAAAATGTTTTAGCCTGTTGTGTTAGTCTACAAGGACCCTTATAACAGAATACCATACACCAGTGGCTTAAACAACAGAAATTAATTTTCTCACAGTTCTGGAGGCTGAAAGCCCACCTCAAGATGTTGGCGGAGTCGGTTTCTGGTGATGCCTCTATTTTTGGCTTGCTATGTCCTCACATAGTACTTCCTCTGTGTGACCACATTGCAGGTGTATCTTTCCTTTTCTTATAAGAATGGCCCATTTAAACTTAATTACCTCCTTACAGGCCCTATCTTCAAATATAGTCCCACTGAATTTTAGGAGGACACAATTTAGCCCATAACCCTCATGGTGATGGTGTGAGTTGGCCAAAACATACCAAATAAGGTCCATTCATGTCTATGATACCAAATAGCTGAGAGGATTTCTAAGAAATTAATATTAGACAAATGGTTCCAAATATGAGTTAATATCTTGAAAGTACCATCCATGGACTATGTTGGCCAGAAACAACTAGGAAGTTGACTAAAAATTTAAATTTCTGGACCCCATCCAAGATCTGCTGAATCAGAATCTCTGAGACTGAGGAAAGAGAATCATCATTTTCAATTACTTTCACAGGCATTTTTATGTGTTTTAAAATGTGGAAAAATGACTTAGGCAGTTTATCCTAGATTAAGTTACACCTGAGTTTCAAGATATTAATGGAAAAACCCTTGCCTAGGACCCAAATTAGAAGCATGAGTCAAAGACTGTGGCCTGAGAGAGGCCTAGATTTATATAAGGAGATTCTAGAATGCACCTTCTGAAAAAGCTCCTTATCATAGTGCACCATATCCCTTCTAATCTTATAATCTGGCCCTCGTTACCTGTGAGGTCTAGGAAGCTTAAAAGGGCACCTTCTTTTCATGTTTTTAAGGGGGAAATCTAAAGCCTATAAAAACAAAGTCTAATTATTCTTCCTATAAAGATAACATATCCTGATGGTCATTCCTCAAAGCACAATATCTTCAGAATTCACTTGTGAAACCTTGGATAAACATCAGAAACTTACAGAAAAAATGATGGCCTTTAGGGACCTAATTGTTTTCATGTAAAAATAAGATAGATTTAAGTCCACAATAGATTCAAAGAGTACACAGTGCCATGAGACAGAACACAAATATATAACAAAAATATTTTCCTGTTTTCTTTATAAACAAAATTATTGGATTTAAACATTTTAAGACAAGTGAAAGCAAAAAGAAAAAACACAGGAGTGAAACTTTAAAGGCCATTTCATCACGAAGGGCTCATTTATCATTTGACATTCATGTACCATGTATGTGGTTTCAAATGGTGGTTCTAAATTGTTATCTGAGTATCCCTGGAGTTCAAGATCTATGCTGGGGGATCTAAGAGGTCAAATAATACAAAAATGTTATTTGCCATTTTCACTCTCTTTCTCTGAGAGCCGTACCGTGGACTTTTTCAGAGACATGAATTGTCATAACATCATAGGATAATGGTTAATGGGTCATATATGATCTAATGGCTATTGGAATGTATGGCTATGCATCCTTGCATTCCAAATTTTTCAGATTTAATTGCCAACATGTTAAATATTAATAAATACATCCCCCTTTAACAACAACAACAAAAAAATAAAGATAACATATCCTGGCACCCTTCCAACATCCCTCTGTTGTTAAATTATAAGAATAAAAGAAATGGAGGGCGAGTCCTATTACAGACATTTAGGACCCCTGTGCAGTACGTGGACAAAGTGTTCACCCTTTGTCTGTCCAGTAAGAGATGACCATACATCGTCTAGTAAATTTATACAGCTATGCAATCACCCAGACATACCCATGGTAATCTTTCCCCAAACATTTGCTGAGTACGAATGGAGGCCTACATACCACATATCTAAAGGTATAAAAGTTATAAATTAAACTACAAGCCATTAAATAAAATCTACTTTACCAAGTGGCATTATAAAAATGTTTAATAATTGGGTCTTTGAAGGAGAAACAGGGGAGACACTGATTGGCAGTATTTGCTGATTTCTGTGGTACCAATATTCTCTCCATGGCTAATTTCAAGCAACTGACATGATTCCACTAAACATGAAGTTTAGTGGAACTGGCTTTAGCACATCATTGAATTCATCTATGAACTGGCTTTAGCACATCACTGAATTCATCTTTTTTCCTTAATGACCTATAAGGCTAGGTTCAAATTTACAGGGCTTGGATTCCTGAAAATTTTACACTATAACTGACCTTCTTCCACGACTGGCTTTCAGTAACATCCTTCAGCCCCAGATAGAGTCTGTCCCTTCTTTTCCCATCCCTAACTCCATCGTATACAGCTAAGCATGTTTATGCGTTGACAACCCAGAAACACTGCTAAGCTTTATACACACTGATGCTATCCAGCCCACTCTCTTGAAAATAGCTGTCTTTTGGATACCTGTTAATAAAGGCAAACAGGGAACTTGAAACAAGGGCTTGGGACCACTGGGCCGAAGATTCTAGGATTTGAGGTATCTGTGCATTTTTGAGGTGAGGCTAGAGATACCTAGGTCCTGTGTGGTCATGCCCAGTAGGCCCTGTGTATGCCTTACTCTGTGAAGGATAATATAGCCAAAGGCAGCCAGAGACGAGGTCCCTAAAGTTTGGAGCTAAGGGCAGGGCCCCTCTTGCCTGGGTCTGAGACTGAGACTAAGTCTCTAAGAGCAACACGTGTTAGTTACTATTCCATTAATCTTTAGGTAGTAAATGGCCTCTGCAATATGTATTCATAAACCCGAGCATTTGATCCCCAGTTAGAAGATTTTCTGGTCCAGTTTTAAGCATAGCAAGCAACGTCAGGCAAAGTGGAGCTCCTCGGTGTGGGGCTGAAGAAACCGTAAGAAGAAACTGAGATCCTTTAATGTTTCAAAGGAACCTTGCCTAGCCTTGGGAACAATTTGTAACACCCTGCCTAGCTTTGTCCCACCCATCTTTTAGTCTGCACTTTGCTTCGGGTGCCCTTGGGTGTCTGTATTTCCTGCAGGCTCCACGCTGTTTCTCAGCACTCTGTCTTTAGTTGGGTTACTGTTCCATTTGAGTGTCCCCCTTCCTTTTCTGCCCCTGTTCCATGCCATACCTCTGCTTGGTGGTGTTCGCTCATCTTTTCAGACATCAGGTACAATGCATCCCAGAAGAGCTTCTCAATTTTCATACCAATTCCCTTAACCCAGAGAACATGAACCCTAGTTCTAAAGATCTGGGAGGTATGCCCACAAAGGGGAAATTATTATTATTATTGTTATTTTAGATATCCTATTTTATCTTTTTAAAAATCAAAATTACACTGTCTTCGGAAAAAGGTAGAGGGAAGAAAGAGAAATAATATATTAATGAGTTAATGGAAGCCCTCTAAGAAAATAACTTGTTATACTATGGACAATAGTTACCGTAGGACTTTTGTAAAGTGTCACGGATATCTTTATCTTAAAACTTAAATAACTAAAATTTCTTATTCTGTATTTATGTCGATATGAAGTAAAGCTTTGAACAACATAACCATTTGTGGCCAGGAGGCTTTTAGTGTAATTTGACAATGTTTGAGAGAAATTTCAGTTATGGTGTAGGCTGCTGAACAAAAATCCAACTGTCCAAATATTACAATTTTTGTGCCTCTATTTTATGAAATATTCATTGGTTTAAAAAAGTTGTACTGAAGAAATTAAAATTTAGTGTTCAATTGCTATCATTAAAAATAATCAGAGTCTTATGGGGGCATTGTTGATACTTTTGCTTTTAAAGCATGATCTTCAGGGCATTTATGTAAGCTGACAAATTAATGACTTAGCAGAGATGTGGACAGTTAGGAAACTTAAATTGACAAAAGACTGACACCTTAATATCCACAAGTCTGCACAAATAATTCTAGGGATGTCATGAGTAGTAAATGTCTTAGTTTAAGTTCTGAATATCTATTTCTCCCCAATGACAATATATTTATTGTTGATATTTTAAAATGATATACATTAATAGTTTTGTGCATTTCCTTCCACATTTCTCTCTGTACATACCCCATATCAGTATATATTCAAATTTCTTTTTAACAGTATACATAATGTTATTTAATCTACTTTTTTACCTAACAACATGCCATTGACATATTTTCTTGTCAGTAAATATAAATTCACGCCATCTCTAATAATATTATAATATTTTACTTATAACTTATCTAAATAGCTTCCCATTGATGAGTATCTCAAAATTCCCCATTTGATTTCTTAGGTTTTTTTTTTTTTAACCTTGAAAGTGATGAATATTTTTGTACATACATATATCTTTCTGTACTAGCCCAATTTAGATAAATTTCAAAAGTTGAACCCCTATGTATCACAGGTAAAATTTGACTTAACATTTAAGATTTTAAGAATTGCTTTAGATAGTGTAAAATTCCTGCATTCTTCCTTTAGAATATCTCCTGCATATGCCTGCTTGTCACCAACGCCACCAATTTTGGCCTAGGCCAAGTCTCTGTTATCTCTTTCCTGGATCCTTGCAATTGATGCTTTAACCTACATTTGCCCCTATGCAGTCAATTCACAACATGGAAGCAAGAGTGATCTTTCAAAATTCTGAGCCAGAGCATGTAATTTCTCTGGGTAAAATTCTCCAATGGCCTCTTCTTTCACCCAGTGTAACCCCATCTTGTTACTCAGATTTGCAAAACCCTGAAAAATCCAGCCTATGTCTAAATCCTTGAGTTCCTCTTACACCATTCTCTCCTTTCTGAATTTTTGTGCACACTGGCGTTTGTTTATTTTTTTGAGGGAGCCAAAGCTCATCCTTCCTATTAGTCTTTGCATTTGCTCAAAGTACATTTTTCGGCCTTAAATGCTTTTATCCTTCCTTTAAAGATGGTTCCATCTACTTGGTAATTTAGATCTCAATATTAACTTTCTAGAGGTGGCTTCTTTGACCATTCATAAAAACAGCCATTTGTTCATTTTCTAACATGTCATGTATTCTGTGTCTCAGCTGAACACATCGCTGTGTGAAGTTTTTCTTGTTCATTTATTTGTTTAAGGCCTCACTCTTCCCCACTAGACCATCACTTCCGCAAGAATGAGGACATTGCCTGCCATACCTTACACTGTCTGAGAGGTAGCAGAGGCTCAGTACTTTTTAACTGAATTCATGTTGCTTCTGGAGTGTTTCCTCTTAGAATTAAAAGACTCATTGAGGTAAAGGAGTAAAGGTTGGAAAGTAAGGGTTCAATAAAAACAAATCAGACCTATATTAGAATAATATGGTCTTAGTGAAAACATTATCCAGAAAGAAATAATGTTAAGAAGCTAAGGATCTAATAATTATTTTACTTTGTGACCATTTGCCTTTACAATTAAAGCTGATGTTATTAACTCTTCTTCAAACGACAGGCCTTTAAGGACCACGAATAAGAAGCTGTGGTCCAAACTTTGGCTGGCACCCCAGTGACAACATCATCTGTTTTATGGTGGTTTCACGCAGATCTTGTGCAACTTCGAATTTAAAATACTGCATGTCAGAGTTATTCCATTAGGTTCAAAAGAATTGGGCAGCTTTATGTGCTCTAGTCATATTCTTGGTTCAGAGAAAGACCTTGGAGGCCTCTCTCAGAAATATCGAGGTTCTGCTCATTCAAAAGATTAAGAAGATTGTAAGAAAATTTTTATAATCTGTATTTATATTTTCCTTTTCTAAAATAGTGTGTGCTCTTTCAAGACCTAGATATGTTTGTACTTCTGGAATCAGAAAAATAAGTTAATTGATGTAAGTACATGGCAATTATTTATTCTTCATTATTCACATTCTAATGATCAACCAGGCATGTTGTTTTCTATATTGTGTTATTATCAATCATTACGCTATCATACTATCAATAAAATTGTCCAAGAACTTCCCTGCAGATGGATCTAGAGAGCTTGGTTACTAGTGTGTGACTAACTTCCTTCTTCTTAGTCCCCACATTGATGATTTAAAGGGCATAAAGAAATCAGTCCAGTTTTGTGTCTCGATAGGCAGTTCCTCTTTGGTTTATCGAAAGCCCTGAGCTTGGGCAAGCTCCAACCCTGGGAGTTGCTCATCTTAGTGTCTATTAAGCTATGAGATGTGCATCCTTTTCTCACTTTCCCATTGAAGACATCCATTTATGCTTATTTCCATCTTTCAATTGATGGATTGATATAGGAGCCTAAACACATCATTCGTTTTTCCATCCATTCCCATTGTAGCAGTTGTGGATTCACTTCTGGTGCCAGATTGAATCCAGGGCGATTTTAAAGTCTAATAAAGCAAGGAAAATCTCTTCTCCCAGTTGGAATTTTTTAAAACATGTTTCTTAATACGTAGCAATCGGGGGAGGGATGAAGTCTGTGGCTCATTTTCAAGGGAGGAATCCAATTTGGATTTTATGGATGTTGCTGTCACTGGTCCGACATTTCTTTATTCTTTCACCAGGGAGGCAGAGTCAGGGTTTACTGCTGTTGCTGCTAATGTAGATCTCTCTGGCTGCTCGAGTTGAGAGCATTTTCGTTTTTTATGTGTTGGAGTAATTAGCCCTCCTGACCATATCTCAGGAAGTGTCTGGATTGGAGGATTAGGATAAACATCTTCAGGCAGGCTTTCTGAGTGTGATCAATGTGGGGCGTTAACATCTCATTTGATGTGTTTTTACCAAGGCTATGGGGTTTCATAGCTCTCCCTTTGAAGGGGCACTCTTTCATTTCTGGAATCACCAGGGTTGAGCTTAAATGACTGGGACAAAGTTAAAGATACTTTTTCTTCAAACAATTTATATGTTCAAGGCTGAGCTTCATCTCGGCTTCTGTCTGAGGCCATCTCTAAATACAGGTGGGTGTGAACTCTGTTTCCTTTTTGTTTCCATAGAATTAAATTCTTAAACACATCAAAACGCACCATTTATGCAATACACATTTTTTGCATTTCTTTTTTAATAGACTTCATTTTTTAGTGATTTTAGGTTCACAGCAAAATTGAGCAAATGGTATAGAGATTTCCCATATATCCCCAGCACCCAAACATGCAAAGCCTTCCACACCGTCAACATTCTCCAACAGAGTGGTGCCTTTGTTGCAATGGATGAACCTTCATCAACACATCATAACCACCCAAAGTACTCAATTTACATTAGGTTTCACTCCTGGTGTGTACATTCTATAGGTTTGCATACAAGTACGATGAAATGTATTCACCATTATAGTATCACATAGAGTAGTTTCACTGTTCTACAAATTCTCTGTGTTCTGCCTATTTATCCCTCCCTTCCCTTAATCTGGCACTCTTTTTTTTGTTTTAATTTTCTTCATAGTTTTGCCTTTCACAGAATGACATACACTTGGAATCATACAATATGTAGACTTTGAAATTAGTTTCTTTTACTTAGTAATATGTATTTAAGTTTCTTCTATGTCTTTCCATGGCTTGATAGCTCATTTCTTTTTAACAATAAGTAATATTCCATTGTCTGGATATACCAAAATTATCTATTTATCCACTGAAAAGTAACTGAGTTAACTGAGTTGCATCCAAGTTTTGGCAATTATGAATAAAGCTGCTATAGACATCTGTGTGCAGAGTTTTATGTGGACAATAATTTTCAACTCCCATATGTCCAAGAAGGACAATTGCTGGATTCTATGGTAAGAGTGTGTTTAGTTTTATTAAGAAACTGTCAATATGTCTTCGAAAGTGGCCATACCATTTTGCATTCCTACCAACAATGAATGAAAACTCGTGTTCCTCCACATCATCGTTCGCCTTTGGTGTTATAATTATTCTGAATTTTGGTCATTTTGATAGGTATGTAGTTGTATTTCATTGTTGCTTTAACATTTCCTTAATGGCATATAATGGAGAACATCATTCCAAGTGCTTATTTGTCATCTGTGTATCTTCTTTGATAAGATGTTTGTTAAGTTCTTTGTCTCCTTTTATAGTTAGGGTATTTGTTTTTTTTGTTTGTTTGTTTGGTTTTTTTTTTTGAGTTTTGAGAGTTCTTCGTATACGTTGGATAATAATCTTTTATCAGATATGTCTTTTGCAAATGATTTCTCCCAGCCTGTAACTTATCCTTTTATTCTCTTGAGAGTGTCTTTTGCAGAGTAGAAGTTTTTAAGTCCAGCTTATCAATTATTTCTTTCATAGATGGTGACTTTGGTGTTGTATCTAAAACATTATTATGAAACCATATGTTACCTAGATTTAACCTTTTGTTATCTTCTAGGAGTTTTATAGTTTTGTGTTTTACATTTATGTCTCTCATGCATTTTGAATTTTTTTGTAATGAGTAAATATCTGGAATTTATTTTTTTTTTTTTTTTGCATGTGAATGTCCGGTTATTTCAGCACAATTTGTAAAAAGATTTTTATCTTCATTGTATTCCCTTGCTCCTGTGTTCAAAGATCAGTAAACTGTATTTACATGGATTTCTTTCTGTGCTCCCTATTCTGGTTCAGTAATCTATTTGTCTCTTTTTTTCATTTTTAAATGTTTTATTTGTCTTCTATTTTGCAGATAACACTGTCTAAATTATTGCAGCTTTGTATTAAGTGTTAAAGTCAGGCATCAGTCCTCCAACTTTCTTCTTCTCCTTCAATATTGTGTTGGCTATTCTGGTTCTTTTGCTTTTTCATATACATTTTAGAATAATTTTGTCAATATCTACAAAATAGCTTGAAGAGACTTTGACTAACCTATAAATCAATTCAGGAAGAACTGACATTTTGACAATATTGAGTTTTTGTGTCCATGAGTATGAATAGCTCTCCATATATTTAGCTCTTTGCTGTTTTGTTGTTTTGTTTTGTTTTCTACGAGAGAGTTGGTTTTCCTCATATGTGTTATATTTACGCTTAAGTATTTCAAAGTTTTGAGTGTTAGCGTATATGTTGTTGTGTTTTTAATTTCAATTTCTGCCTGTTCATTGTTATTATATAGGAAATTAATTGGCTTTTGTATATAAACCTTATATCCTGCAGTATTGCTATAGTTGCCTATTTGTTCCAGTAGTTTTTTGTTAAAATTTTTGAATTTTCTACATAGACAATCATGTCAACTGCTAACATAGACTGTTTTATTTCTTCCCTCCCAATTTGTGTACATTTTATTTCCTTTTTCTGTCTTATTGCATTTTCTAGGACTGCTAGTGTTGAAAAGCAGTGGCAATAGGGAAGATACTTGCCTCATTCCTGATGTTAGTGGAACACATGCTGTTTAATCTCTAGTATTTTGGAATTTTCCAGCTATCTTTTTTTTTTTCGATTTCTAGTTTAATTCCATTTTGAACTGAGAGTAGGCATGCTAAAATGTATATTCTTTAGACTTTTTCTAGGTATGTTTTATGGCCCAGAATGTGGTCTGTATTGGTAAATATTCCATGTGAGCTTGAGACAAACATGTATTCTGTTAATGTTTGATGAAGTAGTTTATATTCACTTTATTGACGGAGTTGTAGAATTCAGCTGCATCCTTGCTGATTTTCTGCCTGGTGGATCTATCTATTTCTGATAGAGGAGTGTTGAAATCTATAACTCTATTAGATTCCTCCTTGAGTTGTATCAGTTTTTTCCTCACGTATTTTGACTGTTTATAAATATATACATATTAAGAATTTTTATGTCTTCTTGGAGAACTGACCTGTTTATCATTATATAATACCTCTTTGTCCATGATGACTTTTCTTGCTATGAAGTCTGCTCTGTCTGAAATTAGTATAGCTAGTCTTTTTCTTTTATTAGTGTTAGCATGATATATTGTTCTACATCAATTTATTTTTAATCTATATTTGTTTTCATATTTAAAGTGAGTTTGCTATAGACAATATGTAGTTGAGTCTTGTTTTTTGATCCAATCTGACAATCTCTATTAGTTAATTAATGTAAACCATTGACATGCAAAGAGATTACAAATATAGTAGGCTAATATCTACTGCATTTGTTATTATTCTTTTTGTTACTCTTGTTGTTTCTATTTTGTCTTTCATTTCTTTCTATCCTTTTTGTTTGTAATTAAGCATTTTATGTACTTTCATTTTTCTCTCCTTCTTTAGTACGCCTTTCTTTACTGTTTTTAGTAGTTACCCTAGAGTTTGCAATGTAAGTTTACAGCTAATCAGAGGCCACTTTCAAATGACACTACATTTCTTCATGGATAGTGCAAGTACCTTCTAATAACAAAACCATTCCAATTCTTCCTTTCTGTTCCTTGTATCATTACTGTCATTTATTCCACACATATAAACATGAATATATAATTGAATATATTGTTGCTATTATTTTGAATGATATTATCTATTTAATCAATTAAGAATATAAAATAAAACATTTTAATTTTACATTCACTTATTTTTTCCTTTCATGCTCTTCCTTTCTTTATGTTAATCTAAGTTTCTGACCTACATCAGTTTTCTTCTCTCTAAAAAACTTTTTTAACATTTTTTTTTGCAGAGAAAATTTATTGGCAAAAAATTATTTCCATTTTTGTTTGAGAAAATCTATATTTCTCTTTCACTTTTGAATAATAATTTCACAGGATAAAGAATTCTAGGTTGGCATTTTTTTTCTTCTTAACAACTTTTCCTCACTTTTCACGTTCTGTGTGCATGGTTTCTGAAGAAAAGTTGGTTGGATGAAATTTTTTCTTTGCTCTCCCATAGTTAAGTTTTCTTTCCTTTTCTCTCTAGCTTATTTCAGTTTTTTCTTTATTTTTGATTTTCTGTAGTTTGAAAATCATATGCCTCATGTTAGTTTTCTTGCATTTATGCAGCTTGGCTTCTCTGAGCTTCCTAGATATGAGGCTTCGTGTCTGAGAAAATCCTTAGTCAATATTGTTTTAAATTTTTGTTGTTGTTGTTTCTTTCTCTCTTTTTTCTCCTTTTGGTATTCTCATTAAGCATATGTTACACAGTTGGCAGTTGTCCCACAATTCTTGAATATGTATTCCCTTTTTTTCTTTTTTTTTTTCTTCAGTTTTGGTGGTCTTTGTTGATATATTCTTAAATTCAGAAATTCCTTCCTTAGTCATGTCTATTCTACTAATAAGCCCATCAATGGCATTCTTCAATTCTGTTAATTTTTAATCTCTGGCATTTCCTTTTTGTACTTTCTTAGAACTTCCATCACTCTGCTTATATTGCCCATTTATTCTTGTATGAAGTTTCTGTTATCTATTAGAGCCATTCGCATATTATAGTTGTTTTAAATTCACATCCTGATAATTTCAACTTCCCTGCCATATAAGTCTGGGTGCTAATGCTTTATATCTTGAAATATTTTTTTGACTGTGGGCCATGACATATCGTGCGAAAGGGATGGCTGTAAATAAGTCTTTAGTAATTTGGTGGTAAAGTGCAGGGTGGAGGGAAGCATTCTGTAATCCTATGATTGATTAGGTCTTAGTGTTTCCCTGAACCTGTGCCTTTGGACTGTGATCTTCACATGTGCTTCTCAGCCCCACCTTAGGTGGAACAGTGTTGGCTAGAATAGGCAAGAGTTAGGTATTTTCCTTTCCCCAGGTCAGTTAGGCTCTGAGGAAGCCTCAGCAGGTTAGGCTCTGGTTAAATAGTTTCACTTGAGGGCAACCTTCCTTAGGAAGAACAGAATGCTCGGGCTGATTTAAAATTTTTTTTCTCCCCCTGCTGGAAGCATTAGAGAATTTTTCCTCTGATACTCACCCTGAGAACCTGGTGGAGCATCAGAAGGTAAAACTAACAAAAGTGCATGGGGGCTCCTGAAGGCTGGGTCCCCTATGGTTTTTATCTCTCAGAGTTGTCCTCATGGAGCCTCCAGCTCATGAATTCGCAATTCATTAATTACACTTCAGGTTTTCCTAGCCTGGCACTGGTTCCTGTGAAGTTGTTGCTGGTGGCTTTCTGCTCCAGTAAGTTGTGATTCTCTGTTTTTGCCTCTCAGTTTCTGCAATTTGGGGGACAGTGGTTTGCCTTGGGCAAATTATGCATCAAAGGATCGCATGGACAATTTCTGTTATGGATTTAACAAGAGTTATGAATTTTTTAGTTTTTTCAGCTTTTTATAAGTTGTTAGAATGGAGTTGCAACTTCCAAGCTTCTTCCATGCTGGATTGTTAACTAGAATTCCTGCGCATATCTTAGAATTGACTCTATAGATGGTCAGTTCTTTGAGCACAGATACTGTGTTCTTTATTCCATACATTCTTTTTTTAATGAGATATTCATCAATTACCAGTTAGTTACTTGATATTGTTCTAGGTGCTGATGATACTGTAATAAGCATAATATACATAAAGTCTGTGCCCTTCATGGATGTTATGTTTTAGTAATGCAAACAGGAAAAGTAAACATACAAATCAGAGGAAAAATAACATTATTAATGATAAGTACTTTGAGGAAAATAAACCAGGGCCTTATAATAAAAACTATCTACAATAGAGGGTAGCAACGTTTGATGTGAAGCATAAAAAACAAATGAGAGGTAGCTATAGGAAAACGTGGTTGGAGAAAATCCCACTCTATGCCCTTACTACCTGTGTGACCTTATGCAAGTTACTTATTCTCTCTGAATCTAAGTAAGTTTCAATAGGAAAAAAGTTAAGATTTATAAAGTACAATGCCTAACTCATAAAACACTCAAAACTGTTGCTATATCATTATTACCCCATTGAGACACTTGAATTTTATTTTAATTCCAAAGCAAAATCATTGACATGCTTTCAGCATGGGGGCTCTTGAATCCCTAATGATGCTTAGCATAATGCCTGCTAAGTAATTAGTTTTATAGCATATTATTTTCTTTCTGAAATTTTCTAAGTGATGTTTAGTCAATCAAATTATCTCTACATACTTAGAGATCAGCTACTCCATGTATTACATGGCTACCTGGTCTACAGTTTCTGCTGGAGATAATTCAAAATAATTTTAAGACATAGACCTTGATTTCAAATATATTGTCATTAATTCATGAATAGAGGACTTTTATAAAGTTTATTTTTAGTTCTTTTTATAGAATGTATCTAATTGGCTCCTCTTTCTTGACTAGTGGTGATAATGTTGAAACACTTGAAAAGTGATAATGTTGGTAAAAAATAAATAGTAATAGTCAATCATATGGGATTGATTAAATAAATTATAAGCATGAATACTCCCACCAATAAAAATTGGATTGTATCATAAATCATGATGGGGTAGATATCCAAAAAATAAATTTTAGGAAAATAAAACAGGTTATTAAAATTCTCGAAGAAAATGCTTGAAAATGCCAACAGTGATTAAGTCTGGGTGGTGGGATAAGATGATTATAGATTGGTTAATTTCCCTTGTCTCAGTTTGTTTTGTGCTGCTGTAACAGAATACCTGAGACTAGGTAATTTACAAAGTACAGAAATGTATTTCTCATAGGTCTGGAAGTGGAAAAGTCCAAGATCAAGGTACCAACAGGTTTGGTTTCTGGTGAGGGCCTGGTCTCTGCCTCCAAGATGGCACCTTGAATGCTGTCTCCTTCAGAGGTGGAGCAATGCTGCTTCTCACATTGGTGAAGAGTGGAAGGGAGAGAGCCCACTCTCAAAAACCATTTTATTGTGGCATTAATCAATTCACGCAGGCAAAGCTCGCAAGACCTAAACACCTCCCATTAAGCCCCCTCTCCCAACATTGTGGCCTTAATGATTAGGCTCTCAACACATGAGTTTTGGAGGGGACAAACATTAAAACCATAGCATTCCCTTCTGAATTTTTCTGTACTTTCTAAATATCTCAAGAAAAGTATCCATTAGTTCCGAATCCACTAAAGCCAATTAATTACAAACAAGATTAAAGAAGAAAGGAAATTCACAATCACTACAAAAATAATTAAAAGAAAGTAACAGCAGATTATATAACAGGATATATACTTAGGCTAAAATATGAACCATTATTTCAGTTAAATCTTCATATTTTCTATGGTCTTAGAACAATAGACTTTATTTTGAAGACATATAGGGAATATCCTCTGGTTATTGCCTAACCTTTCTTGACCCAAGATCACCTAGACAGAAAATGATTTGACGACATACTTGTTCCAAAGGCCATGCCTATTTATCTACACTGCACTATGTCTGTATTTATGTCTTCAAAATAGTCTCGAAGATGATGGGAGACATGAGAAGAACTTTCCATTCCCTCTGTTTCATTTTACTCTGCAGTGCCCTTCAATCCCTTCCAACTATACTGAGTCTGTACTTCTGCTACAACTGCTTATGCATAATTGTTCTCACAGACGCTGGGCCCCTTGAAGCTGGAGAAATAGTCTAAATCAGTCTCTGGTATCTCTGAGGCCTAGAGCAGTGCCCAGCCTATCAGTAGCATATAAATGTTTGTAGAATTTATTGAATTGCTGCATTTTCTCCCACATTTCCTCTACGTGTCAGAAGTGTCAGTGTTGCTAAATTCTTCAACTCTGAATTTCAAGAGAACCCCAGAGCCATGTTGCTCATTTCCCAATGGACACCTTTATCTTGTACTAACATTTCAAGAATTGCCTTGCTTTCTGGCTTTTTTTCTTGTTTAGAAAATTCTGGCAATGAGTTACTTTAGAAAGCAGCCCAACCTCTGACAAAGTCTTCTGTTTTCTGACCTGTAACAGAAACTAACTCTCAACAAAAGAGCAATTCTCCACCTGCAGGCCTAAGCACGGAACTTTAATGTAAATGACAATTGCAGGAGCCCTTAGAAAGGAGATGGGGAGGAGGGTGAGGTCATGTGACAAGATTTCTACTCTGTGTCAGCCCTTTTCTTTGGCATTTAGATGAGTTGAATGACAGGTAAAGCTTAGGGCTTAGGCTGCCAGGAACAAAAAAAAAGTGGGTAAATTTAATCATTTGCTCTAGTCTTTAAATATCCTGTACAGCTTTCAGGCACAAAGCAATCTTCCTACAGAGAAACAAACCCAGGATGTGGTTACAACGTACTGTTCTACCTCTTTGTGTTAAAGTGCCTTAATGATCAGGAAAAAAAAAAAAGATTTGCATGAAGGCTTTTTATGGAAAGCACTTAACACAATGGTTACGCAAGACAAACGTCAGCACAAGTGGATATAACTGATATGATGAGTCATCCTATGTGGTTTAAAGCCACCACAAGTGAATGTCTTTTAATTCAGCCTACATAAGCCCAGAACATCTTTTATAGGACTTTGAGGGTATCTATGGCATTGACAAGATACAATTAGCTCCTTGACTGAATCGTAAGATTGAAGGACAGTCTGATTTAAAAATGATTAAGGTGAGTGGCATATGGATGCCAAAGCTTCTTCTGAAATCAGCCTTGGTGATTTGTTTTTCTCTCCAGGTATAATGTCATAACACACACACAGACACACACACACACATACATACACTCAAACGCATAGTGACATCACCTTAAGATCTGAGTAATGTAGGCAGGATAGAAATATAATTGGCCACAATATTGTCTCATGTAAGCACATTAGTGATGCTTACTTAATCTTTTGGCATCCAGTCATTCTCTGGAGTAAGAAGTAAGGCTTTCTGTTTTAATTTCGTGACTCGAATTTGGAAACAATCTTTGCTCTTCGAAGAAAGGTACAATATAAGATTTTATTATTATACTGATTACATATTTGATAATTACCTGGTCTTATTGTCACTAGTATGGCTGTCATTACACATTGATTATAGCATTTCTTTCTGTTGACATCAAACAGGACCTCAGAATTCTTCTCAGCAAAGTGCCTGAAGAAAACACGGTAAATCAACTGGAATGACCATGTGAAATAAAGTCTACCTACTTCTCATTCACAGCACATATCAGACAACCTAATAATCAAGGTTATGATTTTCAGATATCCACTTTATCCAAATGAACATTTGGTAACATTAGGTTCTGCAACAGCAATTAATACAGGGACTCATTTAAAATTGCTGCTACCTTGTCTTTCTGATATTTTAATGGGTTGTCTTCAGTTCATACATTCTTTTTATTTCCCATTTCTTATAGAGCCCAGTTATAAGGCCCATTGTAGTATAATCAATAAAAAACTGTTGACTGATCAATTAATAATGTGATGATTTGTCTAAAAGCTGCATTGGTAGAAAGGAAATAATTTTGTACTAAGAGTGAAAACATTTGAGTTCTATTCTTTATATCTGCAAGTAACCATGGTTGGAAAACGTGTTTCAACTTCTCTAAAACTCAGTTTCCTCATTTCTTAAAATAGGGCAATAAACTGGATATTTTCTAAGGCTTCTCCCATTAGAAAATACAGTAATTATTCTGAGATATGTGCATGAATAGGTATCTCATTTATTTTAAAGTAAATAAGGTACCATAAATATCTATTTTCAAAGATAAAACTCTTCTTTATCTTTCCATTTCCATTCTCCCCATCTCCAACACTTATTTTCTCAATTTACTTGGAGCGTACAATATTTAGGTAGGGTGTGGCTCTGAGAAATAGTAAAAACATCCCCTCCCACACACATCCCGTAAAACACACACATATGCACTCACATTAGTGAGAGGACCAATGAAGGAATTCCCTTGAGTTACTGATTTCTGCAAATTTGACTCAGTTTTATTCACTACCAAAAGGAGCTATTGGAAACCTTGTAATCTCACTGAACTCGCATTCAAGGAAAATCTCTCTATTTCTCAATAGTTCTTACCATTTTTGCATATGCTATTCACTTTGAAAAAACTTTCTCCAGGAAAATTCCTATGACTTCTAGACTGAGCCAAAATGCCAGCTCCTCATTGATGCATATGTAATTCTCCTTGTCAGTGTCAGGTTCTCTGTCTGCAGTGATTTCTTAGCACTTTAATTGTGCCTCTGTGGAAGAAGTTATATATTGTAATTTAAAAATATCTGTTCATGTTTGTTTCTCCCAACTACTTAAAAGCAGTCACATTTTAGGTACATCTAGTTTATCTTAAGGAGCTGTATTAGACTGGCTCCTTTAAAATTCTGGAGTCCACTTAATATCCCATTTCAAGGTAAGCCCCAGAATGCTTTTCAGCAGCATTCTTGACCTCTCTATTACTATGAAAGCTAGACTCTGACACTTTCGCATGTCAAGTCCAGAACTCCCTAGAGAATCTCCCTAAAAGTTTTTAGCCTTTTTCAAAATGAAGCTTACCGGAGAAGAGAGTGAACAAGAAGGCTTTAGGTCTTGTGATATTAATTATTTTTAAAGAAGAATAGATTATCATATTTTAAAACTAAAATCATCATTTTTCTTCATGTTACTTCTTTGATTATCTGCATACATTACTAGAGAACCAGTGGTCTAAATTCTTAGAACCTTGTTCCTGGTCTTTCAGCCCTCACAAAAAAAGGTGACTTACACAAGCACCTGACTGGCATCTGACAATTCCCAAAGGAATTACTTCCAAAGTAAAGCATCTTGCATTAATTTTCTCATCTCTAAATTTACCTCAGACATCTATCCTCATATCAATATGAGTCTGTATGTCTGTGTGTACAGGTTTCATATTTAATAGCACATATGATCACAGATTTAAAGCATCAATTAGCAACTCGCATATAATGGCAAATGCATTTGCCAAATGGATGGAAAATGCTTTTTTTTTCATCTCTTCTTCCTCTAATATCTCTTACTAGACAAATCATCATTACTGGCGAGCTCTGACAACAGACCTTTCTAAGTCCGATTCTGTCATTTGCTTGGTAGACACGTTGACTGCAGCAAACCGTCCCCTATCATCAACTTTTCCAGATGTTTGCACAGCGGGTTTGGTGTTTTTAAACTATCTAAGTTACGGTCCCAAATGACAAATGTTCATTTTCAAAATTAAAGCTTATTACGAATTACCTGCCAAGTACAATGTGTCAGGAGAGACTGAATGAATTAGAAATTTTGCCCATTGAGAATGAATGAATAAGAAAAAACATAAATGAGGCAAGCTATTACACATGCTGGAGGAGCACAGAAAGAATTTTAAATAACAGTAATTTACTAAAAGCTGTTGCATTAATACTTATGCCTTACCTTAAAGAGGCCCATCCTTACCTTTTGATGTAAGTAAGGCTTCAACTTTTTTAAGTGAAAATAATAATGTCTAGGAAAGACAAGGATAATCTCTAAGATGAGACTGTATTTCTCTTTTTAATCATCATCCACAGAGGTTCAGGTTTGCTGTACTGGGAAGAACATGGCCTGATATAGCCATCAAAAGACTAACGTTTTTTTGCTCTTAGTTGTCTTCCAGCTGTGTGATCTGCTGCTGGTTACTAGTCCTTGAACCTCAGTTTCTTCTCCTATAATGTGAGAATAATAAAACCTGAACAAATAGGTTGTGGTGAAACTTAAATCAACATAAGTATTTGAATGTACTTTGTAAACTATGAAGTATCATAAATATATACTGATGTCATAATGATATTAACTACCATATATTAAGTATTTACTTTGTACCAGATACTATGTAAGTCTTCACTTATATTATCTTGTACAATCTTCACAACTATTGAAGGGAGGTAATATTATCTCTATTTTATAGGTGAGGAAACTGAGTCTTATATCGAGGTTGAGTAACTGGCCTAAATAACTGCTAGCTTGGGCTGGATAGGATTGAAAAAAGAATGTCTGATTCCAAAAACATGCTTTTAATCTCTACACTGTGCTACTGTACTTTTAATTTTAAGAGCCTAATGTTCAGTGATGCCAATTTGATGCAAAACATTTTGGAGCTTTCATTTAAAATTGCCTTCAGATACAGATTCATCAAGGCACACAGAGCAAGCAGCCTAATGACTCTTAGACAACTCTTCTTTTTGGCCCCCAAAAGCGTCATTAAGTCTAATCATCCCGCATTCCAGGTAGGAAGGCAATGACTATCCACAGCCAAGAGTTCTCTCTTTTTGAAGGTTCTACAAGATTGACATTTCTTTTTAAGATGGACATGGATCTTTTTTCATTACATCCCCACAGCCTGTGTATAATATTAATTATAATTCCAATCACATGGTATGTTAACCATTTTTTTTACAGATCCAACTTTCAACTAGCAAGAATTTTTAAGTTACTGTACCCCAGAAGCAAGAATAGAAAGTGCGTACTTCTATTTGAAGAAATTTTTAAAAATGTAAATTCTCTTTTTGCTGCCTAGGAAAATTTTTGGTCTCAGCTAGAGAAATACGAAACCAGGATGACCAAGAAGTCAGGGTTTATTTCATAGGGCAAAATAGAAGCATCTCGATTTTCCATCTTTAAAATTATAATCAGCAGCAGGAAGCAAAGCAATATCACAGTCCTGTTATAGGAATCTAATAGCTTTTTATAGAATGCACAGCAGCAAACGTTATCACTATGCTTGAAAAAACCATTTTCATTATCAGTTGCTATTTTTTTCAATTGATTATGACTTTTCCTTTAAGAAATGTGTTTAGGCAAAAATTTCCTATGTTTGATTTAGCCCAAGGAAAAAATTTTTGTGGGAATGGAGAGAGTACTCCAAACTGAATTCATTCTGCCTTTAAGTTATGCAAACGTGGACAAAATATATCACATTCTACTGAAATTGTTTTTTATTTATACTTCTATTGCTTAGAAAGGGTGTATCAATGGAAAATAAAGCTTTACGACTTTACAGGAGCCACTGAATGGGATGAAGGTTAAATTTTTCTTCAGAGTTATGAAGGTTTAAGTGGTAGGAAAAAGGATGCTCTTAAAGTCATGTCTTCTTTTTTCTAAGGTGTTGCATTGGACTGAAGCCTCTTCAGAACACTGAGGATATACCAATTCATTTTAGAAGCCTCCAAGGTGAGCAGTGAAAGCCATCAAAGTTAAAGTTAGCATCATTTAAGACAAAGTGAATTAACAGCACCACTCAGAGTGGAGTGTGAATGTATTTGTATGTCTGGCATAGCCTAAGGTTTATTTATTTATTTATTTATTTTTTACCATGGAGAGAGGTCAAGAGGTCAAGAGGTCAAGGTATTTTAAGATGACCAAATCTCTTTAAGATTCTTCAGGAAAAAAAAAAAAAAAAGCAGTACAGAGATGTGAAATTTGAGGCTACACCCATTATGCTGAACAAAGAGGTAGTACTCCCTGAGAGCAAATACTAAGACTTGTTTGAGCAAAACAAGGGATTTAGAAGTCTAGGACAAAACAGGCTTTCCATTTCATAGAAAAGACAAATAGCTTTAGAACAACATTTTGATTGAGCAGATGTAAGGGACCCCTATATTTAAATTTCAATATATAAATCCCAATAATGGATTTCTCTAAAGCCAAACCCTCTTCAACTTTCGTGGTAATTCTCTTAAGAAAGCATTAAATAAAAGCATTTCACTTCTAGTTGAAAATCAATGGTACTTCAGTGAAGCATGCATCTTCCAAGTATTATGGAGTCAAGAATCATACAGTTCTGCTAGTAAGACATGGGGCCCTGGCTTTGGTGATAATAACTTCGTGCAACAGTGCAACACAGGAGTCTTTGGGAAAAATCATGCAAAATAAAGAATTGAAAATTGAGTGTGAATGTGCTCTAGTTCTCTTTGAAATGCCAACCTGATACATAAAATTATAAATAATGAAAATGGTGTGATAGGAATAGGAATGAGAGTAGTAATAAGTAGAAACAATACTTACTGTCTACTATGGACCAGACACTAAATACATGATATGCATCATCTCATTTGATTCTCTTAAGAATCCTGTAACTTGGTATTATTACCTACATTTCTGGAGTAGGTCTGAAGAAGGAACAACTACGTGTGGAGACATTCAATAAATTTAAGATGGGTTAAAATATTTTATTATACACTAATGTATGGCCATTTCAACAATCAATCAAAAGATATTATAAATTCTATCTACTTGGAAAGTTCTTTCTCCCTTTGCATAGTGATAAAATTGTATTCATTTTTCACTCTGATAATGATAAGGATGAATAAGATATAGCTCCCGCCCTCCAGGAACTCACAGTCTGAAAAGGGAGATGAAGCATGTATTAAAAAGCCAAATATAATTCATGGTAGTTTGTGGTAAACTCTGTAATACAGGTATATTTAAAGCTATGGGTAGGCAGAAGAAAGAAAATAATTCTCAGAGCTAGGGTAGAGTTGGAGGAGGAAAGGATTAGGGACATCTCCTTAGAGGAGTTCAGCTGGGTTCTAAAGATGGGCAGAGTTGAAACAGACAGTGTTATGAGGCTCAGGGAAATTTTTGATGTGCAATGCCTTTGAATCTAGGGTATATTCAGAATGTCAATGTTGCTGAAATTTTTGACATATGATTGAGCATAATATGGGTAAGGACTAGATTGTAGAAGACCTACACTACTACTCTAAGCAGTTTAAACTTCATTTGGCATTCAGGGGCAAGTTTTGGACTGGAAGTATAATATGATCAGAGCTGTACTTTGAGAATATTATTCTAGTAATGCATTAAACTCATTTCTCTAATTTTTTACTGAATAATTATTGTCCTGTGACTGTACGGCAGGACTTATGCTAGGCAATGGGGATATAATGGTGAATATGACTCACTCTCTGCTTGCATGGAAATTACAATCAAGAAAATTAAACATAAAATAGAACACTGTCATCAACATCATAATAGAGAAAGTACAGGGTAGCATGTAGAAGTGCCTTCTCTAGTATTGGGATAATCAAAGAAACTTCCTGTAGAAATTGATTTCAAGTTCTGTGTACGGCATGTACATATATACACAGGTGTAGGCTTATTGAATAAGAGGGTCAATCTATGAAAAGGTTCAGAGGGGAAAGTGTGCTTCAGGAACTTGATGCAGAGTTATTTGCTTTCCAACCACATAGATCCTTAACAACCTCAGGTATGTGCACAGGGTTCCTGGTCATTTCATCTTGGACTGGACAGGCAGGATTCACCATCTGTCAGCTGCCAGGAGAACCAAGTAAGTATTATGCACAAGGACCTTATGAAAGCAAATTCTGTTGAATTGAATTGGCTTTCTTCATAGATCTAGAAATCATCTGGTTTAAGATTCCTTTTCAATGCCAAATATGAATAATTCAGTCAAGCCTGAAATAAACACCGTGATCAAGTGTGGCTTTTATTGTCCAATTTATTCACTCACTTATTCAGTATTTGTTGTTTGTCAGCACCATATAACCCACTATACTAGGTACTTGCCTTATCTAATCTTTTAGTCATAATTAATCATTATTTTATCTAAACATTTACCTCATTTTTCCTAGAACACTTTTCATAATTTGGGTCTATCACTGTAAGTTGTATATAACTGTGTCCTCAAGTAGATTGTGGCATTTGAAAAAAAATGTGTTCTCATCTTGTGTTCCATTCAAGCAATGTCAAGAATACAATAGAGGTTCTATAAATGGTGGGTGGATGGATGGATGGATGGATGGATGAACAGATGGATGGACAGATGGAGACAGACATGAATAAGAATTTGTTTCTGTCTTCAGAATCTTATAGTCTAATAATGCAGATCAAGGACAAGCATGCAGTTAATGAGAAATATTTTCCACTATTAAAACCATCATGTTCTCTCTTTTCAGTTTATGTTTAATGTTCTAGAGCCACAATCTTATCATGATCCTAAAGATATCATGAAGGAGCCTCAGAATGTATTGAGAGTTTGAAATAGGAAAATTTTTTATAATAGCTGAAGTTTGACTTTTAAATTTCTGAAAATACTAATTACTGAGCTTTATCTTTAAACTCAAAATAAAAGCAGCCCCGAATACCTCATTTAACCATTTTAATATGTTGTTATTTTACTTCTGGTGAGATGCAATGGAAGTAGATAAGAACAGAATAGGCATTCTAGAGAATGTCTGCAGTCATCATTAATCCAACAACAAAACAGAAGTATGTCTTTGCCTTTACATGTAATGGGATTGACATCATTTCCTACGTTTCTATTCAGTAGTCTCATTTGATTGACATTTCCCCAGGAGTGTTACCATGTTTTCTTCTTTCCATTCAGTAGTTCAGCACATCTTTATTGACTGTTGCATGCCATGACCTTTGATCTGGCCAACCAGATGAAAGAGATTTCAAATTTTCAACGGCATTGTCTACATGGACTCTTGTTTCTCCATGACTTATTTTGAGAAAAATAAGTGAGACTTTTCTTTCTTTTGTATACATTGGAGATGCATATCTTTGCATTTCATTGGAGCAAAGTGATTCAGTAATACAAAAGGTAGTTTTTCTGTTAAACTCAGGGGATTGTAATCATTTAACATACTCTAGAAGTTAAGGAAATGCATGATTTAACATGGAGATGAAAGAGATAGGAATTATAGTCAGAAAAACGATTTTCTTAATCTTAGTGGGTTTCCAATTCCTCTTCTGTAAAACGGTAACAATAGTACAACTTTTAAATATTGTTATAATGTTATATGAGAATTTTAAAAGATAATAGGTGTTAAAAATGCCAGGCATTACTCTCATATGTGATAGGCTGTCATTTATTTGTTGATTACTGTGTGGAGATGATGTACTAAGCACTCTACCTGCATTTCCTCATTTGCTATTTCCCCCAAACTATGAGGCAGATTCTGTTTTTATCATTATTTTAAATGAGGAGACTAACACACAAGAAAGGTAAAACATATAATTTGGCACTGATCCTAGAATGAATACAGAGAAGACCAGTATTTGAGCCCACAGGTTGATGGGGTGTGGTTCAAAGACAATGTTGAAACTTCTAGGTATTTTTTTGTTGTTGTTGTTTTTGATTTTTTTTCCTGCCAAATTAAGAAAAAAAAAATCTGGATTTAGTAAGGAGAGGCTTTATTTGAAAAGGGAAGAAGTGGAAGAGAAAATGGACTATTGCAGTGAGAATCATGCTCTGACCATAAGATCAGCAATGTCTCAGAGGTTAGGAAAACAGGAGTTCCTCCTTTATTAAGGGGAGGGAAAGAGGCTACAAAGAGCTGATGTGAAATGTAAGGGTTGTGCAGTCCCATAGTAGACCACAGGACATTTTTACTCTGAGGCCAGCCTCTTCTCAGGAAAGGCTTTTAAGCAGGGGTTTATAACAGCTCAGGCTAAGGTTTGCTAAAAATTCAGGACCTGGGAGGAGAAGAGAAAATTCACCAGAGTTTGATTAGCAAACATTTGGTTCCAAATAATCACAGGGATAAGCAGTTAAGATAATTCTTTATGAGTCATAGAATTGGAATTTCGAGTTTGGGTCTAACCTTTTCCTAGGTAAACAAGGGGTAATTCATGCATGTTATCTAACATATATGAAAAAGAGTCATTGTTTGTGTCCCAGGACACAAAAGGATGAGGGGATTTCTTAATCTTCACTGTTTTCCAGAATCACAGGGTCCAGGAAAGGGTCAATATTGTCACTTCTCTCTGGCTAGACATGCTGAAAATGAGAAACCATGTCTTCGGAAACCATGTGATGAGGGTAGCGGAGTCTCTGGGTGGCATTGTGACCTCCCTGCCCTAAGGTGTTAATTAAGTCAGTTAGTTTTCGGAATCCTTTGCTGCAGTAGCTTCCCCAGCATCCTGAAGAGCAGTGAAGTGCTCAGTTTTACAACTCATGCCCATTGTGATTTAAGCCAAGTGATTTCATCTCATAAAACTTGGTTTCCTTATCTGCTAAATGATGGAGATGGACTTGGCAAAGACTTACAGTCTCCCAGCTCTGATCTTCAGAAAGGCACAAAGATATGCCCAAGTGCCCTGTGGTTTGAGGTGTGGAATTAGAGGCTGAATCATGCATTAGTCTTCTTCCTAATACTCAGGCAACATCAGTACAGGAAGTCATTTAAGAATGCTCTGGTAGTGGATGTCACTGACTGTAAATAGCTTTTTCATCAGCAATTCAGAATAATGTTATCAAGGTTGCTTTTGTCTTCCATTCTGGCAATCAGTCATTTATCATTCCTAAACCTCTAGTACCCCCTTTGCATTACCTTGCATAAATTGGGTGATTTCTCAATTTCCTCTTTTTCAGCCTTTCTGATTTTCTTTCCATAGCGTCTCTGAAATTTTTTCTGTGTCATGCAAACTCCGTTTGGGTGTTTTATGTCTCTGCAAAGGCCAGAGCTGGTTTTCTACTTAATATTCAATAAGCATGTTTGAAGATCACCTCTTTCAGGAAAAGCCCATGAAACTCACCACTGCTCAGCTGATGATGACTTACTTAAGATTCTTGTTGCCCTGCATTTGGATTCTTGATGTAAGCTAGCTGAAGCAGGACTCTGTGGGCCTTATTATCACACAGTGCCTTAAGCATAGCATTGTGATAGATGTAAAAATTACCCACTTTCCAAACCTTTAGGGATACTTAGAAAAAATGTATACTGTTACTAATAAATGTGTGTTGTATTATAAATATGGTGACAGCTGAAAGTGGGCTTTCCAATGAAATTAAGATATATTGGAATTTAAAATTAGTGGTACACTTAAACTTTACTATATTTTTTGTTCAAATTGGAAAGCATTGAGTGCGAATGTGGTGGACAAATGGGTCAGAGGGTAGATGTGGCAGAACAGCTGTCTTCAAGCATTTAAATAGAGCACAGTGGATGAGACCTAAATCCAAAGACCTGTTGGTGACTCACTGCCTGTGGGACCTGGAAGGAGGCACTTCATCTCTCTAAGGCTTAGTTTTCTCAACTATAAGAAAATAATAATTTTAGAAAATAATAATAACAACAATAATTACCATAAAGAATTATAGAAGGAAATAAATAACATCATGTGTGTAAAATATCTTTAGCTCTGTTGGCATATGGTAGACATTCATTAATGTTGGGGTTGTTGTTAAGACTTTGTCATTAATTAACATTGACTTACCCTACTGTGCTTAGAAAAATTCACCAGTCCGAATGGTAGGCTATAAACCTAGGAGCTAGAGAATAGAATCTCTGGGCTCTAAATGTGGACCATTATGTGGACTTATAAAGGAACCAATGTCCATGGAAAGAGAAAAATAACCAAAATCTGAGGAGTAACATTGACACTTTCCATGTTAGGCTGGTTAAACTTGTCCCTCAACTCCTCATCACAGTCAGTATCAATCTTTTCTTTCTTTAATTTTTCTTTCTTTAATACCTGTTCTACTCATATTGCTGAATTCTTATCTGTCCTATTTCCTCTTATTATGATTTACTAGACTTTCTGAAGGCTGTTACATTTGGGTCATGTTCTCAGATGTAAATTCTCCTCATTTATCTTGCTAGAGTTCTGTCAGGAGACAACAACTAGACAAATACACACAGAGAAATCAAAGTCCAAAAGAAAAAAAAGAGAGAGAGTCTGACTTTTGTTGGTTGATTAGATCAAAGATGATGATTTACATGGTTTGGAGTTATAAAGAGTATATATTTATTGGATAATTAAAATCTCTCCCACTTATTTTGAGCTAATAAATCCAGCCCTTCAAACTCAATGCTGTCAAATACTGGAATTAAGTAATCAAAGGAAAAAAACAATAATCTGAGAAAAAATAATTTATTAAACAAAGTAAAAACTTTGTCTTTAGGAAGTTTATAAGTAGATTTGGCTGACCATTGCAATTTGGGAACTTTTTGAATGTTGAGGGTAGTAATGAGACAGAAATTAATCAGTTGGGGCTGGTTTTAAGAAATGGCTTCAGACCCTAAGTGGTTTGCCAAGTTTCCCTTAAACACCTCACATTATTGAGGATACAAGTCAAAATCACTTATCAGCAGTTCTTCCAAATAGCCAGGAACATGTATTAAAGAGGCCATGAAGGAATTTCTAATGAGAAAAAATGTTCTTACTTTTTGAGAAATTAACTGCTTCAATAAATTGCAACGATAAAGTAGGAAAAGTTATCACAATAATGTCTGTTGTAATAAAACTAAACTGTACAGCTGATAACAGTTAAAATGCCAGAAGGTGAGTTAATGACATACTATTCTCCTAAAAGCCCCTTTGGTCCTTATTCTGAAATAGAATTCTGAGACCCACTTATAAGGAATATGGTGGAAGCTACATGGAAATACTGTATATTCATATGTTCTACAGATTCACTGCCTGTGAACTTTTGAATATATGTAAGGTTTATAAGGAGAGTATATTAAATGAAAGTTTTGGGAAGGTGAAATCAAATAACCCTAGTAGCTAAAATTGATTCTTGAAGTATATACAAGATGGAAGTCTGTGGTTAGAGAAATAAGTCTGAATTTCTTACTTGGAAAATTTATATCAAAGATCATGGGAACAGGGGCAACGACAGGGCCATTTAATCCTCCCTAACACTTTCTGTGGATTCATGAATGTAGGAGAGGCCCAAAGCTTCTGCTATGATTTTCTTCAGTCAAATTCCTAAGCAAGCTAAAGATTATAGCAATGCAGAGGAATTCATAAGGATAATGAGAGGGGGAAAAAAGAAAACAAATGGAAATAGCGCAAGCAGACATTGGAAAGTAATTTGAAGTAGGAGAGTTTGGAGCTAATAGTTTTACTTTGCATTATTGAATTTCTCCCATACATAGTAATGACAGTGTCCATGAATGGTGAAAATGTGTGTGTAGTATGTGTGTGTGTCTGTGGTGTGTAGGAAGGAAACGTACAGAGAGAGAGAAGGAGAAAAAGAGAAAAATAGGGAGGGAGAGAGAGAGAGAGGAGGAGAGAGAGACAGAGAGAAAGAAAAGCAAGGGAAAGACTAAAGTTGAGAAAGCATTAGAAAGCCCAAGATAACATGTGCACACGTGCTCAGATACTAGGGCTGAAATTCTCAGGGCCAGCTTCTTGCTTTATGGTGAAAGCCAAATCAGCTAGAGTATTTTTCAAACAAACAGCAGAAGGAAAATAAACAGAGCTGTCTCCTGTTACCATGAGTTCAAAGGGAGCCAAGCTAGTGCCCCATACACATAAACCACATTCTGACTAATTAGGTGAAAACAACAGCAAAAAATATAGTAGAACAATTATCTGAGAAATATAGAAAATTGAAATATGCCAAATCTCCATTAAAAAAAAAGAGACATGAAGAAATAGCATCAACCATAACAGAAACAAACCTCTCTGCTCTGAGCCATCTGTGCCCCCTATCAGCTGGTAATAATGTGACTCTGAGTAGCAATAGAAATCATCAAAGGAAGAGCTTTAAGAAGGCATGGCAGCACTAATAGATTTTTTTCTGGGTTTCTGGTCTTTGTTTATGGATAATTATAATTTGGCAATGTGTTCAGAGGCCCATCATATGAATGTCTCCCTTGTGTTTTATTTAAGCAACAGCTCACAGAGGACTCACTTCTGTTTCCCACCATGCCAAGTAAATTCTTGTAGAAGGAGAAAACTTCCAATGATGTGTGAATTTAAAATTATGAGTTGATTTAATGAATTACAGCAACTAGATTCCTAGATAAGTGTATTTAACGTGTTTACCTGTCCAGTGAAGACATATTTGGTTATCTTATTTGAAGCAAATTTTTCCTTCAAATGATGGCAATTTCATCCAGTCTATTTTAGGGCTTGCTTTTATATATTCCCAACACATCTCTCTCTACCATTATATTTGTTGAAATCTCAAAGAAATGGAAAGTGAATAATCTGCCTGTAATGTACATAAGAATATCTTATTTTGAGAATGAGAAAGTATTTTTATGGACAGGATATGAGAAATAATAAGCCAGTTAAGCTCATTTATATTGTCAGATTTACCTTCAAATACAGGTTGCCCTTTTGTTAGAAATGAATTCTCAGAATATCAATGATCAATTAGGATTTGTTGGTTGCATGTAACAGGAACAAATTCTGATTCATTTGCGTAAAAACAGAAATGTATTAGGAAGAAGACAGAATAGCTCAAAGATTCAAAGGAAGAGTTTAACAAACACATATTAGCAAAGGCACATAAGGCAATTCCAAGAATCTAGGCAGCAAGCATCAAAGGGCAGTTTCTTCAAAATGTTACCTGTAGATGAGTGAAATTTAGTTTTTTTTTTTGTTTTTTTTTTTTTTTTTTTTTGAGAGGCAGTCAGGCTGGAGTGCAGTGGCACGATCTCAGCTCACTTCAAGCTCACTCCACCTTCCAGGTTCATGTCATTCTCCTGCTTCAGCCTCCCGGGTAGCTGGGACTACAGGCGCCCACCACCATGCCTGGCTAATTTTTTGTATTTTTAGTAGAAACGGGGTTTCACCTTGTTAGCCCGGATGGTCTCGATCTACTGACCTCGTGATCTGACCGCCTCAGCCTCCCAAAGTGCTGGGATTACAGCCATGCCTGGCTGGCCATTTTTAAACTCTGTGTAGCTCAATTCAATATTAAAATTTCTGGAAGAAAACTTAGTCATGGCCTAGCTTGAACTTTTACATATCCTTTACCAAAGGGAGGGCAGAGACACATGATTGGGTAGTTTAACAAGACTAAAACCAATGAGGAAAATTGATCTTCTGTTACCAGAAAAAAAAAAAAAAGGGAATAGATGCTGGGGAGACAAAAAGCAATTCTATAATTAAGCTCTTTCAGGATGAGAAATTAGTATACAAAGTATGGTGAAAAACTCAACATGATGAATAGTTCAGGGATATTTTATGCTTTTTAAAACTTAATTTATAACTGCCCCATTAAAATAATGAAGAAAGTTAAGTAGATTCATATTGAGTAAACATTTATTAGAAATATATATAAACTACTGTAAGACAAAGTTTCACATATCTCATTAAATTATCATGTAAAATTCCTGTTAGAATTGATATTTCCATTGTGTCCTTATAGAAACTGGGGATCGGAAAGTTATATTGAACTGCTCATTGTCACTCCATAATCAAGTGTGTAAAGGGTCTTATAATACAGCTCTACTGAATTAAATCTTAGTCCACTTTTGGTTATATTTCTATTTTTTGCACAGAAGGATTTCATTGAATGAACAGTTACAAAGCACTAACGTGGTATCACTAAAGTAAAGAAATAAGACCTAGGTAATGATGCAAACACACACACACACACACACACACACACACACACACACTAGTTTTTAGGTAGCCATCAGCACTGAGTCTCTATCTACAAATACAGAACCTCATAAACAACATGATGAGCTTAGCTATACACAGCAGATGGAACACACACTTACCACAACTCCTTCCAAAAATCTCACTAAAATGAGAACAGGAAAATGAAATAAAAGGACCAGGGGAACTATTGGTAAACCAGAGAGGACAACAACATTTTGGAGCACAGAAAGCAGAAGAGAAGTTAGCAAGACAGAAAATAGAATATTAATATATTTTCTGAATCTGTGATGTCATTTATTATAAGATGCACCATTTGTTTGTTTCATTAAGGAAGAAAAATCACTGCCAATTATAACTGTTAAATTTATAGTGATAAATGTTCAGTTATCTATTGCTGCATAATAAGCCACACCAAATTTTGTAGCTTAAATCAACAATGTTTTCATTACTATAATTCACGGTTTTGGGAGCTGACTGGGTTGGCTGGCTCAGGGTTTCTCATGAAGTTGTCATGAGATGCAGGCTAGGGATGGGGTCATCTCGAAGTCTTCACTATCACGGATGGTGATTAATGCTAGCTGTCATCTAGGACTTCAGCTGGGCTTATTGGTCAGGACACATACATGTGGCCTCTACATGTAGCCCTGGCCTCTTTACAACATGGTAGCTGAGTTGCGAGATCAAAGATCCCAAGTGAGACAGCTAAGCAGAAGCTATATCTCTCTTTATAATCTATTTCAAGTCACATAGCCTCACTTGCACCTTACACTGCCAGTTGAGGCAGTCACAAAAGTTCAACCAGTTTCAGTGAGAAAAGATGTACATTCCATGTCTTGTTGGCAAGGTAATAAAAACATAGGTCATAATAAACATAGGTCATAAACAAGGTCGTAATAAAACATGGCAAAGTCATAATAAAAACAATACATGTGAGATAGAAGATACTTTTACAATCATCTTAGGAAAATACAAGCTGCCATATTGCCAATAACTGTAATACAGTTCCCCATGTTCAAAAATGTTAAGATATGAAAAAAATTATCTAATAATTAATGAATGTAGTAATTACCTATACTTAAGGAAGTATCAAATGAGAAGCAAGGCAAGCCCATCTTGCAGAATCTTAGCTCAGGCATTTGAGGCATCAGCTACCTCAGAAGTTCCTATAAGGCTTGGAATTGGTTGAAAGTTTGAAGAAGTAGTTAGATTCATGAAACTCTCTCTTTATCCTCTGTATCTGTGTAGCTATCCCTCTCACTCATAGTGGGAGAAAGCTTGCTATGTAGAGAAATTAATGTCAAGATTCTCCAAGATAAGCAGCACAATAATGATAATAGAGATATTAACAAATCTCTGCACATTAAATAATGAGACCCTCATCCTTCTTCTTAGCTCCCAGAATTTTGTTAATTTTGTTATGGAGTTTTATGCTTTATTCTTTCCACTGCATTGTCATTTATAGATAGTGGATTGGAAGATTCTTCTCTGGAAATACAAGGATGATAACGAAGCACATAATGGGCCTAGAAAGTGCACAGAAAGATATGCAGATAAGAATATTTGAGTTCACTGGGGCAAAGAGTGTTTAGTTCCTGTCTCAATCACGCAACAGTGATACCTTGCTCACCTAGAGCTTCTAATCATCTCGTTAGTGCTTTCACTTGAAATTAGAGTGGGTACTCAGGAATCAACAGGCATATATGGGAAATGTCACCATGGAAGAAGGAGATTGAAACAAATAATGGAGGGAGCTTGCCGTGAACAGGGACAGAGAGCAGGAAAAATCTCAACACGAAACAGACAAATCACACTGAATTTTTAATGTTGGAAAGATAAGAGAAGATACAACATTCCTAAAATAAGAGCAAGGTAATATACAAAGGAAATAATTAGAGAACAATATATATATCTTGAAAAGACAGCATCAATTAAAAATTCAACAGAAATATCAAAGAAAGTAGAATCAAAAGGCCAATATTTTTAAAAGTAGAAAAAAGGGCATATTTCTTAAATAATAAATGACAATCTGGAGGTCCATCATCTGGCTAACATAAATTCAAGAAAAAAAAAGAAGAGAAAGAAATTTTAAAGGGGGAATTATCAGAGAAATAGTGCATGGAAATTTCTCAGAATTGAAGACCCATTGGTGTTCAGAACAATTTAAAAGAAGGGAAAAAGGACCCATACTAAGTCCTATCATCATAAAATGCCTGAAACTAGAATAAATTAAAATTGAAATATTCCCATGGAGACAATAACATGTCACACATAAAGGAAGGAGAAGTAGAATGGAAATTGACATCTTAAGCAAAACTAAAAACTACATAAGAATAGAGTAATTCCTTTTAAATTCTGAAAAAATATTCCAACATGGGATTTTATTTTTTTATTTTTTATTTTTTTGAGATGGAGTTTTGCTCTTGTCACCCAGGCTGGAATACAGTGGCGCAATCTCAGCTCACTGCAACCTCCACCTCCCGGGTTCAAGTGATTCTCCTGCCTCAGCCTCCTGAGTAGCTGGGATTACAGGCACCCACGACCACGTCAGGCTAATTTTTTGCATTTTTAGTAAAGACGGAGTTTCATCATGTTGGTCAGGCTGCAAACATAGGATTTTACATCTAGTCAAACTATCAAATATGAGAGTAGAATAAATATATTTTCAGACACGTTAACTTTCAAACCACAGCGGACCCTTGAACAACACAGGGGTTAAAGGTGCTGAACCCTGTGCAGCCAAAAATCTACGTATAACTTTTCACTCCCCAAAACTTCACTATGAATAGCCTACTGTTGGCCTCACTGGTAACATAAACAATCAATTAACACATATGTTGTATGGTATATGCGTTATATACTGTGTTTGTATAATAAAGTAAGCTAGAAAAAAGAAAATGTTAATAAGAAAATCATAAAGAAGAGAAAATCTATTTATTATCCATTAAGTTGAAGGGGATCATCATGAAAATCTTCATTCTCATCATCTTCACATGAGTACACTGAAGAAAAGGAGGACAAAGAGAAGGAGTTGGTCTTGCTGCCTCAGGGGTGGTAGAGGTGGAAAAAAATTCACTTATAAGTGAATCCACAGAATTCAAACGCGTGTTGTTCAAGAGTCAACTATACTTACTGCTAAGGCACCTTTTCTTAGGCGACTATTCTAGCATCTCAAAATGTGTTCCATCAAAACAAGAAGATAATCAAGAAAGAAGACCAAGAATCCAGAAAGAATGGGTTTGTCTTGAAGAAGGGAGAAAAGAAAAGAGAAATCCCAGCATGAGAGCAGCATACCTGGCCTGACATACAAACTGTTGAAACTGGAGTAGCAAAAAACTGGAGTTGAAACTGGAGCAGTACCTCCAGCGGGAATAAATAAGTAGATGATCTAATGTGTTTGGCCCTCTAAGAAAGAGGACTCAAAAGTCATTTGATAATTTTTGAAAAATTTAAGAAAAATTAATAATAGGGACATAAAAAGTTATGGAAAAATTAATTTTAAAAATCATTTAAACCTTAAAACAAAATATTACACAAGAAAGGTAACTGGAACATAGTGCTTGACTTGGATGACGAGCAAATAATAATTACTTAGCATCTATAAGGCAAACATTAAAATTTGCTTTCTGAACTATTTTGATACAACTTTATTGGGTGAATGAAATAATGCAAAGTAGATGGTGAAGATATTTGGGTGTTAAGTCTTCATTATAGAAGACAATGAAGAATATTTAAAACTAATAAACCAAGAAATAGATTAATTTGTTACTGGAATTAAGAAAGCAGAGGAAAAAGAAGAGGGTTGCTGTTGTTTGCATTTAAGTCTTATTCATTATTACTATTTATTTTATTTTATTTTTTACAGTTTCCTTTTCCTTCAACTTTTATTTTAAGTCCCAGGGTACATGTGCAGGATTTGCTGGTTTGTTACATACGAAACATGTATCATGGTGGTTTGCTGCACAGATCATCCCATCACCCAGGTATTAAGCCCAGCATCCATTAGCTATTCTTCCTGATGCTCTCCTTCCCTGCACCTCACAGGCCTCAATGTGTGTTGTTCCCCTCAATGTGTCCATGTGTTCTCATCTTTCAGCTCCCACTTATAAGTGAGAACATATGGTGTTTGCTTTTCTGTTCCTGCATTAGTTTGCTGAGAATAATTGCTTCCAGCTCCATCCATGTTCCTGCATTATTTTGCTGAAAATAATGGCTTCCAGCTCCATCCATATCCCTGCAAAGGACATGATCTCATTCCTTTTTATGGTTGTATAGTATTCCATGGGGTATATGTACTACATTTTTTTAATCCAGTCTATCTTGGCATTATGTAGATAAAATTAATAATCTTTATAAATATAAGGAAAAATAAGTCTTTCAATTTAAAGAAATAGTGTCTAAATCCCCACTCTTCTACTTATAACCTATGTACTCACAGACAAGGTATTTTCTTTCTATAGTCTCAGTTTGGGGTATTTAAAATGAAGAAAATAATAGCAGTTACCATGTATAGCATTTATAACTTGCTACACTAAACACTTAAATACATTATTTAGCTTAATCATCACAAAACTTCCATAACTTTTCCTGTTCTTTTTATTCCCATCTTATAAATGAGAAAAACATGTTATCACAAAAAGGTTGGATAATTTGTCCAAGTTCATGTAACAGGTAAGTGATGAAAATGGAATTTGAACTCAGGCAGCAAAATGGAAGAAATATGTCCAATCCTTGCTATTGCAAAGTTAATATGAATTTAAATAAGAGCACTTATTAGTGTATCATTACAAACAGTAAATGTTCAATAAACACTTGCAAATGAGTGAGAATGTTCATGTAACAACTTCATTATGTGCATAAAACACATATAATATACACATTATAATGCTGATGTCTTGAACCCACACAGTTGTTAACGAGGCATTGCCAGGACTTTAGTGTATGATTTTGAAACATATTGAAATCTATAGGCACACAATCACCAAGATCTCTACAATTTAATAGATCCTACAATAATGACAGTTTTCTGTATTAACTTATTCTGTGGCCTAATTTTTAAGAGTTTACAGATTGTGAGGGCTATTTTTCATCCTGAAAGTCTGGGCAGGTCAAGAAATTTCTACTGTTACGTAACAGCCAGAAATTATGTTTTTTTATATACGTGCTTCAAGAAGGAAACACCTTTGTCAGTTCTTCTCATCTTTTTACTGGATCAATTTCCCTATTGATTATGCTAATATGCATCACATCAGACATGCCACCTAGAAGCTGGAATGTCTAGAATTGAAAGTCTGTGAGAGGGTATGAATGGATTTCTTATCACCCTGTTTAGGTCGTCCTTTTTACAATATTTTCATCAGTCTTTGAAGGAGAGTCTTATCAAAACCAGTTCAGATTTTATTTCAGTCAATAGTTAATTACCATATATCCATAAAAGTTCTGCTATTAGATTTTTAAAATCCTAAATGCCTCAAAGATCTTAAAGAATGGCAAAAAAAACTTCAAGGTTTTTAAAGATGAAAAGCCAATAAGAAATATTTTTTTTAGCCACACATAGTCTTAGAGCTCAAGATAATTGGCTTTTTAAAAAAGATTTAAAAAGAAATACTGAAAGGAGTTTGATCACTGGCAAGACAGATTTGTTTAATGGGCCAGCCAGATTCAGAAAATTAAGTTGAAACAAAGAACTCTTAATTCTAAATTCAGTGTTTTTTCAACTATATCATATTGTCTGCTATTAAAAATAACTCAGCGAACATAATGAATTGTAGCATCAAATTAGAGTAAAGATTATGAAATTTGAATATTGATAAATAGTACTATCACTGGTTGCTCATATATGTAACCATGATACCTTGTTCAGAAATCCCAGAAGCTTAAAACAGAAATCTAACTTTTAGCAAGGTTTCCATTATCAGACATGCAAACCAATTTCTCATTGCTGTTCACAAGTTACCAAACTCTAAAAGTTGATTTTGTTTTCATCTGAGCTTAGAAGAGTTTGATTTTAACAAAGAAAACAGACCTAAGAAAATAAGCTTGATTTTAACAGGACAGATATTAGGGAAGCTTACTTCATTTTTTTTTTAATGGGAGTATCCACACTACCAGAAGTTTCTTTTGAACGGATCTTGGCATTGTTTATATGATGCACATTTTAATGCATACTGATTTTTACTTCTTTCAGGCCAAAAAACAAATAATTCTGTAATTTCAGCATAATACATTAGGTATACTGAACTTGAAGTAGTTTTTGGTTTATTTCTTGCTGGTTGTAAATGGCTGCTGTATTCTATTTTTATAAAAATGATTTATTTATTAACCTAATGATTTATATATTAGTCAGCAATTTTCATAATTACATCATGGGTCAGTTCTTTAATATATTGAACCTCATTCTGTCCTTAGTAATAAAAGCATTATTATTTTTTCTAGTTGACTTTGCACCTGTACATTACCATTATTATAGGCCATTATTTACCACTTAACTTGGTAGTCAAAGTTTAGTAGTGAACTACCATCCTTTAAAGAGTGTAGTCTGAATCAATCAAGTTAATCACATGCAACTGTGATTGTGCTTACCAAGAAACCAAAAAAAAAAAGACAAAAAAAAAAAAGAAATTGTGCAAGCGTTTTCAAAATGTATCTGCTTTGAGACAACATGGAATAAATAGTGTAGGTAGAGTGACCATAACATTGGGATCACATTTGAACATGGTTGATCACCCTGAATGGCTTCAGATAAATGAACACTGATATTTAAGCAAGTGATTCCTTTGCTCAAATGATTATAGAAAGAAGAAAATGAGACACTGAAAAGAGTTCAAAAGGATGGTATTTGATTTGGTTCAGATCCCATCGAAATATTACCATTGTTACTGTTTGGGAACATCTCATGATGGGAGAATCTATTGACCAAAGAAGTGATAGGTTTAAAGTACTATCCTAACATAGAGAAGGTTGCTTGGGGATTCACACTGTAAATTGGCTTGTAGCTTTGTAACTTGGTGGTATTATTCATGTGAGGGAGACACAGGAGCAGTCCAGAGAAGCATGAAGATTGCATCATAGTGCTCCACAGTATGCCTTTGTAATTTGTATACAAGTCGATGGAAGAGCACTGAATCAAGAAAACTTAATTTTGACAGGTCTGATATATAGTCTATTTTGGTTAACCAAAAGGAACACATACATTTACTACATTAGAGAAATTTCCATTATTTTTCTCTCAGCCATGAAAATCGATTTTGATATGATTACACTCAGGGCTGCTTGATCTGCCTCTGACAGGATAAAATGGTTAGAGACAGTGGGTGGCATAGCATGTGGGATACTGTGGTTTGGCTGGACTCTGTGACAAACTGATCACAGTGAAATTCAAATATCAATTAGGATAATTTGCATGAAAATGAACATAAGACAAAATACTATGCTATATGTAAACTGTAAGAAAAAATGTTTTGATACATCAAGTAACCAGGTATTTTCATAATTTCACTTTTACTGTAAGTTTTATTTAGAAAAGTACAAGGATATCACTAGTTGTGACCCATAAATATATTTTATCTCCTTAATAAAATTATTGAGCTTTTATATTTAAGGCATTTATTTAAGAAATCTTTATTGAACTACAGATTTGGTTTTTTAAGTAAGAATTAGAGACTATGTGGTAGCTGGCAATTTTATTTCTGAGCACCCCAATACAAGGTGCTTTGCTACATATCTGGGATACAATCATAAACGAAGTAGACAATACTTGTTCTCATGGAGTGTAAAGTCTAGCTGGGAATTCAAACAAGTAAAGAGTGATTATAACAAAGTGTGACAAGTTCTACAATAAAAGAAACATAGTGTTTCATAGGAGCATCTAGAAGGGATGTCTAATCTAGTATAGTGTTCCAAGATTTACTGAAGGAAGTTATATCTAAATTGAACCAAGGAGGAATGAATAGACTCTGTTTGGTAGAGGTTAGTAAGAAATGGAGACTTAAGATGAGGGTAGGGATCTGGGAGGAAGGAGGATATCCCAAATAGAAAATGGCATACCCGTGGTTCTAGAGGGGAGAGTGTACATGACAAAGAGAAACAAGATGAAGTATTTTTACTGCCTGCAATGTAGAATGTGAGCAGAGGAATATTGAGCAGTAATGAGAAATAAGATCAGAATGCAAGCGATGGTCATTTTATGTGGGCACCATAGGAGAAAACCTTGACAAGGGGCTTGGACTTTTATCTGAAGGAAAGAGAGGTCACTGGATGGTTTCAAGCAGCAAATATATATATTTAGACTTGCACTTTAAATACATGGAAAGTATGGATTAGACGTGAATCAAATTGAGAGAAGGAGAAAGTTAAGGGATTGTTTAAGTAATGTAAGCAGGAGATTATGGTCATCTTAACAGGAATATTGCAAACGGGGATGGAGAAAAGTAGTACAGTGTAAACATTTTTGACTTTTTGTTTGTTCATTTGTTTGGAGGATAAATATGCAGGGATATGTATAGTCCTATAAATATATATGTACAGATACATAAATGTATATGTATGTCCTATAAATTAGGACTGAAGATAAACTAAGGCCTAAAAGCTAGACAGACACCACAGTTGCTGAAGTTCAATGATTGAAGTCCCTTGGGGAATTATTAATAGCAATGATGCCATTGGGAAATGGCAGGAGGTTGGGAAGGAGAACTTGAGTCTAGATTATCAGAAAGGGCTGAAATACTCACAAGTTTCTGGCATTCATTGGCTTCTAGCACAAAGCTTCCTAACCCTTAATTTATGGTCATTGAACTTTCACTGTTTAAGAAACACATAGTTCAAGATTCCCAAAAGAGGAAAGCAAGCCATTATGTCTAAGGATCATCATAAAGGAAAACTAGAAATAAAAATGAGAAATAAAGTCAAAAATCTCTGCAGCTGATGTAAATGTCAGACACAGAAGATAAAAGAATACTCTATATGCGACACAATAAAACAAAAACTGCTGTCTTAAAGGTACTCAGTCAGTTTATTAGAAATAAAAAGATACATTTTGGATTATGTAACTTCTAAAATTAAGCATATATTGGTTGAAATAAAAATTTTGACTAAACAACTGAATGGATACAGCTAAAGAGAGAATTAGAGAACCAGTATACATATTCAACAGTAGTCAATAGGAAGCAGAGAAAAAAGATGGAAAATATGAATGAAAGGTTACAAGATATAAAGGATAATACAAGTAATTTTAACAAACACATAATTTAATCCCAGATGAAGAGAATAGAGGAGAGGCAATACGTAAAGAGATGAAAATCGATTTTCCAATATCAATGAAAATATGTATCTATGAATCTAGGAATTGGAATGTTCCTCAAGCAGGATAAATATAAAGGAGTCAAAATTGTAACATATTGTAGTAAAACTTTGGAAGAATAAAGACAAAAAGAAAACTTTAAAAGCAGTCTAAGAGACATAGCTAATGTTCAACAATGTTAGCTATTTTGAATATTGGTGTATTTAACTTATCAGACTGCTTCCTGAACCCCAGACGGCATGAGCAGCTTGTATACAATTCACACATGATGACCCAAATCAGGAGTTGAATAAGCTTCCTTTTCTTCTCTTGATTTAGCATTATCTCTTGGGCATGTCTCTGAACTAGGCTCTCAGGTAATTGTTTCCATATGCTATCTCTTTCTGTCCTCTTGATAAACCTGTGAGGGGGATACTCACTTGAAAGAGGGAGATGCTGGAGCTTGAGGGGCATTTGTGATTTGCCCAAGGTCATACATCTAAGATGTGACATAATAGGGACAGAAACCCCGGACTTCCAATTCCACATTTATTTTCCTCTGAACACTGGCTCTTGTAGTGATTTGCCTTTTATTTCTTGTTCCTGAGTCCTACATTAGAATGTTTTCAATGTATAAAGTAGAATATAATAATTGTTCATTCTAAAATAAAAATGATTTAAATAATTTAAAAAAAGACAAAGAGAAATAACATATAACCAACAAATAGATAAATAGGGAGCATCATTGGAAGCCAGCAAGCAGTAGCAAGAGAGTTGCTGATGGAAATGACTGCTAACTTAGAATCATATTATCAGCAAAACCATTCTTGAAGAAAAGTGTGAAATAAACCATATGAAAATAAACAAAAGTGAGACATTATGACAAAAAAAGCTGAATGAAAGAAAATTTGAAAGAATATATTTAACATAGAAGGAAAATAAAACTAAAATGTGCCACATGTTTTGTATATTATGCAAGTCAGAAGGAGAGTGATCTAATTTAGAGAGTTCTATAATTCTGAAATTATTACAAAAGAGGATTAAGATATTGTTTAGTTTGTGACTTACTAAAACTAAATTTGCATGATAAAATTTCAGGGTTATACAAACTAAAAAGATGAAAAAAATAATAATGTGAGGAAAAAACATTAGCTAAACTTTTTTAATGTAAGTAGCATGGTGATAGGGAGACTCATATAAATTTAAAAGTAAGATGGTAGAAACAGACCCAATTATGTTTTAATAAAAAAATTTATAAATGTATTATGATCAAGAAGAGACAGTGATTATCAATTTGGATTTTTAAAGTGTCACTATATGCTGTTTACAAAGACATGGCTAAAAATTAAAGACATGGAAAGGCTTAAAGAAAAATAATTTAAAAAATACAAAACAAATACTAACTTAAAAGAAAGTGGACATAACTATCTTAATAGAAGAAAAATATATCTTAAGGTCAAAAGTATGTTTATGGATATAAATTGTTATCAGATCAGGATAAAAGGCTATATTTACCATGATTCTCTAACAATTCTATGTTTCTATGCTCCTAATAAAACTATCTCCAAATAAATAAAACAAAATATTGAAAAAGCTACTTTAAAAAGTTAACAAATCCTTCATCCTTGTGTCAAATTTAACATGTTTATCAATTCTTGATAGATAAACTGGAAAATATGAGTATAAATACAGAAAACTTGAAGACTATTAAGAATCTAGAATTAACAGACTTATATAAACTCCTTCAACCAAGAATAAGAAAATGTACATTATTCTCAAACACCTGAAGCATTTACAAAACCTGTGCACTGAGTCATAATGTAGGTTTTAATACATTTCCAAATATGGTCAATATAAATGGTCAAATTCTCTGATCACAAGACTATTAATAACGAAAGAGTTATTACACATACACACTTCTATTTAAGAGTAATAACTTACTATTCTTAAGTTGTTATAACCACATGTAGAAAACTACTGCATATTAAAGCTTTTACTTAGAAGGAAATACACTAAGTGCTTATATATAAAAAAGAAAAGCTGTGCAACTTTTCTTTTTTGTTGCATAAATGTGCAACAAAATGTGCTAAGTGTGCAACTAAAGAAGGTAAGCCATAATCAACCTAACAGCAGAATTAATAAAATATAAAATTATTTTAAAATATTTTTTAAATATAAAAATGTTATTTTTTGAAGACATTAATAAAATAGATAAATCTCCCGGAGGATTTATCAAAGAAAAAAAAAGTCTAAATAAATAATAATATAAATGGAAAGGGTGATATAACTGCAAATGCACGAAACTTAAAAAGGTATTAAATAAGAAAGAAGTGTTGGGAATGAGGTTCTTAATAAGTATGCCATTCAATGAGTTAAGAAACACATTACGAAAAAGAGACTTGGGAAACTATGTTCAGACATTGGATTTGTGGGCTTTCTGGGTCAATCAAATAGCGGTATCAAATAGCCAGTTTACATACAAGTTTGAAATTCAAGAGAAAGAGCTACAGGTAGAGGCAATAAAAAACAGGTAAAATGTATTAAGCACTTTTTAACATGTCACTGATTCTCTTAAATAATGTACACACGCTTACTTAATTAGAGTATAAAAGAAATTATTTTCAACAATTTTTTACAATAAACTGATCTGAAGCTTAGACTAGTTAAATCATTTCTCTATCAGATATCCAGAAAGTAGCAAAGTAAGAATTCAAACCTTGAGCATAGGTCTCCTTGTCTTTAAAAATTTATGTTTTTAAACACCATCCCACTCTTCCTCATCTGAGCTGGAGACTTATAGATTGGGACCTATCAGGTTATAGATGGAAACTGCGGCCTTGAAAGCAGAAAATTGTAGCCAGGGAAATTATTTAAAATATGAAAGTAAAAGAGTTTACAGCAGCATTCTGAAAATTGCTAATCATTAAAGGGTAGGCCAAGGAGAAAGAGGAGCTCACAAAAGACACAAAAATGAAAGGGTCAGAGAAGTACAAGGTAAGTAAGGAGAGTGCAGTAACAGAAAAGTCATAGGGAGAGGGCGTTTCAAGAAAGGAGAAGCAGTCAATAGTGTCAAACTCTGCCAAGTGTTCAGGTAGATAAAGCCTGGAAATTATTTATTGGATTTAACTACAAGGCCATCATCACTGACATTGACAAGAGCAGTTTCGGCAGAGTTGGAAAAGCAGAATCCAGATTTTGGAAGGTTGTGGAGTGAAAAGGAGAAACAGAAGCAGAGATCAAATTCAGACTTCTCTGATAAGTTTGATTGCGAATGGGAAGAGAAAAATATGTGAGCTACCGAAGGAAAACATGGAGTGAGTGTGTAAATGCAGGTTAGAAGTGAATATAATAGTAGGTTTGAAATATACAGGAGTGCAGCAATGATTTGTCAAACACTTTTATTGTGCTTACTCTTCTAAGGTCTTTTATAAATATTATTGTTTTCAATTCTCACAACTCTGTGAAACAGACATATTTCATATCCCCATTTTATATTTAAAATATAAGCCTGAATAGGATAAGTCACCTGCTCATTGTCACACAGTCATTTAGTGAGAAGCCATGGTTCAAACCCAGGCTGTGACTGACAACATTAAACCAATTACCTACAGATAAACAAGAAAGCAAAGCCTTTGAGGAGAAGGAGCCATAGGGAGTCAGTAAACAAGTTGAGAGGTGAGCTTTGAACGGGAGGGGAGGACATTAATTACTTTGCAATTAAATGAAAGACACAATATTGTGCAGAAGCAAATACGCTCGATGCTGTGGTAGCTGAAAGTTCAGGGAGTTTTCATTAAAAGGATTCTGTTCTTACCGTGAGCTTGTCATTTAAGGACATCTGTGAGAGATGATGGGGCTAGAGATTCGATGCAAATGGAGATGGTTTGACATGTGCCATAGAGAAATGGAAAATCGAGTTTATTATGCACACAGTAGGACTGCAGGGCAGCTACAAAAATCATTTTATATTAATGACTACAAAGTATTGACAATAGCAGCATGAAAGGTTGTATGTTATTCTTCTTTCAGCTTAGAAGCTCAGGGCAGTACTTTTCAAAGAGGCCTTAAGCTTTACCCATGAAAAAAAATGAAAGTGATCATAAAAGAATGGAATTGAGACTATTGGGAAAAGGGTAATTTGAAGTGATGAGACTTGGAATCCAAGCTGGGTAGAAAAGTCATTGAAGAAAGAAACGAGAGTAGAGACATAAATACCCCAGGGCAGTGGTTCTTAACCTGCCTACACAGTGCTTGGGTTCACTAGAGCCTAAATGTGAAGTGCAGAGATTGTAAAATAATTGTTCTTTCATAGGACAAAAAAGCATCCACATTGTCTTAAAGACCCTCAAGTGACTTGAATGTGTGCCAGTCAACGCCTTGGGTGTTCCAATTAGGTGGAAGAAGTGATGCAAGAGAGATGAGTTGAGGAGCTGCAGGAATGGGGGATTGGGAGAGAGAGTGAAGCCATTGAGTTAATTATTTCAGAGATACGACTTTTTCTGATGAGGATAAAATTTCAGTGGCAGCCAGCTTATGGCTCAAATTTGTGGCAATGGCCAGGAATGTATGCATCCTCTGTGTGGCTCAAGAGTTACCCTGTATAATAGTGGGAATTTGATGAAAAGGAAGAGTGAGAACTAAGGGTCAAGGTCTTTAGTTGAGTGAGAAGATTAACTCAGATGTTTGTGGATGACCCCAGGAAGGAATACAGATGATTCAGCCAGATGACATGTACTTCAAAGAAGTAGGTTTTAGTTTCACTTTTGTTTGTTTTTTAAATGGAGATTAATGCATAAGAGTCAGAAGAAACACGATAAGGGTAGTAGGATTCTCAGGTTATATTTTGAGATGTTTGCAAAAGTGTAGAAACAGGAGCTGCCATTTAAAAGAGAAAGTGGAATCCTCTAGAATGGGACAAATTGCAGTTAAGATCGAGAAAAAAAATTAAGATCTGAAAAAAATGTCTGGATTGATATGTAGCTTTATAAAAATTATAGAGGATTAATCTGGAAAGGAAGGAAATAAAGACTAGTTATTAACAAGAAATTAATGGGATGAGAATTTTTTTTTTTATTATACTTTAAGTTTTAGGGTACATGTGCACATTGTGCGGGTTAGTTACATATGTATACATGTGCCATGCTGGTGCGCTGCACCCACTAACTCGTCATCTAGCATTAGGTATATCTCCCAATGCTATCCCTCCCCTCTCCCCCCACCCCACCACAGTCCCCAGAGTGTGATATTCCCCTTCCTGTGTCCATGTGATCTCATTGTTCAATTCCCACCTATGAGTGAGAATATGCGGTGTTTGGTTTTTTGTTCTGGGATGAGAATTTCTTGGAAGGGTAGATAATTGGACAGATTTAAACATTCACATTGCAATCAGATAAGGCATAGAAGCACCTTACCACATAATGCTTCTAATAATTTTAAAAGCAGTTTTTTTATCATTGCATTTTGTGTCATTTATTGTATTGTCCAGGAAAATAATCTGCCTATTAATATAATGAACATAATAAGCCATTATGCTTAAATTTGGGGGGCCCAGTCCATTCCATCATCTTATATTATTTATTTAATATAATACTAGGCAAAATTTGTAGTGTTTTCTTAAGGATCTTTATATCTATAATCTTAAGCACAGTCACTCTATGATGTGTTTTTAGTTTTGAAGGTTTATAGATCAATCTTTTCTAAGCTTCGTAAAGTATTATCTATGTTCTAAAACAGTTTAAATAAGAAAAGAATAATTTTGACATAACTTTTTCATAAAATCATCTAAACCATCTTCCACTGTCACAATTTTTGGGAGATAATTTTTTTAAGTTTTGTAATTGTAATTGGTCTTACATGATTCTCATGTTAATTTTGATAATTAATATAATTTTTAAATATATTTTGCAATTTGTTTTTTTCCAATTTTTAGTTTACAGTAATTTTACACTAAAAGTAACATTGTGTTTTTAATCTAATACTTCTTACTTCGAATGCTTCATAGGTAATTTTCCTCACTTTTATTTCCTTTCTCAATTAACACTGCAAGGCTTGACTATTGTATTTTTTCAAATTATATTTTACATGCATTTTTCATTCTTGTACCTCTTGTTTATATAATTCATTCCCTTCTAATTTTTATTAATACCTTTATATTACTTTACTCATTTAATTTTTCATTTGCTTTGTTATGAGTTCTTGATCTGAACATTTACTTTTTAAAATATCCATTATTTCTTGCTTAAAATATGTGCATGTTGGTTTATATATTTCTCTATAGATGGAGATTTGCTGCATTTTATTAATATAACATGTGGCAGTCTCATTTACATTGCATTCTATGTCATTGTCAGGGCAAATTTAATTTGTATTGACCTCAGAGTTATTTATGATATTTTTATTTGTTTTTCTAGCATTTTAAACATGTTTTTCTATTAATATCTAGTTTTGTTGCATTATCATATAATATGGCTCATAGACTTTTTAAAAAATTTACCTAGCTTTTCAATGGTAGCCTACTACATGTTCAGTTCTTCTAAAAAATTTGTGATTAGCAAGGTTTAGCAAATTAGCGAATTTGCTATTTGTAGGGTAGAATGTTTAGCCTAAACATATACTATATTACATATAATAAAGTAGGATATAATAAAATGTTATGATATATAGTAATATATAATAGCTTACAAAATCATACGTAGTATATAGTATAAATTCATAGCTTTTATATCCTGATTAACTTTGGCTAACAAGATTTGCCAGAGACTTAAATGAGTGTGCTATTGACTCCCATTAATATTACATTTTAACTACACCTCCATGTATTTGGAGCCAATTTTATTTGATAGCTAACACTTATATTATTGCAAATTGTACTTATTGCTATAAAATGGCTATTTTTTCTTATAAAATGCTTTTGCCTTAAATTTTATTTGATGGATATTAACACTGTGACCTCTGCTTATCTGCAGTTTAGGTTTACCTGAAAATATATTTACTCCTGCTTTGTTTATAATCATGTAGTTTCACTTAGCTGTAAGTGTTTCATTTTAAATTCAAGCCATCGGGCAAGGCTTGCAATTCTGCCAGGGCCCTTGCAACCGAGTCTCTGAGCCTTTGCTCTGTTGCTCCTGCAATCTACAGGATCTTCTTCTGAGGTTTTCCTGTACTGCAAACTTCCCTTACAATACTAATTTTGTCAACTTCCATCCTTAACCATATTTTCTCTACTTCATTCACATTTTTCTCAAGGCCACTATATTATGGCATTCATATTTTACATATGTCTTCTCACAGTAACTCTGTATTCCATGAAGATAGGAATGGTGACTGTAATGAAGTATCCAATAATAGAGGACAATTAATGCTTACGAAACAAATACATGAATCAATGAGTAGATGGAAGCTTCTGTAAGCATCTACAACATCAGGAAGTGATGAGGTTTCTTCCTTGAAGGTATGCCAGCAGTAACTGGATTATATATATTCTATTTTATCTAGTACATTATATTTACACATGAATTGTGTATTTTATATATTTATTACACACATATATAAACTCTTCAATCTTTATATGTATACATACAGTGTGTGCATACACACCCCCCCCCCACACACACACAGACATACACACACACACATATATATACACTCTTCCATCCATTTATCTCTCTACCATCTATTCATATATCGACTCCTCTAAAGTATTTTCCAATCCAGAAAGCTCTATATGAAGACATATTTGTATAATGAAAAGTTTTAATTTTTGTCTTAGGAAACAAAGTTTTCAGGGAATCTTTTGTTTCTCATAGTATTCTCCTTCCTTTATTATTGTTTTCCAGAGAAATCATCTTTTTTCTCTTTTAAAAACATATCAAGCCATGAACACTTTCTACTCTATTATTTTCTAAGCCATTTATAAAATCGAGAAACTTCTACTTATAAGTAAAAAATCCTTATTGCTAACCTTGTAACTTATTACCCTGAGTCTTATGTGGACTTTGTGTATGGCAGTAGATATAAAATTCCTGAGACAAGTTTCTACAGTTCATAGGCACTTATTCGGGTCTCCAAATAAGGTAAATGAAGAAACTAGCCAACAAAATTCTGTAAACGTCAAACCTGAATGAACTGTTTTAATATCCAATAAATATTGATTTTATGTTGTGTAACTGTACTACTCTTTTAAATTAAAAATACTGTTTGGTCTCTCAATACCCATATCAATGGATATGTTTTCCCTTGATAGGCACATATTAACATTAATGAGAATTATGTTATGGATTAGAAACAAAAAGGAAATTATCTCCTTAAAGTTATACATTTTGTACGGCATGCAAATCACATCATTGAATAGGAGTTTATTCATTCAGTTTTGCTTGTGTGCCCATAAATGTATCCCTTGAAATTAAGAGTTTTTATGTATCTCTGTATGTTTGGGCCATTTTTACCTTTTGACTCCTTAGGAGTTTTCTTTTATCTACCTCATTCTGCATATTTGAAAAGATATAAATATACTAGATGGCACTATCATGTTTACCTGTGGTTTGACAGTAAGTATCATCGAATAGATTCACTCCCTCTGCTAACATTTCCTGTTCCTTCTGTTGACCCAAGTAGATAGACATGGTCTGGCTCAGTTGACAATAGCGTAAACTATTTCAAGTCTTAGAGTAAAGACTGCTAGAAATCGTAGACTTTGGAACACAGTAGAAAGAATTCTCTTTTTGTATTCTAGTCCTGGCATTGTCACTAATTGTGTGAACTTCCATGTCTCTTCACCCCTGAGTCTCAAACTCTTCAATAGATTAAACAAGAAGGTTGTAATGGAGAAATTGGAATCTCAATGGGGTTTTCAGAGATAATACAATGAGAAAACTAGTGACAGGCAAGTGGAGGTGTTCTAGGCATAGAGGAGGGAAGAAGAGTGCTACAAGGTAGAAATTCACTGGGGATATTAACCAATGTGTTTAGTAATGAAAAATCAGGTAAAACATTTTACTGTGGGCCAAACTGTGGAAATGTGAATTATTTCATTAAGTTTTTTAACCTGGCTTATTTATATCTCCATATTTATCCTTTCATATTTTTTGGACTTTGGCTTAATTTGCCTTTCACTTTCATCTATATCTTGTTCGACTTTTTCTTATTCATTTGCACTAACATTGTTTGCTTTGCTTTGTTCTTTTTCCAGTATTTCAGCTCCACAGTTCTGATGTGTACCTTTCCTCAGACACAAAAGAAAGAACTGTAACAAGTCACAGATATCCTTGATGTTCAAAATATGTTGTTGCTGAAAAATTTTAAAGGATTTTTCCAACAAAGTCCCATGAATTTATCCAATATCTCCCTGTAATGGCATGTGAATAAATGTACGATTTATTGTGTTATATTTGCCGAAGAGAAATCTGTCAAATGAGGATGTCTAGAGAGAGTAATAATGTTTTTATTCATCCATAAACTCACCAATCCATTTATTCATTAAACTGATATTTATGGAGCCCTTTCTGTGTGACAGTCACTACGCTAGGGGCTAGAGACATCGCCCTCATTTTCTAGACACTTAAGATCTAATATGGGAAATGCAGAGTAGACAAGCAAACACTGACTTAAATATATAATTATAAATTATGATAGATGTTATAGAGGAAAGAGCTACCTGCTATGATAGACTACCAGGGGTGGACATAACTTATACGAGGTAGTCAGCACAGGCTTTGATGAAAAGTATGTTCTTAATTACAAGCCATGGCTTTAACTTCAAGATAAGTAATTGTTGGGAAATACTGATCTCTCTTTGGCAACTATACTGACTGTTATTTTGCAAATCAAGCATTAGGCCATTTTTCCTTCCTTTTTTTGGTGATTTTTTGACTTTTCATTCATTCATTGATTCAATTCGACTTGCAGTGGAAGTATATCAGGGATCATCTTAATTTTAAGTTTTGACCTCAATATAGAAAAGCACATCTTCTTTTTTTTAATCTTCAGTAAAAATTTTTAGTCAGGACCTCTATTTATTCTTAAGAATTAACAACTTGCAATATCTACTTAGGCTTGTAGTTCATTTTTAGTGCCAATCATAATTACACAAACAACTGAACAGGAATTTGAGTTTCTATATACTCCCATTTTATTTATATTATTTCTACAGTTCTGCAAAATAGTTAATACTACTATTTGTTTTTGGCTGATAAGACTGAATCAAGACATTTTAGCAATCTTCTAAGATCAACAATGCAAAAATGGTAATGTAAAAAGTTAAATAATTGGTCGGGTGTGGTGGCTCATGCCTGTAATCTCAGCACTTTGGGAGGCCGAGGCGGGTGGATCACGAGGTCAGGAGTTTGAGACCAAACTGGCCAACATGATGAAACCCCGTCTCTACTAACAATACAAAAACAAAAAAAAAAAATAGCCAGGAGGCGGTGGGGCATGTGCCCGTAATCCTAGCTACTCCGGAGGCTGAGGCAGGAGAATTGCTTAAACCTGGGAGGTGGTGGTTGCAGTGAGCCAAGATCGCACCACTGCACTCCAGCCTAGGCGACAAAGCAAGACTCCATCCTGGGAAAAAAAAAAAAAAAAAAAAAAGTGAAATAATTAGCTATCTAAATTGCTAGACCTGTATTCTTTCCATTCACTTTGGTTGCTAAGTACTTCACATTTTTTTGTGTAAACTTTTTTTTTCTTTTTTTGAGACAGGGTCTTGCTCTGAGTAGCTGGGATTACAGGCATCTACCATCACGCCTGGCCAATTTTTGTATTTTTAGTAGAGACGAAGTTTCACCATGTTGGCCAGACTGGTCTTGAACTCCTGACCTCAGGTGATCCACCCTCCTAGGTCTCCCAAAGTGCTGAGATTACAGGTGTGAGCCACCATGCGTGGCCTTTTGTGTAAACTTTAGAAATGACCATTGTGGGTTGAATTGCATTTCCCCAAAATATATGTTGAATTTCCAACTACTAGGGCCACAGAATGTGACAATATTTGGAAATGGGGCCATTCTAGACCTAAGTGGTTAAGATCAGGTCATCCTGGAGTAGTGTGGGCTTTTCATTCAATATGACTATTGTCCTTATAAAAAGACAATATAAAAACTGACACATGAGGAGAGAACACCATATAATGACGGAGGCAAAAATTACTGTGTGCAGCTGCATGTCAAGAAATTCCAAAGATTGCCAGCAAATCACCAGGAGCTAGAGGAAGCAAGAAAGGATTCACTCCCATGGGTTTCAGAAGGAGAAGAGCCCTTACTGTTTGATGTAGAAGCTGATTTTTTGGAGTAAAGGTATCTAGAAAGAAGAGAAGATTATGTAATAGTAGTGCATAGTAGTACATGGGGAAACATACTCAAGTCAAATGCTCCTGGGAACTTGCCCACTTCCTCATCAGGTGCCTTATTATGCTTAGAGTGGGTCAGCCACCACTTCAATTTTGCCAGACGTTGACTCTGCAATAGGTGTCTTCATTGTTACCCTATTGGGAATGGCAGACACAGGGAGCTCCTTCCTTCTGGTATAAGGCAGAACAACTTAACCTTGTATGTAAGTATGAGTATGCTTAATTAAGTAAATTTGGTTTTTGTCAACAATACATTATTTTTCAGGGTCATATATTATTTCTTTATTCACATGTCATTTACTTAAAGAATTCTTTCCTGTCCATCTCTCTCACTCTCAGTTCCTATTACTTCTTATCTTGCCATCATAGCTTAACATTATAATTCTTTTCTTTCCTTTCCTCTTTCTCTTCCTCCTTCCTTCCCTCCCTTTTTTGCTTCCATCCTTCCATCCTTCCTTCCATTCATCCTTTCTTCCTTCCCTCCTTTCTTTTCCTTTCCTCTCTTCCTTCTTTCCTTCTCTTATTTTCTTATCTTGTCTTATTCAGGACTGAATACCTAGCATGTTGAATAGTGCCTGTGTCTGCAATAATATAGTCAAGAAGTACTGGTTAAATAATAAGGGTAAATATGTACATTGTAGGGGAAAGACATATACATCGTTATATTCCATTAAACTATAAACTGCCAGAAACATTATAGGAATTTGAATCGATAAGACCATGAAAAAGTTCAAACAATCTAGCAAAGAATTTACACCAGCCATGAGATATTCACAGCAAAAATAATGTTTATGATGCTTGTGAGCAACATAGATGAACCAAGCATCTTATAGGCCAATGGTAAGTAACTAACACAGTAATGCTACTCTTGGTGGACAAAAATGCCCACAAACTTGTGACTAGGTCTCAAGTTTTGGCAAAATGAGAAAAATGGGTAGACTTGAAAGAAATACAACTTACTTTAACATGATTCTTACCTTGAGTTCCCATGTATTTAAAACTAGTTTTCTGGAAGGTTTCAAAAGATTGTCAAAATGGTCCACTGCACAAAAAACAGGTAGAAACCTCTGCGCTAGAGTGACCTCTGATGGCGGTGATGGGCAGCCCTAATGATGTATATCTGTGCCGCTAGTGAAGGCATAAGACTGAAGTAAAGCACTGCAAAGGGTTTTGATAATTTTAAATCAGAGACGTAAAGCAAATGGGTAATGTGCTATTATCATCAGCTTAAAGGATATGGTTTTAGAAATTACAGCATTTTCCCCAAGTAGTCTTGGCTGAGATGGAGGTCCTCTCTGTCCTCTTTTGTCAAGTTAGACTTGATAGATATTTCCAACTATTCATTAAATAATATCTAAATCATAAAGCAATAACCATCATATGACTCTCACATAACTATCTGTTTCTCAAAGAATTATAGCGCTGATGGCTTTTAATGGCAATTTACAATGCCAGAATACTCTTAGGTGATCTCCAGTGGAATCAGTCCAAATTGGTTACCCAGTGGAATTGATCTTTAGTTAAAGGTCAAATTCAATTTTACCTTCAAAATTGAGGAGACTTGGATGTGAAAGTTGCCTCTTGATAATAATCTTAAGTGTAAAATTCTTTCTGTATTCATTTAAAAAATCTTTAGGTTAAAGACAGAGGAATAATGTCATCTTCCACCACCCCCAAGTTTCAAAAGGATTGACAGATTGACATGGAGACTATCAATATGGAGATTCAAGTCATCACTGTTCATTCTATATAAAGCTCTTTAGAGAAAGTCTCTATGGAACTGTAGCAAGCTAGACTTGCTAACGCTTCACCAGATATTTCAGTCTACTCATCTAGTCAAACACAATTGCTCAACAGACATAGACACCGCACTGGGGGGCTGACTCTTTAAAACTTACATTACAGAGAATTAGAAAACACATTTTCCCCCTGCAAGTAAGGTGGGTCCCAAAATAAGAGGACCAAAGTGCTGGCTAAGCTAAGCATACCCAGTTGCTTTTTTCCCAACTCAGCTGTCAAACTGTATGCCGCTATGGAATGAGAGAGACCAGAAGTCCCTCTACATGACAAAAAAATAGCGAAACATGAATAGTCATTTCAATCTTATTATGTCCAATGCGGTGATCCTAACCTTCCTACCATCCTCCCTCTAACCTAATTTCCTTTCAGTCTTTACACACCTTTAAGTGGCAACTTCATCCTTGGCTCCATCCTCCGCCCCCCCCTCAACAAATCCTACCTCACCAGCAGGTCTATGTGCTTCAAATCCTGCTACCCAGAACTTACTCTCAATGCTTGCCATCCAGAACTTAGTCCCAATAATTTAAGTAATCACGTTAAAGCAACGGTCAGATCTTGCTACTCCTCTGCACAAAACCTTTCAGTGGCTCTCATTGTACACAGAATGTAAACCCAAATTATCATTTTAATTTGCCTAGGTTATTGCTGTTAACTTTTAAAATAAGTTTTATTTACACCAGTGTTTACAAGGTCATTTTTAGTTTTAACCTGTTAATTCTCTCAAGTCCTCTTCTAATACCTTCTTGATACTGTTGCAGCCTCTCCAGCCTCCCGGTGGCTCCTTAAACCCCCAGATGTGCCTACCCTATGGCCTTTGCTCTTGCTGTGCTCTCCATCTAAAGACCTGGTCACCTAAATATCCTCTTGGCTGATTCTCTCTCTTCCCTGACACGCTTGTTCAAAAGTCATCTACTCAAGCAGGCAGACCATGGCCATTTATTACTTTAACCCAGTTGCTCTTCTTTACCCCACCCCCCTTTTTTTTTTCCATTGCATGGAACAATTTGTAACATACTTTACACTCTATTTTTTTCAATGTTTACCGCCTACATATCAACATTATATTTCAAATCCTATAAGGGCAGGGATCTCTGTTTTGTTCACAATTCTATCTCGAGTACCTAGCATAATGCTAGCTCATAGAAAACACTCAATAAATATGTTTTGAATGAATGAATCTAGCAGAAAATCATATTGAGTCTACCTTCAAAATATAGCTTGAATCTCTATCATACCACATTGTCACAAACTCCTTTGCCACTAACTTGGTCTTAGCCATCATTTTAATTTGCTTGCATTATTGCTATTAACTTCCTAAATAAGTTTTAATTTATACTTTTTCTTTCCCTCCTTTAGTCTATTCAAACACACACACACACACACACACACACTGCACATACACCACAAATCAAACAAATGCAACAACCAAAACACACACACACACTGCACGTACACCACAAATCAAACAAATACAACAACTACAATTGTAACATATAAGTCAGATGGTGTCAGAGCTCCAAACGCTCTAGTGTGCTCCTTTTTGTTTTTTACCCTGAGTAGAATCCAGTCTTTCTAGTGGCTTTTAGGTCCTGTGGGATCTACCTTCCTCACCTCTTCTCCTGCCTGACTCACTCCACTCCATCATGCTGGCGTCTTCATGACTCCTTGAAAACACCAGGCTCACTTTTGTCCTGGGCCATCTGCCTCTGCTATCCTCTCTGCTTGGTATGCTCTTTTCCCAAAAAGCTTCATGGCTAGATCCTTATAGCTCTGATGTATTTGTTGAAATGTAACTTTCTTAGTGGAAGCCTTCATGACCATGCCCACTTTAAATTCCCCTCACACCCCAACATTGTTATCTTTATTTTTTCTTCATAATACTAACTGGTATATCTAATATGATGTTGCATATTTATTGTGTTCATTGTCATCTCCGACAATGGGGTGTAAGCTTCATAAGAACAATTGTTTTCCTCTACTTTGTTCACTGGATGTCCCCATGGTCTATAACAGTGCCTGGCACATGGTAGGCACTCAATTAATAACTGCAGGGAGAAAAAAATGAAGCACGTACTCTTGGCATTTGGAAATGCTCAAAGGAAATACATGTGTATTAGTCAGTGCCCCAGCAAGAAACAAATTACACATTTGAACTAATTTGAGCAGAGTTTAACAGGAGGACTATTTTCAAAGGTGAAGGCAGGGTATAGGGAGCCCACATAGGAGAGTGTTTTATTCTCAGGCTAGAATCATTGCCAACCTCCCTTTATTCTTTTCAGTGAAATCCAGAAAACAAGAGTGCCCTTTGATATGATCACACATACTGGCATCAAGCAGTTGGAAGGAGGAGGCAGAGTAGACCCAAAGGGCAAACAGATGATATTTGGAATAATACTGTTGGTGATTTCTCATGATATGACTGAAAGAGGGTCAACAACGTATGATCACTGTTCATATTCTCTCTCTCTCTCTCTGTGTGCACACATGTACATGTATGTGTGGATAGTTATAATATGTACGTATGCACATATATAAATACAAATACATGTTTTCTAGGATATACTTAAATTCTCTAGAAATTCATTCACCAATTACCACTATTTACCCAACTTAAAGGCTAAAGCTTTGCTTATCTTCTAAGACTGACCTTAGGTGCCATCCTGTATAAGATTTCCTGGTGGCATGGATTAGTTTGGTGCCATGGACTGGAGGTAGAGGTATTCATTTAATAGGTCATTGTGATGTAAAATTGATGGCTTTGTAAACAATTGTATATGACTTTCACAAATAAATAATATCAAGTGATTGGAATATTGGGAAGGTATTAGTTAAAGAAAAGTGGTAGAGCATAACAGTGAGTCACTTCAGGTAAGATGGGGAGGACATCTCTGAAGAAGTGATCTTTGATCTTAGATCTGAATGATGGACAGGAAATCATGTCAGGGAAGTGCCAGAGAGAGAACATTTTAGGCAAAGAGAAGAGTGAGTATACGGATAAGTTTGGCTAATAACATTCTCAGTGGACTCATAACATAGGGAGGGATATCCAGAGAGGAGGAAACAAGGTATAAAATTAGGCAGGGACCAACTAGATGATTTGTGACTTTGTAGGTCATTGAAGGAGTTGGTATTTTATTCGAAATACAGGAAGAAGCCATTACATGGCTCTGAACCTGGGAATCACATGGTGTGATGAACATTTTTAAATATTCTCTGGTCAGTCTATAAAAAATATTGTAACTCCTTACTTTCGTTAAAATGAGACTGTCATACCTCTATCTCATTTCTTAAAAAGCATATTGTAGAAATTTGTTTTAAATTATTGTTTGGTTTTCTTTGAATTTCCATATTTTACTTGAATTTATATCAGCCATCTTATTTGGATTTCTTCTCTATGCTCTTTTTTGGCTTTCTGAATTTTTCTGCCTTTTTTAGAATTTATGGAGTACTCTTTGTTTCAGTTTAATTTCCTCTAGTTGTTTGGATAGCATACAAAGGATTTTACATCCTTTATTGTATGTAGTTCATTTGTAGCACTTAAACTTAACAAATCGGTTAGAGACATAAATTTTAGAATTAGACTTGTAGATTCTAACCCTTACTCTACCACTTACTCCTCCTGTGTGTTATCTGGGGCAATTTTTCTTATCAGTAAAATGGGAAAATAGTACATAGTTCATAGGGGAAGATTACATCAGTTCCTACATATAAAGCACCTAGTGCTTGACATATTGTAAATGTTATAAGAGTTTACTACATTGGAGTAGTAGAATTGGGACCACCCAAAAACATACTCCTTCCCAGAACCTGTGAATATGACCTTATTTGGAAAAAGGGTATTTTTAGATATAATTTACATAAGGATTTCAAGAGGACACTAGTTTGAATTAGGGTGGGTTCTAAATCCAACGACAGGTGTCTTTCTAAGAGGTAGAGAGGCCGGGCGTGGTGGCTCACACCTGTAATCCCAGCACTTTGGGAGGCCAAGGCGGGAGGATCACGAGGTCAGGAGATCAAGACCATCCTGGCTAACACGGTGAAACCCTGTCTCTACTAAAAATACAAAAAATTAGCCAGGCGTGGTAGCAGGTGCCTGTAGTCCCAGCTACTCGGGAGGCTGAGGCAGGAGAATGGCCTGAACCCAGGAGGTGGGGTTTGCAGTGAGCCAAGATTGCGCCACTGCACTCCAGCCTGGGCAACAGAGCAAGACTCCGTCTCAAAAAAAAAAAAAAAAATAGGTAGAGATAGACACCCAAGAGGGGAAGGCCTTATGAAGATAGAGGCAGAGACTGAAGTGATGCAGCTACAGCACGAGGAACACCAGGAAACTGTTGCACAGCTGCCACAAACACTAACAGCGAGGCATGCAATGGGTTTCTCCTTCAGAACCTTCAAAAGGAACTAACAGTGCTGACATCTTCATTTTGGACTTCTGGCCTTTAGCCCTGTGAAAGAATAAATTTTGGTTGTTTGAAACCACCCAGTTTGTGGTAATTTATTATGGCTGTCCTAGGAAACTAATACACACATTCAAAATGAATTTAACACCTCCCTCAAACCAAGGCAAAATTCTTACCTTCCTGTTCTATTTCTCTCCTGTGTCCAATGCCCTCCCACGTTCGGTGAAATCATCTAGACTTTTACTTTCAGTTTATTATAACTGTGTGTTGTGTCTTCATATTTTTACAAATCATTCTTTAACAATTGTTTTAAGATTAACAGCCAATATATCAATAATAATTTAGACAGTTGTAAGACCTACAAATATCTTATTCGCTAATGTTCCTTGAATCCTACGTCTTTTTTCTACTAGGAAGCTTTAAAATAGAAAGCAAATGACAGGGCCCTAACAATTGGGTTTACAGGGTGTGCTGGTGCTACACCTCCTGTAATCTATGCAGTACATAGCATAAGTTTATACATGTGAAATATAATTCATATAGGTAAATGTTACCATAATTATTATTAACTTTATCATCATCATTACATTTAAGACAACATGACATAAACAGTTGCAAACCTTCACATGGCAAGAATAGGTGAAAAGTGTAGATTAAAAGGTGTCATTTTTGTGTGTGTGTAATCACTTTTTGCTTTTTTACTTTTCAGTCCTTTTCCTACGTATCTCTCCCTCTACTTAAAGACTTAGTGTGAATGTCAATTACTCAAGCCTGAATTAAAAGAGGTGAGAAATCTTTCTATTTATCATGTTTATGATTTTCATACAACACATCTACAGAGCCTAGGAGCATTAAAGGAAATGCAGTCACCTTTGATTTTCTGTCCAATTATTTGCATACTTTTTGGAGAAAAGTGACAGAAATCAGCACTTTTTAAAATGTATATTCATTAACTTCCAAATGAAATTGCTCTAACTGCCCAGAATAGTGTTTGGGATCTTCCATCGGCAACACTGACAACTGTCTTATATTTCATGGAATTATTTAAAGTGAGTTCCTGACTCACATCCATATTTTGCCAGCCATTCATTCATTCAACAAAGATCTTTGATCACATGCCCTGTGATGGGACCCGTTTTGGGCATAGATATTCCTGAAAGTGAAGAAAACAGATAAAATCCCAGCTTGCATGGAGTTTTCATCAGGATTTTACTGACCAGGATCAGGATCAGGATTTTACTGACCATACACAAAGCAAATGAATATGCAAGTTCAGGTAATGATAAATGTCACAAATAAATTAACACTGAGAGAGACAGTGTGAAGCTACAATACTTTGATAGGATTTGATAATACCCTGTAAATAACTGTTTTTCAGTGGGTGCTTTACTTATTTGTTTGCTTTTCTGGCTTACTTTTAAGTTGACACAGGACAGGAAAACTCCAGTCATCCTCAAGGGAAAAGAGGTCCTGAAAAGAGGAAACAAGGAGAGACCTCACGGAGTCAAAACAGGTGTTCACAGGCATTGAATACGGAAAATGACTCAAGCTGCTTAGGATGAGACGCATGGTCAGAATGGTTCAGCACAAGGGATATATAACACCCTGAGGATTAAAACAAAGGTAGTGTCTAGAATGTTGCTGAATATGACAAAGAACTTTTAGATTAGAACTCCAGGAATGAAGAAGATGAAGAAAAACAGACCTCATGATTATCAGCTAAGGCCACTCCTAGCTCAATCATGTGTAGTCAGTGACTATACATACCATCAGTAAAATAAATAAATATTATATCTATTTAATTGTTCTATAATCTGCTCATTCTTCTTATTCATGTGGCTTATCAGAAAAAAATTGCTATAATCTTTAAAATTCCTATAATTAGACGGATTTCCCATATTATTTAATTTCCTTTGAGAAAATATATTTAAATCTAAGCTTTTTGAATTAGCTATTGCTTTAATCAAACTCCCAAGCTATTGCTTAAATTGACAAACATATATTAAAGGGAAAAAACAAAAGAGAGAGTGGGAAGGTGGACATGCCGGGACGCAGGATCCATTTTAGCAGCCAAGGAGCAACATTAGCGAGTGTCAGTGACCAAGAACCCACATAAGCAAAGATGAGGGCTCCGACAGAAGGAAGGCAATAGGAGCTATATTTACTCTATTGGACATTTTGCCAGGAGGATTTTTACAGTGTTGTACATTTTCATCATCCATCTCTTACACTTTGATGTTCATTAACTCATTTTTAAAATGAGCCCAGAGGTTTCAGTGGCTTTGGTTTTGCTATTTAAAATGGGCAATGGTGTGCTGAACAGATGGACTCACTCTAGACTATACAGAATGCATGAAATAGTCACTTTGGGAGTAAAAGACCCTTTTTGTTCCTCATACCAACACGATCTCCTTATAACTTCAGCACATCTAAATGCTTGATATTTTATGCACATCCCATTTAGATAGAGCTCCTAAATAAAAACTCTCAGCATTTTCTCTTTTGCTCATCTTATTGGCATTACTGTAAAACTTGGTTCATTCTCATTCCATGGAAGCAGCAGATTTTTATATTGATTTGATGGGTATGAAGTGAAGATAAATCTTGATGTCCATGTTGTTCTTTCATTGGGATGGAAAGCTATTGACACTGCAGGAATCAGGTATCCATATGCCTTTTAGGAAAAGAAAAAGTGCCCCAATCCCTTGCACAGCACTTTTTTTTTTTCTCAGTGTACAGATATCCCGTAAGGTATGCCTCTCCAAAATGGAATTGGCTTCCTTCTTAAAACTTGCAGACAAGATTTACTCGAACCCACTGTTTCTCTATTCAGGTCCATAATAAGATGGTCTACAAGTACAGTAAATCCACAATATTTGCAAGTGAAGATGGGTAGTCTCACACTTAACCATATAATTTTTTCTCAAAGTTTCTTTGCAAAGTTTCTTTTGGGAACTTGGGACATTTTCTCATGAGTCTATCATTCTTCTTTGGCAAACTCTGTTAGCTTTCTCTATTGGTACATGGGATGATGTGGTGAGCAAGTGGAGGCTGAAGCCCTCCAATCCCATAACCACCAGAATAAATTTTAACTCATGTGTTCTATTTGTTTACATATTCTTCCAGAATTCCACAGCAAAAAATGAATTGAAGCTATTGCGCTGGTTTCCTTGATCAGCGATATGAAATTCTAATTGCTTTCAAATTGTCCAGCTACAGAATTCCTTGAGATGCCCTCAAAAGCCATTTTTAAGCTCCTTCTCAGTATAGAATTGATGTCACAAGAAAATATGAGAAATCCTTCAGAAATTAAGACCCCAAACAGAAGCAAATCCAGAACGGTAATTGAGCAAAGAAGCTAAAAGCTATCTTGGTGCAATAGGCAAGAATAGTAATCTAGAGCTTTGACCTTTAATTATCACATAGGTTAAAAAAAAATAATAAAAGATTCTTGAGCCTGCTCAAAGTGGGACACGGTATAGTGACTTCTGCATAATGTCATGACCGTCAAAAGCCTATATGATTAGGGAAAAGGTATACTAGGAAAAATGTCTGCCTGAAAAAAGATGACAGTAATATCTTTTCCATTGCCATATGGAAAGGAAAAAGTTTTCAGTGAATACGTATATATGTAAAACAGTCTAAATTTATTAAAAGTTTAAATTCTTATTTTCTATTTTGCTAAAAACCCTCAAGCTGAGAAAACAGTTTATGGTGTTCCAGGTTTGATAATTCCCCCAGAAGCCTAGCAAAACCAAATGCATTAATTTATATAGAAACCATCCCTAAGCCTACTCACCATAGAATTTTCAAAAATAAAAACCCAGGAAATATGAGTCGATAATTTTTTAAAATGGATAAGCAAGACTTATACAGTTGACTCGAACAACATGGATTTGAACTGCATGGGTCCACTTATATGTAGATTTTTCTTTCAATAAATATACTGGAAAACTTTTTGTAGATGTGTGATAATTGGCAAAAACTCACAGATAAGCAGAGTAGCCTAGAGATATTTAAAAAGTAGATATGTTACAAATGCATAAAATATATGCAAAATATTAATAGTTTATTTTGTTATTTACTACCATAAAGTATACACAAATCTATTACAAAAAGTTAAAATATCAAAACAACACACAAAAACACTCAGAGACTGGACATAGCACCATTATTGTTCAGAGAAATGTAAATCAGTATATAGATGCAGTATTGAATCATAACTCCATAAAATTACTGTAGTACATATTATACTATTGTAATAATTTTATAGCCACCTCTTGTTATTATTGTGGTGAACTCAAGTATTGCCAGTATCTGTTTAAAATGCACTGTGATGCTAATCATCTTCACATGAGCAGTTAGTCTCCCCAGTAAATTGCATATTTCAGTAAAAAGTGATCCCTCACAGTTCTCACGTATTTTTCATCGTGTTGAGTCCAATACCAAAAACCTTGAACCCATGTGTAGTGCCACTAGTGATGCTGGAAGTGCTCTCAAGAAGCAAAAAACAGTCAAGATACTATATTTTGTTAAAAGTTGAATAGTTCAAGATATACCACAGATTGAGGTGTGCAACTGTAGTTGCCCACCATTTTAAGATAAATGAATCCAGTATAAAGACAACTGTAATAAAAGAAAAGGAAATTCATGAAGCTGCCACTGTAGCTGTGCCAGAAGGCATGAAAAGCTGTTATTTTACAAAATATCTTTTAATCTCATACTGAAAATGTAGCTTTTCTGTGAGTGCAGGATTGCTATAAAAAAAGGCATACCTATAGACTCTAGTATGATTTAAGAAAAAGTCAAGTCATTACAGTATTTGAAAAAGTAAAATGAATGTGAATAACCTAAAGCTAGAGAATGTAATGCCAGCAAAGGATGGTTCGATAATTTTAGAAAGAGAGTTGGCCTAGGAAACGTCAAGATAACAGGAGAAGCAGCTTCTGCCAACCAGGAGGCAGCAGAAAAGTTCCCAGACACCATTCAGAAAATCATAAAGGAGAAAGAATATTTTCCTGAACAGGTTTTTAATGAAGATGAAAGTGTCCTATTCAGGATGTAAGACAAAGGGATAGGCTAATTCTATTGTTTTGTTTCAATGCAGTTGGGTTTATAAACAATCCTTCCTTCATCTATAAAACTGTTAACTCCTAGTCTTGAAGGAAAAAGATAAACATCACCTGTCAGGTTTTTGGCTGTACAACAAGAAGGCTCATACAATAACTTTTTCTGAATTGCTTTCATTGATGCTTTGTCCCTGAAGTAATGAAGTACCCTTGCCAGTAAAGAATGGCCTTTTAAAGTTCTTTTGATATTGGACAATGCCAGTGACTACCCAGAATGCCATGAGCTCAACACCAAAGACATGGAAATGGTCTACTTCCCACCAATACTACAGTATTCTATGAAAAGATTGTCAACACTATGAAAAAGAACGCTGATAGAATATCATGAAAGTCTGGAAGGATTACACCATTGAAGATGTCATGGTTGTTATAGAAGAAGCCCTGAAAGCAATTAAGCCAGAAATAACAAATTCGTGCTGGAGCAAACTGTGTCCAAATGTTCAGGAGTTCATCAGAGAACCAATAAAAAAAAAATCATGGAAAAGATTGTGGATACGGCAAAAAATAGTGGAAGTGGCAGGGGTGAAGGAGTTCAAGAAAGGGATCTTGGAGAAACTCAAGGGTTAATAGATAGCACACCAGAGGACTTAAAAGATGTCTGCTTGATGGAAATGAGTGCTCTTGAACCAGTTCAGACAATAAGGAAGAAGATGTAAAAGAAGCAGTACTGGAAAGCAAATTGACATTAGACATTCTGGCAGAAGGATTCCAATTATTCAGACTTCTTTTGACTTCTTTTATGATGTACCCTTCTATGACACGGGCACTGAAACTAAAGGAAATGGTGGAAGAAGGATTGATGCCATATAAAAATATTTTTAGAGAAATGAAGCAAAAAATTCAGACATAAATTATGACATATTTCCGTAAAGTGTGCTTGCCTCTCCTGCCGCCCGTTCCATCTCCTCCACTTCTTCTGCCTGTGCCACTCCTGAGACAGCAAGACCAGCCCCTCCTCTTTCTCCTCCTTTTCGGTCTACTTAATGTGAAGACAACTAGGATGAACACTTATATGGTGATCTACTTCCACTTAATGAATAATAAACATATTTTCTCTTCCTTATGATTTTAATAACAATTTTCTCTCGCTTATTTCATTTTAAGATTACACTGTATAATACATATAACAAATATTTGTTAATTAACTGTTTATGTTAAGATTACAGTATACAATACATATAATGTATATGATATTTGTTAATTAACTGTTTATGTTATTGGTAAGGTTTCTGCTCAGCAGTAAGCTATTAGAAGTTAAGCTTTTGGGGAATCAAAAATTGTACATAGGTTTTTCACTGTGCAGGAAGTCAGCACCTCTCACTGCCATGGTATTCAAGGGTCAACTGTGTAAGAATAACAAAATATACCATCAAAAATGACCAGACATTTTTTATGAAACAAATATGTTTTTCATGAATAAATTTATACTTGACATTTGAACTCCAATGGATATATTAAAAAGCAGACTTGATTTAGCTAAAGAGAGAATTAGTGACCCAAAAATAAATCTAATATAATTACCCAGAATGTAACACAGAGATAGGAAGCGAGACAGAATACAGATGATGATACTTAACATAGATTTAATCAGATTTCCTGAAGGAAATAATACAGAGGACAGAGTCAAAATATTTCAGGTCATAATGGCTTAGAACTTTCCTGAAATGATGACATTAAATCACAGATTAGGAAACATAGTTAATCTGAATTGGAATGCATTTTTGGAGATCCACACCAATTTATTCTGTACTCAGCCTATAGAATGTAAAATAAGATCTTAAATATAGCCAGGAAAAAGCCAAACTTCCTCAGAGAAATGAATATTCTATTGATTCCAAGGGCAGAAATGGTAAGTGTAATATACAGCAATGTGTTTACAATAATAACTTTAAAGTGATGGGAGAAATCAGTTGCTAACTTAGGACTGTACAACCAAATAACTTATCAGAAATGTGGACAAAATTACCACATTTTAAATTTAAAAAGAAAGAATTTACCACTGACAGTTTATCACTAAAGGAATTTCTAAATGCCATTTCCAAGAAAAGAATAATTCCTGAGAGTCTTAAAGTGCAGAAAGAAATGATAAGCAAAGAAAACAATAAGGCAATAATAAATTTAAACAGACTTCAATAATACAAAACAATAATAAACATAGATAATACATGGAGATAGATATAGAATTACATTTCTGGACAAATATACGTATGCGGTGATTTGCTAAAAAAAATTCTCTAAGGTCCTTATGTTATTCAGGATTAAATTAATTATACCTGTTAAAATATCTAGACTAGTCACTAACAGATTAGAATCAGATGACATATGTTTCAACTATACAGAAGGATAAATGGAATAAACTTTTAAAAACTCAGTCCCAAAAAGTCAGGAAAGAATAAAAAATAAGACAAAAACACACAAAATAAAATGCCAGAAAAACTCCAATACAGTAAAAATTTCTCTATAGACTAATCTTGGTAGTTAAAAGATAAAATTTGTCCTTCTGGAGTAAATAGTACCTAGTTATATGCTGCTTACAAAAGACAGATTTAAATCAAAGTAAAAGAGTAAGGTTAAACAAAAAATTATTGAAAATTTCCAAGCATTTGCTAACTGAAAGTGTAGCTATATTGACATAAAAGAAACTTGACGTTAAGCTGCAGGGTACTGTTCAAAATAAAGAGTATCTCTCCATAAGAATAAAAGTTTCAGCTTAACAGAATTATATGCTTTAGACTTACAAAAAACTTTGAGTCATAATATAAATAAACATTTACAGTATTAAAAGGGTTGATTAATAAAACAGGATCAGCATTTAACACACATCATTTAGTGGTTAAATTAAACCTAACAAATAAGTAAAAATATAGACAATTTATATAAGTTGATGTATTAACAATATCCTGCATCCATCAATTTGAGAGTATACAGTTTTATAAAAATTTGACTACTTATGAGGTCATAAGTATGATCTCAACAAAACTCAAAAAGTCATTATTATTCAGAGCATATTCTAAGACAACGATGCAATGGAGTGAAAAATAAATATTAAAATTTAACTGTAAAATGCCAATAAAATTAGAAATTGAAAATAGGCATTTCTTTACATCATTTACTCTTCATCATTTACTTCAGGCCTAGTTATAAGATATTGAAAAATATAGTACAAGGATTGAAAATGAATAAAAAATAAGATTCTTTTTCACAATTAATAAGATTGTCATCATAGGAAACTCAAGTAAACAAAGAATTTCTTAAAAATTAATAAGACATGTTATTATATTTGTTGGACATAAGACAAATATATAAAAATCAATTGAATTTCTATGATATGATAAATAGAAAATGTAATTTTAAAACAAGATAAAAATATATGCCATGTGGGAATAAAATTAATAAAAGAGGTACATGACCTTTATAAAGTAAAGTTTAAAACTTTACTATTAGACATAAAAGAAGACCTAAATAAATGGAGAGATATACTATGTTCACAAATAGGAAATCTCAACATTTTAAAATGTCAATTCTCCCCAAATTAATGTATACATTCAATCTAATTTCAATAAAAATTCCAACAAAGCTTTCCAAGGTGATTATAAATGAATATGGATAAGAAAACGGCTAAATGTAGAAGACATTTCTTAAAAAGAATCATAAGAGGGAACTTGTGATATACATTAAGACATCTTATAAAAGCCTAAGAAGTAAGACCACATTATTGGCACACCTTGGACAAAGAGACACATGGTCTGGAATAAAGAGTTCAAAAAATTAACCCACACTTATGCAAACATGATTTATGATAGAGGTGACATTTCAGAGCAATAAGAAAGGATTGATGCTTAAATAAACACTACTGGAAGAATCAGTTATCTACAGGAAAAAATATAAAATTATATCTCTATTTCAAGTACTTATTAGGCTTTAGGAGATTTTTTTTTTTTTTTTTTTTTTTTTTTTTGGGACGGAGTCTCGCTCTGTCGCCCAGGCTGGAGCGCAGTGGCGCGATCTTGGCTCACTGCAAGCTCTGCCTCCCGGGTTCACGCCATTCTCCTGCCTCAGCCTCCCGAGTAGCTGGGACTACAGGTGCCCACCACCGCGCCTGGCTAATTTTTTGTATTTTTAGTAGAGACAGGGTTTCACCGTGTTAGCCAGGATGGTCTCGATCTCCTGACCTCGTGATCCGTTCGCCTCGGCCTCCCAAAGTGCTGGGATTACAGACGTGAGCCACCGCGCCCGGCCTAGGAGACACTTTTAAAAGGCAAACTTTTACATTTTTAGAATAAAATACAGAAAAATGAACTTGGCATAGAGAAGGATTCTTAATATACATAATTCATAAAATAAGAGAATTAATAAATTCATATATGTTAAATTTTTTTAAACTTCTGGTCATCAAATGGTATCATAAGAGTGAAAAGATCTGCCACAAACTGGGAGAAAATTTCTGTAAAATACAGACCAGTAAAAGATTAGAATCCAAAATACATAACGAAAATATAAATTAATAATTAAAAGACAGATAGTGCAATAGAAAAATGAACAAAATGCATCCAGGCGCGGTGGCTCACGCCTGTAATCCCAGGACTTTGGGAGGCCGAGACGGGCGGATCTCGAGGTCAAGAGATTGAGACCATCCCGGCCAGCATGGTGAAACCCCATCTACTAAAATTACAAAACTTAGCTGGGCATGGCGGCACGCGCCTGTAGTCCCAGCTACTCGGGTGGCTGAGGCAGAATACCTTGAACTTAGGAGAGGGAGGTTGCAGTGAGCCGAGATCGCGCCACTGCACTCCAGCCTGGAGACAGCGAGGCTCTGTCTCAAAAAAATAAAAGAAAGAAAGAAAGAAAAATGAACAAAATGCGTGAATAAACATTAACAGAACATGAAATATATGAGATAAAATTATTTTTAATAACAGAGAAATAAAAATAAAAATCATAATGAGTTACAATTTCACAGATTGAGTAGAAATAAAAAATTTTGACAAAACCCCAGATAGGCAAGAATTTAAAGTAAAGAAGAATCTCCCACACTATTGGTGGAAATAACACTTCTGCAAAAAATACTATGGGAAAGCCTTGATATTATTTAGTAATATTGAAGATGTGACTGTCTTATAACTTTATAGTTTCTTCTCTGGATATATGTGGAGAAAATCTTACTCATCTGCACCAGAGAACACAATCAGAATGTTCATAAAGCCCATTTTTAATAGTTCACTCAAATACATCTCAAAGGTTATTCAGCAGTACAGTGTTTAAATAAACTGTGATCTATTCATACAATTGTGAAAATAGTTATGTAGACTACGACATGATTCTTAACAAAAAAGTAAATTTCTGAAGAATAATGTGGCATTTTAATAATATTCAAAAACAGGTGAAGTTATGATAAACATAAAATTTACATTAGTTGTTATCTCTGGAATGTGTAGCTGATGATGGGGAGAACCTCAGAGAGTCTTATAATGACCCTGGTGATGTGCAACTTCTTAAGCCAGAATTACGAGACAGTTTATTTTTTAATATAATATTAAACACATACAATAAAAGATACATAGCAAGTATATAACAATTTTGGAAAATAACATGACTAGGCATCTAAGCAACCCTACTTCTTTATTCAGGAGTCCTCTGGTTGCAAGTAAAATAAAACATAACCCAAATTGACCTAAGTAGAAAATAAATACATTGGTTCAGGTAACTGAAATTGCAGGCTGGAAATGATGCTTCTAATGATGCTCTTAAGACCATCTCTTTGCTGGTTCTTACTCTCTCCTGTTACTGGTTTCATTTGCAGTTGCTATGTGGTGGTAAGAAAGCTGCAGTAGCCTCATGTCTTTTCTAAAGAGAATGAATTTATTTCTTACAGCTCTAGAGGCTGGGGAGTCGAAGGTCAAGGGGTTGCATTAGGGTGGGCCTTTTTCTTATTTCTTAACATGGTGGAGGGTATCATATGGCAATGGGGCAAGAGCATGTTAGCTTAGGCCTCTCTTCCTCTTTTTTCTTTATTGAAAATCATTGCTTTTTTTTTAGTACTAGATTCTTTCTCCAATTTTTAACTATCATCCTATATGGCATAAATAAAACGTTGGAACTATTAGTATGTTTTTATATTGGCATAAGAAAACCATGTAATTTTTAAAATGGGATTTTATATTTCTTTCTTACATCATAGCCATCTTAAAAATGCCTCATAATTCTGTAATCACATAAGCATTTCTCTTCTACAATTTAAAACGTATATTTTTTCTATGTGTTACATTTTCTATTGTGATAATTTATCACAATGTATTGTATTTGTGTTTACATTTCTATTGTCTTAATACATTGGGAACCTCTTGTGGATGTTAAATTGATCATTGAATCTCTAATATTGTTCCTTGCGCTTAATGGAGAAGAGGTGGCAGTGTGGCATAAAAGGAACCCATATTGATTAGGAGTCTACTTGGTAACATGCTATAGGACATATATTACACACATCATGGTATGTCTTTTCATAAGAACTCCATGATATAAGCTGTATTATTCTCATTTTTTGAATATAAAGTTATTACATTATATAACCTGGCTAAGATAAAGCATCTCATAAGTTCCAGAGCCAGGATTAGAATTTCAGTCTATTTGAGACCCAGAATAATTCTTTTTTTCCTCTACACTACCATTCCTAAAACTGTGGAATAACGTCTCTGGCATTCTTAGGATATATTTTTCTGGTCCACATGATCTCTGAATTTCTTTTTGAGTTTCAATAATGATATTAAAAATACAGATGAACATATTATCGATGATCACCTTATAACTTGGTATTATGTTTCAAACACTAACATTAGCCTTTGTTTTCAACAACATTTTACTATCAAGGGAACAACTAAAGTGGCAGACTGTCTTCACCTTTTATTACGGTTTCACAAATTGGCATCAGTAGACCCTTGAAGATGGCTACATTCCACTTGATAAATGTTTGTTGAATAAGTGGTAAACCTGTCCCCAAATAAGAGATCTCCCTTGTGGCAGAATTTGGAACGTTCCTTTCCTCTAAAACATTCCTACTTATCAGTCCTCAATTTCATTTCAAATTCTAGCTTTCATGTCCTTGAGAAGGCAGGTGCTAGGGGTAGAGGTGGGGAAGGACCTGGAACACTGAATGCCAGATGGGGATGAAAGCATCATTAGCTACCACATAAAGAAAGACCTTGTGGAAGTCTGAGTTGGGGCACTTTGAGTCAATATAACATTTAGAGACACTACCTGTCTATACCAGTCCTGCCACCTTACGAGCAATCCTTTCAAAGCCATGGGAGTTGAGCTACCCATTTTCTTCCCTCACCTTTTGCTTTCAGCCAATTCAGAATATTTCTTTCTGCTTTCATTGTGCCTGATGAAAACAAAGGAACTCTTAGGCTTTCCAAGAAATAATCCTACTACAACACATAAAAGCATGTGCAGAAGTACAGGCATACCTCTGAGATATTGCAGGTTCAGTTCCAAACCACCACAATAAAGTAAATGTTGCAATAAAGTGAGTCATATGAATTTTTTTTGTTTTCCCAGTGAATATAAAAGTTATGTTTACATAATACTGTAGCCTAAGTGTGCAATAGCATTATGTCTAAGAAAGCAATGTATATACTTTAATATTAAAAATGCTTTATTGCTAAATATGTTAAAAATAATCTATCTGAGCTTTCAGCAAGCCATAATTCTTTTGCTCATGGAGCGTCTTTCCTCAATGTTGACGATGGCTGCTGACTGATAAGAGTGGTGGTTGCTGAAGGTTAGAGTGACTATACCAATTCCTTAAAATAAGACAGCAATGAAATTTAACCCGTGAACTGACTTGTTCCATGAAAGATTTCTCTGTATCACTCAATGCTATTTGATAGCATTTCACCCACAGTAGAACTTCTTTCAAAATTGTAGTCAATATCAAGTAAGCTTATGTATTAATAATATTCTGAATTCTTTGTTGTCATTTCAACAATATTTACAGCATCTTCCCCAGGAGATTTAATCTCAAAACATTTTCTTTGCACATCCATAAAAAACAAATCTTCATCTGTTAAAGTATTGTCATGACATTGCAGCAATTTAGTCATCTCTGAGGGTTGGAATGAACTTCTCCTAAACTCTTGCTAATGTTGATATTTTCATGTCCTTCCATAAATCTCAAATGTTGTTTTCAAAAAAAATAGATTCAGAAGGTACACATGCAGATTCGTTACATGGATATATTGCGTAATAGTGAGGTTTGGGTTTCTCATCACCCAAATATTAAACATGGTGCCCAATAGGTAACCTTTCAACCCTCACTCCCCCTTTCATCCTCCTCCCTTTTGGAGTCTCCAGTGTCTATTGTTTCCCTTTGTATGTCCATGCATACCCATTGTTTAGCTCTCACTTGTAAGTTAGAATATATGGTATTTGATTTTTGGTTTCTGAGTTACTTCACTTAGGATAATAGCTTCCAGCACCACCAATGTTGACATAATTTCATTCTTTTATGGCTGTATAGTATTCCATGGTGTGTGTGTGTCTGTGTATATATACACACACATATACATGTGTGTGTATATATACACACATATATGTATACATATGTATATACACATATGTATATATGTATATATATATACACAGATATATATGTATGTGTATATATGTATACATATATGTATGTGTGTATATATACACACATATATACATATATATATCACATTTTCCTTATTCAATCATCTGTTTGATGGGCATTTAGGTTGATTCCATGACTTTGCTATTGTGAATAGTGCTGGAGGGTACACAGATGTACAGTTTTTGATATAATTATTTCTTTTCCTTTGGGTATATACCCATAGTAGGGTTGCTGGGTCAAATCTATTTTTAGTTGAGAAATTTCCATATAGTTATCTTTTGTATTATTTTTAGCATTTTTTATAGATTCATAGGGTACATGTTGAGATTTGTCATGTGGGTATATTGCATAATGCTGGAATTTGGGCTTCCAGTGAGCCCATCACCCAAATAGTGAACGTAGTACCCAATAAGTAGTTCTTCTATCCTTATCTCTCTCCCTCCATACCCTCATTTGGAGTTCCCAGTGTCTATATTTTTTCCATCTTTATGTTCATTTGTATCCATTGTTTAGCTCTCACTTGTAAGTGATGCCATGCAGTGTTTGATTTTCTGTTTTTGCATTGTTTTACTTAGTATAATGGCCTTCAGCTGCATCCACGTTGCTAAAAAGGACATGATTTTCTATTTTTTTAACTCCATATTGTTTTCCATAAAGGTTTTACTTTTCTTAATGGCACTAGAAAGGTGAACCCTTTCTGGAAGACTTTCAAATTTCTTTGCCCAGATCCACAGAAGAATCACTGTCTATGGAAGCCATAGCTTTACAAAATGATAAGATCATTTTTTAATGTTAAGACTTGAAAGTTGAAATTATTCTTTCATTTATGCACTGCAGAATGAATGTTGTGTTAGAAGGCATGAAAACATTAATTTTCTGTACATCTTTGTTAGCGTTCTTGGGTGACCAGGTGCACTGTCAATGAGCAGAAGTATTTAAAAAAAAATTTCTGAGTCATAAGTCTCAACAGTTGGCTTAAAATATTCAGGAAACCATGTTGTAAATAGGCATGGTGTCATCCAGGCTTTGTTGTTCTGGTTCAAGTGTGCAGATAAATAGATTTAGCATCACTTTTAAGGGCTCTAGAATTTTCAGAATTTTAAATAACCATTTGTTTGACTTAAAGTCATTAGATTCCTTAGCCCCTAAAAAAGAAAGTCAGCCTCTCCTTTGAAGCTTTAAAGCCAAGTGTTGATTCCTTCTCTCTGGCTATGAAAGTCCTAGATGACATCTTCCAATATAAGGCTGTTTTATCTACATTGAAAATCTGTTGCTTTGTGTGGTCACATTCATCACTTACCTTGGCCAAGTCTTCTGGATAACTTACTATAGCTTCTATATCAGCACTTGCTGTTTCACCTTGTACTTTTATGATATGGAAATAGCTTCTATCCTTAAACCTCATCAACCTACCTCTGCTAGCATCAGATCAGATTTTTCTTCTTCAGCTTTCCCACCTGTCTCAGTCATTGTAGAATTGCAGAGAGGTTTTGGTTTAAGGGAATGTTGTGGCTGATTCAACCATGTATCTAGACCACTCCAACTTTCTCCATGTCAGCAATAAGGCTGCTTTGCTTTTTTTTTAATCTGTGTGTTCACTGGAGTAGCACTTTTAGTTTTCTTTGAGAACTTCCTCTTTGCATCCCCAACTTAGCTCTGGCACAAAAAGGCCTGCCTTTCAGCCTATCTTGCTTTTCAACATGCTCTCCTCACTAAGCGTAATCATTTCTAGCTTTTGATTTAAAGTGAGAGACATGCAACTTTTCCTTTCACTTGAACAGTTAGAGGCCATTGCAGGGTTATTAATTGGTCTACATTCAATATTGTTGTGTCTCAGGGAATAGAAAAGCCCAAGAAAGGGAGAGAGAAGAGGGAACAACTTGTTTGTGGAGCAGTCAGAACACACACATCTATTGATTAAGTTTGCCATCTTACAAGGGCACAGTTCATGGCACCCCAAAACAATCACAATAGTAACATCAGAAATCACTGCATCACAGATCACCATGACAGATATAATAAACATGAAAAAGTCTGAAATATTCCAAGAATTACAAAAATATGATGCAGAAACATGAAATGAGTACAAATAGTGGTGTTGATAGACTTGCTGGACTCAGAATTGTCATAAACTTCCAATTTGTAAAAAATGCATTATCTGCAAAGCACAATAAATCAAAGCATGATAAATCGAGTTGTGCCTGTATGCATTTAATCCTGTAACTTCTCACACTGCACTTCAGTATTTTCTCGCTGTCTTATTCCCTCCTCCTCTAAAGAGGGAGAACAGCTGACCTTGATTAGTGAGAACCCAGGTATGGTAAGAACATACTTTTAGTAGTGGGTGTGGTTATCATGCAGCAGCTCATTGCTGAGGTCAGGTATAGTCTCTCGCTGTCCTGGAACTGCTTACACACATAGGGAGTGAGCTTTCCTTTTCTGTTCTCTGTTCCCATAACATAAGTGCCCTCAAGAAGACCTGCCATTTCTCTCTCTTTCTCTCTCTCTCTCTGGTAACCATGCATGAACCAGGCCTACAGTTCTTTTGGCAGGCCAGCTTTGTATAATTGGAGTCTATTCTGCAGACCCAGCTCTCCTTGAAGGTCTCATTTTAAAATGAAAATAAAAACTTTTCATCAGGCTTTGGTTCTAAGCTACATTCTCTAACATACTTTATCAGGAGGCCTATATTAGGAGGACAATTGGGCACCTGATTAGCCATTAGCAAAGCTAATACCTTCTCACATTTAGCTAGTGATCCTTGTGTCTATTTTCTATTTTTGTGACATAGAGGGAAGGAGAAATAATGACTCTTAAGCTTTGTAATCTCCAAAACTATATTTTGAGGGATCCTTCCTATGTCATGCTCTAACTTTTCTGATTTAGATGCTGTAGAGAGGCAAAGTTACACATGGATGATATTCTTTTGGTAGATAAAAATGGCCTGATATCTTTGCAGAGGAATAAATCTGAGGTCCATCATGGACCTTGAAAATACAAACTGAACTGATACCAAGAGGGAGATGTTGGAACAAAAGGAATAACAGGGATTTGCTAAGGAAAAATTTTCTTCATCATCCACTTCATCTCCTCTAATCCATTCCTATGAGCTGTTATACATGAGGGGCATCTACAAAGGTGACAAAATAATGGTTGAAAATGTCTTTTTCACAGAAAATTAAAAGCAGCCACAATATCTAAAGTCAAAATCTCTAACACCTGAGCTAACCTACTGAAAACAGAACCCACCAAACCATACTAGTATTAGTATTCATTTTAGAAAATCTAGTAATATCAGGGCCGGGCGTGGTGGCTCATGCCTGTAATCGCAGCACTTTAGGAGGCCGAGGTGGGTGGATCACGAGGTTAAGAGATCGAGACCATCCTGGCAAACATGGTGAAACCCTGTCTCTACTAAAAAAAAAAAAAAAAAGAAAAAATTAGCCAGGCGTGGTGGCAGGCGCCTGTAGTCCCAGCTACTTGGGAGGCTGAGGCAGGAGAATGGCGTGAACCCAGGAGGCAGAGCTTGCAGTGAGCCGAGATCATGCCACTGCACTCCAGCCTGGGCGACAGAGCGAGATTCCATCTCAAAAAAAAAAAGAAAGAAAATCTAGTAATATCAATGACTTAATGACAACATACTGATAATATCACTGTGTGGAAGCAAATCTAGATATCGAAGTGTTCTTTAAGTTCACCAAAATATATCTAATTTTGTTTTCAGAACTAGTAGGTTATTCATGCAAAATTAATGTGGCCACTGAAGAAGTCCTGCAAGGAATTCAATTGAGAGTCTGATAAAAATGCTCTGATACCTAATTCTTATAAGTCATAGTTTATTTTAATAAATGCAAAAAATGTTGAGTAAATATTACTACAAATGGGCACCAAGTGAAGGATATGCAATGAATATTGCTTATCAAATATCTCCAATCCCTCCCTGGAGAACTGCTATAGAAGGAATGGTACCTTGTTCCTTGTATCTAATATAGGAAACATCTAAGAGTTTGCGCTTTCTTTGCTGCCAGTTTATTTATGGGTGTATAGATAGCCTCCATTTCACCACCCCTGAAGGTACCATGGGAATACAATGTGATTTGTGGAGGTCTCAATATTTGCAGCTACTATCATACCCAGCTGGGCACTGCTACCCTATAACCAGGCTAGGTTATAACATAATTGTATTGCATAGGACCAGTTGAAACCATTTGCCAAGGCTGTTATATTTTTGCCCATGAGGAATTACTCAATTTTGGTCATGTAGTAGAGACAGCTTTGTAGACAAATGGAGATCTGACTGCTAGAGTGGCTCCTCATCCTTGGTAGTGAGAATCTTCACAACAGCAGATTCCAAAAACCATGACCCAAATGGACTGGACCTAGGCCACCGTTTCAGATGTGGCTGTAGGTAAGAGGTTTAGCAAGCCCTCCATTGGGGTTTTTCCTAACATGGCAGAACTTCATTCTCAAGAGGCAGAGTCACTCTTAACCCAACTGTGTCTCCCAGAAGACACAGAAAATTTGAGAACCCACATTCTGATAGCAAGGCTGATGATCACTAGTGACAAGAACCTTTGAGCGTAACACATTAAATTGGGATTTCTAAGAGAGTTTTTGTGTAAGAATGCTCATTTCCAAACCTTTTCATCTTTCAATCCTGTCACACTAAAATTCCACTTTGTAATTGATGGTCTCTTTGATCCAACAACTGGGTTCCGGAAAAACTATAACGTCACTGTGGTGGTCACTGTCACCTGAAACCAAAAGCCATTTCTTCTTCTTGGGTCCACAGACAGCCTACATTTCACAATTTATTTTATTTTATTTTTGCAATTTTGTGCAGTTATGTGACCAAGGGCTAATATACATGCAAGTAATATTTCCAGCTCCCAGGACTGGGCCTTATAAATTTCCCATGCATACTCCTTCATACTCATTTCTACTTTTCTGACTGGGTAGTAATGCCCAGGTCATCTGTGAAGACACATGTTAAAGATGACAGAGCCTCCATCAGACTGGATCTTTGAATGTTTTGTGAGGTGGAGATTTATACCCCCACTTTTACCACAATGTCTCCTGATCTGAAGAGCAGGAGATGACATAATAGAAACAAACAGTGCCCAGGAATGTGAATTGCCTAAGAGAAGATGCCTGACCTGGCTTTTAGAAAGAGATCACTGTAGAAACCATGTGTGAGGAGACGGGAACTGTTTATGAACACATATAGGCCAGACATGGTGGCTCACGCCTGTAATCCCAGAATTTTGGGAGGCCGAGGCAGGAGGCTCGCTTGAGCCCAGGAGTTTGAGACGAGCCTAGGCAACGTGGTGAAACCCCATCTCTACCAAAAATACAAAAATTAGCCAGGCATGGTGGAGTGTGCCTGTAGTCCCAGCTACTCGGGAGGCTGAAGTAGGAAAATAGTTTGAGCTTGGGAGGCAGAGGTTGCAGTGAGCCAAGATCGTGCCACTGCACTCCAGCCTGGGTGACAGAGACAGACTCTGTCTCAAAAAAAAAAATAATTAATTAATTAATTAAATAGACACATGCAAAACCATCCCCCACCTCTATCTGATAAATCTTTGAAAAGCATCAGTGGTAGAACCAGATGCAAGAGCTAAAGTCTATGAATAAGCTCATGGAAGTGACAGCTAAGGAAATGCAGGATACAGAGAAATGGATGGTAATTTGCAGACACTCTACTAGAGTCTAATATTATTTTGGGGCCTCTCTGCACCATTACTCTTAAATAAAATGGAGAGAAATAAGTGTTAATACAAGTGTAGAATTACACTACAAGTTCTATTTGTATGTAGCCCTGCCATTCAGGCAAAAAAGGTAATAATGACTTAAGAGATCAGATTGGCTCACTGGAGCACAGCAGTAGCAAAGAAAAGCCCCAAATGATTTACACAGAAGAAAGAAAAGGAAGGCAAGATTGGCCTTTTTACATTCAGCCCCATTTCCTTCACTTAGTCTTACTAGCAGCTATTAAAAAAATTCTTTTTACCAAAATATTTAAATCATGAATTCATTCATGAAGGATAAATGAAGACATTTTTAATTTCTTGTGAAACAGAGAATGTGAATTATTACTTTTCATTCTTTAGGATATTCATCAAAATTACTTTGAGGAAGGCTCCCATATTTCAAATGCTCTATGAGCTCCATTATACCTTCCAATCCTCAGCCAGCCATAGATACAGTCATCGCAAATGTCCAGAGGGCATTCCCCATTACCAGATACATGTGAGGATAGATGAGCATTTGCTGCACTTGTTTTTATTTCAAAAACAAATGCATCTTAGTGACTCATTCCTATTGAGTCTCTCTCAAACATCTCAATTAGTTTTATACAATTTACAATTCTCTTTTTATGCTCACATTTAACTAGTTTACCTATTTAATTAACTCCCATAAATACACTAAAAAGAAAAACCGGTACACACAAAATTTAGAAACCAAAAAAACATGGTTTTTCATAAACCCATACTTCAACAGAGTAGGAGCAGTTATAAAAGTGCAGGGTGCTACATTATTCAGTAGGTTTGAGAGGGAAAATGGAAGGGTTGATTAGAAAGTTGTTTAGGCTGAACAGGTTTGAGGCAGCTTCTTCTGTATTATGTACCTAGCCTTATGTACAGATATAAGAAAAGTGTATGTTATGATACAGCAGCAGCTAGAAGGCCCTGTTCACTAGCAATACCCAGTGCCTAGAAGTACCTGATAAATATTAGCATCCTAATTAGTATTTGTTGAATCAATAGATGATATGCCTATATATTTTAATAAGAATACAAACTCCAGATATCTTTACTAAGTACCTAGATTTGTTTTCTTAACTACTAAAATAGTTATGTTGTTTTATAAATGACTTTTGTTGATTGAAAAGTGCTGGAGGGCCAGGTGTGGTGGCTCACACCTGTAATCCCAGCAATTTGGGAGGCTGTGGTGGGTGGATCACTTGAGGACAGGACTTCAAGACCAGCCTGGCCAACATGGTGAAACCCTGTTTCTCTTAAAAATACAAAAATTAGCTGGATGTGGTGGTGGATGCCTGTAATCCCAGTTACTACAGAGGCTGAGGCAGGAGAATCGCTTGAACCCGGGAAGCGGAGGTTGCAATAAGCCGAGATTGTGCCACTGCACTCCAGCCTGGGTGACAAAGCAAGACTGTGTCTCAAAAAAAAAAAAAAAAAAAAAACAACGGAAAATGCTGGATACTGACCACATTCCAAGTTCCGATTATCCAGCCCCTAAGTGATAAAATGTTCTTTTAAATACTATTCTTCTAAATATGAATATTTCTTTTCTCTGGATTATTGCATAATGTGCCCATCTCCATGTTGTTGTAGTTGTCCCTGGATTGTCTTCATGTCGCAGCTGACCTTTTACAAAACATGTGGGAGCAGAGGTAAAGAAAGAACAGAGAATGTGTTTAACATTTTACTGCTGTACACGCTGCCTCCAGCACATTGCTTTGGCACAAAAAAAATCGCTATTGAATTAACGAATACATTTCCTGTTGTAGGAGCTCAGGACTAAAGTACAGGTCACAGAAATATGTCCCATAATCTCATGTTGGCAACACCAGCCAGAGAGCCCTGAAACAAAGACTTCCATCCCTATTTAGGAAAAAGGGAATAAAAGGGACCCTTGACTTTAAGAAAAATCCACATAGTTTGATAATGGAATAGAGGGATTTGAGTGTGTTTACCATGGTCCTGAGGTACAGAAAAGACCTTCAGGTGATTTCATAAGAATATAATGTAGATGGCATAATGTCCTGACTGGGAAAGTCATGGAACTCCTACAGCAAGGGGCCTTGGATGGCACTTGAATGATCGCATCCTGCTTCTTGATGCCCAAACACCTAAAGCACCTCTAGAAACAAATCTGTTCAGTGTTAGGTGCCAGGATGCTCAACTCAGGATGGCACTGTTAGGCTCTGTACTGCCCTGAGCTCCTTCCCCTCACATCCCTCCCATGCTCTCTATTCAGGTGTGTGAGCAGTTGGCTATACGGTCAAGGTGTTACATCACCACTCCCAACACTGGGGTACCTCTTCTTGCCAGGAATCAGCTTAAAATGCTCACTTATAATGATTTGCCTGCAGCTTGAATGTTATTCTGGGTAAATCTGACTTCACATTTAAAAAACAATCTTTAGGTTCTATATTGAGTGAATAAGATCTTTGCTATCATAACCAAGATCTCTATATTTGGCAAATCACAACTGGAAGGGAACATTAAGCCAATAGAATTTTTCAAATCAAAATGAGTTAGTCCATTTATAGAAAGAAAGGAAAAAAGAGTTATGCTTTGTGCAAATAACTCTGAGATAAAGCAGCCCATTTTCAGCATGACAGTGGTAGAAGTTCAGCATAGCAGCTTTGGAAAATCATTTCTTTGTATGGGCTTTCATTATTTTTGTTTGAATCAGAAGAAATTTCTAGATGATCAGGGAAGTCGTTTTACAAATCAGTAGAATACATATCTACATATAAAGTAGAACCTATAAAATGATTATTAGTTTTTAATAGTGACTTCAGATTCTCCATGCATCTATACTCCTTCATAATTCTAACAATAATAATAATGAAAAGTACCCCATACTGAGTCAGGCACTGTGTTGAACCTTCTGTATACATTATTTTTGAGTCTTCCCAATAGCCCCTCTTAATGTAGGTGTTATTCTCATTATACTGATGCAGAAACTTAGGCACAGAGGTTGAACAACTGGCCTAAGTGACACAGCAATGAGCATCAGAACCAAAGCTGAAACTCAGCTTTGACATGACACAAAACATATGTTTTTTTTCCTTATGCTTTGCTGTTTCATCATAGATACTTTCCAGTAATTCATTGCAGGCAGTTGTGTAATATTCTGAAACATGCTGGTTGTAGATGAAAGAGGAGCATGTGCCACAAACGTCTGGGGACATGGCACCAGTATAAAATGATTTGATTTTTAATGCAGCTCTGCTGTAATACAGAAAGCTTTCCAATTCATACTTGTTAGTACTTCCATATAATAGCTTCCATAACACTGCTCTGTTGAGAAGGCAGAAAGCAGATAAAAAGGGCCTTTTTTGTGTACGTAGAGAAAAATAAAATGCCTTGGAGTTGAACTGATCTAATATTGAAGAGGAATGAACCACTATGAAACAGTGGACCTGGTGGTTAGATATAATGAGTCGTTTTTCCTCTCTGTCTTTATAAACTAGTAAGCAGGCTGGTAACCTGATAAACTAGAAATCCTCCCTCCCCATGCTCTGGTTTTTAAAACAGGCAAAAAGGAAAACAAACAGTCTTTATAAATAAATTAAACTTCTAACTAAAAAGCTAATTATAAGTGTATTTGTTTTGTTGGAGGTAAGGCACATCTATTATCATAAAGATAATTAACTCAGTCTGACAGATCTAATAAAAGGACAAGTTTAGCACTGGCTTAGCCGGAAGCCGAAGGCAAGCAATTTTTATAATTACTAGTTATTGTAACTGGGCTCAGAGAAAATGGTCTGTGATATTTAAACAGTAATGTTAATTTGCATTTAGACCTGCCCTTTTTTTTCCATGAAAGAAAGTAAAAGACTGGATTAAGTACAGGAAACCTCAATAGCTAAAATATTTTTAAATATATAAAAGCACCCAGAATGAAAGTCTCTTCATTTGTAAGCTGAAGAATTTCTCTGAATAGATAATGAATGCCCTTACAAGGTAAATGTCTTAACAATCAGCAAACAATTAAATAACTTAGCCTAACTTTCTAATGCACAAGAGGAAAATACGCTAACTACAATGATTAAAACCATTATGTAGTGTCCCTGTTTCATTCTCTCTTTTATAGATGTGCATGGTTGCATCTATGATTGGCTATCTCTTGAAATGAGGGGATTAAAAAATAATGATAAAATAAAGAGCATTGCAAATAGGCAAGCAAGGATACTGACTTTGTAACCAATTACTTTCACTGTTAGAAAGATGGGGAAAGAAAAGGTAAGGTAGGATACGAAGGAGATGAATGATTTCTACTGTCACCTGGCAACTGCCCTTTAAGTAAGGCTTGTCTCAACATTTCACACCAGACTCCTTCCTGGAGCAAAACAAATCAACCTTTTTAAGAGTGGAAGTTACTCTTTAACTGCTCCTCTAATAAAGGCTGTAGAAATAAGTAATAACCAGTGTCAGAAAACAGGTTTGTAATACACTAAGAAAAGCAATTTAAGGTAAAATATCTGTTAGTCAAATACACATTTTATGTTCTAAAATATGGTGATAGAATCAGCCCATTACATTTGGTAAATATGTTGTATAATTTCTCCATATAATGCCCTATCCACGCTACTGTTACCAAGGTGAATATTTAACCCATCAGCCTGTCTTGCCAATACTTGAAGAAAATGCTGACAAATATATGGCAAATGGTCTTTTCCCCAGCAATCTCCAGGTCTCTGGCTAATAGTTTATTTCTTCACGTTCTCTTTGGTTTGCCTCCATTTAAAATTTTTTTTTCTGTTTCCTGAGATATTGTAACTGGGAAAGCAAGTTTGATATATTCTCTTGTTTTCAGGTTTGTCCTGAGGAGTTGTACTCTTTAAATAGGAACAATAAAAGTTAAAAAAAAAAATGCAATTCTGGCCAGCCATGGTGGCTCAAGCCTGCAATCCCAGCACTTTGGAACTCCGAGGCTGGCAGATTACTTGAGGTCAGGAGTTCAAGACTAGCCAGGCCAACATGGTGAAACCCCATCTCTCCAAAAATACAAAAATTAGCTGGGTGTTGGTGGCACGTGTCTGTAATCCCAGATACTTGGGAGGCTGAGGCAGGAAAATTTGCTTGAACCCAGGAGGCAGAGGCTGCAGTGAGCTGAGATTACACTGGGTAGGTAACAGAGTGAGACTCCATCGCAAAAAAAAAAAAAAAAAAAAAATCCCTGGCTGGGTGATAGCATGAGATTCTGTTTAAAAAAAAAAAAAAAAAAAAAAAGCAATTCTGTGAAGGAAGAACCTCTGTTCCAAACCTGGCAAAGCGACGTTCTTCTCCCATCTCCATTTCTTTTTATTTTCCAATTGATTCCCACCCCTAACACTTAATGCTCTCTCCTCCGATATCTGCTAGATCATACTCTTTTAAACACATTTATGATACACATTTAACTAATATTCATGAATGCAACAGGTTTTTAGATAGATGCTCAGAAAGAAAGAAAAGAAGAAAAAAAAAAGCATTCAATGAATAGAGTTTCTCCTGCCAGAGATCTCCTATTTGAAACCAACATATAGTTAGCCACTCATAATACAAGGTAAAAAGTGCTACAAGGGATAAGTTGGGAAGCTATGGGGAAAGTGGGGCATCTAAACCAAATTTACCAACAGAAAGTTGTTTTAGAAAGAATTCTAAGACAAAGAGTTTGCAAAGATGCTTCTGGGAGGATGAGTTGTGAGGGGAGGGGGGTCAGAACACACTAGATCCAGGGGACAGCATACGCAATGCCAGCAAAGGAAGAGAGGACAAGATTATTCATGGAATGAGAATGATATTATTCTTAGAAACCGTGCCTACATCTACTTACTCATTGAGATTAATCCCTGTCTAGTTTTGGCAGCTCATGTGAAGATTAGACAGATAATCTGAGATACTGTATTCATCTGTATGCCTCTATGTTTTTCTTTTAATTCTAAATTATTAAAACTCAAGCATCATACCCATGACTTCAGTTCCAGAACAAGAATCTACAAAGCAAGCACCGAGAGGTTGCGGAATGCCTGCAACTGAGATCTCAGGATAACAGAAATTAGAACAATTTCATAGGACAGACAGGTATCCTTTTAAGCAACTAATTCTTCTTCTTATTATTATTATTTTTAGTTCTGGGGCACAGGTGCAGGATGCATAGGTTTGTTACATAGGTAAATGTGTGCATGATGGTTTGCTACACCTATCAACCCCGTCACCTAGGTATTAAGCCCAGCATGCATTAGCTCTTTTTTCCTTATGTTCTCCCTCCCCTCCCCCATCACCCCCCGACAGGCCCCAGATTGTGTTGTTTCCCTCCCTGTGTCTATGTGTTCTCGTTGTTATTCTTAACAGCCTCCTCACTGCCACAGTGTGGTAGATCAGAGGCATCAAAAATGAAGTCTTAAGCTTTTATGGGAGTAAGGCAGTAGTCTTCAAACTTATGGGTTTCAGATAATTTCCCTTTATCCAGATATTTATAAAGTAGACAAACCAGAAGTGATTCTGTGTTTTTTCAAGGACCCATTCCAGGTCATCGCTGGGAATGTACCAGTGGCAATGGAGCTTGAAAAATGGGGGAAAAACTGATGAAATAGATATTTCCAACCTTTCTCCACATATGAGTGGTCAGAACACATGCTTCGTTTCTTCTGATTGCCAGAGGTCACTGTGTAAAGGCAGGGTTCATCTGCCTGGAATTGAAACCAAATTAACTATTACTTATATAGTCCCAGGTAGGAGTACATAGCTTTGTGAGGTAGGAGAAAGTTGCTCAGAGATAAAGTGTGGAAAATCTGCATGCTAAGAATCCATATCCTAGTCCTGCAAGTGCAGCATAATAGAGAATAAATAAATGACATAGAGTGGGTAGGAGGTCACAGTAAGAACAACACTTTACTGAAGAAATGTGAATACAATCCTCGATTTTGCAAAACAAGAAGACATGGTGCAACGGATTGTCAAGTCGGTTTGCAGCAAGGTGTGCACCTGGAGAAAGCTATGCCTCAGTACTTAAGAGTGGAAAGATCAGTAAAGAAAGAAGATAGAAGGCTGTGATAAGTAGGAAGGGAGGAGAGAGCAACTGGTCACAAGTCCTGACTTTGAAAGACTATGCTTATTATATATTTATTAATTTATCATTGAATGCAGAATATAGATTTAATAAGATCTTAAACACTAAATCAGGAAACAATATTATGCCTCAAATATCTGTTCTTAAAAATTTCTCTTAGAAATGCATTTGAGAAGGTTTTGTTTATTAGAAGGAATCTAGAGGATTAGGAGGCTCACTGAAGTTTTACTGACGCTATTTTATCCTCATTTTCACTGCAGTATAATTGGCGGAACACTCAGGAAAGAGGTTTGTTTTAACTGTGATTCATTAGTGGAATCAGTCACAAGAGGTGGGGCAACACTGTCTACTTTAAGTGTTACCCAAAGACTGTGCGTTTTTATTATTATCCGTAATTTCTAACACAACAGTTCTGTTACACAAAGCTGCTCAGAATAAGTGTATAATTCCTCTTCAGCTTTTAATGCAGGTCAACTTGTGGGTCTTAAAAGATTGACTGCGGCCCTTTAAAAACATTCTCCAAGCTGTAGTATGTAATTAATCATAGCAACAGATACAAAATGTATTGTTTCCTTGCTGAGAATAGCATGTTTTCTTTGCTTATGAATTGATCCCTTAAACATTCCTCATGGGAATATATTTTTCCCTTCTCATGCAAACTGTCTTTAAACTACAGATGTACTAATCTATCTGTAGGAAGTTCCACAGCTCATTGATTTGTCGGATGCATAGGTATTCGTCTACTTTAGACAGAAAACGGAAAGAAGGAACAATTAATTAAGTCATCCTGCAGTTATTTTTCAAAACTGAAATATAAGCAGTGACAAGAAAACTCGCAAGGCTTCAGAGTTTGGAGCTAGTTTTAATAAGCATCTGAACTTTTGCAAATTGAGTTATTTTGAGGAGGAATAAAAATGTTGTGTTTTGTGTTAGAAAATGCACACACTATTCCTCTCTTATGGGGTTTATCATGTTCAGCCTTCAGGTAAAAGCACGTGTGTAATGATGTGCACCTTCTTGTGTGTTTGTGGGTGCGATATCCTCTATTTGATTGCAAAAGCCTCTAGAAAGAGATTGTTACATGCACCACTCCATATGTTGCCCAGTGCTTAATACAACACTTGCCATTGCTTGCAGGTCATCTACACTTTACATCTTCAACAGAGTACTCATTCATTATTCACTTGTTACTGAACACTAATTGAGCATCTACTAAGTATCATGCCAAAGCTCAGAGAGCTCACAATAGGAAGAAACTCACAATAATTATTTAGAGATAAGTATTACTTGTCCCAATACTTGTCTTCTAGTTTTATAAACCAGTGAACTTTTGAGAAAAAACATTCCCATAAACACAGTCTCTGAACTGTGCTCCAAATCCTTTTGGGAGCAGGCAGGATATAAATGTAAAGCAAATAAAGTGAAGGAGATTATTTGTAGTTTATCCATGAAATATTCAATAAAAACACATCAAGAATCTACAAAACGGAAAGGGCAAAGCTCAGTCTGTTGGTAGCATAACTATTAGAGACTTCAAAGAAAGCAGCAGGAAAGATTCTTCTAAAATGCATAATTAATTTGCCCATTAACCAGTTTAGAGACATTCAGTGAAGTCCAGCTCCCCAACATGACTGATGTGGCCTCTATGCGGTGAGCTCCGCATCTTCGTTCTTCCCATTGCTTTCTGCACTCTGGGCATTCTGAGTGCTCTCCAGTTAGTTTCTTGGAGATGCCAAGTTCTCTCTCACTTCTGAGCCTTCATATATGCTGTTGTTTTTGCCTGGAACCTCTTTCTCTGGCACTCAATTGCCTATTACCTACCTACCTTTCTGGCCTCCACCTAAACATCACTCTGAACATCCTATGTTTCTACTATCTTAATTTTCAATTCATATGAATTTTGGTTTAACGTCTGTCTTCTCTGATAGATTTTGAGCTCCTTGCAGGCAGGATTATACCCACAGCAAATGGCATGCGGCCTGGTTTTAATATGCACATAGAAAAGATTTGTTGAAGTATTGAATTAATAGGAAATTACATATTCTTTTCCCAAATTTCAACAGCATGATTATACAACAAAATAAATTTAATACTTTAAATCTAGCAACCATATTTTAAAATTCCTACTAGTCAGAAATGATTTGGAATGTCTCAGTGATCTGTGGCTCATTGCTTTAAATGAATATAGTCATGACCCTGCAGACACAGTGCAATAGTAAAAGAGAAATTTCTGCCTAAGAGAAAAATACGTTTTTATATTTTATTCATTAATATAAAATATTTCAAAATACAAAGTTACTGACACTGTCTCAACTCTTCCATCATTAACACAGTTAATCGAAGAAAAATTATCATCTCTCTATTGCCAGCTATCAGAAAGCATAGTTATTTTTGTTACTCTTCTCAGATTACAGTTGGTAGGTAATTTAAAATATTGATTGAGGTGAGAACATGTTTTTGTTTGATTTGGTTTGTCCTAGTAGAATGGAATAAAATGAAGCATTTTAGCATCTGAAAGTCTGTGCTCAAGATCTAGCTCTTTTACTTTTAAATTCTGGGCTAGTAATTTAAATTCTCTGCGCTTCTGTTTTTCTTATTTTTGAAAAATGGGAATACTATAAAATATTTTAGAAGATCAATTCAAAAAATTTTATTTACCAGTTGCCATAATTTCAGTCACCATTCCAGACCCTTCAAATAAATTAGATATAAGGCAAATAAATCCAAGACTCACCACTTACAGAACTTATAATTTAGAGGAACGTCCAGAAAGGAAATTACTTATAAATGCTGTAGTACTATACAAATGACAAAGTGTTTTTTATTAGCTTTGATTGCTTTCAGCTCTGAATCTTGTAACCTTAAAGAGCTTAGTTCTGTCAGACATTGCACCTGTGATATTTAGTGATAACATGGCCTTTATGCTTGAAGAGGCTGAATCTATTACCAAATTGATAAATCTCTAGCCAGGTTAACTAAGAAAAAAGATAGAAGACAGTAATCATTAATATCAGAAATGAGAGAGGTTCCATCACTACCGATCCCATGAACATTAAAAGGATAATAAAAATATATTACGAAAAATTCTATACCTACAAATTTGATATCTCAAAAATTCTTCTTATTCATGTATGTGGAATATCTTGCAATTTATTTAGATCTTTGATTTATTTCATCAGAGATTTTTCATTTTCTTCATAAATATATTGTGAATATTTTGATAGATATATATCTATGAATTTCATTTATTTATGCTAATGTAAGTGGTATTGTGATTTAATTTAAAATGACAATTTTTCATTGCTTTTATATAAGAAAGATGATCTTCACATTTTAATCTTACATTCTGCAATCTTGTTATAGTTGCTTAGTAGTTCTAGAGGTTTGTTTTTGTTGATTATTTAGGATTTTCTGCATAGACAATTATGTCATCTGAAAGCAAAGGCAGTCTTATTTCTCCCTTCCCAATCTGTATACATTTCTTTTTATTTTTATTATATTAGCTAAGACTCTCATCACACTGCTGAATAGGAGTGGTAACAGGGCATATCCTTGCCTGGTTTCTGATTTTAGCAGAGATGCATTTATTTTTTCACCATTAATTATGATACTAACTGTAGGGTTTTTGGAGATGTCCTTTATCAAGTGAGGAAATTCCCCTCTAAGTTCGCTGCACATTTTTATTACCAATGTTTCGGTTGTTATAAAATACTTATTCATGATGGATTGATTTATATGAATTGATTTTCAGATATTGAATAGACTTGAATACCTGAAATAAATCCCACTTGGGTTGTGATGTGTACCTCTATTTTTATACATTGATACGATCAACTTGCTAAAATTTTTTGAGGATTTTAGGTAGGTCTGTGTAATAAGAGATGTTGGTCTGTAAATTTCTTTGGTTACCTCTTTGTCTTGTTTCGCTATTAAGGTAATGCTAGCCTCATAGAATGAGTTAGGAAATATTCCTTCACTTTTATTTTCTAAAAGAGGTTGAAGGGAACTAGCATAATTTCTTCCTTTAAGATATTTAATGTTTGGTAGAATTCACCAGTGAACCTATTTGGGCCTTGTGCTTTTTTGGAAGGTTTTTAATTATTGATTCAAAATCATCAGTAGTTATAGGCCTACTCAGATTATCTATATCTTTTGGTGTGACTTTTGTCAAATTATTTTAAGAAATGGTCAATTTCATCTAAGTTATCAAATTGGTGGGCATAGAGTCATTTATAACATTTCTTTACTTTTATTTTAATGTCCATGGTATCAGTAGTGATGGTCCTTCTTTCTCCGACATTAGCAATTTGTACCTTTTCTCTTTATTTCTTGGTTAATCTGGCTGGATCTTTACAAATTTATTATCTTTTGAAAAAAATAGCATTTGGTTTTATTGACTTTTTTCCCATTGGTTTGTTTATAATTTCATTGATTTAAAATTTAATTGTTATGTATTTCCTTCTGCTTATTTTAGATAATTTGTTCTTCTTTTTCTAGTTTTCTAAGGTAGAAATTCAGATTATTTTAGCTTCCAAATGTAGGAGCTCTAAAACTATAAAACCTTTAGAAGAAAACATAGGGGTCAATCTTTATGACCCTAGATTTGGCAAAAAAAAAAAAAAAAAAAAAAAAAACTTAGATATGGAATAAAAGTCACAGGTAACCAAAGAAAAAAGTAGGTAAATTGAATTATATCAAAATTAAAAACTTCTGTGATACAAAGAACTCTGTGAACAAAGTAAAAAAACAACACACAGAATGGGGAAAACAAAATCACACATTTTTAAGGGATTTTTGTTTGGACTAAATATATCAATAATAAAAAGAAACTCAGTTTAATAAATGGGCAACTGATCTAAATAGACTTCTCTCCAAATAGACAAAAAGTACATAAAAAGATGCCCAATATTATTAGTTATCAGGGAAATGCAAACTAAAATCACAATGAGATACAACTTTATACCCCCTAAGATGGCTAGGATCAAAAAGACGGATAATAGCAAGTGCTGGTGAGGATATGGAGAAATTGGACACTTTGTACACTGCTGGTAGAAATGTAAAATGACCAGTGCAGCCACTGTGCAAAACACTCTATCAGTTTCTCAAACAATTAAGCATGGAGTGGGCATATGACTCAGCAATTTCTCTACTAGGTATACACCCAAGAGAAATGAAAACATATGTCCACATAAAAAACTTCTTCACAAGTGTTGATAGCAGTATTTATGACATTTAAAATGTGGAAACAACCCAAATGTCTATCAGCAGACAATTGGATAAATAAAATGTGTTATATACATACAGTTACTATTTGGAAATAAAAAAAAATAAAGTACTGCTACATCCTACAACCTGAATGAGCCTTGAAATAGTAAGATGCCAATCACAAAGATTCCCATATTATGTGATTTCATTCACATGCAAATCCAGAACTGGCAAAACTATAAACGAAAACCATAAATCCAAATTTGCTTAGAGTTGGGGACAGAAAGAGGAGTGAGGTGGGAGGATATAAAGGTGAAAGCTAAAGGATATGGTGTTTCCCTTTGAAGTACTGAAAATTTTCAAAAATGTATTAACTGTGGTGATAGTTCCACCTATCTGTGAATACACTAAAAATTATTGAATTGTACACTTTAAATAAATGAAATATATGCTATGTAAGTTATATTCCAATAGAGCTATTTTTAATTTGAAAAATTTATTCTTATTTTTTTTCCTAATACATGCATTCAAAGCTGTATGTTTCCTTCTAAACACTGTTTTTCTTGTATCCTACAAATGCCAATAAGTTGTATTTTCATTTTCATTCAGTAAAAACATTTTTAAATTTCTCTTGAGGCTTCTTTTTTGATCTATGTGTTATTTGGAAGTATTTTAACTTTGAAATATCTGCGTGTTTTACAGCTATCTTTCTATTATAATCTCTAGTTCAGTTCCACTGTTTTCTGAAAAGACACTGCGTGATTTCCATTCTTTTATCATTTGTTAAGTGTATTTAATGGCTCAGAATGTAATATGTCTTGGTGAATGTTCCATGTGAGATGGAGGATAATGTGTATTCTGCTGTTGTTGGATAAAGTTTTATATAATGTCAATTGTAATCAGTTGATTGATGGTTCTGTTCTGTTTAACTATTATTTGATGATTTTCCACCCACAGTGTCTATTAATTACTGGAAGAGGGTTGCTTAATTCTCCAACTACAGTAGTGGATTCATCTATTTCTCTTTGTATTTCTTTTAGTATTTGCCTCATGTATTTTGATGATTTCTTTTTAGGTATATACACATTAAATATTATTGTATATTCTTGGAGAATTAAATCTTTTATCATTATGTAATGTCCTTATCTATCCAAGGTAAATTTCCTTGTTCTGAGTTCTGTTTTGTCTGAAATTAATGTAGCTACTCCAACTTATTTTGCCTAGTGTTGGTATGGTGTCTTTTTCTCCATTCCTTTAAAACTATCTGCATCTTTACATTTCAAGTAGATTTCTTATAGACAAAACACAGTTGCATCTTTTTATTTTTTACCCACTCTGCTAGTCTCTGTTAATTAATTGGTATATTTAGACCATTGATGTTTAAAGGGACTATTGATATAGTTGCACTTATACATACCATATTTTTTACTCTTTTCTATTCTTTGCTACTTTTCTTTCTTTCCTTCCTTTCTTCCTTTTTCTGTTACCCCCCTCTCTTTTTTTTGTTTTTTACTATCTTTTATTCCTCTCTGGATGTGAAGCATTTTATATGATTCAATTTTCTGTCCTCTCTTTGCATATTAATTCTGCCTTTTTAACATTTTTATCAATTGCTCTCGAGTTTGCAATATATATTTACATCTATCCCAAGTTCACTTTTAAATAAAACTAAACCATTTCACAAATAGTAAATGTACCTTCCAACAGAGTATTCTCAATTCTTCCTTCCTGTCCCTTATAACATTGCTGTTTTTCATTTTACTTTTCCATAATCTATAATCATTGAATACATCTTTACTATTATTATGTTGAACAAACATTACCTGTTTCATTAACTTAGGAATAAGAGAAATAAAAGTTTAATTTTACTTTTATTTGGTCCTTCTCTAACGCTCTTTATATGTAGACCCAAGTTTCTTTTTATTTTACTTTAAGTTTGGGATATGCAGAATTGTTGCATAGGTATACATGTGCCATGGTGGTTTGCTGCACCTATCAACCCGTCATCTAGGTTTTAAGCCCCATATGAATTAGCTATTTGTCCTAATGCTCTCCCTCCTTACCCTCATCTTCCAACCCCCAACTGGCCCCGGTGTGTGTTGTTCCCCCCCTTGTGTCCATGTATTCTCACTGTTCAGCTCTCACTTATGAGTGAGAACATGTGGTATTTGGTTTTCTGTTCCTGTGTTAGTTTGCTGAAGATGATGGCTTCCAGTTTCATCCATGTCCCTGCAAAAGACATAATCTCATTCCTTTATGGCTGCATAGTATTCCATGGTGTGTATGTACCACATTTTCTTTATCCTGTTTATCACTGATGGGCATTTTGGTTGGTTCCATGTCTTTGCTATTGTAAATAGTGCTGCAATAAATACATGTGTGCATGTGTCTTTATAGTAGAATTACTTATATTCCTTTGGGGTATATAACCAGTAATGCCTTTGCTGGGTCAAAGGTATTTCTGGTTCTAGATCTTTGAGGAATCACTACACTGTCTTCCACAATGGTTGAACTAATTTACATTCCCACCAATAGTGCAAAAGTGTTTCCATTTCTCCACAGCCTCGTCAGCATCTATTGTTTTTTGACTTTTTAATAATCGCCATTCTGATGGGCTTGAGATAGTATCACTGATCATTAGAGAAATGCAGACCTAAGTTTCTAGTCTATATTATTTTCCTTTTCTGAAAAAAATTATTTTTCCGTTTCTTGCAAGGCAGATCTACTGGAAGCAAATTCTCATAATTTTGTCTGCCTGAGAAAGTCTTTATTTTCTATTTTGAAGGATAATTTCACCAGATACAGAATTCTAGGCTAGTAGTTTTTTTTTCAGTACTTTATTTTACTCCACTCTCTTCTTATATGCATGATTTTTGAAGATAAGTCTAATATAATTCTTATTTTTCTCTATACACAAGGTGGCCTTTTTCTCCGGCTTCTTTCAAGATTTTTCTTTGTCTCTGGTTTACTGCAGTTGAAATATATGATTAGGTGCAGAATTTTTGGTAATTATCCTACTCTGAGCTCCTGGATATGTGGTTTGGTGTCTATTGTTAGTTTTGGGAAATCTTCAATTATTATCACTTCAAATATTTACTGTGTTTTACTCTCTCTTCTCCTTCAGGTATTCCCATAATACATATATCATACCTTTCATAATTGTCCCTCGGTTTATGGATATTCTGCTTCATCCTTTTCATTTTTTTCTCTTTGCATTTTGATTTTAGATGTTTCTATTGCTATTTACCCAAGCTCACTGATTCTTTGCTTACTATGTCTAGTATATTAATAAACCCATGAAATTCATTCTTTCTTTTTTATAGTATTTTGGATTTTTAACTTTTTAACTCTTTTATACAGTTCACATCTCTTTGCTTACTTTACCTTTCTGTTTTTGTATGTTGTTCACTTTTTCCATTAGAAATCTTAGCATATTAATTGTCATTGTTTTAAATTCCCAATCTGATGATTTTAAAATTTCTGCCATGTCTGAGTGTTGCTCTGACACCTGCTGTTTCTCTTGTGTGTTTTAGTCTTCTAGCATCACTGTAATATTTTATTGAATGATGAGTATGCTAGGTGGGAGGAATTTAAGTACATAGTCCTGTAGTGTGGGGGTTGTGCTTATATGATTAGGAGTTAGGCAGTGTTTGATTTGCTGCAGCGGTAGGGGTGAGAAGCTAAAATTTCTTCAGTTGTTCTTACATTTTTTTCTTTTGCTGTCTTGTTTCCCTAGAAATATCTTCTTAAATAAGTTCTAAAATGTTCAGTTCTTTCCATTGTAATACATGAGCTCTGTTGGTGTGGTGGAAAAATGTAGAGAGAAGGGAAGTAATCACGGTGTATAATCCTTTTAATGTGCTGCTGAATTATAGTTGCCAGTATTTCTTAAAGAGTTTTGCATTTATATGTATCAGGAATATTGGCCTGTCATTTTCTTTTCCTGTAGTGTTCATGTCTGGCTTTGGTATCAATGTAATTCTGGCCTTTTAATATCACTTTGGAAGTATTCCCTCCTCTTCAGTTTTTTGAAGGAGTTTCAGAAGGTTAACATTCATTCTTCTCTAAGTGGTAGAATTCACCAGTAAAGCCACTGGGTCCTGAGCTTTTCTTGCTGGGACATACTGGATTACTAACTGAATCTTCTTACTCTTTATTGGTCTGATCTATAAATTAAACCAAGAGGATGAAAAACTTGCACATTAAAACTACAAAACATTAATTAAAAAATTAAAAAGATAAAAATAAATTGAAAGACATCTATGTTCACAGATTGAAGAACATATTATTATTAAAAATGTCCATACCACACAAAGTGATCTATAGATTCAATGCTATCCCCAGCAAAATCCTGATAGTATATTTTTACAGAAATAGAAAAAAATTGTAAAATTTATTTGGAACCACAAAAGGCCTAGAATAGCAAAATCAGTTTTGAGAAAAAAGAAACCTGGAGGCATCACACTTCCTGATTTCCAACTACATTACACCACAGTATTTTAAACAGTACAGTACTGGCATAAAGACAGGCATATAGACCAATAGAGCAGAACAGACAGACGGAAATACAGTAGTCCTACCTTTATTCATGGTTTCACTTTCCAGAATTTTAGTTACACATAATCAATCATGGTCTGAAAATATTAACTAGAAAATAACAGAAATAATTTATCAGGTTAAATTGTGCACTGTTCTAGGTAGTGTGATGAAATCGCACACTGCCCCACACTGTCCTATCCCATATATGAATCATCACCTTTGTCCATCACATCCCTACTATACATGTTACCCTCCTGTTGGTCACTTAGTAGCCATTTCTGACATCAAACTGACAGATCACAAGGAGAAGAAGAGTGGGCACAGTACACTAAAATATTTTGAAAAAGAGAGAGACTGAGAAACATTAAAATAACTTTTATCATAGTATACATTATAATTGTTCTATTTTATTATTAGTTGTTGTTAATTCCTTGCTGTGCCTAATTTATATTAAAATGTATCGTGTTTGTGTGTATATATGTATAAAACATAGTTTATATATACATATTTGTATATGTGTATAACACAGTTAATATATACATGTGTGTATATAAAACATATATATATATATATATATATATATATATTTTAAAAAATAGTATTTCTAGGGTTCCCTACTGTTCAAAATTTAGACATCCACTGGAGGGCTTGGAACATTTCCTCCACAGATAACAGAGAACTATTATAACCTCACAGACATATGGTCAACTGCCAAGAATACATAATGAGTAAAATACAGTCTTTCAACAAATGCTGTTGGAAAAACTGGATATTCATACGCAAAAAAATGGGCCTTATACCATACACATAACTCAAAATTGATTGACAAATTAAACACAAGATTTGAAAATGTAAACCTATTAGAAGAAAAAATAGGATAAAACTCCTTAATATGGATTTTGGCAGTAATTTATTGGATATGTCACCAAAAGGATAGGCGACAAAAGCAAAAATAGGTAGGTGAGACTAAGTCAGACTAAAATCTTCTCTACAGCAAAGAAAACAACCAACAGTGTAAAAAGGAAACCTACAGAATGGGAGAAATATTTATAAACCATATATCTGATAAGGGGATAGTATCCAAAATATATAAGGAACCCCTATAACCAAAAGTAATAAAGAAACGAACAATCTAAATTTAAAAATGGGCATTGAAAAGCAATTTCTTCAAAGAAGACATACAAATGGTCGACAGGCATATGAAAATGTGCTAAACATCACTAAATATCAGGAAAATGAAAATCAAAACCACAATGAGATATCACTTAATACCCGTTAGGATGGCAATTACTATTTTTTAAATGCTAAGAAATCCTGGCAAGGATGTGGAGATATTGGAACCATGTATGCCATTGGTGGAAATGTAAAACAATGCAACCACTATGGAAAACAGTATAGAGGTTCCTCAACACATTAAAAATAGAACTACTTTGCGATCCAGCAATCCCGCTTCTGGGTATATATGCAAAATAATAAAAATAACTATCTTGAAGAGATATCTTTACTCCCATGTTCACTGTAACATTATTCAAAACAGCCAAGATATGAAAACAACTTAAATGTTCATCAATGGATGAACAGAAATTAAAATGTGGTGTATATATATGAATGGACTATCAATCGACCTTTAAAAAGAAGGAAATCCTATTATTTATGACAACATGGATGAACTTGGAAAACATTATGCTAAGTGAAATAAGCCAGTCACAGACAGACAGATATTGAATGAATCTATTTATTTGAGGTATCTAAAATAGTCAAACTCATAGAAGCAGAAAATAGAATGGTGGTTGCCAGGATCTGGGGACAAGAGGGTTATAAGGGAGTGTTGCTTAATGGATACAAAATTTCAATTATGCAGGATGAATACGTTCTAGAGATCTGCTATTCAGTGTAGTATCTATGTAGTTAACAATACAATACTGTGCACATTAAAACCTGTTGAGAGGGGAAATCTCATATTAAGTGTTACCAACAACAACAAAAATGCACAAAGGGACATAGGAAACTTTTGGAGGTGATGAATATGTTTATTATCTTGATTGTGGCAGTGTTACCATGGGTGTATGCATATGTCCATATTCATCACATTGTATACATTAAATATGTGCAGTTTTTTTGTATATCAATTATATCACAATAAAGCTGTTTTAAAAATTGCTTCCTTTACTTCCAAGTTTTCAAGGGGTTTTAAAAATCAGAAATGGATGCTGAGTCTTCTACATGTTTTTTCTGCATCAAATGAAATGATAGTATGGGTTTTCTTCATTTATCCAACATGATGAATTATCTTAATTTTTGAGTACTGATCCAGAATTCCAGGGATAAACTCCACATTTTATGACATATTATCTTTTTGTATCTACTTCTGAATTCAGCAGGCTAATATTTTTCTTGAGAAGTTTTGTGTTTATATTCATGGGCAATATTGTTCTGTACTTTTCTTGTAATGTCTTTATCTCATTTTGATCTCTTAAAATGAGCTGAGATGTTCTCTCTCCTATTTTCTAGAACACACTTTGCAGAATTAGTTATATATATTTCCTTAACTATTCAGTAGAATTCACAAGAGCAAATACCTGGGAATGTGGTTTTCTTGTTGGAGAAGTTTTAACTATGAGTTCAATTTCTTTAACTGATATATAATTATTCTGTTATCTGTTTTTCCATGAGTGAATTTTGGTATTATGTGTCTTTCAATGAATTTGTGCCTCAAGTTGCAAATTTATAGAAATAGGGTGTTTATATTATCCTTTTCCTCTTGTTAATATCTGTGGGGCCTGTGATGTAAGTTGATCATTTTATTATTTTAATTCTATTAGTGTTTATGGGGTCTGCAGACATATCCTCTCTTTCAATTCTGATAAATTATGTATTTTCACTTATTTTCTTAGTTTGGCTAGAAATTTATTAATTTTTTCCATTGTTCATTGATTTTATCTAATGACTTTCTATTTTTAACTTATCATTATTATTTTTATTTTCTGTTTGCTTTGGTTTAAGTTTACTCTTTAGTTTATTTTTCTAATTTCTTAAGGTAGAAGCTGAGATTATCTGACCCTTTTTTCTATTCTAACATAAACATTGAATGGTATAAACTTCACAGTGACCATTCCTGTAGCTGCACACCACAAACTTGAATATGTTGTGTTTTTGTTGTTATTCAATCCAAAATATTTTTCAATTTCCCTTAAGAATTTCTACTTAATTCATGGATGAGACATAATTAAATGTGTGCTATTGACTTTCCAAATATTTACATGTTTTCCCAGGTATCTTTGTTACTTACTTCTAGTTTCATTCCATTATGGCCAATAAATATACTTTGTATGATTTCTGATCTCTAAATTTGTTGAGATTTGTGGCCCAGAATTCAGTCTGTCTTGATGAATGTTGTATACACATTTAAAAATTAAGTGTACTCAGGTATTGTTGGGTGGAATCATCTCTAAATGTAAAATAGGTCTATTTGGTTATAGGGTAATTCAATTCTTGTATATTCTTATTTTTCTTCACTTCTACTATCAATTACTGATACTGTCAATTACTGATGAATATATGAGTGAAGTCTCCAACTATGATTTTGGATTTTCTTTTAATTCTATAAGTATTTTATCAAGTACTTAAAAATTCTGCTGAGCACATACACATTTATAATTGTTGTATGTTCTTGAAAAATTGACTATGTTACCATTAGGACACTTCTTATTTTAAAGTCATTTATTTACTTTCTTTTGGCTAGTATTTGTATGATATATCCTTCTCCATTTTTTACTGTTTTGTTGTTGTTGTTTGTTTTGTTTTTGTTTTTTGTTGTTTTTTTTTTAAGAGGCAGGGTTTCTCTGTTACCCAAGATGATCTCAAACTCCTGGGCTGAAGTGATCCTCCTGCCTCAGCCTCCTGAGTACCTAGGACTCTAGGACTACAGGTGCATGCCACCACACTCTGCTAATTTTATCATTAGATTTTTAAGACTTCCCAGCGAACAATTCTACAACTTCTCTTTGTAAGTAAATCTACTGACTTGAAAAGTGTAGAACCAGAAAAATCTAAAATCAGAATCCCTCACACTTCCATCCAAAATCATTCAACTGTAAAACACCTCTCCCTTCCAAGCTGAGATAATCTGTTTACCTTCACCTAACAAAAAGACTTTTGTAGAGAAAAATATTACTTGTTTTCTTTATTACCATATTCCCATGTTATCCTGAAAGTAAAAAACGAAAGCAGTTGTTTAGCACCAGAAGAACAGTATTAGTTCTTCTGGTTTTTATTTATTCTGTGAAATTTCAATTGTGAAAATCAAATTTTTATCTTGATCTAATGATTCAGGAATCGGGGTCATAACATGCATTTATATACAGTTAACTTTACTGAGTGGTGGAGTATCCAACAAAACTATTGGATATCTGATATAGATATCTGAAATATCTACATTCAGACATGTGTTATGTTCTTTGGAGATACAAAATCATAGTTAGCACACAATTATATTGATTGTTTTTTTGCTATCTAGTTAGGTGACCCAACATAGACATTTATTAGTAATATAAGATAGTAAATGCTGAGTGTTTAATATTTAATTTATAAATGCTTGGGTAGGGCGGTGCTCAGGAAAAGTGTTTAAGGAGCCATGACCTTTTGATGAATGCATTACAAATACGCCTAATACTTGGAACTATCCTGTGACTAGGAATTAGTATCCCAAATATTGAGGCAACGGAGGCTAAGAGAGGTTAGATCTCAGACCTAAATATTTGAACTATGGTTGGTTTACATGATACAGTGACAATAAAAGTGTTATGTGATCTTATTTGAAAATAGAGTCAGTGCAGCTGTAATTAGTTAAGACTAGTTCATACTGGAGTAGGAGGGCTCCTTATCCAATATACGGGCTTACTTATAGCGACACAGTCATGTAAGAACAGCAGCGCACACGAGATCTCCATGTAACAATGAAGACAACGATTGGAGTTATGTAGCTGCAAGCCAAGAAATGTCAAAGATTGCTAGTAAACCACCAGGAGGGAGAAAGGATTCTCCCACAGATTTCATAAGGAGTATGTCCCTACTGGACATCTTAATTTTGGACTAAACGCCTATAGAACTATGAGATAATACATTTCTGTTGTGTGTTGTTTCAAGCCACCCAGTTTGTAGTACTTTGTTATAGCAGCCTATAAATTAACACAAGTGGCTAGTGTATTAGAAAAGCATATTGGGTGGTACACTCTCCAGACTGTCATTTCATTTTGAGTGGGTACAATGGTGTGAAGTTCAGTAAGAAATGTATTATTGTAGGTCACTGATATTAGGTCACTGGTTATACCACAGCAGTAAATTTCAGCCATATACAGTGACCCTTAAACAACATGAGTTTGACTTGTGTGGGTTCAATTATAGGTGGAATTTCTTCCACCTCTGCCACCCCTGAGATACCAAGACCAATCCTTCCTCTCCCTCCTCCTCCTCAGCCTACTCAACATGAAGACAATGGAGATGAGGACCTTTATGATGATTGACTTTTACTTAATGAATAGTAAATACATTTTCTCTGACAATTTTTAATAATATTTTATTTTCTCTAGCTTACTTTATTGTAATAATGCAGTATAAAATAGACATAGCATACAAAATATGTGTTAATCAACTGTTTATGTTATTGGTAAGGCTTCTGGTCAACAGAAGGGTTAAGTTTTGGGGAAGTCAAAATTTATACACAAAATTTATACACAAAAATTTAACTGTGCAAGCGGGTCAGGACACCTAACCCCTATATTGCTCAAGGGTAGTACTATTCTTGTGCAGGTCAATTAAAAGGTACAAACCAGGCCAGGCACGGTGGCTTAAGCCTGTAATCCCAGCACTTTGGGAGGCTGAGGCGGGCAGATCACGAGGTCAGGAGATCAAGACCATCCTGGCCAAAATGGTGAAACCCTGTCTCTACTAAAATACAAAAAATTAGCCAGCCATGGTGGTGCGTGCCTGTAGCCCCAGCTACTCAGGATGCTGAGGCAAGGGAATCGCTTGAACCCAGGAGGTGGAGGTTGCAGCGATGCAAGTTCAGGTCACTGCACTACAGCCTGGCGACAGAGCAAGACTGTCTCAAAAAAAAAAAAAAAAAAAAAAAAAAAAAAAAAAAAAAAAAAAAAAAAAAAGGGACAAACCAGAGGCTTTGAGAAAGATGCTGATATAGCTACCGTTGGTTCACTAGAACCACAAAGGGGGCTCTCTATACTTAGGAAGAGAGGAATAGGTACAGGTAGTACACAATTTGTATTGTAGTGTGGGATTGTTAAAATGACCATGCAAGCTGAAAGTATGCAAAACGACATTTATGATCAATGGGGAAAATTAGGACAGCTTTTTAACATTTGAAAACTTTTGTCAAAACATTATTTTACTGTCTATTGAAGATGCACAGAAACATAAAAAACACAGTAACACTAATAGTGATTTAGTACACTGTAATTTAAAGCATTGCAAAGATTGAGAATTAAAGTATTTTATGTGTCAAGATTAGTTTGAATGGTGCTTTCTTTCTTCTTCTTGTCATATGATTAAAAATAGGGAGCAAAGACCTTTTCTATGACTTGGCAAATTACCATACATCTTTCTAAGGTGGGCTCAGTTTCCAGTATTTTATCTTTTGCAATTTTAATGTTTTAAAATATTTTGAGAATTCCTTTAATGTAAAGTTTCTGCTGGAATTACTTCAGCTAGGATATGGGCATCCTTTTTGTCATGACCACTTTTTTCATGTATGTTGATTCACTATTTCATATTTAGGATCTTCAAATGGTGGCAGTTTCAATATTCCACACTCAGCTATTTCTTCTATAACCCCATTTACATTTTATTCAAGTTTTACTTCCAATATTTTCACTTTTCTTTACTGAACTTTTTTCTTTGTTAGCCAATTCTCTCCTTTAATTATCCATTTGTGTAAAATTCTAAATGCCATGGACTGAATGTGTCCCTCAATCTCCAAAATCTATATGTAGAAGCCTAAATCCCCAATATGATGGTATTTGGAGGTGAGGCCTTTGGGAAGTAATTAAGTCATGAAGGTGGAGCCCTCATGGATGATATTAGTGCCCTTATCTGATAAAGCACAAGAGTTATGATCCTCTCTCTACAGCGTGAGGATGCAACAAGAAAGTGGCTGTCTGCAAGCAAGAAGGAGAGCCCTTGCCAGATACCATTTCTGCCTGCACCTTCTTCTTGGACTTCCCAGCATCCAAAACTATGAGAAATCAGTTTATATGGCTTAAGCCATCCAGTCTATGGCATTCTGTTATAGTTGCCCAAACTGACTAAGTCAGCTTCTTCATTACTGGGAGACAATGAGGCAAAATAACTGCATCACTTTGCTATCTGCAGGTCAACTGACACACAATGCACACAGTAACAATCATCAATAGACTTTGAAAGAAGTGGAATGATTGATTATTATTAGGGACATCTGTTATGTATATAGTGATTTGTGGACTGAAGAGATTCATGGAAGTTGGTCCTTTATGCAATTACTCATAGTTAATAACCATGGTAACTGAAATTTGAACCTCATTCTGAAGGACTGGTGTTATTTAAACCATGCTAAGTTTGTTCATATTGGAACTATCAAAGTGAGGATTGCCTGCATATATTTACATATGCATGAGGGGTTAAGAGTTATATAGTAGGGAATGAGTTTAAAGAAGGAGTAAATGTATAGGACAGTGGTTCTCAAAATGTGGCAATCAGAACAGAAACATTGGCATTATCTGGGAACTTGTTAGAAATGCAAATTTCAGTCCCCGCTTCAGACTGACCAAATCAAATACCAGGACAGTTGTGTTCCATAATAACATCTCCAGGTGATTCTCATACTAAAATCTTGGGACACATTGATATAGAAGATACAAAGTAACATGGTGGAAAGTGAGGATAGGAGTACACTTCTTATTTTAGAAGTAAGAGATATATTTGCAGAATAAGTTCTTTAAGATTCTATGCGTCAGAGTTGCCTCTACAAATAGGTGGTTATGTGAATAGGCTCATGCAGGTTTATAGCAACTAAAAATACAAATTGACAGGAGGTACCAGCATAACTTTCTCAAGTCTATGTCATTTAGGCCATGGAAAAATCACGGTTAACAGGGAATATTAACGGAAAAGCCATCAAAGTCACTGTTAGTAATTGGCAGAGAAAAAAATTAAGCTCACTTCCTTTTGCCTCAATATTTCATGTTCTTCAACTTCTATCACACTGTTTATTCATGATTTCAGGGAAGCACCACACTATATCAAGGGCTTATTCATGGCTGGGCACAGTGGCTCACACCTGTAATCCTAGCACTTTTGGAGGCTGAGGTGGGCAGATCACTTGAGCCCAGGATTCGAGACCAGCATGGGCAACATGATGAAACCCCATCTCTACAAAATAATAATTAAAAAAAAATAGCCTGGTGTGGTGGCTCATGTCTATAGTCCCAACTACTCAGCAGGCTGAGGTAGGTAGATCACCTGAGCTTGGGGAGGTCAAGGCTGCAGTGAGCCACGATTGCACCACTGCACTCCAGCCTGGGTGACAGAGAGAGATCTGTCCCAAAAAAAAAAAAAAAGAAAGAAAACAAAAAGAAAAAAAAGATCTTTTTCATGGGTTTATATTTATATCTCACAAATGTGTATGTGGTATAATAATAATAATACCTACTTCATCTGGTTTTTGGAAGGATTGAAAGAGGTAATGTAAGTAAAGTTCCTAGTCCAGTGAATTATACTTGATAAGAACTCAAGTCTATTCCCACATTCTCACATGAATTCAAATCTCCCATTTCTCATTACTTGTTTTATAGTTATCTTATATGCACGAATGCATCACTAGTTTAAGACGATAGGGTCATGTGTTTTGTTTACTGATATAATCCAAGATTCTAAAAGTATGCCAAATAGAGTAGGTTGTTAATTAAAATTTGTTGAATAAATGGCCTCTCCAATTAACATCTCAATCAAAACATTGAGGGTTGAACACATGATCATCTTCTTACTGCTAGATGTCTCCCAGTGTATTTTCTAAATTTCTTCTAAAGTAATAGGGGCCTCTCTGTCCTAGTCCATTTTGCTGCTATAACAAAATACCTAAGACTGGATAGTTTATATGAAATGTAAGTTTTATTTTCTCCTAGTTCTGGTGGCTTAGAAGTCCAAGATCAAGGCACTGCCAGGTTCAAATGTCAGGTGAGAACTGTATCCCACAGAGGAGAGGAATACTGTGTCTTCATGTGTCAGAAGGAAGCAGGGTATGAAAGCCCAACATTGTGTGAAGTCTCATAAGAACCTTAATTATAGCTGTGCAGAAGGAGCTTTCATGACCTGATCACCTCTTAAAGCCCCTACCTTTTCATGCCATTACATTGACCATTAAGTTTCAACACCTGAATCTTCGGAGGGACATACTCAAACTATAGCATTCTCTTTCAGCTACATAAACCCAAGTAATTAAGTTTTGAACACTGAGACATGAATGAAAACGATTTGCGCAATATCTGAGCATGCCCTGTGCCTCTGCCTTTCACAATAGCTGAAACAGGGACTTAGGCACCATCTTGGTGCATCTTGGTGTGTGCAGATGTAGACAACCTGATTTTGTGGATGACTTATAGGACAGAAGGATCCTGGGCATCTGATGGCTTTTCAGAGATGCCATACCTTCGGACTTTCATGTGTGAAAGAAAAAACCAAGCATATATTTGGTTATGTCAAAATGTCACCATCATTCTAGTCTTTTAGTTCCCAACATATTTCCCTCTTTCTTTGAAGGACCAGCTAACCTCTCCAAGCTTTAAGTCCTTGTTCAAAGTCCTTATTCTCCATAAGGACAACCAGGCAATTTTCAAAGCATGAGAATAATTATTTGAGAAAGAGAAGAGTGTTTGCATGGGATGTGATAATACCTAAGCTTTGTCTCAGTCTGTTTGAGGGGTTGGGATAAACTTGATGAAAGCACTCCTCATAGAGAAAGAGGCTGTCTGTAGTGGAAGATCTCAGCATTATGGAACGTGGGATAAAGACAGCATATTCAGAGGGAGATGTAAATCATATTCAAGAATGTATGCAAAGGCTATATGGCTAGAAAGGGCCTCGGTGAACATATCAAAAGGTCAGAACTTGGAAGAATCAGTGCAAATTAGGAAGTAGAAAATGAGATAGATCCAGGAAAGTGGTACAGGAATGACACTCTAAAAATTTGATGCCCTATGGTGTTCTCTGCATGGTGCTAAGGCTTGCAGGATTGAAAATTTTTTCTTGCATGCATTTTAAATGCTTTGATTTGTACTTAATGACAGGGAACTTGTATATGCCACTCAGTAAAGATGGATTTGTCCGAGGCCCTGCTAAATCAATGCATATTCACTGAAATCTCTTGTCATTGTTCTGTCAGAGAAAGCTCTGCATCCATTCTGCCACATGGAGATTTGGCTAGTCTGTATCTGTGTTTGTAACCAGCTGGGACTTTTGCTGGCTTCATTATGTCATTTATTTTATCAGTAGACAGTTTTCCTCTAGTCTTTGTTTTCCTTGGTGGAAGTTATGTTCCTTTTGTTTGTGTTATAATAGAGAACAAGTCATTCCTTTTTCAACATTAACAATCCCATCAGTCACGCACTTTGACTTATAATTTTGAGTGCCTTTCAGCACTTTTAGGACCAAGAAAAGATGACATTATTCTGAGCCACAACATTAGGGAAGCAAGAAATTCCCTCAAGAGTTCAAATAATCCAATCCTTTGACTCCAGTTGAATATCAGCTTTTGAAGAGACCATCATTTATAGATAAAATCTTCCTTTGTTTTAAATCACATGGCATGAAAGAGGATACATTTTCTATGAGCCTCGAGGAAAAAAAAATGGCTCTCTTCAAATAAAATCATCTTACTTTTTCCTTCTACCAAGATTTAAAACCTGTAAATATTTAAAACCTGTTGAAGAAACCTGTAAACTGATAATCTCTGTAAATTACAGTTCTTGCTATATCTGATACTTGAAAGTCTAGGTTGGTGTATTCGTTTTCTCTTTTTGAATAACAAATTATCATGAATTTAGCTTAAAGTAACTCACAGTATTACCTCACCGTTTCCATGAGTCAAGAGTCCAGGTTACAGGCTAGCTGGTTCTTCTGCTCGGTGTCTCACCAGGCTGAAATCTAGGGACCAGCTAGGGCTGTGACCTCATCTGAGGCTCAAGGTCCTCTTTTAAGCTACTGGCTGTTGAAAGTGTTCCGCTAAAGAATGGAGATCCCCAATTTCTTGCCGGCTTTTACCTGAGGGCTATTCTTATCTATCTAAGAGGCTGCCCACTATTCTCTGCCATGTGATAATCTCTATGATATGGCAGGTTGCTTTTTCAAGGCCAAAAGAAGAGTTTTTACTTCTGTTTCAAGTCCTTCTTAACTCTTTTAAAGACATACCTCACTAGGCCAGGTTCATCCAGCATAATCTCCCCTTTGATTAACTCAGCTGATTAGAGGCTTTGATTATATCTTTTTTTTTTTTTCTTTTTTAGAAAAGGTCTCACTCTGTCACCCAAGCTGGAGCGCAGTGGCTTGATCTTGGCTCATTGCAACCTCCGCCTTCCGGGTTCAAGCAATTCTCCTACCTCAGCCTCCCCAGTAGCTGAGACTACACACACACACACACAACACCACATCCGGCTAATTTTTGTTTTATTTGGTAGAGATGGGGTTTTACCATGCTGGCCAGGCTGGTCTCGAACTTCTGACCTCAGTGATCTGCCTGCCTAGGCCTCCCAAAAATGCTGGGATTACAGGTGTCAGCCACTGTGCCCGGCCCAGCTGTAATTATATCTGCAAAATCCCTTTGCCTTTGCATAATCCAGGAGTGGTATCCTATTGTATTCACAGATTATACAGGGCATACGGGGGTAAGAATTTTGAGGATCATCTTCGAATCTGGTTTATCGTAGTTGGAGACACATTAACCTGTTATGTTAGTGTTTGATACTTATCATCCACTTTCGAACTTAGTGGCTTGAATCAATAACTAATTACTTAGGATCCTACATGGTTGGGGGTGGGGACAATTTGGGCTGAACTCAGATGGACAGTTCTTCTGATCATCTCGGCTGAATTTTCTCATGCAACTCGACTAATCTCTTGGGTTTCCTTGGGGCTTCTTGGCCCCAGATGGTGTAAATCACATTTCTGGTGGTGGCTGGAGAGAAAAGGATAACTAGGCCACCTTGCTTCAGAATCTAGAAGGCTATCTTAGGTTTCTTTACTAGGTAGCTGCATTCCAAAACAAGCAAAAGAATCGGAGAGTACATTTCAACTATTGGCTTGTATTATGTTTGTTAATGTCCTTTTGGTCAAAGCAAGTCACATGTCCGTGTCAAGATTCAAATGGAGAAATATACTCTTAATGGTAAGAGCTAAAAATCTAGTAGCCACTTTTAAAATATCAAGTCAGTCAAACAAGACATGAGGAGGGTCACTGTATAAAACAATATGCTAACGTGAATCACAAATCATATTCAGACTTCACAACACACATACACTTGACTCCTCTAAACAAACAGTGATTTTATAGTTTATCTGAAACAAACCCCGACATCTTTCAAAGTTAAAACATGCTTCTTGCCACTCAGACTTTCCTGTTTTTATTTCAGTTTTGATCTCTTTTCTGGCTTCTTTTAAAGCAACTTTTCTCCTTGAAAATGCAACAGCGAAAGATATAAATCACTATTTCTCTGTTACCTCATGAAAGATTTTGTAAGTACATGCACCCTTATGACCCCTTCTCATTTCAGCTTCATTAAAAATTAGTATGTACAATTAGAATATGTAATTTGACTCAATTATATTAAAAAACCAATGAGACTTGGACCTCATTTCTAATGACATTGAAGCCCTCAGCATTCAAAGAAAACTACAAATGACTCAGCAAATTTGATGGTAATGTAGGCAGCTCTCCCTGATCAAAGACTACGGGAAAAAATAGAAACCAACTAAAAGAAAAGAGAAGGAAAAAAAAAAACTGTTATTTAGCTTCATTTTATTAATAGAGAGAAACCAAAGAAACGGAAATCTCAAGTGTAGTTTTTTTGGAAGCTGAAGGACAAAGAGAATTTATGATTTAGCCTAAGTAGGAGTCACTATGTCACAGAATTCTAAAATGATAATAATAAATACTTCCAATGAAAACGTGAATATTAGAAAGGGTGGAGCAAAAGTGTGAGGAAAAAGGCTGGATAATATTGCTGTAACAAAAGGGAATACTTCACCTACCTGTGGTTAAGACATTTATGTATATACCTCATGATCATACTTCGGTTCCAAAGAGCCATGTAAACACAGACATTATTTAGACTCGATTTCTCTTAATACTACCAGCAGAATTACATTCTTAAAAACAAGTCTGTTTGTATAGCCTACCTGTTTTAAGGCAAAAACAAAAACACAGATTTTTTTCTCATTATCCATAAGATAAAGCCCAAACTCCCTAACCTTTCAAACAATCTGGTCATAATCTAATGAATACGGAAGGAACTTGCACAACTATATCTAGTATACCTAACAGGGGATTGGTTCAGGGCCATAACCTGAAGAACACAATCCTGAATGATAATCCTGAATGTTAAGGCCACATATTAAGATGACCTTTGGTTGGACTGAAGTAGAGATTACCCATGCAAACCTGAAATAAATATGGTTTTATGCCTATTGTCCTGGAGTAATTATTATTTGTGCTCCCTTTCACTGCCACAGATGTTCTTGTTTGGATGGCGAATTAAATGATCATACTGAAGCTGCAGTCCTTTCTTCTTAGATTTATGTATCTAATCCATGAGAATATTTAGAGGACACAGAGTAGATTGAATTTGGGACCACAGACAGATCAAAGAATTAGGAGATTCAGATTCTAATTGAAGCCCTGTCCCTAACTTGATGTAGTATGTTTTGGAATTCACTTAACACTTAATTTACTTAAGTTCCATTTCCTGGAAAATAAAACAGGGGAGGGAAAACAGTATAATATATGGTTTAAGGTTACAAAATTTTAAAATGAGCATACCAATTCCATAGGTTAGTGGGGAAAAACATAGCATAGAGAAATGAATTGACAGAACATCTCTAGATCTTATTATATTCATTACTTTTTAAATACTTTCCCCTTAGTGAACTTTTTACAAGAGTTGCAGCAAATAAAATGTTGATTGGTTTGGCTATCACATCTTTTCTTTCTAGTAGAGGTGCAAATGAGCAATGGTTACCTGACTGGTAATAGAAGAGAGATAATGAAAACATTGATGACAAAGCAATCCATAAATAAGACAATAAGATCCAGAATAATTGGGTTGTGGATGTTATCATCTTCTTCAGCAGAGAGAGGGAAAGGGATGTATAAACACTATTTCAAAAGGACCTTAAAGGTTGAGACCGGTCAGCTGGGTGCAGTAGCTCACGTCTACAATCGCAGCACTTTGGGAAGCCAAGGTGGGAGGATCATTTGAGTCCAGAGTTCAAAGCAGTGACCTATGACCACTCCATTGTACTTCAGTCTGGGCAACAGCAAGACCCTATCTCTATTTAAAAAAAAAAAGGAAAAAAAAAGGAAAAAAAAAGAAAAAAAAAAAAAAAACAGGATGGTTGCAGCAGCTTACGCCTGTAATCCCAGCAATTTCGGAGGCAAAGGCAGGTGGATCACCTGAGGTTAAGAGTTTGAGACCAGCCTGGCCAACATAGTGAAACCCTGTCTCTACTAAAAATACAAAAAAGTAGCCGAGCATGGTGGTGCACACCTTGTAATCCCAGCTACCCACGAGGCTGAGGCAGGAGAATCGCCGGAACCCGGGAGGCAGAGACTGCAGTGAGCTGAGATTGTGTCACTGCACGCCAGTCTGGGTGACAGAGCGAGACTCTGTCTCGGAAAAAAAAAAAAAAAAAAAAATTAGACCCATGAAATCTAGCTAGTGAAGCATTAGTTTTCAGAGGTTAATTATTTGTTCAAACTCATAGTGGTCATAGTGTAGGAAAAACTCATAAAGACCTTAGGTCTTCTCTCTACTGCTCTTTTCACTATACTATATCTCACAGAAATCTTTAATAGTGTGGGCCTACATCAATTTTTAATGGGAAGAATGATTTTGTAAACTTCATACCATCGTTAGTAATATCTTACAAAATAAATGTCTTTATTCTATATAAAATCTCACAGTGGTTTATTTACCACTGTCCATGGGATATAATTTAAATGCTTTAATAAGAAGAACTTTCCATAATAAAGAAAGCCTGTCTTTTCATTTATTGACTTATTTACTTATTTATTTATTATTTTTTTGAGATAGGATCTTGCTTTGTTGTACTGGCTGGAGGGCAATAGAGCAATCACAGCCCACTACAGCCTCAACCTCCTGGGCTCAAGCAGTCTTCCTGCCTCAGCCTCCTGAGTAGCTGAGACTATAGCTTCATGCCACTATGCCCAGCTAATTTGGTTTTATTGTCTATCTTTCAAGTATCTTTTTAAAATCCTTTCTGTTCATCATTCACCATGTTCTCAGCATTTATCCTGTAATAAAGCCATTTTGACAAGTGATCACACCCCAAGTACACTATGACATTTGAGAACTTTGTGCATGCCCTTGACCCTATTTGCAGTGCTTGGTGACTTTCTTCTCATTCTTCAAAACTCAATTTTGATATTAGTGTCTGTCCCTTCTTTATTTTCCACTTCAATTTATCTCCACATATCACCTTGCTCAGACTTAGAGAGGTTGGACAGTTTTGCTACTTCCTAAAATCCAGCCAGGACTTACTACAATATTCCCATTGACACACATATTACTCAATATTGCTAAATTGTTAAAAACGTAAATTGTGAAATCAGGACAGTTTTAATTTGAGCACTGCCACGTATCTCTGAACATTCTAAAAAATATGTTAGTGTATTAGTCTGTTCTCATGCTGCTAATAAAGACATAGCCAAGACTGGGTAATTTATCAAGAAAAGAGGTTTAATTGACTCATAGTTCCACATGGCTGGGGAGGCCTAACAATCATGGTGGAAGGCAAATGAGGAACAAAGTCACGTCTTACATGGCAGCAGGCAAGGGAGCTTGTGCGGGGGAACTCCCATTTATAAAACCATCAGATCTCGTGAGACTTATTCACTATCATGAGAACAGCATGAGAAAAACCTACCCCTATGGTTCAATTACCTCCCACTTGGTCCCTTCCATGACATATGGGGATTATGGGAGCTACAAATCAAGATGAGATTTGGGTGGGGACACAGCCAAACAGTATCCATTATTCTTAGTTTTCTCACCTAATTTTTTTAAGTAAAAATAATGTCAATCTCATAAGGTTGTTCTGAGAATCAAGTGAAATAATGCATAGGAATTGTTCACCTCAATGCCTAGAAATTAATGAAAACTAGCTGCATGGATAATTTTCTTGCTAATGTGCAATAAGAATTTTTATTATTCTGTTTGGTGTCTCTAGCATCTTTTCATGGTGACCGTCTCAAGTATGAAGCATTTTAATGACCCATGTCATAGCCTTCTTCTGCTTCATATCTCAAATCTAGAAAAGCTAATCCAAAAATGGGTGATTAATTTAAATTTAACATCCAAAGAAGCATGTATGTTTTCTCTATGATTTTCTCTGGAGATGATATATGCCCGGCTGTTTAAGACCTAAGCCTATCATCAAGGAGATTGATAAGCACAGATTGGTGGAGATGGAGTTGGTGGAGATGGGAGAGTCACATGCCAACCAATTTACTGGCAGACAAACAATCTTTTCTTAAAACTGCAAAAATTTGACTACTACACCAAAAGAATAGTCTCTTGATTTTTTTTCTCCCTAATCAATGACAGACCATTCTTATTTGGCATCCTCTCTCCATTTCTCTCATTTTGTGCTTCCTCTATCCTTTTGCACATGAAATTTTTTCCTCACCTTGTACAGATTTCTTGAGAGAAGTTGGAGCAAAGTCACCCATTGTTTCCAAGTTAATTTAAAACGACATTTCAGAACTATGGACAGCAGGATATATTTATTCTCCACATCCAAAGACATTTTCTTTACACTGTATCTTAGTCAGAACCTAACCAGGCTACCTCTACCCGTAGTGAAAGAATCTATCAGAATAAAAAAGAATATATACACTGTTTCCAGCACCACCACCTCTATCCTGGTATTGAGATGAGAAAAAGACAAACTCAGGTCAGGAATTTTGGAAGAGAGAGGTTCTTAGACCTGTGGCAGATATAATGAATATGACTATAGGGCTTCTATGACAACAACTGAAAGTTAACAAGAGTATAAGCCTATAAAACTCAACAATATAATAAGCTCAACTTGGAATTACTTGTAACTTTAATATTTTACAATTGATATTTTATTTTTTTTCTTTTTCTTCAAATCCCCAAGAGCCATATTAAAAACTTTAAACAAGTGTGAGCTGGTGTGGTCAGCCTATAAGAAAACACATGGAATTGGGTTAAAAACTGAGGTGCTGGGCCTCATTCTGCTGCTATGGCCTTAGGAATATTTATCTCCCTAAGCTTCAGTTTTTTCATCTATGTTGTAATATGCTAGTTTAGATAATATTTAATTAAGGTGCATATATTTCTACAAACTAAAATCAATAAATGTATTCTGAAGTATTCATGTCCTTGGACAGAACTTTTCACATTTATAACTATGCTGACAGCACCAAGACTAACAGTTCCTATTGTTCTAAAGTCCTTACAAGCATTAAAATTTGTTAATTCTATGAAATCAACTTAACCATTACCACAGCATTTAAGATAATTAAAAACTGAGTATATTATGTTTGAATTTCTAATAAGCAAGCATGTGACTATAAAAGATGATAGTCCAGAATTATCTTTCCAGAAACTAATGAGAGGGTGAAAAGAAAGATAACACTAAGAGTCTACCTAACATAGACTACCATGGTGGTTACAATCCCACAAAGTGCTTTCTACTGACAGACTTCATATTAACACTAATATTAAATCATTGCCAGGATTTCCAACCAGATGGTCAGCAGTCACGAGCTCCTTGCTGAGCAGCTCTTGAAAGGGTGCCAAAGCAGTGGTGTGGTTCTCGTGATCTTTCTGGATATCAGCCGTGTTTTGCCCTGTGTGACTTATGTCCCAGGGACAAACACCAGCTGCAAATGGTCAAAGCACAGTCATTAGGCTGCAATACCACATGACCAGAAATTGCTCTTTGAGATGAGGGATGGTGGTAAATGCATATAATTGTCCATATTCCATAATAACAATCTACCTATTTATTTAGATTTAATAAAATGCCTTTCAGATACCATAATGTCTAGTTACACTTTGGCAGAAATCTAGAGGAATGGGCAACTTTGTATTCACCCAGGTTTATGAAACCAAATTATTCTATTTGTCCTATTTGTATTTGGAAAGGTATTTGAACCTTCTTACCTGACTTTTGTGGGCATATTATCAGGCTTTTAAGAATCTTAGTGTCTTAGATCATTTAATACTTTTGTTCCTTTGCTAGAGTCCTTTCAAGATGACTTTGTGCTATATGCCTCACTGTGAATCAGACATGGTGAATTTTGATTCCAAATTTTGTAGCTTAAGTGAAAAGTGTTAATGAAATAATTTCTGAAACTTTTTCCGTTCTCTGAGGCACAATGGTGAATACTATAAGAGTAAGGGCAGCTTATCATATTACTTTTCTACTACTGATATATGACAGTTGAAATGGCTTTCCTGAGCCTCTGTAACATGAGTTGAGAAACCAGAATGAGTCTCCAGTAGCCCTGACATCTATGATTAATGCAAAAAATAAATAGAAGAAATTTCAACTTTGTAAACTTCTTGAGATGGCATATCATTTGTCACAAGACTTGAAGGTTCTTGAAGATTCTGAGCTATTGAAGGTAGGAGAGTGAAAGAAGGTGAGGATGTGTACATCTATTGTTTTTTATTCATGTAGCATTTAAATAAGATTAATCATATTTCTCACTACAAATGCGATTTTCATTTTAAAAGTATTGAAAATTATAGAATATTATAATAAGTAAAAATTACCAATAACTACCAAAACCAATATAAACATTTGAAATTTTAAAACGGAAGCCTCTAGTCTTTCTTCTCTTCCAACACACACACATATACACATACTCATTTTTATCGTTAACAAAACTGAGATATCTCCTTAGTGTTTTCAATCTGATTTTATCATTTGGAATTCACCTTGAATATTTTCTATTCCATTAAATATTTTTCAGCAATATGAATTCAAATCAGCATAGCTTGTGCTTTCATATGGACAAACTATAATTTATGTATTCAATCTCCTTTTTGTGAAGTTAGTTTGCTCCCAAATTTTACCACTACAAATGTGAAATAAAGATCCTAATAGAAAAACACTTCTGCAAATGTCTCATTATTTGTATATAAATGCCCCCAAATTAAATTACTAGGTCCAATGCCAAAACTGTTTTTTTAGGACTTTGAAACAAATATATTGGAATATTCTTTGAATATACTTCATATTAGAGCTATAGAAAATATCGCTTCTAAGAGTGCAGAACATTATGGACAAGGAAAAAAAAATAAAAGCTGCTCCAGACAGAGTAAATAATTTTCCCAGCAAGCATTGTTAGAACTTGAGATTAGAGTCATAGTCTAAATGTCAATTCAGTGTCCTATGTCTTTCTCTTTCCCTCTGACAAAGAGTTTCCTTTTTATTACTATATTTTTAATAATAAATTGGGGAACTCCAGAAGAAACATGCTCCTTGGCTCTGTCCCTCCAAGGAGAGTGCAGTGGAAAGGAAGTCAGTACGCTGTAGCTATCTGTGTGCCAGCATGGGACGGAAACAGACCCAGACTCAGCACTCCTCTCATGCTTTCTGAAGACAGAGCTACTGGAGTAAGACCGTCCTTTCGTTCCCCTGAAGCTATCTTATCAGCTTCTGCTCCTGATCCCCTGTGGATGCAGGGGAATTGTTAGCATAAACCCTCCCATCAACAACTCAGTCAGCTGAAGTGCCAAAATTAAGCTTCTTAATTTAGCACTTTGATTTGAAAACCTTCCTCTCTCACTTCCAAGTCAGGTATTTATAAGAAGTTTTCACTTATCTAACAGAGTCCAGCCTCTTCCAAATAACTTCCTCCTCCCTCTGGGAAGCACTTATTCAGAAGCTTGCCTCCTGGAGCAATGAAGAAAATCATTCCTGTGACAAAGGGCTTCAGGAATTGCCTGAACTGGAGGGACTCCAAATGAGAGGACCTCGATTTCATCAAATGCAACATCTTAAGACAAGAGCTACCCAGGGAATTCACTAAAACCATGAACACCCATGTTTGTTGAATACCTGTTATGGTATGTCTGGCACTGCCTGGGGGCCTGAAATGAGAGGCTTTAAATTGGAAATTCACAAATGCTGCCCACTCACAGCTTCTGTGTAAATCAGAGCCAAGTGAAGTGAAGCTAAAAGAGACATTAGAGATAATCTATTTCAATCTTTCAAAGATAACGGTATCTTGAGCTTACAAGTTCTGCATCTTCTATATTGTAGCCTTATGGGAGATATTCAATATAACCATCCCAGGGCTTAGCCATACCCCAAATGCCCTTTCAATTACTAAAGAGAAATGAACCATTTTTACTAGATGTATGTTGAATATTTCAGTTATTCTCATCTGAGAAAGTCTAGTAGTGTAGTGTATCTAAGGCATGACTCTGTCAGAATGCTTGGTTTAACCATTTCATACCTACACATAAATAAATAGGTATTTCTGTATGAAAAGTTGAAACTACTGCCACAGTCACTGTCAGCCTTTGGGCACAATCATTTTGTTAAGTTCACAGGGGTTGTCTTAATGAAGAAAAAAATAGATCAAAGTTATTGAATATATGAAAGTGACTTTTAAAACAATAAAGCACTCTTTCTACATGAGATTAGTACTTTGAACAAAATTAGAGTTAAAGGACAGTATGTTTAACCATAATTATTTACCTTACCTGTTGCTCATTTATCAGGTTCATCATATAAGGATCAATGATCATAATGAGCTGTGAAGGTCAAACTTGGCCAACCATAGCGGGATGTGCATTAAAAAGATCAGAATGCTTTGACGCAGCGTGGAGTCAGAGAAAGTGCTTGGAACTGGAAATCAAGATACATGAGTCATCGTTCCAGTTATGCCTCTTCCTATTTGGCCTTGAGCAAGTCACTTCCCTGCATGAGCCTTTCTTCCTTTGCTCTGTGAAATGAGGGCACTAGAGAAGGTGGTCCCTTATGTACCAGTGTGGGCTAAAGGTCTACTGGTACTTATAATAGGAAAAAGAAAGAAGGCAGAGATCCTGTTCTGACATTTAAGAATGAACAAGAAGCCCAGAAGTTTCCCAGAATGGGAAAGAGAAATTTGATTAAAGACAGGATGCATCATTGAAGGCAAAGTAACTGTGCCTCTGCCCATTGCTGAGCGACAGGCTCCACGGGTGGCCCTGCTGGCACCGAGAAGGCGCAAACTATATTTGCAGTCAGCATGGAACAGACTGCAGGTCAGAAATGAGCCCTGTTAGCCACACTTGAATGATGGGACAGCAGCTTTGTCAGATGTGTCTGGTGTTCAGTGTCGAGAACAGTGATCGGCATATGCTGGCCATCTTTCCCATCTCTTAATATTCTAGATGCTCAGAAAGAATGTCCATAGCTTAAGGATTTAGAAGTCACCTGCTCAATGTGCTCAGATTTTGCCAGGCAATTTTGCTGTTCAAATGCAAACTTCTATTACTTGAATGTTGAAACACACTCCTGGTCCTCCACTGTGCGCCCACCTCTTTGTATTGCTAAGCAAAAAAAACTTAACTCTTCTTTCTCAGGCTCATTCCTGAAATTCCTGCTAATTTCGGTATCCTGGTTTGCATCCCTTGGCACTGATAACAAAGAGAAGCTCTATTCTCTTTAATATAAGTCTGTTCAAAAGGAGCCCCTAATTATCTACTCTTAGTTAGAAATCTCTGTCTTCCTATGTCACCTGAGCAGCACAAATTTATATGGAAAAACATTTTGATGAGAATTCAACAAGCATATCCTATTCCCAAACTTATATACAAATTTAGGAATGAAGGAAGAGAAAAAAATTAAAGTTACAATAAAATATGAATGAATGCAACTTTAAACAAGAATACATAAGTGAAAATGCAATTAATTTTTCAAAGTTACAGAATTGTGGAGCTGACAGGAATTTATGAATCACCTTATCTAAATCCCACAGTTCAGAAACTAGGAATCTGTGGCTCACAATGATAAAAGTGATCCACTCATCATCAGCTAGCTACTTTAGTGGTAAAATCAGAATTCAGAGTTTAGTTCCCCATAGCTTAGGTATTCTAGTTTCAGTTATAGAACCTTCAAATGGAGCCCGTGACTTTATTTATGTAATGATTTTTTAAAAAGTAAGACAATAATACTTTTAGGGAAAATTTATAAGTTACTCTTTCGGGTGAAAAATGTTATATCGCTTTATATTAATTTTACGTAAGTGGACTTTAAAAACAAAGCGGATGTTCCTAAAATATATACTTTTTCCCATTGGAATTGTATAATGAGGAGTTCACATAATTAAAACTTCTCTGGCATGTATAATAAAAAGCCATCTACTATCTAAAACTACGAAGCAGGACCCTGAACATTTTTCTCCCTAGAGAGCTTCAAAAGGGTATAAGAAGCATGGGGCAGAGAGTGGCCCAAAGATTGGAAGAGAACAGGGTTTAGAATAATAAGGATAGGCACCACAAAAAGAATTCTATATACAGTGATCAAAGATTGGATAAGTGTAACCTGTCTAGTCATCTCATGAATATGTTGCAACTTATTCTGGAGATTTGGAAGGAAAATGTGGATGAATCACTACAAACGCATCACTACAGCTGGAAAACCAAGCCTTACACAACAGAATGTAACGTGTAATCACCACTCACCTATATCTCTGATACATGTACATATACACATAACAAAATGAACTATGCAGGATAATATTTATTGTCAAAATAATTATATAGAGAGAAGGGAAAGACAAGAAAAAGAAGGAAGAAAAGAAAATAGCATTTGAGTAGGATGCTCTGTGGGCCCAGCTATTTTTCTGGAAAATTACGTTTAAATTTATCAAGAAGCAGGTGGAACAAATAGTGTTATTCTCACTTTACCAATAAAGAAGCTGAAATTAAGAGAGATTCAAATATCTGCTGTAGGTGATAAAATCCAGTAAATGATAAGAGTCAACTCAAACCCACATATATCTGACTTTAAGAGGAAAAAGATTCCTATGAACTAGGATAGTTAAGAAAATTTTTATGAAATTTGACTATGGCCTAGTAGAAGAAAGATTAACAATCATTCTTGAAGAATAAGCATGAGATTAAGTATAAAAAAAGATAGATAGGTAGACAGACAGCTAGATAGACAGATTGACAGACAGCTAGACAGACAGAAAGAGAAAGAAAGAAAGAAAAAGAAAGAAAAGAAAGGAAAAGAAAAAGAAAAGAAAAGAAAAAGAAAAAGAAAAGAAAAGAAAAGAAAGAAAATTCCTTGGGAAACTAAGCTGCTGGTTACAATTAAATTTATAATATATACCTCAAGCTTCCACTCAAGTTAGTTTTCTTTTTGGAAAAGTGTTACCCTTGTCTAAGAAAAATGGAGATCAAATAAATTTCAATTTCTAACGTCCATGTTAAGAATATATTGTGGAATGTGGAAGAGGACTAAGTCTAAAACGGCTGCCATCATCCTCACCTCCTGGAGTTCATGTCTTTGGGTAATGGCTGCCCCTTGTGTGAGGGTGAGACCCTTGACTTATTTCTAACTAGTAGACGGTAACAAAGTTGTTGAGATGTCCTTCACATAATTATGTTACATTTTATAGGACTCTGTCTTGCTAGCCCACTAGATCTTACCCTCCAGCTGTCCTCAAAAAATCCAGCTGCCATGGTGTAACTGCCTATGAAGAAAATTGAATGTTAGAGAACTTGGACACCCACTTGGAGCTGAGAGTCGCTTCCAACCAATAGCCAGCAAAAAATAGAAGCTCAAGTCCTACAGCTGCAAGGAAATAAGCTTTGCCACTAACATATATAAACCTGGAAGAAGGTCCTTCTTCACTGGAGCCTCCAAATGAGAAGGGAACCTGTTTACACTTCGATGATGGCCTAGTGAGACCCTGAAGCAGAGAATCTAGCTAAACCATGCCCAGTCTCCTGACCTACATAATCTGTGAGATAATAATTCTGTATTGATTTAAGCCACTAAATGTTTGACAATTTGTTATGCAGCATGCTCTTTGATACTGGAAATTCTGAGTTTAGCTATTAAGGAATCTCCTATCTGATGCTATTTATTGTTTCTAGTTGCAGTTCTAACAGTGATGATTCTTAATGGCAATTAATAAATAATAAATGAGTTAGCAATTTGCTCAGCTGTTGCTAGCATGTGGCATTCATTGGAGACAGTTTCCAGGACTAATTCCTCTCAGTAGCATCTCTGGATAATATCCCTCCACCAACCTCGTGTTTCTTCTGCCCTCAAATAGCTCTTGGTACTTGCAACTGTGGCCCTTTTATAGCCACCATTAGGAAATAAGTCATATCAGAGTCCCTGCTTAACCAGGGTGACCATATAATTCATTGTCTAAACTGGAGCACTCTTAAGAGGGAAAAGAGCACTATCAAAAATTAAACTGGAAAAACAAGCACAAATCTGGACGTCCCGGGTGAGACAGTGTGTATAGTCATCCTATACTTGATACTCTTAGGTCTGCTTTATTAATAAGAGCTATTAAAAAAACCCCACAAATCCAAAGTTTTAGGATTTGTTCTGAACTGAGAACTTCTAATGACATCACACTTAAAGCTACAGCATACATTGCCTATGACTACATTCGTAATTCTTTTCTGGAAGGACTATTTATTGCTAGGCAGTGGACCCTTGGTGCAGAATAAAATGACTGGAATATATTTGGCACCATTTATATCTTTTAATGGGATAAAGGTATGGCTAAGGTTTCTCCACATAATGGGCAATGTTGGTGCTCTATACCACAGTGTAATTACTACTAGCCACCAACTAGAATGATAGAAATAAAAAGATTTACAATACTACATGCAGATGTGGAGTGATTGGAAATCTCATATGAAACTGGTGGGAAAGCAAAATGCTTTAGATACTTTGGAGACAAGTTGGGGTCATTCCTTATAGGCCAAACATATACTTTCTGCACTACCCAGCACTGTCAATTCCAGGTTTTACCCAAGACAATTAAAACATGTGTCTCCACAAATATTTGTAGACAAAAATTCACAGCAGCTTTATTTACAATCGTGGAAAACTAGAAACAACTGAAATTGTATCAACTAAAGAAAAGATAGGCCAATTGTGATGTCATCATATAATAAAATGCTGCTTAATAATAAAAAGGAACAAACTACTGACAGTTTGGAGACTCTCTCAGACTAACTCCTGACCAAAATAACCAGACAGAGCAACCTGAATTTACCTAAAGTTCAAGAACTTGAAAGAAAAGTACATAGAAACAGGGGTTGTTTCTGTGGTACAGCTAAAAGGAATTGTTTTGAAAGAGACATGAGGATACATTCCGGAGATGTGGAAATGTTTCATATTGTGAAAGGAGTGCTAGTTAAATAGGTGTATTACCTTGTCAAAATTGTACAGTTAATATTTGTGCATTAAAAGGCATGTAAATCTTACTTTAAAGGACTATAAAAATGAGCAAGATAAAAAATACCTTGTTCTGAATAGAGTTAATTTTAAAACCACCTGAGTATTTTTCTCTATATTGGCAATATCTTAGTATTTTAAATAAAGGAGATGACAGCCCCAAAGTGCTACATGTAATTAGAATCCCTTATAGAGTGTTATTCTGGCCACTAGGTTGAAAGGGACATTGACATAAAACATGTCCAGATCAGGAAAATCTGAATGACCAAGAATCTGACAATCATGTTTTATGTAAAATCATAAAGGGGAATGGGTTCATTTTTCTAGGAAAAGAGATTAGAGGAACCGCAATAGCTACCTTCTGATATTTGAGAATTTGGAATGTGGAAATAAGGACATACTCTGTGAGGCCTCAGTAGGGTAGAGCCAACAAATAGGATAAATTTTAATGCATATGAAACAGAGTTTTGAAACAGCTGTACTGCAGAGGAACAATCGGCTTGGTGAAGTATCACGTTCTCGCTCAGTAGAATATCAAACAGAGGCTTCAGCCATGTTTTGTCCTAGATGTTTCAGAAAGAATTGCTACATTGGAGGAGGAATGGTCTTCTCCATTTCTAAGAGATTATGATTCTGTGTTGTGAAAGCTTGAAATCTAAGATTTCATGGGTTTTAAATCTTTATAGGACCCAAAGGTGGTATATGATACATATTAATCAGTATCCACAGAATAAAGCAAAAACACTACTGTTTCATTAAAAATTTCACAGCAATGGCTTTCATTACAAATGGAAAGTGTGTCTTTAAGATACACCAAACTCTCCAGACCATGCAGCCATACAGTCTCCATACAGTTACAGATGTGAAATAGCCAAAATAGCTAAAATATCCCCTGAAACTCCCTGAAATAACAATCAGATTCACTGGCTCTTGAGTAATCTTGTACTCACATTTTCCATTTTTGTATGTTGTTATTGTTTTTTCAAAACAACAAAAAAAAAAACTGTTTTAAAAATGTGTTTATCTCAATAGATGAATGAAGATACCATAATTTGTTCAGCTGTGAAAGAGTTTCAGAGGAAGTGTTATATGAGCCCTATGAGAAATTATTTTTACGACAGAGCTGAGTGGTTTTCAAGTTATAGGGCATTCACAGGAATTACTGGATCCAATAAGATTCATTTTTACATCAAACTCTATGTAATAGGGAAACATTTTCATAATGCTGTAGACCTTAAGATTGATTTTTTTGCATATAATTCAATTGGTGAATTGCAAATGCTCTATATTCTTCCTTGGTCTTCCTTCATATTCCTTCTTTTAACCATGTCAATGTGATTGTTAGAAGATCCTTAACCAGAAGGGCATAGGCTGAACAAAAGAGCAGTTGTAAAAATCAGTTCAGATATTGCTCTCATAAAATTTTAGTGAAGACATTTGAAATTACTGGTTGTATATTTTGTATCTCCACACAGACTTTCCTCCATTTGTAGATATAGTTGAAAGTTATCTGTGTATGAGTTCCATAAACCACTTTAGAAATTAGGATATTTCTTTGCTCCTGAAACTTAAAATTTTATTTTGTGTTTTTTTAAGTTTTCTGCACTTGAATATTCAAAGAAAAAAATCATGAAAATATTTTAAGCTATTAACAATGAGTGCAAGATTCTCTTTAGATTCCACATAAAATACAATATTCTCTAGTCCTGTGTGTGTGCCTTAAACAGCTGATACATTTAAACTTATAAAATTATCTCTGTAAAATCTCTCATTCAGAAAAAGAAAAAAGAAGTATGTTTCACTACCAGCAAGTAGATCTTAGATTTGAAGTAAAGAAGAACTTCTGTGGTGGCGAATATTGGATAAATTTTGGGAAAACCTAGATTAAAAAGTTTAAGAAAATGTTTTAAGCCTTATTCAAATACAGGGTACATTTTTCTTAGTGAGATGCTTTTCTTGTGGTCTTACAGGAAGCCAAGGTAAGCTTGATGAAATGGCAGCTCCTTCTAAATTCAGCAAGGCTATACAAATAATTCCAACCCTCTTTTCTTTAAAAAGTTGTCTGGACTTAATTTCCCACATTTGTGAAATCTTTATGATGTTAATGATGAGTTCTCACACGCATAATAGTGTAAAATACCACTAGACACAAGAAAGATTGCCATCAGATTCTACTTTGCTATTTCCAAGAGGGTTTCCCTAAAAGCTGTTCAGAAGGTCTGACAATTATATCACAGAAACACAACACAGAAAGGCAAAAAATAAAATCACCTTTCAAAAGCTTAAAAGAATATCTGAATAGATTTAGATGGTTTAGAAAGTTATAAGCACATTGAAGCCACATTGATTTATATTCCACTACAGTATTGTGAAATTTGTAATGACTACTTGACAGGTAGATCTGGAAAAAAGTTTTCATGTAATTAGGTAGTATAAATAAGATTGCTGGGATAAATCAACTGTACAAATTAATTTTGAAATATTAATATGGAGGCAAATGTTTGGCCAACTTCAAAGGCACCTAGTACTCAATAGGCTCAAATACTTACATGTAATCTTCCCTACCCAAACCTGGTTTTCCTTCAGTTTCTTTGAATTCACTAAATTAAACCAGCATCCATCATTCCTCAATACATATGTCATTGTCAATATTCCCATAATTCCCCATATCTAACTCTTTAACAAAGTCCGTTCATTTCACATAATAAACAGCTCTCACACCTATGTCTCCTGACCACCACTACCATCCTCCAGATGCTAGCCCAAACTACTGATATTCTTTTGCCTACACTTTCACAATAATTTTCCATTTTCCTTTCCCAATCTTTTTAACTCACAACAGCTAGAAATAGCTTTTCAAAAGATTACTCCAATCTATACCTCTTAAATCCTTTACTAACTTCTTATTGTCCCTATGATCATGATAGACATCTTCGAAGTCATCTATAAGACCAACATTGTGTCCTGTCCAACTCTTTATCCTTTACCTAGAACCAATTTTCTCCTAACTTTTGGGAAGGAAGATTTCTCTTCTCATACTAGACCTGTTTCCCTGTGGAAGATCCTGCACTTCAAATAACATTCCTAGCCTTTTGTGCTACCCCTACTCATTCTGCAAGTGAATGGGTGGGCGCCATTGGTTCTCATTTCTACCTCTGTAGAGTTTATCAAATAAAGAGATAGCATCAGCTGGGCTCCGTGGCTCATGCCTGTAATCCCAGCACTTTGGGAGGCCAAGGCGGGGAATCACGAGGTCAGGAGATCGAGACCACCCTGGCTAACATGATGAAACCCCCTCTCTACTAAAAATATCAAAAAAAAAAAAAAAATTAGCCAGGCATGGTGGTGGGTGCCTGTAGTCCCAGCTAGTTTGGAGGCTGAGGCAGGAGAATGGCATGAACCCAGGAGGTGGAGCTGACAGTGAGCCAAGATCACGCCACTGCACTCCAGCCTGGGCGACAGAGCGAGACTCTGTCTCAAAAAAATAAAATAAAATAAAATAAAATGGATAGCATGAATGATTTTATCTCTGTTCTTCCATCTCTTTTGTTTCCTCTCCTCTTCACATTGATCCTAAGTAGGTGTGCTTTACCTGCACATTTGACTTTCATTGGATTATTCTGAGGTTTAGACTGGAGGAGGCTGGAGGAGGTAGCACGTTAGAAGACTTATTTGTCCCAGATTTTAGCTGATCACCCAAAAGAGTGATCAAGATGACTAATGAAGCTCATATTTTGATCTTCATTTACCTGCCACCTCTGCCACTCATGATTGGTTTTGAGGAAGACACGTGCATTCTAACCCTGTAGCAGGGTATTCTTTATTCTCACCATTTCAGCTTCCTCTCTCCTTCTAGAGATTATTTTTCATGTTGTTCCTTCTGCCCTGGACACACATCTCTTCTTTTATTACCTCTCATAACACAGTTCAAGTTTTTCCTTCTCTCTCTTACCAAAGCAAACCCTCATTTTATAGGCTCTGTCAATAGGATCATGTTATCATAGTTGTGAGTTCTTAAGTTTTTTGTAACAATTTGAGTAGAATCCATTATTTTCACTATTCTAGAAGCCCTCTGAAAGCAGAGGCTATATAGTTTTGTTCATCACTGAATCCTCACTACCTAGCACAGTGCCCCTTAAATATTTGCTGATTGAATGAATAAATAAATGCATGGGAAGCATTCTTAGATAATAATTAAAATAACAACAAAAAGTCAATTTGATATAATCCTTATAACTCTGTACACTATGAAGTTTATCAAATAAGCCAAACTCAAAAGTTGGAAAGAACGTTGGGTGAATTTATATTCATCAAATATTTCTTAATTCAGACTTTTTATTTAGCATAGACCCCTTCCATACACAATTTCATATTCGCAAGTTCTACTTTATGTTAATAATTAAATATGAGGAATGCCAAAGGAGAGTGCTAGGGAGTACTTCATCAAGTGATTCATAAAATATTTGCTAAGTGCCTACTTTAAATTTGGATAAATTGCTTAACTTCTGACAGGGAAGCCTTACTTCTTGAAAACTGAAGATAAAGTCTGTGTCATATTATGACCATTGGGATTAAATGACATAAAGTACTTTGTATTGCCTGCATATCACCTGTTCATTGTAGGTCCTCAGTGACGTATTTTTCTTATTTATTGTACACACTGAACTTTCTCCTTTTTGATCTTTACAATAATCAGGCAACAAAATATTTATTTTCATTATCTTTATTTTACATTTCAAAAATGTCAAAGAGTTTAAGGGTTTTATCTAAGTCACCCAGAAATTATCAGCAGAATCCAGACTGAAAAATCAATTCTAATTTCCTCTGTACTATATAATTGCTTTTAATAAAGAATATGTGATCAGAACTTATAGTTATACAACCTAAGTCATATTTTCTATTTATCTCTTGACATATTCTCCCCTTTTATTTGCAGGTATTTTATTTAACATGTTGGGGTATTTTCTGAGTCTTTCTTCTGAATGATCTTTGCCTTTCCAGATACTCCATACATAGATTTTTACAATCACCACCCTCCCACTTCCTACCACGATGTTACTCAGATGTCTTATATCCTCCTCATTGCTTTCCCAAATTTTCCTTGGCATCTCCTTCTCTGTGTCTTTAACAATGAGACTTCCTTGTTATGCACTGGCTTAATTTATGTTTGTTTTACACAGTAGTCATTGCCAAGACATCTGGTTCCTTCCCATCATTAAAAACACGTGGGAAGAAAGAATATTCATTTCTCAAATTGTTACAATTAATAAATTAGTTGAAATTTCCCATTATTTTCTGTTCCTTTTGTTCTAAACTTATCTACTATCATTTAACGTTTTCCTGCCTGTATCTTCCTTCCTTTATCAAACATTTAATGAATACCTCCTATGTTTCAGATCCTTACCTTGTTGGATTGGAAATGCAAAGATGTTAGATGATAGAGATAGATAGAGAGAGAGAAAGATAATTTTGCATATTTGTGTACATGTATGTGCATATATTGGGCAGGGTGTGTGTGTGTATGTTTTTCCTGCCTCCAAAGACCAGAAGGGGAAACACATCATTATGTTTGAAAATATCAATGAAAACAAAGTACAATCTAGTTCTTTCTCTAATTACCCTTAAGCAGTATCTATTTGGTTGAACCTTATGAAATTGCCAATAATCCACTGTTTGCGATCACCAAAAAATGGCCATGTGGCCATTTTTTCAACATAAAGCATTAAAACCATTTGTTAAAAAGTGAAAGATGTACTTCCCCAGTTTTTTTTTTTTTTTTTGGCCATTATGAACTCAGATAACTGAATTATTTCACTTTTTAAATAAATGAATGGAATTGACCTATTTGAAGGCAGATGATGAATTAATGGTATTGACCTAATGTGGGCCTCACGCAGAAGCATTTTAATTTAAGCAAAATTCTTTTTCAATGCTACTTTTCTCACTTATAGATGTTAGTTAATATAACGCCAAAGGATGGTGACCTACTAATTGGCCACCTGGTCTTGCCCTCTTCAAGTGGAGTATAGTGCAGAGAAGTGAGAATTCTGCCTGACTGCCTGTGTAACACACTCACTCTCTCGCTCCCCCCACCCTTGCCCACCTCACCTCTCTCTCTGATTGTGCTCCAAGGCAAGCTTAAGCAAATGGTCTGTTTCCACAGTCAAGCAACATTTATTCTAACCAACATTTACCCAAATCGATACATTTTAATTGAAACTAACGGCAGTTAGCTTAAACCAACAGATTTTTCACTGGCCTAAGTACATTAAATCAATGTATTTTTCAAAATTGCCATATCTTATGTAAAACAATGCATTTTCATTTCATCCAGGACACATTTTTATTCCACTCTAATCTGCCAAGTTAAAGAGTCAGACTGAAGTAATAGACTTCTTTTTTTTCATACCAGCCCAAAGATCTTGAATGAAATAAACATATTAATCATTCAGATATATGAAGTCGGTTTCATTTGGTTTAATGTAACAGACATTTATTGAGCACCTACTGTTTGTGAGATACTGTGTTTGACATTCTGGGGGGTACAAAGTGATTAAGATAGAGTTTCTGCCCATAGAAGCTCATAATTTAGTAGTGAATACCATGAACAGGATTAATTATAACATACAACAAACAGCTAGAAAAATGTGATGGAGGAAGACATTAAGTGTGACTAAAGGATTCAGGGGGAGATGTGAAGAAGGTGGCATTTAAGCTCATCTTTGAGCAATGGATAGCTCTAGTGGGAAGAGCATGCTACACAGAATGAATAGATTGAACAATATGTTAGTTATGTAATGCCAGCTACTACTGCCAATGCATCCTACATTTTCAGTCTCTTAATAAAATAGAAATTAATTTGTCACACACATAATAGAGCATGGTGGTTGTTTCTGATGTAGAATTAATTGTTCTTAACTTGACGATTCTAAGATGAAGGTTCTTTTAACTTGTGACTCTAACATCTAGGACTTAGAGCATTCTACATTTGGCAAGTAGAAGAGGAAAGAACTTGGAGAAGGCACAACTGCTTCATAACAGCCTTAGCCAAGAAAGGGTACCAATCATTTGTGCTAATATTCCATTGGTGGGAACTGGTCTTATTGTCATACCTTGATGCAAATGGACCGGGATACGCAGACCTTTCCTGGGAAGCCACATCCTGTGACAACTGTATTCTATGGAAGGAGTAACACGAATTTAAGTGGACCGCTATCTACTTTGCTGCAATAAAAGACGGAGTGAGAAATACAAAGGGTTATAAACGTGGCATGGGGAGCATCCGCAGAACATTTTAGAAGGTAGGAAAGGCAGAGTATAAAGAGTGTTCTATACCATCTCAGTGTTAAATTTGCACATGAATGGGAGTCACTTAATGTTTTTGAAAGAGAATATTTTCATAAACCTAATTATTCACTAATGTCTATAGCAAAACAAAACAAAAACATAGTACACAGGAAACAATAAAAATTCTGTACTAATTATGGGTGTTTACCTCATCTTTTTAGGCCTCAGTTTCTTCTTCTACAAAAAGAGATGGTTGGTATAGCCCCAAGATTTTTGACTTTAACATTTTCCTTAATAAACTAACCAACTCCTTCTATATTAATAAGCATCTTCATATATATATATACACACACACACATACACACACACATCATATATATGCCATTCCATATATTTACTGGCTTTGCCCCTGCTATCTATCTATCTACCTGGTTTGTATTTATAATACATATGTATATAATATATATGTATATGTGTGTGTGTATCTATATACGACCTTTATAGGACTTAATCTTTCTTGGTATCAAGTAGGGGAATTAAATAAAGCAGAGTAAGAGAATTTAAATAACAAGTGGTCAGGTCAGCGCTCCCTGAAAAGATGACATTAGACCTGATACTTACATGAATGGAGGGAGAAGAGAAAGATATAGAAAGAACAGGGGGAAAGAGGATTGGTCTAAGAGAACAACCAAGTATAAAGGGCCTGACACTGAAGCTCATGGTAAGTGGACACAAAGCAAGGAAGTCAGTGTTACTGAAAGGCAAAGAATAATAAGAATCCATCTGTATTGGCAACCAGGAGTGAGATTGTATTTACTCTTTTGCTACTTGAAAGAGTTTTCTATTTTCTGACTTGTAAGAGGATATGTCTAAATTAGGTATTAATGCATAACAACCACTCTAATATGTATCAGCCTAAATCAACAACTATTTATTATTTTCTTTTAAGCATATGGATCGGCTAGGCAGTTCTGTCAAATTGTGCTTGTCTTTGTTCAACTAGGCTGGGTTTCCTCATACCTATGCAGTCAACTCATGAATTGGCTGGGCCTAGATAGTCTTGGATAGCCTTTTCTGGGAAGATTCAGCTCTCCTCGAAATATCTCTCACATTCCTCCAACAGGATAACCTGGGCTAGTTTTCAGAGCAGAAACAAGGGTTCTAGAGCAAAAACAGAAATATACAAATGCTTTTAAGATTTTTGCTTGTATCAAGTTTGATTTTGTCCTGTTGGCCTTGGCAAATTGTACAGACAATTTGTCTGTACACAGAGTCAGTGTGGAAAGGAACGCACAGAGGATGTAATCAGGTGTGATACAAAAATCATAAAAATTGGGCTATTAGTTCAATCAATCTATCAGTTCTCCGTTCTGTTCTCAATTATTTCTTGTGTCTTCAACATGCAAAACAAGATCACAGTATCCAAGGATCTCAAAAGATTCTAATGATCATGGCATCAGGCTTGGAGTCCAGAACTTTGTGGTCCGTCTCACACCTGGATATGTTTTTCTGATACAGTTCCTCAGTTTATTGTTCTCTATGGCTTTTGACTGTGCTCTTCAGAATTGCCACCCTTTTCCATTGGCCACTTCTGAAAGAGTATTAGGAAATAATCCCTTTGGAAGCTTTCTTCATCCTAGTGCCTGCCTGTAGTAAGTTGAGAATCCAGTGCCTTTCAATAATGTCAAGCTCTTTTAGTCCAACTGAAGGCACTTTTGCTAATGTAATTCCCTGAATAATTTGCGGGGGGGGGGGGGGTGGGGGTGGTTAATGCATCTGATTTGAGTTCATATTAACTCCAAAAGCCATGCCACAATGTTTTTCAAGACATGTCTTACTTTCTCTTGGCTTACCATTACTGTAGGATCATGCTTCTGTGAGAACATGCCTTTAAGATTCTTAGAAGCACGTTTGTTGATCTTAAAGAAGGTGTTAGGCACCACTCCAATTCCTTCTTATGGATACACCCTTAATTTAATCTCTGCTCCAGGCTATATTTTACTTTGAGAATCCCTTCCCTGCAAAGAAAACTACAGATGAGAAACACTTAGATGAGAAACACTTTTATTTTTCCGGTATAGGAAGTCCTCATTCTGCTGGCAAACTAGCCAGATCTTTTAAAATCTTACTTCTTTTTTTGTAGTACCTTATCATAAATAAGTAGTAGAAGCAACTCTTCATAAGACTCTGACTCAAATCTCAAAATTTATTTTTATCTCCCAAGTTACAACAGGCAACAGTTTAACCATTTTTTTATAATTACATAGTATAGGTTACCATTTCCCAGCCTTCTATAGCAACTCCATTACTCTATCGCTGTTTTGTTTTGTTTTGTTTTGTTTTTTCGTCTCTTCTCACTACCTGATCCCAAAGCTAATGTCACATAATTTATATTTGTTATGGCAGAACCCCCCTTCTTGTACTGAAAATTACTAAAAAGGGTTTAGTTGGGAAAACAGAACCATTATAAGAAAAATGGGAATAAGGGATTAAATCTTACATGGTTGTGTGATAACATAGGGAAGTGAAGATCTATAAAAAAGAAGAGGATAAGAATAAGAATCACTCATTTAAATCTTGTAAGCCAAATACATCTCGATGCCAAAGTGGTCCCATAAAGGGAAGCTTGTGGAGAGGGCTATGGAAACTCTGCTACTATGTAATTGCTGCCAGTGTGGATCTACAGGAGGCACCTACGTCTGGGTCTTCTGTTTGTAAGCAGAGACAATAGTTGAGAAAAAAAATGCTAGACATAAAGTAGAGGGGAGGGAGGAAGTGCATGTCTGCCACAGAGTCAGCATTTCTATCTGACATAGATTAGTTATGTATTTATTCAGCAATTATCAAGCAAGTACTGAATGACAAGCAGTCATTTCTTAGCAGTAGAGATCATGGATATGAAATGCAACATTCTCTTACATGAAGGTGCTCACAGTTGGACAAAGAGAAATGAGAAAAGCAAGAAGCAGCATAATGCTAACTGTGAAGAGATTAAGAGATTAGCACAGGGCTAAGAGAAGACATTGATTTATTTGTTCACTAACTTAACCAATACGTATAGAGTGCTTATTATGAAAAGGCAGCAAAGTCTTCCCACCTCATGCTGACTATGTCACCTACAGGGGGCATTGTCCAAGTATCTCCATACAGAGATTCTAATTCTTCCTCTCCTCTCCTCTTTCAGCAAAACCAGAGGTAAACTCTGAAGCTAGAAGCAACTTAGGAAACTGTACTAATTCCAAGTGAACAGTATCCTTAAGGATCTAACCTTCATCCTTTTGCTATAGCTTGTCTCGCTTACTTGGAGATATGGAAGAAAGTGGTATCCCTTCCATTACCCAAATTGACCCCTGACAGTCTTTATTATAACATTAAAGGAATTAATAATTTATTTGGGGGAAAAAAGTCATGCAATTTTTTAGCATCAATACAGTATTACGCACAACAGGCACTATTAACAGTTAACTAAGAGAGGTTATTGGACGTATGGATGACCAGAGAGATTTGAAGATGGGGAAATGGAGCCACATTTGCTTAGGCTTGCCCACAGAAAGAGGTGGAGAAATAGTGCTAAATAAGCACTATCATGACATATTTTATCTCCTTCCAACTTCTATGTCTTCCTTTAAACCACATTTCTTTTCTGATGCCCCATCTTCTGAGGGTTGAATAGCAGAGTAGAGGAAGCGTAAAGTCAAGTCTCTGGACAGAGCTGAGTTTTTAATTCCAGCTCTGCTGCTCATGATTTAGAGTAAGTTGCTTAATGACATGGCATCCTACTTACTTTCTCATCACTGAAATAGATAGAGCAACACTTTTTTCACAGGGTGGTTTTTGGATTACCCATCAAAGCAAAAAAGGAGAACCCTTCTATAAAGGAACCCATTAATTATTGACTGCATTTTTTTCTCTTAGTAATTATTATTATTAACTCCTCCATTATCAATGACTTTCATAATCATTTCTTTTAAAATGAGGATGTATGTTTATATGACTTAGGTTATATTCAAGAATAATTAATGAGATAATGTAGCTACCATTTGTTGAGGAACTGCTATATGCTAGGAGTACTATATACATTATTTCAAATCCTTACAAAAGTAAAACCCTCCCATTTTGGGATTCCCTTCAACTAATGATTTGGCCTTCAAGTAGCCTTCTCTACCCTCATTTTGTATTCTACTGAATTTCAAAAGTGTTATTTTGATGTGATTAGACAGCTTAAATACTCTGTTTTTTAGTAGGTGCACTTGTATTGCTTTGGATAAAGCTGGCTATTGCATGATTATGCACCACTAACATAACAGCAATTCCAGCAAGTGGGGCTCTTGAGAAATGAAAGTACCTCTTACCTTGGTGAGAACCTCCAAACAATTGGTTGACCCTCAGTTGGAGGCTGTGGTCATCTCTTTGAATGTTTAGTTACACACAAAGACAATTAGCTATTTGATTGCTTACCTAAAATTTACTCATGAATTTATTTGTGTAATTATGATTTATTGAAAGTCACCAGGTTTCCAAAGCTTTGCAGTTTCATTTCCTTCCTATCAAATTTCCCAGGGGTATATGGTGTTTACATAGGTCATAAGTATATATGCATCAATTTATTTATAAAAAGTATCACAGTCTCTAAACATGAGAAAAATTCCCATAGCTCTTACACCACAATGCATTTCCTGAGAGTGTCCCCAGTTTGCCGAATGGAACATTCCTCCCTTGTCTCTCCCAATATGGTCGATTTGATATGATTGATTAGAAGAAAGATTCCTTCCTAGCTGTTTTTCAGAAAGGAAGGGATTGGGTCTTGTGTTCGTTTTTATAGTGACCATGATGTCTGAGAACAAAGATACTTCATGTTCAATTGTCAAGGCTTAGGAAGCAGCTGCTGTGGAGTTCCCTAAAGGCCAGAATTCAGCAGAACCAAAGACTTGGATTTGATCCTACTGACTTGATTTCTTTAGGTGAATCTCAAAATACAAATACCATTTATGAAGTCTTAGCTTTACGAAATATAAAATCTATTACCATGTAACATTCCTATTAATGCTTTCATGCATGTGAGAGCGCCATATACTACATCCGAACCTTGGAGGTGAACACCTTAGGTCTAAGTCCCTGCTCTTACCACTGCTGATTACTTACTCATCATGTGATTGAGAACTACTGAACCTCTTCAGCTTCAACTTTCTCTTCTCTATAAAAATGAATGTCTCTTTAGCTTACCAATTGTTTTGATAATCAAACATAAAAGATAGATATAGCACCTACTATCAGGCCAGCCACCTAGTAGTCTTTAAAAATGTAATATTAATCTGTATAAATATATGACGTAGGTTTAATGATTCTTACTAAGATTTATGTGCCCTACATAATTATATAACACAAAATTAAGTGGGATTTTTCCTTCTGCCCTGGATTTAGTGCCTAAGGCTCAAAGCTGCAAACAAATTGGTACTGAGCTCCCTATTTTCTAAAGAGAACTTTCAACAACTGTGTTTTGACAGCTCCTGCTGGGTCTTACTTTAAGTCACTAGAAATGGCCCTACCACCACCTGCCAAAAACAGAATGCCCCACAACCCTCTTCATGATTAAAAAAATAAGACTGGGAAGAAAAAAAGTTGAGAATGACTAATGTGCTGGAGAGCATGGTGTTTATGATTAGAAAGGAAGTGCTCCTCCACTCCTTTGCAAAGTTAAGTCATGATGTTAGGAAGATAATTCTTAGAGATCAGCATCGTCTGAAAGAAATAAAGGCTCTGATCTCTTTCTTGCTAAATGATTGATGGACTGCACAATCAATCAAGGTGGAAGCAAAAGAGTGGTTGGGGAGAATGACTTGCACTTTCTCAAGGTTAGGGTCTTACATGTGCACAGAGCATGGGGTCACATTATCTGGAGATTTCAGAAGATGAGAGACTTGCTTTTGACAACAGAACAAAAAGAAATTACAATGTAATGTGCCTAGGAAGAAGATGGAGCAGCTTCCCACTTCCTCTAAGTTTCTGTCAGCCTTTAAAGGGCATTGATAATGAAATCAGCTATTTCTGGTTTCAAAGTGATCAATGCTTTGAGGTAGAAGCAGGTACCCTGGGCTGACCATGTGATCAAAGCAAAAATAATGTGTTGGAGGCATGGATTACTGGTAAGAAATAAGAAGAGATATGACTGCTCTAAGTAGGTCAGCAGTAACAGAGTGCTGGATTAATGTTGATCACAGTTGCAGCAAAACTACACATACTCTACAGGTGGAGACCAATCCACTGATAGAGACTACCCACAATGAATGGAATAGGTCAAGCTAGAACGAGATCAAGGATTCTTTCCTGCAACCAACATGTCTGGAAAAGTGGTCCCTTTCTCACCTATTTTTCCTGCCAAAATTTAATACAAGGGGCTTTGAAAAGAGGTAGATGCTAGAATAGGATGAAGAGGAAAAATAATGGCTCTTCCCAACCTCAGATGTCTTTGAGCCATGGCTTAAGTGTGAGACGAAGACAGTGATAAAATAACAATAATTAAAATAATATTAATAATTATAATAGTAGCTAACGCATATTTCTCTATGTCAGGCAATGTTCCAAGTGCTCAACATATAGCAAATAATAAGAGTCATAGGATGTAGGTTATTTTATTCTCTCCATTTGATTGTTGAGAAAATGGAGTCCATTTGAATTTGAGTGACTAACCCAAGTGATGACTAAACTAAAAATCCAAAGCTGGTGGTGGTGGTTCTGGAATTCAAATCCATAGAGTCTGAATCCAGTATAAGCAACTTTTAGACAAATTCAGAATTGTAATCTGGACTGAAATCTTATCCAAATTTACACAAATTTTCAACAAATGATGTGTGAAAACTTTGACAGAGCAAACCTAAAGACACAGATTGCAGGTAAGCAAAATCCTTTCAAGTTTTATACCTTGCCAAGCAAAAACTACTCATTCAAGTCTTAATAAACTGTTTTTCAAAGCACAACTAAACACATCTATGTATACCTAATTAAAGGCAAGTAAAGGACACCCAATACATTTTTTCTAAAGAGTAATGTTTACCAATGTAACAACTAGTATAATGTGTATCACTTACACAGTATATGTGGAAATTCTATGAAAATATTAGGGATAAGTATTGATAATAATAAAAATTATTGATCATGATATATTCAATTTATCTTTATTTTCTATGTGTTCACCACGCGCTTTCTTTATTGAAAAACAGAGACGATAAACATAGATATATCCTCTTAAGAAAACTACTTCTCATTCTTTATATTTATGTCATTACAATGGAAACGGTAGATACTGGATCACAGGGAATGTTTAATATTAGATTGAAGAAGATATTAAAAAGTACAGCAGACTGGCTAAAACAAGTCTGCACTGGCACTGGGGATGGTCCTGTTGACATGTGAGGTCTTTTCCATATCTAATTTTGATAATATGATTGATGAGGTGATTTCTCATAAGTGGTGGAAAGAAACAACATCAAAACTAATCACATTATGCTGGCATTTGGAAGTCTAAATAAAAGGTATGTGAACTCATTACAGGAAGATATTTTTTCATTTGAAATTTAAATTTACCAGCCCATCCATATTTGTCTGGAAAACTTGTGAATTTGTTTGTAGATGAAAATGACCAGAGTTGAGTAATCAGTTCCAACTGATTACAGTGCATAATAGGCAGCCCAGGGTCTTCCTGGTGGTTACAGATCTGTCTTTAGAAATCTCAAGTTCAGGGAGAAGGATATGGCGACCTCAGTCTCTGTAACCATGTTTCTCTGCCCCCCTCGAAGGAAGAAATGACCTCCCCAGATGCCAGTGGAATTTCTCTGCAAATTTAGCTTCCTCACTGGTTTTTATTTTTCTTTAATATAGGAATATTTGTAAGTTTTAAATGGAGAGAATAACATGCCTTTATTTCATCGACTTTTCAAAGATACAGTCACAGCTGTACAGCAATCTCTACCAAAGGGGAAATTAACTTTAATATAAAAACACACAGCTAGGAGAACTCGAGAAGTCTATCATTTTTCCAATATGCAGTATTGAAGCCCCACAGTTTCACACCCTACACTTAAGCTATCAAGAAATTAGGCTATTTGAAATGTTACAAATATGCTAGCTATACCCATTATCCTAGATGGGCAATACAATTTATGGAAGATATAATAAATAGAGGGAAATTTAGTATGTTTGTTCAATACAGAGTAGGTAATTGAAGTGCAGAATCCAAAGTAAAACCATAAACAATAATTAGATAGTGAAAATGTGGAGAGTTGACCATGACCCACATAATAATACAGCTGAGCATCAGCAAAGACAGAAGCCGGCTTGCAGTTGGAAGCAGATTCTAAAGGGAATGTATGCTTAATAAACATCTGGAGAAGCTGTGATAATATCTGAAGAAGAATCTTCTGAAGAAGGGAACTCTCTAATCTTAACCTTACAGTCTTAATTTGTGGAGGAACATATGATTACGTAGATGTTATTATGTACATCTGGAGGAGAGTTACTCTGATGCCTCCGTGAGCCTCAGCACTGAGCAAATTGCAATAAAAATGTGTAGCATTGCTTAGTACAGCTAGTATCACTGGGAGTTTGCAACTTAAAAGTTCCCTTCAAGGTTGTTGTACTATTTAGGTTCTTCGGTGCAAATAATAGGGAGAAATTCTGTTAGCTTTAAGCAAAAGTACAATCGACTGGAGGAATTTAAGGGGCTTGGAGCTGGAGGGTTGGACTAGAAAACTGAGCAGAGCTAGGCGGCAGGAACAGACTGTACAATGTATCAGCACTTCAGCTGCAATATACACCTTCTAACCAGTGTTTAACATGTGCTTAAGAGGCAATGTACCTGAATGGCTGACAGTAAGTTATAGATGCACCCTTAGTTGTACTGGGACAGGGAGACATGAAAAACGGCCCTTGGAACTTTCCTCAGCAACCGTGTGCTTTCGAGGGTCTAAAAAGTGTCACATTCTGAGTGTCACATTATATAGTAGACACTGTACTACACACTGGGATGCAAAAGTACTAAAGCCTAGGATGTAATTTCTGTCTTTTAGGAATTTTTTATATACATGAATCACTGCAGGAAGAAAAGAGAGAAACTAATACACGACAGAAGCTAAAAAGTAGACAGCACTACATCCTCATTTTACATATCAGGAAAGAGAAGCACCAACGGGTAAAATAACATGCCACATATTTCATTACTTGAAAGGAAGGAAGTGAATATCATGAGCAGTGTGCCATGAGGCAAATTAAGGTGGCCATAATTTACTGACCAAATTGGAACATTTTTCAATGTAAAAGAGGGACACTATTAGTACTTATGCCAAGTCAGCATGCTTAAATAGAAGTATCCTTGACATATCAGAATACAAAAGGCCTGAGAAAGACATTATAGAAAGGATGTTGCTTACTGGGTTTGCACACTTTATTCAAAAGCACCTAGAAGAACAGTGCTATCCAACAGAACTTTCTGCAATGAGGGAAATATTCTATCTGTCCAAAATGTGGCAGCCACTAGCCTCATTTGGCTATGATCTCATGAAAAGTGGCTAATATGACTAAAAACTAAGTTTTTTAATTGATTTAATCTTACTTGAAATTTAAGTAGCCACAAGCATCTAGTGGTTACCAGTAAGGATAACACGGAAATAGTTTCAACCTGTGATTTATTGTATTTGTACAGCTGTTTGTAACAATACTGCAAGAAGTATTTCAAGACTCTAACAACCACCAATAGATTGGTGGTTGACATAGACTGAAAACTATACACAATTGAAATAAGTGGAAATATAAGTACAAAATATTGCAAATTATACACAGCACGTCTCTGATATTTGTTTCTCTAATTTCACTTCACTAAGAAATTTTGAAACTCTGGATATTCCCCTTGTTTGTTATGTATGGTCATGCAGGGTATTTTGTTGCTGTTGCTGTTTTTGTTTTTGTTGTTGCTGTTTTTATCCATGACTGATGACTGATCATCTGCTTTGGATGCCATGCTGTTCTCATTCCAGTTAGTGTAAAATGCTAGCTAATTGTCTTACCCTGCAAATAGCCGCTATCAAAATAATGCTAATGTTCTCAGCTCCTTTCCTTATGTAGCTGCTTCTGTGTCTGCTCTGTTTCTGTTGAGAGAAAGGCATTTTATACTTCATTTCTTGGCAGAGGGATTTAGTTGGAACACAACAAGTTGGGTCACTCATTGGGCTAAGGCTTTAGAAACCATTAAACAATTTAATAGCATGGTTGAAAACTGATATGGTTTGGCTGTGTACCCACTGAAATCTCATCTTGAATTGTAGGTCGCATAACCTCCACGTGTTGTGGTAGGGACCTGGAGGGAAGGAATTGAATTATGGTGACAGTTACCCTCGTGCTGTTCTCGTGATAGTGAGTGAGTTCTCAGGAGATCTGATGGTTTTATAAGGGGCTTCCTCCTTCACTCAGCACTCACTTCTCTCACCTGCCATCATGTAATACATGCTTGTTTCACCTTCTGCCTTGATTGTAAGTTTTCTGAAGCCTTCCTAGCCATGCGGAACTGTGAGTCAATTAAATTCTTTTCTTTATAAATTATTCTGTCTTGGGTATGTCTTCATAGCATCATGAGAACAGACTAACACAAAAATAAAAGCTCCAGTGTTAAACAGAATAACATGTAAAAGGTAATTTAACTAACTACTAACTAGGTGACCTGGAGCAAATTATTTCACCATCTTAAGTCTCAATTTCCTCATCCACCAAACAAGTAAAAAAAAAAAAAAAAAAAAAAAAAAAAGGTTACTTTCCAGCAAGGTGCAGTGGCTTATGCCTGTAATCCCAGCACTTCAGGAGGCCAAGGTCAGCTGATGTCTTGAGCCCAGCAGTTTGAGACCAGCCTGGGCAACATGGCAAAACCCTGTCTCTATAAAAAATACAAAAATTAGCCAGGCATAGTGGTGCATACCTTGTAGTCTCAGCTACTTGGGAGGCTAAGGTGGGAGGATGGCTTGAGCCCAGAAGGTGGAGGTTTCAGTGAACTGAGATCTTGCCTCTGCATTCCAGCCTCGGGGACAGAGCCAGACCAGCCTCAAAATAAATTACTTTCCTCATTGATTTATCATGGGGCTACGCATGTAAAACACCAAGCACAGCTTATAATATACAGTAAGCATTAACTCAATCAACTAAGTTTTTCTGGGCCCTATCAAGCATACTCCAAGTGTACAAGGAGCTGAGACAAGTGTCATGCAGTTTATAGTTTAGTGGACAATTCTTCAAGGTAGCAGTACCTGCCTCTGTGGTGCTATGGGCTATAAATGGGCAAGTAAAGAGATCTTTAAGAAGATGCTGAGGAGGTCAGGCTTACTGAAAAAAGCATACAACACTTCTCAATTTTGCTAGTACAATCTTGGGAACTTCACATACAGCCAGGTTCTAGGAGGTCAACACTAACATTCACAATTGAATTTCAATGCTTTGCTTCTTTGTCTTTGTTAAGCTTTGTATTTTATGTTTTTTAATTTTTAGTTATTTTCAAGTGTGTGCCCTAATCTAAGGAGCCAAAATTGTGTAATCACAAACTGCACTGTCGCTTATTTATACATTTAGTCAGCAAGGATTGACTGAGTGTCTAAGACACACCCAACACTGTGTTAGTTTCCAGACATACATTGGTGAATAAATCAGACAACCCCCTTGTGCTCCATGGTGCTTATAATCTAGTTTGTAGCTAATTGTCTATATTCACTCTTATTATGGACAGCATACTCAGATACCATCTGAAGTTGCACTTTTCACGCATATCATCCTTTGTATATGGGCCAGTGTTCACACAGTGATGAAGGCTAATTTTTTCTTCCAATTCTTGCACCAATATTGACTTGCAGTTCACACTACACACAAGCCACCACACAAGATAGACAGCATTAAAACCAATTGGTAACCAGTAAAATGAGCCAAGTCCATTGATCATGGGCTTCAATATTACAGCAATGGCAAATTGTCATAAAGTTTCTAGACACTTTCCCTTTGTGTACTAGTAACAGTGTGGACCAACTGCTGTCCACAGATCACATGGCAAAAAACACTGATATAGGCTGCAGTACCTTGAAATAAACCTACCATGTTCATAGAAGCTATCACAGAGGAAGGGGGAAGAAGAGAAGGAAAGAGTTATCTCTTTTCTTCAAACGTTCTCATTTTAATACCCCTTATATTAGATAGACTGCATATCATTTAGACCTGTTCATACTGAAATTGTTATGAATGTTCATCTACATTCACAGCAAGTAAAATACTCTATCAGTAAGCTCCATTGAACCACACCCAGAGAATCTAGACGCAAAACCTGTGTAGCTATTGTAGGGTGGGGTTGAGTGAAGAAGTCCTCAACTTGCCCTTGTAAATGACTCAAATAGGAAATTAAATGGGAAATATTTGGCTTTCTAATTGAGAGCAGAGTGAGGGATCAAGGTAACAGTAGCTACTGGGTAATAATTAAGTATACTGAAAAAGAAAAGCAGCTAGTCACTTTCCTGGGAAAAGTTAATATTGCCTTTTTAGTACTTATTTTACTTTCAAAGATTATAAACTTCCTCAAGTCAGATCATGCCCTGTTGGCCACTTATTATAAATATATATAATAAACTAGTGTATAATACATATATATATCCAACTAATAAAGAAGGGTATTTTTTATCTAATTTTTTAAGTTATAAAACTATGATGAAATGAGTATTTTTATTGAAGTTAGGCAGGAGAAGCTCACATTATTATATTAGTAAGATTTGTATATGTCCACTCTTTTCCAAATCCAAAAAATTTTTTTGATGATTTTAGTCTTTATGATTGTTTTTTTCTAAATTGGAAAGTAAAGAAATGTAGAATCTAAAATTATCCATAATCTCAGCATCTAAACTCAAATACTAAATTTACTTTGTGATGTATTCGGCTCTATTCTTTCAATAACACTGATTTTTGTGCTTGAAATAACTGGGCCTGACTAACATTTCTAGTTCTCGTAGTAATAAGTTTCTGTGGGAAATTAGGATTCAAACACTGCAGCAGAACTTTGAATAGCAAGCCCTTCGTTGATACAACTACTACAAAGTTTGACTCTATTGGTCTTGTGAATAAAACCCTGATATTCACAAAAGAAGAAATTATCTGGAGCTTTTTAGCTCAGCAAGAATCAATTCTTAAGCCATATCTGAATTCCTGTAAATTCAGAATTAGTGAGGTCTGAGTTAATGAGGTTTGATTGTATCCTGAGCTATTGGTAAAATTGCAGTGCTGCAGTGACTCCCACTGAAGTTAGATTCATTGCTGTTTCAACAAGGGTTGAAGAGGGCAGATTCTTCCTGGTACCCAACATCAGCGCTTTTTAATTACACTATTATGTGGTATAAGGTGGACCTATAAGATGGCCTACTAGAGGAAGTCAGCACTTTCTGAGTGAGCAGCAGCATATTTTTTTACTTCTCTCTGCAGTCCCCTATTCACTTTCAAATGGATCAGGTTTCCTTTCTTTGGATCTCTAGCTTTTGTCCATTAGAGTTTCCCCCAAAGACTATTTTATCAAACAAGGGAAAACACTTTAGAAAAGACCGTAAGTTCTTTGCAGAGTTATAGCCTGTGCTTTGTTTATGCATAGTGAACACTTACTGAGTTAGCACTCCCTAAAGGAAAATCTGGGGAGGTATCAGAAAAATGTTTTTGGTAATTGCTACTTGGTTTGATATCCTGGTATTTTGTGATGTTTTATGCAGCATTAATGGTATTACCTGAGATTCTAAGGACACAAAATAACTTCTAACTCCATTATCAAATGTAAGGAAGTCATTTCAGACCTCTGAGGGAATTAAGTGAGTTGATCGTCAAATGCCATTCTTGGAGGAATGTAACAACAACATGCCTCTAAAAGACTTAACCCATTTTAATTGGCACGTTGTTTGTATGCAAGCATATTCCAGATCACATATAACTGTGGGTAAAGATACAGTACACCTCTCCTTCAAGCACATGGACATTTCTAATCAGGTTATTGCTTTTGGCAAATTAGCCTATTAATTTTCAGTATCTTTCTGTATATTTGTAATTTATACAAATTTGGGAGCTACCGAAATGCCTTTTAACTTCATTTAGTTTGGCCTGAAGATTATTATTTGGAGTCTCCAAAGGTTGATTATTTTCATCCATGAATACTTGGGACTAAGAGAGTGAGAGAGGATACAGCGAGTAGGTAGTTGATATAGTTTGGCTGTGTCCCCACCCAAATCTCATCTTGAATTATAGTTCTCATAATCCCTACATGCCATGGGAGGGATCAGGTGGGAGATAATTTAATCATAGGGGTCGTTACCCTCAGCGGCTTTTCCCCGTTTTGCTTAGCACTTTTCCTTGCTGCTGCCATGTGATGAAGGACGTGTTTGCTTCCCTTTCCACCATGATTGTAAATTTCCTGAGGCCTCTGAAGCCATGCTGAACTGTGAGCCAATTAAACCACTTTCCCTTATAAATTACCCAGCCTCAAGTATGTCTTTATTAGCAGAACGAGAATGAACTAATACAGTAGTGAAGAAGTTTATTTCACTTACCACCTAGGATAGTGTACCAGTTCCACACACCAGTTTCCTGGCTCTCCTCCCAGGCCTGAATCCTGGTCTTACCAATGGATTATAAATATGCCTGTTTATTTCGTGGAGATACAAGCATATCCCGGTATCTGCAGCCTTTAATACGCACTATAACTAAATTTTGTGTATACTAAACAGGGAAAAGTTGAAAGCATTCCCCCTGAGAACTGGAACAAGACAAGGATGCCCACTTTCACCACACTATTCAACATTGTACTGGAAGTCCTAGCCAGAGCAATCAGACCAGAGAAAGAAATAAGGGGCATCTAAATCAGTAAAGAGGAAGTCAGATTGTCATTGTTGACTGATTATAAAATTGTATACCTAGAAAATCCTAAAGACTCATCCAAAAAATTTCCAGATCTGATAAATGAATTCACTAAAGTTTCAGGATACAAAATCAATGTACATAAATCAGTAGCACTGCTATACATCAGCAATGACCTAGCTGAGAATCAAAGCAAGAAGTCAACATCTGCTGGGCATGGTGGCTCATGCCTGTAACCCCAGCACTTAGGGAGGCCAAGGCAGGCAGATCACCTGAGGTCAGGAGTTCGAGATCAACCTGGCCAAGATGGCAAAACCCCATCTCTACTAAAAATACAGAAATTAGCTGGGCGTGGTGGCAGGGGCCTGTAATCCCAGCTACTCAGAAGGCTGAGGCAGGAAAATAGCTTGAACCCAGGAGGCTGAGGTTATAGTGAGCTGAGATCATGCCACTACACTCCAGCCTGCATGACAGAGCAAGACTCAGTCAAAATAAATAAATAAATAAACAAACTCAACTCACTTTACAACAGCTCCAAAAAATAATAATAATCAAATACTTACAAATATACCTAACCTAACCAAAGAGGTAAAATATCTCCACAAGGAAAACTGCAAAACATTACTGAAAGTAACCACAGATGACGCAAACAAATGGAAACACATCCCATGCTTATGGATGGGTAGAATCAATATTGTAAAAACGACCATACTGCCAAAAGCAATCTACAAATTCAATGCAATTCCCATCAAAATATCATCATCATTCTTCACAGCACTAGAGAAAGATTAAAATTCATATGGAATCAAAATAGAGCCCACATAGCCAAAGCAATACTAAGCAGAAAAAAACATATCTCAGGGTATCACATTACCTGACTTCAAACTATACTACAAAGCTATAGTTACCAAAACAGCATGGCAACGGTATAAAAATAGCCATGAAGACCAATGTAACAGAAGAGAGAAATAAAGCCAAATAGTTACAGTCAACTGATCTTTGACTAAGCAAATGAAAACAAAGTGGGGAAATGACACCCTATTCAATACATGGTGATGGGATAAATGACAAGCCACATGTAGAAGAATGAAGCTGGATCTTCATCTCTCATCTTATAGAAAAATCAACTTAAGATGTATCAAAGACTTAAATCTAAGATTTAAAACCATAAAAATTCTAGAAGATAACATTGGAAAAAGTCTTCTAGACATTAGCTTAGGCAGAGTTCATGAACAAGAACCCAAAAGCGAATGCAACAAAAACAAAGATAAGTAGATAAACCTAATTAAACTAAAACACTTTTGCAAAGCAAAAGAAATAATCAGCAAAGTAAACAGACAACTCATAGAATGGGAGAAAATCTTTACAAACTATGCATTCAACAAAGGACTAATATCCAGAATCTATGAGGAACTCAAACAAATCAGCAAGCAAGAAAGAAATAATCCCATCAAAAAGTGGGCAAAGGACATAAATAGACAATTCTCAAAATAAGATATCCAAATGGCCAACAACATGTGAAACACTGCTCAACATCACTATTTAACAAGGAAATGCAAATCAAAACCACAAAGAGATACCACTTTACTCCTGGAAGAATGGCCATAATTTAAAAAAATCAAAAAATAATACATGCTGGCATGGATGTGGTGAAAGGGAACACTTTTACACTGCTGGTGGGAATGTAAACTAATACAACCACTATGGAAAACGGTAAGAAGATTCCTTAAAGAATTAAAAGTAGATTTACCATTTTACCCAGCAATCCCACAACTGAGTATCTACCCAGAGGAAAAGAGGTCATTATATGAAAAGACACTTGCACACGCATGTTTATAGCAGCACAATCCACAATTGCAAAAATATGAAACCACCCTAAATGCCCATAAACCAATGAGTGCACAAGGAAAATGTGAAGTATATCATAGAATACTATTCAGTCATTAAAAAAAATGAAATAGTGACATTTGCATCAACCTGGATGGAGTTGGAGATGATTATTCTAAGTGAAGTAACTCAGGAATGGAAAACCAAACATCATATATTCTTACTTATAAGTTGTAGCCAAGCTATGAGAACTCAAAGGCATAAGAATAATATAATGGACTTTGGGGACTCAGGGGGAAGGGTGAGAGGGGTTGAGGGATAATAGGCTACACATTGGGTACAGTGTACACTGCTCAGGTGAAAGGTCCACCAAAATCTCAGAAATCACTACTAAAGAACTTTTCTAGGCAACCAAACACAACTTGCTCCCTAAAAACTATGGAAATTTTAAAAAAAATCAATGAATCCAGTAGTTAGTTTTTGGAAAATGTAAATAAGATTGATGGACCGCTAGCTAGAATGATAAAGGAAAGAGAGAAGATCTAAATAAACACAAAATTAGAAATGACAAAGGGGACATTACCAATGATCCCACAGAAATACAAAAAAACCTCACTTAAAGACTACCATGCATACCTCTATGCATACAAACTAGAAAACATAGAAGAAATGGAAAAAATTCCTGGAAATATACAAACTTTCAAGATGAAACCAAGGAGAAATTGAATTCCTGAATAGACCAATAATGAGTTCCTAAATTGAATCAGTAGCAAAAACCTACCAACCAGAAAAAGTCCACAACCAGACGGATTCACAGTCTAATTCTATCAGATGTATAAAGAATAGCTCATATCATTCTTACTGAAATTACTCCCACAAAATTGAGAAAGGATTCATCCCTTAATAATTCTATGAAACGAGCATCATACTGATATCAAAACCTGGCAAGACAACAAAAAAGCACACTTTAAGCCAATATCCTTGATAAACATAGACACAAATTTATCGACAAAATATTAGCAAACTGAATCCAGCAGCACACCAAAAATCCAAAAAGCTAGTCCATCATCATCATGTAAGTACACTTTATCCCTGGGATGCAAGGTTGGTTCAACATATATGAAAATCAATACATGTGATTCAACACATGAACAGAACTAAAAATACGTGATCATCACAATAGATGAAAAAAAAAATCTCAGGATAAAATTCAAAGTCTCTGCCCAACTTCAAACTCTAATACAAGGCTACAGTTAACAAAACAGCATGGTACTGATAGAAAAACAGACACAAATGGAACATGATAGAGAATGCAGAAATAAGACTACACACCTACGACCATCTTATCTTCAACAAAGTTGATAAAAACAAGCAATGGAGAAAGGATTCCCTATTCCATAAATTTGCTGGGATAACTGGCTAGCCATATGCAGAACATTAAAGCTGGACCCCTTCCTTACACCATATACAAAAATTAACTAAAGATGGATTAAAGACTTAAATGTAAAACCCAAACCCATAAAGATTCTGGAAGACAATCTAGGCAATAGCATTCTGGACATAGGAACAGGCAAAGATTTCATGAAAAAGATGCCAAAATAATTGCAACAAAAGCAAGAATTGACAAATGGGATCTGATTAAACTAAAGACTTTCTGCACAGCAATAGAAACTAGCAACAGAGTAAACAGACAACCTGCAGAATGAGAGAATTTTTTTGCAAATTGCATCTGACAAAGGTCTAATATCCAGCAACTATAAGGAATTTAAACAAATTTATAAAAAAAATTAGGTAACCCATTAAATAGTGGGCAAAGGATATGAACAGACACTTTTCAAAAGAAGACATACATGTGGCCAACAGCATATGGAAAAAAAGCTCAGCATCACTGATCACTAGAGAAATGTAAATCAAATCCACAATGAGATACCATCTAACATCAGTCAGAATGGTGATTATTAAAAAGTCAAAAAATAACAGACGCTGTCAAGGTTGCAGAGAAAAAGGAATGCTTATACACTGTCAGTGGGAGTGTAAATTAATTCAACCATTGTGGAAAATGGTTCCTCAAAGGCCTAATAAGAGAAGTACCATTCGACCCAGCACTCCTATTACTGGGTATATACCTAAAGAATATAAATTCTTCTGTCATACAGACACAGGCACGCATATGCTCATTGCAGCACTATTCACATTAGCAAAGACATGAAATCAACCTAAATGTCCATCAGTGGTAGAGTAGGTAAAGAAAATGTGGAACATACACACTATGCAGCCATGAAAAACAAGAAATCATGTTCTTTGCAGAAACATGGATGGAGCTGGAGGCCAGTATTCTTAGCAAACTAACTTAGGAACAGAAAACCAAATACTGCATGTTCACATTTATAAATGGGGGGTAAATGATAAGAACACGTGGACACAAAAAGGGGAACAACAGACATTGGAGACTATCAGAGGGTGAAGTGTGGGAGGAGAGAGAGGATCAGGAAAAAGTAACTAATGGGTACTAGGCTTAATACCTGGGTGACAAAATAATCTGTACAACAAATCCCCATGACACAAGTTTACCTACATAACAAACCTGTATGTGTACTCCAAACTTAAAAGTTTTTTAAGTAGGTTTCTGTTAGGTCTAGCACGTTAAAAGTGGCCACAAGACAGTGGTGATTGTTGGCTAAGTGTGTCAGCTAAGGAGATATACTCGGTTGTAAATTTAGCTCACTACTTCTCAGCAACTACCTCTCTGTAGCCTCAGATTCTCCATCTTAAAATGAACTTATTGCAACCTTTCAGTAGACTACCTTAATGTTTATGTGCTTAAAGTATTTGGAATGAACACAGACTTAGGTAAGCAATGTATATGTTAGTTAATATTATTATTTGACTTCATACCCAGAGCTAGAATCAAAAAGTAGAAGTTTCTGGGAATAAATTTCAACTTGCTACCAAAAGCTAATTTAAAAGATAATAGAAAGATGGAAGTAGAAGAAATGAGCTCCTCCTCACTAGAGTATCCAAGGAACCTGAACTTGGTCTGGATTCTTCTACCTTTTTTTTTTTTTTTTTTTTAAGACGGAGTCTCATTCTGTTGCCCAGGCTGAAGTGCAGTGGCACAATCTCGGCTCACTGAAACCTCTGCCTCCTGGGTTCAGGTGATTCTCCTGCCTCAGCCTCCCGAGTAGCTGAGAATACAGGAGCCTGCCATCACACCCAGCTCATTTTTGTATTTTTAGTAGAGATGGAGTTTCCCCATGTTGGCCAGGCTGGTCTCAAACTCCTGACCTCAAGTGATCCACCCCGCTCGACCTCCCAAAGAGCTGGGATTACAGGTGCGAGCACCGCACCCGGCTACCTTGGCATGGATTCTGAAAGCTCTATTTACTCACTCGATTGCTATCAGATTAGCCTGCTAGATATTGACTTTTAGTACTGAGGTTTTGTGCTTCTTTGTAATGTTTATCAACTATGACCACTGTAATGCTAGTTAGTTCATGAAAATGAGAAAGTAAAGGAGTTAGAATAGTAAGGTGTAGTATAAAGAGAAAGGTTTAAGGCAGCAGACAATTTGACCTTGTGACAAATCCTTGTGACTTAGGAACTTGGAAACATTTCTTAAGGCCTTTGAACCTTATGGAGAGAGAAAGAAGAGATAAAGACAGGGAGAAAAAGAGATTCTGGTATATATTGTGTATAACAAGCAATTAGAACCTATAAAGTACTGTGGATGAGGGTTGCATTTGCTATGAGGAGGAGGAAGTCTACAAAGGTATGGAGTATGAAACGCTGTCCAAGATGACCTAGAACAGGCAAAAATCAGGACATTGGTTTGCTGGAGGAGCCCAGTCAAATAGGAGAAGAAAGCCCAGGAAAAGAGGAGGAGTTGGGTCTGAAGGTGAAGCTGGTTGCTGCATAAATCTCCCTGAGAACATCAGCTACAGTATTGCTTCCCTTTTTTGAGAAACAGCTCTATCTGGGTTTCCTAGCCATAGCAGCATTAAAAACAACAACAAAAATGCAGGTGAAATAAATAAAACCTCCACCCCACATTTCAGCCGTCTCTGGCCACGGTACTATAGAAGCCATCATTCTTAAAGAGTGTCATCTTTTATTTATTAGCAACATGAAACATCCTGGAGGTAACTGAATTATGCGATCAATGTTAATGCTAATCAAAGTGATCAACGTTGAGTGTTCTCTTCTCCACATGGCGTGGCCCTTGCTGCTCCCAAGATGCCAAATGCATGATTTGTACATAGCCCTAATTTGCTGATTACACTGATCTTCTCAGTTCCTGCTATTCTGAGTTCTTACCCCCTTGCTATCTTTAGTTTTAGTTCAGCGTTGATATTAGGGAAATGGCATTAGAAAAAACAAGGTATTCAAAATAAAATCCAGGCAGATAAATTTTAGAGCTTAAAATAAGTGAATCTTTTGAGTATCCAAGTTGCTAACCATTAGATATTTAATAAATAATTTAATCAGATCAAGAGGAAAACTGATTTTAAAAGATATACATTTATTTCACATGTATGTCTCAGTTAAAATTTAACTGGACTCAATAAGTCGCATGCCAAGCATAGAAAATTATTTTCTACAATAAATGCATTTTTCTTATTTCATTCTCAGATGAGTAAAAATTCATACATAAATGTGTTAGAACATCAATGCATTATATTCTAACTTTTTTTTTTTTTTTTTTAGACAGAACAGAGTTTTGGAATCAGAGAAGGAGACAAATGATTCCAAGGACGTTAAAAGAGAAGAAAAGCTAATGCACACAATTGGTGTAAATTCTCTCCCATTGCACCAAAACAGGAAGCATGTCTACTATTCCCTCTCTTTACTGTCCCAAGTTAAATGGAACAAAAGAAAAACCTCGCCGGGGCGCGGTGGCTCACACCGGTAATCTCAACGCTTTGGGAGGCCGAGGCGGGAGGATCACGAGGTCAGGAGTTTGACCAGCCTGGCCAACATAGTGAAACCCTGTCTCTACTAAAAATACAAAAATTAGCCAAGAGTGGTGGCACACGTCTCTAGTACCAGCTACTCGGGAGGCTGAGGCAGGAGAATCACTTGAACCCAGGCCGAGATCATGCCACAGCACTCCAGCCTGGGCAACGGAGCGAGACTCTGTCTCAAAACAAAAAGAGAAAGAAAAAAAAGAAAAATCTCTGCCAGTTACTGTGCGGCATGACCTTGGACACTTTATTGCTCCACTCTGAGCACCAGGGCCCTCTTATGGAAAATGTCTGTTTCCCCGGTATTTGTAAGGATAGAACAAGTGGACAAATGGAACTCTCCTATGCAATGCGGTGAGAGCACACAGTCAGAGTTTGGTGATTGTTCTCTTCTCCCTTTCTATTTATGGCTCCTAGCCCTCACTGCTTCACTCCTTGATATTCATAATGTCTTGACTTTATCAGCACAATGATGTGCTTTGGGTTAGGAGATAAAAAGGTTGAGACATATTCCAGGCTATGCTGCTCACTATGAATGGTTCAGTTTTGGATCTGAGTTTGCTGGTATATTTGTTTCCCACATTTACACTGTTGATACAACTGTGAATTGAAAAAAACCTCTACCATGATATTCTGCATTTAAGAAATCACCTTTGTTGTTATTGTTTATATTATAAAGTTATTGCTTGCTTAATATTTTAATTGAGATTTTAAAAAGACAAGTATAACAAAAACAAAAATTAGTCATAATTCCAGCTTATTATTAACATTCTGATATATTTTTTTCTGGCCTCTATGTGTCCATACATGCAACATATATAGAGATGGATATAGATACACACAAAAATACCATATACATACATATACATGTTACATGCCTGTATGTGAAAATGTATATTTTCAAATATGCATAAATGTACATATAAATACATACACATATATATGTATACACACATATATTAACATGCAAATATATACTGTATATGTAAATAGTGGATATGTATGTGTGTATGACCTAATAGATTGTTTCCATTCCATTTTTTTCTGTATTATTAATAATGTTATAACCTAGATATTATCATCTTTCATCTCAATTTGTATTGTAACCATAAGGTGGATTTCAAAAAGTAGACCCATGAGTCCTAGGCAGTCTAATATTTAGTTCTTATGGATTCAAATGGTGCATCTGTCAGGATTTCTTTGGGCTGCTCAGTGGTAATGACGTATCAACGGTTTAATATTTTGAATTGAAACTATTTTCTAAGGTTATGGACATTTTAAATGCGTTGCTTTTCAAAAGAGATTTTTACATTTCAATTTGCATGACCAAGCTGAGCTGGGAAAATAAAATCTACCAGGTTATCTTGGAGCTCTCTGCTCGCAAGCACATGAACCACAAGTTTATCATGGGGGATTAATCAATAGAATAGAAGGTACAAATATTAAATTTGTAGATTACTCACAAAATTGAAAATCTCCCTAAAAAAAGCATTGTTTCTGGTGCATTTCCATATCCCAGGCTCACACCAGGCACCCAGAGAACCAAATGTTCCTTGTGTTCTGTAGTCTCCCACCAGTCCAGCCCTGTGGACCCTACTCCCCGCTGTATGGGGTCACCAGTCTTGGTTTCTGATGTCAAACACACCCTCATCACCATTCCCAACTTACCTTGGTTCTTCAGAATCTACTCCACTCTTACTTGCCGAGCAAAGAGGCCCCATTTTTAGGTCTTCTTTGTGAACTGCCACCTTACTTTGCCTCTCCTCTCTCTAAAGAGTTGAAGGTCCAATTCATGCCATGCAAGGCAGCACACAAAATACCTTTATCTTAGCTCCCCTTCACAAGACTTCACTGATTCTTATCTTAGAGCAGGCTTGTTTTCCAATTAGTGGCTAATAGACAAAACTATCTGGATACCCTCAGAAAAATGTAAAAGGGTACTGCTATTTTGATCTGCAAAAAATAAAAATAAAAAATATATATAAATATATATATAAATATATAAATATATAAATATATAAATAAATATATAAATATATAAATAAATATATATATAAATATATATAAATATATAAATATATATATAAATATATATATAAATATATATAAATATATAAATATATATACATATATATAAATATATATATATATATAATCCAAAGGCCACATACAAGCCTGTGCCAGAGCATTTCAAATTTACCAAACTTACAAAGGCTAAATTATACCAAATTTACAAAGGCTAAAGAGTGAATTAATAAATGAATGAATGGACACATCTTTATTTTTCTATGATCATCTTCCTCAAGTATCCTCACCCAACAGAAGTATAGAGGTTGACCTAAACTGCTAATTGTGAATATATCCCTCTTCTTTCTATGTAGTAAGTCAGTCTCTGTGCTGTAAATATTTCTTGAAGACATTTTTTCTATTGCCTCCTTACCAAGATGGCAACTGAAAGTAGGAGAAAGTTTTTAGCTATTTTGTATTGGTAGAGGAGTTCTACCTTGCCTCCGTCTCTTTTTGGTGTGCTTTCCACAGCAGGACAGCTGATTTCTGGGTGAGTGCTATGGAATGTCTTTTGAGATGTATATCTAGTCCAGTCTCTGGGTTTCCTACTGGTAGATGTTGCTGCTGTCTGCCCCAGAGGCTCCTGTGGTCCACTTGTTTGGCATGGCCAGAGGTCTTAGCCTCACCTCAGTTATCTGGTTCTGTGGATGCCTCCAGAGAACAGACTGTGACAAGTAGACTATCCGCGATGTCGGTGCTGCTCTGTTGCACTCAGTTATGGAGCCACATCGCTGCTGTCACAGCGCTTCTCCCTGTTAAGTTTTCCAACCAGTCCATCAATTGTCTTATCATCCTCTGCTCAATTACCCCCCTACACACTTGTCAGGCCCTTTCCCCTCAGGAGCTCAGGGTCATGCAGCTCTGAAATGTTAACTTGGGCTTAGCTTATACCATCGTTCTTCAATTTCGCTTCTCCATGTTGGAGAGGAGCCGTACAACAGAACTTCTGTACAGACTATGAAAGAGGAACTCATCAAAGCTCTGTGCCTTTTATCTTTCTTTTGTTTATGATGTCTCTTCCCCTCTGTGAGGGAGGTCAGGAGATCTTTCTTTCACTCACTCTTCCTTCTCCTCCCCACAAATCACCAGACTGGAAGAACCAGCTTTTCTTTTTCTCTTACTGTCTTGCAGTGACTTTTGCCTTGTTATATTATCCTTTTTCTCTGGAAGACTAAAACCTGAAAACTTACTTTTAATGGTAGATAGGATGAAAAAACTTACTTTTAATGGTAGATAGGATGAAAAAAGGGAAATAAGCTTATAAGTAATGAACATACATGGATTAGAATTTTAGAAATACTACTTTTTAATTACCTCTTTTACACATGTTGCTTTCCTGGCATACTAAAAGGAGAGATTAACTTATAAGATGCTCCATGAAGTATTCTATTGAAGTTAGGGGAAGACGAATACCCAGGGTCTCATACCAAAATAATAAGTTACACATGTAAGACATTGCTACGTGCCAGGTTCTGTTCTAATTGTGCTACACATATTAATTCACATTCTCAAAACAATCCTATAAAGTAGGCACTATTATTTTCACTACTTTAAAAGTAAGGAAGAAAAAGTATGGAGAAGCTATTTATCTAAGGCCAAACAGCTAGTTAATATAAGAACTAGATTTCAATGCAGACAATTTCCTTGTTTGGAAATTCCAGCAGAGACAAAGCCAAGATTATATATATATATTTTTTAAAATAATAATAATGATAAGCAATTCACTTGGAAAATAAAAGATTTGAGGTTTTCATTGAACAAGAATTCTATATAAATAAGCCAACAATAAAATGTGGCAGTTAAAGTAATCACAATGGATCTTAACCAGCAGTAGCCAGTAGGTAAAATAATCATAATTAATCTGAATCAGCAGAAACTGAAGCAGAGAGTGGAACTCACAAGAAAGAGCAGCTATTCCATGTTCTTCACTGGACATAGCATAGCTGTAGTACTAGGATTTATCCTTGAGACTACACACAGTGAAAGATACCAGGAAACTGAGGTCCACTCAAATGAGGGCAACCCAAGTAATAAGGGTAATGAAAACCAATTTCAAATCACATCTTGACATATCTGAGGGTATTTAAACTGGAAAAGAGAAAATCAGGGAAAATGATAGTGATCCCTAAACCCTTATAAATCAGTAAGAAAACAAAAATAGACTTGCTTTGTGCCATGGAAACTGCAGTTCTCCCACACATCTCCCAGCGGGGATACACTTCTTTTTAGTCATTTGGTAGGTGAATCCCAACTGATGTGTTACTAAAAACAATTAAAGACTACAAGTCTGTGATTGAGACTCACTGGTTATAAATTAGAGATTCCAGTTTACTCCCATAACATCACTTTTATTAATTCATTCTTTATTGAAAGAGATCCTGGTAAATGTATATCCACTGGAATGTCACATAAACTCAGTTAAGCTCAACAGAGTATTTCTCATATGTAAACCTCTTTAGAAGGTAGAACTAGTGTCTGGGATTTACATGGAGCTGAACTTTAATATTAATATGACAATATGGGATCTAATAGTGGAAGGGTTATAACTTAACATGAAAATTAATAATTATCACAATACTGTTAGATAGATCCTGATACACTGAGGCTGTCTAACTTTCTTTTCAATAAGATAATACATTTTTATTGAAAGAAAAAAGAACTTTCTCACACCTTCTCCTGCTTTTAGCTCTAGTATTCACTTTACTCCTATTTGTTGCATACAGCCCAGCCTTTCCCAAAGTGTAGAAGACATATGTGGCATATGGGTTTAGCAGGCATAGGGAATAGATTTAGTTTGTGGCACATAAACCTCAAATGAAATAAAAAATATAATTTCAATTTTCTTTCTGTCCTTCTGTCAAAGAGAAATTCTCAGTTTAGTACTACCCATCTTCAGCAATCTTGAATGCTTACATAACTTACTGTGCTCCAACTTTTTCAGACAACCATATCTAAATAATTGTGTTTTTATCGCATCTTTTATATGATTACTTTCTATGTAACTGTCTTTATGCTAGTAATAGAAACCTTCCCTTTTGATAAAAAGTTATTTGAACAAAAGAGTAAATTAACATAAAGAACATCATTAAGTAATGGCACAGTTGGTACAGGACATGACCATATTGGAGAAGGTGGTCTGATAATGACTGCGTTACAGTATCTTTGGGGTGTTTTCTGGCTGGAACCTCTGTGGCCACAGCACCTTTGTCTGAGTTCTTGTCTTGCATCCAGGGAGAATGAGGTAGGCAGACAAGCGAAGGATGAACAAGATGAAGATGAGCTTTATTGAGTGTTACAACAGCTCAGAGGAGACCCACAGTGGGTAGCTCTCTCTGTAGGCAGGTCATCCATCAAGTGTTCCATTCTCAGCAGAGAGGAGGCCCTCAAGAGGGTAGCTACCTTCTGCAACTGGTCATCCTGAGGTCTGTAGCTCTCAGCGGACAGGAGGCCTGGAGAGAGTGGCTCCTCTCTGCCAGCAGGTCTTGTCTGCAGCTCTCAGCAGAGAAGGTGGTCTCTCTGCCCTGTTTGTCCTCTGGCTGTCCTCTGTCCTGCTCTGGCTGAGCCCAGGGCTTTTATGGACCTCAGAGAGGAGGAAGTGTGTGCCAATTGGTCCATGGGTGGCCATGGGCAGCCAGGAAGAGGAATCATGAGTCCCTACTGTTGCCTGCAGGACTGTCAGCCCGTCCCCCAGCCTTCAGACCCTCCTTAACCTGAAGGTGGGGCCTTACTGGGGACCCACCCCCCTGCATCTAGGAATCAATCTGCCTCCCATTGCCTTTCATAGCCCCTGGGGCCAGTCCCCAAACCCCTCTGAGAGATCAAAGCAGTCACCTGGAGCAGAGAGAGGCCAGTCAGCGGCAGCAGACACCCCTGAGCCTGCAGGGTTGGGGAAAGAGAAAGGTCCTTCATGGGGCCCCCGAGGGTGCACACTGCAGAGATGCCCAGGTCTTGTCCCTAGGAAAGCAGCTGCAGTGGCACTGGGGGAGCTCAGGCTCCAACTCAGAAAGGGCGGGGCTCCCACTGGCTCCATGAAGTGTGCAGCCCCAGCCCCTCCTCCCTGCTGCAGCCATCGTGATGGCAGCAGCCACCGCCATCAACTGGACTTTAGGAAACACTGGACAGTCTTTCTAAAACCATCTACCTTCAATATGCTAATAATGGGATGGGGGGGTGAGCTTACTGTTTGCTGAAGTTTGAGTGATTGCCCCAGAATTCATGGGTTGGAAATTCAGTTCCAAATGTGGAAGTGTTGGGAGACTGGGCCTTTAAGAAGTCAGAGAAATTAATGCTGCTCTGGCAGAACTTGGCTTATTCTCATGGGAGTGACTGAGACCTTGCTCTTGCTCTCATGAGACTAGATTAGCTACTGAAAAAGTAGCTTATTATAAAGTAAGGTCACCCCTCTGTTTCACCCCTTTTGCAACTGCCACTTCCTTTTCTGCTATTCTGCCTCATTATAATGTGGTACAAAAGCCCTCACCAAAAGCTGCCACCATGCTCTTGGATTTCACAGCTCCAAAACTATAAGTAAAGTAAACTTCTTTTCTTTATAAATTATCTATTCTTGGGTATTCTGTGATGTCAACAGAAAACAGATCAAGATACTCTTATTCATCACTTATACATCTATTCTTAATTAGATGATCTTTTTTCATGCCTCATTTATACAAAGTGTCTTATGACCCTTCAAAATAAGCAATAAGTATTCCTATTAAAGAACATGGCCTGGTGTATTTAATTGCCTGTTAACCAGTCTATTCCTCGAGAATGTCAAAAGCAATACATCTTGACTTGCTATTCTTGTGAAATGTATGTAGTATACACTAGATTGTCAAAAACTTTGACAATAAATGAATAAATCAAACTGCCCATAAATAGAATCATGATTTTCATACCCCTATCTAAGCACTCACATATATTTTCCCCTTGTCTTGTATGCAATATTCTGCTACTTATTTTTCACTTTGGTACCTTCATGCAATAAGACATATAATATTCTGCTTTTAGATTACACACTTGTGTAATGTATTTATTATACTTCCAAAATATTTAGGTTTTCCGTGTCAGTTTTCTGTGTTATTAGTGCTTAAGTTTTTAGAGGCCAAAGTAGGGACTATGTGAAAGTTTCCTTCCCATCGAGCAAAATGTTATAACAAACTAATCATATTATGAGTGCATTCAGCTATGTGCGTTTTACTCTTTGATAAAATGGCCAATTATGGTGAGACTTAAACAACAAGTTCTACACTTTGACATTGCTAATAAGTAAATAGCTATACTATGTGTTTGTTTTAAAGCTCAGAGACTGAACCCTAAAATTGAGGAAATTCATTTAGAGGTAAATCATTGAAATACCATCTAAAGAATAAAAGAAAAATAGGATTCTACATTTTTGACATTCTGTACTTACTTCCCAAGTTTCAACTGTGCTTAATACTTATTTGGTTTATGTTTGATTTATGAGATGCTATATTTCCAATCTTAGGGAAGACAAGAGTTTTTAATACTCCTGACATTCTGCCATTTCTCATGCCATGTTCTTGAACTTGGGGCCTGAATGCTTGGTTTATTAAGACTGCTTCTAAAGCTGAATACTTTTTATTATACATTTCCTGTCACGTTTTTGAAAAAGTGTTCTACCTCACCAAATAAAAGCGATTCCCACTGCTCATCTTCGAAGTCATGGGAGTGTTGAAATCTCACTTCTTTCTCAGTTCTGTGGATCTAAAATTTACCTAGGGTGACAAAAGCATCGCAAGCTTAGCAGCTGGTCTGCCAGAGTATCCCTCCTCAGAATGGCGTATTATTCCCTATCTGTTGTTCCAGATGTGGTAATTCATCTTTTAATAAATGTTTCCTGTGTTTTTGAAGCCTTTTCTTCCTCTTCTCCAACCCTCACTTGTTTTATTCCTTCTTATATGTTCTAAGATAAGAAAGAGCATATTTCTCTTGAGAAACAATCCAAGCACGAGGATAGTTAAGCAATAGCTTTCAAGTACTGAGAGAAAAAACTGCCAACCTGGAATTTTATATCTGGTGAAAATGTTCTTAAAAAACAAAGGCAAGATTTCTGGTTTTAACTCCAACCAGAGAGCTTGGAAGTCATCACTTTTGTTCTTACAATAAGAAAAAAGCTGAACAAACTAAAAATCAACAACTTTTCTTAGAGCCATCAGAGGATTAAGGTGACGGAGTAAAGTGCCATAACAAAAACTGGAGAGACAGGAGAATATAGAAAATCACAGCCCCAAACCACCTAACCTATAACAGAAGCTACTGGAGCCAGAATGTGGTGGGAACACTTAAAAGGCAATTGTGAATAACTGCTGAAGGCTGTGGCCTACAGTGAAGATGAGAAGCTACAGCCTAAGATCCCTGCCCTCGATGCACATTTTAATGGACTTTGCCTCCAGAAAATTAATCAGGTTCTCAGGATCCAAAAAACATTCCCTCCAGTTTCAGTTAGGGTGAGAAAAATGTAGCCATTTCAAATACACTCAGAACATTCATCATAACAAAGGCTTGCTCTTCAAGAAAACCTAGTTTTACCAGGGCCTTGCCTACCTGGAGGAAAGGCAATTAGTCAACTCCATCCTTCTCTAGCTTTCCTGACTCAAACTAAGAGGATGGAGGGAAGGCTAAGAAACTCTTCTGAATGTCGCAACTCAGAAATTTAGTCCAACAAGTAGTTTTCTTTTTGAGACGGAGGCTCGCTCTGTCGCCCAGTCTGGAGTGCAGTTATAAGACTATAGAACGCTTTCCTTCCCTCAGTCCTTACCACCACATCAACATAACTTCAGTGTAGTAACAGTAGATTATTATGATGGAAAACACTGCAAGACACGGACTTGATTTAGGCATTCTTAGGGAAATCCAAAGACAACAGGAAAAATAAAGATAAATAGGGACAATGAAGAAAATGGAAGCTTTTTACATGTAAATATACTGTAAATATTAAACATAGCCTAGCCCCTAGCAATATTAACATAAAATCTCACACTAAAAGTCTATTTATCTCAGTTCTTATTATGCAATACATCATGTCCAGAGTTCAACTAAAAGTACAAGACTAGCTAAAGCAAGGAAAAACCCCAATCTCTGAGGAGACAACATGAGTATCAGGACAAGGATTAGTTAGAGTCACAGACTTTCAAAATATCACCTAGAAAATTTAAAACAACCATGATGAATATCTTAAATTCATTAGTTAAAAAAGTATAGCCGGGTGTGGTGGTTCACACCTGCAATCCCAGCACTTTGGGAGGCCAAGGTGGGCAGACCACGAGGTCAGGAGATCGAGACCATCCTGGCTAACACGGTGAAACCCGTCTCTACTAAAAATACAAAAAATTAGCCAGGCATGGTGGTGGGCGCCTATAGTCCCAGCTACTCACTCAGGAGGCTGAGGCAGGAGAGTGGCGTGAACCCAGGAGGCAGAGCTTGCAGTGAGCTGAGATCGTGTCACTGCCCGCCAGCCTGGGTGACAGACAGAGACTCCGTCTCAAAAAGAAAAAAAGTACAAAACATGCAAGTATAGGTGGTAAGCAGAGAGATGAAAACTTGATAAAAATATCAAAAATGAATGATAGAACTAAAGGATATTTTGACAGAAGTGAAGGCTACTTTGAATGGGCTCATCAGAAGACTAGAGATAGCTGAGGAATGAATTGATAAGCTTGAAGATATGCGAACGAAAACTTCCTAACTAAATTAGAAACTAAAAAAAGAATTTAAAAAATCCAGAATACCCAAGGACTGTGGGACAATTATAAAAACTGTTACATCTGCATAATTAAAATGAGAAGAGGAGATGAAAGAGAGAAAGGAACAGAATAATTATTTGAATTAAAGATGGCTGAGAACTTTTGCAGATTAATGATGCACACCAAACAATACATATAGGAAACTCAAAAAGCACTGAGTACTATAAGTGGGGGAAAAAAATAGACAACAATAACAAAAAGCCCTACACCTTGGCAAATCTTGTTCAACCTGCAGAAAATCAAAGATAAAATCTTGAAAGCAGCCAAAGGTGTGGATAAATGCCTTAGCTGTAGAGGTGAAAGGATAAGAATTGCGGTAGCCCTCTTATCAGAAACGATGCAAACAAGACGACAGTGGAGCGAAATATTTAAAGTATAGAAATGAAAACAAAACCACCAAGCTAGAATTCTATAATTAGTGAAATTATTCTTCAAAAGTGAAGTAGAAATAAAGAGTTCCTCAGACAAACAAAATATGAAGAAATCTGTCAGAAGAACTGTCTTGTAAAATGTTGTTAATAAAAGAAAATCTTCAAAGGAAAAGAAATTAAAATAGGTAAGAAATTAACATCCACATAAAGAAACTGGTGAATGAATAAATGCAGATAAAATAAAATCTTTTATTGTTTTAATTATTACTTGATTGCATAGATACTTGTTTGTTCAAAGAAATAAGAATAACAATGTATTTAGTGATGATAAAATATGGTTAGGTAAAATGAATTACAGCAATTTTATAAGGAACAAAAGAAAGGAGAAATTGGAGATACTCTTTTACAAGGTAATTGCACTACCCTGAAGCAGTATAGTGGGTTTGTTTGTTTATTTGTTTGAGATGGCATCTCACTCTGTCACCCATACTGAAGAGCAGTGGCGTGATCTCGGCTCACTGCAACCTCCACCTCCTGGGTTCAAGCGATCCTCCTGCCTCAGCCCCCCAAGTAGCTGGGATTACAACCATGCGCCACCACACCTGGCTAATTTTTGTATTTTTAGTAGAGACAGGTTGGCCAGGCTGGCCTCGAACTCCTGACCTCAAATAAAACACCCACCTTGGCTTCCAAAGTGCTGCGATTACAGGCATGAGCTACCGCGCCCAGCCAGTATAGTGTTATTTGAAAGTAGACTTAGGTTAGTTGCAAATGTATATCATAAATTCTAGGACAGCCACTAAAATACTTCGAAAAGAAGCACGATTGATATACTAAGAGAAAAAATAATAATAGTCTGGCTCAGTTAAAGCCAGAGAAGGTAAAATACTGTTTTAAAAAGTAAAGGGTAAGTGCAATTCACATACAAAATTCAAAACACAATAGACACTAATCAAAATATGTCAGTATTCACATTAAATGTGAGGGGTCTAAATATAACAATTAGGAGACAGTCTATCAGACTGAATTAAAAAAAAGAAAACAAGGTTCAACTATAAGTAGTCTACAAGAAACCTACTTTAAATAAAAAGCAAGACAGGTTAAAAGTAAAGACATGTGGAAATATGCATCATGCTAACACTAATCAAAAGAAAGTGGAGGTAGTTATATTAACTTCAGATAAGCAGAATTGAGACCAAGAAAAATTATCAGAGCTACAAGAGAGGCATTACATAGTAATAAAAGAACCACTTTTCCACATCTGAAAACAAATCATTGAAGAGACAAAACTGAGAAAAAAGCAATGAGAAATAGACAAATCTATGATTATAGTTAGAGACTTCAATACCCCTCTTTCAGCATCTGATAAATACAACCAGTAGAAAATTGGGAAGGGCATGGTTGAAATAAACACCACCATTTATCAACTGCATCTAGCTGACATTTGTAGAATACTTCAATCAACAACAGTGGAATACTCATTCTTCTCAAACCAAATGGAATATTCAACAAGATGGACAACATTCTGGACTGTAAAATTACCATACCATATTTAAAAGAATAGAAATAATGCAAAGTACAATCTCAGATTAGAATGGAATTAAATTAATTAGATTTAATTAGATTTAATCAAATTAATTAAATTTTAATAACAGAAAGCTTGAAAATTCCAAAATATATGAAGCTTAAATAACACTATTCTAAATAACACCTGGGTCAAATTTAAACAAAAAAAAAACAATGGAAATATTAAAATAATCTTAACTATGTGAAATAAAAAGACAACTTATTAAAATGTGTGCAATATAGCAAAAACGGTGCTATGAAACTCTGCACCGCAGTGCATATCCTTCTGCACCAATAGAAAAAAATTTATTGCATTGACTGCATATATTATGAAATATTACAATATGTTATTATAATTCATTTTATAACAATTATTAGTTATGTACTATAATTATGAATTATATAATATTCATAACATAAAAGATTATAAGAAAGGAATCAGAGCAATTTAATCCTAATAAAAACAGATGAAAATACATAGTGAAAATTAGAATAGAAATCAATGAAATTAAAATCAGAAAATCCGCAAAGTCTGCAAACCCAAATGCTGGTTTTCAAAAAGATCAATCAATTTGACAAATTTCTGGCTATGCTAACCAAAAAAATAAAAGGAAGAAGGCACAAATTACTAATAATGTAAAGAAAAAAAATGCATCATCACTAAAGATCCAATGGACATTAAGAGGATAACAAAGGAATATTATGAGTAACTCTAGGCCCACTGATTAAATAACTTAGATAAAACAGACCAATTCTGTGAAAGACACAAACTCCAAAAAATTCACAAAAGGAGAAACAGATAACCGGAATAGGTTTATAATTATTAAATAAATTGAAAAAGTAATTAATAATTTTTTAAAGACAGCACCAGACCAAGATGCTTTCACTGGTGAATTCTACCAAACATTTAAGAAACAATACCAGTTCTTTACCATCTCTTTTAGATAACAGAAATAGACATTTCCTAACTAATTCTATGATGCCAGCATTATACAATTCTAAAACCAGATTAAGACATTCTAAACAAAGGAAAACTACTTGCCAATATCTCTTATGGAACTAAATAAAATATCTTCAACAGTACATTAGCAAGTTGAATCCAACAATGTACAAAAAGAATTATACAAAATAAGCAAGTGGCATTTATTCCATTTATGCAAAGCTAGCTCTACATTTGAAAAGCAATCTATGTAATCCATCATATCAATAGGCTAAAGAACAAAAATCACATAATCATATCAATTGATGCAGAAAATGCACTGGGCACAATCCAATATACATTTATGGCAAAAAAAAAAAAAAAAAAAACTCAGAAAACTAGAGGTGAACTTCCTCACCTTGATAAAGAACATCTACAAAATAACTGCAGATAGCATCATACTTAATGGCCAGTACCTGTATATTTTTCTTTTAAGATTAAGAACAAAGAATGAATGTCCCCTCTCCCCAGTCTTATTAAATATTGTACTGGACGTCATACCTAGTACAGTAAGACAAGGAATGGTCATAAAGGTACACAGATAATCAATGAAAAAATAAAACTGTCTTTTTAAAAGGATGACCGGATTATTTATGTAGAACATCCTAATGAATCAACAAGAAAATGGAACTCTGAATTAATTGTAGCAAAGTCATAGGAAACAAGGTAAATATGAAAAATACTTCTTTTATGCCAGCAATGAGCAATTTGAATTTAAAATTAAAACATAATACTATTTACATCAATATCAAAAAATGAAACATTTAGGCACATATATGACAAAATATGTACAGGATGTATATATGGAAAACTAAAAAAACTGAAAAAATAAATTTGAAAATGATGTAAATTAGTAGAAAAATATACCATGTTCATGGAACATTGTTCAGATGTCCGTTCTTCTGAATTGATCTATAGATTCAGCACAACCCAGTCAACATTTCAGCAAACTATTTCATGAATATTGATCAACTGAATCTAAAGTTTGTATGATAAGATAAAAGACCTGGAGTAACCAACACAATTGTGAAGAAAAAGAACAAAATAGAGGATTGATATTACTACTCAACTTCAGACTTATTATCTTCAGACTCATCAGCTTCAGCTACAGTGATAAGAAGAGCATGATACTGACAAAATAATAGACACATAGATCAAGGGAACAAAATAAAGATCCCAGAATTAGACCTACCTACCTATAATCACCTTGTCTTTGATAATGGAACAAAGGCAATACAATGTAGAAAAGACAGTCTTTTAACAAATAGTGCTATATATTCATAACCAAAAAAATACAAGAATTTAATAATTTGTACCTTTTATAAAAATGAAGGCAAAATTGGTCTTAGATCTAAATGTAAAATGCAAACTCCTAAAACTTCTAGAAAAATATTATAAAATGTGGGTAAACTTGTGTTTCCTAATAGTTTTTATATACAACCAAAAGTATGCTCCATGATAGAAAAAATTGATAAGTTGAACTTTATTATTAAAAATTTAAACATTCTTCTCTGTAAATATCAATGTAAAGAGAATGAAAAGACAAGCCATAGACTGGGATAAAATTATGGTAAAATGCATATTTGATAGGGGCCTTATTTTCAAAATATACAAAGAACGGTGAATTTTCCACAATAATAAAACAAACAACCCAATTTAAAAACAGGCAAAATATCTGAACAGACACTTCACCAAAGGAGATGTACAGATAAGGATATTAAAAAAATGTTTAAAACCTTTTGTATTTTAAAATTGCAAATTAGTACAACAATGAGATAGCACAAACCTATTAAAATGGCTAAAATCCAAACATCTGACATCAAATGCTGATATTTGAGGATGCAGCACAACAGAAACTCTTAGTCATTGGCGATAGGAATGTAAAATAGTGCAACCATTTTAGAATTAGTTTGACAGTTTCCTTGCTCTGTCAGCTAAAAGGAGCAAAATAGAAATTACACCTCAGCAGCAATGACCACATCTAGCACCTAGATATTACTTTCTAATACTGTTCTCCAATAAAATAAACCAGAGGTTTTTGATAAACAGCTGATTCTTGGACTGCAGCAGGAAATGTACAAGATAAGCTTGGAGCATCATGTTAATGGTAGAAAGTAAAAAAGGTTTTAAAAACTGGATGGTGATATGTCATATGTGCACAGTAGCCATTTGAAAGAGTTGCCAATGGCCAAATCTGAAACAATTTGAGCAACAAATTAAAATGGTATTGGATTATATGCAAAAGTATAAAATAAATAACAATGTATTCATATTATAAATAAATTATTAAATAAATTAATAAATGAGGAAAAAGAGACACGTCTCCAATGAAGAAGAATAACAAGTGAATTATGTAGAGATTCCACTTTAAAGGAGATGGAACATGACTTCCACTCCTTAAGTGTAGACTGTACGCAGTGACTTTTCCTTCCAAAGATTACAATTTGAAAAAACAAAAGAATTACAGTAAGGGAACCTGAAAATCTTCAACGGTGGTAAGAAGTTATGTTAATAATAAGCTTTATATGCAATAAAAATGACACTTTACCTCTATGATCTTCCTTCTAAAAAGTCACAGTTCCAGTGTAATCATGAGAAAAGCATCAAGCAAATCCCAATGGAAGAAAATTGTCAACGTCTTCAAAACCAAGAAAAGCGTGAGAAACCATCACAACCAAGAAGAGTCTATGGAGACATGGCAATGAAACATAATGTGGCATCCTCAATGGGATCCTGGAATAAGAAAATGATATTAGGTAAAAATGAAGGAAATCTGAATAAACTGTGAACAATAGTATACCAGTATTGGCTTACGAACTGTAACAAACATACTATGCAAATATACATATTAATAATAGAGGAAACCGTGTGTGTGGGGGGGGAGATAAATGTATAGAAAATTTCTGTACTATCCACTCAGTTTTTCTGTAAACCTAAAACTGTCTTAAAAATAAAGTTTATCAAGAAAAATTTAAAAATAAAGATGAAGTAAAGACATATTAAGGAATACACATGGTAAAAGAAATTATCACTCTAGACCTGCACCATCAGAAATAATAAAGGACGTTCTCAGGCAGAAGAATAATGATACCAGACAGGAACATGGATCTATAAAAGAAATAAAATACCTGGGAAGGAATAAAAATGTGAGTAAATATAAAATATGTTATTCTTTATGTTTAATATCTTTAAATGATGTGACTGTCTGAAGGTACGATAGTACCAAGGTATTGTGGTACTTACATGTAGAATTAAAATATTTGACCAAAAATAGCAAAGAGTGTAGAAGGAAGTCAATGAACTTTTCTAAGTTTGTTATACTTCACATAAAGCAACATAATATTATCAGGCAACAGACTGTGACAAGATAAAGATATATATATCTATATAGTAAACATTATGGTAACTAATATAAAATAATTATAAGTAATAAATTAAAAATAGAAAGTAAAAATAAGAAACAAAAACCAGATAGTATAAATAGAAAAAAATTGCAAGATAGTATATTTAAATGTAAGCATATACATCAATTACATTAAATGCAAATTATATAAATGCTAAATTAAAAGGCATAGATTTTAAAATCATATAAAAAAATAATATATGCTACCAACAATGAGATCAATGACAAATATAAGACATAGATTAGTTAAAATCAATAGCAAATATGCCACACAACTCTAATGGAAAGAAAACTGAAGAGGCTATAATACTATCAGACAAACTAGACTTGAGAAAAGGAAATATTGTATTACATTGAAATAATGGGATAAGTTTATCAGGAAAATATGATAATGCAAAAATATATTTGCTATAGAAATACAAGGAAATATATTTAATTCCACAATTAATGATGGAGAATTTAGCACTGAAAAGCACTTCTATTAAAAAACCACATCTAACATATAAATGCTGAAAGACTGATTCCTCCCTAAGATCAGGGACAATGCAAGTATGTCTGCCCTCACTACATTTATTTAACATTGTACCAGAAGTTCTGGCAAAGACTGTAAGGCAGGACAAAGAAAGAAAATACTAACATAAGAAAAATGTTTAAAAACTATGTGCATTCACAGATAACAATCATCTACAGAGAAAAATCACAACATAGCTAATAAAAAAGGCTCATGAGGAAATGAGTGACTTTAGCAAGATAACGGAATACAAGGTTATTAGAAACAAAAGCAACTATTTCTAGCCGTGTTCAATTGGAAATTCTAAAATTTTTAAAAATACTTCCTATAAAAGCATCGAAAACATTAGAAAATTTAACAAAATATGTGCAGTCTGTACACTGAAAACCATAAAACATTACTGAGAAATATAAAAGACCTAAGTAAATTTAAAAAATACTGTATTCCAAAAATTAGCCGGGCATGGTGCCATGTGCCTGTAATCCCAGCTACTTGGGCGGCTGAGGCAGAAGAATCGCCTGAACCCGGCGGGCGGAGGTGCTGAGATCGCACCACTTCACTCCAGCATGGGCAAAAGAGCGAGACTCCCTCTCAAAAAAAAGAAAAAAAAAATACTGTACTCATGGGTCAGAGGACTAAATATTAATGTGATGGTTAATATTAGGTGTCAACTTGAGTGGATTGAAGGATGCCCAGATAATTGGTAATGTATTTCTGGGTGTGCCTGTGAGGGTGTTGCCAGAGGCAATTGAAATTTGAGTAAGTGGACTGGGAGAAAAAGACCCATCCTCAGTGTGGGTGGGCACCATTCAACTGGCTGCCAGCATGGCTAGAACAAACCAGGTGGAAGGTGGGATAACCTGGCTTGCTGAGTCTTCCAGCTTTCATCTTTCTCCTGTTGTGGATGCTTCCAGTCCTTGAACATCAGACTCCAGATTCTTCCTCCTTTGGACTCGGCCTTACACCAGTGGTTTGCTGGGGGCTCTCAGGCTTTTGGCTACAGACCAAAGACTGCACTGTCAGCTTCCCTACCTTTGAGGCTTTTGGACTCAGACTGAGCCACTACTGGCTTCCTTCCTTCTCACCCTTCAGATGGCCTATTGCGAGACTTCACCTTGTGATCACGTGAGTCAATTCTCATTACTAAACTCCCTTTCATATATACATAGATCCTATTAGTTCCGTCCCTCTGAAGGACCCTGACTAATACAAAAAAATGTCAATCCCTGCCAAATTGATGCATAGATTCAAGACAATCTCAATCCAAATTATAAGGTATTTGTTTTACTTTTAGAAATTGAGATGATTCCAAAATTTAGATAGAAATTAAAAGAGAATAAAAAGAGAATTCTCATTACCTGATTTCAAGATTTTAAGATAGAGTTAAAAAATCTTTATTCATGAATATCATAATTGACTATGCAGAAAATCACAGAAGGCAAATATGCACATAAAATATGTTTAAATATCTAGTTATTGTAGAAATACAAATAAAAAACAATGAGATGTCACTATCATCTGCTAAAATGACTAAAATTAAAAAGACTGACAATATTAAATGCTGGTGATATGGAAATCTAGAACTTTTCATACTTATCTTGTGAAATGCAAAATAGTATACCTCTCTAGAAAATAGTTTGACAAATATTTATAAAGTTTATATATATACTGATTATATAATCTAGTAATTCTATTTGCTCTGTTTTAAGTATGTCCCTCAAAGTTCATGTACTGGAAACTTAATTCCCAATGCAACAGTGTTAAGAGTTGGGACCTTTAAGAGGTGATTAGGTCATGAGGAGCCTGCCCTCATCAATGGATTAATGGGATTATAGCAGGAGTAGATTAGTTCTCATGGGAGTGGGTTCTCAATAAAAGGAACAAGTTTGGCCACCTTTCTCTCTTACTTTCTCCTGCTCTCTTGCCTTCCCACCTTTACCCCTAGGAAGACACAGCAGCAAGGCCCTCGCCAGATGTGGGCCCCTCTACCTTGGACTTCCCAGCCTTCAGAGCTATAAATTTCTTTTCTTTATAAGTTACCCAGTCTGTGGTATTCTGTTATAGCAATACAAAATGGTCTAAGACACTATTTTTGTATATTCAGCAAAGAGAACCAAAAACCTATCTTCACACAAAGACATGTACACAAATGTTTATACCAATTTTATTCATACTAACTAAATATCAGGAATAATGCAAAAATGTATCTTATAAATGAATAAACATGTAATATATCCATATAAGGAAATAGTACCCAGCAATAAAAAATAATAAACTAGTGATACATGCAACAACATGGATGAATTTTGAAAGCATCATATATTGCACAGAAGCTATATACTATATGACAGGACATTCTAATAAAAAAGATAAATATACTAAATATACAGGGAAAGTTATCAGAAGAGTCGTCATCAAGGCCTGGAAACTGACAGAGAGGCAAAAGGGCAAGAGAAAATATGATGAACTGAAAAAAAATTCCATTTTTATTCTGATAATTATATAACTACATTTGTCTAAACTCATCAAACTGTATACTTAAAAGACTATTTTACTGTTTATACATCAATAATACTTACTTAAAAATAAATTAACTGAGAAAACAATAAGAGCGATCGTTCCCTTATTCCTGACTTCAGGGACAATGATTCTAATGTTTTACAATTAGACATAATGTTTGCTGTCAGTTTGAAATAGCTAGCCTTCATCATTTTGGGGATTTATTCTTGATCTCCAATTCCTAATTGACTAACACTTTTTATCAATAATTGATGTTGAATTAGTTTAAAGTACTTTTTCAGTATCTCTCAAGATAAAATTTTTTTTTCTCCTTTGATCGATTGTTGTGATGAATTATTATTTGGTTTCCTAATATTGAATTGTTAGTGCATTCCTGGAATAAAAACCTATTTGGTCAGAGTGCGCTATCATTTAGTAAGGAGCTACATCTGATTTGCTAATATTTTGCAGCTGTGGTTCTAAAGATGTTTAATCTCTTTTTTTTAAATGTTCCATTTTTCTTATGTTTTGGCGCATGATTATGCTTTATTCATAATTGAAATTTGGAAGCTTTCCATCAATTTTTATAATATGAACTAGTTAAACTCACATCAGTTTCAAAACACAACCTAAATTATTTGGTGAGAATGATCTTTTGATAATTATTTCGTTGATATTATTTTCTATTTATTTGATATTTATGAAATTATTTTAAGCTTCATCATAAAGTATTAATTTTAACAAAAAAATTCCTTCTGGAAAATTATTCATTTCATTGATATTCTAAAAAGTATAAAGAATTTAAATAATCTTTACAAAAATGTTCTCTACATTTGATGTTGTATTCCTTTTGTTTCATAATGTAACATAGATACTTCTAAAAATTTTTTCTGTAGTATCAGCAGCTCACAAAATTCAATACAATTTGGAATAGCCTGGAAAATTTTTCAACATGAATTGGTCTTAGCATAACCTCAGAAAGAATGAATTAACATTTCTTATATGAAAAAAATAAATGTTGCATTTGATCTTTAGTCTTCCATTTTTATTTAATTTCCCTGATAAGTGAAGGTTGAACATCTCAAATCCAAAAATGTGATATCCAAAATGCTCAAAAATCCAAAACTTTTGGAGCGCTAATGTTACAGTCAAAGGAAATGCTCATTGGAATATTTTGGATTTCAGATTTTTAGGTTTGGGATGCTAACCCAGGTATGATGCAAATACTCCAAACTCCAAAAAAAATCCAAAATCTGAATCTTTTTTTTTTTGTTTTGTCTTTGTTTTGTTTTGAGATGGAGTCTCGCGCTGCCGCCCAGGCTGGATTGCAGTGGCGCGATCTCGGCTCACTGCAAGCTCTGCCTCCTAGGTTCATGTCATTCTCCTGCCTCAGCCTCCAGAGTAGCTGGGACTACAGGCGCCCACCACCACGCCCGGCTAATTTTCTGTATTCTTAATAGAGACAGGGTTTCACCGTGTTAGCCAGGATGGTCTCAATCTCCCGACCTCCTGATCCACCAGCCTTGGCCTCCCAAAGTGCTGGGATTACAGACGTGACCCATCGCGCCTGGCCCGAAACACTTCTAATCCCAAACACTTCAGATAAGGGATACTCAACTTGCGTTCTTTTTTTTTTTTTTGACCATGATCTATTTTTTAACTATTTTTTAATGCTAGTTTGTAATTTGAAAATCATGCTTTTATTCTGTATTTTTCCCTGAATCAACCTTAAAATATTTGAAAAAAAATTAGTGGTCTTATCTTTTATAAAATTACATTTTAATTTTTTTCTGCATGGGATACTTGTTTCTTCTCCCTCATTTACATATTCAATAATTGATACCCATGTGGGATCATACATATTTATTTTATAATCTAATATTATTTAACTTTATTAGTTCCCATTATTCCAGGTTTGGCTATTAGAAGCTCTTTGAGTGTCTCTGTATCCTTTGACAGGGTTCCGTCAGAGCAGAATTTTGTTTTTTTGGTTTTTTTTTTCCTCATCATTTCCTTACCATTAGCAATACAAGATGCTCCAAGCCCCAGGCCTAGACCAGCCATTTCTTAAAGGAGCCTTGGCTCCTTTTATTTAAGAATGGTACTCAGAACCAAGACCTGAGCTCCAGATATACTCGTTAACATACTGGGATGTTTTTACTTCCAGGTTGATGAAGAAAACATATACATGTATACTAACCTGTGTATATACACATCTATAAATACTTCTTCTATGTAACCATACATATGTATATAAAGTTACACATGAGTTCATACTGATGTCTACAACTCTTATCTATTAAAATATGGATTATTCTAGCCTCCTCCCTTTGCTTATGGGTAAATCCTGACTTCCCACCTGGCCCCCATTACCCACCATCCACTTACTTAACTGTTCAATTCTTGTATACATGTAGAGCAGTACAATAATTTTAAACTAATTGTTCTGTACGAAACAACATTTTCCACTCAATTCCCATACTTAATATGCACTGTTTTTTGCCTGTAATTTTACAAATTCCACTCGTTTCTAGTTAAATCAGCGTGTTATCCATCATCCTTTGTGGTGATGTTGCTTCCCACATTTGTAATACAGTGAGATTGATTTGTCACATTCCACATTCCATCCTGGGATTTCCCAATAACCTATGTTTTAATAATAAATTGCATACATTATACGGATAATCTGCTTGCAAGAAAGTGGATAATCTGCTTGCATAAGGCCCTACATCTTGACTGTGGACAGAACGTAGTGACTTCCTTCAAGAGAGTATATTGTTCAATGAGAAGAAGAAAACTTTACAGTGGAGAAACATGACACAAACAAACGCCATGTTAGCCAGGTGATCAACTTACAAAAGATGTTAATAATAGATGAAATTATTCAGGACCTATGGAAACTCTCTGTACTATCTTTACAATTTCTCTGTAAAGTTAAAACTTTATTTTAAAAAAGTTTGTATCTAATCACTATCTCTTGATAAGTAAAACAAACTTTCATTACTTTTTTCCTTTAATCTAATATTTTAGATCATGATAATGACGATGATGATGATGATGATGATTTGTTGTTGTTTTCTTCAACTTTTAAGTTCCAGGGAATATGTGCAGGATGTGCAGTTTTATTGCATAGCTAGAAGTGTGCTATGGTGGTCTGCTGCACAGATCAATCCATCACCTTGGTGTTAAGCCCAGCATCCATTAGCTATTCTTCCTGATGTTCTCCCTCCCCCAACCCCACCCTCGACAGGCCCCAGTGTGTATTGTCCCGACCTTGTGTCCCTGTGTGCTCATCACTGAGCTCCCACTTATGAGAACATTAGGTGTTTGGTTTTCTGTTCCTGCATTAGTTTGCTGAGGATAATGGCTTCCAGCTAATCTATGTCCTACAAAGGACATGATCTCATTCCTTTTTATGTCTGTGTAGTATTTCATGGTGTAAATATACCATATTTTCTTTATCCACTCTATCATTGATGGGCATTTGGGTTGATTCTATGTCTTTGCTATTGTGAATAGTGCTGCAATGAACATACGCGTGCACGTATCTTTTTTTTTTTGGGGGGGGGGGTGGTGGGGGGACAGAGTCTCCCTCTGTCGCCCAGGCTGGAGCGCAGTGGTGCGATCTCGGCTCACTGCAAGCTCGCCTCCCAGGTTCACACCATTCTCCTGTCTCAGCCTCCCAAGTAGCTGGGACTACAGGCGCCCACCACCACACCTGGCTAATTTTTTGTATTTTTAGTAGAGACAGGGTTTCACTGTGTTAGCCAGGATGGTCTTGATCTCCTGAACTCATGATCCACCCACCTCGACCTCCCAAAGGCGTGCATGTATCTTTATAATAGAATGATTTATATTCCATTAGGTATACACCCAGTAATGGGATTGCTGGGTAGAATGGTATTTCTGCTTCTAGATCTTTCAGTCATCACCACACTGTCTTCCACAGTGGTTGAACTTATTTACACTCCCACCAACAGTGTGAAAGCATTTCTTTTTCTCTGCAACCTTGCCAGCATCTGTTGTTTCTTGACTTTTTAATAATCATCATTCTGATTGGTATGAGATGGTATCTCATTGTAGTTTTGATTTGTGTTTCTCTAGTGATCAGTGATGTTGAGCTTTTTTTCATGTTTCTTGGCCACATGAATGTCTTCTTTTGAGAAGTGTCTGTCCATATCTTTTGCCTACCTTTTAATGAAGTTGTTTGTCTTATTATTGTAAATTTGTGTAAGTTCCTTATAGACGCTGGATATTAGACCTTTGTCAGATGGATAGATTGCAAAATTTTTCTCCCATTTTGCAGATTGTCTGTTCACTCTGATAATAGTTTCCTTTGTTGTGTGGAAGTTCTTTAGTAGAATTCGATCCCATTTGTCAATTTTTGCTTTTGTTGCAATTGCTTTTGGCATTTTTGTCATGAAGTTTTTACCCACGCCCATGTCCTGAATAGTATTGCCTAGATTTTCTCTAGTGTTTTTACAGTTTTGAGTTTTACATTTAAGTCTTTAATCCATCTTGAGTTGAATTTTGCATAGAATGTAAGGAAGGGGTCCAGTTTCAATTTTCTGCATAATGGCTAGCCAGTTCTCTCAGAATCATTTGTTAAATAGGGATTGCTTTCCTCATTGCTGCATTTTGTCAGGTTTGTCAAAGATCAGATGATTGTAGGTGTGTATTTTTATTTCCGAGTTATTTCTTGTTTTATTGGTCTATGTGTTTGTTTTTTTACCCATACCATGCTGTTTTAATTACTCTACAGAACTCTCCACCCCAAAACAACAGAATATACATTCTTCTCATCACCTCATGGCACTTACTACAAAATTAATCACATAATTGGAAATAAAACACTCCTCCTTCAGCAAATGCAAATGAACTGAAATCATGACAGTCTCTCAGGTCACAGCACAATCAAATTAGAACTCAAGATTAAGAAACTCACTCAAAACCACACAACTACATGAAAATTGAACAACCTGCTCCTGAATGATTCCTGGATAAACAATGAAATTAAGACAGAAATCAAGAAGTTATTTGAAACAAATGAGAACAAAGAGACAACATACCAGAATCTCTGGAATGCAGCTAAAGCAGTGTTAAAAGGGAAAATTATAGCATTAAATGCCCACATCAAAAAGCTAGAAAGATCTCAAGTCAACAATTTAACATCACAACTAAAAGAACTAGAGAACAAAGAGCAAACAATCCCGAAAACTACCAGGAGACAAGAAATAACCCCAAGATCAGAGCAGAACTGAAGGAATAGAGTCACAAAAAAACCCTTTAAAAATCAACAAATGGGCCAGGCATGGTGGCTCATGCCTGTAATCCCAGCACTTTGGGAGGTCGAGGTGGGCGGATGAGGTCAGGAGTTCAAGAACAGCCTGACCAACATGGCGAAACCCCATCTCCACTAAAAATACAAAAATTAGCCAAGCGTGGTGGCATGCGCCTATAATCCCAGCTACTCGGGAGGCTAAAGCAGAAGAATTGCTTGAACCCAGGAGGCGGAGGTTGCAGTGAGCCAAGATTGTGCCGCTGCACTCCAGCCTGGGAGACAGAGCAAGATTCTGTCTCAAAAAAAAAAAAAAAAAAAATTCAACGAATCCAGGAGCTGTTTTTTTGAAACAATTAACAAGATAGACTGATATCTAGACTAATGAAGAAGAAAACAGAGAAAAATCAAATAGACACCATCAGAAATAAGATTATAGCACCACTGACCCCACAGTGGTGCTATAATGGTTATTTCTAAATAACCATTAGAAAATACTACAAACACCTCTATGCACATAAACTAGAAAATCTAGAAGAAATGGATAAATTCCTGCACACATACACTCTTTCAGGACTGAACCAGGGAGAAAATGGAATTCCTGAATAGACCAATAAAGAGTTATAAAATTGAGGCAGTAATAAATAGCTTACTAACCAAAAAAAGCCCAGGACTAGACAGATTTACAGCTGAATTCTACCAGAGGTACAAAGAAGAGCTGGTACCATTTCTACTGAAACTATTCCAAAAAAAAAAAAAAAAAAAAAAAAAAAAAACTGAAAAGAAGGGACTCTTCCTCAACTCATTTTATAAGGCCAGCCTCATCCTGATACCAGTATCTGACAGAGATACAGTAAAACAAAAGAAAACTTCAGGCCAATATCTCTGATGAACATCGTGCAAAAATCCTCAATAAAATACTGGCAAACCAAATCAAATACTGCAAATAGCACATCAAAGAGCTTATCCACCACAGTCAAGTCGTCTTCATCCCTGGGATGCAAGGTTAGTTCAACATACATAAATCGATAAGTGTAATTCACCACATAAACAGAACTAAAGACAAAAACCACATGATTATCTCAATAGATGCAGAAAAGGCTTATGATAAAATTTAACATTCCTTCATGTTAAAAACTTTCAATAAACTAGGTATTGAAGGAACATACCTCAAAATAATAAGAGCCATATATGACAAACCCACAGCCAATATTTTACTTAATGGGCAAAAGCTGGAAGCATTCCCTTTGAAAACTGGCACAAGACAAGGACGCCCTCTCTCACCACTCATACTCAGTATACTATTGGAAGTTCTGGTCAGGGCAATCAGGCAAGAGAAAGAAATAAAGGGTATTCATTTAGGAAGACAGCTGATTATGATTATTTAAAATCTTAAAGTACGTGAGTTGTTTTTTAAAAACTGTATTTTTATATTTGCATTTTAAAACTCACACTTGGAAAACTTTTATTGGTTTATTGTTCACTGATGTTTAGCTAATCCTATTTCTTGAGGAAGCTGGTTCACTTTTTAAAACAATGGATTATTTACCATAAATAGAATTTAAAGACAAAATTGACAAAGTCAACATTTTTAAATTTTACCACGTTAAAGGTTCTAAAACTGATCTCTATTTGTTAAAATAGGAGCTTTCGAAGTGCATTAAAAGGACCAAAGACATACTAAGTCCAAAACAGAAGCTTTCTTCTTGCTGTATTCTGAAAGGCTTGAAAAAAAAAATGAAAAAAATAATGTCATTTTAATTAGGTAATTCAATTGAATTATTGCTGTGATAGTATAGCATCTAAAAGTGCCTCATGTATGCCAACAGTGGTCTCACTTATTGAGACAAGGGATACAAGGTGACAATTTTATAGTGAAGACAGACAATAAATTCATTATTACACGTTTTAAGTTTGAATTTAATTTAAACTTAAATTCATTAACTTCATTGAAAAAAATGAATTCATGTTGAGATGTGCAGTGAATAATTAGACATACCCGTCTGGCATTACACAAATTTCCCAGGTTGCAGAATTTTTAAAAAAATGAATCTTTAGAAATGGTAGTTGGAACTTAGAGAAAATTTATATTAAGAAGGAAGGAAAATTTAGAGAGGAAAAACTAACAGACATCAATATTAAGTGTGAAGGAATGATGACAAGGTAGGAAACAGCCACAACACTAAGAAGAGGCACAATAGACAGTGGTGCTACATGAACAGGGAGGGAGAATTTCAATGAGAGAGTAAACAGCAGTGTCAAATGATGAAGCAAGAGTGAAGTCAATGGGTAGGACAGTGTATTAGTCCATTCTCACACTGCTATGAAGAAATACCCGAGACTAGGTAATTTACAAAGGAAAGAGGTCTAATTGACTCACAGTTCTCCATTGCTGGGAGACCTCAGGAAACTTACAATCATGACAGAAGATAAAGGAAAAGCAAAGGCACATCCTACATGGCAGCAAGGGTATGAAGGAAATTGCCAAACACTTTAAAAAACATCGGCTCTTGTAAGAAATCACTCACTATCATGAGAACAGCAGGTGAGAAACCAGCCCTGTGATCCAGTCACCTCCCAACAGGTGCCTCCCTCAACACATGGGGTTTATGGGGATTATAATTCAAGGTGAGATTTGGGTGCGGACACAGAGACAAACAATATCAGACAGTTAAAACTTATTGACTAACTTTTAGAAGCTTTTTATAAAATGCCTAATTTATTCCTCCAAAAATCCTGCTTAGATAAAATTATCCTTGCCCCTTTGCAGAAGAAAAAACTGGAGCTCAAGAAGACTAAGAAAAACTGCCAATGGCCATAATGCTAAGAAGCTGAAAAACTGAAATTGAAACCCAAACTCTAGTGTGAGGATCCAAAGTTCACACTTTCTTCCTTTCTCTGTGCCAAATGAATGCCATAAATAAGAGTCTTAAAAAAAAAAAAAAAAAAAGAAAAAGCTATACTGTAATGCTGATGGAAGTGCCCATATTTTCAGAAAATTGAAGAAAGTTATTGTAAGTGAGAACATTGAAATTATGAGAGTAAATTACTTTGTTGAAAAGGAAGACAAGTCCAAAATTCAAGGAAGTTGAGTAAAAGAAAAGCAAAATTAAAGTGAGAACCCTTGGAATTGGTTAATAATCCTGGAGAAAGAATTGGTAGAGAAGAGGCTGAAGACACAGAAGAGGGACAAAAGATGGAGAACAGTCCCTGAGATGGTAGGAGAAATAGAGAGAGACTGGGACTAATTTGCCTTCAGAAAGGAATTGCTTTTCACTGAAAATGGAAGGAATATAAGAGGATATGTGGCCATGCATGCTGTTCTACATTAGAGTCAGAAGTTGAGCGTTTCCCTACACAATGGCAATTAGTGTTGCTTTTTCTTGTGACGTAGAGGAGAGTTAGGTGGATGAGTAGGTAATCTAGGAAATAATAATATATGACATGTTCATGAAATTAGAAGAAGAATTAGCATGGATATTCTTATTTGCAGTTCTGAAGGCTTACTGAAAGTTGGAAAGCATAAATATATGCATGGGAATAGACAGGACATAGAGTTGCAGAGTGGATTTGAAAATAAAAGTAGGTGGAAAGAACATTTAGCAAAAGAGTACAGTAAGGGGTATATCAAAGAATGCTAAGTGGGTAAATAAAATGAAGAGTGGGTATTAGGTGTTATAGATAAAAGAATAGTTATAACTATTTACCAAACTGGTGTTCAGTAGATCAGCAGGCTTTTTTAATTGTTCACATAAATTTAGTTAAAACCATTACAAAATCTTATTCAGAATAAATGTTAGTGTTTGTAATTCTTCAGTAAAGAAACATTTCAACTTTCATTATCCCTGCACACCATTTTATCTTTAATATGGTTGGACTCTGTGTCCCCACCAAAATCTCATCTTGAATTATAATTCCCACAGGGGCCTGGTGGGAAGTGATTCAATCATGGGGGCAGACTTCCTCCTTGCTGTTCTCATGATAGTGAATGAGTTTCTCGTGAGACCTGGCTGTTTGAAAGTGTACGGCACTTCCCCCCTTGCTCTCTCTTATGCTCTGCCATGGTAAGACATGCCTGCTTCCCCTTTGCCTTCTGCCACGACTGTAAGTTTCCTGAGGCCTCACAGTCATGCTTCCTGTTAAGCCTACAGCACTGAGTCAATTACACCTCTTTTCTTCATAAATTACCCAGTCTCAGGTAGTTACAGCAGTGTGAAAACGTACTAAAATCTTCCTCTGTGTCTCTCCTATGAACATGCTAAAACACTATTGCTCCTTGTAATAACATAATTTGGTAACTGATGCTATAAAGGAAGTAGAGAAAGGAGAAGACTGACGTAAGCAGATAAAAGTCAAAGAATGAGTATTCAAATTTAAACTTTTAGAGCTGATACATAAATACAAGATACAGGCCAGATAGAGTATATATATGATTAGGCAGCAGCAGTAGACTGTAGCTGAGCACACTTGAGTTGAAAAGGTCAATAGCAAATTGGGTAGATTGCTGGGTGGCTAATTCACATGGCTACAGAAGTGACCAACAGTCATGCCAGAATTTGATGAGAGAATAATGACCAACTGTTCAAGTAATGGTCAAATGTCGGGATTAATTTTGAGGTTAGTATATGAGAACACATCATAAAAGTAGGAAACGTATAGCTGGTTCTTTGGAATTTGTGAGACATGAAAGTTAATGGATGCAATAATTTAGCAGCATCTTAGCAATAATGAAAAAAATTACTCTTGTCTTTGGAATCTGCTCTGGGGATGTATGAGTCATCTCTGTTTGGGAAGGCAGCAGGGTAAGAGATGGCACAAGTGGGAGGATCCAAGTTTTGTTTTGTTGATATTGCTTGTTTTTTTTTTTTCCTTTTTTGAGTACAAGATGTGTTATGGATTGAATTGTATCCTGTCAAAAAATCACACATTGAAGTCCAATACTTCACAGAGACACACAAGAGAGAAGATGATATGAAGAGGCACAGGGAGAAGATGGCCATCTAAAAGCTAAGGAGAGAAGCCTAGAACAGATCCTTCCTTCACAGCCCTCAGAAGAAACAAACTCTGCCAACACCTTGATTTTGGAAATTCTGGCCTCCAGAGCTGTGAGATAATAAATTCTGTTGTGTATGTCATTCAATTTGTGGTGCTTTGGCACAGCAGCCCTAGAAAACAAATACGGATTGTATTAGTCTTCACACTGCTAATAAAGACATGCTGAGACTAGGTAATTTATAAGGAAAGAGGTTTAATTGACTCCCAGTTCCACATGGCTGGGGAGGCCTCACAATCATGGCAGAAGGCAAAGGAGGAGCAAAGTCACATTTTACATGGAGGCAGGCAAGAGCAAGCTTGTGTAGGGTAACTGTGCTTTATAATACCCTCAGCTCTCATGAGACTTATTCATTATCGTGAGAACAGCATGGGAAAAACCCACTCCATAATTTAATTACCTTCCATCAGCCCCCTCTTATAACATGTGGGAAATATGGGAGCTACAACTCAAGATTAAGATTTGCATGGGAACACAACCAAACCATATGACAGATGCATTCAGTCCAAAGGTTGAGGATGAATGGAAAATAACTGTTTTTTTTTTAACTTTTATTCTTTTTAAATCAAGAATTAGGCTTTTCTAAGAAAATAGTAATAAGTTCTAGGAGATAGAAGAATTTGGGAGTTGCTTTTTTTTCTCTAGAAAGCTGATGCCTTAGAGAATCAAGGTGCTACGTGGGTTAGTCATTGTTTCATTATTATTAAAAGCAAAGAATTTACCTCAGACTGCTCTTTTCTTTTAATCAATGTGCTCTCAAATGTCACAACATCACAGAGGCACAGATGACCTAAATGCTCGAATATAATCTGCTCTCATATTTTAATATCCCTTGATGAAAGCAAATCTTTGGCAAAGAAGCTCTCCTTTTGCTTTTCAGAGGAAGGGTGGGAAATGCCTCTGCTTTGTAGGAGACATTCTGTTCACATCTTTTTCCTTGCTGAATTTACTTGCTCACTATCTAAGGCACATACTACGTAAAGATCCATATTTGGTGGGAATAAGTTTTTCATCGCACATGACACCTTGAATGGTAATGCAGGAGCCTGTGTTACTCTGATGTGCGCAGAACTTGAAATTTTAGTGAATCAGTCCACTGGGGGTTGGATTTTTTTCTATATACTCTAAAATATTTCTGTTTCCAGGAGACAGCAGGAGGAAGAACTGCTGTTTGAATGAGTGTCAGGTGTTGTATGAATTTTTTGAATATATATAAAAATGAATACTGTGCAGACTGAGGTGGCTTCTTTTCCATCTGTCAGCACATTCTTTACAACCATGCATAAACCTTATTATCACACTCAGTGTGTTACTGCAAAAACTATCCCGGCTCTCAGAACAGTCTCTCTAGAGCTTTGAGTAAAATTCAAACTTCAGTGCAGTTAATGTAAAAACAAGCAACCTAGTAAAGAAAGGGGGAGGAAGCAATAGACATTTTTTTTCTTTCACAAAAAATGTACTACAGCTCCTTCATTTTATCGTATGTACAAGGGTAAATATTTTTCACTGAGTAAAATAGTTCCTGATGACACACATTTGGCCTTGATACTATTTTCCCACTGTATTCACATATATTAACCTTTGATGAAAAGACCACAAGAAGTAAAAGGCATAAGATGAATATGGAATAATTTCAGGGATTTCTTTTTTTTACATTAACCTTTGAGTTCTGAACTGTTGTAGTTATGTGTTTGGGGGTATATTTGGATAGAGACATTACTGCCACCCTGTTCATATTTATGGGCATGACCTTTGTATTACAGTAGCCCGCTTGGAAGCACAGTTATTTTTAATTGCTTTATGTGTCCATGGAGACTATTCTGTGCCTCTGTCAGTTATATACAGTACCCTGGCACATATGTTTGTTCAATGAATCTTTCAATGACTGGATATTTATAACAACATCTGAATATAAGAGGAGGAAATGTTGCAATTGGGGTGGTGCGTGTGTTGTTTGTTTGAAAATGTGTTTTATTGTCAATGTTGCCATATACTTAATGAGGTGACAGGAAGAATTAAAAGTGACAGATTGTTTTGGCTGCACTGGGGCCATCTGAGATATAGTCTCCTATAATGCAGCTCAATAAACCCAGCCTGTGTGAAGCCCTCAGAGTATCATTCATGGTTGCAGCAGGGCTACTCACAGAGGTTTAACGAGAGATGGTCACGGGGCAGGCAGCAGGAGCCTGAAATTGCTGTCGGAAGACAGTGAAAAGTGCTGTGCACCAAAACTTCCCCTGAAATTTGCAAGGGTGCCTCCATCACCAGTATTACAAATGGTTATTCTATTCGTGCCTGATTAGGAGCTCGATAGAATGATTGCCAAAAAGATGCATCTCAGGACAAATTATTTGGAAAAGAGGGCTGCTGCATCCTTTCTGCCTAAATAAAGCAATGACTGTGAAGTTTCTTCGTGAAATGTAGTGCAAGATATTCACTGATGGTAAAAATAGCTTGAGGCAGTGTTTGTCAAAATGTGGCCCCAGAACCAGTACCCTTAGCACCTCCTGGAGCTTGTTAGGAAGGCAACCTCTCTGCCCTATGCCAGAAATCCTGAATAAGAATTTTTAGAGTCAGGGAGGGAAAGAAAGAAAGGAATTCATTGTTTTAACAAGCTTTCCAGATAGCTGTTCTGCACACCAAAGCTGTATCCTTTATGGGACAATACATGTGACTATAAGAAATGAGGGGAAAAAAAAGTAATTATACTTATCAGAGACTTAATTAATTACATCTAAGGTAAAACTGCAGTTCATGAGAACCACTAAGTGGATTTCTGAAGACAATCTGCTCTCACTGTAACGTATATTAGCTTGGACCTTCAGCAAGCACTTAAACTATCCAAGATTCAGCCCCACCCCCATTGTTATAATGAGGAAGATAATAGTAACTACACTGTGGAATTTATGAGACTTAAATGAAATGATGTATTTTATCATACTTTGTACAAAAGTAAAATGTAGGCAAATGTTAGTTGTACTTAATATTACGTTGTCCTTACTGTGTACTCCATTTGAAGGCAGATCACAATTTAACAAGTTCACAACAGGACTTAGATAATAACAGCTATTCATTATTATTAAATTCTCATTGTGTGCCAGACACTGAGTTAGGCACAGTACAAACATCATCCATTTATTTAACTCATTTAATTCTCAATACAACAATATTAAGCAGGTTTAAAATTGCACCACAACAATTTTTTTGAAGGAGTCCAGTGGATGAAAAAAGTCAAGCGATTTGTGGAAGGACACATAGCTTGTAAATAACATCCCTGTGAGTCACATTCAGAGCTGTCTGACTTGGGGTGTTTTTTTTTTTATTTTATTTATTTTATTTTTGAAGACGGAGTCTCGCTCTGTCGCCCAGGCTGGAGTGCAGTGGCACCATCTCGGCTCACTGCAAGCTACGCCTCCCAGGTTCATGCCATTCTCCTGCCTCAGCCTCCCGGGTAGCTGGGACTACAGGCACTCAACACCATGCCCAGCTAATTTTTTTGTATTTTTAGTAGAGATGGGGTTTCACCATGTTAGCCAGGACGGTCTTGATCTCCTGACCTCGTGATCCGCCCCCCTTAAGCCTCCCAAAGTGTTGGGATTACAGGTGTGAGCCACTGCGCCCGGACTTTATGTGCTTTCTTAACCCAAAAACATTCCTTCTCTAGGCGAAGAAAACAATTTTTATAGTGTTCCTCGGCATCATAATTGTATCTATCTCTTGGTCTATAGTACTATGACTGCTGAGCAATAGTGATTAGAATTATGCCCATGAGTTAGAGTAAGGTGCCTCGAAATTAAATAATACATAATAATAATAATAGCTATGGCTTAAATGTATGTGTCTCCCTAAAATGAATATGCTGGAACCTAAGACCTAATGTGATAATATCAAGAAGTGAGGCCTTTAGAAGGTGATTATTTCATGGGATTAGCAACCTTATAGAAAGGCTGAAAGAAAATAACTAGGCCCATTTTTGTGCTTCCATCCCTTCTGCCATGTGAAGACACAGCACTCACCCTCTCTGGAGGACAGTGGTAAAGGTGCCATCTTAGAAGCATAGACTGAGCCTTCACCAGACACCAAAATCATTGATACCTTGAGCTTGGACGTCTCAGCTTTCAGAATTGTGAGAAATAAATTTCTGTTCTTTATAAATTACACAGTTTCAGTTATTTTATTATAGCAGCTGATATGGTTTGGTTCTGTGTCCCCACCCAAATCTCACCTTGAATTGTAATAATCTCCAAGTGTCAAGGGTAGGACCAGGTGGAGATAATTGAATCATGGTGTCAGTTCCCCCATGCTGTTCTCATGATAGTAAGTTCTCACCAGATGTGATGGTTTTATAAGGGGCTTCCCCATTCACTCGGCAATCATTCTCTCTCCTGCCGCCCTGTGAAGAGGTGCCTTTCACCATGATTGTAAGTTTCCTGAGGCCTCTCCAGCCATGCAGAACTGTGAGTCAATTAAGCCTCTTTTCTTTATAAATTTTCCAGTCTTAGGTATCTCTTCATGGCACTGTGACAACAGACTAATACACCAGCACTAATATGATGAGACAATAAAAATTAAAAGTATGGTCACCATTCTCTAAGCAATAAAATGGAAAAAAAAATTAGAGTATTTTTTTAAATTGTAATAGCAACAGTGGGAACCAATGAGGATTTCCTTATGGCCTCACAGGTAAGTTAACACCCTGTTCTAAAGTACCCTAGCTATTGAGGTTCTCACTGTCTTGTATAACTAATATAACACATCTTATTGCTGGAGCTCCCTAGAAACTATTGTGCAATTCCTGATGTTGCTAGTTTGACTCATCAAATATATAGGCATAAAATAAAAGATCAAGAAATACCTAAATTAGAGACATATCAGATGGCAGGAGCTTAACTATCCTTATGCCAAGTTCCCAAACCTTGACAGTGTAAATCGTTTTCTGTTTTGTTTGATTTCTCATGCCAGGGGAAACAAGGGTTTGGTGTGTTTAAAGTGACTTTGTATCCTTGCATCAACATAGCTTGTAAGTTCCATGGTTCACACCACCTCCATCTCTTCCTTTTCGTGTGTGTGTGTGTGTGTGTGTGTGTGTGTGTTATGTGTTAGGGAGAGAAGGGGGGCAGGTCTCTCTCTCTTTCACTTCGCTTTCCTTAAGAAGTCTGCCCAGGCATTGCTACTAAGTGGTTTCTTTGTAGACTAGATACAGGAAATAAAATTAAAGAAGGCAAAGAGACAGGAGCGAAACAGAACAGCAGAAAGGCACAATAACAACCACTGTCCTGGAGAAAGAGTTATTGTGCCACACAATGGTCTGACCATTTCAATGTGCAGGGCAGAATAGAGCACACCAAACATTCCTTCGCTTGTATCCTGAAATGTGAAAGGGTTGTCCTAGTTTCAGTCATTTTCTTTTATTCTTCCACTCAAAAGAGAGCTAATGAAACAAAAAGCCAAGGCTATACAACCGCTGCTCCCTTAGCAGGCTGTCGAGGAAGTGGCATTTCCATCCTTATTTCTATTCTCAGGTTGTTCCTGAGTCCAAGTAAGCATTTCTCCTGGTGAAACAAACTCTCAGGGATGTCAGGCTCATCTCCTACGTGGGCTCAGACTTTCTCTAAGGTCCAAATGAATGCCACATAATCAGCTGGTCCATAATGATGAACATTAATATAATGGGAGCCAAGAGTTTCCTAAGGTATCATAAATACACTTTTCCTTTTAGAGACAGATGGTATAACCTTTCCATGCTTGTTCCCTTTCTCTTGACTATTTGATAGGTTAGATACAATATAAGTCATTACCGAGTAACTTAATTAATAAATGAGAGACAACTTTATGGTGGAATAGACATTTAAAGCCCTGTGAACTAGGGAAATGTATTTAACCTTTCTGAGCTTCAATTTCTTAATATGTGATCAGAATAATAAAGTCTAATTAACAGGGAGTCTTTTAAAGTTTAAATTACATGAAATACAAAACTATTTCTTTTCTTACTAATTTAGGCAACAAACATTTATCTATTTGCTATGTCGCAATACTATGTCCAAGGTATGGATATATTAAAATGAAAACCTCAAAGACCTTATAGTCTAAAACTAAAACAAAATTCTAGAATACAGATTCTCCATGAACTGGCTTGATATGATAATTACATTTTTAGTTTTACATATCTCCAAATAAAACAGCATTTAAAAAATATATATATGCAGACAACAAACCACAGAAGTATTTTGTCACAGTTAGAAATGACAAATATAGTACAGTGGCTGATGATATCTTAAAATGTTTTTACTCACTACTGCTTTCAAATTACATTAGTGGACTTGGTGCTCGACTTAATGCTTTAGAAAATAAACACGCATATATTTTATAATTGTACATATTTGGTTTTTATGTGTTCAAAAGTGAATGGGGTTATGGGTTTTATCAAATTGCCAAAGGGGTTCATAGTATGACAGGTTTAATAATCCTGGCTGTAGAAGAAGAGATATCAAAGTAAATCAACAATTGCAGAAGGCCAGTGTGGTGGCTCACGCCTGTAATCCCAGGACTTTGGGAGGCCAAGGCAGGTGGATCACTTGAGGCCAGGAATCCAAGACCAGCCCAGCCAACATGGCAAAACCCTGTCTCTACTAAAAATACAAAAATCAGCCGGGCATGGTGACACACGCCTGTAATCCCAGCTACTTGGGAGGCTGAGGCAGTAGAATCGCTTAAACCCAAAGGCAGAGGCTGCAGTGAGCCAAGATTGAGCCACTGCACTCCAGCCTGGGGGACACAGCTGTCTCAAAGATAAATACATAAATTATAAAAGTAAGTAAACTAGCAATTCCAATACATTAGAATTAATACTATCACAGCAGTATAGTTAATGACATGTAGGGATATAATGGGATCCTAGCCCAAGTCAATGTGAGTATGGTGGTGGTGGTGGTGTGTGCGCGTGCGTGTGTGCATGTGTGGTGGGGGTGCTGGAGAGGACAGCCATAGGTGGTTGGTCTTGGAAGACTTCAAAGAGAAATTTCTTTAGCTAAGGCTTAAAAAGAAGATTAGAGTTAGCCAGGCCAAAAATAGAGCTCCAGGTGAAGGATAAGATACAGAGAAAAGGGATGAACTTTGCACGGCTTATACAAAGGCAGGGAAGTGGGAGAAGGTTGGATATGCCTGGGTATCTGTATGGCCTGGGAGAATTTGGAAGATAAGACCAGGGAAATAAACAATCACCAGACCAGGAAAAGGTTTGGATGCCTTTCTAAGGAGTTTGATCATTTTCCTAGATGTGGTGCAGAGCCACTGAAGTATTTTTAGCAGAAGGATGTGTTTTAGAAAGATTGCTTTGCCTGCATTGTGGAGGATCAGGGTGTAGCAACTGGAGGGGTGGTGGGAGCCAGTGAGAGAGGAATGAGTTAAATTAGGGGCCCATGGTAGTAACCCAGGCAAGAAATGAGGAGGGCCTGAATCATGGCAGAGGCGGAGTGTGAAATTACTTTGTGAAGTGTAAAATGCTACTATGGTGTTAAGAGAAGAAAGGAAAGAAAGAAGGAAGGAAGAAAGGAAAGAAAGAAGGAAGGAAGAAAGGAAAGAAAGAAGGAAGGAAGGAAAGAAGGAAGGAAGAAAGGAAAGAAAGAAGGAAGGAAGAAAGGAAAGAAAGAAGGAAGAAAGGAAAGAAAGAAGGAAGGAAGAAAGGAAAGAAAGAAGGAAGGAAGAAAGGAAAGGAAGAAAAGAGGGAGGGAGAAAGGAGAAACAGAATGAAGATGAGTAAGGCAGGAGAGGAAGTCAGAGAGGAATAGTAGTCTTCAGCTAAATAGACATTAGAAGTCAAAGTGTTTCATTAAATTGGATAATAACTGTTGGTCTACCCTAGAGGTGCAATAGGATTACTAGTAACCCAGGTCTCGGCCAGTTCTCCAGATGGCTGCTGATTGGCTCAAATGAAAGCTAATCGGAACCCCTCTTCAGTGGTTCAATTGCTACACAAATAGCCACAGCTAAGGTGAGCTCAGCAAAAGAAAGCTGTTGCCAAACACACAACCTCCCAAAGGCAACAGGAAAGACAGCACAGGTTTTTTTTGGGTTTTTTTTTTTGACAATTAGCGGTAGCTAGGTTTGTTTACACATTCCTGGAGACTGACTAAACATGCACACACACGCACACACACACACACACCCCTAGAGTTTTGTATTTAAGAGACATAATATAGACTATATTTCGCATTGGATTCAGTATGAGAGTTGCAGGAGCACATCTAAAGGAATAATTTGACCCAGAAGAAGGAAATCAATACACACCCATTCTAACTTGCAAAATGTGGATGAAAAAAATGCTAAAAGCAATCATGCAAAGTAATATCTGAGGATTGCTTCAGGAAAATCAAACTGTTTTTACTGAGCTCAATTGTCAGATTCTTTCAGTTCTTTTTTCTTTTCTTACATTTTCTTTGGTATTAATTATTGGTGTGAAACAGGAATTACCTATTAGACACCATTAAAGCTATTTCTAAGAACTTTGAGCTTATTGAAATCTATTCTTTTGTCTGACTCTTTTCCAAACAAATGATATTCTGCTTTCATCTTGATGAATTCCTGAATAATTGAATAATTTTCCAGAAGAGAGCAGGTCTGATTTTAGAAATACCCAAAGTCAAAAATGCTAAAAAGAGTCCCCATTCAAAAGATGGTTATGCAAATGAATGAAGTTACATGTAATTCCAAAAGAGATCTTAATTTAAACAAAGCTCCCCATTCCACTCCAAAGATTCTATTCAAAGTTCACAATTCAGCCAATCCAAATCCACTTTTCAACGGATTAGCTTTTATATAAGGGAAGGGTGGAAGGAAGACAGATTATGCCAAATAAAACAGGAAAAGTAAAGGAAATTGTTATTATGCAAGTTAGTAAATGCAAAGTTCACATCAGAAAGGCTTTTTTTTTTTTTTAAGATGTCAACATAGAGAGCTGGTTAAGGATAAAGCATACATAAAGTGTGTCATTTCCCTATTAAGTAGATTAGTATTTAAATCCGTGTTTTAAACAATTTTGATGGTATTTCTGAAGCTAAAGTGTCCTACATTCTCATTCCCAAAATTTTGGATGCAAAAAAAATGTGTGCAAGTTCAATATATGAAACCCTTTCCATTTTGAGTAACTGGGTTTGCGTGAACATCTGCCAGCCCAACAGAAAGAAAAGCTCTGATTTTATACAGTTTTTATAAAGCCAGAAGCATTTTCCAACATATTCCAAAAGCCCCTAATGATGTTTCACCCAGTTCCTCCTGAAGGTTGGTACATAATTAATGAAGTGGTGGAAGTTCTCTAGAATTAGTTTTCATCTAAATAAAGGTGCCTGATGTTTATCTGTACCCTTTGTACTCATTGTTGCCTTGAATATACCAAGCTTCCTGTTGGTACAGGGAACTATCGATTTGCTGACTAATCTTTTTATCTGATCATTATAGATTGTAACTCTCAGTCTATAACCTTTACACACACTGCTATTGTGGTTAAATAAAACACAATACAAAATAATTAACATGTTCCTGTATCGATATTTCTTTTCCAGGCAAGAGCAGAGAAGTAGGACTTTGATTTGACAACTGGACATTTGTATTTTTAGAGAAAAGTATAAATAGAAGATGAATAGATGAATATACAATCTTTAGTTTCTTAATATAAATTACTCAGGAAGAAATAGTATGTAGCCTTGGGGAAATCAACAGCTTCTTCAATTGGATTGCTTCTGTCACTGTATGGACACAGTCTTGTTTGATGTCCTCCTACCATTTGTCTTGTATGGAGTCTTTTATCTAAATCCAAAGTAATGCAGCCATCAGGGCTGCAATTCAATAATGCCTCCACAGGAGCTGTCATCCACAGTTTGCTATTCATCTTGTAAAAGGCTTTGAGTTTTCAAAGTACCAACTAAGGTTGGCATTTCAATGCCGCGAACAGATCACTTAAAGTTCTTTTGTGTTCACAAGAAAGGAAGTGAAATGGAGAATGGGGGGAGATTAAATGGCCAACCTACTACTCTATCTGACTACCTAGGGGTAACCCCAAGCTTCCCAAGGGAGCAAAGACATTAGTTGATCTGACCCACTCGGTAATGAGACATTGCAATGAATGGGGGACACATTGAGTGGTGTTTACTTCACACTGAGTTCCACTGCTATAATTAAGAGGCAACAAATTCATAACAATTGAGCAGAAAAACAGTTAAAAAAATGAGGAGGAGGAGAATTCCTTCGGACACTTTTAGAAACAAAGGATTTTAGAAATAAGAGTATTTTTAAGGAGTTTAGAGATGAATGAATTGAAGCTGATGGGATGTATTACTAAGCTCACATCTCATGCATGGCTGTGTGAATGGGCTGGACTAAAACTACTATCATTGGATCCGATTGTTGAGCTCTTTTACTGGAGGTGTGGATATTTTCCGGTTCCATTCAGACTCATTTCCTAGTCCTTCTGTGACCATGATATGTATGTTGAGAACACTAGTCTAAGAAAGGGTCAGGGAAAGGTTTCTGGCACAGTGAAGAGATCATGTCAAATGCAGCTTTGTCAGATTTACGAAACTCAACTATTTCGTGATCCCTAAAGGTATAGAGACAGGTGGAGACACCTCTGACCAAAGCACCCAACTGCCACACAAATTTATTATGACTCTGGTCCTTAGCTTGCACTTTTGGAATGAGGAGGTTGGCTGAGAGGAGCTATAACATAATTTTTAAAAAGTTCAGAGTAGTAGTGGAAACCCAGATTATAAACCCAGCTCTCATTCTGATTAGCTATATAATCTTGGGCAAGCCATTTAGTTTCTGGGCTTTAATTTTCTTATCAAAGTAATGAGGGATTTAGAATGAAACATTTCCAACATACTTTTCTTCTCAAACATGTTATGATTCTGTGAATGTAATAAGTGATGGCTATATTATCTGTGCAAGTCATAAATTAATCTGTTCATTCATGCATCATCAAAATATCAACAACTATTTATCAAGTTCTATTTTTTAAGTCCTGTGTTAGTGGCTAAGAATAGGTTGTAAAAGCACATTTTGTCCCTGCCGTCATCAAACTTGCAGTCTAATGAGGGAGACAAACATTTTATCAATAATGACACCAGTCATAAATATACAATTGTGATAAATGCTAAAACTGCAATGAATGCATGGTGCTGTGAAAGCTTAACAGGCGAAGCTAACCTGGTGGAAGTGGTATCGGAGATTTCTCTAAGGATATAATAGCTAAACAGAGATCAGAAGACTGGTGAGATGATTTTCTTCACCATCTGAATCAGCCTAACCTTCGCCCTCAAAAAAAAAAATGAAGAATCACTGAGATTTTAAACACAATGTAGCATAATCAGATCTCCTTCTGTCTGTTTAGAAAGACCATTCTGCCAAAAGTGAAGAGAAGGAGGTGAAAGACAGCAAAACTAGAGGTAAAATTAATCTTCTTCATGAGACAAGTGAAATTAATTTGCAGCAGAAATGTAAGGAGATAAAATAGTGCTTGAACTTGCAATATCAAGAGTTAGGGCAGGATACAAGTGTGTCCTGTGTGTGATTGCTCCTTCAAGTCTAGCTCTCAGGGGCAAGCCCTAAATTTAAAAGTATCATTTCCTTGCAGTTTGCGACCAAATTATAAAGTTGTTTGTCAATTTACAAATATTTATTTAAAGAAACATGCATTAACCTTAAAGAAAAGAAATTTTTTTTAATCCTTTTCCTACTCATGCATTATTTAATGATGGGTTGCCCTGGGAGCAGATGTGAATACCTGTGTCACTAATAAATAATTCTGGTGGATTCTAAAGCTGAATCATTAGTGTATTATGGTTGGGCCAAAATGAGCATCCCATAAAATTTTGCCAATCGTGAAGTATGGTCTATAAACTGTTAAATGTTATTTTGTAAGCATGCTTCTCAGGAAGGTCATGGGCAAGTCTTGACTGCTCATTTTAAAAGCTGTTCACAGTGACTGACATATTACTAAAAAGGGAGAATTTCCAAGCAGATCTAAAATATTTCCTCACAGTAACTTCTAGATGTTCTGTCACATCTACTGTTAAAGTAGAGAAGATAACTCATTTTGGCTTGAAAGTTTCTTTCCAATTTTATTACAATTCTTTTCACCAATACACTCATTTCTCCAAATTGGCCTTCTCAGCTTTCCAAACTAAGTTTCATGTGATTCCATAGCCATGTTTTCTATCAACTCATGCCTGCATGCTTCATCTGTCTCATACTCTCCTATTCAACTCCTGTCATTCTTCAGGCTCACGTTCATTTTGTTCCTCCTCAAGGAAGATGCTCAATCGTCTTCTTAGTCCTATTAAAATCTCTCCTCTAAATTTCTGCAGGTTTTATTAGCTATAATATCATTTATCTTTAAAACTTTATAACTGTATTATTTTAAATATGTATATATTATCTGTTCAGTTATATGTATTTGGAATATACATGTACACACACACACACACACCTTTCCACGTAGATTGAGAGATTCTTTAAGAAACGGGAGAAGAGTTATTTGCTTTTCTTTATTTTTACAACATCTGAAAAAGAGTCACCTAAAAGAATGGACAATGGATATTTGACAATATTTTTTAAATAATAGACAATAAACAGCTAAAATAGTACCTATTAAAGAACGTTTTAAATTCTTCCAAGAAGATTAGATAAAATATCTTCAATATAAAGACCAACATTATAATTATGATATTGCCAAAGAAATTGGTTGATTTGGGTTTTTCTCCTGAAGAATGTCAAAGTTTTTTCTAGTACAAGTGTTCCTAAAATCAAGAGTTAATGCAGTGATCAGGAAAATAAAAATAGAATAGGAATTATAACATCTGGCCCAAAACATCTCTACTGCTAGTCAGAGCATTCATGTAATAAATACAGCCTTTGTTAAAATTAATGTTTTGGACCATTATTAGAGGACTTCATGGGATTAGCTAGATATTAATAAAACTATAGTCACACTCAATCTCCTCAGAACACATAAAATTATAGTTTCTATGACTTCCCTTGAAAGCTCCAAGATGAAGAATATGAAACCTCAAATTCATTGAAGGTTTGGAAAATTATTATAGAGCTTTAATAGTACATGGAAGAGGATATCAGTGTTACTGGCTGGTCTTTGTTCTTAGAGCTCCTAAGATGGTGGCAGGCTACTTGCAAGATGGTGACGGTCTGCTCCCAAGATGGCAGCAAGCCTTTTGTTCTCTGACCTGGGGTTCTTGGCCGGATTCCAAGGAGTGGAACCTTGGGCTATGCAGTGAGTGTTATAGCTCTATTAGAAGCCATGGGTCACAGAAAAGAACCGTGGAACCCACTGACTAGTGTTCAACTCAATTAGGACAAACCCAGGCACTTAGCTGTGCAGGAACAATGGCAAGCCTTTAGCCTGATCGGGAGCGACAATGGGCACCTCACTGGATCAGAAGCACAGCAGACACCCTGCCAGATCCGGAAGGGTGGAAGTAAATGGCGGGTCTGGGATGGCAGCGTACAGCAGGGGTGGATGGTGAGCAAAAGCTCAGCTCGAGCCGTAACAAACATGGGCCAGAAGAGAGTGCAGTTGCAAGATTTAATAGAGTGAAAACAGAGCTTCCATACAATGGGAGGGGACCCAGAGGGGGTTGCTGCTCCCTGCTCGAATGCCTGGGTTTATATCCTGATCACTGTCCCTCCCCCCATGCTCTCAGGTGATATATGATTTGACAAATTCTTTACCTCCTGTTTTAGCCTAATTTGTATTTTAGTGAGCCCTCTTTACTACCTAATTGGTTGGGTGTGAGCTGTGTTACAAGCCCCCTGTTTAAAGGTAGTTGCAGTCACCTTTCCCAGCTAGGCTTAGGAATTCTTAGTTGGCCTAGGAAATCCAGCTAGTCCTGTCTCTCATCGGCAGAGCTATATGGGTCTTACCTTTGGCAACAAGACCTTACTGATCTAGTTCCTGCCTTCATCATCTTATCTTCCAAAATTCAACTTGGCTCCAGCCTCCCTGGGTTTTTTTTTTTTTCCTGGACTTTGAGCATGCAGCATTTATTCACATCTGGCTATTTACTCTGCTTTGAATGTTCTTTGTGGAGATCCTTGCATGGCTAACTTTTTTCTTATTCTTAGTTTAACTGAAACATCACCGACTAGGACTGGCCTTCTCTGACCACTCAATCTGACATAAGATTCTTCCCCATCAATCTCAATTGCTGTTATCAAGATTTGTTTTTTTTCCTAGTATGGTGTATCATATGTGCATACATATACGTGTGTGTGTGTGTGTGTGTGTGTGTGTGTGTGTGTGTGTGTGTAAAACATGCCCATATCTGGTCCAGTGCAATCACTCATGCATTCTTTTCTCTGGAGTATAAAATCTCATGTCCATCTAAAACATTTCTGCTTTTGGTCCATCTACCAAGAAAGCAGTGGCTAATTCATTTCAGGTCTTCCAAATTTCCCAGATGGAAGTCAGACATCATTAATTAAAATTTCTTCAAAATGCAAGTGTCTCACATTTGGCTCATACTGGTCCACTTAAGATCCTCTCTAGTAACCCTACCTCTCACCTCTTGCATGGGGCTATGACACAAAGTTCCCCAAAGACACCTTCCTCCCAGTTTATTCCTGTGCTTCTTTTGCGCACTCTGAGTGAGTTGGAGTAAAGAGTGTGCTGTTGTTCTCCGGACACTACTATAAGTTCTATTTGGTGCTCTGTCTCACATCTCTGTTACCTCATATGTGGCACTTTAGATCTTAATTATCATCTCTATTTTAATAATTTAACATCCTTATATCTTTTTAACAAATATAGTTTATTCCTTAGGGGAAAACAACCTCTTCCTCAGATCTCACTCTTGTTTTGTACTGGGAAGCTCCAAGCAACAGGAGAAAAGCTGGAGAAAGACAGAAGTTTAGAAGAGACATGGAAAGGGAAAGAAAAAAAAAAGAAAGCAAACGATAACAACAAAAACAAACCCTGAATTTATCAGCTCCAAAGGAAATACAGGGCCGCTGTTAATTTTAGGAGAGAAGGTATGTATCAGCTCAGTGAATTAGGTCATCAGTTCTCAAACATTTTGATGTTGGAATTCCTTTAAAAATTCTTAAAAAATAACAAGGAACTCAAAAGGCTTATGTTTACTTGGATTATATCTATCAATATTTACTGTATCAAAATTAAAACGGAGAAATTTTAAAATATAAGAATATATAAGTGTGCATCCTATTAACCATCAAAGTAATGACATTATCACACTTCATGTAACTTCTGGAAAACTGCACAATTCATTCATGAGAAAAAAAGAGCAAAAAAGGTAAATAATTCTTAGTATAATTCTAAATATTATCATGAAAATAGTTTTTATCTCATTGTCCTCTTCAAAGGTTTTTAGGGACCTACAGGAATCCCAAGACTATATTCCAAGAACTGCTAAATGAGGTGATCAGTAACTAGTTTCATTTTAGGAGAGGGCTTACCAAAATACAAATTTGAGCTATAACTACTTACTGGCAAATTTTCGTCTCAGGCAACTGCTTATAAGTGTAAACCTTTCTAGAACTCTCAGTTTACAAGCTAGAATAAAGAATAAAACTGTTTTTTTTTTTAAAAAAAAAAAAACTTTAAATAATTTGATTTAACATAAATCTTAATTTGTCTTCCCTATTATACCTTATTCATTGGCTCTGAAGGAAAATAATAAACATAACAGTTTCTACATTTATATTGGCATATAATCTATGCTTATTGATAAACCACAAAAACAAAACATTGATTTACTTTCTTTTTCTCTGCTTTGAGTAAGGTCTAAACAGACTTGCAACATAAACATTAAATTTAGACTCTGTCCAATAGCGTTAGGGGATCTCTCCTCAAAGGTAAAAATGTAATAGCTCTGTGTTACCCACAGTTCCAGAATTTTCTACCTTCCCTTCACAAAGGAAGGCTAGCCTAATTTACGAAACACCCCAGGCGACATTCCACGTATCAACACCTCTGCCCTGGGTGATTTATTAAGATAGTATTTAGAAATTATCCTCCAATAATCATTCTTTCCCATTTTGTAGTTAAATTGTCACCTATAGACTTTTAAAATAAGAATACTTTCCCTGAGGGGAGGTTATAGGAAAAAGGGAGTGACGTTCTCATATTTAAATCTCAAAGTGCTTAGATTGTTTTCTCAATTTTTTTCAGAATAAAATGATGCAATTATGGAAAGCATCAAGCAAAGAGCAAGCATTGTGTTTTGGCTGACTAACTTTTAACTTAGTATTTTTGTTCCTTTGAGAGTTTCAATGTAATTACTGTAAAGGTCAACAAACATGAACATTCCTATTTTTTTTTCTAATTTTAGAATCAATATGTTTTTTATGAAAAACTTTTAAAATGGAAAAATGCATACAGAAGTAAATGGTTAAAAATTCTTAATCCTATCTTTTGGAGATAAGATACTGGAATTATGTTTTATTTAAAATATTAAGGTGCAATATTAATTTTCTTTTTGGCTCTATTTAATTTTTTTGTTTAATCTGGCTATTGTGTTTTTAAATTATTCCATGATTCATTTCTAAAGTGTGGGATATGATGAGGTTTCTCTTCAAATAATCTGATCAACCCTTTATTCTTTAATTCATAGCGCCCCCCCTTTCCTCCTTTTTTTCCTTTGTTAGATGCCCAGGCACACCACAGTACCAAGCGTTATCAGTACCAGCTCACATTCCTTTCCTTATTTGGAAAGAGGACTAACTTTCTAGCTCATTACAGACACCCCTTCCCCTTCCTCTTCACTTTCTTCTACGTGCCCACCCTATCTAAAAAAAAAATCAAATGTTTAGCCAACTGGGATTAGTTTAGACTGTACAACCCAACTCCAGCCAATGGGGAAAGGGTACAGGGGCAGGACTCGCATCAGGAATAAAGGCTCTCGTGCCCCTTTGTTCAGGTGTGCTCTCATGGCGACTGGCCAAGGAGGCACCCCTCTGCGCAGAAGTAAAATTGCTTTGCTAACAATCTTTTGTTCGAGTGTTCAATTTACTTAGGATTTTGAGCATTATTCCTAACATAAAGGTTTAGTTTGTTGTTGGTTTTTTTTTTTCAAATATACTAAATCATTTTTAAAACGTTTTTATTCTTTATTATGTTTTGAATTATTTTTAAGGTCTCCATTTTAAGCAACTTAATTTCATATCTAACAATTTAATTGAAGTTCTTGAGTATCTAATCTTGGTTTTTTGTAGTATATGCTGACTCTCATTCCTAGTGAATTCTTAGTAAATTTTATAATTTTGGATTAGGAATTCATCTTCAGAAAGATTTGCAGAAATCCTATATGGCCTGAGTGGAGGGTCTCTTACTAGAGTTGTTTTGTGATTACAGAGATATTACTACCTATCCTGAAACCACTCTTTATATTTAATGCAACATTCACTCCTAAAAGAATACTTAACTGAATACCAAGGCACTGTTCTAATCACTGGAGGCTACAGTAGTGAACACACCAGATAAAACACCTGCCTTCACATTACTTATATTCTATGTTGCGGAGGCAGAGAAAATAAACAAGATATATAGTACAATAGAGATAAATGCTACTAAAGGAATAAAGAAGGAAGACCTGAAATTCTGGGATTGGAAATTGATATGTTGACGGAAAGAGTCAAACTCTGTAAAATATTTGAAGAAACTTATTCTGAGCCAAATATAAGTGGCCATGGCCCATTACACAGCCCTCAGGAGGTCCTGAGAACATATGTCCAAGGTGGTTGGGGTGCAGCTTGATTTTACACACTTTAGGGAGGCATGAGACATTAATCAAATACATTTAAGAAATACGTTAATTCAGTCCAGAAAGCCAGGACTATTTGAAGAGGGCAGGGAAGTTTGAGGGGCTCCTAGGCTACAGGTAAATTTAAATATTTTCTGGCTGACATTTCGTTGAGTTTTTCTAAAGACCTTGGATCAAAAAAAGGAATGTCTGAGTTAAGAGGTTGTGGAGACCAAAGTTTTATTATGCACATGAAGCCTCCAGGTAGTAGGCTTCAGAGAGAATAGGTTGTAAAATGTTTCTAATCAGACTTAGTGGTGGTGTTAATGCTGGAGAGGTATAATGAGGCAAGTCCGACCCCCACCTTCCCTTCATGGCCTGAACCAGTCTTTCAGGTTACATTTTAAAAGAGCCCTGGCTGAGGAGGAAGTCCATTCAGATGGTTGGGGAGCCTTAGAATTTTATTTTTAGTGTACAGATATACTGGAAAGAGTACTGTGAGTTTTGAGAATCTTCTACCTCCTGAGTAGTATAAAGCCAGACTTGTTTAATGGCAAGCCCATAGATCAAAATGTTCAGGGATACATTTTCCCATCTGGAATCAAGGTTAACCCATGTTTTTGTGTTATTTCCTTTTGCTAGTAGGTGATTTTCTTAAACAATAGATTACCCTTTAAGGATCTCATTTTTAACTGGATGGGAAAGGAGCTCTCAGTTTTAACTTTGTGAATTAAAATGGCCATGACCACAGGCCTCTACTCCTGCCCATCCAAGTCCATGAAACAAAAAGCCTCTTAGTTTCTAGCACTAACCAACCCCTTACAGGGCACAAACCTCAACTTAGCCCTGATGACTATTCACGTTTTGGGTTTGCTCCAAATTTTTGATGCAACATATTTATTCTGCCAGAAATAGGCTAAAGATAAAGGAATGAGGACTCAAGACATTTTTCTGGGCTCAAGGAGGAAATAATTGTACTCCTTTGCCTGCAGAAAAGAGGTCTGAAAGGATAGATTGCGGTGAGTCAAAGTGTTCATGCTAAGGTAGGGGCCTGGATCCTTATTATCTTCAGCAGCCAAAACTCTCCCTGAGTAGAAGAAATGTCAGAAGCATTTTAATGGCAGATGGGAAGATGAGTGGGACGTGAACCCCTTCTGTCTGGGACAGGAAGGAGACGATTTCTCACAATGTCCCACACCAACTATAGGCAGCTGCAGTGGAGTAGAAGTAACAGAAAGGCTTGTATTGGCAGCAGGGATGTCTGAGATGCAGTCTGGCACTGAGTCTCCCATGGCCTCTGTAGGGAGATGAGGATATTCTAAAAGTTCCTGCATGTCCAGGGAGGGAGCAATGACAATTAAAATTGAAAGCCGGTGGATCACCTATGGGGTTGCTATCATGTGGTTTTGGATGAACTACTCAAGCCTCGTGCCAGATTAACAATGAAATGAACAATGTGACTGTATCATGGAGAACCAACGGTATCAGTCAGAGCTGGAGCCCAGCCAGCAGGGGCAGACAGTGAGCTCCTCACTGATCTTTACTACTGCAAGGAGAACAGATGGTCAACTTCACCAGCAGCAGACCCAGTCAAGAGGCAACCACCACCAAAACCATCCCTGTTTTGCCAGTATAAGAGGCCAGATCTGTGGACAGAGCTTAGGGCAGAAGACAGAACAGGAGAATCTTGAAATACAGGCTTCACTTAGATGGAAGCACTCAAATTCACAAAGTTGACAAGACTTAAGTTTAGTCATTAGGAGAAATAGGGCCTCAAGAACAAGGTTTATTTTCATTAAAAGGGGAAATAAAGAGAAGTAAACCTTGGCACTGGCATTTATAGAATATTGTGACAGGAAATTTTATACTTGCTACATGAGAATATAATATTCTTGCTCAGGACCAACCCACTGATGGTAAAATAGTGCTTAATGTGGGCAGACTTGAATACAAGGCAACAAAGTTCAAGCTTTCATTTGCCCTGAAGGAGGCTGTTTCCCTGAACCCTTTTGCAGGACTCACAGCAGGGTTGCCTCATTTACTCAGCCTCATGCTCTCAACTCCTCATGGGAAGGAGTGTGCAAGCAAACAAACAAGGTGGGAACTGGATGAGCATTGGAACCGGTGGGCTGCTTCAGCCCCAGGAGGAGCGAACTCCCTGGCAGCAACCAGGTGGGGGTTCCTGCAACCCCCGAAGTCCCAGAGCGCATGTTACAGTATTCTGTTAGTTCTGCCATGGATGGATGGCTTAAATATTAACAGCTCAGTGGGCCCTTTCCCTCTTCACATAAGGCAGCTGCCCTCCACCAGCGAGAGCAAAGGGCCGGTGTGACAGCCTTTTGTATCCACACTTGTGGCTCCCGAGCTCTTGTCCAGCATCCAGGAAAAATGAGGTTGCACAAACAAATTGAAAGACAGTAAATGCAGGGGATTTTATTGCTGATGAAAGTGGTTCTCGATGGGAAGGGGAGCTGAAAAGGTGATGGGGGAACTAGGTAATCTTCCCCTGACATCCAGCTGTCTCTGGCCAGATTCCTCAAAGTTATACCGTCAAGCTGCCCCTCTGACATCAAGCCACTTCTCTCCTACATCCAGCCGTAGTCCCCAGTGTCCAGCTGCTTCTCCCCTAGGCCAGCTGAGTCTGGGGTCTTTATAGGCACAGAATGAGGTGGGGCAAGGTCATGGGTGGTTTAGGAAAAGGCAACATTTCACTGGGGACACAGGGATAGAAGTTCTCACTTTGGGCTGTGGGTTTCGTGCTTTTTGGCTTGAAGGTGGGGTTTTGTCAGGGACACACCCTTTTCTTACTGGAATTTCTCTGCCCCTTGTCCCTACCAGCACTATAGTACTTATCACTTTCAAATGTACTATGTTACATTTGTGTTTATATATTTTTAATTGTCTGTTACTTTCTCTTTTACTCCCACCCCAATGGTAAGCTCTATGAAAGCAAGGAGTTTTATTTGGTTTATTATTATTAGCAGGGAGTTGTATTCTAGTGTCTGGCACATACTAAATGCTCAATAAATATTTGAATGAATAATTTGACAAATGAATTAATTGGAATCTTCAGGAAACTCTTAAAAGTGCAAATATCTTCCCTCTGCCCCAAAGTATTTCTGGAGCAGACCCTGAGTCTGGGATTGTTAACTAGCTCCCCAGATGATTCTGATGCACTTTGAAGTTCAAGAATCATTGTGTGACTGAGCTGGTAGATAGGGTAGGCATAGAAAATCAGGTAAAGGGAGATGCATTTTATGGAAATATTGTTGGAAAGCAGGATCTTAATGTAGATTTGGCAATAAATCTCTCCGTAAGACAAACTCATTGCCTGCCTTTAATTTCTATCTCATTGAAATATTTGTGATTTTCGTATTTATATAGATCAAAGAAAATCATGTATTAGGTATGACAAATTTTAAAGGTGCTTGCCTGCATTTTGACAGCTTTTTCATGCTTCCTTTTCTCTGGAATGTCATATCTTCACTTGGAGGCCTCACAGGTGTCTCAAAATTAACACGTCTTATATAGAATTTTTCATTCCCATTCCATCCAAAAAGTAATATTTTATAGAAAACTTAACACTACATAGCAGTTATCAGAATTTGACATTATTTTTAGATATGTGTTTATTATCATTTTATTGTAGTCAGAGCACTTATTAGATCTACTCCTTCCACACATTTTTAAGTGTACAATGCATTATTGTTGACTATTGGTAAAATGTACAGCTGATCCCTCGAGGGTATTCACCTTGCTTGACTGCAACTTTATGCCTGTTGGTTAGTAACTCCCTATGTCCCTCTGCTTCTAGTCCCTGGTAACCACCATTCCACTCTATGATTCTATAAATGTGGCTATTTTAGATACCTCATATAAGTGGAATCATACAATATTTGTCTTTCTGTGACTGGCTTTCTTTATGTAGCATAATGTCATCAAGTTTCATCCATGTTGTCGCGTATGACAGAATTTTCTTTTTTTATGACTAAGTAGTGTTCCACTGTGTGCATATACCATGTTTTCTATATTCATTCATCTGTCAATGAACATTTAGGTTGTTTCCACATCTCAGCTTTTGTGAATAGTGCTGCAGTTAACATAAGAACACTAATACAGCTGACTTTCTGATTTCAGTTCTTCTTTCTGATCTCTGTGCAGGGGTCAGCGCCCTTAATCGTCCCATTGTTCAAGGGTCAACTGGATATATTTTATGCCATGAAAGTAATATGTATACATTATAGATATGCATATACATTGTACAGTTGCATGGAGGAATGCATCATAAGTTTATTAATTCATGTACCTTGTCAAAAATTAGGAAATAGAGAACAAAAATCATAATATAATAAATTCAGCTCTTTAAAGAAAAGCTGTTGCCAATATTTTGGTCTATATCCTGCCATTCTTTTATGTTTTTAGGTTTACCTTTGTGGTAAGAACATTTAAAATGAGATCTCCCTTTTTGACAAATTTTTAAGTATAGTTCAATTGTTGAGTAGAGGTACAGTGTTGTACAACATATCTAGAATTTAATTCATCTTGTTTAACTGAAGCTGTATGCCTGTTGATTAGTAACTCCTCAAGGATATATTTTTAAACTGATATTCTTATAAACAAATTCTAAAAATTTGGTTTCACAAAGTATTTTTAACTTTGCAGTGATATTACCTATCTCCATATATAATCAAAATCCTAAGACCACCTTCTGTCTGTTGATAGAAAAGTCACCACTTCTTCAAAGAATGTTCTCCTCATAATTCTTCTGTAAAGCATATAGTATTAGATATTTTTCTCTACAAATTACAAATCAAAACCAGATTTTATTATTTCTTAACTATCACCATAATTTGTTTTGATAGACATTATAGTGTTCACCAATGTCTGGTTCTTGTCTCATTCTAATTCTCCACCACTATGCAATTGGGTGAAGTCATGAGACTAGGTCTGGTCAGTGGCTGTGGTCATATATGACAGGACATTGCTGGGCAGAAGTATCAAAGAGATGGTCAATAACTCCCTAGCTGTCTCTTCTTCTGTCATGTTGACTAAGCAGAGTAGATATTCCAGATGATATAGGTGGAGGATGGTAGAACCTTCCTCAGCCCAGATGACTGCCTTAGTAAGTGGAAGGCAGTTGCCCTTCATGAGAGAATTAAGCCCTGATTTGTGAAAACAAATGTACTTCTCACCTGTGTGTCTAAAATGATAATAGTATGTAACATCCTTTGGGAAAATAAAAGGTGAATTGGCCAGACTTCAAGGGACTTTGCCTGAATGAGAAATAAACTATTAAGTTAAGCCACTAAGATGCTGGATTTTTTTTTCTACTACCAGATAATCATGACTATCCTAATACTGTTGCTTTAGGGAAATTTTACATTGAATAGCCATTTCAAATTGTCTCAGTATGAGGAATCCCAAACCAAATTCTCTCAAATGCAGGTAATTTGGTTCTTCATATTATGCAATGAAATGGATAAAATTCATCAATTTCCTCTATTCTCAGAAACCAATTGACTGCATCTCCAACCCCGTATATTAAGGCACTTTTTGTATTATTCTTCCTAGTAATATTTATTACAAATAGGCAATGTAAGTGAAACAGTGGCAGTATAAATATGAGAGTATTCTCCACTTCAAGTACTTATTTGTAATATTTGTTTGTATTAAAATTTTCCTTTTTACATGTACTTTAGTAATATATGGATAACTCTTACTATTCTAGCCTAAAAGAGAACATCTGTGATAGCCATAAATAGGGTCTATGATTCTGAGTATTCATTCAACAAAATTTCTAAATATTCAAGAATTCTAACTCTCTTTCTTCTTCAGGCAGAGTCCCAAGTATCTCATGTGATTTCCTTGGCAGATATTCAGGTTCTGATAAAGCTCACAGTGTCAACCTCACGCCTACCTGCTACCCTGAATCTGCTGCTTTTCTGCCTTGTGACTTGACCTTGACATTGCTACTGGAAGGTGACATTGCTGTAACTCCCCACACTGTTATCACTCCTTCTATTAGTCCAACACTCATTGAGATAAAGAAGGCCCCTTAACTCTCTAATATTACCAAAGCCTGCTAAGAAAATATAACTCAACACCTTGAACTAGCTCACAAAGTAGAAGTATCCTTAATGTCTTTTCATTAGCAATGACCTACTGATCTTAAGACTGGATATAAGGCTTAATTGTGATATCCACTGGATTTATGAGCCATAGATTTCTGGCAACATCTAGTGACTCAGTCCAGATATCCTCCAAGACCATGGAAGAACTGAGCTTGCACCAGTGGACCCAGGTATGAGAATAAGACTTGGGAGTTAGGCAGAAAACAGATGTGGGAGAACCCCAAGTGGGAAGAAAGAAAGATGAGGTATACTATTTTAAGCATAACATGTTTAAAATGGCTGTAATGGACATAAAACTGAAAACACTAGTCAATGGTTTAGAAGAAAAATAACCCATACATTTAGCAGCCAGCAACATAAGTGAACCTGTGGGAATATAAATATTAGAAAACTGCATATCTAATTGATTACAAAGAACTTACCTATCTGAAAGCATGGTTAACTACATACCAGAAAAGCTTTTCTGCTATAAAACATCTAGGAATATTGAATGATAGTAATTATATTGGAAAACATATAGCTGAGTGTGCAAGTAAACAGTGGTTTATGATTTTATGATTCTAAAAAGACAAAATTATAAAGAATGCTGGAAATAAGGAAACAAGGGGACAATGTGATGGAGCCATACCTACATCTTGACAACATGCATGAAACTTCCACAACTCAAGAGACCTGTGTTTTATAACATTAGGCCCACTAAAGGTGAGTTTAGAATTAGAAGACAAGCTTTTCAAAACTCATGAGAGTTTAGTGAAAGCGTGGGCCATTAAAAAAGGTCTGCCTGAAAGCAATTATAAAGAAAGCATGTATTTTAGCCCAGATTTAGGTAAAAACAAAAGTTTCTCAGAGAATTTGTAAAAATCAGGCTATTTCTTAAGTGTGTCTGAAATTGTTATTTGTACTATGTATATGATCTGACAAACTACAAGCTAAAAACGATGATTTCAAAATCATCTCAACTTAGTAGAATCCTGGAGAGCCAGGAAGAAGCAAACATAAATATTCTCTAAAGAAATGAATCCCAAGCTTTGCAGAAGTTCTAAAGATAAAGCCCTACCATTCGAATAAGATTCCATAATCCAAAACTAACATAGGGAAACAGGCCACTAAGAGTAAAAGAATAAAGAAGCAATAGAATTCGGCTTCCCAGAGACTTCTGATATGACATTCTTAGACACAAGGTTTTTGTTGTTCTGTTTTGTTTTTGAGACAGGGTTTCACCCTCTTGCCCAGCCTGAAGTGCAGTGGCGAGATTAAGGCTCACTGCAATCTCAACCTCCTGGGCTCAAGTGATCCTCCCACTTCAGCCTCCTGAGTACCTGGGACCACAGGTATGCACCACTATACCTAATTTTTATTTTTTTAAATTTTTTTGCAGAGTGGGGTTCTCACTGTTACCCAGACTGGTCTCTGACTCTGGGGCTCAAGCAATCCTCCCACCTCAGCCTCCCAAAATGTTGGGATTACAGACGTAAGCCACTGTGCCTTGTCTGATACAAAATGTATGCATAAGCTTTAAATAAATAAAAAAGTATAATTGAAATACAACAGAAAAATCAGACTATCAGAAACAATCCAAAGTTTTTAAAAGTAGAAATTTTCAAACTAAAAAATATAGTCATTGAAATAAAAAACTGAACAAAGGCACTAAATATTACAACTGAAGAGAATTGATATGCTGGGAAAAAATCTGAAAAAAAATTACCTAATATTCAGTACAAAGAAGCAGAGGTGTCAGTATGAAATACAGACTTCAAAATATACATACATATTATATATAAAACAATATATATTAAATTATATTTATTATATATATGGAGTTCTAGAAGGAGAAAATAGAATGAGACAGAGACAGTATTTGAAGAGTTAATAACTCTGAAATGCTTAGAATTGGGGAAAAACTGTATTCCTCAGTATGGGAGACTAGTCAGTTGCTCTTGGCATATAGGTAAACTATTGTTCCCAGCCCTCCTTGCATTTAGATGAGTAATTTGACTGGTTCTCTGCAACAGAATGGAAATGAAAGAGATGGTCACTTTCTGACTGATATAGTTAAGAGTGGATGTGCCTCCCACATTTTCATCTGTCTCTCTCTCACCTCTCCATCCTTCAGAAAATATTACAAGTTAATGACCCGAGGGCAAACTTAAAGAAAACTGGGTCATTGCTTACAGGACAAAAGCCCAGGAAAGCCACTAATCAGGAGCATCTGCATTGAAGTTCACATGAGCAAGGCCATAAAACTTTTAGCATGTTAAAACAATGACTTTGTGGATTATTTGTTATAGAAGCTAGAATTCATTACCTGGACCAATATGCTGAGACTCAGAAAACCCAGTGAATTTAAAGCATGATAAATAAGCAGTATTTATTTACACCAGACTAATATAATAAGAGTGGAACAAAAGTAACGAACAATCTTAATCAGAAACCGAATTCTATATATATTTCTGTTTTAATCCATTCAGTCTCCTGTAATAGAATACCATACACTGGGGGCTTATAAACAATACAAATGTATTTCTAGTAGTTCTAAAGGCTGGGATGTCCATGATTAAGGCAGCTGCAGTTTCAGTGTTCAGTAAGGAACTGCTTTCTGGTTCTTCTCACTGTGCCCTCATATAGTTGAAGGAGGGGCAAGGGAGCTCTCCAGGGTCTCTTTTATAAGGGCACTAATCCCATTCAAGGTCTCTATGCTCATGTCCTAGTCACCTCCCAAACGCCCTACACCTCCTATTATCACTGTGTTGAAGGTTATATTTCAACATATGAATTTGGGGGGGAAGAGACACACAAATTCTGTGTATACGACATTCCTCCTCTATATCTTTCAAATTAGCCTACATTTTTCTATCTTTATCACAAAAACCTGGATCAAAGTATCGATGATCCTTTTCATGAAACACTGAAATAGCCTTACAACTGACCTACCCCTCCTTTACTTCTTCCCCCACCCAGCAGAAAGTATGATCCTTAACAAGTGGAAATCTATTATTGCCATATTTCTGCTGTAAAACCTCAATGGAATTACACTTCTCCTGGAATATGGTTCAGACTTTATAACCTTTGAAGCTTTTGTAAACATGCCCTTCTGCCTACCTTACCAGTTTCATCTTTTGCTATTCTTCCTATCTCCAGCCATATCAGCCTGTGTTACTTCCTTTAATAGGTCATTCTCACATTTCAGGGTTTCTAATTCTGTTTATTTACTTGGAGTAGTAATTTTCTTTTCACCTAGATATATTTTGTTCATCCTTCAGGTCTCAATTCAGATGCTTGTTCACCAGAGAAGTTGCCCCAAAAAACAGATTAATTTTAGTTATTGAGTTCCCACTTTTGAAACATTCAGAATTCCCCCACAGTAGATACGTTTTATGTCTACCTTTGAAGCATTTATCACAGTAGTAATTAGTGATTTGTTCCTATTCTAAGGTTGAGCCTTAATTCATGTCTTAGGGATAGAGTTTACACACTTCTTGACATACTGAATATAGTTGCTAGTACACAGTAGATGCTCACTAAATAGTCCTAGAATAAAATTAAATAAGTGGATGAATAAATGAACAAATGAACCTAAAGTTTCAAAAATGTGTCTGCTTATTTCAAAGATAATTTTTGGGCAACAAACTGGTATTTAATCTTGGTCTTTATAAGAAGAATCATCAAATCTGAGTATTTGAAGAAATAAAATCAAAGTTGTTACCACTCATTATATACTCTGATGTATTTTTAATGAACCTCAGGAACACAAAATTGTGTTAATCACAGACATTGGTTTACTGTGGATTGCAATAATTTGTATGTTCACAGACCTTATTTGTTATTTATTCATTAACCTATTTACTGGTTTGTGCATTTGTTCATTGATTCATCAATTTACACACTCATTTATTCATACAGTTGATGTGGCATTATAATGAAAACCTGGGAATACACCGTCCAACCTAAGAATTTGAATACCTCCCATTCCTTCTGACTATCTTGCCCCATGCTATGAGGTAGGGACTATTCTGGATCTTGTATTTACCTTTTTTGTTTTCTAAAATTCTATTATTATATACATAACTATACCTCAAATATACATCATTTTCTTGTGATTCTTAAATTTAATTACAATAAAGGGTATCATCATCTGGCATGTTTTCTTCTGAGACATTTTTATTGCTCAATATCACATTATTAAGATTCATTCATAGTTTTGCATGTAGCTGAGTTTATTGTGCTGTTGTTTAATATTTTGTTATTTAAACATACCACAAATTATTTATCCTTTCCTGTTAGTGGGCCTTGATTATATTTCTAGTCTTTCACTTTTTGAGCAGTGCTTCTTATGTATATTCTTGTTCATGACTTCTAAGGTAAATGTAAAAGTATTTCTCTTGGGTGTATATGTACGAGTGGAACTACTGGGCCATAAAAGAATGTCACTTGTTTTCCAACATGTCTTTATGAGCAATGTGGATGACTTCCTGTTGATTTATAATTTCTCTAACATTTGGTATTATCACACTTTTGAAATTTTCCCAATGAAAATGTTAAAAACATTATTTTATGGTCTTGATTTATAGTTTGCTTTCTAGTACCATAAAATATCAAAAATTGAGATGACTATTTTTTTAGAGTGCTTTTGAAATGTTCAAGAATTCATTAAATATTCACCTAGCAGGCTTTGTTCTTTGGGCAAGAAACAGAACCACTCATTTTTTCAACTGACATAATTTAAGCGCCAGGTTGCATATCGAAAATACACTAGGGAACAAGATGAGCATGGTTGCTACTGTCTTGGGGCAAGAAAGACTCTAATTGTCAACTATTAACGTGGTAAGTGACATGAAAATGCCTAGGAAGTAACAGAGTGAATAACAGAAAGACATATGCTGGTCAGAAGAGGGGAGACATGTAGAGAATGCTTCCTGTAGGAAGTGCCCCAAAGAGCTTAGGCCTGAATTATGCGTAATTTTGCCCAAAAGAGGGGAGATCAAGAAAATAATGGATTAGGTCTTCCCAATAGAGGATGCAGCATATAAAAAAATTGCCTTAGACTTCTGCCTATGTTTTTTCCCTCTCAAGGCTTAAATATAATTCTAGGATTCAAGATAGAAAGTAATGCCTCAAACAACCATTTTTATATTTTACCAATCTTCCTTTCCCCCAATCAGGGCTCTGTTGGCCAAAAAAAAAAAAAAAAGCCCCAATAAATATCAGCTTCAGATGACTGATACTACACACATCAGTTTATCAACCACAAACATATGTAGCCTCCAGCTGGGACTTACTGTCACAACAAAAACATAGTAGTTATTGAACATTTCTAAGAAAGTAATGCAAACTTCAGAAAACAACTTGGGGAGGCGGATCTTGCATAGGATTGGTTCTTACATGAGAGCAAATGTAACATGGTTGGTGTATTAATTAAATGAAAGGGAAATAATGAAAAGGGTAGTTTTCTCTACTTGGTATTACACTTCAATATTTCTGATCTCAAATGTGTTCTTTCTTTTCTCTGGCTGTAAGTTTATGATTTTTCATTTTTGAGTTGTCTTCAAGTCAATATGCTGAGAACTTTTATAGAAAGTTTTTTCTTTGGTCCTAACATCACACAGCATCAATCAATAATCAATAAAAATTTTCTTGTGAGTCCACTAGATGTTTATAACTATTCTGCAGTTTGAAATAAATCAAACATAAAATGCCATACTTCAGCCCCAAAATATTTATCTTGTTGAGTGTGCATCAATATATAAATGTATATCTTTTTATTTAAATATTTTACATACTATATAAATATATACATAATTATAAATTAATACATGTACTTTTAAAATTTATGTTATTTATATATAATTTAACTTTGTCTTCTGAGGCCTTAACTTAGAAAATTGAATTTGTTCTGTCCTATTATAAAACCTATGCATGGCCTTCTAATATTCTTTGTGAAAATTATTTTACAATAACAAACTTGTTCTCTTTTAATCCTTGGGACAAACAGTAATTTCTATTTATTTAAGTCTTAGTTTTCTGACTATTAATGTGCAAAGGGTCATATTGTGAAATGAAGGCTTAACAAATATCCTGTTTGGAATATCAATGAGTTACTTTTAGTCATCAAAAAAAGAAAATGCAAGGATGCTTTTAAAAAGCAAATACTAAACTGCCACAGAACTCATTTGGAGAAAAAGGAATTCAAGAACATTCATTTGAAACTATCTAGTTTACAGCTTGTTTTAAGGCACAACATGATAGTTATACATCTGGAAGGGACCTTAGAGCTCCTCAAATAATAATGGTCCTTTGCTTTCACCCCACTCCACAGATAAGGGAAGTGAGGCCAGGAAAATCAGTACTTATTAGAAGTAATACAGCAATTTTGCTGCAAAGTTATGCATAGGATCTGTGGCTTTTGATACTCTACTGATTTGCTCTTTTCACTGCACAAAGGTTTATTCTAAGTAAATTTTTCCTACAGAAATGTTTATGGCCATGGTAAAGCTGTTAAAGTTAAATTAGTTGGGTGGCATAGGCATTCTTTGCTAGAAATTTCCTTGAAGTGGCATATATCTCTATTCTACCACTACCACCACCACCCTTCCCCCCAGACACATACAAACTCATACATAAAAACCCAAATACACATAGATAACGATATACTTGAAAATGAGATAGTCTCTTACTCTTTGTGATCCCATAGGAAAAACATAGTTCTTTGCACATAATTAAACCGAAATTTTTAGGCACATTTTAACATCTCTAAAGTCTCCATTGTACCTGTTTTATATTGATAGCTTGCCTTTACACTCCTCATTTTCATCCTTTCTCCTATTTGGTGTCTAGATGGGTGGCTGTCTGATGTGGGAAAAAGACTTAAGAATTTGGAGTCTGATAAAACTGGATTAAAATGTTCACTTGAGTTTTATTACATATGCTATTATGGGGAAATTAATATTCTAACATTAAACATTCAGGTAGTGACCCCAGTTCTCAAGTAGATGACTGCTAGATCGGTGCCCTGTCCCTATGCTCTGGGGCCTTGTGTTCACGTGCATACCAACCTGAATTCCATTCATAGCATTTTCATCTTTTTGCTAAGGAATTGTGTAACACAGCAGACTGGACATGTCCCCAAATTATCTTCTACCCACCAACACTCCCACCCTATTAACAGCCCCTCAACAGTGACTAATGGGTATTGGTGTATAAATAACCCAGCTCCCTCACCCTTCAATTGGAACAATTCTGAGGCATATCTTCAAAACTGATTCCCAGAGTTCCTTAGCAGATTTATGTACCAGTTACCAATAGTGGTAACTTACATGAGGACACACACTTCATCGGCTTTCTTTTCTCCTCTGACTCATTTCTCTACTCTCCTACTAGAGGTTCCTGAACTCGGCTACATTATACACTATTTGCGTTTGAACCCTTGTGTCAGAATCTGCTTCTGAGTGAACTCAAATGAAGACAGGGACAGACAAGTAAGCAGGCCATTACAAAATCACGTGTTATGTGCTCTAAGAAAGTTAAGAATGATACATTATAAAAACGCCCAATAGAGATCATGTGGGACTTTGTTTGAAAAGGGTTTTGTGAAGTAGGTGGTATTTGAGTTAACTTTTTAAACATATTAGGAGGCTATTTTGATAAGAAGAAGGTAGATGGCTCCAGGAAAGGGGATTTGCAAGTAGAAGGTCTTAGAAGCAAAATACAGTATATTATCATGATTAAGAAACTGAGAGCAATTAAGTGTGACTATGATATGGGAGTGAGCATCAGGGACAAATGAGAAGAAAGGCTAAAGTGGTAGTCAAGGGACAGATCAGAAAGACCTTGTGAGCTAAGCCAGACAGAAGTCATCTTTTGCAGGAGTAATAAAGAGGCATTGTAGAAAGTTAAGAAGAGCTGTGATATGGTCAGATTTTTGTTTCAGGAAAATTCAAATGTGATAGCAGCAGGGAGAGTAGATTTCAGGGATCAAGATAAATTCTGGGAGACCCATTAGAAGCTTATGGCAGTAATCCAGGTAAGAAATGTTGTGAATCTGAATTAAGTAAATAGTAGAGAAAATAGAAAAGAGAGGGCAGATCTCAGAAATATTCAATGGGTCAAATTAACAGTACTTTTTGAGTGATGAATATGAAGGGTAGTCGTAAAGGTGGAGCTTGAGAATGGCTTTGGGTGTGTGGCATGGGGAGGAAGCCAGCTGATCGCCATGCTGCTCTTGGAGATGGCAGTCACTCAGGGAAAAGAAAGTTCAGTAGGTCAAATGGTGACTTCCGTTTTGGCTATGTTGAGGGCCGCAAGCCTATGAAAATTCACATGGAACCAGAGGTCTGACTTAGGAGGAAAATAAGTGAGGTCCAAAGATGGAGAAGTAGAAGTCACCTTCACATAAGAAAGTGATGCTGTAAGAGTGGATGCAGTCAGCCTTAGAGAAAATGTAGCACGGACGTGCGTATATAACACCGGGAAATGCCAACACTTAAGGAGTGAACAGAGAAAAAAAGAATGCCAATAGGAGACTGAAAGATTTGCAAGAGGAGAGATGGCAACCATGTGGCAAAAGGACCACCAAAACTCATTCTTGTGCACACAGCATACAAAGGGTTTATCATAGACCTCTTCCTCATTATCCTCCAATTTAGCATCAGAATCTTCCTCAACGAGGCACACCTGGAGTGCCAAGCATTGAACTATGTCAAAGATTTGTCATGTGGACTAAATAAGATAAATATGTTGAGCATTTAGTGTAATTCTCCACAAATTGGTAAGACCCTAATAAAAGATACATACCCAAGGATAGGGGTGGATGCATATAATTGTGTCTCAGGGGATAGAGGAGGAAGCTGAGGGAATTATCTTCTGAAAGTGTTTATTTTCTCTGTAGTAGGTTTCTCAGTCCATTAAGATTGCTATAGCAAACTACCACAGATTTGGTGGCTTATAAATGACAGAAATTTACTTATCACAGTTTTGGAGGCTAGAAGTCTGAAATCAGGGTGCCAGTGTGGTTGGGTTATCCACACAGGGTACCTGTGTGGCTGGGCTATATTAAGTAATCCATTTCTTATCTGGATTACTGCCATAAGCTTCTAATGGGTCTCTCAGCATTTATCTTGATCCCTGCAATCCATTCTCCCCACTGCTGTCAAATTTGAATTTTCCTGAAACAAAAATCTGATCATATCACAGCTCTCCTTAACTTTCTACGATGCCTCTTTATTGCTCTTGCAAAAGAGGACTTCTCTTTGTCTTAGCTCACTAGGTCTTTCTGATCTGTCCGTTGCCTACCTCTTCAGTCTTTCTTCTCATATTTCCCTCATACTACACTTCTGGTTTGTGACTACTGACTCCTCATTGTAACTTCACGTGGTGGAAAGAGGGCTAGGGAGCAGTCTGGGACCTCTTTTATAAGGGCCATAGTCTCATTTTTTAGGACTAATGACCCAAATTACCTCCAAAAGGCTTCACCTTCCCACCATCATATTGTGGAGTGAGATTTTACCACAATTTCTTCTGGGGGGACACAAACATTCAGTCCTTTATGGTAGACATCCAGGCCATGTGAGAGAGGAGCAAAGGAAATGATAGGGTAGAAGGAGGAGAATATGGGAAACAGCTTCAGATAAGTATTGTAAGAAATGGGTACAGGAACTGACTGACAAAGGACCACAGAAGAACTGTGGAGAAATGCTAAGGAGCTGGGTGACGCTGGAGATCATAAATGACTGATCCTAAATTAAAAGCTATTGCTTAGAGCATAGTCTTAATTTTTTTTTCTATATGGAATATGAAGAAAAACTGTTAGGAAAAATGAATACAAAAGGTAAAATAATGCTCATTGATAAGATAATCATTATGCTTGTTGTATTATATAAATTATACAAACTTCATGGAAACTATTTGAATAGATATTATTTCTATTTATTCAGATGAAGAAGCTGAGGCTAAAGGTTTTTCATAAATCATCTAAGATCACATTTGTAGCAATTGGCGTAGCTGGGATGGAGTCCTGGGCAGACTAGAGCTAACCTTATGCTATTGGCAGACACATACTTATTATACCAAATCTTCATTTATACTGCTGGTAATGGTTTACTATCAGCCTTTGTTGTACTGGGGTGTTTTCCCCTTCATCAGTTTTGGAGTATTTGATCTACTTCTATTGAGTTTGGTTTGAATGCAAAAATTAAAATAAATGCTTTTGTCTTTGTCAGCAGAGAGGAATATTCCAAAGTGAAGGACACTTTGTTATTCACAATTATGATTCTTTCCTCTGTTCTCTCTCTCCCTTTCCCTTCCACTCTCTGTACACACACATGTGATTCTTATTATTCACAGTAGTTGTGTTCTATGAAGTCTCCACCAACACTGAGCTAATGGGCACTGAACTTTCCTAAGGGAAAGGAAAGGTCAGGTTCCTGTGAGCCTCTGGTCACATTTCAATCAATCGACCAATACATAATCATGTTTTAAAGTCATCTTTTTAAATATTATTGTTGATTCATTAACATTGAACTTGCAAGCTTATCTGGAACATGTATTTTCTCTGTAAGGCACATCCCAGCCTTTGGCACATAGGAACACTAGACAGCAATTAAGCATGACACTTAAGGGCCATTTTAAAACACCAACAAAAAAGCACAAATAAAAAAAAAGGCACTAAATGGATCACAAAAAGACCCTTGTTTACAGTCAGAGCTGAAATAAGAAGGCAGAGTGTTGCTATGTCAGCCTCAGCTGGGTATTTGCATATGGTCAGATCAAAATTTTCCCACCCCATGCATGCCTAGGAATGACCAACAATCACCTGAAATATGGATTTTGTGGTTTCAAATAAATTTTAACAAGTAGACAAATTTGCAAATACAGGATCTGTGAATAATGATTGACTCTGTGTGTGTGTGTGTGTGTGTGTGTGTGTGTGTGTGTGTGTGTGTGAGATGGAAGTAAATTTTATCCCAGACACCAGCTAGTATTTCTTACTGTGTCAGAAACTGTTCCTTGACACAAACTGAAAGGACTGTGCATTGATGGAGAGTTTTATATAAAGTCTCCTCAAGAAGGATCCTTTAAAAAACTTGGAAACTACTGAAAACAACCTCTAACATATGAATTTCTCTTAAAAAAATTATATATATATATATATATGCCTCCTTTGAAATACCTCTTTTCTGCTCATTTTTATTTCTTTGCATCTCTTCCATCAGCAACATGTCAAAATGATGTCTACATTCTGTGCACATAAAGTCAATGTGCAACATTGGACTGGAAATAACTTGAAATTATTTGCTTAAAGCATTTCTGCTTTTGCTAGAACACTAGAAACTAGTTTTTGACTTTTACTTTTTAAACAATGATTGTCAGGACATGCTAATATATATTTTTGGCCAATCTTGTGGCTTATGACACTTCTATTCCTTCAATATTTTGCCTGCTACAGTCAGACATTTCACTATCCCTGGAGAACGCAGTAGCAAATAGGAAATGAACTGTGCAGCTGAAGAGAATTTGTCAGCAGTACATTCCTTTCTCCTTAAAAAACAAAGTAGAGAATGTTGGCTATTTATGCCCAGGCCTATTGTTTTTCTAATTAATCATGTTTTGTGTAAAAATTGCAATGAATGTATTTCTGCAAGACAACTGTAGTAACCATAAATGTTTGAGGTTCTCAGTGAACTTTCTCCTCAGATACTCAGAATTACCATACTGTCCCCCAGAAGTTCTATTTTCATCTATCATTCTGCAGCCAAATTGACATCTTTTGTTACAACTTGAATACAACTATTTCTTTTCCCATCCATAGCCTAAATAATTTCATAATAACAAGATTGTACTTCCATTAGGACTTGATAGTTAAAACCTCTTTTCTATCACTCTGTCCTATAGCTAGTTTCACTGAATATGAATATTATGGTAAAGGCCACTCCAAGTATATTTTTGGAGTCCACAGTATCATTGTAAGTTATCAGCACCAGTCTGTCCCCCTCCCCAGACAATGAGATCTTATTCATTAGGAACAATTCACCCCTCTAGTGGAAGAATCTGGGTATTGCAGCTTTAGCTCCAACAAATAGCTAAGCTTCAAGGCTGTAAGAGCATCTGCAGATTTTTAGAAAATTATTATTACAAGATTCCTTCTTTTTATGCTGGTTTGTTATTAAATATAACCCAATAGAGAAATCTCTTTAAAATGTTAATTTGCTTTCTTATGTTTATACACAGGGAAATGCTTAGAGCTATAAAAAGGCTGTACTAACACTGACTAATAGATTTTTGTTTACACTCATCTCCATTTTTCCCTTGTTTAAAGTCAAATAGAAATTGATTGGAAAAATGGTTTTTGGTATACTTTACAGAGTTAAACAATAATATGGGATGGTTTTTTTCCATATGTTTTCTATAAGCAGTAAGATTATTTTAAAATCAGCACTTTCGTACCAAAGTGGAAAACCATTCAGCCAAACTGAATTACAATGGGAAAACGATGATGTTACTACTCATGAATACTGGTAGCTATTGAGAGAGTAATGTGAAAATTCTGATTTCAGTTCTGCTACTGAGATGTCCTTGTCAGTATAAACGTTGGTAGTAAAAAATGCTTTCAAGATTTACTAGTCCAGAATGTCCCAAGAGGTGAAATAAATTCTCCAAGTTCACACAGCTAGTTAGTGGCCAAGCATAAGCCCATTTCTCCCGATTCTGAAACCCATAACTCTTTCTGGCACACAATCCTCATCGTTACAGCACAAGTCTGAATCCAGAGTGAATCAATTTGAATCACGCCTTGCTATGCACCACCTTGAAGATCACGGACAGCATCTTTCACCACTGTGCACCTCCCTATTCTCATCTGTACAGTGAGGGCAAGAGAGATGCCCCCTCAGAGATGTTTCAGCGAAGATGAAAATGAGATGCAGGAAAATTACTTAGTGCAGGACAAGATGCATAATAAGCACTCGGCGTGAGTTGACAATCTCTCCTATTAGTATTATTACCACTATGAGCTTTTTTTCTCTGTTTGGGGGCATTCTAAGAAGAGAATTTCTTTTCACTCCCTGGAGTAAATGTGTATGTAAATTAAGGGAAATTTAAGTCTTTGTTTTTTATTCAATTACTCATAAGTATTTCGGTGCTATAAGAGCTTTACTAATCTTACCCTTCATTTATGCAGTGATATAAGGGTGATAACAACTTTTTTAAAAGAGACTTTTAATTTTTTTTAAAGAGCATCATATGCATTGCCTCTATTAAGCCAGATTCATAAAATAATTCTAGCATAATTTAAATACTATATTAGAAACCAAAGATTATAAAGTGCAAATGAGATTTTCTTTTTTTTTTGGCTGCTGACATCATAACAGTTTTTACAGAGCGATTATCATCTCAATGGATATGGATGTCAAGCAGTCATTATCCTCAGATCATAACGAGGTGGACCATTAGTGCCTCCTTTGGAGACCTTATGGTCTAAGATGTTAATGAGCCTTTGGGGAACCCTAAATCCTTGGATGGTTGGCAGGGTACTCTAGACCATAACAGAACCTTCTTTGCAATGACAATGGAACCTGTCAATTTCTATTAAGGAGCTTCTTAATTCCCCAATCATTAAGATAGTGGAAGGACTTATTATACTAGCCTATAATTAAGGAAGCTTTCAGCCATAAATCCCTTCTGTTAAGTCCTTCCCTCTATTCAACATGGCATAAGTAAAGGGTAAGGCTCCCACAAGAGAAACTACGGAGACAACGTTGATCTGAGGGAAATCTTGCAGGATGAAGATTCTCCCTGGTTTCCTCCTATATCCCTTCAGCCCCTATTCACTTTCTCCCAAAGACACAGCATAAGTGAGGCCTCTTAAGTTAAAACTGGAGGTCTCCAACAACTGGTCTGGCAGGCATCTCTTGTCACGATTGACATTTTGATTAGACTGTGTTCGAGTATTTATGCTAGGCATTATGACAGAGAAACACAAGTTCAAAGCACCATCGTTGCCCATAAATAATTTACAGTCTTATTAGAAAGAGTGAATGATAAAGGTGCTATGATGGCATCAGAATGAAAGGCAACAACGCAGAGAGAAACAGACAATACTAGGGTGCTTTCCCCAACGATTGCTATAAAGAGTATATGCTACAAATTAATGAGAAAATAGGTGTGGAATTAGATGCTTAATGAATGTTATATCCTTTCTTATTTAGAAGAGGATAAGTTCAATGCGAACTGCTCACCATAGACTCATTCCTTTATACCTCAGTTTCTCAATAATTAAATGACTAGGATTAATACATCCTGCTAGAAAATATTACCAGTGGCCAGGCACAGTGGCTCACACCTGTAATCCCAGCACTTTGGGAGGCCGAGGTGGGCAGATCACTTGAGGTCAGGAGTTCAAGACCAGCCTGGCCAACATGGTGAAACCCCATCTCTACTAAAAATACAAAAATCAGCCAGGCGTGGTGGTAGGTGCCTATAGTTCCAGCTACTCCAGAGGCTGTGGCATGAGAATCACTCAAACCCAGGAGGCGAAGGTTGCAGTGACCTGAGATTGTACCACTGCACTCCAGCCTGGGTGACAGAGTGAGACTCTGGCTCGAAAAAGAAAAGAAAAGAAAAAAGAAAATATTACTAAAGGACTATTTCATGTGTTGTTATTTTCTATGAAAGAAAATAATCCATAGCATGCTCAAGTGATAGGTACTATAGAAATATTCACATAGGAAAACATACAGGCTTGATTACAAGTGAGGTATACTATTTTAACTCAAAACTTATTGCTTGAAAAAAGCAGAAAGCCAACTAGGAAGAGAAATTATGTGCTGCCATAAAAATCAAAAATGAAAGAATCCAACCCATTAACCTTGGATGTACAGAAACTTGAAGTTCCCTCATTCTTTTTGATAATCCTGGATTTTTCATCTAAATTTCATTCGACCTCGAGCAGACCTGCATTTGGCTTATTACTGAAATTTCATTGCTGAAATTTTCCAATGTAAAAAGTTTTCTAATCAGAAGTTAAATTTATACAAAATCTCCACTGTATTGAAGAAATAAATGTCTGCTTCTGCATTTTGTGCTTTGGGAATATGAGTTAGTTTTATTGTGGTGTTTCCAAATCAAGTCTCCAATTCTAACAGGGAAAAAAATCACATAGGACTCCATCTCTGTGCCAAAGCCCAGAATGAATTGAAATTTTATGAAGGGGCCTGAGCTTTAAGTTGTTAATAAGAAACTCCTGAGTTTCAGTTTCTCTCATCTTAGGTAATTGGGGCTTTAAGTGCATACAGAAAACTCGGGTCTCATATGATTGATACTTGGGACGTCCTTCCTTGTTCTGTTTAAGTTCCTTGGGAGCAATTCATCTCATTTTGTTTGTTTCTTTTTGCTTATAATCACTTCATATTTGACTATCAACTCGGGGAAATCTGAGTAGCTATACTAAGCCTAAAGATAGGTGGAGCAGGCAAGCTGCTTTGAATTGTTTCCAGCTTCCAGGGGCATTTCACTAGCATCTCCCCATTCATCCATCACACTTACTCCTCTTAATCCTCAAACAAGAAAGGCCTTTAAAATACTGACCACTCTCCACTGTGCTAACATTCCCTGGGAAAACACACAGTTTTCTTGTCCCAAAGATAGTTAAAATAAAATATAAAAAGCAAGGATAGGCTGGGCGCCGTAGCTCACGCCTGTAATCCCAGCACTTTGGAAGGCTGAGGCAGGCAGATCACCAGGTCAGGGGTTTGAGACCAGCCTGGCCAACATGGTGAAATCCCATCTCTACTAAAGATACAAAAAATTAGCCAGGCATGGTGGCGCACGCCTGTAATCCCAGTTACTCAGGAGGCTGAGGCAGGAGAATCGCTTGAACCCGGGAGACACAGGTTGCGGTGAGCCAGGCAGGAGAATCGCTTGAACCCAGGAGGCACAGGTTGCGGTGAGCCGAGATGGCTCGACTGCACTCCAGCCTGGGCGACAGGGTGAGACTCGGTCTCAAAAAAAAAAAAAAAAAAAGCAAGAATAACAGCAAATCGAGAGCAAGGCACACAGCCTGTTGCTCCCTATCTGTTTCTTGGAGACACGACCACACACACAAACCCCATATATGGTTTTTTTCCCTCCCTCTACTTACTCTCCCAAAGGGACAGCTGTGTTGTGAAAGGCTTTTATTTAGAAAGTCAGAGAGGAGTTGAGAGTTCCATTGGCTGTCTCAATAACCCCCAGGTTTACACAAGCTCTTACTCAGGAACTGAGCATCTTCTTAAAAGATAGCTTTGTGGCTGGGTGCGGTGGCTCATGCCTGTAATCCCAGCACTTTGGGAGACCGAGACAGGTGGATCACTTGAGGTCAAGAGTTTGAAACCAGCCTGGCCAACATGATGAAACCCCATCTCTACTAACAACACAACAATTTTCCAAGCATGGTGGTACAAGCTTGTAATCCCAGCTACACAGGAGGCTGAGGCAGGAGAATCGCTCGAACCAGGAGGTGGAGGTTGCAGTGAGTCAAGATCACACCACTGCACTCCAGCCTGGGCAACAGAGTGAGACTCTGTATTAAAAAAAAAAAAAAAAAAAAAAACAACTTTGAGTCTAACAATTACAAAAGCAACCTTTATCTACATTATCCAAGAAGGCACACTCTTGTCTCAATTTTCAAATGGGGGTGATGTCTGTTTATAAGAAGTATGTACCAGAGCTGTAGAAAAAAGATTTGACATTAGTCCCAGATCAAATTAGAGACTACAGAGAAAAAATAAGAATATAAGCCTTTGAAGGGCAGACGTAAATTGGATAAGCTACAATATTGCAAAACTAACAAAAATAAATTTCGAGACAAGAATAAAAAAGCAGAATGCATCCACTCTAAGTTGTTGCTGAAGGAAGAGAGAGAGAAACCTGCATCAGCTGCTTTTTGCTTAAACAGGAAGGCACTACCTGGCCACCAGTGGGAGACCATGTCAATTACTGGTAATATGTACATCTTCCTCTGGGGGGTGTCCAGTTATACTAATAAGAGAAGATGTTGAGCCAGGAACTTTGACTTAAATGTGGGAAGAAAGTAACAAATAGAAGTTGATCTGCAGCCCAAGTGCTTTTCAACTTGGGTGTGAAGGAGGTTGTTTCCTGGTCTACTAATTAATACTCTAAATAGCACTACCCAATAGACATTTCTGCAGTAGTGGAACTATTCTATATCTGCTCAGTCTAATATAATCACTACTAGCCCAACCAGCCATTGAGCTCATGAATCCTGGCTCATGCAAATGAGGAAATAAAATTAATTTAATTATAATTAATTTAACCTTAATTTTAATTAATTTACATTTAAATAGCCACCAATGTCTAGTGGCTTCCATACTGGAAGGCACAACTGTAGCAGGTAAGCATCATTACAAAGGCTTTCCCTGGACCACATGGTGTGTGTCTTGATGACCTCTATACCTGCCCTTAGAAGCTGTGGGACCTTTAACAGTTTACTTAACCTCTCAGAGCCTCAGATGTTTTATCCGTAAAATGACTAAAATCATACTTAGTTCCTGAGGTTGTAAGGATTACATAGGATGTAAATGGGTTGATGTCTGGTACCTCACACAGTATACCAACACCTCTGCCATACCTGAGTCTGGCTCTAATGTTTGCTCCTTCTCTTTATATTGTGGTTTTAAGTATGTCTTGCAATTGTTTTCTTTCTAGTTGGATACGATACACTGGGTAAAGGGAATTGTGGTAAATATGCCTTTAGCAGTGTGGTGGGCAGCAAATGCATTATATAGTCCTATGATCAGATCTTAGTCTTTTGATGAATCTGTACCTCTGGACATTTTTGCATGTGCTTCTTAGTCCCACACTAAGCTCTTAAGACAGGATACCTAGAGTGGGCTGGAGTTGAGTATCTCCATTCCCCCAGGTCAGTTAGGCTCTATAAAACTCCAATAGTTTAGGCTCTGGTAAAACAGTTTTTTTTAATGACAGGCCTTGTTAAGAAGAATCAAGTGCTCTAGTGTATTTCAAAATGACTACATTTTCCCTTCCTCTGCTGGAAACATGAGAGGATTTTTCTCTGATATTCACTATGAGAACCTGGTTTAGCCCTTGAAGGTTAAGTGCAGATAACTGTGGGCCATGAGTGCGAGTGGGTCCCCTGGAGTTTTTTACTCCCAGGCTTGTTTACTCTTGAAACTGCCTTTGCAAAGATTATATCAGTGAGAAAATTATGGCAGTAAAAGAGATCTGATCTAACCCACACCCCATCTTTCCTTTCCCTTAATTATTCCTGGGCTTTTGTGCAGAGATAAGTTTGGAAGACATTTAGGTCATAGTTTAAATGATAATAGCCCTTCCCCAAAACTCAACCACCTTTGTAAACTAATGAGAGACCATCTGACCAGGGGAAGGAGAGAAGCCTGAAGTCGTAAGCTGTGGACTGGTCTCTCTTGTGAAAGAAGCAGCTTCACTATTGGAGACTGGCCTTTTGAGATGTCTTTTCAGGTTTTCTGCATGTCTGACCCCCATAGCTCCACCTGGACTGTTGGCTCTACCACTCCTGTAACCCCATCCAGGAGTGATTCAGCTCAAGAGGACAGCTTCAGCCTCCTACAATTTTATCTCCACCCCAAACAATCAGCAGCAAGCACCCATTAGCTGGCCACCTCCACCCCTTCCCCAAACTGCCTTTGGAAAACTAATCTACCAACCTAAGATGTGACTGATTTGAGTAATAATTCCGTCTTCCATGTGGCACAGCCGCCTTTGTGTCAATTAAACTTTCTTTACTGCAATGCCATGATCTTTATTTGTGCAGTGGGCAGGAAGAACCCCTCAGGCACTTGCACTCTGAGCCTCCAGCAATTTCTCCATTATGGTTCAGATTTTCTTTATTTGGCTCTGGTTCCCAAAGAGGTTCCTGCTCTGGTAAGTTGTGACTTTCTGTGTTCATCTGTCTGTCTCTCCAATTTTGGGGAACAATGATTGCCCTGTGACCTGACTTCTCTGATAATTTTTAAGAATAATTTTTTATTGTTTGGCTTGTTCAGCTTTCTATTTGTTGTTAGGACAGAGTGATAATTGCCAAGTTTCTTACAAGCTAGACAGGGAGTAGGAAGCTCACATAGTATTATTAAACTGGATAATGAAAAACAGGTGATGGAGAGAGGCGATGGAGAGAAGAGCAGGGTCAATGGATAAATGGTTATATGGAAAAGCAGAGAAAAAGGAGGGGAAGGGAAAGGAAAAGAGGAAGGGGAGCGAAAAGAAGAAAAAGAATGCAAAAAGGAGGAAGAGGAGAATGTGACCTATCACAGTGTCTGGCTCATATTAGGCATTTAATAAATGTTCACTTCAGTCCATTTTTCTTGATGATTCATCACAAGACAAAAATGTGTCCCTCTCTCTGCCCACCGTGCCATAAAACCTCCTGGCTCCTTCCACTGACACCACCTTCCTCGGACTGTGTTCAGCACCTTAGGTGAAGAATCAATCGTTCTAAATCACAGAAAAGCTGAGCATCAGATGGAGAAGATACAATAATGGGCTTAAAGACTTTTAATGTCCCCTCTAACCCAAAGGTCTTCTAAGGTGATTAGGTGACTGCACGATTGGTGGGATTAATCAACCCAGACAGCTGTCATCACTTTAACATAGTATCACCATGGATCTCATCTGCGGTTTTCACCAATTTAGACCTCAAAAGAATATCATGTTAAGCTATTGCTGATCAATAGTATCTTGCATAAATCCTATTATCAGAATGTATTCATTAATTCCTTCACTTGACAAATAGGTATTGAGTGCTCACTCTATGCCAAATAGTACTTTAGGTACTGGGACATCATAGCGGGCCAAGGCCTCCCTTAGCTATTATCTTCACTAAGCTCAGGTGTGAGAAGGAAGTGCCGAGTGGCTTATAGGACAAACCAAAAACAGAGCAAGGCATACATAGGAAACTCTGGAAAATCCACCAGAACATGAAGAATAGGACGAAGAACTACAAAGTCAAAATCAAATCTCAAACACATGACTGGTAGCTCCTGAAAACAGTGTGTAAGTTTTATAGCTGAATTTAAGGATGGTACTGCATGCATCCAAAAAGCTAAAGAGAATTTGCTTTCAGTAAAATTTGCAAAGCAGAGTTAACAGTAACTCAGCATTCCAGATACAGACAAAATTGTCATATTTTCAGCCTAAGGACAACTCTCAAAAACAAAGGTGACATGCCAGCACCCTGATTTTGTTTTCTAATGCCCTTCTCCAGCTTAAGAAGTGGGCTAATTCTAGGGCTGGCACAGGGAATATACAAATGTGCCTGGAACACCTTGTTAGGCCAGTAAGTAAGGATTCAAAAAACAAAAGAATGGAGCAGGTCAAAGGCACACAAGAAGCAACTGAAAAAGCTCCCTCATTGAACAATATGGAATATTCTGGGCAAGAAAATAAATAATATAGTATTGGATTATAATCCAAAGTATAAAATGAATATCCAGGTGTCCAAATTAATGTAAGTAAATGGTTGACTAAATGAATAAATGGGAGAGAAGAGGCAAATCTCCCATACTGACACATTCCACATACTTTATGTAGATACATCACTTTCAGGGACTAATGTTTGTGGTTTATTTTTATTGTTTACTTATTTTTATTATTCCTCTTTTTGTTCTTTGTGATGTTGTGAACTAAGGACTCTGCATTGACTCATTCTCACACTGCTAATAAAGACATGCCCAAGACTGGATGATTTGTAAAGAAAAAGAGTTTTAATGGACTCACGGTTTCACATGGCTGGGGAAGCCTCATAATCATGGCAGAATGCGAAGGAGGAGCAAAGGCACACCTTCCCTGGAAGCAGGGAAAAGAGCGTGTGTGGGGGAACTGCCCTTTATAAAACCATCAGATCTCTTGAGACTTATTCACCATCGCGAGAACAGCACAGGAAAAACCTGACCCCCATGATTCAATTACCTCCAGCTGGGCCCCTTCCACCACACATGGGGATTATGGGAACAACAATTCAAGATGAGATTTGGATAGTTACACAGCTAAACCATATCAGACTCGGTAGGCTGTTTCTTTGTTTCTTTTAAAATTAGGGGAGAGTGAGGAAGATGAGGTAAAAGTTAACATGAAATGTTATCTAAGACCCATTCAATTAAATGGATTAGTGTATGGAGAGGGATTAGAAAAATGTTGATGAAATAGTGATATCAAAATGTTATAATCCACCAAAGGTTAATGTTGCATCAGAATACTTCAACTATTAAAATGGGATTGTCATTGGTGTGGTCTTTTCCAGCAAGGAAACACACTGACTTGGGAAAATTAGTTATGTTTTATTTGGCTGTGATGCCACTATTATTTCTACAATAGCAGAAACATCTATGTGAGAAATTCCCTCCAAGAGTGCAAAACTCTTTCAAACTAAACTTCATTAATCTCCACATCATCTGGGTTAGAGGACAAGCTCTGTTCTTTAGAGTTGCTGTCGCGAGACTCAACTTGATGAACTTGTTAGGGTTGTGTGGCAAAGCCCAGATGGGCTTCAGAGCCTCACAAAATCTGATGTCTGAATACTGGGCAACTTCCTAAGCTGTTTCATCCAAAGAATTCTCACAAGAGATAAAAACTGCTTTCATCTGAATGTTGCCCTGGGAAAACTGTGACCCCTGTGTTTCCCTAATGAGTCTGGCATATAGAGAGGGGTTAAATGAGTTGGTCCCAGAATGAGTCCATGGTGCTGGAAGGAAATAAGCATCTGACCCCAGAGCCTCCTCCAGGGATCTTTTTAAAATGAACAGCCAAATTCAGGGAAGAGCACAACTATGTTCTCCTACCACCTGCTTCAACATTATCAATGACTCCCATGATGCCCTCAGGATGAAACACAAAGCTTCCGGACATATAAGAAAGTCCATTCATGACCTAGAGCTACCTCTCCAGACTCATCTTCCGACCCCACTTCACAGCCTTCACACCAGAGAACTAAGCTCCTTGTGCTTCCAAGCCCTGATCCATGCAGACCTTTTTGCAAGTCGTCGTCGCTGCCTGAAATGGATCCATCTCGACCTTCCCCTGCACTTCCATACAGCCCACTTGGTAGGCCCTTTACCATTCAAAACTCCCATCAGAAACTCATACCACCAACTAGAGTGACCAATCACTCTGGTTTGCATGAGACTGAGAGGTTTCCTAGAACTTACAATTTCAGTTCTAAAACCAGAAAAATTCCCAACAAGCCTGGATGAGTTGGCCACCCTGCTCCATCCCTCAGTTACAAAATAACTCCCTCTCTCCTCTAATGCTCCTCCACTTTTTATTTTTAATGTTACAAAGAGTGGCTCACTGCCCTGCATTTATTCACGTCTTTCCTATTACAGTGTAAACTCGGAAGACAGAGACCTTGTTTCATCTATCTTGGCAGCCCCAGGCAGGGTTTCTCCCTAGCAGCACATTAGAATCACCTGAGAAACTCTGGCAAGGGTGGGGTGGGGGGGGCGGTGTTTTTGTTTGTTTGTTTTTTAAATACCAAGGTTCAGGTCCCCTTCCCCCAGAGATTCTGATTTAACTGATCAAAGTTGAGGCCTGGGCATGGGTTATTTTTTGATGCTTAACCAAGTGATTCTAATGTGCAGTCAATGTTGCTAACACCTGCTCTAGGGTAATGATTCTCAGCTGGGAGTATTGTGCGCATCAGAACTACGCATATCACCCTAGGCCCAACTATCCACAGATACCAATTTAATTCATCTGGAATGCGGTTCAGGCAGCGGTCGTTTTCAGCATCAGGTGATTTTAATTCATGGCTATAGTTAATCACTGTTTAAATATGTATGCATATTTAAACTAAATTTAAACTAAATTCCAGGCCATCTTACCGCCCTTACCTATTGCCAGGCCTCTAAGTATTAATAAGTGCTGATCATAAACAGACTTTACTATCTAATATAACTAATTCTTTCCGTGTATGGCTCAGGCCACCATAGAAGCTTGTTTTCCTCAAAAGTCTTTTCAAGCCATCTCCTTCACACCCACACCATCAAAGGACACCCTTGTCTCTCTTTAGATCCTCACTTATTACTCAGCCCTTCTCAAAGTCCTTCTCTCAATTTCTTGGATACTCCTCTCACATTCATGGTTTTATTTTTTATTTTTTTGAGACCGAGTTTCGCTCTTGTTGCCCAGGCTGGAGTGCAGTGGTGCGATCTCAGCTCACTGCAACCTCCGCCTCCCGGGTTCAAGCGATTCTCCTGCCTCAGCCTTCCTGAGTAGCGGGGATTACAGGCATGCACCACCATGCCTAGCTAATTATGTATTTTTAGTAGAGACTGGGTTTCTCCATGTTGGTCAGACTGGTCTCGAACTCCCAACCTCAGATGATCCGCCCGCCTTGGCCTCCCGAAGTGCTGGGATTACAGGCGTGAGCCACTGCGCCTGACCTTCAAGGTTTTATTTTTCTTCCTTGCCACCATGCAGCAATGGGATGAAATAAGAGTTTTTCAACTATGTTATGTCATCTTTCTGACTCTGTCCAGGTGTCCTACACTGTTCCCTGGTGACCAAGGCAGACCACAAACTCAATGGGCTTTTTTCTCCCTCTAAATAAACTAATTCCCCAGCTCAGGAGCTTTTCATTGTATCAGAAGGGATTCACTTGCCGAGTTTTCAATGACCTGGTTCCTTCACGACACTAAGGTACCAGCTCAAATACCACCCCATCCAAGAGGTCTCTCCTGTCCACCCAATCCAGAGTGCCTTCTTCATGTCATCATTCTCTATCCTGCCAGTCTTTTTTAAGTTCGTCACATCCCTTATCATTTTCTGAAATTATCATGTTTTGTTATTTACTTCAGTTGTTTTATCTGACTCCCTCTTACATAACGCAAGCTCCACCAGGAAGAAGAATTTGCACATCTTGTTTCCTGATGTATTCATCAACAGCACTTATAACAATACCTGACCAACATTTACCAAAATGAAATAAATACCTATATATGCATAGACAGCTTAGGAACCAGTTATGTAAGCAACATCGCTGAGTCTGGAGCTACCGACTTATCCACAAAATGTAGCTACTAAGAGCATAATAATTCAGACTCCTAAATGAGAAAATGTATGTCTGACTAGAAAAAATTTATGTCAACATATTCAAAACAGTGTGATTTCACAAAAATAGTGCACTCTGACATTAGTCATTGGATGGCATTCCATCTATCACTTAATATATCATCCAGGAAACTTTATTCAGTGAGCACCACCATTAGCGTCACCTGGGAGCTTGTTAGAAATGGAAATGTGTGGGCTCTACCTCAAACCTACTGAATCAGTCTCTGGAGATGAGTCCCAGGAAATTGTTTCACCAGGCTCTTCTTGTGCTTCTTAGGTATACAACACTTAGAGAAGCACTGATCTAGGTCACATAAGGAAAGACTTTGAGCCCAGTCACTTCCTTTATGTTGCAAAAATTGTTAGAGTACTAGGTGGTAATGGTGAATGCAGAGATTGTTAATACATGGGAGGTGCTCAAGAAAATACTTTTAATTAATCAATTTTTTAAAATTTTATTTATTTATTTATTTTTAGTAGGCTTGTTTTCAGTTGGGCAGAGTTCTGACAACGTTTCTTCTGGAAGTCCAGCCCACTAAGAGAAGAGAAAAGGCTGTGTTATTTAAAGAAAGCTAACTGCCTATCTAAAAAAGAAAGAAACAGAAGAGCTGTAAAAAGGATGTTCATCTGGGGTTATTTAGGACAGGGGCAAACAGTCCTTCATACCTCAGTAGCCCCCTATACTATAGCACAGTTCAATAATTGATGTCCATAATGATGATCTTGCATTATTAAGTAAAGGCAAAATTCTTCTCCAGAGTCTCTGGTCAAGTGTGTTCAAGTTCTATTTAAAAGATTTCCATTTGAAATATTTAAGTCGCTTTTTTGCAGACCCAAATAGGAAAAGCTTTGGTTATTTGAAACATTTTATTAGATAAAATTATCTTATTCTCAAGGATTCTAGAGTAATTTATATGTCTTTGTTAACATATTTCCCTTAGTGAGTAGGCATTCTTTAACAGAGGGGCTGTGTCTTATCTGACCTTAGGAACCTCATTCAGCACCTAGCTCAAGTGACTCTACACAAAAGTTCCCTAGAAGGACTTGGGCCCCAGAGGCTGATTAACTTCAAAAGCCTGCATTTTCCACTGGGAAGAGAGTGGGTCATCAGGGCCCTCTTGCGTACCCTTTAAGCTTGTGCTCTTCTTGCCAGATAAGCTAAAGAGATAGCAATTCTCAAAGTCACTGGCATTTATTGAAAGCCAAAGAAATTAGTGAGCTCTGACATTTATAGCCCTTAAACATTAAAGTCTTTAAAAGTAGTTTGAGTAAGGTTCAAGTCTTAAATGTAATACCATAAGAGTTGCTGTTAATTCTTCAATAATTACTCTGTTTATTATTCAACCATCAGATTTACAGTTCCAGTTCAGCCCTAACTTGAACAACACGGTCTTTCACCTTTCAAAATTTACAATTTCTGAGTGACCTAAATTATCTCCAATGGGGCATTCCTAAATGGTTCACAATTTACAGTGCTTACCGCATGTCAAGAGTTGTTACAGTTGCTTCACATGTATTAATTCATTTAATCTTCACAATAACCTAAAATAAATGAAATTTATTTTGCATGTGAAGATTCAGAAGCACGAACAGGCTAAGGACTTTACTCAAGATTCCAAAACTAGTAGGTGGCATAGCCATGATTTATCTTCAAAATCTGTGTCATTAACCATTCTGCAATGCAATCTTCCAACACAATCAGTTTCAACTGAGCAAAAGACAATAAACTCTTAATTATTCATTATGTGTGATGGAGGCCACAAAGCTCTGACTTAAGGCAAGCAAGAAAGCCAGAAAACCTTTCCATCCTACCAGTATTCTCCCTTTCTCTGCTACAGCACCTGCACTCCTTGCCCTCAGTAGGACCCTGGGAATGGATGGAACTGTGATTCAAATTTATGTAAAGCCACTGCTTAAAAACTGCTTGATTTCTCTGCCACATTTGCTATTTCAAACTCCGTTCTGGCAGTCTGGTTAGCAAGGACTTTGGGAAAAGATATTATGGTGTTGTTGGCTAATATGAGGTTTGGGAAGGATACGTTGATTTGACTTTGGTTGTGGCCTCCAATAACCTCAGTAATTGATGCCTGCCTATGTTCCTTTTGAAACTATTGTAACTTTTCGTGATATACATACATAAACACATACACACATACATATGTGTACCTATATTCCATGTATCATATATTAGACACACACCTGTATACAATCTAGATACTTACACATGTATATGTAAATCTGTTCAGCTATTGTCTTACTCTATAAGAGAAAGCTATGAAGGGTAATACTGGGATGAAATCAATTCAGAAAGGAGGTGGGCATTAGCTTAGTTGTATTGAAAAAAGTATAGAATACCTGTCAAGTGAGCTTGAATTCTAAACAAAATAAGGCGTCTGATGAGGACAGCAGTTCATCCCTGAAAGAAGACATTTTTTTTTCTGGACAGGTCTTGAGCCTGAAGTTTGATGCAGAAGCAGATAGGAGCAGTCTCTTTCACCTCTTCTCGGGGAGATGTAGGGCTCTGTCGGTATGGGTGAATGAGAAAATTCTTTTGGCTTTTCAGTGAATACAGAATAAATGTCACTTTCTTTGGAAATGACCTTTCTTCTATTCTCATCTTTGTGTATAAAGTTGCTGTGTGAGAGAATCCATGCCTATGAATTTCATTTCTCAAGGTACAACAGAATCATTCCATAGACATTTTCAACATGGATGGACTATAAAAGTATCAGAATCAGACATGAGAGTTGATTTCCTCAGTAATCTTCAAAGAATCACCATCATCATGTTCTCATCCACTGTAATTCAGTAGAGCTTTTAGATTCTTATCAGATGAGTATTTATTTGGATCCAGATATGTAGTTCATTTCTTAGAAAAGGGTTTGTCTGGAATTGTTTGGCTTTCATTAGAAAAAAAAATAATTGGCAATTGACAGCATGCACTCTTCTTTGGGGACTTTTCTTGGCCCTTCTGTCCATAAAACTCAGTAGCTTAAGTGAACCCCCTTGAAATTTTAGAGATGGGCATATTCACAATGGTGTTAATGAAAAATAAAAGTGTGTATGCTGTTGTAGAATTGCTAGAAAAAATGCCAAAGTCTAACACACAGATCTTAAATGGCCAGCATTTGTGGGAGGTGAATATTCTAGTTTGCTCAAGCTGAGAATTGCTACAAATGTGCTGCCTTCTTCCAGGACTAATAATGCCATGCCAAAAGCAATCAAGCTTTTAAAAAATCTCAGCTGTCTGGCAAATGGATGATCATTATTATAGCAAATCACTATGCACCCAAGAACAAATGAAGTTTATAGTGCAGTGTAATTCAATGGCCGGATTTCATCACCAGCTCTCCAAAGCAGTGCAATCTGTCATAAGAGAACACCAGGTAATTTCAATTGGAAGACCTAACCGAGGTCTAATTAAGTAACAACTGCAATCTCCTCCCATCCACCCACCCTCATCCCCTCCACCCCTAAAACATTCTCATCTAAGAAGTTACCTGTCCTGAATGTTCTCTCGGGAGATATTCTTCCAAAATTCTGCCCACAAATCTCATCCTTTTTGTGCCAGGCTGTACCTCAAAAGACTTATATCAGCTTTCAGATGCAAAGAGAAAAGGAGTAAAGCATAAGTAGAATTACTGAATTATAAACTTGAAAGAAGCAACTGGATCTTGTTTTCCTGAAATGAGACCATTTTAGTCCCAGTACAATGCTTAGAAAACAGCACTATGGTTATTAAATAAAGAAATAAATCAATATATAAAATGTCATTAATCTAGAATGCACTAATATAGGGTTTGTGTTAATACATAGAAGTCTCAAGCTTGGGTGTTGATCTGCACCATTTAATGATGAAAAGCCAATTGTTAATTATTTATTTCTGAGTCATACCTTGACAGCTTGTAGGTGTGGGTCATGAAGGATAAGCTATGTTATACAGCAGTATTTTAAATGCAGTATTTATATACAAATAATTATTATGCTAATTTTGCAGCATCTTGATCTACTCATTAGCGCCGATACAAAGAATCAGCATGGTGTGGTGGAAAAGCATTAAAAGGGCAATTAGAAGCCCTGGGCTCTGATCCCAGCTCCACCACTCATTAGCAGTGTCACCTTGGCCAAGTCACTTAACCCCTCTGAGTCTGTTTCCTCACCTGTAAAATGAATAGATTGAACTAGGGCATCCCAAGGGCCCGTTCCAGCCTACGACTCTATGATCTTAGTGAACGACTGAATGGCGGCACACTCCTTTTAATTCATCACGTGCACAATTCTCCCTCTTATCACAAGACTGGCTTTTGCACATGCTGTTTCCTGAGCCTGAGATGCTCTTCCCCCCACCACCGCCTCTAGTAATTAACTCTTCTGTTTCTTCAGGAAACCAGTTCCTCAAGCAAATGGCCTTCCTTGATTTCTCAAGTCAAATTTGATAAATGTCTGCACCTGAAAGGCGGCAGGGTTGGCAGGTGTTAACCTGACTCTCATTACTGTGTGAATAAACTTAAAAGTAAGAAAATTGCTCCATTTCAACTTTACTTCATTTATTTAATTAGATCATTTGCAAATTACTTCAAAGGAAGATTTTTGTTTGTTTTTGGTACAAGTTTTCATGTCAGAATTGCAGTGACGTGAATTTGAACAAGAGTTTAAAAATTTTATATATATGGTGACAGTTGGGGAAGTCCTATGCCTAGTTCCAACATAAATTTGAACCTACATAGTTTATGTCTCTCATAAATACTATCATTATTTTGTTTGAATATGTATATAATTTCAGCCTTTACATTTTCCTATCACAATTTCCTTTGTACATTCATAATTATGAAGATTCTATGCATATAAAATCTTACTGAACCAACTAAATACCAGGTCATTCTTTTTAGTTTAATCTTGTATTTCTCTTGCTTTTGAAGCCTTTTATATTTTCAAGCAGTTTTCCCCAGTCATTTTCTCTGGTTTTAAACCTTTCCATTGATAATGAATTTCGATTTGAAGCACAGAAATTTCACATTTGCAGAAGTTCACTGTATGAATATATTTCATGCTATTAACTTGAGTCTCAAATCATATGTAACTAAGAACAGGTGCCCCCTGTCATCTTTGTCTTCTACCCCTTTCTTTTTCCAGAAAGAAGAAGAAATTGTGATTTATAGTAAATCCTGGCATTAAAAGAATGTCTTATATGTCTCCTTTGGTGATAGTTCTGGACTTGAAGAATGACATGTAATAATAAACAGTCAGGTTTTTAAAGTGACAGTTAAGAATTTCAAGGAAGAGAAATGACATACCAAATAGCAATATTACCATCAGAAGTGTGGCTAAATAATTTGAGTCAAATGAATCGAATTCCCACTTTTATTTTATTATGCAAGCACATGGCTATGGATTCCAAAGCCGTCTCTGCCCATTTTCTCACACAATATTAGTTTTTACCTGGTATCACTGGGGACCCTATACTTTGTGAAAATATCATAAACAATGGGCCTTTTATTTGTAATTATTTTAAACTTATCAAAACCCAAGATGCTGCCACCATGGGGTTCATGAAAATGTTTTATATACACCCATATTTCAAGTCTTCTCTCCATTTGAATTTGTGGCTTGGTGACTGTTAAGTTCTTAGAAAAACAGAAATTGGGCTGCAGCCATTCTGGAGAGGCTTATTTCTTTCTCTTTTTGTCTTTGACTTGTACTCTGTAGTTTCATGAACCAATATCCTTTGATGCATCAAAAAGGATTCATTTTACTTGGTACTTGAGTTTATAAACAAATGAACATATGAGTTCTAAGAGAAGATATCTATCATTTGTTTTCTCCGAGTAATAAACCACCCAAAGTTATGAGTCAGGTATCATTTGGGTGGTTCTTCCAGTCTGTGCCAGATCTTATCTTTGCCTATTGACATCTGCATTCATCTGGAGGTTTGGCTGGTGTTTGGCAGGTGGACTGGTGTGGAGCAGGAATTTGTAGGCTACAGCTCATGGACCATACATGTTTTTATTTATTTTTTTAATGTTGGAACACAATCATGCTCATTTGTTGAACAGAGTAGTTATGACAAAGATCATATGTCCTGCAAAGACTAAAATATTTATCATCTCACCCTTTACAGAAAAAGTTTGCTAATCTCTGGTCTAGGAAGTCTCAGATAGGATAATTTGTCTCTGTTCTGTGTCAGCTAGAGAGAGAAAAAGCCACAGTACACCTCTGCTTCCATCACATTTGCTAAAAGCAAGTTGCATGAACAATCTCAAATTCAAGGACTAAAGAAATCAACTTCACCTTTTAAAGGGAGAAGCAGCAGCATCACATTACAAAGTGATATGCTCATAGCGATGAGAAAAATGTGTTTCCACTCTTAAGTATAATCATGTTACTAACTTCTTTATGCAGTAGTACCAGTTTTTGAACTAGCAGAATGTGTATTGTTGTTTTGCATTTAGGTTCTCACTGAATTCCTTGATTTATAACTGAAGTCCTCTTCCTGCTCAGCTCCCCTCACCCTAAACAGCTAAATGTTAGTGTTCCAATTTAGAATCAGAAACAAAGACCAGACATGCCACTATGAAGTGCAGTTGACATCCTTATAAGGGAGACATATTTCCTTGTATTCTGGTAGCGCTAATTTCCCTTACCTCTCAATGTCTAGTTATGATGATGATGTAGAATGGAGAGGGGTGGAGAAAAGAAGCCACTAAGGCAGGAAAAGATGGCATTGAAAAACAGTGAGCTTTCTTGCCGAAAGAATCAGACCAAAGTTCAAAGGAACTTTGTGCATTCTGAGTCATTATCTAGCTGTTCTTTCAGTTGCCTTCAATCAGGATGGTCTCATCCCAGCAGTTCATCTGATGTGACTGTCTCATTTGAAGTGATGTGTCTTTGAGGCTCTAGCTAAACTAACTCAAGATGGAAAGCTGGCCATCTAACGGACCACTCAGAAGATGAAGGTATCTAGAAAAATTTGCTGCTGAACTCTCTTGATCCTGAACAACAGGATACTAGGCAGAATCATCTTGAAACCTACCACTATTCTGGAGCAGCTCATGTTATACCTTGTGTGAAATATGTGATCATTTCTTTGACTTGATACATGCCTCATCCATTAGTAAAAGTATGAATACCTTACCCTGTCTTTCTCTGTTTTCTCCAAATTGTAATGCAGGTCTATGAGAGTGTTGCATTTTTAAAAACCATATTTGACAACCTTTCCAAATTCTTTGGGACAGTTAAAAATTGAATTGGGACTCACTTTCCAAGAATATGTTACTTGCAATAATACTATCATCATTCTCTGAGTGAGCCATTAGATGTGTTTACAGATCAGACGTGCAAAAGACATTTTATCATCATCATTTTTGCTGGTTTGTATTTAGAGTGCTTTTTGTAATTTCTACTTTTAGTTGTTAAGAGTCTTTCTGGTTGACTTTTTACATGTGCAAAATCAAAATGCAGAAGCAAAATTCCTGTCAATGTTGAAAAAAAAGATATTTAAGAACTGTTCAAACCAAATTTATATTTTAGTCATTTGATTTCCCCCAAATGGAGAAAAAAAGCCTAATCAACAGAAGAGCTTTTTCCCAGTGGTTCATAATTCTCTTTAAGTAAGGATTCAAGAAAAACATTCTCCCAGATACACTGAGAAGAAACTCCCCAAAGACATGTTAAAGCAATGAGAGAGTGAAACATCAGAGGAGAGAGGAAGAAATAGCCACAGTGGAAAGACCCATGGTCTGAAAACAGTCAGAATTGAGATGACTGCCTTGGATAAATGCCTAATGAGCCATGGTGCCAGCTGTGGACTTCATGGACAGCCTATCCGTACAACCAGTGAGAAGAGCCCTGCAGCCAGTCACATAATGGTTGTTTTGGAAACATGGATGACCGAGGGAAGAGGAGGAATAAAAAAATGCAACTTTATCCGTGGTGAAATAAAACATCAGCCACACATCCAACTCAGGATTTTCAAAAGTTTCCCTTTTGAAGTGTTGCATTGTAAAACCTTATAAATTTGGACTCTATTGTAGGTACTTTCTCCCAGCAGTTACAATAGATTCCAAGGAAAATTTTATTGTCCTCCTAAAGTCAGAGAACTTGGTGGGAAAGAGTGATATGGCAACTCAAGTTTATCTTGCAGAAGTACATTTTTATCCAGGTTTATTCTTGTCACAAAACCTGCTCCTTTAACACGGAGTGGGATAGGAAATTCTTCTTTTAAAAAGAACTTATCTCCTTTTTGTTTCAAGATTCTGGCTTAAGCAGAGGTCTCAGTTCAAAGCCACCTCCTCACTGGTGACCTTGACACCGCAAAATATGCTAGCCCCATCCACCCTCATGTTTTTTTCTTTATAGATCTTGTTACTCTCTAAAATCATTTTGTTTGCTTGTTTATAATCTGTTTATCCCATAAGAATTGGAGTTTCATGAAAGCAAGGATCTACTGGAGATTGTTCAGTATTATATTCTTAGCTATTAGAACAATGCCAGGCCCATAGTAGATGCTCAATAAATATTGTCAAATGAATGAATACATGGGGTAGAGCTGGAGGACGCTATATTACTTAGCGCTATATGGTAAAGGAAGACATCTCTAAGAAGAGAGATTTGTGCTGAGATTGGGAGAATACAGTGGGAAACAGCCGAGACAAGGAGAGTGGGGAGCTGAGCAGTGGATGAGCTAGAGATGGAAGCAGGGGATAGGGCATGCAGGCTCCCATAAGTCCTGGCAAGAAATTTAGATTTTATTCTATGGAAAATGAGAAGGTGACTTCCATGTTTTATAGTTTTGTTTCGACTTCTATCAACAACCCTGTAATATAGTCACATTTTTCTCAAACTGAGATAGTGGTAACTATAGCTTTAAATGGCTAAGTGGTTCAAAATCTCACAGTCAATAGGAAATATGAAAGGAGTCTAAGCCTGGGTCACCCAATCCAAATGAACTGTCATTTCCCCTACTCCAGGGTTCCAAGGAGCTGTGCTTTGCAATACTTTAGTTGGTCTAGTTTGGATAATTTCTTTCTCTTGAAAGCAACAAGTCTACATAATCTATGCAAAAGCTATTATTTCTTGATACTATTTAAACATTGCAATCTTTCACTATGTCAATCCCCACTTTAGAAGGACTGCTAAGAACGTGAACTCATAAGACCTAAGCTGCTAGAAAAGCCACAGAAACCTCAAGCTCCATCCTTTTCAAATCTGAAGAAACAGGGGCAAACATGAGTTCATTTCTAAAACCATGTGCAATCTTCTGGGGTTTTGTTTTGTTTTGTTTTCTGTTCACAATAAGTTTTCTGACTCTACTTTGGAGAGTGCCCTCAAGCTTTTCATCATCTCTGGAAACATAATTGACAAAGATTCTTCCTTTCTCTGTAGTAATTAGAAGGTTTCTGTTCTCTCTGCCCCAGAAGAAAACACTTTTCACCAATTTTGCCTTTACTGCTTCAGAGCTCCGGATGAAATTCTGGGAACTACACGAAGTGTGTGTAGGTGTGGCATCATCACCATTAACCTGGAGCAAATCTCTCCCCCTGACACTGATGTGCTTCCCATCTCCCCAGAGAGTGTGAATCTGTTCAGCAACACCTGCTAACAACTGAAAAAGGAGAACTGCCTCCTGAAGGGATAATCTCACACAATTTTTGATCTAATGTGGCAGCCAGAAAGAAGGCTTGCCAGGGGTCAGAAGCATTGCTATTCCCGAACTGCCAGGCACCACCCCACAAGCATCTTGTGAGGCCTGGGGGACACAGTCATATAGGAGTTGACAAGGCACTCTGGTAAAAGGGCCATTGAAGACTTTTGATGGCAGGCTGGGAGCTGGCCTTGCCCCCTCTGAAATGCAAGCTGCAGGAGAAACTTACCTCATTTAAAATACCCCTCAGAGAAAGAAATAGCAGAGTGAACTTGGCAAAGCAGTATTGAGCCAATCTTTTAAAAATGCCTATTTCTGTGGACTGGCTGCAGAGATGCCTATTCTAGGGGGTTGTCTCTCATTGCCCATTTTGGAGGAGTGGGTTCTGAGCTGTGTGTCCTGGCCCCCTGTCCTAAATACAATTTTCCAGGTGGCTATCAATAAAATTAGATGATTTGTCAGAAAGAAAGCAGGCCAGGTGCAGGGTCCCCAGGATCCCAGACACAGCCTGCTGCTAATGGAATCAACTGCTTAATGAATGAGGGGCTTTACACAGACCCTGAGGTTAAAAGTCAACAGGAAGGGCTTCAACAACAACTTTATTAGGCAGATGCGCACCATGGTATTCCAGCCTAAAAAAGCCCGTCTCGGATAGTTTCTTTTCTATTTAAGGATCCCAGAGAACAAAAACACATTAAAAAAAAAAAAACTTAATAAATTACCCCAGGATAATTTGCTTTTCAGGTGATTAAAACCACTTGGCATGAAGTCTGTGCTTTAAAATATCCCCCAATATGTGCAAATAATAGCCTGGAAGTAGCAGCTCATCACATTTGTTAGGTAGAATTTTTTCAACGAAGGTCAATATATATACCAGGAAATTACCAGTGCCGGAGTACTTAACACAAGTTGGGAGCAAGAACTGATACACAGCCAATGTCATTACATAGTTTATGAATTTAAGAGCCAAGTTTGTTAACTTCATTTGGAAAACACAGGACTCAGTTCCAGTTTTAATTGGCACATGGCTAGTGGCTTATGCAGCCACTCCAAGCCTGCTGCAAAAATTTCTAAACAGAGAGATAAAACAGATAGTCTTACAACTTCTCCACAATTTAAAACTAAAGTCAACTTATTGCTAGACTCTTGAAAGAATTATTACTACCAATGAGGCCAATGAGAATACAAACTATATAATAAACAAAAATGAATACACACCAGTTAACAAAGCTTTTTTAAGAACTATAAATGGATAATCAAAAATTTTGGAAACAGCAGCATAAAGAAGAAAAGCCAAAATCAACATGCAGGAAAAAAAAGTAAATCCTAGATAAAATGGAAGCAGAAGAGACCTTTAAAAAAAATTAACATGGAGAAAACATCAATATACTATATCAATAAATATGAACGAGATTCTGTAAAAAAGAAATACTCAGAATGAGTAAGAGTTCCTAGACAGTAAATGCAGAATTGCTGGAATTAAAAACTCCGTATAAGACAGGGCAAATAGGCCGGGCGCGGTGGCTCACATCTGTAATCCCAGCACTTTGGAAGGCTGAGACAGGTGGATCACAAGGTCAAGAGATCGAGACCGTCCCGGCCAACATGGTGAAACCCCATCTCTACTAAAAATACAAAAATTAGCTGGGTGTGGTGGCATGCACTCGTAATCCCAGCTACTCAGGAGGCTGAGGCAGGAGAATTGTTTGAACCCAGGAGGCAGAGGTTTCAGTGAGCCGAGATCGCGCCACTGCACTCCAGCCCTCCAGCCTGGGCGACAGAGTGAGACTCTGTCTCAAAAAAAAAAAAAAAAAAAAAAAAAAAAGGCAAATAAAACTCAGAAATCCCCCAGAATGTACAGAAGGGAAAAACAAAGAATGCAAGACAGAGAATCAGAAAGTGAGAGAGACAATGTGTAAGAGACAATACAGCATAAAGAAAACCAGTACATACGTTCCAGTGCCTAGAATAATAGGATTCTCAATAAGACAAAAAGAATAAATTATTGAAGAAATAGCATCTAGAGACACAAAAGGATTGTGACACTAAACCTAAAGGGCCCACTGAGTGCCAGCACAGTGAATAAAAAGAAAATCACACTAAACATATTATTGTAAAATTTTAAGACCCCAAAGAAAAAAGAAAGATCCTAAAAGCTTCTAGAATGAGAAAACTGATCAGACTAGCATTTTTTCAGCAACATTGAACACTAGAAGGTAATAGAAGAGTGCCTTCAATAATCTAAGGATAAATTATTTTCAACCTAAGGTAGTATGCTGAGCCAAATCTATAAAATGTGGAAGTGAAATATTTTCAGACAAGCAAGGACTCAGAAAACACAAACAGAAAATAGGTGTGGTATAAGGTCCCAAATTCATCTTTCACGTCATTTTGATGTAGCTAGTCTATGGTCCACATGTTCAGAAATATTAGATTGTGAATCTCTTGAGGACAGATAAGATGCTGTTCCTCATGATGTAAAGCCAAATGACAATATTTAAAATTAGGAACCATGTGCATCATTTTGCTTTACAGTTCTAAATCCAAAATGTGATTTAATCCCAAGAGGAAATAATTCACCTGATTTTTTGATAGATGACTGATATGATTTGGCTCTGTGTCCCCACCCAAATCTTTTCTTGAAATGTAATCCCCACTTGTAGAGGGAAAGATCTGTAATCCCCATGTGTGGAGGAAGAGAGGTGATTGGATCATGGGGGTGGTTTCCCCCAGGCTCTTCTCATTTTAGTGAGTGACTTCTTATGAGATCTGATGGTTGTGTAAGTGTTTAGAAGTTCCTCCTTCATTCTTTTCTCTCCTGCTGCCTTGTGAAGAAGCTGCCTGTCTTCCCTTCATCTTCCATCATGATTGTAACAAGTTTCCTGAGGCCTCCACTCCAAGTGCACCAGTGAGTCAATTTTTTTTTTTTTTTTTTTGAGAGGAAGTCTTGCTCTGTCACCCAGGCTGGAGTGCAGTGGCGTGATCTCGGCTCACTGCAAGCTCTGCCTCCCAGGTTCACGCCATTCTCCTGCCTCAGCCTCCCGAGTAGCTGGGACTACAGGCGCCCACCACCACGCCCGGCTAATTTTTTGTATTTTTAGTAGAGATGGGGTTTCACCGTGTTAGCCAGGATGGTCTCTATCTCCTGACCTCGTGATCCGCCTGTCTCGGCTTCCCAAAGTGCTGGGATTACAGGCGTGAGCTACAGTGCCCGGCCACCACTGAGTCAATTAAACTTCTTTTCTTTATAAATGACCCAGACTCAAGTATTTCTTTATAGCAGTGTGAAAATGGACTAATACAATGACTTAACTTAGTATGGGTTCCCCTACAAGAGCCCAAGACAAGGTTGGAGGGCAAGCGTTTATACGGGATGGGATCCCAGGAAGCTTCAATCAGCGAGTGAGGAAATAACAAAAGGAAGGGAAGGTAGTCAGGAAGGGGCATTACCAAGCAAGTTTTGCTGTGAGAAACAGGCACTTAGACCCACTGCAGACTCCTGGGAGAGAGCTTAGGCCATGTCTTGGAGTTGTCTCAACCAAGAGACTAAGAAACTGGGAAGCTTTCATTCCATCATTGAGCTATTCCCATGAGGACTACTGTTAGGAATGCCAACTCCTCAGCACTTTTGCCCTGTCCCCAAGTGTGCCAAAGAAAGGCTTTATGGGTAGAATCCCAGGTGCTTGCAGTATGAAGTTACTACCCTGCCCAGAGAGGTGAGTGGAGAAGAAATATGGGTAGGGGCTGCCAGAATCTCTTATCTGTTTTGGAAAGGTCATTAGATGAGAAGAGAATCAACACAAAATCATAAAACAACAGAATTTAGAAAAAAATATTTAGGTAAAGAGCTCACAGGAAGAAAAATCTCTGAAAAATATTTATTATAATAACCAGAAAAATGTTTAGAGAAATGTTTTCTATTCTTGGGAGGATACATACCGTATAGTCTCTGCGTAACTAAAGCAAAGAGGCATAGGAAAGAATAAACTGGTGGGACAACCTCCTCTTCCAAACAAGAGAAGGAAGAGGAAACCATGAGAAAAGAAAGTTTCAGGAGAAAGAAAGATGGAGTTCATTGTAGATTCAAATTCTACATTGAAATGAAAAATAGTACAATTGATAGAGTGGAATGCAGAATCAGTGATACAGAATAAAAATTTGAGATCTTAGAGAATGTGCAAGAAAAAGACAAAGCAATACAATTTAGTGAAAAGAAGAGAAAATTGAAATTCTAGGGACAAACTGAGATTAGCCTTTCTAGCGTTCTCCAAACTTGTTTAGCACTGGAGCTTCTCCCCTCCTACAACAGTATTATACACATGATGCAATAATAATAAAATTCATGGTAAAAAACCAATAATAACACATTACAATGGCTCGACATTTGCCATGCACCAACACTGTTCTAATGGCTCTAGTGCACTAACTCATTTAATCCTCTATTATCTAGCTTTGGACTGGGAGAAAGGTAAGCAGCATGGGGCAAGAGAGAGAAACAGCAGCACTTAGAACAAGGCAGAAGTCAGAAACCAGGGCCACTCCAAGAACGGACCTTTCCCACTTGCATTTGTTCCTGACACCTGCTGGACTTTTCCATTGCTCTTTTGATCTCTGCCTTGCCTGTATTCCTTAAACTACCCCAGGACCCTTTCATTAAATTTCAGGTTTTGCTTAAGGTAGTTAGCTCTGAATTTCTGTCACTAGCATCATAAAAGTCCTAACAAATACAGAATACCAGCCTAGGAAAACTACAAATTACCACTGTTGCCAAGGAAGAAAATGAAGTATTTGAAAAAGAACCAATAATCAGACTTAAAGAAAATTATTTTCTGAGCTCAAAGAGAGTGGGTTTGATGTGGACATGCCCTAAGGTGATGTCCAATGCATACACCCTTCCAAAATCTCTTCCCTGGAATGCCCTGCTGGCACAGGTGAGAACCTGTGACTCACTTCTCACCAAAAGAACATGGCAAAGATAATGGGATGCTACTCCAATGCTTACATTACAGATTATAAAGCCCTGTGTTAGCAGATGGAGAGAGATTCTCCTTGCTGGCTTAAAGACATAACTTACCATATTGCCAGAGGGACCATGGAGTCAGGCATCTTCTAGGAACTGAGGGCAGCCTCCAGCCAACAGGCAGCAAAACACAGGCATACAGCTGCAAGAAAATGAATTCTGCCCACAATCCAAATGAGCTTGGAAGCAGATTCCTCCCTAGGCAAGCATCCAGAGGAGAATGCAGCCAGGTCCCTATCCTTTGTGGAGACCCTAAGGTAGGACCCAGTCAAGCTATGCCTCGACTCCTGGACCACAGAGGCTGTGGGCAAATAATTGTGTGTTGCTTTAAGCTGCTAAGTTTATAATTTGCTATACAGCAATAGAAAAGTAATACAAGGTTGACAGTCTTATCAAGTTTTCAACAAAAAAGTGAAAGAATAAGAATATTTATCCTGGCAAAATTTTTATATTAGAGCCTAGAAGAATTTGGTATTATAACCATAAAAAACAATGTCCTACAAAGACAAAACCAGGAAAAAGGAAACTGCTTATATAGTTTCAAAAACCAAATTTAGTTATTCTAAAAGAAATTAATCTCAGCTTCTTATCTGAAACACTGAAAGTGTGGGGGCAGTGTGGCAACATCTACTGGGCAGGAGAAGGATTTTTCTTAGCTTTTTCTACCATGTTTTCTTTCTGCTTGAAAGCAAAGAAAAATACATTCTCAGGCATACAAGAAGTCAGAAACAATTTTATTTATATTTATATATGGGTATGTATATGGGTGTATGTGTGTATATATTTCAAGTTCCGGTTTGATGATTATATGTACATCAAGATACACTCATATACACAAATAAATGGGCATAGAAATAGATAGATAAATGCATTAAATGTATGTGGTGGTTTCTGAATTCTTGTATTTTTATATACACATCTATCTATGCATCTTCATATTTCTACATATATGTTTATCTTCAAATGTGTGTATATGTGTGTGTATTAGTCCATTTTCATGCTGCTGATAAAGACATACCCAGGACGGGGAAGAAAAAGAGGTTTAATTGGCACTTACAATTCCACATGGCTGGGAAGCCTCAGAATCATGGTGGGAGGTGAAAGGCACTTCTTACATGGCAGCAGCAAGAGAAAATGAGAAGAAGCAAAAGCAGAAACCGCTGATAAGCCTATCAGATCTTGTGAGACTTATTCACTATCACAAGAATAACACAGGAAAGACCAGCCCCCGTGATTCAACTCCCTCCCTCCCTGGGTCCCTCTCAAAATAAATGGGAATTCTTGGAGATAAAATTCAAGTTGAGATTTGGGTGGGGACACAGACAAACCATATCAGTGTGTATATATTTCTGTATCAGCCAACATGCATTGAACAAAAGTTGAACAAAATTAAAACCTCAGTAGTAAGTTTTGGTATTAAAAAGGTTGTGATTTTCTCGTTAAAATAGCCATGGTCCAACAACTAGCTTATTCACCACAATGTCCTAAACAAGAACATCAATTTATATGATACATTTGACTGAATTAGCCTCAATAATGAACCTGCGAAAGTATCGAGGCAATGGTGATATTTCACAATATTATCTGAAAAATCTAAATGAAAAGAATTTTTTTGATTCATTATCTTTCATCATAAGAATAACCTGTAATGAACAAAATAAAATAGACGTTTAAAATTTCTCACTTGTAGCATCAGATTCACAAATGCAGATAAATGTCATGTGAAAAACAAACAAATTTCAGCTACTGAAGAGCAGAGGGCAGGTAGTGAATAGAAGGAGGAAGGTAGAAGAATATACAGCCAAATTTGACTGCTTTGGTTTTGGTAATAGTACAATTAGAAAATCGTTTTTTGCTAATTCTTCAACTACCCTTTAACAAACGGGATAATATAATGCTCCTTACTAAGAAGAATAAATATGAAATTAGAAATATGAGTGTCTTTTTAAGAAATAAATCTATATACATTAAGGAAAAATCTGAAGAAATCCCAGGAACACAGTGTTAATTCAAAGGCAATACAATGTATGATTCTGACTTGACTATTTTGAACACCTTGTCAGCAGAGGATCTTGTTTGCATAGGCTAAGTAGTGCTGTACCTCTTGTTTCTTAGCCCTCTTGTCAACCTGCTGTTAAGAATCTAAACGATAAGAGTGATCACTAGTCATTTTTAAAATCTACTTTAAAAATAATTTCATCTAATTCTATGTCAGTGTGAATGTCATGTGTTGTAAAAAAATATTTTAGGTGATTGTATAAAATGACATTCTCAAACACAGCTATTAGTTAAATGTTTAAGAGATAAAGAAATCTTAGAATCTCTTTTATTTTTTTCTCCTTTCCTACCTTGTATACGTGTATTAGCTTAAACTATGAAAACTATGTAATTATTATATTTGAGATAGCAAATTATTCTGTGTATCTCTCTTCTACTGTGGCTCAATAAAGTACTTCCTAAAAAACTAAATATAATCCTTAACTTGTTTGACAGGATTCCTTTTCAACAGAAACATAAGTTTTATGTAAAACAGTCTAAAGGCCAAGCAAACAAACTAAAAATAAATAGACCTGTTTGTACAATTGAGCCAGTAATACACTTCTAGGAATTTATGCTAAAGAGATAATAAGAAATATAGTCAAATATTATATGCAATACTATTTTGCACAGCATTATTTATAACAAATTTGGATGCATTCTAAAAATAAAATTGAAAGTGTGGTTAAATAGATTATGGCAAATTATTGGGCAGATAAACACAACAGTTATTTACTAAAAATGCATGTGTTGAATGACTTGCCTTCTTTTTCATTATTCTACTAACTACAAGCAAATAAAATAATAATTTAATTTTTTTCTTTCTATAACAAATTTATACAGGCATTGTAGAAAGCTTACTGTATTAGTCAGGGTTCTCTAGTGAGACAGAACCAATATGAAATCGATGGATAAATGAAAAATGAGAAAAGGTTTATTTGGAAAGTTGAGAAGTTTCACAATAGGCCCTCTGCAATCTGAGGACCCAGGAAAGCCAGTAGCACAGCTCAGTCCAAGTTCAAAAGCCTCAGAACCAGGGAAACTGATTGTATAACACCCACTCTGAGGCCAAAAGCCTGAGAAAGCCAGAGGCTGCTGGTGTAGGTCTTGGAGTCCAAAAGCTGGAGAGCCTAGAGTTCTGATGTCCAACGGCAAGAGAAGATAAGTATATCCCAGGTCCCAGAGAGAGGAAATTGCCTTTTGTTCTATCCAGGCCCCCAGCTGATTGGACAGTGCCTACCAGTATTGAGGGTGGATTTTCCTGACTCAGTTAACTGACTCACAAGCCAGTCTCCTTCAGAAACACCCTCACAGACACACCCAGAAGTAATCTTTTACCAGTTCTCTAGACAACCCTTAATCCATTCAAAGTGACACCTAAAATTAAGAAGCACACTTTTAAAATGAAAAACTGTGGGAAGAAGAAATAAATCACCCAAAATCTGCCACACAGTGATATCCACTATTGGCTTCCCAGCTCTATCTCATTCTCTTGTAAATAATAAATGTAGTCACTTAGTGTATTAGTCCATTTTCATACTGCTGATAAAGACATACCCAACACTGGGCAATTTAGAAAAGAAAGAGGTTTAATTGGACTTACAGTTCCACATGTCTGGGCAGGCCTCACAATCATGATGGAAGGCAAGGAGGAGCAAGTCATATCTAACGTGGATGGTAGCAGGCAAAAAAAGAGTTTTGTGCAGGTAAACTCCCATCTAAAAAAAAATCCATCAGAGCTTGTGAGACTCATTCCCAATTACAAGAACAGTGCAGGAAAGACCCGCCCCCATAATTCAGTCATGTCCCACCAGGTCTCTCCCACAACAGGTGGGAGTTCAAGATGAGATTTGGATGGAGACACAGCCAAGCCGTATCATTCGGCCCTTGGGTTCTCCCAGATCTCATGACCTCACATTTCAAAACCAATCATGCATTCCCAACAGTCCCCCAAAGTCTTAACTCATTTCAGCATTAACTCAAAAGTCCACAGTCTAAAGTCTCATCCAAGACAAGACAAATCTCTTCGCCTATGAGCCTGTAAAATCAAAAGCAAGCTAGTTACTTCTTAGATACAATGGGGGTACAGGTATTGGGTAAATACAGCCATTCCAAATGGGAGAAATTGGCCAAAACAAAGGGGCTGCAAGCCCAATGCAAGTCTGAAATCCAGTGTGGCAGTCAAATCTTAAAGCTCCAAAATTATCTCCTTTGACTCCATGTCTCACATCCAGGTCACACTGATGCAAGAGGTAGGTTCTCATAGTCTTGGGCAGCTCTGCCGCTGTGGCTTTGCAGGGTACAGCCTCCCTCCCAGCTGCTTTCATGGACTGGCATTGTGTCTGAGGCTTTTCCAGGTGCACAGTGCAAGCTGTCAGCAGATATACCATTCTGGGTTCTGGAGGATGGTGGCCCTCTTCTTACAGCTCCACTAGGTGGTGCCCCAGTAGGGACTCTGTGTGGGGGCTCTGACCCCACATTTCCCTTCTGCACTGCTCTAGCAGGGCTTCTCCATGAGAGTTCCACCTCTGCAGCAAACTTCTGCCTGGGAATCCAGGTGTCTCCATACATCCTCTGAAATCTAGGCAGAGGTTCCCAAACCTCAATTCTTGACTTCTGTGCACCTGCAGGCTCAACACCATGTGGAAGCTGCCAAGGCTTGGGGCTTCCACCCTCTGAAGCAGCAGCCTGAGTTATATCTTGGCCCCTTTTAGTCACAGCTGGAGTGGCTGGGATGCAGGGCACCAAGTACCTAGACTATACACAGCATGGGGACCCATGGTCCAGCACACAAAACCACTTTTTCCTCCTAGACCTCCGTGCCTGTAATGGAAGGGGCTGCTGTGAAGATCTCTGACATGCCCTGGAGACATTTGCCTCATTGTTTTGGGATTAATATTCAGCTCTTCATTAGTTATGCAAATTTCTGCAGCTGGCTTGCATTTCTCCTCAGAAAATGGGATTTTCTTTTTTATCTCATTATCAAGCTGCAAATTTTCTGAACTTTTATGCTCTGCTTCTCTTATAAAACTGAATGCCTTTAACAGCACTGAAATCACCTCTTGAATGCTTTGCTGCTTAGAAATTTCTTCTGCCAGATATCCTAAATCATTCCTCTCAAGTTCAAAGTTCCACAAATCTCTAGGGCAGGAGCAAAATGCCACCAGTCTCATTGCTAAAACATAACAAGAGTCACCTTTGCTCCAGTTCCCAACAAGTTTCTTATCTCTGTCTGAGACCACCTCAGCCTGGACCTTATTGTTCATGTCTCTATCAGAATTTTGGGCAAAGCCATTCAACAAGTCTCTAGGAAGTTCCAAACTTTCCCACATTTTCCTTTCTTCTGAGGCCTCTAAACTGTTCCAACCTCTGCCTGTTACCTAGTTCCGAAGTTGCTTCCACATTTTCAGGTATCTTTTCAGCAACTCCCCACTAATTCCCGGTACCAATTTATTGTAATAGTCCATTTTCACACTGGTGATAAAGACCTACTTGAGACTGGGCAATTTACAAAAGAAAGAGGTTTAGTTGGACTTACAGTTCCACATGGCTTGGGAGGCCTCACAATCATGGCAGGAGGCAAGGAGGAGCAAGTCACATCTAACGTGAATGGCAGCAGGCCAAAAGAGAGTTCTGTGAAGAGAAACTCCTTTTTTTTTTAAACCATCAGATCATCTGAGTCTCATTCACTATCACAAGAACAGTACAGGAAAGACCCACCCCCGTAATTCAATCACCTCCCATGGGGTCCCTCCCATAATATGTGGGAATTCAAGATGAGATTTGTGTGGACACAGCCAAACCATATCACTTAGCATTCTAATTTCAATTAGTATTTTACCATGTATAAATTCCAGAATGCCTAGGTCCAAATTCCAGCTAGCCCACATATGAGTTGTATGTCATTTGGCAAGTAATTAAATATTTTCACATGTTTTCTCACCATCCAAGGGGAGACAATAATAGCACTTACCAATAGTGGTCTGATGCTAAGAGTTATTACTTAGAGTTATTACAGAATAATTGGATGAATTTAGCACTTATTATACATAAAGCAAACCAAATAGACCTAAAAGTAGAGAATCAGTGAAGATATAAAAGACATGAAACTACTACTAAATAACTTGAACTAACTGACATTTATAGAACATGCCTCTCAACAACAGAATACACATTTTTTTAAAGTGCAAATAGACATTTCTCAGGATAGACCATATTCTGAAAAATGAAACAAATCTAAATAAATATAAATGCACTGGAATAATACAAAATGTATTCTCTGACCACAAGCAATTAACTAAAAAATCAATAACAGAAAAATACAAGGAAAATCTCCAAATAGTTGAAAATGAAACAAGACACTTCTAATAACACAAAGGTCAATGAAAAATCACATTGGAAATTAGAATATATTTTGAACTGATTGAAAATGAAAATGTAACACATCAAATTTTGTAGAAATGCAGCTAAAGCAGTGCTCAAAAGGAACTGAATGCATGAAAAATTAATATTATGAAAAAAGAAAATTTTCTAATCAATGCTGTAATTTTCTACCTTAAGAAACTAGAAAAAGATAAAACAAGTTAAACTTAAAAAAGAGGAAGGAAAGAAATAATATAGATAAAAGAATATATGAATTATATACAAAAGAGAAAAACAGAAAAATCAATAAAACTGAAAGCTGTTTCTGAAAAGTTTAATGCAATTAATAAACCTCTAGCTAAATAAATAAATAATTGTTTTTAAAAGAGAGAGAATGTAATTACCAAGTTCAGGAATAAAATAAAAAACGTCACTACTGATCCTACAGCTATTAATAAGATAATAAAGGAGTACTATGACAACTGTTTGCTTATTCTACAACTTAGATGTGATGGAAAAATCCCTTGAAAGATACAAATGACCAAAGTTCATTCAAGAAGAAATAGATAACATGAATATTCCTTTATCTATTACAGAAAGTACATGTATAATTAACAGCTTTTGTACTAACACACACATAAATGGGATGGCATGAGAATCTTTAAGCCTACATGGCTTCACTGGTGAAATCTACCAAATAGTTTCCTGAAAATTGAAGGAGTGAAACACTTGACGACTCACTTTAAAAAAGTTAATATTACCCATGTTAAAAGAAAAACTTCGGCCAAATTAAATTTAAGGGAGTTTAATTGAGGAATGAATGATCCACGAATGTGGTAGCCCCCAGAATCATGGCAGATTCAGAGAGACTCTAGCTCTTTATAGACAAAAAAAAGGGAAATGACATACAGAAATCCGAAGTGAGATACAGAAACAACTGAATTGGTTACAGCTAGGTGTTTGCCTTATTTGAACATGGTTCAAAGAGTCGGTTACATTTGATTGGCCAGAACTCAGTGGTTGGCACAGGTGTGGGCTACAGTTGTTTTACACCTCCACTTGTTACAGTTCACGATGTACAGAAAAACCTTTAGGCTGAAGTTAAATATGTAAGGAGGCAACTTTAGGCTAAACTTGATTAACACCCAAATATCAAAAGCAGGTAAAATACAAGAAAAAAGCCTACAGATCAGCATATCTGTATTAGTCTGTTCTCACACTGCAATGAAGAAGCACCTGAGACTGGGTAATTTGTAAAGAAAAAAGGTTTAATTAACTCACAGTTCCACATGGCTGGGGAGGCCTCAAGAAACTTACAATCATGGTGGAAGGCACTTCTTAACAGGGCAGCAGGAGAGAGAATGAGAGCTGAGCAAAGAGGGAAGCCCCTTATAAAACTATCACTCCCCTTATAAGACCATTACCCCATGATTCAATTACCTCCCACTGGGTCCCTCCTGTGTCATGTGGGGATTATGGGAACTAGAATTCAAGACGAGATTTGGGTGGGGACACAGCCAAACCATATCAATACGTTGTGAACATAAACACACAAATCATTACCAAAAAATAAGCAAATTCACTCCAACAATACATTAAAAAGACATTACATCATGAACAAGTTGTGTTTATGATAGGAATGTAAGATTGGCTCAACATTCGAAAATTAGTCAATATAATCCATTACATCAACAAGTAAAAAAAGAAAAACCATATGATAATCTTAATAAATGCAGAAAAAGTGGTTGACAAAAAATTAACATTCATCATGAAAAAACTCACAGGGATCTCAGAATGCAGAGGAATTTACTTTTCATGATAAAGAGCATATGCACAAAAATTACACATAACATTATGCGTAATGGTGAAAGACTTAAAGAATTAATTAAATATTTAAATAATTGTTATTAAACTATTGTCACTTGTAGACAATGATATAATGTATATTGAAAATACTAAGAAATTTTGAACTTATTAAAATTAATATTTGAGTTTGGGAGAGTTGCAGAATAGAAAATCAATATTCAAAAATTGATTATATTTTTCTAATCTAGAAGCAAACATTTGGAAATAAAAACTTTTTAAAAATGCCATTTACAATAGCATTAAAAGACAGAATACCCAGGGATAGATTTAACAAAATATGTGCAAGATCTGTACACTAAAATCTACAAATAATAACTGAGATAAATTAAATAAATTGTAAATAAATGATGAGAAATACAGTGCTCATGGATTGAAAGACTCACTATTCTTAAGATGTCAATTCTCCCCAAATTGATCAACAGATTCAACACAATCCCAATTAAAATCACAGCATATTTTTGCAGAAATTGCAAGTCGATTATAAACTATATATGGAAATACAAAGGACCTATAATAGCCCAAATAATTGTGAACAAGATGAATAAAGTTAGAAGACTCACACTACCTTACTTTGAGATTCACTTGCAATCTATAGTATTATTGACACAAATACAGAAATATAGTTCAATGAAATAAAATAGAGAATTCATAAATAAACCTACAAATACGCAGTTAATTGATTCTTTTGAAAAATGAAAAGATAATTCACTTGGGAAAAGATAGCCTTTTCAACAATGCTGTTGGAACAATTAAATAATCATGTACCTAACAATAAATCTCAACCCTTACATTACAGTATATACAAAAATTATCTCCAAGTGGATCACAGATCTAAATGTAAGATCTAAAACTATAAAATATCTAGGAGAAGATACAGGGAAAGTTCTTTGCAAACTTGGGTTACGTAAAAACATTTCTTAAATAGAACCCAAAACGTGAGTCAGAAGAGAAAAATCAATAAATTTGATTTTATGAAGACTCTTGGTTTTCTAAAGACACTGGTAAGTAAATGAAAATACAAGCCACTCACAGGGAGAAAATATTGGAAGACACATATTATATAAAAGACTTGTATCTGGAATATGTAAATAATTCTTACAACTCAATAATAGGAAGGCAAACAATCCTGCCCCCTCACCAAAACAAAACAAAACAAAACAAAACAAAACAAACAAAAACCTGGATAACTGGATAAATATTTGAATAGACACATCACAAAAGATGATACACAAACAGCATTAAGTACATTAAAAATATTCAACATTATTAGTCATCAGAAAAATGCAAATTAAAACCACAGTGAGATACCATCATAAACCCACTAGAACATGATGTTAATAAGAGTTCTTCAGAGAAATCAAACCAATAAGATGTCTATGTCTATCTATCTAGATATCTACGCATCTAGATATATCTACCTAGATATCTACGCATCTAGATATATCTACCTAGATATCTACGCATCTAGATATATCTACCTAGATATCTACGCATCTAGATATATCTACCTAGATATCTACGCATCTAGATATATCTACCTAGATATCTACGCATCTAGATATATCTACCTAGATATCTACGCATCTAGATATATCTACCTAGATATCTACGCATCTAGATATATCTACCTAGATATCTACGCATCTAGATATATCTACCTAGATATCTACGCATCTAGATATATCTACCTAGATATCTACGCATCTAGATATATCTACCTAGATATCTACGCATCTAGATATATCTACCTAGATATCTACGCATCTAGATATATCTACCTAGATATCTACGCATCTAGATATATCTACCTAGATATCTACGCATCTAGATATATCTACCTAGATATCTACGCATCTAGATATATCTACCTAGATATCTACGCATCTAGATATATCTACCTAGATATCTACGCATCTAGATATATCTACCTAGATATCTACGTATCTAGATATATCTATCTAGATATCTATCTCTATATCTATGTATCTAGATGTATCTATCTAGATATCTATGTATCTATATCTATATCTATATCTAGAAAGATAGAAGATAGATAGATAGACATCTACATAAAGAGATTTATTTTAAGGAAATGGCTCATGCCATTGTGGAGGCTTAGTGAGTCCAAAATCTGGTGGGGGAGAACAACAGACTAGAGATTCAGGAAAGCATAGTTAAATCCAGTGACAGTCTACTGGCAAACCACAAAGAGCTGATGTTGCAGACCACGTTTGAAGGCAGTCTGTCGGTAGAATTCCCTCTTGCTCAGAGGAAGTTGGGTCAACCTTTTGTTCTATTTATGTCTTTGGCTAATGGAAGCAGTCCCACCAACATTATAGAGGACAACCTGCTTTCCTCAAAGTCCACCAAATCAAATGTGATCTCATACAAAACACCTTCACAGAAGCATCTAAATTATTTGACCAAATATCTAGGCACCATGGCCCAGCCAAGGTGATGAATAAAATTAGCCCTCACAAATATCTAAAATTAAAAAGACTGATAGTACCAAATATGGGTAAAAATGTGGAGCAATTCTAACTCTCATAAATTGCTGGTGAAAATGTGAAACAGTACAGGCACTTTGAAAGACATTTTGGCCATTTCTTATAAGTTGATCACATATTGATCATATAACCAAGCTACCCTGCTCCAAAAGATATGAAAACTCTTATCCATACAAAGACTTGTATCCAAATGTATATAATAGCTATTAATAGCCAAAAATGGGAAACAACTCAAATTTTTACCACCTGGTAAATGGATAAGCAATTCATGGTATATTTATATAATAGAAACCTATTCAACAGTAAAAAGGAGCAAATGTGCCACATTGTGGATGAATCTCTAAGACATTATGCTATGAAAAAATGTCATCCACAAAAGACTACATACTGTGCGAGTCCATTTATCTGACATTCTAGGAAGGACAAAAATCAAAGGAACAGGGAACATCACCAGTTACCAAGGATTGAGATAGGATAAGGGGTAGACTGACTTTTGCACTTTATATACTTTTATACAAGAGAACATTTTGGGGGAAGAAATTTTTCCACATCTTGATTATCATTATAGTTACACAACTGCATGCATTTGTCAAAACTCACCTGACTGTCCACTTTAAGAAGGTAAATTTTCTTAATGTAAATTATACTTTGAAAAACCTGTCTTTAAAATAGACTAAGAAATACGTTAACTAATTAGATTATCAAATTATTTAAACAATTAACTGACAATACATTTTTTCAAATTATGAAAGTAGAAATTATTGAGAAAAATGTTCAATAAACATTTGAGATTGTAACATTATTATTTTCTCTTGCCATTAAATTATCCTTTGAAAACCACTTAGCCTATAAAATTAAAGTTGAAAGATTCTCTCTGTCTCTCTGTTGCACACACAGGTGTAACACTCACATACACGTATATGCAACACAGACACAGACTCCTGTAATTTTTGGAAGGCAAAATAAGCGGCCTTGGGATAACCCTAACAAAAATGACATAACAGGAAATGCGTCAGTAAAAACTGGCTTCTTGGCCTGGTTAGTGACTCACGCCTATAATCCCAACACTTTGGGAGGCCGAAGAGAAAGATCACTTGAGCACAGAAGTTTGCAACCAGCCTGGGCAACAGATGGAGACTCTGGGTAAAAAAAATAATAATAAATACAAATAATAAACTAAAAAAATGCTTCTCCCCTTTCCGGTAGTGTGCTATGAGGGTAGCAAGGCACTAGCTAGAAATAAAATGAAGGGAGCCAATTTAAGAATCATGACTTTGGAGGGTAAAATCCACAGCAGTGTTAATACCAGTGACTAGTAAAGGGTTGTTTGGGAGCAGAGGCAGAGGTGGAGGAAATGTGGCAGTTGCCATGCAGTGGTGAAAATTACATGTTCAAGATCTCTCAAGAGGAAGCCCCGGGGTCTTCCATAAATAGTCGATAAGATGTTTTCCCTTCAATGGCAGGTAAGTGTGAGCCAGGGAGATACATTTGACACTAACTCTAATGAGCACGCAAATGTTCCAAAACCTGATGTTTTGATCTTCGATGTAACAGAAGTTGTTTCTACACTAAGCCTTCAAACAAACTGAAAGAAAAAGGATATGCAATGTTTATTAATGCATTTGAATATCAGAGCTGAATGTGTATATTAAACACAGTAGCTATTATTTGCATTTGAAAAATGAAATGATTTTTTATAACAGCTTGGATTTTTAGAGGTTCCAGTCCTGAGTTTTCCCCTGCCTCACTCTGTGATTGGACAAAGCACTTGGTTTTTCTACTTCTTATTTTCTCTGCCAAAGAAAATGAGTGGGTTTAACCAAATAAGAGACTGTAAAATGACTGAATTTAGTACCCAGGCATGTTTTGTTTGGCATTTTGTTTTGGCATATTTATTTGTTTCAAAAAACTGGATATGTTGACAACATTGAAAAGTCAGAAGATTTTATATAACATATAGATCTAATACTGCTCAAAACACCTTGAAAAACTAATCTTTCATTTTGACATGACACCCGATGCCTGGAAGAGAGTTGCAGTAGCCACGTTTAGACAAGGAGTCACTTTCCACTGGCCACAATCCTACTGCTATATGTCACCCACCTGGCTCCATAGGTATGGCCATTCATGATGCCTGGACTAGATGCTACCAGGTTCTTTTCAACTGAAGATGCCATGGCTCCAATCTAAGTATACTGTATATTGCAAAAATGACTGAGAACAGCTACAAAAAGGCTGAAATCTATCAATTTCTTATTTTACTATATAGGCAAAGATCAGAGCTATTGTAGTTTTGGTTCCAGACCATTGCAATAAAGTGAATGTCTCAATAAAGTGAGTCACACTATTTTTGGGATTCCCAATGCATATAAAAGTTACATTTATACTATACTATAGCCTATTAAGTGTGCAATAACATTATGTCTAAAACAACAATGTACATACCTTAAAAATAAAAATATTTTATTGCTAAAATATGCTAATAATAATCTGAGCATTTAGCAAGTTGTAATCATTTTGCTGGTGGAGGGTCTTGCCTTGATGTTGATGGCTGCTGACTCATCAGAGATGGTTGCTGAAGGTTGGGGTGGCTGTGGTAATTTCTTAAAATAAGATGACAATAATGTTTTCTCCATCAATTGATTTTTCCTCTGATGAAAGATTTCTCTGTAGCATGCAACGCTGTCCGACAGCATTTTACCTGCAGTAGTAATTCTCTCCCTAAATTGGAGTCAATCTTCTCAATCCCTGCCACCATGTTATCAACTAAGTTTATGTAATATTCTAAATAGTCATTTCACCAATGTTTAGAGCATCTTCACCAGCAGTAGATTCCATCTCAAAAAACCATTTTCTTTGCTCATTCATAAGAAACAACTCGTTATCTCTTAAAATTTCATCGTAAGATTGCAGCAATTCAGTTACATATTCAGGCTTCACTTCTAATTCTAGTTCTCTCACTATTTCCACCATGTCTGCAGTTACTTCCTCCACTGAAGTCTTGAATCCCTCGATTTCATCCATGAGGGTTGGAGTCAACTTCTTCCAAATTCCCGTTAATGATATTTTGATCCCCTCCCAGGAATCCCAAATGTTCTTAATGACATCTAGAGTTGTGAATTCTTTCCAGAAAGTTTTCCACTTACTTTGCCAAGATCCATCAGAGGAATCACTATCTATGGCCTCTGTAGCTTAGGAAATGTCTTCCTTGAGTAATAAGACATAAAGTCCAAAGTAGTTCTTGATCTATGAAATAGAGAATGGATGTTGTTTTAGCAGGTATGAAAATAACATTAATTTCCTTGTATGTCTCTATTAGGGCTTTTGGGTGGCGAGGTTCATTGTCAATGAGCAGTAATATATTTTGAAAGAAATATTTTTTTTCCAAGCAGTAGGTCTCGACAACAGGCTTAAAATATTCAGTAAACCATGCTATAAATAAATGTGCTGTCTCATCCAGGCTTGCTCCATTTATAGAGCACAGGCAGAGTTGACTTAGCATAATTCTTATGAACCCTAGGTTTTGCAAAATGGTAAGTGAGCATTGGCTTCAACTTAGTTACCAGCTGCATTAGACCCTAATAAGAAAGTCAGCCTGTCTTTCAAAGCTTTAAAGCCAAGCACTGACTTCTCTCTAGCTATGAAAGTCCTAGATGGCATCTTCTTTTAGTAGAAGGTTATTTCACCTACATTAAAAATATGTTGTTTATTGTAGCAAACTTCATCAATTATCTTAGCTAGGTCTTCTAAATAACTTGCTGCTGCTTCTACATAAGTACTTGCTTCTTCATCTTACACTTTTATGATATGGAGTGAACTTTTCCTCAAACCTCATGAATCAACCTCTGCTAACTTCAGATCTTTTTTTCTTCAGCTTCCTCATCATTTTCAGCCTTCTATGAGTTGAAGAGAGGGCCTTGCTCTGGTTTAGACTTTGACTTAAGGAAATGTTGAGGCTGGTTTGATCAGCAATAAGGCTGTTTTGCTTTCTTATCATTCTTGTATTCACTGGAGTAGCTCTTTCCATTTTCTTTAATAACTTTTCCTTCATATTCTTTTTTTTTTTTTTTTTTTTTTTGAGACAGAGTCTTGCTCTGTCACCCAGGTTGGAGTGCAGTGGCGTAATCTCGGCTCACTGCAACCTCCGCCTCCCGGGTTCATGTAATTCTCCTGCCTCAGCTTCCCGAGTAGCTGGGACTACAGGTGCCTGCCACAATGCCCAGCTAATTTTTGTATTTTTAGTAGACACAGGGTTTCACCATATTGGCCAGGCTGGTCTCAAACTCCTGACCTTGTGATCCACCCACCTCGACCTCCCAAAGTGCTGGGATTATAGGCGTGAGCCACCGTGCCTGGCCTTCATTTGTATTTTTTTTTTTATACTTTAAGTTCTAGGGTACACGTGCACAACGTGCAGGTTTGTTACCTGTTTGACACAAAGGCTTAGTTTTCAACCTATCTCAGCTTCTGGCATGCCTTCCTCACTAAGCCTAATCATTTTGATTGAAAGTGAGAGGTGCACAACTCTTCCTTTTACATGAACATTTAGAGGCCATTTTAGGGTTATTAACTGGTCTAATTTTAATATCGTTATGTTTGAGGAAATAAAGAGGCCCCTGCAAATGGAGAGAGATAGGAAAACGTTTGGTCACTGTAGCAATCAGAACATACACATTTATCAATTAGATTGGTTATCGTATATGGGTGTAGTTTGTGTTGCTCCAAAACTATTACAATATTAACAGCAAAGATCACTGATTAGAGATCATCATAACAGATAAAATAATAAGAAAGTTTGAAATATTGTGAGGATTGCCAAGATATGAAGATACAAGAAGGAAGCATGTAGACTTGCTCAACACAGGATTGCCATAAATCAATTTGTGAAAAACACAATATATTCAAAGTGCAGTGAAATAAAGTATAATGCCTATTGCTGCTACAACATCCCAAATACCTTTCTTCTGATCAGAAAGTAGCTTCCAAGGAAGCAATTTAGCAAGAAAAATAAAAGGAAATGTAAGACACCAAGGGAATGTGTCTATTGCTCAGTAGCCAACAACAGACTACCAAACCATGCTAAGACTTCCTAACCTGACCAACTACTTCAGCAATTGACAATGCTAAAGATTAGCATTTGTCCAAAAAGATTAGTATCATAATTAAATTCAATGGAAAAAATATTTTTGAGTACCAGCTCAAGACTAGACTCTGCTACATAGCACAATTAATAGAGGAATGAGATACAATTCCTGCCTTTATAGCCTGGGACACTTAAATGCAAACTTAAAATGTATAATTTATATAACATAAATATATTTATTTTAAACATTTAATAATTACAAAATATTTTAATAAATGTATTAATAGATATGGTACGGAGGTATAATAAACAAAAGGTGGCTCTCCAGAGCTTTTGCATGTGCCGTTTCTCCGCCTGGATCAATTTTCACCCAGTTTCCAAGTAATTCATTTTTTCTCCTCTCTCATACATTTGTTGAAATGTCTTTGTTGATTAGCCTGTTTAAACTGAAACTGCCCAAATCCCCAAGACTGGCATCTTGTAATTTCTTTCTGCTTTATTTTCTTTATAGCACTAATGAGCATTTTTCATTCTGTATATTTTACTTATTTGTTTTGATGACTGTCCTTGTCTCGTAGTGGAATGTAAGCTCCATGAAGGCAGGTTTTTTTTTAACTGTTTTTTTTTTTTTAATAATCGTTTCCATATCTCCTAGAATAGTGCCTGGCACATAGAAGTCATTGGGTAAATATTGGTTGAATTATTCAATGCCTGAAGTAATCAGTTATGCTCAGGAAAGGCAGAGCAAACTTCCTGAAAAGATGGTGTCAAATAAGTTATAAAGAATGAATAAATGTTCACTTTGTTCCCAGTTGACAAACTGGGAAGAGAGCATGTTATGAAAAGAGGGTAGTGTGTGCAAGAATGTGTGAAAGATCACTGCATACTCCGGGAGAGTATGTATTTAGGGTTATTACATGTTTATTACTATTTTCAGAAATAGTTTAATAGTGCAATTGTTACAAGTTAGAGCTCCAAAAACTGTTGGTACTCTTACAAGCCCTTATAGGCAATGCTTTATTTCACTTTCATACATGTAATTGGAATCTACCACATTTTGCAGATGAGGAAATTGGAGTTCTGACAGGCTACATCTTGCCCAAAGCCACGTGGCTAGTAAGTACAAAGATGACAGTTTAGATTTGCTTGGTGGCTTCAAACCATGTTCTTTTCACAGGTAGAAAGCCCTACTGGACTACTTCTTTGCTGACTCCATCATAAATTAACCAGAGGTACACCTTAATAAAGTGCACGGATGCTTTTCATGGCTTTGAATCTTTTAGGAACATCTTTATAAGGCACATACATCTCAAAGAAACTGGATAGCATACAAAATCTTCATTTATTTAGTATAAAATGATTTGCTTGCAAGTCAAATTAATGCTTCCTCTCCCAGATTCCGTTTGTTTATCTGTTTGTCTAAAGACAAACATGAACTCTCTGATATGAGGCCAAAAGTTTCAGCTAAGTCTCCTTTGTTGTTTGCAAGAATTCTTTATGCTATTTTAAAAGAAAAAGAGGAAGGGGAAGTTAGAGAGAGAGGAAAAGATAACTTCTCATTTCAGAACATACTAATCTTGTGTCTCTAAGGACTGCTATTTGGCATTTGTTTAGCTGGTGCTGATTTGGAAACCAATTGAATATACAGTGTTTATTTCAAACCATTACTTTCCTCTGCCACTCTGATTTTTCTGGGGAATATTTGCATTTAGATGCTATCTGTATAAAGTAAGGGATATGACCATGAACAATTTGAAGACAATGAGAAAAAACAGTTAAAGCAAAGTAAAAGAAAATGCAGTTACAAAAGGAAGAAGTGACGAGATAAAATGAAAAAAAGAGGGCTCACTGACTGAGCTTCACATAAAATAATGAAAAATCAAAAGAATAAGGACAAGTCAAAGAAAGAGTAAGGACAAGTCAAAGAAAAATCAAAGGCAATGAGGGTGCTATTTTTGTATATTAAAACATAATTAATATTCATCACATTCTTTAAATGGGAAGTGGAAAATTGAGGGAGACAGAAAAGCAAAGGAAAGGAGTGAACAAATGGTTCAAGATAATAAGGAGAAAAACAGAGCAATGGAGATAATTGGAAAGATTGTATGGCCAAGGTTGAAGTATAAGCAGTCCAACTGAATGCTATTTTTATAATGTTAGAAAGTACTGCCAGAAAAACAGTAATTCATTCACTTATTCATTCTTTCATTCAGCCTGTGTTTGGGGAGTACCCACTGTTTACCAGGTCTTTGTGCTAGATCCGGGAAACATGAAGATGAATGGGCAGTATTTCTTTCAAGAAAATTAGAATTGGACACTCTGATTATGATTTAATCCTTTGAGTGGAAGTAAGGCATTCAGAAGTCATTTCATATGACTGAAAAAATTACTTGAATGTGTATATACTTTAAACGTAATTAAATATGATTAAAAATGACACCTTTTGACCTATACCTGTCATTCGGTGAAACCTGTGTATGTCACAGCTTCCAATGACGGAAGGGGCACAGGATGAGGAAAAGTGCTGAGAAGGAAACGTTGTGACTTCTAAAGTTTTTTTAATAATAAGAGCATAGGTCTCACTCAAGTCATATTTTAACAGAATAAATGGGTTGCATGTTTTCTGGGAGTCATTCATAGAACCAGAGGAGACTGGATGAATACATGCACGCATGTCGGGGAAGAATGTATTTTAACATACACAATAGCTGATTACATCGATGTTAGTGAAGATCTGAATTATGTTGAAGGAAATTAACAAAAGAGTGAGTCAAAGAGGAAGTGCTGAGTGTTAACAGGTACTCAATAAACCAAGCTCTAACTGGAGAAAATGAGTTCTGCGTCAAAGCCCAAAATATTATCTGGAACAGCTTCCTAATACTCCCTGCATCTTCAGTCTTTGATATTACATTCATCTTTCTTACTGATGCATGATTACTCTGCCTGGGCCACAGATCTGGACTGCCCATAGCAGTCTCCTACTTGATTATTCTCAATGAATTGTGCATTCAAGATCATCCAACATCTGACCCTACCCTCTCTTTCCAATTCTCTCATTTTATCCCTTGGCAAACTGATCATTTCCTAATCAGAGGGAGCACCTTACAATTTTCTACTGCCAAGCTTATGTGTCTTCTGTTCTCTCTGCCTCCTTCTTTCCATTACTTCATGCTCAAATCTGACCCATTCAAGACCCAGTTCAAATGTCACTTTTTCCATGAAATCTTTCTTGATGTTCCCAGATGGAAATAACCATTTCAGTCTCTGAATTCCTAAAGGACATTCTGTGTTCTTTGTCCATGGCATTTACTCTGCTTAGGTTAAAGCAATTTATGCTTAGCTCCCTTTCTAGATTATAATCTTTTTAAAGGAAGCACATATTTCTGAGTAAGAATTATAATGCCTAAATGGTGCAAAACCAAACATGTTTATAAATGACTAAATTAACAACTGGAAAGAAGATCACATAGGTGGGACTCAATGAAGAGAGTATGATGGCATCAGAAACGGGCAAACAGCAGCTGGTAAAGGGTGTGACAATAATTAGGAGATGATTATTAAGCTGTAAAACCGGTCCTGAAATACCCAGAAATGCTATAATATTGACCAATACTAGGAACTATCTTAAACTGCCACCATCAAATTTACATGTAATACAAATTCCACGTAATTAATTCATTTATTAAACAATATCCAATTCAAAAGTTACATTTGTTTTTGTTACTGTACGTTTGTAGAGAAATATTTGCTGAGGTTATCACGTGTTTATCCATTTGTGATACATCAAAAAACCTTCATATAAAAGAAATAGTACATCTGCTCCTAATTTCTCATGTTTGTTTCCTCTCCTTACATCTTTATTTTCATAACTGTATTTGGAATATTTATGAATAATTCCATCTTTTAAGCCTGACAGCATTAATTTTATCAGACCAGAGAGCCTCCCCATGTATCTCTGGCACATTCTAGAGTCAAGGTGATTAGCCCAGCAGGGGTCTGAAGAAGTACTCATAAGACGCTTTTTCAGAAACCCTCACTGCTGGAGTATCATTTTAGTCCCTGCACAACTGTAACCCAAACTTGCAAGGCTTGTACATAACATTTTGTCATATATACAGTAAATGTATATAATGAATTGAATTTCTTAAACAGATATTACAAAGCCGTAGTAGCAAATACTTTACTAAAATGCTAAACAGCATTCAACTAGATAAGTTTATCCCCTTTAGAATAGTTACCATGACAGGCTGGGCTTGGTGGCTCATGCCTGTAATCCCAGCACTTTGGGAGGCCATGGCAGGCGGATCACCTGAGGTCAGCAGTTTGAGACCAGCCTGGCCAACATGGTGAAACCCCGTCTCTACTAAAAATACAAAAATTAGCCGGCCGTGGTGGCATGTGCCTGTAATCCCAGCAACTCAGGAGGCTGAGGCAGGAGAATCACTTAAACCCGGGAGGTGGAGGTTGCAGTGAGCCGAGATCATGTCATTGCACTCCAGCATGGGGGACAAGAGTGACATTTCATCTCAAAAAAATAAAAAATAAAAAATAGTCACCATGACAGTATGTATATTCATTCTAGTATTGGAGCTGTTGCTCACAACCTCTCTGCATTCAGAGTCTTTGGGGTTATACAGTTGACCCTATGGAGAAGTTTGGGAATCTTCTCTTTTTCCTTGGCCCTGTGTTTCCATGAGGCAATTTTAGCTAGAGTATAAATCTGGATTGCCTACTCCACTTCAATATCTCTTAGGGAGGAAGAGTGAGTTCCCGTCTGTTAGGTGCCCTTAATTGGTTCATGTTTCCCATTTGGCTGTAATGAATCTAATAAAAACCTGTAAACACTAGGGACTGTCATCCTATTCTCTCTCCTCCCTGGATTATTGCAGAGCAGCTACCCTGGATTGTCCAGGATGTGCACACAGGTCTGATCACCATGAGTAAGGGGCCTTCCCCTGCCCTAGAAGTCTTCTGGTATCCCAGCAGTCAGTGATCTGGTAGGTCATTTGGTCTCATTCTAGGGCTGTTGGATTAGCAAGCTTGCATTTCCACAGACCTTGTTTGACATTAGTACTGTAAATGTAGGAAGTTGCTCTATAAATATCTAACTCCAACATCCATTTCTACGTTGGTTGCAGGTTCAAGAAGGGGCTGGCCATGGTGGCTCACGCCTGTAATCCCAGCACTTTGGGAGGCCGAGGCAGGTGGATCACCTGAGGTCAGGAGTTCGATACCAGCCTGGCCAAGATGGTGAAACCCCATCTAAACTAAAAATACAAAAATTAGCCAGGCATGGTGGTGTGCACCTGTAGTCCCAGCTACTCAAGAGGCTGAGGCAGGAGAATTGCTTGAACCCAGGAGGCGGAGGTTGCATTGAGCCAAGATCGCGCCACTGCACTCCAGCCTGGGTGACAGAGTGAGACTCCGTCCCCCCAAAACAAACAAACAAACAAACAAATAAATAAATAAATAAATTCAGTGAGGGAAGATACAGATGTTATGTATTAGCACCCTGAAACTCCAACAGTATTATTTATAACATTTTTATTCTTAACGAATCTACCTTCTTTTAGGGTGCTTTACATTTTGATACAGCCAAAGATATTTGGTCATTCCTTGGGTACTATGATGGGTGGGATGGGTAGAATGGTGGGTGGGATGGCTGGTGATAAAATTGAGTGATGCAGTTTATAACTACAAACTAGTGAGATTGGTAGTTTTGTTTGATTCCTTAAACCAGCACTGAATGCAGATTTTTAAAATGAGTTTTGAGTCATAGTGGCATCATTAGCATAGCATCACCTTTAGAGCCTCCCAAGGTGATGAGTTGGAATGATAGCATGCATTTGGATGTACAATTCCAATAACCTTATTAAAATACTAATCACAGTACTTCATAATTACACTTGGAACTTAAGAAAAATTGTTGCTAGGTGCTTCAAGGTGCTGCAATACTGGGCTTGACATCCCTCAGCTATGATTTGGCCTCTCATGAAATTCTTTTTACAATACTGTGCTTTGGCACTTGGCCCACAGGTTTGGCTGAGAAACACTACAAGAAAAGTTTTACTCCTACTTGCCACTCTATTTGTGGCAGCCATATCATTGACAGTATGTTCCATGACATTATACCATGTTCCCCTTTTGAGGGTCTACAAATAAACTCTAGATGAATGTATTACAATATAGAAAAAATAATTCCTGTGTAAGCCAATTTTCTTTATGTTTTTTTCCTGTCGTATTGTATGTTTTTACATCAAAAGGCATTAAGCCCCATTTAACCAAGTGGAACAGAAATAAATAAATGTAAAGAAGTGAGGGAAAACTGCATTTATCTAAAGGGCTCTTATGAATATTATTAAATGTTCTTGGAAGAAAACCTATTATAAGTCTCTTGGTGCAGGGGCAAGATCTAAAAGACAAGCTCAAATAAAAACAAGAGCAAGAGCAACAACAACAACCATTTATTGAGTTCTGAAGATGGCTGTAATAGCATATGGAGGGTAAGAGGGTGGATATAAGTGCCTAACTACCTGAGTTAAAATTCCATCTCTGCCTCTTACGGACTGTGTGACTCTCTGGTCCTCAATTTCATCCTATGTAACATGAGGATGAAAAACAAAACTGCAAAATACTGACCTCATAGTATCACTGCTAGGATTATCATTAAATGCTTACTCTGTTCCAGTTATTGTTCTAAGGGCTTAAATGTCTATCTCACTGCGATGTCATTTCAATTGTATCAGGTAGGTAATATATATCCATTTCGAAGACAAGGAACAAGAATGTACTTTCAGGAGGTCACATAGACAGCAACTGGTAGTTAACAAAAAGAAAAAAATGATCACTAAATTGCATCCAAGAAAATAATAGGCCGAGTTAGCTCCAGGATTTTGTTTTTTTGAATGAGGGTATCTATGTTTGAAATAAGAGGAGAGTTGCCCAGGGCAGTAAGTGAGACACTGAGCACTGTAGAGGAGTTCTGAGAAGACATGTGTGTCTTCTCTCAGAAACATGAGAGATCAGAATTGTCAGATGACACAGCGCTAAAGATGGCTTGTGCTGAGTGTGCAATGTTCTTCAGTAAATGTGCAGAATATTGAATAAAAGTCTCAGTTGTCATTCCCCTACTAGCATACTTACATACCCACACCATTTTCATGGCCTTGTGGTAGGATTGCGTTTACAGTTGGCCCTTGAACGATATGTGTTTGAACTGCACAGGTCTACCTATATATGGATTTTTTTTTTCAATTAAAGTCATACCTAGTATGCCTGCCTCTCTTGATTCCCTTTCCACCCCCTCTACTTCTCGTGCCTCTGCCACCCCTGAGATAGGAAGATCAACACCCCCTCCTCTACCTTCCTCTCCTCAGCCTACTCAATGTGAAGTTGATGAGAATAAAGACTTTTATAATGATCCACTTCCACTTAATAAATAGTAAATATATTTTCTCTTCCTTGCGATTTTCTTAAATACATTTTCTATTCCCTATCTTACTTTATTGTAGGAATACAGTATAGAAGACATATAATATATAGAATACATGTTAATTGACTATTTATGTTATTGGTAAGGCTTCCTCTCAACAGTACACTATCAGTAGTTAAGTTTTGGAGGAGATAAAGTTGTATGTTTGTTTGTTTGCTTGTTTTTTTATTGTGCAGGGGTTGGTGCCCCTAATACTTGCGTTGTTCAAGGGTCAACTAAATATCCCGCCCAATAATTAATTGTTCACATTGTTTAGGTCAACAGGATGTTATTACATGTGATGTAAGCAAACGTTTAATGTGCTAATGTAGTTGCTTTTGTCATCACCATGCAGAGAACATATCCCAGGTAGCCACAGCTCCTCCAGCCTGCAGTTCGGAATGAGACACATCAATTAGACCTGCTACTGGATCCAAGCCCTGTCAGTTCACAGTCTGAAGCAGAACTTCCCAGCTGACCCTCAGACGTGTGAGTAAATAAATGTGCTTTAAATAAAATAAATACATATAAATAAAATATCAAAATAAAATAAATTTTAAAATAAATAAAAATTTAAAAATATGTAAATAACATTAAATAATTTAATTAAATATGCTTTAAATAAAAATACTTATATTTGTAAGTGCAGTGACTTTTGGCACCAAGTACCTGTAGTTAGGTCAGACTTCACAGATGAAGGGCATAGTCCTCTTTAAAACAGCCTTCACTTCAGACACCAGCCACAAGGTTAGGAGTCCCCAGGCCACCCTCACTTTTGACCAACTGGCTACAAATCCACGCGTTCCCACTTCCTCTATGATTCATTAATTTGCTAAAATGACTCATAAAACTCAAGAAAGAACTGTATTTATAATTGTAGTTTTCTTATAGCATAAGAATACAAATCAGCACTAGCTAAATGTATTGACACAGAGCAAGGTCTGAGAGGCTCCCAAATATGGAAGCCCCACTGTCCTCTCTTCATGGAGTCCAGAGTTCCCTTTCTGGCACATCGTTGTTTGACAATGCTCAGAATATTGTCAACCAGGGAAGTTCACTTAAGCTTCTGTGTCCTAAGTATGAGTGATTGAATCATCCCCATGTCACTCAATCTACAGTCAGCCTCCTCTCCCAAAAAGTCAAGATATTATCATATAGCTCACAACTCAACCATCCAAACATATGGTTGGTCTTTCTGGCATGACCAATCTCCCTTCTGAGTGAACTCTCAGGGCCCATCATGAATAACAAAGCCACTTCTATGGCTCAGGAAATCCCCAGGACTTAGAGGCTACCACCCAGGAACTGGGGACAAAGGCCAGTGAAATTCTTCATTACAGAGTAAGCCACTGAATCTTTGGTGTGGTTTGTTACACTACATTATCCTGGCAATAATTGACTTCTACAAAATGTCCATTACAAAAAAAACACCACATGCCACGCTAGTTTGAATTTTTTATGGAAAATATCAATGGAGATGAGGAAACAGATGACAAGATGATCACATATTTGGGTCTCATATTTAAATAGATGAATACCCACAACCATTTTAAAATACGTTGAGCTTGAACTCTCATTCTAGAGAAAAATATTGAAAGGATGGCTTTTGTTTTCTATAATCTGTTATATTTTATCTGTCTCCCTTCCTTTGACGTAAGCCTTGAGATTTCTTTGGGCTAAGGATGAAATTTATATTCTTGATAAAAACTTTTTCTCATTAAGGGATAGTTATCATTACTCATCATGACATTAAATTAATGTTAAAGAGGAAATAGTTTATTCCAAATTCAAGTAGGGTAGTTATCTAATTAGTACTAACATTAGTATTAATTAGTTAGTATTAGTACTAACATTAGTTCTAACTAGTGCTGACATTAAATGTTAGTACTAATTAGCTAGTTATCTATCTACTTAGAGTTATCTAATTAGTACGAACATTCAATGTTCTAGAATATGCTTTACCTGAGAGTTGTGAAGACTCACCCCTAAAGTGTCACTAGTGATTCTTCTTTCCTTAATGCATCTAGAGACATAGCTAAACATGGTTTCATTTTAACTTTCACAGATACAGTGTAGTGGCAAAAAAAAAAAAAAAAAAAAAAAAAAAAACTCAAAAAACAAAATATAGGATTTCTAGCCTACCTGTCAAGAAATTCATCATAGAGGCTCTGTTCTTCATGTGCTGTGTGATTTTGAGCAAGTCACTTCTTTTCACTAGACTCCAAATTTTTCATCTGTAAAATAAGAAAGACCAGCAGATCTCTGAGTTTCCTAACAGGTCAATTAATTCCATTTCTCTCTGAATTACCAGTGTGACCTTGGGTGAATCATTAAACATCTTTAAGCCTGACTTTCTTCATATCTCCTCCTGCACACTCCCTCATCCCAATTAACGGCAAATGTACCCTTAGAGTCATCCTTGACTCCTACCTCTCATACCCCACATTCAATCCATCAGTAAACCCTGTGGGTGGAAACTTCAAAATATACTCAGAATCCAACCACTTCTCATCATTGCTACATCATGTTCAAAGCTACCGTTTCTCTGGTCTAAAAAATTACAATATAAAAATATGATGAGAGTTTTATATGCATTTTTTGCACTAATCTTTAAAATCATCTTTTTATTTTGCACTAGGTCTTTTTGCAAAAGTCTTTAGTGTGTTTTGTAAGACCACATCTCAATTTGGACTAGCCATATTTTAATTGCTCAATAGCCACATGTGATTAATGGCTACTCTATTGTGCAGCATAGGTCTAAAGTCAAAGAACATTCTCCTGCCTAATTAATGTCCTTATTTTAATATTCCAAATAGAACTCTTTGCCTCAAATTCAGTTTCATGTTCTAGTGGGTTATTACCACCAGCAATAACACCCCTATACCCTTGCTTCTGCCAGTCTCTTCTCACTTTGTTTCTCTCTCCTTGGGACTTATCTGCTATTCTTCTCCAAATTGATTCTTGCAAAAGTGCTCATGACTAACAATAACTTGATATATCCCCTTATTTATTCAGCAATCCTTTACTTAGCCTCTGCTACCAGCCACAAAGTGTTATTTTCCCCAGACAACTGCTTACATAAAGAAGAACCCTGGGGATACTCAACTGCTACCCAGTGGGATGAATGAGTCTCTAATGGTAAGATTCACTATGGCTGTACTGTTGAGTTAGGGGTCAGGGTAATAAAAAAGAGAATAATTTAAGTCATAGGTGATGGTTTTCTTGTTCTTTATTGTCATAAAAATAGTTGCTTTCTCTACATATGCATGAAAAGAGTTAAGACAGATGTTCCTTTTCTTTTCCGATTCATTTATTAGTTCGTAATCTACTGGTCACCGTTTATCAAGCAGTAAGCACCGCAAAAAGAAAGTTATATGTTCTTCATCCTTGTCAAACAAGGAAATTAGAATGATTTCTCTTGATGACTTCTCAAGCTGCCATCCCATCTTGCTAAAGTGCAGGTGCAATGAGAAATTTTATTTAGGTTACACACATACTTACTTACATACCATGCATGATTTAAGTGGGCATTTTACTGCAACTTCTTTCTAAATTCTTAAAGCAAATTGAGTTGCCAAAATGCTAAAAAGCCATTTTACCAAGTGTTGAAGTGTAAAAGTCATCTGGAAACTTTTTTTCCTTCCCTGGTATTTCAGAATCATTGGGTGATAGAATCTGAGGAGACCCTTAGAGATCATCTAGCCCCAGGCTCTTGTTCCATAAAAAATCTCTGCAGGTCCAAAGAGGATAAATGGCTTTTCTAAGAACAAAGAGTTGTAAGGGATGGTACTGGGACTGAAATTTTATACTTGTTTTTGTTATGTTTAGCTCTTTCTACAAAGAAAATATGAACAGGTCTGTCTTTGTCTTTTTACTCTTGCTCCTCTGAGAATTACACAATATTGAGGGCATGGTGGATTCCTGCCCTAAAAATGTGGGTAACATGCAAGCAACCAAGAAGCCCTCCAAGGATATATTGCATTACACCCTTTCCCATAGGCATAGAAGAGGTTGTGAGGTCAAGAGAGAGAATCTCACGTTGAGACACAGGAGGGCACCAAATTATCTCTTTGCACTGGAATTATCTATCCACTTCTGGGGTGGAGAAAAAGCTACAGTTGACTGGTATGCTTGAGGGTGAATACAGAAAGATGGAACTTCTCACAATACTGATTTGCTGATATGGTTAGGCTGTGTCCCCACCCAAATATCATCTTGAATTGTAGTTCCCATAATCCCACCTATCATGGGAGAGACTCAGTGGAAGGTAATTGAATCAAGGGGACAGTTAAACCCCACGCTGCTGATAGCAAGTGAGTTCTCACAAGATCTGATGGCTTTATAAGGGGCTTTTCACTCTTTTTCTTGGTACTTCCTTTTCCTGCCACCATGTGAAGGATGTGTCTGCTTCCCTTTCTGCCATGATTGTAAGTTTCCTGAGGCTTCCCCAGTTGTATTAGTCCATTTTCACTCTGCTGATAAACACATACCTGAGACTGGGCAATTTACAAAGGAAGGAGTTTTAATGGAGAACTCACTGTTCCACATGGCTGGGGAAGCCTTACAATCATGGAGGAAGGCAAGGAGGAGCAAGTTGCATCTTACGTGGATGGTGGCAGGCAAAAATAGAGAGCTCGTGTAGAAAAACTCCCATTTTTAAAACTGTCAGATCTCGTGAGACTTTTCACTATCATGAGAACAGCACAGGAAAGACTTGCCCCCATGATTCAATTACCTCCCCCCAGGTCCCTTTCACAACATGTGGGAATTCAAGATGAGATTTGGATGGGGACACAGCCAAACTGTATCACCAGCCATGTGGAACTGTGAGTCAACTAAACCTCTTTTCATTATAAATTACCCAGTCTTGGGTGTGTCTTTATTAGCAGTGGGAGAACAGACTAATACAGTAAATTGGTACCAGGTAGTGGGGTGCTGCTATAAAGATACTCAAAAATGTGAAAGCAACTTTGGAACTGGGTAACAGGCAGAGGTTGGAATAGCTTGGAGGGTTCAGAAGATGATAGGAAAATGTGAGAAAGTTTGGACCTTCCTAGATACTTGGAGGGCTCAGAAGACAGGAAGATGTGGAAAAGTTTGGAACTTCCTAGAGACTTGTTGATTGGCTTTGATCAAAATTCTGATAGTGATATGGACAATAAAGTCCAGACAGAGATGGTCTCAGATGGAGATGAGGAACTTTTTGAGAATGGGAGCAAAGCTGACTTTTGTTATGCTTGAGCAAAGAGACTGGCAGCATTTTGCCCCTGCCCTAGAGATCTGTGGAACTTTGAACTTGAGAGAGAGAATTTAGAGTATCTGGCAGAAAATATTTCTAAGTGGCAAAGCATTCTAGAGGAAACACAGCATAAAAGTTTGGAAAATTTGCAGCCTGATGATGTAATAGTAAAGAAAAACCCATTTTCTGGGGAGAAATTCAAGCCTGCTGCAGAAATTTACCTAAGTAACAAGTTTCCCCAGAACAATGGGGAAAATGTCTCCTGGCATGTCAGAGCTGTTTGTGGCAGCCCTTTCCATCACAGGCCTGGAGGCCTAGGAGGAAAAAATGGTTTCCTGGGCCATGCCCAGGGCCTTGTTGCTGTGTGCAGCCTAGGGACTTGGTGCCTTGCATCCCAGCCGCTCCAGCCATGGCTAAAAGGGGCCAAGGTACAGCTCGGGCCATGGCTTCAGAAGGTGCAAGCCCCAAGCCTTAGCAGCTTCCACATGGTGTTGAGCCTGCAGGTACACAAAAGTCAAGAACTGAGGTTTGGGAATCTCTGCCTGCATTTTAGAGGACGTATGGAAATGCCTGGGTATCCAGGCAAAAGTTTGCTGCAGGGAGAGAGCTCTCATGGAGAACCTCTGCTATGGCAGTGCAGAAGGGAACTGTACGGTCAGAGCCCTCACACAGAGTCCCACTGGGGCACTGCCTAGTGGAGCTGTGAGAAGAGGGCCACTGTTCTTCAAACTACAGAATGGTAAATCCACCAATAGCTTGCATTGTGCACTTGGAAAAGCTGCAGACACTCAACATCAGGCTGTGAAAGCATCCAGGAGGGGAGCTGTACCCTGCAAAGCCACAGGGGCAGAGCTGCCCAAGGCCAAGGGAGCCCCCCTCTTGTATCAGTGTGACCTGGATGTGAGACATGGAGTCAAAGGAGATCATTTTGGAACTTTAAGGTTTAATGACTGTCCTACTGGATTTTGGACTTGCATGGGGCCTGTAGCCCCTTCATTTTGGCCAATTTCTCCCATTAAGAACAGATGTATTTACACAATACTTGCACCCCCATTGATCTAGGAAATAACTAACTTGCTTTTGATTTTACAGGCTCATGCACAGAAGGGGCTCGCCTTGTCTCAGATGAGACTTTGGACTTGGACTTTTGAGTTAATGCTGGAATGAGTTAAGACTTTAGGGGACCGTTGGAAGGGCAAGGTTGTGTTCTGAAATATGAGGACATGAGATTTGAGAGGCGCCAGAGGCAGAACGATATAGTCTGGCTCAGTGTCCCCACGAAAGTCTCATTTTGAATTGTAGTTCCCATAATCCCCATGTGTCATGGGAGGGACCCAGTGGGAGGTCATGGGGCTGTTACCCCCATGCTGCTGTTCTTGTGATAGTTAGTGAGTTCTCACAAGGGCTGATGGTTTTATAAGGGTCTTTCCCACCTTTTGCTTAGCACTTCTCCTTCCTGCCACCATGTGAAGAAGGACATGATTTTAAGTTTCCTGAGGCCTCCCCAGCCGTGCAGAACAGTGAGTCAATTAAACCTCTTTCCTTTATAAATTACTCAGTCTTGGGTCTGTCTTTATTAGCAGCATGGGAGTGGACTAACACACTTGCATTCTTAAAGCCTAGAGCAATAGAAATGAAACACAGGCCAAGTGTCCACAGGTAGAAACAATTTGCTGAGGTCAGAGGCCCTTCTGCCTTATGCCAAATCTTCAATGGTCCAAGATGCAAGAAAACTGTGATAGTTTGTATTTTCACAAAGTGATTCTTTCGAAGAGATCAGGAAAAGTTGATGCAGAGGTTTTACTGAACCAGAATGATTATTCACCTTTGTTTTAAACTTTTCAGCCAGAGTCACTTGCCAATAGCCTCAGGAAAATATAAGATGAATGTCCATGTGTTCAGAAACCTACAGAATCATCCATTTTCATGAAGATAGGACTCTTGTCAGCATGTCTTCTTGCATCTTATAATTCGCCCTCTTCATCCTCCAGCTGATTTAAGCAGTATTTCAATTGGTGACCCTCAAATCCCATTAATGAGTTTGATATTCCTTCCTGCTATGCCGGTTCTTCATTTGTCTGAGAGGTGGTGAGGAGAAATGAAATGTTACCTGACATATCTGTTCTATAGCAAGAGGAGATAATTGAGATTCCACAGCAAAACCATAGCCTTGCTTTGAAAGGGAAGCAAGCTTCAATAACGTGTGCAATTCAGAGTCACAAATATTCAACAAAATCAAAGGTCTTTATTTTTGATGGTTATCATGGAGAGAATAAAAAGCACTCTGAGTTATCCAGTGGAATGAGAAGTAGACAGAGACCAGCCTGGGTGTCTCAATTAGCAATTAGGAACATGGCGTTTCAGTTCACAGTCACTGTGGAGCACTTTGTTAAGCTCTGGAAGATGCTACATAAAATAAACATATCTAGTACCAAGATATAATTTGTCCTTCCACACTATTGCCTTCTGAACAGTACAGCTAGCCTCAGAAAAAATGAAAATCCTAGGAATACAGAATATTGCATTCATATCACAGTACTAAAACAACCAGGAACTGGACTACCCAGGCTTAACCATTGTTCTACTATTGGATGGGTCATGGGGAAGGCATTGACCCAGATCAGAACTGTAGTTCTAATGAATTATACCTTTTAACTAAATATGTTGTTTATAGTATCCTATAAGATTATGTTTCTTATTTCATCCATGGAGATTAACCAAAAAAAAAAAAAAATCATAACAACTAAAAATTGTAGAGTCCTCTAGAGTTGACAAAGCATTTTTTCCTATATCTTACTTAATTATTTCAACAACCTGTGAGATTAATGTTATTATTTCACATTAAAGGCATAGAGACAAAATAAAGCAAAACTAAGTGCAAAACTAAGACATGAAGAGGTTGAACAATTTGTATAAGGATACACAATAAGCTGGTGAAGTTGGGGCTCAAATCCTTTTTTCAGGTAGGTATAGCCACAGGCTCTTGGGGTTTCAATGTAAGTATTGGTCTTCTGGTAATATGCTCAGTTCAAGTGGTGTAATCTTGTTGATGCCTATACATATCTACTAAATAAAAGTGATGTTTCTGCCTTCTTGTTTCCCATAGGAATCTCCTTATGTGTCTGTAATATAGTTTGCTGTGTGAATATCTATTTTCACCATTGGGTTGTTAGCTCCTTGCAGTCAGGGACTATGGCTTATTCATTTTTACATTCCTCCCTTTCCTCATAGCCTAGCACAATGCTTACCCACAAAATAGACCTTCAAATATTTGTTGAGTTACGTTGAATTAGTTGCTGTAGTAAAGTTTATAATGACCTAAGGCATGTTGCCAAATGATGCTTGCTTGAATTTCTTCCAAGACCAAAAAGGAGATATTTAATTGTGCCCTTCAGGTGGGAGGAGATGCTATATTCTATTTTGAATAAAAAGAACTTTAAAAACTGATTTAAGAACCACAATTATGACGAACTACAGAGACCCTTAGTGGTGGTAGCACTTTCTGCATTATAAACTTAAGTACCTGAAAACATTTTAGAGAGGGAGAGCTAGAGAGACTTTTGTAGCAGCAAGCAAAATGCAGCAGTTTTACAGGGTAAATCCTCTCTGCTTTCCACAGTTTTATCTAGGAAGAGCCCATCATCTATCCATCTACTCTGGTACAATGGATTACACTGACCTGCTGATGGCATAGGATCCGTCAACATCTATCAGAAGACTTTAGAAGAAGTTCTAGTGAATGGAAATAGTCTTCTCTTGGCTTCCCACACATTCGAAGACAAAGGCTGGTGGCAAACTTGAACATTTCCACAGAGGCCAGGATGAGAACATATGTGCACTCGTGGGATTTGAGGAATGAGGGAGGGAATCAAATCATTATATGAGAAAGTGATGTAAAAATTGGGGATGAGTACCCTGAAGGTAAGAAAACTCAAAGAAGGTATTCAGGTGGCTTTTGACAGGGCATAGGTATGACTACTACACACAATATACTATCATGTGCGATAACCATGATTAATGGTAGCTCTCGGACCTGAAAGACCAATGGCTAGCCTATCACATACTCATATACCCTTATAATTTTGTTCTTAGTCTACCTAACATCTTCTGTCTCTCCCATAAAGATTCAGTTCATATATAACACCTTCTCTGTGAAAGGTCTTGATTGCCCACACAGTATTAATTGTCTTCATGGTAGTTTTTACAGACTGCTCATTTTGCACTTACCACACTCTTACTTAGTTTTTCTGTCTACCTAACTATCTCCTTCACTAAATTGTGAGCCTAGGATGGGATCTAAAAGATATGGTTATTTTATCTTTGTGTGTACAGTACTTAGTACAGTGTTGAGAGTATACTAACTGCTTAGTGAGGGTTAAAGGAAATAATAGAAAGAGAGAAAGGTGAGGAAAAAAGAAAAGAGAGGGGATTCATTAGGAAGGGAATTGTGTACTGGAGCTATAATGTAACACATAATTGAGCTATAACACTCATGTATCTGAGTATAGGGAGAGAATTCAGTAGTGCTGCATAGAGAATGGTGTGGTACTGTCAACTGGCCAGCATCCAGAGGTAAATAATTCTACTATAGAAAACGATTTTGCATTGCCCTATTTTAATGTCTCTAAGCTCAGAGAAAATTGTGTTTCTATTGAAAGATTCCAGCTGTTCCCAGAGAACATGACCTCAGTGCACTCTGGTTAAAGAGGCAAAGAGCTGCAGCATCCAACAGACCCAGGAGTCAACCCTTCAAGCCTAGGATCTTCAGGGACTAATTCTAAAAGAACTGAAATAAGAAGCGGTGCCCCATAGCAGAAAGCAGAAAGCAAGAGTGGCTTGAAATGCCCACAAAGGACTGTAGAACAGACCAGAACAAAAGGGAGATAATATTGTTGCTTATACTAGTTAAACATTGTCACCAATTTGCTAGTGAAGAGAAAGCAGAGTTTGATATCAGAACAGTTGATAACCCCTTATGTGATTTGTTCTGGGTATGTGGGATAAACAGTATACAGTTCTCAACATAGAGATTAGTTCAGTCACCCTCATCAAAGCTTTTTCTGTACAATGCTTCAAGTTAACATACCTATCTAAATATTATTATCTGTAATAAAAGTAGAGATATAACTGGACAGGATGAAATCTACCTCAAGATGGAAATCAAGATTTTGATGCTCTCTTTTGATCAGACAGGTAAGCAATTACCCTTCAAGAACCTTCTAATAAAACCATCTCCTGTGATTGTGTAACATATACAAGAAGACCTTCAATAGCAATCTCTCTGCTTGTATTATCAGATTTGCTTTTGTATTCCTGTTCATGAACTAGTACATTAACACTGACACTCTGATTCTACCCTGTGACACTACCTGGTCTTTTAGCAATGTGGGGTTGAACTTCCTGGCTCTATAACTTGCTGTGCCCAATATTTGGCTGAATCTCAGGACAGAGGTTCTAGATCTCAGGCCATTCTTGCAGCTTCTAGCTTCATTGGCAACCAACGTTTTCCACCATGAGTTTGTTACATCAGTGACTGGATATACAACAGGTCTTCATAAAAGTCTCAAGTACAGGAAGAATGTATTTCCTCTTTATCAATTGAAAACAAGACTCCTGAAGATGCTTTGGAAAGCATAAAAAGTGTTTTTATTTCCAACTTGTTGAATTTCAAAAGCATCCCTGACACAAATTTCTGTTTCCTCATCACCCTTTAAAGAAAGAAATATCATTGTTTGGGTTTCCTGCTCTGTGAAACAGCAGCCCAGAGAGGGTAAGTGAAGTGCGTCAGATGCACAACTAGTCAATTGCAGAAGGGCTGGTGTTTCTAATCCAAGTTATGAATACCTAGGTCTTCAAATAATTATGACAGTCTTCTAGGTAAAGTTACACAACTCTCAAAGATGCTGCCTAATAACTTTTATAAACTTTTTTTATGTTGAAAGAGTGTATTTTTCAAGTGCCACCTACAGTCATGGTTTCATGGTTTTAAAAAGCACTGTACCCCTTATTGCAGCTATGGTCATCAAAATCATTTTTAAAACATAAGCTTACTCTTTAACAACAATCACCGAATTAGAGTTTGTCAATGGAAAGTTGCAAGCCCAATCATTTCAATGCAAAAACCCTGATATTCTAATCCCAAAGAGATGGAGGAGGTGTTATTAGCCTTGGTCTGCTGTTCATAGTTTTTGTGTCATGAGATAGTTGTGTGACAATGTTAAGAAGCCAGCACTGAAAACTTACTGAAGGACTGAAGGAACACAAATGGTTATGTGGAGGAGGTGGGGATAGATGAATGTCCTCAAATCTCCATTCAGCCTTCGTAGAATCCTCTGCAAGTGTCTGACTGTGCTGGTTGTAAAGTCAAGATTCCACAAGGTTCATAAAAAAAATGGCTGCACAGATGCCAGTGTTTTTCTCCAAGTCTTGCAGCAAGGTATTAGGAATAGAAATTAGTTCTGCTCTTTGATCACTCTCCAAGGAAGCTGTACTGGTTTCCTAGGGCAGCCTTAAAAAAGTAGCAGGAATTTAGTGCCTTAAAATATGCTCTATCACAATTCTGGAGGCTGGAGTTCTGAAGTCAAAGAAATCCAAAATTCTAAGGAGTCATTCTTGGTGTTTCTTGACCCGCAGATGCATCATAGCAGTCCCCTGGCCATCTTCTCCCCATGTGTCCTCACATGGTCTTCCCTCTGTGTGCATCTGCCTCTGTGTCCAAATTTCCCTTTTTTATAAAAACACCAGTCATATTAGACTAAGACTCACCCTAATAATCTCTTTTTAACTTGAATATCTGTATAAAGTCCTTATTTCCAAATAAGATCATATTTTCAAGTACTGGGGGTGAGGACTTGAACCTATCTTTTTGGGGCAACACAATTCAACCCGTATCAGAAGCCTATTCAAAACTTAAACCTCCAAGAAAAAATACATTTCCAAACCTATGATGGCTTTTGACTCACATTTATAAGAAAAAAAAAATCAAAGCATATAATTTTTAAATGATCTTATTTCAGATCAAAGATTTAAATTGGAATTCTTAGGTAAATAATTGATTTCGTAAAATAAGCCTATGAAGAAAGCGAATTCTGTGCCACTGCAAGCTCCACACTCATCCCTCTTCTCTGTTCCCATAGCTCTTTGCACATACCACTCTTATGGTATTTATCATTTTGCTGTCAGTATCTTAATACATATATGCCTCCCTCTCTAAACTGTGAGGTCTTAGGTCAGAGACTGCTTTATTTTTTTCTTGAAAAATAGAAGGCACTAGGCAGTACTTAGCAGAGTATCTGGCACATAGTGGTCACTTAATAAATATTTGCTGAATGAAGAAATGAATTAACAAAAAGTAAGGACAATATAATGTTCATGAAATAAAAGCTCTGGAGCTCAAGATCCCTTAGCTCTAGTCTGCAGGCTGTTATTAATAAGTGGTGTGACCTTAGCAAATCACTTCATGTCTTTGTGTCTGGTTTTGTCATCTGTACAATGGGAGCATTGAACTAAATGCCCTGTAAGTTTCCTGTAGGGTGGGCTCCTGCATAGAGAAATTTGGGTAATTTTCACACCAGTTGAAATAGATGGTAGGGAACGAATATCAGACCTTGCCACAGCATTTTCATGCACGCTTGCAACTGACTAATACAGGCAGGGATATATAGTAAAACTCTAAAGACGCAGACCCTTGCTAGTTCCTTACAGCTATCTTGCTCTTCAGTCTCACTCATGTACCCCCTTGACGCTCTTGACTGGAATTCAGATCTCTCATCTCTTAAGAAAGTTCACTTTGTACACATCCTTCCTTTGCCTTTTGCCTGGAAATTCCATGATCTATTTCTGATGTCCTTTTGGCCAGTTAGTTCTTGCAGAGGTGCGGAGAACGCTCTGCAAGTTACAGATCATGATCCTCATTGTTCTTTTCAAACAGAACAGAATACCTGCTTACCTTTGTGTGGACACCCTGATAGTACCCTCTCTCCCTTTTAAAATAGATCATGATTCAACAATGTAGTATGTCAGTCAAGTCTGATGTTTTAGGCAAGGTTTATAAATATCTGTGATGATGGAAGGATTTTCTAAAAGAAAATCTATTTCTGTGTTCAAGCTTACTCCAGCTGGTTCTGTATTCACTTCTGTTTAGTACTTTTTCTCTTATTCTTATTCTCATCATTTACTGAAAAATAACCTATTCTAAGACTAGAGATCGAAAGTGGGAAAGAAAACAGGATTTCTTTTTCAGAATTGCATATAACACATAAATAAATGGTAGCAGTATACATTTTCCCAGTGCCTCAGTTTCCTATTGGCAAAATGAGTTCAATGGTATTAACCACCTACCTCAAAGACTTATTGGGAGGATTGATTAGGTAATTACAGAGCCCTTTGATTTTGTCCAATATAGCTTAAGAGTCAACTAACGATTTAAAAGTCTATCTCTAGGTGTGTTTCAGAGCCCTAGTCTGGCTTCACTTACAGTCATAGAGCTAGAGTTGTATTCAGTGGGAGGTTTTACTGATTTTCATCAAAATTAAAACAATTAGCTTAATAAAAGCCTAAATTATAACCATATCTGGACATAAGGGGATGCCACAAGTTGGTCATGAAAAGAGATTAATCTCTACACTCTCAAAGCCTTGGACTAAGAGACATTCATTCATTCAAACAACCCTTTTTTTTTTTTTTTTTTTTTGAGATGGCGTCTCTGTTGCCCAGGCTGAAGTGCGGTGGCACAATCTTGGCTCAGTGCAACCTTCACCTCCCAGGTTCAATGCAACCTTAACCTTCAGCCTCCCTAGTAGCTGGGATTACAGGTGCTTGCCACCACACCCAGCTAATTTTTTGTATTTTTAGTAGAGGCGGGATTTCACCATGTTGGCCAGAATGGTCTGGAACTCCAGACCTCAGGTGACCCGCCTGCCTTGGCCTCGCCAAGTGCTGGGATTCAAACAAGCTTTTAAAATCAGGCAGCTGACTACAGTAATTCAAAACATATGAAAGATTATAAAAACTGACCTAGAAAAAAATTAAACATTGTGACATATCCTAATTTTTTGATGTCAGGAAAAAGTATATTGATATCCCTTCCTTCTCAGGGATTATCTTATTCCAACTCTCAGCAAAAAGAATATTTTGAAGACTAATAAATATTTCCTTTTCCTTTGTGTATAGGCGGTCTATATGAACATGAAGAAAGGTTGGAATTTTTGGTTTATTTTCTCCAGGGAAACATGTGACTCCTTTAGGTTTGCACCACAGAGAACAGAAACGTTAGCTTTGGGCAGCAGGGTAGTGGAAGGAATGAAAGAGCAGGCCTCAGTACCATTTAACTAGGTATGAGATACAATCAAGTTCCTTAATCTTTCTTAGTTTCAGTTTACCCATCTGTGAATAAAAACTATAATGCCTGCTCTGTTACTGCAAAGGGTTTAGATTTTCTGGCTCTGTTTTTCTTAGCTTCATGTTATTCTTTTGTAGTCTTTTTCTATGTGTCTCTCCTTCAATATTTTGCACATAATTTTGACAATCTGGATTCATGAGAGGGCTCCTTTTGCAGCCACAGTGGTTTCTGTAGCACCTGAGGTCATATTTCCAGATTACATTTTCAAGCTTGCTGTCATTTCTTCCTTAGTCATCTCTTCTTTTAGAAACTCTGGTCATAGGAGCATATCTCTTCTTTGCTCATGTCCATATTAACTGGCTCATTGTAGGTCCTCTGTAACTCTGTTGAATGAATAGTGAATGGAATCTGATTTCCTGTAATACCCAACTTTATCCAACATTTTATTCATTGCCTGTTAAAGTTCCTAGAAGTTTATTACATTCACTTTCTTTCAAGGTCCCCATCTTTTTTGCTTTACAAGAATAAAATTCAGGTCAGAGATTTTCTGGTTAGTTCATTCCATCTTAAAATCAATGAAAATGGAGGCAAGGAAGTCAAAGTTTTATTAGATTATCTTTTTTTTTTCCCCAAGAATGGCATGCCCCAATTCTCAAAATCTCTCCTTCATTACTCAAACTCTTAGGCAAGTGCTTCCTACACTGAACCAATCATAATAATTATGTAAACAAATTATTCAAAATAGATAACTAAGTTCTTTCCCAAACAGGTTGAATCTGAATCTCCAGAAAGTTAAACTTAGACATCTGCATTTTTAAAAAAGGTTTATCCAAGTGTTTCTGGCAAAGCTAGGTTTGAGGAACACTGTCTTGAAAAGTTGTTTTTTAAGCCTGGGCAGAAAGTTTCTCCTGGGTTTTTCAATACCAAAACCCCAGAGTCTCCTTCTTGAGGTGTGCAAAGCAGATTCTACAAAGGACTTTTCTTTGGACAAGTCTGCCTTTGTTTAAAAAAGAGACAAATTGTGGGAACTGGTTTAGTTTTCCAAGGCTACCATTACAAAATATCATGAAGTGAGTGGCTCATGCAATAGAAATTTATTGTCACATGTTTCTGGAGGGTAGAAGCCTGAGATCAAGGTGTCAGTGAGGCCATGCCGCCTCTGAAGGCTCTAGGGAAAGGTCTGTTCCAGGTCTCTCTCCTAGCTTCTGGTAGCTCCTTGGCTTGTGAACGCATAACTCCAATCAGAGCATGGCATTCCCCCTTGGCCTGTGCATGTCTGTCTAGATATCAAAAGTTACAAGAAAATGAGAGTGGAGCGAGCTGTCTCATATGTATGTTTCTTGCTATCTTTTAAAAAGCTGCTTAAGTAAAAACAGAAAATACTTTCCTGGTCCTAAGGTAGAGGAAGGGAAAGATGAAACCCTCAGAAAGCCAAAGGTCATAGAAGAAAGAAAATTTCTGAAGACAAGACATAACAAGAGGAATACCAGGAGACATGCTGATGGATGCATGAGAAATTTACAATATAATTGACAGGAAATTATGGCTTGAGCTGAAGTGACAAATCATTAAATGAATATCAAAAGAGTATCAAAAATGATACTCTTCAGAGACAAATAACCCAGTAGATGCTACCAAGAAACTGCTAACTAATGTGCATGTGGGAGAGAAAAAGAGCTTCAAAGCAGCATTTGCGGTGACAAACGGTGACAAATGGTGAAGGACGACTTCAACTAGAGAAAGAAACTGCTACACGTTTCAGCATATTAGCATAGGCCAACACAAGACAATGCATCAGGAAACCTGCCTGGAAAACAATGCAAGGGCACATGGACGGAAAACAACGAAGGCTCGCCCTGCGTAAACACTGGTGTGTTCAGTCGACCAGGTTCAATCTAGTCATCTTGAAAAAATTGTTAGAATACTGACCTTGCACAATTTTCACACTAAAGACCTGCTAGTCAGATAGACTGTCTTCTTTATTCTTATAGCAAATGTACTGAAAAAAAAATAGTCTGAAAATTTAATCTTATATATTGATGAAAATCACAGCAGATTCTATCTCTAAGAAATTAAAAATACACATTAAGCTGCACTTTCCTAAACCACTGGTTTATTTTGTCCTTTGGGGGTATGCATATAATAATAACATTTTACTAATCCAGAACCCAAATTTTAGACATGCAACTTTGTGAAACACAGCTGAAAACTAAAATATAAACACCAAAGTTCTTTGAAGAGTCCGAAGAGGTATTGCCAAAGTGTAAGTTGCCTGTTAGGGGAGATGCTCTGTGCCTTCTTCTGAAACTGTTTGCACATAGCTACCATGTGTTGGATTATCTGGTTTTCCAACTAGTGTTAGCTGAGGAGCAAGTTATTGAAAGGACACAGTATATCAGTTCAGGGTGACGCATTAATAGCCACAGGAAGTGACAGCCGAGAGCAAATGGAAAGCATGGAAATGATAAAAATGAAACTCAAGAACAAAAAACACAGCAATGATCTGAAGTTGTTTAATAAAGGGAAACAGCTCTGTGCATCTCAATTATTCCAAGAACATCTTTGAATTATAGCATGCTATCATAACAGATGATTATAATGATGACCCTGAGACAACAAGAAAAAAATAAATTTGGTTCCAGATGCATCATTTAAGATGGCAGAAAAATGTGCAATAAAATTTTAGAAAGATCTTCCTCCAAATGATTTTTTAAAGTTTTAATGTTTAACGTAATAAACCCACACTATTCAAAAGTTTCGCTCTTAAAAATGACTCATTGTTTGTGGCATTCATAAAATCTCATATCCATTTCTGCAGCCCTGACCTGTCTTTTGAATCCTACACCCAGATTTCAAAAAGTTTGTCAGACATCTCTGTTTACATGCCCCACTGGTTCTTTCCATTACACATCTGAACGTGAGTTACGTCCACCCACAAAGTTTCTCCTTATGATCAGTTGAGTGCCGCTATCTATGCAGTCATCCAAGTTAGAACCTTTGAATCTAATCTTGATTATTCCTCCTGCTTCTGGCTTACATTTACTTTATTAAACAAAATTTCCATCTTAGCCTAGAAGCCTATTTTGTATCTATGTCCCAATCTTCACCTGAGCTTGCACTATTTCTAGCACCCCTCTCTCTCACAGCCAACTTCTGTTAGAGTCACATCAGATCATTTCCTATTTGCCATTTGTGATGGTTTCAGTGTATCTCCTCCAATATTCAGGTGTTGAAATTAATGGGTAATGTGATGATATTAAGAGCTGGGGCCTTTAAGGGGTAATTAGGCCATGAAGGCTCCTCTCTCATGAATGGTACTAAGGTCCTTACGAAGAAGGCTTCATGCAGCATTTGGCTAGCTTGCTGTACCAAATTGCTGTACTACCTTCTGCCATGCAAGGACACAGCATTCTTCTCCTTTGAGGGTGCAGCAATGGGTGCCATCTTGGAAGGAGGGAGCAGATCTTGCCAGACAGTCGAGCCTATTGGCCCCATAATCTTGGACTTCTCAGCCTCAAGAGCTGTGAGAAATACATTTCTGTTTTTTTAAATAAGTCCCTTGGTTTCAAATATTTTGTTAGAACACTATAAACAGCTTCTAAATTTCTGGAATATACAATATAAATAATTAAATAACCTTTATAGAATGTCTAATTATTGCAGTACTTCCATATTGATTACCTATTTCTGAGTAAACATAGAGTGCGAGCAATGTTTAAGGTTTAGAATATGTCACTTTATATGTATCTTTATAGAATAGTCTTTTTGCTGGATCATCTCATTCATTCCTCACAACTTCCTCACAGGCATCCTTATCACCATTGCCATGGTGAAGAAATCAAGTTTCACCAAGACTCTAGAATTTGCCTGAGTTTACTTCAGTAAGATGTGACAGTTGAAAAGCAAGACCTAAGTCTTTTGACTTAGTATTCTTCCCACTTATTCCTCTCTTTTGCTCAACTTCTCATCCATCAAAATGTACTTTGATCAAATATGAAAATATTAAGGCAGAAGAATGTAAACATTTAGTGAACAGAAACCACTTTTGATTTTCTTGAAGTAAGGGCAAGGGTTGGCCATTCCATCTGTGAAAGTTAGACTGTGTCAGTTGGGGTACTGATAAGAATCAGATGGCCTACTTAGTGTGTTAAATGAAGAAACCTCAAAGAAAGCATCATTAACACAGAGAAAAAAAAAATTAAGCCTCCCAGCAAAAGATAGTGAGGTACCCAGGGATTAGCAACAGTGGGAGAATATTATTAACATAGGCCTAAAGGGGCAAGGATGAGAATGATGTTACCAGTACTCAGAAAAAGTTGTAGCAAAAGAAAAGGAACCACCACCCAGGAGTTGTGCCCATAGAAAAAGAAACAGTCAGTGCCAAAACCATGGCCCAGCAGGATACAGGAGAGAAAGAAACAATGGTAGCCCTCCCTTTCCTTTCTTCAACTCTTGCAGGTAACTTCCATTCACAGAACCTAAGTAAAAGTGAGAGAAAAAGTGGAGCCCATGTAATATGAATTTTTCTTTTTGAGACGGAGTCTCAACTCTGTCACCCAGGCTGGAGTGCAGTGGCGCAATCTTGGCTCACTACAACCTCCACCTCCCGGGTTCAAGCGATTCTTCTGCCTCAGCCTCCTGAGTAGCTGGGATTACAGGCACCCACCACCACGCCCAGCTAATTTTTGTATTTTTAGTAGAGATGGAGTTTCACCATGTTGGCCAGGATGATCTTGATCGCCTGACTTTGTGATCCGCCTGCCTTGGCCTCCCAAAGTGCTGGGATTACAGGCGTGAGCCACTGCACTTGGCCAAGTAACATAATTTTTAAGATCAGACTTCTGAGGCAGACTGCAGGTTGAGAAGGACAAATAACGTAACTGGAGGGAAAATAAAAAATGAACAGCACAGAAACTCCTCTATATGCTGGAGAAAGGAAGCATGCCATTCTCCTCTTAGTTCTTGGAACTCTTAAGGTAATAGGATATGGGTTATGTTATTCGGTAGCTTTTTATTAAAATTAATTATGCCAAGTGACTCCTGTTTAATGAGGCCACAATTGCAATCATGGGCCTTGGAACCAGCTCAGTTTCCTCCACTAAAGGGCACTATGAATAGGAAAGTTATTTAATTTCTCCAAGCCTCAGTTTCATTACCTGGTAAATGAGGGAAATGATAGTATTCAACTGGTAAGACATTCTGAGGAATTAAATGAGATAATGGAGTTAACATGAAGTATCTAGTGCACATGGTAAGAGTTTGGTACACATGCATTATTTTAAGTCATATAAGAAGGAGTAAAGAATACCAAAGGATCACCATTCCCCAGTAGAATATCTGTATTAGATACAGAGGACACGTGGAAAATCCACAGAATTGAAGTACTGTGAGAGCCTTATTTTTATGAATTTTTTATTCATTCGACGAGGTTTTTAAACATTTCTTTGCCGTGCCTTTGTCAAGCTGATGTAACCTGTACAGAATAGCGTATTCCTAGAAAAAGGCTTTTAAATACATAAATAACATTCATAGAATTATACATGAAAACAATTATAAAAACATTTGCGTATTTACATATAAAACCATCAGAAAACTTAAAAAACAAATTTATGACATAGTAATGTATTTCTTTTTTAGTAATACATTACAAAATAAGTGCCAATAGTTATACTAATAACTTACATAATTTTGAAATAATACAAGACAACATTTCTAGATATCAGCAATAGCTATCATTTGAAAATAGAATATCTGTGATTTCTATTGCTGATACCAATATGGCTAGTACTGCTGGAATTTGTGGCTTTACATTTGCAATTGAGAGAATTACTGATCAGTTGGTAAGAGGTTAATGAAAATTGATAAATATTTTCATACCCAAGTTCACAGATCACATTGGTTTATACCCACAAAGCATTCGGGGTGCACATGCTTTGTAGTCTCACATGATGTCTGGGAAATAGTATTCACTCAATAAATGTTTGCTAAGCTGAAGTAAATAGAAACAAAAGAGCTATACATACATACAGAAATAAAGTATTAAAAAGAATTACTTGCATACAGCAAATTACTCTTAGTAAAGCAATAAGATTCTACTCATGCAGGTAAGATTTCATTAGATCCCACCTGTAAACAAGAATAGTTTGTATATAAGAGAACCAGTTCCTTCAGTTATCCTGTAATCACAAGGCTTTAAGAGAAGACATAAAGAAAAGACTATGGAGAATGTTAAGGAATAGACATTTTAAACCCGACAGTAACGGATAAGAGAAATCAGGAATAATCATTTTATACATAAAATTTCTTTTCTGAGGAAGAAAAAAATCCTCATAAATCAATAACTGACCCCAATCAACACATAAGAAAAGAAGATCAACAAATCACAAAAGATGTAGAACCCCTGGTAACCAGTACATGTGAATGTGCTCATTCTCCCTGAGAAGCAAAGTACATAGGGGTACTTGAAAAATCACCACACACTCCTACTACCTATCAAGTTTGCAAAAAATGCTGGGAAGGTTGAGATGAAATGGGAACTTTTCATACATTGCTTGAATATGAGAAAGTAACTTGGATCAACCATCACGAAAATAATTTGACAAAAGGCATCAAAGCCTTAAAACATTACTGCTGAGCTCACATACAATATCTAATTTAATGTACTACAACCCTATGAGACAGATCTGAATGGACCCATTTCATAAAAGAAGACCCAAAGGATCTGTGAGGCTATTTCCTCCAAGCCATAGAGCTAGTGGGACGCGGCAACAAGATTCCAATCCAGGTCTCTCTAGCACCAGAGCCTGTGCTTTGTCCAGCACACTCCATCACCTAAGCTTTCGGCAAACAATTAGATCTTTGCTAATATGACCTAACACAGTAATTTGAATACAAACAGGCTACACACATCATGACATTTATTGAAACATTGTGAATAATATCAAGGATAAACTCAAAGCCCAGTAATAGCGGAAAGGTTAAAGGAATTATCAGGAATTACTTTTCTAATTAGTTTACAGCTATTTAAAATTCTATTGCTGAGTGCCGATAATAACATGGAGAAATACCTATGGTACCTTCAGTAACAAATGAGAGTATAAAATAGTATTATTACAATTATGAAAAGTTTTAAAAAATAATTATACAAACAAAAAGACTTAAAATACATATAAATGTTAAGTGACTTACTCTGAGTGGTAGGCTTTGGGTAATTTTTTCTCTCTTCTTTCTAATTTATTGGATTTCTACATTTTCTATAATTGGTATTCATAACATTTGTGATGAAGGAAATATAAATTTATTTTTTAAAGCTGAAAACAGGAGATAAATGACATAAAGAATATATTTAGATGGTACAAGAGCCTAAATTTCTCAATAATAAGTCATAATATTGCTCTGTCAAACCTAACACTTCATCTCCAACAATTAATGTTTTAATGTGTTTTACGAGGCATTGCCATCTATTTTGATATTACCTCGAAAGATCAATATTGATGGCCATTATATGCAAAACAGGGCACCAACACAGAGGTGAAAATTCTGTTTGTCGCTGGACTTTGCCATTAATTAGTTTTGTGATTTGGGGCAAAGTCCTAACCCCTCTGAACCTTATTTACAAAAGATTATTATCATTAAATTATTATTATTTAAAATGGTTACCATGAGTTGCTTGAATATACCCTTCTAGAATGACATTAATCATTAAGGGTGGAGGTTATCTCATACAGATGGTCAACTCAATGTATATATTGACACCCACCTCTTTAAAAAAAATTATACTTTGCTGGCAGAAGACAGAAATACTAATATTATACAATTAATTATATAGGAATTAAAGTTTAGGATGGAAAGATAGTCAAAAGAGAAAAACTAACATTCCAATCAGAGGGCAATACAATTTCTGTGACCAAGCATGAAGCTTGGCTCTGTGTTTCACAGCAGCCAATGCAAAGCGGTTCCATTAAGTGGGCAACTGTGGTGATCAGATAGAAGGAAGTAGGCCAGTGCCTTCAGGGACACAACAGTTTTACAAGGAACAAACTCTGTGTATGACTCTGTATGTGTGTGTTTGTGTGTGTGTGTGTGGCGGGGGATAATATAAGAAGAATCAAATAATATGATGGGTGACGATCACTAGTAATTTTTCACAGCAAATGAAGAAGGAAATTCCACAGGGCTATTTTTTGCAGTGACTTTTGTGAAAAGTCAAAGATTTAACATAAACCCAGAAGCCAGTAAAGGCAATCCCATAAGGCTTCAGGTGATGCCAATCAAGACTGTGGTACTCCAGGTATTCTCTTTTCCCCCACTTTCTCTCATTTATTCCTGTTCCTTCCTTTCCTTTTTTCTTATTTTCCCTTTAAATCCATTTGGTGGCTGCAACAGAAAATAGCTAAGAATGTGAACTCTTGGATCAAACTACTTGGTTTAAATTCATATTCACATAGATACTAGTGATTGACCCTGGACATGTTATTTAATCTCTCTGTATCTCTGTTTCTTCATCCATCAAATGGGGTTAATCAAACCTACCTTACGGGATTTGTGTGAAGGTTAAATTATAGAATGCATACCAAGTGCATAAAACAGTGCCTAGCACACAATAAGTAACTGGTAAAGGTTAGTTAGAACAACAATACAATAATAACAACAATAATAAAGTAAGTATTTCGTTCATTCATTCATTCATTCATTTGGCAATTATTTTTGAGTTCTACTATGTAGCAGCCAATGTGCTAGCTGTTAGGTGTTCAAAAACACATGTGTTTTAGCGTTATGTGTTTAGATGTCTGTCTCTATTTTATGAGTTTTTTGGGGGGAAACATGTATACTAGCAAAGACAAACATCTAAACAGGTAATACTAAAAGAAATTAATATTGTAGATGATTATAAAAGAGGACACTCAATCTTGTTTGGTAGAAAGGAGAGTAGGAATCAAGGAAAGCTTCCTGGAGGAGGTGATTTCTGAGGCAAATCTAAGGGGCAAACACTAGCATGTAATGTTTTACCCTGTGCTGGATACATGCGTAACTTAATTCATCTAGTTCTTTCAACAATACTGTGATGTACTTTTATGGCTATTTTACAAATAGGGAAGCTGAGGCATGGGGAAATTAAATAACTTGCCCAAGGGCAGATAGCTAGAAAGTGACAGAGAGCTACATGGCTACATTCTTAATCACATAATTGTATCTTCAGTGTCTTAAATCTTAAAGGACATATGGCAGTTACTCAGGCAAAATGAGGCATGTTTCTGCACAGAAAGGATAACATAGGCACAAAACAATGATGAGGGGGACAGCATGGTGTTGGGGAAGAGGTCAGCATTTCTCAGCAGTGGTGCAGCAGAGTGTAGCAGGAGGAGGTTATAAGTGTGGAGGGGCATGGAACGGTGAGATCACAAAATATTTTGTACGCCATGCTGATGAACTTGGACTTTGTCCTGTTGGACTCAAAAATAATCATATGTGGGTTTGAAACACATTATATGAGCAATAATTTTGCTGTGTTTGACCCTGAGCATCTGACTAAGTATCTCTGATTTCATTAGGGAGAAACAGGACAAGTAAAATATACATTGCAGAGCAGGCATTGATGTGTGTGTAAAGTGCATGATACCTAGCAGACATTCCACAAAGGTCGTTATTCTTGCAAAACACATTACAGGCAGCCTGAGTGGAGACATAAAGGATTCATGTGTGCCCAAGATTAAACCAGCGCCAAATGCAGTGCAAAGGACCTACATCCCACATAGGATTAGGGCCCGCCCTGAGCAGGTAAACATTTCACAAGATTAAAATCTACCTTTGAACTTTCTTTAGGAAGTGGCTGATATATCATCTCTCAGCAAGTCAAACATTTAAGTATTGAAGTATATTACTATTGCTTCTATTGATGAAGGAGATGTATCCATCTTTGTCTACTTATCTGCATGTCTCTCTTTATGTCTATTTCTGCTAAAGGAGTATAGCTGAATTCACGTGTTACATGAAAATATAATCTAAGTCTAAATAGGCAAAGAAGCGGGGACTAAACCATTATATGGTTTTCTCATTAAGAAAAAAAAACAGTCATTAACTGAGTCAAAATATAAACCTTCGTGTGTGTGTGTGTGTGTGTGTGTGTGTGTATAATGACATATTTAAGTGAACTATTAGAAAATTACTTTTTTTTGCAGTCTCATAAATTCCTGGGATTCACCTATGGTATAAAAGACAAAACAGACTGAGGAAGGGCAGTGACTTGTTGAAAGGAGCACAGTGGTAGTCTCAGAGTTAAAACCAAAAATCCTGCTGTGAAACTTGAGGTTTTACTCTCCTCTGGCCCCAAATACACTTTTTCCCACTGCCTCACTGTAGAAAGAGGCATTGGTACTGAGGGACTGGGCATCTCACCAGAATCTTCTGAGCGTATTGACAGGGATGAGTCATGAGGACTCCAGAGCTAATAAAGCAAGCAAGAAAAAAGAAAGAAACATGGATACAAGGACTCAATAGACTAAGATTTACCCCAGAATAAAAGCCTTCATCAGGAAGAAATAAAAGGACTCTAAATTCTAGAACCAAACACACCAAATAGCTAGAAGCTACCACTACACTATTTCTTATAACGAAACTGGACTGACGAAAACAACAGAGACATATATATATATATATCTTGTTTTATATATATAAATATGTAGGAATTATATATATACATATATGTATATACATATAGATACATATATATACATATGTGTATAGATACATATGTGTGTATGTGTGTGTGTGTGTGTGTGTGTGTGTGTGTGTGTATATGTATAAAGATAGACCCTCTCAAGCAGACTGTGATAAATGAAAGCAGGTAGCTTGAACAATGAGGAGACAGGAAATGTTCTACATCCCTCTATCTATCCAAAGGAAGTCCTCAAAACAAATGAACCCTTTGAAACATTTTAAGGCTTTCAAAACTGAACAGATCTGCACACTGAGAATGGAGGTGAAGAGATACCCTTTTAAAAGGTTATTTCAGGAAGAAAGGAAGTTTTGAAATGTTCCTTATATAATATTCATAATGAGGCTGATAGTGGGAAAGTAAGGAGTTTGAGATAGTCTTAAACATTCACACAGATTACAAAGCATACAAAGTTGTCTCTAGAGGAAAAAATATAGCAGTTACACATATTGGGCAACCACCTTTTGCTGTGATACTGCCTTTGGGATGCTGGGTAGGGGCCTCAGTGTCATCTTGGTGGCCCTGTTGACATGCTCCTGGCAAGCAGCAGAAGCAGGATTTAAAATTAGTCTAAATCCTTCAAATATTTCTTCCACATGATACTGCAAAACAAGCACATGGCTTCGGAGAAAATGAGACAGCTTACATAGGAAGCTGGGGAAACAAATGTGTCAGGAAAGAAACAAAAATTAATAAAGAAATAAAACCTCTTATCTGAAAAAAAAGAGCAAGGTTGAAATATCATACAGAGAAAAATGGTATTTGTCCTGGGAAAAATTACTATTCTTATTATTCAAAATACATGTAGAGTTTTTCAGGCTCAAAATGGTTGTCCTGAGTCCTGGTTCTCTAAAAATAATTCATTCCCACAGTGTCAGCTTTAGAGAGTAACATACCACACCAAATTTCAGTAGCTTATAATAATATTTACTTCTCACTCACTTTACACGTTAGAGGCTGTGGGTCAGCTACTGTGCCTCTGTGGCCTATGTTCTTGGATTCTGTTGCCCAGGTGAATAATCAGGCCCTGTTGAGACATACGTTTCTTATGGCAAAGGGAAAAGAGTAAGAAAGAGAATTAGAGGAAACTTATGATATCTCTAAAACTTCTGATAGGATGTGGCCTAAACTAAGCTTGCATATACTGATTGGCCAAAATACATCCCATGATCAATCCCAACAGCAGTGGGGCAGGATGTACACTTTCCCACAGAAACAGCAATGCTGAGGATGTATAATCACTTTGCAGGGAGGGGAGAAGCACATCACTGGGAGCAATAATACAATCTGTTGCAGTCTACTGACACAGTCACAAATACCTACATCCTTAATGAAAGCAAAATTCACTCAACCTCCATCCATGGAATACACTCTAAAAGTAACCAATTGGCATTGGGATGAATTCTTGGATCTCTTGATTTATAACATGAATAGCTGTGGCTCCATGATATTGTTTGCTGTGTCCCCACCCAAATCTTATCTTGAATTGTAGTTCCCATAATCCCCATGTGTCGTGAGAGGGACACAGTGGGAGGTAACTGAATCATGGGGGAGGTTACCCACCCCCCCACCCCCATGCTGTTTTCATGATGGTGAGTTCTCACGAGATCTGATGGTTTTATAAGGGGCTTTTCCTTCTTTGCTCTGCACTTCTCTCTCCTGCCGTCTTGTAAAAAAGGACGTTTGCTTCCCCTTCCCCCATGATTGTAAGTTTCCTGAGTCCTCCCCAGCCATGCAGGACTGTGAGTCAATTAAACCTCTTTTCTTTATAAATTACTGTCTGGGGTATTTCTTCATAGCAGTGTGAGAACAAACTAATACAGTCCACTTAATTGAACTAAAAACAAAAAACAGATTGTTCACCATACACCTGATGCATATTTGCCAAAAAGACCATAAACAAATTTACTCCCTTTTGGAAGGGGGAAAAAGAGCCACACATTACACTGGTCCAAAGCAATTCTGAAGTCTGGGAGGTCCTTCTTGTTGCATTATCCTCCCTGGGCATAGCTGAATAAGAATCCACCCTCAACCCTCACTCCACCCTGTAGAGAAGCATGCACTGAAAGGTCATTTTACATTTTGAACAGCAACAATCTGTTCAAAGACTGCATTCAAGCTGCCAGTGCTTTTGACAGTGCAACTCTCTGAAAAGCTTTGCTCCTGTTGGTTTTGTTTCTTTGTTTGACTCCAGCCATCTTCATATGTCAATAACCATACTTCTAATTCTATTCCAGGCCTTCCTCTCTCTAGAGAGCTAATCAAGTCTCCATGGGATGATGCCCTTAGTTTCTTTCTTCCTGAGTCATTTTGTGCCTTGAAAGGGCTTACTCACTTACCTCTTAACTGATTCAGAGGTTTTAACAGAAGCATAACAGCCATACTCTTGATTCAATCTTTGCTCCAGGGAGGGCTTTTAATTTGCCTTTGTTGTTCAAATCATTTTTCAACTTTACCTTTTACTGGTTGAAAGTGAGAGACAGGTGCATCCTTTAGTTCCTAAAATCCACTTTTTCCTTTCACTGCTGTTACAAACAGACAATCATTTTCTGAACTCATCTCTTTCTGGTAATATCTTGTCAAATCCAGTTAATTACAACCAAAGGAAACTTGTGTATTGTATCTTTAAGCATATTTTCTAAAAGTCACAGAGTCATTGGGCAGACGACTTGCCTACCAAGTTATAACAAATGACAGTTATACTAAATGTTTTGCCTCTTCACAGTACAAGCTACCATTTTTTTCTAGCCTCCAATAACAATCTCCTGGCCTTCTGCTGCTCAACCCTAAAGTCAGTGTCATATAATTTAAGTTGTTACTGTTGATGTTGACATAGCAGCACTTTACTACCAGTACTAATTTATTCATCAGCTTTGGTGCAGTAAGAAAGAGCTCCAAAGTTGTCATGGCTTAATACAATGACAACTGAGCACCATAGCACAGCCAAGTTGACACAAAAAATTAAGCACCACATACCATATGGTATGTATATAAGTTTGTGTTTGTGTGTGTGTGTGTGTGTGGGTGTGTGTGTGTGTGTATGTTATGATGGAAATTTACATCATAATCATAGTAGGTAGTGATATATACCATAAAAGAAAATGACAGGGTAAGAGGCAGTGATGGTGGGCTAAGTATATTATTTTTTAGGTTGGGTTATTGGAGAGAGTAACATTTGAGCAAATATAGGAATGAAGTGAGGGAAACATTTTACTCTTTTTCCCTTTTGTCATCATCATAAATACATAATACACAAGTGATGTAATTTGTCTGTTCTTTGGTATGAAATATGACATCTATCTAGGAAGCTAAGGCAAGCTAAGAGGGACAGAAATCCAATATCTGAAATAAAGTCTGCTGTAAAGTTTAGTATGTAACAAATTATACCAAAACTTAGGGTCTTTAAAAGAAAAATATTTACTATTTCTCATAATTCTATGGGTTGGTTGGATGGATCTCCTGGTCTGGCACAGCTGGGCTGGACCTGGCTGATCTAGGATGGCCTCTCTCACGGGTCTGGTGCTCTTGGTATATAAATACAATATATAAATATAATAATAATATAAAATGTTGAGAAACTCAGTCAAATTGAACAGGCAGATAATGTCATACGATACCCAGCAACATGAGACAGGAAGCTCTCTCATTATTATAAACACAGTGGCTGAGGCCAATGAACTTTTTGAAAGTCCAAGAAAATATCTGAGTTGTGATTTTAAAAAAATCTAATTGCTGCTGTAAAATATTTAATCAAAACTCCTAAGTCAAAATTTACAAAGGTTCAATCAGATGTCTATAAGTATGCTATGTCAATTTCATTCACTGTCAAATTTAACACTCAAAAACTGACACATTATATACACTAAAACATACTTTTTTTATATTTATAAGTTAAATATAAATTTTGCATCATTTGTTTATTGTCTGCATTTCCCACATGATTAGAAGTTCACTGACGGCAGGCTCTATGTCCTATACTTTATAAAATGATAAGCAACTAGTAGGTATTCAATAATAATTTTTAAATGAATGAATATGTTCATATAAAGTACATATCAGGGCTGGACGCAGTGGCTCACGCCTGTAATCCTAGCACTTTGGGAGGCCAAGGTGGGTGGATCACCTGAGGTCAGGTATTCAAGACCAGCCTGGCCAACATAGTGAAACCCTTTCTCTTCTAAAAATACAAAAATTAGCTAGGCGTGGTGGTGGATGCTGTAATCCCAGCTACTTGGAAGGCTGAGGGAGGAGAATTGCTTGAACCCGGGAGGTAGAGGTTGCGGTGAGCCAAAATCATGCCACTGAACTCCAGCCTGGGCGACAGAGTGAGACTCTGCCTCAAAAAATAAATAAATAAATAAATAATTTAAAAAGTACATATCAGTACAATTCTATAACGTACATGTCCTCAATTCCTTTTATACTCATGCAGATTTATCATCATGGCAATAAGCATGAAGCTGATTTATTGCTATTCACCACGAGAAACAAAGGGGAAGTAGAAAGACATCTCTGAAACTAGAGAGAGTTGCTAAGAAAATAGAATTTATAAGGAAACATAACTTACAAACAGCATAGGTAAAGTATCTTTTTCTTAAAATGGGACGCATTTACGTGCAAATGTTTATTATTAAGAAACACATTATTGTTTTACTGAATGTTAAAGCCAAGTCTCTTTGCTTTATCTTATTTGTATGTATCATTTTAAAGCAAGCCTAGCACATTGTCCTGGCACACAGGAGTTGTCCAATTTGGATATCAACTGGAGCTTGGTGAAATACAGCAGCACTTAGAAGTTTCTGCAAAAAAAATAGGTGGGGAAATACATATATCTCCATCCCTTTTATAAACACACACACACACACACACCATCACATTCTAAGTATATGTAAGTCACGTAGTTAGAAACATATCACATACTTAGAATGTGATATGCTTATAGAGACACATAAAGCTTTATATGTCTCTCCACAGCATATAAAGCATATATTCTAAGCATTTGATATGCTTCAATCTGTAAGGGAAAAACAGTTCTGGGAGTTTTTAAAAACGGTGTTTATAAAATTGCATGAGTAGTATAGTTCACTAATTTTCCAAAAAGCAGAAGCCCTGGAGCCTGGGTGGTTTTCCTAATAAATTACCGGTCCATCACTTGCATAAGAATATATTTGTTTATTCAGAAGCGTGTTTTGCAAATTATCTCTCTAGACAGGAATACATAAATTGAGAGCTTCCTCTATTCTGAAGGATGAAAAAATTTAAGTAAGATTTGGAAAAATAGAAGAAGTCAAGGAACTCGAGGCAACAGACACCTAGAGAGTTTTCATGGGTTAATATTAGTATTAGGAAATGATCCAAGTACAAATCTACAGAACTTTTCATATGACTGTCACATGGCGAAGACTCCCTGAATCCTATTTGAGGACATCCTCTAGGATACCATGAGCCCCAGGTTAAGAGTCATTGAATTGGGGTCCCTAAGTTCCATCCATTCCATGAAGGCATAAACATTTTTGGCAATTGTTTTTTTTTAACCAGTTTCCTGTTTCTCTGTTAACCTGAGTTATGTCAGTACACAATTCTGTGATTCCTTATCTTTTTACGCCACAGTCTTTCCCTAAGGAATTATACCAATCGCATGTTTCCAATGTTGGCTTTTCCCAAATTTTTATCTCCAATCTAGACTTTTTTCTAACCTCCATTTCCTGCATGATGTATACACTTGAGAAAAAAAAAATCTCACAATAATCTCAAACTTTAGATGTCTCCTCAAGATATATTCCTCTTACCTCTTATTAAATAAAACATTTATTTTCACTCAGATGTTCATATAAATCCAGCAGTTGTCCTTGATACCTTCCTCTCCTCCAATATTTCTCTACCAATAACAGAAAGTTGTATTGGTTCTATCTTCAAATTGTGACTCAAGTCTGCCAACTTCTCTCTACCTCTAAGATCACTCTCTTGGTCCAAGCCACCATCATCTCTTTCCTAGAGTACTGTGATTGCTTCCTCAATGATATCTTATTTCCTCTCTAGTCTCCCTCCACTCCATCTTCACAAAGCTGCTACAAGGCTCCCTATTAAATCCAAAATAGGTGACATAACTCCTACGTATGTGCATAAATTCATTCAATATTTACTCATAAATCTTAGAATCCAATCCCAAAGCTTTAGCATGACACTCAAATTCCAAGCATTTTCCCTCCCCTCCCTCTTCAATTCATGCCACCCTCCCCATCTCTGGTCTACACAGAATACGTTGCCTTCCTTCAATTCCTTGAAGATGCCATGTTCTTTCCAGCCACAGAACATTTACACATGCTTTTCCCTATGTTGGGAATGTTCTTATCTCTACCATTCAATGAGTGAATTCCTAGTTGTCAAAGGACAATTGAGCTTAAATGACACCTTCTCAGGGACCTCTTTTTTGATTCCTCAATAAAAATAAAAACCCCTTGGAATGATCTCTCAAGGTTTTGATGTATTTCCTGCAGCACACTGCTCATAATTTGTAATTACCTAACGTGTGATTATTTGTTTAATTTTTGACTACTTATCTCACTAGATTGTAAACCAGAGAAGGGCAAAAATAATTATTCTCTGAATAAGGTATGCCACTGCATTTCCCACATCTAATGCTTAATGCTGTACATTTCATGCCCAAATATATGTTTTAGTAGTTAAGTTGTGGCTAAGAATATGTTTATAGACTTATTTACAAATCCACCAATACTTATTGAGTGTCTACTGTGTACTAGGTGCTGGGGATACAGTGGTGCCTAAGTCAGACCCATCTCCTGTGCTCATAGATCTTGAGGGGTCTACACATGTATAGTCAAATGTCTATAGGAAATTGTCCAAAGCCTCGACTCTCAAATATTTTTAATACAGAAGGATGGAATTTACACATCTAATTTCCACCTTGAAAAGAACAATAATGCATAGCAGAAATACCAAGTGAAAGTAGAAATTCTACCTTAATTCTAGCTACCTTCTCATTCATTCACTTTCTGCCTATGCTAGCAAAGAGAAAAAAAAAAAAAAAAAAGACAGAGAGAGGGAGAGAAGCCACTGGCTTGCATCTCAAATTTCTTTTGTTGATTTGTGTCATAATCTTAATGTTATTTAACCTTTGCTTTTTACACTTAATAGATATGAGTGTTCTGATAAATGTAATAAAAACAGTCAGTAACATGCCAAAGCCTGTCCATAATGGACTAACTTGAGGTGCTGGAAAATAAGGGACCCTGCTTGCTAACTCTTAAGTAATATACTCTAGGCAAGTCTGAACATCATATTAGTACTGATTATAAATATTTAGATGTTCAATTCTCAATATTATTAGCAGAAGTTATCATACAACTGCCCACAACCTATTCTATATACCAAGATGAATTCTCTACTCCCCTCAAATTCTCACCTGATCCTTTCAGAGGGTTAGTATACAACCTCAGAAATATTTTTAGCATGGTTCAATTGAAATGAATTTAAGTTTGCAAAGCCCACTGCATGTTAGTAGACAAATATATATAAGTGAACCACATAAAAACTGTAAACATTATACTTAAATCATAGAGAAAAAAGTAGTACCTCAATTAGTATCTATCCAAACAACCTGCAATTACTTTTCATTGCCAAAAATTATGTCAAAGTATGAGCTCTGTCATTAAGATTTCATTAATAGCAGGGAATATTTGACAAATTTTTATATAACTCCATATAAAGTAGCCACCTAATGGTAAAATCTAATGGTTAGTAAACTAACCACTTAATGGTAAAAGCTTTGATACTTCACTAGTTGCTGAAAGGCTTACACTGTGGTGACACAGAATCGCTTTGCAATAAGGCAAATAAATTTGATAATGCTTATGTCATGTGTCAGTTTCACATGGTACCTAGAAAAGTATTTCTTGGAAATGTTTTCAAAGTATGAAGACGATAAGATGGAAAGAATATATCATTCGCCAAGCATAACACACCAATGTATGCCTTCTCGTAAAATCTTTGAGTGAATAATATGTGAAAAGACAATTCATTCCAATCCATAGAATTCACTGCCTGATACAAAGTGCCAAATCACTGATCAAAAAAAGTTTTAATTGACATTGTGCAAATTATCTATACAGCACAAGCAGCAAATGAAGACTTCTTGCATAAATGAAAAATGAACATTTTAGGCTCTAGATCTGGAACTCACAATCGGGAACTTCTGAGTTCCAGTAGACACAAATAGACTAAACAGCCTAGCTTCAGTGAATTTTTTTCAAACAAGATATATATGTCTCTGTCTATATCTATGTCTATATGTCTATATCCATGTCTAAGGCATCTATATTCATTTACATATATATGTAGATATATACAACCACTTCTATGTGTCAGGTAATGGTACTGGGTAAGATGTTGAGAAACTCAATCTAGTTGAACAGGCAGATAATGTTATACAATACCTAGCAATATGGGAGACAGGAAGCTCTCTCATTATTACAAACACAGTGGCTGAGGCCAACGAACCTTTTGAAAGCCCAAGAAAATACCTGAGTCATGACAAAAAGAAATCTAATTGCTGCTGTAAAATATTAAATTAAAACTGCTAAGTCAAAATTTACAAAGGTTCAATTAGATGTCTATAAACATATTATGTCAATTTCATTCACTGTCAAATTCAACACTCATAAACATTTCATTACACTTGAAAACAATTTGAAGGATAGATTCTCTTAGTTTACAAAAATTATTGAATATGCACAATGACTGCTGAGAAATCATAACAACTTTAAGTTATATGCAGCCAAAGAATTTCAAAGTCCATTACAAAAATTTCCACAAAAATCTCAACAGGAAAATACATTTATTGGGGGATTTAGATGCATTTTTATATGTTTGATATAATATGAGGTGGGGTCTCCAAAAGAAAGAGGTGTCAAGAGTTTATATTAGTCTTAAATCACCTGGGTGTACCAAGGGGGAAATGTTACCATATATAGAAGTGGCTTCTTTGGAGACGTAAAGTTTGAAATATGCTTAAGAGTTTAGGAGTCAATGGGACAGAAAATACACACATGTGCAAAGACACAGTCATAGTGGAACACAACATTTTGGGGCACTGGTGAAGCCTTCATCAGGGCTGGAGGGTCAGGTGCGCATCCTGGAAGGTAGGAAGAGTGTTTGGAAAAATATTAAGGTCAAATAAGGAGCAACTCAGAAGAAAAGAAACCAGTGATGGTTTCTAAACAGGAAAATGACATTATCAAGTACACGTTTTAGGAAGATACTTTGGTGACCACATGGATAATAGGTGGGAGTGAGCCGTCATAGCAGGGATACCCATTTAGTGGTCATTGAAATACAAGACAGGTAACAGACGATGAGAATCAAAGCTTTGGCTGGAAATGTTCAATTCAAGAGACATTTCAGTTTGTGAAAGTGATTCTTGGAGATAAAAAGAGTTTCCTGTCTGCGTTACACCTTTGAGAGCAATTCAGAGAAGGAAGTGTTGAGTAGGATTAGTTTCTCTGAGGTGCAAGTTATTTTATTAAGAAGGAAACTACAGTGGATAAGTCCAAGTTAAAGCAAATACTAATAGATTCTTGTCTTTTAAAAATGCAACGTGGGCTGGGTGCGGCGGTTCACACCTGTAATCCCAGCACTTTGGGAGGCTGAGGTGGGCGGATCGCCTGAGGTCAGGAGTTCAAGACCAGCGTGGGCAACATGGTGAAATCGCATCTCTACTAAAAATACAAAAATTAGCTGGGTGTGGTGGCACACGCCTGTAGTCCCAGCTACTCGGAAGGCTGAGCCAGGAGAATCGCTTGAACCCACAAGACGGAGGTTGCAGTGAGACAAAATCATACCACTGCATTCCAGCCTGGGTGACCAAGCAAGACTCCGTCTCAAAAAAACAAAGTGCAATGTGATTCTTTTTTATTGAATCCAGTACAAACTTAAGTGTCCACTGTGTCAACAACATTATTACCTTGCTATGGTTTTGGAGGGGATAAGCAGGTGGCTACCATCTGGGTTTGGAACATGACTCTGGGTTCTGGACTACACCTTTACCTGTTCATTGTAATTGGATTGACTCTTTTTTTATTCAGCCAGTCTACCTGCCATTCCGAAACAATGCTCTCATTGTGAACCTAGATTGGTACCCTCTCTACTCCAACCCCACTCTCATTTTATCCCTTCCTTTCAAGGGATCCAATCTGTATCAGGTCCGCTTACCTACTCTACAACACATCAATATCCTCTACCTGTTCCTAGTCTTTGATCTTGCTTTTCCTTCTAACCTTCTGCTGACTACTTTCTTTGCTCAATTTGCACCTCTATGTCTTTTTTTATTATTCTTAAAGTATAATCTTTCAAAGCCATATTATAAATTGTCCCAATTCTATTGCTTATAACCTAATAATATCTTAATATATTTAATAAGATCATGACCACCCCTGCAATTCATCACTTTCTATTCCTAGAGATGATGATAATACAAAAAGGGAAATGTGACTTACGTATCATCAAGTATCCAAGAACCTGCTTATCCTAAGAGAGGTGGTAAAGAAAGATTTTATTATTGCCTTCTGAAAAACACAGTGACTGAGCCAGAGAAAGGTCAACTGGACACAGTTACCCACTATTCACTTTCCATACCAAAATTAACTTTATGCTTCAAATACATTTCCATACTCTCCCCATAATCTTTTTTTTTTTTCAATAGTCCTTACCTCAAAAAAAAAAACCTTGCATGATTCTCATAAAGGTGTTTGTCTTATAAACTGATGTTTGGCTCTACCCTTTAGATAGTTATTTCTGTTTAAGCTGTATCCCCTGAAGATCACTGTTCTAACAGTCTCCATCATGCTAGAGGGGAAAGAAAAGGAGAAAGAAAATAACTGGCTTTCTTCTCTTCTCCTTACTATTCCTGCTACTGTCACTACTTTTTCAATTATGGGTTTTCTAATTGTTAACTGTGCTAATACAGCACAAAATGGAGAGAAATGTAGAAAAGCAGAGTGTGGACCTGTAGGAAGCTTTCTCATTAGCCAATGAGTCAAAATTTCCTTATTGTTGTTGTTCTCAGGTTAGCTAAGGATCAAAAATAATAATGGCCATGTGCAGTGGCTCATGCCTGTACTCTCAGCACTTTGGGAGACCAACGCGGGCGGATGACCTGAGGTCAGGAGTTTGAGACCATCCTGGCCAACGTGGCAAAATCCCGTCTCTACTAAAAATACAAAAATTAGCCAGGCATGGCACTGCACGCCTGTAGTCCCAGCTACCCAGGAGGCTGAGGCAGGAGAATCGCTTGAACCCAGAGGCGGAGGTTGCAGTGAGCCAAGATGGTGCCACTGTACTCCAGCCTGGCGACAGAGCAAGACTCCATCTCAAAAACCAACCAACCAAACAAACAAAAATAATAACATATCTCAATACATTAATAGCATAGTAGGTGCTCAGTTAATTTTAAGGTCCCCCCACCCTGACTTTGGTACAATCCCATAAAAGATTGAATTCAATTATTTTTCTATAATCCCAAATTGTGTGATGTTGCAATTGTGTGTCAACCACTCAGAAACAATGTTTTTTTAAAATTTTTCATTATGTATATCAGCCCTCTATTAATTATATTCATTGGAATGATCTTTATTTGAACATCTTTTCATCACAGCCTTCAGCTTGCTGAATATTTCTGCATAACCAGGATCTATAGGCTTCATTTGACTTTCTTTGTTGAATTACCAGCCAAACTACAGAACTGCTTTTGTGCAGTTTATTTGAGTTTTGAAGGCAGGTAATTTACTAATCCTCCTTTCAGATGCTGCCTTTGTTCTTCCCTGAGATGTGTATTGACTGAATGTTTCAAGGGCTTCATTGTTTAAAGTCAATGAGGAAATGAAATTCCCTTTGATAAACTAAACTTGTTGACCTAGTCCTTTACAGAAATTTTTTAAAAATCAATGTATAAATATATGTTGTTGGAGGTGATTATACCTCTTGGTGAAACAAGTAGCTGTGTGTCTTTATAAGGTCTAATATCTTAATATGAGAGCATAATTTTCTCTCTGATGAAACTTTAACCATCCAAAGATGCTAGCAATGATGCAAGGAGTAGCAAGTTGAATAAAAACATTAATAATACATCTCTACAAATCTTCATTCTCACAGACTCTCCCTATGCTGAATCTACACTTAAGTGAACAATTCATTTCCTTGGTATTATTTCTAAACCTTTTGCAATGCATCCTCTCCCCCAGTGACCTATATCTGAGAACCACATGCATGCCCAGCTGCTCCCCTACTGTCTTATTCCCCACTTTTCAAAAATTTTCACTAAAGCATACACTTCCTAGAGAAATGAGGAAGAACACTGTCCAAGAAGTAGAAGAGAGTGGATTCTGTGACTACATGTCACCATTTCTCCTCACTTTTAGCAAATCACTGAAACTCTCTGGACATCATGTAAAGCATCTGTAAAGCAGAAATTGTAATATCTTATCTTTCTAATATTAAATGGTCCCTGAGTTCTCTTTCAACTTTAAGACTCATACACGCACACACACACACACACACACAGAATAGAATTTAAGCCTTATCTAATATAAACTTCATGTTTCAAACATGGGACTACATGCTTCAACTATGTTATTTAGTTAACAAGTTTAATGTATCTGGTCCTCTCCTATCTGACAGGTCTATTATGAGAAAAATATCAAAAAAAAGTCAAAGTACTTTAAAGATCTATAAAATATCATCTATAGGAGAAAACAGTTATTATGGAAACCAAAACAAAAAGCATAATGGCACATAAATGTCTGTTAGGTAGAAGCAAAGACATATGTGGTCAGAAAAACATACCCTGAGAGGCTGCCTGTTGGAGGAGGGTGAGGCAGGCATATGTTTGGAGAAACCAAGACAACAAAAAAAGGTCGTTAGAATTTTGTTAGCTAAGTCAGACTTGAACAAAAAATGTCACCTATGGGGAGGGTCAAGCAGAGGAGGGGAGAAAAATAATGAAAGAAGTATGGCCAAACAGCATGATGAACATCAGAAGCCTCAACTAAATTTGTACTTCTCACTTTGACTTGAATACAAGTCCTTCACACCTGTATGTTAGAAAGCCTGCTTCACATATGGAATCCTGATGTGAGCAGGTTTTCACAGCAGAAATTGTGGAAAATGGCTGAATTCTGTGTTTCGGTCCATGCATTATAGCCAAAAGATAATGAAGTCCAGAAACAAGATACTCTCTAAACTGAAATAATTCAGAGAAAGTAGGACCTCAAAACTACAGGAGAACGTGAAATGACTTAGAGCATGAAAATCTTAGGATAGGTGTTAAATTTACTTTGGATTCAGGTCTGAACCTAATCATCTGAGATAACATGGGCAAGGTTACCAACCCCACCTGACATTTGAATGAGGACAAGGATGATGATCATGATTATGATCACAGTTATAGTGGTCGTGAGTGGCATTGGTATCAAGATAGTTTGTACTTCCATAGAAATGTGTCACTAAGGAAAGAGAAGGATCAGTAAGCCCTCAGTGATAGAAAGGGAATATTAATGAAAAAGAAGAGCCTTTCAACCAATGTAGTTAGTAAAAACTTTGAACCAAAAAATTACAGATCATTTATAATAGAAAACATAATTTGGGATAGAAGAGTGGGGAACATTCCAGAAAAGAAATGTGAGACCTTGAAGAAGATGCTATGAGATTAGACTACATTTTAACATGCACAACAAGATCTCATGAAATTAGCATTCCTTTTTGAATCATAATTATTGTAACATTAAAGGAAATAATTGAAATGAAATAGTAGTCTTCTTCAATAAATGTCTCCACTACTATTTCAACTAATAGAGCCGATGCATTTCCAGAACTCATTTATAATAGTAAGACGAAAAGCCACATAAAATGAATGTGACTAATGTGATAGAGAGAAAATAAAAAACTGGACTTAAAGTTTCAGGATTTAAATTCAAACCCTTACTTAGTTATTGAAAGTTATTTATTGAATGTCTATATGCCTGACTTTGGGTTATATGCAAGAGTATAAACACAACTAACATGGTCACTGCCCTGCAGAAACTCACGGTCTACCGGGGTAAACAAGAAAACAGACGACTTTATTACAGCTTATAAATGCCACCTTAAAAATGTGAGCTGTAAATACAGTGAAGTATGGCAATAAAGAGCACTGACTCAGAAGCTAGACCACCTGAGTTCAAATTCTGGCTTCAGTAATAAATAACTGTTTGATATTGAGTGAATTACCTAACATTTCAGTGCTTGTCTGCTGTGTTATAAAATGGAAATGCTAGAATTGCCTTCGGGGGTTATTACAAGGATTACATAAATTGAAATTCAAACTACTTAAGACAATTCCTGGTGCATAAAGAGGACTGTGTTACCACCATCCTCTTCACTAACCTCCTCCTGTGCTGCTTCATCATCATTGCTATGGAAACACTGAAATTGGAGGAACTAATCTTGTCCAGGAAAAATAGAAAAAGCTTCACAAAGTAAATGGCATAGAAAGTGAGTCTCAAAGTATCAGCTTTGCAGGTGGAGAAACTGAAAAGTATGTGCCAAGTAGAGTGGACCACACACATCCAAAAGTAAAGAATCAGGACAAGCCCTGCTGAATTGTGAGGTACATGCATGGTGAGACTGAAGAGGTAAGATAGAACAAAATAGTAAGAAACCACACGGATGTGGTGTCTTTTATGTAGGTGAATAACAGAATTTATTTTTTAGGATGATGACCCTGGTGGCTCTGTAGAAGACCCTAATAAAATCTCAGTGGCTTTCAACAAAGAAATATTTCTCCCTGCATTACATGTTAGCTGTAAGTCTGCTGCACCTCCATTCCTTGCCTTCCACATTCTAGTAGCCAGGCCAAATGAATATCCCTCATTTGGGGCATTCTTATTCCCTCAGTAGAGGGCAAAGGTAGGGGACAGAACAACATGATGGCTCCTAAAACTTCTGTGCCATGGTGGCATTTCATTTCTGCTCACATTTTATTGGCCAAAATGAATCATATGGTCAAGTCTGATGTCAATGAGATAAGGAAGTATAATCCCCCCAAAGGGAAGAATGCCAGAAATCAAGTGGTGGCAAAATCGGACTTCAGGAGAGTAGGGAGCTATAAATCTCTTATGGGGAAGGGCAAACATTATTTTGAAAAATCCATTATCTTGGTTATCTATTATATACATATTCCCTGAAACAGCGGCTTAAAAATTTCTTATGCTCATGATTCTCAGGTGTTCACACAGGGCTAGTTTGGAGTAAATGAGTGGCTTCATTCACTTGATAGATTTCTTAGCAGAAATGGCCTAAAGGTTAGATTCAGCTGAGCTTCTCTCCCTCTCCCTATAGTCTCAGAGTCTCTCCATGTGGTTCCTCCAGCAGGGTGAGTAGTGGTCAGACTTATTGATGCTCGGGGCTTCAAGAGATCAAGGTAGAAATCATCAGTCCTCTGAAGGTAATAGTGTCCATTATATTCTGTTGGTGAAAAATGGGGTCACAAGCCAACCTAAATGCAAAGGGAGAAGAAATTAACCCAAACTCTTGATGAGGAAGGGTCAAAGAATCTGCAGCTATTCTCCATAGATGTAAAGGGCAGGTGGGGACAGACTAGGGAGCTGTTTCTGAGATGGAATAAGAAGTATATGTTGACCATCTAAATGTGGAATGGGTAAGAACAAATAGAATTGCAAAGAAACACTACCGAAGATAAGAAGGTCATTTCTCCAATATTCAGATGGAAGGGCTGAAAGAACTCATATCACAAAAATAAAAAATTATTTTACATATCCTGAATTATCCAATAAATTAAAAGGAAAAATTTTCTATCAAGATGGGGATCACATCCAAGAGATTTATTTCAAGATGTTATTTATGTATGGTGCTTGTAAAAGTGCTAGAAAAACATACAAAAAAAAGCATATGTTAAATCAAAATAAACTTTATTTTAGAAAGTCACTTTAAGTATGTGGTGATATCATTAAGCCTTATTAATATGCTGTTTATTTAACAGATTAAAATGCATAAGAACCATGTCCCATTCATCTTAATTAGAAAATACACTTGTCACAATTATTTGCTTTATATTTTAATTTTTATGAATATTTTGAAGCTATCCATTGATGCTATTAGGATCAACCTTCCCCTTGGTTTGTAGTTCTGTGATCCCAACGCCACAGCTCTCTTGAGGCACTACGCGGCATTTCTCACCTCTCTGCCAACGCCTGGCTCTTAGATCTGTTTTGGAGCTGAGAATAGCTACAAGAAAATAACTGTAAAGATTTTAGTGCTCTCAACAAGGACGTCTTTCTCTCTGATCTTCAGATTTCAAAATATTTTCTATCCCAAATATTGTACACAGCCACAGGTGTGAGATAATAGATGCTGGTTGACATAGAATATCAAATTCTAGAGATCCAAGAGATTTTTGAGATTACTCTCTCCAGTTGTTTGTTTGTTTGTTTGTTTGTTTGAGACAGGGTCTTACTCTGTCACTCATGCTGGAGTGCAGTGGCACAATCACAGCTCACTGCAGCCTTGACCTCCTGGGCTCAAGTGGTCCTTCCACCTCAGCCTCCTGAGTAGCTGGGACCACAGGCACAAGCCACCACCCCATGCTAATTTTTAAATTTTTTGTAGAAACAGGAGTGTCCTCGTGTTGCCAATGCTGAACTTGAACTCCTGGGTCCAAGTGATTCTCTAGCCTCAGCCACCCAAAATGCTGGGATTATAGGTGTGAGCCACTGTGCCTGACTCTCCAATGTTTTCCAAACTCAATCATTCACTCGCCACTTTCTGTATGTTGCACCAACCACTAATACCTTTTTCCTATAAACTGACTTACAGTTTTTACTTAATATATTTTAAGGGAAAAAGTATGTATTGCTATTGTAGTGGAAAATTAGTTGAATTTGCCATAAATTGTTGGTGATAATACAAATGAATACATTGAAACAAAACAATATTACTAATGAAACAAAATGATATTGCTAAATTCTAGCTCGATATTTTTGCTTGCCAGAGGCATGGAGCCTGAGGTTTCTTCACACTGTTAGAAATGGGATTCTGAAGCTTGAGATTACCAGGATCAAACTGAAGTTTTCTCCTTGAACCAGAAGAATTAGAAGAAAGTTGTAAAGACATAAACACCTTTTACATGTTATCCAAATGGACAGTGCCTGTGATGCACCCCAAGTCATTTTGTTATTTTTATTAGCAACAGGTCCTTGTTTGGGAAACATTTCCTCTTCCTTTCCCCTCATTAAAGACAAACTTATTGAGTGTATCTTGTATCCAGATCTTTATTTCTAATTCTATTCTCCAATAAAAGGAACCAACGTTCCTTGAAGAAATGGCTGATTCCAAGGCTAGGATGGGAGATGTACCACGTGACTCTGGAGCATCTTGTAGTGGAAGAAAAGTAAAGAAGTTCTTTACAAAACACAAACACACACACACACACACACAGAGCAAACGAAAACACAATGATGGGGTATATTAACGTGACAGAAGAGCCAACTGAAAGAGCTTCCAATGGTCAAACCTGGAACAATTTGAACAACAAAATAAAGTAGTATGGGATTATACCCCATAGAATGAAATAAATATCTATGAGTCCATACTGGTTAAAATAAATGATCAAGTAAATGGGTTAAAAGAGATAGACCTCCCATGCAGGAGAATTCCAAATAATTGATGTAAATACTTCACCCTCAGGAAGGTGAGGCATAACTCACCACTCCTTAAGTGTCGGCTAAACATAGTGACCTTATTCCACAGTATGAAAAGTGGGAAAACTGTACAGTGGAGGAATCTAACAAGCATTACCTCAGCAACAGAGAGACAACAGCATTAAGTTAGGAGGATAGTATATACCCCTGATAGAATGTGATGAGAATGAACTGTTATAAATAAAGTTTTGGTGCCACAAAAGAAATAGCACTTGAATATAAAATTTTCTTTTTAATCCTCAGCAAGACAATTTACTTCTATAGAAGGGTGCGCCCTCACAGATGAAGCAATGGTGAGCGCACACTTGGACAAGGGAGGAGAAGGGGTTCTTATCCCTGATGCAGGTGGCCCCTGCTGCTGTGTCATTCCCCTATTGGCTAGGGTTAGACCACACAGGTTAAACTAATTCCGACTGGCTAATTTAAAGAGAGTGATGGGGTGAGTGGTTTGGCGGGAAAAATGGTTACGATAGAGCAGGTAATCGGAATGAGTCAGGGTGGAGTAGGTAACTGAAAAAGGTTGTTCTATGAGGAAGTTAAGTTTAAAAGTAGAAGGCAAAGAATTGAACACACTAACATATTGATTCTTTGAAGAGAAAATTTAGAACTCACATCTAACAGAACTTCACCTCTGTTTTCTCCCTCCAAGAAATCTACAACCCTAGTATAATAATGACAAAACAACAGACAAATCCCAAAAGAGGGGCAGCCCACAAAACCCTGACCAGAATACATAAAACTATCAAGACCACCAAGAGCCAAGAAAGCCCGAGACATGACAACTGAAGTAATGTGGTATCCTGGATAGGAATGTAGAACAGAAAAAGGACATTAGGTAAAAGCTAAGAAAATTGAAATGAAGTATGATTTAACAAAATAATAAACCAATAACATATTGATTCATTAATTGTAACAAATGTACCATGTTAATGCAAGATGTTAATAACAGGGAAAACTGGGTATAGGATATACGAGAATGTTTTGTACTATCTTCTGTACACCTAAAACTCTTCTAAAAGTAAAGTTTATTTTTGAAATACACATTCATTTATCTATTTAACACATATTTTTCAAATGTCTAATAGATTCCAAGGTTCACACAAGATACATGGGGCACAAACATGGTAACTACTCTCATGGAGATAATGTTGATACACAGAAGTTAAGTGACTCATCCAAGGTCACACAGCTAAGAAGAAAGAATAGTTGGAGTTGCTGCCAGACCCAAGATTTTCCACTCTATGGCAGCCTAATTCTTTCCATATTCCTGACACATTCAAGAAGATACTCCTTGTTGAGCTACTTACAAAGTGCAAGTAAACTTTTAAATAAATCAGCAAACATTTATTAAATTTGTACCATGTTCTCAGGATAGGACTACTTGCCGTGGGTTAAAAAACTGAACCTGTAGTCTCTGCCCCCTAGATAGGTACACTCTTTCTGTGAGTATTAAAAAAGAGCATAAGCATAGAAAATTTAAGTATGACCCTCAATAAACTTGAGGGGTAGGTTCTATGAAACAGTAATAGTCAAATAAATGGAAAGTTTCATAGGAAAAGATGACTTGAACTAAGCTATTGCTCTAAGTAGAGTGTCATTATGCTACAATGCCACTTATTATAGTGATTATTGACACTTATTGATACTTATTGTGGTGATTAAGAGCATGATCTGAAAAGCTAGACTGCTACAGTTCCAATCCCAGCTCTTCTTACAAAACATGTGATCTTCATCAAATTATATAAGCCATCTGTCTTCCTCTATTATAAAATGTAGCAATAATGGCACATTTCAGATAGGGTTGATTTGAGGACTCAGGGTTCCAGGAGAAAAAACAATGACCCAATCACCCTAAAAAAAAGTCTAGGAGAATTTATTTCCAAAGGGGCTATCATCAAAGACATGTATACGGGAAAACCACAAAGAACCTAGAATTCTTAGCTGCTGACCTCTTACCATCCCTAGACTAAGGGATGAAAGGAGGGGGTTTTTACTGAAGCCCAAAAGGAGAATCATGTAGTCTGTTTCCTTGTGAAGACCAGTGTCCTTTGATGAAGCCAGGGAATTAACACTCAGATTTCGCACTCTACCTTCCTTCTAGTTTCTGACAAGTCTCTCTGGTGCCCCTACCCAGCAGAAAGTAGATGGCAGCCTTTTTGATGTAGCCCATGCTGGTTAGTCTCCTGGAACAAAGGGCAGAATGGTAGCTCTGTAAGGACCATCATGAACTAATATGTATAAATAGTTAAAACATGTCTGGCACACAGTAATACCCAATACATAATAACTATGACTAGTATTTGTATTACTTCTATGTTATTAGTATTCAGCACAATTTCCAGCATTTGGTAGGAAATTAAAAACATTCGAGTAATGAGTAGAGGACAGGTACAGAAGCAGGATAGGAGTTGCTGTAGGATGTTGATACAATATAAGTTATAGTCACATATATACAATCGATCATAAATACATCATTGAAAATGACATGAGTTTAAATGAGTTGGAATTTTAATGTTGGAGAAAAGTAAGATAAACTTGTAGGGGTAGCTCCTGAAGTAGTTAGAAAACAAGTCACATTATTAAAACATACTGTTCCACACAGAGAGACAAGTTAGGAAGGAGTTAGGGGCAGTGAGGTACAAGGAAAAGATTCAAGCTTTGAGGCACAGAAATATGTTCACCCAGATCTGTGTGACATTGAGCAAGTTCCTTTTTTCTCTGAGTCTGTAATGGTTAATTTTATGTGTCAATTTTACTAGGCTATGAGATGCCTAGACATTTAGTCAAACATTATTCTGGGTGTGTCTGTCAGGGTGTTTCTGGATGAGATTAACATCTGAATCAGTAGACTGAGTACAGCAGATTGCCCTCCCTAATATGGGTGGGCCTCACTGCAATCAATTGAAAACCTGAATAAGAGAGAAAAAAAAGGCTGAGTAGGAGGGAACACTCCTTCCGCCTGGCAGCTGAGCTGAGACATTGGTGTTTTCCAGCCTTCAGGCTCAGACTAAAACATGGACTCTTCTTGGGTCTCCAGCCTGCCCACCTTTAAACTGGAACTTAAGCTATTGACTCTCCTGATACTCCAGCTTTCAGACTCAGACTAGAGCTACACCATGGGCTCTCTTGGTTCTCTGCACTGCACATCTTGGAACTTGTTAAGCTCCATACTCACAAGAGCCAATTCCTTATAATAGCTAGATACCAATATAGATAGATGATATAGATATAGATATAGATATCGACCTCCTGTTGTTTCTGTTTATCTGAAGAATCCTGATTAATACAGACAGCACTAGTACCCTAATTTAGAAAATGGAGATTGTCAGTAAGAGTCGATGAGTAAAATCCTATGCAAAGCAACTGACACATAGTAGGCATTCAGTGAATATGTCTTTTCCCCCTGAGAGTTGAGAGATTGAAAGCACAGCCAGTAAAATAAAATGGAGGGCTATCTTTCTAATAGACATCCTTCCTGCCTCTAGTCTTTAATAGAGTCCATTAATATCTATCAAACATTCCTAGGAATGGAAATATAAAGCCATCGTTGCTGTATATGTGGCAGCCTAATGAGCCAGCTGCTCCCAGTGAGGCAATAATTTACTCAAAGGTCCACAAGTGTTGAGTTAAGCATGAGTTAAGGCAGCTTTCCAAATTGACCAGTTCTTCCACAAACAGATTGCATTATTATGCTATCCTTTCTATGTAATTTGCTCACCAGGGCTCTATGCAGGATAAACCAATATGGTATCTGCCCTCTAGGACTTTTTCCTGCAAGGAATTCGCTGACAGATTTAATCACCCCAAAATCATGAAGTCAGCTCTCTTAGTTCCAGGCCAATGGAGTTTTTCTAAACCATAGCATTCTCAGACCAAGTCATGTGTATCCATTTCTTGGGGAGGGGCTACAGTAAGGATGACATTGGGCAATTTCTCAAGTCCCATTTCTCAGTAAAATGACTCAATATTTGTGCACACAGGAGCTTTTTTACGTTGGCCAATCCATAACAGATGATGATGTATATCACTTAACAGTGATGGAAGGCCCAGCTGCAGAAGTCATTTTCTGGAGTCAAGGATTGCAGCCCCCAGGCTAATTCAGCAAGAGAGATATTTATGATCTTAGCAATGGGACCGGAAGGCTCTCTGTCCCCACTTCTGAGCCTGGACAGTGCCTGCGGAGAGACTGGATTGCATTTTCTTCACCAGTGCTTGATGTTTAAACACATTAGAGGGACTTTGAGAGCCAAAATGACTGAATAAGATGGTACCCCAAAAAAGTCTCTAGTATAAAGCACCCTACCTCACAAAGCAGAAAACCAAGTTACCAGATCCCTTCCAGTCCTAACTAGCCATGTCACCTTGGGCAAGTCACTTAATTTTTCTGGGATGAAATTTTATGACCTGAAAAGTAGGTTAATAACGTCGCTTCAACTTCAAAGCCTAGAGCAGGTAAGTAGGTTTCCTGAGGTTCCTTTCAGCTCTGGTGTATCTAAAATTGTGCTTTTTATTCTGGGTGAAAGCGACATTGATCGGCATTAGCATATTAATACTTGACAGATTCCCTTTGCATGGTGCTTTTGCTTTTACTAAGAATATTTATGTACATTGATTGCTTAATTCAATACACAGCCTTCCTCTTAAAACTAGGCAAAGCAGAATTATCATTCCGTTTGACAAATAAGAAAATTGAGGTTCAGAAGGGGTAAATGACTGACCAAATTGTTGCTCTCTCATAAAAGCATGCACTGCTGCCTCAGTCCTTTAGAGCTTACTTTTCTCTAAGTGGCCTGCAACTCTCTCTTAAGCACTTTGTTCGGGTCCCTCTGCTCATCTGCCACCTTCTTAGAGATGCCTTCTCTGATCACCCTAGATAAAACAGCAATACTCTATGCTTTCATTTTGCCTTATTCTTCTTTATAGAACTTAATATTTTAAGATAAACTCATCATTTATATGTTTATTGATTTATTGGTCTTTTGTTCTTACTAAAAATTAAGCCGTGTAAGTACAAGACTTGATCAAATTTTGCTCATTCTTACATTCTTAACACCTAGAATAATGTCTGCTCAGTAACAGGCCCTGAATAAATAATTGTTAGTGATATAATAAACAAACGAGGTGAAATGGGGAAGGCACTGGAAACTTTGGTAATTGTCTTTAGAAAAAAAAATGAAAGTAGCCTTTTACCTTAGCTATTTGAATTTTGGTTCATTTTCTAGAATATCATCATTAATTTTGTCTGATACATACTTTTTATCTCACTTTCTGAAGAAAAATTAGGCAGTTATTTGATACTGTTTTAAACTATCTCTTTTCCCTACTTTATGAAGAAATATATTTTCCAAGTTCAGGATTCATTGTACTGATCCTTGAAACAGAATATGAAAATTAAAAAAAAAAACCGTGGTTTCTAAACTGGCTGTATATAAAAATCACCAGGGAATATTTTTAAAACTCAAAATTCCTCGGCCCTACCCTTGGAAAATTTTTATTCTGTGGGTCTGTGGAAGAACCAGAATTTGTACGTTTCAAACATTCCCCAGCTGATTCGACTGCACAACCATGTTTGAGAGCTATTGAGTCATATCACCTGTAAAGATTCCTTTCTGTTAAATGTTGTTATCTAGTACTTGAGCAAGCTTCCAGGATGGTTGAGTTACAGCCACAAATTTTGCTTAGTTAGAATAAGAATCATATAAGCCTTACGTGCAATTACAAGAAAACTTCGGCACAGGGATCTCCGATTACGTGGATAGAGCACAAAGGTCACGCAGACATATTTTTTCTTATCCTAAAGATCTACCCTCAGGGAGCAGGTGCCTAATTATTCTTCTGGGTATGACACGAGGTCCCCAAAAAGAATACTGTTAAGAACAAGGCAGAATAGTCCAAACCTAGGAAAGAGGATTAAGGCAAAAACTTGGCTCAATGCACTGGTCCAATGTGATGTATAGGATGAAGGTAAATCTGAGAACATTTATTCCACCCTCCACAGATATTTACTGAGCATCTACTAGGGCCTGGGGACACACCAGTGGACCTGACATGGTTTCTGCCCTCCAGAAACTTACACTGAAGTGTGAAAAAGAGAAATACACTAAACATTGCAATACAGAAGCGTAGGGTTGCTATGGGTAAACATTGAAAGAATGTCTAACTCAGTCATGAGATGATGAAAGTTAGCTCCAAGCTAAAACCTGAAAGATGAGTAAAAGTTGACAAACGTTTAAGTTGGTTTTTTTGTTTGTTTGTTTCCTTCCCAGATGGTGGATTAGAGGCTTTCAGTGTGCCTCAGCCACTTGGAAATAGCAAGACAGTTCATAAAGATCAGCTCTGTTCGCTTTAATTCAAGATGGAAAATTGGAATCCTCCAGAATTGTGAAGGACACCCCAGATCCCAGGCAGGAAAATACGAGCAAACAGCCCTCATGATGGTGGCTAGCTGATAGGAGCAAAGCCCCAGTACACGAGGAAAAAGGGGAGCCTCCTTTTGTGACTCACCTTTCCAGTAGGGACCCTAGCATCCCAAGCAAAGATAAAACACTTTGCTTCTCTAAGTTAGGGAGCTAACTTGGGAAGAGGCTTGAGGTCACTGAAAGAGAAAGACACTGGGATAAGTTGCAGGCATTTTCTCAGACCTAGGACGAAAACAGGATGCCATATTTAATCCAAGCACCTACAAAGTCAGTCATTCTTTGGTGACCTGGTACTGTGGCCATGCAGGCCACAGGAAGGTCTAGGGCCGGAGGCTGGAGCATTTGCTCTGGAGTGGAGCAGGGGGCTCCACAGCCAGAGTGGTGGTAAATGCCACAGTAGTAGGTGATGGAATTGTACTCTCCCTTTTTCACAGGCCTGAGGTGGGAGGAGAGCTGCTACAGCTGTGATTTCTCCTGGGTGACAAGGCTTGCAGTCAGGGACAGCTTGGTGACCTGGAATGAGTCTACGGGTGCTCTCCTGAGATCATGGTACAGTAGTGCACCCTCTGCTCCGGCCCCAGGCAGAACTCCAGGCATTAATCTCCAGGCATTCAGAGCACCCAGAGGCATAGACTGACATCCTGAGCAGCGTGACCCTTTCTGTGCAGAGATCTTGGTGCAGGTGGGGCCCCAGGCAGATCCCCAGGCAACCCATTGCCTGATCCATCCAGGCAGATCTCCAGGCACTCAGAGCACTCACTCACCTGCCAGCAGACTGACCCACCCCACCCTTCCTGGGCATAAATCATGGTACAGGGGGACCACCTCTGTTCTGCACCAAGGCAGATCAGATCTCCAGGCATTCAAAGCACCTGCTCACATAGAACAGCAGCCTGAGTTGCTCCACCCTTACTGTGCAGAGATCTGAGTATATGAGGCCCCTCTCTGCTCCAGCCCAGGCAGATTTTCAGGCATTTGAAGCATTTGCTCACCTAAATCAGCAGCCTGGGCCTGCCCACTCTTCCTGTACAGAGACTGCGGTGAAGCGAGGTCCTGGCTGCCCCACACTTAGGTATATCTCTAGAGAGTTGGACACCTTCGCATGTGGATTAGCAGCCTAAGCCACTATATCCTTCTAGTGCAGATTGTGATGAAGTGGGTTCCTCCCTATTTCATGCTCAGACAGATCTCCAGACATCTGGAGCACCCACTCTCTTCACCCTCCCCCTGTGCAGAGAACTTGGGGCCAAGGAGGTTTCCCAGCTCCATGCCTTGGCACACCTCTGCATGCTTGGTGGCCACCCACTTGATTCTTCCTCAACGCTGATGTTTGAGGAAGAAGATCAATAGGTCTGCCATCAGGGAACAGGTAGATAAGCCTGCTTGGTTCATCCTGGCCCATCTTCTCCCACAACTTTACCAGGGCTGAGAAGGGAGCTGAGACCACTGTGCACTTTATAGATCAGCCTATTGCCTGAGGCAACAGAGAGCTTCTCCCAGTAAACAAGAATCCAGTATATACCCAGCTGTCTGGGCCACAGCCAGCTCTTTCCCATAACTTCCATCTACTGCCTTGTGGGTTGAATTGCACAGCATAATATAAAACCTGCCAACAGAGGTGCCTAAGGCTATAAAGGCAAAGTCAAAAGACCCTACTCAACATCCTCTATAGTCACAATTCCTAGGAAGGCAGAAAGGAAAGGAAAATAAAATATATATATGTAGAAAAGAAAGAAAAAAATCCCACCCACATGAAAATAATTATAAAAATTAGAAGTGCCAGTTTATTCAGATGAAAATAAACCAGCACAAGAATTATAGTACCATGAAAAATCTGAATGTAGTGACACTACCAATGGTTCACATTAGTTTTCTAACAATGATCACTAACCAAAGTGAAACTCAGAAATGACAGATAAAGAATTCAAAGAACGGACTGCAAGGAAGCTCAACAAGATCCAAGACAAGGTTGAAAATTGACACAAAGAAACTTCTAAAGCAATCCAAGAAATGAAGAAAGAGATAACCATCATTAAAAAATTTATAGTTTATGGAATTAAAATAAACTCACTTAAGGAATATCAAAATACAATTGAAAATGTTATCGATAGACAAGCTCAAGCCAAAAAAACAAAAGAAAAGATTTCACAGCTTGAAGACCAGTTTTACAAACTAACCCAGTCAGACAAAAATAAAGATTAAAGAATTTTAAAAATGAGCAAAGTCTTCGAGAAACATGGGATTATGTAAAGTGCAACCAAATGTATAAATTATTCGCATTTCTGAGAGAGAAGAAGAAAAAGCAAACAACCTGGAAAATATATTTAAGGAAATCATTCAAGATATTTTGTCTTAATTTTGCTAGGAATTATCTGAGAAATGCAAATGAAAACCACAGTGAGATACTATCTCACACCAGTCAGAATGGCTATAATTAGAAAGTCAAAGAACAACAGATGCTGGCAAGGCTGAGGAGCAAATGGAATGCTTATACACTGTTGGTGGGAATGCAAACTAGTTCAGCCACCGTGGGAAGCAGTTTGGTGATTTCTCAAATAACTTAAAACAGAACTACCATTAGACCCAGCAATTCCATTACTGGGAATACCCACAGGAAAATAGATGATTATACCAAAAAGATATATGCACTTGGATGCTCATTTCCTTACTATTCACAATAGCAAAGACATGGAATCAACCTAGGGTCCCATCAATGGTGGACTGTGTAAAGAAAATGTGGTACATATATACCACGGAACACTATGCAGTCATAAAAAAGAATGAAGCTATGCCCTTTGCAGCAACATGGATGCAGCTGGAGGCCATTATCCTAAGTGAATTAATGCAAGAACAAAAACCAAATACTGCATTGCCTCATGTACATAACGATTGCAACCATAGACACTGGGAACTAATTGAGGTGGGAGGAAAAAGGGAGAAGAAGGGTTGAAAAAATAATTATTATATACTATCCTTACTACCTGGGTGACAGGATTAATGGTACCCCAAACTTTAGCATCATGCAGTTTATCCATGTAACAAACCTGCATATGTATCCCTGAATCTAAAATATAATTTGAAATTATTTTAAAATTTTTAAAAATAAAGTTTTTTAATTAAATAAAAAAAGAATTGAAAGAGGATGAGGAATGTTGCAGAAAGAAGGGAGAGTAAATATGTTTGTCCAGATACAGCCTCAGCATTTAAGGAATGAATGTCTAGAAAAGGCAGAGTGATGGAGTTAGAAGTCTGAAGTGGTAGCGTTGTTCTAGGCATTGAGGATACAGTGGAAAACAAAGGCAGACCGGGTCCTAGCAATCTCAAAGCTAAACACTCAAATAATGAACTGGACGATAAATATATGGAAAAAAATGTGACAATAGGTGGAGAGATGGTGATTTTGGCTAAGTCTGGCAGTAAGTATGGAGAAAATGAGAAACTGGCAAATAACCATTTGCAGGGAAGTAGCACAAAGAATTGGGAGAGCATGGCATCTTTGTAGGGATCACTGTACCCTGGGTCTGTCTGGATGAGTAGCTAAATTCTAAGCCCCACATTAAGGGTATTGAACTCTTTATATTCTACCTGCTTCAGTCCAGGCATTCCAGGTCAGTGGATCCAGCTGAAATGTATTAGAAAAAAAAAGATACAGAGAAATTGAGTCTGGGGCTGATCCCATTTATCTCTGAAAAATAAACAAATCCTATACATTTGGCAAGTTGTATAATTAAAGTCAAATATTGATGTAAACATAAGATACCCAAATCCACTCTCTAAACTCAAATGACCACTGAACTAATTTTAAAGTAATTGTGAAAGTGACAACGAAACAGAGAGCTTAAAATCATGATTAAACCTACATTTATCATTTTATTTTAAAAGGAGGGAACTTATTTGTTATTCTTTTGAAAATCAGATGTCTGATAGAAATATGCCTTTTGAATTACTGCATTAAGATCTTATAAATCTCTTCTCAACCTTGCATGTGAATGATTCATAGATGTAAAATAGAAGGGCTGGCTTATAGCAAATGGAGGAAAGTGTCTGTAATCCAGGTAGAGACAATAAGAATTAAATATAGTAACACAGAGAAGAGACAAGATCTAAATGGGTTAAGAGAGGTTAATCAAAGTGTGTTCTCACTTCAGAAAAGAAAAGGAAGTGTAGAATAATTGGTAGCCTCAGGAGAAATATAAAAGCTATGGATAAAATATATATATACACACACACACATCCTAGAAATAACATGTTAGAAAAAATAAAGAAATCTAGATGCAATAGTTTTAAGAAAAGGCCTTTGTAACAAAGGCAAAGTCACGTAACATAAGATTGTACTTTACTTTGGGCGTTTTAATTTTCTTCTCAATCATTCCAAGAGCTTTCTTGTCTCTCTTCCTCAAGTCTCTCTTTATCTGTTTCCTATACTCAAGCTACATTGGAATAACGTTGATCTTGTGAGTTGATTTCTAAATGTGTTTTCAAAGTAGGTTCATCTTCACCACTTAGAGAGAGGTTTATCTGCTTTTTGCCAGACAAGCTGTTTGATCAAGTCATTTAATATCACATATTTGGGATACAGGCAATATGAGTTGTTGTGATGAAGCAGAGCTTTGCACTTGAAATGAATATGTAGTCGTTGACTGACCTCTAAAAAAATGCAATGTCCTATTTTCTTTGGGATTTCAATGGAAAGGTGGTTTTTACACCTATTTCTAGTTGTACTTTCAAGAATATTTCAGCAGATTCCATGCAATCAACAAAAACAGATGTGCACCTTGAAAAATAACATATGTAAAAATTGCATGTACATTTAAACCACAATAGTTACAAAGAGATCCAAGCCATGCAATTTATTTTCTTAAAAGCAGCAGGTTAATTTTAGATGTTTTTTACAACTAAAATGGTAGCTGTAGAAACATTATATTCACATATCATATATTTTAAAATTGATTATTATACCTTAGATTTCTTTGTTCAATGGTTCTGGCAAAACTCATCTAAACTTAAAAAAAGTACCATGCCCTAAAATTGGATATAAATGGCAAAATCAATCTCATCCATGATTTGTAATGTTGGAAAAGCATATCTAATTTGTACTAGAAAAAGGAGCAGCCAAAGAGAAGCACTAGTACTTTTTCTTTTTCTTTTGAGTTGGAGTCTTGCTGTGTCGCCAGGCTGGAGTGCAGTGGCACAGTCTCCGCTCACTGCAACCTCCACCTCCTGGGTTCAAGCAATTCTCCTGCCTCAGCCTCCTGAGTAGCTGTGACTACAGGCACGTGCCACCATGCCCAGCTAATTTTTGTATTTTTCGTAGAGATGGGGTTTCACCATGTTGGCCGGGATAGTCTCAATCTCTTGACCTCATGATCTGCCCACCTCGGCCTCCCAAAGTGCTGGGATTACAGGCGTGAGCCGCCGCACCTGCCCCTGCACTAGTGTTATTAATGTATGTGTGGCTGCCTAATCTGACTTCTAAATAAGATATCAAAATTGATGGTATTATTTGTATACCACTAGATGAAATCAGAATGCAAAATACAGCAATACTCAAAGAGTCCCTTAAAGATGTTATCCAACAGAGATATGGAAAGAAATACAAATACAAAAATCAAATTTCAAAGTAGAAACTTTGATTCCAGTCTGAATTCTCTTTTTCACAATTAGACCCCAACTAAGCTCTCTCTTTCTCTACTGATCTCCTTAGCCCTATAGTCTGGAATGGAAACTTCCAGCTTCTGGGTAGTGAGGATCTCAGGGCTTTATATTCACTGTCATCTTTTGCCTTCTTTCTATCTAAGGAAGCCAATCCTGACATTAGAAAATTTGATCCAGGTAGTTTAACTACCTAGAAAAGCACCATTGGTTCCCTGTCTTTTTAAAGAACCAGGTTTAGCAAATCATTATCAGGGGCAAAATTAAGTGAAAATCTTACTATCTAAAATGCTGAATCAAACAATTAAAACTTCTGTTTCTACAGGAGCTAAATTTTGAAAGATTCTATCAGTATATCTTAGAAAGAAATATGATATAAAAATAGAGTAGAAGAATTGCTACATTTAAGCCTCCTTCAAAATACATAGCCTACTTTTTTTATAAGTTTTTCCTTTTGGTATTCATGGAATGGAAAGTAATTAAACCCCTCTGAGACAGTCGATGTACAGATTCAATAATTATCATCTTTATTTCTCCTTTCAAGACATGCATAAAGATTAAGTTTTAATATTAAGACTAATATAACCAGCTCCCATCAAAATAATAATGTATTGTTAGACTAACATTAAAATAAACATATTTTATATTCCAAATTCTTGCAATATATGTGATTCCCTAAATTCTTAATTTCCTCAAGTATGAAAGCCTAGTGCCAGAAGGGATTTGAGATCCTCAAGTCTAAACCTCTTATTTCATATATGAAGAACCTGGTGAAATCGCAGCTAGTTAGCCACAGAAGTGAGAGTAGCAATCAAAACAGCAAATTTTTAGTACAAGACTTGCCCTAGTGCATCCTCTCTGCATTTTGTCCATGTAAAATAACTTGGATAAAGTTGGGAAAGTCATAGTGATTTGCAAAGAATCACCTGATGTCCACTGATTTCTATCACTGATCACTGAGAGAAATTAAGAGATATCCTCAGTATCATATCAAAGGAGATCCAAGCATTAAATAAAATAATCCACATAGAGACAATGAGAGCATTGCCTTGCACACAGCAAGTCTGCCTAGCACTCCATAAATGTAAACCACCATTACCATTGTCAACATCCATGTCTCCTTCACTTGACAACAATCTATGGAAAAGAAGCTGGGAATTTCACTAGCACTAAGGAGATTGTGGAATTCTTCACTTACGTTCTGGGCCCACTTATTAGCAGTAGCCTTTCCTTGATTTCCTTGGCCAATGTAAACATGTATACACAAGTTAGTGTCACATTGTCAGCTTCCTCACAGTATTAATTCCTAGGAATTATTTCCTAGAAATTAATGTCTGCAGAGTAAAATGTGGTTTTTTTGTTTTGTTTTGTTTTTCTCCCCCCAGTAGAACATGAAATGAACAGATTTACTGAAATAAGCTCTCTACCTGGAGCAAGGATGAGGGAACAGTTAACTAGGCTCCTCAGAAGAGATGGATCTCGACTCATATGCTTTCTTTGCATTCTCGGCTGCTTTGTGTGAAAAGAAACTTAATTATGACATTTCAATATTGAAATAAAATTAGTTTGGATTTTAGTCCTCACTCTTGAAAGGAAATTATGCTCCATTTTTAACTGTGCAAGACAACTGCTGATTCATCTGTGGAGTGATAAGCAAGGCTATTTTTATAAACATATAACTAACTATATACAGGGCCTCCTTAGGGCTTCTCTTCTTATGGGTGCAATTTGGCATTCAAACTCCTGCTTACAGAAGGTTTTGTGGCCACCTCACATGCCGCAGTGTCAACCCTGTCCGCCACTTATGTTGGTTAAATCTCTTTAGCAACAATAAACATAGCCAATTATAATGACATATTTTACTCATGTTCCACATTCGTGCCTAGTTCTAGGCACAAAATAAAAGAACTCAAGGATTTTCTTGTCCAGTTTAACCTAAATATTTTAAGTCCTAAATATATTATGTGCAATATCCCTAGAATATATATAGTATATTAATTTATTGTTTAACATATTAGTAAAGTTTAAAAATCATGTAATGAGTTAAATATTAAAGACCACGTAGCCAATGTAGTTTCATTGCTCTTTAAATGCCTCTGGCAAGGATTTAATTTAGATTTAATAAAATAGTTATTATGCTATTTATTTCATTATAAATATGCTAATATAAATGTGATGCTATAAATATTTCTGCTAATTAAATACTAGCTGACTTACGGTGGTTTATTTAGGTGCAACTAGAAGTTTATTAGGATGTATGAGTTGAAACTCGATAACCATAGTCCCAATAATCTATTGATATTTAATAGGTAATAACCATATTATATTCAAGGTAATACATTTAAATGTATTCTTTCTATTGAATGTTAGTTTAAAGCTAATTATTTGTAACATATTTACTAAGCTTCAACTGTTTAAGAGATATTCATCTTAATAAAAAAGGTTGTTATGCCCCAATAGATATTCATAATAATCAGTTTATATTTAATTAACATATAATAACTCCCTCATTAAACCTAAATTAAATCCTTATTTGAAATACTTAATTTAAAGTACAACTGAAAATACTGCTATAGAAAAATTACATAGCTTCTGTGTATTGTTTTCACAAGCAAAATGAAGAGATGGCCTTGCAATCTAAGGCAGAATTTCATATGACACTGAAGGATGTTTAGGGTACTCTGTAAGTCCACGTGTACAGATCATAAAACAAAATATTAACGCAAGCAACATTTTTTATGAAGCCCACATTTAAATGTTTTAACAATCATTAAATTTTAATAAGCTAAAAACTAAACAAAATGAAATAGTGAAACACTTGATGTTCTTAAATAAGATAAAACTAATTAAGGTGAAAGGTCGCCCAGGCTGGAGTGCAGTGGCACCATCTCAGCTCACTGCAACCTCCGCCTACTGGGTTCAAGCGATTCTCATGTCTCAGCCTCCGAAGCAACTGGGATTACAGGCACGGCCACCATGCCTCACTAACTTTCTGTATTTTTGGTAGAGACAGGGTTTCATCAAGTTGGTCAGGCAGCTCTTGAACTTCCGACCTCAAGTGATCCACACACCTGCCTCTTAAAGTGCTGGGAGCCACCGCGTTCAGCCCATAATGTTCTTTATTTCTCCCTCCAGCCCTCTCTCCATCTTCCCTACTGAGCTCTATGACCCAGGAGGCAGCTCCATAAGGAAGGAGTGCATCACCACCAGGGTCCTTGAGCTCTAGACTCCAGATGTATTTGGGCAATGGAAAGCATCAGCAGGAGACGCAAGGGAAAGGGTAAGGAAAGGCAGAGGTCTTCATCACTTCATCCCTTTTCACAGTTGTGGTTTGCCAGTGCCTATGTTTCTCTCCATAAAGCTACAGATTCTGTCTTGTAGCCCTTCCTAGACTTCTAGTTCTCATATAATTCTGGCAACTCTTCCTTTCTTTTTCCTCTTCAGGCATGGAGTCCATAGTGGTTTCTCATGGTTGCTAGTCTCAGGGTGTTTTTTCTTTTGAGTGTACCATCTATTTTCTGTCAGGACCTGGACTTATATGCAAATTAAAAAAATAAAATAAATAACAACTGGAGCAGCAACAACTAACCTTTATAAAACACTTTTACACATGTTGTTTAAAACATAATAGGCTTTATGTTTAAGCCATTTAACCAATGGAGAAACTGAGGCTCAGGTTTTCTGCACAAAGGCACATGGTTACTATGTGGAAAAGCCAGAAATCAAGCCCAGGTCGTTCAACTCCATATCCTAATCTCCAATATAATCCAGTCACCAGAAGGATTACATTTTCCTTAGCTTTATTTTTTACTTTTTTATTTGTTTTTTTGAGACGGAATCTCCCTGCAAGCTCCGCCTCCCAGGTTCACGCCATTCTCCTGCCTCAGCCTCCCCAGTAGCTGGGACTACAGGCACCCACCACCACGCCCGGATAGTTTTTGTATTTTTTTAGTAGAGATGGGGTTTCACCGTGTTAGCCAGGATGGTCTCGATCTCCTGACCTCATGATCCGACTGCCTCGGCCTCCCAAAGTGCTGGGATTAGAGGCGTGAGTCACCGCGCCCGGCCATTTTCCTTGGCTTTAATCAACATTCTACACTACAGCAGTCGTTTATGATTTTTTGAGGCTATAGAACCCTTTCTTCAAAAATATCTAAAGAGTTTCAACAAATTGAAAAGATAAAAGTAGAGCAGCTTTGGTTGCTGCAATCTTTAGTAATCTCATTAAGACCATGTGGGGATAACCCCACTAAACCTTGCTCCTGGAATCATCACATATCCCAAACCTGTCCAATTAGAGCACTCTATCTCCCTAGCCACATTGATTGGCTCATGGGCAATCGCATGATCCAAACTGGGCCCCTCTGAGTCTTCCAAATATGTGCTACTTTCTTCTGGAATGGCAAGCTGAGAAGATAATGAAAGCCTTAGATTCGTCAATAGTTATCTTAGCTGTTATACAGAGACAGCCAGCCTGAAAATAAAGCCAGATACAAAGCCTGAACCACGAGAAGATCAGAGGGTCCTAATGGCACGCTGTGAATCCATGAACTCGACCAAGACCAAAACCAGTCCCATCCTTTGGAATAATTAGATATGGTAGCAAGTCAATTATCTTTCTGCCTAAGTTAGTTTGTGTTAGATTTCTACCACTTAACAGCCAATAAAACAGAGTTCCACCAAAGTTATATAAATAATTAGTTTTGTGCTTATTTATTTGTTACCCAAAAGGCATGGTTCTCACTAACTTGGTACATTAGCTGGAGATTGAATCCCTTATTCTAGATAATTCTTGATGGTGTTCAAGTTGATACTTGTAAAGAATTGATACAATACAAAGTTTTCCAAATGAGTTGTAACTTTTTGTTTTGTGGTAGGAAGAGCACTAAGACATCCAACTTTGTAGCTGCTTCCTTTATAGAACTCATTCTCTTATTCTGAACTTCATTTCTTCACTAATCAATAAATTAACATTACTAATTTTGCCTTTTTTACAAGGTTAGTATGAGGTTCTTATTTAAAATCTGCATAATGTGTAAAAGATCTATGTTGTACAAAATGAAAGGCAAGATGTCAGCAGTTTACCAAATGTCAATTTAAATTACTTTCTCAATATTTTTAATATAAAAGCATACCAAATTATATATTTGGCATGATATTCAAAAGTAATGAATGTTTTTTAAAATAGGTGTTATTATTTGTTTCTTTTGGTCTGTAATGTTTTTTAAAGTTCTTTACAAACAATAAATGATTAGACTTCTTAGCAGCCCACTGACCCAGCAGTGTTATGAAGGAGAATCTCTCCCTGCAACAATGTAGACCTGTATTTATTTTCTAGGTTTTAAAAACTCGCTTATGGAAGCTTTGGACATTAGCAGTCATTTTAAAACACAATTAAGCTATTAGTGTATTCAAAAGAGACCAATAGCAACTTTAGGCTATGTCTATTCTTGGGCCAAATGAGTGGGGAGTGTTGGGAAACATCCAGATATTTAGTACATAATGGCCTAAAACAACTGTGGGAACAGAAAAAAAAAAAAAGATGGGAGGATGTGAGTTTTCCAAATTGACTCTTTCCAGTGAAATCTGTGTAAATATGATTCTATCTCTATGTGCCTGAATAAACCCAACTTCCATATTTTTAGTTTGCTTTATTTTATTTTGCACCAAAAACTCAGTTTATATGTGATAGGGAATTACCACATATATTTTAGCTATTTCATTTATATATCTTATTTCTATTAAATTTTAAAAACTATTTACTCCTAGCATGAGTGAGCCCAAATTTAAACTGCAACATCCCATTCTACCATCTTGACTCCTGGGGAAAACGAAACTAAGCAAAACAATTGTTAGTGTTCTCTGGCTTTTGATGACTTAAGGAATCACTTCCTTAATGACAAAAAATAAAATTGCTACATATTTCTGATTGCCAGTCCTTACATATAGAGGACTATAGCTAAATATATTATTCTGTCTGCATCACTTATTAAAGAAGGGCAGAAAGGGAGCAAGACATAAGACATTTGGAAATTGTGGTGTGAGATCAACACTCTGCATAGACTTCTAGTGAGAGCCCTTCACATCCTTCACCAGTCTCATGATGTCTTTAGTATGTACACTGTCTGCAGTCATAAATAGATTCAGCCCATTTTATGCCTAACTAATACGATAACATTTTGGGCATTAGACCCAGATCTAATATTTGTGGTCTTACAAAATCACTGGATTACTGGAACAAAAACTTCTATTATTGCCTCTGCTCACCACATAAGAAAATATATAGTAATGATCAGGTGTGTGTGTGCCCTGGTTTCAGACTGCCTGGGACCCAATCCTGGCCTTGCCTTGCCTTTCTCTTACCTTGGTCTTAACTTCTTTACATTTCATTTCTTCATATATAGAAGTAATAGTAAAACCAGGCTCATGGCAAAGTACTTAGATGTGACTCAATTATCCTAATTGAACAACAAGTATTAGCCATTGTTAAACACTGCTTAGAACATTAATGCTGATTAAAACTTTACCTTGACCATATCCAGTTAAATCCTACCCAAGTTTTGGATTTCTTCTGGCCACATGTACCTCAGTCTAGATTCTATCTTCTTGTTACACAGTGCTTTTATACCACTCTGTACCTTTCTAGAAGAAATAGTATTACTGCTAGTAATTATATATTTCTGAGTTTATTAGTTTAATATTTATATTCTCATTGGATTCTAAGTTCTGTAAGGAAAAGAATATATTTTGCTCAGAATTTTATTTGTGCTGCTTGGCAGTGGCTGGCACATAGTAGTCCTCAATAAACATTTGTTGGATCAACAAAGGAAAGAATAAATGAATGATTGTATTATAGGTCTCAATTTTTTTTTTTTTACTTTCTACAATTTTTTTCTTCTTTAAACAATCAGTGTTGCAACAATCTGCCCTCCCATGACTCAACCTTACCCTACAATGCCAGCTATATCGTCTAAGTTATTAAATTATTTTTCATGATGAGGTTAGGCAAGATTATCTCTAAAATTAGCATTTTGTAACACTAAAGATGACTAAAATAGAATGTAACTAATGAATTTGGTAATATTGCTTTTGAACTGATTCTAATTTAGTCTCTTTTTTCCTTCTGCAGTAACATAATAGACTTAAACGTTTCCTTTATAGTGCCACAAATCAATCAATAAGCATTTGTTCTATGTCTACTATGACTTTAGCACTACAGCAAGGTGTCCTACTTATAAAAGGCATTGTACCTGTTTTAATTGCCTTCTTTAGCACATAGCCATTTAAGGACTTAATGATAAATAAATACATCTAGATGTCAATTAAATAAATTTGTAGTCACAAACCAGGGCCAAGTAAAGAGTTCTGGAGTCCTAATTCCAAGAGGTTTATTGCCACAAGGAAATGAAACTACTTAGACACTCCACATGGAATGGATGCTAGAAATTACAAATGCAGTGGGAATATTGGAGGTGTCCACATCTAGCAGAGTCATCACCATCTCCATGGAAACCATCCCCCACCCACTTCTGGGGAGAAAACAGCAGCTGTTCAACAGCACACAACCAAGAAAAATGCAAATCAGTTGGAAGTGTAAAACTCAGGATCCATTTAAAATTGTTAAAGGGCTGAAATTTGGGGTAAAGGAATGAGATTAATGAAGCAGTGATTTAGCAAATAAGTCTACCTTGGCCTCCTGCGCATCGTAAAGAGTTCTGAGAAGACGAAGGAGCAAAGTGGTCAGAAATTTACATCAACCATCATTACATCACCCTATTGGAATAATGCATTGCAGAAATTTTGCAAGGAAAATATAATAGCTTTTAAAGAAAGGAACTAGGAGGAAATATGTTTGGGAATTAGTTTTGAAGAAGAAAGAAGAAAAAAATAAAGTTAAGGCATGGCATAGAGTACTAAATAGAAGAAAATTTGGAAAAGGAAGAGAAATTTTAAAAAGCACTGTGTTCCTTGTGCATAATATGTTATCGTTGATTACTTTATATGTTTTTTGCATGTGCGATTTTATGTGATTTTCATAGGTGTATCTTCTGCCACAAAGGTTTTACTTGTATATAATATGGAAACTTATGTAAAAGCCTTAGGTAAATATGGACAGCTAAATCAGGCACTTCGGGCCGTGTCAAAAAGGATAAAGAGCTAGATCGCTGGTATTTCGTTTGTATGAACTCAGGATTATAATGAGAAGAAAAACATGAGACCTCGTAAGTGCTAGACTCTGAGAACTGTCTCCTGTCCCATCAAATTTATCTCCTAAAAATTTGAAGCTGAGATTCCTTTAGTCAGCTGCGTCACTAACAATGAAAAGATGTAGGGCACAATTCTGCAATGGGGATGAAAAAGCAGAAAGAACTTATGAAAGAGTTAGAGAGAAGGGATTAAAAAAGAGAGAGAGCAGGGTAGAGGCCAACCCTCTACTGGTGGGAACATGTTAGTTTATCTTGGGGCTTCCTCAGTGTTACACTGAGATTCTAGGGTCAATTGAAGTGGCTGGTGGTGGGAAGGTCATTGCATTCTTCATCATTGGCCCACAGTGGTTATGAATGAAATGTTTATCAGCCCTGTTGATGCATTCTTTTCAAGTTTGTCACTATGATGCTAGCCTGCTACTCAAGAATCTCAAAAGGCTGGGAGCCCAAGGACTAAGATTCCAGCTACTGGGTGTGCCACATTCTCAAGACAATACTGCCATGGGACTCATGTATCTTGCAACAGCAGGAAGTCATTTTCTAGATTGGAGCCAGCACTCTGTTTGTTTTCATGCACTTAGTCTTTTAGAACCAAAAACTAGGAAGTCTTGCAGGTTTCTGCCATTTCTGATTTACCACATTCTTCCTCCTGGGCTTTAACACAGAGCATACTAGCTGCTTTAATGCGGGATTGGTGGCGTGAGGTGGGGGATGCCCACCCTCCTGTAACTGTTCTCTGATTTTTCTTTGAAAAAGAACTCAAATGCTTGTGGGATATTACATAAAAATGTTAAAGCTATATACCAAACTTTCTGTGTGAAACTTAAATAATTCAAATCAAGACTTCTTTGTGACCTAACACAGAATAATAAAGGAAGGTTTCAGGGCCAGGTGTGGTGGCTCATGCCTGTAATCCCAGAACTTTGGGAAGCCAAGGCAGGAGGATTGCTTGAGCCCAGGAGTTCGAGACCAGCCTGGGCAACATAGCAGGATCTTGTCTCTACAAAAAAATTAAAAATTAGCCAGGTATGGCAGTGAGTGCCTGTGGTCCCAGCTACTCGAGAGGCTGAGGTGGCAGAATTGCTTAAGCCCCAGAAATCAAGGCTGCAGTGAGCTATGATCACACCACTGCACTCTAGCCTGGGTGATAGAGCAAGACTCTGTCTCAAAAAATAAAATAAGGAAGGTTTCATGGAAACAACTGGTTTTTCATACCACTGTATCCGGGCTATAGTTTTTGAATCTCTAAACAGCAACAGTGACCCGAATACCTCTAAAAGCAAGCTCCGTATAGTGAATTCCATTGGCCAGTTGACTTTTGTGAATGAGTGGGAAGAGCATTCCAACAGAAAATATCTGAGCCTCGAGATATCATAAATCACACCTTAGGGTACAATAAACCTTTTAAAGTACATATTTAAAAGAGAAATGCTGATTTCCTGATAAAATATGAATGTTCCTCAAATTAAGTCCTAGATAGGAATGTAAAGTTGCCCAAGTTATTATTATTATGTTTAGCCTGATAGTTTTAAGTTCTGAAAGAAAAATAGCAATGATCGTAAAATGAAGAGCAAGTATTTGACTGCTATGTTCCTCAACTTCTCTCCAGCCCCTATCCACTGTCTCAGCAGTCTGGTTATGATTGGAGATCTTGGATGAAAAGCAAAAGACAAGCTCGGGCAAAAACAAAGCACACTGGGCACTTACTCCAAATTAGGGAATAGGAACCACATTCATAGAAACATATTGTATTAGTCCGTTTTCACACTGCTGATAAAGGCATACCCAAGAGCGGGTAACTTACAAAAGAAAGAGGTTTAATGGACTTACAGTTCCACGTGGCTGGGGAGGCTTCAAAATCATGGCAGAAGGTTAAAAGCTTGTCTCACATGGCAGCAGACAAGAGAAGAGAGCCTGGGCAGGGAAACTCCCCTTTTTAAAACCATCAGATCTTGTGAGACTTATTCACTATCACAAGAACAGCATGGGAAAGACCTGCCCCATGATTCAATTACCTCCCACCAGATCCCTCCCACAGCACGTGGGAATTCAAGATGAGATTTGGATGGGGATGCAGCCAAGCCGTATCACATATCCTGAAATATACTGCAATCTTGCTTGTCTTTAAAAACAGCCATTCCTGTCGCATAGAACCTTGAGAGCCCCCTCTTATTATTTTGTATCATTTTATCATTTTCTGTGGGTATAATAAGTGATATAAGAAAAAAGTGGTTTTGGATTCATACATTATTAAATATCATATTATAAAGATGCTAATAGAACCATTAATATTATTCATACAATATAAAGACAAATTTTTACTTTTCCCATTTAACAAGTGATGCATACTGTTTCATTGACTTTAATTATGTAATAAAAGCATGAATTGTTAACAAATAAATTCAAAAATGACATATATTGTTTTTTGTTTGTAGAACTAATGAGTATTAAAATGTAGATTAAATTTTAACTGTAGCTAGTACCATCAAAACATAAGACAAAAAACTTTCTGGCGCTTATAATTTGGGATCTTTAAAAACTGCATTTTAAAGAAACCACTGATTTATTTTTTAATGTGTTTGTGTTTTTTGACTATATGATAGGATATAAGTGTTCCAAGTTACTTTTTGCAAGTAATTTACAAATAGCAAGATGAAGATATGGACACTTTTTTTTCCCAATAAATCAAAAGTCAAATTGGATCTAATTGTCACTATATCTTCAAGTACTAGATGAGACATAAAATATCTGAATAAAGGCAAAGATATGCTATGTTCCTCAAAAAGAAGACATAATATTGTGAAGATGCTCATTTCTTGAAAAAAAAAAAAATTAGCTGGGCATGGTGGTGCACATCTGTAGTTTCAGCCACTCAGGAGTCTGAGGTGGGAGAGTAGCTTAAGCCCGGGAGGCCGACATTGTAGTGAACCATGATTATGCCACTGCACTCCAGCTTGGGCGACAGAGTTAGGCCTTGTCTCAAAAAACAAACATAGAAACAAAACAAAAACAACAACAACAACAACAAAAATGATATTCATTTCACCAACATTAATCTGGAATTCTGGTTAAATACCTATCAAAATCCCAACAAGATTTTTTCATAGAACTTGATAAGGTAATCTTAACTATTTCTATAAAAGAAAATATGCAAGACTTGCCAGGATAATTTTATAAAGGCAGAACAATGATGGCAACTTGTTTTACCAGATAACAAAATATATTATACACTTACAGAAATTAAAATAAATACAGTATTGGTGTGAGCCAATACCACACCTCAATAGATTGAGGGAAAATTATAAATAGTCTAGAGAAATAAACTCATGTACATATGTGAATGTGCTGTGTTAAACCTGATATACTTCATATACAGTGGACAACATTATTAAATAAATAAAGTTGAAATAATTTTAAAGAATCTATCTTTAAATAAATAAACCCAAATAATTTGATAGAAAAATGAGCAAAATATTTGGATAAAAAATTTATAGAACAGGAAACATACATGATTAAAAAACAGAAAAAGCTGAATCTTAGATTAGAACATGATACAAAAATTAATTGTTAATATTCAATGTAGGTTAGAGTATTGAGAATAAAAATTCATATTAGTATAGGATTCTTTTGGAGGGAAATTTGACAATATTTTACAAATATATAAAATTCGTTACCTTTTAATCAGCAATTCACTTTCTAAGAGCTATTCTACAGAAATACTAGTATATTTCAAATGCTAATATCTTTTTTAAAATATTACAAAATCTATTATATACATTCACATGTATGCATGCTTGTATGTATGTATGTGTACACCTACTTTCTTGGGCCCTATCTAAACCTGATTTATTATCTTCAGGGATGGCATCCAGAATTGTTATTTTAAAAACATTTTTACATATTATTTCTATACAGCTTTATTTGCAAATCACTGAAATTAAATCAAAGAACTCTTGTGCATCCTCACTTTGATTTATTCAGAAATATTTATTGAATGGTTATTACGTACTGGTCTCTGTTCAAGCCTCTGGAAATACGGTAGTAAACAAAATAACTGTTGACCTAGCAGAGTCTCAATTTTACTGAGAGAGAGAGAAAATAATCAAATGAACTTTTTGAAAAATATTTCCAAAATTTTAATGTTAAAAGCTGCTGGGGTCGGGTAAGGGGGCTCACGCCTGTAATCCCAGCACTTTGGGAGGCTGAGGAGGGCGGATCACGAGATTAGGAGATCGAGACCAACCTGGCTAACACGGTGAAACCCCATCTCTACTAAAGATACAAAAAATTAGCCGGGCGTGGTGGCGGGCGCCTGAAGTCCCAGCTACTCGGGAGACTGAGGAAGGAGAATGGCGTGAACCCGGAAGGCGGAGCTTGCAGCGAGCCCAGATCGCGCCACTGCACTCATCCAGCCTGGGTGACAGAGCAAGACTCTGTCTCAAAAAAAAAAAAAAAAAAAGGCTGCTGGTTTCATGTAGAAAACTCAAATTTGGCTCCCATATGTGCTGCCCAGGCTTCAAGGGAAGAAAGTGATGCATGTTTGAGTCAGAGACAAAGATATGATTAGCATCACGACCAACAGGATCCTTGGTCCAAAGCACATTGAAGATTCTTAACTGAAAGTGACTGGATCCAGGAGCAGCGGGGAAGGAAGCCATGGGAAACTAACTGGAACAGTAGAATTTGTCTCACTGAAAAAGGGGCCAGCAGCCCAAATGACCAAATCTGAAGGACTGTTGATTTCTTATGTGGCTGATTAAGAGCTTGAGATAGAGGTAATGGCTCTAAGCAATGAGCGCAAACACCAGAGGTCAGTGGTGTTTTTGAGTACAATGACTATGGATAGTTTATTAGGGAAAAAAACCTTTATCTAAATTCCTGTTAATAATGAAAAGTTTAGGTTTCATAGGTCTGAACTGATTCAATATGTCAAATAATTCTGAACTCAAACACATTCTACTTATTGGCTTCTCAGTGACCTGTTCAGCCTTACTCATGGCTGGTGTGTTTGAAAATACAACTTCCAGATAACCTAATGGGATAAAATGTCTTTTGCAAAGAGATCAATATATACTGAATTTGATCCTGTTAAGAAAGCTTCAAAAGATGTACCAGTCCTCCATTATAAAATCCAAATATGGATGAGTTGCATTCAAATAAAGGTCTAATAATGAAGCTATGAATTTTAATTCACCCTTGAAATGGAATTTATTCTCACTAACATAAAGTGACAAGACATCCGTTATAAGCTTCTATTTTGATCTTTCATTTACCTACTATCAATGTCAAATACCAATTTCCTATAAGTTTTCATTTCTAAAGGATAACAACATACTATCCTTATCTAACTATAATATTGAATAGAGTGCTTGATTATATTTTATAAACCCATTCATAAATTTTATATTTTTAGGAGTCAGCATTTATTATTTTCAGAATAATAGGTAAAACTAGGTAACAAGACCCTTAGGCTGATAGTGCTGAACAGTGACCAGTTGTCTCATGATGTACCATATGTATACATCATTTTATAATATATACTTTATACATATATGCATATGAATGCATGCAAATATAGAATTCTTTTATATGTATGTATATGTAAAGATGTATATATTCACTCTAACTCCTTTCACATATTTTATTTTTAAGGAAACACCATCCTATACATAATATATATATGCATACATACATACATATCACACAATATATAATATGCACATAGATAATAAACAAGATATAAATATATGCCCCAAAATGGAAGCTATATGCAATGCATGCATATTCAGGGATAGGAGTGTCCTCAATCCTTTATTTTGCTAAAGAAGCAACTGAGATCCAAAGAAAATAAATGGCTTAAGGTCACAGCGAGGAAAAAAATCAAAAACCAAAGCATCATCATTTCAGTCAGTGTTTCTCCCACTTAATATTTCGATTTTACATTCTGAGTGTTAGACATGGAGAGTGAACTGTAGATGCTTCCTTTTTTACCCCAGTTTTCCGACAACTTCTCTGCTGAGATTTGGATTCTTATCATAAGGCTCTGTTTTGGAAGCACCAATTGCCATTTTAATGCAACTTCCTAATCATGCAGACAGCCAGCCTCTCATAAATCATATAAAGTACCTGAAAATATGATTTATGAGCTAAGTTATGGGAAATGGGGTCCTTTAATATTCTTAACCCTTCAGGATGTTGTTACCTATCACAGTCTCCTTGCCTGATTCAACTGAAGGTGGGTCTGAACACTTTCATCCCAAATGGCCCCTACTGCTACCCCCAACTAACACTGACCTTTTACCCATTCACCTGTATCCATAAAGAATTTGCAGCTTCTTTAAGTTCATCAACTGAGTATAAATTTGTAATTTAAACTCTTACTCAGCTTGTGGCTATTACAGAATATGTTCCTGAGGCACTGCCTTACATGGTAATTAAAGAACTGCATTTAATAGCATCTTACTATAGAATTAAAAGAGCAAGAGTATTACAGTTTGTTGCAGGAAATAGTCTACAAAAGACCCTAGAAAATCCAAGATGAAACTAATTTAAACCATATGCCTTGCTGAAAAGGAGTATGAAAAAAATGTCTGTAATATGCAGTAAATGAGGCCCATAACTCATTGGAACTTCCAATGAGTTATGTGTTAAATTCATATTTCACAACATGGTCATGCATTTTTTTAAAAAAAATCTGCCTGTCTATTAACCCTTTTCTTTGTGTGAGAGAGTTTATAGGAACAACATGGCTTTGTTTGCATTAATATATTTACATATGCAAATAGAAATCAAATACCAGTAGTTTTTTTTTTTTTAACCCCCTCCCTTATGGCTCAATATATTATCGCTTCACCAAACCAACAAATTAAAAACAATTTCCAATTTCTTCCACAAATACCTAGTGGCTAAATGTTATTAATGCATTTGTCTGAAAGGCGCAAATTCAAACATTGCTCAGTTAGGGAAGAAGAATCTACAGTGCTGATTGCTTGCAATCCGTTTCAGTAATCTATATTTTCTTCACGGAGGTGAAAGTTTATCTCACCATGGAACAACAGTTATAATTTTGCTTCTCCCATTCATCAACTCTGATATTTCGGAGCCTCAAATCATCACTTTCTGGAGCTACAGAGTAAGCAAGCTGTTGTCTATTTTCTTTTTAGCACAATCCTTTAAAAAAATGTTTCCCTGCACATTATGGGTTTATCTTCTGTCTGTGAGAGACCCTAATAAATCACGCTTGCTTTCAGCTATCATAGATTATTAGGCTTTTATAATCATGAAATAAACCCAATAGACTATTATTACTATTTTTAGGAGATTGAAAATTACTAGGTATTTTCTTCTTTGTATGAGTACGTGGTTCGCTCATTTTTCAGGAGGGTAGTGTTAACATTTAAACTCTGTCAGCATATTGCTTGTACAACAACAATGCTCCCAACAAATTGTGGTCTGAGGGGTGGGAGTGGGAGTGAGCACAGTAAACAGGGAGTTCCAGAATTACAAGGGTTTAGTCAGCCTCTGCCATCCTCAAGTTAAAAGCCTGAAGTTTATTTCACAATGTGAACCTCTCAAAGTGTTCTCTCTTGCCCTTTCTCTTTTCACATACAATAATTGCTGATAATCTTTTGTGGAACAATGCTTTGAAATCATTTCAGTTTTAAGAGAGTACATGAAGTCCATCAAACAGAATGAAGCCCCTAAAGGAGATTTATGTGAATTCTTTCTCATCACAATTACTGCAATTAGATACACGTATACCTTTGTGTCCTTAATATTGTAATTTTCATGGGGCAATGATTTGAAGGAGTTTCTTGCTAGAAATAGATCTAAAACGCAGGGTTTTGATGACATTCTCAGCTAAACTAATTGTGTGAGCTGGGAACAAGGTAATGAGGACAGATGTCAAGGTCAATATAATTACTCATTTCTGAATCTGGGTTAATATTTCCAAAGACCATCACATATAAGTTACAACTTATAACCGCCACTAATAGAAAATTCAGCTTTGGTTTTTCTGGTATGGATGCAATGTTGTTTTCTCTCCCTTGTCTCCAATGGTGTCCCAAAGTGAACTTTATTTGTCAAAGGAACAAAACCAAATCTACTTTCTTGTTGACTCTTCATCATATCGAAAGATGCAGATGTGAACAACAAAAGAAACACTTGGCATGATCACTGCAAATGTGTGCATTCCAAAATACAGCTTATAAAAATCATATTTATCCCTTTGAGAGGAGACAGACATAAAAGGGGACAAATACAAGGAGGAATTGTGGTGTTGGGTTATTTACATTTCTCATAGTCCTGAAATTATTATATAGCTATTTTCTTGGATCTTTTTTCCCTATCAGCCATAGACTGTCTGTACATCTTGTGTCATAATTGCTATGAAAGGACCTTATTCCAATTGACATTCATTTCCAGGTTTTTGCACCTAAGCTCCTGGATGATCCTCATGTTTCAAAGTGATACAACGGTATTCATAAACAGCGATTTAGAACTCTATTCACTTATCTTGGCTAGGATAAATCAACACAGGTAGAGAGGTGCTGATTAAAAGCCATGCTTCAATGGAAAGTTATTTCAAAGCCAAAATTAATAGAAACCACTCAACTAAACAGATTTGGGGCCTTAGGAACAAAACTGGCACGTAATAATACAAGAAAAAGACAACGGACTCAGTCTCTTTCTCTCTGTCTCTCATTACTGTTCAGTACTACTAATAATACAACATTTACCTCTATATTCATGTCACTGATTGATAGCCTCTTTTTAATTCTATTTTTTCCAAAATGTGCTTGTTGAACAAAATTCTATTCATCACAATACTTTAGTATTCCATACAGAGCATGGATGGCAAGCTCTCTGAGTTATAATCATCCAACAGGTTTCTGGAATTAATTGGGTAATTCAGAAAGTCATCTCCTGCCTTAGGCTTGACTTACTCTTCCCTCCCTACAATAATCCACAGCCAATCTGCCTCTGTCTGTCCTAACTTTTGCCACCTTGACACTGAGTCTTGTCTCATGCCAATTGCTGAGTTTCACTTTGAAATCCTTCCTTTCAAAAACCAAACATTTAAAGAATCATGATTTCAAAACACTTCTAAACTTCAACCAAAAAAAGAGAAAAGGAAATCTTCCCATTTTCCCCTCCCCTTCTACTGACAGCTTGTCTTTCTCTATTTTTCATCCAAATAAGCAGAGCCCTGTAAATCTTGTCCAGAAGACATGGACTGAAAGAATTAATCAAACTGTTGTTTATGAGCTGCTCAGAGCAGATTAAATGTTGTGTTGACAACACAATTTGCAAATTATCTATCAACATCAACAGACATACAGCAATGAGCCAAGCCAATTGGATACCTTTGGACACAAGAGGACCATGTATTTCCTAGTCTTGGTTCCAAAACTGAGTCCTTTTGAAGGAGTTTTATCCAACATTATTTTCAGTCTCACTGCTGCAGATGAGTTGCTTTACAATTTATTTTGGATTAAATGATAGTTTGATTTCTGCCACATACAAGTTAAGTTTCCTGCCTATATCACTCCAGACATCCCATAGTCCAATTCACCACCAGATATTCATCAGATAACTGCCTCTTAAAAATGTCTATGGCAGCCACCTGCCAAAATGATCCCAACCTCCTGGTATTCACAGCCTTCATACTTTTGTTTGTAGTTTGCTTACACATAACAAGTTCAATCTCTGTAATCAGTGGAACAGGAGAGAGGTGGTGGTGTGTCATTTCTCAGATTTCTTACATCTGTAACCTGTTCCTGTATGTGTCTGGTCAAAATTTCATTGTATTAAAATACCATAACCTGTTTATATATTTACCTATTAATGAATATTACCTTCCAGTTTTGACAACTATGAATAAAATTACTGTGAACATTGGTGTACAAGTCTTTTTGTGGGCCTATGCTTTCAAAAATAAACACCTAAGGTTGAAATTGGTAGGTCACAAGGTAATGCTTGCTTTGCATTATAAAAACTGAATAATTATTTCCCAATAATATCTTACAATCTAATCAACAAAGAGTGAGAATTCCATTTGCTTCACATTCTTGCCAATACTTGATATTAATGTTCATTTGAATTTTAGCCACACTAGTAAGTGAAATGTTCTCTTATAATGGTTTAATTTGTGTTTTATGATGCCTGGTAATACTGGGCAACTTTTCATGACTTATTGGCTATTTGGATACCTTTGTATACAAAGGTGCTTAAAGAGTTTATATAAAAAGTTTATTCAAGTCCTTTTACTCATTTTTAATTAATCTGCTAGCTTCTTATTAATAAGTTGTAAAAGGCTTTCATATATCCTGGTTAGAAGTTTTTGTCAGAATTATTCATTTTAATTATTCTCCCAGTCTGTAGCTTAATTTTTATTCTTAATACTGTATTTTTAAAAACAAGTTTTACTTTAGATTAAGCTTCATGTAACATGCTTTATAGTCAGTGCTTTTTATTTACTATCCACGAAATCTTTGCCTTTCCCAAGGTTATAAACATTCTCTTCTATATTTTCTTCTAGAAGTATTAGCATTTGACTTCTTGAAATAAATTGTAGAATCAACCTAACAATGCCTATTTTTAAACAATTTTTCTGGGATTTTGATGGGGATTGCATTCAAACTAGAGTTCAATTTGGGAAGAACTGACATCTTAAAAATACAGAATCTTCCAATTCATTAATATGATGTCCCTCTCCATTTTCTAATTTCTTTGTCAGTTTCAATGTTGTCATCTTTCAAGCCTTTTGTTACATTCATTTCTAGGTATTTTCATGCTGTTGTTATTGTTGTTATGTCATTTTTTATTTTTTAAATATAATAGACATTTAATTGATTTTGTTATAAATTTTGTATCCTAAACATGGCTAAATTCATTTGTTAAGTCCAGAAAATTTTTTATACATTGCTTAAGATTCCCTAATATTTTCTTTTGCTTACATAGTCTGTAAATAAAGGCAATTTTACATTTCTCCTTCCAAACTGGCACATGTATGTCACTTTAGCTTTTTCTTGTTATACTGGCAAGGACTTCCAGCATTATATTTAATGGAACAGACATTCTTGTCTTGTTCTCATTTGTAGAGAGAAATCTTTTTTGTGTTGTACCATTATGCATGATAGCAGTTTTAGAATTTTGAAGTGCTTCTTATTAACTCAGAAAATTTTCTTCTATCCTTAGCTGACGGATATATTTAAACTTGAATAGGTATTGAATTTTATTAACCATTATTTTTGTATCTGTTATAATTACACATTTATATATCTGTATTTATATAACATAAACATCTGATATAATTATATTTTTTCTTTTTTTGTCTGTTAATATGGGGGATTGCATTGATTGATATTCTTTTTAATGCTTAAACAAAACTTGCATCCACTTGGTCATGATATATTATCTTTTTTTATTAGATTGCTATTTTCAATTTGATAATATTTTGTTGAGAATATTTATGCCTATGTTCATGAGTGATATTAATATGTACTTTTCTTTTTTAGTAATATATTGTCAAATTGGGATATCATGCTTATGCTCACCTTATAAAATTTGTTGAAAAGCATTCTACTTATCTCTGTTTTCTGAAAGTTTTGTTATTATTGTTCCATAAAATTGGTATTATTTATTCTATAAATGGTTTATACTACTTACCAGTAAAATTACTTGGACCCTAAATTTTCCTTGGGTCTTATTATACATTCAAATTTTATATATCTTATTATATATATATATAATATATATCTTATTATACATTCAGATATACAATTACTCAGATTTTTTAGTTCATCTTATGTCAGTTACGGTAAAATGTATTTTTTACGGTATGTGACCATTTCAACCAAGTTTTGAATTTATCAGCATAAAATTCTTCATATTGTTTATTTCCCATATTCCTTTTAATGTCTGTATGATGTGTAATAATATCTCCTTTTTCATTTATAACACTGATGACTTGTATTTTATTCCTTTTTGTCTTGATAATTCCAGTCAGGTATTTCTCAATTTTAGGAACCTTTTCAAAGAACTAATGCTTGGCTATTAATCTTCTCTATTGTTTGCCTGTTCTAATTCATTGATTTTTTTTAATTTGCTTATTGTGTTGAATTTATTGTTGTTTCTAACTTTTCAAAGTAGAAAATTAGATCATTAACTTAAAACTTTCTTCATTCAACTACACATTTAATACTTAAAGTTCTACTCTAAGCTCTGCTTAGAGCATTCCCTCAAGTTTTGATTTGTTTTTATTATTATTCAGTTTAAAACATGTTCTGATTTATCTTCTGATTTCTTCTGGTCTCCATGAGATATTTAGAAGTTTGCTATTTAATTTTCAGATATTTCAAGATTTTTTGATATATTCTTTTTATTGGTATTGAATTTAATTTTACTGTTGTCTAACATCAAATATCATAAGATCTCAATTGTTTGCAATGTATTGAGAAGCAGTTTGTGGCCCACTATGTGGTACATTTTTATGAACATTATAAATCAATATGAAAAGAATGTTTATTCTGCAGTTGTGTGTATAGTGCTCGGTAAATGTCAATTAACTTGGTGAACAATGTTGCCGAAATTTTCTATATTCTTCCAAAATTTTTTCTACTTGTTTCATCATAATGAGAGAGTGTTGTTTACATTTCCAACTATTATTATGTATTTCTTATTTTTCCATTCGCTTCTGTCAATTTTTGCTTCATTAATTTTAAAGTTCTATTATTTGGTGTATACATCTTTAGGATTATGTCTTCCTGATGTATATCTGCCCCTTTTATTAATGTAAAATGTTCCTCTTTATCTCTATTAATATTTATAGTCCTTAAGCCTTTATTGTCTGATGTTAATATACCCAGCATAGCTTTCTTTTGATTTGTGTTCCCAGAGTATATTTTTTCTGTCTTTTGATTTTTAATCTATGTACATCTTTGTATTTAAAGTACATTTCTGACAGATAAACTCTGGCTGAGACTTACTTTTTATCCCCTCTGATAAACTTTGCTTTTAATTAGAATATTTAAATAATTTGTATTTAGTGTAGTCATAAATATGGTTAGGTTTAAGTCTATATATTCATGCTATTATTTTTCTGTTTTTCTCACCTGACCTTTGTTTCTATTTTCTTCCTGTGTGCCTTCTTTTGAATTATTTGGTTATGTTTCATGACCTCTTTGGCTTATTAGCTACAATTATTTTATTTTTAGTTAATGTATTTATAGTATCCATTCTTTACATATCAAAATGTATTTAGAGTTAATATTTTCTCACTTCACACCTCACACTTCCCACATACTTCACACCCTTCATTGCATCACTAATAACTAATTACTATTAATAACTAATAAACTTCCCATTTTACATTTTACACTTCACAGTTTCTACTTCACAAATGTAACCCTTGCTTCCTTGTACCATTGTTGTCATTTATTTACCTTGATGTACATTTTAACTCTGCCTTTAATATTATTATTTTTACATTAACTTATGACAAGAAAAATAATATTTTCTTTTATATTTTCCCATTTTGGTTCTCTTTCCTACCTCTAGATGTAATTTTTACATTTGATATTATTTCCTTCTCCCTGAAGAATATTCTCTAGCATTTCTCGTAGTGTTAATCCGCTGGTGATACATGGTCTCAGGTTTTTTTTAATCTGAAAATGTCTTTATTTTATCCTTACTTTTAAAGTGTATTTTTGCCAATTCAAATATACATTAAGAGTCTATTTTTGTTTTTGCATTTTTTAACATTATAAATATGTCATTCATGGTCTTCTAGAGTCTGTTGTTTCCTGTGAAAAGCTAACAATTATTTTTATAATTGTTCCTCATGTGTTATGTCTTTGATCTCTAGCTGATTTCAAAACTTTTTATGTTTGGATTTTAGTAAATCTGATGTGCCTCAGTGAGGTCTTTCATCATATTTAGAAAACTGTAATGCTTGTGACTCCAATTAATATTGTCCATCAGATCCTTGTACATCTTTCAACGTTCTTTAAATTTTCCCCTTTCTTTTCCAAATTAAACAACTTCTATTTAATTGTCTCCAAATTTATTGACTGTGTATTCTTCCATATCCAATTTGCTATCAACCCATTCAGTTAATTTTCCACTTCAGTTAATGTATTTTTTTGTTCCAGAATTTTGGTTTTGTTTTTTGTGTAGTTTCAATTCTCTGCTAAGATTGCCTACATACTTATGCATTTAGGCATATTTTTTATTATTTATTTGAACATATTTCATTAATTCTTTGAAAATATATTAGTTGCTTTACAGTATTTGTCTGCTAACTCCAATAACAAGACATCTTGAATTTGATTTTTTTTTTTTTTTTTTTTTTTGAGATGGAGTCTCGCTTTGTAGCCCAGGCTGGAGTGCAGTGGCGCCATCTCAGCTCACTGCAACCTCTGCCTCCTGGGTCCTGGTTCAAACAATTCTCCTGCCTCAGTCTCCTGAGTAGCTGGGATTACAGGCACGCGCCACCATGCCCAGTTAATTTTTGTATTTTTAGTAGAGACAGGATTTTACCACGTTGGCCAGGATGGTCTTGAACTCCTGACCTCATGATCTGCCCAACTCAGCCTCCCAAAGCACTGGAATTACAGGCATGAGCCACTGCGCTCAGCCTGGACATCTTGAATTTGACTTCTAATGTCTGTTTTTCTTTACTTAAAGCTGAGCTGCATTTTTCTGTCTCTTTGCATGTCTAGTTATTTTTATTGCATACTAGACATTGTCAGTAACACTGTAGAGATTCTGGATTCTATTATTTTCCTCTGAAGGGTATGTATTTTTGTTTTGCTTTTGCTTTAATAAGCATTTCAATTAGAGGCTGAAATTGTATAGGCTTTTTTTCCCCCTTTAAACTGTGTAGGCTTTATTTTGTGTGTTTTTAGATGGATTTGCAGAAAACTAAAAACATTTATTCAGTCCTTCTAATATTAGATCCTACCTCCAAACCATCAATTCTAAAGTTGTCATCAGAACTTGATTTGGGGTTGGTTAAGGCTGCTACAGAGTAGAACTAACTCTAAGGTGTGGACTTTACTTTTGAGGGGAAGTCTCTCCTGAGGGGCCTTACTTTGATATCTCAGTTAAATTCAAAAGTGTTAATGAGATTTTTCTACTCTATATAGGCCAGAACTCTAATATTCCTTAGCACTATTCAAACTTTTATATCTCTGTTTTGCTATAAAATCCATAGCAGCTGGTCCCTGGTAGACCTGGGTAGTTTTATTCTGTGTATGTGCAAATGAGCCTCAATCAGGAACTCATGAGGAGCCCTTGCCTTCACAGACTTGTATTTATCATAAAGAGCCTCTTTGCCCCCACTGTCTTTTCTTTCAGACTTCAACTGCTTCAGGGAGGGTTCCTATACTTAGATCTTAGCTTCTTTAGCTCAGCAGAAACTTTTCTTCTTTTCTTGGATTCTCCATCCTAATATCATTGTTGGGGATTTGTTTCAGGCAAATAACCACAGAAATCATGCAGTTCCCTTTATACATTTTTATTTTTCAGGGATCATTGTCTTGTGCTGCCTATTGTGCAAAGCCTCAAACCCAATAATTTATATGTTTTGTTCAGTTTTATTATTGTTTGTGGTTGATTATGGTGTAATGATGTAGTCTAGTACTTCATTATATTTTTAGTCTGGCTTTTAAATAAATAAATTCCAATGTAGATTATTCATGCTTGTGAATAAGGCTGTGAACCTCCTTTATACCACAAACCAGGCTAAACTTGGAAGTCAATGTAATGATTCCACCTCCTTAGTATGATTTGAATTAGCCCAAATGCTTATCTCTAAATAATCTTTTACCCAACTGTGATGAATGAAACTTCTTGATATTTTCCCCCTTGGTTCAAAATTCTTATTATACTAATTTATTTAAATGTTAAAGTTAGCATAGGGACAAACTCTGAAATAGACATTAGTTAAAATTTAATTTGGCATATATTTTTGAGAATCTCCAAAAGAGTGTTACAGTAGTATAGTTGCAGAAGAGAGAGAAGACTACTTAGCTTCTCAAAAGCTCAGTAAAGTATGCTAGAGCAATTTGTGAATTGTCAAATTCTACCCTAAAAGTGTTTGTTTCATATATGGCACTGTTTAAAGTATGCTTTACATTTGAGAGGAAGGAATGGAGAAAAGACAAAGGAAAAGTATTTCTCTGGCTTTTACCTATTATCAAAAATTAATTTATCAATATAGTTATTAGCCTAGAAAATCTGATTCTGAGGGAATAAAAGTCAAGCCTGTATTACTGAAGTGTGAAGAAAAGGGCTTTGTGGCATCAAAATAACAGCAGTGTTGAGAAGTGTCATGTAACAGAAACAGAGATACCTTAAATTTAGGAGCTTGTAGGAGCAATGAGGATGAATTACCTGCAAGTGGTCCTGATTTTCGCTAGCTCACTCTGGCTAATTATTCATTTTTACCCTTACCTAATAAGCAACTAATAGATTGTACCAATATATAAGCTGTCATCAAGTGCCAAGCAGAATGCTAAGCACTTTGTATGGATTACTGTACATGGTTGGCACTATTTTTACTCATTACACAGAAGAAGAAATGAAAGCTTAGGGAGCAGTGGATAGACCTTACGGTGGCCCTTATGTCCCTTCCCTGCTTCCTGGTGCCTGTATCTTGTATAATCCCCTCCTCTTCAGTGTGAGTGAGACCTGTGACTTATTTTTAACCAACAGAACATGTCAAAGGTGATGAATCATTCCCATGATTACAATTTATCACATAATGCTCCATCTTGCTAACATACTCAATTTCTCTACTGGTGGCTTTGTAGATGCAAGTTGCCATAAATACTACAGGCATGAGAAAATTAATTTTGCCAACAACCTGAGGGAGCTTGGAAATGGAGTGTTTCCCAGCTGAGCCTCTCATGAGAACCCAGGCTTGATTTAAACGTGAGTTGCAGCTTTCTGAGGCACTAGGCGGAAGACCAGTAAAAATGCCCCAACTCTTTGACCCACAGAAACTGTGAGATAATAAATGTATGTTTTTTTAAGCCACTAAATTCGTTAATTTGTTATGTGACAATAGATAACTAACACAAGAGGTAAGTTAAGTTGCTCAAGGTCACACAGGTAAGAAGTGGCAACATCAGTAACCAAATCAGACCTATTTGAATTCAAAGTGCTTGCTCTTTACTAATATTTTATACTACATTCCACTCCTCTGCTCTGCAGTACCCAATTTCCCATGAGTAAAATATTGGTGATGCCAAGAAGGTTTCCAATGCAATTCTAAGTTTCACGAAACTTTGAATTTCGATGTGAAATCTCCTTGTATTTTATGGGAGATAGGGGCAAAATCTCCACATATGAGTAACAATAGCTGATGCTTAATTAGCATACTATGTATGAGGAACTGTGCTCTTGGAGATTTATTTCCATACTATGGTTTGGATCTGTCCCTACCCAAATTTCTTATTGAACTGTCATTCTCAATGCTGAAGGGAGGGCCTAGTGAGAGGTGATTGGATCATAGAGGCAGTTTCTAATGGTTTAGAACCATCCCCCAAGTGCTGTTCTAGTAATAGAATCCTCATGAGATCTTTACTTTTGTTTAAAAGTATGTAGCACCTCTCCCCCTTTCTGTCTTCCTCCTGCTCCTGCCAAGTAAAACATACCTATTTCCCCTTTGCTTTCTGCCATGACTGAAAGTTTCCTGAGGCCTCCCCAGAAGCTGAGCAGATGGCCAGCATCTTGCTTCCTGTACAGCCTGTGGAACCATGAGCCAATTAAACCTTTTTTCTTTATGAATTATTCAGTCTCAGGTATTTCTTTATAGAAATGCAAAAACAAACTAACACAGTCCATTATCTCATTTAACTTTTTGGCACTTCTATGAGGTAGACACTAAAATCATTATCTGTTCTAGAGAAAACTCTGAGTTATGGAGGTTATCAAATTAGTCAAAAAGTTGTACAGCTACTAAGGAGCAAAGTAAAGATTTGAACTCAGGTCTATTTTATTCTAACATATGGGATTTTCAATCAGAGAAATCTGCAAGCTGTTGACAGAGATTCACATATGGCCTAGAAAATGAAAAATGATGCAGGTTGAAATTGCAATTGTTAGTCTTTAATGTGATGTGTATGAAATTCTCTAAAGCAGATGGACATCATTTATTGACTACCTGAAGCATCACACACTGGACTGGGTGCTAGAATAGTATTAATGTAGCCTCAAATTTCACCCATCTACTCTTTAATTATTTACTGACTTTCGTCTGTGTTCCAGGCACACAATAGATACTGGGAAGAGAAAAAGAAAACGTATAGTACAGGACTTTAAGAAGCTTACAGTCTATTGGTAGAGAACGACAAGTGAATTAATTGATTATAATTATGGCCCAAATATTGAGTCTATTTTCAAACTTTCTTGTTCATTGGCAAGTAACCAGAATCACTGCTGCCCAAATATGCAAACCTCAAATAACTGAAACCTTATTTAAGTGGTGACTTACTTTGAAAGCGAGGTATTAGCATTGCAAATGTATAAAGTTATATCTGAATTTTAATAAAGTGACTAAAAAGAACAATGTACCCTTTAGGAGATATTTAGGAGAGGCATCGAAATTTTGAAGAATTTGCTTTGTTTTTACAGAAAGAAGAGAAGGGCAGTATAAAATATCCTTATTTTGGTACAGCATATGTATCTGGTTAGTTTAATCAGGGCTACCAATTTTAACAAATATGAATATCTGTCCCTGTAGAAGACACTGTAGTTCCTCCCAGTATTTTTTTTTTTTCATCCTTTCCCTATCTCGTAGCACCCTTGCTTTTTGGGTGTGTCTCAAATGACCTATGCATTCAGGATAGTTCCTTTGCCATGGCCATAAGGATGGTTCAGTCAGAAAACTACTGTTAAACTAATAACATGGATACAAATGAAACTACCAGGAGTATTTGGCAGCCATTTCACTACCATGAAAGGAATCCATTTTAGGATGAGGGTGTAACAAGGAGACGAAACATGTAGTAGGTATTTCATGGCATTGTTGAGTACCTAGATTAAGTCCACTTTATTTCTAATCTTTTGCATTGTGTAAATCAACAACTTCCCTCCTTGTTTAAGCCAATATAATTTGAATTTTCTCTTACAGACCACAAATATGGTTGAGAGTTATGAAACCTTAAGTCATCTATGTTAAAATAATCAGTTTTTCTGACATCTTTATCTGAATCATTTTTATGGTAATGGATGTCAGGTAAGAGTTAGCAAGTACAGATTGTTGACTTCTGAGTAGTGGAGACAACTCTATCAGTCAGCATGGTAGCCATCCTTTCAGGGAACCCCCAGTGGTCCTTACCTTCTGGTACCTGTGTCCTTATGTAGTCTCCTCTAACATGGAATCAGGACTGGTTATGACCGATCGCAGAAATGACAGCATGTGATTTCCAAGGCTAGGTCATAAAAGACATAAAAGCTTCAACTTCAGTCTCTTGGGATTCTTTACCTTCATCATGAAGATTTAAACATCTCTATGGACTACCTTACATGAAGAACTGAGTCCGGCCACTAACCCAGTATTAACTTATCAGTAATATAATTAACCTACCTTGGAAGCAAATTCTAGTCCCAGTCAAGCCTTTAGACTGAAACCCCCCCGCTACTTGTGACTGCAACCTTGTGAGAATCCTGAGTTAGAAACACCAGTGAAACCATTCCTAAATTCCTGAACCACAGACATAATAAACAATTATAGTTGTTTTAAGCTACTAAGTTTTGAGGTAAGTTGCTACACATCAATAAATAACTAATATTTATTTATTAGTTATATCAGGGATTTCATAATCATGTAGTTCTTAGGAGGAGGAATATAAAAATAATAAATGCCATTTTCCTGGTTACAAAGACCTCATAATTTTATTGGAAAGATAATAAAAACACAAATAAAGCAAACACATTTCCTTTAATATATTTGTCACTCAAAATGTATCATTAATTAACTAAGAGACCAATACACTATATGCTATTAACAGAGGCTAAATTATCTGGTTCAAGAAATAGCTATGATTAATAATAGTTGATCAGCTGCCCACAATTTCCTATAACTGAAAATTGTGATTGATATATATATATATATATACACACACACACACGCATAGAATATAGAAGCAGATGAATATAAATATGTTTTAAATTATGTTTAAAAATTAAGAATTACATTTTATGGTCTTTAATTCTTAACAGCAGAATTTCAAAATCTCCTATTGTTTGACTGCTAGAAGGCTCATTAGTAACCACTTTACATTTTGAGGTTATGGAAACTATCCTAGGAGTGATTTGTAAGATACCACACAGGATGAGAGCTGATAGAGTGATCAATCAATAACCAATAATTTTATATAATTATCATGTAAAACAAAAGATGGTTTGATCAAGACTCCTCACAAATATCTAAATATTAGGAAACAAAAATACATTTTGTCCCCTCAGATGGAAAATGCAGGAAACAGTATGACCATAGAATTTTGCCAAAGATCTACATCAATTAAGAGGTTAAAAACATGGTATTTCTCTCACCTACAAAGCAGCTACATAGAGCATAATGAAATAGGAATTAAGGGCTTCTTTAATACAAAACAAAAAAATTGATAAATAAGTTTGCTGGGTTCTGCAGTGTAATTACTTTAATATGTGAAAAATAAACTTCCATAATATGGTCAGCAATTTGCTGGAGGGCCAGGAACATCTAATGTCAATGATTTCATTAAGCTATTAGATTCCCTTTGATTAAAATTAACAATTGGTGTTACACCACCTGACAATGGAAGCTTTTCATCAGAGCAGCTAGTTAAAATACCACAGTGTTGTCTTTCTTATCGCTGCTTCCATATGAAACTCATAAGAATAGAGCTTCCTCAGTCCAACAGCTGGAAAACCCCACTTCTGAGATAAGAGAGGTTGTGTTCATCATGACAAAAAGTGCAATATTATGAAGGAATTTGTAGAAATAATAGGATCTACATGGAAATGCTGAGGATAATTTAACAAATGTGTCCAGACACTGACTTATGTTTTAAGCTCCTCTTCAAAACTGGGCATTGCGTTCATGGCTGCTATCTAACTTGTGCTTGGCTTTCAGCTTCAGATAATCACATGTAGCTATTCTTTCTCTCGCTCGCTCTCTCTTTTTCTGACAACAGAAATGAATTTAACAATCAAAACTCTGAGAAAAGAGTTGACTACAGTCAGGTTTTCTAAATCTAATAATGATTTTCTTCTTCCCTCCCTCCCTCCCTGCCTTCCTTCCTTCCTTCCTTCCTTCCTTCCTTCCTTCCTTCCTTCCTCCCTTCCTCCTTTCCCTTTCTTTCTTTTTCAAAAAGATTTAAGGTTTCTTTTTAGCAGAAACAGAAATAACAACTTACCAGACAGCAGACCTAGTTATAAGCAGTTGATTTATATTGACTCACTTGAGCTTCACAACACTGAGAAATAGTTTGTTATGATCATTCCCACTTTACAGATAAGGAGAATCAACAACAGGGAAGTTGAATGACCCACCCAAGGTCATATAGCTAATAACCCTTGCCATCTGTTTCCAGATTTTATGTACGTGATACATAATTTACTAAAATACATATTCCTAATTTTTTCAAAAATTTTTAATGTGGCAGCAATCAAGAAATCAAAACTCAGGACAGAGATGCCTGACTCTTTTGGGATAAAGTGGTATTTTTGGTCTGTTGTTTCATTTTTTAAAAATGGCTTCAATATAAGCACCGCAACCAGTTAGTGCAAACATATACAGCATATCCTTGAAAATGTATGTGCAAATCCAATACTTTTATATATTAAATGATGTTTTAAATAAACTAAGAGAACTATTGTTTAATTTACTTTTCTAAATAAATTTTAGAAATTCAAATTCCTATAAATGGGGCTCATTTAAATTATGTCACCTTGTAAATATTTGTTTTTACTCGCATAAAGGAGAAAGGAAGAGAGCAAACAAAAATTATAGAAGGAATGTCAAATTGTGAGAATAATTTTTTAATATTATTGAATCATATAACCTTTGAATAAATAATAATTATGATAAACTGCTGACTGTAGAGAACTTTGTAGCTTACAAAAATGCTCCCAAATTTGTATGTCATTTAGATGCTCAAAATAAACCTGTGATAAAGAAAGTCCAAGCATAATTATAAACCACATTGCATGTGGGTAATCGCTTGGCCATCAGCTCATAAAAGATCAGAACAGCCTTTGCCCTGTTCACCCATTATCCCAGCTCTTAGCATACTTCCTGGAACATAGTAGGCACTCACTAGGTAGCTGCTAGACAAAGGAATTAATTGATCAGTTAATGAGTTAATGAATAAAGGAGGGGCCAAGATTTTGATTTCTGGCCAGAGTGCCAAAGAATGAAGCCCAGGTCTGCCACCTAAAAATGTTATAGATTTGGGCAAGTTATTTTTAAACATCTCTGAGTATTTATGAGAGTAACAATAGTGCCTACCTCACCCTGAAAAGATGCAGATGCAACATATATTTGATGAATGAATGAATAATATAACAATTGAGTGAATTAAAACTCAAAATAAGTCTTTGCTTCCATGTGAATGCTCCTTCTATTACCTTCTCTTAAAGGTTACCCAGGAAACCTTTAAGTCCTGTAAAATCCACCCTCAGGAAACTTACTTAAAGCCATGTAGGTCACAGGCTGACCTAGACACTAAGTCAAGTCCTGGGTGGATCTTGACCTGATCCAGGGCCTCATCTCATGCTCAAAATAACTTTCATTGATGATTTCTTTAGGCCTTCTCTGACACTAATCTTACATTGCTGGAGCCACTTAACCTGAATCACAAAGATTGGAATTAAATTTAAATACCTTAGTTTTGTGGTTTTAAACTGTGTTCTTAGGCAATTGCAAGTTGCTTGAAGGCAAGGACAACTTCAGTCTTATTCCACAGGACTTCTCATACATTTACTGGCACCTAGTGGGTGCTCTGCGAATATCTGTTGAATGAACGGACATTTCACAGGAACCTAGATGTCCACAGAGCAGCTTCAGAGTTTCCAAAATATTTTATTAAACATTTATTTAAAATATTTAATTATTTTAAAGTCTTTAAATAAATAAATAAAATAGTGCACATGCTCAAATGCACCATATTTCAAAATTTCACATATTGGATACCATCAATACAATAAATCATACAGTTACATGAACAAGTGTAGGCACTGACTTGAACAAAGTATTTTCTCCTATTTTTGTGCATTGCTTTATTCACTCATATAGTTCAAGTATCAGTTAAGCACCTTTTCTGGTCTAGGCACCATCTAGGTACTTGATATAAATCAGTGAACAAAATAGACACAGATTTTTTTCCTTCATGGAACTTACATGCGAATGAAGAAACAGATAATAAACAAATTGTACAGTTTATCATAAGAGAATACAGTGCCAGAGACTGGGGCAGTGTTTGAAGGATGGATATAGGCTGCAATTTTGATTAGGGTGGTCAGGGTAGGCCTTATTGATAAGATGACATGAGACCAGAGACTTGAAACTAGAGGGAGTTAGCCAGGTGGATATCTGGGGAAAGATTATTGGATGCCTACATGGAGAAAAAATATATAAACTAACATATGCCTCACATGATCAACAAATACAAATTTTTGGATAAAGATCTAAATATAAAATGCAAAATAAATAATTGTTTTAGAAAATAATATAGGAGAATAACTTCATAACATTGAGTTGGGAGGTTTTTAATAAGATGTAGAAGCTCTATTTGTAAAGGAAGTATTAATAAATTAAACTATATTTCGTTCACGAAAATTATCATTAAGAAAGTTAAAAGACAGCATGAGTTGGAAAAAGATATTTTCATCTATATAGCTGACATAGAACTAATATCCAGAATAACGTATAAAGAACCTCCACAAAACAGTAAGAAATAGTGACAACCAAAAAATAACAAGCAAGAGACTTGAACAGATACTTCACAAAAGTGGTGTCCCAATAGCCAGTTGCCATTTGAAAAGGTGTTTATCTGGCCAGGCGAGGTGGCTCACGCCTGTAATCCCAGCACTTTGGGAGGCCGAGGCGGGTGGATCATGAGGTCAGGAGATTGAGACCATCCTGGCTAACACAGTGAAACCCCGTCTCTACTAAAAATAAAAAAATTAGCTAGGCTCCTGTAGTCCCAGCAACTCGGGAGGCTGAGGCAGGAAAATGACGTGAACCCGGGAGGCGGAGCTTGCAGTGAGCCGAGATCGCGCCACGGCATGCCAGCCTGGGTAACAGAGCCAGACTCCGTCTCAAAAAAAAAAAAAAAAAAAGTGTTTATCCTTAATTGTCATAATATAAATGTAAACTTAAAATGGATGGATTACTACCACAGGCCCACCAGAATGACAAAAAATTAAAAAGGTTAAAAATGCTAAGAATTTTTCAAGCATGTGGAACAACTGGAATTCTCAGGTACTGAGGGTGAGACTGTAAATTAATACACTTTGGAAAATAATGTGACATTATTACAACTGAAGATATGTGTCCCTATGAGTCAGCAATTTTACATCTCATATATGCCACTGAACTGTGTATACATAAAAATCAAGAGACAAGTACAAGAATATTCATAATCGCATTTTTCAAAATAAAATATAAAAGCAAACCAAATCCCATCAATGACAGAATGGAAAAACAAACTGTAGTACATTTACACCATGCACAGCAATGAAAATAAACAAACTACTAGTACACATAACACACAGGTAATCACACAAACATTATGTGGAATAAAAGAAACCAGATACAAAGAATGCACAGACACAAAGACTACATAATTCCATTTAAACGAAGTTCAGAAACAGATAAAACTGAACTGCTTAGAGATGCTGTATTAGTCCCTTTTCATACTGCTATGAAGAAATATCCGAGACTGGGTAATGTATAAAAGAAAGGAGGTTTAACGGACTCACGTTTCCACATGGCTGGGGAAGCCTCACAATCATGGCGGAAGGTGAAGGAGGAGCAAAGACACGTTGCATGACAGCAGGCAAGAGAGCATGTGCAGGGGAACTGCCTTTTATAACGAACTCGTGAGACTTACTATCACGAGAAGAGCATACGAAAAACCCGCCCCCATGATTCAGTTACCTCCCACTGAGTCCCTCCCACAACACATGGTGGTTATGGGAGCTACAATTCAAGGTGAGACTTGGGTGGAGACACAGCCAAACCATATCAGATGCGTAACTGGTATATGAGCTATATAATGAAGAAATAATATAAAAGATCAAGAGAATGATTACCTATTGGAAGAGATGAGGTAGGTAGTAATTTGGAAGAAGCCAATGAAGGGCTTTTGAGATGCTGGAAATATCCAATTTGTTGATTTTGGTGGTTTTCATATGAGTTTTTAATAATTTATTAAGCTATTAATATCAACTTTTAGGTAATTTTTTGCTTGTGTTATATTTCATAACGAAAAAACCAAAGTCATTAGAAAAATACTACGGTATCAAGCAATTAAAAAATTGAAGAAGAAGAACTAGAGATTATGAGAATAGAAAATACTTTTGAGGAATTCTGTTTCAAAGGAGAGCAAAGAAATGAAGCAGTAGCTGTTTGAGGAAGTGATATCAAAAGGAGGACTGATGGGAGAAACTAATCCAGTAGAAAGCAAACGTAGGAAAAATAAAGAAGGATTGCTGAAAACAGGTCTTTGAATAGGCAAAAGGGGATGGCATCTAGGGAACAAGTAGATGGGTTGGCATTAAATAGGAGCATGGCTCTTTCATCTATGAAATACGCAGGCTATAGTGAAAACAAAAATTGAAAGGTGAGTAGATATTGACACACTACAAATCCTATCATCTGATAACTTCTATTTTCTCAGAGAAGTAGGAAGCACAGTCTTTGGCTGCAAGTGAGAATGGGAAAACTGTTCATGATTGAGAAGAGAAAAGAAGGTGCAAAATAGTCCTCAAGAAAAGTAGAAGAGTGGACTGGGGAAATGTGATATAACCACCAAGTAGTATTGTTCAAGTTTAATGGACATGAGTATAAAGTGAGAAGAGTCCATAAACTGTGTATTTTTTCTCCAGCCCTATCGTACTGCACAGACGCAGGTTTGGGTTTTACAATATAACATCCCCATACACACACATACAATATGCATATATACACACACACTGAACTACATCAATTTATGTGCACATGTACACACATATCTATATGTGCATGTGTTTATTTTCTGTCTCACATCGTTAGAATGTAGGTACCAAGAGCCAGTTACTTTTTTCTATTATACATCACTCGGCCCACAGCAGATAAAATAGTGCTGGTCACATAGGAGATTCTCAAGAAATATTTGTTGAATAAGTTATTGAGAACAGTTGTAAAAATTACTTGTACTTTGCTTTAAACAAAAAATTCTAATATTCTCTCAAACATCTTATTTCATTAAAAAAAGATATCTTGAGATTGCAAAGACAATGGAGTTAAAAATCAACCAACCAAAGAGACTACTGCAACTACTTCTGTTTCAGTAACAATATTCACAATACTGTGCAACCAAAATAAAATATTCAAGTACATTAGATCATGAGATTGATCTGATTTCAGCTGTCATCCATAAACAGTGATTTGAAAATTTTGTGTTCAACAATAACTGCCTCATTTAGCTAATATGAAGGTCTTCATAATAAATAAATATTAATAATTTAACTTGCAAAATAAAATTATACTGACAAGGACAATCTTTATATATTAGAATACTGTGTAACAGTTTACTTCAAAAAGCTTTCTGTTCGTGTAAATTTTAAATTCACTACCTTGAATAATCATTAGAAAGACCAACTGATCTAATATGACAGTAAGATGAAACTTGGGTAAAATAACAAATCAAATACATTGGGTGATGAAACCAAAATTAAAAATATTTTGACAGAACGAAGCATTGTAATTAAATCTAGTGAGTTAAAATTTAATAGGAAATAGTGTAAAGTTACTATTGGGGTTCTCTTATAAACAACTTACACAAGTAGAACACAGGGACAACTTGGCTTAGCAGAGCACAGCTGAAAACAACAATTGTTTTAGCTGGAAATAATTTCAATAATTATTTATGAGGAGATGAAACTACCCTAAAAGAGCGAATGTGATCTTAAGCTACATGAATAAAAATATATCTTGAACAAATGAGATGGAAATATTTTTTCTCTCTGTGCTGCTCAAAACACACCTAGTGTACTTACTCAATTGTAAGTACCACAATTTAAGGCAAATTAGAACATTTTTAGAGGACATTTTATAAGATAGTGGAGAAATTCCAATGTCTTAAATGAAATCTTTTTTTTTTTTAAGTTGAAGTTACTTACTCCAGGAGAAGAGAAAACGCAGGGAAGATCTCAGTCTGCCTCAAACATTTTAGCATCAATATATAAAAGAGGGATTCTACTCATTTTAATGGCCCCAAAAGTAGGATTGGGACCATGGGCAAAATTTAGGGAGACATATGTTGGCTTAATGTAATAGACAGTAGATGGAGTCTCAATCACATTTTTTTTGAAATTAGAAATCTGCAATTTGGGTCTGCCAGCAATTTTTGCATTCTAGTTAGAAAATGAAATTTGTCTTTGGAACAGATCCACCTTTTGTTGAGGGAGGGAATCCCTCTAGTGAGTTCCTTTAGTCATGTAGGTGCAAAATAAGAATCTGCTTGTTGTTCCTAAGGGAAACCAGATCAGTTAAAATATTCCAGATTGAACCATTAAATGTTCTGCTTACAACTAAAAAGTATTTGATCATTGGGTTTATGTGTTCGTGTTTATCGATTTGCTCACAGGAGAGTTGGAAACTGAACAAAGATAAAATGTGGAATTTTCATGTCAGTCTGTGAACAAAGAACAGGACTCAACAGATGGTGCCTGCACTTCCATTCATTCAGTGAGTTTTCATTGAGCTACTGTGTATCAGGCACTGTTCTAGGTCATGGGTAGACGATAGGAAATGAAATGTTCTTTCCATACAATTCAGTTTGCCTAACTACCAATCCTTCAATTCTTGACTGAATTCTCGCCTTGTCAACCAAGCTGTCCAGACCTCAACTAAGCTACACCCTGCTCTCACCACATCATGCCCCCACCCCCTCTCCACACCTGAATTCTAGTATACTATTCTCATTTTCACTCCTCTTCCCACTCTTTCTCTTCTCCTTCTTCTCCTCATCTTCCATCCCATTCTCTCCTCCCTACTCTTCCTCCTCTTGTTCTTCTCCTTCTTCTTCTTCTCCTCCCCTTCTCCCTTTCTTTCCTCCTTCTGCTTCTTCTTCACAGCCTTTGCCACCTTCCAATATATGTTGTAATTTACTTACTTGGAGCTTTTATTCTGCAAATAGATTTTTATCTATTTTGTTTCCTGCTAAATTCCTAGCACATAGAAAAGTGCCTAGCATTAGTAGATACACACTAAGTGTTTGTAAGTGAATGAATGAATAAATAAAAACCCTGGAACTTCCTGTAAAGTGCCTTCGTTGTTGCCATCTGTCCCCTAGGCTTGAGGAGGGCCAATCTGGTGATCAGGGTCAGGTCCACCCTACTGTAACACTGTAGCAACCAGTCTAAGGTTTGCCCTACCTCAGAAGAAGGTTCTGTCCCCTTTTAGACAAGGATTACAGAGACATGAACTTACACTGAGGGGTAAAAGAGGGAATTATTGACCACTGAAGTCAGAAAACTGGCATTTCATGAGAACTTTGGCTGCTCGTCTTGGGAGATAAGGGAATAGAGTATGTACTGCTTGACAAAGAAGGATGGTAACAGATAGGAAGTATTATAGTTCATTGCCTGATGCAATTTATCTTCATGCCATCTGAGATCCATCAGAGCTGATAGTAAAAATGCTCAGATTTTTTTTAATGGATCCTGGCTTGTATAAGAGAGCTTTGTCCCTCTCAGGCAGATTTCCATGAAACAGACAAAGTCCTGTGGAAAACCACAGATGAAGCACTAATAGTAGGGCTCTTATTGATCAGATTGGGGTTACAGTGCTGATAAAAATGGCCTATTGGAAAATGAGACACTGACCCCAAAAAACAGATTAAATTCTTGCAGTTAGCACCACTGTCCTGGAAAGCTCCCTGTAGTTCTTATGTTGAAACTGGGCAAGAACTTACAAGATGTTATCTTGTTAATGGGTTAGCAAGTGCCTCAGATTAAGGTGAATGCCTCTAAATAAATAAATAAAACAAAATAAAATAAAAGAATAAGGGTTGTAGGAGTCAAGCCCAAGTCAGCCACAGTGTGCAAACCTGGTAGATCTACTCAGAAAGCAATGTGGTTGTGGCTGCTAAGAAAAGCAGTCACCAAAGCTGAAGTAGATGATGTCAATAATGTTGACCTCATCACCTAAAGTACTATATGGGCTGGAAACATTGAAAATTTGTTTAACTGAAGCAAGAGCTGCTGCTATGTCACTCAAAATTGAAAGTAATGCAAAGTCTTGTTAGCTGGCACAGAAGCATTTCCTCCCCATGGACCCCTAGCCCTCTATCCCCTTCTACCCTGATCTTAACTACTCTAAACATAAAGATCATTGGGGTAGATCAAAGCTCTCCCTGTTCCCAAAGGAGACTGAAAGTCATATCCATTGAGTATGTAGTAAAACTCTGGGGAGAAGACAGTCACAAACTTTCACGGCTTTTTTTGGATAAAGGTGCTAAATTCACCATCAAATCCAGTCCCATGACAAGAGGGCCTACCAGCATTCAAATGATTGAGTTTGAGTTGGGTTAAGAGTGAGGAAGGAAAGTGAACATGACCTTGTGGATAATGCCTTTGGGCCAATTTAGTGTTTTTATTTTTATTTTTATTTTTTTTTTTGCTTCTTCATTTGAATATGTAAGAGAAAGTGTTGTACTATATGCTTATACTTCCTCATCCCATAAGTGCCTGAGGCGATTCTCCTGATTGAGAAGAACTGCGTATAAAGAAATGGTAATATCTCTGGGGACCCATGGTCTCAGTGATCCCTTTAACACTAAAGATCTCTGTGACTGATGATTTTTGCCAAGTGAAGCCTCAGGCAAACCATGGTAACCTCAATTCAGAGGAGTTTCTTAGGTTTGAAGTCATTGCCTCTGAAGTCTACCAAGTAGACATCTTTCATAAAGTGTCTTTCAACTTGCTCTTGGGCTCTTGACATAAATGAACTCCTGACCCATAGAATCCTTGTTACTTTCCAGGCTGGTATTGCCATTTTAGAGTGATTCAACTTTAAATAAATAGCCAACATGGTAGAAAAGGCCCAACAAAATTTGCTTATGAAATTGAAATGGTATATTCAGTAATGTAATCAGTCTGGCCCAAGCAGCATCTCAAACTTTCATTAAAAAGTGAAAGTTATCCCTTCAGGAGAAACATTATACTCCACAAAGCTGCTGATTCAATAGGGCCCTCAATACATTAAAGTTCCCTTAAATGCTTGGGCCTGGTTTACTAATAGTTCATCTAAACTGAAACCCAATTATGTTCACTGGCTACTGCAGTTGTTAAATCTCAGCTCCAGCCATATAGAACAGAAAGTAGATGTGGTCAGTTGGCTCCCTGAACAAAACTCAAGGCCATTCTCAACTCCTACTAATCCTTGAGCTAGTGGCTCCTGTTTTCAATAACCTTTGTCTGCCACTTGGAAAACCATAGGTTGGCAGATGAAAGATATACCTTGTTTGGGCTACAAACTCTGGAGACAAATCACAGCTGCTCACCAAACCATCTGAGTCACTCGTGTAGATGACCCTTATGGCAAGGGATAGCTCTATGATGAGATCAACTGGAATCAAGCTGCTAACTAAGCCCAGTTTGTCACTAGTGCTGCCTGGATCTCTCATAGTACTGGACATGACAATGCATCCACCATCACAGACTGGGCACAAAGTCAAGGATCCCTTGTTTCTGAGGCACAGACCACTACTGCATACCAGATATGAATTCTACCCAAAGTTGACCAATTTCTCTTGCAGTTGGAAAGACCATATTTCACAGGCGGTGGTCCCCATCTGTTCTCCGTAGATTGAGTGTGTCAGAACTTTAACCCCTTGCAAGATGATTAATGATGCCTCATCACTGTCAATACTTTTTCAGATTATGAGTAGCTGTACCCAATTATCCAACTTTAGCCATACCATTATGACCTGTAAAATTAATCCATGTCATGTTTTCAGCTTTCTGTACAATTTACAATCTAACATCGGTACACAATGTTTGGAACAGCCTCCAAAATGGACTCAAAAAGCTTTCTGACTCTACCTCTCTCAACACCTCCAAATCCATACATATTAGGAAGACAGTTTGGTCACTGAATACAGCCTTTCCACAGAAAGGTATTATCTCCTTTTAGCTCCTTTTGGGTAATTGTCAGTAATTGTCAGGAAGAAAGTGGCAGGTATTATATAGACCTACTTTGAAAATTCAGGATTCTAGCCTGACAATTCCTAAGCTTGACAATTTTTTTTTTCCCTTAACAGCAACTCTAACAAAATCTAGTTGATATATCTTTAAGGTACCTTACCAAAAGGACACCTAAAGAATTCAGAGCTCATTCTAGTTCATCCACCTGGATTCTCCTGTCGTATTGACATGGCCCTAGATCATAAAGATAATGAATACATGTCTCACTGAGTTCCTCTATGGTGGCCCATGACTGGAGTACATAATTAGTGTCTCTACATTTTATAAAAGTGTTCTTCACCCTTTTTAATAGACTGTTTCTAACAAAAATCTCAGTGTGAATAGGGGATGACTGGAGAAAAAGTGAAGCTATAGCTCTTGGAATGGGCACACTGATTTTGGATCAGTGAAGAGAGAGTAACAACCCCAGTGCTCAGCAACTTAAACTGATGGAGGTACATAAGAGAGAGAGGGGGACATTAATGATCATCTGTCCTTCAAATCCACTTGTAGGAAGAAAACACCCTGTACAAAAACCATTAAAGAAAACATTCTGATACAGCTCTCTCAAAGTATTGCAAGTAGATTAACTGCTGTGTCTACCAGAGAGCTCCCAGCACAATTTGACCACCACTCACCTTAACCTTACGGAGAAGTCTATCAGAAACAGCAGAAGAGGGTCCCAGTTCCCATGCCTCCCACTCATAACACCCACCAACACCTCCAGATGTTTCCCCCCCTCCATTACCAAAGCAGTTGCACAGTAATTTCATGGGGTGGATGAATGCCACCCAGCTGATGGTGTGGACAAACAGAACAAATTGGATTAACTATTCTCAGGTAGTCTGTCCATGATAAAGAACTAGACTCAGTTATTTAAGCTGAACTGGAAACTTTAATGCCTATTAGTTATCCAAGGACCCATGTTGGAGGCACTGCCAGCCTATGTGCCCCTACTGATGTGGGTCCCAATTGGTGTGAGTTGGTTATAGTTGTAAACAACATTTTCTTTCCAGGGGCACCATGTATGACCCTGGTACTAGGCTTCTCGTATGGAAGCCAGGCATTAGCTTGCCTCTCTCCCAGACAACATGGTAACTTGCACCATGGTAGGTTAAGTCTGTTGACACAGAAGATTCCAAGGGTTGTCTGAAGTCTATATGAGACAGTATCAGGAGAAAGGAGTGAAAGCACTGAGAAGGGTGAGTTTCCAGTAACTAGACCATCTTTGGAGAGATTATTTTGTATAAAAAAATGTAACCTCATTTTGTAGTCCTATTATAGAGCTGAAAAAAATAACATATTACATAGGGCAAAATGGTTAGAAAATGCTTCAAAAATGGAGTGAATAAATTTGCTGATTATGAGTGTTCTGTAACTAGAGGCATTCAAGTATGGAATATGTAGTTATTTAGTAAAAGTATTTTAGAAGAAATTCAAAGGTTGGCCACAAGACTGAACTAGATTCTATGGCACTTTCTTTCTCTTGCTTTGATCTAGGAAAAAAAGTATTCCAGTGTAAAAATACATACAAAAAGTTTGAACTGTGAAGGTACAAAACTCCTGAGCATGTCATTGGTCTGAATAATCACTCTGCATTCCTCCACCCTTCTCACTCACCTCAGGTTCTTTGAGCACTAAGCCATCTCAGAAATCAACCAGCCCTTCTTATGTGTTTCACAGATAAAGAAAATGGTAATAAATGTAATTAATTGGCTTTCTCAAAATTTTATAACTTTGTGAAATGACAACATTTGAAATGGTGCATCCTGATTCTCAACCAGCCTTTCTCATCTGGGGTTTCTTAAATAAACCACAGAATGCAGAAAAATAATTTGAATGACTATAAAGATACATAGGAGAGAAAGCGGGTTCCTATCTACCTGAATATCTGGAGCACTGACCTTGTTCTCTCCCACAACTCTCATTAAGATGGGCCATCCTTGGCAGCACGCTGTATCTCTCATCCCACCCACATCACACATTTTGTCAATGCAAGGATTGTTTTCCCCCCAGAATTCTCAGGTGGTCCACAGAATACAGGGAGCCATGGAGATATAAATGCCCAGTCCATTGATAGCCTTTGGTTGCTTTGGTAGTAATGGAATGAAACACACTGTATTAGTTGAGTTCTGCAGTCAAGTTGACACCTTAAATTAGCCATCACACACACACACACACACACACACACACACACAGAATTTAATGAAAACCAAGTGGTACTCTGGACCTTGTAAACAGCAACCTTACATCACTAGGCCTATATCAGAAAAACACCACATTTTTATCCTTAATCTACTATTTGTTGAGGAAAATGCCCAGTTGAGTCACTGTGGGGTTCAGTGCTGATTAAGTTCTTATTCTTTAAAAAGAAGCATATTTCCTGAGTACTTTTGGGGGAAGTGGGGAGGCTGGGACCAAAGCACAATCTGTGCTGTTCTCTGTTCTCTTTGTTTCTAAATTAAAACAGGCTGCTAAGGTGTGCAAGTATGTGAATTATTATTTTCCTAACATTAAACACTTGATTTAAAGCATATTCCCTTTGAAGGAAGGTATAATTTGGGAATTATTTGAAGTCTCTAAGTGGTTAGAAACTGGGTTTAGCCAGATTTCTAGCTGTAAGCAAAAGTCAGCCTCTGATAAGAAGCTGTTTTACTTTATTGATGCAAAGGAGGTTTGCATCCTCTTGGGGGTTTCTCGGTTCAAGAGCATCCTAGTTGTTATTTGCAAACTGCAGTGTGAAATTGTGAATATTTTCAGATACATTTACCTCCATATAACTGAGCTCTCCTCGTCAAAGGAAGCTTCCAAGTAACTGGGTGAAGTCTTAACGACATATTGGTCGTAACATGGGTTTTGTGAGGCAGGAAAGCTTCCCTCCATTACCTATTCATATGCAATATTGAATTATAAAATAAAGCACAGAACTGAAATAGACAGACTTTCCAACAGAGAGACATGTAGCTGCATTACAAAGTCAATTTTATATATGGGTTTCTGCGCTGAATCATTTGGCTATTTAGGAATGCATTTCGCAGCTAACTCATCCTGGCAGGCCCAACGGGATGCAGTTCCTCTTAAAATAAATATCGAGTCATCAAAGAGGCATCACTGTGACAATTAACTGCTGGGCTTGAAGGAACTTTTGCTTGGCTTTTCAAAGCAGCCAGAACAAAAAGAGAGACTCCATGAGTCAGAAGTACAAACTACAAATGGGAACAATCTTTCGCAAAAATCAATCTTGAATAAATGCACTATATTAGTCCTCTTTTTTGTTCATCACAGTTAAATGACAGGTTCCACATTACTGAATTTTCCAGGTAACTGGAAACTTACTACTTTAATAATCAAAAGAAAGACAGACAGCAGTGGTATAGAGGTCTTCCTAAATATATTACAGAAACCCCAGTTTTCTTAAATAAAGGCTAGGTTATAATTCAATTTTATAAGTTCTTCAGTTAACTTGAAATAATCCATTTGGGAAGCCCTACAATAGTTCCAAGGAGGGATGGTACAAATCTAGACCAGGTGGCAGGGGAGACAGAGAGGAAGGATGGATATAAAATACAATTGAGAGGTTGTGTTGACAGAACCTACTCTGATTGTGGTATTTAGGCTAAGCGTGAATGCAAGTATGATTCCCAGTTTCTGGCACAAGTAACTGGGAAGATATTGATGCTATGCATAGTGATGTTGTATGCAGAAGGAGGAACAGGTTGTAGAAGAAACTATCAAGCATTTAATAAGACCAATAATTTAAAACCTAGTGGAGCTCAGAAATAAAAGTGAAGGAACTCTGAGCCAGGGAAAGAACGTCCACAAAACTTAAACCTGAACTACACATGGACTTTGGCTAGACCCTCATTCAGAGCATGTTGCCTTTTAATCAACCCTCAGCTGTAAGGTGTGAGATTATCTGTGGCATGGTTTTAGCAAGTCTGAAATGCTACATGAGTGGGGAGAATGCTAACTGAAGCAGACACACTCACAGTGAAAGCAGTGACTTGGAGCCTGAATGGAAAACTGGTGTAATACAATACAGAGCAATCGGTGAAGTTCATCATCAAGTTCCCTCTACTGGGAGAGGATTAAGTAAACTACTATCATTTAACGGCTTATGCTTCAACATTTTTTTTAGTACTCAGAAAAATCCTCTGTGGTCAGTATGATTACCAGCATTTTACAGATCACCCAGTGTTACTTGGAGAGTTCATGCCACTTCTCAAAAATCATACACAGTAAATCTTTAAGTTACTCTTTTGACCCATGTGCACCTGACTCCAAAGATTGGCTCTCTTTTTCTCTAAGCTCCACATTGAGGCCAGTGAATGAAATTTATGGATGATAGCTATCAGCTCTGGTAAAAACATAAATTCTTTTGAACAGTTAGAGCTGTACATTTAAAATACTTGGCATCATGAAGCAGTGAGCTCTCTGTTTCTTGAATGTTTTGGGGACAAGTAATTGCATCTGCTCATTATATTTTTAATTAGGAATCCTATATTGTAAGGGAAGAAAAGACAAGTAAATTTTTTTCATGGCAATGTTCTATGAGTAGAATCCAGGTTCAAATGCAATTGTAGATAGAAAAGTGCTCAGATATTGTAAAGCAATATTAACATCAGCATTTTTATGATTCACATCAATGTGTACACATTGACAGACCCTATTCTACAAGAGGTGAGTAATCCACTAGTTAAGTATTATAACTAGATAATTTTACACTGCTCCACACACCCTCATCTGCCTCATTATTTTCCTTTGATTCTACCTAGATTGAAATGCATATCACTGAACTCACTTCTTTGAATGACCAGGAAAACAGGAATTTTCTCCAAAAGGCCACTATAGAAGTGGATACATATGTCAGGGAAGAGGATTGTAGGAGCTCAAAAGGCTTCCCTCACCCTTTTGAATGACTATATTCACTTAGATGGTACTGTTTAAAAGACTAGCTAGTGTTCCCTTTTGGAGGTAGACATACAGAAACATCATCATTGATTGGGAGTGGTGGGAAAATGTGGCAGGAAGACATTTGCATTATTAATTTGTTATCTCTGTCTTTTCCATGTCCTTTGCCTCCACTCAAGCAGGCAACAGACTCAAACAAAGAAAGGCTTGTGATAAGATTTCCTGGCTTATTATGGTCCATTTTTCTTTCCTACTAACTTTCTCCCAGTCAGGAAAATCTTTTCCTGTTGTGTATCCATCTTATTTCAAACCCCACTCTTCCAAAAGAGCTTAAGATTTTGACTATAATAAGCCAGGAAATCTTAACACCAGTCCATGGTACTTTGTAATGTTAATCCAGAACTATGGCACAGCCTCAGAAAAGTAATAAAGGGAAGCTCCAAGAAGATGTAGTTCAATTTTCCGTAGGCCAAAAAGGTAGTTGGTCTAAAACTGAAAGCCTGAACAAGTAGGGAGATACAAATGTAGACTCACATTCACTCCAGAGTCTTAAGCCCTAAGGGACAGGCAGAGAACCTGTATAGAGGGTCAAGGTGGAAGACCCAACTCTGATAAGGAAATCCCAGGACACGTGCTCCTGAGAATATTTGAACCCAGGAATGGCAAGCCCTAGATGATGAATGTCCCTGGGTTCAAAAGGGAGCTGAGTGCTGCCGTAAATGGAATGAATCCCCAAAGGAAGAGAGTATCCTACATCTACTATACTGACTTCATATATTTCCTGAATATCCTTCCTTACCTCTAAGATTCAAATTATTACATGTTTTCAGAGAAAATTCTAATTCTATCATCTCCCGAGAGGCCAAGAAGAGCCTAATTTAATGTGATATTTTCATGTCCAAGCTACTTTTTTTTTTCCCTCAGAGTGAACTGAGTCTTAACGTCAAAATGAAATTTCAAGTAAGAAAAGCTATATGAAGTTTTTGGGTTGTTTTGTTTTTTATTTTTTTTCTGAGCCCTCAAACTTTGGCTAGGAAATTTGTGACACTATAATGAAAGATAACTCGGTCTACTACAGTTCCCTCTAGGAGTAGAATAACCTCACCCATAAAATAAACCCCAGCCATTTATTTCCTATATATGTACAAATAAAATCCCAGTTTTTTTAATTGCATATCTGGAACCTAACTGTATTTCTTTTATTCCCCTTATCTTGTTGTGGTGGGTAGTCTCCAAATATGGCTGTCACTGATTGTCCTCTCCCCTGTATATGTAGGTCAATCCTCTGATCAAGTGGTGAATCCTATTTCTATAATTCTCTTTGAAACTGGGCTGGAATTGTTATTAATGGAAAGTGCAGAAGGGACATTATTCTCTAGGGAAGCCAGCTTCTATGCTATAAAGAAGCTAGGGCTAGATTCTTAAATGATGAAATATAATGTGTAGAGAAAGAGAGATGGGAAAGCAAAGCAAAGAGGGAGAAAGAGAGAGAAAAAGACAGAGAAAGACTATGTTGGGGAGCAATGAGACGTCAGACAAGAGAATGAATTTTTTACAGATCTTCCAGCCCAATCTAGGTTCACCTGAACGCAGCTGAGTGAATAACCCCAGTGACACTACTCAGAGCAGAAGAACTGTCCAGCTGAGCCTTGCCTGAATTACTGAGCATGAGAAAAAAAGAAAAAGAAATAGGTTGCTTTAAGCCATTAAGTTTACCAGTTGTTTGTTATGCAGCAATAGATAACTGAAACACAAGTCTAGATCTCATGCTGTATTATTTGAACCATTCTTTCTCAAGAACTTCAACTCCCATAAAAGTCCCCAACTAGTATAAATTAAAATATATACCTCCTATGTAATCTTGCTGAACCCTTCTGGAGGAAATCACACCACTGCAAATATATGTTCTCTGTACTCAGCTGAACTTCAATTCCTTTCAATAGTTCTTTCACATGTCCCTGGATCACTCTTCATTCCTCACAGTGGCCATTACAGATATTTTCTGTGTTCCTTAGCCCTCCTACTCCTTTGCCTAACTCCCTCAAACATAACAAGAATTTCACTTCCCAAGTAATAAATAGAAGTGGCAATTTCCTCAAAATCAGCAATTTTCCATTCCTGAGTTACTTCACTTAGAATAAATGGGTAAAGACTCCCTATTCATTTGCCCACTTTTTGATGGGATTATTTGTTTGTTTGTTTGTTTGTTTTCTGGTTTGTTTAAGTTCCTTGAAGATTCTGGATATGTAGTCCTTTGTCAGATGCATACTTTGCAAATATTTTCTCCCATTCTATGGGTTGCCTGTTTACTCTGATGATTAATTCTTTTGCTGTACAGGAGCTTTTTAGTTTAATTAGGTCCCATTTATTTATTTTTGTTTTTGTTGCACTTGCTTTCAAAAGCAAGTCTTAGTCACGAATTATTTGCTTAGGCCCAATGTCAGGAGAGATTTTCCTGGGTTATCTTCTAGAATTTTTATGGTTTCAGGTTTTAGATTCAAACTGATCCATTATGAGTGGATTTTTGTATAAGGTAAGAGACAGGGATCAAGTTTTATTCTTCAACCTGTGGCTATCCAGTTTTTCCAGAACCATTTATTAAATAGAGTGCCATTTCCCCAATTTCTGTTTTTGTATGCTTTATCAAAGATCAATTGATTGTAACTATTTGGCTTTATTTGCACGTTCTCTATTCTGTTCCATTGGTCTATGTGTCTAGTTTTACATCAGTACCATGCGGTTTTGGTACCTATAGCCTTGCAGTATAATTTGAAGTTCGTTAATGCGATGCCTCCAGGTTTTAATTTTGCTTAGGATTGCTTTGGCTATTTGGGCTCTTTTTGGTTCCATATGAATTTTAAAATTGTTTTTTTTAATTCTGTGAAAAATGATGTTGGTATTTTGATAGGAATTGCATTGAACATGTAGATTGCTTTGGGCAATATAGTCATTTCCATGATATTGGTTCTTCCAATCTATGAGCATGGGATGTGTTTCCATTTGCTTGTGTCATCTATGATTTCTTTCAACAGTGTTTTGTAGTTCTCCTTATAGAGATCCTCCACCTCCTTGGTTAAGTGTATTCCTAGGTATTTTATTTTATTTTTGCTGCCATTGTAAAAGAGATGTCCCTTTTATACCTGGTTTGTTGAGAGTTTTTATCATAAAGGGATGCTGGATTTTGAATACTTTTTCTCCATCTATTGAGATGATCATATGGGTTTTGTTTCTTAATTCTGTTTACTTGATGTGTCACATTTGTTGACTTGAGTATGTCAAACAATGTCTGCATTCCTGGAATGAAACACACTTGATCATGATGCATTATCTTTTTGATGTACTGTTGGATTTGGTAAGCTAGTATTTTGTTGAGGATTTTTGCATCTCTGTTCATCAGGGATATTGGTCTGTAGTTTTCTTTTTTATTATATTATTTCCTGGTTTTGGTATCAGGGTGATAGTGGCTTTATGGAATAAGTTAGGGATAATTCTCTCTATCTAAATCTTTTGGAATAGTTTCAGTAGGATTGGTACCAATTCTTTGAATATCTGGTAGAATTCAGCTGTGACTCCATCTGGTTCTCGGCTTTTTTTCTGGCAATTTTTAAATTACTGATTCAATCTCACTGCTTATTATTGGTCTGTTTAGAGTTTCTATTTCCCGATTTAATCTAGGAGGGCTGTATGTTTTCAGGAATTTATCCATTTCCTCTAGATTTTCTAGTTTGTGTGCATGAAGGTGTTCATACTAGTCACAAATGATCTTTTGTATTTCTGTGGTGTCAGTTGTAATGTTACTAGTTTCATTTCTAATTGAGCTTATATGAATCTTTTCTTGGTTAATCTGGCTGACAGTCTAACAATTTTATCTTTTCAATGAATCAGCTATTTAATTTCAAAGGTTACATTGACCTTTTTTATTTTTTGTTTCAAATTTACTTAGTTCTGCTCTGATCTTTGTTATTTCTTTTCTTCTGCTAACTTTGGGTTTAGTTTGTTTTTGTTTCTCTAGTTCCTTGAAGTGTGACATTATGTTATCAATTTTGGACTTTTTGATGTAGGCATTTAGTACTATAAACTTTCCTCTTAGCACTGCTTTGGCCATATCCCAGAGGTTTTGATACTTGTGTCACTATTATCATTCATTTCAAGTAATTATTAAAATTTTTATCTTGATTTCACTGTTAACCCAAAACTTATTCAGGGGAGATTGTTTAATTTTTATGTATTTGTATAGTTTTAAGGGTTCCTTTTGGAGTTGATTTCTAGTTTTATTCCACTGTGGTCTGAGAAGATAGCTGACATGATTTCAATTTTAAAAAATTTCCTGAGACTTGTTTTGTGGCCTATCAGATGGTCTATACTGGAGAATGTTCCTTGTGCTGATGAAAATAATGTATATCCTGCAGTTCCTGGGTAGAATGTTCTGTATGTATCTGTTAGGCCATTTGTTCTAGAGTGTAGTTTAAGTCTATTGTTTCATTGTTGACTTTCCATCTTGATTATCTTTCTAGTCCCATCAGTCCAGTGTTGAAGTTCCCCACTATTATTGTGTTGCTGTCTATCTCATTTCTTAGGTCTAGGAGTAATCGTTGCATGAATCTGGAAGCTCCAGTGTTAGGTACATATAAATTTAGGATTGCAATATCCCTTGTTGAATTGGCCCTTTTATCATCTTTATATAATAATCTTTGGGTTTTTTTTTCTGTTGTTGCTTTAAAGTCTGTTTTATCAGATGTAAGAATAGGTACTCCTGCTTGCTTTTGGTTTTCATTTTCATGAAATATCTTTTTCTCCTCCTTTACATTGAGCTTAAATGAATCTTACATGTTAGTGAGTCTCTTGAAGACAGCAGATACTTGCTTTGTTTTGTTTTGTTTTTTGTCCATTCTGCCAATCTGCATCTTTCAAGTGGAGCATTTAGGATGTTTACATTCAATGTTAATATTGAGATGTGAGGTGAGGTACTGTTCCAATCATTATGCCTTCCTTGTTTTCTTCATTGCCTTATTGTTTTATGAGCCCTGCGAGTTTTATTCTTTCAAGAAGTTCTATTCTGGTGCATATCAAATGTTTGTTTCAAGATTTAGACCTATTTTTAGTATTTCCTGTAGGGAAGGTCTGGTAGTGACAAATGCCCTCAGCATTTGTTTGTCTGAAAATGACTTTATTTCTCCTTCATTTATTTAGTTTTGCTGGATACAAAAATTCTTGTCTAACAACTATTTTATGTAAGGATGCTAAAGAAAAAAACCCCAGTCCCTTCTTGCCTGTAAGGTTTCTGCTGAGAAGTCTGCTGTTAGCGTGACAAGTTTTTCTTTACAGGTTACCTGATGCTTTTGTCTTACTGCTCTTAGAATACTTTCCTTCACATTGACTTTAGATAACTTGATGACTATATGCCTTAGTGATGTTCTTTTTGCAGTGAATCTTCCAAGTGTTCTTTGAGCTTTAGGTATTTAGATATTTATATCTCCATCAAGAACAGGGGAGGTTTTCTTAATTATTTCCTCAAATAAATTTTCCAAACTTCTTGTTTTCTTTTCTCCCTTAGAAAAACAAATTACTCTTAGGTTTGGCTGTTCTACATAATGTCATATTTCCTGGAAACTTTGTTCATTTATTTGGATTCTTTATTTTTGTCTCATTGGGTTAATTTGAAAGGCTTGTGTTCAAGTTCTGAAATTTTTTATTTTACTTATTTTAGTCTATCGTCAAAACTCTCCACTGCATTTTGTAATTTCATAAATATGTCTTTCCATTTTAGAATTTCTGATTGGTTTTTCTTTAAAATATATTTCTCTTTAGAAAAATTTTTGTTTATATATTTAATTGTTTTTTAAATTTATTTATGGTTTTCACTTTTGTTTGGTATCTCCTTGAGGAGCATCATAATCAACTTTTTGAATTATTTTTCTGGTATTTCAAAGATTTTTACCTCAGGTTGGATCAATTGCTAGAGAGCTAGTGTGATATTTCAAGGGTGTTATAGAACTTTGTTTTGTAATATTACCTGAATTATTTTTCTGATTTCTTCTCATTAGAAGACTATTTCTTCTAATTATTCTTGAATTTATTTTTTTATTTAACTGTGTTTTTTAAATTTATTTTTCCCCTTTAAGGATGTGACTTTATTACTCATAGTTTGTTGTAGCTTAATTCAGCTCTTGATGCTTTCAAGGGTGAACAGTATGTTTGAGTTCCTTGGTTATAGAGAGTCTTTGTATAATGGCTTCTTCAGATGCTGATTGTAGTAGCAATGTGCCTAGCGTGTGAACAAGTTCACTACCTCCTATGGAGCTGGAAGGGCAGACGCCTCTTGAAACTTACATAATTCCCTTGTGGTGTGTTCTTTTTTATTTATTTTTTCTCCAGTATTTTATTTACTGAGTTGAATAGTTCCAGGCTTCAGGCCAGTAGTGGGGGTATCCCTGGGTAGAAACTAATTGTAGCTAAAGCAGGTGGCTAAATGCAATATGCAATGGTGGGCAGAGGTCCCAGCCTTGACAGAGGCGGCTGGAGGAGCTCTCAGTGAAATGCACTGAAGTATTATCAAGAGAAGAGTAGGGACCACCTCAGCCCTTCTGCCAGGCCAGCAGGAAAGTGATACACATCTCAGACACTCTCCTGACCAAATTTTCTAGCTATTCAGATCAGACAGGCATCACTTTTCATCTCCAAGAATGTTGGTGTTCTAAGTAGAGAGGAGTTGTGACTCTGCCTCTTGCGCAAGCCTAAACCTGGAGAGTGGTCCTCCTGTGGGCATGCAGTCACCCTGGAGTGTTCCAGAAAGGCTGTCTATAGGTGCACTTATGCCAAGCCCCCATGGGAGAAGCCCCAGCTGTGTCTGCAGTGGTGGATGAGGGAGAAAAGATGTTCCCTTCTTCATGACATTTCATAAACACCATGGCTGCCTGACTGTTGGGGTAGAGCTGCAGGCTTTCTCCACTGAGCCCAGCACTGCAACTGTATCTCTGCTGAAAGAAACTTCCCACCACGGAAATATGTGGAATTCAAGACTTGCCATTTAGATTCTTTTGTCCCACAGGGTGGTCCCTTGATCAACATTCACAGTAGTCTGCTTTTTAGGGACTCCTAGACTAGGAGACTCTCCTAAACTAGGAGAGTCCCTGAGACCCAGACTACTGCGAATGATGCTGCTCCTCTGGGTTTAGCAGCCCAATAGGACTGCCTCACTCTAGGCTGGTGCTGGAGAATGTCTGCAAGGGATCCAGTAATGTGACCTGTCCTCAAGTCTCCCAGCACTGGGTACCAGCACCAGCTCTGATGGGAGTGGCAGGAGACTGATGAAGTCTGTGAGATTCCATGGTTATTTAATAGCCTCAGTGTGTTGACTTTCTCAAATGGTGGTTGTCATAGTAATGAACTAGTCATGTGGAAAGACTCAGGACCTCCTGGTTAGCTAAGGTGGTAGAGGCAATGGTGATAGCTGAGGTCATGTATAAATTTTCTCTTTCCTGGGTGCAGTGCTATCTACCTGCAGATGCCATAATGGACTATGTTGGTTGTCCTCCAGCCAGGAGATGAGACTTGCAAAAGAGGGCCAGCTGTGGTAGTAGCAGTGGGATTTGTGCTTGCCTTATGTTACCCAGGGGAGGTACTCTGGTTTCTCAGGCAGTGGGAAGGGTTATAGAGTTCCCCAAAGTTGCTTTCATTTGTGTTAAGCTACCAAAGGGAGTGAAGGGGCAAAGCCAGGTTGGGGCTGGGTCAGGCAGGTCCGTGCTCTGGCTCTCCACATGTGGGGCAAGCAGCAGCCCCTGTGGGGATAAGAAGTTAGTTCTCTTGGCACTAGGGTAATGTTCCTGGGAGAAACATATCTGCCTCTGCTGCATAGAAGAGTTTGCACACACAGTGGAGAGTCGCAGGTGGCAGTAAGCCCCACCTTGCTCCCATATATTTGGCAAGGCAGGTCTCACACTTGCAGAGTTCCACTAGGAGCAGCTAGCTAAGTTCCACAGAGTCTACACTCAGAACCCCAAACTGTCCCAGACCATAAGTCTTCCTTGTGGAGATAGCAACCACAGCTTTCAGGTCACCCCCTCTCCCAGAGCACCAAGCTCCTGCACTCATGGCTGCAGCACACTTTCCACCAGCCACCTGGTTCTGGCCAAGGGAGTTTTTTTCTACTCGATATTATATCACACATTTCAGTTGGAAGCTTCTCTCAACCTGCAACCACTGCCTGTGCTAGCTAGCAGACTTCTTGGAGGTCCCCTATGATGTAGAATCAGTAATGATTTCCCTTGATCTGTGATAGAGACTGGGAAAGCACGCAAGACTCTTCCCTCTGCTTCTTCTACTTGCAAATTCTCCACACTCCCTAAATTAGTTCTAGCACTGGGTAGGATTAAGGCCTTTCCCAGTGGCCTGGATTGCCAGCTTCCCCAGTGGGGCTGTATATCCTAGAGGCAGCCTTTCTCCATCTCATGCTTTGGGGACTTATAGTTTATCCCCTGGATCACAGTGTAGGCTATAGCTTGCCACTTTTTTCAAAGAGTCTGCAATTTCTTTCAGTTTTCCCATTACATTTCTGCCTTGCTTCTTGGAAAAAAGTTCACAACGTGAATGTCTACACTATTTTGTTTTTCTAAGTGGCAGAGGCATGCTAACACTGCCTCCAATCTGCCATCTTGGAAAGAAAAAACACTGCCTAAATCTCTATCACTGGCATCCTAAACCTCTATCCTAAGTTTCACCTACTTAAGTCATTTATTTTTAATTACCTCATAACTTCTCTTGGGAGTTATCTAACACCACAAACTCAACATTTCTGTATAAAGCATCATTTCCTCAAGCATACTCATCTTTTAAGTTTTCATTTATAGTGAATAGTACCACAACCCAACAGGTCACTCAGACTAAAGACGTCAAAATTATCTTACATGCACTCTTCTTCCTTGTATCTCATATACTATCAGTCACTGATTTGTGTGAAGTCTTACTTTTAAGACTTTCTCAGATATGACCCCTCTCCTCTCAGATTCTAGGACCTTAATTGATATTTCTACCAGCATCCTTCAAATGCCTTCTTAGCCTCCATACGCACTCTTCTCCCATAATTATCCAAGGCCATCACTATATTTAAAAAAAGTCTAATTGTTTCTCCTCTGCTTAAAGTACTTTGATGAATCTCTATTGTCTTCCAGAAAATTCTAACCTCTTTAGTTTTGCAGGTAAGATCCATCATCATCTGGCTCCTTTCTATTTTTCTATGCATACAACTTCATTTCCAACCATTTCCCTGTATGTCTCCTGTAACATAGCTAGGCAGCTTTCTTGGACCTCCACTCCCTAATATGTATACAAAGTTGCTCTTTTCACACATCATTTTTTCTTCCTGAAATGCCCTTCCTCCTCCTGTATATTCTAGTCTTCCTGGTGTTTTAACTTGTACTTATGCTTATAAATTTTACACTGATGTTATTACCATTTCTCTGAATATGTCCCCGAGTGTGCCCCCACTTCATGCCAACAAAGAAATGGAAATTTCTACTCTTGCTTTTAAAACAACATTATGAGAAAGGAGCTTCAAGATGAATGACTAAAGACATTTCATACTCTCCTCCTCCCTAAGAAAAACTAAAACGGCGAGTAGATAATCACAAATAGATCATCCAAGAGAGAACACTGGAGTTCAACAGAAAAATGACAGGAAATACGTACAGCAAAAAGGATAAGGAAGTGAGGCAGCCTGTTTGGCTGAGATCAGCTGAAGGCTAACAGAGACTCCCCAGTACAGGGAGAAAAAATGTAACTGACAGACTCTCAGGGGTTGACTGTGGAAGAATCTCAGAAATTGAAAACAGATATTTTAAAATAATTTTGCAAGACAAAAACTTTAGAAAATAATAAAAAGGAATTACCAAAGCCATCGTAACATGTGGGACCCATAAAATATTTGAATTATTGGGGTCTCAGAAGGCAAAAATAAAAATGAGATGATTGGAAAATCTATTTTAAAAATAATAGATGGGAACTCCCCAACAATAGCAAGTGATTTAGACATCTAGATACAGGAAGTTATGAGATCTCCAAAGAGATACAATACTAAAAGGTCTTTACAGCACATTATATTCAAACTGTCTAAAGTCAAAAACCAAGAGAAATTTCTAAAAATAGTAAGAGAGTAATATCTAGCTGCCTGTAAAGGAACCCCCACTAGACTAACAGCAGATGTCACAGCAGAAATGTTACAGGTCAAGAGAGACTGAGATGATATATTCACAGTACTGAAAGAAAAAACTTCCAGCCTAGGGTAGTATAGTCAGAAAGATTATCCTTCATAAATTAGGAAGAAATTAAGTCTTTCTGAGATGAGGAAAAGCTAAAGGAATTCATCACCACTGAGTTTAAAGGTTGTTCTTTAAACTAGTCCTACAAGAAATGTTGAAGGGAGTCATAAGCCTGGAAGTGCAAAAATGACATTTGCCACCATTAAAACACACAAAAGTATAAATCTCAGTAGTAAAGCAAACACTCAAATGAGGAAGAGAAAGGCTAAAATGGTACCACTACATAAAACCACAATGACAAACAATAAGAGAAAAAAAAAAGGAATAGAGTATACAAAACAACCAGAAAACAATTAACGATATGACAGAAACAAAACCTCACATATCAATATAACTTTAAATGTAAATGGATTAAATTCTCCACTTAAAGTATATAGACTAGCTGCATGGATTAAAAAAAAAAAAGCATGATCCATCTCTATGCTGCCTACCAGAAACATACTTTACTTGTAAAGACACATATAGACTGAAAGTAAAAGAACGGAAAAATATCTTCCATGTAAATAGAAACCCAAAACAAGCAAGAGCTACATCAAATAAAACAGACTTTATGTCAAAAACAGTAAAAACAGACAAAGATGGTCATTATGTAATGACTAAGGTATCAACCCAGCAATAGAATTTACCAACTCTAAGTATATATGTACCCAACACTGGAGCACACAGGTTCATAATGCAAATATTACTAGATCTAAAGAAAGATAGACTAATATAATAATAATGGTGGATTTCAACACCCCACTCCCAGAATTAGATCATCATGACAGAAAATCAAAAAAGAAATATTGGATTTCAACTGAATGTTAGACTAAGTGGATCTAACACATTTGTAGAACATTTATCCAATAACTGCAGAATATACATTCTTCTCATCAGCACATGGAATATTTTTCAGGATACGCCATATGTTAGGCTTCAAAACAAGTTTCAACAAGTTTTCAAATATCAAAACCTTATCAAGAATTTTCTAAGACCCAATGAAATAAAATGAGAAGTTAATACCATGAGGAACTTTGGAAACTCTACAAATACATGAAAATTAAGCAACATGTTCCTAAATGACCACTGTGTCAATGAATAAATTAAGATAGAAATCAAACAATTTATTGAAACAAATAAAAATGGAAACATAACGAAACCTGTGGGTAAAGCAAAATCAGTACTATGAGGGATAGTTATAGCCATAAATGCCTACATCATAATAGTAGAAATATTTCAAATAAACAATCTAATGATGTACAACAAATAAGTAGAAAAGCAAGAACAAACCAAACCCCAAATTAGTAGAAGAAAATAAATAATAACGATTAGAGTAGAACTAAACAAAATAAAGACATAAAAATGTAAAAAAATAGCAAGACTAAAAGTTGGCTCTTTGAAAATATAAATAAAATTAATAAACCATTAGCTAGACTAACCAAGAAGGGAAGAGAAAAAAGCCAAATAAAAAAATCAGAAATGAAAACAGAGATTACAACTGATACCACAGAAATAAAAACGATCATCAGATACTATTATGAACAACTATACACTATCAAACTGGAAAACCTAGAGGAAATGGACAACGTATTGAAAAATGCAATCTACCAAGACTGAACTAGGAAGAAATATAAAACCTGAACAGACCAATAATGAGTAGTGAGATTAAATCAGTGATAAAAATTCTCCCAATAAAGAAAAGCCCAGGACTAGATGGATTCACTGCTAACTTCTACCAAATATATTATAAACTGATACCAATTCTCTGAAAACTATTCCAAAAAAAAAATAAAGAACAGAAAATTAACCCTAACTCATTCTATAAGGACAGCATTACCCTGATACCAAAACCAGACAAAGACACAACAAAAAGAGAAAACTACAGGTCAATATCCCTGAAGAGCAAAGATAAAATAATCCTTGACAAAATACTAGCAAGCCAAATTTAACAGCACATCAGAAAGATAATAGAATATGATCAAATGTGATTTATACCAAGGATGCAAGGATGGTTAATGCAAATCAATAAATGTGATATACTATACCAACACAATTAAGGACTAAAACCATATGATCACTTCAGTAGACACAGAAAAATCATTTGATAAAATTCAACATCCTTTCATAATAGAAATTCTCAACAAACTAGGCATAGAAGGAATATACCTCAAAATAGTAAAGGCCATATTGAGAGATATGATGTTAGAATTAGAAACCCACAGATAACATCATACTGCACAGGAAAGAGATGAAAGCCTCTCCTCTAAGAACTGGAACAAGGTAAGAATGCCTACTTTCACTACTTCTATTCAACATATCACTGGAAGTTCCAGCCAGAGCAATCAGACAAGAGAAAGAAATAAAAGACATCCAATTTGGAACAGAGAAAGTCAAATTGTTCATCTTTACAGATGACATAATCTCATATTTAGAAAAAAAGACTCAACCAATAAACTCTTAGAGCTGATAGGCAAATTCAGTAAGTTTTCAGGATATAGAATCAACATACAAAAAATCAGGAACTGTTTATATACACCAGTAATGAAATAGCTAAAAAAGAAATCAAGAAAGCAATCCCATTTACAATAGCTATAAAAATAAAATAAACTGAAATACCTAGGAATAAATTTAAAGAACTGAGAGACTGATAAAAGGAAAACTGTAAAACATCCATGAAAGAAGTTGAAGAAGACATAAACAAATGGAAAGGCATCCCATACTCACAGATCATACTGCACAAAACAATATATAGATTGAATTCAATACCTATCAAAATACCAACATTATTTTTTACAGAAATAGTAAAAACAATCCTAAAATTTGCATGGAACTAAAAAACAGCCCAAATAGCCAAAGCAATCCTGAGCAAAAAGAACAAAGGTGAAGTCATCATACTACCTGACTTTAAAATATATTACAAGGCTATAGTAACCAAAACAGCATGGTATTGGTATAAAAATAGATACAAGGACAAATGAAATGCAATAGAGAACTCAAAAATAAATTCATATATTTACAACCATTTGACTTGACAATGTCACCAAGAACATATACGGGGGAAAGAACACATTCTTTAACAAATGGTACCGGGAAAATTGTATATCCGTAAGCAGAATGACACTGGATGCCTATCTTTCACCCTCTATAAAAATCAACTGAAGATGAGTTAAAAACTTAAATATAAGACCCCGAACTACAAAACTACTAAAGAAAACATGAGGAAAATACTTCAGAACATTGATCTAGGCAAAGGTTTTTTCGCTAATACCTCAAAATCACAGACGACTGGAACAAAAAAATAGATAAGTGGTACCATAATAACTAAAAATATTCCACAGACCAAAGGAAACAATCAGCAGAATGAAGAAACAACCTGTTGAGTGGAAGAAAGGAGTTGCAATTTACTCATCCAACAAAGGTCTAACATCCAGAATATACAAGAAACTCAAACAGCTCAACAACAAAAATACCATTAACAAGAGGGCAAAAGACACAAATAGACAATTCTCAAAAGAAGACATACAAATGGCTAACAAGTATATGGAAAAAAGCTCAGCATCACTAGTAATGAGAAAAATGCAAATCAAAGCTACAATGAGGTATTATCTTAGCTCAGTTAAAATGTCTATTAATGGAAAGACAAAATAACAGATTCTGGTAATAATGTAGAAAAAAAGAGAAATTTTGTACACCATAGTAAAAATGTAAATTAGTACAACTACTATGGAAAACCATATGTAGATTTCTCAAAAAACTAAAAACAAAACTACCATACAACCCAGCAATTTCCCTACTATCTATCCAAAGAATAAGAAATCAGTATATCAAAGGGATACCTGCATCTGCAAGTTTAACACAGCACTATTCACAATAGCAAAGATATGAAATCAACCTAAGTGTTTATCAATAGATGAATGGATAAAGAAAATGTGGTATATATACACAATGGAATACTAGTTGGCCATAAAAAAGAATAAAGTTATTTCCTTTTCAGCAATATGGATGGAATTAGAGCTCATTACATTAAGTGAATTAACCCAGGCACATAAAGACAAATATTTCTTGTTCTCACTCATATGTAGGAGGTAAAAAAGTTGACCTTAAGGTAGAAAGTAGAATGATAGATAGTAGAGGCTTGGAAGGGTGGGTGGGGAAGTGAGGGGATAAAGAGAGGTAGATTAACAGGTGCAAAGATACAGCTACATAGAAGGCATAAGTTACAACTTAAAAAAAGCATAATAAGTTCTATTGTTTAACAGCAGATTAGAGTAACTATAGTTAACAATGTATTTTATATTTCTAAGTATCTAGAATAGGGGACTTGAATTGTTCCAATATATAGAAATGATAAATACTCAAAGGGATGAGCACTTGATAATTTGATAATTGATAACTACACATTCTATGCATGTAACAAAATATCACATGTACCCTACAAAGATGTAAAATTTTATGTATCCATTAAAAAATGATAAAATATCATGCTATAGACCTCCATCATTACACTTACCAGTTGTATTGTCTGTCTTCCTCTCAGAAGATAGATTACTTTTGTTTATTCAACAAATGCATTTATTGGATGCCAGTTTTTCTCATGCACTGTTTTAGGCTCATAGAATAAAACATTGAACAAGCAAAAACCCCATTCTAATGGAGCTTAGTAGGAAAAGACAGACAACAAACAATAAACATAAATAAGTAAACTGTGTAATATGTTATGAGTAATAGGCTAAAAGAAATCAAGAATACCACGGTCAAGAAAAAGAAGGGAAGATTGATTTTAGTTTAAATAGGGTGGTAAGTGGTCATTGAGAGGCTGAGATTTAAGCAGACTTGAAGGAGGTGAGGGTGGGTCATGCAGATACTGGGGAGTGGGCTTGTCTTGCCTGGGAGAGAGTAAAAAAGACGAGCTCAGCAACTGAACAGAGGGCTGGACCATGTAGGATGTTAAAGACCTTGGCATAGGATTTAGCTTTGAAATGAGAAGCTAGGGCAGGGTGTTGAGCAGAGAAGGGGTGCAACTTGACCTATGTTATAAAAAGGTCTCCCTAGTTACAATACTAAGAACAGACTGTAGGGGCAAGTGTGGGATCAGAAAAACAATTTAGAAGGCCATTGCAACAATCAAGGTAGGAGGAATAAATGGAAAGATTGTAGAAGAAAGGAAAAAAGAGAGAAAGGAATCAGAGTACAGGAGAAAGCAAGAGATTGTGAAGAGAAGACATTAGGGAATGAAAAATAAAAGCAGAACTCCCTGTTCAGACTCTGAGCCAGTTGCTAACCCATTAGTATGGTATTCCATCAGCTGCAAACTCAGCAGTGTATTCATGCTTTCCTTTCCAGGATTAGTAGCTACTAACCTAGCTCCTTTTGATTAATCTAAGAGTACATTCTGCTGGCTGAGCCACCCATCTATATGCCTGTATGCCTTCTGAACAACAAAATTGGCCCCTGGGACAAGAGCCTAAAAGAAATTAGGATAAGGCTAATGGAAATCAGGCAACTGGACTGAATATAGTGCTATATCCTACTTCTCTCTTCAGTTTGTCTTTGCCTTGTTTTCTTGTGAATCTATGTTGAGGGAGAAATTCTATCTGTATTTGCTTCAATAAAATGTTTGTGTTCTCTTAGCTTAGGAGGATGCTGAGAAATAGAATGATTTCAACAGTGGTTCAAGGTAGGAAGAGAAAAGCTGAAGAAAACAGAATAGTATAAAAATCATTTGGGAAACCAATAGGTTTTCAGCCTTCAGAAAACTATTTTAATTGCAGCCATCTTTTAAAATTATTGGAAACAACTCGATTTAAAATTGTAAATTGTACTATATTAACAACTGTTTTCCATATATACTTTCTTACAACACATCACCTTGATTTCTAGCTGTGGAAGAGTAAACTGTCCATATTTCTTTAGTTCTTTGCTTGTTTCCCATTTTCTGCCCTAGCAAGCATTTCATTATAATGTTATTTTGCTTAGACAAATCTTGCTAAGATATTTCATAATTGCCCTTCCTGTCTTGGAAGTTATTATATTGATCATTTTGAGAAATAATATTTACTTTTTGGTTTGCATGTATTTGTTCAGTGCATTCCTAATGCAGCCACAGCAATTATCAGAGCTAATTCCTGAAAGTTGAGCAATCCCAGTCTTTGGCTCCTATCTATAGGTTTTCCTTCACTTTTACAAATAATGATTTATGCAAAGTCACCAAGACAGCTATTGCTTCAATGTTAGGTTTATTATCTCCAGGATGAACAGACAAGTCATTAAGCGCTCAGGGGAGGATTAGTGTAGAGAGAGATCACCACATTGTGATTTTCTGGTTACATGGTTCAATACAATGATGGTTTAAGGAAGTAAAAGCCAGTTTTAGCACTGCCATTATGGAGCAGTGTATATCATCAATAGGCAGTTATAAAAGCTGTGACTGATAGGAATTCCCCCACCATAAAAGTTCCTTCCATCACGTACCCACTGAGTGAGTCACGTAGAAGAATAACTTCTAAGGAATGTGATTAATTCCTCAGCTTTTACATTTTGATATAATTTTTATACACGAGCTAAGGCTATAAAGTGATAAGATAGATTACACAAGAGTCTTGTGCAATTAGCTTCATTACTTTAAAGCCACATTTTATGTTGGTGTGTGTTTCTTACTGTACAGAGCATAGGTTTGTGGATATGTAACTGTATTCGTTGTCCTAAAGACAGAAGTATATCTTTTTATTTGTGCTCTGAACATGCATTACAGTGGGTGGGACACAGGAATGGGAAATGAATGAATGAATCAATGAATGAACGAACCATCATCTATATATACATCTACCTGCTCTCCTTGCCCACTTTATTTTAAACAGTAATGTAAGTTAATCATTCTCTTACTAAAATGATTCAAAATCCTCCCATTTTCCAGATAACAAAGCCCTATCTGACTAGTGTTGTATTGAAAATCTTCTGCAATGTGTCTCCAACCCTGCTTTCCAATCTGGCTTCCTACTCTTTCCTACATAAGCCTCCCGCTTCAATCAAACTGGCCAAGGGAGTATCTATTAGGTCAGATAGATCTCTACCTTTCTATCTTTGCTCACACTAGAATGTACTCCTGTTCGTCTTATGTTTGTCAGCTTTCTGAAAGTGTTAATGACATGTAATAATAATAACAATAACAACAACAATACAGTTGGTATAGTTCAGTAAAGAACACAGATTTGGAGCCAAATGCCTGGGGTTTTATCACAGATATCACAATTCCAGATTGTGTGAACTAAAGCAAATTGTAGTAGTAGTAGTAATAGCAGTAGGGCTGATGTTTGTACAGTTGGTATAGTTTAGTAAAGAACATAGATTTGGAGCCAAATGCCTAGGGTTTAATCACAGATATCACAATTCCAGATTGTGTGAACTAAAGCAAATTGTTTAATCTCTCTGGACCTCAGGATCTTCATCTTTAAGATGGGAATAATAATGTACTACTCCTAAGGTTGATGTGAAGATAAAATGAGTTGACACATGTAAGTAGTGCTAAGAACGTAGAAAATGCTTGATAAAATTAATTCTGGTTCCAGAGCATTTACCATATACGAGACAATATACTGTTTTTGCATGTCTTATTTAATTCTCTCAACAACCTTTGAAGTAGAACCAATTATTTTCTCTCCAGTTTACTGATGAGAAAACTAAGGCTCAGAGTTACTTATCAGAGTCAGGCTCTGAGTTAACTGAGTCAATTAATTACTTAACCCCCATTCACATAGCACAGAAGTGATTAGGCTGTAATTCAAACCCGAGCAGCCAGATTCCAGAGCCTGTCTATTATCCAGTTTGAGTTTACTTCTTCCCAAGGGCCATTACAAATCCTGCCTAATTTGTCGAGCTTTTCTTGACCACTAGGTGCTTCAATGTTCTATAGCATTTATTAAGACCATTGTTTGATAGTAACATTATTTTAGCATTTATTGGGTATTAAGCATCTAAAAAATTGTATTAACTCTTTTAATTTAATATTTGTAATCCGATATTTCAAACATCCTCACTTCTGCTGTGATTAAAGTCATTTGAATGGTATTTGAGGGGCAAGCCTTGATCTCTATATGTGCACACATGCAAAATGTTCCATAAACATAAGTGCTCTCAGAAGCGTTACCATTGCTTGCTGCAGGTGATAATGGTAATGAAACTGGAAAGAAGCATATATCATTATTTTAGGTTGAACATAGATTTGGTGAAGCCAGACAATGAATCTCTGTGGTTTCAGAAAAGGACACAGTGAAAACCATTTTGTTAGATGGATCTGCTACCAAACTGAGAACTGGGCTTCTGGGGTTCAGACCCTTGCTTTGTTACAGTGCTGTGTAGGATTTCAGTTTGGGGTGTGTGTGTTTGGAGGTGGGGGGTAATCACTGCTATGTTCTCACTTTAGTTATGTATAAAAGTGTGTTGGTAATATTGGGCTGACTTGCCTCACAGAGGTGTTAAGGTCCAAATAAGATAATGCATATGAAGGAGTTCCCCAAATGTACACAATGAGCCCCTGACATCTATGAGGGTTATATTTCAAGTGAGAGTTTCTTAATCCCAAATTGTGAACATCACTGTAGCATATATTTTCTTCATAAGATGCATTCAATTACAACTATAAATTTTAAGTTTCTTCTTTAAAACCTTAATTAAAATTACTGGGCATGCAACAATAAAAAGAAAACAACAAAGCTGCCTTGAGCTGTGATTAATGGATAGTCCATCAGGTTCAACTCACAAATTCATCCTTGCCATCTAAAGTGTGTTCTAAGGACCAACATCATCAGCACCTCCAGAGAAAAATGCACAATCCTAGCCCCTGCCCACACCTAATGAGTCAGCATGTTAATTTCAGTAAGGTCCTTCAGTGAGCTGTGTGCTCAGAAAATGGGAAACACTGCCCTAAATGCCTCCACTACCCTACACATTTGCCTTCAGTTACAGTTGATTTAAATTTAGACCTGAAAAAAAAATAAGCTATTACTACATGTCAGGGATGTTCACGGCCTCACCCAAAATGTCAAATCTTAAATCCCAGGAATCCCAAAGTCTGCAGCTAATGGACTATATGCCTAAAATATGCCGTTAGTTCCAATAACTGGGGCTATTCAAGTACCCTTTCTACCAAGGGGTGATACATGATAATGGGGGCCATTCTTAGGTTCAAAGATTTTTTTTAAATTGCACTCTCCTTGGAATACCTCATCTACCAGCACGAAGAGGCATGTAAAAAAGAAGAAACAATTAGCTAATGAATATGGAACGCTTAGGTGGCCAATTTTCTCTTTGAAAAAAGCTGTTTCTCTAATGAAAAAAGCTGTGGAGTATCTTGGTGAGTTACTATCTACCATGTCCATGGGGACTCAGCTTGCACACATCAATGACCTTTGGGGATATTGTTCACACCTGTGCAGTTTGAGTGAGTTAATGAAGCAAATACACATCTTCAGTCCGCTAAATAATTCACAAATTTTGAGACACAATTATTGTCAACTACCTCCTAATTCCTACATAATTCTGGAATAGATAGGCTTATTACCATTTCACCAAAGTAGAAATTCTATTTCTTTCATATAGACCACAGAGAAACACAGCAGGGACCAAAAAATAACTAAATATTCTGCTTCATATTCAAATCTCCAAATTTACTTTTTTTTTCAAAGAATGTTTATATGGGGTCCCAATGGGTGTTTTGGCTGGTCAAGTCCACAGAAGCAATGAAATAGAGTGCAGAGTCCATTATCCACATAATTTGGGATCATTTCATTCCACCTGAATTATAGTTGAGACAAAAGTAGGAAGGAGAGTTCCATGCAGACGTGGATTTTTGTCTGCGTTGTTCGTCAATATATTGCAAGGTGCTGAAAACATGGATTTTGTTCAGTTATGTTATGCCCAACGTTCCCAAAAGCTGGCTCACAGGGGGTGCTTAATAAATGTTGTCTGAATAAATGAATTCAAAAGTTCCTTGAATTTCTAATTTTATGGGACAAATGAGTATCTGGAGATATAGTACCTCACAAGATATTCAAAAGCCACAAATACAGGCAATGAATTGATTTTTCTGTGAACTGACCATTTGTAATTGTCTTTTTATTTCATTAGATTTTCTGATTATTAGACTGAATCTATTCCATCTATCAAGAGTTTAATACCATGAGAGACAATATGAAACAGGTGAAAGACTACAGATGCTGAAATTAGTCAGATCTTGACATAAATTCTAACTCTGACACAAACTGCAAAACCTTGGGCAAGTTAACCACTCTCTATTTTTCCAATGTTTAAAAAATAGGGACAATAATATCTTTTTTGAAAGTATGCAGAACTTCAATGTGACAACATAAGTGAAAGCACTTAGCCATGCAATTAAACATATCAGTTATTTTTATTGTTAGTGCTAAAGTTATTTGTATAAAAAATAAATGCAGTGAGAGTGAATTTTGTGGCAAGTGTCCCTAGTCAGAATATGGTGCAAGTTAGAAATGATTAGAAGTGAGGAAAGGCATTGAAAATTACTCAAGATAGGCAAAAAGAAAGGATCTTGCTTAAAGTGGTAAGATTTGCCTCTTCACCTAAGAATCAATTAACACAGTCTTACAAGGAACTTACAAGGTTATTAGATGTAAAATACTCTAATCATTCCGAAAGTCTTGTTCTGATCCCCTCTCCTTGCCCACCTTGACTAATTTTCACTGCCTTTTATTTCTAATTTCATTTCTGGCATTTTGACACACATACAGATTTGGGGGATGAATCAATCTCAGGAGAAGGGCTTTATAATACTAAACTTTTCTACAGAATTCTACTAAATGAAGGCTATTTGCATGTGAAATAAAAAATCACAGGTATGCCTGGACCTTAACCTTTCTGGCATGTTTAATATTATCATTACCTGGGTGAAACTGAAGACTCTCTATAACCATCAGACATTTAGCAAAATGTGAATTTATTCACCCATTCACCCATTGATTCATTTATTCATCCAACATACACTAAGCATTTACCATGTGCCTAGTTGTCTGATGAGTGCTGGAGAGATTATTACTAAGATTTCCTCCTCTTTTCAAAAAGCTGGCTAGACAACTAACATCTCAAACACAGTCGTTTGTTTGTTTTAATACTAGAGGTAAGCATCGGCACCTGTGAAAACACAAAGGAAAGTCCCTTAAACCAGAATGAATCTGTCCCAACTGCAAATATTGGGAATGTGATAGTAGTTTTTGAATGTGATATTTCTAATTTATGTTTAAGAAGAACAATCTTAACACCTGAAGTGATCAGTAAGGAAGAGTGATTTGAAAAGAAGCTAGTTTCAGAGGATCACAATGCTGAACAGGGACTTGGGGAGGTAACCAAAAGACATGAAGGAGATGACTCCACCAATTAAGTTAACACAGGCCAGGGTTTCCTGTCCCTCTATGCACAACTCTCCTTGTCATGCTTCTATGCATCCCTCATGAAAGGGAATCTCGAGTCCTCAAGCACCAATTCCCCTTCACTTCTAGTGGAAAAAAAATAAGACTTTAGTAATTAAGGGAGTGGTTAAGGTCACAGAACCATTCAGTGGCAGAAAAGGGGTTAGAAGTCCTTGAGATCAAAAACGCTAGAAGAAAATCTAGGTAATACCATTCAGGACATAGGCATGGACAAAGACTTCATGACTAAAACATCAAAAGCAATGGCAACAAAAGCAAAAATTGACAAATGGGATCTAATTAAACTAAAGAGCTTCTGCACAGCAGAAGAAACTATCATCAGAGTGAACAGGTAACCTCCAGAATGGGAGAAAATCCTTGCAATCTATCCATTTGACGAAGGGCTAATATCCAGAATCTACAAAGAACTTAAACAAATTTACAAGAAAAAAACAAACAATCCCATCAAAAAATGGATGAAGGATATGAGCAGACACTTCTCAAAAGAAGACATTTATGCAGCCAACAAACATGAAAAAAAGCTAGTCATCACTGGTCATTAGAGAAATGCAAATCAAAACCTCAATGAGATACCATCTCACACCAGTTAGAATGGTGATCATTAAAAAGTCAGGAAACAACAGATACTGGAGAGGATGTGGAGAAATAGGAATGCTTTTACACTGTTGGTGGGAGTGTAAATTAGTTCACCCATTGTAGAAGACAGTGTGGTGATTCCTCAAGGATCTAGAACTAGAAATACCATTTGACCCAGCAATCCCATTACTGGGTATATACCCAAAGGATTATAAATCATTCTACTATAAAGACACATGCACATGTATGTTTATTGCGGCACTGTTCACAATAGCAAAGACTTGGAACCAACCCAAATGCCCATGAATGGCAGACTGGATAAAGAAAATGTGGCACATATTTACCATGGAATACTATGCAGCCATAAAAAAGGATGATCTCACATCCTTTGCAGGGACATGGATAAAGCTGGAAATCATCATTCTCAGCAAACTAACACAAGAACAGAAAACGAAACACCGTATGTTCTCACTTGTAAGTGGGAGCTGAACAATAAGAACACATAGACACAGGGAGGGGAACATTACACACTGGGGCCTGTCAGAGCGTGGGGGATTGGAGGAGGGATAGTATCAGGAGAAATACCTAATGTAGATGACACGTTGATGGGTGCAGCAAATCACCATGGCACGTGTATACCTGTGTAACAAACCTGCATGTTCTGCACATGTATCCCAGAACTTAAAGTATAATAATAATAAAAGAAAGAAAGAAAGAAGGAAGGAAGGAAGGAAGGAAGGAAGGAAGGAAGGAAGGAAGGAAGGAAGGAAAGAAAGAAAGAAAGAAAGAAAGAAAGAAAGAAAGAAAGAAAGAAAGAAAGAAAGAAAGAAAGAAAGAAAGTCCCTGAGATCTCTGAGGTGTCTGCTAAATATCTATTTCTTGGCTTATGGAATTCATGACCCCACTTTTCTGACTTAGTAAGAACCCTGCAGAGAGAAGGGTGACTTCTCGTCACTCTAGGACCTACAGCAAACACATGACCTTCTCCCACCAATCTGGATATATTCGTGGTTCTCACATTTTGTCTGCATCCCTATATTATACCAAGAGCAGAGCACTATAGTTAATGTATTTACATAGACCCACTTCTACCAAACTATACCCTTTGAGAGGAGTACACATTGTCTCTTATTCTTTTTTTTTTTTTTTGCCTCTCCAGTGTTCAGTGTTTGCTGAAAGAATTGAATGTTCCATCTGATTTGATTACCAATTCCTGCAGTTCCCTGAATTCAGCCCACATTGTGCAGCACTCTAAAAAATTCTAGAACAATCCCTTCCCCCAAATTTTACACAACTTGGTTTGAACTCCCTCTGCTGGTGAATCCAGTAAAATCCCTCGACTACGGATCTAGTTTACAACGTTCACTGAGAAAAAGAGAAGGCTATCAAGCAGAAAAAAAGTCTAAAATAGACAGCATTTCCTGAGGGAGCATTAAACTTCATCTTTAAGAGATCATTGCTTTGTGCAAGGAAACACTATAAAAAAGAGTGAACCTTATCATCAGTTTCACTGTGTAGTTGAGCCTAGGAGTAAAGTGCAGAGATTGAGAAATCTCCTGGGCCGAGATAGGAGGATAACTAATGAACTAGAAGATATCTGGGGTGTGTGATCCTTAATTGTACATTTCATTGCTTTTACTATTTTCTATTACAACTTTATAGCTGGCTAACCGTATTTTTCAAGAGCCAATGCTTGGCCGTAAGAATGTGTTTAAGAAAATAAAAAGAACCTCTTAACTTCTTTAGAAACTTTTTTCTCTTTAATAGATTTTCTCTTTTCTCCCCCGAAGCAGTGATTCTTTCAAAAACGAGAACACTAAATTTATTTCCAAAATGAATATGGAACTTTTTAATATCTCACACTCATTTTCCCCTTACCTTCCTAAGTATTTTTCTTCCTTATAATTTAATATAAGGCAATATCATGAGTCATAAGATTGATACCTAATTATTACAAGTGAAATAATTGTAAGTAATGGAGATGTATTTCACTTTCAGACTGTTGAAGAAATTGAAGCATTTTATATTATGAATGATTATTGGCTTTGAACAGTGCAGAATTTTGTGGTTCCTCATTCCACTCAAGAAGTTTTCACATGAGGCCAGTTAAAGCACATAAGCTCTTACAGATCAAATAAACTCATATAAACTTAAGTGAAAATGGAAATAAAAAGGAAGGGCATTAGCATTTATTTAGTTCTTAATATGTACAAGAGATTCACATAAATGTATTTCATATGTATGTCCACTTATCTTTACAGAAATCCTGTGAAGTAAGTATTATACCTTTGTTTTACAAAAGGGAGAATAAATTTAGAGAGTCTAAGTAATTTGCTTAAAGTCACATGGCCAGTGAATTACAGGGCCAGGATGAGAATTCAGGCTTGTTGGACTCGAACACCTCTCGATAATGATTAAAAAAACATTTAGCGTGAAATATTTGAGATATAATAAACTCTAGACATCCCCTCTTTTTCAGTCCCTTCAATGATAGAAACACTGAAGTCCAGAATATCTTAAAACTTCTTGATTCGTTTCAGATCTGCAGGAGATCTATCCTGATAAATTCTTTGTTGAAAATATAGATGACCCTTTGCTTTACTTACGCAATATTTCAGACGAAGTCTTTGAGGACCTAAATTTTATCAGTGAGTTATTTAATTTTGTATTGGCTAATACCAGCTGTGTTTGACTCTGGGTGATTGGATTGAAACTAAGACTTTACATAGAGTCAAGTTGGTGATCAGAACTACCCAAAAGAGTCCTGAGTTGCACTATCACACCATGCCCCCTCCTACTAAGGATTGTTGCACATGTGGTATTTTCTGTTTGGGAAACACTCACCTTCCCTATCTTCTCTTGGACATAAACAAACAAATACCTATTGTTCCTTCAGATCTCAGATCTATGGTGGTTTTTTTCAGAAAAGTCTTTTTCTGGTCCTCAAGTTAGGTCAAATCTCACTTCTATAATCTCTCCTGGAACCATAGATGTCTTCTTCTTAGCATTTCTCATGATTATAATTTCATATTTCTACTTGTGTGATTTATAGATTAACATCAGCCTCCACTGGATCATAATATCCATAAAGGTAGAGACTATAGTTGGCCTACCCTATTTCTCCAGTGCTTAAAATACAATAATATCTGGAATCTACAAGATGCCTATAAATACATGTTCAATGAATGAATAGACACATAAGTAAGCCAAGAGAGTAGGATGAAGAGAAATATGTTTATCCTAGAATCAAATATAGAGAAAATTAGGACATTTTAAATTGTCCAATATGTTGAAGCTTGCTTGAATGGATGCAGTGAGATATTTTATTGTATTTGTTGCTGTTTATGTGTTGTTGTTACTATTATTTTGGTATCATTTCGGTTGTTGTTTGGGTTTGTTTATTCTTGGGAGCCTGAGACAAGATCAAGAAAGAGCTTGAGATGAGAAGAGAAAGAAATAAATAGGGAAATTATTTGATGTAATGCTTCTATTTTCCACCCTAATAAATCAATAGTTGAGTTGTCAATACAATGAAGCATTATTTAACAAATGCATTTCTAACCATTTCCCGAGAACAAAACATCCAAACAAAGCATATTTCCAGTTTACTCTTTGAATCCTTTAAATAGCATAGGATTTTGAACTCTGAATTTCTACAATCCAATTCACTTTCATCATCATGCCCTATACTCAGTTTTTAAACATTTCATTGATAATGCTGTTGTATTTCAGTTCACAACAGAAATGTTTAATTCCCCCAAACACCTGTTTTTGCTCCAACAAAACAAAAGCCATCAATACAGTTCAAGTTTGGTAAATCCTGTCTACAATCCCCATTATTTTCATTGGGAAATAATAACAATTCCTGAACCTGAGAATTGAATACTCCATTTCACTTCTGAAAAGATTTTCATCAGCAAAACCCAGAGCACTCAAGTATACCATGATGAGATTAGAGTCTGCTGAAACTACTGTATTGTTTGAGCTATCAGATATTGCTCATTTGACAATCTCTGTGTTCCAAAACCTAATGAAGTTATCGCCAGTATATTTGCAAATTAAATTCTGTTGAGAAAAAAATCCATTGTCCACATCATTGGAAGCCGTCTTATGGAAATGGATTCTTTCTGTGACTTGGGATAGCTAATTATTGCTGAAAACAAGAGGAGTGGTATTGAGAGTAAGTGGAGGAGGAGAAAATGGGCACCTGGAAAAAAGCAGAGTCAGCAAAGATAAAAGGGGGCACTTGACTGCTGAGATGGAGAGACAGAGAAGCCAAAATCACCCCAGCTTATCTCCAAGCTGTAAAATCAGCCCAGGATCGGTGAAAAACATCATTAATTTCAATGTAATTAAATATCATTAGTAAGATGCTCTGGAGTGTGTGCTGCTTAAAGATAATGGAAATCCCTGGGCATAACCTATGGGGAGGCCATATCTCAGAAACACACTGCCTCCAGGCTCCCACACAGAGCTGGGAAAGTAAAAGTTGTGCACTTAGTTAACTTTGTTTATTGACTCCACAGTTCTTTCAACGACACCACCACCTCCAATAAAAAAGATTAGAAAAGATGGTGCATGGCAGCCACAAAATTTATCTTCGTTGAATCAACAGAAAGGATTGCATTGCCTAAAGTCAATTCAGGAAACTAGTTCTCCTTAACAAAAACTTTGATGGATAAGTACATAGTAGGAATGCCTTTATAAGCGGAAGAACATCTTGGAGGAATGTCATTGCTATACTTAGCATATATAATCACGTGTCATCAAAACAGCTCTAGGTCACGCTGGCTTGGTGAGATACTCACACACACCTGAGAAGTATTGATGATTGTGAGGCCTCATGAGTGTGAGACTCAACTATAATCCCCTTGGGCTGGGTAGATGGGCACAGCATACAAGCATAGCCTAGAATAGCAGGCAGAATCACCCTTAATGTTGAATTGTGTTCTGTTTATCTCTAATTTTCTAACTCACCCTCTTGCCCTCTCACCCCCTCTGTCTCTCTCCACAAATATATGAATTCAGAAAAATGAAATGTATATTTAATGCTATTACATTGTACTCTTCCCTTTGCCTAGAAGATCATTTCTCTTATCTTTATTCTAAAAGCTCATTCCCTTCATCTTCCACTTTAAGACTCCACTCAAGTCAATTCCCATCGTTCCCCAGGTCCCATTTCACTGCCCCTCTTCTGGGTTGTCTTGGAATTCTGTGTGACCCTCTATGCAATCATTTATGCCTAGATTAATAATTGGCTTGCATCACTGCCACTGCACTAGACTGGGAGTTTAGTAGTCTATGTCATGTGTCTTTTTGCATCATTAGCACTGAAAACAAAGCATGGCATCTGGGAGCTATTCAGTAAATAATGGAGGAAGGGTATGAGAGAGAAAGAAAGAGTAGGAAGAAAGAACAAGATATCTGTGTGACTTGAGCAAGGTTTTTCTCCCATGGGCCTCAATTTCCTCATTTGGAAAGTGATGGGGTGGCTACTTCCAATTTTGGAGGGTAACATTCTGTGATCCTAGATGTGGAAAAACCTCACTGAGACCTAGCATCAGTCCAAAAAGAAGCAATTAAAGGAAATACTTTAAATAAGAGATAAGCTTTAAAAATAATCCAATCAGCAGAATGCATCTCAAAATATGTGCACAGCTCTGAGCCACTATCTTGAACAGTTGGGAAGTAGCATGTTCAGCAGTGAAAGAATCTCTAGGGACTCGGCCAATATGAACTCACAGATGTTTCTGTTGAAGTCAGGTGATAAGTTTCCAACATAACCATGTTTAACCAGAGTCCTCAGTTCACCTCCAGGGCACAGCCCACTGAGCCCTAGCACCCTTGGCTTATAAAAGAAAGAGATAGATAGAGAAAGAAGAGATTTCCTAACACTGAGAACACAACCTATATCTAAGTGTTCCAAGAATTGCTGACCTTTCTCTTTCTAGAAGAAAAAAAAGTCATCATTTGATGTAATAGTAATATATTTGCTCATTATTTTACAGTTTCTCTTCACTTATCATTCTTCTCTCCATGCCAGAAAAGCCCTACTGCCATCCCCAGACAGTGGATGTAGAGATCAGAAAGGGCATGGGTTTTCTTGTCAAGGTTATATGTATATATTATATATATAAATATATTATATTTTAGTCTATATTATATATGTATTATATTATACTATATATTATATATGATACATATATGTATAATATAGACTAAAATATATTTATATATAATATATACATGTATAATATATATTAAATTATATATATACTAATTACATATGTATAATATATACAAAAATATATATTTATATGTATATGTATATTTTAAATTGCAGTTAGGGAGGTTGGGAGGATGTGAAGACGAAATAATCTGTCAAGAGTTGACACTGCAGTAAAAGCTATGTACACAGCATATCTAATTTTAAGCTTGACAAGATCCCTTGTAGGATCCTGCAGGTAACATTTTACATAAAGGAGGAAACGGAAGCAAAAGGAATTTGAAATAACTTGCTTTAGTCATCCAACAAGTAAGTGATAGAACAAGAACTTGAGCCTAAGCCTCGGGTTGTGAAAAGCCACCAAACTTCCTCTTGCTCTATGTCTTAGCTGCTCAATCAAGGCTCTCCTAATTTCTTCAGAACTTCCCAACTGGATTGCCAAGGGGTTTAAATGGGCAGAGTAATGCACTCAGGTCTCAGGGAAGCCTAGGAGGGCTTGGGGAAGCCAAGCCACATCTCTGGCCACTTTCCATACACAGTTGACCTGCCATATTATCACTACCTAACCACCTTCCTTCCCTCCAATCAGCCCCATCTCCATGAGTCCCTGGGCCCATGGCTTCCAGTCACAAGTGGCTTTATCTGTGCAACCTAGTGCTCCAAACAGAGGATATTTTCATTTTCTGTATGTGCTATGACATGAAAAGTTTGGGAAACACTGTTTTAGGCTTGTCTTCTATCACCCTATACATGTTCCAGTTGCACAGAGTTACATAATAAACAACATATGAATTTACGCTATTCTTTTATGCCTGTGTGGATTTAATAATGATGTACATGCCCTATGCAGAACGCCTTCCCCTTTTCTCTACGTGGTAAGTCTCTACCTACTTCAAGAAAAATTAAAATTTAATATCAAAAGAAGAAAGTCCCATGTTCTTATGTTTTTCTAGCACTTTCATACTACAGTTAGGGTCCTCATCATATTGCACTGTGAGTCACAGGTTTGTATATCTGTCTCACCAACTTAAAGCTCATAGAAGGTTTTCAGTAAAGTTGAATGAATGAATGTATCAAACACGGAGGGCAAAAAACTGCATTTTTATCATTTAGCATCACCAGAAGCTGGCTGAGGAGTAAACAAACTACTACTCCTAGGCCAAATATGGCCTGTGGCCTGCTTTTTTCTTTTCTTTTTTTTTTTTTTTCCACCAGAAAGCTCATAATGGTCTTTACATTTTTAAAAAGTTGTTAAAAAAAAAAAAAAAAAACTAACAAGAATGTGACATAGACCATATGTGGCCAGCAAGGCCTAAAATATTTACTATATCTGGCCCTGTACAGAAAATAGCTAAATCAATCAATTAAGATTTACTTGATTGAATTCATAAATATATCACATATAAATGATTTTTCTTCTCAACCCTAATTCTCTTGTTTTTCAACCTATTCCTCTCTGGCCTCAATTGTACCATTTTTCCTATTGCTCCTCTCGTCAGTGTTTCTTAACTTTAGTGTTGAAGTATAACACACAAAGAGACAAAAATCATAACTCTAGAGCTCAGTGATTCATCACTCAGTGAGCACAACCATGTGGCTACCACCCAGATGAAGAAAGAGTAGATTCCCACACATCAGAAGCCCCCATATCCCTTCCCAACCATTAATCTCTTCCTCTTCCTTAAAAGTAACCATATCGATAATTTCTTACCTCATAGATTAGTTTTACATTTATATAGTTTTTTAATCTTTATGCAAATGCAATAATACAGTATCATGAGCCTAATATTGAGCAAAATTTGTGTCTCAATGTTTTGCTCAATATTAGGTTTGTGATGCTTTTTTACATGGTGTCGACAGCAGTAGCCTGTTAATTTTCCTTGTTATATAGCACTTCACTGTCATTCTTTAAATTAACTTTACTGTTGACAGGCATGGCATTTTAAAAAATCTGAGCTTATTTTGAATAATGCCCTGCTTAGAACATTCTTACAAATGCATTTTGAAGATATCACTGGACACTTTCCACACTCAGTTGATCTGCCATATTGTCACTACCTGACCACTTTCCCACCCTCCCATCAGCCCCATCTCTATACTTATAGATCCTATGGCCATCTCAGGGAGCAGCACAGTGAGAGGCTAAGAGCATAGACTCTGAAACTAGACCCCCTGGGTTTAAGTCCTGGATTCCCCCATTACTAACTAAGTAATCTTTAACAAATTACTTATCCTTTCTTTGTTTTTTGTTTCATATCTGTAAAATTAGGATAATAGAATTTGTTAATTTTTGTAAACCTCTTAGAGCAATATTTGACGTAAGTGGCATATATGTTTTCTCAATAATTAACTATGTTGAAACAATTACTCTGCATTTAGAAAGATACCTTCAGCTTGAACTGTTCACATGACATAGGTTGATTTTTCTTTTTTTTTTTTTTTTTTTCAGATGGAATCTCGCTCTGTCACCCAGGCTGGAGTGCAATGGCGTGATCTCGGCTCACCGCAACCTCCGCCTCCTGGGTTCAAGTGATTCTCCTGCCTCAGCCTCCTGAGTAGCTGGGATTACAGGCGCCCACCACTGCGCCAGGCTAATTTTTGTATTGTTAGTAAAGACAGGGTTTCGCCAGGTTGGCCAGGCTGGTTTTGAACTCCTGACCTCAGATGACCCTCCCATCTCGGCCTCCCAAAGTGCTGGGGTTACAGGCACAAGCCACTATTCCTGGCCGGTTGATTATTTTCTTCTATTCTGGGGATATTTTTAAAAATCCAACTTCTTAGAAATTTGAAATCAGAATTAAACTTTCAAAAAATTACCATGGCCTCAAGTTTTGGATTAGAGATATATTTTTATTTACTCTATCCCCAATACAAAATTTTAAAACCAGATACCTTTTAGGTGCTCAATACAAATGTATTAAATAAATAAATTAAATAAATATCATGGAAAAAAGAATCAAAAATTCTCATTATTGTGGTATCAAAATTAAAATCAATTCATCTTTAAGGCAATACTTCTACATATGAAATGGTCAAAGAATGTATGATGAGAGCTACTCAGATACTAAAGCTGGGCTGTTTTTGTTCCCCAACAAAAACAGAATGCCTTTTTGGACCCTCTCTCTCAGAACTGGACAAGCTGAAACATTACCCTAGAACTCCATTTTAATTAGATACATGTTCTACATGGATAAAATTCAATGTTTAAATCAAATAATACTATAGGTTGATTTGGGGGCATGTTTATAAAATAAAACTTTTCATTTTCTTTAGATGTTTTCCCTAAGAGAATGAAAAACTCCTATTACTCTTAAGTCGGATGCAAAGCCAGCCTATTTAATGAGAGTCTACAGAAAATACGAGGTGAAAAGAAGGAAATAGAGTATAGGCAGTGGTATGCTGGTAATTGTTTAACAAATAGCTCTTTGAAGAAAAGGTTCTAATTTGTACCATTTGCCTACTTCCATGGTGTTGATACATCCAGCACGGCCCCTTTCAAGCCCCTAGGGAGGTGTTACCGAAGACAGGGTTGGAAACAAATGTTCACCGTCGGCTCTCATGAGCCACCACAGCCTGGTTCCAATGCACCCTTGAGTGCAGAGTAGTAAAGCTTCAATCTTTCTTTGAATAAATGTCCATCTTCTGTCGCATGGTGGACCTAACAATGAAGTTCTCCCACTTTTGTCTGAAAAGGAGTAATCATAAGAAATGAAGACTGGCCAAATAGATTCTTTCTCCCAAGAATCTGAATCTGGAGTAGGGCACAAATAAAAAACAAATGATTGGAGAAGAAAACCCCTAACTGTTCTTGCTATCCAGACTTAACACCCACCCCATCCCTGAGCTGCAATCTACCTCCTTAATGAAACCTGCATCTTCCATTTTTTCCCCATGGTTATATAAACTTTCTTAAATCCTTCCAGTGAATTATTTTTTCCTTTAACATTCCTAGAATTCGTCTCTGACTTAAGGAGTAAAGCAACAGATTTGCTATTATTTAGTTTTTGACTATGTGTATTTAAACAGTTGCTCCCCAATACTCTTTTCCCAAACTCATTTTGAGTCTTATGGAGCTAGAGAGACTGCAGTAGAAGGAGTAAAATGTAATTTATTTACAAAGGCACAAGGTGACACACCTTCTTTCCCAACTTTTCTCATTATGCCAACTAATTATATTTAATATTAACAGGGAGTGTTTGGGGAGGTGGAAAAGTATCATATTTATCATATTAAGGTAAAAGCTAAGCTTATGTAACAAAGGAACTTAGAGCAATATGGAGGCTTAAAAGAAAATGGACTTTTTCTGTCACATAACAGTTCCAGTGTGTGCCATGTGGGGCTCTGAGCTGCTCTGCTCCACTTGGCCATTCCAACACTCAGGCTCCTTCCATCTTGCTGTTCCACCTTTCCTTAGACATGATGTCATCTGTATGGCTGAAGTTGAGTTCATATCATATCCAGCCAACAGGAAGCAGATGGACAACAGAGAAGAGGTGTGCTCACATTCCAAGGGCAAGAACTTTGCCACATGAAAAAATATAATTCTGTTATCCTAGCACTTTGGGAGTCCGAGGGGGTGCAGATCACCTGAGGTCAGGAGTTCGAGACTAGCCTGGGCAACATGGTGAAACCCCATCTCTACTAAAAATACAAAAATTAGCCGGGCGTAGCGGCAGGTGCCTGTAGTCCCAGCTACTCAGGAGGCTGAGGCAGGAGAATCGCTTGAACCCAGGAGGCGGAGGTTGCAGTGAGCCAAGATGGCACCACTGCACTCCAGCCTGGGTGACAGAGCGAGACTCCATCTCAAAAAAGAAAAAAAATGAAAAAATGTAATTTACTGATCATATCCATATCCAGCTAAAATGGTGTTACAACGAAAAAGACAAAGAAAATATTGTATAGAAAACTAGCCATCTCCCCAACAAAAGCCTTTTAGAACCATTTGCTATTACCATTTTTTAAAAAAGAGCACGAGCACAGATTATAAACATGAAACATGTTCCAAAAAATTAAAGTAGAAATAGTTCTGCATTCTATATGTTTTCTGTGCAATGAGTTTACATAGGTCAGCAGTTCTAATCCAGAGCAGAATAAAGTGCTGAAACACCCTAAACATTTGTGAAATATATCATAAAAAAATTTGCTAGTAATAATCATCAAAGTAAAAGTTGAAAATAATTTTTTTTGAAAAATTAGGGTCAATTCAAGATTATTCCTACAACAGTGTTTCCTAAACTTCCACCATCAAGGAGCACTGTCAGAATATTTTCCTATCTGTATAATTATTATAGCATATCTGCATTATTATGTACTATGGGACGTATTTTTACTATTATTTCCTTTTTTTTTTTTTTTTTTTTTTTTGAGATGGAGTCTCGCTCTGTTGCCCAGGCTGAAGTGCAGTGGCGTGATCTCGGCTCACTGCAAGCCCCGCCTCCCGGATTCACGCCATTCTCCTGCCTCAGCCTACTGAGTAGGTGGGACTACAGGTGCCCACCACCACACCTGGCTGATTTTTTGTGTTTTTGGTAGAGATGGGGTTTCACCGTGTTAGACAGGATGGTCTCGATCTCCTGACCTCGTGATCCGCCCACCTCAGCCTCCAAAAGTGCCAGGATTACAGGCGTGAGCCACCGCGCCCGGCCTATTATTTCCTTGAATATTTTTATTTAAATGAACTCAATTATTGACTTAGATAAATGCATTTATTAAGGAAACTTTATATCATTACTATAAATGGAAATCCAGTATCATTTGCCAAAATAGAAGATAAATATAAAAATATATAACATTACCAGACGATGTTGTTAAATTGTAGCTAGATACTGTTGCTAGCTGAGAATTCTGAATCAGAGCTGGCCTTTGCTCTGTTCAAGAGGGAGAGAGAGAGAGTTGAGATGTTTTAAGGAAATACTAGCAGCAAACTGAGTCTTTCTTCTCTATGTAATCTAAAGAATTAAAAGAGAATTTAAATAGGACAAAGTGACTATGTGTGTCAATGTGATTTGATTCCTGTATATGAACTTTCTAAAACCACTCTTTATAGAACCCTAAAGAAAATGCCCTATGGAAAATGTCCTACGCCTTATGGCCCTATGAAAGATGCCAGCCTTAGCTCATTTGCACGTGGATATGCTTTTTTGAGTGAGAGAGAAAGGGGTTAGGTTGCGGTTAACACTAAAGAAATTCTAATAATCCTGTCAATGCCATTGTCTTTGAACATCATCACTCATGTGTTTCCAGGTGGTAGAGGGCAAGGAAATGCTGTCCTAAATCTAGCAATTGCCTCAGAGTCATGAACTGGAAAAAAAGTGTCCTAAAAAATTAGTCATCCATACACATGGGCATTACATCTGAACCATCTTTCCCTCTCTGGTGCTGTTTATTTGGATGGAGTTGGCTTCCTGGCTTCAGAGAGCTGTTTTTTGGTACCAGATCTCTTTGACATGCTCTCTGGAATGTTTGTATCAGATGCTGCCTCCAATGTTTTAATCATCCAGACACTCCTCCAATGAAAGGAAGATGATTTGAATATCTGGTCTACAAACCTAACCTATAATTATGCTGAGTATCTGACTGCCTTTGATATTCCTAAACTTATATTGCACTCCAAGAAAACATTTTCCTTTCAGAAGCACACAGTCATGATGCATTAAAATAGTTGTGCCAGCCAGTCAGACCCTTTAAGTGGCAACCAGCTATGGGGAAAGTCATCATGGCAACAGAGAAGAAAGACATCGATCTCCATAGAAGTATAGCAATGGAACTCTACGGTCAAGGACTCCAAATGCATAGACTAGACTTTTCTTAGTATTAGAGATCCAGGTTTAAACTAACTATCTGATTATCATAGTGAAACATAAATTTAAATATGCATTTAACAATAAGAAGCATTCAGAGATATCTATGGAAATAGAGTTAATGGCTGGGATAAAGGAATGATACCATTTACTGTGTACCTATTCTGTTCTAGTCATTGTGCTATGTACATTATAAAAGTTAGCTCATTTATTTCTCCTACCACTGAAAACTTGTAGAAGATGATGAATATGTCTTATTTGACTTTTATTCCCTAGTTATAAGCCAATGGCACACTCAGGGTCACCATATTCTACAGGTTTCAGGGACCATCCTAATTTCAAACCTCTATCATTTCCCACCATGCTCTGTAGGTTTGGGGGACCATCTCAATTTGAAACATCTATCATTTTCCCCCTAAATCATTCACTCTCAACTTGGAGCTGAGGGAGGTACAGTGAGGGAGGTCACATGGGGCTATAACACACTCTCAAGTTTCTGATGTCCCCTAGTGTTTCCCTTCCCCACTTTTGAGAATCATTGTCTTAGTAGATTGCTGTTACTTAGAGTCGTTTAAAATATCCCTCAGTAAGTTTTGCAGATATGTTGAGAACTACTTCAGTACCTGAATCTGTGAACTGACCCTGAAGCTTTAATACTTCAGAGCCCTGGCTACCTATCTAAGACTGCTCCTCACATTCAGACATGGTAGAGAAAGCTTTCAGACCATTTTTTTTTATATACTCTCCACCTTTCCCTCAATAGAGCCCAAGCCTCCAAATTTTATGTGTCTCTCTAGTCCATCTAAAGTAATTTCCTTGGTGTCCAAGGAACATGTACTAGAGGACATCTCAACATGTCTTCCACCTTTAGAATTCTATGATCCCATAATATAATCAGGATAAGAAACTGTCATTAATATCTGCCAGATAACAGAATCCACATATTTTAAAATTTAAAAGAATCCTTTCATAGCTTTTCCAGTTCTTCTCAAATGAGAATAAATAACCTTATCTGGAGAATTATTTCAGCTTCAATTTGTAGCCAATATAAACCAGGCTCAAAAACCAGAGCAGTTGTATAAAGATCCCTAATTTACATTTAGAAAAATATATTTAAATCTCCTCACACGTGTATGTTTTTATTGTGTATAACTAAATTGCCTGATAACAGAAGGCTTGAAGAATGCCAGCAGTGGGGAAGAGTTGTAAGTGGGAAAATGTTGCATTAGTCTGGTTCTTTAATTACAAGCTGTTGGCACTGTGGGTTGCGTATCCATGTATTTTTGTTTATGTATACACAGGTTGATCCTAGATATTTTCAAATAAACATATGAATAGGAATAATAAAGACAGTTTCATTATTCCTCCTGGAGGGAGTCTTGTGATTTGATTCTTATTCTAAAATCGCAGAGACGTAAAATTTCAGGGTTAGAGAGAAGGTTATGTAATCCAATTACTCACTCAATTATTGAATCTTGCCTACAATGTGTTTGACAAATAGTCACTCAACCCCCATCTGAGTGCCTTCAGTCAAAGGGAATTTCTGGAACAGTCTATGCATTTGCAGCAGATGACAAATAGCTCTGCATATTGCATTCCCTCTTCTTCTGAAGGAGGAGCTTTGATTTTCTTTGGGGAATTGTTATTTCCCATTATATGCTGTCTTAATGGGACCATCAGTTGAGGTGTCCCCTTCTCCGTTAGCCAAAAAGTGCTCACGTGATCCAAGCTATGACAATCCAAATGTAACTCTCAGAGCTTTAAATTCTGAGTATAAGGAGGTAAAAAGGAAAAATGCTGTAACAAATGTATCCCAATGACAGTACCTTGAAGATACTGGTTTCCTGAAAGAACAGATTCTTCAACTTAAATTTCAGATCTGTGAGCACCTGACACTTTTATAAATTTGAGTGTTGCCTAAAATTAAGTTAAGTCAATTAATATTAATTGCAATCAAAAGTTCTAACACCCCACATATCTTGTATTTATGCCTCTGGGGAAATTTAGACAGGCATAATTCCTGCTTAGTATTATAGTCCTTTATATGTGTAAAAATGTAGCACATCCTTCTTCAAAATCATTCATTTCCTGATATGACCTTTTAAGAGGCCAACGCATCTTTCACAATTTCTGCTGTGTGTCAAATGTTTTCTTTTCTCCCCTTATTGCCTTTTTCCTCCCTCACAGTCAGCTATTCCTAAGAATACAGTCCCGTACCACATAACAATGATTCAGTCAACTACAGATTGCATACTACAGTGGTCCCATAAAATTATACCATACTTATACTGTTCCTTGTCTATGTTTAGATATGTTTAGAGACACAAATACTTCCCACTGTGTTACAATTGCCTACAGTATTCAGTACAGTAACATGCTGTACAGGTTTTTAGCCTAGAAGCAATAGGCTGTGCCATATAGCCTACATTTGCAATAGGCCATATCATCTGGGTTTATGTACAGTCTATGATATTTACACAATGACAAAACTGTCTAATAACACTTTTTTCAGAATGTATCCCTGTTGTTAAGCAAAGCATGACTGTATCTGAAATACAGTATAGGAAACGCTTGTTCGATTTTTATTCTAGCACTTTTATATAACGATTTGTAAAGGTTGTGCAGAAGGAACTGTAAAAATATATATACAAGAACCAATACGTTGACATATGGCAAGTAGAAGCTGGAATTCCCCATGCCACAAAATTTAACTCTTCTGCACATCCTTTCACTCCTGGTGACTGAGATATCTCAAGTCTTCTTGACTTGGCTTACACCTTAACTTCTGTTGCTTACGATATGGTGTTTCTGGCGTCCATCATCCTTGGGACCTCAGTAATTGGCATTACTTTCTGAGATCCACAGAAAATGCTTCCATTTCTGGCATAAATCCAGTCATGTGTTTGGCTGCCTGAATTCCTTTGAAAATATATGACACATTTTGCTAAATAAAGGGGAAGAAGAAAGAAAATTCATAAGTCCTTTCTTTGCATGACACAATCGTTTTCTCCCTTTGCATGTAACTCTCTCGTTCTTGCTTCTGGGACATGGTAGAGTCACTTCTGCCTTCCTTTGGACTGTCTCTTTTCAGTCACTCTGCAGACCTTTCCTGTGGTTCTTCCTATGGGAGGATGAGCCCCTCCCCATCATCTGGGAAGACACCTGCTACTAGTCAACTCGCTAACTGAAGCATGACCTGATTCCAGATGGGTTTCAATATGATTTTAGGTTCTTCCACCTTTCTGCTTGATCTCAAAACAAGCTCCAGCTAGCCTGTTCTACTTAATTCCATAAACATCTACCGAGCACCTACTAGGTGCCAAGCCCTATGGGTACAAAATCTGATTGGACATGGACCCTGCCCTCCAGGGCAGATGGTTATGTAAGGAATATGGCAATGCAAAGTGATGAACATACTAGTATAATTGAGCCCAGAAGAGATGGCAATGATTAAATCTGCCTGATGAATATAGGGTCAGGAAAGGTGTTAAGAGGTGAGCTTGAGCTAGCTTTGGAAAAATGACTAGAGATACACCAGGAAGACAAGGGGGCATTCCAGGCACTTAAAAGTGAATATGTAACTGCCAGTGTGCAGAGAAAGGGTAATGATCATTTTGTTCTATTCTCAATAATTGGAACCTATGATCATATTAGTCTTTTTGGCAGTCACAACACACAGCTGTCTCAGAGAGCTAAAACTACTATCTTTCTTGCATTGTTTTGCCACATTGACCCTCATTATTCATGCCAGCAATAAATTATTCTTTAACAGGGAAACAAAAGCAAGCTCTCAACTCCTTCATCTCTCCCTCCTTGATCACTGCTCCTTGGTTCTGGACAAGGCAGCACTCAGCCTTATCACTTTCTACACCCAGTGTGGGAACCCATTCATTCCCCGCAACTTTCTCTTTTCTGTCCCTCACACATCTCCTTCTGAGACGGTGTGTTCCAAGCTTTGCAGGAGGCAGAAAACATCTTTTGATAAGTTTCACAGAGGGTTAGACGCAGTTTCCACCCAGCTGTTGTCCAGTGTTCTCTGAAATCAATCAAAAGAAAAGAAACCAAAACATGTTTGCAAAAATCAAATTAAAGCCGAGCTCTGATGAAGTTGCAGCTATCTACAACCATATGGGCTGCCCGCCAAGAATGTTTTTAATATTATAATCGCTCATCCATAGACCCATAATTGATATTTGCAATTCGATAATGCTTTTTCACAATTTTTTATTTGTTTCCAATCTCCCCACTTCCCTCCTCACCTTATCCACCCAACAACTCCCTGTGTCAGCACATTCAAGGCTCTTAATGACCCTCTCAGCTGCTACTGATCAAAGTCAAATTTTAATTACAATTCTAATTTTAGAAGTTTGCTTCCTTTTAATCTGAACTTTCAGAAAGGAGTCAAGTGTGTTTATAACAGCTCACAGGAAACATGTGAAGCTCTAGGATTATTTAATTAGATGAGTTCAACTAGTTTTGAGCTTTATGCTTCCTACAAGCTTGTACCAGGTGATTACACCTATAGAGCGTAGAAGGTAAAGTATAAAACATATCACCAAGAGCTGTAGTCTGGTCTGAAAGATGAACAGAGTAAAAGTGAGACACAATTGTGTGATAACAAAACGTTGCTCTCAACATTTTATGATGGCTACTTTTTCTTTAATACTCTAGTCTCTCCAGTTTGATTTGAGCCCACTTCAAGTCTTTTTTAAAGTACCTTTGCGTTAATTCCATTTTCCCTGCAAGAATATCTTCAGACTTTGGTAACTCTACCCATTCTTACAAGACTATCTCAAAAATGTTATCTTCCCTACAACCTTTCCTTATCTTTTTAGATAAAAAATAACCCACCTCCAAAAAAACTTATACCACTTGTCATCATCATTAATATTAATCATCACTCATCATCACAATAACTAGCATTCATTAAATATACACCATATTGCTGAATAAGAAACATCTTACTTTATCCTCCCCCAAATCCTATTGTATACTCTTATTTTCCCTATTTTATAAATGAGGAAACTGAGTCTCAGAAAGGTTAAAATATGCTCTGAGTCAATTAGCTATTTAGGGGTAGAGCGAGAATTTGAATAACCAGTCTATCACAGCAAACCACAAGATTTATATTCCTCCTACATACACAAACATAATGGCAATTAGAATGTAAGCCTGTTGAAGAAACTATCTTAGACATCTTTGAATCTCCTAGTGTTTACAAAGTTGTCATTTAATAAATATTTTTGGATTGAATGACTCCCTGTTAGAATGCATGTAAATATATTTAGAAACTTGCTCATGAGGAGAAATAAGTAACTTTTTGAAAATTATTTCCCAGCCTTTCAACAACTTCTTTAGAAACTTGGCACTTCAAAAGCTCAAGTTTTGATATCTCTGTAGCACCACAAACTTTTAATGGAAACCAAAAAACACAGACTTATACATCAACAGTATTAGCATTATTATACATCAACAGTATTAATAATAATGGTTATTAACCAGCATTTATTAAGTTCCTTACATGTGGGAAGTACCACGCTTGGTGCTGCAGAGTACCTGAGATGAAAATAATTGCCCTCGTTATCAAAATAGCTAACAATCCAGTTTAGGGGTACAATGAGAAAGAAGTATTGGCACTCACTAATCCTGACTGTCTTCTGATAAGGTTAAATAATGGTAATAGCAGAGATTTTGTTCTAGAGAGCATTGGGTGAATAAGTCTGTACACATTTGCAGTAATAGCCAGAGGGAGAATTCAATTGTTTTGTGTAACCTAGGAAGAAGAACTTCAGATATACTCTGGAATTAGAAGAGAAGAAGGCAAGAAAGATAAACTGTCAGTGACATTTTAGAAGGAAAAATAATAAAACATGTGCTATGAATTTTAAATTGTTTGCTGTGGAGTACAATGTACAAATCCCTCCTCTATAATATCTTCAGTAAAGTCTACATTGCTCACTGATAATTCTATGTAAGTGGACATGTCTGGGAAACAAACTCATGCTTAACTTTACATCTGTGTCCATGCAATGCAGACCAGGGACAGCAAGAAAATCTTGTAGGGGATCCAATGTATTCATCACAGGATCTATACCTAATCCCTACCCACCCCTTAATGTGGAAATGTTTACACTTGCTCTCTTCCCCTTGGCTTTGGTTTCCTGTTTTCTTGTGGCAGGTCCAGTACCCTGAACCTGGACTCCAGTTGCTTTAATGGAATTCTCTTCCAGCTTCTTGGACCCTGTACTGGGTTGAAGAGTATCTTCCAAAAATTCACATCTACCCAGAACATCAGAATATGAACTTTTTTTGAAATACGTTTTTGCAGATGTAATCAAATAAAAATGAGATAATACCAGATTAGGGTAGGCCCTTATCCAATGAATAGTATCCTTACAAAAAGACGGAAACTTGGACATGCACATTCCGGGGGAACCTCCATGTGATGGTGAACACTAAGACTGGAGTGATGTGTCTACAAGCCAAGAAATGCCAAGATTTCCAGCAGGCACCAGAAGCTAGTAGAGAGGCATGGAACAGATTGTCCCTCCGAACCTCCAGAAGGAACCAAGCCTGCAGATGCCTTAATTTCAGACTTCTGATGTTCAGAACTACAAAAGAATAAATTCCTGTTGCTTTTAGCCTCCCAGTTTGTGGCAATCTATTGCAGCAGTTGTAGGAAGCTAATACAGACCCTTATTTTTCTAAATCAGGTTCTGACATCCCCTGATCTCAATGAGATAATCTTTCTCTGCTCCAGGCCTCAGAACCCAATTCTAGCCAGACCTACCACAGGAAGTAGAAGAATTTGGTGGAGATCTCTATAGAACACACTTAGTTTTTCCTAAGACCCTGAGAAGGAAAACAATAAGGCATTGTTTTCCCATCACAACCCTCTCTATTTCTCTATATAACAGCACAGGACTCCAGAGGTTAGGGCTTCTGAGTGATAGAACCCTACAGAAAGCCAATAACCCAGTCATGTTGATCCAGTATGTACAACATGACAAACTTTTTTTATACTTGAAAACACAGATGGTAGGATTGTCCCTATCCACAAATTCTTAGTTGTGTTTACTCTATATTCTGCAGACAGAGAATAAATACACACCTGCCTAAAGTTAGCATGTGCTCTGCGTCATGGACATTTCTTTAAAATGACCTGGTCCAAAAATGGTTACATGAGATGTGCTCAGAATGAGTACTATGCTGCTCTCATAAATGACCCTTCATTCATTCATTCAACAAATATTTATTGAGTTTCTGTAATGGGCTACTATACTTGGGAATTTATTACTTTAAAAAAGACATGGGGCTCAAGATATGGTTAAAGAGAAAAAGGCACAAACACTCACTGAAGATACAGAGAGATAAATGCTATGGCATGGATCCCCAGGAAGTCAGACTTAAATGAAGTTTCACGTATTCAGAAATGAGCTGAATGCCTTTCTTACACAAATCTGTATTGCTCAGTTCAATTGCTAGCTAACTGCTCAACATCAGCATCTCAACATGGGTTTGTTGTTCTCTATTCATCTTGTGTACACAGTTACTCTAGTGAGTGATAAAACCTTTGTTTCTTTGAGAGAAACGATCCTCAAGTGAGATATAAAACTTTAGTGTGAGACGAAAAAGCCAGATAACTTGCCTTGTGCTTCTAAACACAAGAAAATACCAACAGGCATGGAATTTAAGAGAAAACAAGTCATCTTTTCAAATATTGACATTGTAGAAACTATGTATACTTTAGAAGATGCCATCATGGGTCACAGATAAATGGCAAAGGCCTACCTTAGTAAAAAATAGATGAAGAGAAACAGAAAACACACAGAGAGAGAGAGAGCTCTTTGCGCACAAGAAAGTAATGAAGGACTAATTGTTCCTTTGTTTTGGAGTGAAAAGTTTGTAAAAGGATCGGCGGGACCTCCTTCTTCCCATTTTTGTATTTCCATGGAAATAACTGGCCTCTGCTCCCCATTTTTATAGTTCCTCCTGAAGAAGGAGAGGAAAAACAGGAGATTCTAAAACCTTTCTAAAGAAACTAAGCAAGTGTGACTTAGCCCTTTCAGTCCTCTGTTTTTCAGAGCCATCTCTGTTCAGAATGCATCTCTGCTTCTCCATAAGAAACCTAATCCCCATAAGGGCAGAGCAGAACAGAAGAGCAGGACAGAAACAGAGACAGCAACAGCTGCCTTTGCCTTCAACCTAGAGGAGATGTTTAATTCTGTAAAAGCAAGTCTTATGGAATTCATTTGAGGAACAGACACTCATGCTGCACTTTTTTTTTTTTTTTTTTTGAGACAAAGTTTTGCTCTTGTCACCCAGGCTGGAGTGTAACGGCACCAACTTGGCTCACTGCAACCTCCTCCTCCTGGGTTCAAGTGATTCTCCTGCCTCAGCCTCCATAGTAGCTAGGATTAAAGGTGTCTGCCATCATGCCCGGCTAATTTTTGTATTTTTAGTAGAGACGGGGTTTCACCATGTTGGCCAGGCTGGTCTCGAACTCCTGACCTTAGGTGATCCACCCATGTCGGCTTCCCAAAATGCTGGGATTACAGGTGTGAGCCACTGCGCCCAGGCCCACGCTGCGCTTTCAATCAGCTTTATTACTAACAAAGCTGATCCTTGTTCCCCATTTACCTAACTCCTGCATCTACTTCTCAGTTGGCTCCAAGCTTAGGAAGGTAAACATTAGGTGTTATTCATTAGCCACACAGTCTCTTTTTGCAGATTCCTTTCTGCAGCATTTATCAAGACTGTTTCACATTGCTTTATATTTGCTTAACTCTGAAACTCTCCCTGCCAGTTTCCATTATGAAATTACTTTATGCTGTTCTAAATGCTGGGAAATTGTGTCCAATCACATGGGCTTTCTTCCTTCGCTGGGTGTCCATGACATCTCATAAATGTGACTCTGTATCAGACTTCATTTCTCCTTAAATTACAGTTACTTGAGTATTTGTTTGATTTGCCATGCTAAACTCCACCCTCACATCACTGAGCCACCTGCTCCAGCTTCTTCCCCTCTTCCACATGACTGAACTTGCAGCTCTGCAGTAATAGGACTTAATCTTGTTTGCAGATCCTGCAATGTCTGGTGGGGTGTCAGGTACACAACCTAACAAAAGGAAGTCACAGCTTCTCCTGGTTTACTTCAAGGTACAAACACCACCAGAATTCCAAACAACTATTGACATATCTCTACGCTTATATTAGCAGTAAATCTGTTGTCTCCTCTACCACTTGGTTCAGTTTAGAAGGATGTATTTATCTAAATGGGTCCAGTTCTCTTTGGGGACCTGGGGAAAAGGGTGGGAAGGTGGTGAGGGATAAAAGACTGCAAATTAGGTGCAGTGTATATTTCTTGGGTGACGTATATACTGTCTCACAAATCACCGCTAAAGAACGTACTCATGTAGCCAAACATCACCTGTTCCCTAAAAACCTATGGAAATAAAAAAAAAAATACAATACAATACAATAAATGGGTCCAGTTCTGCTTCCAAATGTCAGCAAAAGAGAGAAATGGAGGGTCTGGCCAGTGATCACACCATGACATCTAGGCTGCAATGATTTCTGCCACTCATGTATTCTCTTTCCTTATGGGAAAGCTACTCTTTTTAGAGACTTCTGGGTTTTTCCTACCAATCACTTGGGACCACCTCAATCCATCAAAGAGATTCTAGTTGCGTCCTATTCTTCTAGGTGACACTTTGCCTTCTATGCAAAATTTCCTGTCCCTACAGTTATCTGATCAACTATAAGCCAAGTGGCTTTGTAGGGAGAAGGTTTGATCAAGGTTCAAAATGTTCTGTTCCACACTCACGCACATACACTCATTATGCCATCATGAAAGTGAGTAACTCTTCCCTGAAAATAGAATGATGCTCTAAACTTACCAGCTGGGTCCACCTAACAAAGCAACTGACAGCCTCTACAGCTAAAATGTAAATAAAATAAATTTCACCTCACTAGGCACCTCACTAAAATACCTTATGCCCAGAAAATATGTGTGTATGTGTCTGTTTGCCAAGACACAGTTTCAAATACTTTTTAAAATATAAATGCTTTCAGGAAGGACATAGACACTCCAATTCCCCATAGCATCTACATGGAAACTTCACATATTATCTCTCCGCCTGACCTCTGTAGACATTTGAGTTTGAATATTCGGCATTACGGGTCCACATGATTAACTGCACTCCTGGGGGTGTGGGGATAAAACACACACACAAGGCCATGTGAGCTGAGAGAAAGCATAACCTTGACAATATCTGTGTGTTTCTGTTATTGATCCTGGGGCTCTTTTTAGCATCTTGTCCTCTGAATAACCACAGGTAGAGAGACGGAAATTGGAGGCTCATCTGCAGAAGGAAAGACAACACCACAATCACCCACAAGACTGAGACTTTTCCCAAGTCATGAATGTTAGTTTGATGGTCAGAATGTCTGTTGAATCGTTAAAACATCTATTCCATGGGATGCATTGAAGTAGGTGGGTCACTGTCCTGTGGGTGGCCACAAGGGCCATCTGCAAGAGATGGGGTGAGTCGAGGGGTGATAAAGAAGTGGAGCCAGATACTCCCTCAACTATGAAAACTCTGCTTTAATCTGTTTTGCATATTGCTGGTTCCACCAGGAGAAAATAAAGCAGGTGAGAAAAACCACTGGGCTAGGTTACAATAATTTTTAAAAAGTACTCTCTTTATGGAACACCACACTTCATTTCTTTTGCTTAAGAGTATCTGAAAAGTAGTGGTCCTCAACCTTGGATTTGCACTGGAATCATCTGGGGGAGCTTTTTTAAAATATTGATGCCAGAGCTCAACTCCCAGAGATTCTGATTTACAATGTGTCTGGGACTTGACCTAAGCATGGAAGTTCTTTAAAGCTCTTGGCTGATTCTGATGTGCAACCAGGGTTGAGAACCTCTGCTGGAGAGGGTAAAGGATAGATTTTAGAGTCAGGGAGATGGGGTAGACTCCTGACTCATCTCTAACTACCCATAATGTAAGCTAATTACATAAACTCTCAGAGCTTACATTTTATGCACTTACATGTGTGAGTGGATTTGTGTGTGTGCATGTGTATGTGCATTATTTTCCATTTATCACCTTTTTCTTTTCATAATAGTTTCAGATACCTTGAAGAAATGCATGTAGGGCCAGGCGCAGTGGCTCACACCTGTAATCTCAGCACTTTGGGAGGCCGAGGTGGGCGAATCACCTAAGGTTAGGAGCTCGAGACCAGCCTGACCAACATGGCAAAACCCGTCTCTACTAAAAAGTACAAAAATTAGCAGGGCATGGTGGTACACACCTGTAACACCAGCTACTCAGGAGGCTGAGGCATGAGAATGGCTTGAACCCATGAGGCAGAGGTTGCGGTGAGCCAAGAACGCACAACTGCACTCCAGCCTGGGCAACAGAACAAGACTCTGTCTCAAAAAAAATGCATGTAGGATAGCAGGGAAATTTTGGAAAAGAAAAAGTCATAGTAGAATATTCTCCAATGGTTGTCATACACAGACCTCCTCACTTTCTGGGACTTCTTAGCAGTGGGTATAAGTAAAGACAGACACAAAACTATTTGCACCATCTACAACTTCAACAAGCTGCTGACTACTCAAGAATCACTACCAAGAGGGTTTTGTTCTGCAGGTCCTCCAAAGAAGACACTGTGATGTGATAAATCAAATCCTCAAAAGCTGCAGTAAAACCAATATATAAAACCTCTATGGGGCTGAGCCTGAGTTTCCTACATCTATAAAATGAAGAAGATGACAGAGACTATTGGTACCTATTCAATAACCAGTTTCTTCCTCCTTCATGATAGAACCATGTTTTTGTTAGGAGTAACAACGTGACCAGGTGAGAAAAAGGAGGAAGAAGAGGAGGAGAAAAGGGAGGAGGAGGAAAAAGAAAAGCCCTCTATCTTTTCCATTTGCAAATGAGTATAGCCAATTGGATATGGGTAAAAGTTCTTTAAAAACATGGTTTTCAAGGAAACCTCCTTAAAGGGGACTGCCCCAGGTGGGAAAAGTGCTCTTCTGTTCTTTTTCCTTTCTAATTTATAACAAGAGTGTGCTAGCGGGAGCTGCAGCAACCACCTTAGGACCGTAATGAAAAACAAAGAATTTCAGAGACCTTGGTTCTGAACAATGAACCATTAAACTACAGCCAGTGAAACTTAGACTCCTCATTACATTAGTTTATAAAAATAGGCTTTTTTTGTTTACATTGTTATAGTTAAGTCTCAACTCACGGCCAACCTCAGTTCTTAACTAACACAGCGACAACTATGTCTTATAGTATTGTGAGAGTTAAGTTAATAAACATAGGCAGAATTTCTGGCATTTCCTAGTGCTAATTTTTTTAATCACCCATTCCATTAGTATTTATGAAATGCCTACTGTGTGCCCATTCTCTATTCTAGAGAACACAGTCTTGCCCTCATGGAGATTACATTTTAATAAACACTACCACTCTTTGCTCAAAGGTTTTTTTTAATTTTCATCTCTATATATGTCTTGCAAAACATATTGGGTTATTCAAAAACTGGATTTACATATTACTACTTTATATGACACATTTGAAGCACTAAATCCATACATCTATCTATTGGTTAATGGCATTTGCTTGTTTGTATGTGTGTGTGTTTGCTTTGTAAGTATTAAATATATCTAAAATGCAGTCTTTGCTCTCAAGAAGCATAAATTTCTACTAGGAGAGATAAGAGTAGAATGGATAAAAAACAAGACCAGACAGTCAATAATGTTAGTAGCTAACATCTACCAACCCAGCGTATTATGTGTCTTGCATTTTCTAAGCATGTCACAGGAAGTATCTGATTTATTCCTCACATCAATCTCTTCAGAGACTGAATAATATTATCTTTATTTGTAACCAAAGTAAATTGCCTAAAATCATACAGAGCCTAAGTGGTAGTGCCAACATCCAAAGCCAGTCAGTCCAATACCAGAACCTGCGCACTCCATTAGTGCTCTAAACAAACTCCAGGTTATCCAAGTATGCCAAGAAGAGACAATGGCAGCCAGCAATGAGAAGTTTGTTGAAAACCTCTTCATGGAGCTCCTCCTTCTGTATGCCAGGCATTGTTTGGGATACAAACATCTATTTAAGGGAACAAACAAATAAGCAAAAATAGAAAGGTAGCAAGGGAAACTGCCCACCAGAACTGCCAGAAAGTATATTGTCATGGTAGAAGTCATCACTTCGGCTGAAGCAAAGGTTTTATGCTGGGGACAAAGGGAGATAGATGTTTTTTAGTATTTTAAACATCTGCAGACAAGGAAATAACAACATGTTCCTCAGTAATCCACAACAGTCCCTGAGACAGCTCACTGTCAGTGACTCCATCCCCCTCTCTCTTCCAAATTGCTTGTGGACTAATTAAGCCTGTGTTCTCTTTTCTTCCCTCACTGAGGGCCCAAGGGATGACTGTTATTTTTAATCTAATATTTTCTTTTCCCTTTTTCCTTCCTCCTTTCCTCAAAAAAAAAAAAAAAAAAGAGGAAAGAAAGAAAAATAAAGGTATCAAAGTGAGAGTCTGTAAGAGCCTGACCAAATTTGGTGAGATGTGAAAGGTGGGGACCAGCATTACAAATTGGAAGTCGTATTTCAAGGACAGCTCTGCTAGGAGGCAGTTGTCTGCAGGAAGTGCGGTCACTAGTGAGAGAAGGGCCACAAAGTCATCCCTGTTAAAAACTCATTGTCACAAGTTGTGATTATGCTTTTAATCCTGTCCCAAGGGCTCTTTGCTTTCTCAGATCACAGTGAGCCAAAGTGAAGTGTGGTCCATTTCTCTGTAAGAGTAAACAGTCTTGGCCAGGCGTGGCGACTCCGCACTTTGCGAAACCGAGTCAGGTGGATCATCTGAGGTCAGGAGTTTGAGACCAGCCTGGCCAACATGGTGAAACCCTGTCTCTATTAAAAACACAAAAATTAGCAGGGCATGGTGGTGCACATCTGTAGTCCCAGCTATTTGAGAGGCTGAGGCAGAAAAATTGCTTCAACCCAGAAGGTGGAGGTTGCAGTGAGCTGTGATCACGCCATTGCCCTCCTGCCTGGGTGTCAGAGTGAGATTCCATCTCAAAAAAACAAACAACAACAACAACAAAAAAAAAAGGTAGACATAACCCACATTTCCATCAGTGGATGAGTGGATAAACAAAATGTGGTATATCCTTAAAATGGGATATTATTCAGCAATAAAAAGGGACGAAGTACTGACATATGCTATAATATGGATGAACTTCAAAAATATTTAGCTAAGCTGAAGAAGTTAGATACAAAGCATTGTATAGTGTGTGATTACATGTATAAGAACTTTCAAAATATGTGAATTCATAAAGATAGAATGTAGATTAGTGTTGTCACATTCTGTTTTTATGGATTCACATTTTGAGGTACAGAGTCTCCCTTGAGGGTGATGAAAATGTCTTGGAACTAGATAGAGGTGATGGTTGCACAACATTGTAAATATATGAAATTCCTCAAAGTATGCATTAAAATGATCAATGATTAATTTTGGTATATAAATTTTACCTCAATTTTAAAGATAATTTTAAATTATACATTTTAAATGGCTTAGAACCATGCTGACCATGAAGTGCACTGCTTTTATTTTCCTCTAAGAGGATCTGCTGCAAGTAGTTGGCTGACAGCTTCCAGCTGCTAAGCTCTCAGGTTCCCCAAACTCTTGGGGATATTTACACCTCAAACCCATGGTTTCCCTGGTTGCTCCCAGCCAGTGACTGAGCAGAGCAGGGACCCTAGAGCCCACTCCTTCCCAGTGCAGGATCCATCTGAAGGTCATCTTCACTTAGAGCTGCACCACAATCTGAGGTTCCTTCTACTCAATTCTACTTCCTTCCCTCTCTTCTTTCACAAATGTCAGGCTTGCATTTGCTCCCCTGCCTCCTCCTGCTCCTTACCACTTTATTAATCAAAGGCAATTCCCTCAAATAAATCTCTAGCATACATCTAATCTCATCTTGGGGAGCCTAAACTGATGTGCAGTCAAATAAATTGCCCAGAAAAACACAGCCAATAGGTGGCAAAGCCAAAACTCAGTATCTATATTACTAACTGTCACCAACTGAACATGGATATAAAATTGCATTTATTTGATAATGAGAACTATCTAAATAGGGTTTTTATGTATTCCCTGGTGGAGTGGTTCTGACCCTCTCACTAAATAGTGTGATTTTGAGTAAACCACTGACCTTTCTGTATCTCTATTTTTAAAATATGAAAATAAGAGGTGACCCTCTTGAAGCTTGTAAACTACTCTTCTTCCTGTGTCCATGTTGATCTCATGAATCCATTTCAGCCCTTTCTCACTCTAAGACACTGATATGGTTTGTCTGTGTCCCCACCCAAATCTCAACTTGAATTGTATCTCCCAGAATTTCCACATGTTGTGGGAGGGACCCACGGGGAGGTAATTGAATCATGGAGGCTGATCTTTCCCATGCTATTCTCATGATAGTAAGTCTCACGAGATCTGACGGGTTTATCGGGGGTTCTGCTTTTGCTTCTTCTTCATTTTCTCTTGCCTACCACCATGTAAGAAGTACCTTTTACCTCCCACCATGATTCTGAGGCCTCCCAAGCTATGTGGAACTGTAAATCCAATTAAACCTCTTTTTCTTCCCAAAGGTATGTCTTTATCAGCAGCATGAAAATGGACTAATACAGACACCAAGCAGCTATTCTAACTGATTGAATTGGGTGTATGTATGATGAAACTTACTTGCTTCAGATGTGCAAGGGTCCAGTCCAGCCCTACCTTGTATAATTATCACATTCTTTTGACCATGGCACTTAGCAGACTGTAAATTCTTCCAGCAAGACCTCCATTCCTTCCTGCCCAGCAACCTCACTGCCATGATCAGCCTAAACCAGGATATCAAGACTAGGCTGATCTTATTCTACTACCATATTTATGTCAGTCAATACCAGAAGCCCCATCTCCTAGGTCATCTTTTATCACCATAAAATTATTTACATCTTCTAATCTGACCCCATCTCCCACTCCTCCTCACAAGTCTTGTAGAACTCACAGTCCATCTTCAGCAACTTCCCCCACCCGTTATCTCCATTCTCCTCCATTTCCCTGACTTACACTAACTGAAACCTTACTCTATGCTGAAGACATTGTTTTTCTCATAGCTTTCTTAAGAAGTGGCCCCTTTCTCTCCCATTTTTTTTATACCAATGAACCAAGAAGTAGGGTGTCATCCTTACACATCCTAGCCACTTCTAGACCATTACTCTTTCCTCTCACTGAAACTCCCAGTTTCAAATTTAATTCTATTAGTCTATACTGCTACTACTACCTTCCATTATAATCTGATCTTTAGTCACTCTTTCTCACTTTTTGACAATACCATGATCCTTATTAGTCTCTGGTATCACTCCTGTCATGATTTTTGTGACTTCCACGCTTACTACTTGAGACTGTCACTACGACAGTTACTGTTCTTACTACTTAAGACCATCATTACGACAGTTACATTACTGCTGTTACTACTTGAGACCATTACAACAGCTATTACTGTTACTACTTGAGACTGTCATTAGGAGAGTTACTACTGTTACTACTTGAGATCATCATTACAGGACTGAACAAATGAGGACAAATGCAGAAATGAAAACTTAAGACAAAACAAACTGCTTTAAAGGAAGGGTCCAGGGGAAGAAGAGAGCTTCCTGCTTCTAGTGAGGAAAGGCGCCCTCAAACTTCCACAGCCCTTTGTATTTATTGGATAGAATGAGCAGGAGAGGAGGAGGTAATGATTGCTCAGCTGCTTGATTGATCACAGGTTCACGTTATTGCTAACAGGCTTCAGATTTGCCTAATTACAAGAAACATTGCGCTTGGGGTGTGACTGCCCTCAGTATCCCTTCTGGGTGGCAGATGCAGTTTGTCAGTCTGCCAACATTCTGCCTTTATGAGAAACAATTTGCTGCTTACTCATATAGCCTCCAGTGATATACTGAGTTGATCATGACCCTCTTTCAGCATCCAACAATTTTTGATGGCTTTCAATATCCAAATAGTTCTTTTATTGCTTTTATTGCTCTAGCTTACAGGTCAGAGATTTCTTGACCTCTTTTTTTCATGATGTTTTCCACCCAACTTTAGGCACTCAATTCTCAAGATATTTCCTAGACTTTGTCATTGCTATAATCCTCATTTTAAGTTTCCTCTCCTCATCCTCCATTCCTCTTTGTATAACTCACTCACTCTTGTGTGAGTCAAGCAAATAATAAACCCCACAGGGGACAGTCAAGCACTGATCCTAGCATTCACTCTTCTCTTGCCCTTATTCCCTTTTATATCCAACTTAGATTCCATGGTTCTTTGCAAACAGGTTGACGTCCTTTCCCCTCTCTTCCTCCTTCATGATACCCTGGGCAAACCCCAACTCTGAATAAATTTAACTCTCCACTTTCTGTGTACCTGCACCAAGATAATTCAACTGACATACAGAAACACACACATGCTCATTCATGTCATTCTGTAATCATTACCACAGCTCTCAAGAGGGTCTCCAAAGCTGGGCCGGCAATCCTACTACAAGTCCCAATTCTGTTTTCTCTCCCATGATTCCAGGTAACAATTTTATACCTTCCCTTTAAAACTCCAACAGCCGCTGCCTCCTCCTTACCCACTTCCATGCCGTCACTTCCAAGTGCTCTGAGAAAATAGAAGCAATCAGAAGTCCCTTCTGCTCCCTCCACACATTCTCCCTTCTTCTTATGCTTCTGTTTTTTACTAGCACTTAATAATCTCACATCACACCTGTTATTTATGCAATCATTTCTTTATTAATTTGCCATCTATTTTCCCCTGTAGAATCAAATTCCCAAGAGAGCAGAGGTTTGTCTTTGTCTTCTACTACACTCTCAGCATCAGAACAGTGTCTGGCATGTAGTAACGTTCAGTGAATATTTGCTAATTATGTAGCCATTATGATGGAAAGGAGTAAGAAACTCAGCTGAAATAAGCAAGTGTGATGCTTTCATCCTTCTATCCTTCTATCACTAGGGATCTCACCTGCAGTTCCTTTGACAGGGTGAATGTGTCTCTATTTCAGCTGATTTTCTTACTCCCTTCCTCAGTTTCTAGGAATCCAGTAGTACCTCCAGCTTTTCTCTACTAGTATCTGCTAGCCTCTTTTGCACAAGACTTAAGATCCCTCCATGAAAATCTGTCTTCCGTGTAGCCACATGGATTCATAGAACATATTCGCCACTCCCTTGCCCTGACAAACTCATAACTGCCTGTTTTCTAAAGCAGGAAACTTGGCTTAGTTCTACCAGTTCAGCATCCAGGCAGCCAGCCAGCCTACCCATGCTGCATGTTGACAGCAAACCTGAATCTCCAAACAATCATATCATAGTAACAAGCAATTTGATATTTAATATGTGCCAGCAGCATTTGAAGTGCTTTACATATATTAATTTATTTAATCCTCAAACAGCCATTAGAGGTAGATACTATAATCATTTCCATCTTACAAATAGGGAACTGACTTGTCTCCTTTGTGGTAGGTGTTAGCTCCACACTTTGGGACAGTTTCTAATATCACAAACTAGTAATTTTACAGTAGATGCTTTCTAAGGTTCTTTCCTACATTATAATACAAAAATTTTACATAATAATATAATTGCCCCATCCATTCATGGTAAGGAAAAGGAAAGAGTTTGATTTGTGGTTGTGGTGGTGGTGGCAGTGGTGGCCAAGGAATGGAACTGAGTTTGCCTGGCCTAGATTCATAACCCCCCAAGTGATTCTAGCTATGACTTTGTAGTTGAGCAGAAGACTAGCACAACATGGATGGTATGTACACATGGAACTGTGGAGTTATAACTCTTCCCTGGTCCTATTAACAGATGTTTAATCGTCCATTCCAATTTGCACCAAACTGCATACAGCAAATGAGAGCATAGTGCCAGAAAGACTGGACATGAGAGCCTGCTTTTTTTCTCTTTAAGTATATACCTAAAAACTAAACACCTGGGAGGCTGAGGTGGGTGGATCATGAGGTCAGGAGTTCAAGACCAGCCTGACCAAGATGGTGAAACCCCATCTCTGCTAAAAATACAAAAATTAGCCAGGCGTAGTGGCAGGCACCTGTAATCCCAGATACTGGGGAGGCTGAGGCAGGAGAATCACTTGAACCCGGGGGGCAGATGAGTTGCAGTGAGCCAAGATCTTGCCATTGCACTCCAGCCTGGGCAACAGAATGAGACTTCATCTCAAAACAAACAAACAAACAAAAACCACGCAACTGTTTATGCATCTGTTTATATATCTCTGTTCCCATACAATTCCCACATCCCTCTTACTGAAAAGATCTCAGAAGAGTAGGAGGCAAAATTAACTCCACAGTAACCTGTTGGAGGTTTTCTGTTACAGAAACAAGAGGCAATACACATGAATTTCATAAGAACATTTTGATATTCCATGCTGGGGCATCTCCTGCCTGCAAGAGAAGGAGCTGAGGGAATCGTCTATGAATTCAGAAGGATATTTGAAGCAGCTTTCTGATCTATGCTCTGTGATGACCACAAAGTTTGGTACCACTTGTTAATGTCTAGCAGAAGAACATCGCCATGATACAGGAATAAGAACAGCCAGGGAATATGAAAAGTTGGAAGGCTCCTGGGCCTTGCATTCTGGATTTTGAAGGCTCTGCAGTGAGTGCACCTGCAGAGCAAGACTCTCCCGTCTGCCAGTCTGCAGCTGTGACTGGCGAGGCATCTGTGAACCCAGAATTAAGAGCTGAGGAGAATCCATAACAGTGAGTACATAATAACAAGGTGTGTCCAAAGAAAATGAGACCAGATCCTTACCTCCCTCTCCCCACTGCCATTGTCCAAGTTCAGTAACCCCTTACTCCATGCCATTGTGGTTATCTCTTAACTCCTTTCTCTGCTTTCAGCCTTCTGTACTCCCATCCAAACTCAACTTCAAGCCAGAGTCACATTTCTAAAATGCAAATCTCATCATGTCACTTCTCTGCTCAAAAACTGTTGCTCCCCACTGCCTACAGGCTTGAGTCCAAGCTCATTAAAATGGAAGTCAATGCCCTTGAAAAGCTGGCAGTGACCCACCTTCTGGCCTTATTTCTCAATGAAATATTTCCAAACTCATCATGCTCCCTCCTATCTCTCTGCAAGCCTTGTAATGCAGCCCTCCTATAGAACTCTCTGCCATTTGAAGGGGGTCAGTTGCGAGTAACAAAAACTCAGCTCAAATGGACTTCCACAGTGAAGCATATGTATTGGCTCATGGATTGGAAAGTTGAGGTTCACAGGATTCATATCTGGTTGAACCAGTGGCTTCTTGACATTATCAAGGGCCCACTTTCTTGCCATCTCTCTCCTTTGCCTTTTGTAATTTCAGTATCTGGGGGGGCTCATCTGGAGGTAACAAGATGAATGTCAGTAGCAACCAGGTCTACATGAGATGAAGTATACACATCTGGAGGAAAAGGTGTTTTCCCAGAGAAAAATCTGGATCCTGATAGAAATCTTTCAGTCTAAATAATCCTTAGACATGTTTCAACTCAAGTGTTCCATTGACCGTGGGGAACATTCCCCACTCCTTAGGCAAAGTTAATAATTTCTTCCTTTATTCTCACCTGACACTTTATACATAGCTATTTCATTAACATTCCTTTAACTCATATAAGTTTTCAGATTGGCCTACTATGTGCAGCCTATTTCATATATATTAAATATTTAAAACTTTGAAATAGATATTGGTATCTTTTATTTATAAGAAAACCGTGGTTCGGAAAGTTCAAATAACTCTTCCAAAGTGACACAATTAATAAAACTGTAACTTCTGAATTCAGATCCCTTGCCCTACACTATGTAAGTGAAAGCACATCACAAAATATGTACCATATAGAGGTCACCAGCAAGAGATGTTGAATAGATCATAGCACTTATCACACTGTCTTATGTTTACGGGCCTCTCTTCTACGCCAACTGTAAAACCCTTATAAAAAGGAATTCCAGAAGAGAGCCCCACAATCTTATGAGTAAAATCATGGGCTCTAGAGACCAACTGGCTGAGTTAATACCAGAGTTCTTTCATTTCTTGTGAGATTTTTAGCAAATTTCTTAACCTCTCTGTGCCTCAGTTTCCTCATCTGTCATACGGGGATAATAATAGTACTTACATCATAGAGTTGCTGAGAGAATTGAATAAGATCCAGAAAATGCAAAGAAATATGCCTGTCACATTGAAAAACCTCAATAAATATTACCTAAAAGGTATTATTTATTATATTTTATCCTCTTAGGATAGTGCCTGATACAATGCAAAAAGTCAATAAATATGATCAGAGTCATGAGGAAGATCCTCAGCCTGCAGATAACTTGACATTTCCTCAAATTTTTTCCATAACCTTTTAACACTACAGAAATATTTTAGAAATATTTCCGAATTTTTTCTTAATCTGCAAATAAACTAGAACCTGATTAGCACCAACAACCTTTGGGTGTCCTGGATCGGACATGATGGGGGAGGGGAAAAAATCATGTTATAGTAAAATGAAAATGAAACATGGTCTAAGAATCAGGAGATTTGGTTCCTAGTGCTGCTACTTTTTAACTGTGTGAGGCATTGATGTAAAATCAATAGAATTTGATAACTGTCTGAATGCAGGGACTGAGAAAGAGAAATTAAGGATCATTCCCAGTTACGTGACCTTGGCCAAACCTGTTCATGCAACGGTCCTTGCTTTTCCCATCTATAAAACAGAATAGCATTGCCAACTTTCTCTCTGCGTTGTTCTTAACATCATTTCAAGAATAGCACCTGCCAGGAAGAACACAACATCACCATTTAAATTGAAGAAGCAGCAACAGATGTTGCAGTGACCAAGAAGTCAGGGCCTTTTATTCATTTTGAGGACCTGGGACTTTATCCTAATGATAGGAAAGCACTCCAGGGCCAAATATAAGACAGTGGCACTCTGTTTGCATATTAGAAATATTTCTTTGATTGTAGTGTGGATAAAGTTTGTGGAAAAGCAAAAGTATTAATAGTAAAATCAGTGAGTGGTTCATTGCAGAAATCTAGGCAAGAAATAACAAGAGATTGGACTGGGGTTTTAGCCTTGGAAAGAATACATGAATATGAAGCATACTTGGGAGGTAAAATCAATAGAACTTGGTGACTGACTTAATGTGGGGATTGATGAATAAAGAGGAATTGAGGATAATTATGTTATTCTGATTTATCCAACCAGGTGAAGGCACTAGCATGTTTAAGGTGGAAAAACTAGAAGAAAATTGAAGTTAAAAATAATTGTTCTTTTCAGAAATTGAAACGACGTAGAGGAGACTCTAAGATGTTTATATATTATCATGTGGATTCACAGATGTTATTATAAGGCAGACATATGACTTTATAGACATCATTATGGGATCTAATCTGGAAAATTGATGTGTAAAACTATAATCAATGAAATAAACAGCAAAGGAAGAATTTATCAAGTCCTTGTGGTCATTCATGTAAGACGTACTATTGCAGGCCTCTGTGCTACAACGGTGAAGAAGAGAAAAAGGTCCTTGTCCTTAGGAAGCTAATATTCTCAGGGAAAAAATAAAATAAACAAACATAAGACATAAATAAACAAACAAGAAAAATGAAGATAATGATGAGAACTCTTTGGAGCATTGTGATAAATTGATATGTCAGAAAGGAAAAGGGTGAGTCCTTTAGGGGCAGTACAAAGAGAAGCCCTCCCTGATAGAGATATGAGCTGAGACCTAAATAACAACAGGAGCTGGTGACCTTTACTGAACAAGAGAGAGAACATTCTAGGTAGAGGAAACAACCAGTTCAAAGGCCCTGTGGCAGGAACAAGCTTATCTTATTTAGCCAACCAAAGTGACTGAGAAAAAGAGTGGGGCAAGGAAATGCAGGAGAGGTAGTCAGGGATAGTTCATATATGGCTTGTAAAATGGGGCTTGGAGCTGAATTATCTTGTAAGTGTGAAGGGAGGCTATAGAAGGGCTTATCCCTGTTTGCATGTTTAAAAGTACCCTGGTTGCTATGGATAATGGATTTTAAGGTGCCTCGAAGAAAACGTGGTTTTAAAACCAGCCCAATTTTCCAGCAATGTAGATGCCCATAAAACTGATGCTTGAGAAACTTACATGAGATGCACCTGCTGCATGTTGACCAATTCCTCCTCTTTACCAATTCCTAATTCCCATTTTCCTGCATGTGGTTATAATGAGACCCCCTCATTCAATCACCTGCGGTCTGTTGACCAACTCCTCTTCTTTGCCCCTCCTGTTTTTCCTCCCAGCTATGCAAACCCCTGGCCTTAATCTGGAGTGGTGGATGGATTTGAGGTTTGGCTCTTGTCTCTCTGGCTGATGTCACCCGTAAAATAATAAAGCCTTCTTCCCTGACAATGCTCATTGTTTCAGTGATTGGTTTTCTCTTAGGTGAGCAATGGGACCTAAACTCAACTCCTGCTGTTCCGTAACAGTTCAAGTGAGAAATGTTTGGGGCTTCGTGATCAAAAATCTGCATTCTTTTTTTTCTGCAAAGGGCTAGAAAATATAACCCTTGATATAGCAAGGAAGAGTTTCTTCCGGAAGAAAGTTACAAGAAAAGAAAGAACACACAGTGCAGGGGTGGGAGAGATGAAGCTCCACAGCGAAAGGACATCCACAGGAATTGAAAGACGGCCCCTGGGGGATAAATGGAGAGAGGGCTAGGTTCTCCACTAAGCAGAAGGCAGTAACAGAGAAACAGTGATCACAGGAGGAAAGAAAAAGAGAGTTAGAAAATCTACAGAAAGTATATTTTAAGGGCAAGATATATTTATATTTGGTGTCATTTTGAAATATATTTTGATTTGTTACTAAGTCTTGTTAATAAGGCTTTTTTTTTAAATTATATGCACTCAGGGCTAGGTATTGGAACACCAAGATCTTAACATTGTCAACCAGTTCTTAGAAACTGTGGCTTTAAGCAACATGACATATAATGAAAACAATTTTGCTATAGGTTAATTGACAAAAATAAGAGGTTCCTATAGCATGTTTCTGGTCACAAAAACATCACGAAATTGTAAATAAAGATCAAAACACTTCTAATATTAAACATTAAACAAATGTGATCTATACATACATTTAAGAAACATTAATAAAAACAGGTAAGGTAACTATTTACCCCATTATTCCAGTTTAGGGTCTCAGATGGCTGAAGTCTGTCCAGACTGATTAGGGCACAAGGCAGGAACCAGCCCAGGACAGGACACTGTCCCACCACAGGACACACTCACACACACCCCCACACTCACCCTGACTAGGACAATGTGGACATGCGAAGTCATCCAATGTGCACATCTTTGGGATGTGGGAAGAAACTCATGCAAACATGGAGAGAAGGTGCAAGCTCCACACAGCGTGGCCGCAGCAGGGAACTGATTTTTTAAATCTTTTCTCTCATCAACGTTATAATGCAAGGACATTGAACAAAATTACGTTCTTTGAAGACCTGATGTACTGTAAAGTCTCTGAAGGTCTTAATTTATCTCTGAAGAGTGAATGTGGCAAGACTTAGTGCGAGATGAAGAAAGAAAGAAAAAGATGCATTATAGGCTTTTTTGGACAGTGGAGCACAGAGGGAGGATGCTTGGAAGAAAGAGGTGAAAGATGCACAAAGGAGGAATATGCCTGCTTTTTAACAATGAAGGAGACAGAAGACACAGGCCTTGGAAAGCCAATGTTATGCAAAATGCCCAGAAAAGGAAAAGAATATATTTTTTACTCTATTTTATTAAGTTTCAGGATACATGTGCAGGACGTGCAGGTTTGTAACATAGGTAAATGTGTACCATGGTGGTTTTCTGCACCTATCAACCCATCACCTAGGTATTAAACCCAGCAAGCATTAGCTATTTATCCTGATACTGTCCCTCACCTCACCCCCACCCCCACTCTGACAGGCCCCAGTGTGTGTTGTTCCCCTCCCTGTGTCCATGTGTTCTCATTGTTCAGCTCCCTCTTACAAGTGAGGACATGTGGTGTTTGGTTTTCTGTTCCTGCGTTAGTTTGCTGAGGATAATGGCTAAGGAAAGGAAGAATTAATTAGGAGGGTCATTCTGAGAAAAGGATAATAATATTTAGTTTTTTTTTAAAAAAACAAACAAACAAAAAAAAACCTAAATGCAGAAGAAAGGATACACTCAGAGAAAAATAGCCAAAGACTCGAGATCATGGGAAAAGAAAGAGTCTGAGGAACTGAAAGCAGAGAAGTGTCACTGGATTCTGGAGTGCAAAGGCAGCTATGAATGCAGATTCTGCTTCTTTTTCACTGGGTGAGGAAAAGCTCCTTTTCCTTTTTTAAGCTTCAATTTCTTTATCTGTAGTTTGGGATGATGGGAAGAGAAAATGACAATATGTGTATGAGAAGATTTTACAAACTCTAAGAAATAACAAGTAGAGGACCAAATTATTCAAAAGAACATTTGAGTAACTGAAAGGTTTGAACACACATATACATACATACAGGTACACACACAGAGACACATTTTAAAGATCACTCCAACTGCTGGGTGGAAAATGGTTTGAACAAGAAATGAGTAGAACTAGTGAGACCAGTTAAAAGGCTGCTAAAACCAGTGGAGCAGATTAGACAGCCTAGACTCAGATCCATTGCATATATGAAAATCTGATAAATGACTGAGTAGATGTTGTATATCAGTGAGAAAAAGAGGAACTATTCAATAAATGGTGCTGGGACAATTAGTTATTTCTATGGAGAAAAAAATAAGTGTGTACCTCAAGCCATATACAAAAATTAATGTGAGAGGCAACATTTAAAACTTCAAAAGTTATATAGAAAAGAATTCTCATTTTTCAGAAAGGCTTTTTAAATGATTCATAATGTGAGAATCTCTGGAAAAAAGAAATGATAAATTGACTATTCAAAATATAAATGTTAGTTCATCAAAAGAACCCTCAAAGAGAGAGAAAGGCAAATCACAAACTTGGATAAGATACACATACGCGCTCTTGATCTACCAGCCCTCCAAAAATGACTATCTTGTAATCTGTTAATTATTCCCTTGCTTTTCCTTATAGTTGAATCACATATTTTTGTATCTTTACATAACGTATTATAGTTTTGCTTGATTTTAAATGTTAACAAATGGAGTCCTAATATGCTCTTTGGGGCTATTAAAATCATAGTATTATGGTTTGGCTGGATTCATGTTGATTTAGGTAGCTACTTCATTTTCACAGTTGTATTGTATTTCATTGAATAAATATACTACAGTGTAGTTATATTTCTCCTGTTGATCACCATTTGAGTGGTTTCAAGGTTTATGCTCTTAAAACCAATGTTATTGTGAACATTCTTGTGCATGCCTCTAAGTGTTCATGGGCAAGATTTCTTTACAGCAGGGGTTGGCAAACATTTTCTGTAAAGAGACAGATTTGACTATTTTTGGCTTTGCAGGCAATATGGTGTTTGTTACAATTATTCAACTCTGCCATTGTAGCATGAAAGCAGCTATAGACAATATGTTACAATAAAACTTTATTTATATAAACAGACAGTGGATTTGATTTGGCTCATGGGCTGCAGTTTGCCAACCCCTGTTATACATAGGAATTATAAAAAATATTAATACAGTCATGTACTGCATAGCAACATTTCGGTCAATGAAAGACCACATATAAAACAGTGGTTCTATAAGATTATAATGGAGCTGAAAAATTCCTATCATCTAGTGATTTGTGTTCTAATTGCCTACAGTATTCGATACAGGCACACATTTTACAGGTTTGTAGCCTAGGAGCAATAGGCTATACCACCTAGCCTAGGGGTGTAGTGAGCTATACCATCCAGATTTGTGTAAGTACTGTATACTCTATGATGTTCACACGATGAGAAAATAGCCTAATGGCACATTTCTCAGAATGTATCCCCATTATTAAATGACATGTGACTGTACTGAGGAAAAGAGCAAGCTATGACATTAGGCATTACATTAACATTAAACATAATTGTGATTGCATTTTGAAATGTTTACATTTCAAAACCATGCAAAACTATAAAATATTATAATATGATGTAGAGATACAAACATGCATGGTAGAACTGCAGAGAAAGCAAGGGAATAATTAGCAAAATGCAGTATAGTGTGGGGATTTTTCAGGGGGAGCAGCAGGGGGCAGATGAAATCAAAGACTCTTCACGTATAATGGTAATGTTCTAAACCTTAAACTTGTTGATGGATAAAGGGATGTAATTTTATTATTCCTCTTTAAACAATACATCTAAGTTCTCTAGCTAGATTCTTCTATTATATATAATAGATTATGTATATGAGTGTAATTTTTATTTTATTTCACAATAATTTTGTTTCTTGTTCATCACCTGGTCCAGGTGATGGTGGCTTGGTCTAAGCTAATGGAAACTAAGACATGGGGTCATATTTGTAATTTATTTTGAGGACAGAAGTGGCAGGTCTTAGTGATTATTTGCATGTGGGTTTTGTGTGGGGTTGGAGGAGGGGTCAAGGATGACTCCCATGTATTTGGTGTCAGTACTGGGTAGACACAGCATTCTTTTTTGTGATAGAAGGATTTGGGTAAGGTGAGGTAAGATGAGAGAATTTAATTTTGAGTAAAGTTATGGCACCCAGGAGATACCTGAGAGGAGATGGCTTTAGGTAGCTGAGTGATGGATCTCATTCAGAAGAAAGGCTTAGGCTGGAGAATTCAGTAGGGAATTGTCAGCATGCAGATGGTATTCTACACCATGGGAGTGAGATAAGCTGGCACTGAGCACAGGAGGAAGGCAGTACTGTATTAGTCCATTCTCATGCTACTAATAAAAACAAACCCAAGACTGGGTAATTTATAAATGAAAGAGTTTTAATGAACTCACAGTTCCACGTGGCTGGGAAGGCCTCACAATCATGGCAGAAGATGAAGGAAGAGCAAAGGGACATCTTACATGGCGACAGGCAAGAGAGATCATGTGCAGGGGAACTTCTCTTCATTAAACCATCAGATCTCATAAGACTTATTCATTATCACAAGAATAGCATGGGAAAGACCCACCTTCATGATTCAATTACCTCCCACTGGGTCCCTCCCATGACAGGTGGGTATTACGGGAGCTATAGTTCGATGAGATGTGGGTGGTGACACAGCAAAACCATATCAAGTAGGCCTAGGGGGAGAGTGCTTAGGCCTCAGAGTCAAATCCATATTCTGCCCTCTACCTGCCAAAATGACTTAGGAAAGTTACCAAATCCTCTCTCACTTAAGTCCTTCATTATATGAAGACATTGCATGATTTTAGCACACAGTGGGTTATTGATAAAAGGTAGCTTTTAGCCCACAGTATTATATCATCAAGGTCTCAGAAAATGGCCCAGTGAATGAGCTTGGAGACACAAGAATGGTTTGCTATTTCACACCCTCATTCAATCCTGCCCTTTTCATTCATCCTGAGGAGAAATATCCACCCTTCTGCCCAAAACTGTGTCTTTTATTCCCAACCCCAGCCAAGGCGAGGGCAGTGGCAAGAGATCAAGGAGGGAGGAAGAACGGAGGGAATGCTGGCTCACCAGATGATACTGCATTTTAACACAACATAAATCTCACTGAACTCGTTTCCTGCCCATTAGCATCACATCCTGCTCTCTCTCTAAGCAGTCTGCCTGAGTCCCTAAATGTATCTGGACCATGCATAAACTTCATTTTCCTTCCTCTTTTCTTTGCTTTTCATTGAGCTCATCTACCCACAGCATTTTCCCCCGATGAAAGCCACCACGCTCATCTAGAAAGACATTAAGCTCTCAGTTCTGTCTGTCACTGGGAAACATTTTCAGATATTTGGTATGAAGATTGCTGAAGAAAAACAAATTGTGTTCTCTCCTACCTGCCAGAGAGGCTGCTACTACACCAAATTTAATGAAAGATTGCCATCAGGTGTCTAAATGCTTAAGCTACCCAAAGGTCGAGGCTACCTCATCCACTGTTGTACAACCTAATGCACATCACAGACTCACAGAGCCAAAGAACATAGTATAAATAACACATACTGTCTCATGCAGATTTTTATGCATTTTTTAAAGTTGTATATGGTTTAAATTATTTTCTATTAGAAAACGTGAAGTCAAAAACTCACCTTTTTTGTAATTCACTGCTATGTATTGTTACAGCCTCCAAAATTTAGTTTTTCTAAAACTTATTGATAGAAATAATATCTTTAATTGCAAATATATTAACCAAAATTATTCCTTTAGTGTGAAAGTGAAATGATATAAAACATTAAAGCCATTTCGACTTTTAAAAAATTGCAAAAATATACTTGTTTCAAACATACTACTCCATTCATTTATTTAGCCACTATTTGATGAGCATCTATTACGTACTAGAGACTTTGCTAGACTCCAGAAAGAAGCAGTTGAAGGAGGTAGACACAGTCCCTCACTCTTGGAGTTTGCATTATAGATGGGGGCTCAGAGTTGAAGGAGAAAGGCTGACAGCAAACAAAAATAATAAAATAAAATAACACAGTTACAGAGCACGAGATGTGCTTTGAAGGAAAATCAACAGGGTAGAGATTGAAAGGACCTAGGTGACAGAGTGTTGGGGAAATGCAGCGACCCTTTGAAAAAGTGATATGGGCACTAATGCCAGAAGGATGGAAATAAGCCTTCAAGGGATGATCTGGAAGGAAGCGTCTTCCAGGGAGTAGGGTTTACAAATTCAAAAGGGCTGGCTGGATCCCATTACTGGGTATATACCCAAAGGATTATAAAACATGCTGCTATAAAGACACATGCACATGTATGTTTATTGCTGCACTATTCACAATAGCAAAGACTTGGAACCAACCTAAATGTCCAACAACGATAGACTGGATTAAGAAAATATGGCACATATACACCATGGAATACTATGCAGCCATAAAAAATGATGAGTTCATGTCCTTTGTAGGGACATGGATGAAACTGGAAACCATCATTCTCAGCAAACTATCGCAGGGACAAAAAACCAAACACCGCATGTTCTCACTCATAGGTGGGAATTGAACAATGAGAACACATGGACACAGGAAGGGGAACATCACACACTGGGGACTGTTGTGGGGTGGGGGTAGGGGGTAGGGATAGCATTAGGAGATATACCTAATGCTAAATGAGGAGTTCATGGGTGCAAAACACAAACATGGCACATGTATACATATGTAACAAACCTGCATGTTGCGCACATGTACCCTAAAACTTAAAGTATAATAATAATAAAATTTAAAAAAAAAGGGCTGGCTGGTAAAAGCTTGCCATGTTTATAAATCACAAAGGAAGCCAGTCACTATCTCAAAGAGATATCTGCATCCCCATGTTCATTGCAGCATTACGCACAATAGCCAAAATAGAGAAACATGCTCAGTGTCTGTCAACAGATTAATGGATAAAGAAAATGTGGCACACACACAATGGAATAGTATTCAGCCTTTAAAAAGAAGGGAAATCCTGCCATTTGTGACAACATGGATGAATCGTAAGGTTATTATACTAAGTGAAGTAAGTTAGGCAGAGAAAGACAAATGCTGTGTGATCTCACAAACAGACATTTCCCAAAAGAAGACATACATGCAGGCAACAATCATATAAAAAAAGCTCAACATCACTAATCATTAGAAAAACACAAATCAAAAGCACAGTGAGATGCCATCTCACCCCAGTCAAAATTGCTATTATTAAAAAGTCAAGAAATAACAGATGTTGGCAAGGTTGGGGAGAAAAACGAATGCTTATACAGTGTTGGTGGGAGTGTAAATTAGTTCAACCATTGTGAAAGGCAGCGTGGTGATTCTTCAAAGACCTGAAGACAGAACTACCATTTGACCCAGCAATCTCATTACTGGATATACACCCAAAGGAATATAAATCATTATATTATAAAGACACATGTGGCCAGTCGTGGTGGCTCACACCTGTAATCCCAGCACTTTGGGAGGCCAAAGTGGGTGAATCAACTAAGGTCATCAGTTCCAGATCAGCCTGGCCAACATGGCGAAACCCCATCTCTACTAAAATACAAAAATCAGCCAGACATGGTGGTGCATGCCTATAATTCCAGCTACTGAGGAGGCTGAGGCAGGAGAATAGCTTGAACCCAGGAGGCAGAGATTGCAGTGAGATGAGATGGCACCACTGCACTCCAGCCTCGGTGGCAGAGAGAGACTCCATCTCAAAAAAAGAAAAAGAAAAAAAAAAAGACAGGTGCATGCGTATGTTCATGGCAGCACTATTCACAATAGCAAATACATGGTATCAACTCAAATGCCCATCAATGATAGACTGGATAAAGAAAATGTGGTACCTATATATCATGGAATACTATGTAGCCTTAAAAGAACCTGAGATCATGTACTTTGCAGGGACATGAGAGGAGCTGGAAGCCATTACCCTTAGCAAACTAACACAGGAACAGAAAAACAAACACCGCATGTTCTCAACTATAAGTGGGAGCTAAATGATGAGAACACACGGACACATAGAAGGGAGTAACAAACACTGGGGCATAGTGGAGGGTGGAGAGTGGGAGGAGGGGGAGGATCAGGAAAAATAACTAATGGACACTAGGCTTAATAGCTGGGTGATGAAATAATCTGTACGACAAACTCCGTGACGCAGTTTACCTATACAACAAACCTGCACATGTACCCCTGAAATAAAAATAAAAGTTAAAAAAAAATGAACTCACAGAGACAGAGTAAAATGGTGGTTGCCAGAGGCTGTGACTTGGGGGGAATGTGGAGATGTTGGTCAAAATATACAAACTTGTAATTATAAGATGAAGAAGTTCTGGAGACCTCATGTACAGCATGGTGACTATAGTTAATAATAATGCAATATATACTTAAGATTTGCTAAGAGAGAAACTATTACTGATTCTCAACACACACACACACACACCCCACAGGTATCTATGTGAGGTGATGGATATGTTAATTCTACAACTGGAAAAAAATGGCCTGACCCACTTGTGTTTTTGTACAAATGTGATTACAACTAGACATGACTTGTGGTGCATTAATTAGTTGGGGGGCATGTTTATCTCCTCCATAAATGGGTGGTGAGCTATCACATGCTCTGCATGTAACAGACAGTCATCAAATGCTTGCAGACCACACTGCATGGCATTGCTTTCTCTTCTAGTCAGTCGGTTTTCTTTTTAGAAATATTTTTGTTGGAAATCTTTGACAAAGACAAATGGCATTATCAAAATCATGATGAAGACAATGTGATGGATCATGTTGTCAAACTCTGCAGTTTCTTTTATATATGAAGTATTGACCAGCTGTGTGATTGTAGAAAAATAGAAGTATTATCCATTGGACAAGTGCTTGGACTTGAAAACCCTTATGCTCTCTTCCACCCCTGACACATCATGACACAATTTTTCGTTGAATTTGTATAGTTGCTTAATTGTTAATCCTTTTCATCCCTCACCCTATAAACAATACTTTATTACACAATTCTTAAAAGTCCATTGCAATGAATAATGATCCAAAGAGTTAGCCCATGAATAAAGGTGTCTAATGGTCAAATGAGTCTAACTAAAGCTAAATTCCAAATTTCTCCTTTGAAGATGACAATGATGTCAACATATTAACAGCTCTGAAATATCTAGTAGCAAAGAAGCCTTTTTAAATGTGTTTCGACATTTCTCCCATTTTATTACAGAAATTTTCTATATATAAATATATACGCACACATAATTGAAGTATAAATTTATAAAATATGTTTGCATATAAATGTACACACCTATATTTACATATATCATCAAACACATGTTTTGTGTTTAAATGCAGATAAATAGATAGATGAATATTGCAAACAGGCATTTCATCTCAAGAAACTAGTGTTCTGTGGAACCCACTTTAGGAAAGGCTGACTACTGCATTCAGTGAGTCTAATAAAAGGAATATGTTTTATTAGAAGTAACCATTTCTATTTCTTTTGTACCACTATATACTTGTATTTTTCCCCCTCCACACATACATGGATTAGAGGGAATAATATAAAACTCATTTCTCCCCCTAATTCCTCCCTTAAGACATAACAGCAGCAAGAGTATTGAATCTTTGAAGACATGGTAAAACTAGTAATTGTATTTTTGAGGTGAAATTGTTAGCAATTTAAGTAACAGATTCTCACAATATTTGCTCACCAGATATTGTCTGTAATTTTGAGATAGCTCTATATTCAATCTCTGATTCATGAGGATTTTGAAAATAATGATTGTGATGGGCAGTTTTTTGGGTCAATTTGGCTAGGCTGTAGCCCCTAGTTATTCAATCAAACACTAATCTGGGTGTTGCTATGAAAGTATTTTGTAGATGGGATGAAACTTCATGATAAGTTGACTTTAAGTAAGAGAATTGATCCTAGATAATCTAGGTGAGCATGATTCAATCTGCTGAAAGGTCTTCAGAGCAGCTGAGACTCCCCTGATGAAGAAGAAATCTCATCTGTGAACAGCAGCTTCCACTTGAGTCCACGAACTTCAGCCAGCTCTTCCTGACAACCTGCCATATAGCTATGAGACTTGCCTCTATAGTCCTCACAATCGTGTAAGCCAATTCCTTAATAAATCTCTTTATATGTGTCTCCCAGCGGTTCTGCTTCTGTGGTTGAACCCTGACTGATGCAATGATGATATGTTTACTGTGACAACTACCCTGCACTTCCCCCTCAACCCCCTTTGATCAGGAGCCTATTGAGGGCAGGGAAGAAATCTCATTCATCTCGATGGCCCCAGTACCCACAGGGCTTGGCAGAGTTGAGCTCAGTAAATGTGAACTGAAAGAAGTAATTGATCAATACAGGCTGAACCTATGGCAATGACACATTTAAATTAGCTCTTTTGTGCTTCAGTGTAACAGAAGCACCCACTGAGGTCATACTTTTTGTGGTTTCATTGATAAAGGAGAAGAACTTTATTTTTTCTCTATCATTCTACAGAATAAAAGCATAAAAGCATTATAAACATAAGATTTGGCTAATTATTAGGGAAATTACGTGAAGCAAACACTGCAAACAAAATCATTTCAAGGGTAATAACACTATGGTGTTTTATATAATCATAGAATTTTATAACAACAAGGTTTCTTCCCAGTCTTATGATACAGACTCATAAGTTTGCAAATGAGTAGACTGATGTTTTCTTAGGGTAATTTTATCACACTCTAAAATGCAGGTATATCATAAGGCAAAACTTAGAGTTCCAAGGGGGCTGTATTGGTAAGGAAAAAAAATAAGCATAATTTTCATTGAGTGTATATATGATAGATGTTGCACTGAATCGTTTGCATTCCCAACAAAACATGTTCCTCTCTCAAAGTAGGTCAAGTGATTATGATGAAGTGAAATAAGCACGATGAATGTGCAGAGAATGTGTATGCATGGGAGTGGAAGGGGGAGATAAATAAATGCTACGTGTTCAAGAGAAGAGAAATGAGGAAAATAACTCACAGTCGAGTTCTACTATATGCCAGGCTAGGTGATATAGAGAGATAATGAAGTAAGTTATATATATATCTTATCTCATTTAATCTTTACAACTCTGTGAGATAGGTTTTGTGCTGGATATTTTACAGAGGAGGTTCAGGTAGGCTAAGTAATTGGGTCAATAACTAGTTAATCAAGAAACTAGGATTTGAATCCAGAGCCAACTTCAGGCTTGATGCTGTTTCTCACTATATAAATGGTTCCGTTGCATTTTTATCATGCTTTACACTGGATAAGCTCTTTAACATATGTTTGGGTTTAGGATGGTGAACAATCACACCTGTCTTCTACACATATCTCTTGAGAAATGGGCAGAAACATTAGATAGAAGGCAAAGTATCCCCCTTATTATAGGTAAAAGTAAAAGAGAAAAGCCGGCTTCAAGGTGCAGGCATATTAACAGCTTTCTAATACTACTCCCAAAGGTACACCCTGGGAAGACCCATTTGAAGGAGATCAGACACCATTACTCAGAACCTTTGAGCCACATGTTATTTTTTTCTTTATTAGCATAAAAAGCCCAAATTTCTGCCTATTTTTAGAAACCAAGGTTAGATACTGACCCATATGTGCTAACTATATGGAAGACCAAAGCAGAAAATCTATGCTGCAGGCAGCTACATCCAAAGGAAAAACTGAAATGGATTTAGCCATGCATGTTCAGTATTCTCTTTTCAATCGCATCAATTAGAAAAGCACATTTTTCCAAAGGAAGAGAAGTGAGCGAGTGCTGGAAAATTATCAAAAGTATATCTTCCAAAATTTCTACCCTGGAAGGCGTAGTGGAACCCCACCCCCTAGCTCACCCTCGTGAACCCAGCTAATTATGGAAATTTATAGAGTGAAAAGTGGGGCCTTTTCTAATATTTTTCAGCTAGGTCAACCAGAATGTAGATACCTTCCTGAATAGAGTTAGGGGAGGAGTGAAATATTAGCATTTTATTTGGGGCACTCTTACTCCCACTTGCATGTAGTGGTTCTCCCATCCCACTGCCTCTTTGGAAGAGCTGGAGGGCAGCTGAGCTTTTCCCTGAAGAAGCCTCTGAAATGGATCAAGATAGAGCCAAAGCCACGTTCTATCCAAGGTTGCAAATTCATCTCCTAGTCTATTTCCTATCCAAAATTTTCTCCACTAAAGTATCCTACATGGCTTACCAGAGAAGTACAAATGTATGTATTTCCGAGGGATACCAAAACAAATTACCTCAAACTGCTGGCTTAACACAACAGAAATTTATTGTCTAGAGGATAGGAATCTGAAATTAAGGTGTTGTCAGGGCCATGCTCCCTGTGAAACCTATAGAGAAGAATCCTTTCTCGCTTCTAACTTCTGGCGTTTGCCGGCAATCCTTGAGGTTTCTTGCTTATTGAGGCATCACTCCAATTTGCTCCATAGTCACATGGCTGTCTTTTCCCTTCATGTGCCTGTGTCTGTGTCTGCATCTGCACCTACATCTGTGTCTGTGTCTTCAAATGGCGATGTCTCGTCTATAGTCACTCTTTCTTATTTTCTTGTTCTTTTAAGGACACCAGTCATATTAGAGTAAGGGCCAAACCTACTACATACTGACTTCCTCTTAGCTTAACTAATTACCTCTGCAATAACTATTTCCAAATTAGGTCACGTTCTCAGATAAGAACTGAGAGAAAATATATTCAACATACATTTGGGGGGTGGGGGGGGACACAATTCAACCCAGAACACAAAGTCTGTGTGTTTAACCTATAACACAACCCATAACTACACAAAGGTACTAAAACAATACAACATTAGTACCTAAATTTATGCTCCAGATTTATAAACTTAAACAATTAAACCTTTACATTCCTAGATAAAAATTTAAGTCCAAAGATTAAATCCTCATTTCTTTTTAAGTTAGTGTTCAATGACATTACAGTCTAAACTAATTCTGAAATTAAGGTTCTAAATTTATTCTTTCCAGTATTTCATTCTTCTGCATCTCAGCCAGATGCATTTATCGCTAATGCTTTCCTCCAGGAACTGAACACTCTGGAATGGAGGTGATTCCTTCAGGAATTAGTTCAGTACAAATTCTCCTTTGTACCCCTTTTTCTCAGATGTCCAAAGAGTCAATAAGATATATAGATTATTATAGTAATACTTCCACAGCCACAAAATATAGAGAACAGGCCAGTCCCCTGTCCCAAGAGCAAAATTATACTCCCCTAACCCAGCACTGAGTGCAGTCCAGACTCAGTGATATCCAAGGGAATGAGCAATGCTCGTGAGATGATAAGCTGGTTACTTCTAGTTCTGATGTTTACCAGCAAGTCCACCCTAACATGGTAGGGCCTGGGACAACATTATAAAGGGAGCCCCTCATACCATTGTCCAAACATTTAAGGGATCTCTTGAGGCCAGGTCTTCAAGATCAGCCTGGGCAACATAGCAAGACCCATCTCTACAAAAAAGCTTAAAAAATTAGCTATGTGTGGTGGTAAGCACCCATAGTCCTAGGTGCTCCAAAGGCTGAGGCCAGTGGATCCGTTGAGCCCAGGAATTTGGGGTTACAGCGAGCTATGATTGTGCTACTGCACTCTAGCCTGAATGACAGAGTAAGACTCTGTCTCTTAAAAATGTATGTGTATGTGCTCTAAACACCATAATTTTAGAAAAAAATTGTCAGGTTTGCTTTTAAAAAGAAAGAATTGACTATATTCTATCTATAATAAACTTGTTATAAATATACAGATACATGAGAAGAAAGCTGATGGATAAAGATATACCATATAAACAATATGCATAAGAAAGCTGGAATAGTTATACTAATATCAGACAAAGAAGACTTTCGAAAAGGACTGTCACAAGGAATGAACAGGCACATTGCATAATGATTAAGGGTCAGTTTGAAAACTTCCTCCTTCCCCTTGTTTTTGCTATTGTTTTCCTATATTTAACTTCCGTGTACGTTATAAACTTCACAATACATTTTTTTCATGTATCTAGGTTTTCTTATATGTAAAATATGGCAGAGTAATCAAATAGTACATCAGGAGATGCATTTTTAACAAAGTATTTTAACTTAATAAGTAAAAAAAAAAGAATAAAATGTGAAAAAACAAAATCAAAAAGTTAACAGACTGAGAAATAAAATATGTTCTCTTTTTCTACCTAGATAGGAATACAATCTGGAAATCAAGTTAGAATTCAGAATTCTTGAATTCTTCTGTGTTTTCTCATGACATTTTTAAGAGCAATTACACCTGTAGTACCCCTTTTTTCTCCTATAGGCTGTGATCATAGAGCTCTTCTTAATTGTACTCTCTGCTTATTTTTACTTCTTTTTAATTCTACCTCAGCTTTCTTCTGCTATTCCTAGAACTAAACCCATTTCCTGAGTTCTGGTCTTATGTTCATCTGAAATATCTTGAATTTTGTTTGTCTGCTCTGCCAGGTCTATGCACTAATTCCATGATCACTTGATTTCTGAGAGAAGGCATTCAGGTACAAGGTATACTTGGTAAATTTTTGGCCTGTGGGTTTGTGATAATCTCATGCACCTTTTTCTCCTCCATTATTCAAAGAAGCTTTTCCAACATATCAAAAACACTATCAGTCTCTGTTTATTAATAAAACCCACGACTCTTTAATGATAAAAGCCAGTGTCCAGGCATTTGAAATATAAAACCATTGCCAGAAACGCTATAATCAAAAAATCAAAAAACAAAGTGAAGCAGGAGGATAAAGGAGGAGAATTTGAATTAATGACTCTAGGACTCTGAACAAGTCATATGGAACCAAGCAGTTGGCTCTTCCAGATTCCTGTTGTTAACCCTCTCTATATGTGGTTCCTCAAAAATGGAAAGGGAGGGGGAAGGAGAGAAAGGGGAAGGAGGAAGGAAAGGACAGACAGAAAGTGGAAGGAGAGGAATAATGATAGTAATAATAATAATTCAGGGGCAGCCAATCTATTGTTCTTTAAAACTAGAAGACAACTTAATGTTTCACATCTAAAATACTAGTTTTTCTGTGTCCCAGTGGAACTCACTCGCCCTCTGCATTTTCAAGTTCTATTCTGAAGTCTTAGGTGAAAACACAATAAAAGCAAACAACAATAAAGATATTATTACACATATTGACAGGTTAGAAACTCCACATCTTGCAGCTCTGCTTACTTTGAAACAAGGCTTAACTGGAAATAAAAATACTCCTTTTCTTATAATCTAGCTGCTGTCTCAATTAAGCCGATGAGATCAAAGTCAGCTTTAGAAGTCCATTCATTCAATTCCATGTTGATGAGGCTCTGAACAGCCCATGTGAGTTTAAACAACAAAACAACAATTAGAAAGCTACACAATGCAAAACCTTTGCTTATTGTTCTCTCTGGTTCCTACTGTCACTGAAAAGGGTGAAATCCTTTCAAAAGATTTAAGATAAGTTGAAGGAAGGGTTAATGTTGTCCACCTACAAGATAGCATTATTATCTTTATTTTGCAAGTGAGAAAACCACAGGACTTTACCTCCTATGCTGAACACACATTGGTTATACCTAGGATGAGCAAAGCCCTACCATGGTAGCTTGGGCTATAAAAAAAGGGATTATTTCTGCCCTCAAAGATTACATTATTATCTTTCAGGAGGGAGAACAGTTCTAAATGATGGTCCATGTGGTCCTTCTTTATTCTGTGCATCTATGAGTCTATAAGTTAGCAATTTCTATAAACCAAGACAATCAAAAGTAGATTACACAGGAAAGTTACACAGAGTAAGAGAAAACATTCAAGTGCAGCAATGGAAAGGTTTCAGGGAGGAAGTGACATTTGCATTGTGGCAGGGATAGGTTGAAGTTTACACACTTTGACTCATGTAACTATTTTTGTATAAAAATAGTTGAGTTGAGCAGTTCAACTCAAATTGTTCATGAGCTTTAATTCCTACCTTTCAGGGGTCAACAGACTCAATTATGCCATTTCAAGATTGTTCCATCATTTTTTATTTAAACTTAATCTCTTATAGTTTTTCTATTTTTTTCTCTGAACAAATTTCCAGCATGTTTTGTTTTGTTGTTTGTTGTTTTCAGCATCTCTGCCCACTCTTTTTTTTTCTTTCTCCCCTTAAACCTGATCTGAAGTCCCAAGGGGATCCTGCCTACCTCCTGGTATTAGCAGGGGGAGCAGTTGTCAGGTCTGTTTTCCCCTCAGGCCTCCCTGGACTCCATTATGGTCTATTTCACCAGGTCATGGGATGTCTTGCACCTGAGTCCTCTTGGCTGTGGCTGGATATGCCTGGATCCACTGGGTATGGCACTAACATGCACCACTGCGGCCTGTGGCCCCTTCTGTGGCTGATACTCAGAATGCCCACTCCGTGGTGTCTTCATCCCCAGCCCAAGCCCTTCCTAATCAATAGGTCTTCTCAGCATTTCCCAGCAACCTAAGGGGGCCTGGGAATTGTATATTGCTGTCTCTAGACTTCACTGAAATTTGATGGGCTGTGTGAGGCTGCCTTAATTCCTACCCCATATACATTTTCCTAAGCCACAACCATGGTACTAGCCCTAAGCAGGGAGCCAAAACACACATGTGAACTCATGTATGCATTCCTCTTTCTTTGTCTCCACCCCCCCCAACCTTATTTCTTTCTCTCCCTTTTATCCTCTCTCCACTTCCTCCCCTCCTCTCTGCCCTTCCTCCTATCCTCTCTCCCCTTCCTCCCCTTCCTTCTCTCTCCTCCTCTCCCCACCATCTTTGTCTCTCCTGTCTTTCCCCAGCCCCTCTTCCTCTCTTGTTCTTCCTCTTTCTCTCTCTGGTCTGAACAACCTTGAAGCTTAGAGGGCTTTACTATTCTTCCTGGCTAACAAAAACTTCCCCTGGGTCATCTGTTATAGCCTGCCTTCTGTGCAATCTACAGCTTCCCTGACATTTGACAGACGGGCTTGTCTCATTATATGGTAAAACCTATCTTTGGAAACAGAAGTGAAAGTCATTTTCTCTCTCAGTATAGCCAGGCTTCTGGAAATATTGACCCTCACTGGTGGCAGGAAGGACCAGGAGAACAAATAAAGTTTTTATAGTTGTATGGCCGTTTGGGGATGTGCAGAGTTTAGGGAGCCTGGAATTATGTGGGCTTCCATGGATGACTGAACTAACAGGCTCAGCTGAGATGAGGATTGGTTGTACGACAAATGTATTTTCATTGCAGTTAAGGCTCATCTCAAAGGGGGCAGAGCTTCAGTATGTTGACTTTTTGAACACTGGTAAATCGATAGTCACCTTTATTGTGCTTCTTGGACATTACTTATGTCCAGGACTTTAAAATGTAAAGGATATAAATCCCATTCAACCCAGCAATCCCATTACTGGGTATATCCCCAAAGGAATATAAATCATTCTGTTGTAAAGACGCATGCATGCATACATTCATTGCAGCACTATTCACAATAGTAAAGACATAGAATCAACCTAAATGCCCATCAATGATAGACTGGATAAAGAAAATGTAGTACATATACACCATGGAATACTATGCAGCCATAAAAAAGAATGAGATCATGTCCTTTGCAGGGATATGGGTGGAGCTTGAAGCTAATATCCTTAGCAAACTAACACAGGAACAGAAAATCAAATACTGCATGTTTTTACTTATAAGTGGGAGCTAGGTGATGAGAACACATGGACACATAGAGGGAAACAATACACACTGGGATCTTTCAGAGGATGGAGGGTGGGAGGAGAGAGATGATTGGGAAGAACAACTGATGGGTACTACGATTAATACCTGGGTGATGAAATAATTGGTACAACAAATCCCCATGACACAAGTTTACCTGTGTGAAAAATTTGCACTTGTATCCCGAACTTAAAATAAGTGTTAAAACAAAAGTTCCACCAGGCTATAGACCACAGGCATTTGAGGTTTAAGTCTTTAACTGTTAGTTATAGGCATAAGTAATTGATGTTGCGGCCAGGCGCGATGGCTCACGTCTGTAATCCCAGCACTTTGGGAGGCCGAAGTGGGCAGATCACCTGAGGTCAGGAGTTTAAGATCAGTGTGACCAACATGGTGAAACCCCATCTCTACAAAAAATGCAAAATTAGCCAGGCATGGTGGTGCATCCCTGTAATCTCAGCTACTCTGGATGCTGAGGCAGGAGAATCGCTTGAACGTGGGAGGTGGAGGTTGCAGTGAGCCGAGATCACGCCATTGTACTCCAGCCTGGGCAACAAGAAAGAAATTCGGTCTCAACAACAACAACAAAAAGGAAATTGGTGTTGCATTTGCTGCCTAAATCTTTAGAACTCTCCATCTCTGAGCTACCTGTACATAGAGTCAATGAGATGACGATGAAGGGGCTACTTGCTCCTCCCATTCAGCTTCTATATAGGCTCTGAAAGTCACCAGTCCCCTCCCCTCCTGTTCCCAATCACCACATGCTTCAAGTTGGCTCTGGACTGGTCTTTCAAAATGTCTTCAAGTCAGACCATACCATTAAAGGACTTATTCGAGGCAAAAAGAACAAGAGCAACATCATTAGGTACACAGTATATGGGGGTGGAAGAGAAAGGATAGGAAATTCTAGAGTTGGATTTAAGTTTAAGCTTAGACCATACTATGAAGAGCCTTGATTGTAGAGTCTTTTCAACGGACAAGGAGGAACCATGAAGGCATTTAAGTTTGTGAATAAATGTCAGTAAACCAACGCTAGGAAAAAAAAGCAACGACCTGAAACTATCCTTTGTAGAAGTTCAGAATAGATGTGACTTTGGGAGAAAAAAAATCATAATTTACAGATGCAATATGTAAATAAAGGGGCACTTCATCCTAGAAAAATGCCTCTTTTGCAAAATCAGAAGCAGTAACTTTTACCCGAAGACCATAGAACTCTCTCTAGTAAAAATTGTTATTTATATCATTAGACCATAGACATAGTCTTCGAGAAGTACAAAACACATAAAACAAATTTTTAAAAGGCTATTAGAGACAGGTCACTCACAAATTCCCCCTAGCTGATTACATCAAAATATATTCAAGTTAGGCTCCAGTGAGTTACAGTGTGCCAACCTGGTTTGACTTCTGAATGGTCGCAACTGAGACGTGCTTTAAAAATAGATATTTACAACAGATGCTGGAGAGGATGTGGAGAAATAGGAACGCCTTTACACTGTTGGTGGGAGTGTAAATTAGGTCAACCATTGTGGAAGACAGTGTGGTGATTCCTCAAGGATCTAGAACCAGAAACACCATTTTACCCAGCAATATCATTACTGGGTATGTACTCAAAGAATTATAAATCATTCTAATATAAAGACACATGCACACATATGTTCATTGCAGCACTGTTCACAATAGCGAAGACTCGGAACCAACCCAAATGCCCGTGAATGACAGACTGGATAAAGAAAATGTGGCACATATACACCATGGAATTCTATGCAGCCATTAAAAAGGATGAGTTCATGTCCTTTGCAGGGACATGGATGATGCTGGAAACCATCATTCTCAGCAAACTAACACAAGAACAGAAAACCAAACACCGCATGTTCTCACTCATAAGTGGGAGTTGAACAATGAGAACACATGGACACGGGGAGGGGAACATCACACACTGGGGCTCTCGGGGAGTGGGGGACTAACGGAGGAATAGCATTAGGAGAAATACCTAATGCAGTTGATGGGTTGATGGGTGCAGCAAACCACCATGACACGTGTATAGCTATGCAACAAACTTGCACCTTCTGCACATGTATATATATATATATATATGTATATATATAGGATATATATTTCATATCCTAGAACTTAAAGTATAATAAATTTTTAAAAGATAGGTTTTTAAAAATTGGATGCCAAATCAAATAAAATCTAATTAGATACATAACTATAGTGCTGCTAATCTTAAAATGATATATTTTTAAATAAACTAAAAAATGGTGGGTGCTTGCATAGTTCATGCTCTGTATGGCACAGATGGTATCACACTTTTCTTTTTTTTATTTTATTTTATTATTATTAGACTTTAAGTTTTAGGGTACATGTGCACAATGTGCAGGTTAGTTACATACGTATACATGTGCCATGCTGGTGTGCTGCACCCATTAACTCCTCATTTAGCATTAGGTATATCTTCTAATGCTATCCCTCCCCTCTCCCCCATCCCACAACAGTCCCCAGAGTGTGATGTTCCCCTTCCTGTGTCCATGTGTTCTCATTGTTCAATTCCCACCTATGAGTGAGAATATGCGGTGTTTGGTTTTTTGTCCTTGCGATAGTTTACTGAGAATGATGATTTCCAATTTCATCCATGTCCCTACAAAGGACATGAACTCATCATTTTTTATGGCTGCATAGTATTCTATGGTGTATATGTGCCACATTTTCTTAATCCAGTCTATCATTGTTGGACCTTTGGGTTGGTTCCAAGTCTTTGCTATTGTGAATAGTGCCGCAATAAACATACGTGTGCATGTGTCTTTATAGCAGCATGATTTATAGTCCTTTGGGTATATACCCAGTAATGGGATGGCTGGGTCAAATGGTATTTCTAGTTCTAGATCCCTGAGGAATCACCACACTGACTTCCACAATGGTTGAACTAGTTTACAATCCCACCAACAGTGTAAAAGTGTTCCTATTTCTCCACACTTTTCAGTCACCACCTGCCCAAATGTAGGTAGATGCTCCTGTTACCATTACTGAAGAAGGAACAACTGGAAGGCCACATCAGATGCAGGTGTGGATACTAATAAAACAAACAGATCCCTGATGATCCTCTTCTGAGAGAGCTGAACACCCTGCGGATATCCCAATGTGGTTTACAACATGAACACATTCTACATCTTTTCTACCAACTTATTAACCAGTAAGAACATACTAAGCAACTTCCCAACACACACTTATTTTTAGTCATTATTCAAGGCCCAACTCAACTGTTAGTCTTTGGCCTGTTTCCCAAAGCTGCAGTGACTAATTAGCTTTCCAGAACAATCATGCCATGGTCCTTTGACCTTTATTATCAAAATTGCTCTAGCTATAGACTCTGTCCTTGTTTTCAAAGTGTGGTACTCAAGCCAGCCACGTGGATATCACCAGGGAGGCTGTTAGAAATGCGGAATCTCAGGCCCCACCCAGACCTACTGAGTTAGAATCTGCAGTGTGACAAGAAGATTGAGCTGTTATGCATACATTCAAGTTTGAGATGCAGTGCATATTGTCTTGTTCTTAGGAGAGTACCTTGTGAAGATCAAATGCTCACACATTTGTAAATAAATATACTTTTAAAAAATTGTTTTGTTTTGGTTCAGCTGGATTGTTGTTGTTTTTGAGAAAGGGTCTCACTCTGTCTCCCTGGATGGATTGCAGTGATGTAATTGTAGCTCACCATAGCCTCAAACTCCTGGTCTCAAGCAATCCTCCTGTGTCAGCTTCCCAAGTAGCTAGGATGGCAGGTGTGCCCCACCATCCCCAGCTAATATTTTATTTTTGTAGAGACAGCATCTTGTGATGTTGCCCAGGCTTGTCTAGAGTTCTTGGACTCAAGCAATGCCCTCATCTCAACTTCCAAAAGTGCTGGGATTACAGGTGTCAGCCACTGAGTCAGGCCTAAACAGACAGTTTTAAAATTTTGAAATATTAGCAATGTAATATAAAAAATTATGCAAATGTTTCTGTATTGAGGAACACCCTTTGCCTCTGAGTGGTAAAGACAAATGAAATAATTATATACAAAGCAATTATCCTAAGCAATAATATTTAAGCATCTGGAGTGGCTATCATGTAGTCAGTTAATTAATGTTCATTAATATTGTTATCTAGATCACTATGCCAACATGTTTCTTCACCTGTATAGTTATGATCTCTGTGTTTTGGTCAATGTATTCCAGTTTAATTTGGTAGAATTTAGCTTTCACTGTAGGGCAGAGAAATGAAACAATATCATAGAGCCATTATTTTAAAAAACAGTAAGAACATGATGCAGAAAGTGAGCTTTTCCTCCTGCAGCAAAATGACTGTGAGCCTTATTGTGAGGAATAAAATTATTATGGCCATTGTATAGAATATTTCTTAAGTAGCTACTGGGTATTTGGGAAAATTCAGAGCCCACTGAAAACATATGTTCTATTCATCATAGTGCTATGAGAATAAAATTGTTTTGTTGTTTTGTTTTGTTTTAAGATCTTCCTTTAGCCAAAGCAAATTTCAATTTTCAGCCATTTCCTTGTAATCTTATTTTTAAAAATCTCTTTAAAAGAAGATATTCCATAAAAGGAAACAAAAATCCTCTGTGTTGTAAAAAGTATTCGCTTCCAATTTTTGAACCAATACTTGAAGTAAGGGCCTACGAAAAGATGGAGTACATAGTTTAATTGTCCTTTTATCAGATTGAGGGTGAGGGCGTATGATAAGATTCCCTTTAGCAGCCTGTTGACTCTTTCAACCTTGCCTCTTGAAACCTTTCTGAACATAGGAGCTGATACTGCACGTTTTATATTTATAATGATTAATTAATTCTGCACTAAGCAATGTTCTTGACTGCAAGAACAAAACCCACTTTAGAAAGCCTAAATGACAGCTTGCCTAAAATAATTAACACCCACACTGATAGAATTGAAATGCTCTTACTTGACTTTACACAGGCAGATTTCAGAAATTTAATTACTACTATTTCTAATTATTCTAGAATTATAATAAAAATAAAGAGAGTTTGATAAAGCAATAGTGTAGATGAAAAAAAGTCAAGTAAGGGATATAAAATAAGGAACTAACCTATACAAGTGTATACACCTAAGATTGTTACATACAATTCAGGCACAAACATGTATTTTGGTTGCTTGACCTATGAACATAAAAACGGAGCTGGTTATTGTTCAGGTTTTTTGGAAGGTGCTGTTAGGTAACCACTGCTGCTCTCTAGAACTATTAAACATTCCAGTAAAGTATTACATAACTGTGGCTTCTGAATGACAGATGTTTAGCATTTTCTTGAAACTCTTTAGTCCTTACTGTCAACTTTAACTATTATCTAGTTCATCATGGGACTTAAAAATCTCCAAATTTAAGAGTTCTGACATCTGGTTCTAGCGACCAGTAAATAAAAGAGGAAGAAGCATGTGATATAGTCTCTTGCCTTTTCTCATGAATTTCTGAGTTGAGTTCATAAAAATCACCTCACAAGTGGAAGCTCTCAACCAAAGCAAACTCAACGTAGTGCCTGTCAGATTACGTCTCTATAAATAGTGACAGCTTTGCTGATAAAAAGCTTTGATGACATCCTCACAATTCTCATTCTCCCATCTCCCTATTTTGTATTCCCTAAATATCTGGTAAATGAATTCTAAATATTTACTTCTGCTCCATATGAAATCCTACATTTTAAAAAAAATGCAGTTACAAAAATAAAAAAAGAACCAAAGTCCTGTCCTGAGTGAATAAAACACTTTTTTTTCTTTAAGGGCAAAATAAGTTAGCAAGTGTAGTTCAAAATTTCATTGACAGGATTAATTCGCGAAATCTTTGATCACATTTTTCCTTTTTGTTATACTATGACAATCTTGCTGTGGCTTCCAACTTCAATGCCTTCCATAGGCTGGAGAAGCATCGAAATTGACAAAACAATTGTCTAAAGCTACACAATCCAACATGGTGCCACTGTCCACCTGTGAATTGTGAGCACTTGAAATGTGGCTAGTCTAGACTGACACACGCTGTAAGTGTAAAACACATACTGAATTTCAAGGACTAAGCACAAGAAAATAAGGAATGTAAAGTATGTCGTGAGTCATTTTTATATTGAACATATATTTAAGTGAAAATACTTTGGCTGTATTAAGTAAAATACATTATTAAAATTTCACTAGTTTCTTTTTACTTTTTTAATATGGCTACTAGAAAATTTTAAATGACATACACAGCTCCTTTTGGGCTGACATTATATTTCCATTAAATAATACTGGTCTGCAGAGGGTTATATACTTAATAGTTTATGTAATACTCATGCCTATGTGGAGAGGACGCATTGAAATCTCAGAATTATGGATAGATCATTGATATGGTTTGTATCTGTATCCCTGCCCAAATCTCATGTGGCATTGTAATACCCCGTGTAGGAGTTGGGGCCTGGTAGGAGGTGATTGGATCATGGGGGTGGGTTACCCCCTTGGTACGGTGACAGCTGGTTGTTTAAAAGTGTGTAGCACCTCCCTCCACCATATCTCTTGCTCCTGCTCTGGCCATGTAAGACATGCCTGCTTCCCTTTCACCTCCCATTATGATTGTAAGTTTCCTAGGGCCTCCCCAGAAGCCAACTAGATGCCAGCATCTTCCTTCCTGTACAGTATGTGCAACCGTGAGCCCATGAAACCTCTTTTCTTTATAAATTACCCAGTCTCAGGTATTTCTTTATAGCAATGTGAGAACAGACTAATACAATCATCCTTCTGGGATGTTCTATAGAAGAAAAGCAGAATACTAACCTCACAAGGTTATTATAGACTATAAATAAATAAACTATTAAATATCGATGAGCCAAAGGTGGTACCTGGCAATGTTGCAGGAAAAAGAACATTCACATGTCTAGCTACGCAGAATAACATCTTTGAACACATACTTTCCCAGCAGTATGGTTGTGGGTCAGTTAACTGTTATGCCTCAGTTTTTTTCACCCATAAAGTGGATGTCATAATCCAACCTTGCCAGGTTGTAGTGCTTAATAAATAGAGGTCATTATTAACACATTATCAATCAATGTTTTTTGCTACCATTTTCTGCTTACCAGGTGCCAGAAATTGCTCAAGAAATTCAGATTCATTTTACGTTTAATCCTCACAACAACACCACCACCAATACTAATAACAGCTAAAGCCTGTAGAGATGTGACCAGGTGCTTAGTGAAGTGCTTATCTGTGTCATCTTATAACATTGCAATGAGGTAAGAAAATAGACACAAGGTATTATTAGACACACTTTATGAATGAGAAAACTCAGGCTCAGAGAAAAAAGAAACTGCCCGAAGTCACACAATTAGGAATATATCACGACAGAGCTGAGCATCAAATTCATGGATTCAAAAGCCATTCATTCTCTTAGTCACAACAAAGTCCATCTGCACCCTCCTTCCCTTCATGGCTTTGTTCCTTCCCACCCTATTCTCTCTCCCTTTATGTTTCCTTTTCTTTTACTCTCTCTTCTCTCCAGCCACTTTTAAGATGCCAGTGTATATATGCTAATATGATTTTTTTCTCCCAGCAATGTCTACTTTGATGCGTTAACAGACTGTTTTTTAACTGTTGTTTGTTTTTCTAAGGATCTCAACCATAATTGTCTCTGCCTGTGATGTTGTATTTGCACTTTCAGCTGTGAATTAAAGTCTAGTGTGTTCCTTTTCTAGTACTGCTCCTCTCGTATATTAATCAGTGGATCAGCACTGCCATGTAGATACTTCTTGTGAGTTACATTTGAGGAATGTCAGATGTCCAGGCAAAACAGTCATAATAGCACTTCTGGTGAATTCCTAACTGACAAATATATATATATATATATCCCACATTATAAATCATAGAATTCAGTACTAAACAGCACCTTGGAGATGGTCTAGTCTAGCTCTCTACATTTTACAAAGAAGGATATTCTATCCCAGAGAGATTTTGACTTGATTTTGTTTTTCACACTGCTATCTGTCCATTAAAGTCTAGTTCCAATGAAATGTAATTTTTACCATACTATTCTCGACCCCAGACTTACTTATTTTTAATAAATTGCTCAAACTATGTTAAATACAAAGCCCCATTTAAAAAGAAAAAAAGAAAATCAGGAAAAGCAAAGCAATATTAAAATTTGTATGGTAAAATTCTATTATTACTATTTTACAATCTGTTTATTTAAGTCTCTTGGCTGTGTATTAACTGTACTTATGTTCCCATAGTCAAGCTTAATTGGAACAGAACTTCAGTGTAGAAAAAAGCAACTTGCCTTCTTCCTCATGCTTGAATGTTCAGCAGCCAATGCAAGAATAAATGCTTAGTATCAGAGTTGCAAACCCAGCCTGCCTAATGTTGTACAACTCAAAACAACAAACATACTATCTTAGTCTGTTCAGGCTGCTATACAACATAACACCATAGACTGGGTGACTTATAAACAACAGAAGTTTATTTCTCATAGTTCTGGGGGCTGAAAGTCCAAGATCGAGCTGCCAACAGAGTCAGTGTCTGTTGAAGGCCTGCTGCCTGCCTGGTTCACAGACAGCTGTCTTTTCACTGGTCTTCACACAGCAGAAGGGAGGAGGAAGCTTTCTACAGTCCCTTTTATAAGAAGGACACTAATCCCATTTAATTCCTGAGGCCCTATCCTGTAACACCATTACCTTGTGGGTTAAGAGTTAACACGTGAATTTGAGGGGGACACAAACATTTAGTCTATTGCAGATGCCAAGTTGTTTGGCTCACTTCTCAGATGTACTTGTCTACTTGCACAGATGAAAGCCCTCAGTACATGTTAGGTATTATTTATACTTAAGGGCTCGAGTTTTATTGTTTTAAAAATTGTTATGGGAAATTTTTGCTCTGGGAAGGCTCAATGAAACTACCAGCATTTCTCATCCAACCTTACTAATAATTCCGTGTATACTTGTATTAAAGCTTTTCAAACATGGGGGCATCATTTTCAGTTTATCTACCCTCAATAGCAGTGAGCCATTGTATCACACCAGGGACTGATGAATATTTGGAAGCAACTTCACAGGTAAAGTTTCCTCAATATGATAGAATATTCACAAACCCTCGCTGTAGCAGCTAACTCCTACCATGTTTTAGACAATCCTGCTGCATCTTTGTCACATTCCAGAACAAATTGTCGTTCTGGAAAGGGGACAGAAAGAAGGGGAGAGAAATTATTGTTTGCTGCCCTACATCTTTAGTATGCCAATGAAACACTGACTATAAATTTATTAATCTTGACCAGACTAGAATAAATTCAATAGAAATAACATTACTTTGTGGCAACCAAGTACATGTTGACATCCCTCTACCCTCTGAAGCTGGCTATGTGTCCTTCTGATCCATGTCTCTAGCAGAGGAAACTCAGTCTTTCCCATCTCATAGGTCATTTGTTCTTGGGAGAGTTAGATATATTTTCCAAATGTACTCTCTAGTGAGTGATTGGAAAGAAATCACTGGCCTCGTTATCTTCAAAGAATACCAACAGAGCATCCATCTACAACCTGCAGGATTCTGGGCATCATATAAAACCAGATAGGCAGATGCTGACCTGTCCTCACTCTAGAAGGTAACACAGATGCCCATACTGAGGATACATATAGGTTCCAAGCATATGCTTCTGTTTCTAAATGATGGACACACCAGTCAGTTAAATAACTAAAATATTGATTTTTAATAATATTGATTTTTGTTGTTTATTTATATAGTAAATCCCATAGAACAGCATCAGGAACTCTCCTAAGAGAATATGTTTTCAAAACCTGTGTTGACTACTATTTTGTGTAAAGATTGAGCGATAAATTCAACTTGAATTACAACTTGGTATCTGTCTATAGCTTCCACCTCTCAAATCAATCAAACGTTGGTGCAAGAAGACAGATTCCTGAGGGATATGAGGTGGACGTCCCAGAGAATAAATACTATACAATATATCAGGCCTATCCCTTTCATAAAATAGAGAGAATAGCTTAATTGGAAGGAAATAGATCCATATTTATCCTATTACCCAAGGCCTAATAGCCTGTTTGAATGTGTTCCCTTTGAGGGCAGTCACTCTTGGATGCCTGTTGATCTCACCCACATGTTAACAGTCTCCTGGTTTCCCAATTCTAAATTCTCTATTTCTAGAGGTCCCCAGGGTGGGCGACATGTTCTCATAAAGGGTTTTCTTGTTTCCCTTCAGCATGCTGGTTGAAATCCTATTCCTTTAAACAGCTTCTGCACATTGTTGCCTCCAGAGTCCTCAGTGAGAACAAAGATATCCACCTGGGGGCTCAAGGTGGAACCTGGTTCCATCCTCCCCAAACTGTGAGCTGAGGGGCTTGGGGGTGCCAAGACAGCACTGTGATCCTCTCAGGCCTCATGGAAGTGAAGCAACAATGGTATGTTTTACACAAAAATAGGATGCCCCAGTTTCCTCAGGCTGGCATACAAGTGGACTCTGAAATAGTACTGCTCATATCCCAAACATTCCAGAATCCTCTCACAAAGCAAGACAAACCAGTCATGAAGCTGCACCTACCAAGCATTGGGTGGTTTCTCCTCTGCCAGGCTTCACTCCCTCCCTACATCCTCTCACACAAAGTGAGATGATGAAAAATAGATGCCTGACTGTTAAACCACAACTACAGCTAGGCAGCGATTAGCCAGGAAATTGCAGAATAATGTCTAATGTGTGTTGAGTACCTAAGTTAAACCAGGCACTAAGTACCTGATGGGCTTGAATCCTGGCTCTGTCACATCTAGCTGTGTGACCTTAGCAAATTTCTAACTCCTCTATGCCCCCTTTTCTTCAGCTGTAAGATAGAGATAATAATAATAACAATGATCCCTGTTTCATAGGGTTGATGTGAGGACTAAAGGATTCAGATATAAAGTGCTTAAGATAATGTCTGATACGTAATAAGCATGACATTTTCAGCTGTTATTGCTTCTCTCAATAACCCTCTAAGGACTAATATTATTTTCAATTTAGAGATGAGAAAACTAAGGTATAGAGAAGTAATGTAACTTATCCAAGGTAAGCCAACTAATTGATAATAGAGCTGGGAGTCAAATGCAAAGATGCCAGCACTAGAGTCCAAGCTCTTCACCACCACCCTCTTGCCCTGTTATGTTCTCCCACCCTCCACCTCCACCAAAAATCAGTTCTATTAAAAGTCTTACATAATTCCCAGTTGAATTTTCTACGTGATTCTCTTCAGTTTCCTCTAGTGGGGCAGAGAGGGAACAAGAAATAGTAAATAAGCCGGGCACAGTGGCTCACGCCTGTAATCCCAGCACTTTGGGAGGTCGAGGCGGGTGGATCACGAGGTCATGAGATTGAGACCATCCTGGCCAACATGGTGAAACCCCGTCACTACTAAAAATACGAAAATTAGCCGGGCGTGGTGGTGGGTGCCTGTAGTCCCAGCTACTGGGGAGGCTGAGGCAGGAGAATCGCTTGAACCCGGGAGGTGGAGATTGCAGTGAGGCGAGATTGTGCCACTGTACTCCAGCCTGGCGACAGAGCGAGACTCCATCTCAAAAAAATAAAATAAAATAAACAAACAACAACAAAAAAGATAGTAAATAAAGAGCCCCCACTCAGCAAAGCTTCTAGCAGTACCCTTTGCAAAGATGTCTTCTCTCAAAGGCATTTATTATCCATTTTTAAACAACTAATGCTACGTTTCTAACATCTGTAATCACCAGTGACCATTCCTCTAATTTTTTGCCCTGTGTTATTTTATTTATTTAATGCTCCAGCACTAACACTGCCTTCCCCTCCGGCTTCCCCACTGTGGTTGGGCGGCTGTCCTTAACTTTCTTCTTTTGGACTTCATTCCATCAGGTAAGCTGTAACCAAAGCTCTGAACCATAAAACTTGGGCAGCCCTCCCCCTAGTGGTGATGCAGAGAATATCATAAAATTTCATAGTTTACAAAAGATTCACCATCAAAACCTACTTATTCCTTTGAAAGTCATTACAGAAAGAAGCAGCAGACGAGTGGGGAATACCAAGTGACAAGGATGGAATAGGTTAGGATGCCCCTTAAAAGCTTAGGCACTTCAGTCACCTGGAGGATAAATAAAAAACAAGATTGAAGAGGGAGGGGGGAAAAAAGCTCAAGTTTACAAGGGAGGTGCTTGTCATACATACAAAGTTCTTAAGTCAAAAGGGAGAAAGTTGTGTTAGGAAGTCGGATGAGAAATAAAGGAAGGCCACTGAGACTGGAATGCAGAGAAGAGAGAATTAGGCCAAGCCAGCACATGCAAGCTCTTCTTGGCAAAGTTTAGGATTGGAGTCTCATGTCTAAAAGCAGTGGGAAGCAAGTAAAGGTCTTTCATCAAGGAAGCTACACGACCAGACTAGAATTTTTTGCAGATTCCTAAAATCATATCTAATCATGCCGAGGTAGCAGTAAGAGTCATTTCCAATCCAGTGATTTTGTTTTCCCCATTATCTTCATTTTATATTGCAGGTCACAGGCAAGACTAAACCAACAGCAGTAGAGACCTGCTGTCTTAGCAGAGACAGAAAAAGAAATTCTTTTACTGGGAAGCAAGGGATATTTCTAACTCAGCATTCCCTGCTGGGTAGCTGTCAGCTCCGTCTGGAAATGGTGAAAGTTACTGATCAGAATAACAAGTAATAATTTCTTGGTAATCTTCCCCTCTGTGAAGGGAAAAACAATAAATGTTTCTCTGTAGTTACAACACACTTGTTTATCCATTTATTTATCCAAATGGCTTGGGAGTCTCAGAGGAGCCTGACATTTGATGGTGCCAAAGCTCTATCCATCCTTAGCCCTTTCTCCATGAAACCTTCCCAGCTGTGATCTGACTCTTTTTTCTCTGCTCTCCTACAGTAACTGATATCACTGCTTTGAGTCTAACAGTCAAATCTTATTTAAAATGACCAAAAGAGAAACTGTGAGTTCCCCTCCCCACTCAACCTGCTCACATAGGAAGAGCACCAGGTAGAGATGAAGGCAGAAATGGGGCGATGCATCTACAAACCAAGGGGGGCCACGGATTTCCAGCAACCACCAGAACCTAGGAGAGAGGCAGTGTCCTAGTCCACTTGCGCTGCTGTAACAGAATACGAGTCTCAGTAGTTTATGAAGAACAGAAATCTATTTCTCACCATTCTGGAGGCTGGGAAGTCCAAGATCAAGGAACCAGCAGGTTCAATCATCTGGTGAGGGCAGCTCCTCCGGAGGGGAGGAGTGCCATGTGCTCACGTGGCAGAAGTTGTATGGGACTGAATGCTGTGTGAAGCCTCTACCATACAGGACTTAATTGCATTCACAAGAGAGGAGCCCTCAGGGCCTCATCAGCTCATCAGCTCTTAAAAGCCTCACCTCTTAATACTGTCCCGGGTGCGGTGGCTCACACCTGTAATCCCAGCACTTTGGGAGGCTGAGGCGGGTGGATCACGAGGACTGGAGATAGAGACCATCCTGGCTAACATGGTGAAACCTCGTCTCTACTAAAAATACAAAAAATTAGGCTGAGGCGAGAGAATGCTGTGAACCCGGGAGGCAGAGCTTGCAGTGAGCCAAATAGCACCACTGCACTCCAGCCTGGGCGACAGAGCAAGACTCCGTCTCAAAAAAATAAATAAATAAATAAAGTAAATAAATAAATACTGTCACATTGGCAGCCCCTCAATTTTGGAAAGGATCCATTCAAACCATAGCATGAAGCAGATTCTCTCTCACAGACCTCAGAGGGCATCAATCCGAGCAACAGACAGCTTGATCTCAGACTTCTAGCCTCCAGAATCATGAGAATAAATTCTGTTGTTTAAACCACATAGTTTGTGCTACTTTGTTAATATAGCTCTAGAAAGCTAATACAGACTTTGGTCCCAGCCTCCCTCATCTAAGGAAATGTCAACACTCTGTCCAAAAAAACAAGGTCAGAAAGTTAAGAGTCATCCTTGACTTGCCAGTTCCCTTACACACACACACACATACACACACACACACACACACACACACACACACTCCTCTCCATATCCAAACCATTAATGAGTAGCCCATCAATGAGTAACATTGACCCTTTCCTTCCATTTCCATCCCTACCCCTTAGTTTAAGCCTCTATTACTTTTTTCCTGAGCTACTACTAAAGATTGTGTTAGTTTCCTGACTTCCTGTTTAAAGCCTTCCAGTGGTTTTCATCACATTTAAAATAAAATCCATACTCATCCTAATAGCCTGCTAGGACACACGTGACATTGTCCTGTTCATTTATTTGGCTTTATCTCTTATCCTCCTAACTCCTCATCCTTCAGGACACTAACTCTTTTCTTTTTGGCTAAAGACCATCAAGCCTATTCTCACCTTCAGGGCCTTTGCACTAGCTGTTCATTTGAGTCTGGGGTGTTATTTATCCAGGTATTTGCATGGTTGGCTTCTTCTAGTCCTTCAGACCTTGGTTCAAATGGCAATCTCTTCAATGAGGCTCTCCCTGATTACCTAATCTGAAGTAATTCATCAGTCCCCCTGTGTCACATCATCATTTTACTTTCTACTCGGTACTTTCTGTTATTTACTATTTTATTTTTGGTCAATTGAAAGTATTGATTGAGCTCCTGCTCTGTGCTGGAAGCTCTTCCAGGCCCTTAGGCATATAATGCCGAAAACACAAACACCATCCTTGTTCTCAAGTTTACATTCCAATAAGAGTAAACGGATAAATCACTTTTCCCTCTGTTTCTCTGGTTTATTTACTTTTTAATTGTCTGCCCATTCCTCTCCCACTAGAATATAAACCAGAAGACATCAGGGTCCTTTTCTGCCTTGTTCACCTCTGTGTCTCCAAGACCTTAATCAGGTCCTGGAACATGGTTATTCCTCAGTAAATATTTATTGAATAAATTAAAGGAAAAAAAAGAATGGATGATATGGTACTTGCAACATGGCATTACAAACTTAGATCTCAACAGTACCATTGAGCAAACCAGTTTGCATACCAGAATCTCAGTTAACTTATATGCACATTTGGGAATAACAACTAACATTAAGGTGATTATGTGAATAAAAGAAGATTCTGTTTGTAATATTTCGCATGGTGTGCCGCACATGGGGAGAGGGGATAGGGCATAGTAAGTAATGAATGAATTACAATTTATGAAAGTAATAAGGAAGGCTTTTTTTGAAACCTAAAAATTATGACTGGCTTCTTAGGTCAATGTTTAGTTTTACCTAGTATCTTAATTTCCCAGACATCTTTCCTTTCTCTGCACTGCTACACAATCTCTTTCTTGCAGGACTTGTGATTTTTCTAGTTTAAATCATAGGTATTCCAAAACATGACCCATCTGTAATAAGAAACCCCTTGAGGGTAAGATCCACTTTTTTTTTTAATAAAGAATTACATACAGCCTTATATTAACTATTTCTCTTGGTTATTGACTATCTCCTCAACCCCATTGCAATCTCCTTGCAGAGAAAATAACTCTCAGCCATCTTTCAGCTGCCATACAGCCAACTCATCACTGCCACGCAAAAATCTCCTTATCAATTCTAGGTACACAGTTGGTCCTCAGTCATCAAATACTTGTCAACTGAGTGGGACTGAATTTGGTAGGCAGCTTCTCAGATAGCTCTCAATACTCCCCACTGCCTGATATTCCCGAGTTTTGTTATCTTCTATTGAATGTGGGATGGACGCAGTAACTTGCTTCTAAAAAATGGAATGGGGAAGAAGTGATGTTATGTCACTTCCAATATTAGTTTACAACAAAACCCTGTGACTTCTACCTTCTGCATTCTCCCTGTCCACCCTTCCTCTAGGGAAGGCAAGCTGCTATGTTGGGCAGCCCTCAGGAGAGGCCCACATGACATGGGACTGAGGTCTCCAATCAACATCCTGCTAGGACTCAGGCCTTATGTCAAGAGAACATGATCCTCTCTGACTTGAACCTTGAGAACACTGCAGCTCTGAAGGACACCTTGATGGCAGTCATGTGAGAGGCACTGAGCCATGCATGCCTAGTGAATACATTCCTAGATTCTGAGATAATGAACTTCTCTTAAGCCCCTAAGTTTGGAGACAATTTCTTACATAGCAACAGAAAACTGATGTAGAGCATTGAGTAGTTGCTCAATAAATATTCTTAGCATGATCAAATAAATATCTTCTGGTTCCTTACAGATAATTAAGACGTATAAATTTAGAAACTTAGCAAAGTACCTTCTTTGATTTTATTTTGCAGTCTAAAACTATAGAAACATAAGTATAGAAATCAGTGATATTTTAGTCAAGTAACTTTTTGTGATGACACTATGTGTCAGGAAATGAATGTGATAGTGTCCAACTCCAAAATGGAGCTTCCAATCTAGAGGACACACACTCAATTTTCTTATTTTCTTGGTTGTCTCCATATGACTCATGTGGCCTGTAACAAGTTCAGGGTAAAAGAAAACTTAATATAAACCTGATAATTATTTTTAAAAGAGGATCAAGTCAGAAAAACCTGTATATAAGTCCTGGCTCTCTACTGACAAAGAGACCCAAGGGAGTGGGTAAATCTCTTCAAGTCCTTAATTTCTTCAACAGGAAAACGGGCATCATGATACTGACTTTGTTAAGGATTTCTACCCCAGCTTGCAAATTACTAATCCAAAGAAACTAAGTAATATTTATGGTCTCATTTACCATGCCTCCAAAAACAGAATCATCAAATAGGAAAACGCAGGTATGGTCAACTATGAGGATCCCACAGAAAAGTAAGTAACTTGGGGTAGAAGAACAGAAGCCTATGGGCAGGAATTCCTGACTGAGCATGACTATAAGCAAACCTATAAAATTAATTCCAATATGCATAGGTCACAGACTTTTTCTCCATATCCCCTAAACACATATGGAAATCAGAATCATTTATAGTTTGAGAAACATAAACTTAAAACACTAATTAATTCATAAAACAGATAATAAACATAAGAAACTTGTAAACCTGAGAAATGGTATGGAATGAAATGAAAATATAGAAATATATAACTGAAGGGGGCTTTAAAAATCCAAAGCTTATCTGAAAACCTTTTTTAAAAAACTCTAGTAAAAGGCAAAATCAGTGTTACAAAGTTTATTCATCAAAACTTGTATGTTTCAGTCTTTTGGTGCCCATGTACCTTCAGTTTACACACAATTCTAACAAAGATGGGAATTTGATTTTCCAGTCCTCTCTTGCTTAGGCTCAAACAGCCGCATAGTCAGATAAGCTGAAAATACAGAGAAGCAATAGTCTAACAGAAAAAACATAATTGGCAAAAGCCTTAAAAAGTAGCAATCTGCGGGGTGGAGCCAAGATGGCCAAATAGGAACAGCTCCAGTCTACAGCTCCCAGAATAAGTGACACAGAAGACGGGTGATTTCTGCATTTCCAACTGAGGTACCGGGTTCATCTCACTGGGGAGTGCCGGACAGTGGGTGCAGGACCGTGGGTGCAGCTCACCGTGTGTGAGCCGAAGCAGGGCGAGGCATCACCTCACCCAGGAAGCGCAAGAGGTCAGGGAATTCCCTTTCCTAGTCAAAGAAAGGGGTGACAGACAGCACCTGGAAAATCGTGTCACTCCCACCCTAATACTGCGCTTTTCCAACAGGCTTCACAAACGGCATACCAGGAGATTATATCCCGCACCTGGCTCAGAGGGTCCTACACCCATGGAGCCTCACTCATTGCTAGCACAGCAGTCTGAGATCAAACTGCAAGGCAGCAGCGAGGCTGGGGGAGGGGCGCCCGCCATTGCTCAGGCTTGAGTAGGTAAACAAAGTGGCCAGGAAGCTCAAAATGGGTGGAGCCCACCACAGCTCAAGGAGGCCTGCCTGCTTCTGTAGGCTCCACCTCTGGGGACAGGGCACAGACAAACAAAAGACAGCAATAACCTCTGCAGACTTAAATGTCCCTGTCTGACAGCTTTGAAGAGAGTAGTGGTTCTCCCAGTATGCAGCTTGAGATCTGAGAACAGGCAGACTGCCTCCTCAAGTGGGTCCCTGACCCCCAGTAGCCTAACTGGGAGGCACCCCCCAGTAGGGGCGGACTGACACCGCACACGGCTGGGTACTCCTCTGAGACAAAACTTCCAGAGGAACGATCAGGCAGCAACATTTGCCGTTCACCAATATCCGCTCTTCTGCAGCCACCGCTGCTGATACCCAGGCAAACAGGGTCTGGAGTGGATCTCCAGTAAACTCCAACAGACCTGCAGCTGAGGGTCCTGACTGTTAGAAGGAAAACTAACAAACAGAAAGGACATCCACACCAAAAACCCATCTGTACGTCACCATTATCAAAGACCAAAGGTAGATAAAACCACAAAGATGGGGAAAAAACAGAGCAGAAAAACTGGAAACTCTAAAAATCAGAGCACCTCTCCTCCTCCAAAGGAACGCAGCTCCTCACAGGAACGGAACAAAGCTGGACGGAGAATGACTTTGACGAGTTGAGAGAGGAAGGCTTCAGAAGATCAAACTATTCTGAGCTAAAGGATGAACCTCGAACCAATGGCAAAGAAGTTAAAAACTTTGAAAAAAAATGAGACGAATGGATAACTAGAATAACCAATGCAGAGAAGTTCTTAAAGGATCTGATGGAGCTGAAAACCACGGCACGAGAACTACGTGACAAATGCATAAGCCTCAGTAACCGATGCGATCAACTGGAAGAAAGGGTATCAGCGATGGAAGATGAAATGAATGGAATGAAGTGAGAAGGGAAGTTTAGAGAAAAAAGAATAAAAAGAAACGAACAAAGCCTCCAAAATATAAGGGACTATGTGAAAAGACCAAATCTACGTCTGATTGGTGTACCTGAAAGTGACGGGGAGAAAGGAACCAAGTTGGAAAACACTCTGCAGGATATTATCCAGGAGAACTTCCCCAGTCTAGCAAGGCAGGCCAACATTCAAATTCAGGAAATACAGAAAACGCCACAAAGATACTCCTTGAGAAGAGCAACTCCAAGACACATAATTGTCAGATTCACCAAAGTTGAAATGAAGGAAAAAATGTTAAGGGCAGCCAGAGAGAAAGGTCGGGTTACCCACAAAGGGAAGCCCATCAGACTAACAGCTGATCTCTCGGCAGAAACTCTACAAGCCAGAAAAGAGTGGGGGCCAATATTCAACATTCTTAAAGCAAAGAATTTTCAACCCAGAATTTCATATCCAGCCAAACTAAGCTTCATAAGTGAAGGAGAAATAAAATACTTTACAGACAAGCAAATGCTGAGAGATTTTGTCACCACCAGGCCTGCCCTACAAGAGCTCTTGAAGGAAGCACTAAACATGGAAAGGAACAACCTGTACCAGCCACTGCAAAAACATAACAAATTGTAAAGACCATCAAGGCTAGGAAGAAACTGCATCAACTAACGAGCAAAATAACCAGCTAACATCATAATGACAGGATCAAATTCACACATAACAATATTAACCTTAAATGTAAATGGGCTAAATGCTCCAATTAAAAGGCACAGACTGGCAAATTGGATAAAGAGTCAAGACCCATCAGTGTGCTGTATTCAGGAAACCCATCTCACATGCAGAGACACACATAGGCTCAAAATAAAGGGATGGAGGAAGATCTACCAAGCAAATGGAAAACAAAAAAAGGCAGGGGTTGCAATCCTAGTCTCTGATAAAACAGACTTTAAACCAACAAAGATCAAAAGAGACAAAGAAGGCCACTACATAATGGTAAAGGGATCAATTCAACAAGAAGAACTAACTATCCTAAATATATATGCACCCAATACAGGAGCACCCAGATTCATAAAGCAAGTCCTTAGTGACCTACAAAGAGACTTAGACTCCCACACAATAATAATGGGAGACTTTGATACCCCAGTGTCAACATTAGATAGATCAATGAGACCGAAAGTTAACAAGGATATCCAGAAATTGAACTCAACTCTGTACCAAGAGGACCTAATAGACATCTACAGAACTCTCCACCCCAAATCAACAGAATATACATTCTTTTCAGCACCACACCACAACTATTCTAAAATTGACCACATAGTTGGAAGTAAAGCACTCCTCAGCAAATGTAAAAGAACAGAAATTATAACAAACTCTGAGACCACAGTGCAATCAAACTAGAACTCAGGATTAAGAAACTCACTCAAAACCACTCAATTACATGGAAACTGAACAGCCTGCTCCTGAATGACTACTGGGTACATAACAAAATGAAAGCAGAAATAAAGATGTTCTTCGAAACCAGCAAGAACAAAGACACAACATACAGAATCTCTGGGACAAATTCAAAGCAGTGTGTAGGGGGAAGTTTATAGCACTAAATACCCACAAGAGAAAGCAGGAAAGATCTAAAATTGACACCCTAACGTCACAATTAAAAGAACTAGAGAAGCAAGAGCAAACACATTCAAAAGCTAGCAGAAGACAAGAAATAACTAAGATCAGAGCAGAACTGAAGGAAATAAAGACACAAAAAACCCTTCAAAAATCAATGAATCCAGGAGCTGATTTTTTGAAAAGATCAACAAAATTGATAGACCATTAGCAAGACTAATAAAGAAGAAAAGAGAGAAGGATCAAATAGACGCAAATAAAAAATGACCAAGGGGATATCACCACCAATCCCACAGAAATACAAACTACCATCAGAGAATACTACAAACACCTCTATGCAAATAAACTAGAAAATCTAGAAGAAATGGATAAATTCCTCAACACATACACTCTCCCAAGACTAAACAAGGAAGAAGCTGAATCTCTGAATACTCCAATAACAGGATCTGAAATTGAGGCAATAATTAATAGCTTACCAACTAAAAAAAGTCCAGGACTAGATGGATTCACAGCCGAATTCTACCAGAGATACAAGGAGGAGCTGGTACCATTCCTTCTGAAACTATTCCAATCAACAGAAAAAGAGGGAACCCTCCCTAACTCATTTTATGAGGCCAGCATCATCCTGATACCAAAGCCTGGCAGAGACAAAACAAAAAAAGAGAATTTTAGACCAATATCCTTGATGAACATTGATGCAAAAATCCTCAATAAAATACTGGCAAACCGAATCCAGCAACACATCAAAAAGCTTATCCACCATGATCAAGTGGGCTTCATCCCTGGGATGCAAGGCTGGTTCAATATACGCAAATCAATAAATGTAATCCAGCATATAAACAGAGCCAAAGACAAAAACCACATGATTATCTCAATAGATGCAGAAAAAGGTCTTTGACAAAATTCAGCAACCCTTCATGCTAAAAACTCTCAACAAATTAGGTATTGATGGGACGTATCTCAAAATAATAAGAGCTATCTATGACAAACCCACAGCCAATATCATACTGAATGGACAGAAACTGGAAGCATTCCCTTTGAAAACTGGCACAAGACAGGGATGCCCTCTCTCACCACTCCTATTCAACATAGTGTTGGAAGTTCTGGCCAGGGCAATCAGGCAGGAGAAGGAAATAAAGGGGATTCAATTAGGGAAACAGGAAGTCAAATTGTCCCTGTTTGCAGATGACATGATTGTATATCTAGAAAACCCCATTGTCTCAGCCCAAAATCTCCTTAAGCTGATAAGCAAATTCAGCAAAGTCTCAGGATACAAAATCAATGTGCAAAAATCACAAGCATTCTTAAACACCAATAACAGACAAACAGAGAGCCAAATCATGAGTGAACTCCCATTCACAATTGCTTCAAAGAGAATAAAATACCTAGGAATCCAACTTACAAGGGATGTGAAGGACCTCTTCAAGGAGAACTACAAACCACTGCTCAATGAAATAAAAGAGGATACAAACAAATGGAAGAACATTCCATGCACATGGGTAGGAAGAATCAATATCATGAAAATGGCCATACTGCCCAAGGTAATTTATAGATTCAATGCCATCCCCATCAAGCTACCAATGACTTTCTTCACAGAATTGGAAAAAACTACTTTAAAGTTCATATGGAACCAAAAAAGAGCCCGCATTGCCATGTCAATCCTAAGCCAAAAGAACAAAGCTGGAGGCATCACGCTACCTGACTTCAAACTATACTACAAGGCTGCAGTAACCAAAACAGCATGGTACTGGTACCAAAACAGAGATGTAGACCAATGAAACAGAACAGAGCCCTCAGAAATAATGCCACTTATCTACAACTATCTGATCTTTGACAAACCTGACAAAAACAAGCAATGGGGAAAGGATTCCCTATTTAATAAATAGTGCTGGGAAAACTGGCTAGCCGTATGTAGAAAGCAGAAACTGGATCCCTTCCTTACACGTTATACAAAAATCAATTCAAGATGGATTAAAGACTTACATATTAGACCTAAATCCATAAAAACCCTAGAAGAAAACCTAGGCAATACCATTCAGGACATAGGCATGGGCAAGGACTTCATGTCTAAAACATCAAAAGCAATGGCAACAAAAGCCAAAATTGACAAATGGGATCTAATTAAACTAAAGAGCTTCTGCACAGCAAAAGAAACCACCATCAGAGTTAACAGGCAACCTACAGAATGGGAGAAAATTTTTGCAACCTGCTCATCTGACAGAGGGCTAATATCCAGAATCTACAATGAACTCAGACAAATTTACAAGAAAAAAACAAACAACCCCATCAAAAAGTGGGCGAAGGATATGAACAGACACTTCTAAAAAGAAGACATTTATGCAGCCAAAAAACACATGAAAAAATGCTCATCATCACTGGCCATCAGAGAAATGCAAATCAAAACCACAATGAGATACCATCTCACACCAGTTACAATGGCGATCATTAAAAAGTCAGGAAACAACAGGTGCTGGAGAGGATGTGGAGAAATAGGAACACTTTTACACTGTTGGTGGGACTGTAAACTAGTTCGACCTTTGTGGAAGTTGGTGTGGTGATTCCTCAGGGATCTAGAACTAGAAATACCATTTGACCCAGCCATCCCATTACTGGGTATATACCCAAAGGATTATAAATCATGCTGCTATAAAGACACATGCACACATATGTTTATTGCTGCACTATTCACAATAGCAAAGACTTGGAACCAACCCAAACGTCCAACAATGATAGACTGGATTAAGAAAATGTGGCACATATACACCATGGAATACTATGCAGCCATAAAAAATGATGAGTTCATGTCCTTTGTAGGGACATGGATGAAGCTGGAAACCATCATTCTCAGCAAACTATCACAAGGACAGAAAACCAAACACCGCATGTTCTCACTCATAGGTGGGAATTGAACAATGAGAACACATGGACACAGGAAGGGGAACATCACACACTGGGGACTGTTGTGGGGTGGGGGGAGGGGGGAGGGATAGCATTAGGAGATATACCTAATGCTAAATGAGGAGTTAATGGGTGCAGCACACCAACATGGCACATGTATACATATGTAAGAAACCTGCACATTGTGCACATGTACCCTAAAACTTAAAGTATAATAATAATAAAAAAAGAAGAAAAAAGTAAGTAGCAATCTGAGGCCATTTGATAAAGAGAAAGGAAGACCTGTATTTCCCAATAGCATCAATGTATGCATCACTATTTTATAGAAGTGGGTAAGTATTCTTACTAAACTAAGTGTTTCCAAAAATGCTAAAATTATGTTTTGCATTTTATTTCCCTAAACTTGGAAATGTTCCATAACTTTTAAAAAATGTTATTTGGCCTTGAGAAATATATATGATGCCACATTTCAGTCATCTATTGAATTCAGATATCAATTCTCCTAACTTGGTGGCAGCAGACAAAATATTAAATAAATGCATATAAAGGGATTACAGACACCTAATGAGTCACCGTGGGACACAAGGCTGTGTAAAGTAGGCCCTAACCTTTGATGCTGACATCCAGAAAGATGAGCATGGCTGTGCTCAGCAAGTCCCTTGGGACTCTCAGGCAGAAGGTTCTGCAGTTGGGCACATAACCACCTGAGAAAGTAGTTTCAAGCTGCTAGCATCCAGATTTTTCTTTCTAGGTGTGTTGAGAGGAAAGAGAGGGATACATCATGGATTATTTTTCTGCAATATCACACTGTACTTTCCTAGTATAGACAGGGTCCTCAATCAATTTGACCTATGTTGTCAATTGTCCTATTTGCAAGTTTGTTAACCAAGAGGTACTTTCCTACCTAATCATTTTCTCCCAGTGGTTTGTTAAGGGACTCACACTGCACGGAAACAATCTGAAGGACATTCTCCACTGGCTCCTAGAGATCTACTCTCTACTCTGCTCTGGGCTCTGAAAGGCTGATCTTAAAAGCCTGCCTCAAAACCCATCTGGCTTCCAGGTGGGATAGCCATGAGAGATAGAAGCAAGAGAATAGAGAGCAGGAGGGAAGGACACTGGCATCTTGTACCTCTGGTTTTTATTCTCTGAACTACTTGTTGGAGGTGGCTTCCTAATTGTTATTAACTAATCTATTTGCATGCAGTAAAATCCATTTTACTCATACCATTTGATGACTTTTGACAAAAATGTACACCTGTGTAACCACTGCCACAATCAAGAAAGAAAGCTTTTTATTACCATAAAATGTTTTCTACTTCTTTCTTGCCACAAGTCCCTATCTCCCCAGCCCCAGCAACAACTGATCTCATTTCTGTCATTATGGATTTGTTTTACCTTCATTAGAATTTAATATAAATGGAATCATAGAGTATGAACTCTTTGGTTCAACATAATTATTTTGAGATGTATCTATGTTGTTGAGTCTATCAATAGTTCATTACATTTTATTGCTTTGCAGTATTCCATCTGGCCTATCACATCAAAGACTGTGACTACTGTCATTAGGTCTTCTCCTACAACTAGCATTCTCTGCAGTTCCACCATCCTTGTTGATTGCCCTTCAGTCTGACACCACCTTTGTAAATAGGACCTATACTGAACCCTTCTCTATGATATGTTCTGTCTGTCTTCTGCTGGGTCTTTAACTGACCCACAATCACTTAGGAAATACATTATTAGAAGAGTATATAAACTTTTTATTCTCTAAGGAAATAAAAGCTTTTATAGGCATTGTGTTAGTCTATTTGGTGCTGCTATAATGAAATACCACAGACTGGGGAATTTGTAGAGAGCAAAAATGTTTCCTCATAGTTCAGGAGGCTGGGAAGTCCAAAATCAAGGTACTGGCATTTTGTGAGGACCTTCTTGTTGTGTCCTCACATGATGGAATGCAGAAGGGCAACAGATAGCTGATTGCTACCAGAAGCCTCTATTCTAAGGACCTTAATCCCATTAACAAGAGAAAAGCCCTCATGGACTAATAACCTCTTAAAGGCCCTACCTCTTAAGAGCATCACAATGGCAACACCTGACTCTTGGAGACAACACATTCAAACCACAGCAGGCATGATCCTGACATCTTTTGTTATGTCCCATTGTGGCAAGAAGTAGGTATCAGCCTTTTTTTAACCACAAAAAGAAGAGAAATGTGGAGATATCCTGCTCTTTGCCTATGATAGTTGGAGGTAAAATGGTCTAAAACCTTAAATGTCTAATCCTTTAATGTTCTTTTAATTATTTAAAAATAGTTTATTTCTTCAGACTATAAAAGATATGTGTGTTAAATGAATATTTTTGATACTTGGAAAATGCAGAAAAGTATAAAGAAAAAATAAAAATCATCCATAAACTCACCATCCTGTGATAAACACAGAATATTTCTTTCAAATCCATTTTTATTTAATGATGATCCATATGCACCTATTTTAAATAAATTAGATTCCCAGGGTAGTTTTGTATCCTGCCCTTTTCCAACTAAATATTATTGCCAGCATTTTCATTATCATTAAATATTATTTCAGAGCGTTATTTTTAATGGCCATATAAATCTTACATTGTCTAACACATGTGCTCGATTACTTTTCTATTGTTTGTAATTTACTGCTTCCAACAGGGATCTAAATTTTGTAGAAAGCAAACCAAGATTCAGTTCACTCTTTGGCCATTATGATGGTGTTCTTTGACATTTGGGGCCAGCCTAGTTCCTAAATAGAATTTAAAATCAAGGGATTTAACAATTGAGAGAAAGGTGCTTGACAGCTAATCGAGGAGAACAGTCATTTGGGGAATATTCACTGGTCCTAACAAGGAAAATCGTGGGGTTCTCAGACTCCACCTCCAGATAACTTCTAAAGCCTGCCCTGATAAGGTTCAATTAAGATGAGAAAGATCAGGTAACTTTGCAGGAAGACCGTAATTCCTGCAATACCAAATGTCAAATGTTGCCATTTTAGCTGTTCTGGGTGACTGCCTTGTTATTTCTGAGGGTTTTAAGGGTAGTATTTGTCAATGGCAGCATCACTGCCTTTTCAAAGTAATTAACTTTGTACCCAAAAATAAACTTAATTGTTTAACCACTGGTGTATTAAGCACCATGGGAGGGATGTACCATTTTCTTTGGAAATAAATCTGATTTCTTCAGTCTCCCGAGTTATTTCTCCAGGAACCATGTTATTGTCCTGTAAAATGGTCCACCTCTCCATTGTCTCCTAAGTAGCAGTTAGCTGGGGAGAAAACAGTTATATTGATATATGAAGTTGGAGGCAGATGCCAAGCTAATTGATCTGAGTAGGTTAAATGGGAGGAAATTCTTCCAAGAATCAATAGAGGTGCTAATTTGACTAATTGTTGGATAGTGTTTCTTTTTTAAGTGAGTGATTTTCCCAATTACTGTTTATCATGTTGTTGTTTTTTTTTGCCCTGAGTTTATCAGTTTTAACTTTACTAAACCTTCCATAATATTGGCTTCCAATGTGTCTTTACCCCTAAAGTTTTAATTGGCCATCTGGTGACAGGTTGTTTTCCTGGATGTGCTGATCTACGGTACAAAAACTAGGCCTGGCCTGTTACCAAGATGACTCCAGCAGAGAAAATTTTCTACCAATGGAATTGAAAACAAAAACAAGAGTTCTCGTCTTATTAGAGTTGAAGGACCAAGGAATAGAAGCTTAAGCATACTATTTAAAGTTACAAGGGCAACCGATAGACAAATTAAAGACGAACCCCTTATTGATTTACAAACTAGGAAGAGGAATGTAGAAGGGGTGGATAGTAAACTATTTCCATACCTTTCCAGAGGTGTGTGTATGGGGGGACATCAATAGATATTGCTTATGACTGATGATTCAGAACACGGTCAACAATGGATGCAAGGAGTGGAAGTGAGAAGGAAGGAGGGAGAAAAGGAAAGAGATTTTTATTTTTATTTTTTTAACTCCACTATGTAATTGTATTAGTCCATTTTCATGCTGCTGATAAAAACATACTCAAGACTGGGTAATTTATAAAGAAAAAATGGTTTAATGGACTCACAGTTCCACATGACTGGGAGGCCTCATAATCATGATGGAAGGCAAAAGGCACATCTTACATGGTGGCAGACCAGAGAGAATGAGAATCTAGTAAGAGAGGAAACCTCCTATAAAACCATCAGATCTCATGAGACTTATTCACTATCATAAGAATAGTATGGGGGAAACCGCCCCCATGATTCAATTACCTCTCACCAGGTCCCTCCCACAACATGTGGGAATTATGGGAGCTACAAATTAAGATGACATTTGGGTGGGGACACAGCCAAACCATATCAGTAATAATTTAAAAATAATAATAACATAAACAAAGATGTTGGGGGTTTAGAAAGAACGGTGAGGAGATAAGAGCAAATGGGGAATCCTAGAGTCTTATAACGTAAGGGCTGAAAGAGACCTACAAGAACAAAGTTCCATTCTCTCCCTTTACAAATAACAGACTAACAGACAGATAGTTGAATAATAGAGAATATTAGAAACATCAAAACTCAAAAAAGACAAAAGAGAGTATACTCTACTCATATGCATGATATTTTCTTGGAATAATACTTGGAAAGTTCTTCTTGCTAACCCCCACCTCCCAAGATTCTAAAGCCTGCTCACTAATGCCTGAAATTCTCTTAAGAAGGGACTAAGCTTTTCATTCCAAAATGAAGGACACCCTAGGGAAAAATTTACACATTAACTCAGGGTTCTGCTTGAGTGATTTTGACCTAAATTGGAACAAAGGTTTAAATGTCTTACATTAGAAGAGTACAAAGCTCTGAACACTGAGATAGAGGAAACTGTCAATATGAGCTTTAAAAGGGATGGCCAAAAGCACCAGATACAAATATTTTGCATCCTAACTGTCTCCTGCTGTGTTTCCTGCTGTCCACTCTCTTTCTTCAGCCTTCTTGTTTCTACCTGTGAATTGGTCCATGATGTTGTAGTTGTTTTATGGTTAAAATCAGCATTGGAATTGGATTTTCAAATAGCTACTGTTCAATTTTGGCTGGAATCATTGGCAGATCTTCCTGCGGGAGTTTTTACTGTCATATCAGGGTGGTAATGAGAAACTTGAATCAACACACTGGCTGGTGGCTAACTGGAAAGAGAGAAGAAGTTTTCAAAGCCTTCCCCCAGGAAATTCATTGGTTAAAAGAATCCACAAAAACAGCAGGGAATGAATAAGTGTATCCCTGCCGGTAATGTGTCAATATTGTCATCATCATCATCATTGTCACTACATTTGGGTTGTCATGGAATCTAGAACAACTTCTTTCACTTCTCTGAAGATCAGCCTGATCCTCTATAAAATGGGGAGATTGAATATTTCTCTGCCCACCTAGTAGAGTTAGGAGACACAAACATGGGAAAAGAAGTGAGGCAAAGATGCACAGGAAAGCCATTAGAAAGCACCAAGCAAATATGAACATAATCAGAAATGATCCCACGGTCATGAGCTCTTTGAGGTCAGCTGTCCCACAGAGTATAGCATACAGTGCTGCTCATCATGGACATTCAAATGTGTTTTATGTATGTGTAGCAGAGAAAACAGGGCAAAAATAAACAAAAATGGAAACTGACAATGTAACAGATTCCATAAGGCAGCATACGACTAGCCAGGGGTATGTATAGACAGTGCTATAATTTCAGAGGACACTGAGACCTCCAGAGGGACTCTGGAGTAATGTTGTGAAGGAGAAACTTCTGCTGGGTCTTGAAGGCCAGAGTGGGTTTAACTGGATACTAAAAAAGAGAGAAGTCAATAGAAGATAAGAGCCCAATGTAATTGGCAAATTTATCAAGTGTTTACAATGCATCCAGATATGATTGTCTGGTAGCCCTTTACGTGTAATTTTTAGTCTCCCCAAGAACTTTCTGAGGCATAGGTATAAATCATGTAGATGAGGCCTGCCAGAGAAACTCTCAACATGGTTTTTAAAGCTAAGCAATAGCTTTCAGGATGTGTCACTGACAGGCTTAAGGCCTCGAATGGGAGAAAAGAGAAAAAAGAGGCTGATAGACAATAGTGGTGAAAGAAACAAAATGGAAGAAAGTAAAAAATAAAATTAGCAAGTGGATGGAATAGAAAAAGCAAAATGGGTAGATGGAAGATGGGATAGAAAGGAGGTGAAGTGATGTATGAGCCTGAGCATGGTAAAGGGGAACAATGATGCCAAAGGCTCCATGAGGTTACCATTCCCACATGGGCTGGGCCAAGCTCAAGGTTAATTATTAGAAAACAAGAGCTCTGACCCTGGGTTCACTACTAATTAGTCAAGAAGCCCTGAGCAATCTGACCAACCTGCAACTGACCTCCTCACTTTATCTGTTTCTTATTCTGGTATGTCACCTCTCCTAAGCACAGCATTAAATGATTGGGAGAGGAAAATGAGCATATATTATGTGAAAACATTTGGAATTAAAAATGCATCAAGCAGAATATTTCATTGTACTTCAAGAAAGCATTGAACATCAACCAAGATCCATATTAGGTTTTAAAGATTAGAGATACGCAATACCTAGCCTCTACCGTCAAAGACCTCACAGACCACTGATGGAGACAAGATATATTAACAAATGTATTGCCAAAACAGTATGAAGAGTGTAAAAAGAAAAACACATTCCAGGAGTACAGAATGGTTAACTCTATCAGGGGAGGTCAGGGAAAGCTCAGGGGAAGTGTCATAGGAAGAAAATGTGGATGTCAGTATTTGTTTTATGAGAAAAAAAATAAAAGGAAAGTAATGAAGGGAAAGATAAGAAGTAAATAAAATGTCCTACTTTAAACCTACCTAATTCAGTATCAAATGAACAATGTATTTTGTTAATGCCCAACTTTCTTTCTCTGTGATTTTAATCAAGTCCAAAATGATACTTGGGAGATTAAATTACCACCCACAAGACCTTGATTTATCCAGGGAAAAATGGACTGTTTGAGCCTCTATCCCCTGAACAGAACAGACAAGCCAATTTTGCCTTGAAAAAATCAACAGATAGAGGCATAACAAAGGTCATATATTATGAGGCTGCAGATGGAAATTCTGCCCCAGCAGTTACATTGACACAGTTATTACTGTTATTACAGCTAAACATCCTCATTCCGCTGACATTATTAACCAAGACAAACGTGGCCCTGCAGCTTTATTTCATGGGGCAGATCACCTATTAAACCAAGAACAATATCATTGTCTTTTGTAGCACTTCCAAAATTGTTTCCTGCCTCTAAGAGGTTTCCTGGGCTTTTTTCCCTTACCATCAAAATAGACACCATCCATCTCCTATATGCTGTTATATGGCCAAGTTCTGTTTTGCATTTCCCAGTTTATTCCCATAATAGTCACTCAGGTAAGAGGTGTGCAACAGTTGTAAAATGAAAACATTATGAAATCATCAACATGCTCTCTAGCAATCTCATTTAGATACGTACAGAGTCAATCAGTCCCTTAAGAAGCCCAAAATTTATCAGGCTATTTTTTCCCTCTGCCCAAAAATGCAGGCATCAGGATCCATTAGTGAAATTTATCACAGAACTTGAGAGTGCTCCCTTAATCTGGAGAAAGAGACAAACTCTCAGAGAGGATGAGTGATCTAACAAAGATTATGTGAATATATGTGACTGGACAAAGACTAAAACTGAGGTATCTAAACATATTATCACCTATTTATCTAGGTGAAATGGCTACTCTTTTTGAAACGAGAATGCAGATCATTATTTGTTATGTGAGTGATGAACCAAAATTCAAACACCTTTATTGAGCTTATGAGTTGGGCTGATTTTTGCATGACAATTTTCCTCATTTAATTATACCTTTCTTACCTCAATTAATTTACTGAGTAAATGTAAATATCATTTCCACACTCCATGTGCCTCGGATTTATTTCAATCTGATAATGTTCCCTTCTTGTCAAAAGGGGAACAAATCCCCTGTAAGCATTGATGCCCCTAGAACTGACATTAGTGACTATTTTTTATGGAGTCTTAGGTGCATTGTGTAATTATAAATATAAACTCTGACAGAAATAATTATGGTAATCATTCAACAGCATCCTCTGTTCTCCTGTGAATGGTAACCTCAAGAGTCAGGGTCCAACAAGAAGTCCGGGACAATGTAATCCTTAAGAAAAAAGAAATAGCTTTTAGGTTTTATGAAACTCCAAATAATCAAGTCTGTCCAAGGAGATTTGCCATATGGTTTGGGCTTTTGCATGCCTTTTCTTGAATTTTCTTCTCTAATAAAATACACCGACGTGTCGCTGTTGAACAACAACAAAATAGCAGGACTCAATGTTCCAGTGGCATCAAGGTCAAGAGACTGACTTGTGAGGGCCTCTGTGGTCTGTCTCTCCCGTGGCCTCCACTCTCGCGGCCAACCTGGCCGATGGCAAAAGAGATGAGTGGAGGCAGAACCCTGTTGTTTCGGTGGTTTCTCTGGTCTGTGGGCAGTCGGACTGATCCAGGGCCAGACCCGGCTCCCCAGCTCTTTGCCTTTTGGCGACCAGCCACCTGGAGTCTGTTCAAATGAACAAGCTGCCTTTTCTTCCTACATATTGGTTTCTCCTCCATTTGAAAACAAAACTCTTCCCCATCTGCTTGCTTCTGGGATCACCATAATTGCATGGAGGATAATTGGCGGCAACTCAATCTGAGGAAAACCCTGTTGATTCGAAGCACAGTCTCAATAAACGTTTGTGTTTCATCGTTTAGCTAAATGGAGCCTGCGTCCCAGCCAGCTCTGCTAATGCAAAAGTGGAAATTAATAGGAGGCATATGAGAAGGAGGGGAAGCATTGAACAACGCTCTGCCATGACCCCTTTGTTTCTAAGGAGCCTCTATTATCAGGGAATCCATTGATTTGTCTGGATCATGTCCCCAAAACCCATAAAACACCAAAGTAAATGATGCACCCTTCAAACCAGTGGGACTGGCAAGAGTAGGGCCATTTTCCTGACTAAGCTATGGCTCTGGATCTGAGAACTGAGCCAGTCAACTCCCACAAAAAGGAAAAGAGCATTGCTTTGATACCTAACATTTGCCTTGTAAAATGGTCATTGCCTGCCATGAAAGAAGCCACTAGCGTTTGTGCACAATCTATGAGCAGAGAGCATTGAAGCAAGAGAACAAACTTGTCATTCACATACCTGGGTTCGAGTCCTGCCTCTGATACTTATTAGTTATGTAACCTTGAGCATATCCTTCAATCATTCTCAGCTTTAGTGTCTCATCTCCAACATGGGGATGAAGAATCATTTCTAACTCATAGGGTTGCTGCAAATAAGATTATTTATGTAAGGATCAGATCAGTACCTGACGCATAGTCAGCTCTGGAAAACTTGGCTATTATCACTTATGAAGTTGGTGTTTATTCAACCAACCTTTACTGAGCATTTACTATCTAGCAGTCACTGAATTATATGCTGGAAATACCACAAAGAAAAATATGGACAAGGTTTTTGCCCTCACAATCTTAGAGACTTATAAAGGAGACAGACAATAAACAAACAAACAAAAAAATTGTAAACAACATAATTTGAAATAGTAACAATTTCTATGACGAAAATAAAACCAAGTAGATTGGGTAGAGAGAGGCTGTGGTGATGCTACTACTTTAGATAGGTTATTCAGGGAAGGCCTTTCTAAGGAAGAACTTTCTGAGCTGCCACCTTAATGCTTAAGCATAGAAAAAACTAGTACAAAGGCCTAGTAATGGACATGGTCTTGCCATATTCAAGGAAAAAAAAAAAAAAGAAAACCAGGGAGGTTGTAACACAGTGGACAAAGGGTAAATGAGACATGAGATGAAGTCAGAGGGATTGCAGGACTTTGTGGTTCAAGGTACACATTTTTTTGTGTGCAATTGAAGGCTCTGAAAGGAACTGTTGTCATGTGATTTACATGTTTAAATGTTCAGTCAGGCTGCTTTGCCAACCGACTGGCAAGGGCAAGAGCAGAAGCACCCACAGCAGCTGGCGCAGTGGGTTCAATGAAAGATGATGGTCACTTTGACTAGGGTGGTAGCAGTGGAGATGAAGAGAGGTGGGCAGCATTCAAGCCATACACCATTCTTGCTATGTAAGTCAGCTCAGCACATGTTTACTTTCACTGATCTGATTAAGGTTTTGTGTCAAACCCAGAGTTCACCTGTACAGCAACACACAGGGTTAAAATGAGTTCTCTTCCAAAGACTTCTTTTCACTCTGCCAGGCTGGCAGAGTGGGGTAGTGGAAAGTCCCCTGAACTTTTAGTCGAAAGAACTGAGAATGAGCTGGGCTCTGCCATCCACCAGCTGTGTCACTTTGATCACGTCACTCAACACACAGCCTCAGTTACCTCATCTGTAAAATACAGGGGTTCTTACCAAACTCATAGAATCGTGAAGATAATGTACATGAAAACTGTTCTGTGAACTTCAACATTATATTGGAATGTAAGGAAGTATTTCTAAACAGAGAGCTAGAACAGATGCTTCTGATGTTCTTGATGTCCCCAGCCCAACCATAAGGGCCAACTGGGCTACATCCTGTTTGAGTTTCTATATCAGTTTCCTATAGCCATGGTAACAGATTTCACAATTCTCTCACAGTTCTGGAAGCTATAATCCCAATATTGAGATGTGAACAAACCAATCTCCTTCCAAAGCCTCTAGGGAAGAATCCTTCCTCGCCTCTTGGAGTTTCCAATAGTCCCAGGTGTTCCCTGGCTTTCAGTAGCATGACTCCGGCATTGCCTCCATCTTCCCAGGGCCACCTTCCTCTGTGTCTGTGTGTCGCTGTAGCTTCACCTGACATTCCTCTTTCTGTTTCTCTGGTTTCTCTTCTTATAAGGATATCAGTTATATTGGATTAGGGCCCACCCTAATTGAGGATGATCTCTTCTTCACTTGATTACAGCTGCAAAGATCCTATTTCTAAATAAGGGTACCAAATACCGAAAGTAAGGACTTTGGCCAGGCACATTGGCTCATGCCTGTAATCTCAGCTCTTTGGGAGGCCAAGGCAGGCAGATCACTTGAGTCCAGGAGTTCAAGACCAGACTGGGCAACATGGCAAAACCCATCTCTACAAAAAATACAAAATTTAGCCAGGCATCGTGGCATGCACCTGTAGTCCTAGCTACTCAGGAAGCTGAGGTTGCAGTGAGCCAACAGCGTGCCACTACACTCCAGCTAGGGTGACAGAGTGAGACCCTGTCTCAAAAAAAAAGAACTTTAACATTTCTCTTTGGGCAGGACACACACAAAAATAAATATTCAGATCTAGACTGCCCTGGTGTCTTGGTAAACAGAAGAGCAATAACCAGTTTTAAGTTTCAGGAGGTGTCTTGGCAAGAGGGCAAAATCAAGAATCCAAAGGATAGAATCATAAGGAGATGGGATGAGATGGGCTAAGCATTATGTTAAAACCAAAAATTAAGCTGGAGCCATCTGGTGGCCCCAGGCAGGGAGGTTCAAGGTGGAAGAAATATGGAAAAGAGAGAACACAGAGCAAGTTGGCATTGTTATCGGGAAAGAAAGCATTAAACTGGTACAACTGGAAATTAAGCTGGTACAACTGGGAGCAGTGAGGGCAGTTGTAGAGTTGTTGGCACACACAATGGATACTGCCTGGGCATTTCATTTGCCCGGCAAAGAGTAGGTTGCCCAACAAGAAACAAAGAAAATGATTCAAAGAAAGCAGGTTTCATGTTCTGCAGGTCCTTAATTGAGCACAGGTGGAAGCCCTAAAGAAATTAGGCTGTAAGTCACTGTGAATCGTATGTGTGTTTGACAGTGGCTCAGGCTGGCAGGTAGCCATGTTCCTGGGCGGACAAATTGAAGAATTAAAAATATCTTCTTTTGTTGGGTTCCTTTTTTGTTTGTTTTAATAAAACTTCAATTTAAAACTTTCATTAATATATACTCAATTTTACAAAACAGAGATAGTAAGTAATAATTCCAACATCTTAACACTTTTCTTCCTTAGCTAGGGGAGGGACTCTAATCCTGGGATTAATCAGGTACATTAAAAAAATACTCAAATGGAGCTTTGTGGGATGTCATCTGAAAGAAATTAATTCAAAGAATGTTGAATTTTATGTAGAAAGGAAATAATCAGAATATTCTCTTTCCACAAGAAATCGTAGTGGCTTCCAGCGATCAAAGCAGTGGGCAAATCATTATCCTAGAGCTGGTGAAATGAAATGTGGACTTTGAATCCATAAAGTGGAACTGACAGTGCTTCTTCCGTGGCATCAAGTACTGCCATGTGAATTTTACTATATACTATTTCACTCACATATGTCATATAAAACCACAGTAACACACATTTATTAGCATCAACACTGTGCTACATTCTTAGAGATATATGAATATGTTAATGTAGTTTTGTGTCTCTGAGTTTATATATTTACTCATCTAGCACTCACACTAGACTGAAAGCCCCCCAAAATCAGGAGCTGTCTTTCATCTCCATATCTGTGGACCATCGTGTAATCATAGCCCCCAAAAATATATGTATCTAAGATACAAATAGCTCACTTTTCCTTAAATCTATGAGAAAAAACTCTCTGGGTGAGTGACATTTGAACTGAGGCTTGGCAGAAGAATAGAAGGACATACTAAGCAGAGAAAATGAAAGCATGAAAGTAGGGAGTCATTCAGAAAAAAATTAGAAAATGGCAATTTTGATGTTAAGTTCAAAAAGTTAGCTGGTGCCACATGGTGGCCCCAAGAGAATGATCCCAACCCTCCTTTCCAGAACTCAGTGTCAGTTAGGGTTTAATCTAGAAAGAGAAATAACACCAGGTATTTCCGTCGGGAAGATATTTAATATAGGTAATTGGGAGCTTAGAGAATTTCAAGAGCTGCTGGAAGAGATGGTTCCAGGCTGATCCTCCAGGAACAGCTGGATCAGCATAGAATTGAGCCACCAGGAGAGCTACTGCATTGGAGAGAACTGGGGCTGTGCCAGGATCAAGAACCCACTTGTATCGGTTGTCCCACAATAACGGCCTCCAGATGCCCAGGAAGCTGACAGTGGACAGTGAATGCAGCTGCAGAAACATCTACCTACCCATGCCCTTGGTCCAAGAGGAAGGGCAGAAAGATGCCCTCCACTTCACTGGCACCTCCCAGATATTGCACAGAATCACTCACTGGTGGAAGCTAATTCAAATCCAGAGCCCTATCTAGAAAGAATTCGAAGAAACGCAGTTTAAGATGGTTTTCACCTCTTTAATGTCTCCAACTAGAAAGAAGGTGGAGGTTTAAATTATTCAAACCAAAATATCCACAAAACTATATTACAGTATTAAAGTGAAGATGATAAATATGATGGTTTGGGAATTTTTGCCTGGCTGCCATATGCACGAGGAACTAACCAGAGTCTGAAACAGAGAAACCAATGTAAACAAATAACAGAGTTTTTAATTTATATTGTCAATAAATATTAATCAGATATTTTATCAGTTCCTAAAAATGTTGTTTTAATATTTTTCCTACTTTGGAGAGTGTGTGTGTGTGTTTTAAGAAAACTGCTTTATGACCGATAAGGGCATTTATCAGTAGGGAACAATGAAATACTGATAAGGAAAAAGCATCTCTTGGCTCAGAAGGGCTGCCCACAGTTGTCATCTTACACTGTGCCTTGCTGAATCCTGGAGCCATCCACGGGATTTCTTGAATTAGTTTGGCATTTTAAATATTGGCTGCAGTTTTAGGTCAAGCAATGGTTTACATTTCTTTTTTTTTTTTTTTTTTTTTTTGAGACGGAGTCTCGTTTTGTCGCCAAGACTGGAGTGCTGTGGCGCGATCTCCGCTCACTGCAAGCTCCGCCTTCCGGGTTCACACCATTCTCCTGCCTCAGCCTCCCGAGTAGCTGGGACTACAGGCGCCCGCCACTGCGCCCGGCTAATTTTTTGTATTTTTAGTAGAGACGGGGTTTCACCGTGGTCTCGATCTCCTGACCTCGTGATCCACCCGCCTCGGCCTCCCAAAGTGCTGGGATTACAGGCGTGAACCACCTCGCCCGGCCAATGGTTTACATTTCTATGGGGTTTGTTCAATATGGTGCCTTAGGTTTGGGTATTTGTGAACTGTCATTGTAATTGTGCATCTAATATGATGTGACTTCAGTATGTCCCTTACACTAAAACCACCCAAGCAGCTTTCAGAACTATAAGGGTATTAATAAGGGTATTTATAAGGGTATTAATAAGGGTATTAATAAGGGTATTAATAAGGGTATTAATAAGGGTATTAGTTTAGGGGAAAAAAAAATCTCCATTTAAAAACAGAAATAACAATGGCCACATTAGCAGTAAGGCTTTCAAGATTTGTGACTGTGAGAAAACAAAGTCTCAATCACTTTATGGCTACTAAGCTTCTCTCTAATGCACCACTAAGGCAGCAAGGATGTATGTATTCAAACGGAGCTGGTTCCCAGTTCTGTTCCTTATAAGCTGTGTGACCTTGGGCTAGTTATTTAACAGCTCTACATCTCAGTTTCCTTGTCTGTGAAATGGACACTTAATAAAGTGGTTGAAGAGCTTCACAAGATATATAATTTCTGGGTCCAGGCACAGTAGCTTATGCCTGTAATCCCAGAACCTTGGAAGGCTGAGGCAGGTGGATCACTTGAGCCCAAGACCAGCCTGTGCAACATAGCAAGACCCTGTCTCTAAAAAAAAAAAAAAATTAAAAAAGATATAATTTCTGCCATATGGTATGGTTCTAATAGATGTTAATAGATGTTACTTCTCTCTCTCTCTCTCTCTCTCTCCTTTCTCTCTTTCATATTTTCTACTCAAGGATATGTTTAAGGAGCATACCTTGTGTCTCCTTGTTCCTTGTACCTATGTGTTTACCTGGCACATAGTAGGTTCTCAATAATTTTTTTTGAATAGTTAATTAATGCCAGGATGGGCTGATGAATTGATGGATGCATGGATTGTTCATAACAGCCGCTCTTACTATGATCTATTGCTGGATGATCACCTGGGCTGTGCTTACATCTCTGTAATGCCGTGGTGAGGTTACACTGCACACACTAGCCGATGCTGTGCAATAAAAGCCACAGTCATTTTCATTCCTGACTAAAACCTAACAGGACCCTCCCTCTCACTGCCACGGGAGACTTGACTTGCATTTGAGGACCGAGGAGTAATTGTCCTTTCCAAGGGGCTTATTTCACAGTCGATTATGCAGTGGCAGCCCCAGACATACCATTTTAAACATGGATAGCATGTCCTTGAAGAGCCCAATTGCTTTGACAAGATGCAGTCACTCAAAATATTAAATATCACTCAATCTTCAAAGCAACTTATCATATCAGCTCACCCCTTCTGTGGCAGGATTTGCCATTGTCACAACATAAAATAAAATAAAAATAGCCTGACTTAAATGCTAGGCTTGGAGATGAAATCAGTCAATTACTGAGCCACAGTATCCACAGTGCCAGATACTACCAACAAAACGTCACTTGGTGAAAGGCTCAGACACGGCTGTTTGGCTGGCAACAGCCAAGCAAGTACTCTCAACCAAGTGAATGTAGGGCTCCAGTTTTCTGCAATCTTGAAGGACTTCAGTGTGCCACCCCATTCCTCTGGTGGAAATCCTATGGCTCATTCTCATCTCTCAGTGCCTCCAAGTAGTATTTTTACCTTAGCTGCCTAAGCCACCGCTGGTTTCATTAGTGACTGCAGAAAGAAACACCAGGTCCTCTTCCTTGCTTCTAACTCACTATGGACAATAGAGGCAGGGTGGTTTGAATAACTCCTGGAAAGCAGGCTGCTAGCTGAGGCTTTCTCTCCCCCTGAGAAGTGAAATTATATGAGCCTTTGATCTCACCTTTATGTTCCTCCTCTGAAGTGAATTTTATGCCTGTGGAAAGTGCCAGAATAGGAGGCCAGGAAAATGAAGGCTTGTACTTGCCAATGAGAGAGGTCAGAGAGCAAAAATAATCCCTCCCTTAAAGGTCAGTTTTGTCCTCCCATGTCTAGGGGGTTTAGGAAAAAGCAGTCCAAGAACCTGACTGTTTCTTGTCTCTGCTGCAGTCTAATTTGAAAGCTTAGTCAACTTCTTGTTCTGCCTTGGTCTTCCCTTCTGTTGAGTGGGCACCACCATGCGTGTCCTTTTTCTTCCTCAGATAGAGATTTGAGAGTAAAGGCGTCTGCAGGTCTGTAATGCTTCTGAGCTTACCAGAGCCCAAGCATGATTGAATCAACTCAATCAACTTAGAACCAAAGCAACTTCTGGGCAATGATGAATATGCAAGTGCTCACAAAGTTTCCACTGTGCCCTCCAGACTGTGCCCACTTCTGTGTGAAGCAGACAGAGAAGAAGAATGGGATCCTGCCCTCACCCAAGCATTACCTAGGCAGTTTCTTGATTTCCCTAGGAATGAAAACACAGAACTATTCAGGAAAACAAAAACAAGCCAACATATAATTGAGTTCAAAAAAAAAGTGTAAAATTGACCATAGCCACTTATGCCTTCTAAAGGAATTGAGAGTGTGGAGAATTAGTATAACTTAATAACTGTAAAGTATTGTGGAACTAGCAATTGCATCAAGGGGCTACCGCCGCTAGGACTGGGAAAACTGAGGAGGAAAGTTGGCATCAAAACAGTGAAAGATCCAGGGAAGCTGAAACTCAGACTTTTGAGGAGGGGGCGCTACTTGGCTGGAACTGGTGTCCCTGAGGGTACATAATGAGGGTGTTCTTGCAAGTTTTGGAAAAACTTCAACATGCATTCAGCTGCTGGGGTGAGGAAGCATCCCCTCAATGATACTGACATGAACTGAAAGTTGAATAAGCAAAGAGGAAAGAAACAGGAAGAAGAGAATCCCTTCTCCCCTCCGGTGTGGCTCATTATCTCTCTCTAGCACCTCCTCTTGGCAGAACTTAGGGAGCAGCAGGCAAAGCCAAAGGTGGTGGCTGAGTCCAGCTTTAGCCCTGCATCACAGAAAGGAATAGAGAAGCGTCAATTTGGAGTGGAGAAACAATTACTTAATAACTGACACTGGGGGTAGGGAGGATAATCAAGGAGAGATAAAGGTGTGTACCACGTTGGAGCTAGTGCTATAAAGATACAGGGTAGAGAATAAAACTCAAGGGAAGCAGAAAACTGGAATGAGAAGTAAGTAGTTAAAAATGTGAGCCCTTGGAATTTACAAGCAAAATTTGAAATGGGGTTAAACACAACACAGACCACAAAATCAGGGTGAGGCAGTTGGGGTGCTGGGGGCAGGTGTTAGTGAGCCACCCAGCCAGCCTGGTGGCAGAGCAAGACTCCATCTAAAAAAAAAAAAAGGAGGATAGACTTTGACTTTGACTTAAATACAAGTTTCACTAATTACTCAATGTATGACCTTGGGCAACTAGCTTAAACTCTTTTTTTTTTTTTTTTTTTTTTGAGATGGAGTTTTGCTCTTGTTGCCCAGGCTGGAGTGCAATGGCGCGATCTCAGCTCACTGCAACCTCCACCTTCCGGATGCAAGCGATTCTCCTGCCTCAGCCTCCTGAGTAGCTGGGGTAACAGGCATGCCTCACCACACCTAGCTAATTTTTTGTATTTTTAGTAGTGATGGGGTTTCACCATGTTGGCTAGGCTGGTCTAGAACTCCTGACCTCAGGTGATCCACCCGCCTTGGCCTCTGAAAGTGCTGGGATTACAGGCATGAGCCACCGTGCCTGGCCAACTTGCTTGAACTCTAGGCTTCATTCCACATCTGCAAAGTGGGAATTATAATGCTCTCTCTGTCATAAGGTTATTGTGATGACTGATTGAGAAAATTTTGTAAAAGAGCATAGTGAAACACCTGCATAAAACAAGTACTAAATTTTTAAAAATCTTTTCAAGTCTATTTATATATATTATTCATACTTATTAATGATGCTATGGCAGAAACTTATTTGCTCCCCAATATCTGCTTTTTCTTTCAAGCACAATAGTGAAACTTTTAGCTGGGCATATGGCTGCAGAGTAAAGACTTTATTTCCCAGCTATCCTTGTTCTTATAGCCAGGTAACTAAGTTGTGACCAATAAGATATTAAGCCAAGTGATGCATTCAACTTCTGGGTGGTGCCTTTAAAAGGAAGGTGCCTCCTCTGCTTCCCCCTCCTCTTTTCTGCTGTCTGGGATGCAGACACTGTGGGGAGCCATCTTGTACTTTATAGATGAGGACAGCACCCCATGGATGGCAGAGCAATGTGATAAAAGGAATCTATTCACATGACAAGAGCACAGAACCATTATAGCAGCCCAGACTGTGTGTAAGAATGAAAAAAATTTTCATCATGTTGAAGTCACTGTAATTTAGAGTGACATAGACTTGATCTCTGCCCTTATGGAGCTTATATTCTAAAAAAAAAAGTGTAACTTTTAGAAAGATGTATCTGATAGAATGTTTTTGGTTTCAAGAAACAGCTTAACAAAAAGCAAAGAGGCTTTGAGATAAAGGTTTGCTTACTCACATAAAAAGGAGTCTGGGTGGCTATAGGGTTCATTCAACAGTTCAGTAATACCAAGGCTCTGTGTCAGCTTTTCTGTGATGCTCTTGGATCCTCATCCTCATGGTCTAATGATTGCTGCCATAACTCTAAGCATCACATCCTCTGATATGGTTTGGCTCTGTGTCACCACCCCAATCTCATGTTGAGTTGCGTTGTAATCCCCAATACTGGGGCAAGGGCCTGGTGGGAGGTGATTAGATCATGGGAGCATGTTAATTAGTCAGGATTCTCTAGAGGGACAGAAATAATAGGATATATGTATATATTAAAGGGAGTTTATTAAGGAGAATTGACTCATATGATCACAAGGTGAAGTCCCACAGTAAGCCATCTGCAAGTTGAGGAGCAAGAAAATCAGTGGTGGATCAGTCTGAGTCCCAAAACCTCAAAAGTCGAGAAGCCAACAGTGCAGCCTTCAGTCTGTGGCCAAAGGCCCGAGAGCCTCTGACAAACCACTGACGTAAGTCCAAGAGTCCAAAAGCTGAAGAACTTGGGGAGTCTGATTTTCAAGGGCAGGAAGCATCCAGCACAGGAGAAAGATGGAGGCCGGAAGACTCAGCAAGTCTAGTCCTTCCATGTTCTAATGCCTGCTTTATTCCAGCCATGCTGGCAGCTGATTAGATGGTGCCCACCCACACTGAGGGTGGATCTGCCTCTCCCAGTCCACTGACTCAAATGTGAATCTCCTCTAGCAACACCCTCACAGACACATCCAGGAACAATACTTTGCATCCTTCAATCTAATCAAGTTGACACTCAATATTAACTATCACAGGGCGGAAGTCCCTTATGCTGTTCTTGTGATAGTGAGCGAGTTCTCACGAGATCTGATGGTTTAAAAGTGTGTGGCAGTGCCCCTTCACTCTCTCTCCTGGCAGAATGAGAGATGTGCTTTGCTTACCACCGTGCTGTGCCTCGCCTTCTGCCATAATTGTATGTTTCCTGAGGTCTCCCCAGCCATGCTTCTTGTACAGCCTGCAGAACCATGAGCCAATTAAACTTCTTCATAAATTATCCAGTCTTGGGTAGTTCTTTATTGCAATGTGAGAACAGCCTAATACACCCTCACACACATGCAAAAATATAAAAAGCAGGGAAAATGGGGAAAGGTGTGTTCCTTGTTTGTCTTTCTCATATATTAGGGCGGAAAGTCTTTGACAACATCCTCAACTGGTTTGGTCTTAGGTCCTATTGGTCAGGATTGGAACCCAAGCCAATACCCTGGCAGCAAGGGAGGCCAGGCAAGCAAGGAACTGGCTTTTTAGCCTCTGTAGGCTTTGGAAGGGTGGCTCTACAAGATAGGAAGGAGGCTGGTGATGCTGTTGGGTAGGCATCAGTCTTTCCAGGAAACCTCCTTCACTTTCCGTAATTTTGTTTGTTTGTTTGTTTGTTTGTTGTTGTTTGAGATGGAGTCTCGCTGTCGCCCAGGCTGGAGTGCAGTGGTGCAATCTTGGCTCACTGCAGGCTCCGGCCCCCGGGGTTCACACCATTCTCCTGCCTCAGCCTCCCGAGTAGCTGGGACTACAGGCGCCCGCCACCTCACCCGGCTAATTTTTTGTATTTTTAGTAGAGACAAGGTTTCACCGTGTTAGCCAGGATGGTCTCAATCTCCTGACCTCGTGATCCGCCCGCCTCAGCCTCCCAAAGTGCTGGGATTACAGGCGTGAGCCACGGCGCCTGGCCACTTTCTGTACTTTTTATGTGGTCAGGTTAGTGCTGAAGTTTTTCTTGAAGTATACATATTTAACTCCTGACTTGAAGTATACATATTTAACTCCAGACTTCCCGTTGAATTGTCACTTTGTATTACAGAGGAAGTAGGGTAAGCTTAATTAATTTTTAGAAAACATATTTGTAACTATTTAATTCAATTCTACCAAGTGTCAGGTTCTGTGTTGAGTACTTGATACACATTATACTATTTGATAAAGCATGGTTTCTGAAAACTGCAGGTCATCGTCTAGTTACCTTCCAAAGCACTGCATTTTAGTATGAATAAAAATAAAGCTGGATGATAGAAAGCACTGTGAATCAATTTTCAATATGCTCAAGAATCAACATTACAGAAAGCAGACATCTTATTATCTTGGCCAAACTACATAAAGTGTTGGCTTAGCTTTTAGCTATGGCTTCAAATCAATGCTGATAATGGTGACAGAAAACACAACAGAAAACTAAAACATATCTGGCATTTTCCTGTCAAATGAAGCAAACACTCCTTGGGAAATGAAACGTTGGTCAAGAATTTAGATAAATTCACCAGGACTATTCCAGGACTTATCAAAATCTCTCCAACTCCTTCTAATTTACTTAAATATTTGCTGCAGAAGTAGCGCACTCTGCCAGTTATTTGTAATGCATAAATTGTTGTACATTCTACTTTGGAACATGGGCTTGCCTGTAAATCTGCTGAGCTTAAAGAATTAATGTTTGGAAACTATATTAAAACAGTCACAATCACATCCCATCACTCTCAAGCAAATGGCTACACTACAGATATAATAGAAGCTACTACGGATGTAGTAAAGAAAGTTATTGAAGGAATTGTCCAATGAAACTAGACAGATGCCACATCACACACATGGCCAAAGATGGAGTCAGGTCTGTTCTTTAACCAATTGTGCAGGACTTCTCAATACTTGGCTACATCTATACTTCTAGATGTATAGGCTCAATAGATTTCAGCATCCTTTGTTATCAAACTTGGGTGGCCAAATGAATAACATAAGGAACATGTGAAAAACATAGATTCTTGTAACTTTTTTCAAAATGTCTATTCAAATATCTATTCAGTAGATCTGTGTTAAAGTAAATTAATCTGCCTTTTTTGAGACGGATTCTCGCTCTGTCGCTCAGGCTGGAGTGCAGTGGTGCAATCTCGGCTCACTGCAAGCTCTGCCTCCCGGGTTCACGCCATTCTCCTGCCTCAGCCTCCTGAGTAGCTAGGACTACAGGCACGTGCCACCATGCCCGGCCAATTTTTTTTTTTTTTTTTTTTTTTGTATTTTTAGTAGAGATGGAGTTTCACTGTGTTAGCCATGATGGTCTCGATCTCCTGACCTCGTGATCCACCCGCCTCAGCCTCCCAAAGTGCTGGGATTACAGGCATAAGCCACCATGCCCGGCCATGAATCTGCATTTTTAACACATGCTCCATGTAGTTTTGATGTAGATAGACCACAAACCACAATTTAAGGAACACTGGTCTAGATGCTGCTTGCTTGACATTTGCTTTGCAACTTTAAGTTATAAAATGTCTTTGCAAGTAACTACGAATTTGGCCTAAAAGAGGACTCCTTTAAAACTGAGAGTACAGAGCTAACCTATACAATAGTTAGATATCAGATAAATGAAAGTGACATTACCATGTTGACCGGCATGAGGTTTGTACATGCAAGCAAATATACACATACACACACACCAGCCAAGTGACTTAACAGAGGCGGAGGCTTTGTATCTATCCGTATTCATGATGCTAATAAAGACATACTCGAGACTAGGAAGAAAAAGAGGTTTAATTGGATTTACAGTTCCTCACGGCTGGAGAGGCCTCAGAATCATGGTGGGAGGCAAAAGGCCCTTCTTACATGTTGGCAGCAAGAGAAAATGAAGAAGCAAAAGCAGAAACCACTGATAAACCTATCAGATCTTGTGAGACTTACTCGCTATCACGAGAATAGCATGGGAAAGACTGGCCCCCATGATTCAATTACCTCTTCCTGGATCCCTCCCATAACACATGGGAATTCTGGGAGATACAATTCAAGTTGAGATTTGGGTGGGGACACAGCCAAACCATATCAGGCTTTAAGAAAAATCTCATCTTCATCACATAGCAAATGAATTATCCTGTGTAACAGAGACATAATTTAAAGAAAATTACAACTATCTTAATATCATCCCAAATTTCTGTAATCAAGCCACCTAATAGTTCTTTACCTACTGGTATAGCAAAGATAAACTGAAGGCACCCTCTTCCAGAACATTTTTTATTAATGTTAGGGTAAACGTTGAATAGCCAAGTAATTAAGAATGCTTACACATTGCCCTGACAAATGTCCCTATCTCCCCATACAGTTTCCAAGAAAGATATGTGCAAAATATAGGAGCAGGGTGCTTAGAATAAAAGAACCACTAAGTGAATGGCAGCATGAGATCCTTATTCCATTTCGCTCTGTTACATGACAGAATTGGAACAAGTAAGCTTTTGTCTGGAGAGCTAAACTGGACCTTAAACTTTCTTCCTACAAATTGAAATGTTGAGACAATTATACTTGTTAAATACATAGGAGGAGGGAGGGAGGAAGAGATGCAAGACAGAGAGGAGGGTACAGAGAAGAGAGAAAAAGAGAGAGAAAATGAATGAGTGGTAAAAATGGAGAGCAGGCCCTGACCTGAAATACTTGCCATATTCTAAGGGAAATTGAAAAATAAGGAACCTTATTATTTAGGATAACAGGCTCTTCCTATAATAAATTTACTTATTATATAAAGAGCAATCACAGGGGAGAGGGGTAGATGCCATTTCCACATTTAAGGACTTCAGCCATGCCATAACAACCGTGTGGCCCAAGGAGCACTTTAGAATCTGAGCAGTCTTACTAGCACCTGCTTATTGGCAGCAAGTACGAAAGAGATGGAAAGTGGAAGAGAAGTGCAAGTTTGTTCCTGTTATGGTTTCCTTGATCATTGGTTTTGACATTGAGATGGAATGTCCCATCTCTTTCTTCACCTCTATCCACCTTTCTAAAGCTTATCCATCATTAAGGGTTCAGCTCAAACCCCCTCTCCTGCCTGACATCTGTTCACACACTTTTTTCCAGTCTGATCCATGCCATTCATTTGCCAGCTCACCACTGGATAGATTTTGAGCATTATACATCGGTGAAAGTAATCTAACCCTTGTATAAATTCACAGAATAATCAGAAGGGGATCTTAGAAATGTTATTACGTCTTGTCTCTTAACTGAATTCTTATTTCTTAAACACAGCAACTGTGCTTTGAATATTTTTGTCATCTTTGTATCTCCCATAATGTATAATTCAGACATTTCCTTTCTTTTGAACATTCAATTTACAAACTTTCATAGTCAGAAAGGTTCTCATGAAAAGTGAAGCAATTTGCCAACCAACCACAGCTCTCTGGGAGTGGTCTCCTGAGATGTGACCGTCAAGTCCCTTATTAAATAATAGCATATCTAAAGTACGATCACACTGCAACTTACTGGTGATTTCTAAAAATCAAAAAGAAGGAATATTTAGAAAATGTTTTAGAGGGTTAAAAAAATCAGAAATTTCAAATAGTCACAGTTCTTCTACAAAACTTACTTTTATATAAATCGGCTCATAAAGATTGCTTGTAAAGTATTCCAAAACTTTTTATTTTTATTTTATTTTTTTAAATTTTTATGTATTTATTTTTTGACACAGAGTCTCTCTCTGTCGCCCAGGCTGGAGTGCAGTGGCACAATCTACGTTCACTGCAACCTCTGCCTCTCGGGTTCAAGCGATTCTCATGCTGCAGCCTTCCAAGTAGCTGGGGCTGCAGGCACGCGCCACCACACTCGGGTAATTTCTGTATTTTTAGTAAAGACAGCGTTTCGCCATGTTGGCCAGGCTGATCTTGAACTCCTGGACTCAAGAGATCCATCCGCCTCAGCCTCCCAAAGTGTTGGGATCACAGGCATGAGCCACCACCCCCAACCTCAGTATTCCAGGACTTTTAAATAAATAAACTAATAACCAGCCTTTTGGATCCTGATTTGGTCATAAGTTAATGAATATTTGGTACCCTGTACTCCATATAATAATTACCCAGTACATTTGATGTGATTTTATTTTAACTGCTTTGACTCTACAACTACATTTTAATATTTTAAAAGCCGAGCACCACATTCCCTGTTTCTTTTACAAATCCCTCAAAAGACCAACCCCTGTGCTAAACAGCATTGTCAGTCATGGACAGAGAACCAGTTAACAAATCAGCATCAAAACAAGTCCACGGCACATACATATGTGTGTGACTCTACATGCGAATGAAGACATTCGGATTGGTACTTAATGCATTTTAATAGACCAGAAAATTCAGATTGGTACTTAATGCAATTCAAAAGTCCGAGTGCTGCAAACAGCCACCACCTTTTGGGGCCATTTGGAGACCCTTAGTATCAAGCAGACGGTAAGCGGCAGAGTCCCTAACAGATTTGTGCTTCTGGCAACACTTTGTAATAAGGAACAGGAAAGGAATGTTGAGTGGCCAATACTTCCTAGAAAGCATTCTGGGACAAGAAAGGAAGGAAAGAACCTTGTGAAGATCCTCGGGCACTCGAATACAGCAGAATGTGCAAGTTCAGGTCCAACAACCCGTTTTATTCAGCTAGAGGCACCCAGGAAGTGTATCACCTTGGGTATGTACCCTAGAGTTCCTGTGTCTCAGTTTACTCTACTATGAAATGGGGGTGACAAGAATAGCAAGTCCTATCTCATACAGACACTCTGAAGCTTAAAATTGTTTGTGCGTGCAAAGTGTTTAGAGCTTCTGCCTGTCACCTAGCAAATGCTCAGTGAGTGTCAGCTACTGTTTTCATGGTGTTGGGTCTAGACTTTAGTCCTGGTTCTGCTGCTATGTTGCCTTATGACTGTATTTTACCTCACCTGAGAAATTAAAATATTTAAACGAGATGAGCTCTAGTGCTAATTCTAACTTGGGTTATTAAAAAAAGAGAATGCATATGGTATTTGGGAGAAGAATACAGATAAGAAAAAAACAGAGCAGAATAAATTAATTGACAGAAACGATTCTGTCCCCCTTTCCATAGCCAAAATACACAGCAACTAAGAGAGGAAATAGGATATAGGAAGAGTTAGTGACAATATAAAAAGAAAGAAGAGGCCATATTTCATTTAGGGCTCTATTACTTTTATTAACTGGGATATAAATTCACTCAGAACTTTTAATTCTTCAAATAACAAGAGCATCATAAACACCATTATCTGTTTCCTTGTGCCTGTAGCATTTACTGTAATTCCTTAGATTAAAACCACGGCCCCTAATGTTACAGGACAAAGATGGAGTGAGAAAGGCTTAATGCAATTCAAGATATTCAAAGGTAAAAAGCTGCAAATGAAAATTATCACAATGAGCAAGAATAAAATTATTATAAAACTGTCACATTTCTAATATTTCATATCACTTCTGACCATAAGCTCTGCAGCTATAAAAGCAGTATCTTTTACTCCCCAGTGTGCAGTAGTGATGGTTTGCATTCTTCAAGGCTTATGATGTTAAAATGCCTTTAATTATGTTCTGGATAGCTATTTGTAAGGCATTCTTAAACCTCTCCAAGGTCAGTGTCTTTCTTCTCACTGATTCTCAGATCATCACTCTATGATTCTAGCTTCACTGACACAATATTCATTTTATCCCTGGGAAAGACAGAATTGCTGAATTGGTCACACTGGCATCCGGGACGGGAGCAACTATTGTCCCGAAAGGTTGCTTTGCTGAACACTTGATGTCTGCATTGGTCTCCTCTGTCATTCTTTAGAGGTCAGCCAAATAGAAAATTCAGATTGGTACTTAATATAATTCAAAAGTCCGAGTGCTGCAAACAGCCACCACCTTTTGGGGCCATTTGGAGACCCTGAGTATCAAGCAGATGGTAAGCGGCAGAGTCCCTTAAAGATTTGTGTTTCTGGCTACACCTTGTAATAGGGAACAGGAAAGCAGTGTTGAGTTGCCAATCACAGTACTAGGTAGGCACCTTGAAAACGGAAAATGTAACTCTATCCATACTTTATTCTGAATTTAAACAATTGCTGGCTATGCTGCATACAGTAATAGACTTTACTCTCAAACCATTCATTTAAATGCTCCGGCACCAAAACCCAAAAAAGAATCAACTTCATGGATCGCTGGCCTTGTTAGCAAGTAGAAAATGGGATAAGTTGTATTTCAGAAGCACTGGCTCACCAAGTTCTGTGTTAAGGGCACAGCAACATTGGAAATGTCCCTGTTTTCAGGGATTTTATTTTTATTCACACACACACACACACACACACACACACACACACCATACATCTGTTTTCCCTGTGTGAAATTTCTGAAAGGCTGTGAAAAGCTCAAAGCCACACAGAAAGAAGACCAAGTACAGAGTGGGGTATAGATACATTTCCAGGGGCTACCCAGGTAGTGATGAATGACTTTTCCTTTAATAATTTTTAATAATAATTGTATTGTGATTTTTCTGATTATTAAGAAAAGTTTATGCTGACTATAGGAAATTTAGAAAATACAGAAATATTATGAAATAAGTTCTACTACTCAGGAACTACCACTGATAACGTTTTGTTGTATCTTTAATGAGTCGTTTTGCTAAGTGTTGTTGCATTGTTAATTTGTTTTGCACCTGTTCACTTCTAGCCTAGCTCTAATCATTACTTAATTACTTTGCATATTTACTTGTTTATTGTCTGTTACCCAGCCCTGTCCCAAAACCCTCTTCCTGCACTAGAATGTATGCTCCCAAGAGGAAAAGAGTTTTGTCCTATTCTTTGATTTCACAGAACCAGGGACATATCTGGCACTCAACAGATTACAGAATGTATGAATCAATTGAGATATTACTGAGTATGTAACTTTAGCTCTTAGCTTTCTCTCACAACATTATAACAATAAAATGAGTGCATCTTGGAGTTAATGGAGAATCTATATCAGTCCACTAACCCCTCAATCTCACCACTAACTCCAAGCACTGCAAGAGTGGCAAGTTCCATGCAGGCTTTGAAGGGCTTCAGGCAGGCACAGTTGGAGAGGGTCTCATGCAGACTTTTGCTTCCAGCATGAAGGTTTCTCTGATTCTACAAACAGGGGCACTCGTGGGGACCCTATGTACAAACTGGAGTTTTGTGCATGAGGCCGCTCTTGACCAAAGAGAGGCAGGATCTCCCCATTTTGTTACTAAGGAAGATAGTTCTGACCTCTGTTTGATAAGACACCTCTGAAGGTCCTGGCAGGTTTGAACTCCAGTCAGCCATGAACAACACAAAAACACATCCTTATTTTGGCTCTTTCTATGCCACTCTCTTGTGTTCTGCATACTTGCACCATGGAATCTCATCCTAAAAAAAAAAAAAAAGACCTGCACACAAGCCTTCATCTCAGATTCTCCTTCCTAAAGGACCAGCCTAAGAAAAACAGAATTTTATACATTATTATAAGTTATTCTAAACATAATTTAAATGGATGTATAGTACTATGCTAATATGAATTACTATAGCCTATGTAATCATATTTTAATATTTCTGGACATTTAGGTGGTGGATGGCTTCTTAAAGATAAAGCTGTGATGAGAATTTTCACATGTAAAGCCTTTTCCTCATTTAGGAAATTAAGTCGACAGTAAGAATGCTTTTTCAGCTTTTGATCACATTGACAAATTACTTTTGAACAAAGGTTGTACCACTTTATGGTCTCAGCAGCAAAAATGAGCCTGTTCCTTTTATTGCACCCTTGCCAGTACCGAGTATCATCTTAGTTTTATTTTTGATAATTTGGGAGGTAGAAATAATTTTTATTTTCATTTTTATTGCTTTTATTTATATTATTTTCTCTCTTAGTAATTCTATTCTCTTCTCAAAGAACAATACTTTTGGAATTTTGTGAGACTCTTGAGTCACACATACTCAATGACTTGAGCCAAGTCACCTGGGAGATGACCATCAGACTAAATGAGGGTTGGAGAGGAAATCTAAGGGAAGTTGTAAGTTGCAACAAAAAGGAGAAAAGAACTCTTCAATTTAATAAATATGGATGCCTACTACATGCTGGGCATATTGGGAGATATTAGAGATCCACAGGTGAAAAATGCACAAAACTGTCATTTTGAAGCTAATAGTCTAATGATCATGCTGAAGAGAGAACTGAATGTCTGAACTGAAATCATTTTAGAGGAAAATTATAGAGGAACTTTCATTATGTTTGGTTTGACTGGATAGGGGAAAAACTAGTCCCAAATCCGCCTCCGCACCCCCACCATAGTAGATTAGAAAAAGTGGATTGTTCAGTTTCCATTTAGTTTAGCATTGAAAGAAATTAGATAATGCTGGTGGTTTAGAGCTGGATATAGCTGAGGCTCAAGTGATACCAAAAGGGGTAGAAGGCAATGTGATATTATGATAAGAAAGCCTGAGCATAGGAGCACAGGAGTCAGGCAATTCTGGTTTCATGACTAAATTTAACCACTTCTAGCTTATGGCCTTGGGCAAGTTAACTTCTCTAGTCTTCTATTTTCTTATCTGTAAAATGAAACTTATAATACCTTCCTGCTAAGGTTGTTATGAGGCTTTAAATAAGATAGTATGTGGAAGAGATTGGCAAATTTATAATGGCACAAAACAACCAATAAAAGTCGTTAAGAAAAACAGTTAATTTTTAAAATCAAAGACAAAAAATTCCTCCTAAGGATAAGAACTACCTTTGTTATACAAAATAGATCAATATGACAATATCAATGTTATACAAAATATATCAATATTTATTTGGGTATAAAAAAAATAGACCTAAATCCAGAGGCTAAAAACTTGGGGAAAGACTGCAGAAGACAGAAACAATGAAGAAGGTAAGAAGCAGGAACAAAGAATTAAAAAGGATTGACTAAAGAGAGATCACCCAACAACTTTTTCAAGAATGAAGGATGTAAAACGGCCACTAAAAAGCTGTTTGATGGGCAATGCTGAGATATAATCCTGCCTTCTTATCCCAAACTACAACAAAATTAACACCTCCAAGAAACATTCTATACACATAGTCTACTACAAGTTAACTAAAATGTACATATAGATTGAAGGTTATTAGAAGATCTCTTTTGTTGTAATTATAAAAGTGATGCATACATACCTAAGATATTAGTAGCTACAAATCTTTGGATGTGAATCGAATGTCCTCTCTTCAAATTAAGTTTCTCAAGTTGACTGCCTTGTCATCTTTCTTACATAAACAATACCAGTAATGCAGCATTAATTTCCATTTTGGTTTCCTTAAAGTGCTTACAGAAAGTTAAAACCCAAGCATTGTTTTAAATCTTAGAAGCATATTTTTTAAAATCCAGGTTTGTATTTTCTTTGCCAATAAAGCTTTCCTATAAATTTAATAAACTTCTGATTTATTTGCTTCCAGTCATTTACATGTACAAATAATGATATCATAAGTGCTCTTAGAAACTTTGTTTTTAAATATAATTTACTTCTTTGTTTTCTTGTCCCCCACCTCTCCCTCCCTCTCTCTCTCTCTCTCTCAGTTTAATGGTAGATATTTTAATATCATCTGGAACAATGAATGTGGTAGCCACACCATTAATGTGATTTTATCCTGAGTCATTTTATCTACTGACAGGCTTTGCTAGTTGCTGCTTTCAGATCTTTTGGCTTTCCCAATTCTGCAAGATTATGAGTTTCTAGAACCTCTATATTCCCTTTTATTGTGCTTTGAAAGTAATCCTATCTCTCTTGAACAAATTGTATCTTTTAAAATATTGTCATAGGCCTTTGCATACCTAGAGGAGACCTGGGCCCTAGAAAGAAGAAGAATGAGCTCTGGCAGTTAACTGCCCCACTCGAGCCCTTCTTATTTTCTTTAAAACTCTCAACATGCCCTCCTCCCTGACATCATCTTATTAAAGTATAATAATAAGTGTTTTTTTGTAGGGCATTGGAAAAACATTAAGTTTTAAGAAAGAGGGATAGGAGATTAAGATGGCAGATAGGAGATTAAGATGGCGGATAGGAGATTAAGATGGTGGATAGGAGATTAAGATGGTGGATAGGTGGCAGGACTTGCAGCTCCTGCTATGACAGACATAGTGAACTCTGCTTTAAGTGAACACACATAGTGAACTTTTGCTTTAAGAATTACCTCAGGAAATACCAGGAAATATCAGGAAAGCTGAGAGAATCCACAAACCCTTTGAAGGAACTGAATTAGTGCTGCAGGCTTGCTGAGATGTTGAAAAACTAAGTTGGCTTGCTTTCTCAATGGGGAGGCTCATGGTCTGGAGCAAGTTCTCAACTCCAGTCAACAGCTGCCTGGAAACAGACTTGGTGCTGTTGACGGGCCACAGTGGGAGTGAGACCGGCCTTTGGGACTGCAGGCTGCATGGGAGTGGGGTGAGGTCTGAGACTGCGAGCTTTCCCCAACTTCCCTGGCAACCTGTATGGCTCAGCAGAAGCAGACATAATACCCCTGGGAATATAATGCCATTGGACTGGGAACCACACCCCTATCCTCCACAGCAGCCACAGCAAGCCCTGCTCAAGGAGTGGCTGAGCTCAGACACGCCTATCCCTGCCCCGACCTGGTGGTCTTTCTCTACCTGCCCTGATAGCAGAAGACAAAGGTCACAATCTCTTGGGAGCTCTATGGCCCTGCCCACCACCTGAGAAACCTGAACACTTGCCCAGATGTCCCTAGGATAAGTTTGCATCCTCCCTATAGGATCACAGCTGATGCACTCTTGAAAGCACCACCTCCTGGCTGGAGGCCAACCCACACAAAACAGGTGCACTAAACAAAAACACAACCAAAGACCCTTACAGAGTCCACTTCACTCCCCTATTACCTCCACTGGAGCAGGTGCTGGTATCCATGGCTGCAAGACCTGAAGATGGATCACATCACAGGACTCTTTGCAGACATTCCCCAGTACCAGCCCAGAGCCTGGTAGCTCCTCTGGGTTGCTAGACCCAGAAGAGCAAAAACAGTCACTACAGTTCGGCTCTGAGGAAGCCCTATTCCTAGGGGAAGGGGGAGAACACCACATCAAGGGAGCACCCCATACAACAAAAGAATCTGAAGAGCAGCCCTTGAATTCAGATCTTCCTTCTATCAATGAGAAGGAACCAGAAAAATAATTATGGTAATATGACAAAACAAGTTTCTTTAATACCCCCAAAAGATTATACCAGTGCACCAGCAATGAATCCAAACCAAGATGAAATCACTGAATTGCTAGAAGAAGAATTCAGATGGTCCATTATTAAGCTAATCAAGGAGGCATCACAGAAAGGTGAAGTACAACTTAAAGAAATAAAAAACATGATACCAGATATGAAAGGAAAATTCTTCAGTGAAATAGATAGCATAAATAAAAAACAATCACAACTTCAGAAAATCAAGGACACACTTAGAGAAATGCACAATGTACTAGAAAGTCTCAGCAATAAATTCAAATAAGTTGAAGAAAAAACTTCAGAGCTTGAAGACAAGGCTTTTGAATTGACCCAATCTATCAAAGACAAAGAAAAAAACAATTTTTAATGAACAAAGCCTCCAAGAAATTTGGGGCTATGTTGAACATCCAAACCTAAGAATAAGTGGTGTTCCTAAGGAAGAAGAGAAATCTAAAAGTTTGGAAAACATGTCTGAGGGAATAAACAAGGAAAACTTCCCTGGCCTTGCTAGAGATCTAGACATCCAAATACAAGTAGCTCAAAGAACACCTGAGAAATTTATCACAAAAAGATCGTCACCTAAGCACATAGTCATCAGGTTATCTAAAGTCAAGAAGAAGGAAAGAATCTTTAAGAGCTGTGAGGCAAAGGGATCAGGTAATCTGTAAAGGAAAACCTACCAGATTAACAGCAGATTTCTCGGCAGAAACCCTACAGCTAGAAGGGACTGGGGTCCTTTTTTAGCCTCCTTAAACAATACAATTATCAGCCAATAATTTTGTATCCAGTGAAACTAAGATTCACAAATGAAGGAAAGATAACAGTCTTTTCCAGACAAGTGCTGAGAGAATTCGCCACTACCAAGCCAGCACTGCAAAAACTGCTAAAAGGAGCTCTAAATCTTGAAACAAATCCTGGAAACATGTCAAAACAGAGCCTCCTTAAAGCATAAATCTCACAGGACCGATATAACAATAACACAATGAAAAAAAAAAAGGTATTCAGGCAACAAATAGCATGATGAATAGAATAGTACCTCATATCTCAGTACTAACATTGAATGTAAATGGCCTAAATGCTCCACTTAAAAGATACAGAATGACAGAATGAATAAGAATTCACCAACCAACTTTCTGCTGTCTTCAGGAGACTCGCCTAAACCATAAGGACTCACATAAACTTAAGGTAGAGGGGTGGAAAAAGGTATTCCATGCAAATGGACACCCAAAGCAAGCAAGAATAGCTATTCTTATATCAGACAAAACAGACTTTAAAGCAACAGCAGTTAAAAAAGACAAAGAGGGACATTATATAATGATAAAAGAACTAGTCCAACAGGAAAATATCACAATTCTAAATACATATGCACCTAACACTGGATCTCCCAAATTTATAAAACAATTACTACTAGACCTAAGAAATGAGATAGATGGCAACACAATAATAGTCAGAGACTTTAATACTCCACTGACAGCACTAGATAGGTCATCAAGACAAAGTCAACAAAGGAATGGACCTAAACTATACCCTACAACAAATGGACTTAAGAAATATTTGCAGAACATTCTACTCAACAACTGCAGAATATATATTATTTTCATCAGCACATGGAACATTCTCCAAGACAGACCACATGATAAGCCACAAAACAAGTCCCAGTAAATTTAAGAAAATCGAAATTATATCAAGTACTCTCTCAGACTACAGTGGAATAAGTTGGAAATAAAAACCTCTCCAAAGGAGACAATCAGATATGCATTTATCTCAGAGAGCAGAGGGATGACTTTGAATAGAATGGGAGGCATGTTGGCCATAAACAGTTCCTAGCTTGACTTTTCCCTTTAGCTTTGTGATTTGGGAGCCCCAAGATTTATTTTCCTTTCACAGTATACACATCTATTCAGATGTGTTCTCTCTGAGGCAGAGAGGAGAGGAGAGAAGACCTAGTAGAATTGAGTGCTCCTGGTTTGATTTATTGTAGGCTGCTCTGGATCTTGGATATGGGTTTGTCTGACAGCAATGCCTGCATGCCAAGACAGTGTGTTAACTCCCTTAGTACTTGTGAGCATACAAAATTTCATTCATTATGGGCTATATCTCTTCCCATACAGCACTATTCCACCATGAAAAGCAAAGCAACAGATTACTGTTTAACAAAAAGATGACAGTTAATAAGGCTTGTATTTATTTTAAAGTTGCCTGAATAGTGTCTGCTCAGCCCCTGAAGAAAGTAGGATAAAATAATGGTATACAGTTTAATAAAATATGCAAGGACTTTGAGCATTAAAATTGTTATTATCAGTATTACCATTATCAGTAGGGAAGTTGTATACCTAATTCTCCATACATTATGTAAAAAAAAAGCATTATGTATAATACAATGCTAAAGACAATGTTAATACAATGCTAAAGACAATGTTAATACAAAAATTAACTACAGGAAATTGTTAAAGGGAAAGAATGGAATTTTACAAGGACAGATCTGAAAGATGGTAGCAAGAAGATATTGTCAGCTTCTAGAATTACTACAGAGAGTTCTCTACTATAGAGATCTGAAAAATTTCATTCATGAAAATTCTGTCTATAGTCATTTGCATTTTCATAAGTGATGCGTACAAAGACTAGTTGTTAAAATGGAATATTGACTTTAAGTTGACAACAAATCAACAACTAAGAGATGCCCAAGAACATATTCATGCAAACTATCATAACTTGCCAGACATTTTACTTTGCCAAAGAGAAATACAAGAACAACATGATCAAGATTCCTACCCAGCTGGATGAGTGAAGCAAACAAGTATAGAGGTTCTATGTTTGCATAGTGAGTCCCTGTCTCTCAGTTCTGTCTCATATTACTTGCATAATGAAATTTTAGTTGAATGATCACTATGAGGTTGGTTGGGTCAAAGAATTTTTTTAAATACCAAGGAGTACGTAATATTTGAGCTAAATCTTGAAGGAAAAATGAGGGCATTTCCAAGTGGAGAAATATTTATCTAGCAGGGATGAATGAAGAGAAAGATTGTTTTCTCCACTCAAAGTTTAAGGTAACACACAAGTTATGGATATGTAAATCCTGAGAAGTTTTGAGTGCTTTCATTGAGGGTGGAGATGAGACTTGGAGGTAGATTGAGACATATTATGAAAGATATCTATTCCAAAATGAAGAGCTTGCACTTTCTCCTACAGAAGATCCTGAGCCTTCAGGGGATTTTTTGCAGGGAAGTGTTGGATGCAGGTTTGGTTCTATCAGGAGGAGAGCTCATGCAACAGCATGGAGGATGGATTGGGAGAAGGGTACCACATCCTAGGCCCTGTGTTTGCAGCCACACCAAGAAGAAGACACTGTCACTGCCTTCTAGGTACTTACAGCCTAGTGGAAGAAGCAGGTAAAATCAGAGGACAAAATTTTGTTATACAAAGTCTAATAAGTGTTATGATAAAGGTAAGCACAGTAGTGCATTGGAACTACAGATAAGAAACACCTACCTTCTAATGGAGAAGTTGTGGAGGGCTTCCAGGAGAAAATGTCGACTAAACTGCCTCTTGGAACTTAAATAAAGGCATATATACTGAACTTTAATTTACTACTCCGGCCATACCACGGGGTTAAGAGATCATAACTGAATTGTATTCAACTGCATGTATTTCTTTTGGAACATAGCAGGGTAAAAATACAAGGATAATTAATTTAATACATCAGTAAAGTCACAAGAACAGTATTTAATCTTGTTAAACACAGGAATGTTTAATTGTTAGTCATGCACAGAAAGTGCTTATCAAGGTCCGGACACCAAAGAAACTTCAAGAGAATTAGCAGAAGTGCCTGAACTGTGGCCAGTGGAATTCCCACATTGGGAAAATTGTTAGAATGGGTGATATGTACCTCTAAGCCCCTTTGAGTGCTGATACCTTCCAACTCAAGAAGCTTATAGCCTAATTGGTGAAACAGATTTCATGCCAGAAAAAATAAAGGGCTATAGCAAGGCTCAAAAACAGCAGGAACAGCTGTGTTGGTAGAAACTGAAACTTACATGAGGTTCTGAGAAACGAACCTAGAAATATAAGCCAAAGGGTTTTGGGCAGACAGAACAGTCTGTACTGAAGATACTGAAACAAACAAAAGCTTGGTTTCTCTTTTTCTCCCTCCTTTTATTCCTTCCTTCCTTCCAACTGATATTCACTGAGCTTAGAATTTTTTTAAAAAATCGAAATCACATTTCTTCTCTGGAAGTGCTTGCAGTTGAGTGAAAGAACACCAAAAGGAAAACCCTCCTTCCCCTCCTAAGCTTCATTCTACCTTCTGGAGACACGAATAGGGGTCGATCAGGGAATATATCCCAAAAGAGGTAATGCCCAAGCTAAATCCTGAAGGAGCTTAGAAAGTATTCCAGACAGAAAAATAGCTCATGCCCAAGCAGGATACAGAGTGTGGTGTCTTCAAGGAACTCCAAGGGTTTGCCTATAGTAGAAACTTGCAGTGTGCTGGAGAGAGATGAGGGGTAACATCAGAGGGGCAGTCTAATGATAACTCCCAAGACAGGAGAGTGACCTGGCTTGTAGTAGGGAACAGTAGGAAATCAGGTTGAATAGGTCATTTAAGGTCCTGCTAGCTAGAGGACAGCAGATGGACTTTACATAAAAATGGTTCCTGATAGTCCTTCAGAACTGTGTTTGCTAAGCAGTTTTGCACACTTGAAAGCAATCTGGGTACATTTAAGCCTTCCAACTATAGTTTGTGTTACCTGTAATTATTATTAATTAAGGCAGAGGCTTGTGTATATGAAAGGAGTCTGAAAATCTACAGGGTTCATTTTTGTATTTGTCAACTTTTATTTGAAAACAGCAGGTGAAATTCTGATTTGAGCAACGTTTAGCCTCAAACTATCATGCAGATTGTTTTGGTAACTATGTAATTGCAAAAGACTGCTTTGGTCGAAGCTCCTGAACACTTTTTATTGCTAATTTTGGCAATAAACCTGTTAATTAGTTAATTGTAAAACATTAGCGAATCAAGCAAAAAGAATCCATCTGTTTATAAAATTTCAAAGATCTCTTCTGGGCATAACATTTAAAAACAAGAGCTGGCTTGCCCTGTATTCCCTGCTAACTACAAACCATCGCTTTTGAATATTTGCACAGTCTCCTCCTAGGGATAAAAGGTGATATTTTAATGCAATCGTTTGCTGTACTTTAAGGTAATTTTGTAGGCTCATGGTGCTGCATACAATTTGTTTGGGGACTGTTGAAAACTGAAAAATTGGTAAGAGATATACAACTTCTTCATCTATTTCCCAAGCTGAAACTAGAAATAATTAGCCAAGCAGAAAGGAAGCAGGAGGGGATTCAACATAGAGAAGAACAATTTTAAAAGAAAGGAGAAAAAATGTCAAAGAACTGTACAAATTCCTAAGCAAACAGCATGTACACCTAGGAGAAGAGCAAGAGAGAAGACAGGTGAACCTGGCAGGAACCAGACTGTGAAAAAGTGAAATTTCCATACTTAGGGACCTTTCTGCAATTGTGCCATCAAAGTTACGGGAATCCATTGATAAATCTTCCATCTAGAAAGCATGATTAAGGAAAAACTTTTGGGGCTGGGCGCGGTGGCTCACACCTGTAATCCCAGCACTTTGGGAGGCTGAGGCAGGCAGATCACCTGAGGTCAGGAGTTTGAGACCAGCCTGGCCAACAAAGTGAAACCCCATCTGTACTAAAAATACAAAAAAATTAGCCAGGCATGGTGGCGCATGCCTGTAATCCCAGCTACTTGGGAGGCTGAGGCAGGAGAATCACTTGAACCTGGGAGGTGGAGGGAGGCGGAGGTTGAGCCAAGATGGCGCCACTGCACTCCAGCCTGGGAGACAAGAACGAAACTCCATCTCAAAAAAAAAAAAAAAAAATTTTAAGGAAACGCTGGCATCAGGCCAATCACCCATTTGGAAAACTGGGAAAAGTTCTAAGGCCTCTTCTTAGTGCCCAAAGGAAAGTATAGTAAAGATATCCAGGAAAAATCCAAGAATGAAGGAAGGTAAAAAGCCACCTAAATAGAAGCTGGAGATTTGGGTTCTAGTCTTAGCCCTACTGCTAACTAGCTGATAAACAAAGCCACATAACTTATCTGCCCTGGGTCTCTGCTTTTCTTTATAAATTGAAAAGTCTTTGGGGGACACAATTAGTCTGAGGTTAGGGGCATAGATTTAGTATCTCTATTCACAGTCACTTCTATTGATAGTTAAATTACTGATAGCTGTCTAGATACATAAATGGCTTTAAGGAACTCCCGCCACCTTAAGCACTGACTAATCTGACTTTATGACATAAAAGGTACAGGTCCAAGGGTCACATGGCAACATGAGCTGAGACACCCATAACTGAAAGTGTGTAGGCATTAGAAAATAAACAGGGTTTGAAATGTCAGAAACCAGAAGCTAGTCTCTTAAGAATTCTTCCAATCATCAAACATACAAAATCATAAACAGAAGATTTAATTTTCATGGACACCTAATCATAATGGAAGTTATTGCATGTGTTATAATCTGAATTTTTTGTGACATTGGCTTCTCAATATCAGAATGATTTCTATTGCTTCCTTTTATTGCTGATTTTCATGGCTTTTGTTTTGCATTCCATGATCTGCTTTTTTTCTCAGATCTTTAAAAATGAATTTTAAAATAACAAACAGTACCCTTTAGATACATCTAAATACAAATAACTTGTTTTTTGCTTATTTAAACATTCCAAAACATCTTAAATATCTTTGTAAAAGGCAATTAAAATAAAAATAGATTAGACTTCTGAACAGGAGCATCCAAGGATTGAAAACCTTTAAACATCCTACCTCTTATTCATGCTTTCCCTTTCTGTGGACCTTTTTTGTCTTAACACCACCACTCATGTCAACACCATGGAGGACTTAGTCACCACTATCTCACACGCTCATATCTCTGACTTAACTATAGCAGACCTACCTACAAGTTTTGGGTCAAAATTACATTTATTTCATTATTTTAAGGTCTTCTTTGCTTTAATATTCCTACCGGGGTTCCTAATGGGCATCTGTTACTAAGAACTGTGATCTGTTCACAAAGTTCTCACTTAACTATTCAGGAAAACTTAAACAAGAAGAGGCACCACAATGTGATGAGTTGGAAAGAACACTGAGCTGGGAGTCAGGAAATCTAGGCTCTAGCAAGTATTGACAGCCATGTAGCTTTTAATTTTACTTAATCTCTTTAAGTCCTAGTATGTTCAACTCTAAAAACAGAGAGCTGGGCCAGATATCATTTTAGTTTCCTTCCAGTTAAAATATTCTGGATTTTATTTCCCAGGTTGCTTTGTGGGGCATCATTTGCTTCCAGCCCAGGCAAGCAGAGGCCGGTGCTATTATGACTTGACAGCTGGAGCGATAGACAAAGAATTAAACCTTCCCTAAGTGCTCTTGATCCTCCTTTTTTTTTTGTAAATAAATGAAAAGACTTCATTTTCCAAAGCAAATCCTAACTTGCAGATGTCATTTTTTTCATGGGGAGGTTAAAAAAAAATAGCATTTAAAAATATGTCAGCATGTAACATTTCATTTGTTTCCATACTGTCTGATTTAAGGATAAAGATCTTATTTCAACACTGAAAGCAAAACCTCCTAAATTCATCTAGCTCACAGGATCATTTACATATCCAATGAAACATTTATTTTATCTGACCAGAAATGAAGATGATACAACATTCTTGGCGGAGATTAAAAATATATAAGGATGGAATATTGATGGCAATACACAATATACAGAAGAACAGCCCAGATGATGCACTGTGGATGCTGATAAGAATGAAATGCTTCCTAGCTAAAGTGAAATGATAACCTCAAAAGATATAGATTAATGACAGTAGTCTCCAAGATTGAAAAAGGAGAGGCGAGGATAAAAGAGGAATAAATTTAAGCATTTCAACAAAGGATGGAGAAATTTAAAGGATAATGTTAATTGAATTATGTGTTGTAACCAGATAATACTCTATTATACAAAGATGAAAGCCACAGTCATATCAAACCATCTAGTGGAAAGACGTCAACTTGAATCTGCAAGGGTTATTTTTAAAGTGGCAGACTCTAATATAAATCTGAATTTCAGAAGCACAATTCTACTTTAATCTTCTTCATTTATAATGGTGATAAACTTAGTTTGATTGCTCAGGAACATATATCTAGATTTATGGCCACATTGGGAAAACTGATTGCATTGTTACTTTTCATCCAGAATTCATTGATTCACTCTGTCTCTCTCTTCATATATATTTGGGATTATAAACACAGAGGGGAATTTTTTCTCCCCATGAGAGAGAGAGAGAAAGAGAGAAAGAAAGTGAGAGAGACACAGAGACAGACAGGGAATTATCCTCTGTGTCCATAATCCCAAATGGTTCAAAGTGTTCAAACAGCTCCATTTTATTTGTTCTTCATTCATTCAATAGACCTATCCTGAAAACCTTCTGTGTGAGAAGCACTGTGCTAAAGTTCAGAGCCTAGAAAAAATTAATATGCTTTTTGAGGACATGAGCTATATTATCTTTACCTTTCCATGCCTAGCAAGAGGGCCTAGCCTAATGCGTGTACTTGGTAAATGTTTGTTACAATGAACTAAACATCGCAGGGAGATAGCTATACAGGAAAATATTAACTATTAGTTAATGAAACCAAATACCATCTTACATGTCTAGAATCATTAACTCTAAAAGTCAGAAGAGATCTTACGTATCAGTTAATCTGTTGTTTCCTAACTTTGTGCAATGGAACAAAAGTAAGGGGTGTTACTACAACCAAAGGGAATGGGAGATTCCTTGGTCAAATAAGTTTGGAAAAAACAAAATCAAACAAGTTTTCTTACTTCTTAGAGACTTTGATATGCCAATAGTTTGTGTTTCTCTCAAAATGAAATATAGTAAATACATTTCCAACTTTATTTATCCAGAAGGTACTTTTATTGAGTCATATCTTTTGAAACTCATTTTCTGGGAAGAGTTCAACTGGTCCATTTCTTCTTGCTTTATCTCTCAATTCCAACTATCCTTCATCCAATGTGAGAGAACTAGCTAATTCTGCTTAAATAATCCTATGGATAAGGCAATCACCTTATTTTGGGGGCAAACTGGTTCTATCATTGGATAGCCTTAATTATTAGAGCTCTTTTGAATTCTGAGCTAAAATCTGCCTCACAGTCCACTAGAACAGGTATTGCCAAACTATGGTCTCTGTATAAAATCTGGCCTGTTGTCTATTTTTGTATGGCTTTCAAGCTAAGAATGATTTTTATATATTTTTACAGGCTGTTAATGAAGATATTCAACAGAGACCACATGTGGCCCATCAAGATTAAAATATTTATAATGTGGACCTTTTCAAAAAAGAGATGGCCCATTTATGCTCTAGGGAAGGGGTCTCCAGACTTTTTGATTATGTGCTGTGTGGTGAGCAGCCTCAAAGATACTCATCAATACAAAGATGAGGCTGGCTGCAGTGGCTCACACCTGTAATCCCAGCACTTTGGGAAGCTGAGGTGGGAGGATCACTTGAGGTCAGGAGTTCGAGACCAGCCTGGCCAACATGGCAAAACCCTGTCTTTACTAAAAATACAAAAATTAGCCAGGTGTGGTGGTGTGTGCCTGTTGTCCCAGATACTCAGGAGGCTGAGGCATGAGAATCACTTGGATTTGGGACTTGGAAGTTGCAGTGAGCTGAGATCACACCACTGCACGCCAACCTGGGTGACAGAATGAGATCCTGTCTCAAAACAAAAAACAAAAGCAAAAAACGAAGATGAATGCATCCTCTTATTCACACCCTTGTATAATCCACTCCCCTTGAGCATGAGCTGGATTTAGTGGTACTCCCCTCTCCTCCCCTCCCCTCGCCTCCCATCCCATCCCACCCTATCCCATCCCCTCCCATCCTATTCTATCCTATCCTATTTCTATTCAAATTGCTTCTATTTTATTCTGTTGAATAGAATATGGCAAAAGTGATGTATGCCTCTTCTAAGAGTAAGTTATTAAAAGATTTTGGCTTCTGAGTTGGATGTTCTCTCTCTCTCATTCATTCTCTTTTCTTTCCTCCATTACCCACTCTGAGGGAAGACAGCTGCCATATTGTGAGCAGCCCTATAAAAAGACAAGGAAAGGAGGAAGACCTCCAGTCAACAGCCAGTGAAGAACTGAGGTTCTCAGCCTATCATCAACAACCAGGTGGGTGAGCTTGAAACAGATTTTTCCCCAATTGAGCCTTCAGTGTGACCACAGCCCTGGCCAGGATTATATGAGAAACCTTGAGCTGGAGGCAGCCAACTAAACTGCACCCAGAGTCCGGACCTACAGAAACTGTGAGATAATAACTGCTGTTGTAAGCTGTTATTTGGAGTCGGGGGGTGGTGGGGCAGTAATTGCTATACAGCGGTAGATAACTAATACATATTCCCAATAGTAAAAATTTTTGGAGCATGCATTCTCCTTCCTTCTTCCTGTCTCTCTTTATATATTCTCTCTCTATATATATATACATATATATATATATATCTCTTTATGAATTAAACATGTGCTAAATATTCAAACTAAATATTAGTAAAGATTGCATCTTTTCTTAATATTATTTTGTTCAGCTCTATAAAGGTACAATTGGAAAATAAAATTGCATAAATCTAAAGTGTACAATGTGATGATTTGATATATGTATATATTATGAAATGATTACCACAATAAAATTAGCACATCTATTACTTAATTTAATTACCATTGTGTGTGTGTGCATTAAGAACGTTTCAGATGTACTCTTTTAGCAAATTTCAAGCATACAATACGGTATTGTGACTATAGTCACTGATGCTGTACATTAGATCCCCAGGACTTTTTCAGTCTTGTAACTAAATTTGTACCCATTTCCCACAAACCCCATCCCCTGAAAACCACGATTCTACTCTGTTTCTGTGAGTTTCACTTTCTTATATTCCACATATATAATCGCTTATTGTGAAGTATTTGACTTTCTCTGTCTATGTCACTTCACTTAGCATAATGTCCTCAAGATTCATCCACGTCACAATGTCTTGTTTCCTTTGGATATATACCCAGAAGTGGGATTAATGAATCATAAGGCAGTCATAATTTTAATATTTTCAGGAACTGCCATACAGTTTTGCATAATGGCTTTACCAATTTGCATTCTTGCCAACAGTGCAAAGGGTTTCCTTTTTTCCACATCTTCACCAACACTTGTTGTCTCTTGTCTTTTTGACAATAGCCATTCTAACAGGTATAAGGTGTTATCTCATTGTGGTTTTAATTTGCATTTCACTAATAATTAGTGATGTTGAGCACTTTTTCATACACCTGCTGGGCATTTGTGTATCTTCATTTAAAAAAGTCTATTTAAGTCATTTCCCCATATTTTAATTAGATTTTTTCTGCTATTGAGTTATATAAGTTACTTATAGTTTTTCTTAATTATTAAATAAAAATGAATATAGAGAGAAGTTTTAATAACTTGTTCTCATACCCACTAAATTGCGTTGTCCATCTCCAGATGTGACCACATTTACTTTGGAGAACACTACAATAGAGAGACACATAAAATTATAACAATATCAACACTCCCAAAAATTGTACACATAGGATAATTTTATTTATCTGATTACTATATCCTTCCAATAGAGTCAGATCTCTTTGTCTGAAATGTTTTATTTGTTCAGAAGTGTTAGCTCTTCATTTATATTAATCAACAGATGACTCATCACAGATGTTCACCTTGGAAGCCTATACTTAGGTCTGCAGAAAATTTTCAGATGTCTTAGAGAGTTTCTTTCTGTCTTAAGGGTTGCTTGGCTACTGAAGAGAAATGTTAACAGCTGTAGGAGAAGCAATTAGTGTCCATTCTGTCCTGATTGACAATTCTGCAAAATGCCCAGTAGCATTTTCTCTGGTTTTACAAAATGGCGACCTTCTGTTTCAGAGTGCTGGGTAGCTATTGAGTTCTGGTACAGTTATCATAATGTGGATGCCCCATGTGGCTCCCAATTAGGGAATCAAGCTTAATTTCACTCCCTGACCAGACTGAGATATAAAAGAGAAAGATAAGACCTTCATAGCGAGGTATGAACAGAGATTTCTAGCAAGCAGAATACATGAATATAAACTTTTAGAAGTATTCAATTAAAAATGCAAAGGCAGAGCTCTCTGAGAAACTGGGAGGCACTGGATGAAAGGAGAGAGATTAGTGAGAACCCGGCAATGAATGCACTGTTTTCATACAATGCCCTAATCAGGAGGACAAGTGGCAGTTGTTATGAAGCATTAAGATTCAGAACAATGCCTTTCCCAGGGAAGCAGTCACTACAAAACAAGGGCTACAGTCGCCACAAAACAAGACAATACTGACTTATACACATGAAAGAGAATAATTGCTTAAAGACGTTATGCCTGACATCTGGTGAGCCTCCTCAGTCTGGAAACAAAAATACCAAGAACTGGAAAATAGTGGGTTATTTTTCCTTTGGCTTCCAGACTTCCTATTTTTCTATATATTTTATATTATCCCAATTATCTTAGTTAGTGCATTAATATAGAAATACTATGGTTTTCCATTTTCCCTAATTAAGACTATTAAGAAGACATTTTATGCTCTTATTTTTTAATGAAATTCAATTTAAAGTCACTGTATCAGATCTTATTAACTACTACATTATAATACATAATATTTCATTGAGAGCAAAGTGCCTAAATCAAAAATTAGATCCAAACTTCAAGAATATAAACTATGATCGTGACAAAGCCATGGTCCTTTGCATATATTTCATCCTGTATAAAATAAAAACTTTGCTCATGTCAAGTTTTAATCAAGTGTGTCCCCAGGAAATACTAAGACATGGAAGACCTGTGAAGAAATTTCACCATTTTATTTTTTAAATAATAGGGTGTCCAAATTAAAGGTTGCACATATTTTAGGGGAGGATGAGACGTGAATAAAGGAGTTGACACACACTGTACCATTTGATTTTAAAGAAGCTAAACAAGAAGTGTTTATTTAATTAATTAATCAAGTATATGTAAGTGCCAACTGCATGTTGACCATTGAGCTATTCATACTGGGATGGAGTAGGCAGCTAGAGGCAGATAGCCCCAGTCTCCAGCACATTGTAGCTTCTCCAAACAATATGTATTAATAAATGGACAGAGACCTTGTTCTCTTTTTTTTTTTTTTTTTTTGAGACGGAGTTTGACTCTTGTTGCCCAGGTTGGAGTGCAATGGTGCGATCTCAGCTCACCACAACCTCCGCTTCCTGGGTTCAAGCTATTCTCCTGCCTCAGCCTCCCAAGTAGTTAGGATTACAGGCATGCACCACTACGCCTGGCTAATTTTGTATTTTTAGTAGAGACAGGGTTTCTCCATGTTGGCCAGGCTGGTCTCAAACTCCCGACCTCAGGTGATCCACCTGCCTCGGCCTTCCAAAGTGCTGGGATTACAGGCATGAGCCATTGTGCCTGGCCTGTTCTCTTCTGTAAAGGAACAAATAATCTAGTTGAAACTAACAGATATTATCCTATTAATCTTCACCATACATATGTGAGGAAGGAAATATTTTAAGCTAATTTTGTGAAGGAGGAAACTGAGGCTCTGGAAGGTTATTTACTCAAGGTCAGAGAACTAGAGAGTGATGGAACAAAGAATTCAGCCCCATCTGTCTGACTCTAGAGTCCCAGCTATTGATTTAGACTTGAATCTTACAGCTGCTGATGGGCCACTCTTCTAAGATCTAGGGACTGTTCTCAAGGATCTCCTGTTAATCCTTCAGTCCTTTACTCTTTTAAATATGTTTTCTTCCCTTATCTGTTATTCACCCCTAGAAATGCTATTGAACAACAATTCAGACTCCTATGGGAAATCTTCCAGCTATAATTATGAAAACACAAGAAAGCATGTACCCCCAAAGCTTAAGGGAAAACCATATTTCAAGTCAAACCTTGAGGGCTACCTGGCCAGTCATTTGGCATTCACCCAGGGCTCAGAACAACCATGACCGGGACAACCAATATGCAGGGATGTTTTCTTTGTCATTGCTGGACAGAAGGAATCTTTCTCAATGATTTTCTGTCGCCACTTGAAATAAGTTTTATGAACAGTTTAATGGCCAAATAAAGGATTTCAGGATACCTCACGGAAAGGATTCTCAATTTTGCAGTTCTCCCAGGACACTTCACAGATTTGCTTCGAGGACACATTGATGTTCCAATTTTCACCAGCGTTCAGAGTTGCCCATTTCTCCTGGAACAGCTCAGGTCAGGGAGGGCCCAGCTGAGACTAGAGATAAAGCACATTAGATAGTTGACAGTCAATAAAATATGGGACCTTGATTTTAGCTGATAATAATAGAAAGGTTTTTGGTTTACAGTTTAATTTTTTTTCAAAATCCTAATACATTTGGATAAAAGTAACTGTACAATAGGTAAATATGCCAGAGAATAAGAATGGCAGCTGGGATTTTTAAAGCTCATCAATAAAAGTGAGTTGCTTCACAAAGCCAAAATAGCTTGTTATTTGTTTTTGTTCTTGTTTTTGTTTTTATGTCATTTAATACCTAAACAATACCATTCTTTCTTGATACCCTATCACTCTTGAGGGATGTTAATTATACTTGGCCAGGAGGCTTCATCCATTCACCCAAAATTGGATCAGAGAGCTCTCATTTCTAAAATAACTGACATATTTCCAAAGGCAACAATGACAGGAGCTTCCAGAAGCACCACACGATTGGTCACAAGTAAATTTTTCAGGAATGTCCAATTAGTAGCGTATCAACAGTCACTGCATTCTTCCTCCCACCATACCTGTTGGAGGCCAGAGATTTGCTCTTGCAGCCCTCTAGGACACCCCCAATTTTTGAAAATTGTTTATCAGAGACGCTATCCAAACATATATGATTATGATGAGAGCTAAGAAAAAGTTTTAAATCTCAGGGTTTTTTTTCAGTTTACAAAACACTTTTGCATATATTGTATAATATATACAGTCTCTAGCTCTATGACAATGCTATTGTAAAACGTGCATCCTACGGTTGAAGGAAGACATTTAATGACAAGATTAAGATTAAGATTGTCAAGACATTTATATGGTGGAGCTTAAAGCTCTACTCAGGTCTTCTGATTTTTAGGGCAATCCTCTTTAACCTCCCATCATTAAGGTTAGTTGACTCATTGGCATACTCAAATGGGCAGAAGCAGCAGCACCTGGGAACTTATTAGAAATGCAAATCCTCTGGCCCCACACCAGACCCTATCTATCAAAAACTCCAGGGTGGGGCCCAGTGACCCATAGTTTAACAAGCCCTCCAGGTGACACTGATGCCCACTGAAACTGAAGACCACTGCATATGCTAAATGTAGTAGCTTAGATCATACTGTGATTGACACACAATTTTATATCAAACATTCTAGAGACAATCTAATATCTTCCTACTTTGGTACCATGAAGCTATCATAGAAATAGTTCCGATAATCAAGGCTCCAAAAACCTGAAAGTCGCGAGATGTAAAATGTTTCAAGCTTATCCATACAATGTGAAGTGGCCATTGCTGGCAGCTTCTCTTCCCTATATTCCTACCAATGGAAGGTAAAGGAAATAATTTTCCCTTCTAAAAATCAAGATTGTCCAACTATTAAATTTTGTTAGAGTAACATATCTTTACCCTATCCAAGTCCTGTTTCAAGGCTTTCAATTTTTTGTTCAGTTCATGGGCAGCCAGATGGGGTGATTCCCACCCCCAACCCCTCGCGCATATCAGGCTTCTGAACACCAACTCTTTCAAGAGCTTTCTTGCATTACATTTGAAAATGTATATGTCTTAGACTTCATACAGAAAAGAAAAGGAATGTTAGGGTCCCCTTGTCATTTGTTCCTTAGCACTCTGTATTTCTCCTTTACAGTACTCATCACACTTCTAATTAGTCGTTCAATGTCACTGTCTAATTACTTGTTCCCCACATGTTCTCTATTAAGACTTCAGAGGCCCTAAGCTCTGACAAGATAATGGTGTGTCTCTTCCAACACCAGATGGATTTTGAAATTTTTTTAAAATCAAAACTTTAAAATAAGTTCAAGAAATCCAATAAGGTTTCAATTTTACCTATCGTGAGTGCTTCTCTGCTTTACTCCAAATATCGTATACTAAACTTTATTTTAATGTTTTAAATAAATTTTAGTGTATATAATTAAGATATATCACATTGTGTTATGGGCTACATATAGATAGTAAAAAGGTTACTATAGTGAAGGAAATTAACATATCCATCGTCTCACATAGTTACCCATTTTAAAAATTTTATGACAAAGAGTAGCTAACACCTACTCATTTAGTGTGAATCCCATATGCGATACAATTTTATTATCTGTGGTCCGCGTGCTGCATATTAGATTTCTAGACTTGTTCATACTACATGTCTGCTACTTTATATCCTCTGATCTACATCTCTCCATTTCTTCCCTTCCCCTCATGCCCCCACTCCTAGTAACTAATTTTTTTTAATTTCACATATAAATTTGAGATCATGCAATATTTTTATTTCTGGGTCTGGGTTATTTCACGCAGCAAAATGCCCTCCAGGCTTATCCATGTTGTGGCAAATAGTAAGATTTTATTTTTAAAGCTTGAATAATATTCCATTAGGCATATATGTACTACAGTTTCTTTATCCATTTGTCTATTGGCAGACACTTAGGTTTTTTTCTGTATCTTGGCTATTATGAATGATGCTACAATCAATATGAGATTGTAGATATTTTTATGAAGGGGTGATTTCATTTGCTTTGGGTATATTCCCAGAAGAGGGATTACTGGATCATATGGTAGTGCTATTTTTAATTTCTTTAGTCCATATTATTTTCCATAATGTCTGTAACAGTCTACAGTCCCACAGACAGAATGTAAGAGTTCCCCTTTCTCCACACTCTCACCAACATTTATTGTCTTTTGACCTTTTGCTAGTAGCCATTCTAAAGAGTGTGAGGTTGTATTTCATAGTGTTTTTTGACTTGCATTTCCCTGATGATACAATGCACAGCATCTTTTTATATATGTTGGTCATTTGCAGGTCTTCTTGGTAGAAAAGTCTATTCAGGTCTTTTATCCATTTTGTATCCAAGTTATTTGTTTCTTGACTATTGGGCTGGGTTGTATGAGTTCTTGATAAATTTTGGATGTTAACCCTTATCAGATACAGGGTTTGCAAATATATTTTTTCAATTCAAAGGCTAATGTTTTATTTCATTAATTGTTTCTTTTGCTGTGAAGAAGCTTTTTGGTTTAATATAGTCCAATTATTTATTTTTGCTTTTGTGGCCTGAGCTTTTTGTAATGACATTCAAAATATCATTGCCAAGGCCAATGTCCAGGAGCAGGAGTTTTATAGTTTTTGTTCTTATATGTAGGTATTGTATTCATTTTTTATTTAATTTTTGTGTATGGTATAAGGTAAAGGTCCAATTTCATTCTTTTCCCTGTGAAAATCCAGTTTTCCCAACACCATCCATTGAAGAGACTATACTTTCCCCATTGTGTCCATTTGGTACCTTTGTCAAAAATGAATTAACACATTTATTTTTGGGTTCTCCATTCTGTTCCACCAGTCTATGTGTCTGTTTTTATGCCACTACCATTCTGTTTTAATTACTATAGCTTTGCAATGTAATTTTAAATCAAGAACTGTGATGACTCCTACTTTGTTTTTCTTTCTCAAAATTATGTTGGCTATTTATGGTGTTTTATGCTGCCATATAAATTTAGGATTGTTTTTTATATTTTTGTGAAGAATGCTATTTGGATTTTGATAGGGATTGTATTGAATCTGTATATTGCTTTTGGTATATAAACATTTTAAAAATAACAATTCTTATGATCCATAAGCCATGAATATTTTTCCATGTATCTGTTTCTTCTTTAATTTTTTTCCATCCATTTATTGTGCTCAATGCACAGATCTTTCACCTCTTTGGTTAAATTTATTCCCAGGTGTTTTTTTTGATACTATCATAAATGAGATTACTTTTTTGATTTCTTTTTCAGTTAGGTATTTTTGTATTAAAATGCTACTGATTATTGTATGTCCTACTATTTACAGAATTTATTTATTAGTTCTAAAATTTTTTGTGGAATATTTAGAGTTTTTGCATGTAGAATCATGTCATCTGCAAATAGAGGTAATTTCACTTCTCCTTTCCAATTGGGATGCCTTTTATTTCTTTTTCTTGTCTGATTGCTTTAGTGAGTATAGTTGACACCTAAACAACACAGGTTTGAACTGCACAGGTCCACTTACATGTGGGTTTCCTGCTTCTGCCACCCCTGAGACAACAAGATCAACCTCTCCTCTTTCTCCTCCTCCTCAGCTTACTCTGTGGAAGTTGACAAGAATAAAGACTTTTCTGGTGATATATTTCAAGTACTATGTAGTAAGTATACTTTCTCTTCCTTATGATTTTCTCAATAACATATTCTTTTCTCTAGCTTATGGATGTAATACATATAACGTACAAAATATATGTTAATCAACTATTTATATTATCTGTGAAGCTTCCAGTCAACAGTGAGCTATTATTAGTTAAGTATGTGGGAAGTCAAAAGTTATACATGGATTTTCGACTGTATGGGAATCAGTGCCCATAACCTCCACATTGTTCAAAAGTCAACTGTCTACTTCCAGTACTATGTTGAATAGAAACAGTGAGAGTGGGTATACTTCTCTTGTGTCAGATCTTAGTGGAAAAGTTTTCAATTTCTCTCCATTTATTTTAATACTTACTGTGGATTTTTTCACAAATGGCCTTTCTTATGTTGAGCAACTTTTCTTCTATACCTAAACTGTTGAGAATTTTTATCAAGAATGGATGATGGGCTTTGTCTAATGCTTTTTCTGCATCGATTGGAATGATAAGTGATTTTTAAAATTCTATTAATGTGATGCATCACATTGATTTATTCATGTATATTAAACCAGCTTTGAATGCCAGGGATGAATCTCATTTGGTCATGATGTATAATCTTTTTAATGTGTTGTTAGATTCAGTTTGCTAATACTTTATTGAGAATTTTCGCATCAATGTTCATTAAAGAAATTGGCCTATAGTTTTCTTTTCTTATGATATATTTGTCTGTCTTAAGCATTTTTATAGTTTGGATATTTGTCCCCACCCAAATCTCATGTTGAATTGTAATCCCCAGTGCTGGAGGTGGGCTCTATTGGGAGGTGTTTGGATTATGGGAGTGGATCCCTTAGGGCTTGATGTTGTCTTCATGATAGTGAGTTCTCACAAGATCTGGTCATTTAAAAGTTGTGGCACCTCCCCTCCACTCTCTCTGTCTTGTTCCTGCTTTTGCCATGTGACATACCTGTTTCCTCTTTGCCTTCTGCCAGGATTGAAAGTTCCCTAAGGCTTAACCAGAAGTTGAGCAGATGCCAGCACCATGCTTCCTGCACAGTCTACTGAACCATGAGCCAATATCACCTCTTTGGTTTATAAATTACCCAGTCTCAGGTATTTCTTTATAGCCATGCAAGAATGGACTAATACAGGCATCAAGGTGATACTGGCCTTGTAAATGTGTTTAGAAGTCTTTTCTCTAGTTCTATTTTTTGCAAGAGTTTGAGTATTGATGCTAATTATTTGAATATTTGATAGAATTCAGCTGAGAAGCCATCTGATCCTGAGCTTTTCATTTTGGGGAGATATTTTACTACTTCTTTACTCTCTTTTATTTGTTACTGGTCTCTTCAGGCTTTCTGTTTATTCCTGATTCAATCTTGGTAGGTTGTATTTTTCTAGGAATTTATCCATTCTCTCTTGGTTAGCCAATTCATTAGCATATACTTATTTATACTAGTCCGTTATAATCTCCTTATTTCTCAAATGTCTGTTGTAACATTTTCTTTTTCACTTTATTTATTTGGGTCTTCACTCTTTTTTTCTTAGGATAGCTGAAGGTTTGTCAATTTTGTTTATTTATTTTAAATAGACAACTCAGTTTTATTAATTCTGTCTATGGTTTTTCCATTATTTCATTTGTTTCTGTTCTAATGTTTATTATTTCCTCCCTTCTGCTAATTTTTGGTTTAGTTTTTTTTGTATATTTTCTTGAGGCATAGTGTTAGACTATTTATTAGGAATTTTCATTATTTTCTAATGTAGGCATTAATTGCAATAAACTGTCCTCTTAGATCTCCTTTTGCTGCATTCTGTAAGTTTTTATTCATTGCCATTTGTCTCAAGTTATTTTTTAATTTCCCTTTTGATTTTTTAACCCATTGATTGTTTAAATGCATGTTGTATAATTTTCACATATTTGTAAACTTTTCAAGATTCCTCCTGTTATTGATTTCCATAACATTGTGGTCTGAAGCAATGCTAGGTATGGTTTCAATTTTCTTAAATTTGTTAAGACTTGTTTTGTGGACTAGCATGTAGTCTATTCTGAAGAATGTTCCATGTACACGGGAGAAAAATGTTCATTCTACTGCTATTGAATGAAAATATTTTTTACATATCTGTTAGGTCCATTTGTTCAAAAGTGAAATTTAAATTCTGTGTTTTCTTATTAAAGTCCTCTCTAGTTGATCTATTCATTGTTGACAGTGGAGTATTGAAGTCTCCTGTTATTATTGTATTGCTATCTATTTCTCCCTTCATTCCATTAGTATTTCTTGATGTATTTTGGTACCCTAATGTTGAGTGCTTACATATTTACAATAGTTATTCTCCCTTGATGACTTGACCCTTTTATCATCAAATAATGACCTTCTTTGTCTCTTGTGAAAGTTTTTGACTTAAAGTCTATCTTGTCAGATATAATCATAGTCATTCCTACTCTTTTTTGGTTACCATTTGCACAGAATATCTTCTTCCATCCCTTCACTTTAAGTCTGTGTGTGCCCTTACAGCTTAACTGGATCTCTTATAGGCAGCATATAATTAGATCTTTTGTTTTGTTCATTTAGCCACTCTATGTCTTTTGATTAAATAATTTAATGCATTTACATTCAAGGTTATTATTGATAGATAAAGACTTACTATGCCATTCTGTTGTTTGTTATGAAATTGCTTTTTACTTTATTTCACCTTAATTTCTGAAGTACAGCTTTACTGGATATAATATTCTTGGTTAGCAGTTTTTCTCCTTTCAGCATTTCGAATATATTATCACATTCTCTAGTGGCTTGCAAGGTTTCTACTGAAAAATCTGCTGACAGTGTAATGGAGGTCCCCTTATATGTAACTTGATACTTTAACTTTTTAAAAAATTCTCTTTGCCTTCACCTTTGGACAGTTTGATTAAAATGCACCTCAGAGAGGATCTCTTTGGGTTGAATCTATTTGGAGACTTACGAACTTCATGTGTCTAGGTCTTCATATCTGTCCCTAAACCTAAGAAGTTTTCAATAATTATTTTACTAAATAAACTATCTGTGACTTTCTCTGTCTCTTCTCCTCATAAAATTATAATAACACAAAATTTGTTTGATCAATGGTGTTTCAAAGTACTGTAGGGTATCGTCATTCTTTTTCATTCCTTTTTTCTTTTTTATCTTCTAATTGAATCATTTTAAAAGACCTGTCTTCAAGTTCACAGATCATTTCATCTGCTTAATCTAGTCTGTTGAAGTTCTCTTTTTATTTAGTTAATTGAATTATTCAGCTCTAAGATTTTGTTTCTTTTATATGATATTCATTTCTCTGTTGAATTCCAGTCAGATCACGAATTGTTTTTCTAACTTTACTGAATTCTCCATTTGTACTCTTGTGTCTCACTGAGTTTCCTCAAGATTATTATTTTGAATTTCTCTTCAGGGAATTCATAAAGTTCCATTTTTTGAGGTCAGTTACTAGAGAATTATTTTATTCTTTTGGTGGTGTTATGTTTCCTTACATTTTTATTTTTCTTGTGTCCTCGTATTAATGTCTGTACATCTGGTGGTGTGGTCACCTCTTTCAAACTTTACAGAGTGGCTTTCACAGAGGAAGACTCCCCTGAAGATGAGCCTGAGGGTGCTGATCATGTAGGGTGCAGTGGCTCTGGTTCTATGTGGGCATAGTGGTGTGGTCTCTATACAGCTTCTGCAGTTGGGATCAACATTAGGACTGTGGGAGTGTCAGTGATCTAGGCTGTAGGAGCTTGTGGCAGTGACAGTAGCTACATAGATTATTAGGGTAAAGGCTTTAGGGATCCTTTTGTTTTTGTTTCCTCACAGTGAGGCATATTAGCTGATGATCTCTTTGTATTGAGTCTGACACAGCTCATAGGAAGCTACATCAGTACCAGGATCCAGGACACAGGTGCTCAGAGCAGCTGCAGGGCCAGCTTCCTGGGCTCAGGGTCTTGTGAAACTATTGTTATACCTGGGACTTGAAGCATAGTTTTACTTTCCAAGGCATAAATGCGTGTAATTCAGCCACTAAGATAGGGTATGTTGCTCTAAGGCACACTGCAGCAGCTCAGACCCAGGCAGGCTAGAATGCAGCTGTGGATATAACTCTGGGGTCAGAACACATTACTGGTATGACTCCTGGGTGTAAAGGTGTTCCAGAGGCTCAAGCTGCAGGGAGTAGAGCACAACTGCAATTCAGGACCCAAAACCAACAGGGCACAGTAGCAGCTCAGGCTCCAGGGAATGATGTACCATGTAGTGGTGACTCTGGACTCTGGGTTGATGGGATGCAGAAGTTGTCTGAGTTCAGTGAGGCCAGCTGCAACAGCAGCGAGGAACCAGAAATAGCATGATCCTGCTGTTGCTTGGACCACAAGGAGCAGAAAGCAGTGCAGCAATGACTCAAATCCCAAAAGGCAGGTGCTTCAGTAGCTTGGACTGCAGGGGACTAGTTTAGTTCCAGATAGACAAGGAACATGGCTGTTTGGCCTGTAGGCCAGGGTAGCACAGCTCACCCAAGTCTCTGATTTCCTGGGATATGAGGCACTGCATCTGTTTGACCACACAACGTGCAGCAATGTGGGTCAGCAGAGCCTCTGGATCCCCGGGGGTGGGGCATCATGTAAGCTGTGGTGTTAAAGAGATGCAACTGCTTCAGGGTGCCAGAATATCAGAGCCCTGAAGGGGTAGGGGAACAGGGTGTTACTTTGGCTGTGGCACCAGGGGCATGGCTGTTCCAGTAGTTTGAGGCTCTGGATCCCTGTGAGCAGGGTACCACTTCAGCTCGACCCTAGTAGGGGGGTGCACTAGTGACTGGGATGAGAAAATGAAGCAGCTCTAGGGCATAGGGTATAGCAGTAGCTCTCCATGGAAATGACATGTTTGGGTGGGTGTTGTGAGGCAGTGACTGAATCTCAGGGGTGGATGGAGGGATGCAATGGGTACTCATCCTCAGGCAGGACACACTGTACCAGTGACTTCTGTTGCAAGATGGTACAGAGCAGCAACAACATGGGCCACAAGCATGTGAGGCACAGCCTCAGCTCCTTCTCTGGGGGTAGCTCAGCATGTTGACTCAAGAGGGCTCTCTCAGATGGGCCCCAAGTCTCTGAGGACTGTAGGATTCTCCAGTAGCAAAGACTGCAGGTGTCCACAGTGGCAATGGGGGCTGCTGGGGTCCTCTTTTTTACCTTTCCTCCACAGGGAGAAGTTCCTTCTGGTTCTGAGCTGACCTTAATTAGGGGAATGAAGTGGGAGAGGCATGGTGATTCCTCCTCTTCTCCATGCAGCCATCCTGGGTTTCTGCGGTCTACAGGACTTCTGCTGCCTCCTTGCTGTTCTGCGATGCTCTCCTTTAGTTATTTTGGTCAAAATGTAGTTTTTTGTTTGTCGTTTGTTTTTCTGGCAGTGAGGGAAGGGGAGCAGAGAGAGCGCTACTAGGAGCTTCTAGTGGACCCTCTTGCTAACATCTTCAAACTTAATTTTTAACAGATGAGAGAAGGATCGCTCCTTTTTTGCTATTACCATAAGCACAGGCTTGGTCTTCCTAATGGACAATCCAGCAATATTTTCACTTAAATTGTAAGTTTCATGGGGACCAAAACTATTTCAGTCTTAGCCACAATGTATTCTCAGTGCCAGGACAATGCCTGAATCAAGATGGGTTCTTAAATAAATGTCTAATTAAAGAATAAGTGAGTGGGTGAGTGAGTGGATGGAGAGAAACAGAATGAGGAAAAAAGATAAAGTAATGGAGAAGGGTGAGAGAAGAAAACGACAGGAGAGATAAAAGGAAAGAAGGAGGGAGCGAGGAAAGGCAGAAGAAAATAAACCAGTTGGTTACTATCTTAATTTTGCTATAGGTTAGGAGAGAGATGTGTTGGTCTTAAACTCCCTGGTTCATTGCTAGACCTCAAAGAATCATCTGTTTCATTATTGCCTAATTCTGGAATAAATGTTGCCATCAACCTTTCGTGGAATTATGAACTATGTCTTTATTTACTTACATGGCATAATTTTCAAATACATGACAGCCCATTGCTCATGTTGCCTTTTTCATGGAATTAGGAAAATGTAGCCTAAGTCTTAAACTTGCAGCTGCCATCCAATGAATGAGTAGGGCCTGCTTTGTGGATAGGGCTGCGATATGCAGCATTAGCTATCCAACTGCTACAGTCCTTGGGACTTCTGAATTCTGTCACCCTAGAAAATGAACATCAGTTGTGCTGACAGCTTTTTTTCCCTATTCTGCCCTTTCTAATGAATCTATTCTAAACTGAGATATGTATTTAAATACTTTGTACATGCTATATCAAAACAGCTATATTAACTTGTGCCTACAAAATCCCACACAAATTACAGGGAACTTACACATTTGATACATTTAGCCAAAATGGAGCTTTTAGATGATATCAATCTTATCAGGTGCCAATAAATGACAATGATGCAGACCTTATTTTCTACTTTCTTGATAAGAAACAATACAATGCTTTGACATAGCATCCAAATTCATAAAATAAGCAGCCAAGAATAAATTTATTCCACAGGCTGAAGTGGAGAAAAGAAGGCTCATATGCTGTGAAAACAACAATAACAATGAAAAAGACCTTCTTATATCTCTAGGTCCCCAGATCCTAATGTGACAAGGATATTATTATCCACTGGAGTCATAAAGCCTTTTATAGAGATATTTTCCCCCTTAGCCCTGTTATTTTAATTTGTGCACAGATTTTAACACAGGCAATTTCCTTCTGCAAGGGCTTTTCACTAATAGAATTATACTGTCTAAGCTCAAAATGGCCTTTCGTTCTCAGTCCACTGGGCTCAAAAGATTATTTTCTTGTGGCGGAGAGCTCTCCACACTACCTGGGAGCCCACTATTATCTGCACTGAGCACCCCAATCCTCTACATCCTTCAAGAGGCTACACAGCTGGACCCAGCATGAAAATGACAAGCAGTAGGAAGCTCCAAGAGTTTATTTTCCTCTGGCTGGGCATCACAGCTTCTGGATTCCCGTCAATGCCATCACAACGCATGCCTTTCAATAAGAAGTGATCCTAACAAGATTAAATGTAATTTAGAGTCAATAAGGAGAAGTTTTGCCATCAGGCAGAATTATAATAGACAGTATGATCAGAAGGTAGAGAATCTGGAAGGTTTTCAGGGATGCATTCTATTGTAAAAAAATGAAACACGGAGGGGAAAAAAATGTTCATTCTCAGCCAAACTTTTCACTAGCTCCCTTTTGCACACAAATCCATTCACGGTCTGTATTAGTCCATTCTCCACACTGCTCTGAAGAAATACCCAAGACTGGGTCATTTATAAAGGAAAGAGGTTTAATTGACTCACAGTTCAGCATGGCTGGGAGGCCTCAGGAAACTTACAATCATAGTGGAAGGGGAAGCAAACACGTCCTACTTCACGTGGCACCAGGAGAGAGAAGTGCAAAGAGAAGGGGGAAAAACCCCTTATAAAACCATCAGATCTCATGAAAAACTCACTATCAAGAGGACAGTATGGGGTACTGCCCCAATGATCTAATCACCTCCCACAAGGTCCCTCCCCCAACACATGGGTATTACAATTAAGATTACAATTAAAGATTAGATTTGGGTGGGGACATAGAGCCAGACCATATCTCAGTTTATTTAGGTAACGAGAACTGTGTATTGCAGTTACAGGGAGGTAAAAACAGAGAAAGACATTTGCAGGAAAAGGAAAACACAGTGTGATTTCTCCAGAGTCATCTTCATTGCTATACAAATGCTGAATGTTTTCACTTTTGCACGACATGGAACTCGAACCCACAAAAGGCACATGGAGCCCACTACAGAATTATACTTCATTCAGGGCACCTCTTAAATCATCACTTGATAGGCAGTAGCTTTGGGAGGTGGCCACTCTTCTGGAAGGCAGCCCTCCATCTTCTGGGCATAACAGATCTGGGAAAGTAGCAGTGGAATTGAGAAACTCTAGTCCAGGGAAGAATAAGCCCACACTGCAAGAAGAATAAGACGCTTTCATGGAGTTACCAGTGAATGCCCTTCATTGGAATCAATTGCCCTGGTATAAATGCAATGAATAAGAAAGTAAGGTGGGCATGTAGCAAGAGTTGATTGTCTGTAATTATTTCCATAATATTAGAGTATTTACAATAAAATTAATGGGAAATAATAATAATAGCTACCACTCCATAAGCATTATAATGAGCACTTAGTGGACAATGTTCTAAGTTATTTTACATATATCATCTCATTTAATTCTCACTGAAGTTTTATATAAAGTATTTTTGCTTAACTTTCACTTTACAAATGGTGAAAATAAAAAGCAAAGATATGAGTAAGTAGCTTCATGTCACACGTTCCATAAAATGTGGAGCCATAATCACACACTGAGCTATGTGACACTATTCTCATGCTTAACCATCACATCTGTTCAACTGGTGACTGGAAATGCAAAACTTTAATCATGGGAATAATTCTAGTTTGGTCAATGTCATTGCTGGGAAGAGTAATAAGCTTATTAGAAGCCAGGATTCAAAAACAAAATGGCCCGGGTGAATGTAGAAACGAATAAAATAATTTTTGACATGGACAATCATAATCTTAGATAAAAAGAAACTATACCTCTACTACTCTGTGAAATGACTAGCTGTGAGGTATGGAAAATTGGCTGAAGTTTTAGAGACATAGACCATCTTATGACGAAAGATTGTGGTGTGGCTGTGTCAGGGCAGCCCATTGAAAATAACCAGGAGTCAAGCCCTGTTACCAGGCCTGGTTCTGCTACAACCTTGTGGGGAAAGAATACAAAGCAGCATATTAATGTCTACAGTCAGAGTGTATGGGTCTCAATATTGGCTTCACCACTTCCCAACTCCATGGTTTACACAAGTTACTGATCTCTGCTCTGCCTCAATTTACTCATCTATAAAATCGGGAAAATAATCGTAGAATTTGTTACAAAGTTTTTGTGAGGATTAAGTGAGTCAATCCACGTCTTAAGTTTTCATTGCAAATAAGAACTTGACTACTTAATATCTATTCCATCAATGACTTAATATGCATTTATAAATTACTTAGATATGCCAAATATTGTGATAGATACTGGAAATATAAATGTGAATACGACTTCAAGTTGTTCACCATTTGGAAGGACAAAGTATCTCAAAACCACCAAAACATTGAAAACAGTATGTGTGTAACATATTACATCTGTGAGAATGGTTATTATCAAAAAGACAAAACATAAGCGCTGGTGAGGATGTGAAGGGAAGGAAACCGTTGCACACCATTGTTGGGAAGGTAAGTTAGTCTAGCTATTCTGGAAAATGGCTTGGGGGTTTCTCAAAAATAACAAACATATGAAAAAAAAGCTCATTATCACTGGTTATCAGAGAAATGCAAATCAAAACCACAATGAGATACCATATCATGCTATTTAGAACGGCGATCATTAAAAAGTCAGGAAGCAACAGATGCTGGAGAAGATGTGGAGAAATAGGAATGCTTTTACACTGTTGGTGAAAGTGTAAATTAGTTCAACCATTGTGGAAGACAGTGTGGTGATTCCTCAAGGATCTGGAACTAAAAATACCATTTGACCCAGCAATCTCATTACTGGGTATATACCCAAAGGATTATAAATCATTCTACTACAAAGACACATGCACATGTATGTTTATTGTGGCACTGTTCACAATAGCAAAGACTTGAAACCAACCCAAATGCCTATCAATGATAGACTGGATGAAGAAAGTGTGGCACATATACACCATGGAATACTATGCAGCCATAAGAAAGGATGAGTTCATGTCCTTTGCAGGAACATGGATGATGCTGGAAACCATCATTCTCAGCAAACTAACACAAGAACAGAAAACCAAACACCACATGTTCTCACTCATAAGTGGGAGTTGAACAATGAGAACACATGGACACAGGGAGGGGAACATCACACACCGGGGCCTGTCAGTGGGTGGGGGTCTAGGGGAGGGATAGCATTAGGAGAAATACCTAATGTAGATGATGGATTGACGGGTGCAGCAAACCACCATGGCACGTGTATACCTATGTAACAAACCTGCATGTTCTGCACATGTACCCCAGAACTGAAAGTACACTAAAAAAATTAAAAATAGAACTGCTATATGATCCAGCAATCCCACTACTGGACATATATCCAAAGGAAATGAAATCAGAAGCTCAAAGGAAAATATGCACTCTCATGTTCCTTATAGCATTATTCACAATAGTCAAGATATGGAATCAACCTAAGTGTCTATCAACAGATGAACAGATAAAGAAAATGTGGGAGACACAGACACATATGTATGTATGGATATGGATATATATCTATATATATATAGATATATATATATGGATGGATGATATGTAAACTAATATATGTATATACATACAAATCTACACAATGGAATACTATTCAGCCTTTAAAAAGAACAAAATTATGTCATTTGGGACAACATGAATAAGCCTGGAAAACATTATGTTAAGTGAAATATTTCGGACACAGAAACACAAATACCAAGTGATCTCACTTATATGTTGAATCTAGACAAGTGGGTCTCATAGAAGTAGAGAGTAAAATGGTGGTTACCAGGGACTAGGGGTGGGAGTGGAAAGGGGTTGGGGAGATGTTGGTTAAAAAAATTATGTGTGACAGAGATATAAATTAGTGATTACAGACCAGAGGAAGCAGTTAATTTTTAAGTATCTCGAAACTTTAACAAGTACTTTAAAAATATGTTACAAAGAGAAGATAAATGTTTGACGTAATGGATACCCCAGTGGCCTGAATTTGGTCATTGCACATTGTATATGGGTATCAAAATATCACATGCACTAAAAAATTACAATTATTACATATCATTTTAAAAATTGTTAAAATGGAAAAAATATCTGTTGTCTTAAATGCACACCTAGATGGAGTATTGTATATATTGGCCAATGTCTATCAATTGGACCATTGTTCGTATTCAGAGCCATTACTGACCTACCCATTTCCATTATCCAAATATCCAATCAATTATCTTGACTGCTGAAATGTGTCTTTATCTTTAAATGCATTTTTCTAATAATAAAAGAAAACAGAAGCTAAGTATGGAAAACATTGGAATAAATTATAAGGAAGAGAGAAAAATTAGCTATAACACCACAACCTAGAAAAAATTTAGATATTCATAGTGGTTATTTCTTTCCATCTGTTCTCTTTGTGTGTGTGTGTGTGTGTGTGTGTGTGTGTGTGTGTATAGAGAGAGAGAGAGGTTATAATATATATCCTATATCTAATGTATTACATAAATATATTAACTCTTCCATATACATTTTTAATTTTTCATTTTGAAATAATTTTGTACTTACAGAAGAGTTTCAAGAGAGTACACAGACTTCTATATATTCTGCACCAAGCATTCCCTAATGGTAACTGTCGTATATTTATCAAAACTAACGAGTTAACACTGATAAAGCAGCATTAATCAAACTGCAGGCTTTATTTGGATTTCCCAGTTTTTCCACTAATGTTCTTTCTTCTGTTCCAGGATATAATACAAAAAATCATCTTGCATTTCAGTTCCCATGTACTTTAGATACATTAATTACAATTATAAATTAACTTTCCATGTATGTACTTCCCACTCCACATAGGACTCTTAACACATCAAGTATACTCTACTATAAGCTTTCAGTCTGGTTCCTATATCCCACTTCCTTTACTATTCCTCAAAGTGCTACCTATAAATCATCACCATCCTGCTCAGAAACCTTCAACCTTACTCTGAGAGAAAAACCGAAGGTTCTTTGGAGAACATTAGAGACTCTCCACATTCAAGTCCCAGCCTGCCTGCTCTCTTCCCTGAGGTGAGCTGGCCTGAGCACTGCCCCCAACAGCCCACAGGCTTTATGCTTTCTACTTCCATATTTTTACCTATATTATTTGTATTATCACTCAGGTTATTTTTTAATTGTATTATTTTCCCTTGCACATGAAAGCCATCCCCACCCACCTCACTCTCCTCTGCTTATACATAGTCATGCATCCCTTAATGACAGGGATACGTTCTGCGAAACGCATTGTTAGGCAATGTCATCATTGTGCAAACATCGTAGAGTGCACTTACGCAGATTTAGGTGGTGTAGCCTACTACACACCTAGGCTATGTGGGGGAGCCAATTGCTCCTAGACTACAAACCCGTACAGCATGTGACTGTACTGAACACTGTAGGCAATTGTAGCACAAGACCAAGTTTTGTGTAGCTAAACATATCTAAGCACTGAAAAGATATGGGAAAAATACAGTATAAAAGTTTTTTTAAAAGGTAAAAAACGGTAGGGCACTTACCATGAATAGAGCTTTTGAGACTGGAAGTTGCTCTGGGTGAGCCAGTGAGTGAGTAGTGAGTGAATGTGAAGGCCTAGGACGTTACTGTACACGAAGACTTTACAAACACTGTATACTTAGGTTATACTAAATTTATAAAAAGAAATTTTCTTTCTTCAATAATAAATTAATCTTAGCTTAAAATAATGTTCTTACTTTATAAACTTTTAATTTCCTTAATTTTTGACTCTTTTGTAATAACATAGCTTAAAACACAAACACATTTTACAGATGTGCAAAAATATTTTTATATCCTTTTTCTTTAAGCTTTTTTCTATTTTTATTTTACTTTACTTTTTAAACTTTTTTGTTAAAAATTATGACATAAACACACTCATTGTCCTAGGTCTACACAGGGTCAGGATCATCAATATCAGTCTTCTACCTCCACACCTTGTCCCACTGGAAGGTTTTCAGGGGCCCTAACAGGCATGGAGCTGTCTTCTCCTATGATAACAACCCCTTCTTCTGGAAGACCTCCTGCAGAATCCGCCTGAGGCTATTATACAGTTAACTTTTTTTCATTAGTAGAATGAGAACACTTTAAAAGAATGATTAAAAGTATAGTAAACACATAAAACAGTATCAATCTATGATCATTATCAAATACTGTGTATCACACACACTCATATATCCTAGACTTTTATGCAACTGGTACCACAGTAGGTTTGTTTACACCAGCATCACCACAAACACATCTTAGCACAACGCATTATGCTAAGATTTCATGATGGCTACGATGTCACAAGGTGATAGAGATTTTTCAGCTCTATTATAATTTTATGGGACCAGCATCGTGTATGTGGTTTGTCATTGACCTAAACGTTGTTACGTGACACATAGCTGTACAACTCTGATTCTCTAAAAATTCACCCAGCATTGTTTGCTATCATTTTAGTCTCTATCCTAGTTCCCCAACCAGTTCATGAACTTCTTTGGAGAACTGTCTTGTCTGCAGTATTGCATCTCTATAAAGTATTGCACAGTTTAGTTTAATCAATACGTACTGATTGAGCAGCCGGACACCTTCAACTCTAATGATATAAATAATGTGATCTCTGGGTGTCCAGTCCAGCACTTAAGGAGCTTGGAAGTTGTCACTCCCATCATTTAAGGAGCTCAGAACTTGTCACTCCCATCCTAACACAAGCAAAACAGCCAAACAGAAAATTAACATATATTTTTAGAGTCATCAGAGAATTAAGGTCATAGGAAAAACCACTGACACCAGAATTAGACACGGACAGGCAAAACATGAATCCCAACTTACCAGGACAGAGACTCATAAACAGATACTTCTGTGGGAAGCAGAGATGGTCCCATAACAGGAAAAGCCAAACTATAATTGATGAATTGCTGGGGGCTCAGTGTGGACAAGTTTGAGAGTTTAAAATAATAGCTCGACACTAACTGTGCCTTTACCATGCTTCAGGATATAAACATGTTATATATATCAGCTTAACTAACTCTCACAACAGTCTTATAAGGAAGTTTATCTCCATTTTACAGATAGGGAAACTGAAGCATGGGAAACTTGAGTAAGTTACTTAATGTCACTTGGATAATAAACATCGGAGCCAGGATTTGAATCCAGGTGAGTTGGCTCAGGAACCCACACTCTTAATGATGCATTACATTTGCCTGATACCAGATACAAATAGCCACTCCGGCAAGGTCATCTAGGTCAGTCATTGCTCAGGTATCACATTCAGACACTGGGAAAGCCTGGGATCACAGGCCTTGTCTACTACTCTCTTCGAGACACTCTCAGCAACTCACATAGTTGGGGGTTGTTCTTTCCTATGGCCGGCCCTACCTTGGCACTTCAACCCCCACCTCCCCATCTTACCTACTGCCACAGTTAATAAGGTTTATTCTCCTTTCACATCACCATAACCCATATTATGAAAGACCATCATCAAATGTCTCTATGTCACATTTTTCCTAATTTCATTCTTTAGGGCTCATCATGCTTTGTACTCTCTACTATGTCCCTCCCCTCAGACAAGAGCCTAAAATATTCTGATTAGTGATGAATATGTGTTCTCCGGGTGAGGCGTATTGCTAATAATTAAACAGTATTAATTCTACCAGCTTTGATTATACTCTGCTCTCTCAGTAATAAGGTTCAGTATTCTATTTTCATTCTGCCTAGCATTGAGTAATAGAATTGGTGTTTAAGAATTATCATATAAATCTATTTTTTGGTCAGCCAGTGTTGGAGGGTTTTTTTCAATATATTACAAATGTATTCATTATTCCCTAGTTCATAAAAATAATTAAAAGCTACAGGCCAAACACAAATTCCCAGAACACGAAAACCTGACTGGCATCCCACTGCCAAATACCAAGGTTGCCAGCTTCTGAGTTTATGGGTTTCTTAATGAGAACTTCTACCTTCTCATTCGATAAAGGGCTTAGGTAGACAATTCCTCCTGGTGTTCCTAGTATAATTCCTGATATAACCAGGAGTTGCAAAACTAAAACCCTACACATCTAAAATGAAACTGGCCTACTGTTATTTTATATATGTTTTTAGAAATTCAGAAATGACTTGCCCTAAAATAAAACCTGTCAAAAAAATTTCTTAAAAGTGATTCATAGAATGTAAATAACATGTGTTCATACTCTTCTAAAAAAGAAAGGAGGAAAATAACAGAGAAGGAAATACAAATAGATCCAATTCATCATTGTGATACCTAGGTTTCTCCTTAGATAAAACAGACATAAAACATGTGCTTTACAAGTCTCAGATGACCTTCAAGACATCTAAGTACAGTATCTGTGGATTTTTAAGTATAATTAACAACTTGTTTTTCTATTTAAAGAATTTTCATTCTGTTTCCTTAACAGGCAAAAGCCAATCAGTCTTGTTCTCAAATGCTAATGTAAGTAATTAAAAATAACATTAATTGAAATACTGCAGGGCTGTTAGGTTTTTAGATGGTGAGTTATTTTTTTTTCCTTCATCTTAACCTTGTGGCAATACTAATTTACATGACCAATTAGGGAAGCACCCTTTGTATGATCCATCTCTAGGATAAAGAGCTGGGCTTTAAAATCCAGCAAAGAACTGCAGAAGGCCACAGCACTGTAAGTAAGCTTGGGCGCCAGCAGCTAGAATCTTTATTTCACCTGGTAGACCAAACATGACAGATCGTCTTATTTACAGTGTGAATACTAATTTTTTTGGTTTTGGTAACAAAAATACAGTGCTCATTTGTATTGTTGTAAAACTTGTAAATATGCCCTGTAGGATAAGTAATATTCGAAGCAACATCCTAATTAAAAGGAAAACTCAGTTGTCTTGCAAGATAATACAAAAGGGCACATAAATTGTAAATAAGATACATGGTAAAAATGAAAAAGACAGGCTGGATAGGAAAGGAATGAAATAAGATTCGGAAATGTGCTTCTTAAATGAACACAAATTGTGAGATAATGTCTCACTGAACAATAAAAATAACAAACCAGTGGCAAAGATGTAATAGAATTTCCTCTGTATACCATTTTAATCTTAATATAATTTTCCCCAGTGCATCCACATTTATTGAACTACTACAACCATTTCTTTCTCACTCTGTCCAAAGTTACTGAGAGTGTGTTTCTTTGCTGTAAATAATTCCCTGATTATGAACATGAAAACGATCCAGAAATTGACCACAGTTTATAAAAGAAAAAAAATGACAGAGCATCTGCTCAGGGCCAAAAGCCTTACAAGAATGCCAAAAGCATGTGCAGTTTCCTCAGGGAAGCAGGGGCTGCATGCAAAAAACCATTTTCCCTTCCTCCTGCATAAGGCAACTCCACACCTCTATTTCTTTGTTCCTGTCTTCAGAAAATGCAGAGAAGACTTCCATGGTACCTCAAACTACAGTTTGCCATCATGTGAGAATAGGGCTGATGCCAAGGGAAGTGCCAAGTCCAGTTAATCAGAACCCAAATGGCTTGAGAAAGATGCACAACAGTATGGCCTCAGTTTCTCAGTCTGCAAAATGGGGATGATCATAGTTAAACCTCTTAGCTTCAAGTCTAATGGGTAACTAGGTGCTTACTGAAGTCTACTGAAATATGGATGTGAAAGACCAAACTCCACATACGTGAAGGGTTTGCTGGAGGGGAGACATGGAGGCCAGAAGGAGCCCTGCCTCTACTCCTGACCCCTACCTTAGGAAGTTCAGTAAAATGTCCAATTCCAGTCAACCCCATACCAATCTCAGACATTTCAACTACCGGGGTAATAAATCCCCACCCCACCTTTGCTTACACTGAGGTTGGTCATTCACTTCATGTATTTTTTTCATGAGGTTCTTAAGGTTCTAAACTTTAAAGAAACATTCAAAAGTGGAAATTATGCCCTGCTTATCACTTAGCTTTTAATTTGGCACCACTCTGCCAAATTAGGAATCTGTTTTTTACTGAACATCAACACTCAAATACTTTTTCTGCCATTCAAAGTCTAATTTATTCTATTATTTTATTATTTTTCAAAAGTTCATTAGGCAAAAGGGAGATGTACTTGTCCAAACACACAAAATATGGGCCGAATATATTAACAAGTAGATTATCAATTCACTATTTTGTTGAAATGAATGCATAACTGTATAATGTGACTTTTAACTTTGATTTTTTATGTAGAAAAATTATGGATCACATGGCAGTGGATCACCTAAGCAAAAACAGCTTATGGAATCAGAATAATTAAGTTCACAAACAGGTACGCTTATAATAAATGGTCTCCTGTTACAGTTGCAAATCATGGTTGTATCATCTTTATAAACTTTGCATTTTTTTCTAGAAAAATGTCTAAGGATTTAAATTTATGTTTCCAGGTCTATCTGATTTTGCAATACAAAAATCAAGGTTAGTGGTTTTCTCTTCCATTTTTTTTAAAAACCTCATTGATCCAAATACAAATAAAGGCCATTATTAAATACTTCACGAGGCATTACATATTCAGACATTTAATCACAGATCCATTGATATTAAATGTTGATTAAAGAAGTAAGTTGAGATTGCCTGAAAGATCATCACCAAAGCAGATTTCCTTTCCAAAAGCAGACGCCTCTCCTGTATTTCTCAGCCATCTTGCCTACAGATGTGCTTCAAGGCCATTGTTTCGGATGATCTTGGCTTATTCCTTGGCCGATGTGTAAGGGACTCGGGGTCTAGCTGGGTCTTCAAAATCAACGTGGAAGAGACCAAACCGGCTGCTGTATCCCTGGTTCCACTCAAAGTTATCCAGAAGAGACCATGCACAATATACTTGAAGATTGACTTTATCAAGTTGGATAGCTGAAATTTAAAAAAAAAGAAAATTATCATTTCTGGGAAGGCCTGATGAGAACACAGACAAAATCACTGATGAGCAGTCTGGGTCTCTTTCTCCTTCTCTGCAGGAGATCACAGTGGGAGAAGACAAAACCTGTTCTCTATCCCCCTTTTCCACAAAAAAGAGATAAGTATGTAAGGTAATGCATTCTAATTCGCTTGATTTAGCCATTCTACAATGCTGTACATATATCAAAGCATCATGCTGTACACCTTAAATATATCCAACTTTTATTTGTCTATTTTAAAAATCCCCTTTTCCAGTTTTCTGCTTGAATCAAGCAGGGGCTTAATTCAATAAGTTGTTATATATTATTCTAATTATTCGGCAATTCATTCATTTCGAATTTACTTCATTCATTTACTCAATGAACAATTTTTCAGTACCTATCACTTTTTAGGCACAAAGATACACACACAAGTTCCTCTCTGGTACCTAGAAGGATATTCAGTAAAGACACTGTTCCGTTTGTAAGTACAGCCTCCAGGTATTCCAGAAAGTCCACTAGAAAATTGGAAGAGATAACAGTAGCATGCCTGAGGAAGCCTCAGAGCTTACCTGCTGTCCCCATGGTCAAACTGAGACATGTCTTATAATTCTGGAGACAGAGCCTCCAAAATGAAAAGAGTCAAGGGTCAGCACGCAGCTTCAGCCATGACTATATCCTAGACCGAGGGAGTACAGAAATGCTATGGCATCCTCTCTTAGTCTGATAGGGTGGCTATAACAGCACACCATACACTGGGTGGCTTATAAAAAGAAAAAATTTATTTCTCACAGTTCTGAAGGCTGGGAAGTCCAAGATCAAGGTGGCAACAGATTTGCTGTCTTGTGTGGGACTGTATCCTGTTCACAGATGAGTGTCTTCTTGCTGTGTCCTCATATGGCAGAAGGGGCCAGGGAGCGCTCTCATACTCTACTTATAAGGGCACATATTCCATTTATGGGGGCTCCATCCACATGACTTAATCACCACCCAAAGGCCCCACCTTTGGGATACCGGGAGCTAAGGTGTCAATATGAATTTGTGCGGGGTTGGAGGGGACAAAACTTTCCATCCATAGCACATCCTCTTTGCCCCATATCTAAACTCAAAATGGTGCTTAAGCCCTTTAAGAGCCAAAGCAATGGAGCATCTCTCCACTAAGTGTATACATTCATAAATATTTGGTATGATTTTATTTGTGGATGCCCAGAAGCCCATCCACAGACTCCATGTTAAGACATCAAAATGTAGATTCAACACATATAACTATTCTCCACATAGTTTCACACTGATTTCCATCACTTTATTCAGGGAATTTAGCTTACATTTTCTTAGCATTTTAAGCTTGGCAAAACTCTGAGGTCTTGTGAGTCCTTGCATTGCGCATTTTCTTTTTTAAAACCAGAATAAATAAACCCAACCTATGGGATGCACTTCCTAAAACACCAAATATCCATTTCTCAGTAGAGAAATTAAATGAAAAGGCCAGTTGCTTTATAAGGTGGATATATGTCTAAATAAGCTAGGTGAGAATAAACATTCATATACTAAATCATATTTTAATTGTTTCAGAGATTGCTTTCAACCAAAATGACTCCTCTAAATATTCAGCAAAATAATACCTAACCTTTAATTTTTTCATTGGTGTCCATTTTGTATTTCAGGTCTCTTAAAAGCACTATATCTATATTCCACTACACATGCGTTGCTCTCCAAACATTCTTGGAATTTTTTTCTATGGATATTCCGTAGACAAAAAGCCCCCAACAGTCTAACGTATAACCCCCTCAACATTTGTGCCTGGAGGCGTAAGATCTGCTTTGCTTAGAGAGTTTTTTATAAATAGCCTTGAGGCAGGAATTAAGCCAAGCTGGATTGACTCCTTTAATTTTTTTTTAATTTTCAATTTTTGTGAGTGCATAGTAGGTGTATATATTTATGGGGTACCTGAGATATTTTGATATAGCCATGCAATGTGTAATAACCACATCATGGTAAATGGCACGGGGTACAGTGTCAACCATAAGGCTGTCCTCACTGTGACACCAACCACGACCACACGGTAACTGATGTGATTTATCATGATGTTATTATTACACATTGCATGTCTATATCGAAGTATCTCATGTATCCATCCCCTTAAGCATTATCCTTTGTGTTGTAAACAATCCAATTATACTTTTAATTATTTTTTAATGTACAATTATATTATTATTGACTGTAGTCACCCTGTTGTGCTATCAAATACTAGGTTTTATTCATTCTCTCTATTTTTTATAACCATTAACCATTCCCACTTTGCCCCCTCCTACAAACCCTCCACTACCCTTCCCAGCTTCTGGTAACTAACATTTTACTCTCTATCTCCATGAGTTCAATTGTTTTAAATTTTAGCTCCCACAAATAAGTGAGAACATGTGAAGTTTGTCTTTCTATGCCTGGCTTATTTCACTTAACATAATGTCCTTCAGTTCCATCCATGTTGTTGCAAATAACTGGATCTCACTCTTTTTTATGGCCAAATAGTACTCCATTGTGTATATGTACCACATTTTCTTTATCTATTCATTGATTGATGAACACTTAGGTTGCTTCCAAATCTTGGCTATTGTGAACAGTGCTGTAACAAACATGGCCATGCAGATATTCCTTCAATACACTGATTTCCTTTCTTTGGGGTACATACCCAGCAGTGGGATGGCTGGATGGTAGCTCTATTCTTAGTTTTTTGAGGAACCTCCACACTGTACTCCATAGTGGTTGTACAGATTTACATATTAGCTCTTTTTAAATAAATATTGTTGAGAAATAAGAAATATAGCAATAAGCACATTAAGCTGTGCATGAATAAAAGCATTACTAGATATCCCTTTTTCTCCTACCTGTCCACATTTGCTATGTCAGTTATAATCTGGAAATATCAATGTTTTATATAATTTATTTTTTTAAGAACCCAGTTTAAGTACTGGATGGCATATCTCTAAGAATCAAAATGGTCTGGCCAGGCGTGGTGACTCATGCCTTTAATCCCAGCACTTTGGGAGGCCGAGGTGGCTGGATCACCTGAGGTCAGGAGTTTGGGACCAGCCTGGCCAACATGGTGAAACCCTATCTCTACCAAAATTACAAAAATTAGCTGGGCGTGGTGGCGGGCACCTGTAGTCCCAGCTACTTGAGAGGCTGAAGCAGGAGAATCACTTTTACCTGGGAGGCAGAGGTTGCAGTGAGCCGACATCATGCCACTGCACTCCAGTCTGGGCAACAGAGTGAGACTCTAACTCAAAAAAAAAAAAAAAAAAAAAAAAAAAAAAAAATATATATATATATATATATATATATATATATATATATATATATATATATTTATCTCAAAGCCAAATACCAGGCCAGAAAGCAATAGTCTCTTTTGCCTTGTAATTCAACCTGGGGACATGTGAGAATTTGCATATTTTCTTTCTCATTTGCAGAACCACTGCCCAACAAGAAACCCTGCCAGGTATAAAGCCAGACAGTTTCTGAAAACACACATGGTCCCACTGATCACATATAAAAGGATTGATTCATGTGCTAAACCACTGGACAAAAACGATGCCTTGCCTGCTTGGAAGGGAACAAAAAGGAAATCTTGACAATTTCATTGTTAACTGCCAGGAGTTCTGCAGCAGGCACTAAACTGCCCGAGTGACACTGGTGAATGTCTGTGCATTTTCATTGCAGGAACATTGAAGTAGAGAATTACTTAGTTAAGACTGAGGAACTAGCCTGCTGGAATCTTCCTCACTTGCCACCACTGGGAAAAATTACAAAACCACACTGGAACCTGCATGCCTCTCCTCTTCCAATCTCCTCAAGAACCAAAAGAGACCATCATTACATTTCTTGCCACCATGATTTATGAGGTCTTAAATCTTGCCAGGGGGAAAAAAAACACTTCTATGAGTTCACTTTCTGTTTCCAGAGTTGGAGTCAAAATAAACACAGGAGCTTTGGGTGAGTATGGAGCACACTAGGATAAAAATGACATGCATCACAAAGTCAGGGTATGGGTTTGGACTACAAGATCAGTGGAAAACGTCTCACAGTAAGCAGGTTGGAAATAAAAGTGTAAGAGAAGTATCTAAGCCTTGCTAATATGTTATAGCTTCTTTCGGGCTGTTCTAATTATAAATACCCTATGCAGGCTAGGCACGGTGGCTCACACCTGTAATCCTAGCACTTTGGGAGGCCAAAACGGGCGGCAGATCACCTGAGGTCAGGAGTTCGAGACCAGCCTGGCCAACATGGTGAAAAACCATCTCTACTAAAAATACAAAAATTAGCCAGGCATGGTGGCATGTGCCTGTAGTCCCATCTACATGGGAGGCTGAGGCAGAAGACTTTCTTGAACCCAGGAGGCAGAGGTTGCAGTGAGACAAGATCGCACCACTGCACTCTAGCCTGGGTGACAGAGTGACACTCTGCCAAAAAAAAAAAAAACCCTATGCTAGTGTTGTACTCTACACATGCGCGCACACACGCACACACACACACTCTCTCACACACACATGCACACATAAATGCACTGCCCAGTTAGCCAGACTGAAAAGGTTGAGGGCATAACATCAACCATAAGACTGTCCTCACTGTGACACCAACCACAAGATCAAGGGTTTGCCAAACCTTCAGTTTTGGTAATTTGCTAAAAAGACTCACAAAATTCACAGAAAACTGTTATAGTCACAGTTCTGATTTATTACAGGAAGAGATAGAGATTGGCTAAAGAAATAAATGCATAGCACAGGACCTGAGGGGTTCCAAACATGAAGTTTCCATATGACTCCCCTGGGAGTCAAATGCATTGTCTTCCTGGTATTAACGTGCACAATACACATAGAGAATTGCCAACTAGGAAAGCACACCTGAGTTTTAGTGTACAGAGTTTTTATTGGGGGCTGTATTAGGGTTCTCTTAGAGGGACAGAACTAATAGGATATATTATGTATATAGGATATATATGTATATAAACTACGCTTTATATATAAAGTATTAACTTACATGATCACAAGGTCCCACAATAGGCTGTCTGCAGGCTGAGGAGCAAGGAGAGCCAGTCTGAGTCCCAAAACTGAAGAACTTGGAGTCCAATGTTTGAGGGCAGGAAGCATCCAACATGGGAGAGAGACGTAGGCTGGGAGGCTAGGCCTGTCTTGTCTCTTCATGTTTTTCTGCTTGCTTTGTATTCACTGGCAGCTGATTAGATGGTGCCCACCCAATTTCTGCTTGCTTTATACTCACTGGCAGCTGATTAGATGGTGCCCACCCAATTAAAGGTGGGTCTGCCTTCCCCAGCCCACTGACTCAAATGTTAATCTCCTTTGGCAACACCCTCACAGACACACCAAGGATCAATGTTGCATTTTTCAATTCAATCAAGTTGACACTCAGTATTAACCATCACAAGGGCTTTATTATAGAGGCATGATTGATCAATTGATTGCCCAAGTGGATTAACTCAGTTTCCTGGTTAACTGATGCCAGGAACCTAAAGCCCCCACATTAAATGTGATTGGTCTTCCTGATGTGATGAGCTCCCAACCTAAACAAAGAGATTTTTTTCAATTATGATATAGATTGCCTCTTAGAAGCTGAGTGCAAAAACCAAACCGCTCTTTGGACAAAATTTAATTCTTCACTACACGTGTGTGCATACTCATATACATAGAGACATTATTTTAGAAACTCATTATTTTATGACAAGGGGCAGAATCTTTTTAAGTTGCTGGTTTATGAAACATCCTAATTATGCTTGTGTTTGTCACATTACAAAACTCTAGAAATTGGAAGCTCAGCATCAATGGAATTTATTTTTCCACAATTTATAAACAGAGGTAGTCTTTGTTTTCACGATGGTCTAGGACTTATATATAAGATACCTGTGGATGTGACAAAACTATCAAGCTATCAAAAAAAAACCACTCATCCATAGACCCAAGCTGCCATGTCAAGAATCAATGGAAAAATTCAGGACAGTGCAAAAAGCAGCCGCCTCACAAAGGAAAAAAAAGAGAGGAGTAAAGTGCCAGGAATGAGCAGGGAGAAAAAATATATAGGCCTCTAGATTTTTCTGTTTAGCTAATGGCAAGCTATAATATTCAAGGAAACCTTCCTAAGGAAAGTAAGTAAAGAAGGCTGAATATAGTTTTTAAAAATAAATCTTCAAAACAATGGAAATCTGACAAGTTAGTAGAGAATTAACAAGTCAAATTTGAAAGTGGAATTTGAGGTTGGTAGACATGAGAGCTACTTTTGCCTGATGGCATGTTCCAATCTTAGAAAATCTAAATCTTTTTCTGTTTCCTGGGGTAAAGCTAGATGTCAAAACTCAGAGTCATAGCAGGTGGGAAGTCTAGTATGAGACCCCACCCAGAGAAGACTACACACTCAAAAGATAAAACACTCCGTGTAATGGTGAGAGAGTGCCAGAGACAAACTAGTCATTGGAAAGTCTTGAGTTTAATCCCCGGTGGTTCAACAAGTGTAAAGTCTGGATCTTGGTTTGAGGTGATGGCATACTGGTAGTACCCCCAAGTACCTGGCAGATGGACATTCAAGTTATTTTTGAAAAGAGTGATCTGTATATTCTAAAACTCCAATAGTTATTACAATATTTTAAGTATAATCATCAGCACATAATCATATATAACCAGAAAGACATGGAAAATTATGACATAAAGAAAAATAAATAACCACAATCAACAGACAACAGAAACAAATCCACAAAGCACTTAGTTATTAGAACTGTCATACAGACTGTACAACAACCACATTTACCATGCTTAAGGAAAACAGACAAGCCTGAAATATCTTCAAGGTTAGGAACCCAGAAACACTGAGGTGACATGTTTGGAAAGGGAACCTCTACAGGCTTACATTTTAATCCCAGCTGCACCAGTTGCTAGCTGGAAGGAGCCTCTCATTTCTCATGAATACAATGGAGACACTATTATCTACTCCTAGTGATGTTAAAAAGAGTAAATGAAATAATAAGGAAGGCCGAACCCAAGGTAAAATAAACACCAGGAAGGCACATGGACAGAGGAAAGACCATGTGAGGACATAGCGAGAAGTTAGCCTCTGCTGAAAAATGCCGTATCTCCTTTCAGAAATGTATGGCGATCACTGAGAAACTAAGAAGATGCTTTGGCTCAGCAGGGCCAAATGCCTTTTTAGCCCACTGCTTAGCTGAAATCCAGCTTCATCCCCAGTGGATCAGGAAAGTTCTCTCAGTTCACCATGTGTGTGGATTAATGGTGGCCCCTGCAAAGGATAAGTCTGTCTACCCAAAACTTGTGAATGTGGCCTTATTTGGGAAAAGGGTCTTTGAGAATGTAATTAAATTAAGGATCTCAAGATGAGATCATCCTGGAAGACAGTGTGCCCTAAATCCAATGGCAAGTGTCCTCAGAAGATAAGAGAAAGGGCAAAGACACGCAGGAAAGAAGACAACGTGGAGACAGAGGCAGAGATTGGAGTGATACATCTGCAAGCCAAGGAACACCAAGGGTTGCCAGCAGCCACCAGAAGCCAGTATAGAAGCATGGAGTAAATTCTCCCTTAGAGCCTCCAAAAGGAACCGGTCCTGCTGACACCTTAATTTTAGACTTCTGGCCTCCACAACTGTGAGAGAATAAATTTCTGTTGTTTAAAGCCACCAGGTTTGTGGTAATTTCTCACAGCAGCCACGGGAAACTAATGCACCATGCTCTTTTAGAGTGGTTGCCAACTGGGCTCTGAGTCCCAAACCACCCACCTGATCTTCCTGGGGTCTTATGAGAACCTCTCTCAAGGCCTGTCAAAGCTGGAGAAAGAAAGCCTTCCGGGGACCCAGCTTGAAGCCAATTTTCTGGCAATTGCACCCACACTCACTTTGAAAATGTGTTTCTTTGAGTTTGGTTGAAATGCACAAGAGCATTACAATTGGAGGGCATCTCTAGCTGGATAACAGTTTTTACAAGAAAACTGGCATGTTGGCTGTTTTCTCTTTTCATTGGAAAAAAAAATAAAACAACATCAGGAAGATCTAAACATAGAAAATGCATCATAAGCCCCCCACTCCAACTCCAGCTGAATATCAGTGGCTGGACAACATCTGTGAAAATGCCCAAATAATCCCAGTGCAGGAAGCCCCACCTGCAGACGGGAACTCTTAATAGCAAAAACTATGACTTTCTGAAAAGAGAGTCTTTGAAAACCAAAAGCTAATTTTTAAATATTTTATAGGAAAATGCCAATTAACCAGAAAAAAACTGCACAGATTTCTTAATTATCAGTATTATTCCTACTACTTACATTAGACTTTGGAGAGAAAAGGCTGCAAATAGCAAGTAGTTGAAAGGAATTATATTTTAAAAATCTAAATGTTAAAGCTGATCTGAGGCTAGGTTCATGTTCTGGGTCATCTTCTATAACTTCTCTATCAATATTATTTTTACAGTATCTTATCCTCCAGTAGAGAAGTTTCTTTTATGGGAATGAAATTTCTTCTCAGCAAGGGAATTTCTCTTCTATTGGAAAAGCTGCCTTCCTTACCCCGTTCCCTCCCTTTCTCTCTACTTTCCTTTCTTTCTTTTGTTTTTCTCCTCTGGGACTTACTTTCCTCTTCTGCAAAATGGGGTTATAGTATCATTTTCATAGGATTGTGGTGCGTATTAAATAATGAATAATGCCTAGTAAACACCCAATATAAACTACCTCGTTGTTGCTATTGTTTTTATTTCCCTCAGAGTCTGGGAGGGCAATGAATGAAATCTGTTTTATCTCTTTCTCCCATCTGGCTTCAAACAGCTTTCAGAGGGTATAGAGTCAGCACAAAATGATCGGTGCTGAGAAGCAGAGAAATCAGGGCATAGAGGGCAAGTTCAGCATCTGGGACAGGGTTTGTGCTCTGTGAGAACGGGTCAGTTGTGGGTCACAAGAAATAATCAGCAAAAACAAGGAGCTCGGGGTGATTCTGCCAGGAACACTGGATACTGCTGAAGCTCCCCTGCTTTAGTGTGCTGGGAGATGGAGATGGCATCACTCAAGGTTTTTGGGATCCTGCAACATCCATCCTACATCCATTAAGTAAATATACGTTGTGCTAGGAACTGCGAATACAATGATGAACAAAATAAGCAGCCCTTCATTTACAGCTTATGTGGAAGGTATATCTAAATCAAATTATCACTCTGTGAGTATCAAATTACTGTCTGTGAAAAGTAGTGTGAAAAGAAAGAAGTGGGTAATGTGAGAACATTTTAGTTAACAATTATTGAACATTTAGTTACCACTTTAAGGATTTCATGTATGCATTCATCCATTTAGTCTTTACAATCAACCTATGAGTTAGATAGTTATTATCAGTGTCGCTATTTTATAGGTAAAGGAATTGATACACAGAGCGGTTAGGTAACCTTTGCAAAATTCATACATCAAGCAAGTAGGAGAGTTGACATAGAAACCCAGGCAGAGTAACAACAGCAGCAGCAGGTGAAGCCATCATGCCATACTGAGTCTTGACAGCACACGAGAGTGGAAGATCTGCCTTAATCAGCAAAAGTGGCAGAATAAGGCTAATGGAACAGTTTCCTGGAGTAAACTAGAGCTGAGTGCCCACAAATGAGTTGGATTACCTAGCACTAACCAGCAGGGCTCTTTCTCGGTTGTAAGCAACAGAAGCTGAAGTTGGCTATTGAAGCATAGAAAGTGTTGGGCTGAAAAAACAAGCTCAAATAAAGCTCTCAGGAACAGTGCTCAGAAGCACACCACAGAACTAGTTGGTTAAAGAAACAGCCTTGGGCCAGGTGCGGTGGCTCACTCCTGTAATCCCAGCACTTTGGGAGGCTGAGGCAGGCGGATCATGAGGTCAGGAGATCAAGACCATCCTGGCTAACAGCGTGAAACCCCATCTCTACTAAAAACACAAAAAATTAGCCGGGAGTGGTGGCAGGCACCTATAGTCCCAGCTACTTGGGAGGTTGAGGCAGGAGAATTGCTTGAGCCCAGGAGGCAGAGCTTGCAGTGAGCCGAGATCACGTCACTGCACTCCAGCCTGGGCGACAGACTAAGACTCCATCTCAAAGAAAAAAAAAGAAAGAAACTGCCTCAACTGCTAATGACCCAATGAGCGTGAGCTTCTGCAGTTCATGTGGCTCCCCACATCCAACTTTCTTGCAATCCTAGCAGACACCAACATCTTGGCAACTTCTGTACCAGAAACTAGACCTTACAAGGACTATCATTCTCAAAAGCTGGATGTCTCTTCTGCCATCCTTACCAGCACAATAGGTTTTGCCTTTGTCAAGCTGTTCCCCTTGAATTAAATTCACACACAGATGAGTCTGACTGGTGGGACACATGTCTGTTCCCTTGCTCCAGAGAAACCTGGGGAATCTCACTCTCTACCTTGGCTAGACAAAACTCATAATGCTGGATATCTTTCAAATGTAACCAATGTGTTCAACAAACGCTAGACAGCCGAAAACATGACAGATGTCTACAGCACTAGATGAAGAACGACAAGAGCAATCCAAGAAAACAAAATAGCATATCTGAAAGCTCAGCTATGGGAAGGGGTCACAACACATTTAAGGAACTTAAAAAAGACAGTTCAGCAGGATATATTATAAAAAATTTATGGGGAGAAAGTCGCAAAGTAGTGCCTGAGACATTCAGCTCCCTTTAAAGATTTTAAAAATTTTGATCTTTATCCCAACAGCAACAACAACAACAACAAAAATCGAAGGGTTTTAAGCAGGGGAGTTACTTTAGCTAATTTGTATTTTTAAAAGATTACTGTGACCTCTGTGGAAAACAGATTTGAGTGTAGCAAGAATGGAATCAAAGAGAGCATTTAGGAGTGATTACAGTAAATCACAACGGAGATGATGAGAGGTTGGTCTTGGGTGGCTTAAGTGAAGATGGAGCAAACCAGATGGATTCAACAGAGGAGATATTCAGATAAAAATCAACAAGATTCAGCAATTCACTGACTATCAGTGCAGAAGGAGATAAGAAAGCAAAGTTAGCACAATTTAATGAATATTGTCAATGTCTGAATTAGAAAATATTGAACACAGATAAGTTTTAGGGGAGTGGCAGGGAAGATAATGAATCAAACTTTGGTTATGATGACTTTACGTTACCTTTTTTGACCTCCAAAGAAAGAGCTGAAAAGGTAATTGCATAAACAGATAAAGAGCTCAAAGTAGAGTCCGAGATGGAGGTGGAAACTTTGGATAATGATGGGGAGATGGTAATTGAAATCATGGATGTTGAATAGAATTTAGAGAATAAGAAAACAAGACTTTGGTACAAGCCTTACAGCATTCCAGCTTTTAAAGACAGGCTGGAAAAGGGAGACAGAGAAAGAGGGCCAGAAATACCCCCAGACCCTTAAGCTGATAAAATCACAAGAGATGCTTTCTGTGGATATGATTTTACAGAAGTCACACAGCCAATACAAGGAGAATCTGAGGATAGAACCAAAGGCTGTCTGACTCCAAAGCCCATGATCTTTCCATATGGATAACATTGAAAGATTGCAAATCTAGAATACAAGGACTAGAAGTGACAAGCAAGAGTCAAAGCCACTATGGGAGGAACAATGCTAGACCAAGTGGAGAGCATGAAGTGGTTGGAAGTGGGAGAAGCACCTGGAACACCAGACCCCTAATAGCAAAAATCCTTCTATGACCTTCAAAGTCCTATATGATGAGGCACTGCTCTCTACTTGCCATTTTCCAGGGACACTGAGATCCTTTTTCTTCTTGGAATGTGCCAGCTCTTGACCATCTCATGGCCTTTACACTAGCTTTTCCATCTGCCTGGATCATTCTGGATCAATCACTTTATGATCCTTTGTTGCCATTAAGGTCTTAGTTCCAATTCAACCTTAGTTAGTCTTTTCTAACTCTCCAGTTTAAAATTCTATTCCTAACCAACCCATTCTCTCTCATGTCATCATGTATCGTTTTCTTTGTGGCCCTTACCATTAAAATAAAGTGTTTTCTTCATGTATTTACTCATGTTGTATTATTTTCCCCCAGAAGATGGAAAGGCTCATGAGAAAAAGAGATCATATTCATCTATTCTTTTTAATATACCCCACCCTGAGAACAATAAGTAGCACATAGTAGAGGCTAAGTAAACACTTGCTGAAGGAACAAGTGGGAGAGGGAGGGAAAGAGATATGAGAGGAGAAGGAATGAAAGAAAGCAGGGAGGGAGGGAGAGAGGAAGGAAGAAAGGGAAGGAGCAAAGAGGGATCATCTTAACATGACTTTAATAGGACTCTGGTCTCACTATTCCCATCTGGGTGGTGGAATCACAGCATCTCCAGGCTGAACAACAAAGGCTTCGGTGGCCATTGATTTCAAGTCCTTATCCAGCATCTTAATCTCTGGATTAAGATGGACTACCACTGCCGGTAGTCTCCGTCTCCCATCACAACCAGCCTCTGCTTCCAGTCCCAACCTGATGATTTCAACTCTCCATCCATTCAGACCAAGTATTCCCCATCGCTTACCACTGTCCTTCTACTTTATGACACTGCCTAAAAGCTCCTCCACTGTCTCAGTGGCTGCTACCACACTTCCAACTCTGATTCCCAATGCTTCTCAAGAACTCTCTATTTGGCCCTTGGCTGCATTTCTGGGCAGTCCTCTTGAGTGTTTTCCTCTTGATCTGTTAACTCTGAAAGCTTCAGATATTCTGGGGTAATAGCACCACACTCTCCTGGGCACAGCCTGAAACTTGAATGGTGTCTCCCTGGTCCTGGGAGTCCCTTAGGTTACCATAGTACAGATGGAAGAAAACATTTTCCATCATGTGATTTTATCCCTAGGCCTAAGATACACACTTTGAAATAGCTACCACTTTTTAGTCCATAAGAATATTGATCTACTTGTATATAGAAATAGTTCATTTTGGCCAGGCACGGTGGCTCACTGCGGTAATCCCAGCACTTTGGGAGGCCAAGGCGGGTGGATCACCTGAGGTCGGGAGCTCGAGACCAGCCTGGCTAACATGGTGAAACCCCATCTCTACTAAAAAATTAAAAATTAGCTGGGTGTGGTGGCATGCACCTGTAGTCCCAGCTACTCGTGAGGCTGAGGCAGGAGAATTGCTTGAACTCGGGAGGTGGAGGTTGCAGTGAGCCGAGATCAAGCCACTGCATTCCAGCATGGGCCACAGAGTGAGACTCCATCTCAAAAAAAAAAAAGAAAAAAAAGAAAGAAAGAAAAAAGAAAAAAAAGAAAAAAAGAAATAGCTCATTTCTACCAACCAAAGACACCTAAGAATATCCCCAAAAGAAAGTAGCTGATACCCTGGAGAGAAATATCAGAGTCTCATATTTCTGTACTCAAGTAAGAAGTTAAGTTCTAGGTTCTATGACTCCAGAAATGGAAAAATAGTTACCATGGGTAAATTTTAAAATGGCAACACTGAATGTGGCGGCAAAAGAAAAATATGTAGTTTTACCATAAAACTAATTTAGGTATTTCAAATTATAATTTATTAAACTGTAGCCTGAATTAACAAAATAATCTTTACACTTTCTTCTTCTTACTTTCATTCTCCATTATATCCACAAATTTTTATTAAGTAATGCTATGGTTTCCACATGTTCCCCAAAAAGCATTTGTTGGAAACTTGATCCCGAATGCCTCAGTATTGGGAGATGGGGCCTAATGGAAGATATTTATATCATTCTCTCTCTCTCTCTCTCTCTCTCTCTCCCCCCCAACCCTCACTACATGATGGCTTCTGCCATGTTATGACATAGCAAGAAGGTCCTCTATCTTGGACTTCCCATCCACCAGGACTGTAAGAAATAAGTCTCTATTCTTTATACATTAACCAGTCTGAGATATTCTGTTATAACAGCAGAAAATGGACCAAAATAAGCATCTAGTACTATATACAATTTATTGTTTCAGGCAGAGTGACTCCTATATAGGAGGAAAGAAATTTGACATAGACTTTTCCTTTAAGGCAAGTAGACTCCAAAGACCACACATAGGTTTTCTTGCTATGTACATTCATTCAATATCTTTCACTTTCTTTTTGTAACATATGTAAGACATAATTAACTATATTTTCAATGTCTGTCTTCTACTTCAGATTCTAAGTTCCAGGAGTGCAAGAATTCTGGGGCTCTTGCATTCTCAAGTCTTAGCACAGTGGCTAGTAAAGGACAGGTGCTTACTGAATATAGTCCAAATGAACAAATGGCTACAAATATATATGATATTGAATATAATGTCAGCAGTATAAGAGTAGATGAAAGACGCTTCCTAAAACGGCAAGATTTTCCCCTTGACCAAGATGACAAAATTCAACTTCAACTTTTTCAAATAACCATAAAGAGATATGAGATTTAACCTTCTTCCATTCTGATCAACTCACTGCCCATTTTCTATGTTAGGAAACAGAACATCTTCTTGTGATCACTGGACTTCAAAACCAAGTCTCTTGTCAATAACTGCTATTTGTGTATATATACATATATATATATGTGCAATAAATACTGAATAAATTATATTAAATGCCTCTTAAAAGACATTCTCAGAGGAGTCAATGCCACCCTCTGTTACAAAAGGAGAGGCTGTGTTAGCATTGTTCTCACCACTACACCACAAAAACACCTCAAGTACTTATGGACAGCTGTCACAGTAATTGCCTAGAGTTGAGAGAGATAGGAAAATTAGTACAGCTGAGAAGAAAGAGCAATGACACCTCTTTAAAATGCTACCGTGTAAGTTTTCATATTGCTGGCACCAAGTTCAAGCCCAGGTGGGCAAACCTCACCCAGACTGTCCATCCTGACCTAATGTACAAGTCTCGCTAGTCTGCTTTTTAAGGACAAGGAAGGACACTGCTTGGTGATATGGCCACAAGCTGTTCAGGGAAGAGACTTTGCTCAGCACATTTCAGCTACTGAGCAGGGCTGGGCTCATTTCAGAGAGCCACATAAAATAAATAATCATGCAAAAGCAGATTCGTTCTGATAGGGCTCTGACAGCTGCTCCGAGAGGTGGGTCCTTGCAAGCCCATCTTTCAACAATGAACTGACCCAAAGATCCAGGAAAGCTCCAGACAGGACCATATGGCCTGGAATAAAAACATATTTCAAACTCTGTTTATTATGCATATCTTTCAAAGGTTCACTACTCTGTGAGGAAACATTGCACCTGCAAGGCTTTAATAAGCTTCCCAACCAAGTACAATTATAAAATCTCAGGCACCTGAAGAATTTGTCTTCTCTTATATTTAGCCATGCACTGCCCACAAATGACTGGTCTCATTATTTTTAATTATATGGGTTTGCAGTATTTTGTAAGCTGCGATCAATACTTATTCAGAAAATAAAACTCCTTATAGGCCTCAGAATAAGAGCCATGATATATATCTCTCCTCCTAAACTCTGGAGACTCCAACATCGCATACAAAACCCTCCAGTCTTCCTGAAAAGAAAAAGAAGCAATGCAACTGTGCAGCCCTGGAAAGACAGGAGAGCATTTGACATACATTTAGGCTGAACATCATTCGTCAGGAATGTCAGGGGCGGAGGGGATATGAGCAGCTTTCCTTCACAAGTGAGCCCTGTGACTCCACATCTGGTCCAAATATGTGAGAAGCACAGTTTGTTCATTATCACTCCACAAATATCCATTTGAGCAGTTATTATGTGCCAGACTCCAGGCTAAGGGTGATGATTTAGAGATAAATGGCACGTAGTTTCTGCCCTCAGCTATAAATGGTCTCATTGGAAAAGTAGACCCAAAAGAACTGGTCTGGAAACACAGAGAAACAAGAGCTATAAAAGAACTTGAGGTATGGGCCTGGCACGGTGGCTCATGCCTGTAATCCCAGCACTTTGGGAGGCTGAGGCAGGCGGATCGTGAGGTCAGGAGTTCGAGACCAGCCTGGCCAATATGGTGAATCCCTGTTTCTACTAAAAATACAAAAATTAGTTGGGTGTGGTGGCACGCACCTGTAGTCCCAACTACTCAGGAGGCTGAGGCAGGAGAATTGCTTGAACTCAAGAGGCAGAGGTTGCAGGGAGCTGAGATTGTGCCACTGACTCCAGCCTGGGTGACAGAGCAAGACTCCCTCTCAAAAAGAGAAGAAAAAAAAAAAAAGAACTTGAGGTACAAAGGAAGGGATCACTTAGCCCTTCTGGGAAGTTCATGGACAACTTTCCAAAGGAAAGGGGATTTGAATAGAATCTTGAAAAATAAATGAGGGTCTGCCAGCTAGTTATTAAAGAGAAGGTATGAGTTACATTGGGGTTGAAACTATGTTCATGTGTCATTTTCACTGACCTCTCCCAAGGCCCTGGGCAGTGTGATCCACTTTGAAGCCCCAAGTGCTGTTTCCACCTCTGTCTTTAATTAGCTTATCCATGAACAAGACATGTGTATCTGTGAGTGTTCACATGATTAAATGACTGGTTTGGAATGGATGATTATTATAGATCCACTGCACTCAAATCTCTTCCCAAACTAAGAGTCTACATAAAATTTGAAACCCTTTTATTTATTTACTCTAAACAGTGTACAGTGGTACCTGTTAAGATTTTAAGTATGGATTTTATATAAGATGGCTTAGCCTAATCATTATGCACAATGATATAGTGGCTGAGTCTTTCCTGCTAAGATTCTTTTTCCCCCGAACCACTTGTTCAACATCAAAAGAGCCTTTGACTTGTGTCATAGAAGGATATCATACTTTTACTATAAAATGAAGAATGTAGAACCAATAGCAATAGATGAAATGAAGATTTTAACTACAAAATTACATGGTAGACCTGGAGACACATAAAAGAAGTAAGTGTTGCTTCCTAGAGGCATTGATGATGGCATCAATAACATGCAAAAAGATGAGCTTCTTTGACTAAGGGTTGTTATTTGGGAAACATATTGAGGGGAAGGAAGGGAAGGGGAGGGGAGGGGAGGGGAAGGGAGGGGAAGGGAGGGGAGGGGAAGGGAGGAGAAGGGAAGGGAAGGGAAGGGAAAGGAAAAGAAAGGAAAGAAAGGAAGGAAGGAAGGGAGGGAAGAAGGGAGCAAGGAGGGAAAGGTTGGAGGCAGGGAGGAACATTTACTTACACAATCAACAGTATTTCTAAACTCTTTTTATCTCTAAGCTCTCAACAAATATGTAGCCATGATACTATCTTTCAATGCTTTTCAGATTCAAGGAGAACATGAGAAGATTGCCAAAGATGGCACCTGATACTTCCCTTGCACATGATACTTCCCTTGCACATAGAAGAAAGAACAGCTCTTATTTGTTGCTAAAACCCATGCTATTCACAACAACCCTTAAAGAGTGATGCTGTTAAGTCCATTATATGGACACAGAAAATGAAGTTCAAAGAAAGTAAATATGTTCAAAGTAATTAAGAAAAATGGGGCCGGGTGCAGTGGCTCACACCTGTAATCCCAGCACTTTGGGAGGCCGAACCGGATGGATCACAAGGTCAGGAGTTCAAGATCAGCCTGGCCAATATGATGAAACCCACCCCCTACTAAAATTACCAAAATTAGCCAGGCATGGTGGTGCATGCCTGTAGTCTCAGCTGCTCGGGAGGCTGAGGCAGAAGAATCGCTTGAACCCGGGAAGTGGAGGTTGCAGTGAGCTGAGGTTGCGCCACTGCACTCCAGCCTGGGCAACGGAGTGAGACTCCATCTCAAAAAAGAAAAAGAAAAAGAAAAGTGGTAGAGAAAGGATTGAAATCCAGCTGTCTGCCTCCAAAATCCATGCTCTTTCTAAGACCCTATCTTGCCCTTTTGCTGATTAATCTTCATCAGCGTTCATGCCCCAGTTTAAGATGTAAAGGATCGCTGGTATTTTATTTATTGTACTTATGCTTTAAAAGACTGTTGATCACAGCACTGCAGGTGGCCATGGCAAATGAGGTGACACAGGAACTCTAGACAGGTGCCTTGCACTGAGCATGTGACTGACAGTGACATGCCAACTAGCATCTCTCCTTATTTGACCTCCCTGTCTTTTATATATCAGTTATTCTTTTCTGGTTTTGAATATTAAAAAGACAAAAATATTCCTAAAAGGCATAAGCAGAAAGGGAGAAAGATTAGAAAATGTGCATGGGAATTAAAAACCTTGTATTTCACTGTGAACTGCAGGGCAGAGAAAACCATCAGACAGAGGGAGAGGAGATCAACATTTTTTTTTCCTCTGGGTCATGCCAGGACTCTTTAAGGCTGTGAGTTCCATTGTTTTACCTTATATTTACCTTGTTGGATTTTAGTAAATGCATTCTATTATGAGCTACTTCAGTGGGGTCAAGGGAATCCATAGACCAGCTCTCCCACCAATTTCACTGACCACGTCTAATAGCAACTATCTTGAATGAAGGATTAAGTTTACTCCAATTTTGGAGCTAATAAGACAGTAGAAATTCACATTCACTGGGTGTTTACAGGATACCAAGCAGCAAAGCATTGATTTAAAAGTTTAATATGCATATTTCATTTAGGTTTTCCAAAAATAAGGAAGGCAGATACTGTCCTATAAGGCAGATACTATTTGTAGTCCCATTTTACAAGTTGACAAAACTTATGCAGAGAGAGGTTGTGTCATTTGCTCAAAGTCATTTATTTAGTAATAAATCTCAAGTAGGGTCTCTTCTTGTTGAGTAGAGCAAATTGGCAATTTGGACATAGTTCTTGAAAGGCAACTACATAATCTTATTTTTTATTAATTATAATGTTTATTTTTTCATTCAATCAATGTTTATTGTTTTTTTTCCCAACCCACTAGGAATCCAGAAATAAGTAGAATCCTGAAGGTTTCCTCCATAAAGGGACAGAAGCATAAAGGAGCAGCTACAGTACCATGTGATCAGATCAGAGCAAATACTGGGCTGGGTGCAATGGGAGCAAAGAGGAGGGACATTTAACTCAGCCAGGGTGTTGAAAGGGACTGCCAGAGAAGGTTTCTTTGGAGTAGGTGCTAGATGTAAGATGCTAGAGTAATCTTGAAGGGTAAGTAGAAGAGGATGGGAAGGAAAAGGCCAGAAAGCACAAGAAAGAGACAAGGACACTGTATCAGCAGGGTTCTCCAGAGAAATGAAACCAATAGGAAATATATATGAGGGAGAGAGAGATTTTTAATAAGGAATTCGCTCATGTGATTATAGAGGCTGAGAAATCACAAGATCTGCAGTCAGCAAGCTGCAGACCCGAGGGAGCCGATGGGAAAGGTCTAGCCTGAATGCAAAGGCAGGAGAAGATGGATGTCGCCAACTCAGAGACAGTAAGGCGGAAAGAGCAATTTCTCCCTTACTCAGCCTTTTTATTCTACGGGTGCCTTGGACAAATTAGATGAGGTCCACCCACATTGGGGAGGCAACCTGCTAGACTCAGTCCACAATTCAAATGTGAATCTTGTCTAGAAACACACTCACAGACACACCCAGAATAACGTTTAGCAAAATATCTGGGCATCTCATATCCTAGTCAAGTGGACACATGAAGTGAACCGTAACAGATATATTCTGGGAGCTATATTTAATTTGGTGTGACAAAGGTAAAAGGTATCAGCAACCCTAAGGAAGTTAATGGAAGCCATGGCATGGAAGGCCTTGCTTGCCATGCTAAGACATCAGAACTTTACACTGAAGGCAATGAGGAACCACTAGGGAGTTTTAAGAAAGGGAATGGCAAGACTGAATTTGTACTTTTGAACAATCATCCTGCCAGCAGACTAGAGACTGGAGGCAGGAGGCCAATTAGGAGGCTGCTAAAGCCCTATCTTAAGGAAGTTGCAACGGAATAGGAAGAAGTGGCCAGATGCTAGAGATATCAACAAATCTTAAGGGCCAACTAATGGGAAAAAAGAGCTTAAGATGACTCCTAGTTTAATAGTTGTGTCATTGGGTTAATACAAAAGAGAATTCAATAGAAGAACCAGTTTTAGGGAATTAATGATGATAATGAACATGAAGCTTTACAGTTTGCAAATGAAATTGATAGATGTTAATTATTTTGTGACTATTCCTTTAAACAGCCCTGTGAAGTTGGTGTTTTTCTCACTTCGGATGAGAACTCTAAGCTGAAAGAGTAAGTGACTTGCCCAAGCTCCCAATCATAGTAAATGGAATAATCAGAACCTGAACTCTTTTCAAAGCCCATTTTTTTCCACTGCACTATCTGATACAAAGAATAATAATAAAAAATAATAATGAGATAGCTAATATGTGTTGAATGCCTATTGTGGCCTGGCCATTCTTCTAAGTACCTTATTTTTATCAACTCTTAACACTCGCAACAACCCCATAGGGTAGGTATTATTGGGTATTATTGTTAGCCCCATTTTATAGAAGAAACACATGGGGTACAAAGAGGTGGCAGCAATAAACTGTGTCACTTGGGACAAATGATCTACATGTTACAGTTTCCCCTTTGGGCAGGATCTAGGATAATGGTGGTAGAACAACAGAGTGGTAAAGCTGAGTGACTTGGCCCCTTTCACAGGAGGCATGCTTCTTTCAGAGCACATGAACTGAGGGAAAACCCAGACACAAGCCCCCATTGTTTTCACCCATAAATGAAAGGTGAGAACTATTTCCCCACCCCACCCCCAGCTTAAAAGCTTACACCCTAGTACACCCAGGACCACCTTGCTGGGCTCCGAGTCCTGAGTTGAAAAACTACCTATTGGCCACTATGCTCACTACCTGGATGACAGGATCATTCGTACCCTAAACCTCATGACACACAATCTACCGATGTGACAAACGTGCACATGTACCCCATGAACCTAAAAGTTGGAAGAAAAAAAAAAAAGAAAGAAAGAAAGCTAGAGCCAGGCTCTGTTCACCCAGTTTGAGTTTTAAATAGAGAATCATTTTCCAGCAGCATTAATGTGCTTGGCTGTGTGATCCTGGAGTGGGATAAACAACTGCAGGCTTGACTGCCCGATATGTCAGCCCGAGGAAATAGCCCTCTGGAGGACACCACTCACCCCAAGCCCATTAGCCAATTACTCAGAGCCCGTTTAGTAAATGAGCTCTTTCAGTGTACTAATTGGAGCCCTGTGAAAGTAAACTTGCAGCAAGAAAGAAGCTGGCTCTCTGTGGTCAGATTTCCCTCTCTGATACACCACAGGATCAGGTATGCTGGATGGGCAGGATGGAGTAGTGGCAAAGACCACTGGCACTAAGCCTTGACTGCTTAGATTCAAATCTCAGTCTTGGTGCTTGCCAGATGTGCAGCCTTCAACAAGATATTCTGTTCTCAGTTTCCTCATCTGTGAAATGGGGATAATTGCATGAGATTTAGCAGTCTCAAATGAGGTAATAAACCTGTGCCCTACATATAGAAACCATTCAGTAAATGTGAACTGATACTATTTACTGTTCTTGCTTATTTATATGCAACAACCCACCTTAACCCAAGAAGTGGGATTAAAAAAAAAGTCAGGGGAGAGAATAAATTTACTCAGGTTTGAAAAAACAAATTTACTCAGGACATTTGTTGTATCCCCTATATCCCTCAATTGGCAATTAAGTTATATTTTATTATTAGTTTGTATTACTATGTAGCTAAGTAACTTTTCATATGCTTGAGCATTAGGTAAGTATTAGATATAATTTTCTCATCAATTTAATTTTATGCTCCTTGGAGACAGGTTTCATGTTCACTTTCATACCACCAGGATCATCTACTCAATAGATATTTTTTTGTTGATTGATATTCTTGATTAAATTTTTGTCATCCCTGTTGAGAATCAGCTGGACTGAATATTGGTGAGTTAGCTCTACTATCCATGAGTACTAACTCTTTGAGATTGAATAATTCCAACCATTTAAGCTCTAGTCATGTTTTGGTATCCAATTAGACAAACGTGCAGTCATATCTTATCTTAGTCCATTCATGCAGCTATAGCAAAATACCTAAGACTAGGTAAGTTATAGAAAACATAACTTTATTTCCTATAGTTCTGGATCTAGGAAGTCTAAGATCTAGGTGCCAGTAGTTGTTGTCTAGTGAAGGCTTTCTTGCTGTTTCCTCACATAGTGGAAGAAAGGACTGGCAAATAAAAAAGATCTAGGTAGTTCCCTTCAGCCCTTTTGAAAGGTTGTTAACCCCATTCATGAGTGTGGAGCCCTCCTACCTTCATCACCTCCTAAAGGCCCACTTCTTAATACCATTACATTGGATCTTAGATTCCAACGTATGAATGTTGGGGAGACACACACATTTAAACCCTAACAGATCCATAGAACAAATCAGTAATAAAATAAGCCAGGAAAAAAGCCTACCTTACTCCTGAGCCAAAGGTGGCTTATTTTATGAGGACTTCAAAACAAAATCGAAGTATATGTATACTAAAGCCTCATAGTCTTAACTCCACTGGAGTTGGGCAACACTTAGCCTAAGATGTAGAATAGTAAATTAAAATCCTGCCTGAATTAACTGGAATTGTCACTGAAGCTATGCAACTTGATCAAATAATTTTACAGTCTACAAAAATTTAAGTCTACTTTAGTATATAAGAATACTACACATTTAGTATTATTGAAACAGCATTACCCCTGTAACCATTTCACAAGTTTGAGTACTTGAAGATCAGTGATTGAAAATTATAATTGTCAGGGTAAATATTGAAGATAATAGTTTTATAATGTAATAAAAGCCAATTTTTAATTTATATTTAATCTCTTTTAAAAGAATAAAAATAGGTTTAAAGAAAATATAGAAAACATATTACATCTTCTGTTTAGCAATATGTAGCAATTAAACAGAAAAGTCAGAAGACTTGTTATTCAAACACATTTCTGGAAAGAGTTAAGTTGCTTCTCATTAAGAAGTTCCTACAGAAAATATTTTTGTACTTTAAAGAAAGATAAGAAAACCTTGAAATAGCTCCTCTTCCTTAGTTCGGTCATTTTCCTGATTCCATAAGCAGAAGCAAATACAATGTGACTAGCTAATTCCCAGCTGTGTAAAGATTTAAATCCATGTCTGAAAACTGAACAATCAAATTATGTAGTAGCACAGTAGCCAGAAATAAACCCAACACATAAATGCGTTTATTCAACATTATTAACACAAATAAAATTCACACCTACAGTCCTGTGCATTAAAAATAACTTCTCCTATATCAAATGGCAACATTTTCTTCTGCCAATCAAATTAAACCACTAGAAACATATGGAAAGAAATCAATTCTATAACAAACCTTTGAAAAGTATGGCATTTATCATGTTCAAGACAGGTTAATTCTATTTCTAAATAAACTTTCTCCTTCTAAGTTAGGGCTTATATTTTTTTTTCTTTCCTTTTCTTTGCTGGACATGTGCTCAACCCAAACATTCTGTCATCCCAGCCATAAAAATCTTCTTTCTCCCACGCTATGTAAATTAAAAGGGAAAAAACAACACAACGCACACACACACAAAAACACAAACCAAACACACACATAATTCTATTAGACCCAGAGAAATCTAAGTGTATTGATTTTAGGCAAAAATGTAACAAAAATCTTATGCCAGGAATGAGAGGCTAAAAATTCTGGTGAGAAATGTTTACAGAAAGAGCCCTGTCCCCTTGTTTTCTGTCAACAACCTCAGAGACTAACTGAAAAATCACCTCTGCAAATCTCTTTGACTAAACGGAAAGCAGCCATTTTTAATGGCCTTCGGAGCCCTAAACTCCACACGGCTCTACAGATGAAAACTGATAGCCTCAAGCAGAGCCTTAGTCTGAACAACAGGTGCATCATCCACACTATCCGAATCATATTCCTAAATTAGCAGCCTCTACAGCCACCATTAACTGACATTTGAAAGACATAGTCAAGATCAGTCTTCCAAATCATGTCCCACAATAGCTTCATCTGCAAGTTATGAGCAGGCAAACAATACAGATGAGGCGAAAAGGAACAATGTCTGCACTAAATGCACACAGAGTGGAATGGAAGGAAAAGAAATGCACAGGGTATACATTTTAGAGCAAAAGGAGATCTTACCAGTTACCTAGTCTGGCCTTGTAGCTTCCATCACATGAGCGTGTGGGAGTAAAAATGTGGAATGCAATAACAGCCCTAGCAGCAAAGAAGAAATGATGTATGGTACCAAATGCCCACAGGGCTTCTCATCATTTGTACAGCTCCCTAGTTATTCCTTACGAAAATGGAAACAGTCAAAACTATTGTGTCAAAATTAAGAGAGGAGCTGGCTTTTCTGTCAGGGATTTGAAATTTGCATTTGGTTAAAACCAGTCAACAGAAACTTTGAAATAAGTTTCTGTGTTTTGTCTCAATTTTACTATATCCACCCTTAATTTATTCATCTGTCATTCACTTATTAAGTCAACAAGTATTTACTAAGAGCTACCAATTGTCAGGTGTCGCCCTGACTGCAGGAGTATAGCAATTAACCAAACAGGAAAAGTCCGTGGGAGAAAACTCAATAAACAAGTACAGATATGTATATATCAGGTGGTGATAGATGATATAAAGAAAAAAGAAATTGGGGTAAGAACTAAGATTGTCAGAAGATGTTACTTTACATGAAATGTTCAAGAAAGACCTTGCTGATAAAATGACATTTGAGATAAAAGTTATAAAAAATAAATAAAAGGAACAAATCCTGAGAATATGTGGTAAGAGCATTCCAGGCAGAGGAAACAGAAAATGCAAAGACCCTCAGGTAAGAAGCATTTTTGACATGTACAAGAACAACAAGAATCCCAGGTTAGATTTAAATGAGCAGAGGAAGAATGAAACAGCAGGTGGGAGAGAGGTAGTGAGGACTAGATCAGTTAAGGGTCTTGTAGGCCACAGCAATGATTTTGGATCTGATTCTCAGAGTGCAATGAAAAGCCATTAGAAGTGTTGTGAGAAGAGAAAAAACATGATCTAACTTGGCTGCCATGCAAAGACTGGACAACTAGGAAGCAAATATAGAACAGGTAGATTAGTTAGGATTCTATTTCAATAGTCCAAACAAAAGATGATGGTGAAGTGGAAGTGTAGTACTAATGGAGATAGTCAGGATTCTGGACAGATTTAGGAGAAACTGATGTGTATGATATAAAGTAAAGAGTCAGTAATAGCTCCATGATTCTTAGCCTGAGCAACTAGAAGTATCATTTATTTGGGCAGAGAAGACTATGAGACAATTCTTCAAATTCCTTGAGAACATGTTACAATTTGAGATGTTTACTAGGACTCCAAGTATAAACGTTGGGTAGGAAGTTGAATGTACAAGTCTGGAGTTCAGGGAAGAGTTTTTGATGGAGTTATAGAAAAGAGAATCATCAGCTTACAGAGTTACCTAAAGCCATGAGACTGGCTGAGATTATCTTGGGAGTGAACATGGATAAAGAAAATTTCTGGAGACTGAATCCTGATGTAGTTCAGTGTTTGGAGGTCAAGAAGAGAGAGATAGGCTAAAGAAGCTGAGAAGAAGCTGCCTGTGAAGCAAGAGGAGAATTAAGAGAGAATAAATTGTGCCTTGGAGGCCAAAGGAAGAAAGTATTTCAAGGAAAAGGGGAACAACTAAGTCAGTTGCTTCCTACAGATAAAGTAAGACAAGGACTCAGGAATCACCATTTTATTGGGCAATTAGAGGTCATTGGTTTTCTTGTAAGAGATGCTTTGTTGAAGCAGTGGGTGCAAAGGCCCTATAGAATGGGTTCAAAAACAGAATGGGGCATAATTACGAATATCTAAGTGTTTTAAAGAAGCTTCCTACACCACAGTTAACCTGGAAATGATACATTCTTGAACACACATTGCATTGCTAGCTTCAAAGGAGATCCGAAGAACACACCCACACTCTCTCATATACACAAAGGAGAACTGAGCAGAAAGAAGCGGCTGTAGGAACTGTGACGGCCACTGTGGGAGTTCCCAGGACACAGGCTGGAATGCCCAGAACCTAGTCCAAAATGCCAATAGTAGGGCCATACAAATAGAGTCAGAATTAGAGCAACAGGAAGAATAAAAAAAGTAGCAATCCAGGCTTGACCTACCACTGGGATTAGCCTGAGATTGAAATACTAAAGTTTCATGATGACCCTTGAAATAGTAACAAGAAAAGGAAGATGAGTCTGAGACTGCATCTTGAGACAAAACTCTTTGGGAAAGAGCTGATATTTCAGGAACAAAGGGACCCCTTGACTGCCAGCAGAAGCAAAGACTTCTCCTTCCTGATGTCTGACTAACCAGCCAAACCCTTTATCACTGTTCATGAGCCTGCATATACTTTACTTCAGGCCACTTCTCTTTTCACACCAAGCAGATGACCAGGTAGACCACCCAAAGCTCTGCCAGTTGGATGGATTTCCCTGTCTTCACATGGCTTTTTCTAGGGCCACTCCTAAGTGGGGCTGTAGTGAAGCAGCCGTCCATTTCAGCTTGCCTCTACACATCCAGCCTATCTATCACATACACTCAATTCTGTTCTCAGATTCATCATCTAGGAATCCAAAGATAGAATAAACACTCCTATTTGAGACCCCCTCTGGGAAATTACCCTTGACAACTGAGCTGGAATCTCTTAGACTTTCATTTCCTTTGTTAACCACTTCAAGGACTACAGTATCACAATCAGGTTTCTGTTATTTTTGGTTGGGTACTCACTAATAAATTCACTAGATGGTGAGCGCCTTGAAGGCAAGAGCTATGTCTTTATTCCAATTTCTTAAGAAATATTATAGTAAATATAGTGGAAATAGGCTCTGACTTCCAAATTTGTTGGATATAAAACCTTCAGAAAGTTATGAAACCTCTCTATGCTTCCACTGTCATATCATAAAAACACGAAAAATACTCATCTTGCAGTTCAGATTTAAGAATTAGCAATAACATTCATATAACATGAGTACAAGGCCTGAGAGAAAGCCCAATAGATGGACCCTTATGTTGTTTGGTGTTATTTGAATCTCTAGAACCTAGCCCAGCACTTGGCTCATAGGTTATAGTCACAAATTTATATTTACTGCATTAAATCAGAAGGAAAAACATCACTTAAAATACCACATTTTTGGACAGATTGACAAATGGGTACAATTCTGAAGGGAAAACTTGGCAGGCAGAGAGTAAAGTCAGTTTATTTGATAAAATTATCATCACTTTAAGAGGTTTTAGACCTGCTTGCTTCATCTACACAGGACTTGTATGGTAGGATGGGGTTAGGGGCAAGGTGGAATCTTATTTTTGCAGCAATCATAGTTAAGACCAAAAAGGCACTGACTCCTGCACTTCCTAAGTTTAGAGAACTGTCAGGAGTCAAAGGCAGGCACTTCCCCACAGAGCTTGCTTCATTTGGGAGCTTTGTTCAACACTCACCACCATGATCACCACCTCAACCTCCATCCAGCTCAGTAGATCTGGCTAGAATAAGAGGCGTAGAGAGGTCACCTTATAACAGTTTTTTGGAGCAGCTGACATCCTTTCTTCTTGGACTTCTCCACCACTGCCTTCTATAATATTGAGGGGACCCAAATGTTCTCCCCACCTCCACTAAGTCAGGGACTGGTGATCATTTCTTGCCTGAAGGGCTGAGCAATGGGATCTTCAGAGTGCTTAATGCTGCAAATATGTAGGGCGAAATGCAGGAGTTGGGCAGCAGAGGTAAGGCAGGCAGTGGTATGGGGCAGACTGCACCCCCACAATTAACCATGGCAAGCATATGGAGATTTTCCTATATGTCAATCAGATGTCAGTGTACAGATGGATTTAAGCACTCCCAAAAGAGCCACTCAATGAGCGAGGGGACCCTGTAGCAAGGGGAGACAGGGTGGGTGGCTTGCCAACTGTGGGTTGAAGCTGACAGGCAGAGGTCAAAACTGAGCCATGATTCTGGGCCAGCAGACTGTGTAGGGCAAGTGTGAAGAGGGCTGTACTATGAGCACCCAAAAGAGGCAGCCCATTGGGAACCTGCCACACAGAAGAGTGACAGCCAGTCAGTGAAGGAAAGCAAATTACAGGGCTCTGGAAAAGCCTGCAAGAAGTCCCTTACACTAAAACGAATGGCTTTTATGTAAATAATGTAATTCAGGTTGTAGATCATCAAAGAATTTGCAAATGTAGCTTTCCACACATGCAACCTAAATTGTCAAAACAACTCAGTGAAAATTTTGTGCATTAAAAATGTCATCATGGGGTGGAGGCCTCTTCATGTCCTCCCTAACTCATTCTATGAAGCCAGCATCAATTTGCTACCAATACCTGGCAAAGGTACAACAAAAAAAGACAACTACAAGCCAATATCCCAGATGAATATAGAAGCAAAACTCCTCAGTAAAATACTAGCAATCCAAATCCAGCAGCACATCAAAAAGTTACTTCACCACGATCAAGTGACTTTATTTCTGGGATGCAAGGTTGCTTCAACATATGCAAATCCATAAATGTGATTCACCACATAAACAGAATTAAAAACAAAATCTATATGATCATCTCAGTAGACACAGAGAAAGCGTTTGATAAAATCCAATATCCCTTCATGATAAAAACCCTCAACAGACTAGGCATTGAAGGAACAGACCTCAAAATCATAAAAACTATCTATGACAACCCCACAGGCAACATCATACTGAATGGGCAAAAGCTGAAACCATTCCCCTTAAGGACTGGAACAAGACAAGGATGCCAAATCTCAACACGTCTGTGCAACATAATTCTGTAAGTCTTAGCCAGAGCAATCAGGCAACAAGAAGAAATAAAAGACATCCAAATGGGATGAGAAGAAGTCAAATTATCTCTCTTTGCTGATGATATGATTCTATACCTAGAAAACCCTAAACACTCTGCCAAAAGGCTCCTAGAACTGATAAACAACTTCAATGAAGTTCCAAGATAAAAAAATCAACATACAAAATCAGTAGCATTTTTATACACCAATAATGTTCAAGCTCAGAGCCAAATCAAGGACATAACCTCATTTAAAATAGCCACAAAAAGAATAAAATACCTAGGAATACATGTAACCAATTAAGGTGAAGATCTCGACAAGGAAACTATAAAACACTGCTTAAAGAAGTTAGAGATTACATGAAAAAATGGAAAAACATTCCATGCTCATGAATTGTGAGAATTAATATCATAAAAATGAACATACTTTCCAAAGCAATCTACAGATTCAATGCTATTCCTCTCAAACTACCAACATCATTTTCCACAGAATTAGAAAAAACTATTCCAAAATTCCTATGGAACCAAAAAAGAATCCAAACAGCCAAAGGAATCCTAAGAAAAAGGAACAAAGCTGGAGGCATCACATTATCCAACTTCAAACTGTAGTCTACAGTAACAAAAACAGCATGGCACTAGTACAAAAACAGATATATAAACCAATGGAACAGATTAGAGAACTCAGAAATAAAGCTGCACGCACACCTACAATCAGCTGATCTTTGACAAAGTAAACAAAAATAAGAAAGGGGAAAGGGCTCTCTAGTCAATAAATGGTGCTGGGATAACTGGCCAGTCATATGCAGAAGAATGAAACTTAACCCTTACCCTTTCAAAATACACAAAAATTAACTCAAGATGAATTAGAGATTTAAATGTAAGACTTCAAACTATAAATATCCTAGAAGAAATACCATTCTGGGAAATACTATCCTGGACATCAGCTTTGATGAAGAATGTATGACTAAATCCTCATGAACAATTACAACTAAAACAAAAATTGACAAATTGGCTCTAATTAAGCTAAAGGGCTTTTGTACAACAATGTGCAAAACTCTGCTTACTCGATAGCATAATCAGACAACTTACAGAATGAGAAAAATATTCACAAACTATGCATCAGACAAAAGGTCGAACATCCAGAATCTATAAGAAACTTAAACAACTCAACAAGCAAAAAAACAAATGACCCTATTACAAAGTTGGCAAAGGGCTGGGCGCGGTGGCTCATGCCTGTAATCCCAGCACTTTGGGAGGCCGACGCAGACAGATCACGTGGTCAGGAAATCAAGACCATCCTGGCTAACACGGTGAAACCCCGTCTCTACTAAAAATACAAAAAAATTAGCCGGGCATTGTGGCACACACCTGTAATCCCAGCTACTCAGGAGGCTGAGGCAGGAGAATCAGTTGAACCTAGGAGGCCGAGGCTGCAGTGAGCTGAGGTAGCATCACTACACTCCAGCCTGGGTGACAGAGCAAGACTCTGCCTCAAAAAAAGAAAAAAAAAGTGGGCAAAGGACATGAACAGACACTCCACAAAAGAATACATACAAGAGGCCAACAAACATACAAAAAATGCTCAGTATCACCAATTGTATTAGACTGTTCTCACACTACTAATAAAGACATACCCAAGACTGGGTGATTTATAAAGGAAAGAGGTTTAACTGACTCACAGTTCAGCATGGCTGGGGAGGTCTCAGGAAATTTGCAATCACAGCAGAAGGGGAAGTAAACACATCTTTCTCCGGATGAACGCAGCAAGGAGAAGTACAGAGGGAGGTGGGGGAGAAAAACTATTTATAAAACCATCAGATCTTGTGAGAACTCACTCACTATCACAAGAACAGCATGCAGGTAACCACCCCCATGATTCAATTACCTCCCACTGAGTCGCACCCACAACGCATGGGAGTTATGGGAACTACAATTCAAGCTGAGATTTGGGTAGGGACACAGCCAAACCAAGTCACTAATCATCAGAGAAATGCAAATCAAAACCACAATGAAATACCCTCTCACACCAGTCATAATGGCTATTAGTAAAAAGTCATAAAATAACAGAAGTTGGTGAGGCTGTGGGGAAAAGGGAACGCTCGTACACTGTTGGTGGAAATGTAATGTAAATTAGTCCAGCAATTGTGGAAAGCAGTTTGGAGGTTTCACAAAGAACTAAAAACAGAACTACCATTCAACTCAGCAATCCCATTACTGAGCATGTACCCTAAGGAAAATAAATCATTCTACCAAAAAGACACATGAAGTCATATGTTCATCACAGTACTACTCACAATAGTAAAGGGACAGAATCAACCCAGGTGCTCATCCACAGTGCATTGAATAAAGAAAATGTGGTACATATGAACCATGAATGCTATATAGCCATAAAAAATAATGAAATTATGTCCTTTGCTACAAGTTGGATGTAGCTGGAGGCCATCATCCTAAGCAAATTAACACAGAAACAGAAAACCAAATACCACATGTTCTCACTTATAACGGCAAGCTAAACACTGAGTACTTATGGACATAAAGATGGGAACAGTAGACATTGGTGGCTACTAGAAGAGGGAAGGGAGAGAGGGGCAAGGGCTTAAAAAGTACCTATCAGGTACTATGCTATCAGTACCTGTGTGATAGAATCATTTATATCTCAAACCTTAGCGTCACACAATACACCCATGTAACAAATATGCACATGTGCCCTCTCAATCTAAGATAAAAGTTGAAAGTATTTTAAAAAAGAAAAAAAAATGACATTATCAGAGACTCTGATTAAATAGGAATAGCATTAAGTTTTCCTTTTATAGAATTAAATCAAAATAATTCAACAGAATTTTTATGACAGTTCTCATTATACACACACAGAGAGAGAGAGAGAATAAGAGTATTTGCTTACTTTATTTTTGTGGTTTTTTAATTATGCAAATTTTTGAAATTAGGCAAAACTATCACTTTCAAAAATTTACAATTTATTTTTAATCATATATATGAATAACCTAAGAAATGTCCTTCTCTGTTGGAGGATAATCAGAATGGTGTTAAACTGCCTCTACTTTTCTAACTGTGATTCCATGGGCATGCCACTTAGTTTTTCTGAGGTTACATCTTCATGAAAAAGTTGAATTATAAACAGGGGTGCTAATCCATAGACTTAGACAGTCTTTTGGGGGAGGGTTCTTCCTTACATCTTCTCCTTCCCATTCTGTTATTACCAGAAGATATCCTGGAATCCACTTGTGACTGTCTCACAGCCATACAATGGTTTTGCCTACCTTACACCTATCTTCCAACAGCCACTCCACATTCTCTGGAAAAACCATTCTGTTCACACTCAGTGCACATGATTTCAATGGGCTCCGAGTTCAAGTACGGACACAAACCCTTTTACAGGTCAATCACTCTTTTCTAAAACTAAAGTCACAGTGATTGCTCTAAAGATGGACTCCTGACTCAAACTGTCTAATCAGAGGTAAGCCAACGATTGGCTGGAGAAGTGACAGGAAGTTTTTCCCTTTTCTCTGGTCTTGAACCTAAAGGATTTAAGCCCGGATCAGGTAACAGCCACACAGAGAGAGCCTAGGAGTTGAAAATCCACATAAAAGCTGAGCCACGAGATGGAAAAGAAACATCCCTTGGAGCCTCCGGGTCCTGCTAATTTGAAGAGTTGTTCTTGGACTTTTCAGTCACTTGAGGAAATAAATTTCCCCGTTTCTTAAACCAGATTCTAAGTTTTGGTAACTGAAAGAGCTGTATCTGATATGTACAGTCTATAGGTTGACTGTTCAGTCTAGTACAAAGATGCTCAAATATTTATAATATATGTAGATAATGTGTTAAATAAAATATGAATTGATATAAATTTTTTAAGTGTTTCTATTAGGATTTTCTCAACAATATATAGTACAAGAATAACTAGAAAATTTTAGCAGTCCCTTCAAATTCTAAAACTCTATGATGTTTAAGAGCTTTTGCATTACATAAATCAAGGTATAAACCTGCATATAAAATGGTACAGAGGACATTTGTCCTCGGTGATTAAACAATAAGCAGCTGTGTTCCTTTGCATGATATTGTGAAATGCAATAACTTTGAGACAATGATGTTACATTTTGGGATTTGCAGATTAGAGACATGGAAATAAGATTGTGAATTCTAAATAAGACCAAAAATAATTTAAAAATTCAGAAGATGCCTTTTTAAAAATCCTTCTTTTGGTACTAATGGAGATTTCACACTGGGTAACATAAATCACCAACGTGCTAATTAAGCTGTGTTTTTCACTTTAAGGTCTTTTTGTGCTTCCCTTAAAGTGATAACAAATGGAACATCATCATTTTCTTGAGATCTGAGATCAAAATGTCCACAAGCAATATACAGTTGTAGTGATACAACAGCAAGCAAAAAAAAAAAAACAAACAAACAAACAAAAAAAAATGCTTTAAATATCACCTACCACAGACTTGGAATATAAAATGTGAAATTTGCAGAGGCATGACTAATGGAGTGATTTCTATTTTTTCAGCAACTGAATACCCAGCCCATGAACCAAGCACATATAATACTTAGAAAACAGTCTTAGAGAAAACTGACAGATATATAGGGTATTTTATCTTGTATTATATGATTTGTAGAAGTAATCTCAACTGGAAGTACTTCAAAGAAGGGCATTAAACAAGTGTAAAATAACTAATCTACAAGTATTTATTAAGCGTTTGCTATGTAGCCAGCCAAATCCAAGGTGACTGAGGAGGAAATAAGAAAGGGAAATCTAACGACCCTGTTGAGAGTAACCTGCTAACTGTGTCCCCCTCTTTCAGCCTCTTCCACTTCAAACCACTAGACCCATGGCTGCCAGGCTAATTGGCTGAAAGCACAGCTTGACTCCCTTTGATCTTCTATGCAAGTATCTTTAGTGGTCCCTTGCTGTACTACGTACATTCTCTCCCTCTCTCAGGTAGGCATAACATAGTCCCAGCCTTATTTCCAGCCTTATATCCCAGTATTGCCCTTTGAGTGACAATAGATGAAGGTTAGCACTTTTATTTAAAAAGAAGTTGGTTCCAGAATGGTTATGACAATGACAACAGTGGCAATGAAGAAGAGGAGGAGAAAGAAGAGACCAACATTCTTCGATTGGTTACCATGTGCTGAGTATTAGGCATATGCTAAGTATTTAACATCCATAAGTCTCATAACCCTATAAACTGAGTACTATTATCATCTACTTATTTTATTGAGGTAAAATTCACCTGACATAAAATTCACCATTTTAAAGTGAATTAGTATAATTACAATGCTGTGCAACCACCACCTCTATCTAGTTCCCAAATGTTTTCATTGTCCCAAAAGGAAATGTCATACCCATTAAGCAGTTAATTCTTAACTGCTCACTCTTCCCTTCATCCAGCCCATGGCAACAACAAATTTGCATTCTGTCTCTATGTCATCCCGATTTTACAAATGAAGAAATTCAGTGTAAGAGGTTAGGCTACCTGTCCAAAGTCTCACTACTAAAAATAATAAATCTTGGGTTCTGTCTCCTTCCTCAAAATAACTAAGGTATATGTATTAGGGCTCTCTAGTAAAACAGAACTAATAAGATATATGTACATATGAAAGGGAGTGTGTTAAGGAGAATTGACTCACACGATCACAAGGTGAAGTCCCACGATAGGCCGTCTGCAAGTCGAGGAGCAAGGAAACTAGTGGTGGATCAGTCGGAGTCTCAAAACCTCAAAATTAGGGAAGCCAACAGTGCAGCCTTCAGCCTGTGGCCAAAGGCCTGAGAAGCCCTGGCAAAACCACTGGTGTAAGTCCAAATGTCCAAAAGCTGAAGAAATTGAAGTTTGATGTTCAAGGGCAGGAAGCATCCAGCATGGAAGGAAGATGAATGCTGGAAGACTCAGCAAGTCTGCTTTCCCATCTTCTCCTGCCTGATTTATTCAAGGGGAGCTGGCAGCTGATGAGATGGCGCCCACCTAGACTGAGGCTGGCTCTGTCTCTCCCAGTCCACGGACTCAAATGTTAATCTCCTTTGGCAACACCCTCACAGACACACCCAGGAACAATACTTTGCATCCTTCAATCCAATCAAGTTGACACTCAATATTAACCATCACAGTATGAGGCTTTTTGAAAAACAATTTCCTGAAGAATAAACTTACCATGAATACAGGCATCAGAGAGAGGATGAGTGATGCACCTTGAGGACCTAAAACTATAAAAGACGCAAACCCTCCACTGCCCCAAGGAGAGAGCATGCAATGGGCTAAAGATGCTTCACTGGCAGCTTTCATTACACTGAGGGCCCCTAAAGCTTCCTTTCTAACCAGCCATGGCCCTCACACTTATGTATTTATGAAATATGCATTGAGAAGCTACTAAGAGCCCAGTGTGTGGTTCTCGGTCAGCTATAATCACAGTCTGCTGAATATTATGTGCCTTTAAAACCTTGCAGAAGGGACCAAGTTCACAACAAAACATAAGCCTATACATGCCATGCTTAGAAAAACTGCCCATTTTGTTTCTCTCATGTGGGATCCCAGTTCATTTGTAGAATATAAAATGCCTTCTATGACAGATGTAAATAACCCAATCGATAATATAATATGCACACTGTGATATTATAATATGGAATTAAACGTTATGATCATTTAATAAAAATCTAGATATAATATTAGAGATTTATTTTAAGAAATCAGTTCACATGATTATGTCCAAAATTTGCAGGGAAATGTTGATGTTGCAGCCCAAATCCAAAGCCAGCCTGGAGGCAGAATGCCTTCAGAGACCTTAGTCTTTCTCTCTTAAGGCCTTCAACTAATTGGGCAATTCCCATCTGCATTATGGAGGGTCACCTACTTTACTCAAAGTCTACTAATTTAAATGTTAGTCACATCTAAAGTACACCTTTACAGCAACATCTACACTAGTGTTTGACCAGACATCTGGGCACCATAGCCAAGCCAAGCTGACATATAAAATTAACCAATATACTACCTGTTGTAGATTAAACTGGATCTCCCAGAAATGTATATGGTTGACACCTTAACCCCCAATGTAATTATATTGGGAAATATGCCCTTTAAGGAGTTAATTAAGGTGAAATAAGGTCATAAGAGTGAGGTTCTGGGCCGGGTGCAGTGGCTCACGCCTCCCAGCACTTTGGGAGGCCGAGGCAGGCGGATCATGAGGTCAGGAGATCAAGACCACCCTGGCTAACACAGTGAAACCCTGTTTCTACTACAAATACAAAAAATTAGCCAGGCGTGGTGGCAGGCGCCTGTAGTCCCAGCTACTTGGGAGGCTGAGGCAGGAGAATGGCATGAACCTGGGAGGCGGAGCTTGCAGTGAGCCGAGATCATGCCACTGCACTCCAGCCTGGGCGACAGAGCGAAATTCTGTCTTAAAAAAAAAAAAAAAAAAGGGGAGTGAGGCTCTAACCTAATAAAACTGCTGTCCTTAAAAAAAGAAGAAGTGATACCAGGATGCACAAGAACAGCGGAAATGCCATGGAAAGACACAGGGAGAAGGCAGCCACTCACAGCCTTTCCTCTGTGCAAGCCAAGGAGAAAGCCTTCACCAGACACCAATCCTGCCAGCACCTTGATCTTGAACTTCCAACCTCCAGCACTGTGAGAAAATTAATTTCTGTGGTTTAAGCCACCTACTCTTTCGTACTTTGTAATGGCAGCCATAGCAAACTAACACACTCCCCAAATCTCTTCCCAAGGGAGCAGCCAGAGATCCACTTAGAATGTACATCAAATTCTGTCCCTCCTCTGCACAAAACCCTCCAAAAGCTCCTATTTCAAAGTAGAGGCCATTGTTGTTAAAGGTCTGCCTGGTCCTCTGGAATCTCATCATCCAGGTTTCCTCTCTCCCACTGGTGACCTCTCACTGCTCACTCATACTCTTCCCCCTTACCCACGCCACTTGAGCCACAGGGGCTCCCTTGCTGTCCCTGGGCCATGTCAAGCCAGATCCCAACTCAGAGACTTTCTTCTGGTGCTTCCCTCTTTCTGGAAGCTTTTCCTCAGATGTTTGTACCCTCAGCTTCTTGAAGTCTATCTTCAAAAGGCCCCTACTAGGTGAGACGTGTATAACCAGCCCCTAGCCTCCAATCCTCCACTCTCTGCTCTTAGCATCTCCTGCCTCTTGTCCTTGCTCTTCCTCATTAATCCCCGGAGTAAATGCTATTATTGCCTCTATTTTACAGATGAAGAAACTGAGGGACAGAAAGATTATTAATAATTACCTTGCCCTTGCTTACTAGCCCCAAAGTGGGGAGACCAGGAGTTGAACCCAGGCAGTCTTACTCTAAGTTCATGTTCTTAACTACTCCATTAGGCTATGTCTCTGGCTGTTTTCGGGGAGAGAAGGAAATGCCACTTTCTGAGTAAACAATGCATCAGGCAGGACCCATGCAGTGTAGTTTTGTACACTATTTCTCTTTTTTAAATTGATGAATAAAAACTGTATCTATTTATGGTATACAACACATTTTGATATATGTATACATTGTGGAATGGCTAAATCAAGCTGATTAACATATGCATTCCATTACACTTTTCATTTTTCATGATGAGAACACTTAAAATCTACTCTCAGCAATTTCCAAGAACACAATGCATTAACTAAGTCATCTTGTTATACAATAGATTTAACTTATTTCTCCCAATTAATTTTGTATCCTTTCACCAACATCTCCAACCTCCACTCCATCTCCCTGCCCCTGGTAGCTACTCTTCTACTCTTCAAGATATTGGTATGTTCACTGATTGCAGATTGTGGCATCTGAGAAGAAGAGTGTACAGAGAATGTCAGTCTTGGTGAGTGTTGTGGGGTAAGCACATTGCACCTCCTGAAATGGGTAATCTGTAGAGCAGGAAAATGCAAAGATCAAGTGCCTTAGGTCACCCATGAGCATCAGAAGTTACGAGGCACAGCAAGAGAAGCAAGGCAGAAAAGTGCAGGAAAGAAAAAGAGGTTTTGCTTACTGGACAATTTTCCCTTCTCTGTGAAGCATGAGCGATAGGACGGGCAGGCCAGAAAATGAAAAGAGATAGGCTCTGCAAATACAAGCATACATTGTATCAATCCTCAGATGGGATGATCCTCCTGAGAATTTTGCTATGTTCTAGCTAATTAGCTAAATAGATAATTCATTTTACTCTTGAGAATCAAGTTTTCCCTGAGGGGGTAAATATTCAAGGTCTGCAAAAAGAGAGTCCAAGACTACTGCAAGTGTTAAGTAAATACCAAACATCCATCCTTCAAGGTTTGAGCCCAGCAAGGACAAAGCAAAGACAAATTATCTGTCTTTGGGAGTAGCCACTCCCCTCAGACTTCCCTTCATCCCCTTCCATCTAATTTCCCATCCCCTCCCTCAGCATTTAGGCTGGGAGATAACTCATGCTTTGGGAATGCAGATCCTGAAGAGAATTCCTTTTGTTACTGCCAAAATGTACATACATACATACAGTAAACAGAATCCTGCAGTACGATGTGGATGGAACACAGGCAAGGGGAACAAAAGGCATGCTCAGAACTCAGTGAATTAGAAAAGCATCAGCCGTACAAAAATGAGTGAGAGCAGACAACTGCAGAAATCCTCTCGAACAGCACTTTTTTCTAGTACAGGACAGAGCTGACCAGAGCCAAAATGAAGGTACGACTACACCTAAAGGCAGGATATAGCAAGAGAAAGGAGACGTTCTGCCATCCAAATAGGAAATTGGGAGATTTGTCAATATGTATCCAGCACATCCAAGCACTGGATGCCCTGGGCAACTAGTGCAATATTCTGTGCCCCCAAGTAGAAATAACCATAAAACAGAGATGGGTGCATCTGACTGCAAGATTACAATGCTCTTAGTCTGTCCTGCCGTGATCATCTGGCCATTTTTTGACTTCTGCTCACGTATATAGACGTCTTCCAGAAAGATATGTCTAACTGACATAAATGTCCTATGTCCTTGACAGTTGTATTTTAAATCATAAATTTATAAATTGACATTTTGGTTTCTATATCATTGTCTTGAGAGTTGCTAGATATGAGTCTATTTCAGGAGAAATGGATATTCTCTAAGAATGTTGGCAAAACTTTAGTTTCTGAGCAAACAAAGCTGAGGATCGTGGCTGTGGCCAGTCACAATAATGTCCTCCAAAGGACATTGTCCAACTGTCTGGGTGGACCCTCCAGGTATCATCCCTTTTGCTCATATCCTTCAAACTACCAGAGCCATACAGGTCATCAGGTTAATTTCATTGCAAAGGATCAACTTCCACTATAATCAGAAGCATAGAAGAGTCCTTTATAGGTTGAAATATTGTGATTTCTTCAAAGTAGCCAAAAGTCAAAACACTGTATAGAATGTAAGAGCTGCAATGACCCCGTTTCACAAATCATGACAAAATGGTCTCAAATGACTTGTTTATGGTGACATCTTTTTGGTCTCGAATTCTTGGGTTAAATCTAAGTTTCTTTTCATTGCATCACAGGGGTCCCCTAAGACCATAAAAACTATCACCGCTCCACAAAAAGTCATGTTTCTAACAGTTTTTGCACACACAGTTATTAAGTGAATTACATTTCAAAAGAGTCAATCTCAGTCTATATCCTCCCTCCAACAAATAGTGTAAAAATTTTAGTCCATTTTCAAAGATAAATATGCCCTTGTTCTCACTTAGAAGTGGGAGCTAAACAATGGGTACACATGTACATAATCATAGAAATAATAGACACCTGGCACTCCAAAAGTGGGTGGGGGGGGGGTAGAGGGAGAGAGGGTGGACAACTTACCAATCAGGTATAATGTTCACTATTTGGGTAATGGAACTAGAAGCCCAGTTCCTACTGAGAGGTGACAACGTGCTAGCAGACCTGGCTAGCTCTCGGCGCCTCCTCAGCCTCAGCGTCCACTCTGGCCGTACTTGAGGAGCCCTTTGGCCAGTCCCTGCACTGTGTGAGCCCCTCTCTGGACTGGCTGAGGCTGGAGCCGGCTCCCTCTGCTTGCGGGGAGGTGTGGAGGAAGAGGCGCGGGCGCAGGGCACTCGCGGGCCAGCGCGAGTTCCGGGTGGATGTGGGCTCAGCAGGCCCCACACTCGGAACAGCCGGCTGCTGCGGCCAGCCCTGGGCAGTGAGGAGGTTAGCACCCGGCCAGCAGCTGTGGAGGGTGCGCTGGGTCCCCCAGCACTGCCGGTCCACACCTGCCACGCTGGAATTCTCGCCAGGCCTCAGCCGCCTCCCGCCCGGACCTGCAGCCTGCCATGCCTGAGCCCCGCCCCCCGCTGTGGGGCTCTCGCGAGGCGGGAGCCTCCCCAACAGGCACCGCCCCCTGCTCCATGGCGCCCAGTCCCATCGACCGCCCAAGGGCTGAGGAGTGCAGGCACAAGGCACGGGATTGGCAGGCAGCTCCGCCCATGGCCCCAGCACAGGATCCACAAGGGTAAGTCAGCTGGGATCCTGAGTTAAATAGGGCCTTGGAGAACTTTTATGTCTAGCTGCAGGATTATATATGCACCAGTCAGCATTCTGTGTCTAGCTCCAGGTTTGTTGATGCACCAATCAGCACTTATCTAGCTAATCTGGTGGGGGCTAGGAGAACTTTTGTGTCTAGCTAAAGGATTGTAAATGCACCAGTCAGCACTCTGTGTCTAGCTCAGGGATTGTAAACGCACCAATCATCCCCCTGTCAAAATGGACCAACCAGCTCTCTGTAGAATGGACCAATCAGCTCTCTGTAAAATGGGCCAATCAGCTCTCTGTAAAATGGACCAATCAGCAGGATGTGGGTGGGGCCAGATAACGGAATAAAAGCAGGCTGCTCGGGCCAGCAGCAGCAACTGGGTACACTTCCACAGTGTGGAAGCTTTGTTCTTTCACTCTTTGCAATAAATCTTGCTGTTGCTCACTCTTTCGGTCCGCACTGCATTTATGAGCTGTAACACTCACTGCAAAGGTCTGCAGCTTCACTCCTGAGACCAGAGACACCACGAACCTACTGGGAGAAATGAACAACTCTGGATGGGAGGAACGAACAACTCCAGATGCACTGTCTTAAGAGCTGTAACGCTCACCGTGAAGGTCTCTAGCTTCACTCCTGAAGCCAGCGAGACCATGAACCCACCAGAAGGAAGAAACTCCGAACATGTCCAAACATCAGAAGGAACAAACTCCGGACACACCATCTTTAAGAACTGTAATGCTCACCACGAGGGTCCGCGGCTTCATTCTAAAAGTCAGTGAGACCAAGAACCCACCAATTTCCGATACACTACCTTGCATGGTAGGATGTCCCAGACCACCTTCAATTACTAAAGAATCACTTTCCTTTAGTTTTGCACTTTTTTTTCTAATCCGTTGAATTTCACGTTAGTTTTCTTTTAAGTGTTCTCTACTCCCATATGAAAGCAAGTAGACAGACTACAAAACACCCATTTAAATTGCAGGAGCTAGCTTGTGGTGTACTTGTATACTACATCTTTTATTATTATTGTTATTATTATTATTATTATTATTATTATTATTATTTTGAGATGAAGTCTTGCTCTGTCACCAGGCTAGAGTGCAGTGGTGTGATCTCAGCTGACTGCAACCTCCACCTCCTGAGTTCAAGCGATTCTCCTGCCTTAACCTCCCGAGTAGCTTGGATTTCAGGCATGTGCCACAATTCCCTGCTAATTTTTGTATTTTTAGTAGAGACAGGGGTTTTGCCATGTTGACCAGGCTGGTCTTGAACTCTTGACCTCACATGATCCATCCACTTCAGCCTCCCTAAGTGCTGGGATTACAGGCATGAGCCATGGCACCTATCCCACCTTTCTTTTTTTAAATTTCAACCTTTATTTTAGATAGAGGATATATATGTGCAGGTTTGTTACATGGATATGTTGCATGATGCTGAGGTTTGGGGTACAGATCCCATCACCCACGTCATGAGCATACTACCAGATAGGTATTTTTCAACCCATCCCCCCCAACCCTTCTCATAGTCTGCAGTGTCTATTGTTCCCATGTATGATGGTTAATACTGTCACCTTGATTGGATTGAAGAATACAAAGTATTGTTCTTGGGTGTGTCTGTGAGGGTGTTGCTAAAGGAGATTAACATTTGAGTCAGTGGACTAGGAGAGGCAGACCCACCCTTAATCTGGGTGGGCACCATATAATTAGCGACCAGCATGGCTGGAATATAAGCAGGCAGAAAAATGGAAAAGAGAGACTGGCCTAGCCTCCCAGCCTACATCTTTCTCCCGTGCTGGATGCTTCCTGCCCTTGAACGTCGGACTCCAAGTTCTTCAGTTTTGGACCTCAGACTGGCTCTCCTTGCTTCTCAGCCTGCAGAGGGCCTATTGTGGGACCTTGTGATTGTGCGAGCTAATACTTAATAAACTCATATATATATATACACACACACCCATATATATGTGTGTGTATATATATTTAAAAAATTTTTAAACTAAAAAAGTTTTATTGGATATTTATCTTTTTTTTATTATTATACTTTAAGTTTTAGGGTACATGTGCACAATGTGCAGGTTAGTTACATATGTATACATGTGCCATGCTGGTGTGCTGCACCCATTAACTCATCATTTAGCATTAGGTATATCTCCTAAAGCTATCCCTCCCCCCTCCCCCCACCCCACAACAGTCCCCAGAGTGTGATGTTCCCCTTCCTGTGTCCATGTGTTCTCATTGTTCAATTCCCACCTATGAGTGAGAATATGCGGTGTTTGGTTTTTTGTTCTTGTGATAGTTTACTGAGAATGATGATTTCCAATTTCATCCATGTCCCTACAAAGGACATGAACTCATCATTTTTTATGGCTGCATAGTATTCCATGGTGTATATGTGCCACATTTTCTTAATCCAGTCTATCATTTTTGGACATTTGGGTTGGTTCCAAGTCTTTGCTATTTACACACACACACGCATATATTCCATTAGTTCTGTCCCTCTAGGAAACCCTGACTAATACAACATGTTTGCGTCCATGTGTGCTCAGTGTTTAGCTCCCACTTATAACTGAGCATATGCAGTTATTTTTTTTTTTTTTTCTGTTCCTGCCACAAACTATCTTTCTTTAAAAATCTGACTCTACTCCTCACTCGGGGCAGTTGTATGGGTGGAGTGTTGAGAAAGAACTGCAGGAAGAACAGCAGAAAGGCAAGTGTGACTGGTGTGGAGTGTGAGAGAGGTCAACTGAAGATGAGGTCAAAGAGACTGAATAAGAAGGGGATGGTGCTGGACTGTTAAGGGTTTGATATTACTCTATGTGAGATGGATAGCCTTTGAAGAGGTCTAAGCAGAACATTTATAAGATATGACTTATGCTTTAAGAGGATAACTCTCGCTGCTGCAAAATGGATAAATGGGAGAACAGTTAAGAGCAAATTCCATGAATCCAGAAAAAGACAACGGTGGCTTGAATCTAGGAGTTTGCAGATTAATTTTCTGAGAGTATACAAAAAGAAAAAGAGAGAGACACAAAAATGGCTCTGAAATTTTGGACTCAAGTAATTGGAAGCTTGGAGCTGTCAATGAATGAGATGCCATGCGAAGGCACTGGGCCATACAGAGATTGCCAAGACTTGGTGGCTCTGAGAAATCTCAGTCTAGGAAGAGAGGTGGACAAGTAAAAGAATCTATGTAGGCCAGGCAAGGTGGCTCACGCCTGTAATCCCAGCACTTTGTGAGGCCAAGTCAGGCACATCATGAGGTCAAGAGATTGAGACCATCCTGGCCAACATGGTGAAACCCTCTCTCTACTAAAAATGTAAAAAAAAATTAGCTGGCCGTGCTGGCACATGCCTGTAGTCCTAGCTACTCGGGAGGCTGAGGCAGGAGAATCACTTGAACCCAAGAAGCAGAGGTTGCAGAGAGCCGAGATTGTGTCACTATCCTCCAACCTGGCAACAGAGTGAGACTCTGTCTCAAAAACAAACAAACAAAAAACAACAACAACAACAAAAGAATCTCAGTAAAAGAAATTGCCATTTCTTGGATGCTTATTTGGTAACACTTAGTATCAAGCACTGAACCAAATATTTTGCAAACATAACATAATTCAATTCTCATAAAGACTTAATTTAGTAGATATACTTAGCCCTGTTTTACAGATAAGAAACTGAAGCTTGGCAGAGTGAAGTGGCTTATTCAAGCTCTAAGAGCTGAAAGATAGAGGACCAGTCTGCATCCACACCTGTTTAACCTCAAACTTGTACTCTTAACTATTATACTTTAATCTAACTCTGGCTAAACTTAATCTGAGGAAATAAGGTAGGCAAGATATATGAAGCAAGCCCCAGAGTACACGGAGCAGCCTTTACCTATGATAGAATGATTGCACGCTCACTTTTAATCCATAAAACAAGAAGGATGGACTCTATGATTTCCATGGCTCCTTCCAGCTCTAAAAGCCTATAATTTTAAAACATGGTGCTGCTTCTTTTCACTAAAGTAAAAATCATTTTTATCCCTTAAGATTGAATAGCATATAACACAATTCTCTTATTTATACAAAACTATTCCAAGTCAGGCTGAATGGTGCATTACAGATAAAAGAATAACAGTGAACAAAGAAGGGTCAATGAGGAAGAGGAAAGGTCATATCAAAGAAAGGAAGACACCATCACAAAATCACCAAGAAAAATTAAAATGAGGCTCAAAAAATCATTTTCCCAAGAAATGAAGAATTTTTATATCTATCTTTTATACTGAGATATATTGAGTGCTGACTACAAAGTTCAGCAACATCTGAAAACATATCTTTTCCATTAACAGAAACTTTTTCAGTCTGTTTTACTCCAGATTCCAATGTATAATATCACACCTTCAATTTGTCACAATTGCAATAGTATATGAACATATTTGTACACAGAGAGAACATAAATCATGCACCTCTAGAAAAAAATCATACAATGTATTTATGTTGCCTTCTCTTTGGGATATGTTTGTGAAATTAAAGTGTGGCCTAGATTTAAGGAATCATAAAAAACAACTTTGGTTTTAATTAGGATTCAACAAGCAGCCTGTTTCTTTTCATTATCACTGCTAAATTCATAACACATATCCAGAATATATATATATATAAGCATTTAAGTATGTATGTAGGCAGTAAGCAGCTATGGGGATATTCCATTTGATTTGCTGAAGCTGAAGGTAAATGAAGTTACAGGAAAATAATACCAAAGTGTTTGATTAGCATGAACAGAAAAGAAAGCTCTAAACTCTGGCTTTTAAATTGTGTCTCATGAAACTATAAGAGTATTATAGTTGAGATGGCAGAACTCCGAGCCCCTCTCCTTCACTTCATTCTCATTTAGCTGTCTTCATATGATGTCATTCATATAAAGGCATCTTAAAATATTATTTTAAGCTTTAAAAAGTATGTACAACTGTAGCCAAGATTATAATGGATTCAATATTTAAAAATATTTAAAAATTGAAGACTTTGTTTCATATATTGGAATCATCATTGTCTCTAAATAACTTCCTGGGGATTGCTAGGTGAAATGGCATTCATTTATTATAATGGCTATTGTTTTTTAAAAAATACACACTAAACACAAAAACCAGGATAGAATGGTCAAATAACATGGACAAAAACCCGACAGAAGAAATTCAAATAAACTAATAAATAAAATATTTTGCCTTCTCTGTAATTTAATGTAAATGAAAATAAAAATATACTTTTAATGTATGTATCATGTCAAATTAGCAAAGTGTGTGTTGTGTGCCTGTATGTTTTAAAAACAACATTCGGTATTGGTGATAATATGTGATATGGTTTAGCCGTGTCCCCACCCAAATCTCATCTTGAATTGTAGCTTCTTTAATTCCCACGTGTCATGGGAAGGACCTGATGGGAGGTAATTGAATCATGGGGGTAGGTCTTTCCCATGCTGTTCTCATGATAGTGAATAAGTCTCATGAGATCTGATGGTTTTATAAAGGGGAGTTCCCCTACATATTCTCTCTTTGCCTACCACCATGTAAGACTAAGATGTGCCTTGACTCCTCATTCACCTTCTACCATGATTGTGAGGCCTCCCCAGCCATGTGAAACTGTGAGTCAATTAAACATATTTTCTTTATAAATTATGCAGTCTTGGATATGTCTTTATCAGCAGTGTGAGAACAGACTAATACAATGTGGCAAAATGAATATCCTAACAAGTGTTAAGAGAAAATTTTCTAGAAATCAACTTGATAATATATATCTAAGTGCTTTTAAAAGTGCATACACTTTGAAACAGACAATCTACAGAATGGCACCAAATATTTGTAAACTGTGCATCTGACAAAGGACTACTATCTAAAATCTACAAGGAACTCAAACAAATCAGCAAGAAACAAATAATCCCATCAAAAAGTGGACAAATTAGATGAACAGAGATTTCTCAAAAGAAAATATACAAATATACAAATAGTCAACAAACTTGTTGACTATGAAAAATTGCTCATCACTAATCATCAGGGCAATGCAAATTAAAACCTCTATGGGACACCACCTTACTCCTGCAAGAATGGTCATTATTAAAAAGTCAAAAAACGATACATGTTGGTGTGGATGTGGTGAAAGGGAATGCCTGTATACCACTGGTGGGAATGTAAATTAGTATAACCCCTGTAAAAAACAGTATGGAGATCCCTTGAAGAACTAAAAACAGATCTACCATTTGATTCAGCAATTCTACTACTGGGTATCAACCCAAAGGAAAAGAAGTCTTTTTATGAAAAAGACACATGCATACATATATTTATTGCAGCACAATTCACAAATTGAAAAGATATGGAACCAACGTAAGTGCCCATCAACCAATAAGTGGATAAATTAAATGTGGTATATATACACCATGGAATACTACTCAGCAGTAAAAATGATGAAATAATGTATTTTGTTGCAACTTTGATGGAGTTGTAAGCCATTATTCTAAGTAAAGTAACTCGGGAATGGAAAATTAAATACCATATGTTCTCACTTATAAGTGGGAGCTAAGCTATGATTATGCAAAGGCATACAGAAGGATATAATGGACATTAGAGACTCAGAAGGGAGATGAAGGTAGGGAGGTTAGAAATAAAAAAACTACACATTAGGTACAATGTTCACTACTCGGGCGATGGGTACACTAAAATCTCAGACTTCACCAGTATATAACCCATCCATGTAACCAAAAAGCACCTGTACCCCAAAAGCTATTGGAAATTTTTAAAAATTAAAAAATAAAAATAAAATATAAAAAATAAAAGGTCATATTCTTTGACTTAGTAATTTTCCATATAGAACTATATCCTGAGGATGTAAATGTAAGCTGGGTGGAAAAAATACTCTCCAAAGATTTATCATGATGTTAGATAATCTGTTAGTGTGAGTACAAGTAGCTAATTTTCCCAATTTCCATATTCCTGTGGAACATTTCAAAATATATAGTAAGTAAAACCTGTAATACCTCTGAAAACCATAAAAGATGTGTTCCATTTGCCAAAAAATGTAGTTTCTGGTTTGTTCTGCTTGAGAGAGGGTAGATGGCACCAGGGTGAAGGAAGAATGGAGGACAGATCAGCGTGGACAGGAAGTAGAGAAAACTCATGTGAAAGGCAGACATCATCAGCAGGAAAATCACAGCCTGGATTCCTCCCAAATGAAGAGAAAAACAGACCCTTGAAAAGCTACTGCCCCTCATAAGAAAAAAAACTACTCCAAAAACTTACAGAAAATAATTGACTCTTGTATTAATTTGTTTTCACACTGCTGATAAAGACAAAACCATTACTGGGAAATTTACAAAAGAAAGAGGTTTATTGGACTCACAGTTCCATGTGGCTGGGGAGGCCTCAAAATCATGGCAGAAGGTGAAAGGCATGTCTCACATGGCGGCAGACAAGAGAAGAGAACTTGTTCAGGGAAACTCCGATTTTCAAAACCATCAGATCTCGTGAGACTTATTCACTATCATGAGAGCATCACAGGAAAGACCCGCCCTCATAATTCAGTCACCTCCCCATGACATGTGGGAATTGTGGGAATTACAGTTCAAGATGAGATTTGGGTGGGGTCACAGCCAAACCATATCAACTATGAAAGGGATTTACTGCTAGAAAAGTACACATGTTTAGAAAAATTTTGCCCCTTTATCTCAACAGTATGTGAACTCTTATTGTATTTATGAAACTAGAGTAAACAGTCATAAGATCAGGAAAGAACATATAGAGAAAATAAATTGTTGGATTAAAAAATCACTGTGGTGGTGGTAGAGATCAGAAAATTGGCCATAGCTGAAAATCAAATCAGTAAAGTGGAAGACAGGGTTGGAAATCCGTCCAAATCTCAGAGAAAAGTAAAAAGATTTAAATATAAGAGAAAACATAGACATGGAGACTAGATAAGAAAAATCCAATAATCTATACGTAAAAATTAGTTCTCAATTGTAGATCATGGTACAGATGAGGCTGACCTAATTATTATAGGCATCATGGCATAATTTTTTCCTGAGCTTACAAAAAACCTGAAACAATTGTTGCAAATGGCTTACTGATTATGTAAATGAAAAGACAGAGATCGTCTGTATGTATTTCAAGGATAAATATTCTTATAAGCATTCATGAAGACACTTAATCACTTACAAAGAAATAAAAATCAGTCTATCTACAGACTTCTCTTCCACAACAATAATGTTCAGAAGAAAATGGAGCAAAACTTTAATTAGAAGGAAACAAAAGGAGGAGGAAGAAGAGAAGTATATTTTTACAGAGTTTGGATTTTCTGAATCTGTTCCCCATGTCTTTTATTTTTTCTCTTGTTTTTAAATCTTTGTGACCTCCTGTGAGGAGGAGAAAGAAGAGGAGGAGATGAAGAAGAAAAAGAATTTCAGACACATATAAATTGCTATTTATGTGCAAAGGCAGCAGAATTACATTCTCAAACAATGCAGTTAGGAAATGCTCTGAAAACATTGCACCTGTAACAAACTCTTCCCGAAGTCTTTTTCAGAAAAATTATCTACCATCTCACAATGGCCCAACATAAGTGAGAAGACCAAGTGAAGTATCTCAAAAACTGAGACTTTTTCAACTCTTAAATTCACAGGCAGTCTAGGTTCCATGCAAATCATACTCCACAAATAATAACAGAGAAATTTTTAGATTTCTTTTTAATATTAGAAGATCAAAGCACTCAAATCAATCATTCTTTGCATTATCTGTATATTAGAATCTCCTGTAGATCTTGTAAAATCCCCAATGCCCATGCAGCACCCCAGACATTAAGATATTTAAATGTCCAGCTGGGGATGAAACCCAAATGACAGTATATTTTAAATCTTTCTGTGTGATTACAATGTGCAGCCAAGATTAAGAAGCAGTGCTCCACAATGAGATACCATCTCATGCTGGTTAGAATGGCCATCATTAAAAAGTCAGGAAACAACAGATGCTGGAGAGGATGTTGAGAAATAGGAACGCTTTTACGCTGTTGGTGGTAGTGTAAATTAGTTCAACCATTGTGGAAACAGTGTGGTGATTTCTCAAGGATCTAGAACCAGAAATACCGTTTGACCCAGCGATCCCATTACTGGGTATATACCCAAAGGATTATAAATCATTCTACTATAAAGACATTCTACTATAAAGACACATGCACACGTACGTTTATTGCAGCACTATTTACAAGAGCGAAGACTTGGAACCAACCAAAATGCCCATCAGTGATAGACTGGATAAAGACAATGTGGCCCATACACATGATGGAATACTATGCAGCCATAACACAGAATGAGTTCATGTCCTTTGCAGGGACATGGATGAAGCTGGAAACCATCATCCTCAGCAAACTAACACAGGAACAGAAACCAAACACCACATGTTCTCACTCATAAGTGGGAGCTGAACATTGAGAACACATGGGCACAGGGAGGGGAACATCAGACACCAGGGCCTGTCGGAGGGTGAGGACAAGGGGAGGGACAGCATTAGGACAAACACCTAATGCATATAGGGCTTAAAACCTAGATGATGGGTTGATGGGTGCAGCAAACCACCATGGCACATGTATACCCTATGTAAGAAACCTGCACATTCTGCCCATGTATCCCAGAACTTAAAGTAAAATAAATTTTTTTTAAAAGATGCAGTGCCACAAATCTTTACTGTGCACAGAGCAGAAAACACAACAAAAAAAGGAACAATGTAAGGGCACTGTTTTCTCCCTAGTCAGAAGGTGCAAACTTTCATTTTAATATTTTTAATTTGCCAATTATATTGCTTTTCCAGCTAAGATCTTTTTAAAATACTTGCATGTCATACTAAATGAACACTTTGGGCTTTGCTGGCTGATCACCCTTAGCAACTCCAGAGCAATGGCTTGGGAAAGTTGTTTTCATGAAAGACTCCCTCTGTACTACATTTCTTCCTCAAAACAGAATTATTTGAACTATATTTGAAGAGCATAATTTTAAACCGGATTAATTTCAGGGTCCATAAATGAAAAGCTGACACACACAAAGAAACTTCAGCCAATAGAAGAAATAGCTAGGGCCCCAGACTATATAACAAAGGAACAGTTTAAAAGACCACTCAAGGATTTTGTATATTTATGAATATATTAATGAAAGCAAATATTGAATATATGGGGTTTTAGTCTACTCTGGGTCAAAGTGGCTTCAATGTTATGTGAAGTAGCCTAAGGAGTACGCACCTTAACTCTTCAGGTCACTGTGATAGCATGTGCATCAGTGAGCTGCAGGAGCCATTATGTGCATTAATGGGACTCTAACACACTTGTCTCTAAAGTGTGTGAAAGACAGGCCATATCCATGAGGCAGCCAAGGTCGTGTCTTCAGCATAAGCCAGAGAATTCAGACCAAAATGTTACCTTCATAATATAATATCCAGATCTAATCTCAAAACTGTTCCATACATTTATTTATTTATATTCTCTACTGGACTAAAGGAGGTTTCCAAGTCAAACACTGTGATTGAGGCAGACTTGACTTTAAAGAATTAAGTGTATTTAGTTATAATTCCATAAAGTCTCCACTTTGTAATTCATGCTTTTGTCATGAATGGAAGTTACAGAGATTCAATTCCAATGCAAAAATATTTATCTTGACAGAGTTTGACTAAATAAAGCTGACACACATCATCTGGAGCTCAGAAGTTATATTAATTTTCAAGACCAGAAGGAAGTGAACCAGAGAAAAGAAACTAACTTTAATATACTGAGATCTTTCATGTCACAAAAGCCAAGCCAAAGCTGAAATCCAGGGACAAAAGCAGGTCTTAGCTAAGAAGTGGTGTTCTGCGCCATATCCTTCCTGCTGGGAGTAAGGTTAAGCATTACCACTAGGCTAGCCGCATTGTGAGACCTCATTACTTCAGACCACTCTAATGTGGAATTTGTGAAAATTTCATCAGGGCCCTGGCTAAAACTCCCTGGGATTCACAGAATTTAGGACTGGAAGATGATCACATCCAGACAACAGCTGTGCCTACAACAGTCCCTATCCCCGACGACAGCAAGTGCACGGTAGGTACTTAATAAATAGCAGGTGATTGTACGCACTTGTGGAATGACCCTCCCACATGGAGCAGACATCCTCCCAACAGCATCTTTGGCAGATGGGAATCTGGCATCTGCTTTTCTGCCATCTATTGACAGGCCTCTAATGATCTCCTGAGGACACTCATTCTCTTACTCAGCCACTCTAATTGTTGGAAAGTTCTGTCTTAATGTTGAACTAAAACCTGTCTTCATGTAATGGTCCCCTACTGGCATGAGTTCTGCCCTCGACACAACATAAAATGAATTTTTTTAGTCTTCTACCTGATAGTTCTTAAAAGAATTAACAGAAGTTAACAGGCTTCTCCATACACACAATCATCGTAGATCCTGTCTTCTGGGTATAATTTAGATTGTGAATATTAATGTTAATGCCCAATGATTCCCAGGACGGAAAATAGTATTACAGATATAAACAGAGAGTGATGTTACCACATCTTAATTTAGGCAAATTTTTAATGACCACAACATATATAATTGCTTCCATGAAGAATATCCAACAATTTCCACCAGGCTTCTACTCTTGAGTACTTCCAAATTTAATTTCTAAAGTAAGTTTCCAAAGCAGGAAAGAATTTTTCCCCTATTAACTTTCATAAAGAATAGAGAAGACATTGCATTGCCTGCTGTGGAGTTGTTTCCCTCCCCAGGCAAAGCCATCTAGTGAGGACCAATGGAACTTGGATGAACATGAACTTATTTCAGTGTATTGGGACTTACAGCGTCAGTCTTCTGGGAGGCTCACTACTTCCTCTGGATACAATTCAAACTTTCCTTCCCAGAGCAAGGGCTTATTTGTCTTCCCTAGGCAACTTCTCTTCATTCTTAGCACACTGTTGTGTTAGCAGATGGAGCCTGGTAGAAGCCCGCACTGTATACATGTCTACATAGACAGTCTTGAGGGCTGTATTCTGGAAAGGGGAAAACTGATGGATAAGGTCTCCCTTACAACATCACTTGGGCCAGCCACTGGCCTTGTAACCTGGGAAAAATCAAAAGCCTTACACACTTTCCTTGTGTTCTTTACTTGCAACACACCGTTTCTGAAGAAAACAATTTCCCCAGCCCCTGCATTTAGCTAGAAAAACCTCTTATATAGGCTAACCACAGACTTTTATTTAGATTAGCTTCTAACCTGTTAAACACATTAGTTCGCCCAACCTCTTTACACCCTACAGGTTTCTATGGTAGCATCCCCTACATATAGAACTATTGCTTTTTTTTAAATGTCAAAACTTTAAAGAACACTGTTGATATAAAGTCATTGTAAATTTGTATAGCCTTTGCAACCATTTTCTTAAAAATGTAACATTTTTGAGGAAGGGAAACTTCATTCTAATGGTACAAAGATATCATGTGGACTAGCAGCAGGGCTGCCTCATAAACTCCCATGTAAGAAATGCATTTTCAGCCTATGAGCCACTCAAGGATATTCAGTGCAGCATTGTTTATAAAAATGAAAAAAAAGGAAAGACCCTCATACATCCATCAGCAGAAGAAGAGATAAATAAATGTGGTCTCTTCACACATCAGAATACTATAGATCCACTAAAAAGAATGAATTAGAGCTAAAAGGATCAACATGGATAAATCTCAAAGAACATAATGTTGAAAATATATATGTGTATAGTGTGACACCATTTATGTAAATAGTAAAATGCAGAAAGCATTATACAGATAGGCCATGGATGTATAAATTTGTAGCAAAATGTGTAGTGCACACACTTCAAGATCAGAGTTAACCCAAGTGAAGGAAGACAGAAAGGAGATACAGGAAAGATATAAAGGGACTTACCCTGGGCCAATAATATTTAATTTCCTTTTTCATGTATAATGTGTATGACAGAATATTAGCATGTGTTAAATCTGGGTCACAGTTGTATGGGTACCTGTATTTTTCTGTATGTTTGAAATAACTCATTTTTTCAAGTGAAAGAGAAAGAAAGTTGTGCTTTATTTCCCCAAAGGAGCTACCATGTTTCTGCCCCTCTGATAATGAGATCCCTATTATTCAGTGGTTTTCCAATGTTTCTTTTTTTTTTTTTTTTAGCACCAGAGTCTTCCTTTCAAATGAAAATTTTTATGGATTCCTAATATACACAACCAATAAAAGCAGAGGTGCCCTGGAGCTCTGCTTTTCCTCCCACCCTCTGTGCATCTAACTGAGTCCCCAAAGATATCTTCATAGATCAGAAAGCTCCAGAAAGCACAGTTTGAAAACCAATGGTGAATTCGTTTTGATCTGAATGCCAGGAAGCTACAAGCCAGTGTTCAAGCTTTATGTCAACAACTACGGGTAGGATATTTACATCCTCCCACTCCCTCCCTACCACTGATTTATGAGCTGGTATTTCTTTTTATCAAGAACCTCAATGTAATAAAATGGTCCATCTTCAATAATTGACAAAAATTAATACCTCTCAACAATTTAACTGACATTTCTGAATTGTCATCTCTATAATTATTACAAATCACAAAGGTTTTCCAGTACAGTAGTTCCCCTTAGCCACAGGGGATACGTTCCAAGACCCCCAGTGAATGCCTAAAACCACGGATAGTACCAAAACATATATACACTATAAATGAATTTCTTTTTCCTTCTTCACAATTTCACAGATAGAAGATTCATTCTTACCATAGATCTGAGCAATGTCAGCATACAATTTTTTTTCTTTCCTTACTAATTTGAGAACTTTCACTTTTCCCTTAAAGGAAGGACTTTATGCTTTTCTTTGGAATATCCAAATTGCCGGAATCACACACTTGCACTTTGGGGCCATTATTAAGTAAAAAAAAGGGTATCAACCCAACACAAGCGCTGTGATACTGCAACAGCAGATCTGATAACCCAGGTGACTCCTAACTGATTCACGGGCAGGTAGTGTTGACAACAGGGATATGCTGGATAGAAGGAGGATTCATGTCCCAGGAGGAGGGAGGGGGACTTTGTGAGATTTCATCAAGCTACTCAAAATGGTGAACAATTTAAAACTTATGAATTGCTTATTTCTGGAATTTTCCACTGATTATTTTTGCATAGCGGTTGACCTCAGGTAACTGAAACCACAGGAAGTGAAACCATGGTTAAAGGGAAACTACTGTGTTTGTGTTAACCAAAAAATATTTTTAAGATAGAAATACAGGAAGAACATTTTCTTAATAAAATAAAATATCCCTTAAAATAAAAGAGAGCACTAAATTATTTAGAGTGAATGTCGTTACCCAAATTCATGAGAATCCAGCATTCGAAATGTCAAAATTTAAAGAATATGATATATAAATGGCCTTCAACTACCATCCAACACACATTTTTTTTTCCATACTCCATGAGCTAGTTTATTTGGAATCCCATGGAAATGATTTTCTTCTTTTTTAAATTTTTATTTCAGGTTTGGGGGTACATCTGAAGGTTTGTTACACAGATAAACACGTGTCACGGAGGTTTGCTGTACACATAACATCACCCAGGTATTAAGCACAGTACCCAATAGTTATCTTTTCTGCTCCTCTCCCTCCTTCCCCCACTCTCTTCTCAAGCAGACCCCAGTGACTGTTGTCTCCTTCTTTGCAACACATGTATTAATATGGCAATTTTTTCCTTTTTTTTTTTTTTGAGACAGAGTCTCACTCTGTTGTCTGGGCTGGAGTGGAGTGGTGTGATCTTGGCTCACTGCAACCTCTGTCTCCCAGGTTTAAGCAATTCTCATGCCTCAACCTTCAAATCAGCTGGGATTACCGGTGCATACCACTACGCCCGGGAAATTTTTTTGTATTTTTAGTAGAGACAGGGTTTCACCATGTTGGCTAGGCTGGTCTCAAACTCCTGCCCTCAAGCGTTCCCCCCGTCCCCCCACCCCTGCCGCCTCAGCCTCCCAAAGTGCTGGGATTAAAGGCACGAGACACCACACCCAGCCTAATATGTCATTCCTGTGACCAACAATCTATCTATACATAAAGATAGTGTAGCTACTTTAACTTCAATTCTGTGAATGTTCTGAAATTTTCACACTTTCTATTAACACAAATTCATTTGTTTACCAGGTGATCTTATGCTATATTTATGAAAATGTAACATTTTGTAAAGAAGTCTATTCAACAAAGCATTGCAATTGATCATTCAAACACAGCAAAGCTCAAAATCATAGTTCCCAGAAAATTCAAAATAGCCCAATAATATACATATGGTTTGCCAAATATTAAACGTATTTGCAGTAGCTAAATAGAGGTGTGCCACAGCTAGAGGAACAGTGACTGCTTTACTACTGAGTTGCTGACTTTTAATGTTTGTCTATATAATGAAAAATATCACTTTGGGGAGAAATTACGCACAGTAGCAGTAACAGGCAACCTGACTGACCAACTGAAATGCAGCTACCCAGTGAGCTCCATATCAGAGAAATCACAGAATTAGAGTAGAATGCTAATTGTTGCTTCCTGGCTAGACACCCAGGCTTCCGATTCTCACCGGACACCCACCCACACATGACCAAAGAAGGCTTCTACATTTTAACAAGAGAATCCTAATCAATCTTCCCCTTACACCAGGCCCAAGAGTTGCCTGGGCTTACAGTGAAAAATTATTTCTTTATCAGCTGTTTTTCCCCTTGGCCTCACTCTCCCTTTAAGGGAAACAAGCAGTCTCTGCCTTACTTCATTCACTGAGTAAGTATTGGGGATGTCAGCTGGGATGTGAAGGACACTATGAAAAAGGAGAGTGTCAGGTTGCAAAGAGAGGCTTTGGGGTAGGGCAGATATGTAAAGGAAGGCAGAATAAGGGAGACGAAAAGGAACTGATGAATCCTATGTCCTATGTTGATCGATCAAATGACAAAAATCAATCTGCTTGCCTGAAAATGTACCATAATCAAGATCACAAAAGAACAATAATATGAATGAATTTTTGAAGAGATGCCTTTTAACACAAATCAGGTGTTAAGGCACTTTTTACAGCAACATATGACATTGGTGTGTTGGGGGAAAAAAGACAAATGGAAAAAAAACTGGAAAGTTCAAAGAACCACAAAAATGATAAAATGCATAGTGAAGTTTTCATCAGGAAGGTTATATAGCCTAAAAAGCCTAGTGAGAACAAGTCCAAAACATGATTGGGTAAGAGCAGAGGTTGATCAAACACCAAGATAGATTGGTTACTAAAGTCAGCTGAGATGTTCATCTCTAGAAATACATAGGAAAAGAACAGACAACCTCAGAAATAGAAGACTTAGGTCCTCATCTGCACCAAATCAGAAGTGATGACCAGGACTAGGACCCTGCGTCAAAATAATACACAAGAAGTGTCTGGTATAGGTTCCAAGAGTGTTGTTCAAGGATATATAAAGATTAAATCTAAGATATCCAACAGTCAACACACTGGCTCTGAGAAAGGATAGAAGACTGGCATGAAGAGACTCCATCCAGCAAATGCCCAGTTTATGCACAGGGAAAAGTTTGAGTTTCAACAACCTGCAATAAACTCTTTATTAGCTTGATAGTCAGGGAATGTGGTGCCCCAGCTAATCAAATGTTTTTTGTTAATTGTTGCCACATGCAAAAAGATTACAAATTTTTAAAGAATGAGAATAAATTAAAATACACTTAACACTGAAACTAAACTGATTATAATTTAATCTTTCTCTAATTATTCAGAATGCATTCTGGGGTCATCAAGAGAAGCATAAATTATCAATGCTTGATGACTATGCAGGAAGTCGCAGTTTTTCCAAAATCCTGGTTACTAGATGCTGGTAATAAATAATTCACTGCAATAGTTATCATTTGGAGGATTTATGTGGTAGGCATTTCTCTAGGATATGAAGTATGCCATTAATCTGCACCAAAAATAAGTTTTCAGAGATGATGAACTGATATTCATAACTTGCCCAAGGCTCACAAGCTGAAAGAGTATCAGAACCAGATTCTGAAAATGGATCTGTCTTTAAAGAATATACTCTTTCTGAAATCATGTCTTTTGCAGCAACATAGATGAAGCTGGAGGTCATTATCCTAAGAGAAATCACTCAGAAACAGAAAATTAAATGCTGTATGCTTTTACTTATAAGTGGAAGCTAAACAATGGTACACATGGACACAAAGAAGGAAATTAAATAGACACTAGACATTCCAAAAGTGGGGAGAGTTGGAGGATGGATGAGGGTTGAAAATTACCTATTGGGTATAATGTTCACTATTTGGTTGACAGGTATACAAGAAGCCTAAACCTCGCCATTATACAATATATCTATGTACATCCTGCACATGTACCCCCCTGAATCTATCTAAGTCAATCAATCAATCAATCAAAGAATATGCTCTTTCAGTATGTCAAACAAGCAAATCCTTGTGGCATAAGAGTATTCATAAAGTTATCTGCCTGTCTGTACAAAATTTGTACACAATCAATGGGTCAGGCTATTTGTTTTTCTAGGAGTGCTAAAAGATTTTTCTGAACTATTCTTGTCATTGTTACCATCTATTCATGAGGGCAGCAAACTTTGGCCATGAAATATTTTTGAAGCTTCCTTTTTTTTGTTTTTTAAGGCCAACTGCTCATTCAAAGTATCAAGAACATATCCTGAACATCTTTGGGGAAAAAAAATGTTTTAAGGGACTAAACCCACAGAGCCTCAACCACATAAAAATGATCTACTAATAAATGTATACCTTACAATAGACTCATTTACTCATATTTTATGTGCTGATCTAATTTTTTATTATTCTGATTTTCAACTACAAAACATATTTGACTTGACTCTGACTCATAAAAGAATATGGTCGTTTAAAATTATTTAAGACTTTGAGCTGTGTCTAAATATCAAAGAAATGAATTCCACTTGTTGCCAGGAGAGTAAAAAAGGTTATTTCATCAGCAAATGTCAAACATTCTTCCTCCTACCCTACTCCTATTATCTGTTTAGTCCGCACTCATTAATGTTTTCACCTGAATCATCGATGGCTTCTTGTTCACCTTCACTCACCAGCACCAATTAAAATTCTTCAGGGTTCAAATGCCTTTTCTTCCTCCATCCACAATAGTTTCACTTATTTTTAAAGCAGACAGTGATTCCTATAACAGACTTTCACAAACAAGGGGGGAAATGTGGCCGAGCTTTAGGATAACACAAACTAATCTCAGGCCATGATACTGTTTCATTAGCTAATCTCAACACACAGGAGACTTTGCTGTTGATGAGATGACCCTACTGAATGAGACGGGCCTCCCTCCCCCATCTCTGCACATAGCCTTTTCAGATAAACTTTAAGAATTACTTTCTAAAAGAAACTATTTTCATCTCTAGCACCAGAGTGATATTTTCATTGTATTGAAGAAAATGCTACCTAAACAGTAACTTGAGGTAAAAGCAGTACTGATTGGAATAAGCTCTACGCTCAGAAGTCAGAATAGAAAAACAGACTTGCCTATATGAAGTCTCTGCACAGACTTATGATGAGACTGTAATTCTGAAAACGCCGCAATATAATCCCTCCTTCTAATTCAGGATCTTACCCAGAAACAAAGGTTTAGTGTTCAAGTTAAATATACGTAAAGTTAAAATTACTACGCTATCTAATTGAATTAAATTATGCATTTATGGCAAAGTTCAAAAACTCATACTTAACTATCTTAAAATTTAATAGATTAGATGCCTCTTGCCATAATTGTGTTTTGAAAGGTGATTTTACTGCTGGTGATTGTAGCTGCTGTGAAGTTCTTCAGCTGGGGATTTTACACTAATGCTTTGAAATGAGTTGGCACATCCAGTTTCCTCTCTGAGATTTTATGCTCTCTACAGTAACTTTGTTAAACTTGAGTCTGAAGTGCCCTTCTGACTCTATGAATTCCAAGGGAAAACTTTCTCAAGCAAAGAAAGGTGAGGTTCATTTTCAATGTGAATGAATAGAAGAGGAAACACTCAGATTGAAGGTCAAGAAAATGTTACCTGGAACCTCAATCAATATCAATAGAAACAGCGCATTGAAAAGCAAGGTCTAATTTTATGTCCATATAAGAAAGGTGTTAAATTTCAAATTAGGTAGCTGGATAAGAAGAATGAAGAGAGGCTTTTTTTTTTGTATAAAAAAAGACCATTAATTATAATTCCTTGGACTAAATTTTATAGCCTACGAAATTATCAAGAGTTCTAATAAAATGTGATCCGTGACATACTTCTGCAGAACGACTATCTAGAAGGTCACAAAATTCTTAGGCTGGCAGTATCCCAAAAGATCAGCTAGTTCAGCCCTTTTATTTTCAATTAAAGAAACTGAAGCATGGAGCGCTTAAGAGAATTTATACATGAGAGCTTTAAAACTCTAGCATATATTTAAATTGTTGTTGTCCCAAACAGAAGTTTAATATCAAAAGGATATAATTAGTGTTCATGCATATTCTAATACATACAAATTGTTTATAATAGAATAAATAATCTGCCACTTCTTTAGAAATCAAAAAAGCACAATGGTGGCATAAGTCTAATATTTCATTGAAATTCCCAGAAGTAAGTAATTCAGTTTTTCTGCTAATCTAGGCTCAATCTCCTTTCAGTTATTAAACATTTACTGAGCACTTACGGAATGCTGAGTATATAGCTCAAAACTCCAAAATTTTTTCTGGTGAGAATTTTGTCTTTAAAAATGGTGAATAAAATCTTTAGGTACACTTCTTCTGCCTATGAGTTCTTTTACCTTTTAATAACTTTCATTTTCTCCTGAAAATGCTCTTTTTTTTTTCCCAAAGATTATCATGGATATCATCTTCAAGAATCAAAGTATCTCTCAAGTTCCATATATTCAATTGTCTTATTCAACAAGTATTTGCTACAATGCTGTAGTTAGAAGCCTCTGCAGTGGTCATGGCATCAATTTTTAATGTTTTCAATCATAATATTGCTGATTTTTGTCTACATAGTATCAGGCTCATTATTGAAAAAAATAAGATAGGAGGTAGTGAACCAGTAATTCACAGAATTAGGAGTCTGTGAAAGTTGGCAGAAACAACATTTATATCACTGTAGAGCAACTGACCAATATAAGCAACATTGAAGCTATAAAAAGGTAAGATGAGAAGACTACAGAGAGGAAGGTTATAGAACCGGTGAGATCAGCACCGCCTAAGGTCGCACTGCAAATCCACCATTTCATTTTTTTTTCACTGCACCGAGAGCTAATCCCTACTAATGAACAAGATTTTTATTTACAAAACCTAATGTCAACGTATTAATTTACAATGAGGAATATCTCTTTCCAAGCATGGGAAAACTCATGTTAAGTTTCATGAGCAGAAATAGATAGCATTTGACCATCTACTTCCTTTGATTCTTTCCATGAGCCCATAGCTATCCAACAGAATCCTTAACACAGTCATCCAGGCAACGCCTGTGAATCACACTAAAGTGGAACTCTACTGGCTTCATTCAAAGGCAGTGATTTTTCGCTCCCAAGATGACTAAGAGGCAGATAGTAACCAGGTTATTCTGGAGATCAGGGAATAAGAGCTAATGTAGACAGATGCTTGAGGACCACCTCATCTACACTCTGGGGGAAACCTGAGATACTCACCTTGCTTCAATTCCAGTAGCCCCCTAATCACTAAAATATTCCAACATGGCTCTCTCTTGGAACAGTTTTTAAAAATCATTACTGAATCCTCCCTGAAGCTATCTAGGGAATAGAAAAAAATAGATAAATCAATAAATAATAAAAAATCATTATTGAATTTTTTCTTTTCTCCCCCTTCCCCTTTTTCTAGTTTCCATTCAGCCAACTCTTCATATTGGAAAGGCTAACTTTTTTCAGATAAATAACAATTCTTTTCCTCATTGGTCTTCACAGTTGTGGAAAATAAAAACTGAGCTTCTGCTTACTGTTACACTATACATTTTCATGAAAAAAAGAAAGGTTACGGCCAGGCACGGTGGCTCACGCCTGTAATCCCAGCACTTTGGGAGGCCAAGGTGGGCAGATCATGAGGTCAGGAGATTGAGACCATCCTGGCTAACATGGTGAAATTCTGTCTCTACTAAAAAAATACAAAAAAAAAATTAGCTGGGCATGGTGGTGGGCGCCTGTAGTCCCAGCTACTCAGGAGGCTGAGGCAGGAGAATGGCATGAACCTGGGAAGCAGAGCTTGCAGTGAGCCGAGATCGCGCCACTGCACTCCAGCCTGGGCAACAAAGCGAGACTCCGTCTCAAAAAAAAAAAAAAAAAAAAGAAAAAGAAAAAGAAAAAAAGAAAGGTTAGTTTGAAATCATCTGATTTTTTTAAAGGCTTTATTGTATCCTTAAAATTCACTGGACCTGAGATGGTGGGAGACCTTAAGTATCACTTCAGAGTAGTGGAAACTGAGTTAAAAAGCCCAAAGTGATGTCCATCAGTTGGGGCACAGCATAGATATTGGAATACTACAGACAGAGAAGATAATGGTTTCCAGTTAAAACGCACAAGGAAAGATTCTCTGATGTGTGATCAAGCTGCTTCTCACATGGGCAACTCCATGAAACCTGTTCTTGTGAAGCAGGTATGCCAGGTTCTATGTTTCTAAGAGAATGTGCCTCATAAATGGTTTAGGTTTCTGACCACATCAATATATGCCTCACCAGACAAGTGTGGTAAAGTAGCTCATCAAAAAACTTACATAAACTTACATAGATAGGTAGCCAGATAGAGACATACAGAGTATATGCATATATGTATACATATTTCTGTGTATGTGTGAATGTGTTTGTGTATGTGTGTTATTCTGGCTTTATTAAGCACTATATTAATCACTTGGTCATAGTACATGTTCTCTAAAAACCCTTAAATTGGTCACAATGTTACACAGCAGTATAGAAATGTGCAGGAAAATAAATTGATAAAATCTGAGAATCTAGACTTTGAAAAGACCCAAATAATGAGCACCAACCCCTTTCCTTGGCAGTGGAGAATGTTGAGGTCCAGATAATGTATTTTGACCAGAGTGATGAATGTCCTTAAACAGAAGCATAAAGTACGTATATCAAATATGAGAATAACATCTAACAGTCTAAGGTGTTCAGAGCATATGTAGATATAAATGATCTCATTTTATTTTCACAACTGACCTTGGATTAGGCAGAACAGCAGTTAGCATTAGTCCCATTTTACAGATAAGGAAATTGACATTTAGAGAGTACCAATGATGACTTACCCAAAGACACACCACTAGAGCACAGAACTCTGTTCATCTTTCCTCTCCAAAGCCTGCAGACTTTCTACTTCGATGCATTCTACTCTTCCATGCTTCCCAGTGGGAAGGAAGGGCAAATGACAAGTACGTCATGAGTGGAAGTAGCAGGGGGAAATAAATGAGAAGGGCATCTGGCATATCCCTTTTTAAGGTTAACTCTGTAAACCCTGGCTGAGTCTAAGTGTGGTCTACATATGTAGACTAGTGGGACACAAACATAAGAAATTATTTTCTTCATGACTTTTCAAATTCCACAAATAAAACTACCATGTATCCAAAGGAAATGAAATCAGTATGTCAAAGAGATATCTGCATTCCCGTGTTCACTGCACCATTATTCACAATAGCCAGGATGTGGGATCAACCTACGTGTCCACAGTGGATGAATGGATAAAGAAAATGGGGAATACAGTGTCATTTTTCACAGATTTAGAAAAATATTATTCTAAAATTCATATGTAATCAAAAAAGAGCCCGAGTAGCCAAAGCAATCTTAAGCAAAAAGAGTGAAGCTGGAGAAATCACATTACCCAACTTTAAACTATGCTACAAGGCTACAGTAACCAAAACAGCATGGTCCTACAATTGGACCTTAGAAAGAATAAAATCCTGTCATTTGCAACAATACAGATGAACCTATAGGACATTATGTTAAGTGAAAGAAACCAGGCACAGAAAGACAAATACCACATGCTCTCACTTATATGCGGAATCTAAAAAAGTGGATCTCAAAGAGGCAGAGAGTAGATGGTGAGAATAACATCTAACATTTTAAGGCATTCAGAGCATATGTAGACATAAATGATCTCGTTTATGGGGCTGGGGAACTCAGGAGATGCTGTTTCAAAAGAGACAACATTTCAGTTGGATAGGAGCCAAAAATTCAAGAGATTTATTGTACAACATGGTGACTATAATTAATAACAATCTGTTATATTCTTTTAAATTACCAAAAGAGTAGATGGTAAGCATTCCCACCACAAAAAAAAATGCTAATATGTCAGGTAATGCATGTGTTTAAGGCATTTTAGATTGTATACATGTTTCATAACATGTTGTACACAATAAAGATACAATTTTTGTCAATTAAAAAATTAAAAAACAAAAATTGCACACTCTATATACTAGCACCCACTAGCCATTCTCATGCCCAGCCTTCAACCTCATTCTTCCTCTGTGTTCTGACCTGGCCCCTTGTGGCTAGCAGCCATCCAGTGCAGCCAGGAGCAGCCTGGTTAGCAGTATTGAGTCAATCCAAATCCCACCCCACGTGGCCCCAAAGCCATACAGTTATATTTAACAGGAGTTATGACATGAACTGCTTCCTAGGGGCCAAGGTGACAAAGATGTCCTCTGAGAAGCAATAAAACAATAGATACACAGTGAGAATCTATATTCAGGTATTTGGGTCTCTATTCTGAGCTTGCAATAGATTTTTAATTGGCTGGTGTTTCTAAAAGGTCACCGTATTAACCTTTGAAATCTTTCCCTAATGCTTAGGATTTTTTTCTAATGCACATTTAGAAAAACACAGGCGCTTAACACATTTTGTCCAGTTAAATGGACCTCTGTGATCTGAAATTGGCATAGGCAGGTGGCTGCCAGGTCTGCACTACTTTGGGAAATAGATGTATTTCTCCTTTACCTGCTCTCCGTGGGAAGGGAAAGACGTAGAGGGAGGGAGAATGCTGACAGACAACAGCAGGGTGATTCTGTGCTCAGCATCTTGTCTTGGTGGTATATCCAAGCTGCAAGATTTATAACCTTCTTGTTACAATGTATCAGCTTCAACACTTTCAGTGAAGTCTTCAATAACTTCGATGACATCTTGCTGAGGGGTTTTGTCATTAAAAGCTGAAAGCTGGTCATTAACAAACCTTCTCTGCAATCATCTACCGCTGTGCTAACTCAGGCATGGATCTGCCTGGAAAGTTGGACTGGCTCAGAAACTTTTCAGAAGGCTGCATTTTTTGTGTGTGTGTGGGGGGGTATATTTCTTCAGGGAAAGAAAATATGCCTCCCAACCATTTAGTCATTTATTTCTCATTATTCATTATCTAGCCTTTCCATGATAGAACCAAATTCAACAAATATGTGTATAACACTACTATGTAACAGTCATGGTGCTTAGAGCTGAAGATATAATTATAAAAAAAAGACAAAGCTCTAGCCCTCAGAGAATTCACAGCACCTCCACCCCCCAAAAAAATTAGTCAATCATTTACAGAATCCTTAGGAAATGTGCCAGACTTTTTTTAGGCATCATAAGCATTATTTTGCTCATTTTTCACCACTCTTTAGAAGATCAATGTTCTTATTATCCCCATTTTAGAGATTAGATGACTGAGGTGGTTGCCTGTTTCAGAATTTTCCCTAAAGTTTTGGGCTCATTATGGGCAGAACCAGGGTCTCAAACCTATGTTTTCTCTGACTTCAAGCAAGCCCATCTACTTCAAACAAAAGTGGGCCAGGAAGAAAGCAAAGAGCATGGCATTCCAGGTGGAGGAAGGATCATAAGCCAGGCTAAAAGCACACATGTGCTGGGTAGGTATGAGAAACAGGTTGAGCACCGCTCGGATCCCCTTTCAAGATAATTTAGGTGATGGGGGCAGTATCAGCCATCGGAGCAATGGCCCCTGGCTCCCCATTCTTCCTCATCTCCATGAAAGCACTTAGACTGGAGAGGTATCCATTTGTGTGCATCTACATATGAAGCCAAAATTGCCCATTGGCTCTTAAGTATTGAGGAGTGGCATAAATGTTATGAATATAATAAAAATTCCTATGATACAAGAAAATTTTAACTATTTGAATGTCATTGAATCCCAAACATATACAAAGATTCAAGTGGCAGAACAATTCCCAGTTACTTGATAGCAGTTTCCACTGTCAATGATTTGACTTTTCACCTAATCTGGTCACCTCCCACAGGGAAATAATGAATGGAGGTGCTGCTTTCTCCTCAGTGCAATTCACACTAGAAAAAGCCAGAGGACCAATGTTATAACACACATCCAGAAGTTCCTCAAAAAGGAAGAGAAACACAGAAATATGGGGAAATAGTCTGCTATAATTTGTGGGGGGGGGATAGAAAAATAACAAGTCTTGGAATGGCATTTTTTTAATAACAAGGAGAATAACTTGGAGATAATAGATACGTTTTTAAGAGTGCACATTTTGTAATAATAATAATTGTTACCATTGGTTAAGGAGCTACTATGGGTCAGGTAGTTGCTAAGGGAATTTTACACATTAGCTCATGAAATGGAATCTCACTATAACAACCCCGCCAGAAAAAAAAATTAACCCCATTTTTATAGATAAACAAACTGAGGATTAGACAGGTTGAGCAATTTGCTAAAGGTCCCTTATTGAATAATTTGCAGATCTGGAATGCAAATCTAGTTATATGTTATTTCAACTTTTTGGTATCCTTTACTCTCACCTGCCTCTACATTACTTAAAATATAACCTATTAAAAGGTGTTTAATACAATTAAACAATGCAAAATTTAAAAGGCACTAGCTGATTTCTCTCCTTTTATTCTAAAATGATATTTTTTCTCTTTTTTTTTTCTCATATTCCAAAAGGAAACAGAAACATTAGCATACCTTTTAATGCTCGATTAATTGCTGTGGGAATCTACCTGAAGAGATCAGTAAGACCTCCAAGCGGACCCATTGATCCATCTATAGTGTCATTATGTGCCTCTCCATATGTGTGATGTCAGAGGAAAGGCTTTGTTCGTGAGAATCACAGAGCCATCATCCATCTGACTCCCTAGGTTTTGGTCACTTCTCACCTGCAGCGCTTCCCAGGAATATCTTCCTTGGCCTGTTATTATTTTTAATTGCTCACAGGGTGCTTCTTACTATTAAAGTTCTTGGCAACCAAGATCATCAGCATTACCTCGGAGGAGTCTCAGAAAATTGATTAGCAAGTTCAGCTCTGCTCTTTTGATGAGAACTAGGATATAGGGCGTCTGAGCTTTGCTCAAGGTCACAGAACCTGTCGGCTCTTCTTCAAAGACAGCATGAAGCACTTTGAAAGAATACATGCAAACCCAAAGTAACCAAACATAAGGAAAAGTTTCTGTGTGGTGGGACAAATAAACACTTTAACTCAGAGAGCCCTGAACTCACAGATTATATCTCACACCAAATAGTTAATAATAATAATAATAATATACATGCATTCAGCCTTGTTCCAGGAAATACTACTTAGTGCCTTTATTTTCTTTAGCAAATAATATAGCCTCTTTGAAACTCAGTTTCCTCATCTATAAAGTAGGAGTAATGACTTCATATCATTGTTTTGAGAAGGAAACGAGATGATGGTATCAATTACAACTCTTTTTATTCAAGAGATAGAAGCCCAATTAGAATAAGATTAAGCACAAAGAGCACTTTATTATGATGAAAGTAATGTCTCTCAAGAACTTGCATGCAGACAGATCTCAGGAAAAATGAAAAGCAGAGGCTCCAGTGCTGTCTGGAAGTTCTCCATGTTTACCTTCCTTTAATGCATAGATATCTTCCCTTCTCACTGTGCCTAAGCTTACAGGGTAGAACCGAGTCACCAGTGGCTCACAAAGCTACATCCACCCAACCCAGTCCAAGAGATTAAGAAACTAATTGGTCCACGTTCTAAGTACCAGGGAAGAACTGAAATTGCCCCAGCTCACGTCCTGTGCCTACGTTTGGACCAGTCAGTTATCTGCTGAAGGAGGAGGATTGTATTCCACTTGCATGGATGTCCCTGTGGTAAGCATGTACATGGGGAGGTGAGTATTTTATAGAAGAAAGGGGAAAGAGAGTTGCACCACAGCAGAAATAATTGGTGTCCACTACGAGAATACATAAAAAAGTTACCACACCACAGTGGGGCGCGGTGGCTCATGCCTGTAATCCCAGCACTTCGGGAGGCCAAGGCGGGCAGATCATGAGGTCAGGAGATCGAGACCATCCTGGCTATGGTCTCTACTAAAAATACAAAAAATTAGCCAGTTGTAGTAGCGGGCACCTATAGTCCCAGCTACTTGGGAGACTGAGGCAGGAGAATGGCGTGAACCCGGGAGGCGGAGCTTTCAGTGAGCCAAGATCATGCCACTGCACTCCAGCCTGGGTGACAGAGCGAGACTCCATCTCAAAAAAAAAAAAAAGTTACCACACCACTATACCCAGTCCAGAATAAATACATTTATGCATATGTTTTTCTTCTCAATATATATATTTCTACACATTTAAAAAGTCGTTTTTTTAAAAGGCAAAACAAAAATAGTACGTGTCTATTACAGTGAATATAGCTAGCCTACTGTTAAGATTCAGAAGAGAACATAGATGCTGTAGACAGTATATGTTTTATATGCCTAATAAACCTCTCATCAAGTAATTTGAAGACAAAATAGAAGTTCAACAAATTGAAAAACATATTTTTTGTCCTAACCCTATTCTCTCCCGTCTCTTAGAAATCCAAATCTTTTTTTATTTTCCACTCTTATCTTCTGTTACTTTTCTATCCTTGAATCACCTTAGTTTGGGGTCGATCATTAAGCATTTAGCATTAAAGATGTAAAGGATGGTATAAAGTACTTGAAACTATTTGAAAAAACAACGAAATGCCTCTATATGATTAGCGCTGAACAGAGTACCAGGCTGGGAATGGAAACAAAAAAAAAAAGCAATTTCTGTTTATCTCTCTTTTCCCAAAAATACACAGAGCAATTTTAGGCAAGTCATTTGTGTTCCCTGTAGCCATCCATAAATCTGCCGGGTAGTAACTAGCCTATTTGTTCTTCAGGATAAAGCCTGGGAATATCAATAGATTAACTATGAACAGGACCCATCTACAGGGAGAAGTGGAGAGGAATCTCAGAAAACTAGAGATTTCCCTCTCTTATCAGAAGATGAACTCCTACCCGGAAGAATCTATTTTGTGTGCAATACAAAATAATTTCTTCACTTGGGTCAAATTGCAAGAATCCAATTGCTCTCTGCCAATAAACTCCAGGCCTGAGTGAAGGATCCAGTAAATAAATTTCAGGTTTTGGAAAAAGACCACTTTGTGTCACTTTCCAGAATTCCTTCTGGTGATTACCAGTGTAATACTGAATAATTTTAGAAAGAATAATGTCGGAACCTCTCAGAATGATAAGAAATAAGTGTGGCTATCATGGTTTAAAAAAAAAAAGGAAATTTAAAGTCTTATTTTACATTGGATTTTGTTGCTATGACATGATTCCTTTTTAAGAAGGAGAAATTGGCCGGGCGCAGTGGCTCATGTCTGTAATCCCAGCACTTTGGGAGGCCAAGGCGGGCAGATCACAAGGTCAGGAGATCAAGACAATCCCGACTAAAACCGTGAAACCCCACCTCTACTAAAAATACAAAAAATTAGCCAGGCGTGGTGGCGGGAGCCTGCAGTCCCAGCTACTAGGAGGCTGAGGCAGGAGAATGGCGTGAACCTGGGAGGCAGAGCTTGCAGTGAGCCCAGATAGCGCCATTACACTCCAGCCTGGGTGACAGAGCAAGACTCTGTCTCAAAAAAAAAAAAAGAGGAATTAAATTTGGGAAGCAACAAATAATAGGAGAGGAGGTGCTAACTTGCCTAGAAATGTGTGTTACCAGTTAGAGGTTATTCCTTCATGACTGTTTTCAAATATGTTAAGAATTCATATGAAAAGAATTCCATGGAGGGAAAAGAGATACTAAAATAACATTATCTTAAAACACAACTCACATTTTCCATACGACAATAAAAATGTTTCTAACTGGGCTGCTTGGTTACAGCTTAAATGCAACATACATTGATGGAGGACTTGTGCCATTTTTAAGTTTATTGCACAGATGCTTAATTTGGGTTCTTTAAAAATCCTGTCATTTCATTTTTTTTTGGTAGTTAGGATATTAAAATATGCAAATAAGCATGTTATAGTTGATCAGTGCTAATCTATTCTGTAATAACTGATGTTCTCTCCCAACAGCCACCACTCCTTCTGTTCTTGTCACCTTCACCTGGGAGTCACAAAATGCTGAAGACAGTCACTTTTCACTTGATTCAATTTCAGGAGGTTGTAGCTAGGCCAAAATCCTCCACTTCCTCTTTCCTAAATACTTTTTCCCCCTCTCCTAATTATATGGCTTTGCATTGATTTACATGGATTTCAGCTTTCAAAAATTATTGGTCTTTGCTGAATGCAAATAAGCAAATGGGAAAATTATATTAAGTTTGCACAATTGATCTTTCATCATTTCAAATGGTACCTTTGAACAGTTCCTGAAATGTTTGTCTGAAATACTCCCAGCGTTGAGTGTCATCAAGAGGCGCTGGGTCACTCTGGGGAAACCCATTCTCAGTGATGTAAATTACAGGGTTATTATATGTATCCTAAAAAAAAAGAACAGAAGTTTTATTCCAAACAGATGTTTTAAAAAAAGAAAGCTCATAAAATCAGGTACATTACCCTCTATCTTCTGTAAGCTACAACCCCAAAACTAGTTTTCATCAAATTGCACTGACCCTATTAACTTAATTTTCCATGCACTGACCTTTTATAACTAACAATGGAAACGCAAAACTGTGCAAATGTCCATGAAGACAGTCAAATGACTCTTATTATAATGAGAAGACAGAAATATCTTTCTTCCATCAGCATCTGTTGATTGTCACTGCTCCTTAACCCCTCAGTCCTGCCAGTAGCTACATTCTACATCCCCCATAGGAGGGGTTCTGAAAACCTGTAATTGAAATTTTAATTTTAGCTAACTGGATGTCATCCACTATAGCTGAGACTCAAAAAAAGGATCCAACTATCTCAATCCTTAAAATGTCTTTTATAATCATAGTTGTGACACCAGATTGAAAAATATGTCCAAATTACTTCTATAGCCACAACTAACTTTAACAACAAATCCTAGACTTTGACCACTGCTTTTGAAGCCTTTACCGGCTAGTTACCCCTCATCAACTCAAATCCTAATCTGCTCTTCCCAGGCCAGCAAATGTATATGCTATTACCTAAAGTAATTCTTTTTTCAGGTCCATATATATATATATATATATACATATGCCTGTCTTGCCCACCTTCACATAATTGGGTGTACATGGACACACAAAAAATCATGCATTTACCTTAATATATTTCAGTAGTTTACATACTCCCCATGGTACCACGTAGATCCAATCCACATTTTTCCAAGATGGATCTGGAAAAAATTCAATTTCCGCATCCTGGAGAATACCTAGTTCTCCTTTCTTGTTCTCCTGGTACTTGATTAAGCGAGTTGTATAATATTGCACAGCAAAAAAATCAGCAGTGCCTTTGATCATTTTCTTCTCTTCTTCAGTGAATTCTGGAAGCCTCGATGATGGATAGCCTTGCTTTTGACTCATGGAGGCAATCTGAGACTTGACAACTTCAGGATAATCACCATCGATGAATATGGGTTTAGCAAATAAATCCAGATGGAAAGTGATGGCTCTTTTAGCAGCTTCCTGGTCAGACACTGAGTTGGGATCTGCTGGTTCCAACCAGACCGCAAAAAGTGATAGAGACACCATACCTTTCTGCTTTTTTCGAAATAAGGAATCATAGCTGTGCCAGGATCTGGCATGAGCCTTAATCAAATTATGAGCTGCCTGATAACCTCCAGTCCCAAAGTGAGGGATACCCGGAGGAAACATACCTAAGTCATATGACATCACAGAAAGAACATTAGCTTCATTTATGGTGATCCACTGCTTGACACGATCCCCAAAGGTACTGAAGCAAAACTGAGCATATTTGTCAAAGGATTCAATGATTGCCTCTGACAACCAACCTCCTTGGTCTTCTAAAGTCTGAGGCAAATCAAAGTGGTAGAGGGTCACAATGGGAGTAACCCCATTTTTTAACAAATCATCGATGATCTTGTTGTAATAATCAATTCCTAGGAGGAAAAAGAAAGTGCCCTAAGAAGAAAAGTTATTTGTAGTATATTGGCAATAAATTTTAAAAGGGAGAATATCAAAAACAATTTTCTGAATGACTTTTATTCAAAACAAGTTTTACTACTTCCTTGATATAATCAATGAAAGACTGAGAGGAAACACTGAGAATTCCAAAGAAGAGTAGTTGATCAGGAAGTAGGAGTTTAATGGGGTGACATGATTGAAAGATAAACGTATTGAAATGGATACATTTAGGCAGATCGCTGTTATCTAACTTTGTGTTATTTTCATACATATTGAAATGATTTCATGCATTTGTATGTATGCTCATTTTTGTCTCTTAGCCCCACTAGAATATAAGCCCCATGATAGCAGAAGGCTTGTTTAATTCACCTCTGGATCTCCAAATCCTGGGATAGTACCAGAAATTTAGAGGCTAATAAATATTTCTTTAATAAATGCATGGATCCGATGGTATTAAATATAAAGTAAAGGAATTGATCCAGATGACTGCCTTAATGCTTTTCCAGGTCAACTAGTCTCACAAGTCTAGGAAAAGAGACCTACTGAGAATGAACAAGAGCTCAGCATCTGCCCCAGAATCTGGGTTACAAGGACAGACAGCCAGAGGCTTAGGACATTAAAAGCACCCAGTTGGAGGTTTGCTCTAAAACTCCAACATAGTTCATGGGGATACATAGCCACCTCTGGCTCTCATCTGATTTTTCCAGGACTGCAAGTATGTAAGAGAGAGTTTTTAGGCTTGCTGCAGAGTTCAGAAGAAAGTTTCTAAATTGAACATGACCTGGCTCAGAATTTATGTCAAGAATTCACTGAGTCTAGCTTAATGATGACGATTAGCTTGGAAGAGGCTTTCTGGGAAGAGGCTGATGTTAGTATTTCATGTGGTTTTATATTTAAAAATATGGAGGCAACCTAAGCTTAGACAAGAGAAGCTGCCCTGTTTTAAGAAGTTGTTTCCTGGATAAAAATTATGAAGTCATATGTAGAAGTGTGTTGCATTGAAAGTCTGCCTAAGGTCCCTTTCTTTTTTCTTAAGAGCCTCCAATTTTTAAAAATAACAATTCACACTTTTGTATGTATTTCATTAATTCGATCATTTGTTTGTTAATTCCTTAAATACACATTAATAGAGAAACTACTATATGCTTGACATACAAACATAAGCAAAACAAACACCACCCTTGTCCTCAGGGAGCTTAGTAGCAGAGACTACAGAGAAATTCATAAACAATTACAATAGAGTAGTAGATAAATTACAGAGTCCTATTTAAACATATGAGAAGGGATATCCATCCTAAACTCAGGGTATTTGAAAATATTCTGAAAGCAACATAGCGTAATTGTTTCAAGAGTGAATTATGGTGCCAGACCACCTAAATTCTGTCCTAAGTCTTTCACCTAGTAGCTCTGCAACCTTGGGCAAGATCCTTAATATCTCTGAATTATCTTTTCCTGTATGAGAAATGTGGATAATAAGAGAAACCTTCTTCAGTTAACTGTTGTGAGAGTTTAATGAGCTGGTAAATTAAACATGTTTAGAACAGTTCTTGGCATATGGTAAGGGCTCAGTACAGGTTAGCTATCACCGAAATAGTAATTATTATTGTTATTAGTGACATCTAAGCTGATATTTAAAATATGAATACAAGTTAATCGCTTAAGGTAAGGAGAAAAATGTGATCAAGGAAGAGAAAAAGAGGAAACAAAAACAATACACAAAGGAAATGTTAAAACAAAGACCACTCAAATGAGAAAAACAGACTATTTACTCAGAGTTTGCTATAGCAAGAGAGTCAGCCACCAATACTTGCATTTGGCAGGTATTCAAATACAGTCAGGACAGAGGAAAAGCTTTAGAGTGGAAAAAAGAGAACCCTTGGGTGTGCCCTGATTAAAGTTTGTTGGCCTTGGGAAGCTATTGGAGAGCTAACTAGAAGCAGGGCATCCTTTCTGATTAGTTTGGGGAGCACATTTGGTTTTCTCAGGTTGCTCCTGAGTTGGAAGCAGAGAGCAGGGGGTTAGAAAATAGAGAAGGTATCAGTTGACCACACTGTGACTACTCTGGGCTGATTGCTGCAGAGGCTAAGGTTTGGCTTCCTGGGTTTCCTTTGTCAGTCTGAGTTTTATTATCAGATATGACCTGGCCAGTGTTTGTATATTCACTCACTTTCTGGAAATAAAAAGTTCAGTATAAGGAGGAATAGAATGGTCAAAAGAGGAATAGAATGGTGAGAGATGAGCAAGGTAAGCAGAAGCCAAATTATGCACAATCATGTGTTTTCTCTCTGTCTGGGTAAGTGGGTATTTTTGACACCATCTCATTTATTTTGCAAACTGGAATGTACTGTGAATCATGCATAACAACTCCATATTTGGAAGACACACTTCTGTGCTATTTCTCACTTGGTAGCAGAATAACTCATCCTCTCCCCAGAGATGTCCGTTCTCTAATCCGTGAAACGGGTGAACATGTTACCTTCCATGGCAAAAGGGACTTGGCAGATGCAATTAAGGTATGGACCTTGAATTGGGAAGAGTTCCCTAGAGTGTCCAGGTGGATCCAATATAACTACATGAGTTTTTAGAAGTGGAAGAGTAAGACAGAAGAGTGGGTCAGAGAGATGCAACAACGGAAGAAGAGGAGGAGAAGTGGCAGCTTGAGAGAAACTCAACCCACTACTGCTGGCTTTAAAAATGGAGGAAGAGGGCCAGGCGCGGTGGCTCATGCTTGTAATCCCAGCACTTTGGGAGGCAAAGTTGTGCGGATCACGAGGTCAGGAGTTTGAGACAAGCCTGATCAACATGGTGAAACCCCATCTCTAAAAAAATACAAAAATTAGCTGGGTGTAGTGGTGCGCGCCTATAGTCCCAGCTGCTCAGGAGTCTGAGGCAGGGGAATGGCGTGAACCCGGGAAGCGGAGCTTGCAGTGAGCCGAGATCGCACCACTGCACTCCAGCCCGGGCAACAGAGTGAGACTCCATCTCAAAAGAAAAAAAAAAGAAAGAAAATGGAGGAAGGAGACCCACCATGAGCCAAGGAATGCAGATGGCTTCTCAAAGCTGAGAACAGTCCTTAGCTGATAGCCAGAGCAAGATAATAAAGACCTCAGTTCTACAATCACAAGGAACTGAATTCTGCCAACAACCTGAATGCACCAAGAGACAGACTCTTCCAAAGATCCCTCAGAAAGAGACACAGACGTGCAGGTATCTTGATTTCAGCCTCACAGACACCCATGTCAGACTTCTGACCTGCAGAACTCTAAGGTAACAAATTTTTGTTGTTTTAAGCAGCTAATATGTGATAATTTGTTACAGTAGCAATAAAACTAACATACTCATGAAATTTTATAAACTATCCTTTTTTCTCTCAAAGAGAGTATTTCACCATCCCACCCCTGGGCCCCCATAAACCCACATTTCTATATTTGTGAATGAGATATCTAAAGATAAAATGATAAAATAATCTGGGTATTGGTATGTGTGAGGGTTTTCATAGCCAACTCTTTCCATTGACTTTGAACATGAAAATAATATTAGCTTTCATTTATTGAACTCGTACTATGCATTTTGCCAAATCCAAGCGCTAAGCTCTAGAGATAGGTGTTTTTATTCCCATTTAAAAATGAGAAAACAGATTCAGAGAGTCTCAATGTTGACAAATGGCATGGCCCACATTTAATCCCAGTCTGTCTCACTACAAAGACTGAACTGTTCTCACTATGACATCCCACTTCTCATGTTAACTAATGTTCCTGAGCCGGAAACATGTGACTCTATTTTACCAGCGTTCATGGTCACCTACTTCAGACCTGATCACAATATCAAATTCCTTTTTCCCCCTTTGTGGAGAAGTCATTAATGATGGCCAATCAATGTAATTCAAACCACATGATAACTGTCTGTTGAAAGGAAGATAAGTAAATTTTAAGAAAATTTTCTTCTCACTCATCAGCACAGCAGAGCAACAGAGCATTGCATAATTAACATTCACTATCCCAGAATTAAGCACTTCACTTCTCGATCATACAGTTTATTCAATATTGTAATGAAACTTTTCCATGAAGTGGAGCGGGAATTTTTTTTTTTTTTTTTTTTTTTGAGATGGAGTCTCCCTCTGTCGCCCAGGCTGGAGTGCAGTGGCATGATCTTGGCTCACTGCAAGCTCTTCCTCCCAGGTTCACGCCATTCTCCTGACTCAGCCTCCCGAATAGCTGGGACTACAGGCGCCCGCCACCACGCCCGGCTAATTTTTTGTAGTTTTAGTAAAGACAGGGTTTCATTGTGTTAGCCAGGATGGTCTTGATCTCCTGACCTCATGATCCACCCACCTCAGCCTCCCAAAGTGCTGGAATTACAGGCTTGAGCCACCGCACCCGGCCAGAGTGGGATTTTTAAGAGGAGAGCCCCAGACCCAGAAAACTCAGTCAAAGGATCTTGGATAAATCACTGGTCTCTCTACACCTCAGTATCCTCATCTGTAAAATGGGAATGTTAATACTGCCACCTTAGGAGCATGTGAGTATTGAATGAGAATAAAACTGCCAAAGGGTTATTTAACTTTGTTTTTCAGAATAGTGTAAGTCACTGATAAACAAATTCTCCTTCTGAATAAATGTGTATTTTTTAAATGATCACCTGTTACCAATCTAGGGATTTTGAAACTTTGAGAGGTCATTTGGATCCCATTCTGCTTCTGGGTATTTAGGACAGAATTGATTATTTTAAGGATTAAAACTTCTATAGCTTTCTTTCATAGTCAATATTATCTTCTCTAATTAAGCTGATTTCTGCCTATTTGATCTTAGAAAATATGAAACATATTTGAGGTAGAGGTCTTTTGGATATAACAAAAACCAACCCAGATGAACTCATATACAAAGGTGGCACTGGGGGCAGTTGGGTAGTAGATATAGATGCAGTGGACATTATTTTAAATGACAGAAATAGATCAGGGACTCAATGACAGAAAATAATGGCAAGTGGAAGTCAAAAGAATTGAAGTTGGGAGCTGAGAAAATCTTTGCTTCTCAGGGAAAACTGATCTCTTCCATCCCAGCTTCTCTCAACACATCTGCTCCATTTCGTCTTTCAGAAACAGCTTTCCCTTCTGATTCAAGCAGCAGAGACAAAACAGAAAAATATATACTTAAGAAAGAACCAGTTTTCTTTACACACTCAATCTGTTGTGGTCTCAAAATGGCCGTCCCACCTGCCAAAGCTACTTCTGAGCCCCAGTGCCAACCACCAACCAACTCAGCCTCTCAGTACCTCAATTCCAGACATCCTTGAGGGAGGAAAACAATGGAGCAAGCTCCTATTTTTCCATGAGGTCACAGCTCATTATAAGTCCAGGGAAAAATGTCTTTCCTTTGTCCTGTCAGCTGTGACCTGGGGTCAAGCAGGATTATATAAAACAAAGATATAGGGGAATTCCCCTAGAAGAGGGCGTGGCTCGAACTTGCAAAGATGATGTCTCAAATTAAAAAAAAAATTGACCTAGAATCCTCCTTCAACAAAAAAAAGTAACATAGAATTCCTTTGATCTCATGCCTACCATGCATCAAGTTTACAACTTTCTTTGGTTCACACCTTTCTAGATTCACACCATTCACACCATCGGTTTCTTTTCTTTCTTTTCTTTTTTTTTTTTTTTTTTGACAGAATCTCGCTCTGTCACCCAGGCTGGAGTGTGATCTCAACTCACTGCAACTTCTGACTCCCTGGTTCAAGCGATTCTCCTGCCTCAGCCTCCCGAGTAGCTGGGATTACAGGCACGTGCCACCACACCCAGCTAATTTTTGTATTTTTAGTAGAGACGGGGTTTCACCATATTGGCCAGGAGGGTCTTGATCTCCTGAACTCGTGATCCCCCACCTCCCATCAATTTCTTTAACTGCTCCTGTGTTCTCTTGCCACACTGCCTGTATTAGTTTCCTATTGCTGCTAAAACAAATTACCACAAACTTAGTGGCAGGACCAAGACAAATGCATTATGTTACAGTTCTGGGGGCCAGAGGTCCAAAACAGTGCTTATTGGGCTAATCAAGATGTCAGCAAAGTTATATTCCTTCTGGAGGCTCTCAGGTGGAATTCATCTTTCTACCTTTTCCAGGTGGCAGAGGCGACCTGCATTCCTTCCCTCATGGCTTCTTCTCCCATCTTCATCCTCACCTCTTCTCTTTGACCTCTGCTTTAATCATTATCTCTTTTACCTCTTCTCTCTGACTCTGATCTTTCTACCTTTCTCTTTTAAGGACCCATGTAATTATACTTGGACCACACAGATAGTCCAGGACAATCTCCTCCTCTCAAAATCCTTCCCTTAATCATATCTGTAAAGTTTGTTTTACCATGCAAGCTAATACACTCACAATTCCTAAGAATCAGAACATGAACACCTTCAGAGGGCCATTTTCAGTCTATTATAGTGCCCAACATAGAATACAAGATTAATGCTTGTTTAGTTAATTTATTTAAACCATCCCTGCTAAGAGAACTCATATTTTAAATCTTCAAGTGAGCACTAAATTCTGCATAAATATTCCCTTTTTTTATTTCCAATACTTGGGCTTCCCACTAATCGTCTGAAATTTACATTTGTGGCAGATATGAACATGCACTTGAACAGTTGAGAAATACAGGAATATGTGATTTCAGTTGCCAACTCAATCTTTTCTTGTTAAACTTTGAAAAACTGACATTTGAAAGAGACAGTCTGTAACAATTCCACTTCATAAAAACATTCTTCTAGTTTGGGGACACAGAATTTTACAAGTTTCCAAATGTCCTATAATCAAGCTTTGAAATGGATAGTCAAACACAAAAAGGTCGTTCCTTGGGAAGAACAGTGACAGGGATTTTCTAATTCTTCGCATGCTTTTTGAGAAAATATTTAAATGGGAAAAAAGAGATGGCCTTTCCAAGTTAAAACCATTCCAATTGCTTCAACAGATCACTGCACAAGAATGAACAACTGCTTATTGAAATTCCACCTCCTGGATGCACCTCCAGTGCCCTCTTGTTCAAAGCAAAGTCTGTAATATTAATCAGCCATGGTTTTACCAAAGCTAGGGCCAAACACAAAAATCTCAGTGCTACAGGCACGTGATCCCCACGTGAGATCTGCATGAGCAATTTCTCCACAATATTCAGGTGGTTTCCATGACTTCAGTACCACCACCCCCACTCTCCAGTGGTTTCGGTTTCCTTGCTCTTGGATTGCTGATCTACAGTGTGTCTCTACAAACTTCTGAGTATCTCAAGTTGGTTTTCAAAGCTGAATATGTTGACATATTGGTACAGGTACATAATCTTGTGTCTGAAAATCTTAGGGGCATATGAGTTCAGAATGTTTTAGAAAGGAAACACAGAGCATATACCATATATTAACACTCTCAGTGAATCTGAGTGAGTATCTCCTAATATGTCTGTAGTAAAATAAATAAATATTATCACCAAACAGAATAAATATTCACAACAATTCAGTTAGCTTTTGCTGCCAATTTAATTTTAGAAAGATTTAGTAATAAGAGCCTTTTGATTTTAGAACTTCAGATACGGCACTGTGGACCAATACTACAAGTTGGTGGGTTTTTGGTTTCTGCTGTTGTTGTTGTTGTTTACCATCCAAATGGAAGCTCAGTAAAAACTCCAAACCCCTAGAATGAGTACAAGAAGTTTTAGTACCATAAGGCCTCCACTTCATTTAACCAACAGGGAAACTGTAGCACAGAGAATTCAAGTGGTTTGGCCAAACTTACTGAGCTCTAGACTAGATGCAAGATTTTTTATGTCAGACAAGCCTAGGTTGAACCTAACTAAATTTGTCATCTTGGCAAATTTATGCCTAACCTTATTTCCCATGTTAGCATTATTGCTTCTGTTTAGAGATGCCCCTCATTCATAGGACTGTTATGAACATTAAATCAACAAAAGTATGTGCAATGTTTGCATGGTGAGCTCTGTATATCATATGCTCAATGAAAGGCAAGCATTACTACCCTTAGAGTTATTTTTATGATTGTTATTGACCTAATTCAATTGAATTCAATAATTTTTACTGAATCCCTTCCATGGATGGTGCTGGACTAGATTACAAGGGTAACAGGGCAGAATTATCTACCCATTACACTGTAAACAATTCCAGGGGTTCTCTAATATGAATGTCATGAGTACTTAGCACAGTCCCTGACACAATAAACATTCAGCACACTTTGGTTGAATTGAATTAAACTTAAGGCACCCATAGTCTAACATGGGATATAGTAACAGTTAACAATGAAGAATGTGAGAAATATCTTAAGAGCTTCGCAAAGTGCCATGAGAATAAAAAAAAAAAAAGAGAGATTTTTTTTCTGGCTTAGAATAGAGAAATACTGTAAAGAAGAGGGCAATTGTGCTAGCCCTGAACAGCAGGACAGGCCTTCAGCAGGTATAGTTGGGGTTAATGAAAGCTCATTCTAGGCAGAATAAAAAGCTTAAGCAAATTCCTACAAGGTGGAAAACTGTATGGTATGTTTAATAAGTAGTGGGTTACTTATACTTACAGATAAAAGATTATAGACCTGTACCAATGTGTGTTTAGGATATTGCGTGATCATACACGTGGGGTAATCACCTCCAAAACTGCAAAGTTTTTGGAGGTGATTAAGTCTAAGTCAAATAGAGCCTGGAATGATATATGAAGGAGTATGGACTGTATATTGAGGCTTTGAGTGACTAAATTATTACTACTATTATTATTATTATTATTATCTGAGACCAAATTTCGCTCTTGTTGCCCAGGCTGGAGTGCAATGATGCGATCTTGGCTCATGGCAACCTCTGCCTTCTGGGTTCAAGCGATTCTCCTGCCTCAGCCTCCCAAGTAGCTGGGATTACAGGCATACACCACCACACCCAGCTAATTTTGTATTTTAGTAGAGACGGGGTTTCTCCATGTTGGTCAGGCTGGTCTCGAACTCCCGAACTCAGGTGATCCACCTGCCTCAGCCTTCCAAAGTTCTGAGATTACAGGCATGAGCCACCACGCATCTTGCTTCATTTTTAGCAGTAGATGATCCAAACCAATACGATTTGGGTCAACCTTTAGGAAAATTGCTATGATGGCATCTTATAGAAAGCAAAGGACAGACAGAAGGTGAAAACAGATAGATTCATCAAGGATATATCAAAAAGTCCTTGTAAGAATGATAAATACCCAAACTAGGGCAGGGGCAAAAAGAGGGATTAGAAGATAAGTTAAAAAGTCATAATTAGAATGGACTATATTCAGCAACCCATTAGATGGAGGAAGAAAAGACAAGAAAGGATTCAAAGGTTATTTTTGTTTTTTAGACTTTGGAGTAAGGTGGTGCCAGAAAGAAAGGAGAATACAGATGTTGGATTAGGAAGATTGAAGATAATAAGTTCACTTTTAAACTGAACAACAAATTACCTTCCATTCAACATAAAAAATAAAACTAGTCAGAGATGGCAAGAAAGTATACATCTAATCAGCAGCAACTGGTCATGGGCCAATGTCTTTAGAATCAGGGAATGAGCCTGCTGATCCTAAACTGTCCCTATTTTGGAGAAGCTACTCTAGGGCTGATACTACACGTGAGTTCATGAGTTGCAATTCTATTTCATGATGTGAAGATTATCCCAACTTAAATAAAATGAGCTTTTCAAGTGCACAAGCCCATCTAGGAATTGTCATCAAGGGTTGTTCTATATAGGGAATCACATAAGTTACTCACGAATAATGCCTTTGTATTAATGAAGGTTCTTGGGATGGGAAGCATGGCGAGGCAAGCAGGTGTTCTCTTAGGTCATACAAGTGAGGCCTGTCCTTAAATTTAAGAGGCTCTCCTTAAATTTTATGCCCTAGACACCTCATTGCTTCACCTAGTCCCAGCACCATAGATGGTGTAAAATCTTTTCTAAGACAAAGTAGTAATAAAGTGTCTTCATTAAGAAACCATATGTCGTAGTGCAAGGGTTGGCAAACTTTTCCTGTAAAGGACCAGATAGCAAATATTTGAGGCTTTGCAGGCCATATGGTCTCTGCCCTAGCTACTCAATTCTGCCATTAAAGTGGAAAAGTAACCATAGATGATGCATAATGAACAGGCATGTCTATGTTTCAATCAAACTTTATTTACAAAAATAGATGACAGGCCACATTTGACCTTCAGGTCATAGTTTTCCAACCATGTTTTGTAGAAAGAGCTAGCTAGACCTTAGGTTTAAATAACTGAGCGGCCATTTGCCAAATATGTGGATTTGGACATACACCTCTGTAAAATATGATCACTATGCCTTCCCTACTGTTGGTGAGAATTAAAGAAAATGGGTGAAAATGCCTCATAAATAACAGGCATTCAATAGAGCAATGACTGGTCCTTTTACTTACAAGGCATAATAAGAAGAATAGCTAACACTTACTAAATGCTTTTGAAATGTTAGCAACCGTGTTAAGCACTTTACAAAGATTATTTCATTTAACCTTCCAACAACTCTCTGAATTAGTCACTATTACAGCATTCTTTTCTGTTCATGGGGAAACTGAGGCACTGAGAGATGCCCAAGAGATGTTTATACAGATAGTAAGTGATGTAGCTGGACTTAATCTTCAGTAAGTGAACTCCAGGGGCCTTGGTGTTAACCCCATGCTAGTTAATTAGCTCCACTAATTCAGCCCTAATTGAAGTGCTTAGAATCATCTCAAGTTCTTCAGGACTTTTCATAACTCATCACAGGGTTACACAACTGAAAATAGTTTAATACAAATTTTTTAAATTTACCTTCAGATTAACACTCACGTTACATAATAAAACACTTATTCTAACCTCCCTCCCACTCATCACCCCCAGAAAAGATCTCAACAGTCAAAGAAAACCAAAATATTACTGTGAAAACTAATGCAAACCCATTTCAAAAAATTTATCCCATAATCACTCTAAAAACTTGCAATTTGAAAGCTACATTGCAGAATAGCATACTGGATTAATTATGCCAGACTGCAGCAATAACCTTGAATTAAAGCTGCAACCTTCTATTTTTAAGAAACACTTGCCTTTCTGGTTGATGAAACCTGTCGTCCCATCAGGTAACAGACGTGACCAGGAAAGAGAGAAGCGGTAATGAGTCAATCCAAGCTGTTTGATACATTTCAAATCTTCCTCCCACAGAGTGTAGCTGCCACAAGCTACATCGCCAGTCTGGTTCTTGAAAACTCTCTCTCCTCCCTGATGAGTAAATGTGTCCCAGACACAAGGGCCTTTTCCATCTGCATCCCAGCCTCCTGAGAAAAAGAAGAAAATGAAACAGTTACACTCTTGACATCAAGAGGCATATGTGGAATGTAAATATTTGTCACCAAAAGAACATACCTCATTAACTCAATGTACCATATTTATAACCTTTAAAATATAAGCCTTTAAAATAACATGCATGAGCGGATTATGTGTTTAGCTGTCCTTGATCCCTGAAGCTGACTGGTGGCAAATGAAAAATTATTGCATAGCGCCGCTGCATAGCAGGCTTTCATGTTTCATTATCTGAAGACCTCCCAGCTGGTAAACAGAGGCAGGCCCTGGCTTATGAATATCTGAGTTGAAAACATCTCCTCCTTGCAAACATTCCCCCTGGCCATGACTAACATGCCTTGTCCTTATGCGTGACAGGATCTTGGGACTTTATGTGTGGCCCTTGACATTTAAACCCTATTTTCCTATTCTCTGACAATGGAGGCTGTGCTGGTCCAGTCCATCTCTGGAGGGGAGGGAGCCCTGGTTTCCACCACTGCTTATACGATATTGCTATCTGAAACTCATTCATTCATACTGCCCTTGACTCAACAAATATTATGTGTCAAGCAGGATAACAAGCCCAGGGGATACCAGAGTGAACTATGTTGTGTCTCATGTTTTGGGGAATTTACGTAACAGCCAATGTAAAGGCCCTTTCTTTTTCAGAAACGAGGGAAGGGCATTTATCCAAGTGTGGGCTGGAGTCAGAGGAGGTCTCTTTCTGCTCAATTTTCCTGTAAGCCTACAACTGATCTAAAATATAAAGTCCATTAATTTAATAAAAGAACATATCCAGTATGTTTATCATATTTTATATATTTAAAAATATATGTAACAATCCACGTATATTCTGAGCATATACATGTGAGGTAGAAGTATCGCATGCCTGGGAATGATCAATTCAGGTGAGTGATTACCTTTGAGGAAAAGAGAAGGAAGTGGAACCATGGAGGGGTCTACAGGGCCTTCAAATGCATCTCTTATGTTTCACTCATTAAACAAGGTAGAAGGTATATGAGGGGCTGTTTATTACATTTTTGGCAATCCCTTTCTATAAGCCTAATATATAATATCTTATAATTACTATGTAAGAAAAGAGGTCACAGCTGGAGTAAAATAGATGAAAACAATTACCTCATTGAGCATCTACATACTCATATTTTGTGCACAGATCTAAAAGGATTAGGTATAGTCTCCAGTTCCAACCTCAGGACAGCAGGAGTGATAAGTCATGGACGGCGCCATGAGGATACAGAAGAGGCTGCTAAAAGGAGCTCTGACAAAAGCAAAAGTGGTCATTGATATCAAGGTAGAATACTAAATATCTATTCAAAAAAAGCTATGAATATTCGAAAGTATTTTACTTTGGAGCCATGTAATTATAGAAGCAAATAGTTTTACACAATCCAGTGACTCTCAAGTTATGTCTACATATGGGGTTTAGAGGAATGGGGATAAAAGAAGAGTGGTATTCATAGAATGAAATAGGAACAAACACAAAACTAAAATTTTTGAAGTATGATGCTCATAGTTTTGAATGATTGATTTAATACATGAAAAAGCTTAATCTCAGCTTAAGCAATGGTGTATTGGTATATATTTAACTGGCTATATGTTAAAAAATAAGTATAGACCTATATGTATATATGTTTATTATCAATTTTGCTGATATAAAGTATGCATAATACACAATTTACAAATAATAAACTATGCAATGCCCTTTTCTGTGAACTCCATATAACCAACTGATTCTCATATAGGATGCTCTTTTAGATTTTTGGCAAAGTCATATTGGTAGCTATATTAGTCTGTTCTCACACTGCTATAAAGATACTATCTGAGACTGGGTAATTTATGAACAAAGGAGGTTTAATTGACTCACAGTTCTGCATGGCTGGGGAGGCCTCGGGAAATTTACAATCAGGGGGAAGAGGAAGCAGGTACTTTCTTCACAAGGTGGCAAAAAAGAGAGAAGTAGTGAAGGAGGAGCGCTTTCTTTCAAACACTTACAAACCCATCAGATTTCATGAGAACTCATTCACTATCATGAGAACAATGGGGGAAACCACCCCCATGATCCAATCACCTCCCTCCCTTGATGTGTGGGGATTACAGGACCTTCCCTCAACACACGGGGATTACAATTCAAGATGAGATTTGGGGCAGGGCGCGGGGGCACCATAGAGCCAAACCATATCAGTAGCCAACCTACAGTTGTAATTTGACAAATGCATGTAGTTATCATATGACTTTTGGTTAATATTTTTCCTTATATTCACAGGTAGAAGGAAAAGAAGACAAAAGATGTACCAGAACTTCACTTTTTACCACTGACACGAGCTACTTCTTTGTTGAATCAGGTAACAGTTTTCAAACACTGGTAACTGTCTCCTCAATTTTTGGTGCTACTCACAACACCACAGCCACAGACATGACACACTTTTAAGTTGAATCCATATTATTAACATGTTTCCTATCACTTTCTAAGGTCTAGACAACTAGCAAAACAATAAATCAAATAATGACTTCTAGCATCAGCCAATTTCTGCAACCATGATATCCGTGAAGGCAGAGCTGGGAAAAGAAGAGCCGTAGCAGCACACCATATTACAGTGTTTCTCCTATTCAAATACAAGAGATCTAAATTACCTCAAGGCCATAGAAAACAGTGAAATTTGGTAATTAGTTAAGTAATGATTTTAAGTATTTACTAACTTTGTTTTTGATATAATTTACCTATAAGCTTATATAAGTAATTTTTAATAAAGTCTGTGTTAAAGAATCAGCTCACACAAAAACTCAATAGGCTCTCATGAGCCAGCACAAGCGGGCTTCACCACATCACTTACAACTAACTTGAATAAGATCACACCATTAGGAAGTAACAGTGCTAAGATTTGTATTCAGATCTTAGAAGTCTAAGATTCTGCCATTGGACCATGTTGCTCTTAGTAATAATTACGCAGAGTGATGAAGAAAAAGTCAGCTGATGACCAAACTACTTCATTTATCAAGACTAAGAAGTGCAAAACATAATCTATACATTTTGGAAAGCAGTACAAGTAACATAACTCAAACAAGTTTTGACAATTTTAACAGGTCAATGTCACTTAGCAGGAACATGTACTGAGGTGGAGTCGCTTATTCTCCACATGTACTAGGCTAGACAAAGCAGAACTAAACAACATTGTTTCTAAAAAAAACTAATCTTCAAATTGATAACTAACAATTATAACTGAAATTGGATAAAAATCATATAAAGGCCAATATTTGTTAGTAGTTTTAATGTAAATCTTACTATATGAATGATATTAATAACTCATTTGCCCATTAGAAATTTTCTCCCGTTGCAATTATGCCCACATTCTAAAAGCATGATGTCCTTTATGATGAATAAGACTACTGTTTCCAGGTGGACTGCATACTCAGAGCCATTCTCCAAACAATTATGATTGTTGGATTACATATAGGAAATACACTTTTTAATGCATTGTTACTCTAGCAGGAGGTTAGGTGACCCAAACACAAAGGGCGAGGGGTAATTTAGATGCATATGTGAGTAGTGATGCAGGCTTTTGTACTGGGAGTGTCTGCTAAGTTCAGACCATCTGAGCTTTCATTTTAATGGCTTGTGGAACAAGGGAGAAAGGAGACAAAGTCTAAGATGCATCAAAGATGAAAAGTATAAATAGAGATGGTCACAAAAAGCTGGTATGCAAGGACTTCATATCCTTTGCAAAAAAAAACTGGAGACAAACCCAACCTGCAGAAAGAGAGAACAAAAAAATTAGCTTGATTCAAACTTGGGTGGAGAGAGGAAATTACTCCTCAATATTTGTAACCACAATTCAGCCATCAAACCATTAAGTGTGAGAATGGGAAAAAGATATTTTCAGATACATGAGCTCTCAAAAATTTCCTCTCTTTGGATATTACTGGAGGATACATTTTACTAAAACAATGATGTAATCAAGAAAGATAAAGATCTAGGATCCAGGAAAAAAGAAATTCAGGAGAAGAAATTGACAAAATCACTGAGTGATATTGTATTACTCTTCTTATGTTGCTAATAAAGATATACCTGAGACTGGGTAATTTATAAAGGAAAGAGGTTTAATTGACTCACAATCCCTCAGGGCTGGGGAGGCTTCAGTAAATTCACAATCATGGCAGAAGGGGAAGCCAACATGCCTTTCTTCACATGACAGCATCAGGGAGAAGTGCAGAGTAAAGCCAGATGAACTCACTCATTATCATGAGAACAGCATGGAGGTAACCGCCCCTGTGTTTCAATTACCTCCCACTAAGTTCCTCCAATGACATGTGGGGATTATGGGAACTAGAGTTCAAGATGAGATTTGGCTGGGGACACGGTCAAACCATATTAGATATGGACTAAATTGTAGCCCCTCGAAATTTATATATTAAAGCTCTAACCCCCAATGTAACTGGATTTGGAGATAGGGTCTTGAAGGAGGTAATGATTGTTAAATGAGGTTATAAGGGTGAGGGTCTAATCCAAAATGTCTAGTGTCCTTATAAAAAGAGAGAGAGAGATCAGGAATGTGTGAACACAGACAAAAGGTATTTTGTTTTGGCAGTCCTGGCAAACTCATGCAGGAGTATAAAGGCAAAGGGAAACTTCCAGGATGATAGCTATGCAGTAGACACAGGGAGTACCCAGTCTGTTTGAGCAGGCGACAGGCTGTGAGAGCTATTTCCTCAAGAAGATGATACAAATAGAATATCTAGTATGTTGTATTAGTCTGGGTTCTCCAGAAAACCAATAAGGTAGAGATATATAGTTTTATTATAGTAATTGGCTCACTCAATTTTGGAAACCAAGAAGTCCCACAGTCTTCTATCTGCATTCTGGAGAACGAGGAAAGCTGTTAAGCTGGTGGTATAACTGAATCTAAGTCTGAAAGTCCGAGAATCAGGAGTGCCAGTGTATGAGGGCAAGAAATAAATGTCCAGCTCAGAGCAAATTTTCCCTTCCTTGCCTTTTGTTCTATTCAAACCAACTGATTAGATGATGCCCACCCACACTGATGAGAGTAATCTTCTCCACTCACTCTACCAATTCCAATGCTAATCTATTTCAGAAACACCCTCACAGACACACTTAGAAATAATATTTTACTAGCTATGTGGGCATCTCATAGCTCAGTAAAGTTGACACATACAATTAACCATTACATAAGTTTTATTTAAAAAAATAAATTATCATGGGACTTTCAACAGTCATAAAAGTAGAATAGCATGAAACCCATGTACTTGTCACACATCTGCAGCAGTCTTCAACATTTTGCCAATCTTTTTTGTCTGAATCCACCCAAGCTTCCTCATTCAATCTGTAATCATTTTATTGTGTATCGTGAACTAACAAAAATATTGTTCTAATTGTGGTAAAATACACATCAAATTTACCATCATAACCATTTTTAAGAGTATAGTTCTGTGACATGAAATATATTCATATTGTTTAGCAACCATCAACACTATCATTTCTCCAGAGTTTTTTAAATATTCAAAACTAAAACATTGCAAAAATTAAACAATTACTCAACATTCCTTCCTCCTCCAAGCCCCTAGTAACCACCATTCTACTTTCTGGTTTTGACTACTCTAGGTACCTCAGAAAAGTGAAATTACACAGTATTTGTCTTTTTGTAACTGATTTATTTTGCACAGCATAATGTCCTCAAGCTTCATTCATGCTGTAGCGTGAGTCAGAATTTTCTTCCTTTTTAAGGCTTGGTGAAACCTCATCACACGTACATACCACATTTTGTTGATCCACCATTTCTCAATAGACACTGGGTTATTTCCAGTTTATTCTGAATAATGCTACTATGTACATAATATGCAAGTATCTCTTCAAGACTCTACTTTCAGACCATCTGGGCATATACCCAGAAGAGGAATGGCTAAGTCACACGGTAATTCTCTTTTTAATTTTTTGAAGACCCACCATACTGTTTTCCATAGCACCTGCACCATTTTACATTCCCACCAACAGGGCACAAGATGCCCTATTTTTCCACGACCTAGCTGACACTTGAAATTTTCTGTTGCTTTTTTTTTTCTTAATAGTAGCCATCATATTATGTGTGAAGCAATGTCTCATTGTTGTTTTGATTTGTATTTCCCTAATGATTAGTAGTGATAAGTACATGAAAGATTCCTTACATCACTAATGAGTAGGGCTATCTAGTATGTTAGAATGAGAGAAAATGTATAGAAATAAAAAGTATTAGATTTATTTAGCAATAAACACACAGAAAACAAAATGAACAAATAGAAAACAAGTATTAACTTTGTGTGAAAATGTTGTTCTGGAAAATAAAAATAATGATAGTATACTATGTGGTTCAGGTGTAAATAAGTTTCAGTGGTTACAATGAGGTAAACCCTGACCACTGATCTAAATACAATTAAAATCTGATTATTTGGGGAGGATTATGGTGTTGGAATCTTTCATGTAGTAGTGGAGATAGGAAGATAGAAGGAAAGAAAACTAACAAAGAGATAAATCCTCATCTTTCACAATGAGAAGTTAACTGATCATGACAGCTGCGGAAAAGTAAATACATAAAAAAAAAGAGCAAGAAAATAAAAAAATGAAAAATACATAGTTAGCAAAATAAAAAGCATAAAGTAAGATGGTAGGACACAATAAAACTGATCCATTCTAACAATCTAAGTCAATGAAGTAAACTCGGTGAAAAAACAAACATTGTCAGACTAAATTTTTTTTTCAGCTATTAGTGGTTTATTTGCTTCAGTACCATATTTAATTTTTTTATTTTAGTTTTCCTTTATTTCTTCTAAAAAAAAAAAAGGGATACACGTACAAGAATGTGCAGGTTTGTTACATGGGTATACGTGTGCCATGGTGGTTTGCTGCACCTATTGACCTGTACTCTAAGTTCCCTCCCCTCACCCCCACCCCCCAACAGGCCCTGGTGTGTGCTGTTCCTCGCTCTGTGTCCATGTGTTCTCATTGTTCAGCTCCCACTTAGGAGTGAGAACATGCATTGTTTGTTAAATTTTAAAAATCCAATGATATGCTATTTACTATACTCACACTTTGAAAACATGGAGATATAAGAAAATCAAAAGTCAAAATATGATACTCTGCCCCTCCACCAAATAAAACAGCATTAAAAAAGACTTAAAAAGCAGCACTAGAGAGAACATGGGTCACTACATAATGATAAAACTATTTTAAATATACATGCACCTGAGAATATGGCTTCAAAATATGTGAAGCAAAAATTGACATAACTGAAAAAAAGTTGTCAAATCCACCTCCAAAATGGGAGGATTTAACTAACCCCTTTCTCAGCCACTGAAAAGAGTCAGACATTAACAGATTTGATCTAATTGATATACATAACATTGCAAAATAACAAACACTATAATTGAAGAATACATACTTTTCAAGCAGACAAAAAACACTATGAAAGTTGTGCACAAATTGTTCCGTAAATAAACTCTTCATAAATTTCAAGTTTGAGGAAATACAGATAACAATTTCTGACCAATTAAGTTAGAATTCAATAAATAAAGATAATTAGGAAACCCCAAAAGTTCAGAAATATGAAAATGCACACAGGAAGAACTTAAGGGAAAAAAAGGAATAAATAATAGTAGTTACCAAAAATATAATAAAAACTAAATAACACAAAATATTAAAACATTGTGTCATCTGGTTTAAGTGGTACTTAAATAGAAAGCCTTGACAAAACAGAAAGCCTTAATGTATGTATTAGAAAACAAGCAAACTTCAACGTTATTGAGCTAATCACGTAAGAGAGGAAGAGGAAGAGGAAAAATAGAAGGAAGAGAAAGATGGTAAAGAAAACAGAAGGAGAAACTAAGAAACAGAAAGAGAAAAACTAAGGTAAGATTAGAAATAATAAGATAGAAAAAAAAACTCAGGGGAACGCCCCGGTGGAGAAGCTGAGGTCAACATCAGATTTGAAATATTTAAAGTGGATACAAAACTATTTCAGCAATGCAGACAATTAAGTGTGTTGTTGTGGGCGATGGTGCTGTTAGTAAAACATGTCTCCTGATATCCTACACAACAAACAAATTTCCATCGGAATATGTACCGACTGTTTTTGACAACTATGCAGTCACAGTTATGATTGGTGGAGAACCATATACTCTTGGACTTTTTGATACTGCAGGGCAAGAGGATTATGACAGATTACGACCGCTGAGTTATCCACAAACAGATGTATTTCTAGTCTGTTTTTCAGTGGTCTCTCCATCTTCATTTGAAAATGTGAAAGAAAAGTGGGTGCCTGAGATAACTCACCACTGTCCAAAGACTCCTTTTTTGCTTGTTGGGACTCAAATTGATCTCAGAGATGACCCCTCTACTATTGAGAAACCTGCCAAGAACAAACAGAAGCCTATCACTCCAGAGACTGCTGAAAAGCTGGCCCGTGACCTGAAGGCTGTCAAGTATGTGGAGTGTTCTGCACTTACAAAGAAAGGCCTAAAGAATGTATTTGACGAAGCAATATTGGCTGCCCTGGAGCCTCCAGAACCGAAAAAGAGCCGCAGGTGTGTGCTGCTATGAACATCTCTCCAGAGCCCTTTCTGCACAGCTGGTGTCGGCATCATACTAAAAGCAATGTTTAAATCAAACTAAAGATTAAAAATTAAAATTCGTTTTTCCAATAATGACAAATGCCCTGCACCTACCCACATGCACTCGTGTGAGACAAGGCCCATAGGTATGGCCCCCCCTTCCCCCTCCCAGTACTAGTTAATTTTGAGTAATTGTATTGTCAGAAAAGTGATTAGTACTAGTTTTTTTTTTGTTGTTTCAAAAAAAATTTTTTTGTGTGTGTTTTTTTGTTTGTTTGTTTTGTTTAAAAGCAAGGCATGCTTATGGATGACTCTGTAACAGACTAATTGGAATTGTTGAAGCTGCTCCCTGGTTCCACTCTGGAGAGTAATCTGGGACATCTTAGTGTTTTGTTTTGTTTTTTTTCCCTCCTCTTTTTTTGGGGGGGAGTGTGTGTGGGGTTTGTTTTTTAGTCTTGTTTTTTTAATTCATTAACCAGTGGTTAGCCCTTAAGGGGAGGAGGACGGATTGATTCCACATTCCATTTCCTAGATCTAGTTTAGAAAACATGTTCCCCATCTGGTGCTCTTAGGAAGGAGTATAGTAAATGCCTCATTTAATAACATACTCCTTTTTGAAAGTTGCCTTTTCTCTCCACCCTTGAGTAGATCCAGTATTTGATGAAACTCATGAAAGTGGGTGGAGCCCGTCTTGCCCCTCCTCTTTTCTAGGACGCACTATATGTGACTGTGACTTTCAAGGACATTTGTTTGCCATTTGCTGATTTTTTTGGGAAGTTAATTTCTAACTTCTTTCACTGATAAATGAAGAAAAGTATTGCACCTTTGAAATGCACCAAGTAATTTCTAACTTCTTTCACTGATAAATGAAGAAAAGTATTGCACCTTTGAAATGCACCAAATGAATTGAGTTTGTAATTAAAAAAATTTTTTTCCCTTTCAAAAAAAAACCAAAAAAAAAAAAAAACAAAAAAAACTCAGGATAGAGATTAACAGAAGCAGATGGTTTTTAAAAAAAAGTCTAAGAAAATAGAAACTCATCTGAGGTGTGTATGTATTTAAATGAGGAGGTAAAAATAAATGTTAGAAATGCAAAGGGGAACATAGCTAAAGAAGCTGCAGAGGTTAAACTGACAGCATCTATATGTTATTTTAAAAACTTTATAAAATACATTTGAAAAGTTAGATGGAAATGACAAATCTAGAAAATTATAACTTACCAAGGTTGGCTCAAATAGAAATGAAAAACTTGAAATTAAATCAGTAGTTACTAATTATTGGTAGTAAAATCTTCCACAAAGAAAATGCCAGACCAGTTGGTTTTACAACTGAGTTCCAACAATCATTTAAAAAATGAAACAAACAAAAAATTCTACTCTTGTGCAAATTCTCCCAGAAAATAAGAAAGAAAAAAATATTCTCTTCATTTTATGTGACTAGTATAATCTTGATACCAAACCAGAAAATGGTACTACAATAAAGGAAAAAGCATAAGCCAATCTCACTCATTAACACAGTTGCAAATGTGCTAAATAAAATAACAGGTTGCCAAATTGAACAGGTATAAAAAAGAATGTTTTACAAATCTGAGTTATAGTCCAGGTATACAAGACTAGTTTATCATTAGAAAATTCATTAATGTAATTAAACACTGATTAATGGATAGAAATCCGTGTGGTCATCTCAATACATACAAATGTTAACATCATATATGTATACATGAATAAAAGTGTTAGTAAATTGGAAATAAAAGGCAATCTCCCTATTGTAGTAACTAATAGTTACAAAAAACCTACATGCTAAAAAACATTCTTTTTAAGATCAAGAAAAAGTCAAGGATGTCTGCTATAATCAATTCTATTCAACATTACATAAGGTTTGTTAATTAGAGGTACACTGAAATAAAACTAACTAAATAATATAAGCCCCAGAGAGGAAAAAACAAAACAAAACAAAACAATCATTTGTTAACTGTAAGATTACCTATGTAAAACCTCCAAAAAAATGTAAGGATGAATTATAAGAATAAGGGTTTACATCAATGACAGACTGGATCAAGAAAATATGGTACATATACAACATGGAATACTATGCAGCCACAAAAAGGAAAGAGATCATGTCCTTTACAGAGACATGGATGGAGCTGGAAGCCATTATCCTCAGCAAACTAACACAGGAACAGAAAACCAACGCCACATGTTCTCACTTGTAAGTGGGAGCAGAACAGTGTGAACATATAGACACAGGGAGGGAAACAACACACACTCAGGGACCTAACTGGGGCAGGGGATATGGGGGGGAGGGAGAGCATCAGGAAAAATAGCTAATGCATGTGGGGCTTAACACCTAGGTGATGGATTGATAGGTGCAGCAAAACACCATGGCATGTGTTTACCTATGTAACAAACCTGCACATCCTGCACATGTACCCCAGAACTTAAAATAAAATAAATTAAAATAGAATAAAATTTATAGAGTTTAGCTCAGTAAACTTGCTTGATACAAAATTAATAAAGGACAATGCATTCTATACAAAGTAACAGTTATAAAATATAACATTTATATAAATAGCAGCAAAAATACCTAAATGTATATATAATAAAGTGTAAGCATGTTGTCTAGAAAATTATAAAATTTTATTGAAAGATAAGAAAGGAAGTAAAATTTTCTTTCAAGAATATCTAAATATTTGTTTATGGAATATCATGTTTATGAATACAAAGATTCAATGTCATCCAGATTCTGAATCTCTTAATAGTGATCTATAAATGCTATGCAATTCCAACCCGTCCTAACAGTTTTTTAAAGGAATTTAGTAAGTTGATTTTAAAATCTGTATGAAATATAAATGGGCCAAGAGTATTTAAAATCTCTCAAAAAAATATTGTATGAAACTTATCTTAAAATATACTAAGATTTAGAACAAATTTATAATAAGTAGCTTAGCGTGGCACTGGCATAGGCCCACATAAATAGATCAATGGACTTAATAGAGACCCCAGAATAATACCATGCATATTCAATATAAAAAATTCAATATACAAAAGAGATGGCATTCTAGTCAGTAAAGAGGGACTTTTCAGTAAATAATGCTGGGAAAATTGATTTATATATTTTTTCGTGAAAATGGATGCCTACTCACTACACATATACACAATAAACAGGTGGATTAAATAGGAAAACTCTAAAATGTTTAGAAGACAACACAGAATATTTTTGTAACCTCAGGTTAGAGAATAAGATCTTTAAAAGACTCAAAGAGCTTAGACCTAAAGGGGGAGAACTCAGAAATTCAACTGCATTAAGAAATAGTATTTACAAAAAGAAATCATTAAGGAAATTAAAATGCAAGGCACAAAGTAAGAGGATATATATGCTACATACATGACTAATAATGAACTTTTATCTGGAACACATAAAGAACTCCTAAAAATGAATACAAAAGACCTGAATGTCTTCTCCCTGCCAAGATGTAGTAACAGGGTCTAGATTTACTCTCTCACCTAAAACAATTGAAAACCAAACAAAATATAGGACACAGTGAAATTGAAGACATTTGGCCTCAGACAACAAAGAACAGGGATCATCCACAGCCAGGGAACAAATGAGCCCTACAACTGCTCCATCGTGTTACCTTGTGAAGTTTCCAGGACACAGCACAGAGAGGACAAACCCACAGTCTGGCAGACTTCTTAAGCTGAGGAGACAAAGCTGAGGACCCAGGGAGACCAAGATGTCTAGAATTCTCAGGGCAGAGCACCAAAGAGGGAAAGAGTTCCAAAGAGAGAACAAAAACCATAGAAGGTCGCACTTGAGCATGCAGAATACTTATCCAGGCACATGCGTGAAGAAACCATCTGAGTTTGATTGAAAAATCACCCGAAGGATTAGAGGTGACAGTACTCAGAACTCACATAGGAGTAGTGCCCTAATAATCCTAAATGTTTATCCATGAAATAACAGAGTTTCAACATACACGCAGCAAAAACTTACAGAACTGCAAGAAATCCGCAATTATATTTGAATATTTCCGTTAAAAAGGCCAACGAGACTACAGAAAAATTGATGAAAGATGTGAAGAATTTCTTCACAGAAGGGAAAACACATGGCTAGTAAACATTTCTTTAAAAAGGTAAGAGAGTGTTAAAAATTTGGAAAATGCAAATGAAAGCCACAATGAGACACCATTCTACACCTACACAATTGGCACACATTTAAAAGTCGGGCAGTATCCAGTGTAGGAGAGGTTGTTGCTCAGCAGAAATGTGTATACAGTGCTGGTGGGAGAACAGTATGGAAACATCTACTAAAATTAAAGAAGCACATACACCAAAACCGAGTAATTCACATACCATTGTATACCCTGTTTCTACAATGGACCAGGAGACATATATATCCATGAATGCAACAGTCAGTGAAAAAAAAGAAGAAGAAGAAAAAAAAAGAAAACCATTGAAAACAACCCAAATTTCCTTTGTTGGGACAATAAATCAATAAACTATAGCATATTTCTATAATGAAAGACTGTACAGGAGTAAGACTGAACTACTTCTCAGATCAATGTGCATAAATGTCCCAAATATAATGAGAGAGAAAAAGCAAGTTGCAAAAAATACACATAATACATTGCCATTTATATAGTGTCCCAAAGCATGTAAAATTAAATAATAAATTATCACACTATACATTCTCATGTAGCAAGACCATATAAGCAAAAAAATTGATAAATGCAAAATTCACTTTCCTGGATACCACTGGGCAGAGGGCTAGACAGACAATATTGAAGGAGGTTCTGGAAATGTGGGAGTAGGTAAATATCATTTTTAATACTATATACAGATATTATAAATATTATCTATTGTGTATCTAACAAAATCAATTTTATAATTTCATTGTTCATAGTAAAGGCCATTTATTGAGCACTAGTTTTCTGTCAACACTACACCAACAGCTTACTTCAACCATCCCATTGTTTCCCTCACTCTAACCCTTCAAAAATGCACTGTGATTATTCCAAATAAGTACAAAGGGAAACCAAGGCATGTAAATATTGAGTTGATTTCCCATGATCACATAGCTGATAACCGAACAGCAAAATGTGATACCCTTAGAGTCCTCCCTTATCAACACCAATAGATTAACCTCCTTGGAGACCATTACTAATACTTACAACTTAGGTGAGGTCTCATTAAGGGTCTCACAATCTAGTAGATATTATACAAAGAAATTCTTAGACTACATTAAGAGTTGTATTAAAACCTGTTTTAAAAAAAAACTGTGGGAAAATTAATGAACAGGCATTCAATAATTAATTCTGTTGTTGGGAGTCAGGTATACTTGCCCAAGAGAAAACATTTTAAGCCAGGGTGTTCAAAGATGAGTAAGAGTTCTCATCGAGGGAAAGCAAGTGCATACTTCAATGGCTGTGCTGGGGTGATTGGAGAAAGAAGGCATAGAGACCCAAACCAGACCAGTTAGCTATATTGCAATATGTTCGGCAAGAAATGACAAGATCCTGTGTTTTATTTTTAGTAATTTGGAAGAAAATAAAATTGTGTTTGAAATTATCCTATTAGAACATAGAAGGGATTTCCACAAAAAAGTAAAATACTGATATTTTATCAAATATCAAAGACTTCCCAGGTTGCAAAGGATTATGAAAAGAGCATAGGCTCTGGAGGCAGGCATAAATGAGTTTATGTCTTGTCTCTACCCCTTACTATTTACATGACCTCTCTGTGTGTAAAATAGGAAGATACTATCTACTTCATAGGGTTCTAGTAGTCAAAGCAAAAATGCTTAGTAGTGTGCATGGCAGATATTTAATAATATGTGCTCAAAATGTATTAGTTCTTTTCTCCTCCCTTAGGCTGAATGCAAATGACCAGTTGTTGTTTGTTTTTTTCTTCTCTCTGTGGCCTCCCTATTGATGCCAGAATGCACATGTAGAAAATACTGTTAATATTTGCATACTTGCCTGTGGTTAAGAATCAATGTCTTGGCTTGTATAACTTGGTCTGTAGGGCCCTCAGCTTCCTGATATAGAAAACACCATTACAAATGGTATCCTATCACTTTAACAATTGCCATAACAATGCCTTTGCGAGGTCACAGACCTAATAGACCCCTGCACAAAGGAAATCATGTCAAGTAAGAAATAAATAACTAAGGGGGATGGGGTACATGTATCTGTCTATCTGTCTGTTTATTCTTCCTTCCAAACCCAAAACTGACATCACCACATTGCCTCCTTTTGGCAGCATTTCTGACTCCCCACCATTATCACATCCTCCTCTGAACACCCACCCTGCAAATAACGCATAGTGCTAGAGTCTTTTTTTTTTTTTTTTTTTTGGAGATGGAGTCTTGCTCTGTCACCCAGGCTGGAGTGCAGTGGCATGTTCTCAGCTCACTGCAACGTCTGCCTCCGGGGTTCAAGCGATGCTGCTGCCTCAGCCTCCTGAGTAGCTGGGATTACAGGCACACACCACCACACCCAGGTAATTTTTGTATTTTTAGTAGAGATGGGGTTTCACCATGTTGGTCAGGCTGGTCTCAAACTCCTGACCTCGTGATCCACCTGCCTCGGCCTCCCAAAGTGCTGAGATTACAGGCGTCAGCCACCACGCCTGGCTGAGTCATTTTAAAAACATTTTTCTTTGGCCTCCTTTAGTTTGAGCTCTGTCAAAGCAGGGTCCATGTTTTACTGACCTGTCTGTGTCCCTCCAGTAGTAAGAATCATGTATCAAAATAGTGCACGCTCAGTAAAATGCTTTTTGTGGGGTGTGCTTCACATAAAATACGAATACTGCTGTTTACTGTCTCATTGCTTCACAGACACGTGCAGAAGTTATCTTTGTCGTGCTCGTAAGTAATTGAAAATTCTTTATTTGAAAGGTAAAATGTGACTAAAAGTTCAAGTCAATGCCCGTATAAGTTGTGATTTGGTGTTCTTTCAGAAGAAAATTTTGTTTATTTTTACAACTAACATTCATTAAGAGTATTACACATAAGTATGGTATGGAAAGCTTTGAGGCTGTGGTAAGCAAAGATGCCTTGATCTGCAAGCAGCACTCTGTGCCCTAAACTAATCCTGACAGGACAAGAGCCTCCAAAGTCACAAGGGAAACCACCACACCACATGGAAGCACATTTTATTATTAAGTCACAGGAGGATGGAAGTTTCCAGAAGGATCCCTCCAAGAAAAGAAAAAGAAACAAAGTTTCTGATGTGTTTGAGTAAATCAAGACGGAATTTACATTTCTGGCAGACAGTGGGCAAAAAATTAAGAAAAGGATCAAATAAAAGACAACAACAAAAACAAAGACAATTATTAACTCAGACCAAACAAAAACTCTACTGAAAAAAAATTAGTCTTAGGACATTAGTGGCTCAGTTGCGCACAATATTTACATTAAAAATGATGTAAGAACTGAGTCACAATTTAAACAAAATTTGTTAAATAACCAAATTAGAAAAATGGAGAAGAGAAAGTTTACTTTGTATAATGTTGTATTCAGACTAGAAAAAGAAAAAATTCATCGTATATAATAGGAAGTCAATGTCATGTTTTCAACTAGAAAAATCAAATAACTATATATGCATGTATTTACATAGAAGTAAATACAATTAAAAGTGTTGGCATTCAAGAACATAAGAAGTAGAGTGATAAAAAAGATGATGATTCTTTGCTATTGGGTGGTATGACTCTCAATGTTCTATTTCAATTTTTAAACCATACACATATATTACAGAGACAAAACTAAACATTCAGTTAGAAAAATAAAGATAACCACAAGAGAAGAGAACTCAGACTTTTAGATCCCAAAGTAGTGAGCACCTATTTGCAGTTCAGAGTGGTATGACATCCCTTGGAGGCATGTGGAAAGGAACAAGTGTTGTTTGGTTGTCCCAGTGACTGGGATGCTACTGATATTTAGTGGCACAGCCAATAATAAAGTGGAGAGCAGCCAACACAAACAAGAAACGGCCATGTTGAACGTCAACAGCACCTCTCCTAGGAAACACTGCACTAGATGGGAAAAAGAGTAAAGCAAAACATAATGACGGGGGAAAAGCTAGAAGAGAAGAAAATACAAAAGGAAACTATAGCATTAGAAAATATACCATAATAAAGACATATGCACACGTATGTTTATTGCGGCATTATTCACAATAGCAAAGACTTGGAACCAACCCAAATGTCCAACAATGATAGACTGGATTAAGAAAATGTGGCACATATACACCATGGAATACTATGCAGCCATAAAAAATGATGACTTCGTGTCCTTTGTAGGGACATGGATGAAATTGGAAATCATCATTCTCAGTAAACTATCCCAAGAACAAAAAACCAAGCACCGCATATTCTCACTCATAGGTGGGAATTGAACAATGAGAACACATGGACACAGGAAGGGGAACATCACACTCTGGGGACTGTTGTGGGGTGGGGGGAGGGGGGAGGGGGGAGGGATAGCATTGGGAGATATACCTAATGCTAGATGACGAGTTAGTGGGTGCAGCGCACCAGCATGGCACATGTATACATATGTAACTAACCTCCACATTGTGCACATGTACCCTAAAACTTAAAGTATAATAATAATAAACAAAAAAAATTAAAAAAATAAAAATAAAAATAAAAACCAAAAAAAAACACAGAAAATATACCATAATAATACGGCCAAAAGAAGTTGAAACATATTGGTAAGCACAAAAATTACCAATTCATTAAATATTCCTGTTTGAACAAAGGTAAGGGTTAAGAGAAAAAAGTATTTACCGTGCAAATATTTTTAAAAAGTACAATTAGCAATATTAATATTTTAAATTAATACAATTAGAAAGCATTAAATTGAATGAGTAGTAATATTTTCACATTAAAAGTTACAGTGTACTAAAACTATATAGAATAACTTTTATGCATCTAACAATCGAGTTTTGAAATCTACAGATAAAAACCTCCCTAGATGCAGGAATATGTTGAAAACTGCACTAACACAATGAGAGAGTTTCTCTCAGAAACTGACAAAGAAAAAGATAATTTGATTAAAATAGTTTGTAAAGTTATTCTCCATGGTACACACGTATGTGTATATATGTCTATGTATATTTATATGTGTATGCATGTGTATACAAATGATATACCCACACGTATGAAAGAATGAGACAGAAATTCATACTCAACAATAAAATTATTTTCAAACACCCATATACAATTCATACAGGCTACACATATGTGTATATATGTCTATGTATATTTTTATGTGATGTATGCATATACACATATACAAATGACATACACACATGGAAGAATAAGAGAGACAGAAATCCATACTCAACAACAATAAAATTATTGTAAAATTGTATGGTACACACATGTGTATATATGTCTTTGTATATTTATATGTGTATGTATGCGTATACACACATACAAATGATACACATATACATATGAAAGAATGAGAGAGACAGAAATTCATACTCAACAATAACAATAAAATTACTTTCACTCATATATAATTCATACAGGCTACATTATCTGACAACCAATCAGAAGAGAGGGAAAAAAAGAAGAGCAGGAAGGAAAAACAAAAGAAAAGTAGGAAGGAGAGAAGAGAGCGAGAGGAAAGGAGAAAAGAGGAAGAAAGATTAACAATAAAAAAATAAGTCTACGTACCATCTTCTCCAATCTATGTGCTTGGAATTTTAAAAAACTCTGAAGTAAATCTTAGATTAAGCAGGAAATAAAAGCAAAATAATTTTAAGGAAAAATGTGTTACTAATGTTATTTTAAGAAAATAAACATCTTTAATGCAGCTAAATGCTTTAAAATGGACTTTTCCCAATTGGAGAGTTCACTGTCCAGATTTTCAGAAATTTCTACCTTAGAAAATAGATAAGAGTTTGGTTAGGCATATTGTGCCTGTTCGGTCGTCTCATTCACAAAGACACAGTGAAACCCTAAAATCAACTCAGCATTTCAAGAATCTTTACACCAGGAATGGTCCTAGACAAATGACATGATTAAAGATTTCTCTGTTAAGAAATAAAGCTCCCCAGTCCTTCTAAGACCAGTATCTCTAGGACTTGAGAAATAAATTACATTCCCAGGATAAAAGACTCAAGCTTAGTCATACTTGCTTTTATCTCACTGTGGAACTTAACATATGGAAGGAGTTGGAATTCAGTTTTGTCAGTAAGTTTAATTATTTCTTCAAAGTATGGGTGACTGGGTGACTGTGTGAAATTAGACAACTTACATAGTTACTTCATGAGATATAAGTGTCCAAACTCGTCTTAAATATTTTGAAAGTATTGACTTGGTGGACAACTATTCATTTAAGATTGGCCTTTCCCTGTTCTTCCTACCAGGACATTCCCTCCCACCACCCTCCCTAACTAACACACACACACACACACACACACAAACACACACACACACACACACACACAATCATATTCCCTCTGTAGACATAGCTATAACCTGTTTGTTTTTAAAAAGGATCACTAAAACAGACCAAACTGAAATAAATATTTATTAATTTAATGCATTATCTAAATAACTGGTTTCCTGACATTAAAAGAAATATAGACTAGATGGCTGAATGACTTTACTCTCTCTCTTCCTCTCTTTCTCTTTCTCTCTCTCTTCCTCTTTCTCTCTTCCTTTCTCTCTCTCTTTCCTCCATTTATTCACTTAAGTACTTAACAGTATTTAAGTGAGACTCTGAAATGAGATTTAGAAAACTGAGTTGAGATAAATCAAAACAACTCTAAGATGAATAATACTAAGAAATACTAAATACGTAAACTAGAATCATAGATATAACTAGTACAACATACATGTAACAGATGACAGAATGTCAACTACAGCACCAAGATAACAATTAGTGTTTTGGGTGCTGGTCTAAGCTGCAAACACAAATGCATTTTCCCAAACAGGGGTCACAACACCTGACTCTCTCACCCACATCAGCGGTGGAGATTAATGAGGATTTTCAAGAGGTATTTTCCTTGAACAGAACTCTCCGTGTAATGTGCGTTTCATGCCTCAAAGAAAAAGGGAGGATGATTACTTTCCTTTCACTTCAACCTAAAGGTGGACACTTGCTATGAATAGTGTTCCTTCAAAATTCATATGTTGAATTTCTAACCCACAATACCTTAGAATATGACTATATTTGGAGATAGGGCTTTTGGAGAGGGAACTAAGTTAAAAGGAGGCCACTAGGATGCGGCCCTAATCCAATATGAGTGGTGTACTTGTAAGAAGAGGAAGAGACAGCAGGGATGCAGGCATAGGACAAAGGCCATGTGAGGACAGCAAGAAGGTGGACGTCTGCCAGTCACGGAGACAGGCCTCCTGAGAAAACAAGCCTGCTAGCACGTTGATCTTGGACTTCCAGCCTCCAGAACTGTAAGAAAATAAATTTCGGTTGCTTAAGCTTCCCAATCTGTGGTATCTCGCTAGAGCAGCCCTGGAAGACTAATTCAGCACTCAAATGAACTACTCACAGGTCATGGTATGAGTCCCTTCAGTTAAAGGAATATGATGAATTGGAGTCTTAACTTCTACTGAATGAATCAAGAACCCAGGAAGAGAACAAGAGGAAAGAAACAAAGATGATGAAAGAAAGAAGAAGCAAAGGAAAACTGAAGCTGGGTTGGGATCTTCCTGCAGCCCTAGAGACTGAGAAAAGGATGTGCTTATGTTTCCCCTGGACAAGACACGGCACAGGTGAAGGAGTAAGCACAGTGATGCCTTAGCATCTCTCCAAGGAGGCCTACAAAGGCAAACAGAGTTTGTATTCATGTCTTACTGCTGCTGTAACAAATCACTACACACTTGATGACTACGGACAATTCAAATGTATTCTTTCATAGTTGTAGAGCCCAGAAGTCTGAAATCAGGATGTTGGCGGAGTTGGATCCTTCTGCAGTCACTGAAGTAAGCACTTATCCCATGCCTCTTTTCCATTTGCTGCTGCAATTCTTGGCATTTCTTGGCTGCTTGATGCATCACTCCAGTCTCTGCTGTTGTCTTCTGATGTCCTTCCCCCTTGTGTCTCTGTGTCTTCTTTTTTTCTGTCTCTCATAAGGGACACTTATTGAATTTAGGGCTCCTTCTAAATCCAGGGTAATTTCATCTCGAGATCTTTATCTTAATTATATCTGCAAAAATCCTATTTCCAAAGAAGGTCACTTTCACGGAGAGCAAGGGTTAAGACTCAGACATATCTTGTGGGGGTGGCTGCTCAGACCACTGCAGACCTCAACAAATGGAAGCTAGGGTAAATGGCTAGATGCCCACAGGACAGAGAAAGTGATGAACTGAAGAACACAGCATCACCTGCATCTAAGATACTAGAGTACTTCTCAGCAGTGGGCCACACAAATGTCTGTAAGAAAAAGAATCAACTCTAAATATCTACCGAAATCAGAGCATGTGATGCCACCTTAAGAACTTTCCATTTTATTACCTCTCCGGCAACTAGGTCAGAAACCATGGTAAACAGGCAGAAATAAGAGGAGGCAGAGAAAGAACCACGGCCTTGCTCCCTCTTCCAATAGAGCTAAGAAAGACTTAATTCTAAATTCAATTTGGAATTTTAACTACTTCATAGTCAGATTATTCTAAGCATCAAAATTAGACGGTATTTTGCAATTTAAAGTGTCCATATGCATCAGCCAGGGTCCTAGCAGGAAACAGACAGCACTCAGACTGGGTTATTGAGGAAAGCTTTAAAAAAAGACTGTTTACGATGGTGTGAGCAGGGTTCAAGGAAAGCAACAAGGAATAGTGCAGTACCTCAGGGCTTGCAACAGCAGGAAGTCATTGCTGCCCATGAAGGGGCTGGGGTAGAATTGGTTTACAAAACCTGCAGAGAGTAGCAGTTTGCCAAAGGCTGCCTAGCACGAGAGGAGGCATTAGTCGAGGGACACAGCCAACCCACTGCAGTCCAGCAGGAAGGAAACCAGCAGGGTAAAGACTTCGGTTTCTCTCCTCCCACTTACCTTCCCATCTCTTGCTAATGTTTCCCATTGATCAAGTCCAAATGGAAGATAAAGGACAATGGAGTCCATTGATGCCAACCCACATGGGTTGGCCCAGAGCAAGGAAAAGTAGAGACTGGATATGGATAGGCAAATAGAAAATATCCAGTACACAATAAAATTTAAGGTGACCAGAGAAATAGAACCTACCTACGTTTTCTTCTAAATGGAAGGGAAGAGTTATCTCCACCAAGCAAGTGTAAAGGGACATTGGGAAACAGAAACAAAGTTCCTTTTATAAGGATTTCCTAAAAGTCTCATTTGTTGACTGAACCAGTATAATATATAACAGAATGTGATTATAATTTAACTACTGACCTGGTAATTTAGAGAAGTGATAAATTCTGACAGGAATATATCAGTCTTGGTTCTGGGACTTGTTCTTCTGGACTCCTGCCTTGCACTGGTGTTTATTTTCTTATGATCTTTTGCTACAAAGACTTCTCAAACCCCCTCTTCATTTATTTTCACTCTGTTTAAGACAGGCGACTTTTTACCATAGCTGCTTTTGCCTCTGCTATTCTACAGCAATTATTCTTTTATCTTTCAATTAAGCCTCCTTGCATTCAGTCATTTATGCATTGAATCACGCTATCTAGTGAAAGACACTTTGCTCTGTCTTTGCAACAAAACCTCGACTCTTCTTTCCATCCATCAGAGCATTGCTAAGGAATACTAAATATGTAAACTAGAAACGTAGATATAACTAGTACAACATACATGTAACAGATGACAAAATAGAATGTCAACTACAGCACCAAGATAACAATTAGTGTTTTGGGTGCTGGTCTAAGCTGCAACATAGAGACTGGATATGGATAGGCAAATCCATCCATCTATGTTGGTTTCAGCTTCTGATCACTCTAAGTTGGTTTCAGCTTCTGACTGTCACTGTGCTAAACTGAGCTCCATTTGGAAGGATGGAATGGTATAGTGGAAAAAAACATCATGATAGTAATAGTAGCTATCATTTATTGAGCCCTTATAATGGGGTAAGCACTGTGCTAAGCACTTTACATGCTTCATAACTACTCATGTTCCCTCCCTTCCATTTAAATACGAGGAATCTGAAGTTTCCTTGAGTTCAAGGATTTAGAGAAGGTCATAGATCTAGCAGTCGGCAGAACTAAAATTGTAAGTCAGATGTGACTGAACAAAGTCTGTGCTCTCCAGCCTTTCAATCAGTATTTTCCATACATTAATTCACCTCTGTAGCTTACTATATCTGTGACCTTAGGAAATTCACTCAACCTCCCTGTGCCTCAGTTTCCTCATATGTAAAATGAGAATGAGGATAACACCTGGTCTTCCTGTTTCCCAAAGTTACTGAGAAAATTTGTTGAATTTAAAACTGACTTGCTGGGGGGCAGTACATAAATGTTATTGTTAATTAACAGTTTTTATACCTACTATACTAGGCTATATTTGCTCATGGGCTGCCTCCCCTTAGAACAGACCTCAGAGTAACTAGTCCTTGAGGGAACCGACCCTTATCTAGCTAGTCTACCGACGACTGCAGTCCTGGTTTCTTTTTCTAGACTAGCTGGCGGCCTGGCTGCAATGCCTCGCCAGCCCAGTGATCTCTCAGACCTGTGGGTGTGCCCACTGAATCTTGCCCATACATCTCTGTGTTTCTTCTGATGCGTGTAGTCAGTCATGACTCTGGGCTCTAAGAACCTTGAGAAGGACATTCATCCTGTTCCAGAGCTTTTGGACAGGAGAGAATGACTCCTGTACAAAAATGTACTGCAAAATCTGTCCCCAAGGGCGGCAAGTATTTTTCTCAGCAGACGTTTTTTTCTGTTTCTCTTTTAAAAAAAAATAAAGTTGTCTTATTACATAACTGTAGGACAAGAGTTCAAACATTAATGCTGAAAATGCAAAAGGTGCCCTACATTCAAACCTCTGTTGCCCAGAAGAAGCACCCTTTGCAACACCTAAATCCTTTAACTCTTTCATCCCTCTGCTACATGAACATTACAAAGTTCTATTGATCCGTAACTTCTTGGTGACGTCATGTGAAACATAAAATACCCTAAGAAACCTCAACTCCTAGAAATCTGCCTGGCTTGATTGCAAAAGCAAAAGAATTCGAGAATTTTATAAGCACTAACTCAATTTTCATTATTTTCTTATCATTCATAAGTCAAAGATTTTCTTTGTACAAACAATTAAGCACAAAAATTGACTCCCCGAATCTATTCTATGAACTAGGCACGGTAGATTGATTCTGTTTGTCAGTTAAATATGAACATCTTATTTAAAATAACTCCATTTTGATATATGTTTTCTAGAATACATATATAAATTTTACATTCATGGAAATGGGCTAATTCCATCCTCTTTTGACTAATGAATATCATAGGCATTAGGGGCAATTGTATCTTTCTTTTACCATTTCAACTAATATTTATGAGGCACTACAGTGCTGTAGATACTGAGGCATAATTCTGAGGTTTAAATCCTAGTTTCTATTTCTCAAGAGAAGAAAGAAGGGCTGCGAACAGGTAGATTTGAAGAACTGTGTATGAAGAGATATGGGTTATATCCTGATATTAGCACCTGAAAAAATTATTCTAAACCCATCAACTAAAGAGGCAAGAATTCTTGACTTGCCTAAGCAGGAATGTGGGTTTGTGGAGTTTTTTCTGTAATTCCAAAAAAAATTTTACATCTTCCACATACTAATTCACCCTGGACAACTTTACTTCTTTGAGTCTGTGTCCTCCTCTATAAAAAGAGAATAATTATCTCCACCTCGCAAAGTTTTTGTAAGGACATGTGTACAACGTCCGGCATAGTGACTGGCAAGTAATAGTTGCTTTTTTTAAAAGGTAGCTATTGTTGTTATTATTCTCATCATTACCATGATGGTGGGCTTTTTCTACGTGCAATTTTTATATTTTCAAATATCTTATTAAACTTGCAGTATATTTTGATCCATGCAATATATCCAAATGCATTTAATGACAGGCTATGTCAAAAAGCAACTCTGGTATAGTTTTTGTCTTTTAGAAAAATGCTGTTCAGAATCAATGTATCATAGAAATTAAAAGCCCAACTTGAGATATTATTGTGTCATAGTCCATTGCTTGAGAACAGAACCATCCATCCTCCACGGACAGGTCTGCGCTTGGTACAGATGGGTTGCACTAGATTTGTATGTGCTATAAGTTTTGTTATACTTGAAATGGTTAATTAGAAGAAGTAGGGGAATCTGAAATGTCACAGCAAGTTCTTCTTGGCCCACTGTCACGTTTCATGAATTCTTTTGCTGAACCCATCTGGATTAAGCAGTGACCCAATCCAAACAAATTGCTTTTGTGCCTCTTATCTCCTATACCTATTTATGTTCCAATACATCTGCATGGTGTGGCTCAGTAAGATCCATTAAGTCCTTGGGCAGTGTTTATGGCTAACTTTTTTCTTCTTTGAGGCTCTGATCTCTCACAATAATGTGACAGAAAACTACCGTGCAAGAGTAAGTAAAATACTTTTTTAGAAGAAAGGGAAAGAAGTATAACATATACAATTTCAATCTGGGAACTCTCTGAGCAACCTTTTGGATGAGAGACAATCATTTCTTGTAGATTTTAGGTAAAGATATAATTTACCTTTATTTGCAGACACAAAACTCTAAGAAAACATTACTTGCCATCAAAGCCTCTGGCTTTAAAAATATTTATGAGGTTGAAATAGTTACCTGGAGGCAGACATTTCATTTCAATGTCATAGGTCAGGCACATTGGCTAACACCCCAGATAATATTGATGTACCTTCAAATTTTAAAATAATATTTATACCATTTATTTATTTATTCACATATAGAGCACCCATCCTGAAGTATCTGGGACACTGAACAAGGTTTACATAAATCTAACTGTTTTTTCCTCTGGGCCATTTGGCTCAGTCTGGTAGACCATAAATATTCAATAATACTTTACAATGACAAAGCATCTTTTATGCAAACATCTCTAAGCACATTATTCACTAATATTACAATCTCCTTTTTAACCTACTGGTAAAGTCACGGAAACTAATTGACTTTCTTCAAGGTCCCAGCACAAATTGTTTATTTTGTAGATTAGAGTCCAGGTGTTCCGATTCTAGTTATAACTAAAGGGAGAAACAAACAAACAAACACATTTTTTAGGTGCTTAAGCTGATGACCTACACTAAATATTTCTAAATTGAATCTATTAGGCAAGACGTCTTCCTTAAAGATGCTAAATGTTGTGATGCATCCAACTGAGTTTTATAACTTTTGTTCTCATTTGCCTAAGGCCAGTTACCATTTTCAGAGCCCCAAGAATGACCTAGTTTAATTGAATCCTGTTTCAAACACTTAAACTTTCACACTCTAATCAAATCAGGTTTCTAAATAGAAAAAGTTGGAACAAGAAAATAAAACTTGTCGTGGCAAGGTGCTGTTGACGTAATAGCAGAGCTGTACCAGAATATTCATGCAAATTAAAAAGCTAAACAGTTACTGTGAGATTTGGGCAAGTTTCAAAGAGTTAATGCTACCCAAGCAAAAGGAAATATTTTTAATTATTTATTTTACTTCTTCCCTCAAATATTAAATGCAGGTTACATATAGATAATTAATAAAATACCAAAAAATGGGATATTTTTTAATCACCCACAATTTTGTCTGTGACACCTATAGAAACACACTACAAAACCTACCTCCAAGCTCAGGGAGCATAACTGACTGAGCCTTCAGCCACTGAGCACTGAAACATGTCACAGCATTTCTACTGACACCACAGTTCCCCAGGCTGATCTCAGTCAATGCTGAGTGTGGCAAAGCTAAGAAAGTAGGCCTGTTCGTGGAGGATGTGCGACTCTTCTGACAGGTGACTTTGGATCAAGGACTCTCCAAAGATCCTGATGAACTTCCCTTTGAATTGCACTGTAGTCTAAATGGTTCACCCCAACTCCCTTTCTTCCTTTACTCTCTCCTTTGCTTGTCAGACATGCATGATAGCCTTTCCTGGCTCCCTCCCCATTTTCCCTGATGTTCATTTCCCTGAATAAATTTCTTGCACGTTCAATATCATCTTGGTATCTGTTTCTCAGAGGATCCAAACTAACATGCCACCTGATGGCAACAATGATGAAGACGATGAGAAGGATGATGATGATGATGATGATGATGATGATAACGGTGGTGGTAATAGTGGTGATAAAAATTATGATGGTAAAGGTTAGCATTTATTGAAGTCCTGTTTTAAAAGCCAAGCCCTGTGTTAAGAGACTGCCTAAATTATTTTATGCTGCCAATAAACTCCAATAAACTGCCAATAGGTGTTACTAACCTGAGAAAAGTAAGCCTTAAAGATACTAAACAAGAACAAGACCACATTACTTTTGAATATAAGAAGTCAAATTTGGAATTTTGGTTTTCTTATTTGAAATTTTGGTCTTCAATAGAGTGTAGAATCACTGGTACTAAAAACCACCAGTTTATATTACCTCTCTGTATTAGTATTTTGCAGTATAATCGTCCAGTTGTTTTTCTGGATAGTTATTCTATAATTACAGTTAACTCAAAACACAGAAGTAATAAGTAAAACCTATTTTACAAGAAATTGAACTGTGATCTTATTTTGGGTTTTGTCGATTTTTTTCCTTAGACTTGGGGAAAATATTTGCTTCTTTGTTACATGGGTATTGCATACATAATGGTGGGAGTTGAGCTTCTAGTGTACCCATCAACCAAATATTGAAGATTGCACCCAATAGGTAATTTTTTAACCCTTATCCCACCCCACCTCCCAGAAATTGAATTTTTACTTGAAGCTTTTGGTTCTTCTAAAATTTGCAGTTATCAACTTCACTTTGATTGTATAGACCTAATACAATCATTCGAATACTATTAGTAAACTTATTCTAATAAAGTATTTTCAGATTTGTATCATATATCAAGAGCCACTATATCAACTCTGTATAGTTTGGAGGAATTTTTCCAGATCATTAAAACAGACAAAGGTCAAGCAAATAAGCCAAGACCAAGCAACTTAGACAATTGATATCATTAAAGCATCTAAAATAACAATGCCTAGTCTCCAGTTTTAGAATTTATTGGCACTATTAAATAGACCACTTAATAATAAACCAATGGGCTTTTTCAAAATGAAAAAATTGGTACAATGAAATGCACTTAAAAAGATTTACATCCCATAGCATAGCATATTTCTAAGAAGGAACATTGGCTTGGAACTTGTAGCAGCTTATTAAATTAAGAACAGAACTCTGGTGGAAGCAATGCCATTTAGGATAATTTGAGATTCCTTTGACTCAAAAATAAATTGACTTTCCTGAAGGTACCTCGGGAATTATTGGGTCGGTCTTTAGTCCTGGCAGATTTCTTCTGGTGTATCAACATGGCTCCCTGAATGCAGTTTTCTGAAATTTTCATGCTAAACACTGATAAAAGTAGCTACATATGGTTAATCCTGCATATCTGACAATAGATTGTCAGCATAAAGAAGGGTTCCATCGGCAATGATCAAAAAGACCTTGTTAGATTTGCTTGAAAACCTGGCTTTGCCACGTCAAAACACATTTAAAAACCACCAGACTAGAAATGTTCTAAAGTTATTTCTCAGTCATTCTAAGGTTCTGTAAGAATGTCAGTTCTGTGTGGGTTTCCCCTGAGACTTTTCAATTCTTCTACAGAACTTAATCCAAACATTGCAACCTTGCTCATCTTTGCTTCTCTTCTTGTTTCCCTCTATCACCCTCTTTCAAGCATTCTCTTTCATTATGACTTTCACCATCAGCTGTGGTTTTCTAACAGAAAATCCAACCTGAAATGGAGACAGAAATTTTCAGTTGCCTCCCAGACAATTTTCTATAAATACCCTAAGGAATCTCAAATGAAATTGAAGCTGTTAAATTTCTACCACACAACCTCCAAGTCTGCTCCTTCTCTAGTGTTTTACTTCTCTTCATGGCATCCTCAGCCAGCCAGTTACCTAAACCATAATCACAAAAGTCACCTTAGTCTTCCTCCTATTTCCTTTATGCCCTAAATTGCATTTATGAACATATCCTTTTGGTTTTCCCTCAATGTTTTTTTACTCTTTTTTTCTCCATTCTGTTCCTGACACCCAAATTCAGGTCTTCATCATCATCTGCCTCATCTATGGCAATAACCCGACAACTTTTCCCCAGCTCCGTATCTCCTTCTTTCGGTTTATTCTCCACACTGCCATCAAAACTCTTTCAAATATACAGACCTGACTGTATTACACCCTTTGACTAAGTATATTTTATGGCTGTCAAATAGCTAATGCACATGATGCTAATACTAATTCCTTAGCCTAGCAGTTTACGTGCATCACGACATAAGGCTTCAGGTTCTGCCATTAACCCCGTCATCAGAAAACACAGCCTATGGCAGGCTTTATCAAAGCATGAGCAATCTACAAAACAATCATATAGGCACTTACAAAAAATATAAATTCCTGGCCCTCATCTGTGAATACTGTTATTATAGTTTCATATGAGGCCCCCAATCTACATTTTAATTAGAACTCCAAGTGATTCGAATACATCCTAAAGTATTAGAATTCTAACTCATGTGCCTACTTAACTGTACATGACTACACCATTCCAAAAATACAACAGAAGTATTTATACTTTTATGTCTCATGTCAAAATATTTTTTCTGCTAATATGCCCTTTCTTGTGTCTTTTCCTGGAAACAAAACAAAACAGAAAACATGTCTTCATAAAACCCAATTTAGATACCACAAGTAATCTCACACACTTTATTATTATTATTATTATTATTATTATTATTATTATTTTGAGATAGAGTCTCTCTCTGTTGACCAGGCTGGAAGCTAGAGTGCAATGGCATGATCTTGGTTTGCTGCAACCTCTGCCCTTCGGGTTTACTAGATTCTCCTGTCTCAGCCTCCCAAGTAGCTGGGATTACAGGAGCACACCACCATATCTGGCTAATTTTTTTCTGGGGTTTCACTATGTTAGACAGACTGGTCTTGAACTCCTGACCTCGTGATCTGCCTGCCTCAGCCTCCCAAAGTGCTGGGATTATAGGCATGAGCCACCACATCCGGCCTCACACACTTTATTCTTATTTCCCCATCCTGCCCACCTCTGCCGCAAAATACCCTTTTGTCTGTTCTATTGTTGGGGCTGTCACATCCTACTGTAGTCATGTACCTGCCTCTCTCCCCATCCAGAATGTCAGATTCAAGTGATCATTTTGTTCACCTTTATACTCCCAGGCTCTAGTAACCACAGTAGATAAATTTCTAATTGGGATTAACTACTAGCTACATAAAAAATAAAATGTAATTTAATTATTCACTTCATGCTAGGGAAGCCAGGTCTCCAAATACAACATGAGACAGAACTTTAAATTCTAGAGAACTTAATCCAGACATTGCAATCTTGCTCGTCTTTGCAGATGCGGATCTTTGGGATAGAACTTTTCTCAATCTTCTTACGTAATTTTCTCCAAGCATGAGAAAAGTCATCCAGCAACAAGCCAACCACATCACAGCTTTAGTATGGTGGTATCTGGTCTTTATTTCAGCCATGGAAAGAGTAGTAGGATGACCCTAGGGGGATATTTGGTCTCAGCTGTATAATATCTGTGCTGAGAACCTCTCAGTTCTCCCTTCATCAAACCACTCGGGAACAAGAATTTATGTGTGCCTACATTTGCCAAGTTCTCAGCACTATAAGGAACCAAAAGATGCACTAGAGTCCCCATTACCTCCATTACTGTATCCTGCTCTTCACACAAACGCAATAGGGAACGAGCAAAGCCGCTTTGTCATATTTCTCCCTGTGAAAGAACCTTAGTCTCCCACACTGTTACAGAGTGGCTGATGTGCAGCCCTAACCTGTGTCTGCAATCTAGTCCTGGATAATAACTTAAAAGATAAATGAAGTAATGGACCATCAAGAGAAAATGTTGCTTTTCCAAAGATCCCCAAGTATGCATCTGCATGATGGACTACAATGACTCCAAGGAAGATTATTGTCTTTAGAGTAAATAATACGCTTTTTTCCCCAAGTCTCAAAGCCTGTATTTAAATGATTATTCATAGGTGTTGTGGGAGACGTTAAGGCTGAGCTTGGCAATTCCCAACGTAAAAATGGGTAATGTTTCAAAAAACTTGTTTATGAGTCACCTGCCCAGAAACTCACCATTGCCTTTTACATTATGTTTCAAATTCCCAGGCAAACCCCCAAATCTATTTATCCTCATTACACACCTGAAGGGTATTTATTGACACCTACCCCCGTTTACAGCATTGTTCCATTGGGAAAATGTCCTCTCAGTTCCCAGTCAAATGGCATGCAAATACATTTCTACCTGCATTTGGAGGGGCATGGGGCATGGGGAAAGATGAAATAATGACAGGTGAATTTGATCATATATTCCCAGAAATCAGAATTCTGTTCATCTTATACATACATTTTTAAATGCCTGTCTCTAAATGATTATTGTTCACTAGGAGCAAAGAATTGCAGCCTCCACTATCAAGAGAGAGATTTTCAGAGTTTGGAAGTGGCTCCTACCCTCTCTTTGTTACCTTGATGAAATATAAACATGATTATAAGAAGATTTCACATTGAATCAGAAACTTCCAACCTCTTGTCTGTATGTTCCATTCTTCCTTTAACTCCATTAAGTGCATATTGTAATTAGTATACATTTTAAATAGGTTTTAAATGGGTGCATCATATGAAATATTTTCCTATTTTGAAGTAATTTAAAGCCGAATAAATTTACAGTTTTGAAATATAAAATAAGCTCTTTCAGATTTAAAAAAAACTTTTTTCTATTATTAAAATCTAAAGGATTTTTAAAATCTCATTTATTTTGTCAATTGGTTCTGCTTAACATTCTTCAGCCCAGTCCACTCTCAATTATCCACGCTAAGGAAGGGGGATCAGTGGCCTGGATAATCTAAAACAGCAGACGATTTTAAAAGCCCTTGTATTTGGCCTGGGCATACTTTACAATCAAATTCTGATTATCCACGCTAATGAAAGGAAGAGCAGGCACCTTGAGAAAGATCCAAAGCCAATATAGATCTGCTCGTCTGGTTGAGGGTGCCCCAAGGAAGAGGGCCACATAGTAGAACAGAAGGAAAACAGCAGGGCCCCAGCTGCTGCTGACGGCACCACCCACGACATGCAAAATACAAACACACAGCTGCAACAGTCATATCAACACCTCTCATGATGTTAGTCCTCTTTAGATACATGGAGTTATGTTCAAACGCCCCCAGGTAAAAAGGCATATTATCCATGCTGTTCCAAATTGTTAATATAATGTTTGTTCGTATATACTAAAAACCTCTTTTAGGGGTTCTCTTCACCCCCATCAGTCATCGAGCCCTTTACTACCACTGCCAAGTTCACAGTAACACACTTGGGAGAGTAGCATAAAAGATGAAAGAGGCAGTGTGCTGGAGTAGCTCAAGCTCCAGCCTGGAAGTGAGAAAGGCTGGATCTTTGTCATCTTTTGATCTCTGTTGATGCCAATAGTCATGTATATTCAAGCAAAGGGAACAGCATGTGCAAAGGTACAGAGGCATGAAGGTCATGGCACATTTAGCAAATTCCATGTGCTTTATTTTGGTCAAAGAGTAGGATACAAATAGAGAAGAAGCAAGAGGTGAAACTGGAGTTGCAGTCAGAGAGAAAATTGCAGGGTTTTCTTCTGCTATTCAAAAAGTTCAGAAATTATCCTGCAGAAGGTCAGAAGACATTTCAAGTTCTTTAACAATTGTTGACATTTACTGAACAGTTAAGATTTGCACAGCATTGTTCTATGCATTTGTTACTTATGAACACATTTATATTTACAATGATCCCAAGATAAGCACTATCACCGTTCTCATTTTGCAAATAAGGAAACTGAGGCCTGCAAAGCTTAGATATCTTCCAAGATCATACAATTGATAAGTGGAGTCAGGGTTTAAATCCAGTCTGTTTGATTTCAGAGCTCATCCTCTCTCTCTGAAAATGGAATAATGTGGTCAGATTTGTAAAAGACCATGCTAGAAGTAATATGCAAGAGAAATTGGAGGAGAGTGGAGAGGACAGAAGGAAACTTTAAGAAGATAAGAAATGCTAAGTTCCAGAAGGAAAGGTAGTAGCAATGAAGAAGATGGGTATAATCAAGAGGTTTAGAGGAGATAGAATAAAAAGGAATTGGTAAAATGAAGGAGTAAGAGGAACAGTCTAGCTTATTTCTGGTTTGGGCACTTGTGTGACGGTCTAATAATTTTTAAAGATTCATTTAACCTTGTGCACCAGTGAATTTAGCTAGGAAGCAACACCTACCAGATGGGCAAGCCGAGGAAGGAACAGCACAACCAACACCTTTTTTTCCTCCAGTACAAGGCTGGCACATATTTATTCAAGTAAACAAATGTCCTCTCTTAACTGACTAATTTAGTAATGACAAAAAAATTCATGTATGACTGTGTGGTCCAACAGATAGAACCCCTACACCAAACAAATAATTAAGATACAGTTATTTTTATCTGGTTTCTCAAAGTTAAATATATTGGCTCACATTTAGCTTTCTGTGTAACATCCTTGTGCACTGTAGAAACACAGATAAGGGAGAGAGGGAACAGGAAGAGGAGAAAGGATGCAGAGAAGTGTTATAGCTTATCAAGATATTTCTAAGTGTGTTAAGAAAACCACAACCATTTACAGAATGCTCTTATCAGAGAAATAAGTGTATAGGTACATGTATGTCTACAGATACATAGAAAAATACTGAAAATATACATATTCTAAAATTTTAAATATCTACTGGCTAATTATTTTATTTTTGGCTTATTTGTATCTTTTAAATGTTCTAAAATTATCTTGTATTCCTTTCATAATACAAAAAATATTTCTAAACTTATGTGACTAGCACCCACTCTACTCAGAATCTTGCTGATACAAAAGAATATACAGCCAGACGCGGTGGCTCACGCCTGTAATCCCAGCACTTTAGGAGGCCAAGGCAGGCAGATCATTTGAGGTCAGGAGTTCAAGACCAGCCTGGCCAACATGGTGAAACCCCGTCTCTACTAAAAATACAAAGATTAGCCAGACCTGGTGGCAAGTGCCTTAATCCCAGCTACTCAGGAGACTGAGGCAGGAGAATTGCTTGAACCTGGGAGGCAGAGGTTGTGGTGAGCCTAGATCGTGCCACTTCACTCCAGCCTGGGCGACAGAGTAAGACTCCATCTCAAAATAAATAAATAAATAAACCTTTCCAAAAAAAAAAGAATATACAAACAGGCAGACCGACACTTATCAATAAATAACTTACATATACACATAGGGAGGGCAGCAGATACCTTTCAGCACTGCCCATGAAGCCAGCTGAGGTACAGGAAAACTTAGTAGATGCAGAATCTGTGTTCAGGAATTGAGGGAGGTAATAAATTATGAAAAATGCAAATGGATTGGATCAGCTGACCTCAAAAGCAGATGATGAGACATGTTTTCTTTCTCAGTCATAGTCACCTCCCCCTACTATGACTTTTCTCACAGTATCTGAATATTTTGCTTTCTCTTGTTATACTGTCTGAAATTCCATTAATTCCACATTAGCTCATTTTCTTAGTCCATTCTGGCTGGTATAACAGAATGCCATAGGCTGACTGGCTTATAAAGAACAGAAATGGTTCAACTCGAACTTATGAGTGAGAACATGTGGTGTTTGGTTTTCTGTTCCTCTGTTAGTTTGCTGAAGATGATGGTTTCCAGCTTCATCCATGTCCCTGAAAAGGACATGAACTCATCCTTTTTTATGGCTGCATAGTATTCCATGGTGTGTATGTGCCACATTTTCTTTATCCAGTCTATCATTCATGGGCATTTGGATTGGTTCCAAGTCTTTGCTTTTGTAAATAGTGCTGCAATAAACATACATGTGCATGTGTCTTTACAGTAGAATGATTTATAATCCTTTGAGTATATACCCAATAATGAGATTGCTGGGTTAAATGGTATTTCTGGTTCTAGATCCTTGAGGAATCACCATGCTGTCTTCAGAGAGGGGAATATCACACACTGGGGCCTGTCACAAGGTGTGGGGGAAGGGGAAGGAGAGCATTAGGACAAATACCTAATGCATGCGGGCTTAAAACCTAGATGACAAGTTGATAGGTGCAGCAAACCACCATGGCACATGTATACCTGGCACATGTAACCTGCACGTTAATCACATGTATCCCAGAAGTTAAAGTAAAATTTAAAAAAACGAAAAAAAGGAAAGAAATTTATTCCTCACAGTTCTAGAGGCTGGAAGTCTAAGATCAAGGTGCCACTACAGTCAAGTTCTGGTGAAGATGCCTTCCTGGTTGATAGATGGCTGACTTCTTTCTGCATTCCCACATGGCTGGGATCTCTTTTATTTAATATGAGGCAGAATTCCCATTCGTGAGGGCTCTGCCTTCCTGACTGTATTAGTCTGCTTTCATGCTGCTGATAAAGACATACCCAAGACTCGGTAATTTATAAAGAAAAGGAAGTTTAATGGACTCAGTTTTATATGGCTGCAGAAGCCTCACAATCATGGCAAAAGGTGAAAGGCACATCTTACATGGTGGCAGGCAAGAGAGAATGAGAACCAAGTGAAAAGGGAAACCCCTTATCAAACCACCAGACCTTGTGAGACTTACTCATTACCACGAGAACAGTATGGGGGAAACTGCCCCCATGATTCAATTATCTCCTATCAGGTCCCTCACACAACATGTGGGAATTATGGGATCTCCAATTCAAGGTAAGATTTGGGTGGGGACACAACCAAACCATATCACTGATTAATCACCTCCCAAAGCCCCCACCTCCAAATACCATCACATATGGGGATTAGTGTTTCAACCTATGAATTTGAGGGGAACACACACATTTAGTCTATAGCACTCATCTTCTTCATTAAAAAGCACAGGACTAGAAAACTTCTAGAAGTTGGATATATTAGTGATGACAAGGAGGATGATAATGGTAAAAGGGGGCAATTCATTCATTAACTTTGCATAGAACCTCATGATTTATGAGGCACTTTCAAATATTAATGCATGTTAATAAAGACTTCTACATAAGTTAATATTATATTAAAGTCTTTAAATATTTCCAATTCAAGGTGGGGAATACAGTGAACATATTTAATTCCTTTTCTTCTCACAACCCCATTGAAATAACAGTAAATAAGAGAAGGAATCCACAACTGAGCTGAAAACAAACAAACAAAAAAGGTCCCAATAGAACAAAACATTTACTAAAGTACTTTTCTGGGCCAACCAATTCAGACAGAAGTCCAGGCCTCAGAGCAATCATTATGGTAATTAAAGGATTATCTTATAGCTTGTTTGATGGGTTTTTCTTCTCCATAAACAGGGTCATTGGTTCTGCCTTTACCCCATGTTGAAGTCCTAAGAAATGCTTCATAAAAGTGAGACGTGTGACTGGGGAGGACTCCTATCATGGGTACTGAGGCCATAGAAAAAAAGCAGAACAAACTCTAGAGCTAAAAACATGAACTTGAAAGGACGTGCAGAAAGGAAACACAAAAGTTAAAATCAAGCACACTCCTCCTTAAAGTCCTTGCTATATGGCAGTTATCAAGGTCTAAATTTTGGCTGTTTCCACTCACACGCATAATCTTTTGTGAGACAACTGACTGTCAATAGATCCCACCAACTTATATAGAACTCTGTTTTCTTATAGAGCCAACCCTGACTCAGTTCATAGAACTATCTAACTTCAAAGGAAGCCTATATCAGTTACTGGTATTAATCAAGATAACCATTCATTCATAAACATCATATGGCATTTGACAAAAAACAAGTAACCCGAAACATAAGGACCAAAATTCTTTGATACACACAAAAAAGAGAAATTAATTTTAAAAGTTTTCATTGTAAATTGGTCATTTATAATTATGTATATTAACACAGTATGAAGTGATGTTATTATTGATGAATACGAATTTTAAAAATTAAATCAAGCTGGCTAACATATTCATCACCTCAAATACTTAACATTTTTATGGTGGGATCATTTGAAATTTATTTTCTTAACAAATTTGAAACATACTATATTATTAACTACATAGTTAATAATTTTTTGAGATGCAATAGATCTCAAAAAAAATTTTTTTTCTCCTATCTGACTGAGGTTTTTTACCCTCTGATCATTATCTCCCAAGATTCCCCCACCCGCTAGCTATGTAACCACTATTCTCTTCTCTGCTTCTATGAGTTTGATTGTTTTAGATTCTACATGTAAGTGAGAACATGCAGTATTTTCTTTCTGTGCCTGTCTTATTTCACTTAGCATAATGTCCTCCAGGCTCATCCACATTGTCTCAAAGGACAGAATTTCCTTTTTTTTAAGGCTGAATAGTTTTCCATTGTGTATATATTCCACATACTCTTTATCCATTCATTTGTTTATGGACACTTAAAATTGATTCCAATATAGATATTGTGAATAGTGCTGAAATGAATATGGAAATACAGACATCTCTTTTACAAACTGATTTCAAATCTTTGGGGTAAATACCCAGATGTGAGATTGCTGGATCAGGAACTTAATTTTTTTAATTAGCATTATTAAAGAGATTTGAGAGGTGACAACATCCAGAAAATAAAATATGTCTCCTGAAACAGAAGCAATTAAATAATTCATTCCTAAAAATTAGAAATATGAGTGCCAAAAATAAATATTCAATAGAGGAGTTGAAAAATAGAATGAATTCAGCTAAAGTCCAAACACAGTTAAAGTATCGTCATTTGGAATAAAAAGTTGAAGAAATTAATCAAGATCCAAAGAAGCACAAAATGTAAGAAAAAGGTCTCCAACATTCATCCAATGAAATTTTTTAAAAAGAGAGAGAGATCAGCATTAGGAATTTGCAAGTGAGAAATTGGAGACTTAGAGAAGTTAAATAATTAAACTGTCTAGTAGTCTATAAACAGAGTCCAATATATTTTAGATGTGTCCCCCTCCTAAGCCCAAGGTTGAAATTCAATCAATACATCTAAATGTGGCCTTGGTAGTTGTGTATGGCTGACGTCCACTCTGACCGGTCAATCCAAATGTCAGTCTAGTCTATGCCTACTATTTATAGTTGGCATCTGATTGGTGAGCATGGCGAGTATATTTGTTGATTAATATTTGAATATCATCCCTCTCTAAGCCTGTACTCTTCCAATGATGCCTACATCATTAATTTCATGGTACAATGAAAAAGGAGGGCAATATTTGATATTTTTGTGAATTTCAAATTTGAAACTGGGGGAAAGAAATAAGAATGGTTTCTGTCATGTCAACTTTTAAGCTATGATAAATTTCATGGGTAAATGCCCACTTCTCTGCTCCCTGTTTCCTTACATACCAAGAAATAAATGACCATGCTTTAAGTCTGCTTCCCTTCCGTCTTTCTTAGGTGGTCCAGACAAGGAGCATATCTGTCTGGATATTCCTCTTCTTGAAGAGTACCAAGAGCAGCCAAGAGATCAAGTCTCAGACTGCGATGTTTAATCCATGGGATTTGGCAGAAAATAGAGACCAAGACACACAGTTAAAATCCGTTGAGTGAAGAAAGCAATCAGGAAGTGGTCTTAGAGAAATATGGGGCTTGTGCTGACATTTACAACGAGTAGATGAAGTGTGTCTCCAGCTTAGGTTTGTGTGAATCAGTTGAGTTTTTTTAAAAAAAGGACCAAAGAAAAAACAGCCTATATAGAAACACCATAAACTCAACTTATAACCAAAAAATACAGCTGCCATGTTCTTTTTCCAATTTTTTAAGGGAACACACACATGCACACACACACACACACACACAAATGTCTTAACTACAAGAATCCACCTTTAACGTATGGCAAATAGAGATGGCCAAAGTCTGAGGCAATCCCCAATTTCTGCCGACATAAAACCAAAGTCAAACTTAAAATCAACTGTTATATTAGAGTAATATCAAGGATTCACAATGGCATTCCTAAAACTGAGAACTTTGGCTCCTTAAAAACCACAAACTCAGATCCCACTAGGAAGCATTAACAGAGTAGTTTAGACTTTGCTTAGGATTTGTGGGATTTTGCAAAGCATGTTCGCTCCTTAAGAGCCTTCCCTGAAATCACCGGGAGTTAGAAGCTCATAAGAACTGTAGAATTGGGTCCTCAATGTCATTTTCATATCTCTTCCGTGGCCTACCATCAAAGTAAACAAAATGCCACGGAGCTACCTGATGTTTTTGCACCTCACGTTCCCTCCAGCCAAACACAGAGGACAGAGTCAGCTTCACAAGGGGTTAAAAATCATGGGAATTTTTCTCTACTTAAAAACATTGCGGGAGACTCACTTCTGTATGTACGATGATTTTTTGCACTTTCTTCCCTGCCTCTTAGTCTAACAAATACATTTTTTAGGTTTTACATGGTTCTTTACAACTCACCTAAAACACATAATTTTCCTCCTGCTTATACCATTTATTTATTATTTATTTATTAGATTCGTATTGTGCTTTCTTCCAAAAGGCTCAAGGCACCATGCAGTCAACTCTTATGTAATAACATTAAACTCTTCTATAAGACCATAAACAGTGAAATAGCCAGAGGAGAGGAAGAAAGGATCTGAACAAGGACAGGACAAAGGAAAGGCCGTGATTCCGGCAAAATACGCAACCAAGTAGTCAATGTGTTAGGAGACCTGGTGATAAGGCCCAGTCCCTGCCCCTCTCAGTGGGGCCCACCTGCAAAGACCCTGACAGTATTTTCTATATGGAGACAAAATATCTCCATTTTCGCAGTGAGGGTGAGGGAGAGTATGCTAGTTATTCTTCAGGGATTTCAAGAGAGTATCTGAAAACAAATATACCAATACAGACAACTGTATTTTGAAATACAGTGGAAAGAGAGACAGTAGAAAGAGATACGTGGTAATGTTTTATAACAAATCTTTAAAAGTGTTAGATTTTTTTACAAATACAATTCAGGCTCAGTCCTCAGCTCTGCTGAGTGTCTCCTGACTTCCAATGCATCTACAGACCTTCCAAGGCCAGGGCAGCACAAAACTGCAAAGATTATCAAAATCAAAAAGAGACAGGCTGTTCTCGGCTTTAAATCCAAGCCATGCTGATTTGATAAAGCCACGAGTGAACTTCCTGCACTGTAATCCAGTCGATGGTGGGAGAAATGGTTAAACAGTAACTCTCCTGGCAACTGCTGGTGAAGTAGTCAAGCATGAGCAAGGAGGGAATAGATTCTAACTAGCAGTCCAAACAAGAAATGACCATTCCCACTAAATGGAGTAGACAGTGTAACTCTCCTTCTCTCAGAGTGCAAGAGAATACAGCCAGGAGAAAGAAAAATAATAATAGTATTGGCATTAATATTAGTATTTGGTGAGCACTACATGGGGGCACTCTTATACCACAGTTACATATGCTTACCTCTTCAGTCCCTAGAACCAATCTACAGAGAGAGTATGACTATGTTTCAAATTTCACAAATAAGAAAACTGAGGCTTAAATATATTATTTGCCCAAAGTCACTCTGCTAGTAAGTGCTTGAGCTAAAATTCACACACAGCACAAAAGGATCAGGAAGAGCTCCTAGGGTGGAAAGCAAGCAAGCATGCAAAAGTTATGCTGTGAGTTGACAAAGATAGCAGGCTGATGGCTCTTGGCAGAGCATGATGGATCAAGTACCCTACCTAGTAAACTATAGATAGTTAACAGCAGGTTAGAGGCCACAAATAAAGACCTCAAAATATGGCAGAAGCAAGCCTAAGTCCGAAGAGCATAGGACAAACTGGCTCCAAGCAGACAGAAGAGATGCAACAGTATTGAGATCATGTGAAGAGAGGAGCTCAGAATGGGCCAGTTAATGTTACCTCCAGGTCCTAAGTGGGCAGGAACTCAAAGTTAGTAGTTGAAACCCACTCTATTGTCTTGTATAACTGCATATTTATGCCAAGTTAACTGTAGAGTTCCATAGTGAATCATTCTTTGTAATCCTTTTGTGATCCTCCCAGATATGAATATGATGCATCGAGCACTCACTAAATGCCAAGTACTTAACACACATTATCTTATTTAAACCTCATAGCTGTGCTACACAGGAGACACCATAATAATCTCCATCTTACAGGTGAGGAGGCACAGAGAAGATGAGTCATTTGGACAAAGTCACAAATCTAGTAAAAGGAGAGATGGAATCCAAGTCTAAAGAGTCTTCCCCCAAAGCTCATCTTAATAATCACCAATGCTATGTTGCTTCTAGAATCTGATTCTATTTACACCATTCTGGTGCTCTACCATGCTTTCTCGGATTTTTCCGACCTCTCTTTTGAGACGGAAACTAACAAAGATCATTGCTTTTGTTTTTATTCCCAGAGGGTCAGCCTATTCAGTCACCCTCTACAACAAAGTGGAAATTATCTGGAAGAAGATGAAAGAAGATCCCATGTAGCGAAAAAGGTGGCATGGAATCTCAGCCAACCAGGACACTGTCAGACGTTCCTTTAAAAGAGCCTTGTATCACAGATCATATATGTGCAATAATATACATAATCCCCCAGTGGGAGATGTCTTCTACATGGCAGTTATCACAACTGTGTAGTAAAGATTCCTCCTTCCCATTCTAGAGGATGGGGAAATAGCAATTGAAGCTAGGAATCACAGGCAGCATGGGTTGTACCAGGATCAACTTGTCCTGTTTCTTTGTCTAGAAAGATCTCCCCATATTCAAATGGCAGTCTCCTCCTCATACCTTAAGTTTAGACGGAATGATGCTAGTTCACAAAGATCCTCCTTGATGACCCATCCTGAAGAACTGGTTTTCACGTGACCCTTTCCCACAACATCCTATTATCACCATAGCACTTACCATAGCAGTCATTATTTCATTGATTGATTGACTTGTTTTTCTCGGTGTATAAGTTTTCTAGGGGTGCTGTAACAAAGTGCCACAAAATGAAAGCCTTGAACAACAGAAATGTATTCTCTCACAGTTCTAGAGGCTGGAGTTCCAAAATCAAGGTGTCAGCAGGCTCATGGACCCCCAAGTCTCTAGGTAAAATCCCTCTTGCCTCTTTCTAATTTTTAGTGGCGACTATTGCTCCTTAGCTTACTGTAACATTCCAATCTCTCTCTCACACACGGTGTTCTCCTTGTCTCTTTGTCCAATTTTTCTTCTTTCAAATTTCCAAATTTCTCAGTGTCCAAATTTCCTTCTTTTTAGGACACCGGTCATATTGGATTGCATATCTGCCCTACTCCAGTATGATCTCATCTTAACTTGGCTAATTACATCCTCCAGTGGCCAATTCTGGCTTCTAGAACCGTAAGAGGATAAATTTATGTTGTTTAAGCCCCACAGTTTATGATATTTTATTATGGCAATCCTAGGAAGCTACCACAATAACTCACTTTGCTTTGTTTAATCCAGGGTTTCATATACTTATTTGACCAAATAAATATTTTCTCCATGGTAGCTATTAACAATCTCTAACTCCCTTTGTGGAGGGGAAGGGGGGACATACGTGTTTTAGAAAAGTAAAGCTCATCTTCCTATTTCACAGATGAAGAAACTGAGACTCAAGGAGGACAAAGAATTCACACACTTGTGTGTGGTAGGATGAGGATCAGAACTTGGGCTCCACAGGCACTCTGGGTGCTCTTTACCATTTGCTTCTATTTACTTCTCAGCTGCCCCAGGAAATATGGTGGCATACAAGATTAGGCTTGGCTTGGCGCTCACTAAGAATAGAACAGGGAACTTTTCCCAATTAATGAAGGGCTCTTTGAAAAAATCGACCCAATATTCTTCCAGCCAATAGAAAAAAATGATTCTCCTTTGTAGAGGAGTTGGGGCAAATGGATTCTAAAAATCAATTATAAAAGCAGCTGGTCCAATGTAAACTGATGTCTCAGCTGAGTTTGGACTGACTGAAAATCCAGCCACAGCTTGGTTTTCACCTCTTCATCCCTCCACCCTTCCTTGTGCCTAAAGAGACAAGAGAATGTGAGCCCCCACCCCTGACATGTTTGAAAAGGGAAACAAATTCATTGATAACATTGTGGTCTGTTCAATTCTTTGCTTTTCTTTTTGCCTCCTTACCCCACCATCTTCCTCAGGTACACAGGACACACCAGAAATAAAGCACTCCCACCCCAGTGAAGGGGAGAGAGTGTCCCCTACCTTCTACTTGATAAGCTGCAGTGGCTGCCGCCCATCCAAATCCTGCAGGGAAAGCCATGGTTTAAGAAGCTGTCTACTGGGATCTTCAGCTGCCAGAAGCAGAGCACCCTTTGGCCAGAGGAGCCAGGCAATTGTGCAAACAGAAAATGAGCTCTCACCCTAGAATGAAGCCTCAGAATACAAATATTTATGCAAACAACAAGGAAGCAGGGGCAAAGGACACTTGACTGCCACAGCCTTGATAAGAATCCAAGATACTTTGTACAAGGCCATCATTTATACTTTCTTCCCCCAGCACTCCCTGATTCTTAACAGAGTTGATAACCCTGGGTGCTAAGTCCCTGATTTGGCAGGGCACCCATTTACCTGATGTTTTGCCTTTTAAAGTAACATGAACATTGTTTTAAAAAGTCATTATCATCCTACTAGAATTTTCCCTTAGTTCATTCATCCCAATTCCTGATCCGTACTCTGTAGAGGTAACCACTTTTAACCATTTCTTCTGATATTTAATCCCATATTGTGTAAATAATAGGGTGTTGCTGCTTATTTTTTTCAATTTTAGATAATTATTGACTTCTGGGTATAGGGCAGAGGATCTAGCACTCTCTCTCTCTGTTCCTCCTCCCTCCTTCTCTTCCACCTTCTCCCATCTGGCCAACATGATAAAATTACCTTTTCATTTAAATGAATTCAATATTTATATTTCTATGAGTCTGTATGGCTCAAAGCTGAGCCATATAGTATACATACCATGCTTCCATGCAACTTTTAATTTTCTCTAGGGTTAATCCACTGCCTGATCTTTATGTTTATTTCATCTTCTTTACACCTATTACTAATTCATCCCCAAACACTCTGACAGAAGAATACATCTCTGAGTTGTTCAAACAACTCTGTCTTCCTGCTCCATTCTGCACTGTTTATTTTTTAGGACACCACAGAGCTTTGACCCACGATCTCCTTCACATCATTCAGAGAGGCTCCTTCACCTCTCCCCTGGTCTTTCTGTTTCTTTTCCCGCTTTAGAGAAGCACATCCTCAAATAACTGTCTGATAAAGGGGGCATGGGACATAAATATTTCAAAACTCTGTAGTTGCTCTGGAATTGTCTTTAGTCTAACATTGCTCTTAATATGCAGTTTTGTACAGGATTTTATGATGAAAATAATTTTCACTCAGAATTTTGAAGGCATTGGTTCCTGATTTTCTAGCTTCTGGTGTGGCTACTGACAAGTTTGATGAGAATACAAGTCCTGTTCTTTTATATGTAAACTTTTTTATTTCCCCAGCCCACCCTCTCTGACCCCCAAGTTTCTGTTTCTGAAATTTCAGTCATGTTCATTGGTGTGGAACTTCTGTCCATTGTGCCAGGAACCCAGTGGGTATGGGTTTCCACAGAAATGTACATGTTAACAGTAGGGGAAACTGGATGAGGGGCCATGGGAACTCCCTGTACTATCTTTGAAGCTTCTGTGTAAATCTAAAATTGATCCAAAATAAAAAGTTTATTTAAAAAAAAATGACTATGGATTGGGAGGCCAAGGCGGGCGGATCACTTGAGGCCAGGCGTTCGAGACCAGCCTGGCCAATGTGGTGAAACCCTGTATCTACTAAAAATACAAAAATTAGCCGGGCATGGTGGCAGGCGCCTGTAATCCCAGCTACTCGGGAGGCTGAGGCAGGAGAATCGCTTGAACCCAGGAGGCAGAGGTTTCAGTGAGCTGAGATTGCACCATTGCATTCCACCCTGGGCAACAGAATGAGACTCCATCTCAAAAAAAAAAAAAAAAAAAAAAAAAGACTATGGAAAGAGAGGAGGTATGTATAACCGAAGTGAGGAAAGTTACTTACTCGGTTTCTCTACATTGCCATTAAATCATTCTACATTGTGTAATGACAGGAACATAAAGTTTGAAACAAGGTATAAGTAGGTTGAAATCCTACCTTCTCCAGTTATCCTAACTCTAAGAAGAGATTATATACAGAAAGAAATTGGAAAAGACACTGAAGATATTTAAAGGTACATGTTTGGTGAAATAACCTAACAAATGCATGGCAAACTATTAAATTTGGCTTATGTTGTCATTCAGTTCTGAAGCAATTGTAAATTGAGAGAAAAAATAAATATCGAAATGTTTTCACGATAGAACGCTAGATGGCAGTATTGCAATTTTTTTAGGTTTGCAAGTTGCAGTATAAAGTGGTATTAAAATTCAGTTATTTCACTAATGGCTGTCTACACCAGTCGCCCCTGGCTAATTACTACTGCTCTTCTAAAGATACTTCTCCAGAAGAAACAATCTATCTTCTCAGTGCTTCACATACTCTGAAGTTATTAGTCCACAAGTGGCAGAATTAATTTCTCTCAACATTGATTGGGTTGTTGTTCTAATCCAACATTCTCAAGCTTTTTGGTGTCAGGATCTCTTTACACTCTTAAAAATAATTGTGGTTCCTAAAGAACTTTTTTTCTTTCATGTGGGTTATATTTTATATTAAATATATTTGCTGTATTAGAAATTAAAACTGAGATTTTAAAAAAACATTTATCGTTGACTTCAAACAGCAATGAAGAGCATGTTAACAGAAGTTACTTATTTTATGAAAAATAACCATATAACCCCAAACAAACAAACAAAAATATTTAGTGAGAAGAGTGTCACTGTTTAAGATTTTTACAAATCTCTTTGCATGCCTGGTTTAATAGAAGACAGCTAATGTTCCTATCTGCGTCTTATTCAATTTGTTGTCTCTAGAAAACTCCACTGTACACTCACAGAAGAATACAGACAAGAGTGGAAAAGGCAAATCATATCGTAGCATCATTATAAAAAGTTTTGACCTGGTGTACACCCAAGTGGGTCTTGAGGACCTCTAGGAGTCCACAGAACACATTTTCGTAACTGTAGCCCTCCTTGAACTCACTTTCCACCCCTCCCCTAAGACCTTCCATTGCAACCCAGCACCCCTCTGTATCTTTCTCACGTTTCTGAGAACTCATTTCACTCATCTGCCCTGCACTAGGGCCCAAATGGCTCTAAGGCATGAATTTGCAGCCATCATCTCAGGTAAGAAAGAATTATTGTATTTTAGATTTTTCTGTATACAAAAAGTAGTCTGACTTCATGGTCCCATCCAGGAAGATTGGCTGGTAATTTAATTTGTCATTACTGTATTTGGGCCCCCTCTGCTTCATTTTAGGGCCATACAAGAAAATTTGGGTCTTATGAAAACCAAAATTCTTTGTAATACCTGTGTTTCTATTCCCCTACCTCCCAGTGTTGGTCTGTACCAGTTAATGCCAAGATGCCCACTCTCCAGGTCTACTATGGTCTCTTCAAGTCCACTGATTCTAGGGACTCAAGCCTTCTCCAGGGGTGAAGCTCTGAGGTTCTATGTTCAACTGCCGCTCATCACAGCCACAGTAGTTCCTCTGACGTCCTGCCACCTTCTGAAGGTACTGCCTCAGAACAGCACAACAAACCTTTTTATTCACGAGTGTCACCAACCTCTGTCTACTCCCCAAGCAAACATAAGTTACTTGCATTATAGTTTTGTCTACAGGTGTGCTCTTTCTAGAAGTCCTGGGACTGCTAAGTATATTAATCAGTCCTCACACTGCTGTAAAGAACTACCTGAGACTAGGTAATTTATGAAGGAAAGGCGTTAGATTGACTCACAGTTCCACAGGCTATACAGGAAGCAGGGCTGGGAGGCCTCAGTCATGGCAGAAGGATGAAGGGGAAGTAAGCATGTCTTCATGTGACAGGAGGAGAGTGCAAGTGAAGGGGGACTACACACTTTTTTTTTTCCTTGAGACGGAGTCTCGCTCTGTCACCCAGGCTGGAGTGCAGTGGCGCAATGCCGGCTCACTGCAACCTCCGCCTCCCAGGTTCAAGTGATTCTCCTGCCTCAACCGTCTGAGTAGCTGGGATTACAGGCATGCATCACCACACCCAACTAATTTTTGTATTTTTAGTAGAGACGGGGTTTCACCATGTTGGTCGGGCTGGTCTGGAACTCTTGAACTCATGATCCGCCCGCCTCAGCCTCTCAAAATGCTGGGATTACAGGCGTGAGACTACACACTTTTAAACAACCAGATCTCATGAGAACTCACTCACTATCATGAGAACAGCAAGGCAGAAATCCACCCCCATGATTTAATCAACTTCCACCAGGCCCCTCCTCCAACACTGAAGATCATAATTCAACATGAGATTTGGGTAGGAACACAGAGCCAAACCATATCATGAAGAAACTGTAAATTCAGGGACCTCTAGGTAAAAAGGAAAAAAAAAATCTTGCACAAAACTTTATTTGTTAACTGTAAAACAAGCTGTTCTTTAGTAAGAATTCAGCCCTATTAGTCATGATCTTGACCCTCCCAACTTGAATTGCTGAGATTCAAAAACTCTGGCATTCAAAATGCTCCTGCATACCTGTGTAGGAGAAAAAGATTCTAAATGAACGTTAGTCTATCTGTAGCAAAGATGCCTGTGTGTTCTAGCCGCCCTTGTTTCCCCTTCCATCTTGCCACACTTTTTGACTACATTTTTCAGCAACTTTGCAAATGGTTGTGACCACATTACTATGTGTCCTGGCCAGTGGAATGTAGGCAGAAGTAATGTGTACCACTGCCAGGCTGGGACACTACAATCTGCCTGCATAATCATTCATGTTTCAGCCATGTATCATCATTCTTCTTTCATCCACTGGCTGGATATACAGGCTCCACTGGAAGACTCTAAGACCCTAGGAATTCTCAGACGGAAGGAGCCTGGTTCTCTGTATCACAGCATGGAGCAGAGCCACATAACAGCCTGTGAACAATCCACTTTAAACTACAGTGTAAATAAGAAATAAACTTTTATTTTTCTAAACTACTGAGAGTGGAGAGTTGCTGATAAATACACTCTCTGAAAACAAACTGCTTCCTTGAGCTTTTTTTTTTTTTTTTTAACATAGTTAAATGACTTCAAAGTGTTTTCTTCCAGAGGAGAGCCTCTTCAGTGATACTATGTCATTGGAGAAGAAAGGAAGTGGAAGGGAACGTGAAGAAGGGGCAGGTGCAAAGGGTACATCTACTTGCAGTGGTTGGTGCAATGGATTATTCATCATGATTTCCTGCATTTACCAAGAAAGGTCTAGCCAAATTTTGACCTCAGAAGGCAAATTTTACAAAATTGCTTCTCAAAAAGGCCGCCGACTCCTGCAAGTAATCTGCTATTTTTAAGATTTCAATAATTCTAATTACTACTGTACATTTACTTCCTATAAGGTCTCCCAGGCTACCTAAACATCAATTGTATTGCTTTAATATTGACTGGAATTACATAAACTCATTGTGGTAATACCAGCTTCTCAGGCATGAAAATGCAAAAATGAATTAGTTACCATATTGCTCTCAGTTTCTTAGTAGACAGAATCTGTCAAAACATGAGGTGTAGAAAGTAATTCAGTAATAAAGGGCGTCTTTGGTTGTGGAAATTCTGACAGCCGTGTTGTGTGTGTGTACGTGTGCAGGAGCCAGGGGTAGGAACATTTACTAACATGAGCCACCCAGGACTTGGACGACCTACCTTTTGGTAACAGAATTTGATTTTCCATTGGGTATCTGCCTTTTACCCTATGCAGCCTAAATGTTTCTGGAAAATCTGACCCTGGGCCCCACGTAATAACTTGTCAGCTCCAGGGATTCATTTAAGGCCATATTCATATTTCATCTCATTGGTTACAGGGATTAAATTAGTGATGGGCTTGAAACCCAATTCCAACAATAAAAAATGAGAGAAGGTCTGTTAAGATTTCTAAGAAAAAAGCTTCCTCACTTTTCCAAAGAAGCTATCCAGAAAGACATACTCTTCCTGCTACACCTCAATACGGAAGTTTTTAGCAGCCATTTCACAAACATAGAGGATCAACCTTGGCATATAGAGGAAAGAGGGAATGAAATAACCTTTGTGAAATTATGGATTCCTTTTATGGTTTAGGTGTCTTTGAGTTTGTTTCCTGTTACTTGCAACCAAAAATTTCAAATACAGTAAACATGTGAGTGTGCATATATGTGTAAATATGTGTGACACATTGATATGTGCATGTGTTACATCTAGCCATGCATGTGGTATTATGCAGATGTAGATGTGTGTAGATGTGAAAGCAGATGTGTGCATACATGCATGTATGTGTGTATACATGCATGTATGTGTGTATGGTTCACACGTGTCTGTGTATCATAAATCCCTGCACATAAAGGAACTTCAAAACCTTTACTGGATATTTTTTCTAGTTGTCTTGAATGCTGGCCCATATCACCAGCCTGGAAATGAAGATAAATGTGAGATAATTAATGGCAGGCTCAAGTGGGATTCGATTGCATTATTTGCATTTAGTTATTGAAGGCTATGCACCTCATAAGATTTAGCATGAAAGAAATCTAAAACAACAGCAGTACATCACTCAACCTTTCAAAAAGCCATACTGCTGTATAATTAAGGATTTGCTATTGAGTAATTTTCAAAACAAACAAAAATGCTCTGCCCTTCAAGGTGTTGACAGGCTGACACTAACAATGGCAAACAAGTAATCATAAAACCCACTCAATACCACACAAAGCTCAACTGTTGAGCCTAGTGCTTTAAGAATAAACGGCAGTCAGTAGAGGCAGGGCCCTTGGAATCCCTTTTGGGTGCCTTCCAACAAACACCCATAGCTGTGGAATCGAGTTCCAGCAGCAGCATCTTTCAGGACGTTATTCACAGTGCAGCTGCTAGAAACTCTATTTCATTGATCTGATTCGGATTCCTCAGATATGTTGTTTCCACAAACTTGGACTTAGCCAGTTAGGTCATCTTCCCAATAAAAAAACTCTCCCTTGAAACAAGCTAACTCCGTTGTATTCCTACAGAGTATCTGGAGAAGTGTTCAAATGAACTGAGATTATGGTGAGACAAGTAAGGTTCCTCGGGGGCAAAATTTAGGGAACTGCACGCTCTCACTGCAGCTCCAGCATTGAATACCAGAAAGAGAATACTCAAGTTCAAAGGCCTTGTTGTAGACATGAACTGGTGTTATTTCTGAACTATTTGTGGCAACGTACAGGTGTGCCACATGCCTCGGGACTAGGCTGTAGCAATCCACCTAAATCCCATGAGGATTTGCACACTGGAGAGGATCTTTGATTATTAATCTTGCTTCAGGGATTGGATTTGGAACTTCAAAAGCACTTTCCTCCCACAGAAAATCAAGCAATGCATTGGAAGCCCATGATCTGGAAAGGAAGCATAAAAGAATGAAATCGAGCCAAATAAAGTATAAAAACAGAGTGAAACAGAACAATTTTGGTGATAGTAAAATTATTTTAGATCAACTAGACTGGAAAGCCAGCACAGCTTTAGAACTGGGAGAACCTGCCCAGACTTTCCTCTCTTGGGTCCATAATTAAAGACTGCTGCAGAGCCTGGATGCCATCTAAACCCTTCATTTATCCTCCTCCTGCTTCCTGCCACCTGCAGCCCCCTTACAAACACTGTGGACTCTGATTCCTTGACATGTCTTGTGTATGTCAATTTACCTTCATTTCTGTGGCCTCTTCTCTAATCAAAGTCAAAAGAAATCCCTTCAGGGCTAGAAAGGTTTAAATAGGCTCCCAACTTCCAGTTTTGTTCACATCCAACATACTCTACTGCAGCCTGAGTCCTTTCCAAAACACAAATTGTTCAGTGATTGCCTCTGTCCCTGAAGTTCAAACTTCCTGATATTAGCAAGGTCCGCATTATCAGTTTCCTGTCTCCTTCTATTTACACGCACACCAGTGTTCCTCTCATAAGCGTATTTAACTTTTTTCAGCTTTTCAAATCTACTATGATCCATGCTCTTTCTTGGGGCTGATTCTTCACAAATGATGTTTCCTGGTCTGGAACTCTTCTCTCCTTTATCTTGGCTAATCCTTATCTCCTATTGACCAGTTCAAGGTTACTTTTTAAGAACAGACTCCCCAGGACAAGCCAGGTCCCCCAGCACTGTGTTTCCATTGTCTCTTTTATGCCTTTTTGCATAACACTCATATATAACATTTTGTTTTAAAACTTGCTTAGTTGCCTGTCTTCCTCATTAATTCATAACTTCTCTGAGAGTAGGGATTGCCTTAATCAGGCAAGCTAAGAATTAAAGGCTCATTGGGTCTTTTCTCATCAATTCATTCACCAAAAATACATGGAGCATTTACTATGAGCCAGGAACCATACTAAACTCTAGAAAGACAATGGTGAGCCAAGCCAACCCAGTTAGTCCCTGAACATATGGTCCACATTTAAGTCCTCTTATAGTCTACTAATTGAAGTTCCCCAGCTTTGTTTTAATAGCATCCCATTTTTATTCCTTGTTACTTGGGGAAGAATCTAAGAGTAAGTAGACAGTTACCTCTAGTTTTCCTAGAGGTAATGCCTCCTCCCAATACCTTATAGATCCAGAGTAGAGAAACGAAATGGAGAGGCAGAGGGAAGAATCTACCGAAAACTATGGGATGTTGCCCTGCTCTGTTGTGTCCAGGAGGTCATTAATGGGGAAAGGAAACCTCTGAGAGCACTGACTGAAGTGAAATCGGGATTTAGGCTCAGGGAGCAGACAAGGATTCTCCTCAGAGGACTTCATCAGAAAAATGGAAGGTTCCTGATCTTAGCGTAGCTGATGTAAAGTTCCATCCACCCAGTGTGGTGTTCTGATGGTGAGGGGCATCTCCCTGGCTCTGCACCCAACAGAAAGTCTCTCCTCTCCATCTTCTGTAAGGCAACATTGTACTGTACTCACATTCCCTTTTTTGGGGGTCCTCTGAATTGCCCAATGGTACATGGCACAATAACAGCCCTGAACTTAACATTTCATTTCCATAACATTTGGAGCTACCATATAATCTGTTTATTTTAGTGATTATAAAAGATTATTATATTCTCATCTCATGTGTGTTGTATGTGTTTGCATTCTGACTAATGATTTTTTGCATTGTAATGCTCACATACAATAATCAAAATTCACACAACATAAGCCATATATTTGTATTATTCCTGAAATCAAGGTGAGGTCATAAAATATGCAGTGGCAGTCAAAGTCAGTGGGAGGGAGCTTGTGACAAATGCAGATTACCTTGAAAGCTTTGTTTTATGGCACACCTCTCATGTGATTAGTGGTTCACTGCAAAGACAGACATTGCACACACCAACAAAAAGAGAAAACACAAAGACATTACAACTGGGATAAAAACAAAATTCTAGTTTCTTATAATGGCAGAGTAGCTTGATGATGGCAGATTTACCCTATTGCCAACTTCAATTACAAACTCAAAAGGTAACACCAAGAACAACTTTTCGAAGGACCTGAAGATTGTGCAAAAGTGGGTAGAAACTGCAGAAGTTTCAAACCATGAAAGAAGGATTGATCATTTTTTCATTGGGGAAGTGATTTGAATATTGAGTTAGTATTTTCAAATTACGGGTGACATTTCTTTTCTAGAATAATGAGGGGTAGGGGCATAGGCTTGGGTATCAACTGACAAGCCAGACATGAGGCACAGTTTGGTTGTTTTCTAGATACGATTTAAGCTTGGGTGCATTCCTTGACCACCCTAAACCGAAGTGTTTATGTCTGTAAAACAACGGTCATCACTCCTAATTCACAGGATGGTTGCTGGGATTAAATTAGATGATACATGTGAATCCCTGAGAATAATGCCAGGCCCACAGTTGGTACCTTGTCAAAAATAGTCATGGGTAGGGCCTTGCTATTTACTCAAAGTAGTAGCTCGGCTTTCAGATGATTCTGAAGAGAGTATAACCTGGGTTAGACAGGGATTCTTTTCCTAGGAATACAACAGTTAAAATAAGCCAGCTGACAACAGGGTATGATAGGATGGTAATAAACTAGGGGAAGATTAGCAAGTTCTGTTTGTTCATATTTTTCGCTGTGTTCCTGAGTCTTCTGAGACAAGGATTTTTTTTCTCTTGATATTAGAGGGGTGCCCCTCACATGAGGGCCTTATGACCTACTTCAGGAAAAGGTCAGAGAGCGGCCTTCCCAGATTTTATGACCTGCTTCAGGGGAGAAGGCTGAGGGGAAGGTGAGAGTGACTTTCCTGTGTCTCCTGCTTTCTCAAATGTCAAGGGGTCATATTTTGAAATAGTATTGTCCTGAAATTCCATCATAACCTAAAACAAACAAGCAAACAAAAAGCATTTGTTGTCATCACTCATTTTCATATTCCAAACAATATTTGCACTGATGGGTGACAGAATGTGCCACCCCATAGTATGCCACTTTGGCATAAGGATTATTTTGATCTAAAGGCACTTAAAAAATAGCAGAAACAAAAGGACAATCGGCCCTCTCTGTACCAAGAAAAAGGAAATATTCTTGTCACTGGAGACAGGAGAGAACGCCCATGTAGAAAGATGCCTACCTTCCACCAGGAGAGAAGAAACATTTTTGTCACAAGAGACGGGCAGTCAAGGCTGAGAAAAATCTGTACAAACAGATCTTGCTATAACTTGTACCTTCCTTCAGCCTCCCTGTACATTTTAGCTACTTTTACAATTGCCATTCTTTGTTCAACCTAGTATATCAGCACTCAGGTTTTGCCACATCTCTGGGTCTTTGTTTCCTAACAGGGGCTCCCATGGACATGTAAAACTCTGCATGTTTTCCTCCTGTGTATCTATCTTATGTCAATTTAATTCTCAGGCCCAGCTGGAACCTGAAGAGAGTAGAGGTAAACTTTCATCTCCCTGCACTACCCTTGCTGCAATTAAATTTCAGCCCTACAATACAGTTTGAGAAATTCTTTATATGGTTTTGTCATGGAGTTTTCCTAATATCCTTCAGTGAGGCAATCTGAGCTATAAAAATGAGGGAGGAGATAGGGGATATTCAGGAGGTCTGACCCCTTCTATTCTAAAGCATTCAGATATTATTTTTGGAAAGACAAAAGACCAGTCTGCGTTGTCACACTTATTTCTGGATCACTCTCCCCAGCTTGAAGACAGCTTTTGTTTTATTTTTTATTTATTTATTTTTTTTTTGAGACAGAGTCTCATTCTGGCACCCAGGCTGGAGTGCAGTGCACGATCTTGGATCACTGCAACCTCTGCCTCCTGGGTTCAAGCGATTCTCCTGCCTCAGCCTCCTGAGTAGCTGGGATTACAGGTGCGTGTCACCAAGTCCGGCCAATTTTTGTATTTTTAGTAGAGACGGGGTTTCACCATGTTAGTCAGGCTGGTCTCGAACTCCTGACCTTGTGATCCACCCGCCTCAGCCTCCCAAAGTGCTGAGATTACAGGCATGAGCCACCGTGCCCAGCCAACTTTTTTTTATTTCTGCCTCTGCTGCTCAGAAACGTCCAAGTTTCAATTAAAAATGAAAACTGTTTTATGGCATAAATGCTAATGCATAAAGCTAATATTTAGTTTGAAGGGTTTTTTTCCCCCTCAAACCAACTGACCCTTAAATCAATTTTTTTAAAATAATTTGATTGTCAATCATTAAATGACAAACATTGTTGGCCAAGCACGGTGGCTCATGCCTGTAATCCCAGCACTTTGGGAGGCTGAGGCTGGTGGATCCCTTGAGGTCAGGAGACCAAGACCAGCCTGGCCAACATGGCGAAAACCCGACTCTACTAAAAATACAAAAATTAGCTGAGCATGGTGACATGCAACTGTAATCCCAACTACGTGGAAGACTGAGACAGGAGAATCATTGTTTTATCTTTTATTTATTTATTTATTTATGGTTTTTATTTTATTTTTTTGAGACAGAGTCTCAAATCTGAACCCAGGAGGCAGAGGTTGCAATGAGCCAAAATCACACCAGTGCACTCCAGCCTGGGTGACAGTGTGAGACTCCATCTCAAAAAAAAGAAAAAATATATATATTTTTTAAATAAATAAATGCATTATTAAACTTCTCCAAATTGTCTTTTTTTCCCCCCACAATGTTTATTTATTTCATTTCGCCTTTGGTCAATTGAGCTATGTCCATACTATTTTTTCTTTCTAGCTCTCTCTCATGGTATTCTTTTCTCTTCTCATGCACACAGATCTAGACTTCCAAAAACTCTAGTGACTGGAATTTTGTGGCAGCAGAAAGCAGGACACTCACCAAAGATCTTTCTCCTTCATGGCAACCACCCATATACATCTCCACCAAAAATAAAAAGCCTCACACATTTAAAAGAACTGTGATTATTTTACCTAATTTTTTGATGCTTTAAACAGAACTGTCTGTTTTGTCAGGCTGAGGAAAAAAAGATATTTTTATTTGCAATATCGTCCACAAATATGCTACATATGGTTTTTATAGCTAAAAACGCATCTTCTCCTCCAAGTGTAAATATTTTCTTGGGATGAGAAATCCAATAAAACCACAGATCCCTAGCCTTTGTGGTTGGTATAAACAGGCCCTGCTTTTTGAACTTTCAGTCTCCAAATGTGACAGCCACAGATTTTATTTTATAGGTTACTCTTTGCATTTTTAAAAAATGTGTTTGCAAGATTTATTCATCTGTGGTTAAATGTTTCCATGTCTCTGAAGTCACCTGCTAGGATCGGCCCCACTTTACATACGGGAAATCATTTATGGGAAGTGAACAATATTTCCTTTGTAGCTTTAACCACAAGCTGGCTCAGCCTCACCTTCACAATTAACTGAGTTTCCAAAATTATTTTCCTGGTGTGCACTGGGATTCTTTTCTTCTCTAAGAAATAGAGAACAGAATTGCCTTATCCCAAGCCCATGCTGTAGCTTTTAAATGTCAACAACACTTGCACTCTTCTGAAATGCTTAGCTGAGCCCCTGAGGAAGTGCGCTGTAGTATAAAGAATCCGTAGATGCAGCAAAGTTTACTTCTCCAGGTCTCAATTTTCATATGTATTCATTTCCTACCACCCTTTCCCCTTTGGCTTTTTACAAGATATATTTCCAAAATGTGGTTATGTCTTGGTGTTGAGGCTATGACAATATTTATTTTCATTTACATTTGTGCTTTTACAAATGTTGTACAATAAGTAGGCATTATATGTCAGTAAGGGGAAAATATTGTTCTTGAAATAAGACCACATGAAGAGTGGATAAATTCTACAGAACCATCAACAGACCCTGATTCTAATCATTAGTATTTTTCAAAGCAGGTTTTATGTGCATTTCTCTTCACCCAACTAGAAGACAGAAGAAAAACAGCTACACAGGCTTACTGTTCTCTCTCGAGCACTTGCAACAACTGTTTGGAATGGCAACATAGATGCATTGAGTAATAAAGTCACAACTTGCTGCCAATCATTTTGGGCTAAATAAAGCTAACATTCCAGAAGCTCTTGCCCTTCTACTACTCCTTTTTTGTGCACTTCAGCATATCATTTTATTTATTTATTTATTTATTTGGAAGGGGAAATGTTTGTAGTGCAGCTGTTCTCTGTGTCATATGACATAGCAGTTAACTACCCACAGTGTCTTGCCAGGACTCTCTCCCCCTTTTCTACAGTGGTCAGAGGAAAGGAACACCTTCATTCAGAATCATAAAATATAGCACTAAAAAGGCTCTGTTCATGGAATTTGGAGAGGAATCCTCAGTTAGAGTCATGGAGTCTTTTGAGATGGAAATGATATTAGGGGTCATTTAGTAAGGCACAACATTTATAAAGGAAGAAGAGAACCAGAGAACTGCCTGAAGGAGCTCTGTAATAAGTCATCAAAGCCAGCACTCAAGTCCAACTTTTTTCATTCCAAGTCCTATCTTTCTTTCCAGCATTTTAATTCCCCATTCGAAGACAGAGTCTATTATTATTCTTGCAGGCAGAGCATATTTCTACCTTAGAGTTCATATACCAGAAGAGCTTTGCCCAAATTTACTTTGATGTTTTAGCATGCTGGGACATCAGAGAATTCTATATTCCTTTTTATAGGCACATTCACTTGGTGGTTCCACTTTCCAATAGGCGTGTTTCCAACAACAACCAAAGGAGCAGAAAAATTACATTCCTGGCCAAAGTCTATTCACTCCATTCCTATTTTTTTTACTCCTGGCCAAAGTCTATTCACTCCATTCCTATTTTTTTTACTCCTGGCCAAAGTCTATTCACTCCATTCCTATTTTTTTTTACTCCTGGCCAAAGTCTATTCACTCCATTCTTACTTTGTTTTTTGTTTTGTTTTGTTTGTTTTTTTTTTGAGACCAAGTCTCACTCTGTCACCCAGGCTAGAGCGCAGTGGCATGATCTCAGCTCACTGCAACATCCGCCTCCCGGGTTCAAGAGATTCTCGTGCCTCAGCCTCCAGAGTAGCTTGGACTATAGGCAGGCACCACCACACCCAGCTAATTTTTTTGTATTTTTAGTAGAGATGGGGTTTCACCATGTTGGCCAGGCTGGTCTCCAACTCCCTCCTCTGCCCACCTTTGCCTCCCAAAGTGCTGGGATTACAGATGTGAGCCATTGTGCCAGCCCACTCCATTCCAAGAAGGAGGAGGAGAAGAAGAGGAAGAAGAAGAAGAAGAAGGAGGAGGAGGAGAAAGAGGAGGAGAAGGAGGAGGAGAAAAAAAGTAGAAATTACTGCCTCTACTTTTTCCCTTTCTCTGGTATAAAAGTAAAAGTAGCAAAGAGATAAATAACTCTGGAAATATGTTTTGATATATGCTTGGCACTGGATTTAATAACCACAGTGAAGAAAACCCGTGATATTTTGGTTCACTCAAAAATAATTGGTAGCAACCACGTTGACTAGAAAACAGTAAACCAGGTTTCCAAACCAAGAGGGAGATTTCAAGTGAACAGCATATTTTAGGCAAATATCTCTTGCCAGGGTCAACATACTACCAGAATTCTGGCACTCCATTTTGTTGGATCAGCACTATACTTAAAGAAGAGAACACTACCAAAATGCTTTTTTTTAAAAAAGTTCCCATTATTTAAATGATGTTATAAAAAGAAGACAAAGAATCTACTTGGGTTAATTTACATAGCTTAGAATAATACTTTTTGAAGATAGCTTGCCTTTGACAAGGTATGGAATGGTGTGATACGTTTACTACCCCATCAAAGGGTCATGACTGACAGTCTTATGAGAAAAGACAGATTAAATGGATGGAACTGGAGGAACATTATGTTAAGTGAATTAAGCCAGAAACAGAAAGTTAAACACTGCATCTTCTTACTCAGATGTGGAAGCTAAAAAAAGTTGATCTCATGGAAGTAAAAAGTAGAACAGAGGATACTAGAGGCTGGGAAGAGTAGGGAGAAGAGGTGGGGGATTGAGAGAGATTTGTTAAAAAATAAAAATTTCAGCCAGGCACGGTGGCTCATGCCTGTAATCCTAGCACTTTGGGAGGCCGAGGCGGGTGGATCATGGGGTCAGGAGTTCGAGATCAGCCTGTTCAATATGGTGAGACCCCCATTCCTACTAAAAAATACAAAAATTAACCAGGCGTGGTGGCACGTGCCTGTAGTTCCAGCTACTCGGGAGGCTGAGGCAAGAGAATCACTTGAACCTGGGAGGCGGAGGTTGCAGTGAGCTGAGATGGCACCACTGCACTCCCAGCCTGCGTGACAGAGTGAGACTCCATCTCAAAAAAATAAATAAATAAAAATAAAACTAAAAAATTATAACTAGATAGGATAAATTAGTTCTAGTATTCTATAGAACTGTAGGATGACTATACTTAACAATAATAATATCTAGTCTCAAATAGCTAGAAAGAGGATATTGCATGTTCCCAAAACAAAAAAATGATAAATATATGTTAACTACCTTGATCTGATCACTATACATTATACCTATCAAAACATCACTATGTACCTCAAATACATACAAATATTATGTGTCAATTTTAAAAGCTTATTTTAAAACACAGGTTAATAAAAGTATAACAAATTTATTTAATCACAGTTTTATGTGACACAGGGGACTTCGGGTATGAAGACTCAGAGACCCAGGAAAAACTGACATTTTTTTATGCTTAGATTAAATGAAGAATGGACAGCCATGTAGAAATATGACTGGACAAAAGGGTATGATCTAATGGTAACAGGGGGAAACCCAGCAAGGCCAGACTATTCAGATACTTCTTGGCCTCCCTATGTAGCATTTCTTCCTCCTGGGTACGGGACAAGATCCATCTGAAATGATTTGCTTCAAAGGAAAAGAGGGAGTGTGATTTGTTTAGGTTTTATGACTTGCTTTGGGGAAGATGAGTTTGTATGACCCACCTTAGGGGAAAAGAATATTGCTTTCTATGAATCAATTCCAAGGGAGAAAAAAGCAGGAGATAGGAGGATGGGAAAAAGGCAGAAAGACTTTGTTTCTGAGGCCCTTCCAATCTACTTCAGTTCAAAGTACTCAGTGCACCAAGGTGCTGTACTTTGGGGTATCACTTCCTGAGCCCCAACAACAGTCATGCCACAACAGGCAGGAAAAAAGTCATGCTTCTCTACACCAGCTGAAGTCAGCTGCAGCACTTGAGTTTTCCACCTCAGCTTAAATGTCACATTCCAGAACACAGCTCCAGTCTAGACACCTGCACTACAGGGTGAGATTTGGTAAAAGATAGGGTAGATATTCCAAACCAAGACTTGACCATTTATGCCTCTTTTTCTTTAACACCTAATCCATAGATAAACTACAGATGATTTGAGGAAGAAGGAGAGGTCAGAAAAACAGACAGGCAGCTATGTCATTCTTTCAGTAACTGTTGACAATATGTATGGGACTTGGGTTCACAATGCCCAAGCCTGGGACAGGTTTAACCACTTCAGTTTATCTTAAGACTTTTCTCATTCTTCATAGTGAAACCAGGTATTCATGAGGGAGGCGGAAGGGAATCAAGTGTAACCAGGCATTATTCTACCCACTTTGCAAAGCTGACTTAGATCCTCTTCACAACAGTCCTAAAGGCTTGAAGTCTTATTTTCTTTTTACAGATTTAGAAATGTGAGTTTATCAAGACTAAGCAATCTGATGAATTCAAAGCTAGAAAGGAGTGGAATCGGGATTTATTTGACTGTAAAATCTATTGGCTTCGGCACAGGTCATGACTCTTCCTTAAACCACTAAACACTCAAAGCTAAGCTCCAATGTGTGAAGAGGGTGTGAAGATTTTGGCTCTTCACTCTGCAAGAGGACAACCATTGCAGCCCTACCCATTCTGCCTTTTGTGAGGCTAAATTTTTTTTTAAAATCATCATTTTCCATTTAGGCAAAATCCAGACTTTTCCTAACAAAATGTGGCTGAGAAGGAAGAGGCTTCCCATAGAAGTAAGATTGTGTATTTACATCAATAGGTGAAAGGAAAGTTATTTGGAATGTGGGAACTGTGGTTTTATTGTGTGGGAATCACTAGAGATTAAGACCCAAGTACCATCCTCCTTTTCTTCTGGACACTCACAGAAGCATAAATCACCTTCATTTGGAGCTCTGACTTCTGACTTTCTAGACTGTTACCACCTTTATTTAAAAGGTTATACTAACAGACTGTTTCCTTTGTCTAAAAGAGGTTGCAGTTTCTTTTCATAGGTAGATTTTAAGATCCTTGAGTACTTGGGCCCTATGTTAACTATTGTGGTATCTACAAATAACCTGTCCTTGCCCTCCTGGGATTCTCACTGAATAAGGGAAGCAGGGAGGGAAGGAAGGATTAGGGGAAAAAAGTAAGGTTTGGTGAAAAAAAGAAAGAAAGAGAGAGAGAAAGGGAAGGAAAGGAAGGAAGGAAGGAAGGAAGGAAGGGAAAGAGAAAGAAAGAAAGAAAGAAAGAAAGAAAGAAAGAAAGAAAGAAAGAAAGAAAGAAAAGAGAGAGAAAGAAAGAGAAAGAAAGAAAGAAAAAGAAAGAAGGAAGGAGAGAGAGAAAGAAAGAAAAGAGAAGGAAGGAGAGAGAGAAAGAGAAAGAGAGGGAGGAAGGAGGGAAGGAGGGAAGGAAGGAAGGAGGGGAGGGAGGAAGGGAGGGAGGAAGGGGGGAGGGGAGGGAGGGAGGGAGGGAGGGAAATGGACTCAAACCCAGCTTTCTACAGCTCTGCCACATCTTTGCATGTCCATCTTCCATGAATCATCTTGGTCATTCTTTCTCATCTTGAGGCCTCCCTTAATCTCTCTAAAACCCATAAATTGAATAGACAATCACTTACTTGTGGCTCAAATGTACTTCATCAGCAAAAGTTAATTTTCTGTTGGTGAACAAGCCCAGGCCCTAAGACCTCACAATTTGTGACCTGTTCATGATTTATAAGTCACTGCAAAAAAAAAAAAAAAAAACAGTTCCAGCAGCTGCATCTGATACCCATGGCAAGCATCACAGCAGCGGGTGGAGGTACCTTTTGCTGTAATTATATGAAGACAAAGCAAAGAAAGGTAAAATGTTGGTTGTTTTTATTTAGGATCAGAAAGTATCTTAGAGAGTATTTCCACTTGCCTTAGTTTATAAATTAGAAATTTAAGACAGGTGTTGACAGTTATAAGATCCATGGGAATCAGTCCCAGAATTAATTGCTTTCTACTTGCTCTTAACATGAACAATGCTAGGTCGGGTGGAGGGTGCTCATAAAGGGATTAGAATCTACAAAGATCATCTTAACAGCCACTGGGAAGCCTGTAAATTCGAATTATTACTTTCACATAAATCACTGCATAGATTTGCATTGTGATTGTTATTATAAAGCATTGTTATAGATATCCAGTCAAGCCCAGAAATAATTATGTTATCTTAAAAATGTCACTTATTTTGCATGTATATTAACTATTAAAATAATTAATTGGGAGGCCACTAGGCTGAGACAACTTCAGTGCCTTTTGTTCCTACTAAACAGACCAAAACCCAAAACATGCCAGGGCCAACCATGAGGATACTCAGAAAATTCCCAACCCGGAGTCAGATCTGAATAACCATTAGGAACAAAGTGGGCTTGGGAACATTTCCTAAGATTTATTTCTCAAGGTTCCTCAACTGCCTGCCACTTTTATTGTTTAAGGATCAGGTGAATCCTACAACCTGTTATAAAATAAAAAACATGATACACAGGTAAAATTGGGCTATTGGTTTTAATGTTGATTTTGAGAAAAATTAATCTAACAATACTTTTAATTAAAGTTTGTTATAAATTAATTCTATATCAACTTCCAACTTCTTAAAACACACTTTTGATTATAGGTTCTGTCAGTGAATCCTCCAAGTAAAACAAAACTCCTTAGCCTGGAAGTCAAAGCTTTCCTAGATTTGGCAGAGCATCTTTTCTCAGACTCATATACCTAAGTCTGGTCAAACTGAATGACTATTCATGATTTATATTCACAGACCGAATATTTATTTATTCCTTTTCTAGTGTTGTTTCTGCTGTGTGGAATACTTTTTCTTCTCCATCTCCATTTGTCTAATTCTTACTCATCCTTCAAGTTTCAAACATCATTCATATGAGATTCTATCTAATTTCCCTAGAGTCAACATTATTTTTTTTTCATTCTCTGAACTAGTGTTTTATTTATATTATGTGAAATCAAAGCTCATCTGACATGTCACTTCATGTCAGCAACCATAACAAATGAGTCTCTCTTGCCCAAATCGACTCTGCTTCTCTCTCCCAGGTGTGCTTGCATATTCTGTCTCTACAATCTATGATGCCCTCTATCTATTCATTCACTTGGTGAGCTTCTTATCCTGCAAGCCTCAGTCCAAGTGCCACCTTGTCAGCCAGGACTCCTATAGGCAGGTGAAGTAAATTCTCCCCACCATACCACAGCACCGAACTGACTTCAAGAAGTAGTAGAAGAAGGTATAGTTATTTTGTGTATGTGTGAGTGTGTGCATCTGTGTGTTTTATTTTTAGAGATAGGGTCTTGCTATGTTGCCCAGGCAGGAGTGCAGTGGCTATTCACAGGTGCAATCAGAGAACACCACAGTCTCAAAACTCCTCGCTTCATGAGATCCTCTTGCCACAGCTTCCTGTAGCTAGGACTACAGGTGCATACCACCACATTCAACTAAGAAGTTGTATTTTTTAACCCATGACAACGCTGTATTTCAATCCTAGCTCAGTCGCTCACCAATCTGATTATTTTGATTAAATCTACTCTAAACTTGTATTTTCTCCATTAAAAACTAAGGCAGGAGAGAGAGAAAAAAAGAACATACTAGAGAAACTACAACAGCTTACAAAATCATGCGAATGTGTGAACACATGAAAAATTGAGGAAATAAATAAGCCACAAATATCCACATGTCTCTGTGTTCATTCCTATCATAATACATCACAATTACTTTTATATTGATGCTCTCTCTGGACCATGGGCCCCTGGAAGGTAGCTCTCCTAAGTAGCATAGAACTTTGGAGCTTGATAAATACCTGGGTTTGAATCAGCTCTGTGGTTTACCAACTGTGAGAACAGGAAGCAAAATACTTCATCTCTTTATGCCTCAATTTTACTACCTGTAATATGCATGTACTAAAATTGGGTGGGTTGTTGTAAAAATCAGGTAGGTATAAATAAGCTCAGGAAAAATAAATCTAGCAAAATGATACTTCTCAAAATATAATTTATTATATTAGTAATTACAGTAGCTAATTGTAGGACATAGAAGATGCTAAATAAATGTTTCATGAATGAAGAAATGAGAAGACTATAAAGCACTATGCAAAGATTAAGAAGTATTTTGACTGTTGATTTGATGTGATTATTTCAACTCTAAGATCCAGTTCCCACCTAATAAGGTAATTTGTTTATTTCTGTGGTTAGCCTGTAAAAACCTGCTCCTCATGCTGCTAAAGTGAAGCTCTCTGAACTTCTTCCAGTTTTGAGTGCTGCCCAATTCACAAATTTTTTATGTGAAAATAAACTCTGTTAAATTTATTTTGTGTGAAGTTTTTCTTTTAACATAACCAAGCCCCCCTAACACCCTTGCTCTTGAACAATAACAACAAAAACCAGTAAGGTGTACTGGTTACAAGCACATGCTCTGTTCCATGAGTTGAAATTCAGGATCTGGTACTCAATAGCTGTTAAGTACTTAAAGTCAAATTATGTTTCAGTTTCTTCAACTACAAAACAGAGATAGTACATATTTTTGAGAGTTATTACAATTAACTTATTTCATTTACAGGGAATATTTAGAACTATTTCTGATATATAATCATCATGGGTGATTATATACACATTTATTTCATATGTATGAATTCATCATTTATGTAATGGTTAAATATGATTTAATTAATACTCCAAGTCTTTGTAAATTTAACTCCAGGATCCAGATAAAAGAGATTTCATCTCTTTTCGAAATGTGCTGGAAAATATCTCTACGTGAATGATTAAAGTTTATTTTTGGGCAATGAGACAATCTACGTAGGAGACCAAAGCATTCTTCAGCAGGCTTCTGTGGGTCCAAATAAAGAATGTTGAATTTTTATCTTCTAGAGATTATTTTTCCTAAATACCCTTCTCAATCTGTACAACCAACATACAGACATTAGTTAAGAGTCTAATATTTGGCATTTGTAAAACAAGAGCTTTGGGGTTAACTAAAGTTATAAGATTCCTTTAAGGACTAAGGTGCTCAGCATGTTGCTGCATTCCATGAAAAAATGAAGTATGAGGCATGTTCCTTTCCTACAAAAAGCATGTAGTATGCAGAGCAAATATTTTTAAATTAAATAAGAAAGAAAGAACTACTGAGTAGAATAAAAGCCTATTTATCTTGGCTTAAAACTGAAAACCCAATATATTCTTACTCTGGGCTATTTTTTTGTGTGGCCTGAATCTTCTGATTCTCCCTCATTCTATACATTGCAATATATCATGTACACAATTTAAACACCCAGTTTTACACCAAAGGCATTTCCATGAGTCATCTCTTGACTGCTTCTTGCTTATCTCATGCACGCTTCTGACAGCCTAACAGCATCACCATTCTGAGATGTTTCACTCTCTTCAAGTTCTCATGTCTTTCCCAGCATCCACTTTATCTTGGACATGTGCCTGTTCACTCACTTCAAATATGTCAGCAGTAAAGGTGACAGTGGGTTTTGGTGTCAAAAATAGAGAAATGAAGCACACTTTTTACTCTCATTGAAAGAGCTTTTAAGATCATTTAGTTTTAAAGTTTATGAGCTGTAAGAATTACCCATTTCATACAATTTATGCCGCTATGTATCTTCCTTAACATTTTCTTAAATAACTGATTTTTTGTATCCCTTTCATTTTTAATATATTTTAATGCTAATTTAATATAAACTATTTTACATGATTTGTACGTCTATCCTATCTCCCCTAAAAACAGCCAACAGTTTTAAGTGCCTCATATATATTAGACACTGTTCTATGTCATTTAATCCTCCAAAAATAACTACCTGAGAAAAGCATTATTATTAACTCCATATTATAGATAAGAAAATGGAGGTTAAGTAAAGGCATATAATTTGGCCAAAGACTTATAGTCAGGAAACAGAAGAGCAGGATTGAAACTCAGTTTTTCTGACTCCGAGTCCTGAATCTTTCATTTCTATGTCTTAGCAGCTTCTCCGGCAGTTTGGGTATTCCTTTAGAACAGAAGCAGTGTATTGCTCTAATTTGCGTATCTCTTCCTAACACTCAGCACAAGAGCCTCTTGTGTAGTAGCTTCTTATTAAATATTTGAGAAGAAGGAGGAGGAGGAAAAAGAGGAGAAGAAATGAAAGGAGGAGGAAGGAAGGAAGGGAGGGAGGGAGGGGGAACGGAGGGAGGGTAGGAGGAAGGAAGGAAGGGAGTGAGGGAAGCAGGAAGGAAGAAAGGAAGAAGGAAGAAAGGAAGGAAGGAGAAAGGAGATGGATTCCAAGAATGGTATAATGACTGTAAGAAGGTTTAGTCTTTCTTAAAGATATCTCCCTGCTTCACAAAACCTTGAGCTCCAGCCAACAGCACCCACTACTCACCATTCCCAGCTTCCTGAGTAGGGGATAATAATGGGAGGTGAACAGGCAATGTGTTTCTAATTTTCTGCATGGATGCCTTAGTTACTATTAAGATATTGTCAAAGGGAAGTAATTTCAAAGAAGAGAAGCTAGCCTGATTAAGAAATTCGATTAAGATTTACTTTTGAGAAAATATTAAAAGCTTAGAGAAAAAAGAGATTAAGATTGGGAGCCATTAAAGGACCCCCTCAGATATCAAAATGGCAGAAGACAACTGCTCACTGACACAGCACAAAGCCTTTATATTGACATCTTTTATAATAGTAATCACAAGCATGCATTTTCAGCATGTCCAAGGCCAAGCATACCCATATTAGCTGCAATTCTAACAAGCTTCATGTTTCACTTCAAAGTCTGGAGGTTCTCTGTATAATCAGACAAGTCTCCCTGCCTTCTCTTGCTAGGCCACTAAGGGCTTAGGTCCTAATCTTAGCACATGAAATTAGCCTAATCCTGCCCCTTGAGATCCTGTGAATTCTTTTTTCTGTCCTTAGAGATTTGCTGAGACCAAAATAACTACCCCAACCACCTCTTACCTAAAAGATCATTACTTTTAACCAAGAAGCACTATATGTCAAGCTCCTTGCCTGTGGAGTCCCTCGCAGACCATCAAATCATTCAAAACACACTTCTTGAACACTTGGACACAGGAAGGGGAACATCACACACAGGGGCCAGTTGTGGGGTGGGGGGAGGGGGGAGGGATAGCATTAGGAGATATACCTAATGTAAATGACAAGTTAATGGGTGCAGCACACCAACATGGCACACGTATACATATGTAACAAACCTGCACGTTGTGCACATGTACCCTAGAACTTGAAGTATAATTAAAAAAAAAAAAAAAAAAAATATATATATATATATATATATATATATAAAACACTTCTCTTCCTGCCAGTGCTACCCTATAGTTGATGAACTGGCATTTGGCCTCAGGAGCATAGCCAAGAAAGGATGTCAGAGACTGGTCTTCCAGGGAGATCTCAGAGTTGGGTCCTCTGGTAACAGCTCACATCTGTATTCCTTGACCTTTACAAATCCTACCTGTTTCTATGTCTGGGTTTTATATCTTCAGCAGAATTTGAAAGCTGTCAAATTTACTCAAAATGGGCTCTGGCCACTCATTCTCTGGCCAGTTCAAATATTCTCTCACATGGTGTTCCTAACACTAGCTAAGTAAGGAGAAAGCTGTCAAGGTGACTACTGGCAGAACAGCAGCCAGTAGGGAATGCCTCAACAAGTCTACTACAGTTGAAATATTTGAAATCCCTGGGAAAGACAAGGCATAAGAAATTGAAATTACCAGGAAAGTAGAGGGTCCTTTTAATTTTTTTTTCTTCCTAATTTTCCTTCAGGGTAAGAAGCAAGGTCTCAAATTTCAAAAGCCCACACTTCTATAGATTAAAAAAAATAGTGGTATTGCCACCCAAGGATTTTATAAGACAAATGAAAGCTTTCATGTTCTTGTACACATGTGTGTGCTGAACATTTATAGAATATCTCAGTTGGTGAGACAGAACAATGTCTTTCTCAATTTACAGGAAGAAATGTGAAACTGAAAGTGACAACAGTTTGCAACTTTCCACTTCCCACCAAGATCTATGTAATAATATTCTACTTTTAGAAACCCCAAAGTGTACATATGTTTGAGGAATGCAGGGATATGCCAAAAAACACAACATGCCCTGGAATTAGACATTAGAATTAGGTTATGTTCTAATGTTACATCTCCTTTTCTCAACTCAGTAAACTCCCAAGAATTGCAAAATAATTCTATCATAATACTTTTGGGTTTGTTTGTATGTAAATTGTATTCCATTTAAAATAACTTTTACTTTTTTGTTTCTAAAATAATGAAGAATTATTGTAGATGTGTTAGAAAGATTAAAGAAACAAAAATAAGAAAATAGGAATCACACTCCCAGAGGTAATTAACATTTAACATCTTGAAGTACATCCTATCAGTCACCGTGTTATGTTTTGTTCTTTTAAACAAGAGAACCCCCTTTTATTACATAATTCTTCACAATGTTCTTCTGTAAGACAGAAAATGGCTATTTTATACCATTTTTAATATCTGTAGAGTAGAGCTGAGGGAGCAGAAAGATGGGGCATAGCATCTTTATGTATTTTCATGTGTATAAAGTCCAAGAAAATTTTTTAAAGCTAAAGGCTACTTAAAATTAAATATGGTTAAATGAATACTCTTTACTTTGTGTTCAAGCCTTCTTTCTAATAATCTTAAAATAACAATGTAAGGATAAATTGACAAACAGAATGAGAAGAGATAACAAAGTGTGAGAAACTGGAAAGCAATTGGACAAGTATTAACAGATTTAGCAAAACAGAGAAAAACAAAACCAAAGCTACCAGTAGGAGACAGCGTAGAAGCAAGCTGGCAAGCTGACTTAGCCCTTGGAATTCCAAAATCTAAAAATGATATTGTTGGTAGGGTTGAGCAATGAAGGATTTACCAAAAATATGTCTTATAAGCAGCAAGATAAGATCCAGTGCTGTGCTGGTAACCAGCTCCCTACTCCACCCCACCCCCAATAAAAAGCCCTGTTCGCCAGTTTTCATGACGTAAATATTCCCATCATGGCCAATTTCAAGCTATCAATATAATGTTACTCAACACAGAACTGGGAAGACATGAACACATGTCTTCCAGAGAGCTGGCTCAAGCCAGCTCCATCACACCTCTTATTTGACCCTATTAAGCAGTAGAGGAATTATCCTTTTTTTTCTGCAACCAAAGAATGGCTGCTTATTCTCTGAAGAAATGTCAGAGACACAGGACTCAGAGACATGAGGTTTAATTAAGAAGAAGTTACAGCATGAAAAGGGTGACTATATGGAAATGTATTTATGGTGCAGCCTCTTTCTTTTCCTGCTTTCCAGAACTGTCTACTGGCTGCAGATAAGAGAATCTCTTTATGGGGGAACTGAAAACAGAAGAAAAATCAAGGGATAATGGCATTTGAGGGTTCCTCAATGACCGCCCAGCCACATCACACCGGAGTGGAGCCCCAACCTGAGAGGCTCTTACCCAGAGCTTCCAGTCGGCATTTCAGTGGATCACTTTTAAAAATAAATGGTGATGGGGTGATGGAAATGCTACCCCCAAAATATGACATCTTGGAATACTGAGTATTTTAAGTTGAAGGAAATTGAGAAAATTGCAGAAGCAGAAAGGTCTTTGTGATCTTCTCTTTCTCTGATTTCTCCTACCTTTCTCTCCTGAGGTCATAAAAAGAATTCTCTGGCTTACTTCCCCTCAAAGCATGTGGTGTGACCTGATATGACCCTCATTCCAGAGGGATTCTTCCTTATACCTGGAGGCAAAGAACAATCTGAACAAACAGGCCTTGCTAAGTTCCCCCTAGTTTATATCCATTAGATCATACCCTTTTGTCCTCCAATCACACTTTTGCACAGATCCATAACAATATTTAGTTTTCCCTGGGTCTTTAGATCATTTATGAAGGCTCTTGTGCCATATAAAATGTTGATGAAATTAATTTGTTATGTTTTTCTCTTGTTAATCTGTCTCGTTAGAGGAATGTCAGTCTTGAATCTTGTGATGGGTAAGAAAAGGAGAATCCTTTTTCTCCTTTAAAATGGAAAGTTATATTGGTGCTGGTATTACAATTATTGAGATAGGATCTCACTGTCACCAAGGCTATAGTGCAGTGGTGTGATCTCAACTCACTGTAGCCTCTGCTTCCTGGGCTCAAGTGATCCTCCCACCTTCGCCTCCCAAGTAGCTGGGAGAACCATAAAAGAACAACATAAAATTAGCCACCATGCCCAGCTAATTTTTATATTTTTTGTAGATATGGGGTTTCACCATGTTGCCCATGTGGGTCCAGAACTCCTGGGTTCAAGTGATCCTCCCACCTTGGCCTCCCAAAGTGCCAGGATTAAAGGTATGAGCCACTATGCCTTTACTGGTAATATTAGTCTTGTTATTCTGACACTACTATGTATAATGTGGGATGAGCATACATGTAATTTTGAGACATTCTATCATCCCCTGCGTCCTTAAGACCAGAAAAAGGAGGGTAAATGTAACATAGAAAGACTTCAACCCTCACATTTATAGTCAATTGATTTTTGTCAAAGATGTCAATGACTTGTCATCTTTGAGGAAAGGCAAATGTCAAGACAACTGGATTTTTATACACTGAAAATATAAACTTTAATTCAGACCTCACACCATCTATAAAAATTAACTCAAAAATGGATTATAGACTTAAATATTGGAGCTAAAGCTATTAAACAATTAGAAAAAAAAATAGAAGGTAATCCTCATGACCTTGGATTAAGCAAATATTTCTCAGATATGACACCAAAAGCAAAATGTGTTAAATGAAAAAATGATAAATTGGGTATCTTTGATAAATTTTATCAAAATTAAAATCTTTTTACCTTCAAAATATATCGTTTAATAATGAAAAGGCAAGACACTGACTGGGATAAAATATTTGCAACATATATAACTAAGAAAAGACTAGTACTCATGGTAAAAAAAAAAAAAAAGACTTTTTATAACTCAGTAAGAAGCCAAACAATCCAGTTTTTTAAAAAAGGACAAAAGATTTGAATAGACATAAAGAAAAATGCAAACGTGATCGAGAAGTTCATGAAAAGATGTTCAACATGAGTAATCATCAGGAAAAATCAAACTAAAATCACAATGAAATACTACTTCACAGAGACTAGAAAAGCTATAATCAAAAAGAATGACAATACCAAATATTGGTCAGGATTTGCTAATGGGAGAACACCTTGAAATTTTGGAAATCAATATGGCTACTTCTTAAAAACGTAAACAGAAACTTACCACACAACGTAGCAATTCCATCCTAGGCATTTACTTGAGAGGAATGAAAACTGATGTCCACCAAAGATGTGAATGATCGTGGCAGCATTATTTATAATAGCCAAAAAGCTGGAAGCCTCTCAAACAGCCAACAACTGGTGAAAAGATAAACAAAATGTGATCTATCCATAAAATAAGATAGTAGTCAATCACCAAAAGAAATGAATTACTTTTTACATACTACAACATGGGTGGGCCTCAAAAATATTACACTTAGTGAAAGAAGCCCAACATAAATGATTGCAAATACTAGATTATTTATACGGAATTTTCAGAAAAACAAATCATAGAGACAGAAAGCAGATCAATGCTTGCCTGGGGCTGGGATTGGGGGTGGTAATTGCCTTTGAGGGAACCCTTTGTGTTGATAGAAAGTTTCTAAGGCGGGATTGCGGTGCTGGCTGCACAACTTTGTAAATTTACTAAAAGTTACTGAATTGTGCAGTGATAATGGGTGAATTTTATGGTATGTAAATTATACCTCAATAAAGCCATTTTAAAAATAGAGAGATTCACAAAGCTTATTTAAAAAGTGAACAAGAATGAACTTTGGTGTCTCTCATGTACACTTTGGTGGTGAATCTACACAGAAGTAAAAGGAAGTGATTATTACCTCATCTTTCATTTTATATTTATCCCAGTTTACCTTAATGTTCATCATCCCATGGGTAAAAACGATATACTAACAGATGGTCCAAATTTCCTAATTTTAGAACTATCCGTTTCTGTGGGATTTCCTGCTTCCTGTAAACTCTTCAATAGCTAATTCTAGAAGTCCATGTGAGTGTCTCACTGGGTTCATAAACTGAGCTCTCAATCCAAATTATCTCATGGAATCAACTATGTTCTTCCTCCCATTGTCCAACTCCTTTTGTTGATATACATGTATAAGCTATAAAATATAAATTACATACTTTTGGTGATTCCACATGTGAGTTAAATGCTCTTATAGTTGCATTTAAAATTGGCATTGCACAATATAAAGACAAATGATAAAGCCTATGCTAATAATTAACTTTTTCAAGTTATGATGACATGAAATGGCAAATAACCATAAAATTTCGAGAGAGCCTGTAGAAGAAAATAACTTTATATTTAAGCATCGTTAATACTTTTCTTCAGCTTTTTCAAAAGGGGTCTTACATTTTCATTTTACACCAGATCCCAGAAATTTATAGCTGGCTTTAACCCAAAGGGAGCATTTTGATTCAGACAATGACGCTTAGGTATGACAAGTTAGGTCAAACACTGATAATTAGAGAGGGTGTCCAAATATTTTGGTTTTTACCTAAGACCTAGGACTTATGCACAGGCCTGCCACCTACACTGGCAGAGTACAGGACAATAGCAAAAATGGAGAGTCATACGCAATATGGCTAAATATCAGAAGATATAAGTCATGTTAACAAACTCTTAAATAAAATAAAATATGTTCTGCTCTTTCACCTTGAAAAAAATTATTCCTATGTTACAACTGGAAGGCCAGACACAAATTTAGAAGTCTAAGACTTCTTAGAATTCTGTTTCAGGATGTGAAAATGTGGGGATCGGCATCCCTGACCCCCAAGCCCCAGCTGTGCCATGCGCCCATTTTCTCTCCACCTCTTGCTTCATCCCATACCAAATGGGTCTCATGCTATGTGCAGACACCAGAGCCCGCACACGTTTAGACAACCAGATCTCTCGAGAACTTACTTACTATCATGAGAAGAGCACCAAGTGGATAATGCTAAACCATTCACAAGAAATCTACCCCCATGAACCAGTCATCTCCTACCAGGCCTCACCTCCAACACTGGGGATTACATTTTATATTTCAACATGAGATGTGGGTGGGGCGACATCCAAACTAGATTCTATTATTCTCAGCATTCTATTATTTCCATCTAAACAAGAGTATCAAATTGCTTATTTATGTAGCTGAGGGAGAATGCTAAGACACACACACACACACACACACACACACACACACACACTGCATTTCAGAGAACAATCTTGTCTTGACAGAAAGAAAGATAATGATATCCAATGGGTCTTTTCCATTTCTAATTTCAGTCACTCCATGGTCTTGCAATCACTACAGCCAACTAATCAACTAAATGTAATTATGCACAATTCCAAACATATTATGAAGTAATAAGGCCTTTATTTTTCATGGTGCCCTGAATGCTTATATCATTGAAGATGTAAAAACAGAATTTAATTTGGGCCTACAAAATGGAAAGTCAAAAGGATGAAAGGGAAGATAAGAAGGCCTAAGTTTTTTTTTTTTTCTTTTTAGCTTGGAAATATGTAAACACCTGGATAATATTTTAAAAGGGTATGAATACCCTCACAACTGCCAGATCATGCATAAGACTCACCTTATTCAAGTCAATATTGTAGGAATTTGATCCTTGAATTCTTTGATGACACCTGTAAATAAGTATTGGAAGTCTTTGATGGAATGCAAATGATCAAATATGTCCTGGAAGAACTGAACACTTCTGTGCCCAAATCATCTGACTTGTTCAAATTGTCCCACAGGCTGGCAAATGTGTCTAACTCTGTGGGTTTCTAAGGTCAGACTCGTATGTGAAAACTGAAAATGTTATTTCACAAGTATATTAATGAAAAGCAAGAAAGAGCATAGGTTTTTACAAAGTAGTTACATAATTTCTGTAGCATATCATTAAGGGACATAGGGAATGCTATTATGTTTTGTAATGTATAAAGTGGTGGACTAGGTAGAATCATTATTATTTCCAATGACAAAACCCCAATAAGGTTCTCATAATTGGCCACACAGAACCAACTCATGCAGCTCAAAAATACAGCCTGATAGCTACCAGCATATGCTTTGCAAACAAAACCAAGCAAAACAATACATGCACTTTTATAAAGAAAAGAAGAGAAAATCTCACAATTATTTAGGAAATTGTTTTAATCATTCCTTTAAGAATTAGAAGTGGAAATATGATGATACCAAGCCCAATCTCCAAAAATTAACAAAACTACAAGTTATTGTAATTCTAGATGTATTATATGTCACTGTCTCTCCTGCAACCTGCTCTAATTTTAACCAACAGAACACAAGAGTTTGAGCTGTGTCCTCTCAGGTCTCTTTTTATATTTGTTATATAAATTTCCTTGGCAAACACTGAGCATAACCAAAAGTTCATTATTCTCTAGGTGAAACCACATATGAATGTGGATTTGGAATTTTGTCCCTTCTCTTTTACCCTATATGGACATGCATTAAAATCCTAGCTAAGAGTACTGTCATGAATAAGACAGAAAATATCATAGTATTTAAATCCAACTAGTTGGAGCTGACATTTCAGAACTCAGGAAGGTAACATATCGTATTCTTCTCCTCAGCTCTTTATGTATCTTCTATTCTCTTAGAAGTTAGAAGAAGAATGTTGAGCTTAACATTGAAGACAGATTACCCTTTAAAAGAAACATCTATCGGAGAAAACATTAATTGGTTGCTGGAAAGCACGGCTATGAGAATAAAAGAATCTGGAATGAAATGAGAGATAAAAGCTGGAAAACATAGCTAATGAAGAATGGAATTTCCTTTTACGCATGTGGGAGCTTGCACGCATGTGTTCATTTTTCCCAAATATCTAAGATGTTTAGATGAGCAACAACATGCCGTTCGCATTGCCAGGCAAGTTTCCCTCTGCCTTTTCTGGTTTGTGTGATAGGAGACCTTTTCTCCCCTTATCCTCCTGACAAAGTTTTGTATAAATTCTGCTCCATGTTGCAGAAGGCCCACACTGCCACTCATGCTCTGACAACTGCAAGCTGGGGATACAGAGGAGTGAGATACCCCACATGCACACATGTGAAGTGACGGAAGATGCAGGAAGAGAAGCAAAAAAGCATGAAGACCGCTTTTTGTCCTTCGAGGAGAGGCCAGTCTCCTGACAGCAGACGCAGGAGTTTCAGCTGGGTTTACTTGTCCCCAATCTAACACACCTGAACCCTGCACACAATAGTACCCATGTAAGAGTGGAGTGGGGTAGGGTGGATACAGACTGGAAGGACAGCGGCCTGTTGGAAGTTCTCAGGAAGGTGGAGTGAAAGGAATGTCAGCAATCCTTGTTGCTTATTAATTTCTGACTCTGCTTAATAAAACCCCCCAAAAAGGGATTAGGGATCAAAGAACCAGACACAAAAGAAGTGATATAAATTACTTCCTTTACTCCAGCATTTTCTAATTTTTTTCAGCACCAGAGACTGGTTTCATGGAAGACTGGTTTTCCATGGACCAGGGATGGTTTCAGGATGATTCCAGTGCATTACATTTATTGTGCACTTTGTTTCTATTATTATATTGTAATATATCATGAAGTAATTATACAGCCCACGATAATGTGGACTCAGTGGGAATCTTGAGCTTGTTTTCCTAGAACTAGACAGTCTCATCTAGGGGTGATGGGTGACAGTAACAGATTATCAGGCATTAGACTCTCATAAGGAGCACACAACCAAGATCCCTTGCATGCACAGTTCACAATAGGGTTCGTGCTCCTATGAGAATCTAATGCTGCCACTGATCTGACAGGAAGCAGAGCTAAGGCAGTAATGCAAGTGACTGGGAGTAGCTGTAAATACAGATGAAAGTTTGCTCGCTAGCTCCCCACTCACCTTCTGCTGTGCAGTCGGGTTCCTAACAGGCCACGGACTGGTACCAGTCTCTGGCACCCTTACTCTACCCTTCCCTTTGCCAAATTTCAAGTCATCCTAATTATTTTCTGCCCTTTACAACTCCCTTCAAAACATACACATACTGATAGTGTTTGGCGATACAAAATTATTCAACAGACCTTTTCCTTGCCAACTCTCCCACTTTCCAGAATTTCTCTCACCTAAATTTGAGAGCTTTCATGTCCCAGAGGTCTTATCCTTGGTATCAATAATAATAATAATAATAATAATAATAATAATAATAATAGCTAATGCTTATTGAACATTTATTATACATTAGGCACTACACTTGGGGTTCTTTACTCTTAAATCACGTATCACCCAACAATCCCATGAAGTACATACTATAATTGCCATGGTCTTAATGCTTGTGTCCCCCCAAATTCATATGTTGAAATTGTCACCCCCAAGGTAATGGTGTTAAAAGGTGGGAACTTTGGGGGAATGATGAGGTCATGAGGCTGGAGCCCTCATGGTGGAGATTAGTGCCCTTATACAAGAGGCCCCAGGAAACTTGTTTGCCCTTATCTACCATGCGAGGACATTGTGAGAGGCGCCATCTATGAATAAGAAAGTAAGCTCTCACAGACACTAAATATGCTGGCATTTTGATCTTGGACTTCCCAGCCTCCAGAACTATGAGAGATAAATTTCTATTGCTTATAAGCTACTAAAGCTATGTTTTTTTTTTGTTGTCACAAAACAGACTTATATAATTATTATGCACATTTTAAAGATGAGAAAACTGAGGCTTAGAGAGCTTTTGAGCCAATCGTCTACGATAATAGAGCTTACATGTTGTGGGGCAAAGGTTTGAACCCCAATCTCTTGACTCCAGAATTCATAGTTTTAATCATTACTTGTTATCAATCTTCCTATCCCTATCTCCTCAAAAAAACTTAATGTCCTATCAGCTATCATAAATGAAGCTGGTTATGTAAAGCTCCTAGACTTTGTCTGCCAATACTCGGTCTCTATTAATACCAGTGTCCCTTCCCCTTTCCCTATTCTCAACAGTAGATTATAATATGAACTAGCCTAGACAACTTATTTAATTGCTCAACATCCCCAGAATAACAGTGCCCTAAATCTTTAAGGAATGGAAAAGATACCGAAACCCTCAGGCATCTTGGGAGATGGAAGGAGGGACCCTTTTAGAGCCCCAGTCTAGTCCTGGTTATAAACTTTAGTGGACGCATGAACACTGCAATGAAACGGGGAATGTCAAATGACTGTGAAGTTGTATTTTCCTAATAAAGAGGTGTCATTGTTAAAGCGGAAGCTTAGTTCAGGGCCTCTATTCAAGCACAAGATGCTAGGTACCGGGGTTTATTAATAAACAAAACACACTGTCTGGGCTCAAGTGATTTTTCAGGGGGGCTAGATAATTAAAGAGGCAGTATAATGAAGTCCCAATAAAATAACACCTCAAACTATATTACTGTGTCGCAGCATTGATGTCAACTTTACATAAATTAAAATAATAACCAAGGGCAATTGTTTGAAGTTTCTGAAACAGTTCTAGCTAGCGAAGTAAAGAGAAAACAGAGATATTTTTAGAAAAAGAAGGAGAAAAAGTACATATATCTTGAGGTAGGAGAAATGATGGCATGTTTAGAAATAAGGAAAAACCAATGAGATTAGTGTGTGAAAGCAAGTGGTAGAAGGGTTCAAAGAGTTATTATTCTAGTTGTTTTAATTCTTATCCATTTATTTGTTCAAATCATACTTACTGGTCTTGGGTCTTAATTATGTCTAGGTCTGTCCAAAGAAATTGTGGCTAGTGTATCCTGAGCACATTAGTCAAGTCCCCTAGCATGTATTTTAGGGGATAAAGGTGGCGAAAAAGACTGAAGTATCTACCTCAGATTACTTTAACTCATCACTTAGACTCATGCCTAGCTTTCTGGAGAGAACAGCTCCAGAGAAAGCTAATAAACTATTTATTTAAAGGATTCAGATTTGGGGCCTAAAACATATTGCAAGTTCTTTCTAAAGAAGTAATATTCACCGGGCGTGGTGGCTCACGCCTGTAATCCCAGCACTTTGGGAGGCCAAGGCGGGTGGATCACGAGGTCAGGAGTTTGAGACCAGCCTGACCAACATGGTGAAACCCCGTCTCTACTGAAAATACAAAAATTAGCTGGGCATTGTGGCGGTTGCCTGTAATCACAGCTACTTAGGAGGTTGAGGCAGGAGAATCACTTGAACCCAGGAGGCGGAGGTTGCAGTGAGGCCAAGATCATGCCATTGCACTCCAGCCTGGGTAACAGAGCGAGACTCCATCTCAAAAAAAAAAAAAGAAGTAATACTCCAGGTATGAGACCTGCAGTAACTTGTCTCAACCATACACGTAATGTATTGAAGGAGACATCACAGCAAAAAAGACTCTATCTTCTTCTGCACTCCCATTCTTGCTAATCAAATATAGTTGACCCTTGAACAACCCAGGGTTAGGGGTCCTCACCCGCTATGCAGTCAAAAATCTGGGTACAACTTTTGACTCACCAAAAACTTAACCACTAATAGTCTACTGTTGACTGGAAGCCATGCTGATAACAAACAGTCAATTAACATATATTTTGTATGTTACATATATATTATGTACTATATTCTCATAAGGTAAGCTAAAGAAAAGAAAATGTTAAGAAAATTGTAAGGAAGAGAGAATATATTTACTATTCATTAATCGGAAGTGTATCGTCATAAAGTCCTGTATCTTCATCTTCATGTTGCAAAAGCTGAGAAGGAAGGAGAAAAGGAGGGGTTGGTCTTGCTGTCTCAGGGGTGGCCAAGGCAGAAGGAAATCTGTGTACAAGTGGAACTGTGCAATTCAAACCCATGGTGTTCAAGGCTCAACTGTAATATGGCCCTTTAGAATGAATGTCAAGAACACATATCAGAGAGAACGGGGTTTGGAATATGTCCAACACTATAAGTCTCCCTTGAGAGCAGATAAAAAATAAAGGAGCTAGAATAGGCTTAGACCTCGGCAAGAGGGATTGCTAACCTGAACCCAGTACTTTCCAGGAAACCTACATATCATAAACTCAGCCTTACAACAATGCGTAAAAGAGCATGTGGGTCATCAAAATTTTAAAGTTATCTTTATCATAAAATAGAATTTAAAAAATGAAAAGGCATGTCAGAGTAAGAGAAAGTATGCATTACATATATATACACGCACACATATAGAATACATATATATGGAAATATGCATTATATATGTACATATGTGTATGTATATATAAATGCATGTATATGTGTAATATATATGTCTATGTGTATGTGTGTGTGTATATATATATATATATAATGCCCAAAATATATAAAGAATTCCTACAAATCAATAGTAAATGACAAATAGCCTAATTATTTTTAAATGGGCAACAGGTATGAACAAATATTTCACAAAAGAAGATATACAAATGGCCAAAAAGCATACTGTAAGGTGCTCAATGTCAGTAATCATCATGGAAATGAACATTAAGACCAAAATAAAATACTACTTTATACCCAGGAGATCGGCCAACATTTTTTTTAATGCAATTTCAAGGGCTGGCAAAGATGAGGAGCAATGGGAACTCTCATACAAAAATGGTACAACCACTTTGGAAAACTATTTGAAAGTTTTTTAATAAAGTTAAACATGTTTCTACCCTATGACTTAATTATTCTACTCTTAGGTATTTATCAAAAAGAAACATATTCCCTACAAAAAATTGTGTAAGGATCTTTTTTGTTCATAATAGCCCAAACTAGAAACAACCAAATGTCCATTAACAAGGGAAAGGATGAATAGACATATATTATAATAAATATATATTATGTTAGGAATTTTAAATATAAATTTACATAAGTTACATGTATTCAGCCATAAAAACTACAGACTACACAAAATAAAAAATGGATTAATCTGGAAAACATTGCATTAATCAAAGGAAGCTAGACACAAAATAGTACATACCATATGATCTCATTTATATGAGGTGCTAAAACAGGCAAAATGAAATTCAAACAGCGCTTACCTCTGATTGGTTATAGAGATTTACTAGAAGGAGACAGACAAGGCCAGGCATGGTGGCTCACGCCTATAATCCCAGCAGTTTGGGTGGCCAAGATGGGTGGATCACTTGAGCCCAAGAGTCCGAGACCAGCCTGGGCAGCACAGTGAAACCTCATCTCTACAAAAAAACAGAAAAATTAGTCAGGTGTGGTGGTGCAAGCCTGTAATCCCAGCTTCTTGGGAGGCTAAGGCAGGAGGATCAATTGAGTTCAGGAGATAGAGGCTGTAGTGAGCTGTGATTGCACAACTGCACACTCCAGCATGCGTGACAGAGTGAGATCTTGTCCGGAAAAAAAAAAAGAGAGAGAGAGAGATATTCTGCAATGATGGAATGTTCAATATCTTGATTTTGGTGTTGGTTAATTAGGTGTTTACATTTGTCAAAACTCATCTAATTTTACATCTAAAATCTGTACACTTTATTGTAGTAAATTCTGTCACAATTTTTAAAAAAGTTTTGTATTAAAAAATATTATCTACCAAAAAAAGGTATCCAAACCCAAATCTGTCCCATTAGAAACATTTGCTCTCTCCTAGAACAATGAGTGTGTCTGTCATTTAATAACTGGTTCTCAGAACAAGCAAGGTAGTATGTACATCACTAAACATCACCTTTGTGACTAACACCATTCAGTCCTCAGAGAAATACCTATGTTCATTCATGACCTATCTTACTTAAATAAAAAGTAATTATGTTCAAATGCTGTGGGCTGGTGGGTTGTGCCACTGTCAATGATAGAGACAGATAGGGATCCAGAGTAAGCAGATAATTTGAGCAGGAGAAGAAATTCAGCAGGAGGACATATGAATTCATTAACTTGAAAAAGCATTCCCTTCCATAGCATGAATACAATAGATTCTTGCATATAAGTATAGCTTACACCATTTATCAATATTCTTGTTTGTCTTTGTGATTCAGTTCATAGTTGCAAATTAGCAACTATGAATTAGCTACGTTTTTGCAACCATTGCAAATGGGGAGTAAAGATCATTCTGAAATGCTAAGCAATCACAATACACTTAAATTTGTGTAGGTATAGGTCTAGATGTAACATTCATAATGGGTATTACTAATTCATTACATTTGCAACTAAATGGATATCAAATGCCAGAACTGAAAAAATAATGAATGCCAAAATTAAAAAGAAACATACATATTTAATACAAATATTTTTAATAAAGCATAATTAAACTTTGAAAGATTAAAAGTGTAGCTTCATTTAAATAATTTGTTTTAAACATTTGATATCATTGATTATAATTTAATAAACATTTGATTTTCTTTTAATTTTAATAGATTATGTAAATATTTTAAAGGATAACTATACGTGAAAAACTTTCTTTTAATATTTGCTTTACGTTCTTAATGAGAATATATTTAATTGTGTACAAAAATTAAATATTTATTTGTTTTTAAATCTTTTAGATTATGGTCAACAAACTATGGCATGTGAAAATAAAGTCTTATTGGAACATAGTCACATCCATTTGTTTCCATATTATCTGTATCTGCTTTAGTGCTATAATGGCAGAATTGACCTGTTGTAATAGAAACAATGTAGCTTGAAAAACCTTAAATATTCAGTAACTGCTTCTTTAAGATGTTCGCCATCCCCTACTTTACATTATTCCTGCCAAGCAAACACAAATTATGTAAAAATTTGATGACAATATAATTAGCGATTCTGCTGAAATGCAGGTGACATATTTTATAAACTAAATATATAATGTATATATTACGTACATATTTATCTGTAAATCTTTGATCTGTCAATGGAACATCTAGCCATTTGCAAAATAATAAAATCAGTCATCTTTGATACATTTAGCCAACTTTCAGTCATCTGAAATTCACAGCTTTACACATATTTTTCCATTTTGTCATTATGAAAGCACATTTTTTCCAGGTAGGAAATAACTACATGTTTTATTTAATGATTTGTTATTTGATTTATAACTTTCAAACAATTAGACAATTGGCATTTGGGTCTCTGTTGGTTCTTGTGCCCCAGAATCTGCACTCATAAAGGAAAAAAAGATGAACACTCTCATATGCCTATAACCCAGAGATCAGCCTCTCTACTGCAAATATCCCTTGGTAGAGAATCTGTGAAACAATCTAGTGTTTGCTTTGACAGGAGAGGCCTTGATCTCTTTCTTGTCCCTAGACTAGTGTAAGGTGAAATGATAACCCTTCATTATTCCTATAGGCTTCTGGTCTCCCATGACCAATGCAAATACTTGCTTAGAGGAGATGGAAATGGAGCTGAGGAGTACTTTTATTTTTTTAATTCACTTCATGCCTTTTGTTACTCAAGTAATCAAATGAATCATTGCATAATAAGGGCAATAATTACTTATGAGTAAGTGAATCTCCAAAGGTTTCCCAGCCCATAATGGAGATAAACTTCTCATTTTTTCCTCTTCCTTCTCCACCCCAAATGAAGGGTTCAGAGCTAAGAGGAGGATATTACTGTTCCCAATACAAAGAAATGGTCACGGTTTGAGATGATGAAAGTGCTAATTACCCTGATCTATCACTATATATTATATGTATCAAAACATTACTACGTACCCAATGAGTATGTACAATTATTATTAGTCAACTTAAAAATGAAAAAGAAACTGGGACCGTTACAATGACTTTCCCTCTACATTTGCTCATCATTCTTAATTCTAGAAAGCCTCAAGAGAAGCTTAGAAATTTGTTTTTTCTTCTATCTCAGTCTGCATCAAATTTTAAGGCAAGGTTTCTACCTACCAATGTTCCTTGTAACTTTGGGGGTAGGGAGACAGTACAAAGATTTATTTTCTCACTTTTTATAAATCATTATGGATTTTGTTCAATTTTTCCAGATTAGTATAATCCAACCAAAAATAAAGAACACAGTTGTTTTCATTTGTTTGTTTTTCTCTTGCTGCTTACATTTCTAGCCCTCTAGATCCACATAATCCTGCTACTGGCCTAATACTGTTTGAGGCTGGCAAATTCACCATTTCTTGTAGGGCAAAATGTTGCCTTGAACAGAAAGGGTGCATGCCAGAAGACCTACTGCAAATCTGGATTTACTGGGAGCTGATGAAGCTTACACCCATGTCTATTTCAAAAGCCTGGGAAGGCTCTGGCCATCTATTAATGTAATTAAGCTGTTGCTAATTTCCCACTGAAAGAACTCTTGCCTACTGTGCAAACCCACCCAGCATGATAAGGTCATGGGCAATAGACTGCATCATGGTATAATGGTTTCATAATTTGTATTTTTGGTCATTCATAGTGAGTAGTTATTAAATGCTTACATATCTAATTTTACATGCATAATTTGTATTCTTTATCTTAAAGAATGACTCCCATAATATATACGGTTCTGGCCCCATAAAACCCAGATTCCTCCCAGAATTTTGTTGCCAAATGCTAGAGGTTTGGCCTAGGCCTTGTTGCTCACTGCACAGAAAACCAATCACTGAGATAACAAGTTGATATGGTTTGGCTGTGTCCCCACCCAAATCTCATCTTGAATTCCCACGTGTTGTGGGAGGGACGTGATGGGAAGTAGTTGAATCATGGGGACAAGTCTTTCCTGTGCTGTTCTCATGATAGTGAATAAGTCTCATGAGATCTGATGGTTTTATAAAGAGGAGTTCCCCTGCACAAGTTTTCTCTTTGCCTGCTGCCATCCATGTAAGACGTGACTTGCTCCTCTTCACTTTCCTCCATGATTGTGAGGCCTCCTAGCCATGTGGAACTGTAAGTCCATTAAACCTCTTTCTTTTGTAAATTGCTCAGTCTTGGGTATGTCTTTATCAGCAGTGTGAGAACAGACTAATACACAAGTATTACCAAGGAAGAAAGCTTTATTGCAAGTGACATCAAAATTAGGGTAATTTTGTCCCCAGAAGATGGGGGCAAATTTTAAATCCATTCTTAATGGATGTTTAGTAAATGTCGGGTGCAAGAATGAATAACCTTCCACAATCAGATACATTTCAATTAAATTTCAATAAAATTTCAATTTATCTGACATAATATCTTAAAGTTCAATTTGCCTGAAATAATATCTTAATTTTATTTACAATGTAAGGTAGCTAAATGAAATGCCTGAATCTTTAAAAAACAATAATATATTGGAAAGAGGTCAGTAAAAGCATGCACTTTAGAGTCAGATAGAAATGGACTTACATCCTTTCTGCTGGTAGTCTAAACCTGATCAAGTGCTCAATTTCCTTGAGCCTCTTTTTCCCCATCTGTAAAATGATGATGATACACTTCCTTTGCAGTACCATGCTGGGGATTAAATGTGATGATATACATGTACCAGCAAATCAGCCTGCTGAATATGCAAAAGGCATCTGAGGAGCATTAGGAGGCATAGTGTGGAGGTTGAACACACAGACTCTGAAATCAATTACCTAGTTGAAATCCTCACTCTGCAGCTAGTTAGCTATACAATCTGGGACAAATTGTTTAACCTCCCTGTGCCTCCCTGTCCTCATCATTAAAATGGGCATAAAAGTGATATCAATATTAGAAGGTGGTTATGAAGATTAAATGAGTTAATATTTCTGTAGCACCAAGAACTTGTCTTTGGCATCTAGGACACTATATAAGTATATATTAAATTGTGAGATATTTATTTATTGAAAATCTTTATTTCACTAGACCAGAACTGTTCTATTAGGTACATACTATAAAAGAATAACCATAGCATTATCCCCAAAAATGTGGAAAGTTTCTTCTAATTAAATCCACATTTCATTGTTTGGGTTTCTTGTAGCTGCAGATTTATAGACAACTTCTTGAAAAGCCAACATTTTGAATCTATGGTAGCATGTTCTGTCTTGTTCCTATACATCCAGACTCCAATTATACTACTTGGTTACTACCTTCAAAAGTATTTTTGGTAATAGTTGAACAAAGAGAGTTCCAAAAATATATATATATATATTGTTTTATCTGGAATCCAAGAGGGTTTAATTAAAATGCCAACATGATCAAGCAGGCTAAAAATGTTTTCTAATTATTTCAATTAATAGTTGGCAAGATTTGATTAATATTATACTGAGTGCTTGGGGCTCTGGCAAATCTGTATATTTTCATTTCATTATTCATCTCCAGTATACCCTATTAATTATCTTTCTTTCTCTCTGCCTTTTTCTTCTTCAATAAAATCATTTTTTTAAATGGTCTCCAAAGCTTCTTCCTTAAAATAGTAAGATTTTAAGTGCTACAGTTAATTTTAGTCAAAATTTTGAATACCATTTAATTCATATCTCAGATTCTTCATATAGAAGGAATATGTGAGTTTTAAAAAATAGAGCTTTCCCAAGCTTGAGATAATTTACTATGTAATTCAGTGTCTACCAGAGAATTAAAATGATTATTTATGTTCCCCAGACTCAGAGCATTAGGAAAACATTGAACTGTGCTGATTTCTTAAAACACACAGTTGGAATTGTTTAGTAATGCTTCATTTGTATGCAGAAAGTCCAACACATATTAAAATAGGTATTCAATTCTGTGTTGATTTCAAGGAAATGAAGGAGAGCCAGTTTATCATCAAAGCTCATATATTCAATACCCACCCAGAAATTACATAAATGCAGTGCCCCATTTGAAATACTAAATAGACAGAAATCTAAAATCCAAAGCTACAAATCCCAAAGAAATGATCACTTGTTCTTTTATAGATTTGAAATATTAAATTTCTGGCTTAATATGTAAGTCTGAGTAGGTGTGAAATGGTTTTCTTTGAGAAGATACCTAGTTAGTGCTCTTTTTCAGCCTGGTAATTGTGTTGGTATTTTAAAATATGTTATTATACCCAGAGGTTTTGGAAATGGTCGTTATGCTTTATAAAATATGAATAAGTGTGAAATAGAATTATGCTGCAATTTCTGTAAAAACTATAATTCTGAATTGAATGCCTTTTGTGTTTTTAAACCTCACCTTCATAAACATGAAAAGAAAATATGAGTTTTAAAAAGAAGGGTATCTGTAGTTCTTTTAATGCAGTTAGTTTCATGCTTATTTGTGTATATATATATATGCACACACATATAAACACAAGTTTTTTTCTCTTCTATTAAAAAAATCCCTAAAAAGTTACAATAACATTAAAACAATATATTAAACACAATTCCATAAAGAGTTTCTGCTTTTTATCCTTGGGTTAGTTTCTCTCTCATTTCCTTATTTAAAATTTTTAAAGACAAAAAAATATGCACATACTCTTCTTTCTATACCCACTACCATCGCAGCTGGAAGCTATCACACCTGGCTCCTTTCTTCTTCCATGTATCAATTTACGTTCCTGGAAGGTAGCGTTCTTGATAGCGCTTTTATACACAAAATGCTTTTTCACTGTCATTTACCTAGGCTACATTAAGTAAAAGATGGGAAGAATTATTATGATAATAATTATTATAATTCTACATAATAAAAAGGCTTATTTTATCCAGATTTTTATTGATGATGTAAAGAATTATGTGATGAAATATATCTTTTATAAGAAATCAAAAATTAATGCTCTTAAATGAAGAAAAATCCACCTATGAAGAGAATCAAATGTGGCATTCTGATTCATTCTTTGATGACAAAAAGAAAAAAACAACGTGATTTGGTGATACTATGATCATTTTATCGCAAAATTGATGAGAACCAGTAGCTAGCTGTGTTCTATACTAATTCTCTTTACTGTGCTAGGCATTCTTTACTTTGTTTCAGGTTTAAAATGAAATGAACAAAGTATACTTTTTTCTGGGTAGATGACAGGCCTCAATGAAATAATTCACATAAAATATTCAGTTAATGCCTATATACAGCGTGTGCTCAGCAAATGGTTATATCTATTTCAAAACCAGATTTTTAAAAATTATTTTTAACCATTTCTATCTATTGATATCTTTTCTCTTTCAAATTTTTACTTTAACAATTAACATAGAGAAGAGATAACCCACAGAATGGGAGAAAATATTTGCAAACCATACATCTGATAAGGGGTTAATATCCAAAATATATAAGAAACTCAAACAACTAAATAGCAAGAAAATTTAAAAAAAAAATTCAAAAATGGGCAAGAAGTCAGGCGCAATGGCTCACGCTTGTAATCCCAGTACTTTGGGAGGCTGAGGTGGGCGAATTGCTTGAGCCCAGGAGTTCCAGACCAGCCTGGGAAACATGGTGAGGCCTCGTCTCTATAAAAAAATAAAAAAACAAAATTAGCCAAGTGTAGTGGCTGATGGCTGTGGTCCCAGCTACTCAGAAAGCTGAGACGGGAGAATCGCTTGAGCCTGGGAGCTCAAGGCTGCAGTGAGCTGAGTTTAAGCCACTGCACTCCAGGACTACAGCCTGGGTAAAACAGAACAAGACTCTCTCTCTCTCTCTTAAAAAAAAAAAAAAAATTAAAATGTAAAGATTTAAAAATTTAAAAAAAACACCTACGCAAACATTTCGCAAAGGAAGACATACAAATGATCAACAGTATCACTGGTCATTAGGGAAATGCACATCAAAAATACAGTGAGATATCACCTCATGCCTGTTAGAACAGCTTTTATCAAAAAGATACCAGATAAGAAGTGTTAGCAAAGATGCAGAGAAAGGAGAATTTGTGCATTGTTGATGGAAATGTAAATTAGTACAGCCGTTACGGAAAATGGCATGGAGGTTCTTCAAATAAATAAAAACAGAACTACCATATGATCTAACATTACCACTTCTGGGTATATAGCCAAAGGAACTGAAATCAGTATGTTAAAGAGATATCTGTATTTCCATGTTCACTGAAGCATTATTCACAATAGACAAACTATAGAATCAACGTAAGCGTCCATCAATGGATGAATGTTTAGAGAAAATGTGGTATACATACATGATGGAATACAATCGAGCCTTTAACAAGAAGAAAATTCTGTTATTTGAAACAATGTAGTTAAGCCTGAAAGACATTATTCTAAGTGAAATAAGACAGACACAGAAAGACAAATACCACATGACTTCACTCATATGTGGAATCTAAAAATGCTGATCTCATAGAAGCACAGAGTAGAAGGATGGTTACCAGGGTCTGGGGAGGGGCAGTGAGGAGCAAGGAAATGGGAAGTTATTTGTCAAAGGGTACAAAGTTTCAGATAGCAGGAATGTTTTGAGATCTATTGCATGCAGGGTGACTATAGTCAATAATAATATTTTGCATATTTTGAAATAATTAGGAAAGTAAATTTCAAATGTCTCACTACAAAAAAATAAGCAAGTAAGGGCTGGGCACGGTGGCTCATGCCTGTAATCCCAACACTTTGGGAGGCACAGGCGGGTGGATCACCTGAGGTCAGGAGTTCTAGACCAGCCTGGCCAACATGGTGACACCCCATCTCTACTAAAAATACAAAAAATTAGCCCAGCATGGTGGCGGGCACCTGTAATTCCAGCTACTCTGCAGGCTGAGGCAGAAAAGTCACACTTGAATCCAGGAGGCAGAAGTTGCAGTGAGCCGAGATCACCCCACTGCACTCCAGCCTGGGCAACAGGAACAAAACTCCGTCTCAAAAATAAAATAAAATAAAATAAAATAAGCAAGTAAGATGATGGATATTTTAATTAGCTTGATTTAATTATTCCACACCATATATGTATACCAGAACACCACATTTTACTCTATAACGTATACCTTTATGATCTGTCAATTAAAAATATTAATTTTATAAAACATAACTTACTTCCAAGCTTATAATACACAACAGTGTTCTAAATAAAATATTTATAAGTATTTTTCCATGATTCCTTTAAATTTTACTATTCACTTGCTTTTAAATTTGTACTTATAAAAAGTACCCTTTTCTTCCCATGATGAAACAGACTTTTATACACTAAATGTGCTTTGAAATCAAGCTCCTCTAAATATGAAATCTTTATCATTTGCAAATTGTTTTTAAGGAATCTCCTCCTATTTTATTTTATCAGCAGCTGCTACATCTACAAACGACAGAAGTATTAAACCACGATTTTTCCTTAACCATGAATTACTGACAACATAAAAAGGTTACATAATTTAAGTTTCTTTATAGATTCTTAATAATTTTTTTTCTAAGAAATAAACATCTTGCACCACAGCCTCCCGAACACCCAACGATTAAGGTAAAACTCAGACAACCATTTTGGAAAGAAAATAAAATTATGTTTAAATTACAAAGTTACTGGGAATTAAGAACGTGAGAAAGAAAATTTGAAAGTAACAATCGGTTGAACTTTACTGCATCTCATCTTTGTCCCTTCGTGATGGTGCTTAATTTTAACTACGTAAATTGCATTCAGGATGCATGAGCTCCTTTATCTAATCATAGGCTGCCAAGAATCTGTTTAGACATTCACCTGGGTTAATACGCATATTATTGTTCTTCAGTTTGGAAAATGAAGCTTCGGACAGAATCCATTATCTGCGCATGTTGGTTTGCCTGAGCAATTGTTTCCCAAATGCATATTAATTTTAATTTTATTATTTTTAGCTCTCTCCATCTGGGTCCTTGCGTCCTGAGCCACAGCTCAGTCCTTGGGTAAAAATAAATGTGACAAGTTGTCGGGTCTTGAAATGGGTTTCCAGTGTCTCAGACTGTGTAACCTTGGGAGACCTTGATCTCCCAGTGAGTAATACTGGGTAGCAATCAATGGAGGTCTTCCAAATGTCTCTTCATTATACACAGAGAGTTCCCACAAGCCTTGTTCCCCAAAATGCTTAGAAATAAGAGCAGCCTGTGTTCACAAAATTGGGAAAAACCATATACCATAGCCCCAGTGGAGAAACAAGTTGTCCATTAGTAATCATATTAAAGTCCTGAAAAGGCATAAAAGTCTAACTTTGTTTAACCCCACACTTCCCAAATCTATTTGAGGATGCAGCCTTTTAAAGAAAACAGCCAGAAAGACTTTTTCCTTTTTCTTTTTATCTGTTTTTCAAGTTTTCTGCAATAAACAACTATTACTAAAAAAGAAAGCAACAAATACATGGAAAATGAAACAGTTAAAATTGCCATACTAATAGGCTAGAACGCCTGTGAGCAGTCTGTAAGACCTTGATTTTCCTCATCACATTTTTTCCATACCTGAAGCACAACAAAAATCACAATCTCTGACCTATTTGTTGTTAGAGCAGCATTTTTCAAAATAGATTCTATAGACCATTAGTTCCCAGAGATATTAGTGAATGATTCACAAAAAAGAATTTCAGTGTAAAAAAAATTTGGGATGTGCAAAGTTGTGACTGGACTTCCGAGAAACTGTAATATTGTAATGCACATTGTGCATTTTCCAAAGGGATAAATGTAACATGTTTTTGCAAATTTATTTGATCCTTTTGTTAGTAATACCTTGAGTTACTTTTTTCTATCAAATGTATTTTGGAGAACACTGATTTAAAATTCTAGCTCAAGAAGTGTTTGAAGACACAGGGATAACACGGATTAAAATGCTTTTCAGCAGTTGACCTAAGACCTTGGCTGAACTCTGAGGTTTTGCCAAAGGAAAAAATTTTACATGTTTGTGAGATATATCTTGGAAACTCAGGGACTTTGATTTTAAATGTTAAGGAAAGATAGGTAAATTAGATAGATAGATAGATACATACATACATAATCATAATAATAGTGGATTTTTCATATGTATAACCAAAATATGTTTTCCTGACTAAATGAAATGTCCTGTGTGTGTGTGTGTACACACTTCCTTGCATTTGGTCAACCAATATTTATTCAGCATCAACTCTGTTCCAAAAAAAGGTGCCATACTAAACATATAAAAGTGCTTAGGTAAGTAAGTCCATGACCTCTGAAAGTTTAGTCTCACTAACAAGGAAGCCATGCAAATAAACCCAATAATACTATGACAACTGTAGGGACAGAGCTACATCTAAAGAGCCATGGGAGCCTAGAAAGGGACTCAGAGCTTACAGAGACAAGGTTCAGGAAAAGTTTCTTAGAAGAGCAAACTCCTGAGCTAAGACCTCTAACTCCTGGTTCCACCCAGTTCCCACCATTGCTTCCATTTGAAGACCTTATAAAGTATGAAACTGTATCCTACAAATTTAATCTTCTTTTTGTAGTTCTGATAACAGTTTGACAACAAACGGCAATCTTTTCAAATTTTCTTTAAAAGCCGTGTTTACACAGTGGAAATAAAAGTGTCATTAAAATAAATGTGACCTACTGTGCTTAATATAGTACAAGAAATTATCACTAATGAAGATAAAAAAAATATTGGCTCCAAGAATGAGGTGGAACTATCATTCAGATCATACATGTTGAAGAAATACCGAAAATCCTCTTTTTTTGCTGACTGCAATCTGCTACTGAATTCCTTTGAACCATTGAATCATTAATTTTTAAAAATCACATTTGCCAGCCAATTACTCAGCATTCCATGACATGATCAATGATGTTAAAGGTTTTCAGCTCATTGTATTAATCAATTAAGAACAGAATATAAACAAAAAACAACTGTCAGCTGATCTGGATCCACTGCAGATGAACCGCTGTTTAAAACAATTAATAATGAAATAATGCTTCAAAACTAAGGGCAAAGGCCTAATTGATTTTTCAAAAGTAAGAACACTCTAAATGCTCAATTAGTTAATAATTTGCCTACTAATTGATTTCTTCAAGGTGTCTGACTGGCAAAATTGAGAAAGGTTCTATAATCGCTATCCTTCTACAAAAAGCTTGTTTCTAGGCATCTAGGAAGGTTAGAAGATCAGTTCAGACTCCCATTAATATTGTAGAAAACTTTCTCCAAGGATAACAAAGCTACTATCATCAACAAAGAAACTGTCAACTAATAAAACTCTGGGGAGCACTTCAAGAAACCAACTAATTTCATGAAGAATATTAGTAAATTAGATACGAAAAATGATAAAATGATGCAAGTATCTATTAGAAATAACAGACATTTACCAAATGCAAAACAACAGGTTTGAGACTGAGAGACTTGTGATTAAAATGTTTTTAATTGCAGGTAATGAACTAAATAAAGAGAACTGAACATACGAAGATGCTAAGAATTCTTCTAATTACATTGTTATTTCCTAATTCTGTATTTTCACTTGTTAAATCAAGTTTAGCCTAAAGCTGTCTCCTTACAATATTTTAAGTTCAGCCTAAAAATTTCTCTGTACATAGTAAACTATAACCTAAATAAAGGTATAAGCCTACTATAGCCCACACTTGCACCAATCACCGAGTTTGGGCAAAGGGGGCCAACTGTTCCAACTGCATTCAAATATGGCAACGGCTGAGCTGTAACCAACCCAGCTGTTTCTGTACCTCACTTCCATTTTCTCTATCTCACTTTCTTTTTCCTGTCCCTGAATCTCCTTCCACCATATGGCTGTACTGGAGTCTCTCTGAGCCTACTCTGGTTAAGGAGGCTGCCGAATTAGCAAATTGTTCTTTGCTCAGTTAAACTCTGTTAAATTTAATTTCGCCAAGGATTTTCCTTTAACACACTGTACAGGGTAGGTTACATGACCTTTGGTAATGAACCTGATGAATGTAATGCAGATGATATAATAGAGATGATGTAGTTGGGATACTGCCCCACCCAAATCTCACGGTGAAATGTAATCCCCACAGTGTTGGAGGTGGGGCCTGATGGGAGATGATTGGGTCATGGGGGCAGATTTCTCATGAATGGTTTAGTCCCATCTTTTTGGTACTGTCCTCGGGATAGTGAGTGAGTTCTCCTGAGATCTGGTTGTTTAATAAAAGTGTGTGGCACCTCCTCCCTCTCTCTTGATCCTGCTTTCACCATGTGATGTGCCTGCTCCCCCTTCATCTCCCACCATGATTACAAGTTTCCTGAGGCCTCTCCTGAAACCAAGCAGATGAGGGAGCCATGCTTCCTGAAAAGCATGCAGAATGGTGAGCCAATTAAACCTTTTCTCTTACAAATTACCCAGTCTCACGTAATTTCTTTATAGCAATGCAAGAACAGACTACAATAAATTATAGATGCTAAAAAAAATCTGAAAGTATCTTGAGAGTAGATTACAATGCTCACAGTATACTAGTAGCTAACATTTATTGGACACTTTCTATTAGCCACTTCGCTAAGCATTTTACATAGATTAACTTATTTAATCCTCAGAAATTTCTATGGGAAGTGAAATGTCTTTCCAGCTGGTAATCAGTATGTCTAGTATTTGAATCCAGAAAATCTGGTTGCAGGATCCATGTTCCTAACTTCCTTATTATCCTTTATCAAACCATGCCCTGTTTTAGCACTTTATATAAGCTTTCTTACTTAATCTCACCACAATCCTATTGTTAGATACTCTGTATTAGATACTACATACTGACAAAAAATTCTAATTGAATAATTTGCTCAAGGGTGACTGGACCAGTATACAGTCACTTAGAAATTTACAGGACTGATATCAGAATACAGTCTTTGGGCACAGGTATGAACAGACAGGTTGAGGTCTTCCTACTAAGTATCTGGTGACCTTTGATTTTTAATTGATCCTCACTACTTCACTTCCCCCCCCTCCTTTCTCCCCCAGTATTAACATAGCCACATGACTTCACTTATTTTTCAGGGGTGCTATAAAAAGATTTTTAATAAGCACAAATCGAACATAAAAATTACTAAGTAGGAAGATATTTGCATTAGTAGAAGAGCTCAGGCTTTGGTCTCTAATTCCATAGTCACCCTCAGTGGGCAGCAGTTTCTCCAGTCAACACCAAATGATCCAAGGCCCTACAAAAACGTTGCAAGCCTTTTCTTCTCCCCTTTCCTATCTTTTTGTTTATCCCTTGGGTAAACAGAGATGCAGACAGAGTGAAGGAATCAACCGAGTTTGAAGAATCAGGAGCACCACCTTTCTTCTTGGTTTATTCCTAAATAATCTTGAGTTGAAATTGTATGATATTAATAAAAGATATGATGTTTAAGGTTTTAAGATTCTAACCCCAGGTCCTATTTTTTTCTTATTATAAAATTGGAAATCAACATTCTTCCTGCCTTCTGTCAATGTGCGGATCAATAAGATAATGTAACCAATGTGCATAGACCTGGCAGGTGTCAGTGCATGTTGAACCTCCTTCCTTCCTGCCGATCCCCCATAGCACCATCAGCTCTCCTTCCCACTTAACGTCCTCATTGCATGGAAGAGAAAATCGTGGTACCCAACTGTTGAAAGCCAGTCCATCCCTCTCCATGCTCAAGTTGGAGTCACACGAATCAAATCCTCCAAGCTATACTTTTTCTCAACTTCTCTTCTCCTCCCCATCTATAGTTATCTTTGGGTTACCCAGGCCTGAGTAAAAACCTGGAGTTCATTATCCTTTTTCCCTTTAACTCTGCCCCAGTGCAATTAGCTGTATGTGTTGTTTGAGAGAAGGGATTATATCAAATAGAACAATGAGTTAACTGGTTTTGGAGTACCAAAACTGTTTTAGCAGTTAACTTATAGGCACCTAGGTTTTTTTTTAGTTTCCCTTTTCTCTCTCTTTATATTAAAAAAAAAAGTTGGATTTTATGTATGCAAAGCCAAGCTTCAAAGGAATTGGGTCACAAAGTGTGTCTGCAAACAAAAGACCAGGGACTAAACAGTTGAGGAACCAAAATGTAATCTGGATTACTGATGGTTTTCTTGTGAAAAGTATGCATTTCTAAGGAGGTGTGCAAGCAATGAAGGGAAGGTAGATAGGAAGTATGCTGAGTTTGGAGAAATCCAAGAGCAGAGGAGCTTCAGCCAATAAAACCCAGTTGGTAGAGAGTCTTAAGAAGACAACCAGTGGCAGCACCAATACCCTGAAGCAGCATCAGGAACAATGGCATGATGTATGCAGGCAGAGAGAACCTGAGCCTACAAGGAGGCTTTTGTCAGCTCCAAGGAGCATGAAAAAAAAAACCATCCAGAAGTGTATCATGATCCTGAGAGGATCAGGGAAGTATATGAGAAGAGACACCAAACCAGAAAAGACCTTTCGTTGGATAAAGCAGATCTTCGGTAAGTGCATTAATCTGTTACTAGCAATGATGGAGAACTCCATAGATTTTTCTTCATATAGAATGGCAGTTCAGGACAGTGTTCACACATGTCATTTTTTTCCTTTAAAAATTTTACATTGCCAACAATCATATTGAAAAAAAGCTCAACATCACTGATCACTAGAGAAACGCAAATCAAAACCACAATGAGATACCATCTAACACCAGTCAGAATGGCTATTAAAAAGTTTAAAAATAACAGATACTGTTGAGGTTGTGAAGAAATAAGGAACATGTTAGTGGGCATGTAAATTAGTTCAACCATTGTAGAAGACAGTGTGGTGATTCCTCAAGACAGAAATACCATTCAACCCAGCAATCTCATTATTGAGCATAGGCCCAAAGGAATATAAATCATTGTTATAAAGACACTTGCATGCATCTGTTCATTCCAGTGCTACTTGTGACAGCAAAGACATGAAATCAACCCAAATGCCCATCAGTGATAGAATGGATAAATAAAATGTGGTATATACACACCATAGAATACTATGTAGCCATAAAAAAGAATGAGATCATGTCCTTTGCAGGGACATGGATAGAGCTGGAGGCCATTATCCATAGAAAACTAACACAGGAACAGAAAACTAAATACTGCATTTAGTTTCTCACTTTTAAGTGGGAGCTAAATGATGAGAACACATGGACACGTAGAGGGGAACAAAACATATTGGGGCCTTTCAGAGGGTTAGGGGTGAGAAAAGGGAGAGGATCAGGAAAAATAACTAACGGGTACTAGGCTTATTACCTGGCTGATGAAATAATCTGTACAACAACCCCCAATGACACAAGTTTGCGTAAGTAACAAACCTGCACTTGTACCCAGAACTTGAAATAAAAGTAAAAAAAATAATAAGTATTTTTATACCTAGCTTTATGGTCTATAAACAATTATGCCCTCCACAGTGGAAAGGGTTTAATTCAAGAGCTGTTTAAGCCTCTCCAGATCCACCAAAATGAATTGGAAATTTTGTTGCAATGAATAGTCCATCTGGCTGCTATAACAAAGTAACATAAACTGAGTCAACAGAAATTTATTTCTCACAGCTCTGGAGGCTGGGAAGTCCAAGATCAAAGTGCTTGTATCTGATGAGGGCCTGACTTCTGATTAATATATAGTGCTGTTGAGCTGTGTCCTCACAAGGTAGAACAGGGGAATGAGCTCCCCTGGGGGCTTTTCTTTTTTTTTTTTTTTTTTTTTTGAGGCAGAGTCTTGCTCTGTCATCTGGGCTGGAGTGCAGTGGCACAATCTCGGCTCACTGCAACCTACGCCTTCCAAGTTCAAGCAATTCTCCTGCTTCAGCCTCCTGAGTAGCTGGGATTACAGGTGCACACTACCATACCCAGCTAATTTTTGTATTTCTTTAGTAAAGACGGGGTTTCACCACATTGACCTGACTGGTCTCAAACTCCTGACCTTGTGATCCACCTGCTTCGGCCTCCCAAAGTGCTGGGATTACAGGTGTGAGCCACCGTGCCTGGCCAGGGCTCTTTCAAAAGGGCACCAATTCTATTTATGAAGGTTCTGCCCTCATGACTTAATCACCTCCCAAGCTTCTATCTTCTAATGTCATTACCTTAGATGTTAGGATTTCAACATACAAATTTCAAGGGATCATAAACATTCAAACCATACCATTGACTAACCCTGATGTCAACTTGTATATTTTTAGTATGTCAAAAATCAAAATATTTTGTGGAGCACATCCATGTTTGTAATAGTATTGTTCATGATAGCCAAAAAAAAAAAGAAGCAACCCAAATGTCTACCAGTGGATGAATGGATAAGCAAAATATTCATTTCTTTCTCAGAAATATCGTTTCTTTTTCAGGTGGAATCATATTCCATTGCATGCATACACATATTCCATCGTATATCCATATGCAATGCATCCATATACAACATATATCTATATACAGTATCAATATACAACTCACATACAATAGAATATGATTCCACCTGAAAAAGGAAGAAAATTCTGACACATTCTACAGCATAGATGAACCTTGAGAACATTACGTTAAGTGAAATTAGCCAGTCACAAAAGGACAAATACTCTATGAATCAGTTATATGAGGCGTCTAGAGGTCTAGAGTAGTAAAATTCATAGAGATAGGAGAGTAGAATGGTGGTTACCAGGGTTAGGGGTAGCAGGAAATGAGGGGTTATTTAATGTTTAATGGATAGAGAATAGAGAGTTATTTAGTGTTTAAGGGCTATCGAGGCTCCGTGTTGCAAGATAGATAAGAGGAGTTCTGTGGGTGGATAGTAGTAGTGATGGTAGCACAACAGTGAGTGTGTTTAAACACGTTGTTAAACAGTATACTTAAAAAGGTTATGATAGTAGATTTTATCATAATTTTAAGAATTAAGGCAGGTAAATATTTTGTGGAAATACAAGGAACTTTTTTTGTCTTTTATCTACACAGCTTCTTCTACAAACATTTAAAATATAACATTCCTCTATGCAAGTAAGTTATAAGACTACCCAGGGCTGTATAACCGACAAATTCACACCCAGTTCTTCTGATTTCAAACCTGGTGTTCTCTCCATTGCACTCTAATAAACGTACCCTTGAGTATATGGGAGCAAATAGCACATACACAATCATACAAATGTAAGTACTATGTATATATTATATATATACACACATATATATAATTAATTCCAAGGATTAGATCTTATGCAGTGTGTGTAGTTCTTACTAGTAGACAAAACAATAAACGCATTTTGCTGGGCATTTCAATGCTACCTTCAATTTGTGAATTTCAGACCAATTTATTTGTAAATAAAAAATATTTTCAGTGTCTTTGATGCTCAATTATTCTACTAAGTCTATTTACAGACTTTGTTCTTTGAAATAGTAAATCCAGTTTACTATTTAAAACTAAGTGGTTTGTTTTTATTCTAACTCTAAACCAACAGAAATTTATCCTTGTCTGCTTCTTAAAAAGTACATATGAATTTTATGTGCTGCCCATTCTTATCGAAGCCTAACAAAGAATCTATTTATTCTATGCATATATAAAATTGGAAATAGATGACTTTCATTAAAATTAAAAATTATTTTGATATTATACAATATTTGGACATCATTAAAAAGGACTCGTAAGTTCCAACAAACTAAAAGCTTATATTTAAAGTGGCACCATGAATAAACATGTATTTATGATCGTTTATTTAAGGGCTTATTTTATTACGTGTTGCATTCATTTGAGGTTTTATTTTGCTGCGGACTTAAAAGGAAATAGGATCTTTTTTTCCCCTCAGTCATACTTGGAAGAGAAGCAGCGTTTTATGGTAGAAAGAGTATTGGCATGGAAATTGGGCATTCAGGTACTTCTGCTATGTAAATTTGAAGAGGCCATTTCACCTCCCTTGAACTCATTTTTCGTCCCAATAAGGTAAAGGACTGAGAGTAGCTGGACTCTCAGCTTTTTTAACTTTTATATTCGAAGACTCTGCTTCTGAGCCTTTGATGCGCACATCAGATACCTTGGCTGTACCCAACACACCTCATACCCACAGCCAACTTATTAACCTTCCTTTAACCAACTTGCACTAAACCAGCTGGAATCAATTTATAATTCCTGAGGGACTTTATTAATAATGATGATGGCGATGATAGTTAAGACTTCTTGAGCACACACTGTGTGCCAAGCAGCATTTGCAGTACATTACTTTTAAAACCAATGTTTCTGTAATTATCCAACAAAATGTTGTAATTATCCTAATTATCCAGCCCCCAACTTAATACCCAGGCTCTTTTCAGCTTCTCAAATTATGAGATGGAGTCTATCTCCCCACCTTTTGAATCTGGGCTGGCCTTGTGGCATGCTTTTGTCCACAGGATGCCATGGGCATAATGGCGTGCCAGCTCTGAGCCTGGGCCTCCATGCTTGCACTTGGAACTCTGCCACCACCCTGAAAGTAAGCCCAAGGTAGCCTGCCAGAGATCAAAGAACGCATGAAGCAAAGGCTTTTTCTAGTCACAGCTCCAGACATGGGAGAGAGCCCCACCATGACTAGCAGAGCTTCCTAGCTGGACCCCAGCTGGCCACAGATGCACGAGTAAGCCCCGTGAAGCCCAGCTCATTTCAGCAGAACCACCAAGCTGAAACAATAAACGGTTATAGTTCTAAGCCACAAGTTTTGGTGTGGTGTGTAATGCAGCATTCTTGTGTCTACAGATAACTGTCACTCTGCTCTAAACACATCGTTTAGTTTGCTCATTTACTCCTCATGACAGCCTATACAAGAGGTATTATTATCCCACTTTAGAGACGAGGAAATGAAGGCACAGAGAAATTGATAAATTTGCCCAAGATCGCATAGTTACTATATTTTACAAATGATAAAATACCATTGATTATTATATCCACCACTATATACTGCTAAGAAAAAAAAAACGAGACTTAAACGCATCCTAATTTGTTACGTAAAAAAAAGTGGGGAAAAAAAGGACATCTTAGAACAGATGAAATATGGGAGTAAGTGGTGGGGGCCAGGCCTTTGGCTTGGGAAGTTTCACTTATTTGAAATAATTTGAGATACTTAAGCATTTAACTGGTACTTTAGGAACTGTATGCACCTTTTACAGTTTTCTAGAATGTCAGAGGATGTGCAAGGAACTTGCTCGTCTTAAAAATTGTTGTTAATGCCCTGGGCTTTTATGTCTTTCTCTGCCCACTTCTGTGCATATTGCTGAATCCCTTATGCTCTAACTACAACTCCTCTTCTTTGCCGTATACTTCATTGCCTGCATTATTTCATTAACATTTTCTCTTCCTAAATCCCTCTCTGGTTGGTTGGTCTTCTAAAAATTCCTCCAATTTATCTATGTCTCTTAAAAGAAATTAAATGCTCACTTACTAAATACAGTATTAATGAGACCTAATCACTAGTGCTGAATTAGATTAATTACCTTGCTTGTTTTGAATGTGACACTCATCAGTCAATTAATATTCCACATGTGTGATCACCCCATTGTATTTCTGAAGACAGATTAATCTGACCATGTATTTTCGAGGTAGACAGACCAAGATCAAATATTGCTTCCTTCTGCCACTTGCTATTTCTATAACCTTGGACAAGTTACTTATAATCTTTGAGATCTAGTGTCCTTATATAAAAATGGATATGAGCACATTCCAGCGCATATCATTCAGGATTTGTTCTGAGAAGGTGAATTAGTGGACAGGGAAGAAAAGAGAGAGGACTCTATATGTGATTAATTTCAAAGATTTCATCTTATGCAGTTTTGAGAGCCAATTAGATCATCAAGGTGAGGCTGAGGTTGGGCTATATAACCTGACGCCATCAGGTCCAGCACTCCAGAAGAGATGAACATGAAGGACAAATTGCAGCCCGCAATGCTAAATAGAATCAACTAGAATGTTCTGGAAGCCATGTAGGTGTCTCACTATCTCCCAGCCTCCAGTATGAAAGATAGGGGTGTCCTGCTGGGTAAGTTGCTCCCTCCCTCACAGAGCTACACACACACCTGGCCCGCTCACCTGACCCCTGCTGGCGGCCTTCTGAAGCTGAAGGATATGGCAATTGCTGGAGGTGTTCCAGATCTGGCTGCTTCCCCAGGCTGAAAGATGAACCACTTATCCATAGCGAGATGCCTGAGCCACAGCAGTGTCTGGTGCCCCGCACTTAGTGTTGCCAGTTTCAGCAAATAAAAATAGAGAATGTCCTGGTGTGTCCAGAATTGGTGGGTTCTTGGTTTCATTGACTTCAAAAATGAAGCCGCAGGTCCTCACAGTGAATGTTACAGTTCTTAAAGATGCCCTGTCCACAGTTTGTTCCTTCTGACGTTCACACGTGCTCCGAGTTTCTTCTTTCTGGTGGGTTCGTGGTCTCTTTGGCTTCAGGAGTGAAGCTGCAGACCTTTGCAGTGAGAGTTACAGCTCACACACGTAGTTCCAACCCAAAAATTGAGCAGCAGCAAGGTTTATTAAAAACAGCTAAAGAACAAAACACCCACCATCTGTAAGAGAACCCTAGCGGTTTACCTCTTCCAACCCGGGCAGCCTGCTTTTATTCCCTTGTCTGGCCCCACCCACATTCTGCTGATTGGTCCATTTTACAGAGAGCTGATTGGTCCATTTTACAGAGAGCTGATTGGTCCGTTTTGACAGGGTGCTGATTGGTAAGTTTACAAACTTTGAGCTAGACACAGTGCTGACTGGTGCATTTACAATCCTCCAGCTAAACATAAAAGTTCTCCAAGTCCCAGACTCAGGAGTCCAGCTGGCTTTCACTGGTGGATCCCACGCCTGTGTGCCCGCACTCCTCAGCCATTGGGCGGTCCATGGGACCAGGCACTTTGGAGCAGGGGGCTGCGCTCATCGGTGAGGCGCGGTCCGCGCGGGAGCCCACCGCGGGTGAGAGAGCGAGGGCATGGCAGGCTGCAGGTCCCGAGCCCTGCCCCGTGTGGAGGTGATTGAGGCCCGGCAAATTCTCGCGCGGCGCGGGGCACCCGGTGCATCCTCCGCAGCTGTTGGCCCGGGTGCTGAGCCCTTCACTGCCCGGGGTCGGCAGTGCCGGCCGGCCGGGCGCTCCGAGTGCGGGCCCGCGGGGCCCGCCGAGCCCGCGCCCACCCGGAATTTGCGCTGGCCTCCGAGCGCCGCGCGCAGCCCCGGTTCCCGCCCTCGCCTTTCGCTCCACACCTGCCCTCAAGCGGAAGGGGCCCGATCCCGGCCTCAGCCGGCCCGTTTCGCTCCACGCCTACCCGCAAGCGGAAGGGGCGGGATCCGGCCTCGGCCGGCCCAGGGAGGGGCTCCCACAGTGCAGCGGCGGGCTGAAGGGATTCTTCTCAAGCATGGGCGCCAAGACCGAGGAGGCGCGCAGAGCAAGTGAGGGCTTGCCAGCACGCTGTCGCCTCTCACAGGTACATTTAGATTTGAGATAAACAACAAATAATTTTTAGGCACATATAAATGTGTCCCAAATACTGCATACAAATATTCTTTTAATATAAATATGTGTCATGCAGTATGGGGACATATTTATACTAAAAAAATTATTTTTGTTTATCCCCATTCAAACTTAATTAGGCAGTCTGCATTTTATTGGCAACCCTAACTTTCAGGAAAAAATGATGGTTTCTACTTTATGTCTGACTTCCAATTCAAGTAGAAAAAAAGTGTCTTGTGGGGAAATCAAGACCACAATGACATATTATCTCAAGCCCATTAGGATGGCCACTATCAGTAGAAAACAAGTATCAATAATGATACGAAGAAATTGGAACCCTTGTGCATTGTTGATGGGGTGTAAAATGGTTCAGCCACTACAGAAAATGGTATGGAGTTTCCTCAACAAAAAATTAAAATAGAATTACCATATGATCCAGTAATCCCACTCCTGGGAATATTATTTCATAAAAAGTGGAAAGGATTTGCTATCCTAACAGTTCCAGACCCCCTCTTAGTGAGTAAACTTTTTGGGAAAATATCTTGTAATAAGTTAAGAATCAAAGCGATATTAGAGCATGACCAAACTTCAAAAGAATTGAATGTTAAATGATTCTACCTAAAAGAAAAAAGAAAAATTTGATTGTTTTGGAAAACGGGAATGAGAAGAAAGTGGGGACAGAGAAGCAAGGGGAAAAAGAAGTCAGCAAGATAAAAAATTCTAGAGAAGAGTGAGGCTGGGTTAGGGGGGCTGAAGGACTTGTTTAGTTAGAGTCATGCGGTCTGATATTCCATTTGAATTTTCTCTTCTTAGTCAAATAGACTTTTCTCTGTTTCCTTCCACTTTATACACACACACACACCGTTCACTACCATCCTACCTACACCAGTCACAGGCTTCAGTTTTGCCTACTACACTTGTGAATGGAGAGGGGAGATTGTTACTGTTGTTGTGACTGTTTTCGAAGAAGCTGGGTGTCACCTTTGTGCACAAAACAGAGTATAAATTGAAAGGAAGATGCAGCCATGAGAATATAAGGTACCTGGGAATTCAGACAAACCTAGAATAAGGCAATGGAGTTTGCCACACAGATTTAAGTCAAGTTTAAGATAAATTTATCCAGTCCTCAAGGAATTGGAAGAATCTGACAGATGGATTACATTTTTTTTTTTTTGGTGTTAAAATGGCCTCTCAGTAAAATGGTGGTCACAGCTGTTCATTTTAAAGTGTTATTCTAATGTAGTCTCCCAATTTAAAAACGATTGTCATAATGCTTTCTAGGAATACACACACACACACATACACACACCCCACACACCCCTACCTAGAAAACATATTGTGAAAGAATTATATACCAAATTGCTCACGGTTATTATGTGGAAATACAAGGCGTATTCAATCTTAGCATTAATATATTTTTGTATTTTTATAACTATAACTGAGTTTTTTATAACTAATATATATTGCTGTTGTAGTTGGAAAAAATGAAGGTTTGTAAAATCACTTGATAAAAGAAAATTTACAAGTAAGTACTTCATCACAGCGAGAAATTTTAACATACTCCTTCTCAGCAATTGACAACTAAAACAGACACACACACACACAAAAACTGTATAGAGGGCATTTAAACAACCCAATTAGAAAACTTGATCTAAGAAATACATGTAAAACACTGCACTTAACAAGTACAGAAGACACTGAATGTTTATAAACATTTCACCATGTACTAGACCATAAAGCAAATACCCACAATTTTTAAATAATAAATATCACACAAACCACATTTGTTGATATAATTAAGATATAAACCAATGACAAAAATTTGAGTAACCCATAAGAACAAAAATATAATTGAAATTAATAAAAGTTCACAATAAAAATAGTACATATCAAACATTGTGGGAGATAGTTAAAGTTATGTTTACAGAGGGAATTTATAGCCTAATATGTATATATACAGGTTGAGTATTCCTTATCCGAAATAGTTCCGACCAGAACTATTTCAGAATTTGAATTTTTTTCACATTTGGGAATATTTGCATTATATACTTACTGGTTGAGCATTCTTAAACCAAAAATCTGAAATCCAAACTGCTCCAATGAGCATTTTCTTTGAGCGTCATGTCAGTGCTCAAAAGAGTTTCAGATTTTGAGCATTTCAGATTTTGAATTTTCAGATTAGACTCAGTCAGTATTAGAAAAACAAATAACTTGAAAATTAAGCTCTAAGCATCCAAAATAAGAAGGTAAAGAAAGAACTATACTAAGTTCAAAAGGATAAAAAGAAGAAAATAACAAAGATAGGAAATGAAATTAATAAAATAGAAAACAAATATACTGACATTCAGTCCAGCCAAATGTAAGTTATATGCAAATAAAACTAACAAAATTATGAACCACTGGAAAGATGGATCAGGAAAAAAAGCAACATGAAACAATACTAGAAATGTAAAGGAAACACAACTAAGGATGCATTAGGGATGAAAACACCACAAGGTTTTTAAAACTCTTGGCCAATAAATTTTAAAACTTAAGTGAGAGGACAAACTCCTAGAAAAATACTGAATTACTGGAGCTGACTCAAGAAATCGAAAACTTAAATGATTATTGACAAAATCACTCATTTTAAATATTTCTACGAAAAAGCACCATATTCATTTTACAGTCATGATCTGTCACATTTTAATTTCAATATTATACAATTTCTATGGAAGAATAAAAGGTGTGGAAACAATTCCCAAGTCATTTCCCAAGGTTAATATAACATTGACACAAATAATAGACAAGGACAGTACAAGCACAGAAAATTGTAGACACATCTCACATGTGAACACAGACACAAAACCCCCAAAACAATATTATCATGGCAAACCAAATACAGCAATGAGTTTAAAAAAAAAAAAATACTGAAAATAGGTCATAAGCAGTTTGGGTTTCTTGTAAGACAGGAGTCTGGTTCAACTTTAGAAAACCTTGTAATGAGCCATTTCTGGTAATATGGTAGGCTGGGTTTGCATACTGACCCTTCCACTGAAACCAACCAAGTTCAAAATAAGTCCGCATGCAGTGGCTCATGCCTGTAATCCCAGCACTTTTAGAGGTCAAGACAGGTGAATCACTTGAGGTCAGAAGTTCAAGACCAGCCTGGCCAACAAGGTGAAACCCCGTCTCTACTAAACATACAAAAATTAGCCAGGCGTGGTGGCGCAGGCCTATAGTTCTACCTACTCAGGGACTGAAGCAGGAGAATTGCTTGAACCCAGGAGGCAGAGGTTGCGGTGAGTCACTGCACTCCAGCCTGAGTGACAGAGTGATACTCTGTCTCAAAAAAAAAAAAGAAAATTAAAATAACATCTTTTAAAAGTCATCTTACAAGCATCAAAGGGCTGGCTAGAAAGTAAGTAATCCTCTGACCAGAGATCAAAGGGAGGTGGATTTGATAAATTTATCCAGAATTTTGTAATCAGAACTGTTTTAAGAAACTATTTTAACTACAACATTGTTTCATGTTTTATAGTTTCTTCCCTTCTTCATTACACGTGGATGAAGAGACGAGGAAGTAGAAAGTGGATCACTGTAATCTTTTCAGTGTTGAGGGACTCAGAATTCAGCCTCTGGGCAGAGGCTAGATCATGAGTCTTTTACTCTGTGGAGGATTTTGTACTTTATCTTAAAGGCAGCTGTAAGCCATTGAATGACGTTAAGGAGGGAAAATAACATAATAGATTTGCTTTTCTGAAGGTCATTCTGACTGCTGTGTGGAGGATTTATTGGGAAGTGGGAAGGGGAGGATGGGAGACTGGAATACAGAAGACCGGTTAGAAGAAATATTGCCCCTGATCGAGAGAGCTGATAAGAACTTCAACTAGGGCAATGACGGCATGGAGGAAAATGGACTGGATTCAACTTAGTAGTTGACTGAACCCACTAAATTTGCTGACAAAGATAGGGGACTTGTCAGAAATGATTACAGTTAGCTTTCAATTTAATAGTAATAATTAAACTGTCAGGCCACCGCTTCTACTGGATGTGGAAGTCTTTGTTAACTACAAAGCACTGTACACATGCAAAGTGGGATAATTACCCACAGAACTCATACCTCCAAATTCCATGTGCCAGAGGCAAGCTCTGAGGGTTGGAAAATGAGTTCCCGTTTATTGGCGATCAACAGCAGGATTGCACATGTATTCCTGAACAATGAAGTTACTGTTCATTCTCAAGTGCTCATTACAATGGAAATTAGTAACACTTGAGTGATAGATGCGGCTCTGTTCTGAATATGCCACTTAGCAAATACTTGCTGCAGTTAAGTGTCGAGAATTCACACATTGATGGATCCTAGACATGAGTGGCTATTTTTTGTGAATGGAATGAAGATGGATACCTCACCCTGAAGAGTAAGCATCATGTCTACATGGGTTAGGAGCAAGATTTTTTTATAACTTGGTATTTAGGTGTGAAGGACTTTGTCTGGTTATGCATATTTACGTTTTTGACCTTGTAAAAAGAAACCCTTGGCTCGCTCTTACCAATATCTTTTTAAGTCAAAAGCCTTTAACATGTAAAGCCTTTAACATGTAAAATTCAGCCTGTAACCAATTCTAATTTCCCAATCTACTTCTTAACTTGGGAAACTAGGAAAAATGCAATAATTCAACTCTGCTATTAGAGAATGTGAATATAAGAAAAAGGGACCCTCCTGTGACTCCATCAACATCACAGAACTCTCCTCACATATTTAATGATCATTTCTATATAGATGATACTGATCAGCACGTTGAAGAAAAACTGAATAAATGAAAAAAGCGCATGTATTCTTTAAGATCACTTATATTCTTTCTGCACTGGGATTTAGGACATAGCATATTTAGGCTTCGTTTTGGCTGATGGGTTGCTAGGAAATAATCCTGTAGCCTCTTTCATACCTCTTTGCTCATTTTCTGCCCTTGGTAAAATATTCATTTTGAACTCATAAAACCTTTTTTTTCCCCAAGAAAAGTGTGGACTTTCTTTTTTAACAGATTTAGCACTGATAGGACTGCTTGCCTTAGGCTGCACTACCAGTAATTGAATCTGCATGCTGAAGTGGTAAACCCTAAGAATTTTTAGAGGAAGGAAACATGACATATAAAATGAAGTAAAGGCAGGCTGATGGAGAAGGGAAAATTCAGTGTTGGGCAACTTCCTGACTCCAGTGTGTGAATTGTGGAATAATCGAACATTATAGCATGTACTGAACATTAATTCTGTCAAAGTTTCCAGGGTAAAGAATAAACCTGTAGTCTACTCATCTCTCTCATCCTCCAATTTATGTTTGTTACATAATCATTGCCATTATTATCCTCATTCATGGGTCAATTTTATTATATAGTTGGATTAAGCACTGGTTTCTTACAGTGAATAAGAATGTATTGTGAATCTGTTACACCTCTAGGCACTAGGGACTGTAATAATTTATTACATTTGCCTCTTCCTTTAAAGGAGCTCATAGTCTTCTTTGGAAGAAAGATAAATATATAACCATAACAAAACATCCTAACTCTATAGTGAAGGGTTATATAGAAGCACAGAGGAGACACACCTAAGCTTAACAAGTAGAGCAGGTAGGGAAACAGAAAAGGCTTCCTGGAGGAAGGAGTATCCATCCTGTCTTAATGTAGTCTTGATGAACTCTGGGATATATCTTGAAAGTGATGAAAGTAGATCCAAGTTCTTTAAAAGCAATTGGAAAATACATGTCAAATGTCATTAAAAAATATTGAGACCTAGAATTTCTCATTTATGAATCTTAAGTTTAAAAACAATCTGAAACACAGAAAAAATACATTTAAAATGTTAATTGTAATGTAACTATGGAAACCAGCAATTGAGGTATTTTTAAGGAAATTATAGTTTATCAGCTCAATGGTCTAGAGGGCAGACACATGATTTTTGCTAAGAATTTATCATAGGAATTGGTAGTCTATTCCACAAATATTTCTTGAGCAGTTTACGCCAAGCACTGATCTGGTCTCTGTGCACAAAAAGTCAAATAGACATGGTTCCTACTTGAAGGAGCTCATGGTAAAATAAGAGATACAGACAATTAAATTAACTCTTAGAAGAGAGATGGATTCTAGTGGCAGAAACATGTCATTAGAATGCAGATGAGGCCTTGTAAATCAAATCAGCAAAACATGAGGAGCTACCAAAGGAAGATGGGGCAGAACATGAGTTTTGAATGATAGGAGGGCAGAAAAAAATGGAAATAAAGGAAATTTCTTATTTTACATTATGTGGGAAACAAAAGCAGACTATAACATTGGATATGCAGTTTGTCCATAACTATATAAAACCAAATATAGTTTTTTTCCATATATGCATAGAAAAAAAGAAAGTGAAGAAATAAACTAATGTTAATAGTGATTGTCTTATGGGTGATGTTTTTCTCACTTCTCCTTTTTGGCCTTCCCCAAATATTCTATTATAAGCATTATTATTTGTAAAATGAAAGAAAGATGCAAGGGGTTGCCAGCAGGAAGATAAAAGGCACAAAGTGTTCACATTTTAGAAGAGAACTATTTATGGTCAGACTTACAACAAAATAGGATAGGCATATTTCCAAAAGGCAATAGCACAGGGTAACATGCCCAAGGATAAAAGACCCTTCTGTGCCCCGACATACTTGCCACAATCTTTAAAAAAAAAAAAACAATGAAAACTACAGATATAGGCCATGTCACATAAGTCACCTAGAAAATTCTTATTGGCTAAGGTCTTGACTCTCCCTTGGGTTCATCCCTTTGTAGGGAATCCACTCTGCTCAGCTCTGAGCCAGGCACCAAATCTGCCATTTACTCAATGCATTAGTGCCTTGAATTTGCATAACACTTTGAAATTTATGAGGCATTTTCATAATGTTTACTTTCATTTTATTTTCTCCACAGCCCTGTGAGGTAAGTAGGACTGACACTATTTTTTCTCATTTTACAGTTGAAGAAACTAAGACTTAGATGAAGTTTCTTCCCTCTGCTTACGAGGCTGGTAAGTGTTAGAAGCAACACTAAAAGTCAGATGTTTTTATGAACATGTGTTTATTCCTCTGCATCACAAAACTCATGATAGACACTTCTGTCTTTGCTAACAAAAACAGACGAATATTTGTGAGAACAGAAGAGATGTCTTATTTTTCATCTAAGTGGGTTCAAGTGGCTAGGAAAGTTCTAGCACAGGAGAGATGCTCTATACATTTGTGAGGGGTGGCAATAAATGAAAGGATTATTAATAATAAATGACAGGATTTAAAACTTAATAAACATACAAGTCCTAAATAAAGTATCTAAAATAGATATTATCATTGTCCTTAGGAATCCACTCCGAAGAGCAGCACACACACACACGCATCAGAAAAAGGGAAAATAAATGGGTTAGTTGGGAAGAGTAAAAAGAAAAATTTTGAGACAGATTTCTAATTAAATAAAATAGAAAAATTTGTTATGAATTTCTGTTTTATTCCAAAAAAAATCTATTTTCCCCTTTAAACAAAATTTTACATTGGGAGAAAAAAAAAAAACAGGAAAAGAGCAGATGTCTTTGAGAATCATCAAAACATGTCTTATTTCTTACACATGCACATACCTGCTCTCTTTCTGCCTGCATCTAATAAGGGGACTCATTTAGCATTCACTGATGGACATAAGAGTATTTGTGTACTCCTGCTGAGCCCGTGAAGTTTTTTTTTTAACTTACTAAGGTGGTGCACGCATCATGCGCTAGTGACTTTGGCTATATATGCCCTTTGAAAAATCTCTAATGACATGTTGGACACCCTGCATATAAATGTCACCGCTTGGTGACATTTGAGAGTCACCAAGACTCTCAAAAGTCATTGGAGAGTCAGACTTTTGCTCATGGGAATGTTCTCTGCCTGGCCTCAGTGTAATATCCCTGACCTAATGAAAGCAAATGGTTCTCAGTAATTCCCTCCTAAGTGCAATAATGCATATTCTTTTTCAGATGCTTATAATACGGTGTCGGTAAATAGCTTAGCAATACACATAGGAACAATTCTACTAATGGATAAGGAAAGAAAATTAAATTGCTATCTGTATAGCCCTAGACCTTTCAGATTATTTTCAAAACTCATCACTGCAACAATGATTTATCCCATGTTATTTTAACTAGCATGGCAGACTTGGCTTTCTACATGTATGGAAGGTATCTTTAAATCCGTGTTACTTTTTTTTCTTTTTTTCTTTTTCTTTTTTTTTTTTTTAACAAATGACCTTTGGGAATGATTTCCAATAACTGCAGCCAACTTTAAGCTCAAGGCTTGGTGGTGAAAGGTTACTCTACATTTAGACTAAATGAGGATAGATTTGTACTCCCTGCAGCAGGCTATTGCTTTAGGACTTGCTATTGTATTTGACCCAATCTTCTTTCTAACCTAGGCATTTAGACAGCTTCCATCTGGGTTTTGTTTAAACTTTTTTTTTAAGCTTCAGTACAAATTAAAAGGCTTTACATATTGGCAAGTAACTTTTTTTCTTTAGAGATTCACATTTTTCTTAGAAATCTAAGACCATAGAAAACAGTATGCATGCTGAACTTCTCATAAGAATGACTCCATGAATTTTGCATGAAGGATGCTCCCAGTCCATAAAAGGGCCTGGCAAGGTATATGAGACTGCTCAGATCCCTCATCTCTCACTCATGTTTTTCCTTCAAATAACATCTTTCCTTATAAAAGAGGAAGAAACAAGATGACAAACCCTTGGACGAGGCAGCTATACATAAGCACTGCATAAGACTGCCTGAAGAAAAATGCAAGGAGATGGATTTTTTTCCTTCTACTAAACTCTGAGGACCTTCAGATCACAATTGTCACTGTGAGGGCCTTCTCAGGAGCAAAGCAGCCCCCTGTCCCCAGCGTCCTTTCCTCACTGTGGCCTGATGACTTCCTGTATTCATGTGACTTTGTCACATAATGCAGTCTTTACAAATGAGTCACAGGAATGCTTTCCTTCCCATCCACGGTAGAGAAGGACTTGAAAAGCATTCAATAGACTTAATCTCTCTGCATGTCTGAGTGGGCTTCAAAAATGCTGAAGATCAGAGTCAAAGAAGGGGATGTCTCCCTCACTTCTTCCTTCCTGGATCCCTGTCTGGCCCAGCTAGAAAACAAAATCGCTTCCTAATGCTGGGCAGGTAGGGACTGGAAAGGACTCTGGACTGGGTGTCCGGAGACCTGACTTTGCATTCAGCTTCTGTCAATTACCAGTTATGTGGCTTGGGGCTAAATCACTTGTCCGCTGGGCTTGATCTTTTTTATCTGAACAGAATGAGTTAAAAGAATTAATTCTGTAAATTCAGTGAAACAATATCCAGCTTTGTCCACAACTCCTTTTTCTAAATGAGTGTCTTCATATCAGATTCCTCAGGGAGAGAGTCAGATTACTGCAAGTGTATCTGATTCTGATTTTAAAGAAGGTTCTGGAATGATTCCATTTGTCCTAAGAATGCACCAGAATAAAATGATTTCTTATATTCAGGCAGCATTTTTAAAATTCTAAGTAGCTTTTGCTTATCCCACTTATTTAGTCCTCCTGTTGAGCGTAGATTTGGAGTACATTGTTGGAGCCCCTCTAATGTGCTTTGCTGCTAACAGGCTGGCACTCCCACCCATGAGAAGATTGCTCAGTGCACTGGGTCCTCCTTGTTCTCCTGGTTCCTCCCTGTGGTGGGGGACACCTCCTGCTGACTGGCCAATAACAGAAGTATGTAGGAATACAAAAGGCCAACTCCTTTGCCCCAAGGTGAATAAGTTCGGAGATGTAATTTATGCTCTGCAGTACCCCTCCCTCAAAAATCAGGCTGAACTATAGCAAAGATATAGAATCAGCCCAAGTGTCCATCAATGACTAAGATAAAGAAAATGTTTTATATATATATATATATATATATATACACACACACACACACACAAATATATATACACATATATATATACACACACACATATATATACACACACACATTGGAATACTGTTCAGCCATTAAAAAGAATAAGATCATGTCCTTTGAAGCAATGTGGATGAAACTGAATGCCATTATCTTAAGTGAAGTAAGTCAGACGTAGAAAGACAAATACTGCATGTTCTCGCTTATAAGTGGGAGCTAAATAATGTGTGCACATGCACTTAGAGTGTGTAATGATGGACAATGGAAACTCGGAGTGGTGGGGGCAGTGGGAGGGGGCAGACGATGAGGTATTATGTAAGGAGTACACTGTACATTATTTGGGTGATGTATACCCTAAAATCCCTGACGTCACTACTGCACAATTTCTGCATGTAACAAAATTATACTTGTATGCCATACATTTATACAAGTAAAAAGGAAAGTCAGGCTGAGTGTGGGCTCCTTCCCATTCCCTGTGTCTCTTCCCCCAACCCTCACTGGCTTCTCCTGGAAGCACTTGCTCACCACATCACTTGCAACTGAAATCTTGGCTCAGGAGAACCTTATCTAATAAAACAATAGATTTAAACAACAAAGTAAGGGTGGCAGGACACAGTAGGTGTGTTATCAAAAGACCCATGTTTGCAGCTCTGCCGTGTAACAGCTCTCTGACCTGGAGCAAGGAGCCTAGAGCCCCAAGCCTGTCTTTCCTCATTTGTGAAATGAAAATAAGTATGCCTGGGCTGGGCGCAGTGGCTCACACCTGTAATCCCAACACTTGGAAGTCCGAGGCAGGTGGATCATTTGAGGTCAGAGTTCAAGACCAGCCTGGCCAACATGGTGAAACCCCGTCCCTACTAAAAATACAAAAACATTTAGCCGGACGTGGTGGCACGTGCCTGTAATCCCAGCTCCTCGGGAGGCTGAGGCAGGAGAATCGTCTCAGCTTGGGATGCAGAGGTTGCAGTGAGCTGAGATTGGGCCACTGCACTCCAATCTGGGTGACAGAATGAGACCCTGTCTCAAAAAAAAAAAAAAAAAAAAAGAAAAGAAAATAAGTATGCCCACTCTGCTTACTATATGCTTGTTGGGAGGACCGGATGAGATCATGGATGATGGAAGTATTTGAAAGCTGCCAGGCACCATGCAAACATAAGGAAGCTAATTTTTAAATCGGAAACAAAATTATAACCTAAAGCTAAAGTCACCGATAGGGTTTCAGAAGAAATCAATTCAACAGCAGTTATAAAATACAGAAAACACACTTCATATCTTATTCTCCTCTTCCCTCTTCCTTTCCCACATTTTTCATACTTCCACCATCCAAAATGTTTGCTGTTCTTTTCAGGATTCCACCTGTGTTGGAACACTGATAGTGACTAGAGAAAGTGTTGCATTCACCTCTTGGTTACTCGCAGTTTTTCACCTGGTTAACCATCTTTGCCATGCCTGCCTGTGTCCACTGTCCACTCCTGAAGACTGCTTTTCATCTTATTAGCCCCTTATTTCTTTCATTTCAAGTTGCATTGGATCTTAAAACTTCAGGAAGGAAATAGGCATCTCCCTGAGTTGTTATAGGTCATAGTTCAAATGCCATACTTCAGATTGTGTGAGGCTGCCATGAATTGACGGAACACAATAAAATAGAGTTACTAAAATGTATGGCCCAGATGGTGGCTTGATTAAAAACATCTCAGTGTGTCCAAAATATCATGGCAGGCATACACAATTTTTTTTCCATGAAGGCCCTACAAGATTCACGATAAGATTTTATTTTTCATGAGGATCTAATTAGAGAGCTCAGCATGAGAGTCTGAACACATGAGCAGTCAGTATAGTTTGGTGCAATAAAATATTCCTTGAACCCGTAGGCACCAGGGATAAAAGGAAGAATAGCACATAGCCCCTGGTGGGGGAAACAGATACAAAAACCAGGTCATTAGAATATGATAAGGGCCCAGCATGCTCAGAGTGATGGCACCCACTTTGGGGTTCAAAAAACACTTTCCCATTTAAAGGGGTGTCCAGTCTTTTGACTTCCTTGGGCCACATTGGAAAAAAAAGAATTATCTTGAGCCACACATAAAATGCACAAACACTAACAATAGCAGATACGCTTTAAAAAATTGCAAAAAAACATAATCTCATGTTTTAAGAAAGTTTACAAATTTGTGTTAGGCCACATTCAACGCCATTCTGGGCCTCATGCCACCTGCAGGCAGCAGGTTGGATAAGCTTGATCTAAAGCAACACCTTCTCCAGCTTTTATGAGACTACTTGAACCCAGGGCCTTCTACGCACTGTTCCGCACCTTCGCCTCCTTGATGCCTTCTCATCCCTTGGGACTCTTGACTCATTCATTGTTTTCATGCACACACTTGTTGTGTGCCTAATTCTGCCAGGTACTACTCTAGACACTGGAATTTCCACACAGAACAAGACACAGCCAATCCCAGCTGTCTTGATTATAGAGCTTACGTTCTAGCAGTAAGAAATAGACCATTGAAAAGGAATTAGGTAAACTATAGGCCTGCAGACTGCAGTAACCACCATGAAGGAAGTACACGGAGTGGTGAGACCAACAATAAACAGGAGAGGCCTCCTTGAGGTCAGGGAAAGCCTCTCCAACGGGAGACATTTGAGCTAAGACATGAAAAAGGAGAGAACATGTTCTAGGTAAAGGGAATGTCCGCGAGGCTGGAAGAATTTGTTGTAATCAAGTGACCAAAAGGAGGCCAGTGTAGCTGGCTTCAGTAAACGCGGAGCAGGGTGCCAGGGGATGAAGCCAGAGGGTGAAGCTCGGCCGTCTTCTGGGTCGTGGGAAGAAACTGGATTTCATCCTTAGTGCCACGCAGCGTTTGAAGCCAAAACTGCGTTTTAAAACACACATTTGAAGGGAAATCTGATATCAGAGCCCATGGCAAGGAAAAGCGCCATCCCGGGTGAGCCGCCTCAGCTCTCACCTGGATCACTGTCTTGCTCGTCGCCGCCCCCTGCCTCCATCTTTACCCTCCCAGAGTCCATTCCCAACACAGATCCTTTATCAAGTTAGTGAAATCGGGTTATTTTTCTGCCTTAAATTCTGACACGGCTCCTTGTACCATTCGCAGGAAAAGGCTTGGAATCCCCAAGGCCTCATGCCCCAAACTCTGTCGGTCCCCATCTGCTCCACCACACTGGCTTCCTTGCTGCCTAAACACACGGCCTTGCTCTCTCTCCCTTTAGGGCTTTTGCGCTGCTGCTCCCTCTGCCTAGAACCCTTTCTCCCAGGATAGCTGCGTGGCTGACTCTGTCACCTCCTTCAATTCGTTGCTCAATGTCACCTTTTTTTTTCATCTGGAGTTGGAGTCTTGCTCTGTCACCCAGGCGGGAGTGCAGTGGTGCGATCTCGGCTCACTACAACCTCCGCCTCCCGGGTTCAAGTGATTCTCCTGCCTCAGCCTCCCGAGTAGCTGGGACTACAGGCCCATGCCATCATGCCTGGTTAATTTTTGTGTTTTTAGTGGAGATGGGGTTTCGCCATGCTGGCCAGGCTGGTCTGGAACTCCTGACCGCAAGTGATCCGCCCACCTCGGCCTCCCAAAGTGCTGGGATTGCAGGCTTGAGCCACGGCGTCTGGCCCAATGTAACCATCTTAATGAAAACCCCATTCCCCTCCACACCCCTGCCACGCGTCCACCACAGTCTCCTCACCCTGCTCTGCTTTTTTCCCCATAATACTTGTCATCTTCTAACATGTTCTACCATTTACTTACCTATCGTGTCTATTACTTATTGTCTGTGTCCCCCTTGAGAGACTGGAATAAGCTCCACGAGACAGAAATCTTTGTCTGTGGGGAGTCTATCCATAGCCATGGGCGCTCTGTCCTTCCAGGTCTAGTGTAGGAGCGGATTTCCCTGCCCCCCCCCCCCCGCCCCCGAGTTGGGCGTGGCTATGTGACTTGCTTTGGCCAATAGAAAGTGAGCAGAAGGGATGCCTGCTGCTGCTGCGGGCAGAGCTCTTCCCAGTCAGCACATCTGCCACGTCCATTCCTCCCTCCGACACAGCATCTGCATCTTTGTAGATGGAGGCTGCTCCACTGGGCTCGCTCCCTGAGTGATTAATTCGAACATTATTCCCCTGGCAGCCATCAAAGGACATAGAGTATGGTAAAGGAATAAACCTTTCTTTTTAAGCCACTGTGATTTGGCAATTGTTTGCTATTGCAACACAACCTAGTCTATTCTGACTATGTCTCACATGTTCAGGGGTGCCTTCTGAGTACTGACAACAATGCCAGGTGCACAGCATATGCTCCATAAGTGTTTGTTGAGTGAATTTCTCTGTCTTTATTCTGAAATTTTTACACAGCATAATTTAAATTTAAATGTGCTAAAGTTGTCACCAATATCTAGACACAAGCTTTATTCCATTGAGTGTTGTATGACTGACATGGTCAACAATCAACATTAAGTACCTACTATGCAAGTTAGGTCTTTCTTAGGGCCCCAGAGGAATAAGCCACTGTGTCTACCTTAAGGTAGTTTGCGATCTAGTTGCAGAAACAGAAGATGTGCTCAAAATCATCTGCTCCACTGTGTAGTAGTGGGTGATACATCCTAAAACTGTCCTGAGAGTTCAGGGGTGGAAGCCACTAATGAGGATGAGGCTGGTGAGAGAAAGGGATAGGAGGCTACCTGAGCTGGGACTTGAGGACATAGACAAGCAAAAATGAGCCGGGAAAAGAGGATTTCTGCCAGAAGGAACAACATTCAATCACACACAAGCAGGAATAGATCTTGAAACATTAGAAGGTAACATATACCACCAAGGGTAGAGGCCAGATTTCTTCGATTGCAATGATGGATGTCTATGTGCTGGCTCCACGACTTTAGATGAGTCAAGTTAATTCTCCATGCTTCAGTTTCCTTATTTATAAGGTGGCAATTATGATGATACCTTCCTCAGCCAGGCACAGTGGCTCACGCCTATAATCCCAGCACTTTGGGAGGCCAAGACAGGAGGATCACCTGGGCCCAGAAGCTCAATACCCGCCTGGGCAACATGGTGAAACCCCATCTCTACAAAAAATACGAAATTAGCCAGGTGTGGTGGCATGTGCCTGTAGTCCCAGCTACTTGGGAGGCTGAGGTGGGAGAATCGTTTTAGCCCCAGAGACAGAGGTTGCAGTGAGCCGAGATTGTGCCACTGCACTCTAGCCTGGCTGACAGAGTGAGACCCTGTCTCAAAAATAATAATAATAGTACCTACCTCAAAGGGTTGTTGGGTAGATTAAATGAATCAATACATACAGCATTTAGAATTGTACCTGGCAGATAGGAAGCATTCATTTGGAAAGAAGAGTTGAGAATTGAGCAGATCTCAGATTTTGCAAGATCTTGAATCTGAAATAAAGCAGTCTAATGTCATTCTATAAGCAAAATATTTTCCATTTGCAGCTCAAAGATTTTGATCAGAAATCTGTATTTTAGAAGCTTAACATCTCAGCAGGGTGAGTCTGGGTTGAAAGTGGGAGACACTGGAGGCAGAGACACTGGTTTAGAGGCAGACATGATGATCTCACTGTGGGCAATTTTAAGCACACACCATGGTAATGGCCAAGGAAGAAACATGCTGGAGACACTCTAGAGAAAGTGCTCTGGACCTACCAATGGGTCATATGGGAAAGGAAACAAAGAAGCAAATGGCCCCAAAATTTCAGGGTCTGGACAGCTAAGAAATATGATGATAACACTGACCAAAACGGTGAAGATCAGAGGGGAACAGATTTTAAGGGAAAGACAACAAATTCTATTTTAGACACTAAAGTATCAAGGTCAAGCCATTTAGAAAGAAATTAGATATGATAAACTGAAGCTTAACTTAAGGCTACGCTCAAATGTCACTCAGAAAACCTTCCCCAAGTAACTTATCTAAAATACCTGACTCCTCCCTCACTCTCTAGCTCATCACCCTAATTTATTTTCTTCATTTCACTTCATGACACAATAAGACCGTATACATTTGTTTATTTGCTAATTGTTTGTACGCCCCTCCCCCACTCTCTAATGTAAGCTCAGCAAGAACAGGAACCTTTTCTTTCTTATTCATTGCTGTGTCTGCAGAGCCCAGGAGAGTGCCTGGCCCAGTAGGCTTTCAAGAACTATTTTGTGGAATAAACTCATCTTTATCTGGCAGCTTAATTGCCAAATATATACTCACAACCCAAGGTCACCTTCAACCTGTATAGAAACTTCTATCCTTTTATTATTAGGGCTTAAAATACACACAGAGAGACAGAGACAGAGAGAGAATCAAAAAAGGAAGACTAGCTAGTAAAGAATATTAAAATCTAAGACTGCATAAATTCGTGGCCAGGCGTGGTGGCTCATGCCTGTAATCACATCCCTTTGGGAGGCCGAGGAGGGCAGATCACAAGGTCAGGAGATCGAGACCATCCTGGCTAACATGGTGAAACCCCGTCTCTACTAAAAATACAAAAAATAAATTAGCCGGGCCTGGTGGGGGCGCCTGTAGTCCCAGCTACAAGGGAGGCTGAGGCAGGAGAATGGCGTGAACCTGGGAGGCGGAACTTGCAGTGAGCCGAGATCACGCCAATGCACTCCAGCCTGGGTGACAGAGCGAGACTCAGTCTCAAAAAAAAAAAAAAAAAAAAACCTGCGTAAATTCAAACGAGAACGGTCAGTGGAACAGAGTGAGTATAGATAGACTTGAACCCATGTGAGGATTTTGTGTAAGTAAAGTGGTAATCAGTAGAAGAAAGATATATGATTTTCATCAGTATTTTGAGCAAAACTGACCAACCACCCGGAAGACAAACATATCTGGATCCTATCCTCAAGCATTACACCAAAATAAATTTCAAATGTGTCAAATTTTTAACCATAAGGTAAGAAATCATCAAAAAAATTGTAAAAGTCATAGAAGAAAATAGCTCATTTTTAAAAAACAGCTGTAGATTGAGAAAAGCCTTTCTAAGAATGGTATGAAATGCATGCATCATTGTAGAATATTTAATTAATATACACATATTAAAGACATCCACACACATGCAAAAAAATTTTCATGACTTCAAAACACAGCAGACTTAAAACTTATTTAGAATATGGCACACAAGTATCTAATTCCTTTAATGTGCAACAAAACTATTATAAATAAAAACTAGATGTGTAGAAAATGGACAAGCTATAGAAAAATAAACACCAATGATTAGTAAACATAAAAGCACTGACCTCACTCATAATTTTTTTAAACGTTCATTAAAAACATGAAATAGCAATGCCAACAATTTCAAAGTCTGACAATGCTAAAGGCTAGAGGATGTGGGTGAAATAACAAACTCTCATACATTGTTGGTAGGAGTATAAATATATATTACCTTTTTATGGTCATTTAGCAATAATAACCAAAAATGTAAATTTCCATACTGTATTAGTCAGGGTTCTCTGGAGGGACAGAACTAATGGGATAGATGCATATACAAAGGAAAGTTTATTAGAAGAATTGACTCACAGGACCACAAGGTGAAGTCCCACAATAGGCCATCTGCAAGGTGAGGAGACAGGAAGCCAGTCCCAAAGTCCCCAGACCTCAAAAGTAGGGAAGCCAGTAGTACAGCCTTCAGTCTGTGGCCAAAGGCCCAAGAGCCGCTGGCAAATCACTGATGTAAGTCTGAGTCCAAAGCTGAAGAACTTGGATTCTGATGTTCGAGGGCAGGGAGCATCCAGTATGGGAGAAAGATGGAGGCCAGAAAACTTAGCCAGTCTAATCTTTCCATCTTCTTCTGCCTGCTTTTATTCTGGCCGCCCTGGCAGCTGATTAGATTGTGTCCACCCACATTGAGGGTGGGTCTGCCCTTCCCAATCCACTGATTCAAATGTTAATCTCCTTTGGCAATTGCCTCACAGACACACCCAGGAACAACAATACTTTGCATCCTTCAATCCAATTAAGTTGACACAATATTAACCATCACACACACCTTTTGGCCACATAATTCCACTTCTAAGAATTTAACCTGTAGGATATACTTGCATTCACAAAGATTACAAGAAGGTTCATTGACAAATTGCTTGTAATAAAAAATTTCTAAACACATACAATAGTTATCTGCCCTTACTATAGGACTTCTATTCAGTAGAATACAATGCAGTTATTGAAAACAATGAGGTAGATCTATAGGGACCAACAAAAAGGTGTTTACAATATACTGGTAAACAAAAGCAAAAAACAGAAGTAGCTGAAGAGCATCTACAGCATGGCCCTATACGTGTAAAAAGCAAAAAGACAAATATAAAAATCCCTGTAAATGCAACAAAAACTTTCAGAATGTTAGATAAGCAGTCCCTTATATAAGCAGCTCCTTACGTAGCATTCAGAAAGCTTTCATTGCATATACAAGGATTTTTGTATTAGTCTTCTTGCTTTTAAAGACATAGGGGGTGTGATTAAGGGTAAAGTGACCTTTTTGATTTTCGCCTTACACTCTCTCAGTATTGGAAACGTCTTTTATGATGAATATGATTAGTGTTAGAATTCACAAAAGGAAGCATAAAGCCCTCGGTGTTTCAGGCACAGTCTCCTTTTGACCCATCCCCCAAAAAGCATATCTAGTGTCTGCCTGCGACTGAAATGACAAGTCCTCAGGCCAGCCCAAGATATCTACCAACTGGAACATTAGGAAATCATGTCAATTTCCAGAATCTTCTGAAACTCTGCAGGAGTTGTTTTATTTTTGTTTGTTTGGTTTTTTTTTTTTTTTTTTGAAGAAAGTAATAATTAAGTCTAAGTCTAGTTTTCTTATCTTCAGTAATCATCAAAAACTTAACCAGGGACAACCAGAAATCCTAAAATAATTCATGTGCCTTAAAATACCCAACTTTCCTTCACTTGTTCAGTTGGTAATAACTTGGGATCTTCTCCACCACTGCCTGGGATCTTCTCCACCACTGCCAGGGGAGCTGGGAAGCTGAAAGAATGACTGGCAAGACCGTGCCATGGCAGGACGGTCTGTGGCCAGTCCATCGGAAGGCCAAACAATTCTAAACAGCTACATCACAGGTACACGTACACGTGCACATATGAACGTGTGTGTGGTGAGAGAGAGAGATTCCAAGCCAGTACCATCATTTCATCAAAGATGTTTAAATCCAGAAGTACTATATGTATTATTTATATTCATGCCTTGTTTCAAAATCATTTAAGGAAAAGAGATGAAATTTTTAAAATCCCCAAAGATCTAGATTATTATTCTTGCAACTTAAAATGAGTATATATTTCTACTTTGGAGTCTAAGACACCAGTAACATATTTTTAAGGCTTTAACTCACTTTTGCTGTGCCTGATCTTTTCCAAGAATTTAAAAGAGATTTCTTTAGAAAAATGAAAGAATATTTTCAATTATCCTTTGTCCTTGATTTTTTACAAGAGCTGTCATATAAAGCATAGTTTTTATAGTGTCCCACCTTTTTAATACATCAGAAAAATCATTAAAAATTGTCAAGATTGGATTTTCCTAACGTACCCTTTCTATACTAAATGATCAATTGAGTCTATCAGTTGGGATTGCCAGATACTTTAGAAAGAAATAAAAACAATTAGTTGAGAAAATTAAAGACAGCATTATGAATAAACTATGTACATTTTGCCAAACTGTATAACATTAGGCATAGGAACTGAGGCATGGATCATATTATGTCTATTCTGTTTTAATTGTCAATCTTGTCTCACTGGATGGTAGTCAGGGTTCCAGAGGGTTTTTTTGTTTCCTCAATGTCTACTTCTTTGACACCCTTTCTTGTCCTCCTATGAGATGTTTTCTTCCTGAGTCCCTTGCTAGGCCTACCAGTTGAGCATGAGGCACTGATCTCTGTGAGTTTATTCAGCATCTGATGCTACTAATATAAGATCTTTTTACCGTTAACTCCACAGATGATTTTTGCTGTTGCTGCAGGAGTGAAGAGGAGAGTGAACATGTGTTAAGCTCTTCTAGATACATGGCACACATTATTCATTTAGTGTTCATAGCAACACCATGCAGTAAATTTTATGGTTATCACATCTCTCTGATTTGCAATCAGTGGCTTACAGATGTTAAATAAGTTGCCCAGTGTTGCTCAGCTAATGGTGGTAGAGCTCAGACTTGAACTCAGGTCTGTGAATTCCAAAACCCATGCTACAGGCCAGGTCAAACTAAAGGGCAAGCCAGATGGCCTGCTGCCCAGGGGTGCTAATCTATAAAAAGCACAGGACATTACCGGAGTAAATCAGTAATGTGTTGTCAGTTCACTGAGGTTCTCATACACAAATCTTCACATAGTTATAAACTGATTGCACTGCTACGGAGCTACACTGCTCCTGTAAGTGGAAATAACACTGCCACCAGCACCAGTACTTGCTACCTCAATTGAGTATTTTTATGAAACACATTGCAGGTTGCACAGTGCAGCTTCAGGCCATGACCCACCAGCCAGGGGACACTCACATGAGTCTCATAATCCATTCACAGTCAGTTCAAATTCTAAACCCAAATAATGCTGGTCCAGTGCTTGTAATTGGGAATGCATTCAGTTGTAAATAGTTTTCATAATAGCTTCCCAAGAATTTCTTCACTTTGGACAACTACAAGTAATGAAGGAAAGAAATAAATCACGATTCTGGACATTAAAGAAGAGGAAAGCCTCTTATTTTCTAGTCTAAGGATCCTGCCATCGCCATCTGACCTTCCTTCTGACCACTAGGCAGAAAGACCTCCCATATTCCCTCCTTTCCCTGTGCATTTGTCCCTCATGTCACCTCTTCCTCATCCTGGTTGCTTCGTGCTCTCTTCTTCTGCTCTACTCTTTAACACAGGGTCAATCCTGCATATTTCCTTTAGCCTTGTTCCGGAAGGGCACAGCTCAAAGCTCCTCCTTCTCCAAGAGAAACACACATGGAAGGAGGTGGTATTTGTGTAGCACACACAGTGGACAAGACTGCTCTGCTGGAGGTGGGAGGGCAATGAGCTTAGAGATTTGGGCTGGCCCAGGCCCTGACTGGTAGACCCAGGAGCCAGGGGGCAAATACCGTGGCACACCTGTTTACTGCCCACAGTCTGCTGCCTGAGAAGCTCTGCCCTGAAGAACACTAGAACTTCCATAACTGTAAGCTGGGTCTAGATCTGATTTTCTCACTTATTATAAATACATCAAGAAAAATAAAACAGCAGATATAAGTAACGCACACTAAATGGGAAATAGGAATTTGAAGTCTAAAATGAAAATATTTGTTTCTGGAGAGAAAAAAAACAGATGGGTGGTTGAGAATGAACATGCATTTCATGTAACCAATACCTTGTTAAGGTTGTCAACTGAAAATTATAAGAGCTGCCTCTGAAAATATCCATAAAATATTGTACTAATTTATTAGTGGCTAAGTTAGATAAGGGCAATAAAATAAAGGAAATTTTATGGATTTCTATTTGGTCTACAATTTTTATAAAGCTTTAGAACTTTAATAAATGTTGTCTAACTTGTGTTAGCCACATCAAGGTTCTGCTTCTATTTTTTATTTTAAACGTCTATGGTTTCCCTTTAAATTAATCAAAAATGTTCTTCTTATAAAACTATAATAAGAACTATTTGCTTCCCTGGCTACAAATATTTAGATTACATAATCACTTTTTCTTTCCTTCTTAAGGTTGTGGTAAGTGAAAGATATTATGCATATAACAATAGTGACTATATTTATTGAGCACTTACTATGTGACCTGCACTACTCTAAGTATGAAACGTGCATGATAGCATTTAGTCCCCATGAAAACCTCACAAGGTAGGGATTGTCTCTGATAATCTCTATTGTAGAAGGCTAAATCAAGGTTTACAGATGCTAAGGAAATTGCCTGAAGTCACATGGCTACTAAAATGAAGAATTAGTCCTGGAACCCAGTCTTACTGACACCCAAATTTGTGATCTTACTTACTACATTCTACTGCTACAAAGTATTCTTTGAGTTGAAATAGATGTTTTCATTTGGAGAGACACTGAAATAATTGTTTCCTTTTTTTTTTTTTTTTTTAATAATACTCCTTAAAAACACAAGCTGGAATCTGCGCTGCCCAGCACCCTAGGGCTCTGTGAAGTTTTTCCATTTGAACAGATGGGGGATCTTGTAGGGAGCTAATCTTTTCATTCTTTATGTTCTTAAAAATAGACCCAACGGCTCAGTAATAAGCACCAACATTAACGTTTGTGATTAGTCCTGGTGATGACTTACCAGGACACAGAGTTTAGGAGTTTGGAGATCCTGCCAAGCTTAGCTGAAAGTGCACATCTAGAAGAAAAGACGCAAAAGTAGCCCATGGTTCCAGGAAATGGCAGAGGACTGATCCTTCATGTCATGTTTTGGAAAAATGAGAGTTATCAAATGTTTAATAGAAGGCAGTTTGAGACAGTGGAAAGAACTCTATGTTGAGAGGCAGACCGACTTGGGTTCAAATATGGCCCCATGAGGGTTTTTGTTTGTTTCATTCACTTTATGCCCAATATAGTGCCTGTTACATAATACGCCCTCAGTATTTTCTGAATGAATGACTAAATGGGTAAATTAATAACTTACTGAACCCTCAGTTTTCTCATCAAAGTAATAGGTGTTTCTCAGAAAATGTCAGCTTTAAAGTTTCAAATACACAAAAAAAAAACTTTTATAAAACTGTTTCTCTGGCTTTGTCCCATCTCACAAATGATTTCTAGAGGTCTTCAGTTTGTTCCACCTGACTCATAAACACACCATGTACCATCTATCACCTACCACCTGCCAATTTTCTCCCCATTTACACCAAACACCTGCCGAGATACCTCCTGCAGCAGCCTTGGATCTCAATACCCAGGTGATAAGCAAACTACCCCAGGCAATGGTGATGCCACAGGCCTTACTCTACCAGCTCCCAGCAGTTGCACCTGTCCCCAGGCGAAAGGCACCAACTATCAGTAAATGTCCCAAAGGAAACAGAGGCCACATTCAGATTGAGATAAGTTTAAAAAGGATTATATAGAAAGGGACTATAATGCTGAGCGAAGTGGCTCACACCTGTAATCCCAGCACTTTGGGAAGCTGAGGCGGGTGGATCACTTGAGGGCAGGAGTTCAAGACCAGCCTGGCCAGCAGGACAAAACTCCATCTCTACTAAAAATACAAAAAATTAGCTGGGCGCGGTGGCTGGCGCCTGTAGTCCGAGCTACTCAGGAGGCCGAGGCAGGAGAATGGCGTGAACCTGGGAGGCGGAGCTTGCAGTGAGCTGATATCACGCCACCACACTCCAGCCTGGGCCACAGAGCAAGACTCCATCTCAAAAAAAAGAAAAAAGAAAATGTAAATTACTCCCAGCACTTTGGGATGCCGAGGCAGGCGGATCACGAGGTCAGGAGATCGAGACCGTCCTGGCTAACACGGCGAAACCCCGTCTCTACTAAAAACACAAAAAATTAGCCGGGCGTGGTGTTGGGCGCCTGTAGTCCCAGCTACTGGGGAGGCTGAGGCAGGAGAATGGCGTGAACCCAGGAGGCGGAGCTGGCAGTGAGCCAAGATCGTGCCACTGCACTCCAGCCTGGGCGACAGAGTGAGACTCCGTTTCAAAAAAAAAAAAAAAGAAAGAAAATGTAGATTACTTCTGTACCTGTCTAAAACTCCCCATGGCTTATACTGCACCCCTGAAAAATCCAAAGCCCTGACCATGATCTGATATTCCTATACGGTGTGGTCCTGACCTCCTCTTTCATCCCATCTTGGGCCATTCGCACTCACAGGGCAACCACAACACCCTTGCCCTCTGTCCTTCCACCTGGCCAGGCCCATTCACGTGTGAGGGCCTTTGCACCCACTGGCCACGTTCGAAATGCTCTGCTTCCAGCCCTTGGGTTCCTTGTTGTCATTAAGATCTCAGCCCTAGTAGCTTCTCCTCAGAGACATCGTCCTTGGACATCTATTTAATGTAACCTTCCCACTCTCTCTGATGTCTTCTATTGCATCACTGTTTTGGTGTTTGCATCATACTTGGCACCACCTAAATTTTTTGTCTGTCCAATTTTTTCCTTGTTTGTTATCTATCTTCACCCATATGAATGTAAGTGCCTTGAGAACAGAGACTTGTCAGAGCCGTTTGCCCCCTAGCTCAGTAGGTGCTCAGTAAATACTTCTTGGGTGACTGTGTTGCTTATTAATTCTTCCAGCTGAGATAATAATCTGGACATGAAAATAAAATGTGTTTAAGCAAAATCTTGATCATGGGAATGAACATTTCAAGGGGAAAATGAATGGAGTTTGGTGTCTAAATATAGGAAAGGAATGAGCAATCTAAGACAAGGTTAGCGTGAGGTTCTCAGGGTTGCTGCAGAAAGGTGATACTCTTGGCAAAAATATAAAGGTTGTGGTTAAAAGCCACATTCAGTGAGTATACACTACATGTCAGGCATTACATATTTTTCAGAACCCCATTGGGTAGGCGTCATTATCTCTTACAGATAAGAGATTGATTCAGTGACCCCAAGTTTTTCAGCTGGGTATCCTATTCCAGTGATTGAGGTTGACTTGGTTAAAAGTACTGATTTAAGATCAACTTACAGTTGCAAGCATGGATGGGGGTAAAGATGTACTGTCTGGTCTTCAGAGCTACCTCTCCCCCATTTCCCAAGTTACTGGGCTGAACTGGATGTGGGATATGCATCTCACAACCTACGTTGGCTCACAGGTTCTTTTGCAAATTGGTCTATGCACCTGTAGATTCCTCCAGGTGTCCTCCTCATTCTGAAACAGTCCAGGGTGGGCAACTGGAAATACCTTGAAGAAGACGCTGAAGAGAAAAGTGCCCGGATAAAGGTAGGGGAACCTGATTAATGGAGCAGAATGACACCTGTTATTTTGGAGACAACCACCCGCAGGGTGATAAAACCCCAGAGAAAATAACTGAAATGCAGTACATGAAAATGTTTTGCTTCCATCTTTTTGATCATCCATCTGATAAGTTACTACCTAGAATATGGAAACTTGACTTTGCTAAAAATGAGTTCTATGAGAGAAGCCCAGAGAAGACAATGCTACTGATGCACCTGGAGAGTTGAAGATACTGCAACCGAACACTCAGGTGGTCTCTCACTGGTGGCAGGAAACAAATGTTCTTCTTCAACATAGAAATCACCATGGAGATGGCATTATAGAGCTAGCATCTCAGTGATAAAAAGCCGTGGGGACCAGGTTCCTTGGTCCCTGGGAGTTTATCAGCGGTTGAAAGATACCCTGAGCTTGCCCCCTTTCACCCCTGATCCAGCTAACACACACAGCTCCGCAAGGGCTGGCTCGTTCTCCCAGATTTGCAGCTGTGGAAATGCCAAGATTTAAAATAAATTTTCTTGAAAAAAACCAACATCGATGGAGTGAAGATATTATTACTACATAACCACCAAGTCTTGGTATATGTGTTTCTAACAGTAGTGTGGAGGCAGAAGTGAAGATAAAGATCCCATGAAGATAAGGAGATTTGTTGCAAGGCTGGCATAAAACCTGAGCAGATGATCACAATCTCTGTGTGGTTTATGCTACCTGAGGAGAGACCCAAAGTCCAGGCAGTGCTGGCTTACATCATTGTTTTCCAGGAGCAAGAGCCTAGTACTTTGGTCATTCCAAGTATTTGGGATTGTTCAGTAGAGCATCAGTTCTTGGTACCCAACATATATTATTTTAAATTGGAGAACTGAAGCAACCAAAGGTGGGGTGATGTCCTCATTCATTCTAACTAGAGTTGACTCTGGCACATTTGGCTACCTCAAGGTAACTCGGTACAAAGGATTGTATTCACTTGGATCTGATAGCAAGGAAACACTCCTATAGTTACAGATGTGATGTCACTGAGAGGCAAGCATGGGTTAGGTAGTGAGAGACATACTATTTTGGAGTTGGACAAGACTGGATTTTAATCCCATCTCCAGCAATTAATTGCCCATTGTAAAATGCTAAGTTTAATAAAGATATGATCTCAACCACCTGTCAGAGCCGGAGTGAGGATTAAATTCAATTATTTTGTGCAGCACCTGGTGCATGTAAAGCCCTCAGTCCATACTCATTCAAAACTCACTCTTACCACACAGCCTCTCCCTCCAGCCTTGCTTCAGGAGGTCTCCCGTAACTGAGGGAGAGTGGAGCCCCTGGCGGGACTGGAGACAAACAAATGGACTTTCCTTGCCAATTGAAATAAAGACAACCCTCTTTGCTCAGGAGGAAGCAGGCTCCAGGGACTTGGGAATCTCAAAATATGGTCATGAGTCACAGGTGAGACAAGAGGGTCTTCCCACAGGTCTGTGAATTAATCCAGAAGTGCAAGTCTTTTCTTTGGTTTTTACAGATGAATGGTACCCAAATCCATACACTCTCAACTTGCTACAGTACTGGCTATAGGTGAGTTACTAGTGGCCTAAAATGATGGAAGGCCCTAGGAAAATTCCCTGTGTGGCACTTGAGACTTCCTTACCCCTTCTGTGGACAGTCGTTATCCCTTGTGTGGGGAGTAGATGGAATTAATAAGCTGTGATATTATTTCTGGGCAAGGTGCAATAAGACGTGTTTGTTCCTCCCAAGGTGGAGATTACAGAATTGTAGTGAGGGAAGGGGGTGATAATACAGCATCCAAGGAATGTTTAGAGAGTTATACTTGCCTGCTTTTTGACATGTGTGTCTCTAGAGAAGTCTAGGTGGACTCCTGTCCATCAACATCTCAATGTAAAAGAGCATTGCTGTTGGATGTCATCACCAGTCCCCTTCCAGGTCCCTGCAGCTATTGTGGTTAGCATTGCTGTTCCCATGGCTCAAGTGGCTTTGGACTAGTAGGTAATGGGTGGGGGAAGAAACAGCTCCCCTCCCCTCCCCCACCCCACCCTACCCTGTGTATATTCCACTTCCTGAGACTTGGGCTATGCCTACAGGAAGTAACAGAAACCGTTGGTGTGCCCCTAGCTCCCTCCCCTCTGCCAACTGCACAGTTGCACTTACTGAGGCTGGGCTGCAGGTGGCAGGCACCCCTCTGTGATCCTGCCATGGCCAGAGGAACTCATTCTACACCAGCTCTTGGGTGTAAAGTTGTACGGATACTGAAGACTTCCATCCTCAGGCCAAAAGGTCAGGATCAGTGCAGCTTATACCTGCGCTCACAAAGAAAGAGAACAAAAGGAGAGTCCGTGGCCATGGCTGCCTCCAGTACCCATTTAATTGGCATCTTGAATCAAGTAGAACTGTTTTTAGGAGAAGTAACCCATTTTGGAAACCCCAAAAACCTTCAAAACTTAGAGTTAATGAAATAATATTCTAAAAATAAAGTTGATAAAATGTATCTGAATGCATGCATACATAGACCTTGCAAATATCCATTTGATGCTCGCTTAGTTTCGTTAGGGCTCTATTCACTCTGACCTCATCATATGACAACCCACTTGACTCCTGTCTTCCCTTCTGTCCTTCTACTTTGCTGCTAGTGTAATTCTATATTCTTCATTTGCATTCTTTCTCAGAATGAAATCCTGAAAAGCAACCCCATTCGGTATGGACTCAGAATCCCCATGGCATGATCTGATACCACAGGCAATCTCTCTTCCTAACTCAGGGCCCAGGTAACACATGGTAGTGCCAGAGTGTGAGCTGCCTGCTCTCCGGTGAGGGTTAGACCAGGCTTTGGGGAGCTGCCTTGAGTATAGCTGAGTTGTCAAATATGCAAGTGACATAAGCCAGAGGGGCCTGTGTGTCACTCAAAGGTGCTGACACAAGCCAATCTGATCTGGGACCAGTAAATGTTTAATCCAGTGAGACGAATAGAATGCATTCCTGCCAGTGCCCCTACTGCTCTTGCACATGGCAATGCTGCTCCCAGGACTCAAGTGGCTTTGGACTAGCAGGCATTGGCATGTTGGGCAGGGTTGGGGGCAGCTATATGCTGCTTCCTGGAAAAGGACTGTCACTTACATCACAGCCCCCAGCTTCACCTTATCTTCACTCAGATGCCCTCTCAGACTCCTATTCTGCTACTTTTGTGCCTCCTCTTCTCTCTTCATCTCGCTCTCTCTCTCCTCCTACCCCTTAATAACTGACCACTCTCCATATTTTCCAGTCTACAGCCCAAAAGGGAGATGGACACATTGTTTTAGCTAGTTACTCTCTACCCACTTGGACAGTGTCTCTTGCTCCAGGTCCCCTCATTGGTTGCCCACTGGCCTATGGATACTATTAATTGAATTAGCATCCACCTCCGTCACTGCTTATGTGCACAGGGCCTGTTCCCATGGTCATCTTAATCTGAAGTTGGGAAAGCAGCATTATAAATGATGTGCCCAGTACTTAAGGAAAATCAGAGAAGAAAGGCATAGAGACAGGATGCATTCACATTTTGGAGAAACCTACTATATGGCAGACACTATATGTCAGGTACTGTACTAGGTACTTTATAACTGCATGTATCTAGTTAATACTCAAAAAGACTTATCTTTTCCCAGTATCAGAGTTTGCGAATCAGAGGGCTGATATTTTAGCATGGCTCCGGGTTAAAGGGTCCAAAGAGGCCTCCTGCCCAAAGTTAGGATTGCCTTCTCTGAGCAACAGAATTCCCACAAATCTGTGTAGTCTTAGCTGAACAGGATTAGGGTTCCATCTAGTTGTAGTGTGTTCCTTTTCTCAGCCTTGTTTGTGTGCATAGACACAAACATACACCATGGACACTTCCAAAGGAAGAGTGAGTATAGGAAGACACAACTGGGATCTCTTACTATGGTAAGACAGAGTGTTTGGGGTCCTGGATCCCAGCCAGTGCCTTCACTTACATTTCAACATTTCCAAAATAGTTCTTGGAATTTCCACTTTAAAAATGAGAAAACAGACTCAGGAATGTTAATGGACTGTCTGTAAGAGTGCTAGCTGTGCCTTCCCATATTTATTCATCTCTTAACATTGTCTTGCACTCTAGCCAGACTTCCAACCAACTACCCACACCTGTGACTCTACCTGAGTGAGTCCACCCTGCCCGCCTGTAGAGCAGACTGGAATTGCCACAACTCTCCCTGCAGAAACCTTCAACCACAGCTGATAGTGTAGCAGGACGAGCCGCAGACAAAACCTCTCAGACACCGAGTAGTAGAAGGAAGGGCTTTATTCAGCTGGGAGCATCGGCAAGCCATTGCCTTAAAATCCGAGCTCCCCGAATGCACAATTTCTGTCCCTCTTAAGGGCTCACAACACTAAAGATTTCACATGAAAGGGTCATGATTGATTTGAGCAACCAGGTGGTACGTGACAGGGGCTGCATGCACCGGTGGTCAGAGAGAAACAGAACAGAGCAGGGAGTTCCACAATGTTCTTCTATACGATGTCTGGAATCTATGAATAACATCGGTTTCTAAGTTATGAGTTGATTTTTAACTACCGGGTTTAGGCCAGGCAGACCCAGGCCCGGTTTCGGGCCTGGTGCCGGGCTGCCTGTCTTTGGTTTTGCTTCCTTGTTGTTTTTTCTTAAAACAGGTACTGAGTATAAAACAATATAAAACAATATGAGAGGGTCTCTCTCTTCCCTCATTCCCCCCTTTTGAGACTCTCACTTTTTATTAGTGGGAGTTCTCACTCTTATTTTTGCTGCTTATGTCTCTTTGTGTAATAGATTGATAGTGATTTATATAGTACACTTGTGTTGATGCATTTTGGTGAACTAAGGTAATGATGAAGCTTTTTATCATTTGAAGAAGTACAGATAGTAAACAAGGGAGCAGTAAGCAGGTTCTTATTACTATTATTACTTTTATTATAAGAGTTTTAAATCCTCTTATTGCTGGGAACCAATTTTTAAACATGGCTCCTGGATTGAGTCCGTGTCACACTTGCATGGTTACATGTGCCAGTTTTGTTATATTTTTAACTATATTTTTAACTACTTGCCTTTGATTATCTATGTGTAGACAGTAATTAGTAAGGTTAAATTGTTCACAAACTTTTCCTTCAGCTGCTAGCAAGTAGTCAAGAGCTAGTCTATTTTGATAGATAGCATTTTTCATCTGAGTCTCTTGCCGGGCAAGAACAGTCAAGGCTTAACCAGTTTTATTAGTAATAATTTCTAAAACAGCTTGTAACCGTATGATTTGCTTGAGCATGTAGATGGGGGTCCGATATCCCCATGAGCCATCTTGTATCCAAGTGGCGGGTCCATAGTATTGTATGATTTTTTTTTTAGGAGGCCATTTATCATTTTTTAAATTACCTATGGCTATGCTTCGTTTTCTCTTTTTTTTTTTTTTTTTCCGGGAAGCATAGACTGGGAAGCCCCGAAGTTCACCTGTCTTTATGGACAGTAAGAAGAAAGATGGCTTAATGGTGCCAGTTACACAGCTACCTGTCCACTGATCAGGCAGCTTAGCATAAGCTTTGTGTCCACATATCCAGTATAACCCGGTGGGGGCCATCCAGTCCCGGTGGAATTCTGGATGGGCCTAAACAGTCTGCAACTTTGGAAATTTCCTGAATGGATTTATTTCTGTGTAATTGGAACTCCACAATGTAACTGTTTTTGTGGTACTGTTATGCAGCTTTTGCCCAAGACAACTAAGCTGCCCTACAGGATGAATGAATCCTTTTTCTTTTTTAGCTATGTAATACTGTCTAATAATTGAGACTTTTAGAATCTAGAGATGATCAGAGTGATCTTTTGGGCTGGGAATTCATCAGGAACTGGGTCTGTAGGAACCTATTCTCGGGCTTCCTATGGCCATTGATCTCCTGTTACGGTCCCTCTACAAACATAACATGAGGTGACTTGTAGAGACTGGGCTACGTGTTCGGCTAATTGCAAAAACAAATTTTTAGTTTTTCTTGGAATCTCAGGTACTGGCACATTTAGTTTATCATAGAAAGTCTGATATACTGGTTCTGGAGAGCGTTTTTGAACCTCTCCTTCTATTAGGATGCTTACACTAGGATCTAGTCCTTTTCCATCAATGCCTAATGTTACATGTGTTTTTAATTTTACTTTGGGTCTGAGGGGTTTGTGATTATCAGTTTTAAAAGGCTGCAACTCCCACTCATGCAGGAGGGGCTGACTTTTCCTTTTTGGAGTCAAACAGGATTTTATTTTATTTTTTTTTAAGTAGCCCAAATGACACAAGACCAATATTGACACATCTCACATAAATATGATTTTTGACAGATGTACTTATTTTCTGCTGTGTAACTTTTTTTTCCAATCTAGAGAACCGCATCCTATCCCATGCTGCTTACTATCAATAGCAGCACAACCATCAAATTTTAAGGTTACATTTTTGGGGACCCCTCTTTCTTCTGTTTTAGCCATTACCTTACTTGTGTCACCTAGAAAAGGACCAGTCCTTAATTTTATTTTAAAAACTGTGATCATGGGATGCTTAAAATGGGTCATAACACGCATCAAGTTGGTTATTTCCTGGGCTACATACCTTGGATAGAATAGCATTTTACAGACAAGTTTCTTTCAGAGTCCTGGTACACTTACAATAACCATAAAATAATAGGACCGTAGCAATCTTTTGTCCTACCTCAGTGACTTCATGTATATACTGGAAACAGTTCTCAGTCTGAGGAAGGTCAGTTGAAGTCCTTATTGTACAAGTCCAAATTTTAAGGAAAATGAGTCCCGCGATGAGTTTCCTCATGTTTCGGCCGTGTGTGGAGCAGTCAGCTTCCGGGTGTGACTGGAGCAGGGCTTGTCATCTTCTTCAGAGTCACTTTGCAGGGCTTGACGAAGCTGCTCCCATCCACGTACAGCTCCCAGTCTACTGATGTTTAAGGGTGGTCTCGGAGGTTGGGCCTACTAGAATAAACTGAGTCCAATACTTTTACACAGTTATGTTTAACTGGGCTCTCTGATGCCAGGAGTAAGGTGGCAGGGTTAGGGTTTTGCAGACTTTAAGGGTTATGCGGGGATTTTCACAGAGCAAGCTTTGGTATCTAGTTAATCTAGCATTTATTAGCTAATGATGTCCTTTGGTATTTATTAAAATCACCACAGCATGGGGAGACTTTCTGTTTAGGTTTTGCCTAAGAGTTAGCTTGTTTGCTTCATGTGCTAACAGGGCCGTTGCTGCCAGGGCCCTTGGACATGGGGGCCAGCCTATGGAAACCCTGTCTAGTTGTTTTGAGAGATAGGCCACTGGCCTTGGCCAGGGCCCCCACATTCCGGGTTAAAACTCCAACTGCCATTTTTTTTCTTTCTGACACATAGAGTGTGATGAAGAGTTTTGTCAGGTCAGGTAGCCTCAGGGCTGGGACCAACCTGAGTTTTTTTTTAAACTCATGAAAAGCTTGTTGCTGTTGGTTGTAATAGATGTAGTTTATCTAATCTACATTTTTATTGACTGTCATCTACCAAAATATTGACTTAAATCTTGTAACTATTTGATTTCAAGCTTTAAATTGATCTGGTATTCCTTGCGGGGCTCCAATTGCATCTAAATAGATGTGAGAGTTGAAAGACCTATAAGAGGCTTCTCTCGCTTTACGATGTCTTATTATTTTTTTTTTTTCCTTCCTCTGGTTGATGAAATGCCAGGGTGAAAGGGATAGCCAAATGGACTAAAGCACAAGTGCAACCCTAGTTATTCAGCAGATTGCCCAGTAAAGGTCCACCGCAATACCACCACACATCCGCTCAGGGATGAACAAGGGCTGACTGGTTGATAAGCTCTTGAAAATTCTTAAGCTCACTGCATCCCTTCAGGTCTCCAAGGAATGCTAAGTCTCCTCCCTGCCATGAGAGACACTAAGTGAACTTAGTGTTGGGAGACGGAAGCTGGATGGCCCTCAGTGGCTGACCCGCAGGGACTTCGGGATATAGCAGAGAGAGCTTGGCATGACTTATTACTCCAGGCTGTAGAATCCTGGAAAAGAGCTACCACGCAACCCACGCCTGGTCGACTGGAGGACCACCTTAGTGGAAGGGGGACAATCAGGGCCTCTGGACTGCCATGTGCACAAGCATAACAATTGCTTTTGTTTAACGTGCAGATGGAACATCTGATCCATTTCAACCAGGCATTTGCATCTTGGTATGCTGTCTTAATTGTCAAAGTTTGTTTTAAGTCTTTAACTTCTAGGATCCTCTAGTAAAATGAACGTCTTTTTAGCACCTATTTTTATTAGTTTTTAGACCAAAGGAAGCTAAACATCATTTTATATCTAATAACGCTTCTTGTATGATTTTTATACCAGATAAGTTAAATTTTACCTTTATATTAGTGTGTTATTAATGTTAAACTTAATTTTAATAAAATCTTGTAGATATATTTATTCAATTTTTCATGTTTGACCATAATGTAAGATTTTATAGACTCTTTTTAACCTTTTATATTTTTTGTTAAAGAGCAGATTGATGCTTTAAGAAAAACCTGTTGCATTTTTAATGTCCAGTTCACAGAAAAACTGGATGATACCTTTTTAACTTTAGCTAATATGTTTACACACAGAATTTTCTTTACAATTAACGTTTTAAAACTTGCTTAAACTTTTAAAACAATAATTTTTTTAACCTCTTAATGTAGGTAAAAATTTACATTTTTATGTCTTCTTATAATTTTGGTTTTTTTGAAGATAACCATTTCTTTTTTTTAAAGCGAACTTTATGTCTTTGAACTAGACTGTCTAAGGCCACAAGATTAGAAGTTACCATAATACATGTTACACTGTTAACTTTAGCAAACTTCACTTTTGTTGAAAACCTTGTAAGTTTGGGTTTTCAATTGTTCTTTGCTATTAATAAGACCTTGTTTCGTCTAAATTAACTTAGAATTGGTATAGGTGGCCTCTTTTACTCTCTGCTGGTCTTTCCTTGCCTCTGCCAGCCGCTTATGCTGCTGTTCTCTTAACTACTGTGGAGGGGGGAAGGGGGTCTAAAACCAGCTGTAACTGTCTATGTACGGAAACAGGTCTGGGTGCCTTGGCTTACAGGTTACCTTGTGCCATACCTTTGAAACAAGGGACCTGTCCAGGCTTCCTTCTGATGGCTAACCCACCTCTAATGCTGGCCAGTGTATTTCACACAAAGCTCTAAGTTTCTCTAGAGTCATAGTGACTCCATAGTCTCCATTAAATCCTTTCTTGAAATGTTTTTAACATAGTTTCCAGTGGGGTGGGCTTACTTTGCGCCTGACCCATGTTTTTTCGAGACAAAACACCACGCTCACACCACACACACACACCACAAAACAAAGAACAGGTAAAAGGGCACACACACACACTTTTGCTGTTTACGCCAAACCAAAATCAAAACCAAAATCACAGTATCCAGAAATCCAAGCCAGGTCAAAAACCAAAACCAAAGTATCCAGCAATTCAGTTCAAGTCAAAACCAGAACAAAAGTGCCAGTACAGGCACACCATGGGTGATCAGGCCATGCTTCCACTCAGATGGAGTGGGGCAAGTTCAAAAGACTAGTCTTACCAAGTCAAGGCAAGTCAAAACCAGAACAAAGGTGCCAATACAGGCACACCGTGGGTGATCAGGCCACGCTTCCACTCAGGTGGAGTGGGGCAAGTTCAGAAGACTAGTCTTACCAAGTTTCAGATGTCCGGACTCCAAGTGCCAGTTCCTTCCCGGTGTTCAGCCACTGTGTTAATCCTCCGCGGGGGCCTGCTACCTGTTGCTCTGGTGAGGCGTTCCACCAGGACAATTTCCCACCCGGGAGCGCTCTTTGGAAGGCGTCACTCAGGCTGGTCAGAGTCCCCCGCAGGGATGCCCCACAGGGCAGGCTTAAGTAGCCTAAGGGGCTGCCTCGGCCCTCCCTCAGTCAACTCACTTCCTGGTCAGGGAACCAGGAGATGTAGCAGGACGAGCCACCGACAAAACCTCTCAGACACCGAGTAGTAGAAGGAAGGGCTTTATTCAGCTGGGAGCATCGGCAAGCTATTGCCTTAAAATCCAAGCTCCCCGAATGCACAATTTCTGTCCCTTTTAAGGGCTCACAACACTAAAGATTTCACATGAAAGGGTCGTGATTGATTTGAGCAAGCAGGTGGTACGTGACGGGCTGTATGCACCGGTTGTCAGAGAGAAACACAACAGGGCAGGGAGTTTCACAATGTTCTTCTATACAGTGTCTGGAATCTATGAATAACATTGGTTTCTAAGTTACGAGTTGATTTTTAACTACTGGGTTTAGGCCAGGCAGGCCCAGGCCCGGTTTCGGGCCTGGCGCCGGGCTGCCTGTCTTTGGTTTTACTTCCTTGTTGCTTTTTCTTAAAACAGGTACTGAGTATAAAACAATATAAAACAATATGAGAGGGTCTGTCTCTTCCCTCCATAGGATTGTGTTGGAATAACTCTGGGAAGATACGTTCTCCATTTGCTCTGAGGGCTCCTCAGTAGAATTCAGCTCCTATTCCCACTGTGCTAACTTGCTCGATAATCCACCCTATATTCTGTGCCTTTCCTTTCTCAGTTCCCTACTTTCCTGCCAGTGTTTCCTGGAATCAACACTAAGTTAATAACTTGCTCTCAACTCCTTGACTTAAGGTCTGATTCTAGGGAGCCACCAATGATGACATTGTCCTAAAATCACCCAACTAATAGGTGGAAGACCTGGGCGATCTGACCCAGAAGCTGATGCTCTTCATACTTTGAAGATCTCTCCAGCCACCATGCTCCTGACCTCACAACAACTTTCTTCTCTCTTGCACTTCCAGTCTCCATCCCAGGGGAGCGTCCCAACTCCCGTCTCCAGGGATGACCCATGTCTCTGGCCCCCTGGTGCACCCAAGCCAATCCCCTATTCCAGTGTCATCTTATGGACTCATCCCCCTTGCCTGTGTGTGGGGAAAAGAAAAAGAGATCAGACTGTTACTGCGTCTATGTAGAAAGAAGTAGACACAAGAGACTCCATTTTGTTCCATACTAAGAAAAATTCTTCTGCCTTGAGATGCTGTTAATCTGTAACCCTACCCCCAACCCTGTGCTCACAGAAACATGTGCTGTGTAGACTCAAGGTTTAATGGATTTAGGGCTATGCAGGATGTGCTTTGCTTGCTTGTTAAAAGTCATCACCTCTCCCTCATCTCAAGTACCCAGGGACACAAAACACTGAGGAAGGCCTCAGGGAACTCTGCCTAGGAAAGCCAGGTATTGTCCAAGGTTTCCCCCCATGTGATAGTCTGAAATATGGCCTCGTGGGAAGGGAAAGACCTGACCTTCCGTTAGCCCGACACCCATAAAAGGTCTGTGCTGAGGAGGATTAGTAAAAGAGGAAGGCCTCTTTACAGTTGAGATAAGAGGAAGGCATCTGTCTCCTGCTCGTCCCTGGGCAATGGAATATCTGGGTGTAAAACTCAATTGTATATTCCATCTACTGAGATAGGAGAAAACCACCTTAGGGCTGGAGGTGAGATATGCTGGTGGCAATACTGCTCTTTAATACAATGAGATGTTTATGTATGTGCACATCAAAGCACAACACCTTTTTCTTTAACTTGTTTATGATACAGAAACATTTTTCACATGTTTTCCTGCTGACCCTCTCCCCACTATTACCCTATTGTCCTGCCACATTCCCCTCTCCGAGATGGTAGAGATAATGATCCAAAAATACTGAGGGAACTCAGAGACCGGTGCCGGCACGGCACGGGTCCTCCATATGCTGAGCGGGGCGGGTCCTCCATATGCTGAGTGCTGGTCCCCTGGGCCCACTTTTCTTTCTCTATACTTTGTCTCTGTGTCTTTCTTTTCTCAGTCTCTTGTCCCACTCGACGAGAAACGCCCACAGGTGTGGAGGGGCAGGCCATGCCTTCACCTGTGAAAATCTTTTTCTTGCCAATCCCTGGCCATAACACACACACATGCACACGCACACGCACATATACACACACACATACACATACACACACACATGCACACACACACACATACACATAAAAAGAAAACTTGACATTTTGAAATTGCAACCCAAGACAGCTGGTTCCTTCCTCTTCACCACATTCCAGAGAACAAGAGGAAGAACTCTGTCTAGCAACTGTATACTTCAGAACAAGGTGTCAGAGTCAGGGTGCACCCCTCCATTGCTCCCCTATAACCCTCTTGGACACACACATTATTGTTGGCATTAACCTGAAATGCAAGGGGAGGGGAGGCTGGCTGACCAATACTAATTTCAGACAACTAAATACACGGAAATATTAAACAGCCATATCCCAAATCTATTAGATATCTGAAATCCAATGAAATTTATAAATCCTAATAGTGAAAACACCAACTTATTCTACTTCTTTCCTGCCAAATGTAATTGATTGGTTTTTGCTATTGCCATCCCCATTTAATATGTACAGACACAAACCTAAGAAATAAAATAGTGAGGGCCAAACATTTTGAATGTGTTTCATTTATAAAGTTGCAGTTCCTCCTTAAGGTTTTGAGTTTCTTTAAAAAACAAGACACCCTGCTAACTAATGTTTACCGGGTTAGAATTAGAGAACTGGACTACATGCCTGACTTCTCCATTCATTTTACAGAGTCACCTCAGGCAAGTTATTACACAAGTCTATCTCGATTTATTTATCTGTAAATTTGCAAACAAAAGAATCGTCTCATTTTTCCTGCAAAACTTGGAAGGAAGATAGAATGATAAATCTATAAAAGCATATTGAACCCCTTGGGGAACAGCCTTATCTACTTATATACATTAAGGTTATGTCAGTTTTCAGCTTCCGATGGTCTTGTCAAACCAGAGCACTATTTCCAATAGAAACTTCTCCTTGACATTCACATTGTGTTACGTCCTCAGTCCTCATATTTTAAGCTTGTTTGGCTTCAAGCAGAAAAAAATAGGAATTAAATCCAAAAATTGAAAGAACTGGCAAATAAAATCACAGTTTCAATCCTTGCATCCAAGAGGACCATAGAAATTAGCTTGTTGGATCAACTTGAATAGCCTCACAACAGAAACAGCTGTTTTGTGTCGAAGCAGTTGAAATATTGGAAAGCTCATAGCTTGGAGAGACTGTAATTCAGTAGTTTCTCTCTTTACCCACTCTCCTCAAGTGTTCACTGTTCCTTCCTGTTACCCATAATTGTGATTTCTTTGCTTCTGTTTTCTTTCTTTGCCTTTGCCTCCACTTAAGTTTCTCTTTTCTCTTTCCCATTTCTATCTCTCAATTGTCTTATCCTTCTCTTTTTTCTCACTCGTTTTTATTGCCATTGAACATTTAACTTTGCTACATGTTGTTGTGAGAGAGAAGGAAGAGGAGAAAGAGATGAAAAAAGCAGAATAAGAAATACTTACCTAAAAACTGCTTATCATATAGAAATTGCTCAAAAATATTCAGTGCCTAAATCAATAAAAATATCTCATATTTATGGAGAACATATTTACATTAAGGAATCTCTACAGGCATTTCCTATCATCCAACAAGGTAGATGCTGTTACTATCTTCATTTTCCAGATAAGGAAACTGAAGCTCAGAAAACCAAAATCAGATAACCAAGGTCACCCAGAGAGAAAACGACAGAAGAGGACACATAACCAGTTCTATCTGACTCAAAAGTCCATGTTCTTAACCACCATACTCTCTTGTAACAGGCATATGCCTGGTGCTTTCCTGACATCAGTTCATTTAACGGACATTAAACCAGAAATAGATTGCTTGATATATGACGCAGCTGAAAAAAGCCAGACATGACTAAGACAGAGATTTGAGACACCAGCTCCACCAATAGCTGTGTTAACTTGGCACATTATTTAAATTCTCTGAGCTCAGGTTCTTAATCTGTAAAATGAGCTTATCTGTATCTACTCTTCTGTTTGATGCAGTGATTAAACCAGCTTGCTCCATGCCCTGGTCTGTTAACTAGACAAACAAAATGGAGAAGAATATTCAAGAGAGAGGAAATAAGTCACGGAGACAGGAAACAGAAATGATTCTGCCTGGTTCAGTTTCTCCCAGATACCCTCCCTCACCTGCGAGCCAGGATTCCTCTTTCATACTTTCCTGAGCCAAATTTTTTCTTGCACTTTCATGCACCAAGTTTTTTCTCCATCTCATTACCTCCCATAAGTATAATTATAATTCTTGGTTTTCTTATTTGTATCTCCCTACCCCACCCTGTCCCCAAGGATGCCCCATAAGATCAGGGACCAAATCTGTCTTGCTAGCTATACCACCAACACACAGCCCAGTGCCTGGAGCGCAGATCGTGCTCAGAAAACACGTGTTGAATGAACAACTGAAGGTGGAAGGGCAAAGGGAAGGATGGAGAGTGAGATGGGGCAGATGGCACTGGATAGTAGGACTCCGTACTCATTCTTCCCAGTTGTCCTCAGGGTCTGTTGGAAATGCAGTCACAGTCTTCACCCCTCTCATAACTATGCCATTAGCTTCTGAAGCCCTTGAATCAAGATTTAAGAGGAGTAGCTGTGGCACAGAGGGACCCAGGAGAGACACACTGACCTGTGTCCCCAGAAAAGACTGACTTTTGAGCACCCCACCCTCTCCCATCATTTATCTTATCAGTGACTGGAGACAATTAGGTCTCCTTGATGGTGTGAAGAAATATAACTGCACTTCTCTCTAGATTCAAGGTAAATCACAAAAGATACGTTATTAAGAGTAATATTATAAATTACTCCCTGGGCAGTGCCATCAAGGCCCATGAATCCAGCTGCAGGGACCAGCCAACAACTCCTGAATCTATACCCAGCTTTTCAGTCCTGCTATCTACCTCCAGCTCTCAAAGGCACCTTAAACTCAAGAGGTCTGAAATTGAAGATAGTGAATGCCCACACCCACCCCAGGGCCCCCATAAAAACTGCTACTTCTATTTCTTCTCTCAGAGAGGAAGTACTTTTATTTTCTATTTGCCATTATGACTTGGACCACTTTGTCTTGGCTCTGTGGCAAAGGATTGGACAATTCAAATTTTCCAGAGGTCCCTTTTCTTCACTCTTAACAAAGCCATAGCAAGTGCTTCTGTCTCTTATTTACAGCCATGCTTTTTGCCTTTCAATGAGAAAGTAAAACAGAATAGTTTCCAGAGCTTTCAGAATTTTTTTTTTTTATCCAAAATGTGTTTATTGAGATGGTTTCCCACTCATCTTGATTCAGAGTGCTTTTAGTGCTGCTTCCTCGTGAAGGAATAACCTTCTGTAAGCCTCGCTTTTCCTCCTGTAGGCTGGCAGAGGACAGTGGAGCAGCCAACACACAAAACTACCGTTTGTGCGTGGCTAAAGACTGTGGTGATTATATAGCATCCTGGGCATTTCACATCCATGAAGTAGGAATTGGGGCTCTGCACCAGGCGTTTCTTCTTGTGTTTCCTCTTCTCCTGTTCTGGAGAGGGATGAAGGAGATCCTTTGCGAGAGGCATGTTCTCGTGTGGGTTATGTCGTCACAGCCGGAAAGGCGCTTTCAGAACTTTTTCCATTGAAATGCAAACACCCCCCTGGCGCCTCTGAACATTCTGAGAAATTGTTGGGTTTTGGCGATGTTTCCAGAAAACCTGGCTTTCTTCTCCTGTTCATGGCTGGTTTAAGTTCTTCCCTTTCCAAGCACATTCGAGTGAAGTCAGTTGTTGACTGTCTCTTGCAGGGCAAACTCCCAACTTGAACGCTAAACAAAGAGTAACTTTTTCATTCCAAATTTGGAATTGTTACCAGTAAACCTCTGAACCCTACCTTTGTTACATCTCCTCTCCAAATGTGATTTAGTTTCTCGACATGTACCCTTCTCCTTAACCCTGTCCGTGACTTACCACAGCCCTGTAGGCAGCTTACATAATGACAAGGTACACAAAAAAATCAGTGTGTGTTGTAAAGATAATGGCAGACATTGCCTTGGATTCTCTAATGTAGCCATCCTAACTGGTCTAAAATTATCCATCCACATTTTAAAATATTTTATACAACCCATGCTCTCTAACCCAAAGCATCAGTGTAACATATAATAAAGCCACCAATCTTTTCTGTCTTCATTTCCTCAATAGGATAAGTAATCTGAATGGGTAAACTAAGAAAGCAATTGCCAAGTGTTCAATTAACACATCACCAGATTCTGATCTTAGAATCAGCTCAGATATGTCTTCCTTACTTATTGTCTATAATACATAACCTCGATCCTGTAGTGCCACCATACACTGGCAACCTGAAAGATGTTGTGTTCCCCACTGTTTCACATGCGCTCATCTTTTGGGGAGGAATCATGTCTGGTTTTACTTTCGTTGTTCATAAATTAAACTCAGTGAATATTTATTTAATAACTGTGTGACCTAAGAAAAAAACTTATCTTATGGCTCCTAGCAAATTCATGCTCAGACAGAAAAGAAGCTCTATCTCATCTGGAGTGGAGCTAACAGTGGCTAACGCATGTGGAAGAAGAGCAAGTGAAAACTAAGAAGGAATAAACTGTCCTCTATTACTTGCTCTGCAAATCTGGTAAATCATCTGCAATCTCCATCTCCCACAAAATATCAGATATTCAAATATCATAACACACCCCAAATAAAAATTCTTATCAGAAATTAGAGAATAAAATTCAAGTTAAAAACACAGCTGTTGGCTGGACATAATGGCTCATGCCTGTAATCCCAGCACTTTGGGAGGACAAGGTGGGCAGAGCACCTGAGGTCAGGAGTTCGAGACCAGCCTGACCAACATGGCAAAACCCCCATCTCTACTAAAAATACGAAAAGTAGCCAGGGGGGTGGCACATACCTGTAAACCCAACTACTTGGGAGGCTGAGGCAGGAGACTTGCTTGAACCCGGGAGATGGAGATTGCAGTGAGTGAAGATCGTGCCATTGTATTCCAGCCTGGGCAACAGGGTGAGACACCATCTCAAAAAAAAAAAAAAAAAAAAAAAAAGAGAAAAAAAGTGTCTAATTTAATAATAAACTTCTTTAAGACTCTGTTTCATCTTCTGAGAAGTAGAGTCTTACTATTATTTCAGTGATTCTACAAATCAGTCATGGGCCTTTACTTACTGAAGTCTTAAGTAAAGCTTTGCAAGCCTATGACCCAAAATCAAGTCCAAAGATCAGTACTCATCTTTAACAATAAAATTTACATATACAGGTAATTGTGATTGTCTCAAAAAGGAAAACATTTGAAAAACCAAGTGGCAGAAGAGACTGAAATACAAAACAACTTTTAACCATGAGACTCTAACTACGGTTCACATCTAGACACTAAGAGGGCTCAGGCACAGTACTGGCCATACAGTATATGCTGAAGATATTTTTCTCAAGTTATGTAAATATATTCTAGAGCACTCCCTGAGAAGCAAAGTAGCAGTTCTGCAAAACTGCTGATCAGCCAGCACATCTTCTGGATGTTATGAGAACAAGAAGAAAATGGCATCACCCATGTGAGCCATATTGACCTTGACCTTGTGACCAGGAAAGGCACTGTCTTGGACCTCTCCTCTCAGCCATACATCCCACCAGCTCTCCATTCCACTCCATGGCTGGCCAAGATGTATTTTTCTGAACATATTTTATACACTTTAGCAGGCTCCAGGAGATGAGATCTTTTGGGAGGGGCTCAAACTTGAGGCCGTAACTAAAGTTCTAGTATGAATAGCAAGGTTCCTAAAGATGGATTTTAAATAGCAATAAATTTAATAATCGAAAGTACTTTAAAACTGTAATTCACAAGGCAAAACTTGTTGATTGGAAACTCTCATTAGCACAATAGATTCCTCTTTTATTATGGACACATACACACACATACACACACACACAGTCCTTCCATATGAAGCTAATAATACAGACATGAGGACTGGGGACATGTGTGGAGGTTATCAATTATCAATGTTTCTATTCTAAGAAATGCAATGAACTTACTATTTATCACTAGAAGAAAAAAATGCATTTTTCTTACAGTTGAGGGATTGCTGAGGGAAGTATACCATATTTGTTAGAAAACAATTTAAACCGGGAAATAAGATTTTGAGTAGGTGACATACATATGTAGAAAATGGAGATTCTTTAAAAGCAATTTGCTCAATCCTTAGAACTTTCCAAGTGACCACATTTACAAAGGAATCAGTACAATCACTTTACTGGGGAAAAGAATACTGGAGAGAGAATCTCAGTTGAATCATAAATTCACTCAATTTTTAGTATTCTGTTGCCTGTCTCCTATTTAGAATGTCATTCTGGGATTCTAACATATGGCACAGAACAGTACTGAGGGCCACAGGATCCAGGGTGGCAGAGGCAGGGAGAGGTAGGGAGAGAGCTAGGTTTAGCAGCATACTGCTTTAAATCAGCTCTTCTGTTATATAGTAAACATCAAGATGTGTCAGTTTGCAAAGAAATAAAATGAAAAATTGCTTTCAAAGCCCTCAGAATCGTCCTTGCTTTGAGGCATTGGAAAAAAGTTGATTTCAATAATTGAAAGAGAGTTGTGCAGTGCGTGAACAATCAGCTCCCCAGAAGATCCTGTCTACACAGCCCACTGACTTCCACGATATCTGAGTTAAGATTGTTCTATACCCACAAACAAGCCAAGAAGACTAAAATCTGTGTCTCCTTTTCCAGATTCCATTAAACATGTGAAATGTAAAAGTTAGTAATTAAAATGCCAGTGAAGATCTGGAAATGATTGCTTCCCCGATATGGCCATATTATGAAATGAAAAATTAGCCCAGTCTGGGTTGAAGTTTTTTCACTTGATAAAAGAAACACTGTCACAGACACCCATACTTTTCCACCACAGCACAGGTAGACAAATTTTGTTTAAAAATCTATTTTTTCAATTCCAAAGAATGGAATTAAGTTCTTATTTATTTTTCTACCAGTGGAAGCCCAACTCAAAACAAAATTTTAAAATTCTAAGTTTGATTTCACATCCCTAAAATCAGGAAAGGATGACCTTATTTATAACCCTGCTTCCAAACAAGGCCACGTGGAAAATATTCCACAACAGCCAAAATAATTCCATCAATTGTAATGACCTTTCAAGATGATCAGATCACTACATTTTATCTCAGTCATTCATTCTGGAATTGTCAAATCTTTTTGTTTGTTTCATTTTTAAAAATTTGTTTATCTTAAATGACAAGTAAACATTGTATATATTTATAGTATACAACATGTTTCGATATATTTATATATTGTTGACTGGCCAAATTCAGCTATTTAACAAAGCCCTATCTCAAATACTTATCATTTTTTTGTAAAAAGAACACTTAAAATCTACTTTCTTAGCAATCGGCCATTTCCATGTCTTCTTTGGAGCAATATCTACTCAAATCCTTTACCCATTTGTAAATCAGGTCATTTGTTTTATTGTTATTGAGTCATTTGATTTCCTTATAGATTTTGGATTTTGTCCACTTATCAGATAAGATATATGGTTCCCAAATATTTTCTCCCATTCCATGGGTTGCCTCTTCATTCTGTTGATTACTTCCTTGCTTGGGCAGAAGCTTTTGAGTTTGACATAATCCCATTTCTTTCTTTTTGCTTTTGTTGCCCGCGCCTTTGGGGTCATATCCAAAAAATCAAAATCACTGCCCAGATCAACGTCATAGGGTTTTCCCTTCTATTTTCTTCTATACTTTTACATTTTCAGGTCATACATCTAAGTCTTTAATCCACTTTGAGTTGATTTTTGTGTGTGTTGTGTGATGAGGGTCAATTTTTATTCTTCCACATGTGGATATCCAGTTTTTCCAGCACTATTTGTTGAAGAGACTGTCCTTTCCTCATTGGGTAAGGAAAGTCTCATCTCTGGGCTGGGCGGGAGGCATGAGATCATAAGAGAATATGGGGAGTAATATATCACCCCCCTCTCCTCCCCTGGATATTACGATCCACATCGCAGTGGGGTAGACATTCCCTCGATATGGGGAGTAATATCATCCCCATCTTGCCCCCTGGATATGGCAATCCACATCGCAGGGGGGTGGGCACTCCCCACGATATGGGGAGTAATATCACCCCCCTCTCTTCCCTTGGATATTGCGATCCACGGTGGACCGACAGCTTGTTTACGAAATTGTGAGCAATCTCATCTTCCCCTCTTGAAATTATGAACTATTTCCAGACAGGTGTACGCCCTCTGCAGTATTGGCAGTAATATCGTCCTCTCCCCACCCTTGATATTCAGAACAATATCACAGGTGTGTTTTTGCTCTCTGCGATATCAGGTGTCATATCATCCTCTCCCACCTTGAAATTAGGAACAATATCACTGGGTGCGTGTACACGTTCTGTGATATTGAAAATAATATCATCCTTTTCTCTCCTGGATCATGGGAACAATATCACTAGGGGGTGTACATTTTCTGCGATATTGGGAGTAATATCATCTCCTCTGTCTTTGAATATTAAGGACAATCTCACAGGGGGTTGTACACTCCCTGCGATATTGAGAATAATATTATCCCGCACTGCGTATTCAAAAAAATCACAGAGTGGCTGTACACCTCCTGCGATATGGGGAGTGATATCATCTTCTCCCCTTCTGGATATTAGGAACAATTTCACACGGGGCTGCACACTTTCCGCGATGCTGGGAATAATATCAACCTCTCGGCCTTTGAATATTAAGAACAGTATCACAGGGTGGATGGACAACCCCTGCGATATCGGAAGTAATATCAGCCTCTCTCCTCCATGGACATTAGGAACAATATCCCAGGGTGGGTGTACACCTCCTGCTATGTGGGGAGTAACATCATCCTCTCCCTTCCTGGATATTCGGACCAATATCACAGGGTGGCTGTACACATCCTGCGATACTTGAAGGATTATCATCCTCTCCCCCTCCGGATACTAGGAACCGTATCACAGAAGAAGTGTACACTCCCTGCGATATCGGAAGTGATATCATTCTCTTCTTTTGTGAATAGTAGGAGCAGTATCACCGGGTGGCTGGACACCCCCTGCTTTATTGGGAGCAATGTCATACTCTGACCCATGGATGTTAGAGTCAATATCACAGGGTGGGTGTACACCTACTGCGATATTGAAACGAATAGCATGCTCTCCCTCCCTTCTAATACCGCACAGGGTCTATCGCAGTTGTGTGTAGACCCTGTGCGGTATTAGAAGTGATAATAGTGATAATGTCATTATTAATCATTAATTATTATTAATTATGAATAGTATTATTAATAAGTATTAATTATGAATCGTTATTATTAATAATAACTATTTATGACTAGTATTATTCATAATTATTAATATGAATTATGAATAGTATTATTACTAATTATTATGAATAGTATTATTTATAATTAATAGCAACGAATACTGATTTCTGAAATAATGCTCTTAGTTATTATTAATATTAATAGTTGTTATCAATATCCATTGCTAAGCTTGTATTTACCATTGCTAATCTCGATATTGATTATTAATATTAATCATTCTTATCAATATTAATAATATTAATTTCATTGTAAGCACATTACTAACAGTAATGATTGATATTAATTAGCATAATTTTATTAATATTAATACTTGATATTGGTTATTAATATTAATAAATATTATTCCTGATATTGGGTGGGAGACGATGCTATAACTCCCAATATCGCAGAAGGTGTACACCACCTGTGTTGTTCCTAATAGCCAGCGGATAGAGGATTACATTACTCCAAATCTCGCAGTGCATGTACATCCCTTCTGTGATATTGTTCCTGATATGCAGGGCGGGGAGAGGATGATATTACTCCCAATATTGCAGGCGGCGTAGACCCCTCCTGTGATATTGTCTCTGATATCCAAAGGTGGAGAGGATGACATTTCCCCAAATTCGCAGGAGGTGTGCACCACCCCTGTGATATTGTTCCTAATATCCAGGGGGCGAGAGGATGATATTAGTCCTAGTACCACAGGAGGTGTACACTCCTTAGTGGTATTGTTCCTAATATCCAGGGGAAGAGAAATGATATGACTCACAATATGGCAGAGGTGTACACACCCTCCACAATATTCTTCCTAATATCCCGGGGGGATTAGAATCATATTACTCCCAATATCACACGGGGTGTACACGACCCCTTTGATATTGTTTCTACTATCCAGGGAGGGAGAGGATATTACTCCCAATATCTCAGGGGGTGTACACCCCCCCGCACCAACATTGTTCCTCATATTTAGTTGGGGAGAGGATGATAATACTCTCAATATCTCAGAGGGTGTACACCCTTCTTGGGATATTGTTTTGTAATATCAAGTGGGGGAGAGAATGATGTTACTACCAATGTCGCAGGGGGTGTACACCCCCCCGTTATTTTGTTTTGAATATCCAGGTTGGGAGAGGGTGACATTACTGCCAATACCGCAGGAGTTGTACACCCCACCTGTGATATTATTCCTAATATCCAGAAGAAGAGAGAAGGATATTACTCCCAATAGCGCAGGAGGTGTACACACCCCTGTGATATTGTTCCTAATATCCAGTGGGGGAGACACAGATATTGCTGGCCATATCGCGGGGGTTGTACACCACCTCGGTGATATTGTTTTTAATATTCAGGGGGAGGAGGATGACATTACTCTCAGTATCGCAGTGCGTGTACACCAACTCTGCGGTGTTGTTCTTAAACTCCACGGAGAGGGGGGATGAAATGATGAAAGGGTGGACACCCTTTCTTGGCTATTGTTCCTAATATTCAGGGGAGAGAGCATGATATTAATCCCAATATCGCTGTATACACCGCTTTTTGATATTGTTCTTAATATCCCGTGGGGGAGGGGAGTCTCTATTACTGCCAATATCACAGGGTGTGTACACCACCCATGTTATATTGTTTCTTATTTCCAGCAATGAAGAAATTGATATTACTCCCAAAATGGAATGGGCTGGACACCTCCCATGACATATTGTTCCTAATATCCAGCGGGGGAAAGGGTGATATTACTCCCAATGTTGCAGCGGGTGTGTAATCTGCCTGTGCTATTGTTTCTAATATCCAGGGGGAGTGACGATGATATTACTCCCATTATCGCAGATGGTGTACACCGCCCTTGTGATATCGTTCTCAACATCCATGGGGGTAGAAAATAATATTACTCCCAATATCGCAGGCCGTGTACACCCCTCCCATGATATTATTTCTAATATCCAGGTGAGGGGAGGATTCTATTACTCTCAATATCGCAAGTGATGTACACCCCTTCTTTGATATTTTTCCTACTACTTACGGGGAGAGAGGATGATGTTACTCCCAGTATCGAAGGAAGTGTACACGCCCCCTGTGATATTGCTCCTAATATCCAGGTTAAAAGAGGATGATACTACCCGCAATATCGCAGGGGGTGGGGTGTAAACTCCGCCTGTGATATTCTTTCTAATATCCAGGGGAAGAGAGAATAATATTACTCCTAATAGCGCAGGGGTTGTACACACCTTGTGAAATTGTTCCTAATATCCAGGGAAGGAGCCGATGATATTACCGGCCTTATCGCAGGGGGTGTATCCCCTTCTGTGATATCACTCCTAATATTCAGTGGGGAAGAGGATAACATTAATCCCAATATCGCAGGAGGTGTACAGCCCCCCTGTGATATAGTTCCTAATGTACAGGGAAAAGAGAATAATAATACTCCCAATATCACAGGGGTATAAAGACCCCCCCTTTATTTTGTTCCTAATATGCAGTGGGGAAGAGACTGATATTACTCCCAATATCGCGGGGGCTGTACACCCCTTCTGTGTTATGGTTCCTGCTATCCAGGGGGTTTGTGGCTGATATTACTCCCAATAACGTAGGAAGTGTACACCCACCCTGTGATTTTGTCCCTAGTAACCACATGGGGAGAGGTCGTGTTACTCCCAATATTGCAAGGGGTCTACACCACACCTGTGATACTGTTTCTTATATCCAGGAGTGAAGAAATTAGTATTACTACCAATATTGAAGGGATGGACACTCACCATGTGATAGAGTCCTCAATATCCAGGTTGAGAGAAGATGCTATTACTCCCAATACAACAAGGGGTGTAATAACCGAGAGAGCAGAGGAGCACTTCAACGTGTGATGACCTTCAGCATGAAGGCATTAGTTGAATCCTGGAAAGTTAATCCTCACTTTGTCACAGCTCTGCAAGTACAGGAGATAAGCCCTAAAGCGGAGACAAATACAGGAGACAAGGCCACGCAAAGTGAGGAAAATAATAGGAAACACTCTCCTCCAAAGCAAGGATGCCAAAGGAAAAATTATTCAATGACGCTTGTGAAAGCATGGTAAGGCAGACTTTACTAAGGACCACTATGAAAGATATAAGGCTCCCTACAATGGGATTTTTCAGTGGAAGAGAGATTGGGCCCAATTCTGAATACAGCCTGGGCAAGTGGGAATTTATAGCCAAGGAGCAAGGTAAGGGTCAGTGGGTGGAAAATTATGAAGAGAAAACATCAGGGATAAGGAGGATTCTGGCTAAAACCACCTGCCAGGATGTCTGTGGAAGGCTGTTCATGTGATCTGAGATTACCCCAGGACATGGGTGGAGGATGAGGGATATGATCAAGAATGACCAGATGTTGGGGGTGGGAGGGTTCTTGCTAAACTGACTTAGTAGGGTTCTTTGCTAAAACTAGATTTTATAAGAAAGTGCACAGACAGGCCTAAGAAAAAGTTCAGAAGTCTGACTGAAGTTTGACTGCACAAAGAATCTTTGCCAGGACTTGTCCTCAAAATAAGGGTGAACTAGAAATAACACTTTCATTCTACACCTTCAGACGTCTACAAGAAGAAGTAGCTGTCTGAATTCTATCCTTAACAAAGGGGCAAAAGCACTCTGAAGTTTTAACCACAACCGGTTCTCACGCTGATCTGCAGCCTGAGTTGGCAGAAACTGGGTGGTCCAAAAAACCTCAAGCAGAGAATTATTACAAGCATCCTGGGAATGGGCAGAAGGGTCAAAATGGCGGTAGTTGGAAGGAAAGGACTTCATAGTGACTTACATAACCATGGGTTGAGAGGAAAATATGGAAAAAGAAGAAACAACCATGTCATCAAAAGACAGAGGAAGAGTTAGAGAAGGACGAATTTGAGAGGCGGTCTACAAGCAGATGGAGAATAGGATGCAGAGAAACAAGAAAGGAGGACCTTTCTACTGGCAGCCACAAAATTAACCGAGTGTTTTTTTTCGTTCGAAGCTGTGGCCCTGAGGTTGCTTGTCCCTCCTCTCCCAGATCTTTAAGATTATGTTGTGGCTCACTCCTATAATCCCAACACTTTGGGAGGCTGAGGCGGGTGGACACCTGAGGTCAGGAGTTTGAGACCGGCCCGACCAACATGGCGAAACCCCATCTCTGCTAAAAATACAAAAATTAGCCAGGCATGGTGGTGGACACCTGTAATCCCAGCTACTCCAGAGGGTGAGGCAGGAGAAACGCTTGAACCCGGGAGGCAGAGGTTGCAGTGAGCCGAGATCGCGCCATTGCACTCCAGCCTTAGTGACAAGAGTGAAACTCCGTTCTCAAAAGAAAAAAAAAAAAAGGTTATGTTATGGACTTCCCTTAGCCAGTGGCTAATGGCCCAAGGCAATTGCGTTTTCCCATTTTAAATCTGAGGCTGCCACAAAGTGGTAAAAACTACGAGTCCCTTTCTGAGCTTTTCAACTCTTCAGTGGTATCTGTAAATTATAGAAATGCCCCTGGTTTCCATGATTACTTCGATGTAGTTAAGGCCTAGAATTTGCAGGTCCCTGGTTAACATGCAGGAAGACTTAACAATGAGACAGGAGCATACATAACAGTGATCTTAAGCACAGTTCAGCAATGGGATTGAGAGAATTTCACAGGGCACAGTCCATCCAGGTATAAGGCAGTTTTAGTCCAAAATTCCTTTACACAGACCATCTCCAGCTGAAAAGAATTCATTGGTGTAAAATATATTATTGAACTGGTAGCCCGTATGTATAGAGAAAAGGAAGTGTAGCCAGAACAAGTGTTTGTAAATGGCATTACCTTGTTCTCAGCTTTGGAGAGAAATAGCCAGAATATAAGCTGGAAGCTTTCTGCATTGTTCCTGATGATTTCAGTGGCCTGAAGCCCGCAGAATGCAGAATGGCTTCTCACATGTATTGATCATTGGAAGGTCTCAGCCACTTGCACCCTCATTCACTGAAAAATTACTTAGTGTTTCGTTAATGTCATAGTTTCCTCTTCTTACTTTGCCAGAGTACTGAGAGTGGGAAAAAATATGAGGTTATTATTTGACATTTAGGATTTTACATACATGTAGAAAGTATGTTCTATAATATCAGAACCTTGATCTGAGTCTATGACCCCCCGAAAGAAATCTATTTCTAGAGCAATTTATTTTTGACACTAATACTACTTGGAAACCCTTAGCCCATCCAAAGAGCAGATATGGAACAACCAGGACATGGGCATAACCCCTTTGATGGAAAAGTCAGATACAGTTGACTCTTGAACAATGCAGAGGTTAGAGGAGCTAATCCCCCTCCCATTTGAAAATCCACATACAACTTTTGACTCCTCCAAAAACTTAATTCCTAATAGCTACTATTGGCCTGAAGTCTTACTAATAACATAGTCAATTAACACGTATTTTGTACATTAAATGTATTATGTACTGTATTCTTACAATAAATTAGGCTACAGAACAGAAAATGTTATTAGGAAAACCATCAGGAAGACAAAATATGTATACTATTCCTTAAGTGGAAGTGGATCATTGTAAAGATCTTTATCCTGATCATCTTAATATTGAGTACGCTGAAAGGAGGAGGAGGAAGAGGAGGGCTTGGTCTTGCTATCTCGGATGTGGCATAGGTGAAGAAAATTCACGTATAAGTGGATTCATGCAGTTCAAACCCGCATTGTTCAAAGGTCACCTGTGGTCATTTTCTAAATGAGTGCAGAACCCCTACCCACCCAATGTAGCCCTGTATAGTACTGGCCTCCCTGCTTTATAAATGTTATTGAAATGGGAGAGTTCTCTGATTCCCCTCAGAATTAGTCTGTGGGGTGTCGTCTGCTTGGTTTCCCCACAGCTCAAATCCCCAGGGAGAACATGCAGATGGGCAGTTGCAGGGGCTGGACCCACGGCAGCCTCTCGGAGTTGCTATCTGTGACTCCTGAAGCGCTTATGGGTGTGTATTACCAACTTCTTTTAGATTTGCCATCTGCAGATGACTTGTGTGTTAATCAGCTCAATGGACCCTCTGAGGCCTTATTGCAAGGGCAGGGGGCCAGGGTGAGGCTGTCACCCTGAGAACACCCAGAGTTGTTGCCCAGTGTACCAGAAGAATCAGATTACACGTGGGCTCAAAGGATGAGTGCAAGGTTTTATTGAATGGTGGAGGTGGCTCTCATTGAGATGGATGGGGAGCTGGAAGGTGGGGGATGGAGTGGGAAGGTGGTTTTCCCCTAGAATCAGGCCTCCCAGCGGCCAGAGTCTTCTCTAACTGCCCCTGGCTGAACTCTCCTGGGCATCCAGACATCCTTCCTCTTCTCTCTTTCTCTGCCATGTTGTTCCATCATCACTGATCTGCTAGTTCTGACATTCAGCTGCTTGTGCTTGTGGCTGTGCCCACTAAGGTCTCGGGTTTATATGGGCACAGGTTGGGGGGCATGGAGGACCAGAGTGGTCTTGAAAAATGCAACATTTGGGCATGAAAATAGGAGTCCCCGTTCTCACCTAGGTCCATGGGGCACAGGCCCAAGGGTGGGGCCCTCTCCAGGGACCCCATTCTTCTCTACCCAGCACTTCTCTGCCCACCTCCTGTATCATTATAAATAGAAAAAATGGGCCAGGCACAGTGGCTCATGCCTGTAATCCCAGCATTTTGGGAGGCTGAGATGGGTGGATGACCTGAGGTCAGGAGTTCAAGACCAGCCTGGCCAACATGGTGAAACACCGTCTCTACTAGAAATACAAATATTAGCAGGCATGGTGGCACACGCCTATAGTCCCGGCTACTGGGAGGCTGAGGCAGGAGAATCACTTGAACCTGGGAGGCAGAGGTTGCAGTGAGCTGAGGTAGCACCATTGCACTCCGGCCTGGGCGACAGAGCAAGACTCTGTCTCAAAAACAATAAAATAAATAGAAAAAATGGAGCAGAACACATGATGAGATACTGTTGTTTGAGAAAATCAAAGCACCCTGCTCTTATTGTTATTATTGTTATCCCCCAGTGTGTCACTGTATGAAATAACAAGACTAGGACAGGGAGCAGTGAATTAGGCCATGAGAAGTTTTTCTGGATACAGCCAGAGCCGTGAACAAGGAGACTAAATAACCTGCAGTGTTTAGGTGGCCTTTGAACACTCAGACCCCCAATTTGTAGATCAGGTAGTGAGGTGTTGGGGAACAGAATAGGAGTGACAATAGGGAGGAGTGATACTCTGTGATGGAAGAACACTAAGCAGTTGGATCACCTCAAGAATTTGCCTTTTAAATACTACAATTGGCTAATACAGGAAATAAAATTTTCCTGGGTCTTCAATAATTCTTACAAATTCAATGAGCAATGCTTGTAAATAATGTAAACCTAATGTTTTCTTAGATGAGATAAAACTGTATGTGATTATTTCTTAAAGTCATAAATTAAATACTGCATATTATTTAAATAGCCATTTCAAATTATTTAAGACTGTGACTCCACTGGCCAATAATATGTTTATTATTAGCATATAAAATACGAACAAGGCAGAGCTTCCTTCTTTTTTTTCTGTTTTTTTTTTTTATTATTATTATACTTTAAGTTCCAGGGTACATGTGCACAACGTGCAGGTTTGTTACATATGTATACATGTGCCATGTTGGTGTGCTGCACCCATTAACTCGTCATTTACATTAGGTATTTCTCCTAATGCTATCCCTCCCCCATCCCCCCACCCCACAACAGGCCCCAGTGTATGATGTTCCCCTTTCTGTGTCCAAGTGTTCTCATTGTTCAATTCCCACCTATGAGTGAGAACATGCGGTGTTTGGTTTTCTGTCCTTGCGATAGTTTGCTGAGAATGATGGTTTCCAGCTTCATCTATGTCCCTACAGAAGACATGAACTCATCATTTTTTATGGCTGCATAGTATTCCATGGTGTATATGTGCCACATTTTCTTAATCCAGTCTATCATTGATGGACATTTGGGTTGGTTCCAAGTCTTTGTTATTGTGAATAGTGCCTCAATAAACGTATGTGTGCATGTGTCTTTATAGCAGCATGATTTACAATCCTTTGGGTATATACCCAGTAATGGGATGGCTGGTATTTCTAGTTCTAGATCCATGAGGAATCGCCACACTGTCTTCCACAATGGTTGAACTAGTTTACAGTCCCACCAACAGTGTAAAAGTGTTCCTATTTCTCCACATCCTCTCCAGCACCTGTTGTTTCCTGACTTTTTAATGATCGCCATTCTAACTGGTGTGAGATGGTATCTCACTGTGGTTTTGATTTGCATTTCTCTGATGGCCAGTGATGATGAGCATTTTTTCATGTGACTGTTGGCTGCATAAATGTCTTCTTTTGAGAAGTGTCTGTTCATATCCTTTGCCCACTTGTTGATGGGGTTGTTTGTTTTTTTCTCGTAAATTTGTTTGAGTTCTTTGTAGATTCTGGATGTTAGCCCTTTGTCAGATGAGTAGATTGCAAAAATTTTCTCCCATTCTGTGGATTGCCTGTTCACTCTGATGGTAGTTTCTTTTGCTGTGCGGAAGGGCAGAGCTTCATTCTTAACATTTCTGTACTTAGTTGTAAATATTCTCAGGTTGAAAAACATGCTAATTCATGTGAAGAAAACAGTTCCCATACCTTTTAATTGACATTATTGAGAGAAATTTACCTCACAAGGATGCTATTTGTTACTATGGTTGCTGAACCCAATTTTTGTTACACCAGTGATTTCACAACTCTAAGAGGATCAGTTAGCCTAGTCTCATGGATTCGGGTTATCTGTATGATCTAATTCTTTAGTCTAGTAAGAGTTCTTTCACTCAAGTTGGAAAACTTCAAGTAATAGAAACATGATCCCTCTTCTAATTCTGAAGGCCTTTTCCCTTGATGGGCTCCTGAGAAATGTAACTTTAAATCCTTTGGGCCTGATGATTCTTGAAATTTTTTTATTCTTAGAACTATAGAACTATACAAAAAAGCAAAAAAGCAAAATTGCTTTTGCACCAACCTAATACATATATATCATATATGATATATGTTTATATATAATGGTATATTATATATGTTTATATATAAAATGGTATATTATATATGTTTATATATAATGGTATATTATATATTAATAGGATTTATATATGTTAATATGTCATGATATATTAATATATAATCATGATATATGAACATATATCAGTATAATATATATGATTATATATCAATATATAATGTACATTATTGTGTATTAATACATCAATATATAATATATATCACTATATATTACCAATAATATATTAGAACATATGCTTATATATGTATTAAATTGGTGCAAAAGCAATTGTGGTTTTTGCCTTTTTTCTTTTAAATGGCAAAGACCACAATTACTTTTGCATCAACCTAATATGTATATATACACAATCTAATTTGAATATTTTATGTCTGATTTAAGGTCACAACTTGTGGTATCATTCTATTCATATTCCCTTTGAGTCAGAAAATGCATTGAGCTGACACATTTACACTTTTTGTTTCTACACTCTTTAGCCATACAATAAATTAGTTAATAACACTAACATGATTGAATAACAAGACTCAACACTTGGTTATTTTTTTTCTCTTTTGCACATTATTATGAACTAATAGTTTTTCAGATTTACAGTGTGTCAACTGACCAAAACTATTATCCTCCTTTTGGTGCTCGAATTGTCTCAAGTACACCTTAAATTGGTTTCTGTGGTCTTTTGACATAACACCATTAATCTTCAAAAGCTTCCCTCCTTCCTGGCACAACCTGATAGTAGAGTTTCACATTGTACTTTCCAGCCCATACATGGAATCAACCATTTTCTAAAAGGTCCTGTGCTCTTGAACACTAGGGTAGATCACAGAATGACCTTGCCCTGGACCATGTCAGTGAACAGGGCTATAAACAATGTTTTCCAGCCCTGGAACACCACAAATTTATATTAATCTTTCCAATAGTGCAGCATTCCTATTTAAACTATTGATTCAGTTATTACGTCTCCTTTTTCTTACACTGAAATTGTTGACTTGCAATGAAACAAATTACTTACTTGCTTTACCAACAATACAAAAAAAAAATTCTAAAGTCACAATTTAAAATTTAATCCAAACAAAAAATAGCTACCAAAGTTCACATGCTTAGGCAGTTTCTGTTGTTTTTAGACTGCATTCCAGGAAGCATTTGAAATCAAATTAATTTGTTCTAGATTCCCTCAGAATTCATTTTCTGTGGTTATATAAGCACTTATCTGATGCATAGTTTGGTTTGACTATTTTAGTTCACTTTCACTTTGAGAGTATTGGCATTAGAATGGCTATACTGGAAAACTCTATAAAAATGGAGGCTTTCAAACACTGTCCTTTTCTTGGGGATTGTTGATAAAAGGAGAAAGAAGTTACTCTCTACTAGTCCACTGGGAAATAATGGGAAACCTCAGCTCAGTTTCCAAACTTCTTATGTACAGAAGTTTTATTTCACCACTGGGTTACCCATCTAGGGTAAGTATGAAAGACCATCTATATAATTTATATATAAACAAGATATAAATATATGTGTATAAATAATATATACAGGCATATAGTGAATGACCAGATTTTTAAAAATTGTTTCTTCTATTTTTTTATTTTCTAGCAATAAGAACCTGTGTATATATTTCATATATTCATTTCATTTTTGTTAACTCTACAAATTCCTATCTTGGTCTTAAAGCTTTCAAATTTATTTTCATTCCTTATCTGAGCAACAAGCTCTTCTTTGTTTTATGATATACCTCTTTCCCTTGCCAGCCATGCTATCAATTGTTATATCAAAGTTTACAACATACAAATTCAAATAAGATTTCAATATTGAACCTCAATGGGAAGTAACTTTTCCTGCCTGAGTAATAGACAAACATCTTTAAAAAAAATCATAATGCTGAATTTATTCATTACTTCAAGATCATCGTGCTGAATTCAGTCATTACTATTGGCCCTGTATTGGCCATTTCAGCTATTGCTAAATCCTGAAGGTTGTAAGCTGGCAACTCATAGGCTGTTCCGGCTCACCAGTATGTTTGGTTCATGTGTTGTTAGCCTGCAAAATAATTTTTTAATAATGACAAAGTACATGTAACACAAAATTTACCCTCTTAATTATTTTTTATCTTATTATTTTATTTTATTTTTGAGACAGTGTCTCACTCTGTTGCCCAGGCTGGAGTGCAGTGGCATGATCTCAGCTCATTGCAACTTCCACCTCCAAGGTTCAAGAGATTCTCATGCCTCAGCCTCCCGAATAGCTGGGATTACAGGCACCTGCTACCATGCCCAGCTAATTTTTGTATTTTTAGTAAAGACAGGGTTTCACCATGTTGGCCAGGCTGATCTTGAACTCCTGACCTCAAGTGATCCATCTCCTTGGCCTCCCAAAGTGCTGAGATTATAGGCGTGAGCCATGGTGCCTGGTCATCTTAATCATTTTTAAGAGTACAGTTCAGTGGTATTAAGCACATTCGTATTGTTGTGCAGCCATCACCAGAACTTTTTATCTTCCAAAACTGAAACTCTATATCCATTTAAAAATTCCTCATTTTCTCCTCCCCACCCCAGCCCCTGGCAACTACCATTTCACTTTTGGGCTCTATGAATTTCACTGCTCTAGGTACCTTATACAAGTGGAATTATACAGTATTTATCTTTTTGTGAGTGGCTTATTCTACTTAGCTTAATGTCCTCGAGGTTCATTCATGTTGTAGCATGTGTCAGAATTTCCTTCCTTTTTAAGGCCAAATAATGCTTATATACATATAAATGTGCTATATGTATATACTACATTTCATTTAACCATCCATCTGCCGATAGAAAGTTGAGTGGCTTCCACCTTTCGGCTGTTAGGAATAATACCGCTATGAACATAGTTGTACAAATATCTCTTGGAGAACCTGGTTTTAATTATTTGGGGTTTATACCCAGAAGTAAAATTATTTGATTATATGGTAATTCTAGTTTTGATTTTTAGGGGAACTGCCATATTATTTTCCATTGCAATTACACCATTTTACGTTTTCACCAACAGAGCACAGAAGTTCCAATTTCTCTACACCTTCACCATCACTTGTTATTTTCTTTTTTACATATATAATGGCCATGATAATGAATATGAGATGGTATCCCATTGTGATTTTGATTTGTACTTCCCTACTGATTAGTGATATTGAATATCTTTTCATGTGCTCTTTGGCCATTTGTATATCTGCTTTGGAGAACTATCTAGTCAAAACCGCACAATATTTTAAATTGGTTTGAGCTAGGAATCCTAGAGTAGGCTTAGGGCAGAGACATCTACTAAGAGATCAGAGCTTTGACCCCAGGTCTTTGAAGATTATCAATTCTGGCAGGTTATGAGGGAGAGAGTCATGTGAGGAACCCACTGAGGGCCATGAGCCACCCTCCACCCCAGGTGGTCTGCAAATTTGAAAGGATTACTGTCTCAACTACCCCCCTCGCCCTACCCTGAACTTCATGTATATCATCTCCATTCATTTTAAAAAACATTTTGGCCTAAGGCAAATGAGGACCTTGGAGAGCAGTTTGAGGATAATCTTTCAGAGCCCTGCCTAACCTAAAAGAAGCTATCAATGTCTACCACCACATTTTTTTACATATATTTCCCTATTCCCTCCCACCAAGCTCAACCTCAATTCACTGGAGCTCAGTAGCATCTATTCCTTTTGGAAGAGGCTTTTGTGCTCTACTTCAAGGCTCTGTCCACCAATCCCAGTTGTATTCTCTACTGCTTGCCCTGTTATACTAAATTTGGTCTGTGTATTAGTCTCCTTGGGCTGCCATAATAACATACAAAAATCTGGGTGTCTTAAAAAATAGGTATTATTTTCTCACAACTGTGGAGCCTAGAAGTTCATGGTCAAGGTGCTGACAAGCTCAGTTTCTGCTGAGGGCTCTCTTCCTGACTTGGAGACTGCCACCGTCTTGCTGTGTCTTCACATTACCTTTCTTCTTTGTATATGCAGATCTCTCTCTCTCTCTCTCTCTCTCTCTCTCTCTCTCTCTCTCTGTCTCTCTTCCTTATTCTATAAGGCTACTAGTCTTACCAGGTTAGGGTCCCATTCTTATAACCTTTTTCACCTGAGTTACCTCTTAAAGATACTATTTTCAAATACAGTCACATGGGGATTTAAGGGGGTGAATTTTCAGGGAGCACAATTCAGTCCAAAACAGCCTGCATCCTAATTTATGTTTGCTGCCTAGCCTTTGTAGGCTATTAACTATATAACTTCTGAAATACAGAGTCCAATTTTACTACTTACATTACTGTATATTACACTTATGAATCACCCATTTACTAGCTGTGACAACTTAATTTCTTTGCCTACCCATTCGGTTACCTTTTATCATTTGCTGCTGCTCATCAGTATCTATGATTCACTTCCTTTAGTCATCTTCCATGTTTTCAATAATAAACTACTGGTTATGTTTTCAATCTCTTCATTTCTGTTTAGGTGAGCCTCTGAGAAAATCCTAAAAAACTTAAGGATCTTTAGCCATAAACTCCAAAACTCAGCATACACATCTTTATGTCCACCTATCTGGTTTCAATAAATGTGCTAATGCTTTGTCCCTAATATCTGATACACATCCTTTAATCAGAATGAGATCTCTGCCTTGGCCTTTGCACTCACGTCCTCATCTTGGAAAATATCTCAGTATTCCGGCACTTCTAGAACTAGAACTCTGCTTGCTTGTCTAAGTAGCCAGTAGCTAGGGCCTTATTCCCTGTTAATAGACTTTCTGGTTGCTTGCCCTCTGCTGGCCCAATTCCTAAGCCCTACAAGGCCAGGAACTGCGTTGTGTCTGCCCTTGTCTCACTAATGCTTCAGTCCCTGGAGTATAGTGGTCCTCAATATCTGTTTAATTAATTGTCTCTTGGATTTCTGAATATCATCAGTTTTTTATTCCCCTGTTGGGATACCTAGTTATTAAACAGTGAACTGCAGACCAACTAATGTGTAAAACTACCACCTGTTATCTGTTGGCTTACTTTCTGGTTACCATTACCTGTTCTATCTTCTGGACTTCCTACCAGCATCTGTAGCAATGATTCCTGGGTCTATTCCAGTTGGACAATTTCATTTGCAGAAACTGGGTTATTCTTTACTGGATCCAAAGCATGACACTAGCCACAGTGTGACTGTAGCAATTTATTTGATCTCTCTAGGTCCTGGCTTCTTCATCTTTTGAGGGAAAATGTGAGACTAGGTGATCTCTATATTGCCTCCTCCTCTTCAGTCTGGGCTCAAGGACTGTTTTGACCAATAGAATATGACAAAGGTGACAATGTGCAGACCTTTAGACTTAGAAATTGGTAGCTTCCACTTCTGACTCTAGGAACATTTACTCTTTGAGCCCTGAGTGATGATGTTAAGAAATACAGTGATTCTGCTGGAGAGATCATAATGGTGGGCTGTAAGACTATATAGACAGATAGAACAGAACAAATCAACTGAGATCAGACTTTCAGCTGTCCCTGCCAAGGCACCAGAAATGTGAGTGAAACCCTCTTGGACCCTCCAAACCAGGCAAGCCTCCAGCTGAAAAACACAAGTGAACAAGCTGATACCATATAGAGCAGAAGAATTACTCAGCTGAGCCCTGTCCAAATTCTTAGCCCACAGATCATAAACATAATTAATTGATTGTTCTTACAAACCCTAAGTTTGTAATATTCGTTATGCAGAGATAGATAACCAGAAAAGGTGTATAGAATTTTAGAAATTTAAAATGGAAACTCTGCTTCTAGAAATATTAGTCTACATATCCTCAAAACCTTTCCATTACAAAACACTTTAAAACACTGTATAAACATTTTTTCACAATTATTTTAAATGCATAGTTAAGCTCACAAGAGAATAAGAAAGTATTCAGAAGTGAAGGATCCCAGAATGAATCTAGACTGGTAAGCAGGCGCTAAAGCTGGCAGCCACCCCAAGGGCATTGGCTGACCTCCAAAAAGCAAGAGCCTTGGGTTTTAATAGCTGAAAGTCTTAAGCCTTCACAAAATAGGGAATTGAAGTTGAAATGCTGAATAAAGCCAAGAGCCTAAAGGGCTACACTCTGAATGGGAGGCTGAATAGAAAAATATCAGCCTTGCGAAAGGATATAACTGGGAACTATTTTTGGCCTTGAGTGAAGGAAAATACAAAAAGAACTTCTCCTCTGAGAATCTGTTAACAGAAGCAGTCCTCCCACAATGTACACACATATCAAAATATAACATTTTAACCTGTAAATATATGCAATTAGTTATTACTGTCAGTTTAAAAAAATAAAAACATAACAAAAAAAGAAGCATTCCTCAAATAAATTTGTGGATCCAACTCAAAACTATCTACATGTTCCAAAAAAGCTAAGAAATTAATATAAAGTGGCCTGACATTGGGAACAGTTACAGGTGCTCAACAAAAGCAAAGTCAAATTCCCTATAAAGAATGGATTCTCAATCCTAATGTAGTAGGATTTCTACAGATAAAGGTTGTGGTGGACTGGAGCTGTCTCTTGCAGACTTACTTGAGAAAGCCAATTGTGTGCACCTCTTTTCAACTTCATATTCAGTGATGTCAAACTAGCAGTACTTACTGGCACATAGTATCAAAATTGACTATCATGGGAACATTTATACCATATAAATTGGCAAACAAATTTGGCTTTTTATGATGGGAACCAGTTTATTAGCACAACACTAGGTAAAGGCACCGTACGTATATAATAAGCTTACTGCTAGAAACAACACAAAAAAGAGACGTTAGAAAGATTTTTTAAAAATGGCATAATTAAACCCCTAAAAGATTCCTATGTTAAATTATAAGATAAAGAATATAAAGTAGGAGGCCGGACGTGGTGGCTCACGCCTGTAATCCTAGCACTTTGGGAGACTGAGGCAGGTGGATCACTTGAGGTCAGGAGTCCAAAACCAGCCTGGTAAACATGGTAAAACCCTGTCTTTACTGCAAACGCAAAAAAAATTAGACAGGTGTGGTGGTGGGCACTTGTAATCCCAGCTACTTGGGAGGCTGAGGCAGAATTGCTTGAACCCGGGAGGCGGAGGTTTCAGTGAGCCAAGATCGTGCCATTGCACTCCAGCTTGGGCAACAGAGCAAGACTCTGTCTAAAAAAAAAAATATATATATATATATATATATATATGTATATATATGACGTGTATATATATGTATATATGTACATGTGTATATACACACATGTAAATATATACACATATATACATATATACACACATACATATGTATATTTTTTAGACATATGTGTATATATAGTAGTAATCTTAGATATGCTTACACAAAAGAGAAAACATAGACATGGACAAAGAATAAGAGATGACATATAGTGCTACTCAAATATCTGTTTATTTGATCTGTTTATTTGGTACTCAAATATCTGTTCCAGAGAAGTGACTAGAAACACCTAAAGCAAGGAAGGAGAAGGAAGAAAGGCAGCCTGATCATCTGGGATCTGCTGGGAGCCTAGGGAGGCTCCCTCATGCAGGTGAAGAGTGAGTGGCCCTCGGCGATCCACATTCCCACCATGGACTCCTGTAATCCTAGCCATAGGAGAGCTTCTAGATACTAGCAGGCCCCAAAACTTACCTAGGCAGCTGCCTGGAGACTACATGAAGGCATTGTTCCTGAGAGGGAGCTCATGCTGGGTCCCACACACCCCTGAGCCCTAAGCAGCTACAGTAAGACACCCTATTGAGAACCCAACCCCCACCAGACTATATCCTGGCTGAAGAGCCCAACAGCTACTGCATCTCCACATTGCTGGAGCTCCATTGACATTCCAGGCCTGCAGCCACTGCCATGGCTGAAGTGTGAGCCATTGGCAATTCCCTGCTGCCCCCGCAGAAAAGCAACTGTGCATTTTACATGTTCCAAGGAAATACTCCCCTACCAACAGCAACTGCCACTGTGGCTTACCACCACCTTGAAAAAACAAGAGAAAACAAGTATTCCCCATGCACCTAAATATAGCTGCTGCCAGTGAAAGCAGTCCCAGTCTTGCAAGCAGCAAGACTAGAGTTCCATCACTGCCACTCAACCCAAGCATTTCGTCAGAGACCTGGAGATCTCCTCCTGACTATCACAATCAGTACCTGCACACACGATCATAGGGCTTAAGAACAGTCTTCCTGGCCCAGCTTTGATTTTCCAGTGCCTAAGCACACCACTCGGGGGCCTGGGGACCACACAGATCAATCCATCATCATTAGCACCTGAGCATTCCTTTTGAAGGTCTGAAGTTTGTCCCACCAACCTGCTGCTACCACCACAGCTGGTATCCACTCACACATGCCCCCAAGCCTGGGAATTGGCTCACCCAGCCCATCACAGTCACCACCAACACTAGCACAAATTGCTTGGGAGTCAGAGAATTATCCTGCCACTGCTACTAACATCACCAAGACCACACCTGCTGTCCGGTGGCCCAAGAACCTGCCTACCCTCCTAGCCCAGGACTGCTACCACTGGCACCCAAGTAAGAGTCCTTGAGCCACAAGAATCAGTTTGAACTTGGAACACTAGTGGCAGTATACAACACACTTGGACCCAAAGACAAGAATGTGTGGCCCACTGCTACCACCACTGGGGCCCAAGGAGAGGCCCACCTGGTGTCCAAGTCCCCAGCAAAACTTCACTACAGCCTCCACTAACCACCACACTCGAAGCCACTGAGGAAATTACAGACATTATTGATGCTTTTTACAGCTAAGAAATCATATGGAGACTACATCACTGCACATATCCAGAATCAAAGCCAAGTACCCTACCCAATCAACACCAGAGATATATCTTCAGGAAAAAAGTCCTGCCCTATGATAGCAAAATCAGAAAATTGAAAGAAGCAACTGTTACACCAAATGTGCAGATATCAATGTAGGGACACAGGAAATATTTTTAAAACAAAGAAATAAGATGCCTCCAAAGGAACACAATAATTCTTCAGCAACAGGACCCAATCAAAAAACAATTTTGAAATCCCAGAAGAATTCAAAATAATATTAGAGAAGCTCAGTGAAATCCAAGAGAATTCAGAAAACCAATACAAAGAAATAAGAAAAATAATTCAGGAAATGAATGAGAAAGTTACCAAAAAGATATATATTATTTTTAAAAACTAGAAAAAAAATTGGAACTGAAGAATTTATTAAGTGATATACAAAATACATTCAAAAGTTCCAATAATAGGGTAAATCAAGCAGAAGAAAACATTTCAAAACTTGAAGACGGGTCTTCTGAAATAGCATAGTCAGACAAAAATTTTAAAAAACTATAAAGAATGAACAAAACCTATAGGAGATATGGGATACCATAAAATAAGCAAATGTTCAAATTTCCAGAGTCCAAGAAGGCAAAAAAGAAACAGAGGGGATGGAAAAATTATTTAACGTGTTAATAGCTGAAAACTTTCTAAGTCTAGCAAGAAATTTGGATATCCAGATACAAGAAGCTCAGAGATCTCCAAACAAATACAATTCAGAAAGGTCTTATTCATGGCACATTATAGTCAAAGATAAGAGAATTCTAAAAACAATAAGAGAAAGTTATCTACTTACTTATAAGGAAACTACCATCAGTCTAACAGCAGATTTCTCCTCAGAAACCTTACAAGCCAGGATAAAATGGTGTGTTGTATTCAAAGCGCTGAAAGGAAAAAAAAAAAAAAAAACCTGTCAGTCAAGGATACTATACTCAGCAAAGTTATCATTTATGAATGAAGGAGAAATAAAATCCTTCTTTCCCAAAAAAGCAAAAGCTGTAGGAATTCATTACCACTAGACTGATCCTATAATAAATGTTTAAGGGAATTCTACACCTATAAGCAAAAATACAATATCTATTATCATGAAAACACACAAAAATAAAAAGCCCATCACAGAGCAAACACAAAAATACAAAGAGAAAGGACTCAAATGCTACCAGTATGGAAAACTAACAAACAACAATATTAAACACTTGTCTATAAAAGGATTTAAATGCTATCACCACAGAATACCAGCAGTAATGGTAAACAATAAACTCAAATTGTCCCTTTTTGCAGCTGACATAATCTTTTATCTAGAAAAAACTAAAGATCCAACCAAAAAACTCTTAGACAAAATACATAAACTTAGTAAATTTTCAGGATACAAAATCAACATACAAAAATCAGTATTTCTATACACAAACAATGAACTGGCTGAGAAAGAAATTAAGAAGGCAGGCTGGGTGCAGTGGCTCACGCCTGTAATCCCAGCACTTTGAGAGGCCAAGGCAAGTGGATCACCTGAGGTCAGGAGTTTGAGACTAGCTTGGCCAACATAGTGAAGCCCCGTCTTTACTAAAAATACAAAAAATTAGTCGGGCATGGTGGCAGGCACCTGTAATCCCAGCTACTCAGGAGCCTGAGGCAGGAGAATTGCTTGAACCTGGGAGGTGGGGGTTCCAGTGAGCCAAGATTGTGCCCCTGCACTCCAGCCTGGGCAACAAGAGCAAATCTGGGTCTCAAAAAAAGAAAAAGAAGAAAACATAAATTAAGAAGGCAATGTTATTTATGATAGCTATAAAAATAAAAATAAAATACCTGGGAATAAATTTAACCAAGGAGGTGAAAGACCTTTCTACAAGGAAAACTACAAAATACTAATGAAAGAAATTGAAGAGAACACAAACAAATGGGAAGACATCCCATGCTCATGAATCAGAAGAGTTAAAATCATTAAAATGACCACACTACCCAAAGGAATTATTGTATTTATCATTATTTTTCATAGAAATAGAAAAAAACAGTCCTGAAATTTGTGTGGAACCACAAAAGAGCCCAAATGGTCAAAGCAATCCAGAGCATAAAGTACAAAGCTGAAGGCATCAAACTACCTGACTTCAAAATATATAAAAGGCTATAATAACCAAAACAGCATGGTACTGGTATAAAAACAGACACAGAGACCATGAAACAGAATAGAGAACCCAGAAATAAATCTACATATTTACAGCCAACAGATTTTCAACAAAAGTGCCAAGAACATATACTGAGGAAATGATACCTTTTCAATAAATGGCACTGGGAAAATTGGATATCTACATGCAAAAGAATGAAACTCTACTCCCGTCTCTCACCATACACAAAAATCTACTGAAGATGGATTAAATACTTAAATGTAAACCTCAAAATTTTAAGTCTATAAGAAGAAAGTATGAGAGAAACACTTAAGGACGTTGGTCTAGTTAACTATTTATAGCTAAAACCTCAAAAGCACAAGCAACAAAAGCCAAATAGGCAAATGGGAGTATATTAAACTAAAAAACTTCTGCATCGCAAAGGATATCCAGAATATACAAGGAACTCAAACAACTCAACAGTAAATAATAATAATAATATTCCCATTAAAAAGTGAGCAAAGGACATGAATAGCTTGTTGCTCCTAGGCTATAAACCTGTACAACATGTTACTGTACTGAATACTGTAAGCAATCATATTTCAATGATAAGTATTTGTTTATCTAAACACAGCTAAACATAAAGGTATGACTTGAGCTATGATGTTATGACTGCTATGATATCTCACTAGGTGACAGTAATTTTTCATTTTCATTATTATTATTATTATTTGAGACTTTTCATTTTCATTATTATTATTATTATTTGAGATGAAGTCTAGCTCTGTTGCCCAGGCTGGAGTGCAGTGGCACGATCTCAACTCACTGAAACCTGCGCCTCCCAGGTTCAAGCGATTCTCATCCCTCAGCCTCCTGAGTAGCTGGGACTACAGGCACCTACCACCATGCCTGGCTAATTTTTTGTATTTTTAGTAGAGACAGGGTTTCACTATGTTGGCCAGGCTGGTCTCGAACTCCTGACCTTGTGAGCCACTCACCTAAGCCTCCCAAAGTGCTGGGATTACAGGCGTGAGCCACCACGCCTGGCCTCAGTTTCATTATTATCTTATGAGACCAGTATCATATATGCAGTCCACTGATCAAGATGTTATTATGCAGCACATGACTGTCTATGCATTGGAAATATTTTCTGCCAGTTCATGGCCTTTTATTTTCTTAACGTTATCTTTCAAAGAACAAAATATTCCATTTTTATGAAGCCCAATTAATTTCCCAGGTGTTTTTTCTTCTGTAATTCATGATTTTTGTGGCCTACCTAAAATATTTTGCCTATCCCAAGACCAGGAAGTTTTTCTCCTATGATTTTAGTTTTATGGCTTTATATGTAAATGTTCACTTTATTTATATTGATAACTTTATATTTTATGTTTCATTTCAAGTAAATTTTTGTGTATGGTATGATATAAAGGTTGTGTTTCACTTCTTTTCTTATGGATATCTGGTTATTCTAGCACCATTTGTTGAGAAGACTATTCCTCCCCCTTAATTCCTTGGCACCTCATTGAAAATTGATTAAACTTATGTGTGTGTGTGTCTGTGTGTGTTTACATATTTCTGAACTCTCTATTCTATTCGATTAATGTATTTTTACATTCTAATGTTAGAACGGCATTGCCTTGATTACTATAGTAAATCTTGACATTGGATAATGTTAAGTCCTACAATGTTGTTCTTTCTCAAAATGCTTTTTGGCTATTCTAACTTCTTTGCATATACACTTTTCTCTTTTTCTTTTCTTTTCTTTTTTTTTTTTTTGAGAAAGGGTCTTATTCCATTGCCTAGGCTGGAGTGTATTGGCACAATCTCAGCTCACTGTAGCCTCAACATCCTGGGCTTTCGCGATTTTCTCACTTTACCCTCCTTAGTAACTGGGACTACAGGCACACACCACCACGTCCAGCTAATTTTTGGATTTTTTTGTAGAGATGGGTTTTTGTCATGTTGTGCAGGCTGGTCTTGAACTCCTGAGCTCAAGTAATCCTCCTGCCTGTGTCTCCCAAAGTGCTGGGATTATAGGCATGAGTCACCATGCCAGTCACAATTTTTAATACATTTTTTTCATTTCACTAAAAAATTTTCTAATTTTTCTTGTGATTTATTATTTAACCCATGGGCTGAATTTCCATATTTGGGGATTTTCCGGATGTCTTCTGTTATTGGCTTCTAATTTAATTTTGTGTGGTAAGGGAAGATAATATGTATGAACTCTTTTACTCACAATACTTCTGACACTGAATATCCGCCCCACACCAACCAATTCTCCAACTCTCTAGGCACCAACTAGGTATCCTACAATTTAATTCAATTCTGACTTTATACACCCAGAGTTAAGGCAGACCCCACAAGACTGCCCCCACTACAGACACCAGTTGAAATCCTGATCCTCCTATACTTTTGAGCAGCCAGCTATAAACCAGGGGGTCCTATGAACCCCTCTTTGGATTTGATAATTTATTTGAACAGCTCACAGACTTCAAGAAAACACTTCACTTAGTATTACCAGTTTATTGTAAAGAATATAACTCAGAAAGGGCAAAATGGAAGACATGCATAGGACAATGTATAGAGGGTGTGGGGTGTGGCCCAGAGCTTCCATGCCCTCTCTGGGCATGCCACCATCCTAGCACCTGGATAAGTTCACCAACCTGGATGCTCTCAAAACCACATCACTTAGGGGTTTTGTGGAGGTTTCATTACGTAGGCATGATTGGTTAAATAATTGAACATTGATGATTAACTCAACCTCCAAGCCATCTCCCTTCCCTGATGTCAGGGTGTGGAGCTCGAAGTTCCAAATCTCTAATCATGCTTTGGTCTTTCTGGTGACCCGCCACCATCCTGGAGCTATCTAGATGTTCCCAACCACCAATCATCTCATTCACATACTAAAGACACTCTTATCATTCTAAAGATTCCAAGAATTTTAGGAGCTATGTGCCAGGAACTGAGGACAATGACTAAATATTTATTTTCCATTATGTTACAATGTATAATTTCAGTTCTTTAAGATGTATTCACACCTGCTTTATGAACCAGCTTATGACGCATTTTAGTGACTGTTTTGTGTGTATTCAAAAAACATTTGTGTTTTGATTTTGTTGGATGAAGTCTTCCACAGATATCCACTAGTTTAATTTGGTCAACAGTAATTAACAATTGAAGTCTTCTCTATCCTTCCTGATTTTCTGCCTTCTTGCTCCATCAACTAGTAGAAGTAGATCCTTGGAACCTCCAGTTATAATTGTGGATTTCTCTATTTCTCTTTTCACTTCTGATAGTTATTACTGTATGAAATTTAAAGCTCCCTTATTGATATATATTCATTGAGGATTTTTATGTCTTTTTGATGGGTTAATCCATGTATTATCATTATAAACTGTCACTCTTCATGCCTGGTAGTATTCCTTGTTCTGAAATCTATTTTACGTGATATTCACATACATGCTTCTGTTTTCTAATCTTAGTGTTTGCGTGGCATATCTTTTGTTCATCTGTTTCCTTTAAATTTATATATGTCTTTATATGGAAACTGAGTTTCTCATAGACACCATAAAATCAGGTCTTGTTTTCTTCATCTAGTCTTATAATTGATATCTTACAGTTGGAGTGTATTGAAGATTTACATATAATGTAAGTATTCATATGGTTTGGTTTATATTTACTGCTTTTTTATTTGTGTTTTCCTTTATTCATCTGTTTTTTACTCATTTTATCCTTTTTCCCTAACTTCATTTGATATTTTGTATATTTTCTTTTTTTATTATGTACATTTTTTTTTTCTTTATTTCTTCTAAAAAAAAAACGGGATACATGTGCAGAGTGTGCAGGCTTGTTACATAGGTATACGTGTGCCATAATGGTTTGCTGTACCTATTGACTTGTCCTCTAAGTTCCCTCCCCTCACCCTCCACCCCCTCAACAGGCCCTGGTATATTCTGTTCCCCTCTCTGTGTCCATGTGTTCTTAATGTTCAACTCCCACTTATGAGTGAGAACATGTGGTGTTTGGTTTTCTGTTCCTGTGTTAGTTTTCTGAGGATGATGGCTTACAGCTTCATCTATGTCCCTGCAAAGGACATGATCTCTTTCCTTTTTATGGCTGCATAGTATTCCGTGGTGTATATGGACCACATTTTCTTTATCCAGTCTATCAATGATGGGCTTTTGGACTGGTTCCACGTCTTTGCTATTGTAAATAGTGCTGCAATAAACATACATGTGCATGTGTCTTTATAGTAGAATAATTTGTAATCCTTTGTGTATGTACCTAGTAATGGGATTGCTGGGTCAAATAGCATTTCTGGCTCTAGATCTTTGAGGAATCACCATACTGTCTCCCACAATGGTTGAACTAATTTACATTCCCACCAAAAGTGTAAATAAAAGTGTTCCTATTTCTCCACAGCCTTGCCAGCATCGATTGTTTCCTCACTTTTTAATAATTGCCATTCTCACTGGTGTGAGATGGTACCTCATTGTGGTTTTGATTTGCATTTCTCTGATAATCAGTGATGTTGAGCTTTTTTTGTATGTTTCTTGGCCGTATAACTGTCATCTTTTGAGAAGTGTCTGTTCATATACTTTGCCCACTTTTTGATGGGGTTTTTTCTCTTAAATATATGTAAGTTTCATGTAAATCCTGGATATTAGACCTTTGTCAGATGGGTAGATTGTAAAAATTTTCTCCCATGTTTTCATATTCCATTTTATCTCCACTGTAGGCTTTTTAATTAATAACTATCTCCTTGTTTTATTTTTTAATGGTTGCTATAGGGTTTTAAATGAGCATGTTTATTGCAACTCAACTTCAAATAATACTATATTACTCTCACATATAGTGAAAAACTCTTAAAATGATATACTTCTATTTCCCCCAGTTCCACATTTTGTGCTATTGTTGTCATACCTTAGTCATATATTAAAATCTATATACATTTTTGAATGTTGTGCTATGTACAGAAAAATAATAATTCTACATACATTCTATACCCCATAATATGTTGTTACCCTTTAAATAGTTGATTATATTTTACAGAAATTTTAAAATTAGAAAAAGTATTTGTTTACTTGCATATTTATCTCTTTCAGTGCTGTTTATTTCTCTGTTTAGATCCTAATTTCTATTAGATACCATTTTTTCTTTCACCTAAAAAAATGGGTAATTTAATATTTCTTTTAGTGCAGATTTGTCTGTAATGAATCCTTTCAGCTTTGCTTATTCAAAAATAATTTTATTTGCCTTCACTTTTGAAGGATATTTTCATTAAATATAGACTTCTAGTTTGAAATTTTCTGTCAATGCTTTAAAGATGCCAATTTATTTTCTTCTACCTTGCATGGTTGCTGATGATAAAACTTTAATAACTCTTATTTTTGCTCTATTGAATAGACTGTGTCTTTTATGCTTGTACTGCTTTTAGGATTTTCCCTTTACCACTAGTTTTCAGCAATTTGAATATGATGTGCCTTGGTATAAGGGAGTTGATGGAGTGTTTTTATGTTTCTTGGGGGTCATTGAGTCTTTTGTAGCTGTGTGGTTATACTATTCATCATATTTAGACTATTTCAGCCATTATTTCTTTAAATATGTTTTCTGTCACCTCCTCCAAGATTCCAAGTAATAAAGGTTAGACCGGTTGACCCTGTGCATACATATATATATAAAATAAAATATTTATATGTATATATATATATAAATAAAGTGTCCCTGTATTAGTTTCCTAAGGCTGCCATAATAAAATACCATAGGCTGGATAGCTTAAACAACAGACATTTATTTTCTCACAGTTCTAGAGGCTAGAAATTCAAGATCAAGATGTTAGCAGGTTTCAGCTGAGCATTATGGCTCACACCTGTAATCCCAGCACTTTGGGAGGCTAAGGTGGGTGGATCACTTGAGGTCAGGAATTCAAGTCCAGCCTGACCAACATGGTAAAACCGCATCTCTACTAAAAATATAAAAATTAGCCAGGCATGGTGGCAGGTGCCTGTAATCTCCTTGAACCCAGGAGGTGGAGAGGAGATCATGCCACTGCACTCCAGCCTGGACAACAGAGCAAGACTCCATCTCAAAAACAAACAAACAAACAAACAAAAACCTCTTAGCAGGTTTGGTTTCTCTTAAGGCCTCTCTCCCTGGCTTGCAGATCACCACCTTCTGACTGTGTCCTCACATGGCTTTCTTTCTGTGTATACACATATCTAGGACCTTTTTAAGGCCATCAGTAATATTGCATTAGGGCCCCAGACTTATGACATTATTGAACTTTAATTATCACTCTAAAGGCTGTAACTCCAAATACAATTCCACTGGACTTCAGGACTTTAACATATAGAGATGGAAATCTAAGCTCAGAAAGCTGGGTTTATAATGCCAGAGCAAAACAAATTTCCAAACTCGTGGAAAAAATAGCCCCCCAAAAAATCCCTAATTCAGATCTCAATGCTAGAGTAGCTAATTCTTGTTATATAAAAGAAAATATTATAAGCATACAATAAATATGCACTAAAACTTAATGTTTGGGGTCCATCAGAATATATGAAAAGCATCCTTGCTCTATTTACAACATTGTGTTCTTATGCAGATGAAAAATAATCAGCTAATACATATTGAATATCGTATGTCTTCCTTCATCTTTCATTCTCCAGCAAGAAGCACTGATTTCTAACTAGACACTCTGCTGTGCATACAAGAAGAAAAAAAAAGAAAAGAAAGAAAAATTAATTTCATGGTCTACAAGATTTATTGCACTAAAAATTTAAGTCAAATTGTAAGCTTAAAAGATATAATAAGATTCATAAACCTATTATTACCCTGAGTTATTGCCCTGAAGCCTCAAATTTTACTATTTAAAAATCTGTGAGGAATGAGGAATATTTTCAAAAACAACCTTAATTTGTTTATAATTTTTAATGTATATGTTGTATATATCCTAGATTTACTCATTGTTTTGCAAATTATCCATTTATGCATTCCTAATATGTGCAAGCCCTGAAGACTGATATTAGCTCTCTGATCTTTGTGAACCTCTGAAAATGTCATTTTCAATGGAGATTTTCTTTTAAATAAATGTATAATTTCTGTTATGACCAGGTAATGCCATTGCTTAAGAGTGACAAGATAAAAACAACTTTTAATGTATCTATTAAAAGCAAAGCTTGGGAATACATTATTTCAAAGTCATTTCAAGAAGCTACTAACTACAATTTTTAAATTAAGTAAATTTACATAGTCTAACGTATTTTCATTTCTTAAAAGAGTTATATTTTAAAAAATGGACTCGAGAATATCAGGCTTTGGACAACCATTTAAATTAATGTTCCATAAATCACAATTAATCTTATTTAGAAGATTAGCCCATATAATTAGTTTACATACACATTATTAGAACAATAAAAAGCTCTCAGTTATGTAGTTGTTCATAATTGGAATATTAAGTTACTGCCCTAGTTTTTTAAATTTCCAAACAAGTTGTCTAATAATTATTTGGTATTTACTCAGCTTATGTTTGCATTGCAAAACTTGGATTTCTACTTGCAAAGCTCAAACATGATTTGTTTAATGGGAGGAAGAAGATAAAACATTTAGGTAAATGTCAGTATAGTTGAATATGTAAATTGTGGAAATAGATGCAAAAGATTTGAATCCTTCTGACAGCACCCTAAAACGTAAAATGGAAAAAAAAAATCGTATCATCTTAAAAGCATTATCCATGCAGAACAGAGACTTATTAGAATTTTGTTTGAATCTGACTTTAAAATCTATGGTAATTCTAAACCATTTGTCTCTGACAGTCATATCACCAGTGAAGAATTAATCTATCAGAGTTGCTGTCTCTTTCTCTTCTTTCTCTACTTTGTCTACTGCTCTTGTTCATTCTGTCTCTCCCACCTTTTCACTTTCCTTTCCTTTTTCTTTCTTTCTCTCCCAATACAACAAAAGTTTACTTACTCAAACCACAGCGAATACACCTGACATCCCCTAGAATTCCATTATTTTAAGCGTTTTCTTCGTAGAATTATCTTTCCTAACCATAATAAAGAATAATGGGTGTTAGAATATGTGACAGTTAGTTCTTATCCAGACTGTTTCTAGCATCAAACAAAAAATTTCCAATATGCAAAAATTAGTATTTTACCTTATTTCATTAATAAGAATTAAATACTGTAAATATGGAAATATCATTTTCAAGTTTGTTATTTTAAAGCTTCTTTCAAGGGTTTACCTGGAAGCTACAGAAAATAATTTGATTCACTTCTCAAAGGGTACCTGTTTGGGTTGAATTCATATGTTGAAGTCCTAACCTTGAGGAACTCAGAAAGTGGCCTTATTTGAAGACAGAGTCTTTATGGAGACAGTCAAGTTAAAATGAAGTCATTAAAGTGAGCTCTAATCCAACATCCTCTGGTGTCCTCATAAAAAGGAGAATTTGGGCACAGAAAACACCATGTGAAGCTGGAGACAGATATGGAGTGAAGCTTCTGTAAGCTGAAGAATACCAAAGATAGCCTGCAAACCACCAGCAGATAAGGAAGAGGCATGAAACAGATTCTTTCTCACAACCCTGAGAAGGAACCTACCCTGTTAGCATCTTGATCTCAGACTTTTGACCTCCAGAAATGTGAGACAATACATTTCTTTTGTTTAAGCCACTCAGTTTGTGGTACTTTGCTATAGCAGCCTTAGCAAACTAATGCAGTAGGCCAACTTTTGTGTGATTTCTATTTTTAACTTTGGGGCTTATAATTCTCATCATGTTTTCATATGAGTTGAAAATTTCACTGCTACATGAGTAAAAGAAAATGAAAATGGGAACACAAGTAGGAAAGTAAATCTCAATTCACAGTTGGAATATTAAGGTATATCCAGTCTTCAGATTGAAAAACCTCAAAAATCCAAGCATCATAGAATTGGTTCCACAACGTTATAACAAGCTATCTGGCATTATTAATATATTTCAGCATTATGTGTCAAAAGAGCACTGATTCATAATTTTAAAACAAGATTTGCCTCAGAATGCAAAGTTAACGAAACATCCAAAAGTTAATTAACGTACTACACCATCCACATGAATACAATAAAGGACAAGATTATCTCCACAGAGGTAGGAAAAGCATTGACAAAACCAACAACATTTTGATAAAGAGTATCCACAAACTAGGAATAGAGAGAAACCTTCTCAACTTAAAGGGCATCTACAAAAAAACACAGCTACCATCATACTTACCGTTGGAGGATTGAATGCTAACACTCACACTTCTCAAATTCAAACTTACTACAAAGCTATAGTCATCAAGACGGTGTGGTAATATAACAGTAGACACATAAGTTCTTGGAATAGAATAGAGAGTCCAGAAATAAATACCCATATTTACGGTCAATTGATTTTCGACAAGGGTGCCAAGACAATTCAATGGGCAGTAAGAAGTGTTATGAATCAATGATGCTGGTAAAACTAGATATCTACATATAAAGAATAAAGTTGGAATCATTTCTCACAGTATACACAAAAATTAGTCCAAAAAGGACCATAATCCTAATATAAGAGCTAAAATTATAAAACACTTAGAAGAACATATAGGCATAAATCTTCATGACTGTGGGTTATGCAAAGCCTGTTAGATATGACACCAAAATTATAAATAACAAAAGAAAAAATAAGTTATATTGTATAAGTCAGGGTTATCCAAAGAATCAGAACCAACAGGATGCATGTAGAAAGAGATTAATTATAGTGAATTGGCCGACATGATTATGGAAGCTGAGAAGTTTCAAGATCTGCAGTTCCCAAGCTGAAAACCCAGGAGAGTCATTGGTATAAATTCCAGTCTGAAAACCAGCAAGCTTGAGTCTCAAGAAAGCTGATGTTCCAGTTCAAGTGCAAAGGCAGGAAAAGACCAACATCATTGCTCAATCAGCCAGGGAGGAGAGGTGGGTCCCCTCTTAGAATCAGCCAGTTTGTTTTAGTTTGGCCTTCAGCTGATTGAGCGAGGGTCCCCCCACATTAGGGAGGGCAATCTGTTTTACTCGGTCTATAAATTCAAATATAAATCTCATCCAAAAACATTCTCACAGATACACCCAGAATAATGTTTGACCAAATAATGGCACCCTATAACCCAGTAAAATTGACATATAAAATTAAACACCATATAAACTTTAACAAAATTAAAAACTGTTTTACCAGAAACATTATAATCAGGAAAGTGAAAGACAACCCACAAAATGGGAGAAAATATATCCAAATCATATACCTGAGAAAGAACTCATATCCAGTAAAGAACTCTTAGAACTCAATAATAAAAAGATAAATAACCCAATTTAAAAATGAGAAAAAGATCTGAATAGGCTTTTTCCCAAGGAAGATATGCAAGTGGCCAATAAGCATATAAAAAAAATGATCATCATCTTAGCTTATTTTATGTTTCTATAATAAAATGCCACAGACTAGCTAATTTAAAAGGAAGAGAAATGTATTTGCCTAATAGTTCCGGAGGCTGAGAAGTCCAAGAGCATGGCACCAGCATCTGGTGAGGGCCTTTGTGCTGCATCATTCCGTGGCAGAAGGTGGAAGAGTAAGACAGCAAGAAAGCAAGCAAACAAGAGGGGGCCAAACGTACTTTTATAAAAACCTGCTCTCAAAATAAGAAACTCACTCCCATGATAAGGGCAGAGCTCTCCTGGACTAATGGGAAGCTAATGGTCCCACCACTTAATACTATGACAAAGGCAATTAAATTCCAACATAAGTTTTGAAGGGGACATTCAAGTCATATCATTCTGCCCCTCGACTTCTAAAACTCATGTCTTTCTCACATAAAAAAATACATTCATCACATCCCAATAACCCTAAAAGTCTTACCTTGTTCAAACATCAGCTTAAAAGTTCAAAGTCTAGAGTCTCATCTAAATCAGATATGGATGAAACTCAAGACAATTCATTCTGAGGCAGATTTCTCTTCAGCTGTGAGCCTGTGAAATTGGTATAATACATTTTTCGTAAATACAGTGGTGGGACAGGCATAGGACAGACATTCCAATTGAAAAAGGAAGATATAGGCAATTTAAGGAGTAACCAGGAGGCTGAGGTACAGGAATCGCTTGAACTGGGGAGGCGGAGGTTGCAGTGAGCCGCGATTGCGCCACTGCACTCCAGCCTGGGCAACAGAGCGAGACTCTGTCTCAAAAAAAAAAAAGAATAACAGGCCCCAAATGAGTTCCAAATCCCAATAAGGAAAACGGCATTAAACTTCAGAACTCCAGAATGATTTTTCTTGGACTCTGTGTCCTGCCTTCTGGGCTCATTAAGTTGAAAGTTGGGCCCCTGTGGCCTCAAGCAACCGTATCCCTATGGTTTTGTGCACAGTGCACCCAGCAGCTCCCACAGGTTGGAGTCTCTGTATGCAGCTCTCCTAGGCAAGTGTTGCATGGCGATAGCGCTACAGTTCTGTGGTCTTGGGGGCTGCCCTGGCACTGCTCCAGGGCTCCACTAGGCATTGTCCTAGTGTAGGCTTTCTGCAGTGGCTCTATCTTTGTGGCAAGTCTCTGCCTGGGCCCCCAAGCTGTCCTTAATATTCTCTGAAATCTAGGTGGAGGCTGTCATGGTGCCACAGCTCATGAACTCTGTGTCTTTAGAGCCAGCACCATATGGACACTGCCAAGGTTTATAGCCTGAAGCCTTTGGAGCTGTGGCATGAGCCATACCTGGGCATGGTTGAGCCATCTCCAAACCAGCCCTGGGCAGCAAATGCTGAAGTCCAACCTGACCTCTCTAGAAACCTTGCCCTTGAGGTTCTAACCTGCATCCAAGATCTCTAAAATGCCTTCAGAGTCATTTTTCTATTATTTTATGAGTAGTACTTGGCTCTCTTCTAACCTTGCTAATCTCTTTAGCAAACAGTCACTTGGCCACACCCTGGTTTCCTGTCATAAACACACCTTTTTACTCTTTACATGGCTAGGCTGTGAATTTTCCAAATCTTTCTGTTCTGCTTCTCTTTTAATTATAAATTCCATCTTTAAATAATTTTTCTCTGCTTGCATCTTACTATATGCAGTCAAAATGCGTGCAGCTCCTTCAATATTTTGCTTAAATATTTCTTCTGCCAGATATCCCAGTTTATCACTTCTTAATTCTATCTACCATAAAGCCCTCAAGCATGGAACAATTCAACCAAGTCCTATGAGACTTTATAATAAAGATAGCCTTATTCAGTTTTCAATTCCTCATTTCTCCCTGAGACCTCATCAGACTGGCCTTTACTGTCCATATTTTTACCAATATTCTCATCATGACCACTTAACTGATCTTTAAAAAGTTTCAAATGTTTCCTAAGCCTTTCTTTTCCTCCAAGCCCTCACCAGAATTGCTCTTAATGCTCCATTCATAGCAATCTATGCTTTTTCTAGTCTGCTCCTTCAAATTCTTTCAGCCTCTACCTGTTACCCAGTTCCAAAGCCCTTTCTACATTTTGGGGTATTTGTTATAGCAACGCCCACCCTTTGGTACCAATTTTCTGTCTCTGTCCATTTTGTATTCCTATAACAGAATACTACAGGTTGGGTAATTTACTTTTTTAAAATTACTTTCGACAGTTCTGGAAGAACTAAGTCCAATATCCAGGCGCCAGCATGTGGTGAGAGCCTTCTTGCTGCATCATCCATGGCAGAAGTTTGAAAGGCAAAAGAGTGTGCAAGAGCAAGAGAGAGCTGAACCTGCTTTTATAACAACCCACTCTCATAATAACAAACCCAATCCCTCAATATTAACATTAATCCATTCAGAGCTCTCAAAGTCTAATAATCTCTTAAGAGTTCCACCTCTTAATACCTTCATAATGGCAATTAAATTTCCACGAGTTTGGCGAAAATATTCAAACCATAGCAACATCATTAACCATTAGGAAAATGCTAATCAAAATCGTCTCATACACACAAAGATGGCTATAATAAAAACAAAAGACAATAACAAGTGTTAGAGATGTGAAGATATTGTAACCCTCACACATTGCTATTGAGAATGCCTAACGGTGCCATTCCTGTAGAAAACAGTTTGGTACTCTTCAAAATTTTCAACATAGAGTTACCACATGACCTAGAGTTCTACTCCTTTGTACATTCATACAAAAATTTGTACACAAGTGTTCATAGCAGTGTTACTCATAATAGCCAGAAATGAAAACAATAAAATTTACATCAACTGATGAATGTATAAATGTAAAGAAAACAATAAAATTTACATCAACTGATGAATGTATAAATGTATCCATACAATAGAATATTATTCAACAATAAATGGAAATGGATTTGTACATGCTACAACATAGAGGAATCTTGTAAACATGGTAAGTGAAAGAAACCAGACACAAAAGGTCATGTATTGTCTAATTCTAGTCATGTGAAATGTCCAGAATAGATAAATCTGTAAGGACAGAAAATGAACTATGTTTTTAGGGCTGGGGTGAATTGGAGCAGGGGAATGGGGAGTGATTGTTATTGCATAAGGGTTTTCTTTGGGGGCATTGAAAGCACTGATAATGTTTCAGAGTGCAGGAAGGATTTGAACGGTGGAAATGCTTTATCAGCATCAACAAATTAATCTACCAGATCCTTTCTCTCAGGTAACATAAATGCCACAGACTCAGGCTTAAGTATCTTTTACTGTCAGTATGTCAAGATGTGGTTCAGGAGGTATTCAGGAATTCATTAGCATGATATTTACAATATTGCACATGGCAGTTGGTGGATATTTTGTAATAGTTATTAATATTATCTCGAATTTGTATTATGTTATCTCAGACATAACATGTGTGAAGCTTAATGACAACCTTTACATTAGCAATTTGATGGATGAGGAATACAAGGAATGTGAATAGTTTCATTTTTGTAAATGTATTTAAAAATAAATGAATTTCAGGTTTAATGAGTAATTTTGAATTAAACTTTTTGTGTCTGTTATTCATATTTATATTTTAAGTAACCTAAGATAGAAATAAGTTTTTGAAAATAATTTTGACTTTTTGATATCTTACATTTAATTTGTATTTTAATGAAAACATTGAAATGCATTTATTTAGAATAAAATGGAAATTTTTACCTTTTAGATAATTGCTATCAGTGGAGTATAAAATGGGAAAATATTCATTGTCATATAATTGTTGATGCTCCTGAAATGGAGAAAAGAAAAAAAAATTTAGGAAACATATACATAAAAATTTACAAATTTATATTTTATCACTCATCCAAACATCGTTATTTTATCAAGAAGACACTGAGGCATATGCAATTAATAATTAAATTGAGTCATCTTCATTATTTTGCTGCCAATCATATAAAAACCATAGTTTTACACATACGTTCATGTTTTCTATTGTGAAGGTGTATTTTTCAAAGCAAGCAATTAGTATATCTTTTATATAACAGTTTGTTAATTTGTATTTATAAGCTTCAGATATTTAGGGCTATGGTAAATAGACCTCCATTTGCACTGTTCTCCAGAGCCCACAAATGTTAGGGGTAAGCCTATTTCCTTCTAGTTTGGACAACTGGAAGGTCATATTTGATTTGTACCTTGTTTTGGTGGTGATTGTAACGTGATTGGACTCATTGACCATGAGTCTCTGGCTCATTATGCAGAGCAGACATTGAATGATCTGTGTTTACCTAAGATCATGGGCTGTTGTACCATACAGCTATGGAGGTTCATAGGTTAAGCCAGCTGGGTGCAAGGCAGGTATTTCATTGGAATTCCTTTACATAGACTCTGGCTGCAGATATATATTGATATAAAGTCTTATTGGCTGCCCACACCCATGATGAAAATGAACTTGGATTGGCACTGCGTCTTTGACAGTGACAACAACCTGTCTGCCAGGTGTTGGAGAGAAACAGCGGAAATAGCAAATGCAACCTTCATGGCCCATCTAGTAATAATTCCATATGTTCTAAGCCTCATAGTTCTTTGAATTACAGTTCCCATGTTCACTATGTTAATTGAAAGTGCCTCAGTCCTCTTATACTCTGTTTTCTTGCAAAGGTACTGTGGGACTTTCCTAAGGTTACTGTAACAAATTAGCACAGACAGTGGCTTCAAACCACAGGAATTGATTATCTTTATTTTACAGTGCTCTTTTGGGGGGCTACAAATTCCTCTTAAATTTATAATATATAACATTTTCTTCCCATGTTAATAGCTCATGCTCTGGATTCTTTTACCAAGATTTTCGGTATATAAATTTAAGTGATCCTCTGCTGTGGTCCAAATGTTTGCGTACCCCTTCACCAAAACTCATATGTTGAAATCCTACATTTGAAAGTAGGGCCTTTGGGAGGTGGTTAGGTCGTGGGAGAAGAGACCTCATGATGAGGTTAGCGTCCTTACAAAAGATTTCCCAGAGAGATTTTGAGGAACTAACAGAGCTGGAATTCACTCATTACCACAAGGGGACCTCACTCAAGTGAGGTCACTGTGAGAAGGTGCTATCTATGAGCCAGGAAGTCAACCCTCACCAGAGGGTTGACAGTAACTTGATCTGACAGTACCTTGATCTTGGACTTCCCAGACTCCAGAACTGTAAGAAATAAAATTTGGTTGTTTATAAGCCACTCGGCTTAAGGTATTTTGTTACAGCAGTCCAAACAGACTAAGATATCCTCTTAATTAGTATTATCTTGCTCAAGAACAGTGTGCTAGATTTAAATATTTCTACAAAGGCTTCAATTCTTCTTTCTTTGAAAGTTGGAGTTTAATTCCCTTCTACTTGTGCAAGCCTGACCTTAGTGACTAACTTCTAGCAAGTAGAATACTGTGGAATGATGGTGTGTGACTTCCAAGGCTAGACTACACTTCCAAGGCATTGTGGCTTTCTGCCTGCTCTGTCTTGGATCACATGCTCTGAAGGATGTTAACTGACATGTTGAGCTGATACTCAAGCAACTCTGTGGAGAGGTTCTTATGGCCCTGAGACCTCCTGCCATCAGCTCTGAAGAACAAGGCATCCAACCAACAGCTTCTTGAGTGAGCTGTTTGGAAGTGGATCTTCCAGCCTCTGTCAAACCTACAGATGACCCTAGGTCTGATATCTTAGCAGTGAAATGAGTAACTCTGAGCCAAAACCACCCGCCTAAGCTGATCCCAGATTTCTGACTCTCAGAAACTGTGTGAGATAACAAATGTTTGTTATCTTTAGGCCTAATATCTGGAGTAATTTGTTAGGCAATCATAAGTAATAAAACCAATTAAAATCTTCAAAATTTTCTGAGGGGAAATCAGTGATGTACCTTGCATCTTATAATTGCATATGATTAACAGGAAACAATTCATGTAAATAAATGTGAGCTGTTAAGACTTTGCCCAAAATATTGTTTGACTCAGAATCAAATATAAGACTTAATTTATATAATCAGTGTCCTTATTTTAATTATAAATAAATCAAACATAGAATTAAGAAGCCACTGAATATATACAAATATTTATTATTTTTATGTCATACAAATTCATATTTGCCACTAAAATAATGTTATAATGTTAGATAATATTAACCACACTATATCAGAACAAAACACAACCCCTCAGATATCATTGTTTCATTCAACAACATTTCATTTTAACACAGATTAAAAAAAATCTCTTCCTGGCCATGACCACTGTCTACATGTAGTTTGCACATTCTCCCTACGTTTGTGGGTTTTCTCCAGTCACTCTGGTTTCCTCCCACATCTCAAAGCTGTGAACATTGGGTAACTTGGCATGTCTAAATGGTTCCAGTCTGAGTGAGGGTAGATATGGGTGTGTGTGAGTGTGCCCTGTGATGGGATGGTGTCCTGTCCAGGGCTGGTTCCTGCCTTGTACTCTGAGCTGCCTAGACAGGCTCCAGGCACCAGCAGCCCTAATCTGAGATAAAAATTGGGTAAATAATAATCATACTTGTTTTTATTAATCTTTCTTAAGTATGTACATAGCACATATTTATTTTAATGTTTACTATTAGAAGTCTTTTGGTCTTTATTTAGAACTTTGGTGATGTTTTTGTGACCAGAAATATGCCATAAAAGCTTAATCACCTGGCCTATAGCAAAACTGGCTTTGTGATACGTCATTTTGCTTAAACTCACTGTTCCCAAGAACCCATTGATGACTTTAAGTGATTTACTGAACAATTAAATTTTTGAAAACTGAATATTATGTGAGATATTATACTTTCATACAATCCTGTTATGTGCACCATTTTGCCTCACTCCTTCCCCAAAATTCGCATGTTGAAGCATGAACCCCCAGTACCTCAGAATGTGACTGTATTTGGAGATATAGCTTTAAAGAGATATCGAAGGTTAAATGAGGTCATGAGGGTGGACCCTAATACTATCTGACCGATGTCCTTGTCTGAAGAGCAAATCTGGACATAAAAAAAGAGAAACTAGAGATGCACGTGCACAGAGGAAAGGCCATGTGAGGAATAGAGACAAGGCGGCTGTCTGCAAGCCAAGAAGAGAGGCCTCAGAAGAAGCCAAACCTGCTAACTCTTTGATCTTGGACTTCCAGCCTCCAGAACAGTGAGAAAATTAATTTCTGTTATCTAAGCTACCCAGTTTGTGGCATTTTGTTATGGCAGCGTCAACAAACTAATATACCAAACCAAGAAAGGTCAAGAGGATACATCTCTATACAGTATTCATTTTTCCAGATTACTTGGGTGCTGCCCAAAATATTCTACATAAAGAATTCATTTTAGGACAAAATTTTCAAATATTTCATGGACTCAAATATACAGTGTCCCAATACACAGCATCACATTTTGTAATAACTGTACTTACCACTATAGAACTGATGAATTTCCCAACTTTTAAAATCACATTTTGAAACGTAAAAAAAATTATTTAAAAAAATCTCTACTGTGAGAAGGAGAGATGTAAACAGAAATTAGTTCTGAGGGCCCAGGAGAAAGAGAAATTAGCTTTAGCTAAATATATATAAGCCATACAGAGGAAGAACCATTTGAATTAGATCTTAGGTTGAACATGGTGGCACATGCGTGTAATCCCAGCACTTTGGGAGACCAAGGCAGGTGGATCACCTGAGGTCAGGAGTTCGAGACCAGCCTGGCCAAAATGGTGAAACCCCATCTCTACTAAAAATGTGAAATTAGCCAGGTGTGGTGGCACATGCCTGTAATCCCAGCTACTCAGGAGGCTGAGGCAGGAGAATCACTTAAACCCGGGAGGTGGAGGTTGCAGTGAGCCAAGATCATGCCACTGCACTCCAAACTGGGCGACAGGGCGATAGTCCATCTCAAAAGATAAAATAAAATAAAATTAAATTAAATTAAAAATAAATTGACCTTAAAGCCTGAGAAAGGCTTTTATAGTTAGAGGAGAGGGCAGAACATTTTAGAAAAACAAAATCAGTCAGGCAATGAAAAAAAAAGTTTGGAATTTCTGGAACAAAGGGTGCATGGTGGCTTTTGAACTTGGATTTGGGTAGAATTTGAAAAGGATCTTAAATGTGAAAATAAAATATTAAATTAAGTCTTGCACCTGATTTTGCATGCAGTGAAAGTAAAAAAAAAAAAAAAAAAAAAAAAAAAAAAAAAAAAAAAAAAGCTATATAAGAAATGGAATGGGCCGTGCGCAGTGGCTCACGCCTGTAATCCCAGAACTTTAGGATGCCGAGGCAGGCAGATCACTTGAGGTCAGGAGTTCGAGACCAGCCTGACCAACAAGGAGAAACCCCATCTCTCTTAAAAATACAAAATTAGCTGGGCCTGGTGGTACATGCCTGTAAACCCAGCTACTCGAGAGTCTGAGGCAGGAGAATCGCTTGAACCCAGGAGGTGGAGGTTGCAGTGAGCCGAGATCACACCATTGCACTCCAGCCTGGGCAGCGAGAGTGAAATCCATCTCAAAAAACAAAACAAAACAATAAAAGAAATGGAATGGTATAATCGTTTTTGTTTTTTGGTAGAATGACTCTGATATGACCCTTTAACTACAAACTGCAGTAAGAATGGAGACCAGATAGGACAAGGTTTTAATAGTCCAGGTGAGAAATAATCAAGTTCTGGATTAAGTTCTTGACAACACCTTAGAAAAGGAGAGATTGAAATGCAGAGATGCTTCTGAATATAGAACTGACAAGATTAATGAACGATTGAAGAAGCAACATTGAAAAGTAGAAAGAGTGCTGAATTTGCAGCCTGGAAGAGTTAGCTCAACTCTAGGTTTTGTCATTAATTTGCTTTTTGATCTGGGACAAATTATTTCCCCCTTCTTATTAATAAGATATAATCATAGCTATACAATGAGGTTATTGTGACAATTAGATATAATATTTATAAATCTCCTTTATGTCATTAATTTTATTATCATTAATATTCAGAGCATGAGAGAGAAGGAAATCTTGGGATGCCCCCTAAATTTTTGACTTAGGAAGCTACATAGATCATGAGGCCATAAACTTAAAGGGACAGAATAGGTTCTTGGAAATCAGCATGAATTCACTTCCAATCTCTCTAGGACTCTAGGTCAAGATGGCCAGAGGACAGGTAAAATTAAGGAACAGAAACTTGTGGAAAGAAGTTTGAGGTTTAAAATATAGATTTTGGAGCTTGACAGTATATAAATGACTTTTGAGGTAAAAATAATAAATGAGATTCATCAACGAGTGAAGAAAGAGCTAGAAAAATGTATTCCACGAACTGAACCTTGCCTTTAAAAAATGAATTATCTGCTGGGCGCGGAGGCTCGCGCCTGTAATCCCTGCACTTTGAGAGGCTGAGGCAGTTGGATCACCTGAGGTTGGGAGCTTGAGACCAGCCTGACCAACATGGAGAAACCCCATCTCTACTAAAAATACAAAATTAGCCGGGCGTGGTGGTGCATGCCTGTAATCTCAGCTACTCGGGAGGCTGAGGCAAGAGAATCGCTTGAACCTGGGAAGTGGAGGTTGCTGTGAGCCAAGATCATGCCATTGCACTCCAGTGGGCAACAAGAGTGAAACTCTGTCTCAAAAAAAAAAAAAAAAAAAAAAGATTTATCTGTGAAGTTCTTTTAAGAAAGACCTGTAATTGCAAAAGTTTCACTTTGTATTAACATAGGCTTGCTTTTGCCTTTCAGCAACCCAAATTCTTGGTTTCGATAAATATTGACTAGAAAAAAAATGGAAAGGCAATACAAAGATTCCTAAGTCTGGCAAGAGGTTTTGCATAAACCCAGTTCCCAAGGTATGTATCCAGTGAGATAGAATACTTACACATGTCAGGAAAAGCAAATGTATTACTCACAAATAGGCAACAAGAATCAACAGAAGCCTAGGATCTATGGCAAGCCCATTCCCCAAGGCTCCAGAAAGTTGCATAGGGTTGGATGGAGTCTTGTCTGCGCATGACTTATAGCTAAGGATTCCCTCAAGCACTCTGCTCTGGGTTTTACACCCTGGGCAGCACAGGGATGATGGAGCACAAGAACTGCAGAACATCCCATTCTGGAAAGAATCAGAACACAGCCCAGATTGTTCTAGACATTTTTTTCTTATCTCAGGATGTTGCATTCTCTGTATATTCTGCACAAGATTGCAAGCAAGAGGGGAAAGAGTGGAGTTGGCCAAGATTATTTGAAGATTTGTCCTCCTGTAGATGGAGCCAGAATTTTGTTCTGGAAGGTCAGGACTATAAGAAACTTAACTGATTTGCATAATGCAAAAAGTTGTTCTTGTTAGAGACAAAAAGTTGACTGCTCTCTTAATCTATTCTATGTGCTACAATAAAATAGCATAAACTAGGTAGCTTATAAATAGCAGAAATTTATGTATAACAATTTTGGAGGCTTAGCAAATCAAAAACCAAGGTGCCAATAGATTAGGTATCTGGTGAGGATCACTTTCTCATAGATGGTGTCTTTTTGCTGTCTCTTCACATGGTGGAAGGGGCAAACAAGCTCCCTCAGGTCTCTTTTATAAGAACACTAATCCCATTCATTAGGGCTCCACTCTCATTATGTAAACTCCTTCTAAAGGCCCCACATTTCAAGATCATCACCTTGGAATTTGGAATTTGAATTTTGGCAATAAAACGGTTTGGCTCTGTGTCCCCACCCAAATATCATCCTGAATTGTATAATAATCCCCACAATCCCCACGTGTGGAGGGAGGGACAAGATGGGAGGTTGTTAGATCATGGGGGTGGTTTTCTCTTTGCTGTTCTAGTGATAGTGAGTGAGTTCTCATGAAATCTGATGGCTTTATAAGGCAGTTTTCCCTGTGGTTGCTTGCCCTCTCTTGCCTGCCACCATGTAAGACATGCTTCTTCTCCTTCCACCATGATTGTAAGTTTCTTGAAGCCTCATCAGCCATGCAGGACTGTGTGTCAATTAAGCCTATTTTCTTTATAAATTACTCAGTCTTGGGTATGTCTTTGTAGCAGTGTGAAAATGAACTAATACAATACATTGGTACCAAGAGTGGGGTACTGCTATAAAGATACATGAAAATGTGGACGTGACATTGGAACTGAGTAACAGGCAGAGGTTGGAACAGTTTGGAGGGCTCAGAAAAGAGAGGAAGATGTGGGAAAATTTGGAACTTCCTAGAGAGTTGTTGAATGGTTTTGACCAAAATGCTCATGGTGATATAGACAATGAAGTCAAGATTGAGATGGTCTCAGATCATGATGAAGAACTTGTTGGGAACCAGAGCAAAGGTCACTCTTGCTATCTTTAGCAAAGAGATTGGCAGCATTTTGCCCTGTCCTAGAAATCTGTGGAACTTTCAACTTGCAACTTGAGATGATCTGAAATTTAAACTTAAGTTTAAAAGGGAAGAGGAGGATAAAAGTTTGAAATATTTGCAGCCTGATGAGGTCATAGAAAAGAGAAACACGTTTTCTAGGAGGAATTCAGGCCAGCTGTAGAAATTTGCATAAGTTATGAGGAGCAGAATGTTAATCACCAAGACAACGGGGAAAATGTCTCGAGGGCATGTCAGAGACCTTCACAGCACACCCTCCCATCACAGACCTGAAGGGCTAGGAGGGAAAAATGGTTTCATGGGCCCAGACCCAGGGCCCCATTGCTGCTCTGTGCAGCCTTGGGACTTGGCACCTGCATAACAGCCATGGCTAAAAGAGGTCAAAGTACCACTCAGGCCATTGTTTCAGAGGGTGAAAGTCCCAAGTCTTGGTGGCTTCCATGTAGTGTTAGGCCTGCCAGTGCATAGAAGTCAGAATTGAGGTTTGGAAACCTCAACCTAGATTTCAGAGGATGTATGGAAATGCCTGGATGTCCAGGCAGAAGTTTGCTGCAAGGGTGGAGCACTCATGGAGAACCCCTGCTAGGGCAGTGTGGAAGGGAAATGTGGGGTTGGAGCCCCCACACAGTGTCCCAACTGGGGCACTTTCTAGTGGAGCTGTCAGAAGAGGGCCACTGTCCTCCAGACCGCAGAATGCACATGGAAAAATTGGAGACACTCAATGCCAGCCAGGAGAGGGCTGTACCCTGCAAAGCCACAGGGATGTAGCTGCCCAAGACTGTGGGAACCCACTTCCTGCATCACCGTGACCTGGATGTGAGGCATGGACTCAAAGGAGATTATTTAGGAGCTCTAAGATTTAATGACTGTGCCACTGTATTTTGGACTTGCATGGGGCTTGTAGCCCCTTTGTTTTAGACTATTCCTCTCATTTGGAATGGGAGCATTTATCCAATGCCTCTACCCCCACTGTATCTTGGAATTAACTAACTTGCTTCTGATTTTACAGGCTCCTAGGCAGAAAGGACTTGCTTTCTCTCAGATGAGACTTTGGACTGTGGACTTTTGAGTTAATGCTGAAATGAGTTAAGACTTTGGAGGACAGTTGAGAAGACATGATTGTGTTTTGAAATGTGAGGATGTGAAATTTTGGAGAAATGAGGAGTGGAATAATATGGTTTGTCTCTGTGTCCCCATCTAAATCTCATCTATAATTGAAATCCCCATCATCCTCACATGTCAAGGGAGGGACCAAATGGGCAGTGATTGGATCATGAGAATGGTTCCCCATGCTGTTCTAGTGATAGTGAGTGAGTTCTCACAAGATCTGAGAGTTTTATAAGGCAGGTTTCCCTGCTTTTTTGCATTCTCTCTCACATGCCACCATGTAAGATGTGCCTCTTCCCCTTCCACCATGATTATAAGTTTCTTGAGGCCTCCCCAGCCATGCAGAACTGTGAGTCAATTAAACCTCTTTTCTTTATAAATTACCCAGTCTGAGGTATGTCTTTATAGCAGGGTGAAAATGTACTAATACAGGAGGGGACATAAATAATTAAACCATACAGGGTTAACTGGTCTTCATCCATGAATCTCTCACAAAAATATTCTTTTTCATTTTACCACAGTCTCTAGAAGTTCTGGCATACGCTTTGATTCAATCTAGCATAATGGCATTAAATGCAATATAAATAATAATGATTCTCAAATTTTTATTTATAGCCAAACCTTTTACCTTAGACTTAGGCTTATATATCCAAGCACCAAGTCATCTCCTCTACTTGGGCATCAAAAATGCAACTCAAAGTCAACATGTTAAAACCTAAGACTTGATTCCTTCCTATCCTTGACAAAATATTTTCCTGCAAGTTTTTGCCATTTCAGAAAACAGCAATTTCATTCTTCCAGTGGCTTATACCAAATGCCACAGTTACTCTTGCGACTATTCTTCTTCTCACATCTATATCCAATACCTCACTAAATATTATTAGTTTGAACTTCAAAATACATCCAGAATCTGCACAGGAAGCAGAGCTTTAGGAACAGTTTAGCCACTAGCATTCCACATATACAAAGCCAAGGAAACATCAATAGCTCTAACAATATATTAGTAACACTCTAAATTGTTTCCTTGTGTCTTTCCTTGCCTCCTTGCTTCTGACATGGATCCCAATAATTCTGCCTCCTGGTACCCATGCCTTTATATAATCTCCTCCCCTTGAATGTAGGCTGGACATAATGACTTACTTTTTTTAAAAAAGCATATATTTAAGAGGGGCAACATGATGTTTTGATATATACATACATACACATAGCAAAATGATTGCTATAGTCAAGCAAATCAACCTATCTCTCATCTCACATAGTTAAATTTCCTTTGTGTGTGTCATAAGCACCTAAAATCCACACAGCAAATATCCCAAATACAACATTAACTGTAGTCCCCATGTTGTACATTAGATCTCTATATTTGCTTATCCTATAAATTTACAACATTCTATCCTTTTACCTATATCTCCCCATTTCCTCTCCACTCCCACCACCCATAGCAAACACTCTATCTCTGTGGTTTTGACCTTTTTTTTTTTTTTTAGATTCTGTGTATAAGTGAGATAATGCAGTATTTTTCTTTCTGTGTCTGGCTTAATTCACCTAGTATAATATCCTCCAGTTCCATCCATGTTGTGGCAAATGGAAGAATCTTGTTCTTTTTTCTCTCTTTTTTAAAAATTTTATTTGTATCAATGTAAGGAGACAAATGCAGTTTTGTTATGTGAATATGTTGTGTAGTAATGTAGTCTGGGCTTTTAATGTAACCATCACCAGAATACTGTACCTTGCACCTATTAATTAATTTCTCATCCATCACCACCCCCTCACCCTCCTATCCTTCAGAGTCTGCAATGCCTATTATTCCACTGTATGTCCAATTATACACGTTATTTGGCTCCCACATACAAGGGAGAAAATGTGATATTTGACTTTATGTTTCTGAGTTGTTTCACTTAAAATAATGGCCTCCAGTTCCATTCATATTGCTGCAAAAGCTATGATATCATTCATTTTTACTCCTTCTTTTTTATTTTTTTATTTTTATTTTTTTGAGATGGAGTTTCATTCTTGTTGCCCAGGCTAGAGTGCAATGGCATGATCTTGGCTCACCGCAACCTCTGCCTCCCAGGTTCAAGCGATTCTCCTGCCTCAGCCTACTGCTTCTTTTTAAAGACTGATAATATTCCATTGTATATGTATACCACAGCCTCTTTATTCATTCATCCATCAATGGACAATTCAGTTGTTTCCATGATTGGTTTTTAATGAAACAAACACAGTAAAAGTGACAGAATATTACTTCTATGATTAGGTTACAAAAGACACTGACTTTTATCTTACTGAGATTTCCTCTCTGGCTCTTCATACTTGCTTGTCCTGATGAAGAGGACTACTGGGTAAGAATTGAGAGTGGCCTCTGGCCATTAGCCAACAAGGAGCTAAGGCCCTCAGCCCAACAACCCTTGAAGAACTGAACCCTGCTGACTACTGAATGAGGTTGGTGGCAAATTCTGCCCCAGTTGAACCTTGGCATTTCTGAGGCCCCAGTCAACACCTTGATTACAAATTTGTGAAGACCCTTAAGCAGATGACCCAGCAAAGCCATGCTCAATTTCTGACCCACAAAAATGGATGTTGTGTTAAGTTGCTGAATACTGATGCAATTTGTTACATAGTAATAGTTAACTAATGTATCTCGCTAAAGTCTAACGTTAAATGCAGCCAAAAGGACTGTAAAAGTCAGATCAAGCTGCTCCTCTACCTAAAATCAAGCAATAGCTTTCAATCTCACTTGGGGCAAAAGCCAAAATCCTGTGCTAGGCATTGAGGTCATATTTGATCAGGCCGCCATTAGTTCTCTGACTTGATCTCCTGTGATTCTCACTCTTGTGTTTTTGTTTCACGTGGACCTTTTGGATGTTCTTGAACCTGTAAGCATGCTCCCTTATTTAGAGTCTTTGTACTTGCTTTTTCATCTGCTTGAAAACTTTTCTCTTTATATCCACATGGTTTGTTCCTTCACTCTTTGATCTCTGCTCAAATGTCTCCTTATCAGTAAGACCTTCCCTAATCACCTTATAAAGTATAAACAATTTTCCTCCCTGGCCCTTTTACCTTCCCTAATATATTCTTCTCTCTATTTATTATATCTACTTATGCCTTTACCTATATACATATATATTATAAGTAATTATGTGTATTATTTTCCCCCTAACAAAATAAAAGCTCAAGGAAGGAAAAGACTGATGTGTTTGCTGCTGTATCCCCAGTGCTAGAACAGAGCTTAACGTGTAAATGTTCAATAAACATTTGTTGAATAAATAAATGAACTACTGTTTCTTTAGCAGTGAAATTGGTACATTTGACAGTTGTAAACATTTAAGGAGAGAAAAATGAGGATGGGACAGGGTTCTACTCAGGAACTGTCTTAGCAAACAGCACATAAATAGTCATAAGAATATAACTTGCTATTAACAACCCATCATTGGCTAGAATATGGAGCAAAATTATAATTTAATGGTATTATAAACTAGTAATTTTTCACATAAAGAAAAAAATCTGTTTCATAATCACAGACTGTACCCCTAATCTTGGCTAATCATCTTGCAAATGCCTGCGATTAGTCACAATGGCTAATGTGAAAGGGAGTGCCAGTGGCTCAGGCAGCACAATCCATCACCAACACAGGGGAAATAACTCAAATTTTGTATCCTACTAATGGCGGGTCAGTAGCTTCAATTTTGTATTTGAAGAGCAATCCAAACCAAATTCCCTAAAACACACCAAATTTTTTATAACTGGTCTTTGCTAAAACTAGCATTATCTAGCAATACAACAGATTCCACATTTTAAAAAAATTTTAGCAATTGGGAAAGCAAGAGAATTAAAAGCATATAAAAAAAAACCTTGTAAGGTAATCTTGTTGGTTGTTTTAATAGAACTTCTAAATGTATGGCTATCGAAAAGGACATAATTTTATCGAAATATCAGAATATCTTACTCATTTTTTAAATGGAACCTAACAATTTGATTCAAATTGCCTTTCAATACCCATGCTATGTATTGAGAACAGATTGAAAGGTATGCTATATGGCCCTATAGGGGATTACTGTTGCATCCATCCTATGATGTAATGTCTTAACACTGGAAGCTGAATATAAGAGAGTAATAGGAACCTCTAACAATACCCAGAAAGGCAAAAAGCTAAGTGAATTAGGTATCTAAAGACATTAAAGATGATAAGGATTTTTCAACTGTTTGGAGCAAGAAAATAAATCATGGAATAGGCCTGCTTTTCAAGGATAACAATGGACCCAGCATGGTGGCTCACGCCTGTAATCCCAGCACTTTGGGAGGGCGAGGCAGGCAGATCACCTGAGGTCAGGAGTTCGACACCAGCCTGGCCAACATGGTGAAACCTCGTCTCTAATAAAAATACAAAAATTAGCCGGGTGTGGTGGCAGATGCCTGTAATCCCAGCTACTCAGGAGGCTGAGGCAGGAGAATCACTTGAACCCAGGAGGCAGAGGTTGCAGTGAGCTGAGGTTACGCCATTGCACTCCAGCCTGGGTGACACAGTGAGACTCCATCTCAAAAAAAAAAAAAATGTTAACAGGTGAGAGAATACTAAAATATTTCTATTTGGTCTCCTTCAAGTTAGAAAGGTCCAATTTAAGGAAAAAAAAAAAAAAAAAAGGAATCCTAGCCCAAGATAGCTGAAAAGATAGTAAAAAGGGAACTTAGCCACTCTGAATTTAAGTCTCTAAGACCAAGCAAATTACATCCTCAGAAGCTGAAGGAATTTGTAGATGGAATCTCAGCACTGCTATTTGGTATGAAGATTAGTGTAGAAGTCAGAAAATTAAAGGTAGCTCTATGTTGCTCTGTTTTTTAAAAAAATAAAATACAGATTTTTTTTAAAAGCAACAGCCATAGATCTCAGACAAAATCCAAGAGAGGATGTATTAAGCAAATACATTGTAAACATCTGGAAAATAAAGTACTGATAGTTCTGCATCAATGTGGGCTCACAAACACAAGGTCTAAATTGAACTCATTGCCTTTCCTGTTGGTTTGCATTTGGTTTGTTGTTTGTTTTATTTTCAGAAGGCACAGGTTTGGCAGCAAGAGCTCCCTGAGCTTTGGAGTCAAGGAACTGAACATGGATTTGAATCCTGGCTCTAATACTTTCTTCCTGGGCAACAACCTTGGAGAAGATACATCACTCCCTCTCTAAGGCTGTTTATTCATAAGTCTGCCTCAAAGGGCTGTTGTAAAGATCCCACAGGCTAATCAAAATAAAGCTCCTTGCACCATTCCCAGCACATGGTTGACTTAGTATTAGAGACCGGTGGAAATCCTCCATTTCTCTATCTCTGTATTCTCTTGGAGAGTGACTTTAGCTATAGTAACACACATGAATTCTCTTCCTACTCCTCTTATTTATCTTATTTGTAAACATGGGAGAAGAAAGTTGGGTCTGTCCAGCTCAGACTCTTTTCTCTTTCCTTTTGCAGCCAGCTTACAGGAAGGATACATGCATTCATGTCACCTTTTTTTTTTTGCCAAGCACAAAGCTTATTGTGTCAGATTTGATTCATGCAAAAGGGAGGAACATGGTTGTCCAACACTGCCTATGACTGAGTAGGTAAAATCATCTAATGTAGGAGGATATCTGAAAACCCTGGTGGCCATGGGTTAAACCACATTCCTCAGTTCTGTTTTATCAGGAGTAAAGCTGATATCCTAATTTCCATCTAAGCCTGACTCCTGTGTCTTTATTAGGGGTCAATTTTGGAGACAGAAGCAGAGAAAAAGTATTATCAGGTAGATCAACTAGAACCTCAACAAGGTGACAATGACAATGGTGATGGTGATAAAACCAGTGTATTGGGATAATTCTGCATAGATATTTTACACTTGAATCTCAGTTTCTTAAATGTCAAAAGCTCTTAGTGCTGTCTGCTAAGAAAATGGTAAAATGCATGTAACTATATAAGTAATAAATTACATAGTAGCCAAAAAAGCATTGACTAATAATAGTTAATAATCCTTGTCACCAACCACTTAGCTAAGTGCTTCACATGCACCATCTTACATATTCTTCTCAACAGCCATATGAGGCAGATATTATAATTCCCCACTTTATAAGTGAAAAAACTAGAGTTCAAAGTGATCAAGTGACTTGCCCAAGGTCACATAGCTAACAAATAGGAAAGTCAGGATACAAACACAGTTCTGTCTGATTCCACAGTCCATACTCTGATAAAAGAACCGAAAAACTTCATGTGGCTTGTTGCCCATTTTTATGAATACAGTTTCATCGGAACACAGCCAGGCTCATTTACTTACTTATTGTCTATTTGCTACTTTTGTGCTATAATGGAAAAATTGAGCAGTTGCAACAGAAACCATATGGTTTGCAAAGCTGAAAATATTGAATATCTGGGCCTTTTCAGAAAAAAATTGCATACCTCTGCTTTACTATAAACTATTATGTAATGTTCTTTCAGTTGAACATCTTGAGGGATTCTATCTCATGTTATAAAAATGAATCAAAACTAGTTCTTCGCCTAACACTGGGAGACTAGATAAAATCTTGAAATCTTTGAGGTATACTCATTCCTTTTTCATAAATTGAAATTTAGCAAAATACTTTGATAGCCCCATAATGTTCTCTTTTGTTACTTACTTTTCTTCCTAGAGCTTCAGCACTGATTTCAAATCATTCCAAGCTCCCTAATGGTGTTTCGTTTTCTTTTGTTTTGTTTTTGTTTTAAGGTCTCACTTTGTCACCAGGCTAGAATGGAGTGGTGTGATCTTGGCTCACTGCAACCTCCGCCTCCTGAGCTCAAACGATCCTCCCACCCCAGCCTCCCTATTAGCTGGGAATACAGGCATGCACTACCGTCCCTGGATGATTTTTTAGGAACTTTTTTGTAGAAATGGGTTTTTACCCTGTTGCCCAGGCTGATCTCAAACTCCTGGACTCAAGAGATCCACCCCGCCTCCGCCTCCCAAAGTGCTGGGATTACAGGCATGAGCCATCACACTGGGCCTATACCTCTTGACTATAACAGATTTGACCCTTTGAAAGAACCAAAACGATTGCTAACAAATACAACTGTTAGAACCAACTTCCAAACTGAATATGTGGAGTTTTTTCCACTTTATATTATGAAAAATTTCAAACATATGCAAAAGTAGAGTAAACAATGTACTAAAACCCTATCCATCCATCACCTGGCTTCAAAATTATCTACCTCAAGGCTAATCTTGTTTCATCTATAAATCTTCTTCCCCTAACCCCCACCAGACTGTTTGAAATAAATTGCAGACAATATATGATTTTAGTTCTAAATATTACAGGTGCTTTTAACACAGAGTTAGGGCACATAAACCAATAGGATATGAGCTCCTATATACTATGAGTACATAGAAGCTGCATACTCTTTAGTACTGGCAAACCTGTAATTGGGCTCAAACTCAGATATTTATACTAATTCTCTGCTTGTAGGAATGACATTGTATAATACATTTTCTGTCAAAGGAAGGATTACTTTGAGAGAATATGCTGTTCAAAAGCCATTAGGAAAGGAGTTCAGGCACTGTCATAGCAGTGTATGTCTTGTGGTATCAGGTGATCTCCATTCTTCACCCAGCAGCAAATCCCCAGAGGGCCAGGAATAAGACAGAGTCCACATAATAAATGATATGAGGGCAAGAAAGAAGAAACCTCAGTCATGATGTGCCAACAAAAATAATAAATATCCCACCTGCCATATCTCCTTGCAAGATTTTATAGCAAAGTTACTAAGACCATTATATACTTCTCAAGATTACCATGATAATATAGCGATTGCTGTTGAAAGCTGTCTTCTAAATAAAGTTACAATTTATCTTTTAAAGAGGACAGCACAAATTGGCCATTTATAAATGTTCTTGAAATCTAGATGTGTAATTTTGCTCTATGAAAAACAACTAAAAAAGATCTTGTAGAAAGCCAGCTATTCAAATATTACATAACCTTTTGATAAGATGAAGCTAAGTATATTGTTCACTATATTAAGGGAGAATACCATTCTGCATAGCTTTGGTAATGTCTCAGTAGGGAAGCAAAGTCAGAATTTATTGAGAATCAGTTTAGTTCAAGGTAGGTCTTTCAGTGCAAGGAAGCTTGGTTAGAATTGTGTAAAGATTAAGATACAAAAGCCCAGGATTGCTGAAAACAGCAAGGTGAGACATTCGAAGAATCATAGAGTGCAAACCATCTGTTGATGATTTTCAGTGAAGAATTGATGGGTAATTGGGGAATGAAGACATACCAATGAAGACAATGGGAAAATAAAGTCATGTTAAGAGAAACAGTTAACTATGGGGGGAGTGAGAGGAGCAGGCATTTCTGCTCCTCAGTGTCCAAGCTGTGAGGGAGGGCTGGTGGGTTCAGTTCTTGACCTTCGTATTCAAATCAGAATGGTTATCATTGAATAATCTGCAGATAGGTAGATAAATTATATAACATAGACAAGATATATACATATGTTTATAGATAATCTCTCTATACATTTATTTTTAAAATGATGTAGCATAGACAGTGTTTAGATGATCCAGCAGGTTTGTGATTAAGATGCTAGTAAAGCATCTCTGAGCTGGACATAGGGGCTCATGCTGTAATACCGGCACTTCAGGAGGCTGAGGTGGGAAGATCACTTGAATCCAGGAGTACAAGACCAATCTGAGCAACACAGTGAGATACTATCTCTTCATAAGAGAAAAAAAAAATTAGCCAGGTGTGATGGCCCGAGCCTATAGTACCAGCTACTCCAGAGGCTGATGTGAGGGGATCACTTGAGCCCAGGAATTCGAGGCTGCAGTGAACTGTGATTGCACCACCGCACTCCAACCTGGGGGACAGAGCCAGACCCTATCTCGAAACAAAAAAAAAAGCGTCTCTAAAAATGATCCATTGGATATCTTTTCTCTTCTTCATTTATGAGTTCTGCCAATCTTCTTTCTTGTATCTTCTGAGGTGTGGCCCTACTTCATTCTCTCATCATTAATCAGAGGCTTATTACCAGCTTCAGAGAACTTTCAGTCTTGTAGAGAATTATTTCCAGTCTCTGCATCTCTAATTGTTCAAAGTTTACATTATTGATGCAGACACATCATAATCTCCAGTAAAAATGGAAGGTCTTTCATCTATTCTTTCCACATAATGCATACTCCTAGTTACTTAGAACTCAGGAATTTCTTTTCTTTCTCTGTATTTTGTGGTAATTCTAAAATGTGTTGTGGATATTAACACTATTAAACATCCTCCCTGAGAGCAAGAGTTTAGAAGCCTTAGAGTTTAATACTTCTGCTTCTTAACTTTATTTATTTTATTTATTTATTTATTTTTGGGACAGAGTCTCACTATGTTGCCCAGGCTGGAGTGCAGTGGTATGATCTCAGCTCACTGCAAACTCTCCCTCCTGTGTTCAAGTGATTCTCCTGCCTCAGCCTCCTAAGTAGCTGGGATTACAGGCATGCACCACCACACCTGGCTAATTTTTGTATTTTTAGTAGAGACAGGGTTTCACCATGTTGGCCAAGCTGGCCTGGAACTCCTGACTTTGTGATCCTCCTACCTTGGCCTCCCAAAGTGCTGGGATTACAGGTGTGAGCCACCACGCCTGGCCTGCTTCTTAGCTTTAAGTCCATGTGTCTACACTGTATTTATGTTATCGGCAGAAGATGAATTACAGAGACATTTGGGAGGTCCTAAATCATTGTAATATACTAGTTATATAAGTGAGGTGAAAAACCAAAGAGTTAAATTTCCAATATTGCTTTCTTATTTCATTATATCTTATGTCATTATATGGCTAGTGTTCACCCCTACTCAAAAGAAGGCTCACAATATACATGTTCTACCTGCCTGTGAAGTGAGAGAAAATGTTATGCTTTCTTAAAGTTGTTAGTGTTTCAGCTTAGAAATTGTCAATTCAGGAAGAATATCTGGTGAAAGAGAGAGTCAGACCTCAAAGACCTTGGTCTTGTATTAAGAGATTTTTCATTAATTTTCTCTGCTACCTAAAGAAGGTGTGGCTCCCTCCTTGACGTTTTCTTCTGGGAAGGAACACAGGACTCTCCTCTTAATACTTCATGGTGCAGCTGGAACCAGACTGAAAGACTGAAAGTAATTTACTGAGTACTGAAGGCTAAAAGGTACAAAAAGAGAAAGAAATACCAAAAGTAACTTGCTACAAAATGATCAACTTTATGCTATTTTCTTAGTCCATTTGTGCTCAAAATATCTGAAACTGAGTAATTTATAAAGAACATAAATTCATTGTTCACTGTGATTGAGGTTGGAAAGTCCAAGATCATGGTTTGGTATCTAGTGAGGATCCAGTCTTTGCTTCCAGGATGATGCACTGAATGTTTTGTCCTCACTTGGCAGAAGGCAAAGGGGTTCTGAGCTAGTTTCCTCCAGCACTTTTATAAGGCACTAATATATTCATGAGAGTAGAGCTCTTGTGACATAATCACTTCCCTAAGGGTCCACCTGTTAATACTACCACAAAGGGGATTAAGTTTCAACATGAATTTTGGAGTGGACACATTCAAACCATAGCAATTATATACTTTATTTATCTTCCACTGGGAGGTCCTTGTAGAACTTCTTTCTTACTAGTTCCATACCTAGTTCCAGATCTGCCTCAATCAAGCTAAGGTAATTCTTCTCACTACCTAGAAATATACTCTTACACATGACTGGACTTGTTGGAGACCAAACCCAGTAAAGTAATTCCAAAAGGAAGATGGAAATGTCCCTTTCTACCTGCCTTAGATCTGTCAAAGACACAAGCTTATCAAGTAAGGAGATTGATTTTATTCTTACTGTTGCAATAGGGAGTACACCCTAGATCTCAAGAATCAGAGTTTCTCAGCAGGGTGGTTTTCCCTTAGGCTTTTATGGGGGTCTTAGACAAGGTACAAGTAACTTACAGTTGAAATTGTTTTGCAATCAGGAGAGGCTTAGTTAACTAGCTAAAGAGGACACTTTTCTTTCTGTGGTTAATTTCAGGACAGATACAATTTTAATCTTAGCTAATCACTCATGAGACAAAGAATGAGAAGCTGGCTAAGGGGAAAAGGTGAAGGGTACATGTCTGGCCTTGTCAGCAGGTTGAGAAAATGGGAGAAAGTTATATGTTTGGCCTCACATTTGGCCTTGTGTATTAGTCAGGTTTCTCCAAAGAAACAGAACCAATAGAATAGAACAGAAGAGAGAGAGAGACAAAACGAGATATTTACTGGGCTTGTCTCATGTGATTATGAAAGCTGAGAAGTCCCATGATCTGTTTTCTGCAAGCCAGATCTGTTCTCCTTCTGTGACATTACCCAGGAAAGCTGGTGTTATAGTTCCAATCCAAGCCTGAAGAGGTGAGAACCAGGTATCTGAGGGCAGGAGAAGATGGATGGCCCAGCTCAAGTTGGGAGAGAAAATTTGTCCTTCTTCTGTCTTTTTTTTTTCTCTTTGGGCCCGCAACAGATTGGATGATATTCACCAACATGGGTGGGGGTGATCTTCTTTACTTAATCTATCAGTTCAAATGCTAGCCTCTTCTGGAAACACCCTCACAGACATCCTGAGAAATAATGTTTTACCAGCAATCCGGGCATTTGTAACCCAGTTACAATGACACATAAAATTAACCATCACACCTTATCACACCTCCCTCCCTCTTGTTTAAGACAACCATAAAGCTGGGCACAGTGGCTCACACTTGTAATCCCAGCTTGTAATCCCTTTGGGAGGATGAGGGAGGCAGATCACCTGAGGTCAGGAGTTTGAGATCAGCCTGGCCAACATGGCAAAACCCTGTCTCTCCTAAAAATACAAAAAAATTAGCTGGGCATGGTGGTGCCTGCTTGTAATCCCAGCTACCAGGAGGGCTGAGGCAGGAGGATCGCTTGAACCTGGTAGGCAGAGGTTGCAGTGAGCCAAGATGGTGCCACTGCACTCCAGCCTGGGCAACACAGAGAGACTTCATCTCCAAAAAAAAAAAAAAGAAAGAAAAAAAAAGACAACCATAAGCTTATTCTTAAATAACTACACAGGGCAATGAGGAATGTCCAAATTTATACCATTGTCAAATCAGTTTCAGTTTTGGTGTTTAAATCTATCCAAGATGGTATTCTTTATAGCTTTGCAGCAGTGTTGGTGGTTAGGAGGGCAGAGTTAGGTCTTTTCAACCTGGATTCAAGATTTTTTTTTCCAGAAGACTAGGTCTCTAACCTAAAATTCATGTAAGGGCTGTGGTGGGGTGTCTAGGGGAAAGACATAATTGACCTGCTGGTGATAAACAAAAGTGGATTTAATAAAACCTGGCAATACTTATGTATATTGGATGGAATCAAATAAGAGTCTCATAAAATCAAAAAGAGTATAGATCCCCCCTGGCTTGCCAGTAATTATTTCATAAGAGAATAATCAATGTTGACTGTAGAGGCAGGAATGAGGGATCATCAGGGCTCAAGTCAAGACTCTGAGTAGGCAGTTAACGTTCCTAGGTGAATCTAAGTGGTTTGGCTGGTTGGCTCACTCTGTTTTTCCAGAGGATTAAAGAGGGTACAGATGATGCAATTTTTGTGACTAAATGCACTTGTTGAATGTGTTGGATAACTTTACTGGTAAAATGAGTGTCCCTATTACTAGAGAGGAACAAATCATTGCCCTAGTGCTATCTCTTAGCAACAATGGTTGTGGCAGCCTGTTTGCAAGGAAAAACTTCTAAAAATTCTGAAAACATGCAGACTCTTGTTGGAATATATTCCTGTTATGAAACTTTAAGATGTGAATTAAATCCATTTGCCAATGGAGAAACACTCCCAAGGGAGTTGGTTCTCATCCTTATCTTTACATTTTTACCAGAATTGTGTTTCTTGTAGATGGTGCAAGTTGAGGTTACCTGTTCAATATGAGGGCTTGAGGCATTCCCACCAATATTTAAATTTATGATGGTCAGCCAGGAACAAATACAGAGAGTGAAATAACTGTAAAAAAGTTGTATCACATTCTATCCTACTAGACATTATTGGCCCAAGGTCATTTCAGGCTAAGGGCTCCTGAGCATTCAAAATGAATTTCAAGAATTCATACTGACTTTACAGGCTGATACCAAAAGAACTTCTTGGGTTAGATTCCCTCTCAAAATGGCTCTAAGTGCTTTTAATTACATTTCAAACATCTGCAGCAACAATCACAGCTCTGTCCTAGTTTTTGCAGCCCAAAGATTGACAGACACCATCTTTACTGACAACAGTTCTGATTCAACCTCAGCTTGAGTTGTGAGAATTTGTAGTTGGGAGCCTTACCTGAGCTGTCACCATTACGTCTTATAAACCACAAGCAAATGGCTGTCCTCAGATGGTGCAGACTACTAAGATTGCCTTAAATAAGAATGCTGGAGAAACTGAACTCTAATATTGCTAGGGATTTTTTTATCCCTAAGGTTTAACATTTTCATTTTCAACAACTGGAATTGAATTTTCTGAATTACTTATTAGGGGAGTGAAGCAAGTGGTGACAACTCAGGAGAAAAGCTGTCATGATGGTCTTCCTGTAGGGCAGGGGTCAATCCACCATCTGTTTTTATGAAGTCCACAAGTTCCAATGGTTTATGCATTTTTTAAGTGCATAGGGAGTAAATCAAAAGAATAACAACATGAAAATCATATAAAATTATAATTTCACATGAAAATTATATGAAACTCCAATTTCCATGGCTATAAATAAGGTTTAATTGAAACACAGTTGCATTCTTTCATGTATTGTCTATTGCTGCTTTCACCGTAGTAGTTGCAACTGAGACTGTTGTGTTAGCCAGCAAAAGCTAATGTATTTACCATCTGGTCCTTTACAGAAAAAGATTACCAACCTCTACTCTAATGTTCTGGAGACAAATAAAAATTCTCTCTGAAAGTCTGCCCTAATACTTTTATCTATTTTTGCCCAAAGAGGAAGCTTTTGCTAGAGACCTTGTAAAAATTAGACTAAATATTTATCTTTAAGGGCCACAAATGGGCAAAAGTTGGCCCTGATTCAGTGATTGACTTCTCAGGCATCCCGCCATTATAACTTGATGACAGTAAAATCCTCAGAAGTGCATCCTCAGTTGCCATCTGGCAAGAAATTTTTAGTTCTGTCTCCTGAGAACTGAGCAGAGACACAAAGAAAATAATTATTCTCTTTTGACTCTTGGAACAGCTGAAGAGGAGTCAGCTGGAATTCCGATACTTACTAGTAAAACTCAGAGGCAATTGCACAAAAAGCTGCGCCACCAATGGTAAAAGGATATATTTGCTCAGAGATGGGGATGGAGGTGGGGAGGACAGAGTGTAGCTGGGCATGGCATGGAGGACAGGGGATTTTGTGCTTTTCGTGTTGGCCTTTTCTTCCCCTTTTGTGTTTAAATTGGTGTTTAACTCCTTTGGTGTTTCTGAAGGCAATTTAAGCGGGGTTAATTTAAAATACATAGTGTTCTTGATAAACAAAGGTTTTTTGAAATCTTGCTTGACAGTAAGTGCTCTCATTAACTTGGCAAGGGAAGAAAACATCAAATGATCACAGGGATTTATCACTAGTTTCTGACTATGTTATTCGTAAGGAAATGCCACACTTAGGTTTCATTCTGTGTTCTCTTGTCATTCTTTCTCTGCTGTCAACACCTTCTCTTATTCCATCTCTGCATTTCCTTCTCCTCTCCCAGCATTTAAAAGTGGGCTTTCTTGGCAGGGTGCAGTGGATCATGCCTGTAATCCCAGCATTTTGGGAGGCCAAGGCAGGAGGATCACTTGAGGCCAGGAGTTTGAGACCAGCCTGGGTAATATGGCGAAACCTAAAAATATAAAAATTAGCTGGGCGTGGTGGCGGGCGCCTGTAATCCCAGTTACTCGGGGGGCTGAGACAGGAGAATTGCTTGAACCGGGAAGGCGGAGGTTGCAGTGAGCTGAGATCATGCCATTGCACTCCAGCCTGGGTAACAGAGTGAGATTCCATCTCAAAAAAATAATAAAAATAAAAATAAAAAAGTGGGCTTTCTTTAGGATAAGTGCTACCTTATCCTTTTTCCTTTCTCCTCTAATTTTTCTACCTAGGGAATCCCATCCACACATATGGTTTCAAATAAAGTTTATGTGCTCTAACTAAAAATAATAGTAATCTCTCACCCTTGCTGAAAACTCCAGACTATTTATAACACTACCTATTCAACATTGCCTCTTGAATGTTTAAAATGGACCTCAGACTCAACATCTCCCAACAGCATCATGCTATGGTGAATGGATGGCATCCACATCCACTCAGGGAAAAAAACGGAGTAATTTTTCACATTTTCCCTCCCTTATGTCTTCTATCCAAACGATCAAGAAAATGAGTCTTGTTTCTTAAATACTGTGTCATCACTTTCACTTCTTTTCATGTCCATTCCCATCTTTCTAGTTGAAGCTGCTTGAATCTCTGATCTACGGCTACAGACTCCTGATGGTTTCCCAGAATATATTATTGTGCAGTCTCTCATCACCTTCCAATCTCAACACAGGAGTCGAAAGAGGCATATAAAAATGCAACTTTTATTGTCTTCTTTCCTTTGCTTTAAATCCTTCAATGGCTTCCAACCTTTACTAAAGTGAAAAATATTCTTTTTTTTTTTTTTTTTTGAGATGTAGTCTTGCTCTGTTGCCCAGGCTGGAGTGCAATGGCATGATCTCGGCTCACTGCAACCTCCACCTCCCGGGTTCAAGACATTCTCCTGCCTCAGCCTCCCAAGTAGCTGGGAATTACAGGCGCATGCCATCATGCCTGGCTATTTTTTGTATTTTTAGTAGAGACGGGGTTTCACCATGTTAGCCAGGCTGGTCTCAACCTCCTGACCTCAGGTGATCCACCAGCCTCAGCCTCCCAAAGTGCTGGGATTACAGGCATAAGTCACCATGCCTGGCCAAAAACATCATTCTTAATAAACAAAGCCATAAGCCTCCCTGGAGCTTAGTTTTTTCTATATCACCAGTCTTATTGGATAGCACTCTTTCCCTGTGCTTCACTGCCCTGGTCTTTTCTCATTTTCCCAAATGTTCCATTTTCTTTCTAGCTACAAGATCCTTCCACAAGCTGTTCCCTCTCCCAGAGTGCAGCTAAAACGTTATTTACTCACAATAGAACTACCTCAAGACTACTTAAGGGAAACATAATGCTACTGTATGTCAGAAGGGTCTTGGTCTTCAGAGTCTCCATCCCTTCTACCAAGAATCTCCTTTGCCCCTATAAGTTTACTCACATGACACTTCCCCTACCCCTTTCACCACGATAGGAAATCCTGGAGGAAGACTGCTTTACAGGGGAGGATCGTGATGCTGTTGGGAGACATTGAGTCTGAGGACCATTTTAAACATTCAAGAGGCAATGTCGAATAGGCAGTATTATAAATAGTCTGGAATTTTCAGCAAGGGTATGAGATTATTATTATTTTTTAGTTAGAGCATATGACTGTGCTAAAGTTAAAAAGATGTTTAAAAGAACAGTTTTAGGCCAGGCGGGGTGACTCATACCTGTAATCCCAGCACTTTGGGAGGCTGTGGGTGGATCACCTGAGGTCAGGAGTTCGAGGTCAGCCTGACCAACATGGCAAAACCCCGTTTTTACTAAAAATACAAAAATTAGCTGGGCGTGGTGGCGCATTCCTGTAATCCCAGCTACTTGGGAGGCTGAGGCAGAAGAATTGCTTGAACCTGGGAGACGGAGGTTGCAGTGAGCCGAGATCACGCCACTGCACTCCAGCCTGGGTGACAGAGCAAGACACCGTCTCAAAAAAAAAAAAAAGAACAGTTTTAGTCAACCTATTAAAAAAAAAAAAAAGACCCCCTCAAGGCAATGGGTACCTTTTTGCTTTATATTTTTTATGCTTACATAATTAAGAGGTTTCCTTCAAATTGATGAATGGAGAAATACTATCCATTCTTTTGCTTATTCACTCTTTCAGTAAATATTTATGGACTGTCTATTGCATGCCAGGCACTGAAAGTGCCTGAAAATACAGTAATAAACAAGACAAAAGCTTTCCTCTCTCATGCAACATACATTCTGAAGCTTTTATTGAGCTGAACTTAGAATATATGTATATTAATCTGCAGAAGGATGGATATTCACTTACAAAGGGATGAGGATAATCGAGGTACTTCATTGGACAAGTAGTACTGTAAAACTCAGAAAATGTGAAGAATATGGGCTTGCCTTCTCCTGACTTTTCTGTATGATTGACTCAATTCTCCACTTTGCCTTGCTGGTGGAATTGTTGTCTAAGAATGTTCACAGCACTCACATTGTTGGGATTTAGAGATCTAGAGATGAAAAAACTGATATATGTAATTGCAATGTAGTGTTACTAAAGATTAAATGCTTTTCAAATTTATGTTTATAATGATATGGCTACATAGAATGTTTTTCCCTGTGGTTTCTCCCATGCGTTATCTCTTCACCTTTCTAATATTGCTGGAATGTAGGGGGACAATTATTACCCTTCAATTTTGCAGGTAGGGAAACAAATTTAGTGAGTGACTTATCTAAATCATAATGTTTTACTAGACTTATAAGAAAATCTGATTACAGGTTAATAAGGGAATGGAATTACACCACAACCCAGAGTTGTGGTTCAAACTTTTACATGAACCAAGGATATAACCTTAGACACATTCATTTTACCTCTCTTGGTTTCAGTTTCTTCATCTGGAATATGAGGCAATGGGCTAGATTCATATTCATCCAATCTTTATTAGGCATCTGTTATGTGAAAGTCATGTTTTCAAAGTTACATTCAATTAGATCAGGTACAGTGGCTCACAGTGGCATGTAATCCCAGCACTTTGGGAGGCTGAGGCAGGAGGATCACATGAGACCAGGCATTTGAGACCAGCCTGGGCAACAGAGCGAGACCCCATCTCTACAGAAAATAAGAAATTAGGCATGGCGGCGCACACCTGTAGTCCTAGCTACTCAGGAAGCTGAGGTGGGAGGATCACTTGAACCTAGGAAGTACAGGCTGTAATGAGCTATGATCATGCCACTGCACCCCAGCCTGGGTGACAGAGTGAGACCTATCTCTTAAAAATTGTTTTTAATGTAATTTAATTGAACCCTCACAGAAAATGAAGAAAACTAGGTATCAAGAAGTTAAGTAATTTGCCCAAGGTAAGCCAGCTAAAGCTGGAGTCAATATGTTAATCCAGATTTCCTGACTTCAAAATCAATTGTTTTTCCTGTCTATGTAGTGAACAGATGAAAATGGTGGAACAAACGAGAAAATTACTTATATGTAGTAAAGAATAGGAGGACTGAATGTATACCAAATATTTCTGATTCACTAAATATATATGAGGCACTCAATGCTTATTGAGTACTTTCGTTTAAATTTAGCATTCTTGGAGTTATACAAAAATATAATGTGTTTTGATTTATTGACATATCAACTAAAATAATCATATTACCAAAGTACTAAAAATGTTCGTGTAATGAGTAAAATAATGTATTTACGTTAATTTTTTTTTTTTTAGATGGAGTCTCACTCTGTCACCCGGGCTGGAGTGCAGTGGCGCGATCTCGGCTCACTGCAACTGCTGCCTCACGGGTTCAAGCAATTCTCCGCCTCAGCCTCCCAAGTAGCTGGGATTACAGGCGCCCACCACCACGCCCGGCTAATTTTTTGTATTTTTAGTAGAGACGAGGTTTCACCATCTTGGTCAGGCTGGTTTTGAACTCCTGACATCAGGTGATCCACCTGCCTTGGCCTCCCAGTGTGGGGATTACAGGCATGAGCCACCGCGCCCAGCCTTAAATTAAAATTTTTTATATTTCACTAATTTATACAACCAAATTATTTATAATGTAATAATGTTTGAGGCCTCTAAGTGATATAACAAAGTATTAAAAAATAAATGTAGAAGTCCAAATAACAGGAAGTTATTTGTGTTATCAACATACTGGTTCAGAGGTAGATTCAAGACTACCACTATAATTAGTTTGTTAAGAAAGACATAATTTCAAATATCCCTTCTCATTCTGCTTGGCTCAACAAATGGATTTTGGTATGTTAACTGACACAAAGGAAGTAGAATTTTTTTCCCTTGCTTAAGAAAAAAGATTTTGATGAAATTTCACGATTGGCAAATCTGCTACTGAGCCTATCATTAATAGTTATTAGTTGGCTGACAGATGATCTTCATTATAGTTGGTATTATCAGGACAAAATCTGATAATAACATAGATAGCCAAAATGAAAAGGCAGATTGTAATTATCTTTGGACAATAGATACTCAGAAAATAATGCTTTGGGGGGAAACTAGCTATATTTCTAGTGTGGGCTATATTTTTAAATTTCTCCCTAACTCTGTTCTTTCTTTTTTCATGTAATATGTTATCAGTATTATTTAGGAATATTTAATTCTGCTATGGAAAATAAGAGGCGAAAGGAAGGAGAATATATAATACTAAGTATAGAAGCCAATAGCTTATGACACATAGAAAAAGTAAGTTGAGTACTTATGTGGTAAACTGGCAAAAACAGTGGAACAAATAAGAAAATCACTTAAACATAGTAAAGAATAGAAGGACTGAGTATGCACCAAATATTCATTGATTCATGAAATATGCATATGAGGCATATGAGGCACTCAATATTTATTGCACTGAAAATAAGCCACCCATTGGTGACATACAGTCTGGCCGCATATATCCTCTGTCCAAGAGGAATAGTAAAGTACTTAAATGCTTACTGGGCTATTTGGCAAGTTATAATTGTGGCCCGGCATCATTGCCCTTGCATCTCTCTAATAAAGCAACTGGCCCCATGTATTTTACATCTGTTGGGCCACTTTGTTCTTAGACCTCCACCCTGGTTTTTGCAATCACACCGTCAGTGGGTAAAGCTGGTGTGGCTGAGTTTGGCAAGAGAAAGACAAAAAGGTGAATTAATCCAGGCAGTTCATGTGAGCATTGTGTGATATTCAGGTGACATGACCTTTCATCTGTTTGTACCCTATCCTTCAAGGATTAATCTACCCTCTTTCCTTTGCTTCTCACTGTATGTTTTAGATTGATGTAATAAACTGTGTGATTTGAGCATCTTAATTTGAACTGTGAACCTTCCTATTCGATGACATCTGTGCTCACCTGCCTGGTTGTATACCTGGAAACTACCATTGCATGAAAGTAATTCCCCACATGGCAGTGCTGGTCAATTTTTGCCTCATATTTCTTCCTTATATTTACAATTGATGGTAATTACACTGGAGTGGGTAAAGAATATACCATTTCAGAAAGGTATTTGAGCATCTAAAGAGAGCATTTAACTGTCACTATTATCGGAATACATTCCAATAATAGTCTGGCTGCAGCAGACAAACAAAAGAAGAATTCATGGTTCAGCAGGATAAAAATCATAGCACTTTAAAACTGATTCCAGTTCAAGCTTTCATTTTGAAAGATGAGATATAGCGACTTGCCAAACGTCACTATTTCTAGCAACTAGTAAGACAGAACAGGAGCCAATGCTGTCTAAAGAAGCTGGAGGTTATTTGAGATACTACTGCTGTTCCTATCCGGATCCTGAATAATGACCAAGCTCATATGATAGCACATGCTATGTAATGCCCAAAAATATAAACTACAGCTGTCAAAATTAACAAATTAACATTAAATGATGCAAAAATAAACAGAGAATGTCTGTTATTAACAGGGCTTATAGAGGTGTCATTGAGACTTTTCAAGTGCTAAAAATTGCTGTTCTGCTGTTAATTTCATCGTAACATTACAGATTTCCATTTGACTACAGAAGACTGAACTTTAGTCAATCATCTCAAGTTATTTGACTTTAGCTGGGAGTCTATGCCTAGTTATTCAAAATATTCATTTCTAACAAAACTTTTAGTCCTTAGCCAATATACACAAGGAACTGTGATGTTTAGAACATAAAAATGAATAAAATTTAACTACATGAATCAAGTGTTTTTGAGTTCTCTCTGTGTGTCAGGCACTGTCCTTGGCCCTAGAAAACCATAATAGGAGTGGCTTAAACCTGGGAATACTCGTTATTGATAAATAAATCCAGAGAGTTGACTGGCAGTTCAACTATGACCTCAGGGACCTAGATGGTTTCTGTCCTTCCGTTCCCTTTTATTATGTTGGACTTTTCCTTTAGGCTGTTTGTCTGGTGGTCACAAAATACCTGCTTCAGCTCCAGGCCTCACAAGACAATGTTCTCACAAGACCATGTCCAAAGCTTGAAGAATGGGTGTGGTGAGAGAGAGGTCTTCTCATGGAAGCCTCTTTTCATCACACACACACACACAAACACACACCACTCCATCCTGCAGCTTCTCAGTCAACTTCCCCTCACATTGGTGTCAACCAGAATAACTTTCTAAGATGTTGGAACTATGCTATAGTCTGTGTTATCAAAAATGGTATCCACCAGTGGCATGTAGCTTGTGAGCACTTGAGTATGGCTAGACTGCCTAAAGAACTGAATGTGGTCGGGCGCAGTGCCTCACGCCTGTAATCCCAGCACTTTGGGAGGCTGAGGCGGGCGGATCACGAGGTCAGGAGATTGAGACCATCCTGGTTAACACGGTGAAGCCCCGTCTCTACTAAAAATACAAAAAATTAGCCGGGCACGGTGGCAGGCACCTGTAGTCCCAGCTACTTGGGAGGCTGAGGCAGGAGAATGGCGTGAACCCGGGAGGAGGAGCTTGCAGTGAGATGAGATCGCGCCACTGCACTCCGGCCTGGGCGAAAGAGCAAGACTCCGTCTAAAAAAAAAAAAAAAAAAAAAAAAAAAAAAAAAGAACTGAATGTTTAGTTTTATTTCATTTCATTTTAATTAATTAAAATTAAAATTTATACCTAGGCAGAGTGGCTTAAGCCTGTAATCCCAGCACTTTGGAAGGCCAATGCAGGAGGATTGCTTGAGTTCAGGAGTTTGAGACCATCCTGGGCAACATAAGACCCCCATCCCTTAAAAAAAAGAGTTAGCTGGTCATGGTGGCGTGTGCCCATTTTCCTAGCTACTCAGCAGGTTGAGGCGAGAGGATTGCTTGAGCCCAGGAGTTTGAGACCACAGTGAGTTATGATCCCACCACTTCACTCTGGCCAGGGTGACAGATCGAGATCCTGTCTCAAAAAATAAATACATAAATAAATTTAGTTACCTACATGTGTCTAGAGGCTATGTGAAAGGAAAATAAATCTTGGGACCCCAGAATCACTAAGCTAAAGGGAAAAGTCAAGCTGGGAACCGCTTAGGGCAAACCTGCCTTCCAGTCTATTCAAAGTCATCGCACTGCTCACCAAGATAAATGCATATCTGATTGCCTCCTTTGGAGACGCTAATCAGAAACTCAAAAGAATGCAACCATTTGTCTCTCACCTACCTGTGACCTGGAAACCCCCTCCCTGCTTAAAATGTGTAAAACCAAGCTGTGCCCCGACCACCTTGGGCACGTGTCGTCAGGACCTCCTGAGGCTGTGTCACAGGCACATGTCCTCAACCTTGGCAAAATAAACTTTCTAAATTAACTGAGACCTGTCTCAGATATTCCGGGTTCACATCTACCATATTGAACAGCATAGCCTTTAATTCTTCTTGGCTACAACTGGGCCATATGACCACTAACAGAAGGTGGGAAAGTGATTACCCAGCTCTAAGTGAGAAAAAGTTTGAGAATGACTCTGTGGCAGCTACCAACAGTGTGTGTCATAAAAAGTAAATAAGAGCATCATAGAGCTGATATTAGTGGGGGAGGCTAACAACATAAAAATGTAAACAAATTAGAAAATAAGCTATGTGCAGGTTTGGACAAGCTGTGAAGATTATCAAGATTCCATCTAGATAATAAGTCTAGATTCTAGAGTAATGTAATAGGGAATAATGGAAGGTGGGACGGAGTGATTTAAGAAGCAGGTAAAGAAAAGCTCTCAGAAGCTCATAGTCTGGTAGAGAAGAAAGACAGACGTGAAAAAAATCGTTAATAATACATCTGGATACACATATATTTTATATAAACATGTATACTTACATATATACATACTCATTGTTTACACATATAAATATATATATTTACACACATACCTACACAGAGTTAATACAGTTTCTCTATTAAGAAGAAAAACAAAGCATATTTGTGTATTTCTCTTGACTCTCCTACGAGCCTTACATAACACAGCAAGACAGGATTCACCGCACAGAATCATTGGAATGTGGTCCATCTACCATCCTTAAAGCAACAGTTGATGCAATACAGTTCTGCTGGACAATATATGCCTGAGTATGGTTAACAAGTGATTTCTATAGCACATTCTAAAGTAGAACAATTACAAACACAGTGAGAACTTTCAAAGGACCTATTAATTTCTTCAGCTGCAAATGGTGTGATGCTCTTGAGGCCTGAGGGAGGATCACCAGTAGATAGACCTGTTTGGCAAGAGGCTGTCTGGGCTAGGGTAGCTTAATTCAAGCTTAGATGTTGGTGTGACTGAGGGGTAAGAGACAGTTTCAGAAAGTGTCATCCTCTGAGACCTTTGTAAGTGTAGAAAGGATTATTTGTCATGTCCTCATAAACCCACGCTGGGATATAATAATAACTCAGGGTTCTGGGCATTTGAATGACTACAGTGCTGAAAAATATACTTTCTCAAGTTAGTTCCAGCTTTAATATACTAGTGTATATGATCTATAAAGACCTTTTGTTTTTTTCAAAGATAGTATGAGTGATTTCTGTGCAACAGTGGCTGAAATTATCCCTATAATAAAAAACATTTTCTCCATATTAATCCCTGGATTCATGGTACCACTTGGATATCTCTTTTTTTCTGAAAATTCTGTACTTTTTAATAACTTTTCCAATTACAATGAAGTAAAAAGAGGATATATACCAAATTGATATTAGTATTAGTGGTAAACATTTCAAAATAGACACATTAACTTACTTCAAATATAGACTTCAAAATATTCCCATACTTTAACTTCACATGACTATTTCTGGCTACATCAATATAAATGGTTTTTATGGTTATTAAAAACTATATATTGCTATATAGGTTGCACACCTTATCTCAAATTCTTGGGATCAAAAGTTTTGTTTTGTTTTGTTTTTGAGACATGGTCTTGCTTTTTTCACCAGGCTGGAGTACAGTGGTGATGTCATAGCTCATTGCAGCCTTGAACTCCTGGCCTCAAGAGCTCCTCCTACCTTGACCTCCCAAAGTGCTGGGATTACAGAAATGAGCCACCATAGCTGGCCAGAAGTGTTTTTATGTTGGATTTTGGAATATTTGCATATATATAATGAGATATTCTGGGGATGGGACCCAGGTCTAAAAACAAAATTTATTTATGTTTCATGTATACCTTATTCACATAGCCTGAAGGTAATTTTATACAATATTTTAAATAATTTTATGCAGGAAACAAAGTTTGTGTCTATCAAACCATCAAAGAGCAAAGGTGTCCCTGGCTCAGCCACCCACGTGGATAATCTGTGGTTGTTTGGCATCACCATCATTCCTGACTCTGAATGTATATGCTACTGATAAATAATCATTTTCTTACATTTATTCACACATAAGTACTTAACAGTAGAAAACATGACATACCATTAATGCAGTGAAAAAATAAAGTGTTCGGGGTAACTAAGCAGCAGAGTAGCACCCCCAGAATACCTCCATCAGCTGTTAAAGAATAACAACAACAAGCAATAGCAGTGTTCAGTCTCCACCTATGATGCTGTGTTTTAATTATATAGTTACTGTACACTGTATTTTATTTTTTTAGATAAGAAGAAATCTTAGAAATAGTTGAAGGACTAGAAAGTGGGTCCTCTGAGGCATTCAGCTGGATGCCTTTTTAAAATGTTTTCTCCAGTCATCTGCCCCATTACCAACTGTTTTTGTCTTAGAAGTCCCTCTTTGATTATATAAACCAACATTATTTCTTGTTCTGTTATGAATGAACATTGCTTTAGTCCTTCAGTAAGCCCATCACAAATTTTCACCATGTCATTTATAGGCACTTTCTCTGTAGTGTTAACATCATCTTCATTGTCACTGATTATCACGATCAACTTGATTCAAAACCATTTCAGCTACTTCATCATTGGTCAGCGAATGAACAACTGGAGCCTCATTATCCATGATAAACATTGTTTGATATTCACTTCTTCCAGCTTACAGACAGACAGACATTGGGGGTATATTTTTTGCATGTGTGAGTAGATCAGCCGTTATTTTTTTTCTCACTTGACATACACAATCCTTCAAAGTCACTACCTTGTTTATCATCACTGAACATAGTTGCAGGCCAGAGATTGTGCCAGGCATGCACAACTTTGTCTATAGTCACTATGTTCCAAGCATAGGCAACAGCATATATGGCATCCTGCAGACTAAAATTTTTTTTTTTTTTTTGAGATGGAGTTTCGCTCTTGTCACCCAGGCCAGAGTGCAATGGCGTGATCTCAGCTCACTGCAACCTCCGCCTTCCAGGTTCAAGCAATTCTCCTGTCTCAGCTTCCGGAGTAGCTGGGATTACAGGTGCCCGCCACCATGCCTGGCTAATTTTTGTATTTTTTAGTACAGACAGGATTTCACCATGTTAGCCAGGCTGGTCCTGAACTCCTGACCTCAGGTGATCCACCTGCCTCGGCCTCCCAAAGTGCTGGGATTACAGGCATGAGCCACTGCATTCGGCCTCATACTAAACTTTTTTTGAAAACCTCCACGCCCATTCTTCTGTTTATTGCTGCTAGCATGCTGTTCAAGAAAGTATTTTTATATTTATCCTTCAATGCTTTAAGGATATCCTGGTCACATAGCTGAATCAATAAAGTCACATTTGTGGGGAAGTACATGGCATAAACATGATTTTTGATAAGAATTTCAGCTGGAGAATAAGCAGAACAGTTGTCAAGGAATATAAAATCTTGTAGTCGTCATCCAGTTCAGCTTTCCTGCAGTGACTGTATGCCTCTGGTACAAAATGTTTGTGAAATCAATCAGAAAAGATGTCCTTGGTCATCCATGCCTTTTTGTTAGCAGAATAATGGACTGATAAGAAATTCACTCCTTGAAAAAAAGAGAGGACAAACCTTTGCCTATCACAGCAAGTTTACACTTATGCGTGCCTGCAACATTAGCACATCCCAGCACAGCTATTCTGTCCTTGGCATTTTTAATTCCTATAGAGGCTGTCTCATCTGCCACCGTCAGTGTCTTTCTGGGGCAATGATGCCAAAATAGTGATGTTTCGTCAGCATTATAGACGTGCTCTGGTATCCAGTTTTCATCAGCGATGATATGGGCAAACTCATTAATGACTTTTTCCACAGCTTTCTGATCTGCAGATGCTTTATCACCACAAATCCTTAAACATTTAGTGCTGTGTCTTTGCTTAAATATCTGCAACCAGCCTGTTGAATAGTCACAGTTCCTTTCAATTTCAAATTCATTGTGATAGATCTTTGCTTGTTTCATGATCAGCATACCATTAAGTGGCATGTGGTCACTGTGATGCCGATGGATCCACTTTTTCAGTGCACAATTGAGATCTTCATATTTTGCATCATACAGTGTTTTTCTATTTTTCATTTACTTGTGTTTATCGCTTTTAGCATAGATCTTCAATTTATCCTTCTGTTTCTTCAGATTATACATGGCGGTCATTCTGTCACCATACTTTTCTGTAACAAATCTCATACCCATACCACTGTCCAGTTTCTCTAACAGCTGGACTCTGTTGCATAAACATAATAAATGCTTCCTCTTTTTATCACTGATAACCACAGATTAACTTCAGGCTTCTTTGATATTTCTTTTTTTTTTTCTTTTGTTTTTTTTTTTTTTTTTGGAGATGGAGTCTTGCGCTGTCACACAGGCTGGAGTGCAGTGGCACGATCTCGGCTCACTGCAACCTCCACCTCCCTGGTTCAAGCGATTTTCCTGCCTCAGCCTCCCAAGTAGCTGGGATTACAGGTGCCCGCCACCACACCTGGCTGATTTTTTTGTATTTTTAGTAGAGACGGGGTTTCACTATGTTGGCCAGGCTGGTCTCAAACTCCTGACCTCGTGATCCGCCCGCCTTGGCCTCCCAAAGTGCTGGAAGTACAGGTGTGAGCCACTGCACCCGGCCTGATATTTCTTTATACTAACAATAGCTTTACACCACAGAGCAAAGAAAAGGAAAACAAAAACCAAAAAACAACAAAAAAGCAAACCCACAGTGAGTAATGCACGTAGATGAAGGCCCAGTGTGGGCATTGTGGGGAACTTGTCGTTGGCAAATCCAGCCTGCATGCATGCCATTTGATTACCTTTGGGGGGCACGCTTGCATGGGGGAATTTAGGCATGCCCTGAAAAGATATATAGCAGCAGAAAAGGGCTGGGAGGGGCTTTTTTCCCTTGGGGATGCTAGTAAACTGCATAGTGTGTCTGCATTTTGATGGTGACCCATCACATGTGACCAGGTGTGGAATTTTGCACTTGAGGTATTACTTGTCGGAACTCAAAAAGTTTTGGATTTTGGAGCATTTCAGGTTTTGGATTTTTGGATTAGGGATGCTCAATGCTCAATCTGTAGTAAGGTTTTATCTTAATCAAAAAACAGATCATTATTTTGTTAGGGAATAATAATTCTTCAGATAAATTCAAGAGAAATGTGATCCATTTCACCCACCTTAACACAGAGGCACCAGTGTGCCTGCTAAGGTTATTTATAGATCCGAAGTCACTTAATGGTGCAGATAATCTCCCACTTTTTCTTCCCATCATAGTGTCTGGGCTTATGTTGTTCAACACCAACAGGGTAGCCACTGGGCATTTAAATTCAAATGTAAATTAATTAAAATGAAATGAAAAATTTAATTCTTATTGCACACTATCTACATTCCACACACTATGTAGCCACAGTTGGCCACCATATTAGACAGCAAAGAACTAGAACAGCTATACAATCACAGAATGTATTATTAGACAGCACTGGACATGGTTGGGTTGGTCAAATGAACTGCTATTCAAATTTAATACAACACTGATAAATGATAAATGGAGACCATTTATTTACTTCCCATTGAGAAAGCTCTAGCCAGATAAACAGATTCCTGCAAATTGGTCCCTAAGATAAATTTTGTAGGGGCCAGAGGCAGTAGTGTCCTTAGACCCAAGCAAGAAAAACCGTGTTCTAGGCCCTCCATTTTAGAGGACACCAACCTGACTCTTCTTATGGGGTGAAAAATCTCCAGGCCAGCACCCAAAGCCTGGGTACCCACTATGTCCCCAAGACCCAGGACCCTGGAATTCCCTGACTGGTATTACCAAAGCCACTTCTTGGCCCTGAGCTAGCTTCTTCTGAGAACTGTCCTCCCAATGAAGGACCCAACAACTGGTATAGGCACACCTGAGATCCAGACGCAGACAGAGGGTGGCTGTTAGAAAGTGTGAACAGAACTTGGTTTTGTGGGCTGCGGTGTTCACACACAGGTACAAAAAATCCCCTCTTGTCCTTGAAGATAGCTGGGCACAGGAAGCAAAGACGGTGAAGGTGTACAGGCCAAAGGTTTGGATCTGACTCTTTCCCACCTGCCATGTTTCAGGGAGAAACTCCAAGGTGTCTGAGAATCCTGCTTACAAACCTTCCAGGTTGTTATGAAGGTAATTTCTCAAGGCAGGAGCACAGAATATATTTTATTAGCATGATATAGTCCTTGTAAAATTTTAAACATAGGGTAGGTAAGCCCTGGGCTTGCAAATGTTAGGGCGAGGCTGGAAGTCAGAGTAATCAATTCTGTTGGGGTTTCTTGGAGGGTTTGCTCATTATTGCTCGAACTGGTGAACATCTCAAGTATCTTTGCCTGTCGAATTTCTTTCAAAAGGCTGCCTTTCTAGTGAGGTCCAGATGCATCCTTTAGAGACCATCGCTGTTGTTGCTGAAGGCCAGAAACAGCTTCAGATTGTTCACTGTATTGAAGAGGAACCTGTTTACTGGCTCCAGTGTATTTGGGACAAATAAGACTACCATAATGAGGTGAGAAGGCGATTCCTTCCGAAACACTTGGTTTTGGGTACTTTTCCCATAGGGTTGGTCAGGGAAATTCCCTACTCTCGTCCCTACTCCATCCTCCGGGCCAGGCTCCTTGGGCCACATGGGCAGTCTCCAGGAGCGCACAAGACTGCTTTGTCCTGTGCCCGCGGTGCGAGCGCGGTGGCGGCGAAGGGAAACGAGCAGGAGAGTGGCCACCGCGGGTGGAGTTTGGACTCGAACTTTCCTCCGTTCGGACTCGAACTTTCCTCCGTTCTCTCTACGAGTTACTGCCTTCCCGCGGGCTCCCCACAACTCCTGCCCGGAGGCCGAGGCCCGGGCGCGCACCGGGTCGGAGTCGGGCTCGGCAGGTCCCGGGAGCGCGCGCCTCCTCCCCGAGGTCCCGGGCAGCTGCAGACACGGGGAGAGCAGGAGAGCCGGGAAAGAGGAGGGGAAGGGGCGGGGGCGGCCGCCGGCGGCGGGCGGGGAGGAGCCGCCGCGCGCGGGTCCTGGCCAGGGGAGGAGGCAGTGGCGGCGGCGGCGGCGGCAGAGGAGGAGGAGGAGGCGGTGCTCGCGCCGGGCGGTAGAGCGGCGCTGGGACCCATGCGGCCGTGACCCCCGGCTCCCTAGAGGCCCAGCGCAGCCGCAGCGGACAAAGGAGCATGTCCGCGCCGGGGAAGGCCCGTCCTCCGGCCGCCATAAGGCTCCGGTCGCCGCTGGGCCCGCGCCGCGCTCCTGCCCGCCCGGGCTCCGGGGCGGCCCGCTAGGCCAGTGCGCCGCCGCTCGCCCCGCAGGCCCCGGCCCGCAGCATGGAGCCACCCGGACGCCGGCGGGGCCGCGCGCAGCCGCCGCTGTTGCTGCCGCTCTCGCTGTTAGCGCTGCTCGCGCTGCTGGGAGGCGGCGGCGGCGGCGGCGCCGCGGCGCTGCCCGCCGGCTGCAAGCACGATGGGCGGCCCCGAGGGGCTGGCAGGGCGGCGGGCGCCGCCGAGGGCAAGGTGGTGTGCAGCAGCCTGGAACTCGCGCAGGTCCTGCCCCCAGATACTCTGCCCAACCGCACGGTCACCCTGTGAGTATCTCCCGCGACGCTGGGTCCTCTCCCGCTCGGCTCTTTCTTATCTCTCCGCTCAACTTTGGAGCAGGGTCCAGCCGGCACCCACGCGCCTTTGTGTGGAGCTGTAGGCAGGGGGCGGTGCTAGGAAAGACCTCGTGTGCTTGGCATGGGTGCAGTTCAGGGAAAGGCAAGGGAATCTGCGTCCGAGCTGCCTCCCAGCTCCACTAGTTTGCAAAGTAAAGTTTTCGGGTTCTCAGGCGCTCCCCGCGCTGTCCCCGGCGCAGCGCTTTTGGGCTGCGCGGTGCCACGTGAGGATGCAAGTAAACACGCAGTCAACAGAGTTAAAGCTCATTCATCCTGGGCTTGGGTTTCCAGAAAACACAATGCTTGATTGCAAGCGCCAGTCCTTCTGCTTCTTTGCAAATTAAGTTACACTTACGTGGTAGAGTTTGCAAAACACAAGGACTGTGTGCGAGCCCAAACCCCAAGACGCTTCCTTTGCCTTTTGCTATCTTAGTTTTATTACAGTTAAAGAGCACCTTTTAAGATAGAGTTGTTATTAAGGGCTGGAAACATTTCAGATCAATCTGTTTATGTACCTTGCAGTCCCGTTTTCGTGTCTGTGAGGGCTTATATTTAAAAGCCAGGAACATTGGAACTGAAAACCGTGGGTTTATTGAGCCTTCCAACTCGAGGGATTTTTGATTTTCGGATTGAGTTTCCACCTGGAAGGAAAAATTTTGGTAACTCACTTGTGCTGGGATTCACGGTTCAGTTTTGCAAACGTAGTTTTGCCAATTCTAGCTGAACAGTTGGCCCCAGTGACTGTCGAGTTTGTTTTCAGAAGGATGAATTGGTTTGGAAAGTTTTGAGTCTAAGTGTTTCTCATGGGTATTTTGTTCAACTGAAATGTGAGTCCCTTGGCTCGGGGTTCCTCTATGTTGTTTTGGTTGGTTTCCTAAAAAAAGAATCAAGGCAGCCACTATACAAACATGAATGCAAGGACCGCAGCATGATCTATGAAAACACTTAAAGTATGGTTTTAAATGTAACCCAAATTCAGCAGGAGTATACACAGGTAGGCCAGGTATACATTTCATTACTAACACTTTTGTTTACCTTCATTTCCATTTTTTGAATTAGGAAACGTTTAACCATGAAAATTGTGTCTATGTGTCTATTTATGGAGGCATGAAGATGGATGAAAGAGTTTTTGTTTTATTTGACTCCGTTACTAACACGTTACCATGTGGTGGTGGCAGCAGTTATATTTATTTATTTCTTAGTCAGATTCTTTGAAGTGGAAATTTTCGGTATGGGACTTTAATTACAGTCCAAATGGAGAAAATCCCAATGTTGGAGGAGATTTTCTTTGTTACTCTGCAAAAATTAGTCATCATGCAGTTATGTTATAAACATTTAGGTTTTGGGTCAATGAGTGACATTTACGTTGACTCATGTTTAGGTCCAGTTTTTCTGACCTAAAAGTGTCCACAATTTCAGCTGGATTAGGTCAACTACTAGTAAATTGTTGATTTTGCGTTGCAGAAAAAAATAGGGGATATGGTGGTAAATTGATTTTCAGCATATTACCAATTAAACTATTTTTCTACAATTTTTAGAAACTGGTTAAAATATAAGTAACTATGAAATGTCATTTCAATCCAGTTTTTTTTTTTTTTTTTTTTTTTTTTTTTGCCTGAAAGCTTTTTAGATGAAAATAAAGTTAAGGTTGGGCATGGTGGGCTCACACCTGTAATCCCAGGGCTTTGTGAGGTCAAAGCGGGTGGATCCCTTGAGGTCAGGAGTTCAAGACCAGCCTGGCCAACTTGACGAAACCCTGTCTCTACTAAAAATACAAAAATTAGCCAGGCGTAGTGGCGTATGCCTGTCATTCCAGCTACTTGGAAGGCTGAGGCAGGAGAATCACTTGAACCCGAGAGGTGGAGATTGCAGTGAGCCGAAATCGCACCACTGCACTCCAGCCTATGTAACAGAGTGAGACTCCCATTCAAAAAAAAAAAGAAAAAAAAAATTTGTTTAGTGAATGGGAAGAAGATACAATTAAGGATCAATTAAAGCTGTTCTGCTGGTTGTGGTGGCTCATGCCTGTAATCCTAGTACTTTGAGAGGTGGAAGTGGGTGGATCACCTGAGGTCAGGAGTTCGAGACCAGCCTGGCCAACATGCTTAAAGCCCCATCTCTACTAAAAATACAGAAAATTAGCTGGGCGTGGTGGCGTGCACCTGTAATCCCAGCTAGTCGCTACTCGGGAGGCTGAGGCAGGAGAATTGCTTGAACCCAAGGAGAAGGAGTTTGCAGTGAGACAAGAAGGCACCATTGCGCTCCAGCCTGGGTAACAAGAATGAAACTCCATCTCAAAAAAAAAAAAAAAAAAAGAGGAAAGTTGTTCTGGCTGAAGAGGGTTCAAGGTATATGAGGCCCCCTGTAGAGGGGTCTTATGGGCCAGTTTCCTCATTTTACTGGGGAAAGAGTTAGAGTTACTGTAGATAAGGGACTTGCTCACCAGAATTCTCATAGTAGCATCAGAGTCCACGTCCCAGATTCCTGTCCTGCAGTTCAGATGCTTTCTCATTCCTCACCTTGCCTTCATCTTAGTTGAGCACAGTTTTTGTTGAGTGGCCTCTAGGTAGTAGGTAGCGTGTTGAAGTTTGGACTGTGTGTTAGTGCCTAGGGCTGCTGCAGATTACTACAGGCTTGGTGGCTTGAAACAACAAATTTATTCGCTCATAGTTCTGGAGGCCACAAACCCCAAATCAATCTATTAGCAGGGCCATGCTCTCTCTGAGGACTTTAGGAAGAATTCATGCTTGCGTCTCTCATCTTCTGGTTTTCCTTGGCTTGGGGCAGCATCACTTAAGTCTCCGCATCTGCCTTCCATTGGCCTTCTCCCTGTGTGTCTGTGTGTCTCAAGTCCTCTCCTTTCTCTTATAAGGATACCAGTTACTGAATTTAGGGTCCACCCTAGGTCCAGGATGATCTCATCCCAAGATCCTTTAATTAAATACATCTGCAAAGACCCTGTTTACAAGTAAGATCACGTTAAAAGGTCAGGACTTGGACATTTCTTTCTATGAAACACTGTCCAGCTCATGACAGAATACAAATAAAAACATGCTCTTTCTTCTCCAGGAAATTACAGATATTTGGGGAGAAAAATTCATGACTAAGTCTCAGAACAGTATGGTCAATGCTCTATTACCAGGGTGCACATGTAGCAAAAGAAACCCAGAGGAGGGCAACCAGGGCCTCCTTCTCCCTCAATCCTAGTGGGATTGAGGATCCTGAGCCAATTCTGGAAAGAGGAAAAAGATCACTGTGGGGCGGGCGCAGTGGCTCACACCTGTAATCGCAGTACTTTGGGAGGTTGAGATGGGCAGATCACTTGAGACCGGGAGTTCGAGACCAGCCTGACCAACATGATGAAACCCCATCTCTACTAAAAATACAGATATTAGCTGGATGTGGTGGCTTGCACCTGTAATCCCAGCTACTAGGGAGACTGAGGCAGGCAGGAGAATCGCTTGAACCCGGGAGGCGGAGGTTGCAGTGAGTGAAGATCGTGCCACTGCACTTCAGCCTGGGTGACAGAGTGAGACTCTGTCTCAAAAAAAAAAAAAAAAAAAGAAAGAAAGAAAAATATAACTGTGAAGAAAACGGTGAGGGAACAAGGGGAGGAAATGATAGGTTGGAAGTGGGGGACCCCAGGTGCCCACGGGTTTGGAGAGGACAGTATCTGGTTATGCTGCTGTGCAGTTGGTGTTACCGGAATGTCAAAGGTAAGTGTCTGGTGCCCAGGGTGGTCAGAGGAGTCTGTAGGGGCTGAGTCGAGGATGGCCAGGCTCCCTGGTTTGAGCCTTTATCACTTAGGTGTGGCCAGGTGTTTTCAGCTGAGTCGTGATGTGGCCACAGAGAGGAAAATTAACTGATGGGAACTGGGAGAATGGCAAAGATGGGATATAATTTTTTTTTAAATCATGAAAAATAAAGCCATTTCTATTTAATGGATGAACTGGTCTTCATCATAGCCTAAAAGTCAGATCCTTCAACAGTATTGATGAACACCACTTGTTTCTGTAGCTATGCTTAAAGAAAGGTCTGGCAGAAATCCTAGGCTTAACTGTGTGTTCCCCGTGTCTCAGGTAGACTTTTGTATTGAGGGATTAAACCGCTTCTATTATTATAACACAGAAATTGAACAAAAATTTACCTACATTTAGTGTTTTTGTTGAAAATATACTTATTTACTGTATTTCTGTGATTTATATTAAATCTTGCTCAATAATGTAAGTTTTGAAAGTTCTGAGGATTTCATTGATGGAAAGTTTTACAAATTTATCACTGCCTTTCTAAATGTGGGTTCCTCGTGATGCTACTTGGTGACTCTAGACAAATAAAAATATAAAACAAAAATTACTTGTAATTTGTCAGATAACCTCCAGGTTTTTCTCAGACTAACACACTAAAATAGTGTGTAGAGTTTTGGTTCTTCATGTTTGTTATCAAAGAACTAATAATTATTTTGGACATCACCAGTGTGGCTCAGTACAAAGTACAAGAAAAGAAATGCTCGTATTGTTCAGAGACTTAAATCTAGTTAGGAGGAAGGATTTGCACAATAGGAAGCAGACATTTAGGGAACAATTAAAAGACTATCCCTCATTAAGTAATAAATCCTGTGCTGGAGACTGTTTCAGTGCTTCAGGAAGCCCAAACAGGGGAGAGATCAGTGTGGCTGGGGAGTCCTTGGAAGGTATTTTATTTTCCTGGAGAAGTTAGGACTTGAGCATGGCCTAAAGGAAGGGAAGGATTGGATTGAGTGGGGAGAAGGCATTCGGGAGGAAGGGTGGCAGGTGGTGGCTGGCCCACTTGAAGTGGAGAGACGGTATCGGACGAATAGTGGAGAGAGCTTTTGGAACCATCGGCCCGGCCCGTATGTGGTATTTCAAACACAGGCCTGGTTGGGGTCAGTTAGGAGAGAGTGCACAGAGGGGAGAGGAGGTGACCCAGGCAGAACCACACTAGAACATAGAGGAACATGAACAGGAGGCTGAGAAGGAGCCTCTGCAGAGGCTGTGGGGAGCACCAGGGGAGAATCTCATCCTGGAAGCTAAGAGAAGTTTATGTGTCAAGGCTGGAATGGCCTTCCCAGTTGAGGTGTTGAGAGATTAAGCTAGAAAGACCAAGGAATAAACAGCACTGGATTTGATGGCCAGGAGTCTGGTGCCCTCCGTGAGCAGTGTCCATGCATCACAGGTGAATAAGCCAATTTGGGTGGCCTGAAAAGAGAAGTGGGATGGGAGCACAGATGAAGGGTTTGGCTTCTGATGGCAGCAGGGAAGTTCATTCTCTACATGTGTAGTCAGTGCACCAGATAGCAATAACTTAAGTGTAGTCTGAGAATGACTGTATGGCAGACGTATCTGAATGTGGAATGTGGTTTGGAGTTCTAAGCTTGGGAGCCTGGGAGTGGCCCACCCAGAAAGTCATTTCTTTTTTTTTTTTTTTTTTTGAGACGGAGTCTCGCTCTGTCGCCCAGGCTGGAGTGCAGTGGCGCGATCTCGGCTCACTGCAAGCTCCGCCTCCCGGGTTCACGCCATTCTCCTGCCTCAGCCTCCCGAGTAGCTGGGACTACAGGCGCCCGCTACCACGCCGGGCTAATTTTTTGTATTTTTAGTAGAGACGGGGTTTCACCGTGTTAGCCAGGATGGTCTCGATCTCCTGACCTCGTGATCCGCCCGCCTCGGCCTCCCAAAGTGCTGGGATTACAGGCGTGAGCCACCGCGCCCGGCCAAGTCATTTCTTATCTATGAGGAACACCTGAGTCTCCATCTTGTCCCATGGAGCATGGGCCATATGGGGGATCAAGGTCCTTTAGGGTTAATTGAAGGTTGCCAGGTGGAGACGAAACAGTCCTAGCATCAGAGGAGTAGTTATCCCTACCTACGGGGGAAGGTGCTAAGTGAAGATGCTGAGTGAACTGCATGCTTTTTTTTTTTCTTTTCTTTTCTTTTTTTTTGAGATGGAGTCTCGCCCTGTTTCCCAGGCTGGAGTGCAGTGGGGCGATCTTGGCTCACTGCAGCCTCCGCCTCCCAGGTTCAAGCGATTCTCCTGCCTCAGCGCCCCGAGTAGCTGGGATTACAGGTGCACGCCACCACGCCCAGCTAATTTTTTTGGATCTTTAGTAGAGATGGGGTTTCACCATGTTGGCTAGGCTGGTCTTGAACTGCTGACCTCGTGATCTGCCCGCCTCGGCCTCCCAAAGTGCTGGGACTACAGGCATGAGCCACCACTCCCGGCTGTGAACTGCATGCTTTTTGCAAGTTGTGAGTTTCTCTGCTGGGGCATGCAGTTCTCCTGTCCAGCCCGCCAGCACTGAACTCTCTCCCCTGCATGTAAGCCCTCAGTGAAACTCCATGTTCTGTTCACTAGCTCTGGGTTTCTTCTTCTTGAACCTGGTGCAATCCCATCTGGAGTGGGTAGGGGTTCAGCACAATACCTTGTCTTGGGAGAAAGGGTGGAACATGGGTGTCAAGGCAGGCGTGAGGGCAGTGGGGCGCAGGTGGGACGAAGAGGGAATTTTGGCCCCGTTGCTTCTATTTTCTCAAAGATATCTAGGCAGGGCAAGGGGAAAATGGGCCAAGAGGAAGGGGAAAGAGAAGAGAAATGTTCTTTTGGAATGTGAACCTACTGGGGATTGCAGAAAAGTCAGCAGGGAGGATCTTTTTGCAGTTTTGCCTTCTGATCAGATTCAAAGGGAGATGGTCAGTGCAATTGTTTTTCTCCACCTGGATTCAGCCTAGTGATGGGACTCCTTGGGTGTGGCCAGGTTGCTTCTTTGCCAGATGAGTGCAGCCAAGGGAGAGAGGAGCAAAGTGATTATAATCTGTAGGCCAGCAAGACGCCACAGCCTGAATTCTCACCAGCAGAGCCATTGGATCAAGAGTAAGATTGTTATCTTTGAATGCAAAATCTTACATACATCTGCAGCCTGATTTCTCAATACCCAGCACAGATTACTTTTTCCATGGACATCGGTTGAGGCAGTGTTACGTTGTAAACACAGTGGCCAGTGTTTCAGGGTTAAAATAAGACATGATGCTTTCATCCAAGGGTCAGTCTTTTATACAAATTATTTGCTTCACCAAAGTCTACATCTCAGTGTCCCCTGAGCAGTTTATATTTTGCTTCCTGTGTGCCTTTGCTGACACCCTTGCCTTGGAAGCCCAGTCTGGGAAATTCTGGGATATTCTTTAATACCCAACTCAGCTGCTACGAACTCTTCACTGTTCTGGCATTTTGATCCTTCCATCCCTGAACCCAGGTAGCTATTAGTGTTTGTGCTCTTGTGTCACTTTCTATGATACTGGTGCTTCTCTCAGAATGCATATACCCTTGAAAGCAAGGACTCTGACTTGTCTTCGCACAGCGCCTCGAGTATGGGTGGGTACGTAATTGTTCTTTATGGGCAAGAGTAATGCTAACAGAGATACGACTACGTGGTGGAAGAGCAGGAAAAGTTGGGGATAGAAGACGGATGCAAATTCGTATGTTTACCTTATTATAGCAAATGAGAACATGTCTTTATTTAGTTTATTAGGTTCATAGCTGTGGGATCCCTGATTCAAGGATGGGTATATTCAATCTATCTGCAGTCACATGTGATCTCCTTGATCTTATGTGTGTGGCAAACACACACGCATAGACTGTGTTGGGAAGTGGCTTGAATTCCTACCGGGAATATTGCTCAGAAATCTTGCAGGATTGGGGGCACAGTTTGGCATTTGGTCCATGAATGCAAGTTGTAAGCTTTTCTGATATGATGACAGGGTTGCTTATCACCCAGCCTCAAAATCCTGTTGTTTCTTGCCTGCTTGGAGTCCTCCAGCACCAGGAGAAGTTGGTGGGTTTGGCAGGATACCAAGTCCCAAAACAAACGAATATGATAATGTTTGGTGAGGTTGCTCCCAGTGCAGCTCCAGCTTCTGTTCCCAGGAGCCTGTAAAGATGGTTTAAAAAACAGACAAAGACAGAAGTAAAAACTCCTGAAAGTAACTCAGAAAATGACACGGGATGTAGTTTCTTAGAAGACTATTCAGTGACTTATTTTTCCATTCAGCTGCCTCTCAGGAAGCAGTAGTTTACTGGCTTGATGCTCTGGAGGAATCTTAACTCTAGAGAACAGAGCTAATTTATTGTGTCGACATTTTTCTTATAAACAAAGATTAGAATACAGAGTTCTTTGAGTATTGGTAGCTTATTTTATTTATTTTATTTTTTTTGAGATGGAATCTTGCTCTGTTGCCCAGGCTGGAGTGCAGTGGCGCGATCTCGGCTCACTGCAAGCTCCACCACCTGGGTTCACGCCATTCCCCTGCTTCAGCCTCCTGAGTAGCTGGGACTACAGTCACCCGCCACCATGCCCGGCTAATTTTTTTTTTAATTTTTAGTAGAGATGGGGTTTCATCGTGTTAGCAAGGATACTCTCCAGCTCCTGACCTCGTGATCCGCCCGCCTTGACCTCCCAAAGTGCTGGGATTACAACTGTGAGCCACTGCACCTGGCCGAGTATTAGTAGCTTATTAACTCAGTTTTTGCAAAGATTAGGAAGCTATAAATGCAAACTTGCTCAATAAGTTTTTAATGTAAAACAATATAATTTTAATGCTTGATGTACAGTTTAGCTTACATTTATGTTCAAATACACACAATTTTAGTCTGAAGAGGGAGCTTTACAAAAGTACACTATTCCTCCCAAGGATTTTTTTTTTTCCGTCTTGACTAAAGTTTCAGAAATGTTGCATGTCTAGTAAGGGAATTACCTATGTGTAGCGGGTAGAGTGGGACAGAGATGAGGTAGGTGCCTCCCAGAAGGCACATGTCTGTATTGGCCACTTTTAGTACCACACTGAGCACATTGCAGATACTAAGCTTTGCTTTTGCCTTGGTTTGTTTGTTTGTTTGTTTTTGAGATAGGGTCTCACTCTGTCACCCAGGCTGGAGTGCAGTGGTGCGATCTTGGCTCAGTGTAACCTCTGCCTCCCTGTCTCAAGTGATTCTTGTGCCTCAGCTTCCCGAGTAGCTGGGACCACAGACACGCACCACCATGCCTGGCTAAGTTTTGTATTTTTGCTAGAGATGGGTTTTCTCCACATTGGCTAGGTTGGTCTTGAACTCCTGACTTCAAGTGATTGGTGCACCTTGGCCTCCCAAAGTGCTGGGATTACAGGCATGAGCCACTGTGCCCGGCCTTATTTTGCTTTTCATCCAGCAAAGCATTTCTTGTCCTCAGATCTTTCCTGTTCAGGGCCTGAAGGGTAAAAATGGAAGGTTTAAGAGATTGATAGAAAAATACTCCAGCACCTTCCTGCTTCTCCCCCCATCTTCAGCACCCCTGGTTTTTTTGTTCTTTTTTGTCTGCAGGGGGTGAGTCCCAGGGTAAATCTGTGCCTTCCTGCATACAGTATGGGCTGGCCAAAGACCGAAACTTTCACTTTTGGTATTTACTCTTCTCCAGTTGCATTCTTGATAATTTGTATCCTAGTTTCCTAAATTTGTATCCTAAACTTGCTTTTGCATTCATTTAGCAAATATTCAGTGCCACCCCTGGTTGTGGATGTATGTGACTTCTTATCTCTGGGCTTGACTTTTCTTTTGGTCTACTAGACCAGTTTTATCTTAGTCTTGTACCTCTTCCTAGAGCTTCACCTCTTGCCTTCTAGCTGTTCAATATCTGTCATACCTCCCCTCGGTTAGATGTGACCCTGTAGCTCTTTTTGATGTGATTTAATCTGCATCTTCCTCTATTGTTATACTCTGCTAAAACAGCAGGGGGATAACCGTGGAATTTTAGAAATTCTTTTTTTTTTTTTTTTGAGACAGAGTCTCGCTCTGTCGCCCAGCTTGGAGTGCAGTGGCGCGATGTCTGCTCACTGCAACCTCCGTCTCCCGGGCTCAAACCGTTCTCCTGCCTTAGCCTCTCGAGTAGCTGGGATTACAGGCGCCCACCACCATGCCTAGCTAATTTTTGTATTTTTAGTAGAGATGTGGTTTCATCATCTTGGCCAGGTTGGTTTCCCTCAAATGATCCGCCCACCTCAGCTGCCCAAAGCACTGGGATTACAGGCATGAGCCACAGTGCCTGGCCAGAATTTCAGAAATTCTAAATGGGCAACGGGAGTTTCTAAAGGAGAATTTGCAAGACGGTTTTAAGAACAACCTTGCCAAAGGGACTGGTGGGTCTTTTTGCTCTGTGACCATCATTGCTTTTTTTCCCATGTCCCACTGCTGGGCACAAAACCTTTTTTCCACCTAGAATGTCTTAGACTTGCTAAGTGACTCACACAGTCATCTGCATTATTTATGGCAGTTCTAGCCAAGATTTTTCATGCCATGACACAGATAGACAATGATGATGTGTGCACTGGAGTGAAATGGTGAAGGATGCTCCTGGCCAGAGCGCTTTGCACTAGGCTTGCATCCATCCAAGTCCCAGCATCAGAGGAGTAGTTACCCTACCTTCCTGTAACCTGGTTGGTCAGTTTGCGGTTGAGGTTTTCAACCTTGCGTTTGAATCAACAGAAAGCATTAAAAGTTCAGATGCTTGGACCACAGACTTCATGTTCTGATGTATTGTTCAGGGATGGGGCCTGGACATTGGTATTTTTCGGAGCCTCGTTGGGTGGTTCTGGTAACACTTGGGTTGAGAACCTGCTGCTTAGTAGCCCAGCGACCTGAAGGGTTAATCCTAGTCACCATCTGTCATCTGCCACAAAAAAAGAAGGTAGAAGAAAGAGTACAGGAGCCAGTTGAGGGCAGCTACCTCATGTGAGAGGGAGGGGCTGGTACAAGCAGAGGAAAGACGATGAAATCAAGAGACATTTCTAGGACAGAGAGCTGAGAGCTTCAGGACAGGGCCTTATTCATAGAAGCCAGGAAAAACGACTATTGGTAAAGCAGAGAGTGGCGTGCTGAAGCCAAGGGTAAGGACAATAAGGTTTTAGAGATGTACTGTGGAGTTGAATGAATAAAATGAGAGGGCTAACAGCAGCAAGCATCTGTCCAACAGTATTTGAGGGCCTGCTATTGACAGGCACCTTGGAGAGACGCGAGATTTTCTTTGTCAGGACACACAGCTTTGTTGTCAGGCTGCGAAACTGAACCAACTTGGGTATCAGGCATTTGGTAGTTTCTTTTAGCGCCTCATCATTTCAGATGACTGACATTCTTGGTTCTTAATTTAAATAAAGTTTTTAAAACTTACATTTTTTGTCTTTTTTTTTCTTTCCCCTATTTTGCCTTCTGAAGTTTAAATTGCATAATATTTGAATTGTGCATATTTGCAATCTTTTTTTCTTGAGTACTCACCATGGTTGGGGGCAGGTGTGTAGAATTGGGTATCACACACACAGAAGGCTAAATTATCCATCACCCTCACCATGGACAATTTAGGCTTCATTCTATTTAGAATTTTTATTAAGCCCTTTTTATGATTCTGTCTGAAGACAGGGCTGTGATAAGCATGAGAAAATCTTTTGTCAAAATTGCTAACTCTGTATGTTAAAGTGCTGCGCCCCTCATGTTCAAGAATTGTTCTTGAAGGCTAAGATGTCTCCACACAAGAAGAATAAATGTGCCCCTACCAAGACTAGGGAGACATAGAGGTTCCCTTAAGTTGTCTAAGCTCCCCAGTCTCAGTACCATTCTCTGCCCTCTCCCCAAGTACTGTAAACATCATACACAGTATGTGATTAGTAAATGCGATCGGTAAATGTTCGTGAATTAAATTCACTCCCAATATGAGGACATTTCTCAGTTAGAATACATGGTTCCAAGTATGTGACCTGGTCCTATCTAGAATGTCAGTTCTATTGAGGTGTCAGTTTCCTCATGTATCCATAGTACCTAGTATAGTGACAGGCATTTAACAGCCAGTGCTGCCATGGCCTTGTATTGTGGGTGGAATAGTAGAAAGCAGGTTGTGCCTCCTTCTAGTTAATTGAAAGAAAGAGCAAGTATGGAGATATAACTGTAATGCAGGTTCTTTAACATAGTTGTTGAAATGTTCTTTCTTTAAGCCTGCTTGGATCTGAGTAATTAATTCATTTCCCATCAAGATAAGACTTAAAAGCATTCTTTGTTTTATTGTGCAATTCTTCCTGATTCTTTTCTTATGAGAAAGGCAAAGAGAGATTGACTACTGGTGTATTCATCTCCAGGGCAGTGTTTAAGATGGATAAACTTTCTATTAGATTTATTATTATTTTTAACCTGCTGTTTGTTTATTTGTTTTAAATGAGACCAAATGTAAACTCATCCTTTGTGCCTAAGATGCAGTTAGAATTCTAAAGTCTTTCCAGTAACCTGGAAGTGCAGTCTACCCCAGTGGACAGTGTTAGGCTGGCTCTTCATTCCTTAGGACCACCTCCTACCTCCTGTTTGCTTGCATTGTGACAGCTGTCATACTGTTTTGGAATTATTTATTTACAACCCTAGTTCTCCTACTAGATTGTAGACTCTTGATGGCCATATTTATCTCTGCATCCCTAGAGTCTAGCATGTAAGCACTCAGTAAATCTTTGTACAAAGAGGTCTCATTTTTCTTACTGTTTTTTTTTTTTTTTTTTTTCCCTTAAGTAGGACTGGTCAGAATCTTGCATTAGTCTTATGCAGGATGAATCTGTCATGGATAAACTTGAGACTCTTCAAAGCAACATAACAAACATACAAGGTCAAGGCTTAAACTCCCACTCTTCATCTGATAGTAAAAAGTGTCTTTCACCCAGATTTTTTTTTTTCATTTCTTGATCCAGTTCCCACCTACCTCTTGAGGAGCCATTGCTTTTCTTTTTTCTGTTTTGAAGTTCTCTCCCAGTTTGTGATGTTTCTCCTTGTTGCACATAGCCACTTCCTTTCTTCCTCTGTTAAAAAAGCTCCTCTCCCCAGAATACTCCCTTGTAGCACCATGATTGAATGACCACTCTTTCTTAAGTGAACTTCTTGAAAACTAGCTTGAATCCATCCTCTTCATTTCCTTACCTCTTATTTCAGTTTCAGCCTATTGCTGTCTAGCATATGATATATCTGCCATTCTGCATGTGATATATCTCAATGCCTGTCATCATTTCCAGCATTCCACCCTATATGTGGCCTATATACCGCCATCTTCTGTCCCATGCTCTTACTGAAGTCTGCCTAGATTAGACCATTTTAAAGTCCATCACTACATACTTCTTCCTCTTCTGGTCCTTTAGCTTGATGGACACACCTGGTTTCATACTTACTAATTATTGCATTTGGCAACTGTATTTACTACTTAAACCATTCTTTCACCCTTACGTGGTTTGGGTTGGCTGTCGCTCTCAGGAGTACCTGGCTAGCTTGGCTGCATGGTTTCCCTGCCAAAATAGATACAGGAAGGGTAGTACCTCCTAGGGGATGCTATGCTTTTTGAGATAAGGCTCCTGGAAATAGGTGTCATCCAGTCTGAACCTATGAGAAATGGAGATCGCTTGAGATTATTGCCTACTTAAAGAACCTTAGTGAACTGTTCTACTAGGATTTACTTTTCAGAGCTCCTTGATGGGGAAAAAAAAAATTACACATTCGAGTTCTTCCCTCAGGGATAAAGTTGAAAAACTTGTCCATCAGCTTAGCTAGACGTTAGCAACCACAGACAGAAACTTTGTAATACTTTTTTTTTAAAGTTTTATAATATTCTTAGTTCTCATATTAGTTTTTTTTTTTCATCTTTTCCCATTTTTTTGTGATTATAAAACTTTTTACATTGGAATTGTTCTGTTACTGTGTGGAGCAAAAAATAAGAGGGGAAATTGTTTAGACCTTTTATACTAAGTCTTAGTATATCCAGAGGGGAGTGTAGGTGGTGGCAGCTTTACAATGGAAAGGAAACGTGGGGAGTCCCCAGGACCTGCAGTCAATGAATAACAGGCTCCCTCCGTGACTGGTAAGAGAGTTTTGGGAGGTGAGTATAACATGACTCATTCAGGTTCTTTCTTGCTCTTTAATTTCTGTGATATTTTGCTGGTCTATGAAACTGATAAGCCTTAATGGTTGCAGTTTATTCTGACCCAGAGTTTATTTTCTAGTGATGCCTTTATTTTTTTGTTGGGATGTTGCTGGATAGTAAAGTAAAACTGAAGATCCTGGCCTTTCTCATTGTTCTCCTTCAAGAAAATGGGATTTCAGAAAACACTTGTCTTTAGCCTTCTCATGAAATTAATTTCATAGACCTGTTTCTTGTTTTGATGGAACCCCTGTAGAGTTACCTAATATAAAGGTATATTAAGATTTTCTAGAGAAACAGAACCCATAGGCTAGATGAAGAGATAGATTTAAGAGGAGAGTTCTTGTAGGTGTTGGCTCACATGGTTATAAGGAAGTCCCATGATCTGTAGCCTGGAGAACCAGGACAGCTGGTGATGTGTTTCAGTCTAGGTTCAAAGGTCTGAGAGTCTGAGAATCAGGTGGACGGGAGGGTGTTAGTCCTGGGCTGGGTCTGAAAGCTTAAGAACTTAAGGCCGGATGTCTAGGGGCAGGAGACGAGTGTCTCAGCTCTAGCACAGAGCGAATTTGCCCTGCTGCCTCTTTGTTTATTCAGGCCCTCAGTGTATTGGAAGATGCCCACTTAAAGTAGGCAGTCTACTTAAAGAGGACCAGTCTACTTTGGTCTTCCCCAAAGTGGATTAGGGAGGATCATCTACTTTACTCAGTTATCAATTTAAGTGCTAATCTCTTCTGGAAATGCCCTCATAGACACACCCTGAAATAATGGTTTACCAGCTATCTGGGCACCTCTTACTTTACATTCACAAGTAATGTTAACCATCACAACAGAGTAAAAAAACCTGTTGTTGTTGTTATTGTCTTGCTTTTTTAAAGGAGAGATTTATTTCTGCTGCTAGTTTAACTTCCTCCTAAAACTGGTTTGGTAATATTCGTGAACTCCCATGACTAGAGAAACTTCAGGTGTCTGTAGAGCTCTTTGACTTTCAGAACCGTGTTGCAAGTGTCCTTAACTGATTTGAAAGTTCTAATAACAACCAACGTTGGAATGTTGATCGTGTTCTAGGTGCTGTGCCAAATGCTCCCCGCATAACCTCTCACCTGATTGCTAAAACAGCTTTATGAGCTCCGTATTGTCTACATTTTACAGGAGTGCCAACTGAAGCCTGGACAAGTAAATTATCTTCTCAGGTTACACATAGGCTGCTGGGCCTGGCTTCTGGCCTTCAATTCTAACTATTGTTATTTTCATGAAAGTGACACCTTAAGTGCTTTCTTTGGTAGTGGTGTTGGGGTAAGCCTTTGTAGAACAGTTGTTACAGAAAACTTGTTTACATGGAAGCATTCCTTCAGCGATGACTGACAGACGGGAAAAGCAAAGTGCAGGTCGACCATCTCAAATATGAAAATGTGAAATCCAAAATGCTCCAAAATCCAAAACTTCTTGGGATTGACATGATGCTCATAGGAAATGCTCTTTGGAGCATTTTGGATTTTAGATTTTTGGGTTCGGGATGCTCAACCTGTAAGTATAATGCAAATATTCCAAATTCTGAAAAAAGGCGAAATCAGAAACACTTTTGGTCCCAGACATTTAGAATGAGGGCTATGCAACCTGTAACTGAGAATTTTTACCTAGTGCATATTATGTCCAAGTAACTAACAACTGTTGAAGGAAAGAATTTTAACATCCCATTTTACTCTCATTAAGTGGTTGTGGAAATGACCAATGGCATTTATACTTAGGTTTGTAACATCATCCATTTATTATACGGTCTTTCTTTGCTTATCTGCTGCATTCTTGAGATTGAAAATTTTATCCTGGAATAATAAATGACCCTATCTCAAACAGCTGCCATGTTAAGATGAATAAGAACATCATAGGGGGAGTAGATGCATTTTTGGGAGGCCTCCATCTGAAGTGACATGAATTCATAACACTCTAGTTCTGTCTACATGTCATGCTGTTACTAGGTGAGCAGGGAACTGTCATTCCTACACCTTATTTAATAGAGGTGATCAGAATGGAGGATAAAGGGAAATAGCATGAGACTGTGAATGGAAGTGGGGATTCGCATTGGTTTTGCTGCCAAGTAGAATCGTGTCACCTAGCAAATCACAACATTTCTGGCCTTCACTTTCCTGACTAGTAAAACGAGGTTTTTGAACTAGGCTGTCTTTACTGATTCTTTAACTGCTAAAGTTCTATGATTTTACATATGAAACCAAACCTAACAACATTGCTAACGTGTATTTTTCAAAGCCACAGAAGTTACATGCACATTTAATGAAGTTCCAGTGGCTTTATTAGAATTGGCTGATTGTACCATTATATTGCATTATAATAGCAAGGGTGAGGGTTGTTTACTTGTTCGGGGAAGGGGGGCATTGGGGCTACTTGTACTTAAGCCTCAGGCCTGCCTGCTTCATGATCTTTGCTTGCCTTTTCTCACTACTAATTGCCCCTCACTTACAAGCTGAGACCTGCCCTCTTTCCCCTAGGGCTAATGCCTGTGTTGGGATCTTGAGCTGTCTTTTTGTTAACTGATTCTCTGTGTTTTTTTGTTTTTTTTGTTTTTTTTTTGAGACGAGTCTCGCTGTGTCGCCCAAGCTGGAGCGCAGTGGTGTGATCTCTGCTCACTGAAACCTCTACCTGCCGGGTTCAAGCAATTCTCCTGCCTCAGCCTCCTGAGTAGCTGGGATTACAGGCATGCACCACCACGCCTGGCTAATTTTTGTATTTTTAGTAGAGACGGGGTTTCACCATGTTGGTCAGGCTGGTCTCAAACTCCTGACCTTGTGATCCGCCCACCTTGGCCTCCCAAAGTGCTGGGATTACAGGCGTGAGCCACCGCGCCTGGCCCTCCTTTTTTCTTTTTTGGGACGGTGTGTGGCTCATTGCTTAGGCTGGATTGCAGTGGCACAATCTCGGCTTACTACAACCTCCGCCTTCCTGGTTCAAGTGATTCTTCTCCCTCAGCTTCCCGAGTAGCTAGGATTACAGGCGCCCGCCACCATGCCCTGCTAATTTTGTATTTTTAGTAGAGACGAGGTTTCACCAAGTTGGTCTGGCTGGTCTTGAACTCCTGACCTCAGGTGATCCACCCAACTTGGCCTCCCAAAGTGCTGGGATTACAGGTGTGAGCCACTGCACCCGGCCATGTTAACTGGTTTTCTTTTTTTGTCCCTGAGTTCCTGTCTTTAGGATCTGAACACTTGATTTTTATTTATTTATTTATTTTTTGTTTGTGAAACTCGTTTCGCTTTTGTTGCCCAGGCTGTAGTGCAATGGCATGATCTCGGCTCACTGTGCAACCTCTGCCTTCTGGGTTCAAGCAATTCTCCTGCCCCACCCAGCCTCCTGAGTATCTGGGATTACAGGCTCCTGCCAGCACGCCCGGCTAATTTTTGTATTTTTTAGTAGAGATGGGGTTCACCACTTTGGCCTGGCTGGTCTTGAACTCCCGACCCCAGATGATCCGCTTGCCTCGGCCTGCCAAAGGGTTGGGATTACAGCTGTGAGCCACTGTCCCCGGCCTTTTTTTTTTTTTTTTAGATGGGGTCTTTTTCTATTGCCCAGGCTGGAGTGAAGTGGTTTGATCATAGCTCACTGTAGCCTTGAGCTCCTGGGCTCAAACAATCCCCCACCTCAGCCTCCCAAAGCGCTGGGATTATAGGCATGAGCTACCACACCCGGCCTGAACACTTGATCCCTTTTTTTTTTTTTTTTTTTTTTTGAGACAGCAATGATGCGATCTTGGCTCACTGTAACGTACGCCTCAAGTAGCTGGGATTATAGGCGCCCGCCACCATGCCTGGCCAATTTTTTTGGATTTTAGTAGAGACAGGGTTTCACCATGTTGGCCGGGCTGGTCTGGAACTCCTGACCTCAGGTGATCTTCCCGCCTTGGCTTCCGAAAATGGGATTACTGGCGTGAGCCACCGTGCCCGGCCTCACTGGAGCTCTTTTAATAGGTGAACTCTGGTTGCCCCTTTGCATGTCTCTTATTCCTTCCTCTGCTATAGGAATATAGGCTTTTAAACCCCAACTCCGTGAGTAGACCAGCCTGCTTCTCTGAATTTCTGAGTACCAGGTGAACCTGCAGGGTGTCATGTCAGAAACAGAGACTTTTTTTTTTTATAGTGAAGATGTCCTTGATGACTGTGTATACAAATACACACACATACACACTTTTTAAAAAAAGTTAATTTCCAGACTTTATGGACAGTGTGCAGATTCTTTATTATATCACAGTGTTATTTTTCTTGCCTGCATTTCCCCCCACCTTCTATGGCTTTGCCTGTATTACCACATATTTATTACAGAATCCTTTGACACCAGTGTTCTGGCTGATTCCCTGTCAACCCTCTGTTGTCTCCCTCTGTTCCCCACCTAACTCTCTCTAAGTGGGCAGGCTTGTTTTTGGTTATGATTCGCCCCAAAAGTTATAAAAGTACATTTGGATCATAGTTGCCTTTGATGGTTTCTGCGGTAGAACCAGTGGTGCCAGTTAATTTCTTGAATGGCTGCCCCCATAAATTGGGAGTAAGTATTGGAAGTGCTTTGTGAGCTTATCAGGGAAATGACAGGACTGAATAATGATCTGTCATGGGCATGGTATGGGGGGTGGTGGCACATGTGCCATCATTTGCCAGTGGCCCCGGAAGCCCAACACTCTGTTTATATATGTGTATTAATTGTTTCTTTGGTTGTCCAGCATTGGACTCATAATGGCCTTTTGTATATATCAGGGTTCCTCACCGTTTGAAGTAGAGTTTCCAATACCTACTTTAACATTGGCTCAGCCACTTATATTTACAAAAGGTCTCAAGATTTCTTACTGGTAGAATTATTTAGATTCTATACTTAATATTAAGCAATTTCACCCTTGAGTCATAATTTCCAAAGTGTGCTCTCCCAGTATATTCTAATAGCGGTTCCCAGGATTTGGACCACGGACTGTATTGAGGAAAAATGCTGGTTGCTAGGTATTAAGAACTGATGTAAATTAGTAAGAAAAGACAGATGATCCATTGAAAATGTGGTAAAATAATAATAGGTAATGTTTGCCGAGTGTGCCAGATCCTGTGGTAAGTGTTTTAAATGTTGTGTTGGTTGCTTTTCATAGTTCCCTAATGAGATCATTATGATTATCCCTAATTTGTGCTTGAGGAAGTGAGGCACAGAAGCTCATTAAGTTCCCTGAGGTCACCCATACTTAAGTGATGGAACCAGGACTTGAGCCGAGTCAGCCCAACTCCAGAGCCTGTCCTCATAACCAATGTGTTGTAAAGGTCAAAGGAGATTTCCGGATCTTCACAGAAAGGGAACACAAATTCACATTGACAGATATAAATTATTTTGAGGTACCGCTTTTCACTTCTGAGATTCAAGTGTGACTCTGGCAAGAAGGTGATGTATATACTTACATTAATGGAATATATAATATCTTTTTTTAAAAAAATGATGTTTAACAGCTGTTGGTATCATTGCCTAAATCAATTATATTATTAGTGTTGCAGAATGATGATACTCTAATTGTATCATTATTTTTTCATGTATTAACTCTGATACTTTTTTTTTTTTTGAGACGGAGTCTTGCTCTGTCCCCCAGGCTGCAGTGTAGTGGCGTGATCTCTGTTCACTGCAAGCTCCGCCTCTCGGGTTCACGCCATTCTCCTGCCTCAGCCTCCTGAGTAGCTGGGACTACAGGTGCCGGCCACCACGCCCGGCTAATTTTTTTGTATTTTTAGTAGCGACGGGGTTTCACCGTGTTAGCCAGGATGATCTCGATCTCCTGACCTCGTCATCCACCCGCCCTGGCCTCCCAAAGTGCTGGGATTACAGGCGTGAGCCACCACGCCCGGCCTATAACTTTGATACTTTTATAAAAGAAATTTACTCCTGATCAATTACTTTGCTTTCTGGAAGTCACTTTATCCAGGAAGGCCAAGATAAGTCCTTGTTTGTTTTCCTTTTTTGTCTATTTCCAAAATGGTAGTCCCCCACCTTATTCATGGTTTTGCTTTCTGTGGTTTCAGTTAAATGGAAAATTCCAGAAATAAATAGTTCATAAGTTTTACTTATTTATTTTTTCTAGAGATGGGGTTTCACCAGATTGCCCAGGCTGATCCCAGGCTCCTGGGCCCTGCGATCCGACTCTCAATGTGCTGGGATTATAGGTGTGCGCCACTGTGCGCAGCCATAAGTTTTAGATTGTGTACCATTCTGAGTAGCGGGAAGAAGTCTTGTGCTGTCCTGCTCCATCCTGCCTGGAACTTGAATCAGACCTTTGTCCAAGGTATCCATGCTGTCTCTGCTACCTGCCTGTTAGTCACTTAGTAGCTGGCTTGGTTATTAGATGGATGGATCATAAGAAGGGTGAAGAGAGTACAATAGGATATTTTGAGAGAGAGAGAAACCACATTCACATAATTTTTATTACAGTACATTGTTATAATTGTTCTATTTTGTTATTTAGTTATTGTTTTTAATCTCCTACTGTACCTGATTTATACGTTAAACTTTATTATAGGTATGCATATACAGGAAAAAGCAGTGTATGTAGAGTTTGCTACTATCCACGGTTTTAAGTATCCACTAGGGGTCTTGGAAGTATGCCCCACATATAAGGGGGGTCTACTGAAATAAGTTGGTTCTCTTTGTATATAGTTTTCACCTTTGACTTCTGTAAATGTATTATTTAGTTAAAAATAACTAAAAATAATCTTTTAAGTTGAAAATGAAACACACAGAAGATTTAATTAGAATTGAAGATTTTGACTGTATAACTTTAGTGTTCTAACAAAAAGAACTAAAAAAATGTAAAACTCCACTCAGTTTATAGTAATTTGTAGTAGTTTTATTTAGGATAATATGTGTAGTAGTTTTCTTGATTGTAGGATATAGCATATGTTACTCAGGAGGTTCTCAAATTGTTACAGGAAAGAGGTCCCAATCCAGACCCCAAGAGAGGGTTCATAGAGCTCGTGCAAGAAAAAATTTAGGATGAGTCCGTGGAGTAAAGTGAAAGCAAGTTTATTAAGAAAGTTAAGAAATAAAAGAATGGCTACTCCATAGACAGAGCAGCCCCAAGGGCTGCTGGTTGCCCATTTTTATGGTTATTTCTTGATGATATGCTAAACAAGGGATGGATTATTCATGCCTCCCCTTTTTAGACCATATAGAGTAACTTCCTCATGTTGCCATGGCATCTGTAAACTGTCATGGCGCTGGTGGGAGTGTAGCATTGAGGACTACCAAAGGTTACTCTTATTTTTTTTTTTTTTCTGAGACAGAGTCTTGCTCTGTCGCCCAGGCTGGAGTGCAGTGGTGCGATCTCGGCTCACTGCAACCTCCGCCTCCCAGGTTTAAGCAATTCTCCTGCCTCAGCCTCCTGAGTAGCTGGGATTACAGGCACCCGCCTCCACGCCCAGCTAATTTTTTTGTATTTTTAGTAGAGACGGGGTTTCACCATGTTGGTCAGGCTGGTCTCGAACCCCTGACCTTGTGATCCACCCGCCTCGGCCTCCCAAAGTGCTGGGATTATAGGTGTGAGCCACCGCGCCTGGCCCACCAGAGTTTACTCTTGTGGCCACCTTGGTTTTGATGGATTTTGGCTGGCTTTTTTACTGCAACCTGTTTTATTAGCGAGGTTTTTTATGACCTGTATCTTATGCCGACCTTTTTTATCCTATGACTTAGAATGCCTAACTGTTTGGGAATGCAGCCCAATAGGTCTTAGCCTCATTTTGCCTAGCTCCTATTCAAGATGGACTTGCTCTGGTTCACGTGCCTCTGACAAAATGAGTACACATTGACTCCTCCGGGAAGGCTTGTTAAAACAGATTGCTAGGCCCCACCTTCGGTAAAAAGTCCTAGTGCTTTACCAGACTGGTAACATAGCCCAATGCACAAAAAGGTTGGGAGTCTCTGCTTTGGATCTAATGCCAGTCTGCAGGTATTGCCAGGAGAGCAGAGAAACTATCAAAACAGCACCACAAAGACCCAGTCATTATTATTATTATTTTTTGTCTAACAAAAAGAGGTTGGATGGTACTGTTATGTTGCAAGGGACACACTCAAGATACACTTGTAGTCTTAGATACTGGTTTGGATAAACCATCTATGAAGGATCTTTTTGAAAGATCTTTGGAGGTCTTCTTTTAGAAACTTAATTATTGCCTGAGTGTTAGATGAGATTAAAAAGATACCGAAATGGAAAGGTGGAGGCTGGGCACAGTGGCTCATGCCTGTAATCCCAGTGCTTTGGGAAGCTGAATCAGAAGGATCTCATGAGGCCAGGAGTTTGGGACCAGCCTGGGCAACATAGCAAGACCCCATCTCTACGAAGAAATACAAAAACTAGCTGTGTGTGGTGGTGTACACTTGTGGTCCCAGCTACTTGAGAGACAGGGATGGGAGGATTTCTTGATCACAGGGATTGGAGGTTGCAGTGAGCTGTGATTGTGCCTCTGCACTCCACCTGGGTGACAGAGTGAAACCCTGTCTCTTAAAAAAAGAAAGGTGGAGATCAACAGCTTAAAAAGCTGGTAACAGTAGTATCTACAGTGTAATCTCATCTTGTGTGTGCAAAATGCACACTTGTAAATATATGTGGGTGACAGTGTTGGAAATGAGCTTTATTAAGGTGTTAAAATGGTCATCTCTAGATGATGGGGATATGCTTTTATTTTCTTGGTTTGGCTAGTCTTTGTTTTCTAATTCATTACATTGTATGCCTACTGTTACTGTAAAATAAAAATCATTTAGAAAAAAGCCATCTTTTCAGTGAGAATGTCATTTACCACACTCTTTAAAAGAGAAATCCACCCAGCTACACCTCCACTGTTTCTTATGTTATGTCTCTGTTTCTTATGTTATTTTTCTCCATAGAAATTTTCAACAGCTAACATATTCTGTGTTTTGCTTATTTATTTTTTCTTCCACCCACTAGTACATAAACTCTATAAGGGCAGGACTCTTTATTTTGTTCTGTTTTCCCCATCACCCTGAATGCTATCAAGCATTCAAGTAGGCACTCAGTAAATCTTTGTAATTAAATACATGAATGAAAAATATCCAATATCTATGTATATTGGGTTATTGAAGGAAAACGGTGAGTTACAGTCAAGTTTAAAAACCATTGTGCAAACTATTAAAAGTTCCAACCAGGCCTGGATTTATCTAGGCAGTAGGTTTCTGTTGTTTAAGATCTGTCTATTTCCAGTATTCTCTTTTTTTAATGGAACTAGTCCTAAGGAAATAGGAGGAGACGAAGCGCTGGTTGGGATGGACTTTCTCCCTTGATGTGCTTTTTCGCCTCCGCATTCCTGCATTCCCTCCTGAGACACCAAATGCAATTTTTCCAGTGCTACTGTGGTGCTGTAACATGGGCAGTGTATTGGAAGGAATATGTGTATTAGGATTTCTTAGCAATATTATTTTCTCTCCCTTGTGCATTCTAAAGAGCAAGGACCAAAAATCCCAACCGTGCCTGCTTTTATGTAGCTAAGAGTAGCTTTATACATTTGCAATTGATCTGACGATTGGGAACTCTGATTAAGTCAAATGTTATTCCCCCAACAGAAAGAAATCCGTTCTTCTCATAGTTGACCAGTGTGTTAAAGAAAAAATTATTCTCATACTTGTTAAAATGGTAAGGAAGACTTTGTTTAAGACTGTTGTGATGGGTTTCAAGACCGTCACAGTATGGGACAAAGATTGGGCTCAACTCCAGATACAACAAGAACAAGTGGAGGTTTATAGCTGAAGAGGTTGGAGAGTCAGTGGATGGGAAATTACTAAGAGGAAGACATCAAGGGTAGCGAGATTCTCGCTTAAAGGACCCTGAGGATTCTTGTTGAAGGCAGTACGGGATGATCAGATATCACTTGGTGGATGTTGGAAGAGAGGGGTTTGACCAGATATCGTGGGTGGGAGCATTCTCTCTAAACTGACTTCGGAGGATTCTTGCTACAACTCTGAAGGGACAGACACTGAAGGCTAAAGTAGAGGCCCCCTTGAGAAGAGGGCTCAAGGGAACCTGACTAAAGGTTTGGTCGAGAGTATCTTTGCCAAGTATTAGAAAAAATTATACCCAATTGTTATATTTTGATTTTTGTCAATAAAAACTTGTGTGATTATTTGTATCCTCTCATTATATAAGTACCTACATCATATTATGGATCTTGCCTCTTGGCCTGCAAAGCCCAAAGTATTTGCCGTCTGGCACCTGGCAAGTTTCTTGACTTCTGCCCTGGAGTTTTATTACTCTTCTCGTGAATTTTAACAGCCTTACATTTAAACAAAGTTTACCATTGATAGGAGGACCTTGTGCTCATTGCTCTCAGAGGGCTGGCTGCAGGCAGAAAGAGCTTATTTAATGTGGCACACATTGTTTTCCAGTTTTTTTCCTGGATGTTTTCAGCTGGACACCCAGAACGTCTGCCTGCCTGTCTTTTTCTGACCACTTGTTTGCCTTCTCCCTCCCTCCCTTGATCCATTCATGAACTCAGGAACACCCTCACTATTGGTATCTCGGTTCTCTGGGGCCATTTACACCTGACTAGAGGATCTGCTCACTCCCTGTGCCTGGACTTCCGACCTACAGAGCTGTGAGCTAATAAACAGGTGTGGATTTATGCAGCTCAGTTAGTGGTAACTTGTTACACAGCAATAGAAAACAAATACAGATCTTTGCAAGGTTATCTCACTTTAAATGATTTTCCCCTTCTTTGTCTGCCCTTTAAATTTCCACTAGTATTGTTTGTTTTTCTTTTTACAGCAAAGTTCAGAAATGTTTCCCCAATCATCTTACTTTTCAGCAACATTGAAATTCTGTATTCCCTAGGATTCAGTTACATATCCCTCTTGTAGCACTTAACACTTAGTGTACACTTGTGTAATATTAGTCTTTGAGGTCTGTTTTTGTATTTCTGCTCTCACTCCCAGGACACAATAGTTGCTCAAATATATTCTGAAATAATGAGTAATAGGTCCGACATCAAGAATTTTGGCTGAAAAAAAATCAGAGACTCAGACTCCTATAAGAACCTCAGGATGGTCCCAGTAGAAAGCTTTCAATTAGATTAAAATGCCAAATAAAATGGCTTTTATTATATTCATAAATATTAAGTGTCCAGTGTTCTTTATTGATATACAGACACCTTAAAAAATGGGTTGTCTTTTCTCTTGCAGCTAATGTGTTCATAAGATAAGGTGAAGTGTTATTTAATAAACAGTTTTTCATTTTTAGGCATTTTTGAAAGATATCTACTATGGCATTAAAAACGCTTCAATTTTTCTTAACGAAATGCTATTTAATTTCATGTAAACTTACAGTTTAATGCTAAGGCAGAAAAATAGGTTATTTCCTTTTTATTTATGACACTGCTAAATAAAGAATTGAAAATAGAAAAAAAATCAGGCCTCCTTTATTTTTTAAAATGTCAGATCTTTGATAAGAATGCCTGGAAACTTGAATCTTATTTATTGAACCGTTTCAGGAGTTAAGGGTAACCACGAGCCCAGGTTGGAATCTGTTGTCTCAGTGTAATTATTAATGGCAACTCTTTTTATCCTCCAGTGTGTTTGATGATAAATTGTATTGTGACCTTATAGTATATGCTACCTGTTGATATGTTTGACTTGCTGTCTCATTTTGAATAATTGTTAACCTTGCAGAGATTGAAGTTAGAAGTACTATTGTAGATGGTTTGGGAAGGCAGAATATACTGAACTCTCCCCCATTCACCAAATCTGTAGGAAAGATATTGAAACCGAGTGATGGAAATACCCACAAGTTTTCATGTCTGTTTGGAAACTTGAAGGATCATTTCTCTATTATGGAATTTGGAAATTTTAGTAGAATGTGTCCAGCTATGCATCTTTTTCATCAGTTTCCCTGGCTTGTAGTTAGTCTTACAAGTCTCTCTTCAAATGAAAGATATTTCCTTTTCGTTATTTTTTTTGCTCATGTACATATTTATATTTATACATTATGTTTTTGTTGTGGGGAAACATACATGTTTATCATTTTAACTATTAGTGTACAATTTAGTGCCATTAAAGACAGTTGCCTGTGGTGTAACCATCATGATCTATACCCAAAATATTTTCATCATTCCTGATATGGTTTGGCTATATTCCCACCGAAATCTCATCTTTAAGTATAGCTCCCATAATTTTCACGTGTTATGGGAGGGACCTGGTGGGAGATAATTAAATCATCAGCTGTTTCCTCCATAACTGTTCTCATGGTAGTGAATAAGTCTCATGAGATCTGACGGTTTTATGAGGGGCTTCCCGTGTTGCTTGGCTCTCATTCTCTCTTGCCTGCTGCCATGTAGGATGTGCCTTTCACCTTCCACCATGATTATGAGGCCTCCCCAGCCATGTGGAACTGTGAGTCCATTAAATCTCTTTTCCTTTATAAATTACCCAGTCTCAAATATGTCTTTATCAGCAGCATGAAAATGGACTAACACAATTCCCAACATAAACTCTGTGCCTGTTAAATAATATCTCCCCAATTTCTCCCTCCCTCAGTCCCTATAACCTCTATTCTACTTTCTATGGAGGCATTTCCTTTTATTTCTTTAATTATTGCCACTCTTCTCCTTTTTTTCTCCCAGGGGACTTGTATTACTTGCATATACTGTAGGAGTCTTCATGATTTGCTTCCCAGTAGTGGCTTTTGTTTACTGAATTAAAGTAAAATTATGTTTTCCCCAAATTTTAAATTTTCTGTGCTGTTATTGAATCTTCTTAGGTTGACTCAGGTCTGTCTGCTTTTGTATTTCTGTACTGTTACTTTCTGTCCCCTCTGATAGCCCCATGTCCTTAAAAGCAGACTTCTGGATTGTTCCCACGTTTTCTTTGGCCTCTAGATCCCCGAAGTAGCCATGCTTTTCTCTGCCTCCCATGGCCCTCTTCACGCTTGCGTTGGGTTAACCCCTTACAGCTCTTGTTAGCCTGTGAATTGTACGAGGCTCAGGGGTGGTCCCAGCCCCCTGAAGCCTGGTGCTGTAGGCACCAACTGAGCTCATCTGGGGAGTTAAATGATGTCAGATCTCCACAGCCTAAGATTTTGTCTGTTGATTCAGGGGGTGCCAAGGCTTTGACTTTTTTTTTTTTTTAAAGCTTCATAAATTATTTTGATGTGCAGTCAGAGTTGAGAACCAATGTTCTGCACCAAGGGTAGGCAAACTCCTGCTGTCTAGGCCTGGCTAGTAAGTATTTTAGGTGTACAGTTTCCGTTGCAACTACACAACCCTATACATGTGAAAGCAGCCATGAAACAATTCACAGATGAGTGAATGTGGCTGGGTTCCAATAAAACCTTGTTTATAAAAGCAGTTTACAGGCTACAGTTTGCTGACCCCTGCTCTAAACAGATCAGCACCATTATCCCTGTCTATGGATTCCGGCACTGAAGGTCAGAGCAGGGATCACTTGTCACTTACGTTTATACTAGTGTCAGGTAGCAGCATGGATTCAGATCTGGGTACCCTGACATCCGGCACCCCAACATCCGGCACCCCAAGCTCTGGCTTCACCCGCCACACTTTTGCCTTTTGCTTCCCAGGCGCCTGGCAGCTGTAATTCAACATTCTGTAAAGTGGGTTTGGCGGGCCATTGTAGTGTTATCACTTCAGAGAGTTTCTTGGTTAGATAAATTGGAGAAATATTTAACAACACAAATTTGAGTAAGCATCTTCAATTTAGAATGGTTTTATTTGGCAGGTAGTGCTTGCCGAATGCATTTGGCCAAAGAGCTTTTTGGAGAGGCTATGTATTCAAACTCTTGTCCTGCTCTGTGGCTCTCTTGTTGGTGACAATGGTGTAGTGTTTCCAACTTTAGATGAGTGCAGTGTGCCGTCATCCTGCTTTGTCATTAGATACCACTTATACTGTTATTTAGACCAAGGGTCACCAACCCCCAGACCTTGGACCGGTACTAGTCCATGGCCTGTTAGGAATGGGGGCTGTACAGCAGGAGTTGAGTGGCGGGTGAGCAAGCATTACTGCCTGAGCTCCACCACCTGTCAGATCAGCTGAGCGTTAAGAATTCTCACAGGAGTATGAACCCTATTGTGAATTGCACATGCGAAGGAGCTAGGTTGCATGCTCTTTATGAGAATCTAATGCCTTTGAAATCATCCCTGTTTCCCCCATCCATGGAAAAATTGTCTTCTGTGAAACCAATTCCTGGAGCTAAAAAGGTTGAGGACCTCTGATTTAGAATATATTGTCTCAATTTAAATTTTGCTCATTTAAAAATACTTATCTAAACAATATCTGTGAAGTTGTAGGTTTGAGTTATTTTACCATGTTAGTGAAAACATGTTAGAGGAATGTTTATGAACCCCAGAGGCGTTAACAGTTGGGGGAGACTGGTGTGGTGGAGCAGATGCTGTTGACCTTTTCAGGAGAGAGCACAATAGCCCAGCCTGGTTGGTATTCAACCAGAAGATGCTGATAATGAAAACGTCCACTATCAGCTTTATCATTCTCTAGCTGTGATGTCCAATTGCATGGATCTTAGAAAGCAGTCATAGGGCCTGCTTTAAGTGCTTCACCACACATTCTCATATATATTTACACAAGCCTTGTATTGTCTCTTAGAAAGGCCTGGGATGATATACAGATGAGGCATTAAGTAACTAAGAGGTTAAGAACTTGTCCAAAGTCATGAAGCCAAATCCTGGTGTTAAGATTCAAATTCTAGTATTTTGTATTCCGGAGTTTGCCTTCTGTGATTACTATTAAATGCTCGGTAATTATTGAGGGAGGGCAGAGACTGGAAAAATGACCCTAAATACAAAATAGGTTAGAGTTGCCAGCCAGGGCACTGAACCACATCCTCACCCCTTGGAGGTTCCCCTGCATCTGCCTCCCTTTCTTTGAGTTGTTGGAGCAGGATGAGTATGGCACTTTAAGAAGGGTTGTGGTCAGGGACATCTGACTGTTTTACAGAGGACCTGGGACTTTAGATTTTGGTTGATGTATGAGGTTTTCTTGTTTTACGCAGATACCCTTGTGATTAAAAGTAATAATGGTCAAGCTTTTTCTATGAGTTGTAGCTTTCCCTGGACGACGGGGAAAAGATGGGCTAGAAACCAAGCCGTCCATGAATCACTTAGCATCCAGAGAGGACATGTAAAAGAGGTTGGAGGCTCTACTTTTAGGAAATGACCCCTTTATGGCCCCTTAAGTAGATATACAGTGAGCTGCGTCTGTTTACTTTTTCTCCTTTCCTTTCAAAATTCTGTTGAAAATAATAGAAGAAGCATAAAAATATGGAAAGATCCATAACAGGGCTGCAAAATGAGAAAGTTGCTCCAGAGACCCCGGAAGCATTGAGGACGTTGTGGAATAAATAAAGCAGATGGGATCAGATTGATGGCGAAACTCCACAGCAAAGGAAGTAGGAACTTACAACCCAATAGAGACAGAAGTGGGAATAACTAGAAAAATGGATTTTCTTAACAGCATCCTGGATGATTCCCAAGAACTGAAACCATAGGGGGTGGCAACAAAAGTGACTAATGAGAGCGCCTGGCCAGGAATTAATAACCTGAAACAGCTGCTCCAGTTCTGCTCTCAGTCTGGCTCTGAGGGGATAGTGGTCCAGTTTGCTTCTGCAACAAGGCCATTTAGCTTAGTTTTAAATAATCTGGGAGATTTGCCAAGGCAGAATATAGTGGGCGACTGTATAGCAGGAGGGAGAAGTTGTAGCAGGTGCCAGGTATCTTTTGTGTCTCCATCTCCACGGATATGAGGTTTCTGAACCTAAAAGTAAAGGCAGTTCATTACCCATTATTTTCATGTGTGCTAAAGAAATCCTCTGCAGCAACTAATAGTGAGCGTTCTAGCCCCACATTTGTAAATATGAGCCAGCAACCAAGAAGGATCATCAGACATTTGAGAAGAAATCAACAGAATGAGAGGCCACCAAACCAGTCCCATGGAACCACTGGGGAAAAGTTAACACAGGAAAATTCTAATTCATAGTCTCAGATCCAAGAGCAGAGCAACTGATTAAAGAAAAAAAAAAGCATCTAATGGGAAAGGTTGAGCAAAGGAGGAGTTCTTACAAGTTAAGTGTGGGATTATAATGTTAAAAAGCTCTGGTGTGGGCCGGGTATGGTGGCTCACACCTGTAATCCTAGCACTTTGGGAGGCCAAGGCGGGTGGATCACTTGAGGCCAGGAGTTCGAGACCAGCCTGGCCAACATAACAAAACTGTCAAGTATGGTGGCCCATGTCTATGATCCTAGCTATTCAGGAGGCTGAAGCAGGAGAATTGCTTGAACCCAGGAGGTGGAGGTTTCAGTGAGCCGAGATGGCACCACTTCACGCCGGCGTGGGTGACAGAGCGAGACCCTGTCTCAAAAAAAAAAGTGCTGGTGTGGGGTCAGTAGGTGGGCTGAAGGGAGAAATGGAAACAACCAAGGACTTAAGAAAATTAGTCTTCTGGAAAATTAAGCAGAGGATTTATTCCACAATTCAAAGCAGAACGTTATTAAGATGAGAATTTTGAAGCAGAATTAAGAAATGTGAAGGTTGGAACTAAGAGATGGAATATCTGGCTAAGGAGCAGATGGAGAAAAAAAAAAGGCAGCCTAAACAATTCTTTGATTCAAGGATGCCATCAACAGTCAGATGCTTATTTCCAAACAACTTTTCAGCGAGGGAGCCAGAGATCTAATTATTCTTAAGAGCTGGTTTCTCTAAACGTGTACATATTTTTTTCCCACCCAGTGAAATGCCACTTCCTTAGCACCTCTGTCACCCCCAGCCTTCTCATGCTGAATCACTTAACCATTTGTATTCTGCATGGTATCATTTTAGTACAAAGCTGCTTACGCTTTTTTTTTTTTTTTTGGAAACAGGGTCTCACTCTATCGCCTAGGCTAGAGTGCAGTGGCGTGATCTCAGCTCACGGCAACCTCCACCCTCAGGGCTCAAGCGATTCTCTTGCTTCAGCCTTCCTAGTAGCTGGGATTACAGGCATGCACCAACACGCCCGGATAATTTTTGTATTCTTAGTAGAGACGGGGTTTCACCATGTTGGTCAGGCTGGTCTCAAACTCCTGACCTCAAGTGATCCACCCGCCTTGGCCTCCCAAACTGCTGGGATTATAGGCATGAGCCACTGCACCTGGCCTGCTTACACTTTTTATTTGAAAATAATTTCAAACTTACATGACTATTAAAAGAATAAGAATAATGGGTAGAACCTCTGTATATTTTTTACCCAGATTTACCTGATTTTCCCATATTACTAGCATTTTACCCCTTTATTTTTTCTTTTTATATATGCATGGAAAATATATTTAAAATCATTTTAGGGTATATTGCGTGCATTGTAATTGCACAGTTTTTCATAAAAGTAATCTTGACTTTTTCTTTAGCATCTTTAGGTTGTGATAATATAATTTGGATGCCTGTGTTAGGTTTTGCATTTTTTTACTTGGGGTTCATTTAACAGCTTTAAAAAAAATGTAATCATGCATCATTGGAAGTTTAACTGTTTTTCTTATAAGTTAGCTGGCAGCTTACCAGTTGTGACCTGCTTGAATGATAGTTCTCTATGACACATGAATGAATCCCTCCAGCCTCTCCTCAACTTCAAATTCTGAGAGATTTGATATTTCTCTGCCTTTAATTATGCTGACTGTCGTAGCATATGCAATCTTCTATTACACAACTGTTTATTTCAGTGCTGCATCATAGTGAAACCTTAATGTATAAACATTAAGCCATAATTAAGGATCCAGACTTAAAATTCAACCACAGTTTGTGTGTGTGCCAACAATGACAACCACTGATAAATGCTTAACTTCCTCCTTTTTCTAACAGCTGGAAGATTCTTTTGCTATCAGTTTTAAGATGGTTTTAAGTTTAGAAGGTCTAACATGTAGAAAAAGTATCTTAGGACACTTTTATTGCAGTATGAAGAGAAGGAAGAGTACTAGACATACTCTGGTAGAATTTTTGATTTCCAGAAAGAATCCCATAAGACTTAAGCAGGAATAAGGCTGGGACTGAGATTTATATTTCTGATCTGTACCACTGCATGCCATTAATTATAGGTGCTATGTCATTATGTCCTCAGGGAAGATCTTTGAACATAGAAACTTAAACCCAGTTTTATTTTTTACTTCATTAATTCATTGCACAGATGTTGTGGGACCTTTTCTGTTGGGTCTCCTGGGAAGCACATGCCAGAGGGAAGCACATGCCAGAGTGGAGCTAGGAGTTAAAGATGTTTACTAGGGGGAATTACTATGAAAAATAAAGAGAGAAAACAGAAGCAGGCATAAGAAGTCTTCAGATGGGAATTGCAGGTCTAGCACCTGTGAAAGGAGAGGGGAAGGAAAGGTCTGAGACTGTGTCACAGCTATGAGGAAGGCTTGGCCAGCCCTTTGCAAAGCTCTGGTAGAGATTGCCCACCAGAAGTCTGCTGGGTAGAAATGCAGAGCCCCGCTACCACTGCTGTGCTCAGTCATTGGCTGGGGACTGCCTGCAAAGTGCATGACTCTGCTTGAAAATTGACGGAGGCAGATCCTCTAGACGTCTGTGGCTGGGGGCCCTCAGCTAACTGCTCTCCTGCCCCAAGGCCCTCTTTTAGAAAGACAGCTGAGTAGGAGCATGTGGCTGCAACAGTCACTCATACTTGACACTGCTGGAATGTTAACTCTGCCATTTAGTCTGTGTGTGAACCTCAGCAAGTTAGCTAATTTCTTTTGCCTTGCAAATTTTTGGTAATTGTTTTGAAGAAAATAATAATATCTACATCATGGGTTTTGTTTTGTTTTGTTTGAGACAGGGTCTTCCTCTGTGGCCCAGGCTGGAGTGCAGTGGAACTATCATAGCTCACTGCAGCCTCAACCCCCTGGGCTTGAGCAATCCTCTCCACTCAGTCCTCCAAGGAGCCAGGACTACATGCTCACACTACCATGCCTGGCTGTTGTCTTTACTTTTTTTTTTTTTTTAAGAGTTGGGGTCTCACTGTGTTGCCCAGGCTGGTCTCTAACTCCTGGGCTCAAGCAGTCCTCCTGCCTCAGCCTCCCAAATTGCTGGGATTATAGGTATAAGCCACTGAACCCAGCTGTATCACAGGGTGCTGGTGAAGAATGATTGAGTATATTCACTGCACAATATGATCACTCAGATATTCACCATTATGTTCTTTTTTTGTGAGGATGCAATTATGGTCAAATTGGAAAAGATTTTTATACTTTATGTATTTTACTTTGTTGTGAGAGAAATGGTAGATACACAAATGCCTGAACAGAGTGATTTCAAATAATGAGAAGTGTTACAACAAGGTGAATAGAGTGAAGGCAAAACATTTCTTGACACACAAGAGCTAAAGCATACCACCCAGAATTATTTTCTGCAAAAATGAATGAATGAGTCAATGCATCCAATCAAAGGAAGAGACATTGATGAACCAAGTAACTAACCATGCTTATGACAAAATTGATTTAATTGCTGATGCCATGTGGGATTAAATGTAATTTTAATATGAAGAATTATCAAATGGATGGAGAATTTTGAGATTCAGTAGATACTCTCATTTTTGCTAGGAAGAATTATTTTAGAAAATGGCGTTTGATTTGCATTTATCTGAAAACAGAATAAGCTGAGACAGAGTAAAACAGAAGTTGGCAAACTTTTTCTGTAAAAGATCAATTAGTAAATATTTTAGGTTTTACAGACCAGAATGTCTGTTGCCACTACTCAACTCTGCTGTCCTAGCACATCCTCAATATTTGGTAACTCTTGGTCCTATTAAAATTATTGTAGGAGGTATCTTCTGAAAGAGGAAATCCTTTGTACACGTCTGTTTTACTCTGTAAAACTTTCACAAAAACATACAAATAAAAATAAAAAGCAGCCATCAACAATATGTAAACAAATGGGCATGGTTGTTTTCAACAAACCTTTAAGGGCATTGAAATTTGAATTTCATACAAGTTTCATGTGTCATGAGGTATTGTTCTGATTGTTTTTCATGCATTTAAAAATTTAAACACTGTTCTTAGAGGTCGTAGGCTTTAAAGAAAACCAGTGGCTGGCTGGGTTTTTTTGCTTTTGAACTAGAACTTTGAAGAATGTTGGGAGTCACCAGTTTTCATGACTGGGGTAAATGAAGGAAAGCACTGAAAATTTATTTTTGAGGAGTTAACATTCCTGATTTTTGCTTATCACAGGTGGCTCTAAAACTTTAGGATGTGTACCAATTGAAGTTAGTGACTCACCTGGCCCAAAATCTAGCCAACCTTCCTTTCTTATCTCTTTTTCTTGTACTTGATAAACAATGTTGTAGCAATAACACATATTATTATACAGGCCAAATCTAACACAGTGTCAATTTACATTAGTACAATTTGTAAAATGGCAAATCAGAAATGTCAAGGTGTGGAAATTTTTATTGTTTTGAGACTGGGTCTTGCTCTGTCACCCAGGCTGGAGTGCAGTAGCCAGATCATAGCTCACTATAAACTCAAACTCCTGGGCTCAAGCGATCCTCCTCCTTGGCCTTCCAAAGCACTGGGATTACAGGCATACTAGGGCCTCAAAGAGTGGAAATTTTAAATATGTAAATATATGCCTTGATCTTTCTGTGTGAATACCTAAAGTGCTTCCTCTCCCTGAGTCCTACAACACTGCATCTTTCTGGTATTTCATTTTGTAGATAGACAAAAGAATTCCATAAAGTCCCCTATTATTGGAACCAACGTAAGTATACAGCAATTAGCTTTTACAGACAGTAGTGCAATGAATAATTTTGCTGTATAAGTATATAATTATATAAGATGTAATATGTAATATATTTTGTACAAGTGCAAGTATGTCTTTAGGGTAAATTTTTAGAAGAGGAATAAATGGATGAAATAGTGTATATATGTTTATACTTTTACCCTCCATAGTTTTGTTTTGATTTTTTTTGTTTTGTTTGTTTTTAAGTGACCGGGTCTTGCTATGTATATCACCCACGCTGATATTGAACTTCTGGGCTCAAGCAATCCTCCCACCTTCACCTCCTGAGTAGCTGGGACTACGGGAGTTAAGCTACCATGCCCAGCTGATTGTACTGATTTATAGCAAAATATTGAGTGGCTGTGTCCCTCAGAATATAAAATGTGTGATCACATTTTTCCCCCACTGTGAAAAGTTATTTGTGACATCTCGTTTTAATTTGTGTTTCCCTCATGACTAAGGTTGTCGTACATCCCTTTATTTGATTGTGATCCATTGGTGTTTATTTTTCCTGAACTATCTGTTCAAGCCTTTTGCCGATTTTTCTTTCTTCTTTGTTTGGCAAAAGATTTTTAAATACTTTAAGTGCTGAGATACATGTGCAGGACGTGCAGTTTTGTTACATAGGTATACATGTGCCATGGTGGTTTGCTGCACCCATCAACCCGTCATCTACAGTAGGTATTTCTCCTAATGCTCTCCCTCCTCTAGCCCTCCACCCCGTGACAGGCCCCTGTGTGTTATGTTCCCCTCCCTGTGTCCATGTGTTTTCATTGTTCAACTCCCACTTATAAGTGAGAACGTGAGGTATTTGGTTTTCTGTTCCTGTGTTAGTTTGTTGGGAATGATGGTTTCCAGCTTCATCCATGTCCCTGCAAAGGACATGACCTCATCCTTTTTTATGGCTGCATAGTATTCCATGGTGTACATGTGCCACATTTTCTTATCCAGTCTATCATTGATGGGCATTTGGGTTGGTTCCAAGTCTTTGCTGTTGTGAATAGTGCTGCAGTAAACATACGTGTGCATGTGTCTCTATAGTAGAATGATTTATAATTCTTTGGGTATATACCCAGTAATGGGATTGCTGGGTCAAATGATATTTCTGGTTCTAGGTCCTTGAGGAATCGCCATGCTGTCTTCTACAATGGTTGAAGTAATTTACACTCCCTTCAACAGTGTAAAGGCATTCCTATTTCTCCACATCCTCTCCAGCATCTGTTGTTTCCTGACTTCTTTTTTTTTTTTTTTATTTGAGACAGAGTCTCGCTCTGTCGCCCAGGCTGGAGTGCAGTGGCGTGATCTCGGCTCACTGCAAGCTCCGCCTCCCGGGTTCACGCCATTCCCCTGCCTCAGCCTCCTGCTTAGCTGGGACTACGGGTGCCCTCCACCACACCTAGCTAATTTTTTATATTTTTAGTAGAGATGGTGTTTCACTGTGTTAGCCAGGATGGTCTTCATCTCCTGACCTCATGATCCGCCCGCCTCGGCCTCCCAAAGTGCTGGGATTACAGGCGTGAGCCACCGTGCCCAGCCCCTGACTTTTTAATGATCACCATTCTAACTGGTGTGAGATGGTGTCTCATTGTGGTTTTGATTTGCATTTCTCTAATGACCATTGATGATGAGCTTTTTTTCATGTGTTTGTGGGCCGCATCTATTGGGGAGGTTTTTTGTTTCTTAGTTTTTTTTTAGAGAATTCTTTGTATGTTTAGAAAATTAGTCCTTTGCCTTTAATAGGAATTATAAATATTTATTGTTTATCTTTTAACATTGCTTATGGATTTAAAAACAATCAAAAAGAAATTTTTAAATGTGCTACATTTTCAAATTTCCTATTTGCTCTTTTCCTTAGTTCTGGGAAATCCTTAGTTATTATGGCTTGTAAATCTGCTTTTCTTAAACTTCTGTCTCTTTCTGAGGCTCATCTCTGCCTTCATCTTCATAGAGCCTTGAACTCTGTCTTCTCTTCTTTCCTTTTAAGGACACTTGCATTGGATTTAGGGCCTACCCTAACTCAGGATGCTCTCCTCTCTAGAACCTTAACTTAATTACAACCACAAACACTTTTTTTCTAAACAAGGTCACGTTCACAGTTTCACATTCACAGGTTCCGGGAGATGCCTTTCAAACCACTTCAGCCATTCAACCTGCCACAATAACCCTATTTGATTGTTTATCTGATTTTTCCCTACAATGGTTGATGCCCCAAATTATAGCTCCAACACATTTGATCTGAATATTTAGTACTCTTGAAATATATTTTTAAATTTCTCTCAAAAGGATAATCATTTTGTGCCTTCTGATATACAAGGTGTGAGTGTTGTCAACAGTTTTCCATGATTCACTCCATTCTGGGACTTGCAATAGCAAGCAACTGAGAACTTCTAAAACTACTTAATTTTTATTTCTTCTGCTCCATAAACTTTTTGATTTTTTAAAAAAATATGTATAGTAAGTCTCACTCCTGTTTTTGTATTCCAGCATAAGCGATGTACCAAACTAAAACTTGGTACTGTGTTAAATGGTAGCAGTAGACATCAAGGACTTCCTTAATGGCGTTGAAATTCAAGAGGCGAGAGCTCCAAGTAGCGTTCCTAAGCATCGTCCATAGATCATGTGGCGGTAACATCATTAGTATAGAACAGAAATGGGTGTATATAAGCTTTATGACTTCGCTCAAGTTTTATATTTTTCATTTACTTACCTCCTAGAAAGTTTGAAATTTCAAAGATGTCAGCAAAAATATTGATTATGAATGGGTTTTAGGTTTATAATAATACATGATATTATGCATTTGCTAGTTCCACAGTCCCCTATTTCAAAATTGAGTGTAAAAGCTGTCTGCAGAGTAGATTTATTCATACTGATTCTGTTTTCTTGCACAAAATCCTTAAACACATCAAATAATGTGTAGACTGAATACATTAACTTGAGGTTGTAAACTGTATTTTTAAGGTTACAGTTATAACGTTTTAAGTGTGATGAAATGTCTTCCTTTTTACTTTCCTCAATAAAATCTATCATTTCTCGTACTAAAGCTTTTATGACTGAGGAAATGACAGTCCTTTGGCCGAAGCATTCTGGAATTGCAGTGAGTGTAATTCAGCCACTACCCTGGCCGTGTTTTATAAGCTACTCATGTTTGGGTTTCATTCTTTACTCAGAAACAGAACACTAATGTCACTGAGCTTGGTCGTTGTGTAGTTTTCATTTCCCTGTTCTTTGGTTTATTTTAAATTCTTAGTGACTGCAAAGTTTGACAGCTTTGCTCATTAAAACATAGTAATTAAATATAGAAAATTAAAACTAGCTGGAAAGGATCTCGATAATCACTCTAATTTTTTCTTTGTCTTAAAAATGAAGTTGAAGTCTACCTAGAAAAGTGAAGTGACTGTCACACAAACTGAATCATTTATTCCTTGTGGGGTCGCAGTTAAAACCCTAGACTCTGAATACAGCACCATTGTTATTTGCACTACTTTTAGTGCCTGTGAAGTTTCTAACGTCAGTCACTATATAAACATTTATTGAATATAAATAAATAAATGTGGCTCTTTAATCTCAAAGCATAAATTATTTACTTGTTTTTATTTCTAAGATACACTCAAAATAAACTCAACCTCAAGCTGTACTTAGCAATTAAGATTCTTATATTTATTACCAGGAGGAAAAATACTTAAAAAAATAAAAGTCTTATTTTAGAGATTTCGAAAGATATTGCAGGATTATAAAGAATAAAAGATAAATTGGCCAGGTGTGGTGTCTCACACCTGTAAACCCAGCACTTTGGGAGGCCGAGGTGGGCGGATCATCTGAGGTCAGGAGTTCGAAACCAGCCTGGCCATCATGGTGAAACCCTGTCTCTACTAAAAATACAAAAATTAGCTGGGTATGGTGGTGGGCACTTATACTCCCAGCTACTTGGGAGGCTGAGGCACAAGAATCACTTGAACCCTGGAGGCGTAGATTGTAGTGAATTGAGATCGTGCCACTGTATTCCAACCTGGGCAGCAAGAGCAAGACTACGTCTAAAAAAAAAAAAACCCAAAACAGAAAAACCCAAAAAGAATAAATTAATAGAAACCTCATCACTAAAATAGCGATCATTTTGATGTTTTCTTCCCAATTATTATTATTTTTGACTATACAGAGTCAGAAATATATTGTCAATCAAGGATATCAGTTTTGATGTTTGCTTTTTAAAAGCTTGTAAGCATTTTTCTCTTCATCAGGTTTCCTTTGAAAGAATCATTTTTATTGGAGGCATACAATTTTGTTGTTTGGATGTATTATAATTTGTTTAACTCTTCTTATAACTGACCTCTTTGGGAGTTTCCGATTTTTGTCTGTTTTACATCATGCTGACATAAAGTCGCTGGAAATACCTTTTGTCAGTTTGGTGAGTGCCGGCTCAGGATGGATACTGTTTGGGATAGCTAGGGTCATAGGCTCTTGGTATGCTCTGCCGGGCTGCTTGGGAAATCTTGTTCCGGAAGTGAGCTTTGAGTCCATATGTGAGTCTCAATTCTGTTTTGCCTGTGCTAACTGCTTTTTAAAAACAACAACAACAAATCCTTTGTGGTTTTGATGAGAGGAAATTGTATTTTAATCGGAATGTTTTTGGTCACCATGTTTTCTTCATTCCAATGATTGAAGACTTATCCTTGCTTTAGTAACTAACAAATAGCTTTGTCGGGTGGTGGAGGGACAGAATACAATCCAGTAATATACTTGGATTGTAAGATACATCTGGACTTCAGAAAACATTTTTTAAAAAATTTGTTTCTTTCAGTAGATTTTGGGGGAACAGGTGGTGTTTGGTTACATGAATAAGGTCTTTAGTGGTGATTTCTGATATTTTGGTGCACCCATCACCCGAGCAGTATACACTGCACCCAGTGTGTAGTCTTATCCCTCATCCGCATCCCACCCTTTCCTCGAAGTCCAATGTGTCATTCTTTTTTTTTTATTTATTTATTTTTTTTTCCGAGACGGAGTCTCGCTCTGTTGCCCAGGCTGGAGTGCAGTGGCACGATCTCGGCTCACTGCAAGCTCCACCCCCTGGGTTCACGCCATTCTCCTGCGTCAGCCTCCCGAGTAGCTGGGAATATAGGTGCCCACCACTACGCCCGGCTAATTTTTTGTATATTTAGTGGAGACGGGGTTTCACCGTTTTAGCCAGGATGGTCTCGATCTCCTGACCTCATAATCCACCCGCCTCGGCCTCCCAAAGTGCTGGGAACCGTGAGCCGCCGCCCCCGGCCTCATTGTGTCATTCTTATGCCTTTGCATTCTCGTAGCTTAACTCCCACTTGGGAGTGATAACATACCATGTTTGGTTTTCCATTCTTGAGTTGACACGTCAGAAAACATTGAAATGAGGGAGGATCTGTGTCTTAGAACCAAGGAAACAGAATTTGAAACTTAATGGATACTCATTGAGTATGTCATGGTTTTTCTAATTCCTTCTACTGTTCGTGAGGTAGATTTTATTCTTCCCATTTTATCAATAATGGAACTCTGTTACTGAGAGGAAGTGTGACTCGCCTAAAGTCAACATAACTTGAAAGGGATAGAGCTGGAGTCGAAACCCAGTTATGCTTCACTTTAGGAATTCCTAAAAGAAAAGGCTCTGATATGTTAATCTGCAGGGATTTTAAAATTTCACTTAGATAAAAGAAAATCAGATGCCAAATGGCTGTTTTGTATTAATACCAGGAATCCAAGTTGTTTTTAGACAAAATAATAATACCTAAAATCTTCTGATCCAGAGGTATGCTCCATTTACATTTGTATATACAAAGAAGTGCTGTGTTGCATTGTCTCAAAAAACACTAGCTCACACTGTACCCATTGTGAAGGGTGCCCCTGAAAGTTATGCAATGCTGTGTGTGATGGAGAATTTTCTGTCCCAGATGCCTGTAGTGTGCCTCGTGACCAACATTAGTGTATGTTGAAGAACTTGGCGTTTGGAGTAGGAACTCCTGGGTACAAAATCTGGGTCTGCCATTGGCTAGTGTAATCTTGGGCCCTTTACTTAACTCTTTTGTGCCTTGGTTTTCTCATTTTCTTACCTTGATATTCCCACTCCCCAATTCAGATAACTAGCATTTTCACCTCATTCATGGATGCTCATTATTGATATTCAGGCTCCAAAAGCTACATAAAGTTACAAAGCCTAGAAAGAGTGCCAGATAATATGAAGTCTCTTCTCAGGCAAGTCCGACCTTTGGGATAGGCGCAACTATGACTTCTTTGAGTCAGTTTTTGTTTTCAATTTAATTTTGATAAACATTGCCCAAAAGCATGAGATATATTATGATTCAGCTGCCTGTGTTTGTCTGTGAGTGCATGTGAAAAGCATATTTTTACACAAATGGACAGTAGATTTGTATATTGTTAAATTACAAATAGTATTCAGTCTTATTGAAATGATGTCTAGAAGATACCTTATTTCTTTATAAAGTCAGTATTTTACAAGATCATAGGTTATGCATTTTTCTGCTAAGTTTCCATTTTAAAAATGTGTATTCAACTTGCATAATATGATTAATTATATAAATGTACATGCTATGGTATTGTTTATGCTTATGTTGAACTTAGAGCTATTACATATTGACTTTTCTCTCTTAAAGTTTTGATTATGTGTGATAGAAATAATTTAGATGTGACAAGATGCATGAGTAAACTACTTTAAATAGTTGGTTTCTCAGAGAAAGGGGAAGACACTCACTTTTTTTCAGCCATCTCAAACATTCTGGCTAATAAATGATGTCTTAGAATTTCTCATAGGTTTAAACATAATAAGCTAAATTACTTTGATATTGGTAGTGTATATTAGGCAACTTATTATTTTTTTGGTATTTTTTAGGATTCTGAGTAACAATAAGATATCCGAGCTGAAGAATGGCTCATTTTCTGGGTTAAGTCTCCTTGAAAGATTGTGAGTATTCTTTAATTATCATCTCATTATTATTTTGTTTAATGCATTTTCATTGTAAATCTTCATTGTAAATCTGTGACTAAATTCCCAGCTATTCAAAATAAAAATTGAGTTTTTCTAACATTTTTTAATGAAAAATTTTAAGAACTTTATTTTAAAAAAGAAGTAACTAAATTCTGTAAAGGGCCAGATAGTAAGTAAATTGCGTTTTCACAGCTGGCCACAAGTGACTCACCTCTGCCGTTGAAGTGTGAATGCAGCCTTAGATAATAAGCCAATGAGTATTGCATAAGACAATACTTAGGAATGATAAATGAATCGACGTGGATGTCTTCCAGTAAATCTTTACTTATACCAGAGGTCATGGACCATACTTTGTTGACTTTAAGTATGCTAGTTTAAAGCATTGATGCTGTGTTGAAATTCTATATCCTGAAATATGTATGCCATGTTAGGCCATTCTTGCATTGCTATAGAGAAATACCTGATACTGGGGTAATTTATAAAGAAAAGAAGTTTAATTGGTTTACGATTCCGCAGGCTGTACAGGAAGCATGGAGCTGGCATCTGCTCGGCTTCTAAGGAGGCCTCAGGAAGCTTACAATCATGGTGGAAGGCCAAACTTGCATGTCACATGGCGAAAACAGAAGCGAGGATGTGATGTCAAGGGGAAAAACACTAGTATAAACTTTGATATTTTATTCAGATGTCTTTAAATGTGATATATTTGTAAATATATATTTTTCTTAGCAATTAGGTCTAGTTTTGCTTATGATGTGTTACAGGTAGCACTCATTTTTGCTTTGGTGAGTTTCAGATAATGGACATTTAATTTACTTGTATTCTGAACGCTGTACCGGGATCACATTTCAAATACCCTGTTAACTCATGCATTTAGGATAAAATTTCACAATACATAAGGGAGCTACACTGTAAGATGTCTCCGTTTCTGTGGAATAACACACTGTCCTCATTTTTCTCAATTCTCTTTGCTCAGCTTCACTTTCTCCACTTCTCTGCGTGGCCTTTTCTTGACTCTTTCACCTTAGAGGCTTCTCCTGTGATTGAACTCGCACAGGACTTCATTACTTAGGTTCCTGATGTGTATGTAAATATATATGATCTAGTGTTCTTCATTTCTTTATGCGTGTCTCTGTTCTTTTCATTTAGATCAGATGTCTTTAAGTTAGGTTATATACGTGTGTGTGTGTGTTTGTGTGTATATATATATATACAGAAACACACAGGAATATTTTTAAATGTTCTTGGCACGGTAGTAGCACTTTATTTCAATATTCCTATCATGTTCCATGTCGTCCATGTGCTTTAGTGTATGCTGATCACACCCTTGGCTTTAGGCCTGCCTAAGCTAAGGGCGGTCCTTCATACACATTCCATGGTCACTGCTGGTTCAGGAATGGACATTTGGGACTATCAGGAAAGCAGACAGGAAGCCTGGGAGGACCTGTCGAAGCAAGACTGCCTTGAATCATTGTGTGAGACAGTACATTCCTATTATGTTTTCTGTTCCCTGCAAAGAAAAGTTACTGGGTTGACAGATACCATTTGCATATAACACAGTGTCAGGCATTTAGTATGTGCTTAGTTGATAATGAAAGGCATTAGTGTGGTCTTCCCTTTCCAAAAGGAAGGATGGCAGGCACTCGTAGTTTATAAATAGTGTCTGTTGTGTTTAGAAACACATTTTATTTTTGGCACCTAAGATTGATGTGGCTGTTCATGCACACCATAAAAAGTATAGACAGCATAGCTAATGTTCTGTGCTGTGGTGTGAATTACTACCCTTTTTGCATCTATTTCTTAATTTCCCTTGTCTTTGACCTTATTTTCAGCCATTTAAAGCTAACAAATCTCTGTACATGTTAGAAACAAATTAATTAGCCATTTTGGGTGATACCAAGGTGCTGTGATTGTTTTCAGCCAGGGGTATGTTTATTCACGAATCCCAAAATACTTCCTCACTCCTTTGTTGGGACCACAGAGATAAATATACAGATAAGGGACTTTGAAAGACCATTTTATTAGTGGGGACTTCAGTGTGAAAACCGAGTGTTGACCCTGGGACCTGGGCCTCTTGTGTTAGAGAACATCTTTATCTACACTGCCCCTAAGCTCAGCACATCCAAAGTACACACACATCAAGGTCCAGACCGGAGTCCTGGCCTCAGTCTGACAGTGTGTGGCGGGGGCATGCATGCCCAGTTGGGACCTGCCTCCCATGCTGTTTTTGTGGGAGAGCAGCCCACTTTAGAAAGAAAGAAAAAGTGATGAAAGGGCTGGGCTCTTTTTTACCCATTTATACTTCTTTTATTTTATTTTAAAGAGGTTTGTTACGTGTCATGAGGGTTTGTTGTACCTATTATTTCATCACTCAGGTATTAAGCCCAGTACCCAAAAGTTATCTATTCTGCTTCTCTCCCTCCTCCCATCTTCCCCGCTCAAGTAGGCCCCAGCCTCTGTTGTTTCCTTCTTTGTGTTCATAAGTTCTTATCATTTAGCTCCCCCTTATAAGTGGGAACATAAGGTAGTTGGTTTTCTGTTCCTGTGTTAGTTTGCTAAGGATAATAAAGGCTGGGCTCTTAGCTGCTCTGCTCTGGCCCTGGGAGGGAGACACTCGGTGCTCCCTGCTCCTCTGGAGGAGCAGACTTTATTCCTTCAGCACTGACTGTTCCTGTGCGTCTCTCCTATGTCTTCCAAATGAAAGCCTGAGAACATTCTTGGCTCCGGTACTGGGGTGGAAGCCACCCCATCCACCCACTCCTGCTTTCAGCAACCCTCAACCAGCGACCGATAGCAGATGGTGGATAACTACCCTGCCTGCCTCACCTGTCAGGTGGGGCCGCCCTGAGGTGCTTTCTCCACTGGCCTCAGAGTCCCCAGGGACTGAGTCTCAGGTACCTCAGTGGTAACGTCTTCAGCAGCTCACCTTGTTGGACATCATTCTCTTTTCTCACTTCCCACTTTTCTGCTGGTGCATTCTGGGGTCACCCCCTGAGTAAAGCCATTATTTTCACCCTTGTCTGGGAGAATTCCACCTAAGAGACACAACTGGCCAAATAACATGTTTGCCATTCAGATTTGCCTAGTTAGAGAGTCCTGAAGATGAGAACAGAATAACCGGACGACTTGAAAATACAGCAGATAGGGTATGGTGTAAAAGACGGTTGGCAGAACAAGGAATTACTCACACCAAGGTCAGAATTTCAAAGCTGTGGCCTTGAAATTATAGGAGCCAAGTCATACAGAATAAAGGTTAGGATTTTGTAGGGTAAGGTGGGGAGAGTGGGCTGAGATAGTAAGAGCTGGCTCCGTTGAACTAATGAACATGACCCATTGTTTGTTTCTGATCTTGCCCCATGTAGGAAGATAGCAGTGTGTGTGTGTGCTTTATTTTCATAGGAATATTTAGGTTGATTTTTTTTTTTTTTTTAATTTAGGAGCTTGGATTTGGGGTTTTATTTTTTATGACAAAGTAACTAAATCCTGATGGTGTCTTGGAAGCTAGTTTTCTAGTTTTGGTTCACCTTTTTGAACATAGTTTGCTTTATTTTAGAAGTCTATGCAGTAGATAACTGATGCATATGTATTGTATCATATTAATTAAAATCGTAAAAAGATGGTTAGCTTAATATGAAGGTTTGGTGCAAGTATTGCCTCAACAGGTAATGAGTCTTTTCCATGTAGCTGATTTAAATTTATTCAACAAACATTTAAGGTGCGCACACTGTGCTAGGCTTGGGGTTTATGGAACATATGCAGTAATGGGGAGAAACATAGGATATACATAGTAAGCAAATCTCAAGTACTGTGGATAAAGAAAATGTGTAAGAGGATACCAAGTTTGGGAGTGCCAGCACTGTGAATGTCTGCGAGTTTGTGGTGGAATGGGATGAAATTTAGAAAGACTTTGAAGACAGAACCTTGCTCATGCTGGATGAGATGGTTTGGGATGGGGTGGAAGCAGGGAGCCGTGTCAGGTCTCAGGTAATTTAAAGCTCATACTCTGTTTAGAGACCAGTGCCCTAGACTAGACCATGGTTATCAAACTTCATGTGCATCAGAATCCCCTGGGGTTTTGTGAAGGCAGAGATTACGGTATCCTGTGCCACACTGAATGTGGGATAGGTTGACTTTTGAGATGGCTGTTAGGCTTCCACATGGAGACATTGAGAACTCAAAGAAGTGGTATGTTTGGGCTAGAGTTACAAATTTGAGTCTAGGGACTTAAAGCTGTAGATGGTGATGAGATTGTCTAGGAGAAAGCATAGTGTGGGAAGAAGTGGGTGTGGGTCAAGCACCAGTTGGTCCGATAAATACAGTGAGGATTCATTCATTCAATGAAGTGATTGAGAGTTACTGTGTGTTGGACATTTTTCAAGTGAAGAAGACAAGTAGTGTACACTCTCTGCCTCATGTAACTTAACAGTCTAGTGATTGAGAAAATAGACAATAAATGAAACGATTCAGACAAGTAAAGAAGATGATAGATTGTGGTAAGTGCCATGGAGCAAAACCAATTAGGAGGGGGCTCTCTGTGGGTTGAGGGTGTCCTCGGTTTTCAGTAGAGTGTGCAGGGACACCTCCTCCAGGAGGAAAGCACAGAACAGAGGGAGGTGAGGGAGGGAAGTGAGCAGACATCTGCAGGAAGAGTACATAGGCCCTTCTGTCACATCAACCAAGGGGTCTTTTTTTTTCCCCAGGTAATTGATGTTTTGGATCCTTGATCTTATAGGTCTCATACTGTTAGGCTGCTAAACTTGCATAATAATAGTCCCTGTTGGCCTACTTGCTAAAAAACATTATTATTAGAAGATGGAATTATCTAAAATTTATACTTCCTATAAATTTTCCTCTTGGTTTTTTGATAGATACCTTTTTTAGATTGTTTTTAGCACTGAGACTTTTATATCCATCATCCATGTGTTCACTAGTCTATAGCCTTCCTTCCTTCCTTCTTCCATCTCTATCTTTTTTTTTTTTTTGAGACAGAGTCTTACTCTGTTGCCCAAGCTGGAGTGTGGTGGCATGATCTTGGCTTCCTGCAACTTCCACCTCCCAAGTTCAAGCGATTCTCCTGTCTCAGCCACCCAAGCAGCTGGGATTACAGGTGTGTGCCACCACACCCAGCTAATTTTTGTATTTTGGGTAGAGATGGGGTTTCACCACGTTGGCCAGGCTGGTCTCAAACTCCTGACCTCAAGTGATCTGTCCGCCTCAGCCTCCCAAAGTGCTGGGATTACAGATGTGTGAACCACCGCACCGAGTCCCATCTCTGTCTTCGTTTTATGGAATTGACATTCTTGTATTGTGCTATATATTTTGTTACCAGTATTTAGTGACATACCTCCCCCATATTCTCTTCACTGCTGACACTACAGTTGCCTACTGGTCAGTGTGTTTGACTTTCCAATGTTAATCCTACCCCTAGGCCGCTAAGGTAATTCAGCATCTCTTCCAGCTATTGACAGAGTCTGTCCTAGTCAATAAGAGATGAGGAGCAGAGCAGCCTGCTGTGGGGTTTGGAGAAAGATTTCCTAGCTTTTAAGGAGAGGTACGAGAAGAAAGTCTGTTCCTTTTTATGACTTTGTGGTTGGAGGTGATTTCTGAACCTGGGATACCATAGGCTCAGCCTGAAGGCACAGTTACATTCTGAGGATGGTGGATCTGAGAGATGCGTGGAACCAACCACAAAGGCCTGACTTCTTGATTTCCTGTAATGCCAGATAATTACTTTTGTGATTGTTCAAGCCATTTTGAGTTGAGGGTTCTGATACTTGTAGTTAAAGGCATCTTACCTGGTATACTTCATGTTCTTTCCTATAGGAGGTAGTTCTTTTACCAAGAACTTAAAATATTCCTTTAGTTCTATTTAAGCAATTATTGTGCTTTTTTCATTTATGCTTTAATGATCCAATGTATTCAGATTTAGCCATACATCCTGAAGTCAGACTCCTGTTTACTAGGGAAGCTGTGGGTTGGTGGGGGAAAAAGGGGATGTTAAATGAGAGAATCTGACTATAAATATCTTTTGGCAATGCTTGATTAATATGGCTATTATTAAATGTTATATAATATGTCAAGAATTTTTTATTAAAGAAAACGTACATCTTTAAATCATATTACAGTGCTCAGTTATTCATGAGAGGTATTTTGTAGAAACATATGCAGTTCATCATTGACTCCAAATTGATGTACTGCTTTAGCTAACTAACTCAGTTCCTGTTGTAGATGCTGTTTAAAATCTGAAAAGGGAAACGTGTGTTTTTAAAAAATGGAACTGACATTATATATTTCTATTTACAGAGCTTTTTAGCTTATGCAAAACAAGTCAAAAACATACAGGTTGAATTTTTTCATAAAATAATCTTATCTTGTTGAAATGAGGGTCAGTTGGGGAGTTGCAGGGAGGGAGATAGGAACTAATAAGTAAGTCCTGATGATTAACTGTACCTCCTGGGACTTAAAATGCTGGGGATCAAACATTTGATTATGAAGAATTTTAAACATACGGAAGAATTGAAAGGGCAATGCCATAATCTTTCATATTACCAATTTACTTACCCAGTTCAACAATTCAGTAATTATTAAGAATATGCCATCGTTTTTTCTTCTATATTGGAATATGCTTACATATGTTTGGTGAATTATTCGAAGGTCAACTACAGATGTCATGACTGTCTACTTTTATGGAGAAATGGAAATGATTAGTAATGAGATACCGCATTCTCCACGTTATCTGGCTTTATGAACAGCCTTGTAATTTTGTAGCCAACCATAACTTACTAAAAATATTTTTATAGAAAGGTTAATGTAATTCTGTCTCCTAGCCTTGGTGTATTCTTTCGTCCATGAACATATCCATCCACACACTCTATATTGTGTGTCACCCCCTCGCTGAGTGGAGCAGAGCCTGCTCTTGTGGAACCTGTGGTCTCTCAGTGAGGACAGTTGAAGTAACTGAGGTGCACTTGGTACAGCGTGATAAGAGATGCCACAGGACAGGGCGCAGAGTGCTGTTGTTCACAAGTTTTTTTTTTTGAGACGGAGTCTTGATCTGTCGCCAAGCTGGAGTGCGGTGGTGTGATCTCGGCACTGCAGCCTCTGCCTCCTGGGTTCAAGCCTCAGCCTCCTGAGTAGCTGGGACTACAGGTGTGCGCCATCACGCCTGGCTAATTTTTGTATTTTTAGTAGAGACGGGGTTTCACCATGTTGGCCAGGCTGTTCTCGAACTCCTGATCTCAGGTGATCCACCTGCCTCGGCCTCCCAAAGTGCTGGGATTATAGGCGTGAGCCAATGCGCCCAGCATTCACAGGTATTTTTCTGGAGGAAGGAATGGAGTTTCACCCAAGGCCTCAAGGATACGTGGGTGAAGAGGGATGGAGGTGAAGTTGTGAGTTGGAGATTGAGATGCGTTCAGGACAGGGAATCCCAAGTGCAGAGGTCTAGAGGTGAGAGGAAATACCCTTTCTAGAAACATCTTGCAGTATGACTGGTATAAATGAAGAGAGACAGGGTGAGTGTTAAGGGAAGGTGTTGAGCAGATGGGAAGTGAGAGTTGGTGAAGGAAAGGTGGGCAAGGCTGGGACCACGGGTATCCTTGGAAGTTACCTTAACGCACCTGAACTTCCTTCTGAGGGACTGTGGATCTTTTTGAGGTTTAAATCAGAGCAAAGTCTTGATCAGGTCTGTGTTTAAAAAGATCACTTCAAATGGAGAATCGGACACAGGTGAGAACTTGTGTGGTTTACAACCTGGGCTAGGGTGATGATGATGACCAGGACAGAGAGGCAGTGACTTTGAGGCCTAATTGGAAGGGTGGGGGTTACCACATAAAATAACTTAGTTTTTCAAACATATGGAGAAGTTGAAAGAAAGTTATCTCCAGCAACTCAACTTGATCATGGCCAACTTTTCAGTGTGTTTGGTTTACCTGTTTTCCTATTATTTTAGCTATAAATTTACTTGGTTCCTTTAGTAAATCTCCACTGTGTCAGTCAGAAAGATACACTTAAATCCTGGCCACTTATTAAAATCAACAACTTGGCCGAATTTCTTAATCTTTATGTGCATGAGTTTCCTCATCTGAAACAATGACACTGCCTCCTAGGGTGATTATAAGGTCTTAATGGTCTGATAAGTGATAGACACCAACTCACTATATTTACTGGTTTGTGCATCCAAACAGCCCAGAGTTAGAGGTGGATTTCAGGCTTGGCTGGATCCAGGGGCTCACCATTTTTCTCGTTTCCCATCTGTTGGCTTCTTCAGATTGTAGCAACAGGGCCGTTAGCAGCTCCAGACTCAGATCTTGACCTCTTATCAAACCAGTGGGAATGTCTATGCTCATCCCTCCCTCTCCCACAAGTCCTAGGTTTAGTTAGACCAAAGTCGTATAATTGCTAAGACCAGAGTATTTGAAAAATCTGCACAAGGTTGGTCAGGTGTCATGCCTGAAGGGATGGTGTTGAAAATTTGGGGGTACTACCTGTACCATATGGAGAAGTAGAGGTGTTTCCATCTTAAAGCAATGGAGAAGGCTGCTCCCCCAACCAAAAGAAAATTAAACATTAAATAATTGATAGCAATAATTATAGTGTTATTAAATTTTGGAATCCTTGATAGTTGCAAACCTTTCCCACCTTCACTCATTGTAGAAGTTTGGAATTTTTGAATGGCTTCTGGTCTACACCTTTCACTATTTGTCCTCAGAATGGAGTGGGCAGAGTTTCCTTAGGTCTCTGCTTGGCCTGGGTACCGGCTGGTTCACATTACCAGGCTGATTTCCCCAGAAGCAGGTCCCCAGGTGAGCTTTCAGTGTAGTGATTTGGTTGGGAGGTTTGCCCAACAGCCCTCATATTTGGTACTGGACCATGAGACGCAAGGGCAGCCGTTAGGGCAGTGTCTTCCCAGGCAGCTCCTGCGGCAGGCAGCTGATACTGGGGACTGCTGGGAGCCAGCAAGGAGCACACTCAGACCCCCCAGCCCCCTGGGATATCCTGTTTTCATTCCAGGTGAGGACTCTTCCTATGGCCATTCATGCCCTTTACCTCTGACCTTCATGGGTTGACTCTCAGGAGGTGCCCAAGAGAAAGCTGCATGGGGAAGAGTTGCAGGTAGAGGGACTGCAGGCGTGAGCGCTGCCATGCTGTCAGTGTCTACTGCAGCAGGTGCCTGGAGATAAGGGATGCTGGGGCCATGGCATTCACAGCAGGGAACTTATCCTCTGCATAATATTCCTCTTTCTGTTGAAATTGCTACACCAGGGACCGTCTTTTTACTCCAAGTTAAGAGGAGAACTTAAACACTGGTTGGAAGAGAGAAGGATGGGATTTGTGAGTTTACCTGACTACTAAGACCTTTTCTGACCATTTAAATGTATTTCGTGAAGCTTCCTGACTTTTTCAGATCTTTTCAGATACTTTATTTAGAAAATGTCTTAGAGGCCAGGGTGCAAAACCCCAAAAAGTTAGGGTAGTTACCAGCATTGACAAAGCTGTTTTCTTCTTGTGGAATATGAAGTTTTCAGAATTCTGATTAATGAAATACCTACCCAGTGATGGTAATCAGAGCATAGATTTTATACTGGTGTTTAATAATCATTTTGTTTTTTAAAATATTGTGAAGTATTGGGGGTGGTGGTTGCAGGGAGTTTGGTTTTATTTAGAAAAACCTGGCTCTGATTGTGGGGAGGTGGTAGAATTGCAGTCCCAACCTTAGCTACTGAGGAGTGCCTGTGTGTTAAAATGAGGATTAGATGCAAGAAAGACCATAGAATTTGCTGGAGGTCACAGTGATCCCAGGATTCACAGGTTGCATTTCCAGAGCAACGTTCTTGAGAATTTCTAGTCCAGTCTCTATCACCAGGTGTTAAACAGCACACATAGCTTGGAAGCCACAGTGCCACTGACACATCAAAAATGCTGGGCTTACGGTAAATGAATGACAACCACTGCTGCTGAGCAAAGGGCCAACCTCCTCAGGATGCTTTTGTGAAATTTCTGGGGAATCCAACTAGTAACCAACTTTGATGTTGTAACTTTTTCTATATTGCTAGAATGAGCCTGAGAGAAAACTCACATGTTATGAGGCATGCCATGTATAGCAGTTCACTTTCATTAGCTGGTGGGACAGTAACGTTGAATGTGCCTGTGATTGGATGGAAGAAAACACGTGAATCTGTGCTCATTGCAGCCAGACTTCCTTGGAGCATAGGTAGAGAAGGGATGCCCGCTGCTTTCTGATTTGGAGAGGATGGAGAAGGCAAACTGAGGATTTTCCTCTAAATAATTTAGACTGCCTGGGCACGGGTGAGCATGGCCATGACGGAGCAATTGTTATTAAAGAGCCTAGCACAGTGTTGTGCTGACAGGTGGCGCCAGTGGTCCAGGGTCTACTTCCAGGAAGGTCTTGTACATTTCAAGTAAGTAAGGGACTAAGGAACCCTGGAGGTACTGGTTACTTTGGCTTGTACTGAGCATTTCTCTACATGTCTGTTTGGTTTCACCAATGTCATGTGCATCCTTAAATGAAGAATAGTGTTGGAAGCTTACACGTGGCTGTATAAAGAATGGGCAAGGTTGCCACTGTTATGTAAGGATGTCAGAAGAAAAACTGAAAAGCGTTTCAGTTCTCCATATGGCTTCAGCTTCCCTGGGAGATGAGCAGAGGCCACTCTGGCTTCAGTAGACAAGGTTGTAGGTGAGTCTTGACAAACAGACCCAGCTGAGGGTGTCCCATAAAGCGGAAGTGTGGGCCTGCCACTGGCAAGAGTGTGGTCTAGGGAAGGGGACTGTATTTAGACTGTCAGCTCTCCACAGAGGTCTAGCCAAACACTTGTATAGGCAACTGGCGAGTCCCCAGCTGAGCCCAGCCACCAGGAGGGGAGCTGTAGCCATAGTGTGTCTGCAAAACCACAGGAGTAGAGGGATGTGGCTGAGACATTCACTGCTGCCTCCCACCCCCAAGTGGTAGTGCTCTTGCATGGACGTGCCAGCATACTTGAGAAGAATAGGATAAATGGTGATTGCTATCAAATACCACATGGTAGGAAGCTTGTGCATCTTTGCTTTGAGCTATATATTGTGTTTTATCACACATTTATTTTATATCCTCACCTCATAGAAAACCTAACCGTAGGCTGAGTGCAGTGGCTCATGCCTGTAATCCCAGCACTTTGAAAGACTGAGGCAGGCAGATTGCTTGAGGTCAGGAGTTTGAGATCAGCCTGGCCAACATGGCAAAACCCTGTCTCTACTAAAAATACAAAAAATTAGCCGGGTATGGTGACAGGCGCCTGTAACCCTCTCTACTCAGGAGGCTGAGGCACGAGAATTGCTTGAGCCTGGGAGGTGGAGGTTGCAGTGAGTCAGGATCACGCCACTGCACTCCAGCCTGGGTGACAGAGCAAGACTCCGTCTCAAATGACAACAACAACAACAACAACAAAAAACCCCAAAAACCTAAATATAGAAGGCCAGGGAAGGGAAAATATATGAACAACCAAAAGACATGAATTTTAGAGTGTATATTTTTGAAGATGGTTTTTTAAAATTCAACTGAATGATGTTTGTCACAATTGTAATTAGATTTACTTTGATATTCAAAGTATGGCATACTAAAGAAGAAATTATAGAAATAATGTATATGATTGTAGTTCAGTGATAATTGTGAAGTTGAATAATATTAGGTCACATATTTCTTTTATGACGTATATTTTTATTATTTTATTGACCAAACCAAAAGGCTTTGGAGCCAGATTTGTCAAATTTGCATTCTGACTCTCCCTTTTACTACTGGGTTGATCTTGGCTTAACCCTTTTGGCTTCAGTTTCCTCCTCTTATTATTATACTTTTGTTTTTTTTGTATAGCAGGTAAGTGTATTGTGCCTGAATACTTGTTGCAGTGTTGATATGTGAATAACTTTTATTTTATTTTTAACAGGGACCTCCGAAACAATCTTATTAGTAGTATAGATCCAGGTGCCTTCTGGGGACTGTCATCTCTAAAAAGATTGTAAGTGTTTGAATTGCTTGCTTACGAGTTTGAATTGTTGCTTATATAAATAGCTGTCAACTTACTTTAACATGATGAAAAATGGACATTTAATAATTTTTTGAGCTTTACCTGGCCAGGTCCCTGATACAGAAAGAGGCTGGGCACAGTGGCTCACGCCTGTATTCCCAGCACTTTGGGAGGCTGAGGCGGGTGGATCACCTGAGGTCAGGAATTCAAGACCAGCCTGGCCAAGGTGGTGAAACCCCGTCTCTACTAAAAATACGAAAATGAGCTGGCATGGTGGTGTGTGCCTGTAGTCCCAGCTACCTGGGAGGCTGAGGCAGGAGAATCACTGGAACCTGGGAATGGGAGACTACAATGAGCTGAGATTGTGCCACTGCAAGACAGAGCGAGACTCTGTCTCAATAAAACAAAAAGAAAGAAAAACAAAGAGTATTTTATATAAGTAGCTGAGAAGGTGGTTGATTTGCACAGTGGTTTGATTTGTTTGGTGGTGGATGGCTGTGTTACTCTTATGCTACTAAAATCATTACCATGTCGGCTTTGCCGGCGCACATAATCTGTAGACGATTTTCAAATTATGAATCCATTCAAACTGTGTCTGTTGTAAATGCCATATAAACAGAGGTACCTTTTAAGTAATGATTTAAAGTCTTGCTATTTTCATGTGTATCTATATATTACAATTTTAAAACCTAAGGACCAGTTTTTATTGCTTCTGAAGCTAAACAACTCCCCTATCTCCTATACGAAGCTCCTTTCACAGTTGCTGTCTGAGCAGGCCCACATTTGAGAAGCGGCTCTACACAAAAGCCATGAGGACTGTCTCTCCATCCTTTATGCTTTCTGAAAGCGTTTACTGAGCACTTGCCACTTACCATGCCCTGACTTCTTCGGAAGATCTTGCAGACCCTTGGGGTGGGGAGGATAGATAATGTAGGGGAAGAAAAATAATTTTCCCTCTACCCTTCTAATTTCTCAGCTTGGACCTCTAACAAAAGACAGATTAACAGGAGAAAAACAAGTTTATTGAGAAAACTCAGGAAAAGAGTAATTCTCAAAAGAGGTGGCTTAGAACTCTGGCTTATGTAGCATTTCAACAAGGAGCAATACATTTTTAGAGAAGTGACAAGACAAAGGAAAAGGACCTTGAGTCTCTTAAGGGAAAGCAAATTGTGGGAAGGCAAATATATTGGAGACTAATGGTAGATAAAGTCCAGTTAGTAATGTTTGTTATGTAGATTCCTTTGGTGCCTTGTCTAGGCTGATAAGGGTCCAAAGCCCTCTCCTGGGAGGAACTTTTGTCCTTTCTGGTGGAGAGGGGAGGAGGGACACCTTTGTAAATTTATGTCCTGCTTTTAGTCAGATAGGGTAGAGCAGAGAACTTTTCTTGTATCTATCTGCTTTTCAATTGCCTGTAGCTGGAAATAATCCTTATGCCAACATGACATGTTTTGGGTGGCATGTTCTGCTACCCTTCAGTCGTTAGTGAAAATACGTCTGAACGCACACACAGGCGCTGTAACAGGTTAGATCATAAACAGAACCTGCTAGGGAAAGGAGAGAGCACCTGCAATGGGAACAGCCTGCCATGAGAGCCACTGACGTGTTTAGATTTGAACTTTCTCCCAAGGAATGAATATGTATTAAAAAGGCCTTCCAAACAGGGTGGGCGCAGGTGTGCAAGAATGTATCTCTTGGGACAGTAGTTTAGTTCTTTGATCAGAGCAGAAAGTAGAAAGAGGGAAAAGAATATTGGGAGATCAGGCCGGTCAGGGACTGGGATTTTGAAGACCTGCTATATTAAAAATGTTTAATCTGTTCTTTTGACAGTGCGGGGCTACCAGAACTTTTTTATTATGGAATTGACGTGATCAGATTTGTATTTCAGAGTATTCCTGATAGCAATAAGGAGAAACCACATAAATGTAGGGAGACCAGGGACAAAAGATCAGGGAGAGAGACCAGATCCATGGTTTTATTTTCCTTATAGTCATCCTTTTGGTGGGCTCTGTGTCTTGTTTTTTGGGGTTCTTATATACTTCTTTAAGTTTTCTTTTTTTTTCCGCCTCCAGTGTGTGTGGGTATTTTTTTTATGTCTTACTGGTTTTCTGTAGTATTTGCATCATAACACTGGGTATGGCTGCTTTTAGTTTAATTATGCCATGACTTAAATGTTGACATTGACTTTCCATCTTAATACTTTTGACATCGTCTGTCTTATTTAGTCGTTTAAAACCTATTTCTTTATTTTTTTTTTTAACTTTTTAGTTCAGGGGTACAAGTGCAGGTTTGTTGCGTAGGTAAACTTGTGCCATGGGGGTTTGTTACACAGATTATTTCATCACCCAGGTATTAAGCCTAGTACTCATTAGTTGTTTTTCTTGATCCTCTCCCTCCTTCCACCCTCCTCCCTCCAAAAGGCCCCAGTGTGTGTTGTTCCCTCTATGTATCCATGTGTTCTCATCATTTACCTCCCGCTTAGAAGTGAGAACGTGCAGTATTTGCAAAACCTATTCCTTTTTATTGTAAAATCCAATTGTAAAAATTGGTCATGCTCTTTTTTGCAAAAGATTTTTTTTTATTGCTTTTGCAAGTAAAATATCTTTCATCTAAAAACCTATCGTCTGTAGCTTTCCTCCTATTTTTCTCTCTCAGGCAGCCTTAAGGGTCAGAATTCTGTAAGATTAAGAAAGGTAGGAGTTAAAGGATTTTCTCTTTGTCTTTTAAAATTAGTTACAATTTGAATCAGTAGGGAATTTCCTACCATAGTTTTTGCTGGGGGTGAGTGGTGGTCTCCTGTGTTTATCAGTCTGTCTGCGCTCATTAGAAACTCAGGGCCATCTGGAGGAGATCTTGCTACTAATCAGTTTTCTTCTCTTCTGCCCATTCTGCACTTTATTATTTTCTAGTGAAGACTTTTAATGGAACAAGTTAGAAAAGCTGGCTGGTCTGGGGTAGGTGGTAGTGGAGATTGGAGTTCTAGGTAAGGAAGGTAAGCATTATAGGAGGGTAGACATTAGGCATCAGATTGCATGGGACCAAGCCAGGTTTAGAGTTCAGTAAAAGGACTATCAACCAGGTGTAGCAGCGTAATCAAAATGATAAGGTGGTGATCGGTGTCAGTTCAGTTCAACAAAAATTCATGAAGTTCATCCTGTGAGCCCAACTGTGAGCAAGGGTCTGGAGACACACAGGTAAATCAGGAAGCTCTCGAGGAGTTTGCAGTCTAATGGAATTACGAACACCGACCAAGAGTCTGGATATGGAATTGAAATACATTTACAAAGAGATGAAGCAGTAGCTAGAGTTTAGCTGCTAAGAGTCTTGGAAGTTGTTAGGACTCAGCTATCCAGACACAGGCAGGGGATATGGAGCATGACCGTAAACAGGCTGCACCTCCAGACACAGGTCATTAGGGAGTTGAGGGGCAGCAGCAGGTGAGCATGATTTATAGCAGTGACTCACTTTCTTTGTGCTTCTGTCTGTGCTGGAGTCAGTTTTGCACCCATGCCTAGGAACATGAGTCCTCAAGTAGAAAGCAAAAGTGTAGGGGCTAAGATCTACCCTATCAGAAACTCGGGCTGATGCTGAATGATTTTTATTTCAACCATCCCTCCCAGTGATTCTGATGTGAAAGTATGAGAACTTTTAGAATATTTTTCCCTGCAATCTATTTTTTTCCCTCAATGGGAGGAATGTGAAATAATACTGTCAGGTCCTTTTCTTATCCCCTCCCTCTGTGTTCCACACTGTTGTAGTCACAGCTTTTAGGTAATAAAAATATTAATGCTGATTTTATCTCTATGCTGAGATATAGTTTGAAGAAAACCTATTGTTAATAAAAAGCAGTTTCTTCAGTATGTTTTAGATACTGCAGACTATCTTAATGCTGATTTTATCTCTATGCTGAGATATACTTTGAAGAAAACCTATTGTTAATAAAAAGCAGTTTCTTCAGTATGTTTTAGATTCTGCAGACTATCTTAGATTCTCCATCTAGTTATTTATCTTTCAGTAAATAATCTCTCAAGCACTGCCATCCAAAATGAATTTTAAAAATTCTCATTCAGGAGTATTTAATATAATTACTGATATTGTACCAGGCATTGCCTTAGTAGTCTTTCACTGTGTTACACGTTAAGTAGTCTCTTGTGTTCTTGCTTAGGAAGGTAATTGCCATTTATAATATTCTTCCCACTAGAAGATACATTCTTAATTCCAAACAGATGACTTATAATTAACTTAGGGTACACAGCTTGCAAGCTGAAGAAGTCCTGTATGTAAACTCAACGGGATATAAAGATATTTGACAGTAGTGATGTTTGCTAGTTGCTCATAGATACAGACCGTTTTTCTTATGGGTTCTTAAGTCATTAATTTCAGTTGTGCATCTCCCTTAACAAGAACACATAAAGTATTTTTGTTATTAAACCATGCCTTTGCCTTTAGTTTATAAATAATTTGATTTAGGAAGTTGAAGTGGCTTTCTGAAGAATATACTATCAGAAGTAGGTGAACCCTAGATCCATCAGTTTCTCTTGTTTTATCAACGAATTTAAGTTGATTCTCAATCCAAATAACAACCCATTATCAATATCTAAATACCATTTTAAGTAGGTATAGCTGTAATGAAATTGTTTCCCAGAGAATCAATGGTGATTGCACCACTTAAAGCTCAGAATTGAGACAAGATTATAAATAGAGCCTAGATATGCTTGTTTATGCAACAATTTACAAGAAGATGCCTAATTTTTGTTAACAGTGAAACCCAGAATTAAAAGGAAAATCAACTGGGATTTAAAAGAAAAAGTCCCACGTGATTAAATACTTAGGAGCTACAGAAAAACGAGGACAGATAAAGACTTATATTGCTTAAGATTCTTTTATCAAATGTTGCCATAACAGAGGGAAGGCAGAACTATGAAATTATTGAAATTAGGATTACCTAAGGTGCTGTATTAGGCCTCTCCAGAGAGAGAGGACCAGTAGGATGTATGAGAGGGGATTTATTAGGGGGAATTGGCTTACATGATCACAGAGGGAGAGAGGTCCCACAATAGGCTTTCTGTAAGCTGGAGGGCCTATGAATCCTGTAGCATAGCTCAATCAAAGTCTGGAAGCCTTAGAACTGGAGAAGCTGACCTTGCAGTCCCCAGTCCAAGGCCGAAGGCATGAAAGCCCCAGGAAGCCCACTGATGCAAGTTCCAGAGTCCAAAAGACAAAGAACCTGTAGCCTGATGTCCAACAACAGGAGGAGAAGACATCCTGCTGTGGAAGGGGAGAGAGAGAGCAGAGAGAGACAAGCCCTCTCTTTTGCCTGTTTGTCCCAGCAGGGCCCCAGCTGACTGGATGGTGCCCACCCATACTGAGGGCAGGTCCTTCCTGTCTCTGTCCACTGACTCCCGCACCAATCTCCCCTGGAAACGCCCTCACAGACACACCCAAACCAATGCTTCACCAGCCATTGAGGCCTCTCAATCCAGCGAAGTTGACACCTAAAATTAAACCATCTCATTTTAACTTTTGAAATAGTCAAGGAAAAAAAACAAACGAGTTAGGTACCTGATTCAAACATTATGTTCTTAGAATTTCTGGTGAGACTACTACATGACCAAGTACACAGTTTGGAATCCAATACTTTTAGTTTGAAATGGATGGTGCAGATCGCCTTACTGAAGAGTAACTCGAAGAATGCGTACCTCTCTATGACAGAGAATAATAGGGACATTGGAGGCAATATGATGAAAATATTTTTGAAAGTTTGACTTAGGGAGCTTATTCTAATTATTCTGTCAGAATTCAAAGTGTGATGAATTATTCCAAGTCTAGCAACTAATAAAACTTAAGATTCATTGTTTTAGGGTTTTCTTGCATAGGGCTAAGTCCACTGAAAACAATGATGCGAGTCATGCCATGCCAGGTGTAAGTTACAGATATTGTCAGTGGTTATCTCCCAACATAAAGTTTTTACTTTTAAACCAGTGCAGGTGTCTGATTAAATGTAAAAATAAAATTGTGTTCATTGTCCTTGATGTCAAGCAAAGTAAATAAAGAGGGATAGAACAAAATATTAACTAAAACTTTTACATAGGTAAAAAGAAAAAGGTTTCATTGAGGAGAAGTAAAAAATATTTAGAAGGTAATATTTAATAGGAAATAGAAATGAGGAGTGATTGCAAAAATAATTGGGCCATATCATAGATATTGTTAAAGTAATTTGGCTAGGAGTCTGAATGATAGATCTGTAAACTAAAAGCTAACACAGTTTTTTTTTTCATTATAGTTGAAACTTCTGAGTATTTAAGGAATGAAGTCAGAAAGTGGTATTTTCAGATGTTTCCGAGGAAATGAAAGTTCCATCATTGTAATATTTTGCCCTTTTATCCATTATCTGTCATTTACTGGCTGAGTTTGGGCTCAGTTCTCCAACTGCCCCAGCATAATTAACTGTGTAGGTCATCTAAGGAATTGTATTGCAGGCAGCAAAATAGTTTGAGTCTCATTTTTACTACTCCAGTTTTATCTTGAGTAATTTTGCAAGAGTAAGTGCTTGAAATATAGAGGGCACTATAATTGAGCAGCATTGAGTCTGTGCGTGCCAGCAGTAAGTGAAAGCAAGGATCATTTTCAGCCTCACTGCTATCCTTATCTCATTTGCGTACAGTAAATATCTCAAAGTTGCTAGAATAAAGGTCTTGTGCGATACCTGGGTGCTGTTCTTGAATACTGAATGCATGAGACCTTCTTTAACCAAGAGAACTAATTGAAGACACTTTTCCACCCTTCTCCTTAGGGATCTGACAAACAATCGAATAGGATGTCTGAATGCAGACATATTTCGAGGACTCACCAATCTGGTTCGGCTGTAAGTATATCTTTTCTTTCCCATTAAAAGATAAGGAAGCATTTGAGCCAGTACCTAAATATGTATGAAACTTATGTATTTAATTATAAGTAGCAACTGTAGGGGTTATAGAAGCCATAGGGGACAAGGAGCTCACAATTTAATCATGGGGATGTAATCTCCTCAGAATATAATGCTACCTTACCACACCACACACGGACACATGTGCATGTACACCACACACACACACCAAATAACACAGTGTAGTACATGCAACAGAGAGCACGTTCATGCTGAGCAGTATGATCAAAAGCTTTGCTAGTCTGGGAAAATTTCTAGGAAATAGTAAAATGTGAGCTGATGGCCCAGAAGATTTGCAGAGATCTGGATAGTGAGAAAGGAAAAGAAGCCAAACTAATGATACATGAAGGTGGGAATGAGAACAAGGCCATTTGTCAAGGGGAAGGCTGGTGGCCTTGGAGGAAAATAAACATTTGAATTGTGCCTCTGACCATGTGATCTGGGGTGAATTGTTTGACTTTTCTGAACTTTTCTGTTTTTCGTCTACAAAGTAGGATTAATAGTAGCTCAAAGTTATAATGATTATTTAAAATTTAAGTTATCTATATTTGTTTATTATAATTTATATAGAATATAAATGTAGAAGAACTTTGTATAAGCCATCAAGTATGTTTATATCTTTTTTAAAAAAATAAAGAAGTTTTAAGCTAGGAACAGTGGCTCACGCCTGTAATCCCAGCACTTTGCGAGGCCGAGGCAGACAGATCAGTTGAGGTCACGAGTTTGAGACCAGCCTGGCTAACATGGTAAAACCCCATCTCTACTAAAAATACAAAAATTAGCTGGGCGTGGTGGCACATGCCTGTAGTCCCAGCTACTCGGGAGGCTGAGTCACGAGAATTGCTTGAACCCAGGAGGCAGACGTTGCAGAGGTTGCAGTGAGCCAAGATTACGCCACTGCACTCCAGCTGTGGGTGACAGAGCAAGACTCTGTCTCAAAAAAATAAAAAAAAAAGTAATAAAGAAGTTTTGTTTGGGAGTAATTAGACATAAGGCTGATTACTTATAATACAGCTTTATTTTGAAATGTATGAAAAGCAGATAGGGGCTTAGAACTGACTAAACAATAGGAAGCCACTGAAAGACATTTATGTTGGAAAATGGCATGAAATCATGTTTTAGAGACAAGTAGTCTGGGAATAGGGTTCCGCATGAAATGCTAGATGTGGAGTGGAAGGTCAGTGTTAAGGGTTGTCTACTTGTGGTTCTTTCTCCCTGTAGCTTTTTAGAATGTTTCTTGTATTTCAAGTTACCTTTGAAAAACCAATTAGGGGCTTAAATGAAGAGATTCTTTCATCTATACAGTAAGGGAAGAGATTTCAAATCAATTATTAGAGTAGAACAGAATGTTCGTGCTGCATAGGAAATTTGTAGCTGTTTTCAGTGTGTCCTTTTGTTTTCAGGGAAAGGTATATGGCCTGATTTTTGTTTTTAAATAAAAGACTGATTTGGTGTGCAGCTTTACTCATGACTTAAGTTAGTTAAATTAACTGCTTCTTAACTCCTTTGTAATTGCCCTGCAAACATTTCTATCTCAGTGCTTTTTAAAATCTCTTCTTGAGCTTTTTGTATTTTTACTTTTTCTTTCTTTTTTTTTTTTTTTTTGAGATGGAGTCTCGCTCTGTCGCCCAGGCTGGAGTGCAGTGGCACAATCTCGGCTCACTGCAACCTCCACCTCCCGGGTTCACGCCATTCTCTGCCTCAGCCTTGCGAGTAGCTGGGATTACAGGTGCCCGCCACCACGCCCGGCTAATTTTTTTTTTGTATTTTTAGTAGAGATGGGGTTTTGCCATCTTGGCCAGGCTGGTCTTAGACTCCTGACCTCGTGATCCACTCAACCCAGACTCCCAAAGTGCTGGGATTACAGGCGTGAGCCACCACGCCTGGCTGTATTTTTACTTTAGAGGACTGCGTTAGAATTGACAAAACCATACATCTGTGAAGTAGGCTTTTGTTATGTTTTTGGACAGCTATGACTGAAGTAATGAAAAACAAAATAGTAAAGTGGAGCCTACTATTTTGTTGATTTTAGTTTTAGATTGATTTCTAGCTTTGGCCTAGGGATTTGACACATCAGCAAATGTTCTTTAGGCAAAAGAGCTGGGTGAGACAGAGCTTCTGTTAGGGCAGGTTGCTATTTTCTTAGTATTTCCTTTGCCTTCTTCGTCAAGAACTAAAATGTTTGGTAGGTTTAGAACTTGGGTTGTCTCTTACATTTTTACCAGTTATCTTATACCTGTTATGAGAATGTATACATCATGGAACACAATGAACATCATCCAAGTAAAACATGAAAACATAAAAATAATATTGCCAAGCTTCCCACTTTGAGATTTGATTGAGATGATCTTATAGTTCATGTAATAATAGATTATAGTGGCCTTTAAATTTGATTTATTTGTATTTGTATATAGATTTCTGGGGTACAGGTGCAGTTTTGTTACAGGCATAGATTGCATGGTGGTCAAGTCAGGGCTTTTAGGTATCCATCACCTGAATCATGTACATTATACCCATTAATCTCATCATCCACCCTCTTCCTACCCCCTCATGCATGTGATTTTCCACTGTCTATCATTCCTATTGTGGATTTTCTAAATGGAACAGTCTGTGGCATATATAGCAGTATACCTGGCCTACATCTTTTAAATACCTTTTAAAGACAACGTGGCAATTAAGGAAACTTCTTACCATTCAACATTGTGTTGCAGTGACATTGCTTATCGTAATTTGGGTTGGCACAGGTCTAGAGCTGTGGATCAGGAAACTTTAAATGTTTTGCATGGGCTGCTACTGTCCCCAGATTTTTGAGCTCTTGAGCCAGGCCATATGCCAGTTGTGAAGGATGATAACAGCTCATATTTCAGATATGGAGAATAGCATTTTCTCAGTCCAATGAGTAGAAAAGAGAATATGATTAGGAATGGAGCATGTAATACATTTCTTAGATTAGGAATCAGAGATCTTCCTCTTACTGTTTCCCACCTGAAAGAGAAGGTATACAAAAAGAAGGAATTCTAGAGTGGATCACTGTTCTAGCCGTTTCCTCTGGTAACTCTTCAAATGGGGACCTCAAACTTCCTTGGCTAAGGGATGATGAGACCTTGGCGGACAGCCTAGGCATTCTCAGCCAGATTTCTCATCATTTTTGATCAAGTCTTGGCTTTGGAAATTTAATAATTTTTTTTTTTTTTAGAAAAAACAACCCTTTCTTTAAGTGTGTCAGAGGCCTTAGTAGACATGGGTGGAGTGGGGGTGTAAAGTTGATTAATTCTATATATTGATCTCTGCCTTTGCTGATGGAGAAGTTCTCTTGAACTGTCTCAGAGAAGTATAGTCCTACTTGCAAAGGTTCTCACTCTGTCCCACTGTAACAGTGGACATAACTGGCAGACCAAACGGGGAGCCAATAATGGACTTCTGTGAAGCCTGTGTCCTTCACTTAGGAAGTTAATTTGCAGAGAAATGTCAGGAGATCTGCAGACCAAAATCTGTCAGGAGATCTACAGATCAAAATTTTTTCAAATTGTTCTTTATGATCAATCTAATACCTGTATTTTTTCCTCAAGAGTTATACCTTTAATATTTCCCTATCAGAAATATATGTATTTATAAGAACTTCCCTTTACAATTTCCTTTATATGAAAACATGTGTATATATTTGTATATAAATACATACATACAACTTATATATATATGTTTGTATAAAGAACTTCCTTTATACAAAAAAGGTGGTTGTTACTGAGTAATAAAATCATATGAAGGAAAAATTAGATTTCCTTTCATCATTTCAGTCACATCATCCTGAGATAACTTGTATTAATGATCTGGTGTATATATATATATATATATATTTTTTTTTTTTTTTTCTGTTATATCCAGAAATGCATAGACACACACACAGAGCTTTAAAAATGCTCTGTACCTGGCAACTCAGTTTAAAAATAATTTACCAACATATTAACATGTTTTTAATAGAGTACATGTTGATTTAGTTCATGCTTGTCAGTGGCTACAGAATATTCTAGTTATAGAACAGATTGTAACTTAGTCATTCCTCTGTAGATGGAGATTGCATTTAATTGCATTTCCCCTTCCTTTACCAAATCTGCCCTGATAAAGGCTTCTGTATAATAGATGATGTATCATATACACATGCAGCTCTTAGGAATTCAAATGTTATCTATTTAGCATAAAATAAGTAAATAAAGTCAAATTAAGTGAGAGTAAGAAACAACAATGGCTGGGCACAGTGGCTCACGCCCGTAATCCCAGCACTTTGGAGGCTGAGGCAAGCGGATCACTTGAGGTCAGGAGTTCGAGACCAGCCTGGCTAACATGATGAAACCTCGTCCCTACTAAAAATACAAAAATTAGCCAGGCCTGGTGGCATGTACCTGTAATCCCAGCTACTCCGGAGGCTGAGGCATGAGAATCACTTGAACCTGGGAGGCAGAGATTGCAGTGAGCCACTGTACTCCATCCACTGCTCTCCAGCCTGGGCAACAGAGTGAGACTTGTCTCAAAAAAAAAAAAAAGAAGCATAAAGGATGGGGGTGGGTGGGTAACTTACCTGCTGCTCCATTCTATGAGCTTATTGTGATACAGGAGCAGTGACTTTGTTCTGGTCATTCTCAACTCCCTCTTAGTTTTATTTATTTATGTATTTATTTAGTGAGCATCTCAGAGCTAGACTGCGATTGTAATGTTGTAAAATATGTGTCATTGCTTATGTCCCCCCAAATCCAAGCTAATTACTTCACTTGTGTTCAGCCATACAAATGGCAATCTGTTCCAACACTCAAGGAAAAATTGGTTTGCGTTGGGATTTACTAAGAAGATGGCATGTCCTTCTCTAATGTGATCCCTTCCTTTGCGATTTCCAAGGGAAATATCTAATAATATGCATATTAGAACCTAGTGGTTGCTGTAAGATGCAATTCATTTTTTTTTTTTTTTGAGACAGAGTTTCACTCTGTTACCCAGGCTGGAGTGCAGTGGTACCATCTTGGTTCACTGTCACCTCCGCTTAGCCTTAGGCTTAAGGTGTCACCACCTTAGCCTCCCAAGTAGCAGGGACTATAGGCACACACCATCACACCTGGCTAATTTTTGTATTTTTAGTAGAGACGGGGTTTCACCTGTTGGCCAGGCTGGTCTCAAACTTCTCACCACAGGCAATCTGCCCACCTTGGCCTCCCAAAGTGCTGGATTACAAGTGTGGGCCACTGCACCTGGCCCAATTCTTTGAAGTCCTACATTTGTAGGATAGATATTTATTTCTAACTTACTGTTATGGAATCTTGCAAACATTTAAAGAAAATCGGAGACAATTGTACATATAAGGAATGTGTGTGTACCCATTACCCTGTCTTAGCACTTCAGTTTTACCTACCATGTCTTGTCTTGTAGCATTCATTATTTTAAACATATTTCAGTAATCATATATTTAAAATGGGATAGCTTCATAACATACACAGTTGTTGATTGTAATTGCATCTAAGTTACTTTCTTAAAAAAAATTTTTTTTTTTTTTGAGACGGGGTCTCACTCTGTTGCTCAGGTTGGAGTGCAGTGCTGCAGTCCTGGCTCACTGCAGCCTCTGCCTTCCGGGTTCAAGTCATTCTCGTGTCTCAGCTTCCTGAGTAGCTGGGATGACAAGCACACACCACCACACCCAGCTAATTTTGTAGTTTTAGTAGAGACGGAGTTTCACCATTTTGGCCAGGCTGGTCTCAAACTCCCGACCTCAGGTGATCCACCCACCTCAGCCCTCCCAAATTGCTGAGATTATAGGCGTGAGCCACTGCACCCGGCCAAAATGATTTTTATCTTTTTTATTTTCTTAAAATGTTATTGTGATGTATACTGCCATGGGCACACCTTTCTCACAATTCACATTTGGTATCTGCTCTGATAGGCCAAAAATAAAAGACTTCCCTTTCCTCCTTTCAATTTGCAAATACTCTTTTCTGTTTAAGTTCCTAGGTACTTATTCTGTGAGAATCACTGAATCCAGCCTTTTTCTTACAAAAAAATTATAAAATATAAAAACCAATCCAGTGTTGTTCTTGCTGAAGGTCATTGGAGGTTAATTTGTAAAGTGTTGGCCATTGTGTGATATCAGGTCTTCCCATCCAGGAATATGTTGCTACAGGTGTCCCAGGAACAGCTGACCTCTTCCTGATCAGTTCTCTTCTCCAACTCCACTTGGAAATGCATCTGCCCAATGGTCACTCTCTCTCACATGTGAAGAATTCAGCCCAGATTCCAGAGGAGAAGTTGCAGGACTAAGTTGCAGGACTCTGGATTTCTATCCCATCCTCTGCTGTGTTCCACCCCCACCTCATTTCTAGAACTTTAGGTCTAAATTCTGACTGTTCTTGATACCATAACAGGCATAGAACAGATCTTGTGGAGGTTGAGCATATGCGATTTTTCCAGAGTGCTCAGTCTCATTTTAGCATTAGAAGTCCCCTGAAGTTGAGGTGTACATCCTGAGCAATGGGCAATTATTGAGCACCATTTATATTCCAGCATGTTACTGGCTGTACACGGAAGTGCGTACACACACAGGCCGTCCTCCCCCGAGCTCTAGAGCTCATCGTCCGGTATGAAAGAAATAATTCGGTCAAATCGTTTTGGGTGTAACAAACCACTCACATTGTAGAATAGGGGTTTCTGAGTTCCATTCATTCAAAACGCTGCGAGACTCAGGTTATGTATTGAAGCCTGCTAACACAGGATAGACTAGAGAACTGATGTGCCCAAGAGCAACGTGGAATTATATCCCCAGTCTCTCATTTTAAGCCCTGAACTCATCCCGCTCCCCTCATATTTTCAGTCATGTTTAGTATGCTACTGCTGCTGATCATTGAGGCCATCCTTTTCCTTTTGTTATTTTTTAAAGTTTTAATTATTTATTTTCTATTTGTTTTTACATTTTTATTTGCTGCTTTCTTAAATTAGATGTGAGTGAACCCTTCGAGTAATTCTAGTGGGAATTCAGTTAGGGTACCTTTTAGGTTCACCTGATATTTGACAGAAAAATTCTTATCTAGCTTTAATATGCTTTTAATAATTGTATTTACTACTTTGTGTAAGGTGAAGCATAATTTTCTTCTTCACCCTTGGAGGAAGTGTTTTCTAATCGCTCCCTCTTTATAAGCATTGAAACTTTCATGAGTTCTTTACAACATTATTTAATGACTGTAGGATGCTTTAGAAAATATGAAATAGGATAAAATGATAGATAATTGTATTTTTAAAAGTGAAATTGTTTTCTGTCTTTCAGAAACCTTTCGGGGAATTTGTTTTCTTCATTATCTCAAGGAACTTTTGATTATCTTGCGTCATTACGGTCTTTGTAAGTAAGAATTTTTTTCTCTCTTTTTTTTTTTGATTTTCATGTCTTTTTGAAAATTAAAAACATTTATTATGTGGTTTCAGAGACTTTGTGAGGACAATCTTGTCAAGGTAGAGTCTCACTTGAGAGCTTGCATTCACATTGAAAAACATACAGTAACCCTGAATAATGTGGTTTAGACTAGGACAACTGTTTTCTCCTTAGGATACCATATTACTCTAATCTATATTTAGAGTAAGTAAACTGGTAATTGTTTCTTTTTGACTTTTTTTTCAAATCATAAAATGTTGCCTTGTTTGACTAATTAAATTTCCAAAGTATAAAATAACCCTTCCTATGAAGAATTTGTAAGAATATTTTATACTTTAGGAATTTAATTTTATCCTGTAAACCCCCCCCCCCACTTAAAATCAAACTTACAGCTTATTACTGATGTTTCTAGGGATATTCATTTAGAATGCTTACTTTATGAAATCAGTTTAAGTTCTGATTTACAGTTTCTTGTAGCTTTAGAATTGGTTGATTTTTTTTCCCCCAGTTTTGTTAACTGAGAGATTGCATAGAAGTTATTTTGAAAGTAACTATTTTCAGATAAACCTTAACATATCTCAGACTATAAATTATCCTAAGCTTATTGGAATTACAGTTAAATATAATGTTGTTCAGGTTTTCATTGTGAGTAATTTATGGGATTGAGTGTCTTTCTTCCAGGGAAAGAGTTTTTCTCTCCTGATTCCTCTCTTCCCTGTACTCTGACTTCTCCTCTCATCTCTGTTCCTTTCCTGCACCCGTCATTTAAATCTCATTTAGGAGTCTTCCTTGGGATGTAGCTAATAGCTATTAGGAGCCCCAACCAGCTCCTCACCATCATAGCAGGCATGTGTGTGTACTTCTGGAGTCACTTTGGCTCACACTCCATACTCCATCTTGTTTCTCTTTTTGGCACCCTTACCATTCTTATCCAGAAGACTACCTTTGAGCAGAAACATCTCCTTTTGGCTTATTTAGTGGGCTCAGGTCAACCATTTCTGCAAAGATTAGGAAATAAAAAAGACAAAAGCTAGTCTGGCTTTTGAGACCCTGGGTAGCAGGAACGTGGGAAGTATTTTCATCCCCCAAATGGGGGAAATTGCCAGTGTTTTTACCTGGTAGTGTTAGGAACTGACCATAAAGTGGTGCTTAGGAATTAGGAGTCTGTCACGTCCTCCTTCTGGTATTATTTAAATTTATTTTCTGTGCTGTATTACATCAGATCCTTTTTCTTTTTTCCTTATTCTTTTTTGCCAAAACTACTGAGGTGAACCCTGAGCCAACACTCTAGCTGTGTTAGAAGCACACACACTTAAACATTATTGCACTTTGTTGATTTATTTTTATAGAACATGTTGCATTCTATTTTAGTTATGTTTACATTTTGATTCTTCTATTATATGATGCCCTCCATGTTGGCATGAACAGGGTCCTGCATTCATTGTTATTAGCTGGACTTAGCAAATGTGTGGCACATGAATAGTCAGTGCTTAGTAATTATAGTATTTAAGAGATTTTGTGCTTATATCTCAGCTTTGTTTATCCTTTCTTCTTCTTGCACCCAAGTGCCAAATTATAAAGCTTTTTGCCTCATATAAAGACATTTCTTTACTATCTTTTATATCAAAGCTGAGGTATTCTTATTTGTATGCTTTTGATTTGTTGGGTCTTTATCTCTTACATTTGTAAATATCTATAGTGTCACTTGGCACATAGCAGGAGGGGTCAGAAACAGTCCCTACCCTAGGGAAGTTCACAGTCTAGTTAGACATACAGAATATAGCCATAAAACAATCTGTATTGCTTTAGGTTGCTGTTTGATTGCCAGAATCAGCAGAGTTGGTAGGCATTTAGGCCAAGAATGTGGCAATGATGGTGGAAAATTGGGGATGGCTTCAAGATTCAATATTAATGCCACACACTGCATGATAAATGGGTAGAAGTTCGATAGACAAAAAGGAATGGGATTTGGTATTCCAGAACTCTGGTGTTCAGTGGCTTGTTGCATAGAAGAGGGATATCTGCCAAAGAGTCTTTGTTTGCCTACAAAATTTCATCCAAAGCAGAAACCCGGGATCAGCAAGAACAGTGTTGGGGTCCAACACTCTGCAATTCAGCTCCTTGGAGAGAAACTGTAGCTAGTTGATGAAATGTACTTTAGGCATGGTATGGGTGAACAGTATTGTGCTTGCCACCAGAAATGTAACCCAATATAAAACAAAAGTGCTATTTAATTTTATTCACTATAATCTCTAAGTTGTATTTGCATGTTACAGGGAATTCCAGACTGAGTATCTTTTGTGTGACTGTAACATACTGTGGATGCATCGCTGGGTAAAGGAGAAGAACATCACGGTACGGGATACCAGGTGTGTTTATCCTAAGTCACTGCAGGCCCAACCAGTCACAGGCGTGAAGCAGGAGCTGTTGACATGCGGTAAGGGAGAAATCCAAACTGAGAAAGCATTTACCATATTTTGACTTGCTACCATGTTTTTCTTGACAAATTGTAAGATTCTCTTTATACTTGGACAGAACTAGTATGCAGCCAGTAATCATTATGGATTTGATAATATTTAGTTTATGCCAACGATTAAGCCAGCTAGATTAAATGACCTTTTTTTTTTCAGTTGTCTTTAAGGTAGCTGTTTTTAGGTTCACATCAGCTTTCTTTATGCAAACCAATTTCAAAGAATAGATTTTCAGATTTTCCATCAGTTGGCAACTCGTGAATTTGTCTGTAGTAACACAATCTCAGGATGCCCACATCCTGTGTGTGGGTGGGAATGTGAACGATACAGCCTTTTTGAAGCAACATGTTTCAGTGTTCTTAAAAGACTGATACAGGCAGGGCGCGGTGGCTCACACCTGTAATCCCAGTGGATCACTTGAGGTCAGGAGTTTGAGACTAGCCTGGCTAACATGGTGAAACCCTGTCTCTACTAAAAATACAAAAATTAGCTGAGCATGGTGGCAGGTGACTGTAATTTCAGCTACTCGAGAGGCTGAGGCAGGAGAATTGCTTAAACCCAGGAGGTGGAGGTTTCAGTGAGCCGAGATCGTGCCATTGCACTACAGCCTGGGTGACAAAAGTGAAACTCCATCTCAAAAAAAAAATAACTGATACAGTTAGATCTAGTAATTCTGTATCTTATAGTTAATTCTTAGGAAATGATCAGCTTTGTATGTAAATCTTCAGACTCTGTGTATAAGCATATCCTAAATTCTCAAAAATAGGGGATTGGTTTAATTACTTGTGACATATCCATTCAGTGAATGCAGCTATTGAAAATCATGATTTTGAAGAATATCTGGGGAAAGGAGGGAAATAACATATTTGCCACGTGTTAAATGAAAAAGAAACAAAAACAAAAACAAAAAACAAAAAAGCACACCTACACACACAACCCCATAAAACAAAAACAGTCCTAAAGTGATGGGGGGAGGTCCCAGTTTAGTCTTTGTTTGGAAATAAGCTATCATATTTTTTTCCTTTTCTCTTTATTATTATTGTTGTATCACAAGTAAAATATGCTCACTGAATGAAAATTAAGATTTGTGCAAATAAATAAAAGAAGCAGAGAAACAAAGACCATGTTTATGTTCATGACTGAAAATAGCTAGTGTTAAGACCTTTTTGTATCATCTTCTACGACTTTTTTCTATTTTTTAACCAAAATATCGTTACACTCTAATGATATTTTATAACCTTTTTTAAGTTGAATTAATGTAAATGTATTTTCTCATTTAAAATAGATGCATATCAATTCATTGTATAGATGAAGCCATAGTTTAACAACTTCTCTATTACAGCATATTTAGCTCGTTAATAATTTCTTGCTTCATAAATAATGGAAGGACTAATTTCTTTGTATGCATTTTTGCATATTTTCTATTATTCTTTAGGATACAGTACTACTAAAAGTAGAATTGTCATGTTAGAAAAATGGACTACATATTTAGAAGTCTTTTAATGAACTAGTGTCATTTGTGTACATTTTTGTACATATATTTAAAATATTTTATTTTTCTGACTGAAAGGAAAAAACTGATTAAAAACTGTTTACGGTATATGGGATCTTAACATACTGTTTTTTTCTGTTTTCTTTAAATGTTCTGATTTTTCTGGAGTGAACATGCATTAGTTTTACAGCCAAAAACTCGTGTTGTAATCAAAGGTATTGCAGTCTCCAAAGTGTATTTTAAAGTTGTAAATATCAACATTTACTTATCACTGATGCCATTTTCTAGAGCACAGCTTGTTCTTTTAGTTCATTTCTGTAATCATCTGATACTCTTAGGATGCCACTGAAGAGGAATAACTCTAAATGTCAGAACTGGTTATGAAATTGTTTCTTTTTAATTTTGTTTTAATCTGTTATCACTAAACTCAGTAGCAGCCTGGTTGATACTAGCAGTAGCATGCTGATTATTGAGGAATATTTGTTGTTCTGTTTTTATTATTTTACCTAGAATTTCTGTAACTTTTAATTATGGTGTTTGGAAATTATATTTGTTTACTGAATCTTTGTTTGATTGTCTCTAGACCCTCCGCTTGAATTGCCGTCTTTCTACATGACTCCATCTCATCGCCAAGTTGTGTTTGAAGGAGACAGCCTTCCTTTCCAGTGCATGGCTTCATATATTGATCAGGACATGCAAGTGTTGTGGTATCAGGATGGGAGAATAGTTGAAACCGATGAATCGCAAGGTATTTTTGTTGAAAAGAACATGATTCACAACTGCTCCTTGATTGCAAGGTAAACTTTTTTTTTTTTTTTGAATGAAGAATTGTGCCTGTGTATTTTATTTATCCTTTTGGAGGTGTAATGTTTAGTGGAATTTGAATTAATATTTCATCTTCTTGTATTTAAAAATGCAAACATCTGGCATTTCCTTTTCCTGGTTCTTATTCATCTTCTAAAATTAAATAGCCATCTTTTCATCCAGTTTTTAAAGAAAAGACTTAATTTCAAAGAAACTTTAGAAATTGAAGACTTTTTTAAAGTTTTTGGAGGAAAAATGTAAACTTTTAGTGCTAAACCTAATTTCCAACTATTTCCTGCTGCTAAGCTTACATTTTCTCTTTTAGTAATCACCTGATATTGACTCTAGTCAAAATATTGACTGATACAATATTTTAAGGTACTTATCTTCTCCACCTACTAGTATAAAAGAATATAACATCTGAACTATCAACCTCATAATTGGTGTGAATACCAAAATAATTAAAAGTAAAAATACTTTATAAAGTATAATAGACTAAGAATATATATGATATTATCACTTACCAGATATTTTACTTTGGTAAAATTTTTACCTTTAGACATTGAGTTTTCCACTCCCTTTCTTCTTTCTTTCCACCTACCTAGAACTTGGCTTATATTTTTATTTCAGTAGAGCTGCAGTTTTCAGACTCTCTGCCAGGTCCTCCTAGGGTAACATCACAGCAAACTCACAGGGGTGCTATGAAAGATTACTGAAAAACTAAAGGTTCTGAGTTGACATTCAAATCTCAGGGGTTCTCTGAGTTGAGATTCAAGACTTATGCAGTTGGCTATTTTATAATTTTTCTTGAGATTTCATGTCTACTAGAAGCATATTTTCATTTATATCTTCCAACATTTAGAGTAGATGCTTTAAATCCTTTCCTGCTAATTCCAACATGTGGGCAATCTTGTGGTTATTGCTACTGGCTGCTTTTCTTTTAAATATGGTTCATATTTTCTTCTTTTTAAAAAAGTATTGTTTATAGGTCTGACAGTTTTGGATTATAGACTGGACGTTATGAATGATTTGCTGTGGAGGAGAAGCTGGCTAGGTACAGTCTATGAACCAAATCTGGCCCACGGAGCCCATAAACTAAGAATGTTATTTATATTTTTAAATGGTTACATTTCAGATGGTTACATAATTCCCTGCATAATATTCTTAATATTGCTTCGTAGCCAGCAAAGCCTAAAATATGTACTGTCTGGCCATTGAAGAAAAAGTCTGCCGACCTCTGACTCTGGATTCTGTTATATTCTCCTAAAGTGAGCTAACTTTTGTTTGGTCAGGCAGTTAGCTTGGCTGAACTAACTCCTAGCTCTGTCCCCTCTGGTAGGCAGAAGCTAAAGTCTTGGTTTCTGCTCTCTACCTGCAAGTGTAGTTCAGGATCAGTAAGAGATCTTGGTGCATTTTATACATAGAAGTTTGGGCTTCCAGCCTGACTTCTTTCTACCTCTGTCTTCTGATTTTTTAAGCCAATAAGATTGTGAGTTTCTATTTGAGTGAGGCCTACCCTTGGGCAAAAGCCATTAAAAAAAAATCTAGTTACTTCCCAGTGCCAAAAACCCTTGTTTCTCATATCAACTCCTGTTCAGTTATTGCCTGCTTTTGATCAATCTTCATATGTTCAAATGATTGTCATTTTATAATTTGTCAGGGGCATATAATTGTTAGCTGTGGGAAGGGTGATTTAATATGAGCTACTCAGTGATTGCTAGAAGCAGAATTCCCTTATTAGGAGATACGATTAATCGTTCGAAATGATATATTCATTGTTACACTAGTTTTACTGTAGCGATAATTTCACATGCCTATACATATGTCAGAATTCATCACATTGTACACTAAGCAGTTTATTGTATAAACAGACAATAATTGATGTATAATTCAATAGTAAAGTTTTAAAAGTAGAACCATTTTCTATGTAGAAGAGCTTTGATTAATTTAGAACTCTAAATTATTTGACTATAAAATAAGTAGATTTACTGTATAAATCTATTTCTGCAAGTCATGCTTAAATTTAAATTATGTTTAGCAATGCAAAAAAAGTTAATTCTAAGGATAACAAGTTAACCTAACATTTTTTTTGGTAGGGACATGTGACTAAAGTGAAAATCTTTCATGTGAAGCCTGAGACAGTTCTTTACCTAGATTTTGCCCCAGAATAATAAAAGAAAGAAATATGTGGTTATTGCATTGGTTAATCTGAGATTCCTATTGATTTTTCATTGATCTCCCCATGTCTTTGATTCTTCATCAGTAAGAAACAGCATTTTTCTTAGGAGTTGAAATTGAAGCTACTTCTTTCTTTTTAAATCTCCAAATCTGCTGCCTTGAGGATTCCTGGAAATGTTATTCCAGTGATTGGTTTTAGATATTAAAAGTATTGCTAAAAGTTATCCAGGAAACATTTGCAGATTTGGAGATTGAAGGGGAAAAAAGTAGTAAGAAAACTAGAAACACTCCATTATAGTGTTTGGGATGCTGGACTTTGGACAGTTACTGTGGTACAAAGCAAGTGCTACGTGTAAAAGTCATTGTAGAACAAGAAATGAGCATCATTGTCTGATCCGAATCTGAGGTTAGATTAATTTTAGAGTGTCTAGCAGGCACACATATCTCATTAAGAAGTAGTTGTTATTTAAGAATACAATAAAAATTTTATTTCAAATTTATGTGTGTTACTTTTTTCAAATGGCTACTAAAGTATTTGAATATAGATAGACATTTGGGGGATTTAATTTAGTAATAGAAACCACCATCGGTATTTTTTTGAGCTGGGGTGGGGCACCATGACAAAGTTACTATGTCAGTGAAGTAAGACAGTGTTTGGGAACTTCTGGATTAAGGAATGATTTTCATTGACGAAATATACTTCTTCCTAGTTCAGTAAAGCCTTATAAAGTAGAATGTTGGACAAAGTTAAATTTAATGTCAAACTCTTTTTTGTGTCACTCTATTTTAAAAATATTAATTACAGTATGTTTATTTTTCTAACTTAGTAAAGACAACATTTTCTTTGATGATTCATAATATAAAAGTGTCTTGAGCCTTTATTAGAACATTTGCTGTAGCCGTCAATGATTTAGGAGATCGGACAAATGTGTATTTACTTTAAGACATAATTTTGTAAGTTAATTAAAATGATACATACTTTCTGTCTAATTATTTCTTATCATTTGTGTCTACATAACAGCAACGCATACTGGGTCCTGTGGGGGAAATAAAGGTTAATTGAAGGCTCTGACATTTGCTCCTTAATTAATAGGTTTTATATTAGAGAATTATGATTTCATCTTGGAAATTGGATTTACTGACAGCCATTTAGAAACACAGCTGTTTTATGAATTGAAATATACCTTAACACAGAAACCTTTTGTGAAAGTATTAATTGGTAATTTACTAAATCTTTTTAGGGAGGTAACTGGTTTGTTTCTAGTGTAACCCTTTATATTTTACCTTAAACATTTTCTTAATTATGTAAATTCGTAATAATCTTCTTTTTTCATGTTTGAATATTTTCTTCAGAATCTGTGAGAAGGGAGATGTGACTTGGAAACTTCTCTAAGTTTTGCTAAAGAATGTACGACGATGTTTCTGCCTTTGGGCTTGCCATTCCTGTTCTTTTTTTGTGTGTATGAAACAGAGACTTGCTCTGTCACCCAGGCTGGAGTGCAGTGGTGCTCTCTTGGCTCACTGCAACCTCCGCCTCCTGGGTTCAAGCCATCCTCCAGCCTCACTCAGCCTCCCAAGCAGCTGGGATTACAAGTGTCTGCCACAACACCCGGCTAACTTTTAAAAATATTTTTAGTGTAGACAGGGTTTCGCCAGGCTGATCTTGAAGGCTGGGCTGGTCTTGAACTCCTGCCACCCGCCTCTGTCTCCCAGAGTGCTGGGATTACTTGCCATTCCTGTTCTGTAAAGTGTTCTGCTCTCCCTATTTCTGCAAGGAGAATTCTCATGCGTCGTATAGCATTGCATTTGATTCATATGTCTCTTATTGCCCTGATTGTGTATTTTAAAGATCTCTTTCCTTTTTTGCCTTGAGATTGAAGGATTTAAAGGAAGGAATCATTTTTTAAATTCATTTTTATATAGCAAGTGCTTACCCCACAATATGCATTCAAAAATATTTGCTAAATTAATGATTGAGACCCATTATTGTCTCCTTTTTTGCCTAATTATATTTTCTCTCTTTTTAAAATCTTTCTTTATGCAGTGCCCTAACCATTTCTAATATTCAGGCTGGATCTACTGGAAATTGGGGCTGTCATGTCCAGACCAAACGTGGGAATAATACGAGGACTGTGGATATTGTGGTATTAGAGAGTTCTGCACAGTACTGTCCTCCAGAGAGGGTGGTAAACAACAAAGGTGACTTCAGGTCAGTGTTGTGGAAAATACGGGGAAAAGTTTAATTTGTCCCAGATCCTTCTGTTGTCTAAGACACATTATTGGTTTCCTGTCCTGAGTAACAAAATTTGAGAACTGCACATGTCTGAGGACTACCCTTTAGAATAATGATTTCAGAATCACATATGGAGATGAACAAAAGGGGTGCTTGAACTTTATCTCAGACCTGTTGATTGAAGAATCTCTGAAAGTAGAGTCATTTTTAACAAATGGTTTTGTTGTGTAAGAGCCATTGCCTTAGGGAAACATTGGAGATATTCTGGTAAAAGAGTACAAAATTCAAACAGGTTAAGTAAGGTATTTTCTGTTTTTTTTCCCCCCAGTGGCTCTTTTATAGATGAACCTTGGAAGGTTTTATATTGCTAAGGTACTTTTCACTACTGGCAGTTCAGTAGGCATCAGAATTAGAAGAAACACCTATCTAATTTTCTCCCCTTGTTCAGTTCTTCTGGAAATCAAGCAAGAAGGACTTTGGGAAATGAAAGCTGTTGGGTAGCCTGAAACTTGGGGAGCCATGGAATCCCAGGTGGGGTTTGTTAATCTAAGCAAAGGGAGTTATTTATTTATTTTTTTATTTTAGTAGAAAGTTTAGGATTTGCAAGAGATGACAGCTTTTACCTTAAACTCTCTTTACTTTCAAAGGTGCTTTAAGACATCTTTAAATATCTTATTTACTTGATCTTATTTATGTTCAGGGATTTAAAAAATGAGTTTATAGTTGATATGAACAAAGGGAAATATGTTATTCTTTGAAGCAGCATAAAGATTGTTTATTACCCAGTTTGCATTGTCTCTAATGGGTTCAGTTGTTACCTCCTGTCTCTAACCTCAGTGTTTCAAGGGTGGGAAAACCCTTTGGTGTTAATCTTTTAAATCCAAAGTAAAGAAGCAATAATAACATCTTTATCTCAGCTAGTTTGCCATTGCTCTTTTTAAAAAAGTTATTCTTGACATCAATATATGGAAATCAACATTTATTATTGCCAATGGATAAGTCTTTTATGTAGATTAGGTATTGATCTATAATATTTATAGTACATGCTTTTAAGTGAAATATATGATATTTGGTAATTTTGTTACATTCAACATCTTTTATCAAATAATCCTAATATGATATTTACTATTTATGGTAGATTTTCTATATTCTCATAGTTTTGAGTGCTTTACATTTTTAAAAATAGAGCAATTAAATGTTTATAGATCAATGAATTATTTGTCTTTGACACTCCTTAAGATATTATGCAATTAAATTCCCACTGCATTAATAAGATTTAGTTTAGTGTTGCTTGATCTATTTATGTGGTTTTTGTAATGAATTCTGTTTTGGTGTGACTGATACTGTCATTTAGTGGTTCCTGTGATGAGCATCCATGGTAACTTGTATTAAACATGTTGAATTTCATTCTCAGTTTTGGAGACATAGAGTTCAAATAACAAAGGTTTCTCCCAGCCCAGTTTTGATGACCCGTGTCAGGGTTGTATTGACATGACACATCTTCATCTTTGATTTTTTTCTCTGCTGTTGTTATTCTTGATGTACCCGTGTCATTTAGATTTTCTTGTACTATTTTGTCTTCATCTCTAGATGGCCCAGAACATTGGCAGGCATTACTGCATATCTGCAGTGTACGCGGAACACCCATGGCAGTGGGATATATCCCGGAAACCCACAGGATGAGAGAAAAGCTTGGCGCAGATGTGATAGAGGTGGCTTTTGGGCAGATGATGATTATTCTCGCTGTCAGTATGCAAATGATGTCACTAGAGTTCTTTATATGTTTAATCAGGTAACTAGAAAGTCTTCATGTTTACTTGGGTTGTGGAGAAAACATGGTATTCAAACCAAATACATAAGTTTTTTTTTTTTTTTTAATACTAGGCAAAACATAAGGATTTTGTGTTTTTACTTTAGTTGACTTAACTGTCTTCAGGATCAGGTCCATCTTAATCACTAGTCAAGGCCCTCTATAGAATCCTTCCTTTGCAGTCACCATCTCCCTTTGTGCCTTTGTTTGAATATCTTTTTTTTAATCTGTATCCACCAGACAGAATCCTAACCATCCTTCGAGTTCACATTGAAAGCCACCTCTTGGATTCATTTTATAATCACTTTGTTGAAAGCGATTGCTTAGAATACTTGAACTACTCATGTGCTTTTTGTTATCTTTGCTTCTATGCATCTTTTTAAAACTTACCAGACTATAAGCAAGTGGAAGATGGCTTTTGTGTAATGTATTTTCTTTTGCCCCTTAGCACCTGGTAAAAATCCTTTTGCAATGTTAGGTGCTAAGTCCGTGTTAGAGTCAGTAGATAAACACATGTAAAACATTACTGGCAGTGCATGGCAATAAAGATAAGTGCCAAATAAGTAGTTCGTACTCTTGTGCAGTAGGAGCTCCAAGGGAGGTATTGATCATTCCCAGCAGGAATACTCAGGAAAGGCTTTATTAAGCAATTGGAGTTGAGGTATGTGTAGAATTTGGATAGGCAGAGAAGAGATAGATGGTGCAACATGTTAACCTCATGTATTTTTATGTATTATTGTATTTCACTCCAAGCTTGAAAAAATTTCCCTCCAGTGAGTTTCCATTAAAATTCCAGTTTTCTTGGGTTTGTAAAGCATTTTAAGAAGGCCATGATGAGTAAATAATAAAGTTTTTAATTCGTTGCTGTTTTGAAATGCAAAGTTAAAATGTCAGGATTGTGTTGATCATTTTGCTAATGACTGTTTTGTTGATCATTTTTGCCTTTGAAATGTAGATGCCCCTCAATCTTACCAATGCCGTGGCAACAGCTCGACAGTTACTGGCTTACACTGTGGAAGCAGCCAACTTTTCTGACAAAATGGATGTTATATTTGTGGCAGAAATGATTGAAAAATTTGGAAGATTTACCAAGGAGGAAAAATCAAAAGAGGTACTTCTCTAAATTCAGATTTGTAGCATACAGTGTCAACAAATGGTAGTGTGACAGAGTTCAATCTATGTATTTTAAGGCCTGTTTATGTTTATCATATTTGAGCTAAAAGCATGCTTTTAAATTTCCAGAATTTTATTGAGATACTTCTGCCTCTTCTCTTATGACCTGTTTGCTGCTGGGACCGGGAGAGGTGAACTCTCAGTTCTTGGACGTTAAGGTCCAGAGATACAGCAGAGGTCGCTGGTGAGAAAGCAGTAAAAGCAGTGTTCTGCCTCCACGTTGTGGCTTAGGCAGAGCTGCTTAGCTCAGCCTGCTGGATTTCTCTTCTCCACATATCCTCGTGCTCATCTTTTGTAACGGGAGTTTTAGTCACCCAGATCTTGTAGTAAATTCCTTTTAATTGTCCTTGTAATGTCCTAGAGAAATGAGAGGCTGTTTAGGCACTTTTTTGAAATTCAAAATGATTGGACTATACAAGTTTTAAAAAATGCAGTGAATTCTAAAAGTGGCGTATTTTAACTTAACGGGACCACATTGAAACCATGATATGCTTGTCCACATGATATCTTTTAGGGGAAAAAAATTGACAAGCACAGTTTACAGAATGAATGAGCAGCAAATTAATGTTTTGAATAATTTTCAAGGGGCAGAATTATTGTGTTCTTAAACTTTACGTTTAAAGCTTCGTGAGAACTTTATATGTACAATTTCTTTTGTGATATAATCACTTATAAAGAAATTAATTATAGAGGTAGAGGGAACCTCAAGCAAGTTGTAAACTGAAGCCCACGCTTAGGTTAGGGCACGCCTGGAAAGAGAACCCAAGATCCCTGACTCATCCATAAGAGTTTTCTGTAGCATCACATTCACCTTCCCATACAATGTGGCCCTGACTTGGAACTCTAAAAGTGCTCTGTACACAACTGTGAGGAAAACACTGGGCTAAACAAAACCTGCGTATTTCTTTATGTAGAACTTCTCAGATCCATTAATATTGCTAAAATGTAAATAATAAGCCTTATTTTCCTGAATCATTCTAATATATTTTTATATATCAATTATATATACACACACTTATATATCACATATATATTCTAATATATTATATAATATATATTTAGATATATCTAATGTATATTACATATTTATGTATCTAATATAGATATATTGTTATATATAATATATATATAAGAATTAGTACTTGCAATGTGGTAATAAGTTTTTGAAACTGTGGCCCTAGTGCATTAGGCACTTTACTTGATAGGATGTAGTTATTAAAGGAAGGAAAATAGATACATGTATATAAACGGGACTTAGGCAAATAGGCCACCTCACTTGTCAGCGGGATAACATTTCATTTGTTTTCTGAACTTCAGGGGCCATGATTTTTTCTAATAACTGCTCCTGATACTTGATTGTGTCTCCAGGGCACAGCCCACTTTCCTGCAGTGAATTTTCCTTGCACTGGGAGAGGCCGTTTGGGTTCTGGCTCTGTGATTATATTGTGCTCCATTGTTGCTTAAGATGACAGGGTTGGTGCCCACAGGATTAGCAGTCATTTCCGGGAGTGGGATGTTTCTAGTTACTAGAATAATTGTAATGACATTTGGAATGTGGACATGGAAGAACATTCGCCATCGAAGAATACATGTTTATGATGTGAACCTGTTTTGCTCACCTCCCAACTTGAGCAACGTGGTGTCCAGAGGTGTATGTTGAACTGTTTGCCAGCCTGTGGAAGAGTGGTCGGCTGCGTTGACGGGTTCTTAGGTGGAAGCATTGTACTGAACTGGAAGTAGACATGGTTTCATTAGTTATTAATTAACCATGGGCTTATTCTTCATTTTTCAAATGGGGATGCTATTTTCTCTGTATAATTTGAAAAGTGTATGTGCACAAATACAGGCGAACAGTTTTGCAAAATAGTTGCAAAGCTTGGATATCATTTTATTAGGTTATGAAATATAACATTTTTATGACCTCAGAAGCTAAGAAGGAAGTCCTTTTAAATAATCATGAGTGCATCAGTTAGTTCTGTAAAAATTTAGTGTGAAGAAGATTGCTGTCACTTTTACTGGTTAACATAGGACGGAAAAGTTATGTTATCTTCGGAAGCAAGTGATGGCAACTTACTAACTGTCAGCACGAGAAACAGGAAAATATTCAGGATTGAATAATTGAGATATAAATGTGATAATATTGCGTGTGATGCAGTGACTGACATACAGTTCTTTGGCAATTTGAACCACAGGCCATAGCTTTCACCATTTATTAGTGTAGTGAAAAAAACTAGGAGGCTTGAGGGCTTCATTTTAAGTTAATTACCACAGCATAAAATTATGCCAAGTTATCCTAAAATGCACCTAGCTTAGATAGAGAAATAATTAATTAAATTGATTTTTGTATTATGTCTGAAAGTTATTCTTTTATGAGTGATTTCATAACAAAAGTATTGTGGGGGAATTGCTTTTTAATCTGTGATTGAGCCTGGCCAACACAAGCTGGCACTTTGTTGTCTCAGGATAGGCATTAAAAGCTCTCAAACTGCCAGATCTAAGTGATATATTTAGTGGATCCTTTTAAAAACAGTTAAAGGTTGTCTTGTCAGGCAACAGAAGTGTCTGTTATGTATTTACTAAAGTGATTTTTCTTATGAAAACAATATGCATATTTTATAAGATGGGAAAGTTAAATATAAAGATTAGATCTGATGATGCTTTCTGGCACCCTTATTGTCTCTTATTTTAAAATATGTGAGTGCGATATGCGCCTTACACTAGTTTATATATAGATTTTTACAAATATATGGCTTTTTCATTGATTTTAAAGTGTCATCGCTTCTGTATTGACAATTATGATTATTTTGTATTCTTTTTTTTCTTGATCTTACTTGCCAGACTTTTCTGTATTATTAAGCTTTTCTAGGACTTTGTTCGTAGAACTTCACCACACATCAGAATCACTTGCTGGATTTGTTATACGCAGTGATTGCTGCCTGAGTTCCCCCTCCCTGCCATTCCCAGTTGCCATTTCAGCAGGTCTGAAATGGGTTCAGAGAATTTGAATTTCTAGTCAGTTTCAGGTGATGTTTCAGGCAGCATGACTTTGATACTGGCTTTGAGAACCCCTGTAACAGCTCCATTTTCTATTGTTGCTTTAATTTTTTTTTAGGTGGGGGGTTTTAACTTTTTAAGAACTTTTTCTTGGAAAATTCAAAAGGATAGGAGAATATTATCATTAATACCTATGCTGTACCTCTGCTTGGCTTCAACAGTTTTCAATACAGCAAGCCCTCACTTAAGGTCATCTATAGGTTCTTGGAAACTGCAACTTTAACTGAAATGATATGTAATGAAACCAAATTGACCATATGCTAATTGATGTAAGTAAAACTTATAAAATCCCTAGAGATCATTTCTGGTCACAAAAATGTCACCAAACTTCCAAATAAAGACCCCAAACATTTCTAATATTAAACATTGAAATAAGTATGAGCCATACACATATTTAAGAAAGATTAATAAAAACAAGACAATTATTTACCCATTGTGTTAGTTTTCACTCTGCTAAAAATGACATACCCGAGAGTGGGTAATTTATAAAGGAAAGAGGTTTAATTGACTCACAGTTCAGCACATCTGGGGAGGCCTCACAATCATGGCAGAAGGCAAAGGAGGAGCAAAGTCATGTCTTACATGGCAGCAGGCAAAGAGAGAATGAGAGCCAAGTGAAAAGGGAAACCTCTTATAAAACCCCTTATAAAACCATCAGATTTTGTGAGACTTATTCACACAACAGCGGAGCAGTCAAATCTTAAAGCTCCAAAATGATCTCCTTTGACTCCATGTCTCACATCCAGGTCACACTGATGCAAGAGGTGGGTTCCCATGGTCTTGGGCAGCTCTGCCCTTGTGGCTTTGCAGGGTACAGCTCCCTCCCAGGTGCTTTCACAGGCTGGCATTGAGTGTCTGTGGCTTTATTGTACCCTTGTACAATATTGTTATATATAATATATATATAAGAATTAGTACAAGGCTTTTCCAGGCACACAGTGCAAGCTGTTGGTGGATCTATCATTCTGGGGTCTGGAGGACGGTGGCCTTTTTCTCACAGCTCCACTAGTTGGTGCCCCAGTAGGGACTCTGTGTGGGCGCTCTGACCCCACATTTCCCTTCTGCACTCCCCTAGCTGAGGTTCTCCATGAGAGCCCTACCCCTGCAGCAAACTTCTGCCTGACGATTCAGGAATTTCCATACATCCTCTGAAATCTAGGCAGAGGTTTCCAAACCTCAGTTCTTGACTTCTGTGCACCCACAATCTCAACACCACGTGGAAGCTGCCAAGGCTTGGGGGTTGCCCCCTGTGAAGCAGCAGCCCAAGCTGTACCTTGGCCCCTTTTAGTCATGGCTGGAGCAGCTGGGATACAGCTGCTAGACACCAAGTCCCTAGACTGCACACAGCACATGGACCCTGGGCCCAGCCTATGAAACCATCACAGGCCTGTGATGGGAGGGGCTGCGGTGAAGACCTCTGACATGCCCTGGAGACATTTCACCATTGTCTTTGGGATTAACATTCAGCTCCTTGTTACTTATGCAAATTTCTGCAGCCCGCTGGAATTTCTCCACAGAAAATGGGATTTTTTTTTTTCTATCACATTGTCAAGGTGCAAATTTTCCAAACTTCTGTGCTCTGCTTTTCTTATAAAATGGAATGCCCTTTACGGCACTCAAGTCACCTCTTGAATGCTTTGCTGCTTAGAAATTTCTTCTGTCAGATACCCTAAATCATCTCTCTCAAGTTCAAATTTCCACAAATCTCTAGAGCAGGGGCAGAATGCTGCCAGTCTCTTTGCTAAGATGAAACAAGAGTCACCTTTGCTCTAGTTCCCAAGTTCCTCATCTCCATCCCAGACCACCTCAGCCTGGACCTACAAGCCTCTAGGAAGTTCCAAAGTTTCCCACATTTTCCTGTCTTCTTCTGAGCCCTCAGACTGTTCCAACGCCTATTTGTTACCCAGTTCCAAAGTTGCTTCCACATTTTTGGGTATCTTTTCAGCATCGCCTCACTCTATTGGTACCAATTTACTGTATTAGTCCATTTTCATGCTACTAATAAAGACATACCTGAGACTGGGAAGAAAAAGTGGTTTAATGGACTTAAAGTTCCACATGGCTGGAGAGGCCTCACAATCATGGCAGAGGTCATGGAGGAGCAAGTCATGCCTTACATGGATGGTGGCAGGCAAAGAGAGAGCACTTGTGCAGGGAAGCTTCTCTTTATAATACCATCAGATATCGTGAGACTTACTATCACAAAAACAGCATGACAAAGACCTGCCCCCATGATTCAATTATCTCCCACTGGGTCCCTCTCACAACACTTGGGAATTGTGGGAGTTACAATTCAAGATGAGATTTTGGTGGGGACACAGCCAAACCATATCAATAAGTGTTGGTTGGTTGGGAGCATTAATGAGAAAGGTCTAATGTATCCTTAACTGTGATATTTGCTTGCTTCTGCCGAGTGCCAGTGTAGGGGGACTCATTTTAAAATTAATTTTTAGCTTGAGGTTTTTAAGAACACGAAAGTAGTATAAAGGACCTGTTTGAAGGTCAACTTGTGTTTCCAAATTGTCAGAGAATAATTTTTTTTTTTTAACCTCCTTCTACCTCTTGCCCAGGTCAAAACAGGCACGTTTCCTGGCTCTCCTTCCATGAAGCTGAGTGATTGCTGGCTAGGCCTGATGCTGGAGGTGGTGTCCTTTGAGTTTCTAGCTTTGTAACAGGGGGTCTTTTCCTGGTACCCTGTGTTGGCATGGCCTAGGCCCTGTGTGGAAGTCAAAACATACCTCGTGGTCATCAGAGTTCAACCTCAGAGCTCTTTGGATTTCTGCTGTTCTTTGGTGACTGGGTTTTGGAGGAGGATCTATTTTCCTACTTCTCAGTGATGCATTAACAAAGATAACTGTTTTCCTTTCAGCATTTTTTCACTTTCTGCTGGAGAGTTCTCCAGAGTACTCAGTCCTCTGTACTTCTAGAAAAGGAAGTGCACGTACGTGTTTGTAATCTCATTTATTTCAGTAACACCTTAGGGTAGAATCAGTATTTTGGCATGTTTTATCTTTTAATATATTTAATATTTACAGATTAGCACAATTACAACTAAATTTATTGTTCAGTTTTTTTTAAAGTTTTGAATGTGTGGACTTTATGAGGATCAAGCATGAGACCTGATGGTAGACACATCATCTCTCCTGAAGAATTATGATTATTACATGATCTGAGAACTCCTGCCATGCCTTATGTGCAATAATCTTCTTGACCTCTTTTCCCCTTCCACCCATTTCTTCAGTTCCTCCACTGTTACCCTCATCCTCATCATTCTCTTTACTCCTATACCTCAGTAAAATCAGAGCTTTAACCTTTGCCATAACCCTGATGATGATTGCAGTCAGACTCTTGTTGAATAGCAAATGCTTACCTAAGCAACCTGCTGAGAAGTCTGCAGAGGTATCCTGTGGCACGTAAAGCCAGATGTGAGTTAAGAGTGACAAATACACTTTTAAAACTTGACTTTCAGAATGCAGCAGTTCCATCATTAATCAGTGTAATAACATACCTTGAAATAGGTATGATCTCAGTAGTGTACTAAATTTGGAACTAGGAGAACATCGTGAAGACTACTTGAGCTTAATAGGATCAGCTGCTGCAATGATGATAATGTAGGTTCCTCTATTTGTCATCTCCAAAACCATTGCTCCACCTATGCATGTGTCTGTTAATTCTTGCTTTTCTGGTTGTTAGAATGAACAAAAGTATTCTTTTGCTACTCGATGATTGAAAATGTAAATATGGAACGGCCTAGATCACTTGGCCTTTCTCAAAAACTCCATGAATTGCTTAATTTATATTTTTACTGGGTATGTGAAGATATTTGTCTTCTGCTTTTTTTTTTTCTTATTTTACCATGGACTGAGATGTTCTGAGCACTTGTAGAGTTCTTGGTCCCATTTTACAAATGAGTAAACTGAGTCTCACAGAGGCTGATTTGCTCAGGGACATCTAAACTTGTGACAGACTTGAGATCTCAACCTAGGAGTATTTAACTCCAAGTCACATAGATATTATGTCTTCAGTGTTAAAGACTATACATTAAATATCATCAAGTTTAGTTTACGTATTATCTTGTATATTAATATGATAACATCAGAAATGTATTAAATTAGCAGATGTTTTTGACCTAATTTTGATAAAACTTCCAAGCCATTTGTATATTAAGAACTTGAAATATCCTGTCTCTTACAACATTTGACATTGAGCACTTTCATTGCCATTAATGTGGTGCATTTGTTTCTTCCCCATTTTATCTTCGATAAAGTCCATTTGCTCATGCTTTCGGTTGTTCCTCCCACTTTAGTGTGACAGGTGCAAGAACAGGTGGAGGAGTCCTTCTGACCCTTTTGTGGCTGGAGTGGCCTTCGGGGAATGAGGCCAAGGAGAAATCTGATGCATGCTCCTTACACTGGTTGCAGTTTTTAAATGAGCTTTGTGTGTCAAATTTCAGGAATACTTTTTTTAATCCAGTGTAATTTTTCATGCATTGTTACCCCTTTTGTGTCACTTTTTGCCACTGTGACATATTCAGAGCTACTTCTGTAACCAAGCTACAGAAGCATATAACATTTTCTGATTATCTGCTCTAGGGAATATTTTGGCAACAAATCCCTTTCCTCCATTCTTAGCCATTTGGAGTGAAATAATGAGAAAAATAGCTTGTTCTCAACTAAAGCAATTACTGTTGTTCGTCCTGTACCTTCTTAGAGATATTTGTTGTTTTTTTTTTTATAATTATTAACACAAGTTAATTTCTTTACTGGCATTATCTAGCAGGGCATAGCAGTAGTTCTTTGATCATGTAATAATGATGAATTTTTCAAGAAAGATGACGTGCCCATCAGATCTCATGTCAGGTCCCTATAAAATTCCTACATTTAAAACTTCAGAGAAGTATTAAACAATAAGTTTAGTTGTAACTTTGCTAATCTGTAAGCACTGCCTATATTTCAGTGGTGCCTTACAATAAAATCAATATTTTTGTGTATTTTAAAGTTTTGCATCCAGTGGGAATTTTATTAATATTTTTGTTAGCCATAAAGCATATTTCACCATGTTATCTCTTTTACCTCTTTTATTTTTGCATAAAATCTTCAAATAACAGTAAGTCAGAATAATAGACAAAATCTTAACTAAGTTATTCCAACTACTGTGAATTCCCATTAAGACTTTGGACTTACTAGTTTAGCATCTGTATAAACGGCTGATTGACAGATTCAGTAACTGACATAGCAAGAGTCAATACCCTTCTTTATAACTCCAGAAGTAAGGGCTTCTAGTAGAATGACATTCACCCCCATATCTGTCTGTTAGTAGGAACATGAACTAGGATGCTAATGTTCCAATGAATCATAAAAAAATGAACCAACTGAGGATTCTGCAGAGCTTGATTACAGGCTCTTCTTAATTATTTGTCATTTGATCTTGTTAATATCTTCGGTTTGGGGGGAAGTACCCCTTGAGAATGTGTTAGTTCATTAAAATAGGGTGTTTGGATTAAATTTCATTATTCTGTATCCTATATTTCTCTGCATATTTCCCTTGTAGCAGTTATCACAATCTAAATCACTTTTTAAAAATGGATTTATATGCTTGTTTTGCATTTTCTTCACCAGACTATAAGGTTGAAGATAGAGCTTGTTTCTTTCTTTTGCTGCTGTTGCACCAGTGTCTGGCTCACATTGGCCCTCAATAAATAGTCAGTGAACAGTAATCATGAACATTTAAAATGAATATTGATACATATCGGATACATGGACATTGATAACTGTTGGCTTCTGCATCAGCTCTTGTACTAGTGAATAAGGATATAAACGTAAGACATTTTGTTGTCTCTACCCTCAAGATGTTTACATTGGAGGTAAAATAAGGAAAAAGTTGTGATACATTATGGTAAGGGCAGTAAAAAGTCAGAAAACTTATTTTAATAGGATCAAGCTGGGGAGAGTGGGACTTTACAGAGGGTCAAGTGGCAGTTTAGTTGGATGCATTGGTCCTATTTTTACGTGAACACAGACATACAAATACAACCCTTCTACTACCTCTAGAGTCTATCATCTTAAAAGAGAGGCCAATTTCGGGATTAAAACAGTAAAAGCGCCAACATTTTTTGAGTGCTTGCCATGTGCCAGGCACGGTTTTAGGAACCTTGTATTTATTATTGGAACTTAATCTCCACAACATTCAGAAAGACAGGACTATTATTATCTGTAGTTACGAAGAAGGGAAGTGGAGATACCAAGAGGTGAAGTGTTCAGGCTAGGTACTCACGGTCAGCATTTGAAGTCCTGTTCTCATCTATGTATTTACTGTGGTTGCTTCACCCCGTGGTTCCAGGGTTGGGATCTGGTGGATTTCCAAAGGCCTGACTTTTTTGTAAAGTGAACCAGGGTGGGATGGACTGAACTTCTTCCAAACCCTCTTCAGCCCCCATAATTATACGTTGTGTGAAGTGTATTGGATACAAAACGGGATTGAAATCTCAGCGGAGATCTTCTGGGATGATCAAAAGACATCTCTTAAGACAGACCCGGCTTTCTGGCTTTGCACTGGGACTTAACGCCTTTTAATGCTTACTACTTGATTAGAGGTCCAGCCAGCTTGCAAATTGTCTGATCCTACCTCTGGAATGTTTTTGTTGCTCCTTCTGCTGCATGTCTCCCTCTTATAAACGTTTTGCTCAATACAAAATCCTCTTGACACCAGTACGTCTCATTAGCCCTAGACGGTTCAATTTATTTCTCTCAGGTGAGACGTATGAGTTATAGTAAACAATAGTTGGTTGACTTTTCAGTGGCATTTCCTGACAGATGTTTACATCTGTAAGTTACGAAGTGAGCGAATAAAAAGAATCCAGTAAATGAAACAAGTAAAACAAACAGTGGAAGAGTGCATTTATTTTATTGTATTAGATCTTAAAAGCATTCATTGAGTTGGGAGGAAGGGAAGATGCAGTTCATTCTAGGTATAGGAAACCACGTGTGCAAGGGGATGGGGGTGAGATCATACAACACATACAAGGACGTAGCAGTAGCTAGGCATCCCTGCATTGTTGAATATGAGCAGAGACTAAAGAGGTGGGTAGTATGCCTGCCTGCCTGCCTTTTTTTTTTTTTTTTTAAGAGTGTCTCACTCTGTTGTCCAGGCTAGAGTGCAGTGGCACGATCTCGGCTCACTGCAGTGTCTGCCTCCCAGCTTCAAGTGATTCTCCTGCCTCAGCCTCCCAAGTAGCTGGGACTATAGGCATGGGCCACCATGCCCAGCTAATTTGTTTTGTATTTTTAGTAGATATGGGGTTTCACCATGTTGGTTAGGATGGTCTCGAACTCTTGACCTCAAATGATCCACCCACCTCGGCCTCCCAAAGTGCTGGGATTACAGGTGTGAGCCACCACGCCCTGCTGGCGGTGTGTATTTCTTAATAATAATAGTTTGATTTAAGCTAATGCATGCACAAAAAGGAAGTGTTTATAAATGGTTTTCTAGATGAACAGTCAAGATCTTTTTATTCTGGTATTGTGTGACATCCTTTCCTTCTCTTTAATTAATCTAATTGCCTTTCTTTTCCTCCATTTGAGATAACACCTGGCAGTCTTTTCACCAGTGATGTGGTGGCCACTTACATATGCTCTTTTGAGCTAAATACCACCAAATGGCTATACTTGAAATAACTGTTCATATCTGAAGATGTTTTCATGAGAAACAAGTAAAGTGCCTGTTGGGTTCTCATGTGGAATTTGAGACTGAAGGCCAATCTCACTGTCCATTAGGATTTTGATTCTACGAAATAGTTTATGGTGGTTTTAAAGATCTTTCTTTTTTCTCCTGAACCCCTGCTAGCTAGGTGACGTGATGGTTGACATTGCAAGTAACATCATGTTGGCTGATGAACGTGTCCTGTGGCTGGCGCAGAGGGAAGCTAAAGCCTGCAGTAGGATTGTGCAGTGTCTTCAGCGCATTGCTACCTACCGGCTAGCCGGTGGAGCTCACGTTTATTCAACAGTAAGTGTAACATTATCATAGACTCCTGAGAAAAAAAGTGCATTTCACACAGCTCTCACCCGAAAGAGATAGGTGTCTTCTCCATTATGGGGTGGATATCTTCTCTTACTGCTGATTATTACAGAATTTCTTCTTAACATTTTATAAGTTATAACATTTTATAAGTTATTACAGAATTTCTTCTTAACATTTTATAAGTTATAACATTTTATAAGTTATTACAGAATTTCTTCTAACATTTTATAAGTTAATTTTGCTTTTGAGTAATGTTTTCTTGGGAACTGGAAAATACTTTCTTAATCTTTAATTTGAATGTTTATCACCATCTAATCCACCGAAAGTGTTTCTGCAATGGAAAATAAGAACACTATTGTATTGCCCCACTGGCACATACCCATAGTCCATCTGAGCCTAATACTCTGTTCTGGGCCCTGAAGGATATTTTGAGAGAATATCTGATTGTTTGCCCAGGTTTCAATCTCAGAAGAGAACTGGGATGCCTTCCAACACTTGTGAAGCTATTGGCATTTTCAGTCAATCCCACTCTTGGGATAATGACTTATTAATAAATAATGATCACTCAATTACATAGTATTAAATTTTATTTATGATAAATTGAACAGTTGTAAATTTCTTGATATACTGCTTACTTTTTCGTCCTAAAAAGGTGGTGAATACAGTAAATAATGTGATATTTCCTTAGCAATCATAGTTTGATCTGGTCCATGATTTTCATTTCCTAATTATTTTACTGGGCTGACATAGTGTAGAATATTCTACACTTCCTCCTGTGATTTTACACAATTCAAGATTGCTATTTTCCTGTTGATCTCTGAGACCTTTTTTAGATGTTACCATGTTTTATTGCTCCCTTTGCTCAATTAAGTTTAGTATTTTCTTTTTGGAATAATAAATGGAGTCTCAGCATGGCTACTGTCTTTGTTTTTTGTTGCTGTGGTTTCTTTTTTTTTCAATATTTATTTATTTATTTTTGGGGGGATGGAGTTTTGCTCTGTCACCCGGGCTGGAGTGCAGTGGTGTTATCTTGGCTCACTGCAGCCTCCGCCACCCGTGTTCAAGCAGTATCATGCCTCAGCCTCCTAAGTAGCTGGGATTATAGGCAAGCACCACTATGTGTGGCTAATTTTTGTATTTTTAGTAGAGACGGGGTTACATTACGTTGGCCAGGCTGATCTCGAACTCCTGATCTCAAGCTATCCACCCGCCTCAGCCTCCCAAAAGTGCTGGGATTACAGGCGTGAGCCACCGCACCTGGCTAGGTCACTGTGTTTGTAATGTAAGTCAGTGGAGTTTCCCTCTCAGATTCATGACCTCAGTTGAGACTAGCTTGTCATATTTATGTCCACCTCCGCCATTTAGATCCATTTTAAATCTCATCCTTTAGCCATGCTTATTAATCAGCTGAAAGAACTTCCCCCCTTTCTCTGAACTGCATTCGTTTTTCTGACAACCCAAGGGTACAATAAAGGTCATAGTAGGAATTTGCATACCATCTCTATGTGTAAACAAAGTTCCAGGAGATGATACATCTATGTATAATAAGTAAAATGATATGGCTTCACAGGTGCCTCAAAATGACAGATTTCTTTCAACCAAGGTTTCATGTGTTGGGCCTAATGACTGCTGCTTGTCAGAAGATCTGGTGGTTGTTTACATGTGTCTTTGACTAGCAAAAAATTAGAATACACATTATTAACAAATAAGTTGAATTAAAAAGACTTTTCACTGTGTTTACATTGTGAGGCAAAAACTAATACAAAGATTCTTTATGCTTGAAAAGTTTGGGAACCACTAATTATTTTCTCTCACATGCATAAGACTTGCCAAATTTTACTTTACTTTTTGTATTTTTAAATTTGTATCTTATTTCCTAATAGATTGTAAGCATCGTGCATCAAAATTTCATACTTTAAAGAAAAAGACATCCATATGTGATACGTAGAATGGTGCCTTGCCTGTGGGATAGGCATATACTTAATCATCCTTAAAGGAGGGAGATGCCATGTTGTCCCTAGAATTTACGGTAAATCCTGTCACTCTGCTGGATGTGAAGGTGTGGCTCCTTGTCACTTCTCACGCCCACTCTGTCCTCCAGCGAGTGGGCCTGGTGGCTGTCTGTATTGACAGGTTGTATGTTTTGGTGGTTCCCCTTGGTTCACTTTTGTTCCTGAATTCCTTTAAAACTCTAGGGCAGGTGCCATATTTTTCAGATGATTTTTCTGACCTAATTTGCTTTTCAGATGATTTTTCTGACCTAATTTGCTTTTTTTTTTTTTTTTTTTTTTTTTGGAGACTGAGTCTTGCTCTGTTGTCCAGGCTGGAGTGCTGTGGCACAATCTTGGCTCACTGCAACCTCTGCCTCCCTAAGTTCAAGCAATTCTCTTCCCACAGCCTCCTGAGTCGCTAGGACTACAGGTGTGTGCCACCATGCCAGGCTAATTTTTTGTATTTTTAGTAGAGATGGAGCTTCACCATGTTGACCAGGCTAATTTGATTTTTAAATCTGTCCATTTCCTACTATTTAAATTAACATCTGTCTTCCTTTTCTGAAGAAACAGCTTTGGAGAGTGTGTAAAGCTTTTATTGGTGAAACTTAATGCAAAGAGTTAATGATCTTCCTGTGAAAGAAATAGGTAAATATGGCCAGATGTGTCGAGTGCATTTCCCAAACTAATATTTAGCTCTCATTCTTCCTGTAAGATGAGCATTTAGAGGGTCCACTGATTTCTCTAGCTGAATTTTTTTTCAGGATGCTTCCATTTTTAGCTTGTTGTTTCCTTCGAAGTGCTCCTTAAATTATTTTTAATTGACTTCTTAGACCTGATCTTCTGTACTTCATGACTTCTTCTTTTCCTTTTTTTTGGTCTCCCTTCCATTTTAGGACATCCTTTTCATTCCAGGGTCTGTCTTTCTTTTTTTTTTTTTATTCTGCCAGTTATCTACACAGTGATTTTGTTTAGGAAGAACCTGGGCTTTCTGGTTTGGCTAATGCATAGTGTTTTGTGTTTGAAAAGTCTTTGAAAGTGCTTTTCCTTTGTGCTATAAATCGTTCATAACTCCTGTTTGATTGACTTTTCAAGTATTCACCCAATATTGCTCTGGAAGCTTATGTCATCAAGTCTACTGGCTTCACGGGGATGACCTGTACCGTGTTCCAGAAAGTGGCAGCCTCTGATCGTACAGGACTTTCGGATTATGGGAGGCGGGATCCAGAGGGAAACCTGGATAAGCAGCTGAGCTTTAAGTGCAATGTTTCAAATACATTTTCGAGTCTGGCACTAAAGGTATGTTACATTCTGCAATCATTTAAGACTATTTACAGTTAAATTAGAATGCTCCAAATGTTCTGCTTCGCAAAATAACCTTATTAAAAGATTTTTTTTTTGCAGGAAGATAGGTATTATTGCTTTTGCTACTGTTTTAAAGAAAACTAACCAGGAAGAACTGCATTACGACTTTCAAGGGCCCTAGGCATTTTTGCCTTTGATTCCCTTTCTTCACATAAAAATATCAGAAATTACATTTTATAACTGCAGTGGTATAAATGCAAATATACTATTGTTACATGTGAAAAAATCTTATTTGACTTAAAAGTTTATTTATTTGTTTTTTTGCTCCTGATTTTAAGACAATAAGATGTTTTCATGGGCCCCTAAAAGTATCATGAGCCTTTGGCACTGCGCCTGCCAAGCCTAGTGGAGAAGTCAACCCTGAGACCAGGTGTTTAATCAAGCAAGCTGTATATCAAAATTTTTGGCAGAAAACACAAATATGTCATATATCTTTTTTTAAAAAAAGTATTTCATTGAAGCAAGCAAAATGAAAGCATTTTTACTGATTTTTAAAATTGGTGCTTTAGATATATTTGACTACACTGTATTGAAGCAAATAGAGGAGGCACAACTCCAGCACCCTAATGGAACCACATTTTTTTCACTTAGCTTTCTGTGGGCATGTGTAATTGTATTCTCTGCGGTTTTTAATCTCACAGTACTTTATTTCTGTCTTGTCCCTCAATAATATCACAAACAATATTCCAGTCATTTTAATGGCTGCATAATAACTGATCCAACAGGTGTTAGGTGTTCTGGTTTAGTGTGAGCACTCAATAAATATTGAATGAATGAACGAATTAGTGTATTTTTGTATACTTTTTCTTGGTGACCACCATTAAAGAGAGCCAATTGGCTAAATTTAGAAAATCCCAACTGCCCAAGAAAATCTCAACTAGGTCAAAATGTCTGATAATAATATATTTACTTGATACCCTATACTCAGAGGAAAATTGGCAAGATTTGCCTGTTAATATTGGCGCTAAGAGAGTATTTGATGCACTGTGCCACACTCCTTTGGACCTGCTCAACTTTCCTTATTGTGTCTTATATTGGGGAAAAAAACAAAACAAAACAAAAAAACCACAAACATACTATAAAAGACTAGAAACAGCAACACAGAGAAACCCATGAGAGAAAGGTGTGTTTTTTGAGGAATACTTAAAATTGATGAACACTTCTGTCTTAGATGATCACAGTTGGTAGAAAGGGATTAAAAATGACGAAACCCTACATTTCATCAATTTCACAACCTACCCCTCTGGGTAAGGAGAGTTTCTACTTGCTAAAGTAGAAGGCTTTAGATGGACACTCAGATTTGTCAATTTCATGCCATTCTATCCTTTTAAGATCATCCTGTGGCCAGAGAGCAAGGACACATTACACTATTATTCATGCTTCATAGGTGGACACGATTAAACTGAATGAAAAAGGAACATATCCCTCGTGACAGAAAATTAGTTAAAAATTCTAATGTTAATGGCATAAAATGTGGTTAAGCTTTAGCGCTTGAACAAAAAACTAACTTTACATTTTACATTTTATACTAGGGCAGTTTTTGCTCTTTCTTTGCATCCTTTTTTTTTTTAATCCCTTGAATATACTAACTAGAAAACCTGAACATCCAGAAACTGATTGCACTGCCTTTAAATGGGAGCATATGCTGGTGTGTGAAGTTAAACCCATAAAGAGGCAGTCATTATTTAGCAGTAGGTGCCTCCTTGATTTGCTTCCTGCATATTTCAGAATCTCTGTCCTTCCCTCTATACTCCCTCCTCAGCCTGCTTCGGACTCCCATCCTGTATTGCACAAACCACGGTAACTTTGAGTCTCTGTGTCTCTAGGCTGGCTCTTCAGCTAACATGTATCACTACAACGATGCCACTTAGTAAAATATTGAAATACTTCCTTACTATTTAGCAAATAGCTGCTGCCCCAGTTCTCTGAGTGCTTCCTCAGCCCTCCTGCTTCTTCTGTTGGGACCACCACCCAGACCTCTCTTTTCACCATTTCACACCTGAAGGCCTGGTGCCTGCAGAACAGGAGGCCTCTGGGAGCCTTCCCTTCTGTGCAGGCTGTTCTGATTGTCAATGCCTGTGCCATTTCAGGTTGTTAATGTTGTGGGCATTCTACCTGGATCCTCCCCAAATGGAAATTGACCTTGTGCACCCCTTCATAAATGTCTCATGTCTCTCCAGAGACTGTTCAGTAGCTTTATCATTTGACGTCTTCCCTCTCTCTCCACAGTACTTCCCACCTCTCCCTTTTATCCAGCAACAGCAAACTTTCCTTGGTTCCTCTCCCTACTACCTGGTCATTCTCAAGCAGGCTTGTGCTAATTCTCCTACTCGAATCCCTACTCCTCCCCTCCCTTCCCAGCTCCTTGGTGATAACACCCAGCAGAAATGTCACTCCAAGAAATTTTGCCTAATCTCATTCAGTTCTCCACTCCCACCCTTGTCTCCTTTATTTTTCTTCCCGTTTTTCCCATAATGCCTTGTTCATCTCTCTCTCATTGCCTGTCACATTTGGGAGCCTGAGAATCAAGATGGGTTTCTTGGTTGCCTGAGGGCAGGCCTAGTGCTGGAATCACCAGTGACTTCATACCTGGCTTCAGTTGGTCACCAGTTGGTGACAGAGCTGCCTGATACTTGTCTCTTACTGACAGCATCTATCAAATCTCTTCCAATTTTTTCTCAATGAAATGTTTCCTTTCACTGTGGATACCATAACTCAGATATGTTAGCATAACAAAATAGTATCTGTTTTCAGTAAACTACTTTACTTTTACTGAGGGCTTTGGAAATAAGCTGGTGTTTTGAGTTCAGGTGTAATGTAGCCAAAAAGGAGAAATAATTAATTCTTTATACTTCACCTGACTAGAATTTAGAAATCAGTTTTTCTTTACACATCCCAGACATCTAGAGCTTCAGTCCAGCTGAAGTCTCATGAATTTTTCAGGCTAGTCATTATGCATCTTCTTGCTTCCTGCCTTCGTTTTTGCACTTTTCCAGTCCATCCCTGCTTGGTGAAATTCCTGCTACTCTCCCTTTAAAACTGCCTTTGGATTCTTCCTTCTCTTCTTCAGACAGAATTAACCATTGCCTGTTAATCCCGTTGTGCTTTGTTCATTCTTCAGAATAATTATAAGGTGATACAGTGGTGGAGCGAGCTGCAATGAGAGGCCATATGATACAGTGACTAAGACTGTGGTCTCTCTGTAGCCAGACAGTCTGGGTTCAGGTTCTCTCCCCAACTTAACAGCTGTGCAAATGTGGGCAACTACCTTAACCTTTCTGAATGTCAGTTTCTCGGCTGTTATGCAGATTATGAAATGGTCCTTAACTCGAAGGGTTGTTGAGAGGATTAAGTGAGGTAAATATGTAGACATTCACCACAGTGCCTGGCACAGAGTAAGCACTCAGTAAGTATTAGCTCTTACTGTTTTGTTGCTGTTGTTATCTCTCCTTTGTTAGACTATGAATTTTGGGGGACAGGGACCACAGCTTATTTATTGCATTTTATGTCTCCAGGCTCTGCATAGTTCCAAGCCCAGAGTAACTAAACATTCAATAAATGTCGAATAAAATTAACAGCCAAACTTAATTAGCAAACAAAGTCAGTTAAAAAATTAATTCTAAAGTCAAATGTAATTGCTGTTAATCTTCAGTGAGAAACTCAAAAGGTGGTATGCAGTTAATAATTATACACAAGAAAATAATTAGGAGATATTATAGCATCTGTCTGTTTAAAGTCAAGTAAGTGGTCAAGAAAACATAGATAAATTAGTATTTTATTGTTTTGAATCAGATGTTTCTTTGGCTCATTCTGATTTTCATGTTAGAATACTGTAGATTTTAACCCATAAAGATTTCTGAAAATTTTATTAACTACATAGTGGAGGAAGTCCAGATTTTTTGATAAGGAAAGATGTTAAGATGTAGTGAAAGTATTGGAATTAACCTCCATTATGCTTATCATTTTCCTTTTAGCTTAGTGTCATTGTAAATAGTGAAATATAGATGAATTTAGCAAAAAAAAGCAGCTGTGTGGTAACAGTCATTTCTTGTGTGTTCATATTTCATCAATTTTTAGTGTTAAAATGAACACTGAAACTGAATGGTAGAAGTCAAAACATGATGACGTTCTAGATTATTCTTGGCAATTTAGTTAAGGCATTTCCTCTCCCCCAGTCCCCAGATAACCATCTTCCACTGTGCTGCAGTAACAACAGTAAAAAATACCACCGACAGTTCCCTAGACTTTTGTGCTTGTCATGGTCCTGATCCCATCTGGTCCTCACAACCATTTGTTACAAAGATGATTAGCTGTGTTTGACAGATGAGACTCAGAGAGGTTAAACAAAGTCGTGCAGTGTTAACCAGCTGCTAAGTGGTGAGGCTGGAACCCAAATCCTTTATTTCAGATCTCATGTTCTCTACATGGTATATGATTTTTCAATAGTAAATACTGGAAACCGAAAACTTGTTTTTCCCAAAGGATCTTAAGAGAGATTTTTCTACTTTATTACCTCTCATTCGTGTGTTTGTTATCTGTTTCCATTGATATAATCCATATATTTTAAAATAAATGTATGGTTAAATGAACTTACAAACTTTGTGCTTGCCACCCTCGGGCCAGGTGGAAGAAGGTATATTCATGATAAATGCACCAAATGAAGTAAGTGTTTTGCGGTGACTAATAGATTTACAACCTTTCTGTAAATAATGATCAACATTTCTTTTAAAGAAATTAAATACACAAGTATTCCATTGTTAGTATAAAAGTCTAAACATTATTGATACGGCTGAAGTTTACCTTATCGGCACCCTAGGCCACTCTCTATATCTCAGGGAACCTGCAGTTATTATTTAGTAATGTTTGTATTGGACTTGGAAGGATATTTTAGAAGCCTTAAATATGTAACAGCCATGAGTATATAGCTCTGGTTACCCAGTAATATGTCCATACTCCTGGTTTTTTGTACATTGTTTTTTTTTTAATTGGTTCTACAGATTTAAACTTGTGTAGGAGACCTTTTCTAACTTCTAGAAAGTATAGATGTTATTCCCTATTTTAACTTTCTTTTAAAAAATGTAAATGATTTGTTTTAAATCAATTTGATTTATCGTTACTAATACTTCCCCAAAGAGCCATGCTTTGTTTTCAAGTCATTTTGTGTGTATAACGATATTATTTTATGAATTTTATAGTACTTGAGTTTTAATAAATGTGCATTATGTAATACTTTATCACGATTTTGAACTTTTAACTAATCTGTTTTCTCTCTTTGCATGTGTCATTATGTACTTAGGAGAAATTTGTGTACTTAATGGAAATCTAGATTAGTGAATAAATTTATAATATTTTTCACATTAGATTATATTTGTGAGTGAGAATAGCAGGAACCTTTTTATGCGTCTTCTCAAAATATTTCTACTAAATATTTTCTTGGCATCTTCAATTTAAAAGTAATATACAAACATCTAAAATACTTACATTGAAAAGATATTTATGGGTATCTGCTGTGATCTAACATCATTAATTCTAAAGTCAATCATTTGCTTAAGTAGAATTGTTTTTAAAATAAACATGCCATACAGACATTGTTCATTTCACAAACAGTGGATTATTTTGATCAAATGCAAGTGGTAGGAACTATTAACATAGAGGTTTCAAAAAGTGAGTGAGATTGACTGCACCCCAAATCCTCATACTCTGGCTTGAGGAGCAGACAGTGAGCTACATCATGGGGGACTGCAAGTGTGTATTATGACTAATGTGTGCAGAGTGTTGTGTGAGTCCAGAAGAGGAAGCAGCTAATCTGAAGATGCAATATACTGAGGAGATGCAATTAACTGTCCAAAAAAGCCCTGTTTCAAGGACTCTGTATAAAGTCTTCCCCCTGGCTGCCAACGTTTTTCATTCTAATCCACTTTCCGTTACACCAATTCAAAAGTTTGTGAGATGAAAGAATAGTGGAGCATTTCAGGTAGAGATGCTGGTCTGTGCAGTGAGCATGGTGGCATAAAAAGAATATAGGAGAACTTAAATTGATAACTCAGTGTAGCTGTGTTTTAGGTTGTGCTATAGGAGCATTCAGGGGATACATCTGAGCAATAGATTTTCATCAAATTATATGGTGAACTTAGGATTTGGGCTTAGTATTAAACATTGCAAAACCAAGGTGTTATTTAAACTGGAATAACATGATTCGATTTGTTTCTTAAGGGGAAATTCCGGTGAATATGGAATTAGAAGAAGAGAGGTTAGAAGCCAAGAAAAAGATTGTACAATAAATTCTTCAACTATGGAATGTTTTTAGATGGTTAATTGTTCACTTCTTTGGTATATATATATTTTTTACTGAATGCTGAATAATTTGTTATTTAAAAATCCTCAATAAAGAAATCTGAAAAAATTCAGTGATCAGTCAGCATTTTCAGTTGTTCCTATGTGTTATTATTTTTTTTTTCTAAATGTGTTTCCTAGTCTCAAGGAAATTTCTGCTAAGTGTACTGAATCTAAACCTCTATTATGTTTGTATAATTTCATTCTTTTGTTGTGTGGAGGTTTGAATTCATCATAAATCACCTTAAAGTTCCATAAGCCCAAATTAATTATACTCATATTTATGATATGCTACATTTGTGCTTCTTTATCATATTTTATCATTGTAAAATTGATACAGCCTGATCATTGAGATCCTTGATCTGTTTAATGCTATCTACTTCAACATATAATATCATGGGAAAATTAACTTTGTTAATTTGAAACACTTTTCTTGTTTACTTATTTAACTCTTTAAAGTTTGCATTTCTGTTTTATACTTCTTTTAATCTATGTTATGTGGTGTTGACATTTCGCTTGACTGATGATTTTTTTAACTGTTAAATTTTGTATATCCAATTTAAAAAATGAAGTCAACCTAATTATACCACTTTTGTAACTATCTGACATATTTTTTTCTGGTTTCTATGTACTAATGTAGTGAGCTTTTTTTATGTATATATATTTTTTCAGAATACTATTGTGGAGGCTTCTATTCAGCTTCCTCCTTCCCTTTTCTCACCAAAGCAAAAAAGAGAACTCAGACCAACTGATGACTCTCTTTACAAGCTTCAACTCATTGCATTCCGCAATGGAAAGCTTTTTCCAGCCACTGGAAATTCAACAAATTTGGCTGATGATGGAAAACGACGTACTGTGGTTACCCCTGTGATTCTCACCAAAATAGGTTTGTATGTGGCATATGTTATCCTGTAGTCAGTGGACAATAAGGCCTTGTAGTTGACTGTTCCTAAAAATGCTTATTTTAGTGTTTTCTCGTTTTAATGAGTCACTAGTGAAGAAAGATCTTGCAGAGTACCCATTACTGTAGAAGTTGACATTTATAATTGGTTATGAAGTTTGTTTCAGAAATATTTTTATTTCCCATTTTCTCCAGATGGTGTGAATGTAGATACCCACCACATCCCTGTTAATGTGACACTGCGTCGAATTGCACATGGAGCAGATGCTGTTGCAGCCCGGTGGGATTTCGATTTGCTGAACGGACAAGGAGGCTGGAAGTCAGATGGGTGCCATATACTCTATTCAGATGAAAATATCACTACGATTCAGTGCTACTCCCTTAGTAACTATGCAGTTTTAATGGTATGGCAGTTGTTAACTTTATGCATAAACACTATTCTACATTTTTGCTATGCATAATTAAGCTCAAATGAAGTGTTTTTTTGTTTTTTGTTTTTTTTTTTTTTTTACTTTTAACATAATTTGCTCCCTTTGATTATATGAGATGATATGTGTTCTAATTTTGATTTTAAAGGGAAATTAAGTTACTACCAAGTGAAATGTATGGGATTGAGTTTGGTATATAGGAATTTTAAATCAACTTTATAAGTCAATCAGTTCAGTTAGTCTTTGACCTTAAAACTTGGAGAGACTGTTGATGCAGATTCCCTCTGCCCAGAAAGAGTGATTTCATTTGCCGAAGGATACACAGTGAGTAGTGAAAGAACATTTTCCTACTTTGCAATCTAGCGCTGTTTCCCACTACATGTCGTAATTGTTAGACTCTATTTAAATTTAGAATTAATCATGATAATTTCATTTTTGTCATTGCAAGTGACAGTATTGACACAAAGAATGTCTTTTCAGTTTTAATGCCAGTCTAGTGTTGTTTTCTGTTATTTGCCGTTGTTAACACTAATTACAGGTTGAGTCTTATCTCTTATCTGAGATGCTTGGGACTAAAAATGTTTTGGATTTTGGATTTTTTCAGATTTTGGAATATTTGCATTATCACTTACCAGTTCATCATTCCTAATCCAAAAATCTGAAATCCTCCAAGGAGCATTTTCTTTGAAAAGTTTTAGATTTTGGAGCATTTTGGATTTAGGATTCTTGGGTTAGGGATACTCAACCTGTAATTTTTGGGGGGTAAAATAACAGTTATTAATGTACAGGAGCAAGTGTTTTTATTAATGAGGTCTTTAAGTGAATCTGACGTCTGAGCAGATAATTATGAAATAAACCATGCTAGTTCTTATTTTATATTGTAATTATTATAAATACTGACATCAAGGAGTATATTTAGAGTACGGTGGAAGGAATTACTGACGAGTGTGAAAGACATTTCCCAGAAATGGTTTGAGGTTACTCTGGGTGTGAGGAACTTCTATGTTATTTCTGATTCCAGCTGTAAATCTGTTTTCTAGAAAATGTTTTATCAAAGTGCTAAATACCTTGAAACATGATATATTTTACATTTCATGAATTTTTCTTTTCTTAAAAAAATAGCATTTAGCACTAGAAATGATCTTGAAGTAAACCTGAATTATAAATAATTTTCTTTGACTCTTGTATGTTTTTTTTTGTTGTTGTTGTTGTTTCAATTCAACTTATACCTTACCTGGTACACAGGTCAAGCAAGCAGAAAGGTGAATAGATTATTTATCAGAGTAAAGGGATTATCTTTTCATTGACATAATTGAGCATTTTATACAAGTGCAAGCAACATATTTAAACATGTATGTTTATAGACTCGGCTATATTTGTATATTTGTATATATAAAGGACCTTTATTCAATTGGGATTAACTTTAGTGTTGACAGTTTATGATTCTGATTCTCTTTGTAAATGGAAGATGTCTTGATTTCTGTAAGCATGAGTCTGGTTTCTATAAGTTCACATTTTATTATTGTGTAGTCAACTTATATTTATTTTTTGTTTTTTTGAGACAGAGTCTCACTCAGGTTGCCCAGGCTGGAGTGCAGTGGTGCAATCTCGCCTCACTGCAGCCTCTACCTCCCAGGCTCAGGTGATTCTCTTACCTCATCCTCCTGAGTAGCTGGGATTACAGGCAGGCACCACCAAACCCGGCTAATTTTTGTATTTTTAGTAGAGACTGGGTTTTGCCATGTTTCCCAGGCTGGTCTTGATCTCCTGGACTCAAGTGATCTGCCTGCCTCAAGCTCGGAAAGTGCTGGGATTATAGGCATGAGCCACTGCCACCTTTTAAATTAAAGCATGAAGCGTTAAAGTATGTGGCATTTTCTCTTCCATTTTGAAAGTGTTTTCTCATTCAGTTTTGAATATAAAATAAACTGTGATGTACTGATGAGAAATAATATTCAACATTGTCAGAAATTTATAAGTTAACAAGAAAAAATTGAGCAAAATAAATGAAACACAAAACATACACAAAAATGCATTTTATAAGCCTTCGCTGTGATATTGCACCATGTGAAACTTTTATTTTTATTTAGTCTAATACCAGTTTAAAGCATCTATTTGTGAACTTCCTAGCTGTTCTTCAAAACTATTAAATTAGTATAATCCTTTTCTGGAAGGAATAAGCTATTCTTTTATCTTTCAGACTTTTAATCTCTTAAAAAAATGTAATACACAATTCTTTAAAGTTAAAATACTGTAGTACTAAGATTTTTTTTCTATTTATTTTCAAAGACTTTTTCCTTTTCTTAAATGTAATTGTGCCATCTAGAGGCAGCAAAGAGAAATGTATTTGAAATTGTTGACAAAATTAAAGTTACTGCATGGGAGTTAGTTGCTAATTAAACATAAAGAAAAAGTTAATGAAATTATACCCACTTTTAGGTAAAGTTATGTTTAGGATTGAAAAAATTGTTTTTAAAAAATTAGAAAGCAAATTAGAAAGCAGTGTCTTTTTTCCTTATATTAAGCTTTTAAAAATTGATAAAATCCTATGTCTCTTGAATACCATCTTAATATATCCTTTTATATAGTAAGTCTAAATTCCTATCTTGGGATATAGTCCATAAAACTTTCCTTTATCTGATTTTAAGAGTTTTGAATTTTTAAAAAATGCGACATAAAGAATATACTTGTTCATAAATCTGAGTATACATCCTGCTATACCAGTTATTTACTAAGGTCTCATTGGGAGCCAGAAAAAAAAATTAAGCAGAAATTAGGTTTGCTTGAATGATATGATCTGGAATAGCCAGGTGGGGCAGGAAGATTCACAGGAGCTGGTGTCTGTAGGAAAAAACAAAGAAAGAAAACTGAATAGAAAGTAGGGTTATGATTAGGTTCAAACTATGTAGTGCTTAATACTTTAATCACTAGTGGTGAAGATAAGCTAATTTATATACATTGATTCCTCTTTTGTTGTGTTCACCTAAAAATATGAAACTAGAGAGCATTCATTAATTTTCTTTTTCTAGTGATTCTTTTACATTTGTTTATATAAAACATGCTGAATACCATCTTAATATGTCATTTTATAGATTAAAATGGTATTCAAAGCAACTTTGATATCATTTACTCTATAATTGAACATAAATGCTAGTGATGTTTTTGTTTAAATAATTTTAAAATAAGTACTATACTCACATGGATGTAATGTTTTATTTATTTCTACACATTAACATACAGTGAAAGCTGGAAGTCCTACCTATCTCTCGTATCACACTGATAAGTAACTACTGTTTGTTTCTCGCGTATTGTTGAGGAGACCCTCGTGTTTATGGAAACAAAAATGAGTATATGTTCCTATTTTTTTGCATTTTTGCACAAAGGTTGCATACTACACACACTGTTCTAAACCGTGCTTTTTTCTGTAGAGCAACATTTCTTAACTATGATGGTGATAATGTATCTTAAAGAAGAGGATGGTGATGGTGGTAGTGGTGGCCAATCTTTATTAAGCACTTATGTGTCAGCCACTCCTCTGATGTCTTTATATACATTCAGTTACTCAGCTCTTATAACAGCCTCATGAGAAATAGTACTGTCATCACCCCCACTGTACAGATGTGGAAACTGAGGCAGAGAGAGGTTAAATGCCATGCTCACAAAGCTAGTGCTGGTATTGGGATTTGAATTCACAGTCTCATTTTGGGATCTGTGTTAATAATCCCTCTGCTAAGTCTCCTTTCTGAAATCCTCTCAATATACGAGTTTCCTCATTCTTTCTTATCTCTGAATATTATGTTTCTACCATAATTTATTTAGATATTTCTCTATTGTGTTTGTTTCTAGTGGTTTGTACAGTGTCATTTTGCACATTTAATTGAGCATCTGTGAGACAAATTCTCCAAAGTGGAATTGATAATCAAAGGGACCAACTGGTTTAAATTGAGGTATTGAGCAAAGTGCACAAATATTGGTTATATTTTTACAAAAGAATGTATAAGAACAAGATTTGTAGTAGAGTGCTGGACAGTGCTCCTGTGTTTCTCTCTAGTCAGTTCCTGCCACCATCTCCAGGAACCACCCTTTTGATGTCTCTCACTATAGATAGGTTTGGCCTGTTTTTAGACTTTAGTTGTGTAGTATGTACACTTGTGTCAGGTTCTTTCCTGTCATTACATGGTTGGAATTTATCTTCATTTTTGCATTTAGCAGCAGTTTATTCTTTTCCATTGCAGTGTAGCAGTCCATTGTATCAATATGCCAAAGTTTGTTCATTTTATCATTGATAGCCATTTCTGTTTCTAGGTTTTGGGTGTCAAGAAAAAGCTGCTGTGAGTACTCATGTATATGTTTTATGATGGACATGTACACTCAGGAGTGAAATTGCTAGATTGTAGGCTTTCCATGTGTTTAGCTTTAAGTAGCTAAAGCCATGCAGTTGACCAAAGTGGTTATGTTGGTTTACAGTCTCAACAGTAATGAGAGTTCCAGGTGCTCTACATTTTGACCATGCTTGGAATTGTCAATCTTCAGTTTTAGTCTTCTGGTGGTAGTGTTGTGATGTATCATTCTAGTTTTAATTTGCATTTCTCTGGTGACTATTGATGTTGAGCACTTCTTTAGCTTTTTATTGGCAGTTTGGATATCCCCTTTTCCTGACGTTCCTGCTCAAGTCTTGCCTATTTTTAATTTTGTTGTCTTTCATTTTCTTAATTATTTATAGGACTTCTTAATATGGGTACTGAATATGAGCTCCCTGTTGGATTTATGTGTTGCATACATCTTCTCCCAGTTCATGCCTTTTTTTTTCCTCAATATTGTCTTTTTATGAACAGAGTTTCTTAAATTTTCTGAAGTACAATTTCTTGGTTGTTGTTGTTGTTTTAGTTAATGCTGTTTAAGAAATTTTTCTACCCCAAGATTATGAAGATCTTCTTTTTTGTTCTCTTCAGAAGCTTTAATATGTTTTACCTTTTATATTTAGTTCTGTAATTTGACTGGAATTGATTTTTTGTTGATGATGTGAGGTAGGGAGAATAAAATCTTTAAATTTGTATTCTTTGTTCCTTAGTGGGGAAAAAGCAACATAGAAGTAAGTCATAGTCGTCTTTTAACATTTTTGTTTTTTTACATTTCTGATTTCAATCTATTTTAAAATTTTAATGGTAAACTCTTATTATAATTCTTTATTCCCTTACACACAGGATGCCCTGATATATTTTCTTTGGATTCCTTTCCATTGTTCAGATCCTGGTACTTAGACAATTGCTTATTTTAATTATTCTTATTGATACAGTGATAATTATGGAAAATGTCCACTGATTTTATATTCAGTAATTCTGAGGCCTGAAGTAACACTTGTAAATATATGAATCTCTGACAAGTAAACAGTTCTAAAAACTTTTTCCATTGATTTGAATCCTTAGTAATGATCATCTTTGTGATTTTTTAACACACATTTGATGTTTAATTTCTCTGTATTAGTTCAGCTAACTTCTGTGGAGAACTTTATTTTTCATTTCTTGGCTTAGTTATTAAAGTTTGTACTGAGTAGAAGAGGAACTAAGATTACTATTTAGTGATGGACTGTGGTCATGTGGTTGCTGGAGGGCAGAGTCATTTTCTATTTTATTTATTACTGTGTTGCAAATGTGAGCAACAGTTTTACTTTTTCTACTCAAAGGTGTCTCATACCACCATTTTTATATAGTGTGTTTAGTAATGTTTTTGTTATCATAAAGCCTATATTTATTTACTACCATAATTGAAAATAATTTGATTCAGGTTTCTGCTTTCTCTCTCTCATTGTAGAGCTTTAACTTGTTTACTATCCTGGTATTCTAAAATTCTCAATTGCCGTAAATATTTTTATATTCTTTTTCTTTTTGAGGCGGAGTCTTGCTCTGTCGCCCAGGCTGGAGGGCAGTGGCTTGATCTCGGCTCACTGCAAGCTCCGCCTTCCAGGTTCACGCCATTCTTCTGCCTCAGCCTCCTGCGTAGCTGGGACTACAGGCACCCACCACCACGCCTGGCTAATTTTTTGTATTTTTAGTAGAGACGGGGTTTCACTGTGTTAGCTAGGATGGTCTCGATCTCCTGACCTTGTGATCCACCCGCCTCGGCCTCCCAAAGTGCTGGGATTACAGGCGTTAGCCACTGCGCCCGGCCTTATATTCTTTTGTATTGCCCAATCTAGCCAGATTTTTTTAAAGGTGGGAAAGCTAATAATGGCTTTTAATATTTTTTTTTTAAGGTGGGAAAGCTAATAATGGCTTTTAATTTTTTTAGTGGTTCTGTTTTACATGGTTAATACTACCTGCATAACAGCTTTAATTTGCCTCTTGGCCCCCAAAGTCTACAATGTTTACTATCTGGCCCTTTATACTATGCTTTTCCCTAGGTTCATTTTTCGGCAGGAGACCTCTTTGCGTGTGGGCAGGTCAAAAATGCTCTTGTGGGATTAATAACAGAATAATAAGGAACTGAAACAACTCAACATAAAAAATTTTTGATTTAAGAAATGGGCAAACGATCGGACTAGATACTCTGAAAAGAAGACATACAAATGACCAACAGGTGTATGAAAAAATCTCACAATCACTAGTCATCAGGAAAATACAAATCAAAACCACAATAAGATACCTTACCCCAGTTAAGTGGTTTGTATCAAAAAGACAAAAAATAACAGAATGTGGAGAAGAGAACTCTTATACATTGTTGGTGGGAATGTAAATTAGTACAATAATTATAGAAAGTAGTTTGTAAGTTTCTTGAAAAACTAAAAATAGAGCTACCGTATGATCCAGCAATTTCACTGCTGAGTATATATTCAGAAGAAAGGAAATCAGTATATTGAAGAGATACCTGCGCTCACATTTACTGCAGCACTATTCACGATAGCCAAGATAAACAATCAACGTTAAGTGTCCATCAGTCCATCAACAGACAAATGGGTAAAGAAAATATGGTATATATACACCAAGGAGTACTATTCAGTCATAAAAAAAGAATGAAATCTTGTCATTTGCAGCAACATGGATGAGCCTGGAAGTTATTTTGTTAAGTGGAATAAGCCAGGTACAGAATGACAAATAGTGCATGTTTTCACTCATATGTGGGAGCTGAAAAAGTTGATCTCATGGAGGTAGAAAGGAGAATGGAAAATACCAGAGGCTGGGAAGGGAAGGGTCTAGGAAGAGGGGGTGAAGTAAGGTTGGTTAATGAGTACAACCAAGTACAGATGGAATAAATTCTGGTGTTTGATAGCATGGCAGAGTGACTATAGTTATCAAAAATCTATTGCATATTTATTGCATATTTCATATTTCCCAATTTGATTTGGTCATTACACGTTATATGTACGGATCAAAATACTACATGTATGCCATAAATATATACAATTATGTGTCAATAAAAACATGTTGAGAACAAAATGCCCCTGTGGAAGCAGTGCCCTGTGCGACCAGTGACAGAGGTACTCATGCCTTTGTTCAGTCATTGTTGCCCTCTGTTTCAACATCTAGTTTCTTTTTCATTCTGTGTCACATTTGTTTGACTTTTGAAAAATAGCAGTTTCCTTTTAATTTTAATTTAATTTTTTTTTTTTTTTTTAGAAATAGGGGTTTGCTCTGTTGCCCAGGCTGGAGTGCAGTGGCGCAATCTCAGCTCACTGCAGCCTCAAACTCCCTGGCTCAAGTGATCCTCCCACTTCAGCCTCCCAAGTAGCTGGGGTTACAGGCACGCGCCATCATGCCCCATTAATGTTTTTATTTTTATTTTTTGCAGAAATGGGATCTCACTGTGTTGCTCAGGCTGGTTTCAAGCTCCTGGCCTCAAGCAATCCTCCTGCCTTGGGCCTCCCAAAACTCTGAAATTCTAGGCATGAGTCACTGTGCCTGGCCAAAAATAACTGATTTCTTCTAAACTTGAATGCCATATAGAGTATATTTTGAGAACTAAATCGGCTTTTAGTCGAATGTTTTATTCGATGGTATCCAGCTCCCCATATTGTTACTTTCTGCCAAGGGCTATGGGATGCACTTTTACCACCTTTCTTCTACCCCTTCTCCAACCCCCCTAAGATGATTAGAGGAGCCTCCATTTTACAGTGAGGTAACTGCCTCAAGTCTTATAGCTGGTAAGTGGCAACATGTTATTGAACATTTCCTGCAGTAATCTAAAGCAGGCACTGCTACAAAAGGACTTGAGAAGCTAAACTAGATATTGAAAGTTTATCCTCAGTTATTAGTTCTGTACTGGAATAGAAGCTTTTCATTGAATTTGGAGGAAAATATGTCTCTTCTCACTAGCATCTAACTGGTTTTCATTATCCCAACATTTCTTTGAATTTCCCTACTAATATTCTGGACTTTTAACAGAGTGCAACTATTTTGAGGCCATGTATTACAGGCTAGTGTTACGGGCATCTCACAAAGGCAAATTGCTCAGAATTGGTCCTGACACGCTTTTCTCTGGTCTTTTCCCTTTTGTGTACTTAATTTACAGACTGCAGGGCCTCCAAGGGTTGGAACTGTGTTCTGTCTATCCCTGTATATCCATTACTTGGTACTGTGCCTGACCATGGCCGGCACTCAATATTTGTCAAGTAAATGGGTGAATTGTAAGTTAGAGGCTCATCATAGTATAGTTGAGTAGTCTAGCTGGAATTCAGTTTCCTCTGTTCTCATCTCTGCTTCCCACTTACTGTGGTTTTTGTCATTAACTGTTCATCATTTGACAAGGTGAGGAGTTTGTTAGGCATCCTGATACCATCTTTTTAGATCTGTAATTGTAGATTGTGAACTTATGATTCTACCTTGGGAAAATTTGCCCCTTCCCTTCCTACTCTATTGAGGTCATCTTCCATTTCCTTGTCTGGTTGTCACTTATTCTCTTCCTTTCTTTTTTTTAATCTAGCTTTTCTTGTTTCAGATATTTTATTAATAACAGCTTCCTAATTGGAGGTATATCCACTGTGGGCTCCTTCGCTTATTCAGTAGTCACTTTTTAGCTATAAGAGTCAGTGCAGAAAGAGAATTTAGTGAAGGGATGTGGTTCTTACAACCCAGGTTATCTGGCATGGTGGCCAGGGTAGAGGTGTCTTTCCAACTTGCTTTGGTCTTTTATAAAGAGAGTAGCATTAAGATGCCCATTGTTTTCATTTCGGAGAGGCAGTGTCTGCATTGTTTTTGGGAGCAAGGACTTGGCAGCCAAGCTCCTTTGAATCTAATCCTTAAGGCACATAATTTTCTGTGCCTCAGTTTTTTAACATATAAAATGGGGCTAATAACATACTTACCTCATACAGTTATGGTGCTGGACACAGTCAGTGCCTAGATTGTTCACAGTCAATGTCTAATGTTCTATAAGTGACGTGCTGTTATTGCTTATTTATTTTTTTAAATTATTTTTCTTTTGAGAAAGGTTCTCACTATGTGGCCCAGGCTGGAGTGCAGTGGTGCTATCTTAGCTAACTGCAGCCTTGACCTCCTGGACTCAAGTGATCCTCCCAACCTCAGCCTACCGAGTAGCTGGAACTACAGGCGCACACCACCAGGCCTGGCTAAGTTTTTAAAATATATCTTTTGTGGAGATGCAAACTCCCTGTGTTGCCCAGGGTGGTCTCGAACTCCTGAGCTCAAGCCTGCCCACCTCAGCCTCCTAAAGTGCTGGGATTACAGGTGCGAGCCACTGTGCTCAGCCATTTACTGATTTTTGAGCTCTTACAGGGCTCTTCCTCTCTGCTGCCGTAATTGTGCTTGACTTATCTTCATCAAACATTGTTATGATCTGATTGTACATGTGTCTCCCCTGTGATTTTCACCTCTTCAGGGACAGGAACCATGTCTTACCGTTATGTCTCCAATGCCCTATGCAGTGTTTGGTCCGTTTGTATTTGAGGAACTTGAAGTTGAACTTGGCTACGGATAGTTAGGTGTCTTTGGGCTTTGTAGCCTCAGAGATACTGCTCTCATTGTGTCTGATCAGCTAGTGATTATGCAGAGTGATAACTGGGCTTAAAGGGCATTGAAAAGGATGAATTCTGGTTATGCTTTCTGAATTGCCTAAATGTAGGGGGCTGATTTCTCTTTTACCCTCATAGCAGAGTCAATATTTCAATTTATAAAATAGATGGTCCAGTGTAAAATGAGGGTATGCCGTAAGCAGTTAACACCATAGAAGTTAGGAAAGCAAAGTAACATGTTAGGAAAATAGCGTGAAACATTAGTCTGAATAAAATAAAGAGACATAAGGGCCAGAGTTTTTGTTTATTGATGTGTTTTCGTCACTCAAAAAAATCTCAGTAGTTAAATGTGGAGAGAAGTACTGCTAGAATGGATCTTTCTTTTTGCCCTCAGGATTTGACGGGATCTGAACTATACACCCAGGCGGCCAGCCTCCTGCATCCTGTGGTTTATACTACCGCTATCATTCTCCTCTTATGTCTCTTAGCCGTCATTGTCAGTTACATATACCATCACAGGTAAGAAATACATCTCGACAAAATAGATCTGCGGACTTTGATTTGAAGGACTTTATTTCACATTTAATTAGGATAAAATTGAGTTTGTTATCATCCTGTATTTCCAAAGTAAGGATGATGACTTTAGAATATATACATGCCTTCATTTCATGCCATTAGAAACATAAATAATTAGTATTTGAGATGATAAATTCTGTTTTTACAGCATCCAGTCAGTTTGCTGGGTTTGTATCTAGAAAAGAATATGGGCAATAGGTATTGGACACTGTGGGGCGGGTCACAGGCGCAATAGGAGGTAAAGTGAGGCGGAAGTTTCTTACCTGCAGAGGTACCTAAAGGGGTGTCTCTAAGTATCAGACTGTACTATTACTCTTATTTTATGACTTTTTGCCTATTATGATATTCTTTATTTTATAGATGACATTTTTAAGAAAATTTGTGGCATTTAAGCGTGGGATATGTTGTTTGTTAATCGGAGGCAAAGCTATAGAAACTTTTATTTTGTGGTGGGAAATAATGAACTAAAAGGATACGCTAAGCAGAAATTCGCTTTACAAAACGTTTTGCTAGAATGTGTCTTCCTGTTTAAGCTAGACATATATGGCATTTCTTGACATTTAGTTAAGAAACAAAAGGAGATTTTGATATATATTACTAAAAAGAAAGACTTCAACATTTTATTATGAAAGTCCAGGAAGAAATGCATTGAGTGTTTAGACCTGCGCCAGTGGGTCAAAAAAAGACCCATTGGCATCTTGCAGAAATCTCTAGGTGGCCAAGCAGGTAATCCAGTCATCTTAAGACATCGTAGTAACAAAAGCCCATGCGTTTCTTATTGTGGAGAATTTCTTTAGCATTTAGTGGGTGCAGTGGTTCTATAAATGGCTTTTTGTTTTTAAGTGCATAAAGTTAAATGTTAAGAAACGAGATCGAGTTAAATGATGTCTCAGATCTGTGCGTGTGTGTATGTGTGTGTGTGTCTGGTAGTATATGTTTGTTAAATGTTTAAATATCAAATATTTAACTTTTACCTTTGATGAAGTTGGAATTAAGATGAACATCATAGTTTTCTCCTTATGTACTAGCCTGAATATTAATATTTTCTCTCTTTTTTAAACAGTTTGATTAGAATCAGCCTCAAGAGCTGGCACATGCTTGTGAACTTGTGCTTTCATATTTTCCTAACCTGTGTGGTCTTTGTGGGAGGAATAACCCAGACTAGGAATGCCAGCATCTGCCAAGCAGTAAGTCAGAGTGAAAAACCGAAATGGAAAAAATTACTGGTATTAGAAGATAATTTCATTAACTATAAAAAGAAAAAATCATTCTTTAATACCTTTTCTTTAACTGATTAAAGTTAAATTTATTGTCTGTCACTTAAACAATCTGCCAGTTTACTTCCTGTTTTAAATTACCATTTTGCAACTGAATATATAACTTAAACAGCTCATCCCTTTATCATTGGGAATTTAGTGTTACACGTTATGGCTATTATTACAATGCCTGTTACTTATTTTTAAAATGTATGAAATTCTGACTTTGGCTGAAAGAGAAGTGACATTTTCTGATAGTAGAATTTTAAAAATTATTTTATGTGTTGATGAAAACAAAAATTAGAAAAAGAGTTAATCATAAAGATATAAAAATGACACTAGGTTAGATAAATATGAAGAATTTAAAAATATCTTACTCTTTGTTTCCAATAAATTATTACATATGTAGGCTTAGTGAATAGTCTTCTTGCAGCATAAATATAAAAATGGAAATTCTTCAATCTATGAATAGAAAATACGTAACATTTTATTTCTTTGTTTGTATATTTTTTTCACATGCATGATAGCAAGAAGTATAACGTAGTAATTGAAAGTTCAGGCTGCCTGGATTTGGATTTCACTTTACCATTTATCGGCTGTGTTTCTATGGGCAATCTGTTTAACCTTTTTTTTTTCTTTTGTTTGCTTTTAAAACTGTAATTAAAAAAATATATAACATGTGATCTCTGTAAACAAATTGTTCACTGTACAGTACAGTATTGTTACCTGTAAGCACAACATTGTACAGCAGATACCTAGAACTTTTCATCTTGTATAATTGAAACTCGGTATGCATTGAACAACGACCCCTTTTTTCTTCTCCTCCAATCTTATGGCAGTCACCATTTTCTTCTTGGCTTCTATGAGTTGTGACTACTTCAGATACCTCATATAAGTGGAATCATGCAGTATTTGTCCTTCATTGACTTACTTATTTCATTTAGCATAATGTTTCAACGTTCATCTATGTTGGTGAATATGATTTTCCTCTTTTTTATGGCTGAATAATATTCCATTGTATGTAGAGACCACATTTTCTTTATCTATTTGTTGTTGATGGACATACAAGTTGTTTCTATCTCTTGGCTACTGTGAGTAATGCTTCAGGGAACACAAGAGTGCAGGTATCTCTTTGAGATTTTGATTTTAATGTCTAACCCTTCTGTGTCTCAGTTTTCTCACCTATAAATTGGGAATGATAATCGAGTTGTTGGATGATATGATTATGTACACAAGTTATTAGAATTAATAGGAACGTTTAGCAGAGACGAACTGCTAGTGTGCAGAAATACAACTATGAGAAAACATAATGAGAAGGTAGCATTTACATGGTGTCAAAGACTATCAAGTATCTAGAAATAATGAAAAATGTTCAAGATTTATGGGTAAAATTAAAATGTGTATTAAAGAAGACCTAAATAAATGGAAAGATATAATAGGTCAAAGGATAGGAAGACTTAATATTAGCCAGATGACCATTCCTTTTAAGATTAATCTGTAGAATTTTTTATGAAACTCAATAAGATGATTTTTAAATTTATGTGAAAATAAATGACCAAAGAAAGACAAGACACTAATAAAAAAGAGGAGCAGAGCCAGAAGACTGTCTTCTAGTCATCAGGGTTTATGAGGCTATGGAAATGAAACCAGTGTGGTATTAGCAGTAGGCAGAGATAAATTGGCCAATGGGATAGAATGGAGAGTCCAGAGGCAGACCCATGGGAACTTTGATGTACAACAGAGGGGATGATGTGCCTTGTCAGCTGGGGAAGAGAGACCACCATTCAGTAAATGGAGCTGGAGAAAATCCATTTGAAAAAAGATTAAACTGGGTCTTTAATGCCTCATGCCACATTAAAAAAAAAAGTCAACTCTAGGTGGTTTAAAGACTTACATATCCAAACCAAAATCTTAAAACCCTTTAAAAAAAAGTTGGAGACCTTAAGATAAGGAAGGCCAATAAGACAGTGAAAGGCATCCACTAGAAAAAAAATAATTTTGACTAAAAATAAGAACTTGTATTTATCAAGAGCCCTTAAAGAAGCTGAAAAGGTAAGTTACAAATTGGAGGAATCTGTTTACAATCCACACAACTAACAGAGCATTTGAGTAAAAAATATATCAGTAACTATAATCAGTGAGAACATCACAACAAGTCAGAAGAAAAAGTAGCAGGAGAATGGATGAGCATGTCGTAGAAGAGCGAACACACGGGTTCAGCACATGTGTGCAGAAATGTTCAACAGCATGGGGGTCATGGAGATGCCAATGAAGACAATTAGTTACCATTTTATGCCTTTTCCATCAGCAGAAGTTAAGCCTGACAATGCCAAGTCTTGATGAACATGTGGACCCACAGGATCCTTTTACATAGTTGGTGGGAATGTAAGCGGACGTCCCCTGGGAGGCATTGCCTTCTATAGTTACATGTTCATGTACCCTGGAACCCAGCAGCCCCACTCCTGTACTCAGAGTAACCTTGCCTGTGTGCACGTGAATATGAGCATGGATATGAATATTCATTGCAGCACTATGCACAATATCAAAAACCTGGAAGCAACCCAAATGCCCAGCACAGAGAGAGTGAACTAACAAACCCTGTGTTATTATACAAGAGTCAGAACCAATGAATTATAGCAATGCAGAAAAGCACAAATTAGTTTTAAGTGAAAAGTTGAAAAGTAAGTCCGATAAATTAACATTCACCATTTGTTTTTTTTTAATAAAGGTAAAAATCACTAAAATAAACAGCCCACTTTAACAAAAAATAGGTGCAATAAAACTATAAAAGAGAAAGCAAGGGAGTGATGAACAGAGGTTGTAGGGTGATGATACAGAGGATATAATAGGGTGATAGTTACCTGTGATGAGGGGGTCATATGATTAGATAACAGATTATTGACAAGGTCCTACCTTGTGTCTTGCTGGTAGATTCTTATGTACTTATCATACTATTAACAGTAACTAAATAAAGGCAGGTTGTGCTGGGCCCACTCATTAGACTGTGAGATGATACTGTGGCTTATGATTAATCCAATATTGTATACCTGAGATCCAATTTAAAATGTGTGTGTGTAACAATTGTTGAGAGGATTAAATGACTCAAGCATCTCAAGAGTACCAGGCATATACTAACTGTTCAATAAATGTTACCTGTTACCACTATTATATTAGTATTATTGATGAAATTACCTCTCATCTGTGTGATATATTTTTGTTTTAGGCTGTTACTACACATCTGTAAACAAACTGCCTACAAGAAGTCAGATGATGGGTCTCAGATCAACTACATCCATGTGTAGAAGATAGCTCCTCTGTGTTCTCAGTCTTTCTCCTCTTCTTCATGTCGCTGACTCCCACTTACCTTGCAGGTCTCACTTTATTGTTACTGTTTCGGAGATTCTGTTCCTGTATCCCCCAGTGTTATTCTGTGGACCTGTATTATTCTGTTTTCATGCTGCTAATAAAGACATACCCGAGACTGGGTAATTTATAAAGGAAAGAGGTTTAATTGACCCACAGTTCCACATGGCTGGGGAGACCTCACAATCATGGTGGAAGGCAAAGGAAGAGCAAAGTCATGTCTTTCGTGGCAGCAGGCAAGAGAGCGCATGTGCAGGGGAAATCCCCTTTATAAAACCATCAGATCTCATGAAAGTTATTCACTTTCGCAAGAACAGCTCAGGAAAGACCCACCCTCATGATTCAGTTACCTCCCACTGGGTCCCTCCCATGACAGATAGGAATTATGGGAGCTACAATTCAAGATTTGGGTGGGGACACAACTAAATCATATCAGGTCCTTACTAAAATTCCATACTGCCTATGAAACTTTATGATTTACTGTTTAACTATCTCTGAACTCTAAGCTCTCCCTGGACTCCAAGCTCTACAAGCATAAGAATTATAGTAGTTGAACTTTGGGAGGCTGAGGCAGGCGGATCACGAGGTCAAGAGATCGAGACCATTCTGGCCAACATGGTGAAACCCCATCTCCGCTAAAAGTACAAAAATTAGCTGAGCGTAGTAGCGCTCGCCTGTAGTCCCAGGTAATCAGGAGGCTGAGGCAGGAGAATTGTTTGAATCTGGGAGGCAGAGGTTGCAGTGAGCCGAGATTGCACCACTGCACTCCTGCCTGATGACAGAGCGAGACTCCATCTCAAAAAAAAAAAAAAAAAAAAAAAAAGAATTACAGTAGTTGATTCACTGGTGCTTATCCAGGGATCAGTACAAGGCCTGACCCATAATAGATGCTGGGCAAATGTTTACTGGGTGAATGAACAAAAAGAAGCCTCTGTCTGCACATTAGAAGGCATTCAAACCTGGAGCCATTTTGACTCTATTAGGAGAGTACTCAGCACACAGTGGCAATAAAGGTCTTCATTGTGTCTAAAAGTATTCATTGATTTCTTGAAGCAGACACATAAATTTATTTCACTAAGGAAATGAATGGAAAGACGCTGTTGTAAAGATGACTGCCTTTCATTGTCCTGAGTGGAATTTTCTACCATTTCTAAATGGAAAAAGAGAGGAATTGCAATGAGTTTTTAGGGCTTCAAGAACAAATGCCATTAAAGGTTTACAAAAGGGAAAGGCAAGTCTAGACGTTTCATTGTCGTTCTCTTCTATGTTTATAATGTGTTTCCCTTTGATGAAAGACATAGCATCATTCTTATATTTCTGACTCAGACATTCTTTGCTTCACTTTGTCACTGTAATACTCAATTCAGGTAATCACCGGCCGAGAGCAGAGTGGTAGAATGCAAAAAGGACTAGTCTAGGATTCCAGATCCTAGTAGCTGGGTTCTAATTTTGTGTCCTGCCAGAACAGCTTATGTGAATAGTCCCTTAACCTAGTAGGGGCTTAACGTTTCTTCTATAAAATGGGTCAGGCTAGTTAAGTTAAATGATTGTTAAGGTTCTTACCTCTGACAACCTGAGCCCTCATGTGTACATGTTTTTATGTGCAGTTTGTCTTTATTATTCCCTTTGCGAGCTTACATATTTTATGAACAGTATAAATGGGTTGTAATGTAGTTTCTTCCCTCACAGTGATTGCTTGAAGTTATTAAAGGTGCTACCAGCCAGGTACTTCTCACTCTGGTTTCTAAATTCATTTCAGGTAGGACCTTAGGTGCTTTCTACGGCCTTTAACTCTCTTTTGCTAAAGGTGCTGAAGGAGAACTAAGAAGTTGAGTGACGAAGTGCAAGGGCCGTTGACTCAAGTCTGGAAGGGATCTGTGTTCTGGTTCATGATACACTGCCAAATAATTGGTTGTTAATTTTTTGGTCCTTGGTTTTCTTAGCTCTGCCATAAAAGGATTCAGCTGGATCTTATCTAAGATACCTTGTTGCTCCACCAATCCATGATTGAATTTATTAAATGTAGTGCCACCCACCCTTGTTAGGTGCCCTTGAGATCTGTTATTTAGAGGATTGCTGCAATGGCACAAGAGATGTATTTGGAAAAATCTGATCAGTGAATATTAAGACCATTCTACTTGTCAACTACTGTGCATGTTTTATGTCTTAACCTTCATATTAACCCTAGGAGGTAGTTTTTCTTTGTGTATTTTATAACTATATAAACTGAATCATAGACAACTGAAATAACTTCCCTAAGTCACTAGGACCATTAGGTGGCAGAGGCATGATTCAAATGCTAGTCCGTTTGATTCCGAGTGCCTCTCAGCCCCCATCACTCTGCTTTAGTACTTAGTAGTGGACACCGTAGGGGAGAAGAAAGGGCAAGGGCTTTGGAACCATCTAACTTCAGTTTGAATGACAGCCGTACTATTGACTGTGTAATCTCTAGTGGGTGACTTCTCTCAGTCTTAGTCTCTGTTTTCATATCTCAAGATTAACACTGACCTAATGGTGATGATAAAAGGATAAAGTGAAATCACATGCAAGAATATGTTTTTGGATACATAGCAGGCATTTATTAATGGAAGCTGTTAATATTTTAATTGTTTACATATTCATCATCTATATGCTTGTATTCATCATAAAGTTTATTTTTTGGCACAATTGTTATGCATAATGCACTGCTGTAGGCGTATTGGTTGTTAAATGAACTCTAGTATGTGAGAGTTTACAGTTAGATAACAAATACATAGAGTGGAACTTTTTAGGATAATTATTTTATACCCATTTTACAACTTTGGAAATTAGTGTCCCGAGGTAAGGTGGCTTTCTTGAGTAATAATCTACTGCATTTAACATTAGTTAATAATAGTAATTATTTACATGCCTTATGAATTAGATTACTTCTAGATAATTTACAGAATTGCCATGTACATCTCTGATTTATTTGGAAGAAAATGTGATAGCAAGGTTGTATTTCATGTAGACAAAGTGTGAGATGGAGAATACAGTAGGAAGTACTACATTCCAAAAGATTAAAAAATCTTTCCTACTAGATTTTAATCACTCATTTTTTCTGAAATTTGTAGAATATTTAGTGATTTGCTTTCCTGACTGTGTTAGCAGATGTCATCATACCCCTAAAATTCCACTATTGGTAATAATCAGGCTTCAGTATCTTTAAGAGTAAACCTCCTCTGGAAATTTAGAAATGCCATAGAAAACACTTCAGTGCCTAAAGATGTGTTTTGTCCCCTGTAGAAAATTCTTTGTTTGACACCTCCTATGTGGGAGTTGCCTTTAACCTGTATTTTTACTTTTGTATTTTAGAGCCCTACCTCATTCTTTTGACCTTTGTGTCAGAGACACCTCCAGCAATAGTAGAGTTGACCATTTTGAGTCAGCATCTGATTTGTTTTGAATTTATTGGTTTCTATGCATCAAATTCATTTATACTATTTTTACTTACAGTATTTGGTGTGACTTGATAGCTCAAAAGGGTTATTTTATGCTTTCTGTTCCACTTCTGTCTATAAATTTTGCTTTCACAGCGCAGTCAGCAAAACTAATGGGAACCATGAAGCCACTTTTCTTTTTAAGACGATCATTTCTGACGTTTGTAGTTGGGCCAAACTTGATCCCACCTCCCAGCACCTCAGAGCCACTGCAAGGTTTATCTGGAGAGGGGCCACCCTGGCTTTCTCCTGCAAAAGAAGATTTGGGCTTTCAGGTCACCAAGTGTTTGCTGCAGATTGGTTCTCATTAAAATAAACTCTGGACAGTGGTCCATAATTTTATTATCGACCTTTGATTTTCTTGAGGTTGGAGAGGCATCCCTTTAGAATGACAGATTTTTTCTTGGAATTTCATAATTATATAAAAAAGCAGTGATTAAAAAAAAGCAAGTTACTGGTTAAGAAAGCTGGATTATGTCCTTGATACTCCAGTGACATATGACATTTACTTTTCTTAAACTAAAATTTAAGCTTCTCTCATTTCCTCACATCTTCATCTAGAATTTCATCCTCAACTAGAGTTGCTTCATGTATAGGTCATGTGATAAATAGAAACTGTAAGTGTATCATTTGCATATATTGCAGTTATCCTATACTTACTGAGCACCTATTATATCCCATGAATTGTGTCCATTCAATTCCTACGAAACCCCTAGAGGTGGCGATTGATAATTTTCTACTATTAAATTGAGGAAAGTTAATTTCAGAGAGGTCGCATTATTTCCTCAAAATCACATTCTTAATAAGTAATAATATAGTGATTTCTACTAATTGCTTGTCACACACTAGGCGATTTGCTAAATGCTTAATGTGGACCATCTTACTTAACCTCACAGTACTTTTATATTACTCTTGGTTCCCAAGTGAGGAAGCCAGCACTTTAGGTCTTACGTGACTTTGCTCAGATCACCCAGCAGGTAAGAGGTGAATACCAGTTTAAAAATCAAGGAAAATTTCATTTCTGAGTTCACCCTCTTAACCATCAATATATTATTATATTGCTTTGTGATTGTTACAGTGTATAAAAGCTCTGAATCATATCTCAGGTCTCTTACTCTGGAACTTATTCTGTGTGTGCTGTGGCCTTCACCCTGTAGTTAACCTGTGCCCTCTGTATATTCCTCCTTAAAAAGAATGTTAGAAAATGGACTCTAGGCCGGGCATGGTGGCTCATGCCTGTAATCCCAGCACTTTTGGAGGCTGAGGTGGATGGATCACCTGAGGTCAGGAGTTGGAGACCAGCCTGGCCAACATGGCAAAACCCTCTCTCTACTAAAAATACAAAAATTAGCCAGGCGTGGTGGTGCGTACCTGTAGTCCCAGCTACTCAGGAGGCTGAGGCAGGAGAATCACTTGAACCCAGGAGGCAGAGGTTGCAGTGAGCCGAGATCACACTGCAGCACTCTATCCTGGGTGACAGAGCGAGGCTCTGTCCCAAAAAAAAAAAAAAAAGAAAATGAACTCTAATGTATAATGTCACATCTATGAAAAACACACTTTTGGTTTAATGTCTGGGAGCCAGTTCTGTCCTGTATTAAGGGTCGTCTTTGGTATAAATGGTAGTTTGTGGGCTTCCTAGAGCCAATTGTTGGTTTGTGTATTTGAGGATTGTGATTCCCTGTCACATGTCTATTAGAACACAGTGTTGCCTTAGCAGGCAACAGAGTTGATTATTAGGATAGGCCTTCCTGCTGCTTTCAAATCAGACTTCTGAGTTACTTACCAATTTTGAGGTAAGCCTTAGTAGGAACATTTTTTTTCTTTTATTTATTCTTTGATCTTCCTTGTAGGTTGGGATAATTCTTCACTATTCCACCCTTGCCACAGTACTATGGGTAGGAGTGACAGCTCGAAATATCTACAAACAAGTCACTAAAAAAGCTAAAAGATGCCAGGATCCTGATGAACCACCACCTCCACCAAGACCAATGCTCAGGTATCTCATATCTTTGTTGTATTAATTGTTTTGTTTGCTTTCATTGAAGCATAATCATAAATTATAACAAAATTGCTGAGTGAATTTTGGGAAGTAAAAGAACGGACTTGTATGCAGGACTGCCTGGTTTTGAAAATGGCTCAGGCATCCTTCCCGCTGCGAGTCCTCAGACAACTTCTGTACCCTCTCTGAGCCTTCCAAGATCATCTCAAAAGTGGGGCTGATTCTCCCATCCTCGAGTTGTGAGGAATAAATGAGTAAATGGGCAAAGCACTTAAGAGGGGATTGGCCATATAATCGGCTCTATGAAACTGTCAGCTGTTTTTATTTCCTTGAGGTCTTATGTCATACTCAAGTATGTATCAGTTTAATTATTCTATGCAAAGGACAAGAAGACTTGTGTGTTTTTCCTATCCATTATAATATGAAAAGTGGTAAATGGATTATCATGCTGGATGAATAAAATCTATCAGTGATGACCAAGCTTGTTGAATGCCTGATATGTCACTGGCCCTGGGCCAGGGATTTACAGAAGACTCCCTTGCCCTTTGGGAGTTTATAGTCTGCAGGAGGAGAAAGGCATGAGCACTGACTGCGCTGTGTGAGAAGCATAGTGGAGATAGGTTCTTTGAAAATGTAAAGAAAGAAGCCATTAATTTTGGGGGCGGGGGGTTGTTAGGAAATGCTGGACCACTGGCGTGAACTTTACTGTGATCATGACAAAGTGTAGAAGTGAAGAGTGAGCTGAGGAAACCTTGAGGAATGCAGTTTGGCTGGAGCCTCAGATGTTTGGTGTCAAGTAGCAGGAATTCAGGATGAAAGTTGGCTTTGAGGCCTTTGTGTGTCCTATTTAAAATGTGGGCAGCCACTGAAGATTTTTAACTAAGGGAGTGGCCTGACATGGTGTCATTTTAGAAGGATAGCTATGGCTCTAGTATGGAGTATAAATCAGAATTCCTAAGAACAAGGAATTCTGCTGAGGTTATTAGGGCAGCCCCCATGAAGACCAGAACAGTGTCAGGGAGAACACAGAAGAGGACACAAGTTTGAGAGGCTTGAGGCAGTTTCTCTAGGATTGATGTCCAGCTGGATTTAAGAGAGTTGTGTGAGGGAGAGAAATTTGAAGATGGCTGCAAGTTGTCTATTCTAGCTAGCTAGCGTGCCTTGACGGAGGGTGTTTCCATCAACTGAGAAATAAGATAGGAAAAGCAGAAATGGCAGGTGGGCGGGGGAGACATGGAGAGGGGAAATGGGGTGGCAGGCTCCTCAGTACTTTCTTGTGGAATGTTTACATTTTTTAGAAGTCCAGGGCTCAGCAGAGAGGACAAGCTAGAGATTGTCTAGGAGGAGCAGGAGACATTTCCTTATGTGGTCACTGAAGCCATGATAATGAATAGGAACTCCCAGGGAGAAGTTAGTTAAGAAAAGAACGATACTTGGACCTTATTAATGTTTAATAGATGGGCCGTGGAAAAAGTCACTGGATTTTTGGCTGCAGAAAGAGAACACCCGAGAACATGGATGATTTGTGGGAGAGTGGTTCTGTGTTTGACAAGGAGCAGCAGGGGTGCTCCGTGGCCCCAGAGTTATGTTGTAGGATGAGATTTGACACCTCCCTCACTTCTATTAAGAGAAATGAGAGATGATGGTGTTTGGCTTAGAAACTTGGGAATCTTAACCTTAAGCAGCTGTTCATTCCTATAAGGTTCTGAGAAGAAAGATAAAGAGTTAAGGAAAAGGCAGCTGGTGCTTCAAACTCTCTGCAGTCCCCAAATGACACACAAGTATCCTCTTTGCATTAGACAGCTCAAGCTCCGCCCTCTAGCCCTGCTTCCCCCATATCCTTGAGCTTATGGAAGCCTGAGCAACACTGCTGCCTACCTGGAGGGTGGGACACGAGATTTGCCAGTGAGATTCTTCTGACCCCAGAGAGGACATTTTTAGCATCATGGTGGTGAGTGGGTACAGCTGACAATAAGGTGATAAAGGCGAGAAAGTGGTGGTACCAGCGTTGGCAGAAGGAAGAGAGAAAAGAAGTGGTAGTTCAAGGAAAGTTTTAGAAGATGGGGAAACTTGAATATATATATAATACGTATTTTATATATATATATAATACGTATTATATATATATAATACGTATTTTATATATATATATAATACGTATTATATATATATAATACGTATTATATATATATAATATGTATTTTATATATATATATATATAAGCAGTAGAGAAGCATGCTAGAAATAAGCAATAGAGAAGATTTTAAAGATGCAAAATAGGGTTATTTGATAACAAGAACGGGGGTAGGGGGCGTTGAAAGAAGACAGAGAGGGTGATAGGACCCAAGATTAATTTTGGAAATAATACTTTCTTTTCAGGTAAGAAGCAGATGTGAATTAGTACAGCAGGAAGAAGGGGAAGGTCACGTATTATTGGCATCTCTCTAATCTGTGGAATAGAAGGCAGAATTATAGTTTTATAGGGTAATTAGTTTTCAGCAGTACTAACATCATGTTAAAGGATTTTAGTAACTAGGTACAAGGAAGAAACAATATATGGACAAATGTATCAGAGATATTGCCTTTATCCACCCAGTGCAAGATTTGGGGCCATGTCTCAGGAAGGAGCAAACGCAAAATTAAGATTCTGACTTACCCAGAATGGAAATTTATTTTCAGAGAGATCAAGGAGCTCAGAGATGAGCACAGAGTTTTTCTTTGTAGGACCAGTCACTGCTCTGTTTCAATCAGTTTTTATTGCACCATCATTTCCCTTGCTGTCCCCACCTCTCTTTGGAAAAGGGGTCAGGTAGGGCCTCTGCACTCTGTGAAGCTGCTGGGATCCAGATACCTTCCTTACCTTAATCTCAGTGGACTGGCGATGAGATACACAGCAGTGGGCAGTCCTGGGACATGCAGGTTGAGCTGAACATTAGTCAGTAATTAATATGTCATTACATTTCTTGTGTGAACTAAGGCACTTTTCAGTTCACCGGCTGAATCTAAAAGAAGCCAGTTCCTGCTACAAAAAAAAAAAAAAGTAAGAGTAAGTAAGCTGAAATCCTACCAGCAGGCTCAGAGTGTTACTTTGCCTGTCCACAAGGTGGCAGAAGCCGATCAGCTTTCCTCTACTCAGAAACTTACTAGACCTTGTGCTTTAAAACAAGAAATCTAAAAAACAAAATAAAAACACATTACTGCTAATAAATCAGCCTCCCAACTTAACTCTCAGCTTATTATTGGAATAAAGATAATAATTAATCTTCAGGGAATGACTTTTGAAGTACTGAGACATTATGAGAGATACATGTTAAGAAATGGAATGATGAGTGGTTTTTCCTGTGATTCCTCCTTCTAGATTTTACCTGATTGGTGGTGGTATCCCCATCATTGTTTGCGGCATAACTGCAGCAGCGAACATTAAGAATTACGGCAGTCGGCCAAACGCACCCTAGTGAGTATTTTATATTCTCTGTGTACTTGACCCAGTTGTTTCTCTTTTAAGTATTTTCTAGGCATTACAGGTGATTGCAATTTCGTAGATAATTTGTTGAAACATGTAGCATCGATCTGGTTTACCATTTTCTTTTCCAGTTGCTGGATGGCATGGGAACCCTCCTTGGGAGCCTTCTATGGGCCAGCCAGCTTCATCACTTTTGTAAACTGCATGTACTTTCTGAGCATATTTATTCAGTTGAAAAGACACCCTGAGCGCAAATATGAGCTTAAGGAGCCCACGGAGGAGCAACAGAGATTGGCAGCCAATGAAAATGGCGAAATAAATCATCAGGATTCAATGTCTTTGTCTCTGATTTCTACATCAGCCTTGGAAAATGAGCACACTTTTCATTCTCAGCTCTTGGGGGCCAGCCTTACTTTGCTCTTATATGTTGCACTGTGGATGTTTGGGGCTTTGGCTGTTTCTTTGTATTACCCTTTGGACTTGGTTTTTAGCTTCGTTTTTGGAGCCACAAGTTTAAGCTTCAGTGCGTTCTTCGTGGTCCACCATTGTGTTAATAGGGAGGATGTTAGACTTGCGTGGATCATGACTTGCTGCCCAGGACGGAGCTCGTATTCAGTGCAAGTCAACGTCCAGCCCCCCAACTCTAATGGGACGAATGGAGAGGCACCCAAATGCCCCAATAGCAGTGCGGAGTCTTCATGCACAAACAAAAGTGCTTCAAGCTTCAAAAATTCCTCCCAGGGCTGCAAATTAACAAACTTGCAGGCGGCTGCAGCTCAGTGCCATGCCAATTCTTTACCTTTGAACTCCACCCCTCAGCTTGATAATAGTCTGACAGAACATTCAATGGACAATGATATTAAAATGCACGTGGCGCCTTTAGAAGTTCAGTTTCGAACAAATGTGCACTCAAGCCGCCACCATAAAAACAGAAGTAAAGGACACCGGGCAAGCCGACTCACAGTCCTGAGAGAATATGCCTACGATGTCCCAACGAGCGTGGAAGGAAGCGTGCAGAACGGCTTACCTAAAAGCCGGCTGGGCAATAACGAAGGACACTCGAGGAGCCGAAGAGCTTATTTAGCCTACAGAGAGAGACAGTACAACCCACCCCAGCAAGACAGCAGCGATGCTTGTAGCACACTTCCCAAAAGTAGCAGAAATTTTGAAAAGCCAGTTTCAACCACTAGTAAAAAAGATGCGTTAAGGAAGCCAGCTGTGGTTGAACTTGAAAATCAGCAAAAATCTTATGGCCTCAACTTGGCCATTCAGAATGGACCAATTAAAAGCAATGGGCAGGAGGGACCCTTGCTCGGTACCGATAGCACTGGCAATGTTAGGACTGGATTATGGAAACACGAAACTACTGTGTAACATTGCTGGGCTTCCTAGGCAGAAATTCATATAAACTGTGATACTCACATTCCTTGAAGCTATGAGCATTTAAAAACTGTTTACAGCCACCATAGGGATTCAAAAGAATTTGGAATAAACTTTGAAGTTTTGGATTTTACTTATTTTTATCCCCAAATTGTTGCTATTTTTTAGGATCTGAAACAAAATCTTTCTAAAACATTGTTTTAGTTGTCAAAGCACCAACAGGACATTTTGGGATGTGAAATGTAATTTCTTGGAATCTGTAATTTGTACTTAATATTTCAGGCTTGTATTTAATATAATAAATAGGTGTTTGTTATTGTGTCGATCTGTTATTTTTATATTTTACAATATAAGCATTTAGTTCTATTTTAATGAAATTAGTGGTTTGGGGTATTTTAATTAGAGTTACACATAAGTCAGTTATATATATATATTGCATGGTTAAGTGTATTGATTTTGGCACATAAATCAAAGTGATTTTTGGGTTGCTGTATTTTATAAGTCTAGTTTTAAATATTACCAGGTTTTAAAAGGATCTCTCAGGATGTTTTTTGAAAATGGAAATGCCTAAAAAACTTCCTACGTTGCCTTACTTTTGCGTTATTCCTTGGATCCTATTAATACTATTTTCAACATGGTCGTGGCCTTTTCATTGCTTTATATTCGGTCTTAAGTTTCTTACTCTTTTTGGTGTGGCCAGGTGGGGGTGATTGCTGCACGAAAGTTATTCTTGAATGCAAATGAAGAGCTACCACTTAAGGTTCACATTCTTCAATATTGGCTCTTATGTTGACTTTTATTTTGTACTTAAACAGATAAAGTTCCTTAGATTCATGCTGAAGTACTGATTAAATCCCATTCCGGAATTCTAAAAACAGCTCTACTGCAAAAGTTCTCGCTCACTGGTCTTTGCTACACTGCAGTCTAACCCATCTCCTGTCCTGAGTCTCACTGTGGTTCTCAGTTCTCTCGTATGCAAGACAATGTCTGCAAAATTGACACAACTTTGATCTCTTTTCAGCGGAAGTCTAAAGGTTTGAATCAGATTGGATTCAAAAGTACATATTCGAGAAATGCAAAAAAGAATCAAGCCGTTTAGCTTAATAAACTTCAAATTCTGAGAGATTAACTGCTTATGTACAGAGAACAATTCTCTGAGCCATCCTGAGATTACCCATTCTAGTGTAAATGTTCACTTTTCACTGGGTTACTGCATTAGAAATGTTATTTTGCTTGACAATAATAAAACCGATAGTTCTACTTAAGCCTTTTAGGTTTGAGTTTTAGAGATGTTATTTTATGGTGGGGGAAATAAAGCAGCCAGTGGATAGATTTGGCTATATTTCCTGGTTTATGGTCTCCTGGTAAATTGATATATTATGTACAAGATGGTGTTTGGAAATGACAAAGATAAGCTAATAAGAAATGGAGTGAATAATTCTTATTTATCACTATTTTTTTGTTTGCTCGGTGTTTAACCTGTTTGACCTGCTGGTCAGCTGTACCTAGGGAGATAACTTTCTTGTTCTTCTTTTTCCTGCCTCTGCATAGGAAGTGAGGAATTTTCCTTCCTGGAAGATGTTGCCCATTCAGCAAGCATTTATTCATTTAAACATGCCTTATTTTAGGTAACAGAACAGGTGCTGGCGGTGGGGAAGGACTGGAAAAGAAATCAAACACTTGGAAGAAGATGGAGATTCTGCTAAAAATGTTCAAGGGGATTTTGTTACTCATAGCGTGGAGAGTGATGAGCGATCACTTACTCATCCTTAGTATTTCAATTAGAGTTTTGATATTTGTATATAGGAAGTGAGTAATATATTGTATTCCTCCCACCTTTGTCGTTTATGATTTATAGCTGAGATTCTCTATTTTTCATAGAATTGTAAACTGCTAACAGATGTTTCAGTTTTCTTAGAGATCAGCATGATCATTTTCCTAATTTAAAAAATTTGACAACTAAGATCCAAAGAATTTCTGGCTTGCTGGACATGCTGGCAGGTTATACCATGCCCACGGCTAGAACCATGTTTGCCAATGCTGAGGCCGCCGTGCTTGGCAACACATTTCATTGCTTTTACGGTGTTTATTATCTATAAAATTGTATCAGACTTTATTCTTATCTTAGTTGTTTTGAGTTTTAGTTTCATAATAAGGTATAGTTGGTTATATTCTGCTTAAGGAAACAGTTATGATTCTTTTATTTCATGACAGTTGTTTTGTTTTGTTTTGTTTTGTTTTTAGAGTTGAGGTCTCACTCTGTTGCCCAGGCTGAAGTGCAGTGGGGATCATAGTTCACTGTAACCTCGAGCTCTTGGGGTCAAGCCATCCTCCCACCTCAGCCTCCTGAGTAGCTGGAACTACAAGAACAAGCCAGTAGCCCGGCTGTTTTTCTTTTTATTTTTGTAGAGATGGGTCTCACTGTGTTGCCCTGACTGGTCTCAAACTCCTGGCCTCAAGTGATCCTCCAACCCTTGCTTCCCAAACTGTTGAGATTATAGATACGAGCCATTGAGCCCAGCCAAAAGTTGTTTTCTTAATGTAAACATTATATCTACAGATTACATATATAATGTTATATACTAACCTGCTTTTTAGGTAACAGTTAGAAATTAGATTTGTGTATGACTATTTTTGTGACTAGATTTATATACTAACGTACATGTATATTAATATTTCAGGTCATTAATAGGTGGCAACTGATTTTTAAATCTCAGGATATTTTGGATAAATGTAACAATGTAACTATATGTATGTTCAATATATTTATATTAGTAATATATACAGATGGCAACTTAGGTTTAGTTGCTGATTGGAATCTATACATAGGTCTCATTATAGAGAAGCAACAATGTTAGAACAGACTTACATGTTTCAAGTATTGAGTTCAGAATGCCCAAACTGAAGTTGGTTGAGAACATACAAAATTAGGAAGTAAAAACATTAACTGAAAACATCTGATGCAGGAATTAAACTAAATCATCAAGGTAAGTGAGGCATACAACAGCAATCCAAAATTTAAAACAAATCTTAATTCTGTTTTTCTTTTTGGATTCCAGTAATCATTTAGTTATTTTAATATTGACTCCAGTGCTTTTATCTGAGAGGTGATTTGATTGTTCATAATCACTTAATGATGTTTTCCAAATTTGAGTCATTCTGTCACTTTTGCTAATTTTGTTATATTTTTCTTAACACTTGTATTAATGCTGTCCATGGATTATTGCTTATATTGAAATATAAGCAATAATAAATTATATTTATTATATATATAATATATTATTGAATATATTGAATATATAATATATTATTGAATAATATATAATATATTATTCAATATATTATATTGAAATATAAGCAATAATAAATTCAAAATAAAATCAATAGATTTATTTGTATAAACAAGGCAATTTCTCCTGAAGGAGAAATTTTTCATTGTTTGTAATCTGCCAGTGCTAAAAATGTGACTGCATGTTGCTAGGTCTTAGACAAAGGTGAGATTGTAACCAATGAAATTCTGCTTTTTGTTTGTTTGTTTAGTTTTGGTATGAACTCTCTTGAATCCTTCTGACCTACTCAGATCATTTCACAGCCATGTCTTTTATTGGCCATGAGAAGCTCCTAAGCAGTGGTCATAACTGGGCTACGGGGGATACTGATTGATGAACATGTACAGTGTGTGTTAACTTAGTTGTTGTTGGCTGATAAACGTGGTCTTTCCACCTTTTTTGTAGACCCGACCCAGCTTTGTATTATGTGAGGCCCCAGGCAGCCTTTGGATAAAGCTTTTTCTTCAGCCTCCTTTCACTGGGGATGCCAGAGGCTTAGAAGTAGATACTGAATGTGAATTTACAGGACCATAGTATTAAGAAGCTTACATTTATAGAGTCATTGATGGAGGTGGACCACTACGTTCTCTGATAAAGTTCAATGCTTAGAATTACTTCCTGGCCCAAATCTCACTAGTCTTCTGTTCAACAAACTTGTTTGATGCTGCTTAAAACACATATTAACCTAATTGCATCATATTTACAAAATGGTAGGAGAAAAGAGACTGTGTGTGTGTATGTATATGTAATCCATTATTTACTGCTGCCATCTGGTTTAAGAAGACCTTTATCAGGTATTTTCAAAAAGTTCAAAATGTTTTCAGAAGACTCTTCAGATGCATTCCAAAGAATCCAGCTAATCACATCTTCAATTTTGTAATCATTGTGTTCACCCTGTTTTGGCATATAATACTGATGAAGGTTTGCTTTTATGGATAAATTTTGATGTTCTAATCAGGACCTATATTTGCAAGACATGGTTGCTTGCAAAGCTGGATTTGGTCATGAGTACTGTGAATGGAAATTGATCTCAGGACCCCCAAATCACTAAGCCAAAGGAAAAGGTCAAGCCAATGGGAACTGCACTGGGCAAACCTGACTCCCATTCTATTCCTAAAATAAGATAGCTATGAAGATAAAAAAAAAAAAAAAAAAGCTACATACTTCCTCACAATGTGCCCACCAGGAAGTTCCTTGTGGACAAAGGACAAACAGAACTCAAAGTCATCCCTCTGCTCATGTGAGACAAATGCGTATCTGATTGCTTCCTTTGCCCTGTTGTTTCACTAAGCCAGACTAAGGCATAAGTGACTATAAATTGTGTATTCGATGAAAAGGTAATCAGAAATTCAAAAGAATGCAATAGTTTGTCTCTTATCTACCTATGATCTGGAAGCCCCCTCCTGGCTTTCCAGACCGAGTTGTACCACCTTTTCAGACCAAACCAGTGTACATGTTACACATACTGATTGATGTCTCATATCTCCCTAAAATGTAAAAATCCAAGCTGTACCCCTACCACCTTGAGCACATGTCATCAGGACCTCCTGAGGCTGTGTTATGGGCATGTCCTTAACCTTGGCAAAATAAACTTTCTAAATTGACTGAGACTTGTCTCAGATGTTTTGAGTTCACAGTGTTACCCGAAAGCGGTCCTGATCCAGACCCCAAGAGAGGGTTCTTGGATCTCGTGCAAGAAAGAATTCAGGGCAAGTCCACAGTGCAAAGTGAAAGCAACTTTATTAAGAAAGTAAATAAAGGAATTGGCTACTCCATAGAGCAGCCCCGAGGGCTGCTGGTGCCCATTTTTATGGTTGTTTTTTGATGGTATGCTAAACAAGGGGTGGATTATTCATGCTTCCCCTTTTTAGACTATATAGGGTAACTTCCTGACGTTGCCATGGCATTTGTAAACTTGTTACGGTGCTGGTGGGAGTGTAGCAGTGAGGACAACCAGAGGTCACTCTTTTGGCCATTTTGGTTTTAGTGGGTTTTGGCTGGCTCCTTTACTGCAAACTGTTTATCAGCAAGGTCTTTTTGACCTGTATTTTGTGCTGAACTCCTATCTCATCCTGTGACTTAGAATACCTTAACTGTCTGGGAATGCAGCCCAGTAGGTTTCAGCCTCATTTCACCCATCTCCTATTTAAGTTGGAGTTGCTCTGGTTTACATGCCTCTGACATTTCCACCCTCCCTTTTATAACAGAACCCTTAATCCTAAGGGTTGCAGATGGACAAAGATTCATCTTCTGTAACTTCTTCAGGCTGAATAGGAATGATGATATTCCTGCCTAACTATTAGGGTCTCTTGTGTTCAGGGTAGACAGAAGCTCAATCAGAAAGCATCAGTATGGCGAGGGCCGTTTACGACTCGAGTTTCGACAAGAGGTGTTATCTGGAAGATTAATAAGTGTTCAATTTAAAACATTCAGTAAGCTTGTCCTGTATTCCTGCACGAAGAGTAGAACAGCAATATATTCCATAAAAGTAAAGCAAAATAAAGTTATTCCAAGTAAACTAAATTAGAAGGCTTTTTATGAACTGGGCAACTGTTGGAACTAAGCTGGTATGGGGTTGTTAGCTGATTGTAATGTGCCCAGCATTAGAATACTAATCCAGATTTTTATATTACCCATCCTTCTTGTTTCTTCTGAGCAGCAGTCAGAGATCACTGGTTGGTTCACAGGAATAAGCAGGATTAGCCTAAATTGCAGAAACAAACTTAAAACAACAGATGAGACTAGAATTTAATAACAAGTTTACCATAGTTCTTGAAACATACTATTTCTCTCTCCAGTTTCCTATTTTTACTAAAGACAATTGATGGTAAGACTGATTTACTTTATTATAATTGGCCTGATTATTTGTATAAAGTGCAGCAAGAATAATTATTTTTCACATAGACTTTTTAATTGGCTTTAAAGGAACTCTGTTTCATAAGGAATCTCAGATAAGACTTTTTTAAAGCCGAGCCCCTCCATGAGTTTGTATCCTCAAATACCTATAAGTTGGGTAAATTCCTTTCTTTTTGAGGTCCCAAGATAACTTTGGGCTCCTAGGCCTGTAAGAAAGTGACATTCTTTACCATAGTTCAGAAACCCTATACAGGGACTATATAGGCGAGGTATGAGGCCAGTTCCCCAGAGGGCTTTTATTGGCTCTACAAGTCAGGTTTGATTCCTTAAAGGAAAACACACCATTCCAGTCGAAGCCTTGGTAAAAACCAATTTCTCCAATTGTGTCCGGTTACAAAAGAAAACAGATTGTTATTGCACTTATGCAAATAACTATATAGCCATAAATTAAGAATACTCACAGTTTCCAAATTTTGGAGAAATCATAGAGAGAGAAACAAATAATGCTCCAAATTTTGTTCACAGGAGGGTATTTTACTCAATTGCTGAAAGCTGTAAATAACTCAAAAGAAAAGTATTCTTAACTCTGAAAAGCAAAACAAAGGATCAGCAGCATTTTAAGCAAAGTTAAAAAGATTACACTTCTTCAGTTTAGTCCATGTAGTTAACTTCTATTTGATAGTTATGAACATTTCAGCTCCTTGTGAGGGTTCTGAAAGCTTTTTCCTTTATTCTGATGTCACAATCTACAAAGTTATCAGAAAACCTGCATTTAAGAACACCTGCTAGAGTTCTATAGTTGATTATAAACCACCTTCTAAAGAGATTAAAACAACAATTGTCTGTGAACGATTCTGGAAGTTTTAGGACAGCCACTATTAAAGCCACAATTGATAAGGAAATTTGGTTACTTCTGTGGCACACAAAATTTTACATAACAATTAACACATTAAACCATATTAGAATTATAGGAGTTTCCCATAGCTTTGGAACATATACCAATAACACATTTATGTAACTATAGTCCAAAGAAAGCAAAGCACTATTTCACATTTGATAATGCTTCCTGTATGATTTTTATACCAAATAAGCCAAATTTTACCTTTACATTAATGTACTATTAATTTGAAACCCGTTTTAATAAAATCGTATGGACATATTTACCCAATTTTAATGTTTAACTGTAAGATAAGATTCTTATAAAACTTTTATAACCCTTTATTTTTGTGAAAGAGCAGATTAGTGCTCTAAGAAAAACCTGTGGTGCTTTTATTCCAATGTTTAATTTTTAGAAAAACTGAATAATACCCCTTTAACTTTAGCCAATATGTTTGCACACAGAATCTCTCACAATTAATTTTTTCAAACCTTCCACAACTGTTCAAACCGTTAGCTTTATTCTAACTTAAAACAATTCTTTAACCTTTTGGGCAAAAAATCCACATTCTCATGCCTTCTTATAATATTTACCAAAAGTACATTTTACTTTCCTTACACACCTTGCATGTAAAACTGTTTCTTCGATAGTCTCAATTACATGTTACAATGTTAACTTTTAGCAACTTTTACTTTTGGTGAAAACCCTGGTTAGTAAGAAATTTTAATTGTGTACTAGGTGTGGTGTCTAGCCTAGGACACACCAGGCAGAACTGCAGATAAGAAACTGATGCTCCAGCATAGCTAGGGGACGTGGCTAAGTCCACATGTCCCCAGGCCTTATCTGGAATCTAATGGCTTTAAAGTAGGTAAATTGTTATGATTTCCATCTTTCGCATTTGCTGAGGAGTATTTTACTTCCAATTATGTGGTCAATTTTAGAATAAGTGTGATGTGGTGAGAAGAATGTATATTCTGTTTATTTGGGGTGGAGAGTTCTGTAAATGTCTATGAGGTCTGCTTGGTCCGGAGCTGAGTTCAAGTCCTGAATATCCTTGTCAAATTTCTGTCTCTTTGATCTGCCTAATATTGAGGGTGGGATGTTAAAGTCTCCCACTATTATTTTGTGGGAGTCTAAGTCTCTTTGTAGGTCTCTAAGAACAGTGCAATCAAATTAGAACTCAGGATTAAGAAACTTACTCAAAACTGCACAACTGCATGGAAACTGAACAACCTGCTCCTGAATGACTACTGGGTAAATAACAAAATTAAGGCAGAAATAAATAAATTCTTTGAAACCAATGAGAACAAAGACACAATGTACCAGAATCTCTGGGACAGAACTAAAGCAGTGTTTAGAGGGAAATTTATAGCACTAAATGCCCACAGGAGAAAGCCGGAAAAATCTAAAATCGACACCCTAACATCACGATTAAAAGAACTAGAGAAGAAGAGCAAACAAATTCAAAAGCAAGCAGAAGACAAGAAATAACTAAGATCAGAGCAGAACTGAAGGAGATAGAGACATGAAAACCCCTTCAAAAATCAGGGAATCCAGGAGCTGGTTTTTTGAAAAGATTAACAAAACAGATAGACTGATAGCCAGACTAATAATGAAGAAAAGAGAGAAGAATCAAATAGACACAATAAAACATGATGAAGGGGAGATCACCACTGATCCCACTGAAATACAAACTACAATCAGAGAATACTATAAACACCTCTACACAAATGAACTAGAAGATCTAGAAGAAATGGATAAATTCAAACCCTCCCAAGACTGAACCAGGAAGAAGTCGAATCCCTGAATAGACCAATAACAAGTTCTAAAATTGAGGCAGTAATTAATAGCCTACCAACCAAAAATAGCCCAGGACCAGAGGGATTCACAGCCAGATTCTACCAGAGGTACAAAGAGGAGCTGGTACCTACCATTCCTTCTGAAAATATTCCAAACAATAGAAAAAGAGGAACTCCTCCCTAATGTATTTTATGAGGCTACCATCTTCCTGACACCAAAACCTGGCAGAGACACAACAAAAAAAGAAAATTTCAGGCGAATATCCCTGATGAACATCAATGCAAAAATCTTCAATAAAATACTGGCAAACCTAATCCAGCAGCACATCAAAAAGCTTATCCACCACTATCAACTTGGCTTCATCCCTGGGATGCAAGCCTTGTTCAACATACGCAAATCAGTCAACGTAATCCATCACATAAACAGAACCAATGGCAAAAACCACATGATTATCTCAATAGATGCAGAAAAGACCTTTGATAAAATTAAACACTTAATGCTAAAAACTCTCAATAAACTAGGTATTGATGGAATGTATCTCAAAATAAGAACTGTTTGTGACAAACCCACAGCCAATATCATACTGAATGGGCAATAGCTGGAAGCATTCCCTTGGAAAACTGGCACAAGGCAAGGATGCCCTCTCTCACCACTCCTATTCAACATAGTGCTGGAAGTTCTGGCCAGGACAGTCAGGCAAGAGAAAGAAAGACAGTGTATTCAAACAGGAAGACAGGAAGTCAAATTTTCTCTGTTTGCAGATGACACAATTGTATATTTAGAAGACCCCATTGTTTCTTAAGCTAATAAGCAACTTCAGCAAAGCCTCAGGATACAAAACCAGTGTGCAAAAATCACAAGCATTCCTATACACCAATAACAGACAAGCAGCCAAATCATGAGTGAACTCCCATTCACAGTTGCTACAAAGTGAATAAAATACCTAGGAATCCAACTTACAAGGGATGTGAAGGACCTCTTCAAGAAGAACAACAAACCACTGCTCAAGCAAATAAGAGGACACAAACAAATGGAAAAAACATGGATAGGAAGAATCAGTATCATGAAAATAACCATACTGCCTAAAGTAATTTATAAATTCAATGCTATTCCCATCAAACTACCATTGACTTTCTTCAGAGAATTAGAAAAAACTACTTTAAACTTCATATGGAACCAAAAAATGCCCCTATAGCCAAGACAATCCTAAGCAAAAAGATCAAAGCTGGAGGCATCACGCTACCTGACTACAAACTATATTACAAGGCTGCAGTAACCAAAATAGCATGGTGCTGGTACCAAAACAGATATATAGACCAATGGAAAAGAATAGTTACCTCAGAAATAATGCCACACATCTACAACCATCTGATCTTCGACAAACTTGATAAAAACAAGCAATGGGGAAAGGATTCCCTATTTAATAAATGGTGTTGGGAAAACTAGCTAGCCATATGCAGAAAACTGAAACTGGACCCCTTCCTTACACCTTATACAAAAATTAACTCAAGATGGTCAAACTCAGTTTGACCTTAAAGCATTTAACAAATCTGATATTTGACCTTAATTTAGACCAAATGTCTACATTTTCAAGTCATTTTACCGATAATATTTAAAACCGTCTTTATTTTTCAAAAGATTACTAAAGTCATATGAACAAAAAGGCATTAAAGTTTCTATTTTTCTGACAAAATATTTAAGTGCTTATTTTTAAAGCCAATTAATTAGAGCCCTTTTACATATAAACATACAACACATAAATAGACAGAAGATTTACCACTTGTAAGATTCTTTATTTGCCAGTTTCTTAATTGTATTACTGGCTTCAGGGTGGAGCCCTTGGAGCAACAGGGCCAGGAAAGCATGTGTTTCTAGGGCCAAATAAGTAGCAAATAAGCAGCTGAAGGCAAAGACAGATCCCTAAAATTAAGGGTGCCATTTTACACTGGATCCTGGATCCCCAAAAGGAGAGAATTCTATGGGGGAAGACAGTGCAGTGCTTCTACCCTGCATTTCATTGCAAGGCAACCCAAAGCTAATCAGCCCATTTTGTAATCAGCCCATCCCTCATGGGAGTCTCATCTCCCAGCAGGGGTTGGGGATGTTTCCTTATCTTCCAGGTGGCCAAGAGCATGCTTCTCTGATCCAAGCGTGCAAAGAGTTAAGTATTCCTCCATAACTACTATTAGTCATCCCTTAAAGTATATTTCCTACCTAGTTGTTACATACCAAAGCTCTCTCATAATGCAAAGTAATTTTTGATACCCCCAAAACTCAAAACCGTCAGATAACACAATGCAAAACAGAACACAGCCTTTGATTTTGAGAGGGAGCTATCTGTTTTTAATTCCTCAGGTTTCATGAGGAAAACAAGTTTTTTTTTTTTCTCAAAATGGGGTCTGTGGTGCCTCCTCTGTTTTTCCCAAGGAGTCCCAGGCTACCAGAAGTTACCTTAGAGCTTCTCATGTATGCATTGAGTGGCAAGACAAAACCAACAAACAAAAAAAGAGAAAAACCATTCAGTCGACTGAGAAGAAAAAGACCTTTTTCAGGAAAACAAGTTCCAAGAAGAGGAAAACATAAAGGCCTTTTAAATATATCTATAGTTTATCCACTTTTAATTAAGCTAACTTTTAACCATAGTGCTCTTTAAAAAAGAAATTGTTTCAGATCTGTTATTACCCGACTTTAGCCTTGCCAAGTGGCCAATATTTCTAGCTTCTGAACTTTACCAAAGATAACCTCCTAGGTGCTTAGAGAAAGGAAAATTTAAGACAGTCCTCAGAGGGGAAGAGAATAGACAAAGTCACACAGATATTAAACCAGAAATGACTTACTTTCTAGGTGGGGAATTGAACCCGGACCGCCACTGTTAAAGTGCAGAACCCTAGCTACTGAATTACAGGACGGGGCAGTCTCTATTCCCTTTCCCAGAAGAAGTCTAGGGTAGTTAATTTTGAGCTTGCAAAGACTTTTTAACTATGTCATATGATTTTTAGAGCTAACTATGACATAAACCCTAAAATTTCTGTTTCTTAGAAGGCGAAGACCAAGAGAATGTACTTCCACGTGGTTAAAAGGTCAAGCTCCCAAGGACTTAAAAGAAGGTGGAGACTTCATCCAGTTCTTTTTTTTTTTCTTTCTTTCTTTTTTTGAGACGGACTCTTGAGCTGTTGTCCAAGCTGGAGTGCAGTGGCGTGGTCTCAGCTCACTGCAACCTCCGCGTCCCAGGTTCAAGCAATTCTCCTGCCTCAGCCTCCCAAGTAGCTGGGATTACAGGCACCCACCCACCACACCTGGCTAATTTTTGTATTTTTAGTAGAGACGGGGTTTCACCATGTTGGCCAGGCTGGTCTCGAACGCCTGACCTCATGATCCTCCCATCTCGGCCTCCCAAAGCGCTGGGATTACAGGCATGAACCACCGCGTCCGCCCTCATTTAGTTTTTTATTTGTTTCAGGGACCTGCAGCCAAGTTTGTTACTGATGAGCTTGCTGGGTCATCTTGAAAAGCAGGCTTACAGGTATTCTAAGCCCATGTTTTATCCTGAAGTACCCCTCAACACAGAAAAATTAATTCATGGCACGAAATACACCAGCTTAAGACTAGCCTTAGAATTCTTTTTCACACTAATTACAAACTTCTCAGAGGAGATAAACTCTGAATTTTTTTTTCTATTCGTTCAACCATTTGCATAGAAAGATAGAAGCCAGAAATCTGGTAAGAAATTCTTACCCTTCTGCCGGCATGCCAGGCTTCTGGGTTCCCTTTCCCTGACCAGCACTAATGATCCAGCTTGTGGCACCATCGCCTTGGGGGCCAAGCCACATTGTAAAGGAAAATCGTTATTTTTTTTTGTTCTGGCCAGAGCAAAATACGTGTGATAAAACATAGACATTAGCCACTCTGCTTAGTACCCAATATCAAACTGGCAAGGCTTACATTTGCCCCACATGGGCCCCTTCATCTTTAATCCAACCTCCGACTTGGAGTTTCAGCACGTGGTCTCTAGGCAAGATGGTTGCCCTGAATAACAAAAAAGACGGGAAAGGAGAGAAGGAAAATTATTGCCTCTAGTAGGGTGGGACAGGTGAAATGCTCAGGGAGGCCAGAGAAAGACCCACCCATTGCAGCGACACTGAAAAGTTCAGGTGGCTGCTTCTTGGTAGCAAAGGGATCTTTTCCAGCAATCCTATTAGCTCTCAACTTTCCCCTTTTAGGGAAGAAAAAGCTTCCCATGTCCCACGATCCTGTACATGCCTAACCCTGTCACCCACAGCCATTAGCAAAGAGTACAAGGCAGATTAATCCAAAGAGAATAGCAGTTAACATCTGGTAGTGCCAAACCTGTTGTTAACCAAGGTGGACTTTACTGAGAGGGGCCTCTAACCCCCTAAATCTTAGAAGAGACTCTAACCCTCCAAAGTTGTGCCTCTAACCCAAGGTTGGTCAAGCGTCCTTGCCTTTTATTGAGAGGAGCATTTAACCCACTCTGTTTTAGGAGAGTCTCTAACTTCCCTAAGTTGGGCCTCTAACCCAATCCCATTCTTTACCCGGGTACCCAACCACTTACCCAAAGTCGTCCAATTAGTGCTGCAGTCTACTTCCTTTGGGTCAGGGGTCTCCTCAATATCGTCTCTTCTGTGGTTCACCAGAAATATGTTGCAGGATCCGAACACTTACCCAAATGGAGCTGTTGGGTCCGGGTTTCTGCACTATAGTCCCTTCTGTGGTTACCAGAAATACATTACCAGAAAGGGGTCCTGATCCAGACCCCAAGAGAGGGTTCTAGGATCTCACACAAGAAAGAATTCAGGGCAAGTCTGCAGTTCAAAGTGAAGGCAAGTTTATTAAGAAAGTAAAGGAATAAAAGAATGTTACTCCATAGACAGAGCAGTCCTGAGGGGGGCTGGTTGCCTGTTTTTATGGTTATTTTCTGACAATAAACTGAACAAAGGGTGGATTATTCATGCCTCCCCTTTTTAGACCATATAGGGTAACTTCCTGACATTGCCATGGCATTTGTAAACTGTCAGGGCTCTGGTGGGATTGTAGCAGTGAGGACAACCGGAGATCACTCTCGTGACCATTTTGGTTTTGGTGGATTTTGGCTGGCTCCTTTACTGCAAACTGTTTTATCAGCAAGGTCTTTTTGACCTGTATTTTGTGCTGACCTCCCGTCTCATCCTGTGACTTAGAATGCCTTAACCATCTGGGAATGCAGCCCAGTAGGTTTCAGCCTCATTTTACCCAGCTCCTCTTTAAGATGGAGTTGCTCTGGTTTATACGCCCCGACAACGGTACCAAGTTAGGTTGAAGACTATGTTGAGGAACAGATTCAGCAGGAAAACTGTGAGCTTCACTACTAAATAGGATATTTTGTTACCGACATCCACTCCTTTATACAACTGAATAAAGATGTTAATTTAGTGGTCAACCATGATTGACAATTTTTATTGCTATAGAAAAAACTTTCATGTTGAGTCTGGGTAAACTACTATTTTTTAAAAAATGCAGTATTTCTGAAGCTTAACACAAAAGTTTCTCACTGAATAATCATCTGGCATGTATGTTACTAAGCTGGCAGCTCTCCTCAGGGGCTCTCCTCACGCAGGCGTCTGCCATTATGTGGCTCTGTCCTCTAGGTCGTTACTCAGACAATAGAGGTTAGCACATGGGAGGGTTTTATGGATCATGCCTGGAGATGGCTTTTGTCATTTGTATCCACAGTCCATTGCCCAGAATGCAGTTGTGGCCATGCCTAATTGCAAAGGAAGTTAGGAAATATAGTCTAGCTATGTGTATAGGAAGGAAAGGGAGATAGTTCAGTCCATAAATAAACACTGCCACAGGATAGATTCCCAGTATGTACAACAGTGAGCTTTATTCCTATCTAGTCTGTCATTATGAATAATGTAAGCACAGATCGATTGTTGGTTCTAACCAGAAATGTTAGATTTCAAGTCAGTTTGAAAATTATATGATGGTCAATGTCTTAGTCACCCTGGGTGGCTATAACAAAAGTGACATAGACTCATTATTACACTCATCACTACTACTCATTATGACACCACCAGCTTTTCTGGGTTTCTAGCTTACAGAGGGCAGACTGTAGGACTTCTCAGCCTTCATAGTCATATGCGCTACATTCTTATAATCTCTTCTATGTCTCCATCGATGTGTCTGTATCTAACTACTATTCTTTTTCTCTAGAGAACCCTAACACAGTCAACATTAAAAAAATTGACACATACTAATTGTACACATTTATGGGGTGCATAATGATGTTTTGATGCATACAGTATTCATCACCTCAAACATTTATCAAATGAAAGTAATTTAGCACATCCATCACCTCAAACATTTATCATTTGTTTATTTTGGGAAACATTCAAAGTCCTGTTTTCTAGCTATTTGAAAAATATATAATACATTATTGTTAACTATAGTCACCCTACAGTGGTATAGAACAGCACAACTTATTTCTTCTATGTAGCTGTAATTTTGTATCTTTTAACCAGTATTTCCCTGTTCCCCCACCCCGACCCTTCCCATCCTCTAGTAATTACTATTCTATACTCTACTTCTTTGAGATCAACTTTCCTAGCTATGGCATATGAGTGAAACATGAGATATTGATCTTTCTGTTCCTGGTTTATTTTACCCAACATAATGTCCTCCAGGCTCATCCATATTGCTGTGAATGACATGATTTCATTCTTTTTTATGGCTGAATAGTGTTCCATGTGTATATATTTTATTGATTTATATGTTAATGAGCACTTAGGTTGATTTCATATTTTGGCTATTGTGTGAGTAGTGCTGCAATAAACATGGGGTTGCAGATATTTCTTCGATATACTCATTTCCTTTCTTTTGGATATGCATGAGTTCATTCTCACATTGCTATAAAAAACTGTCTGAGATTGGGTAGTTTATAAAGAAAAGAGGTTTAATTGACTCACAGTTCCAAAGATTGTACAGAAAGCATTGCTGGGGAGACCTCAGGAAGCTAACAATCATGGTGGAAAGGTAAGAGGAAGGAGGAACGTCTTCACCTGGCCAGAGCAGGAGGAAGAGAGAGAAGGGGGAGGTGCTACAAACTTTTTTAAACAGAGAAATACAGATCTCATGAGAACTCACTATCATGAGAATAACAAGGGGGAAATCCTCCCCCATGATCCAATCACCTCCTACACAGGCCCCTCCTCCAACACGAGAGATTACCATTTGAGGTGAGATTTGGGAGGGGACACAAATCCAAATTAGGAGATATACCCAGTAGTGGGATTGCTGGCTCATATGGTACTTCTATTTGTAGTTTTTTGAGGAATCTTTATACTGTTCTCCATAATAGCTGTACTAGTTTACACTCCCACCAACATTTTATAAGAGTTCCCTTTTCTTGGCATCCTTGCCAGCATTTGTTATGTTTTGTCTTTTTGATAATAACCGTTCTAAGGTGAAATGATACTTCATTGTGGTTTTGATTTTCATTGCCCTGATTAGTGATGTTGATGTTGAGCATTTTTCATATGCTTATTAGTCGTTTCTATATCTTCTTCTAAGAAATATCTATTCAGTTCATTTGTCCAGTTTTTTGAATCAGATTTTTTTTGAGTTTCTTATATATTCTTAGATATTCTAGATATTAACTCCTTGTCAGATGAGTAGTTTGCTAATATTTTCTTCCATTCTGTAGTTTGCCTTTTCACTCTGTTGGTTGTTTCCTTTGATGTGCAAAAGCTTTCAGTTTGATTTAATCCCATTTGTCTATTTTTGCTTCTTTTGCCTGTGCTTTTGAAGTCTTATTTATAATGTCTTATCTCAGACCAATGTCCTGAAGTGTTTCCTCTAAGTTTTCTTATAATAGATTCATAGTTTGGGGTCTTACATTTAAGTCTTTAATCCATTTTGAGTTGATTTTTGTATTAATGGGAGAGATAGGGACCTAGTTTCATTCTTGTGCATATGTATACCAGTTTTACCAGAACCATATATTGAGGAGACTGTCCTTTCCTCAATAAATGTTGTTGGCACATTTGTCAAATATCAGTTGACTGTAAATAAATAAATTTATTTCTGGAAGCTCTATTCTGTTTCATTGGTCTATGTGTCTAATTTTATACCAATACTATGTTGTTTTGATTACTATAGTCTTGTAATATATTTTGAGGTCAGGTAGTGTGACACCTCCAGCTTTGTTCTGTTTACTCAGGATTGCTTTGGTTATTTGGGCTCTTTTTTGGTTCCATACAAATTTTAGGATTTAAAAAAAATTTTCTGTGAAGAGTGTTATTGGTGTTTTGATTGGGATTGGATTGAATCTGTAGATTGCGTTGGGTAGTATTGAAGCAGGATATTTCCCTGACCCCCTCGTAGGTGGGACCTGGAGTGCACAGGTGCTGGAACTAGCTGGCCACTTTGGCACCAGCAGGGGTGAGCTCCACTCAGTGGCTGCTCCACCCCTTGCTAGTGGGGAGTGCTGGTGAGTGAGTGCAGGGGCTGGGGTGAGGGCTTTTGGGTGCCAGCAGGAGCAGACCCTGTACTGGTCCTGCGGCAGTGCCTGGGGGCAGTGCTTTTGACCCCTGAAACCCCAGAGGAAGTGTTAGGCTACCCTTTTAGTTCTGCCATCTGTGGACAGCTTAAGTGTTAACAGCTCAGTGGAGGATTAGTGTGATAGCCTTTTGCACCTGCACTCAGGGTACCTGAGTTTTTGTCAGGCGTCCAGGAGGAATGAGGTTGCAAGAACAAATTGAAGATGGTAAATGCGAGGGATTTTATTGCTGTTGAAAGTGGCTTTTTCAGCGGGAAGGGGAGCCAAAAAGGGGATGGAGCAGGAAGATAATCTTCCCCTGAAGTCTGGCGGTCCTGGCTGGACTCCTTTCTGAAGCTACGCCATCAAGCTGTCCTGAAGGCAAGCTGCTTCTCTCTGACATCCAGCCATAGACTCTGATATTCTGCTGCTTCTCCTCACTGCTGGCTGAGTTCTGGGGATTTTGTAGGCACAGGATGGGGGACAGGGTGGGCCATGGATGGTTTTTGAAAAGGTAACATTCAAGTGGGAAAGCAGGGATGTACATTTTCACTTTGGGCTGCGGTTCCAGGTTTTTCAGCTTGAGGTTATGGCCCTCACTGGGGACTTGCCCTCTTCTGCCCAGAATTTTCCTGCCTCCTGTCCCTATCACTATGGTCATTTTAATTAACTAATTTTTTCAGTCCAAGAACATAGCATGCCTTCCAGTTTTTTTTGTGTGGTGTGTCCTCTTCAATATTTTTCATCAGTATTTTATAGTTTTTCTTGTAGAGATCTTTTACCTCCTTAGTTAAATTTATTCCTAGGTATTTATTTTTTGTGGCCACTAACACAGTCAACATTTTGATGTATATTTGCAAAGAATTCAGTAAGTAAATAAAAAAGTAGTATCTATTATAATGGCCTATAATATTTATATTAGAAATGATTGTATTGGCATGCTCATTTTCTAAAAGTTTGACTTGGTCATAGTAATGTTGCAACATTGAACTTATAATTACAATTTATTAAATTTGTAGCAAATAAATGGCCTTGGAGCTGTTTCTTAAAATTGTGTTTTATTATTTAATATACAGTAAAATGCACATATGTTATGTGTATGGCTTGCTGAACTGTCACATATGTTAACAATCATTTAAGTACCACCTATATCAGGTGTAGAATATCGCCAGTGCTCCAGCAAGCTCCCTTGTGACCCCCTCTAGTCAATATGTTCCCCAAAGGTCACCACCATTCTAACCTCCATCACCATATGTTAGCTTACTTTTTGTTTGCACACTTTACAGGTAGAATAGTACTCTGTATATCTTACATCTTTTTTGTGTTTGTTTTCTTTTGTTCAACACTATGATATTTATCCGTACTGTGTTTAGCAGGAATTCATTCTTTTTCTATTGTGATATTCTAATATTTGACTATCAAAACTTCCATTCTTGTATATTGAACATTCTTACATTTGTCTGTTGGTGGACATAAGGACTCATTTCTCTTGGATATATGCTGAGATCATAGAACATCTACTTGTTTAAAATAGTTAAACCACTCACATCAGCAATGTATGAATTCTAGCTACTCCACATCGTCACCAGTATTAGCCATCTGGTAGAGGCAGAATAATATTTCATTGGTTGTAACTTGCATTTTCTTGATGGTTAATGATGTTGTGTACCTTTTCAAATGCTCATTGGTCATTTGGATATTTTGTTCGGTGCTTGTTCAAGGCTTGTTAAAAAAATTGAGTTGTCAGTCTTTTTTCTTATAAAAGGCCTTTGTCAGATATATCAGTTTTAAATATTTATTCCAGTCTCAGGCTTGCCTTTTAAATCTCTTAATGTATTTTGTTGAATAAAAGTTCTTAATTTTAATGAAGTTCAGTATATCAATCTTTTATCTTATGGTTAGCATTTAATGTCTTATGTTTAAAAAATCGTTGTCTACCACAAGATTATGATGTTATTCTCTGTATTTCATTCTAGAAGCTTGATTGTTTTAGCACTCACATTTAGAACTTTAATCTGCCTTAAATTATTTTTTGTAGTTTGACTGAGGTAAGAAAGTTCTATGTCTGACTTTCTGGCGGTATCACATTATTTTGATTACTGTAGTACTGTAATAAGTTTTGAAATAAGAAAGTGTGAGACCTCCAACTTTGTTCTTCTTTTTCAAGATTGCTGTATTAGTTTGCTAAGGCTGCCATAACAAAATATCACAGACTCCGTGGCTTAACCCACAGACATTTATTTTCTCAGCTCAGGCCAGAAGTTTAAGTTCAAGGTGGGCAGGCTTGTTGGCTGCAGAGGCCTCTGTCTTTACTTGCAAATGACCACCTTCTTGCTTTGTTCTCACATGGCCTTTCCTCTGTAGACTCACATCTCTGGTGTCCTTCAATGTATCAAGTTTTTATCTTTTTATAAGGACACAATTCTGATTGTATTAGAGCCCACACTAAAGGCATCATTTTAACTTAATCACACTTTTAAAGTTTCTGTCTCCAAATACAGTCATATTCTGAGGTACTGAGATTTAGGGCTTTAATATACAAATTGTGGGTGGTCACAGTTCAGCAAATAACAATCGCTTAGGCTATTTGGAGTCCCTTGAGATTCCATATGAATTTTAGGAAGGGGTTTTCTCTTTTTTATAAAAAATGCTGCTGGGATTTTGATATGAATTACATTCAGTCTAGAGATCACTGGGTAACGATGACATCTTAACAATGTTAAGTCTTCCAATCCATTAACAGGGATGTCTTTCCATGTTTATCTGTGTCATCTTTAGTTTCTTTCATCAATGTGGTACAGTTTTCAGTGTACAAATCTTTCACTTCCTTGGTTAAATTTATTTCTAATTATTTTATTGTTTTTGATGTTAGTATAAATGGGATTGCTCTCTTAATTTTCTCTTCAGATTATTCATTGTTAGCATATAGAAATGCAACTGATTTTTGCATGTTGATTTTGTACCTTGCAGCTTTGCTGATTTCATTTAGAGTTTTCCCCATGTACAGTCATGTCATCTTTGAATAGAGGTAATTTTACTTCCTTTCCAATTTGTATACCTTTTATTTCTTGCCTAATTGCTCTGGCTAGGACTGCCAGTATTACGTTGAATAGAAGTGGTGAAAGCAAGAATCTTTGTCTTGTTCCTGATCTTAGAGGAAAAGTTTTTAATTCTTTTACAATTCACTATGATGTTAGCTGTGGGCTTTGTACATATGGTCTTTATTATGTTGAGATACTTTCCTTCTGTTCTTAGTGTGTTGATAGTATATATCATGAAAAAGTGCTGAATTTTGTTAAATACTTTTTTTGTATCAATTGAGATGACAACATTATTTTCTTTCATTCTGTTACTATGACATTAATTTGCATATGTTGAACTATCCTTGTATTACAGGAATAAATCTCAGTTGTTTTGGTGTCAAATCAGTTCAATATGCTTTAACTGGTATTTTGATCAAGATTTTTGCCTCAATAGTCATCCTTTATTTCTCCTTTTAATATATTAGAGTTAGGTGTTTTATAGATACCTTTTATGATATTAGGAAAATTTTCTTATCCTTAGTTTGCTTAGTTTTTACTATGAATGGAATTTAGATTTTATTAAGTGCCTTTTCTGTATTTATTAAAATGTTTTTTTTCCTATTTTACTGTTACTATTGTCAAGCACATTGAGTGAAAGTTGAATGTTTAACCTTGCATTCCTGGAATAAACAGTTTGATCATAAAATATTATCCTTCCTATGTATCACTGGATTTGATTTGCTTGTGTATTTTTAAAATTTTTTATTTACATTTATGGAAGAAGTTGGTCTATAATTTTCTTTTAATTCCTTATTAGGTTTTAGGTCAATTAATATACTGGCTCCATTAAATAAATTGTGATGCTTTAGTCATTCTCTATTCTCAGGAGGAGTGTTTGTAAGATTGGTATTATTTATTCCTTAAGTATTTGGAAAAGTTTTAAGTGAAGTCATCTGGGCCTCAAGTTTTCTTTCATGGCTACTTTTCACTTAAAGCCTCAATTTCCTCATAGATACCGAGCTATTAAATATTTCCTATATTTTGTTGTTCAGTCATGGAAAGTTATATTATTTTCTTAAGAAATATGTTTTATCCAAGTTAATTTATTGTTGTAAAATTATTTATAATATTCTTTCTTCTTTTAAAAGTGTGTGACAATGTCACTTTTTTCATCCCTCATAATGCTGTTTTGTTCTGTTCTTCATTTAAAAAATTGAATATTGTTAAGGAATTGTTACTTTTATTAACCTTTTTAGAAAAGCGATGCTGGCATTGTTGATGGCCTTTATGGAATGCTTGCTTTCTACCATTACTGCCTTTTGCTCTTATTTCCTTCTTTCCATTTTTTGGAGTTTAAATTTTTGTTTTTTTCTAATTTCTTAAAGTAGGTTTTTAATTATTTTCCTTTGTAAATATATATATATATATATATATATATATATATATATATATATAATTTTCCTTTTCAAATATATATATCTAAAGCTATATGTTGCCCTCTGAACATTGTTTAGACTACTTCTGTTTACCTTAAAGTTCAGTGAGAAACTGTTTTTTAAATTTGTTCATAATTTCTGTTTTTACTCACCTTCCAAAGATTCCCTTACCATCTATATATAATATATATATATATAGTGTGTGTGTGTGTGTGTGTGTGTATACATACATATTTGCACATATTATTTTTTGAGACAGGGTCTTGCTCTGTCACCCAGGCTGGAGTGCAGTGGTGTGATCACAACTGCCTGCAGCCTCAACATCCTGGGCTCAAGTGATCCTCCCACCTTAGCCTCCTGAGTAGTTGGGACTACAGGCATATGCTACTGCCCCTGGGTAATTTTTAAATTTTTTTGTAGAGATAGGGTCTTGCTATGTTGCCTAGGTTGGTCTCAAACTCCATGCCTCTAGTAATCGTCCTGCCTTGGACTCCCAAAATTCTGGGATTACAGTCATGAGCCACCATGCTGGCTTTTGCTTATATGTTATAACTCCTCATTCTGGTAGTTTTTTCTTCTTATTTCATGACATTAGTGATTTTGGAAGTGAATCCCATTTGGTGAAGATTCTTGAATGTGCTCTCATTTGAGTATACATTATAATGTACATTTGTCTCAGTGTAGGCAAAAATCCTAGGGGAATATCTTACTGTAGAACAGTCCTAGCCATGTTCCTGAAGACATGAGATTTAGATTATCTCCTCACATGCAGCAATCCCTGAAATAGTTTAGCTTCATGAAAAGCCAAAGAAAACCCTGTATCTTTAGAATGATTATAACCAACAAGTAAAAACAGGATAAAAGGGTAAAATGATTTGAGACTTTATTACAATTTAAAGTTCCTGACATTAAATGCAAACCGTATTTAATAAGTGGTGTTTATATGAGATTTCCATACACTTTATTGACTTCAGGTTTAAACTGATAAGTTGGCACCATGGTAACCTGGAGGGTTTTGTGAACTAAAGGCCTTGTCTCTTAATGACCATACAGGACAGGCCAAAGGATGCATACAGAAGCAAAGAGTTGCAGCTGAGATGAGTAAATAAAGCTGAGTCCCTCAAATAGCCACATCCACAGGAAAAAATTAACCCAGGTTTAGGGGTAGAGCCCTGGATAGTTTATAAGTCATGACTTGGGCTTTGATTTGTCTCTTCTGTAAGTTTACGACCACTTGGATTTGGTGGTTAACCTCATACTGCCTGCATTTTCTGGTTTTTACAACCAGAGATGATAATATAAAAAGTGACCTTTCTAGGTGCCACTTTTGGACATAGAAGAAGCAAACATAATACAACCCTGAAAACAGACACTTTCAATGACTTCTGTGGTATTTATATGCCCAGATGTGAACAGCCTCTTAGGTATTCAGCACTGGTCTATCCAAACACTTTTTTGGAATGGGCTGCTATAGTTGTCTCTCTTGTACCCTTTCATCTTACAGCAGGATACAGCATGGATACAGCAGGAGTAACCATCATGCAGTGTGATCACGTGGCCATGGTCAGCTATCCAGGAATGGGTACCTGACTCCAACCAGGGTAGGTAGTCTCTTCCCTGGGAACTTGAACTAAGAAAAAGTTGTTATTTTCTATTGGCTGAATTGGTAATTTAGGAACTCTTCTTGGTGAATTAAACCATTTCCCAGTATGTAATCACAGTCTTTTTTGATCTTTGTTGGTTTAAAGCCTGTTTTGTCAGAAACTAAAATAGAACTCCTGCTTTTTTCTGCTTTCCATTTGCTTCGTAGATTTTTCTCCCTCCCCTTATTTTGAGCCTATGTGTGTCATTGCATGTGAGACTTGGAAAGGTTTGGCAGTGATAAATTCTCCTACGTAACACTGCAGCCAGAGAGGATGATAGAGAAAAACAGAGGGTAAAGAGACAAAAAAGCCCCAAGGTCTTTTAGTGCTTAGGTTTAACATTCTCTCATTGAATCCCTTCCTCCCACTCCACCTTTTTTTGTTTTGTTGTGGAAGCTAGAGTTGATTTCTGTTACTTGCATCCAAAAAGAATTTAAACTAATACACCAAGAGAGCCTCCATTTCATTTTTTGCATGTTCTCAGAGATGTTTAATTTCAATGTTTGATGGAAGAAATACTCCAGATCTGATCATGAAATGCCATAATTCTATAATTTAGATAAACACTCTAATTCATTCTTGCCGTTGGAATAAAAATGTGAATACAATTTATTTCATCATAAATTTATAGATTTTAAAAGTTATTTTAACCATCCATTATACTAGTAGAGAGACATTTAAGAATGAAGTAATATATTTCTTTCAGCAAAATAGAGTATGCCAATCTCACATATCTGCATTTAACATTTTGCAGGTGAGGTTTGCTCTCCAGCTAAAATTATTCTCTTTCATATGAACAGGAGATTGGTTGAGTGATAGTTCTTAATTCAAGAAGGAGCAGTGTAACTGTGACTGAAAAGCTATTCAGAAGCAAAAATATTCTTCTAAAAATAGTTTTGCGTTCTATAGAATGTTACTCATTTAATAGTCACCTTTGAATATTGAAATTCCTTTTGACTCATCAGATACATTCTGTCATGACATAAAAGACATGCTTTAAGAATTTAGCGATTCATGAAGAACCATTTATAATTTCATATTTCTACTTTAGGGAAATAGTTATGGGCAGAATGTTGGAATGCAACTCTCCCTGCTTCAGTGTCAACTGAGGTATCAATTCCATGAGTATCAGGGCACCAAATGGTGTGAAAGCATCACATGCAAATTTTATGAAAAAAATGTAAAGGGAACTGTTCCAAAATACTAGATACATCTGACATGCTAAGGATAAAAGAAGAGGTCACACAGACTTTTGAGAAGGGGACTGGGGAAGACAGATCTTTGCAGAAGCTATTGCCATATTTGGAGAAGGAGAGGGGTGTGCTGCCTTCTGTGCCTCCAACCTAGTGGGAGGGATTTCCATGAGGAGACCTAGAAAGGCTGCTATGTTTTTCTTTTTTTTTTTTGAAACTGAGACATAATAAGTAATATATAACTTAATAAGTAATAACTTACCTACTCCCAAGAAATGTACAGAGAGACAGGATGTGGTGGGCATAATGCCAGTCCCCCAAAGATACCTATGTCTTAATCCACAGAATCAGTGAATATGTTACCTCACGTGGCAAATGAGACTTTGCAAATGTGATTCAGTTAAGGACCTTGATATGGGGAGACTATCCTGGATAATCCAGGTGGGCCTAACGTAATTGCCAGGGTCTTTTTGAAAGGGAGGGAGGAGGGTCAGAGTCAGAGAAGGAGATGTGACGATGGAAGCAGTGGTCAGAGTGACGTGGCAGGAACCAAGGAATGCAGACAGTCTCTAGAAGCTGGAAAAGGTAGGAAACAGGCTGTCTCCATTTCACCAGAGCCTTCTGAAGTAGGTAACTGATTTCATGTATCTGACCTCCAGAACTATAATAATAAGTGTGTGATATGATAATTTGTTACTGAAGTAACAGAGAATACATAGGCTGATGCTTTGTTGGCAGAACTCAGAGATGAAGGCCAATAATGGCCTTGTCTATGTCAAGGGAAATGGAACAGAGTGGGTCCCAGAAAGCTCAAGGGCAACTTAATGATACCTCCACTCATTTTTCCAACATGTAAGTCCTCATAGAGGATAAAGCCACCTTTAGATTGATATGGAAGATAAGGTGTAGAAATGGAGAAACTGACTGTCACCAAGGCTTTGAATCATAGCAGTTCCAGCAGTCTGGAAGATAGGAGAAGACTTGATATTAAAGCAAACTTACAACTTTATTATCTTGAACTGGACTTTCTAATTACTTAATCAAGAATTTTTAATGGTATAAAGGGATCATGGAGCTTTCCAGAATTTTCTTCTAGGGAGAATTTTTGTCTCTTACTGCATAAACAAGAGAGTAGAAGATAAAATATAGTTATGCTTTTAAATTCTATGAATGTTTTCAAATATCTAAAAAATTAGACTAGGACAATGAATTTTCTTCTACTATGGACTTAATTGTTTCTCCCCCAGACTCATATGTTGAAGTCATAACCCACTATGTGACGTTTTTGGAGTTAGGGCTTTTAGGAGGTAATTAAAGATGATGGGTTCATTAGGGTAGGGTCCTAATCCAATAGGATTTGTGGCCTTATAAGAAAAAGAGAGAGCGAGAGACAGAGAGAAGGAGAGAGAGAGAGAAAGAGAGACACAGATTTCTATCTCTCCAATTTGCACACAAGAAGAAAAGCCTTCTGAGCACACAAAAGTTGGCCACCTACCTGCAAGGCGCACTCACCAGACCTACCCATTCTAGCACCCTGATCTCATACTTCCAGCCTCCAGAACTGTGAGAAAATAAATTTTTGTTGCTTAAGCCACCCAGTCTATGGTATTTTGTTATAGCAGCCTGAACAGACAAATACACCATCTATTAATGTTCTATATTATCAACATTGTGTCCTACTTTATCTATTTTCTCCCTCCCTTCCTCTTTTTCTTTCTTTCTTCCTTTCCTTTATTCTTGTAAAGCTCGTTTTAAATTAAACTTAGACATAATGTGATTTTCACTTCTAATTTTATCCATCGATGTCTTTAAAAAATAAAGATGACTTACAACTTAACTATTGGGACAAACATCATTACCATTTATTAGCATCTAAATTCCCAAACCTGCTGGGTCCATGGGACTTTGAAGTGAGTTATGTGCATGTGAATTGCTCTCAGTACTGAAATGAAAGCAGAAGGAACATGTATCAGTTAGCTATTACTGTGTGCTAACCCCTACCAAGATTTAGTGGCTTAAAATAAGAATTTCTCACTGTTCTCTTAATCAGGTGGACATTTCTTCTGGTCTGAGATGGCGTGGCTGATGTCTAGGGTTAGCTGGCTTATTTCTTGGTTGTGGCTGGAGGGTCTAGGAGAGCTTCAGCTGAGATGCTATCTTTGCTCCACGTGTTCTCTTATCAGCAGGCTGGTTTTGAATTTTTTCCTATGGTAGTCCCAGGCTTCCAAAGACCATCCAGAGAGTAAACTCCAATGCACAAGCACTTTTCAAGCATTTGCTCCTGACACATTGCTAATGTCCCATCCACTAAAGTAAGTCACATAGCTAAGCCCAAATTCAAGGAGTAAAGAATAGACTTCATCTCTTGATGGGAAGAACTGTAAAGTCATAAATGAGTGTGCATACAGGATGAGAAGACTTTATGATGTGGCCATTTTTACAATTTGCTATGGGTTTCTGAGTTATGATTAACTGAAGGCTCTGTTTTCAATATGGTGCATGAGGAGACTGGATAACAAATTAACAGTTGGGAACTGGAAGTGGAAGAAAGTACAACAGGATTAACAAGAAAAGCAGCAGGATAAAATACAGGAAAACAATAAATTTACATAAATATTGATTGCCCTGCAAATTTACTTAACTATTATCATAAATTTCTTGTACATTCTTTTCTGTGTACATGATCATGTTGCCTACAAATAATGACAGTTTTAAATTGTTCTTTTTAGATGCTCTTTATCAAGTTGAAGCCATTTCATTCTATTCTTTTTTTAATGTGTGTGTGTATTTATATGTATGATAGATTTTTAAAAAATTTCAGCCTTGATTTTTGATACAGGAAGTACATGTGAAGGATTGTTACATGCATATATTACACCCAGATAGTGAACATAATACCAAATAGGTAGTTTTTCAACTCACACCCATCCTCCCTCCCTCTCTAGTCTAGTAATCTATAGTGTCTATTGCTCTCATGGTTATGTCCTTGGAAAATCAATGTTTAGCTCCCAATAAGCGAGAATATTCATTTGGTTTCCTGTTCCTGCATTAATTCCTTTAGGATTATGCTCTCCAGCTCCATCCATGTTGCTGCAATGGACATGATTTCATTCTTTTTTATGGCTGTGTAGTATTCATGGTGTATATGTTCCACATTTTCTTAATACAATCCACCATTGATGGGCACCTAGGGTCTATTCCATGTTTTTTTCTATAGTGAATAGCATGGCAATGAACATATGAATGCATGTGTCTTTTTGGTATAATGATCTAAATTCTTTTGGGTATATTCCCAGTAATGAGTTTGCTAGGTCAAATGGCAGCTCTGTTTTAAATTCTTTGAGAAATCTCCAAACTGCTTTCCACAGTGGCTGAACTCATTTGCATTTTCACCAACAGTGTATAAGCATTCTCTTTTCTCATCAGCCTCAGCATCTGTTATTTTTTGAGATTTTTTTTTTAATAACAGCCATTCTGGCTGGTATGAGAAGGTATCTGATAGTGGTTTTGATTCGCATTTCTCTGATTAGTGTTGATGAGCATTTTTCATATGTTTGTTGGCTGCTTGTATATCTCTTCTTTTGAGAAGTGTCTGTTCATGTTATTTGCCCATTTTTTAATGGGGTTATTTGTTTTGCTTGTTGATTTAAGTTCCTTACAGATTCTGGATAGAGCTTTGTCAGACGCATAGTTTGTGAATGTTTTCTCATAATTTGTAGGTTGTCTACTTCCTCCGTAGGTGGTTTCTTTCACTGTGTAGAAACTCTTTAGTTTTTGCTCTTCTCAAGGAGTATCTTTGTGGTGTTGTCTGTATTTTCTGAATTTGAATGTTGGCCTGTCTTGCTAGATTGGGGAAGTTCTCCTGGATAATATCCTGAAGAGTGTTTTCCAACTTGGTTCCATTCTCCCTGTCACTTTCTGGTATACCAATCAAACACAGGTTTGGTCTTTTCACAGAGTCCCATATTTCTTGGATGCTTTCTTCATTCCTTTTCATTCTTTTTTCTCTAATCTTTTCTTCACACTTTATTTCATTAAGTTGATCTTCAATCTCTGATATATATATGTTTTTTTCTGGTTGTTCGATTCAGCTACTGATACTTTGTGTATGCTTCACGAAGCTCTTGTGCTGTGTTTTTCAGTTCCATCAGGTCATTTATGTTCTTCTCTAAACTGGTTACTCTAGATAGCAATTCTTCTAACATTTTTTCAAAGTTCTTAGTTCTCTTGCATTGGGTTATAACATGCTCCTTTAGCTTGGAGGAATTTGTTATTGCCCACCTTCTGAAGCCTACTTTTGTCAATTTGTCAAACTCATTCTCCATCCAGTTTTGTTTCCTTCCTGGCGAGGAGTTGTGATCCTTTGGAGAAGAGGCATTCTGGTTTTTGGAATTTTCAGCCTTTTTGCGCTGGTTTTTCCTCATCTTCGTGGATTTATCTACCTTTGGTCTTTGATTTTGGTGACTTTCAGATGAGGTTTTTGTGCAGACGTCCTTTTTGTTGATGTTGATGCTATTCCTTTCTGTTTGTTAATTTTCCTTCTAATAGACCTCTCTTCTGCAGGTCTGCTAGAGTTTGCTGGAGGTCCACTCCAGCCCCTTTTCACCTGGGTATCACCAGTGGAGGCTGCAGAACAGCAAGGATTGCTGCCTGTTCCTTCCTCTGGAAGCTTCCTCCCAGAGGGGCACCCGCCAGATGCCAGCCGGAGCTCTCCTATATGAGGTGTCTGTTGACCCCTGCTGGGAAGTGTCTCCCAGTCAGGAGGCATGGGGGTCAGGGACCCACTTGAGGAGGCAGTCTATCCTTTAGCAGAGCTCCAGAGTTGTGTTGGGAGATCTGCTGCTCTATTCAGAGTCAGCAGGCAGGAACGTTTAAGTCAGCTGAAGCTGTGCCCACAGCTGCCCCTTCCCCCAGGTACTCTGTCCTAGGGAGATGGGAGTTTTATCTATAAGCTCTTGACTGGGGCTAATGCCTTTCTTTCAGAGATGCCCTGCCCAGAGAGGAGGAATCTAGAGAGGCAGTTGGCTAAAGCGGCTTTGCCGAGCTGCGGTGAGCTCTGCCCAGTTCGAACTTCCGGGCAGCTTTGTTTGCACTGTTAGGGGAAAACTGCTAGCTCAGTGTCTGCCCAAATGGCTTCCCAGTTTTGTGCTTGAAACCCAGGGCCCTGGTGGCATACGCACCTGAGGGAATCTCCTGGTCTGTGGGTTGCGAACACTATGATGAAAGCATAGTATCTGGGCTGGAATGCACTGTTCCTCCTAGCACAGTCCTTCACGGCTTCCCTCAGCTAGGGGAGGGAGTTCCTTGACCCCTTGCACTTCCCAAGTGAGGGAAGCCCTCACCCTGCTTCGGCTTGCCCCCTGTGGGCTGCACCCACTGTCTAACCAGTCCCAATGAGATGAGCCCGGTACCTCAGTTGGAAATGCAGAAATCTCCCACCTTCTGCATTGATCTTGCTGGGAGCTGCAGATTGGAGCTGTTTCTATTCGGCCATCTTGCCAGCCACCTGGGTGGGTGAATTCGTGAGCTTGGTTTCATAGGCATAATTTTTGGTATTATAGTTTAGGCTGTTAGCCAGTAGATGGTGCTTAAGAGCAATGGCTGGTAGCTAGGTTAATACCCAGCCATGTCGTTTTTGTACTTCCTCTTGTTTTCAGTCCTGCTCTGTGGTAGGCAGAGGAGACAAATGGCCTCCTCACCAGGTCCTCTCTGGGCTTTGGGGAAGTCCCCAAGGATCAATGGTGCTGCACCTGCATTTCTTTTCTTAGGTGTTCCAGGCTGCAGTATCCCCTCAGGCAGAGGCTGGCAGGGATATATTCCACATCTTTCTGGACTGGCCCTGCAGAGGATGGCATGCACCACTACTGCCCCCGCCCAGGAACACATGCTTCTCACCCCTCTCACTGCTCTGATGGTGGGGGCTGCTTCTCTGCTTGAGGGCCGGCCACAGATCTCAGCTCCATACTCCTGAGCTGCATGTTGCAGCCCTGGGGCACTGGGATGTCCTGCAGCTCGGGTTGGGATTCTGGATCTGATGTATTCCTGGGTTGCCAGGAAAGTGCTCAGGTGCAGCAATACTGGGCTGCAGGGGCTGCACTGTGCACCAGCTTATGCAGCACAGCTTGGTATGGACCCTGGGAGGGGCCAACGAGCAGGAGGGCCTGTAGAGCAGACATACTTCAGTCCCATGGGGAAGCTGCCCACTCTTTCGTGGCTGGAAGGTCAGCTGGGGCCCGTGCCTCCTGGAGGGGTGTGGGGAGCCCTGGGGGATGAGTGTCTATGGCCACATTCCCTAGAACTGCCCAGCACACAAAAGCTCCTATACTTTGTGCTGTCTGAAGGCCTGGCAGTCTTTGCTTGCTCCCCGAGGACATCCCCTGCCAGTTCATGCATCCATGGGGACATGAGGTCCCCTATAGCTAGGATCCCAGAGGTCCATTCTGAGAGAGAGCCATTCCTCAATTCCCTCACTCACCCCTTTCCCAGTCGACAAAGTCAGGAACCATTCCCTGGGTTAAGGTATCCGGTGCAGGGTTCCCCGCGACCTCCCTCTTCAGCCTTGGCTTTAGTCTTGCCTCTCCACCCACTTTTGGCATTTTCTTTCTGAAGATCTGCCCAAATTATGGTGGTTTACTTAATAATCTGATCCCTCTGGGTGGGAGCAGAACTTTTTGGCTGCATCCAGTCAGCCATCTTGTCCCCCTCCTCGTTCTATTCTTAAGGTGGAAACTTTGTTCATTGGTATTAGGTCTTTCTTTTTACCTAGGATAAGCATTTAGAGCTATACATTGTCTTCAAAGTTCTGTGTTAGCTTCATCCCTAAAATTTAAAAAAATTGTCAGCCATTTTGAAATATTTTCTAATTTTCCTTGTCATTTCTTGTCTGACCCTTGCATTGCCTAGAAGTGTCTTAGGAGATTTTCTAGATATGACTATTGTTATTAAATTCTAATTTAGTTTCTTTTGCATTAGAGAACATACTTTGTATGCCCTTAATCCTGTCAAATTTGAAACTTATTTTATGCTGAGCATGTGATCTACCTTGAATATTTTATAAGCATGGTAGAGAATGCGCATTATACTGTTGCTGGATGTGGTGTTCTGTAAAGGTAAATTGGGTTAGATTTTCAGTGTTGTTCAAGATGTCTGTACCCTTGTTGGTTTCTGTCTACTTTTTCTCTCAGTTGCTAAGAGAAAGCTTTAATCAAAATTTTCTATCTACTTCTCCTTTCTGTTATGTTGTTTTCCTTATTAATGTATTTGAAATCTTGCAACTACATGCATGCAAACTTAGGACTGTTGGGTCTGTTATGAATTAATAATTTTATTATTTAAAAATATTTGACTTCATTATTGGTAATATTTCTTGTATCAAAGTCTATTTGACTTCTATTAATATAGCCTTTCCAGTTTTCTTTTCTTTTTTTTTTTTTTTGACAGAGTTCTGTCTGTCACCCAGGCTGGAGTGCAGTGGCAGGATCTCGGCTCACTGCAGTGTCTGTCTCCCGGATTCAAGCGATTCTTCTGCCTCAGCCTCCTAAGTAGCTGAGACTATAGGCACATGCCACCATGTCTGGCTAATTTTTATATTTTTAGTAGAGACGCGGTTTCACAATGTTGGCCAGGATGGTCTCAATCTCTTGACCTTGTGATCTGCCCGCCTCGGCCTCCTAAAGAGCTGGGATTACAGGTGTGAGCCACTGCACCCGGCCCCAGTTTTCTTATTATTAAATTTTTCATATATCCCTTTTTCCATCTTTTTATTTTAACCCATCTTTGTGTATTTAAAATGAATTCTTCAAATATATCACATATAGTTGAATCTTGCTTTATAAAAAATACAGTCTGAAAATCACTGCCTTTTGTTGGAGTAGTTTATAATTTAATATTATTAATATTGCTGGGTTAAAATCTTACTGTTTGTTTTCTGTTGTCCCATTTCTAGTTTGTTCCTTCTTACCATTATTCCTGGCTCTTTTTTTGATAGGGTATTTTTAATATTTCTTTTTATCTTCACTATTGGTCTGTTTGATCTTTTTTCTTTTTTCTAGTGGATATCTCAGGGTTTGCAAAATACATATCTAATTTCTTTCTTTTTTTTAACTTTTATTTTAGGTTTGAGAGTATTTGTTATATAGGTAAACTCATGTCACAGGGGTTTGCCGTACAGACTATTTCATCACCCAGGTATTAAGCCTAGTACCCATTAGTTATTTTTTCTGCTTCTCTCCTTTCAACCACCCTCTACTCTCAAGTAAACCCCAGTGTCTGTTGTTCTCTTCTTTGTGTTCACAAGTTCTCATCATTTAGCTCCCACTTGTGAGAACATGTGGTATATGGTTTTCTGTTCCTGTGTTAGCTTGTTAAAGATGATAGCCTCCAGCTCCATCCATGTTTGCACAAAAGACAAGATCTTGTTTTTTTTTTATGACTGCATAGTATTCCATGGTGTATATGCACCACAGTTGCTTTATCTGATCTGTCATTGTTGGGCATTTAGGTTGATTTCATGTCTTTGCTATTGTGAATAGTGCTGCAATGAACATTTGAGTGCATGTGTTTTTATGGTAGAATGATTTATATTCCTCTGGGTATGTACCCAGTGATGGGATTGCTTGGTCAAATGGTAGTTCTCCTTTAGCAATTTGAGGAATTGCCAAACTGCTTTCTGCAATGGTTGAATGATTTATACTCCCATCAACAGTGTATAAGTGTTCCCTTTTCTCCACAACCTCACCAGCATTTGTTATTATTCATTGGTGTAAGATGGTGTCTCATTGTGGTTTTGATTTGCATTTCTCTAATGATCACTGGTATTGTTAATTTTATGCCTTGATGATCTGTCTAATACTGCCAGTGGCAGTTGAAGCGTCCCATTATTATTTTGTGGGAGTCTATGTCTCTTTGCAAGACTCTAAGAATTTGCTTTATGAATCTGTGTGCTTCCATGTTGGATGCATATATATTTAAGATAGTTATGTCTTGTCGAATTGAACTCTTTATCATTATGTAATGCCCTTCTTTGTCTTTTTTGATATTTGTTGGTTTAAAGTCTGTTTTGTTAGAAATTAGGATTGTAACCCCTGCTTTTTTCTGTTTTTCATTTGCTTGGTAGATTTTCCTCCATTCCTTTATTTTGAACATATTTGTGTCATGAGTTTCTTGAAGACAGCATAACATTGAGTCTTGCATGTTTTTTTTTACTCCAACCTGCCACTCTGTGCCTTTTTCATGGGGTACTTAGCCCACTTACATTTAAGGTTAGTATTGATATGTGTGGATTTAATCCTGTCATTGTCTTGTTAGCTAATTACTGTGCTGGCTTGTTTGTGTGGTTGCTCTACAGTGTCACTGGTCTTTGCATTTAAGTGTAATTTTGTATTAGCTGATCATAATTTTTCTTTCTATATTTAATCCTCCTTTCAAGATCTCTTGTAAGGCAGATTTGGTGGTAATAAACTCCCTCAACATTTGCTTATCTGAAACAGTTCTTATTTCTCGTTTGCTTATGAAACTTAGTTTTGCTGGATATGAAATTCTTGGCTGAAGTTTTTTCCTTTAAGAATGTGAAATGTAGTTCTCCAATCTCCTCTGGCTTGTAGAGTTTCAGCTGAGAGGTCCACTGCTAGCCTGATGGGGTTCCCTTTATAGGGGACCTGCTCTTTTTCTTTCATTTCAACCTTAGAAAATCTGATGATTATGTGTCTTCAAGATTATCTTCTTGTGTAGAACCTTGCAGGAGTTCTCTGTATTTTCTTAATTTGATTATTGGCCTCTCTGACAAAGTTGGGAATATGTTCATGGACAATATATTGAAATATGTTGTTCAAGTTTTTTGCTTTTTTCCTATCCCTTCCAGGGATGTCAGTGACTCATAGATTTGGCCTCTTTACATAGTCCCATAATTCTTGGAGGTTTTAGTCAATCCTCTCAATTATTTTTTATTTATTTTTGTTTTACTTCTTATTTCAGAGAGCCAGGCTTTAAGTTCTGAGATTTTTTTCCTCACCTTGGTCTATTCTACTGTTAGTACTTATGATTGCATTGTGAAATTCTTGTATTGTGTTTTTCAGCTTTGCCAGATTCATTAGGTTCCTTTTCATACTGGCTGTTTCATCTTCCAGCTGTGGTAGTGTTTATTGTGATTCTTAGTTTTCTTGATTTCAGTTTTGCCATACTTGTGAACCTCAATGATCTTTGTTTCTATTCATATTCCAAATTCTGTTTCTGTCATTGCAGCTAGCTAAGCCTGGTCAAGAACTCTTGTTGGAGAACCAGTAAGGTTGTTTGGAGGACATATGACACTCTGGCCATTTGAGTTATCAGAGTTCTTGCATTGGTTGAGTACAGTCAGTGAACTTCTTTACTGGATGTTTTCTCAGTACCGTGCTTTGTGCAGAGTCTTTATTTGAAGCAGACTTCTTGTCTTTGGTCTCACAAGGGGGTATGTTAGCAAGGTATTTTGGTGTTGAAGCTTTGGGGTGTGATCCAGTAGATGGTACTTTGGCTTATTGGTCACTTGGTAGACTCTTGTTTGGTTATGTGGCTCCCCTGTGTTTCCTCACAGTTGCAACTGGGTTCCCTCTCAATGCTCTGAAAGTTTGGGCTGCTCTCCCCATTGAATGCTGGCTGTAGATTTCAGTTTGTCACTCCTGCACTGCCCACTGCAGCACTAAGGCCATCTCAGGGTTTATGTTTCTCCCCCTACTTGGAGGCAACAGAGGAAGGGACCTTAGTAGTCCTTGTGGCCAAGGGTCTTTTGTTTGTCTCCTGAGGGCTCCACCCCAGAAAGGTGCAGGTCAACAACTGTTCAGTGCAATCATCCCAGGATGGGGGATCTGTGTGTGGGCACAAGCCAAGGGTTCCTTGTCTGGTTATGAGCAAGCTGGGGTGGGGGTGTGCAGAACCTGTGGGAGATGGACTGGTTTCCTCTCCTTGGGTCAACTGCAGCTTGTTGAAGGTATGGATAAGGCACTTAGGGTTTTTGCGTCTTAATGAGTCCTAGGGTAGTAAATGCAGTTCCACTGCAGAGGGCAGAGAGGCTTTCAGTTGCCCTCAGCAGCTCTCTCCAGGTTGTTGCATAGCTGCTACTGGCTCAATAGCCTGGCAGAGGGTGGTCGGAGGCCTAGGCTTGGAGGACCTGCCCGGTGAGGAGCTATGGGGACAAGCACCTATGTAACAGTCTGGTCACTTTTCCGAGGAGCTACTGTAGTATGCTGGGGGTCTACTCCAGTCTCTAGTCACCTTGGATTTTCCAGTACCTGGAGTTATCAACAGTAAAGACTATGAAACAGCAAAGATGGTGTCCTGCCCCTCCCTCTGGGAGCTCTGTCCCAGGGAGGTTTCAAAACTCTGTCTGCTGGAGAACACTGATGAGGGTAGCTGGAGACCCCAGTTGGAAGGTCCTGCCCAGTGAAGAGGAACAGGGCTGGAGGCTTGCTTAAAAAAAAGCAGGCCATGTTTGCATATAGCCACTGTGCTGTGCTGGGGGCCCACTTCAGGCCCCAGTCACCTCAGACTCTCCAAAGCCTGAAGGCTAAAACGGTGAAGTCAGCCAAACAGCAAAGGTAGTGGCTGGCCTTGCTGCTGGGAGCTCTTTTTCAGGGAAGTGTAACACTGCTACCAGTGGCTGAATGGAGTTCCAAGCCAGTGGGTCTTATCCTGTGAGGTGCCATGGAAGCAGGGCCCATAGACTATTGCTTCTCAGCCCACTGGATTCTGCCCCTTTTCTAATGGTGTGTATGGAGCCCTGACCTCCTGCTTTGCCAGAGTTTCAGCTCCTTTGCGAGGAAGCCCGGAAAGCCCAGGTATCTAAGGCTCCCAGGTCTCTGCATGTGACTGAGCAGAGATTCCATGATCTGCTGGGATTCCATGTAGGTCTGTGTGTCAGACTGAAGGCCTGGTGGAATGGGTTCATGAGGGTATCTACTCACCTGAGGGTTGCAAAGATCTGTGGGAGAAGCATGGGTTCCTGGGGTTGCATATTTACTCACCACTTCCCTGGACTGGGGAGGTTCCCCTGTGTTGAGGAGGTTCCATTCCTCTCCATGACAGCAGTGCACACTAGCTGCTTTTAGTTGGCCATCTCAGCTACCCCCTCTAATTTCTTATGGCATTCTGATGACATAACACTACTTCATTGACAATGGAGGAACCTTGCAACAATATTCTATTCCATTACCCACTTCTATATTTGGTTCTATTTCTAGATATACTTTACTTCTCTCTATATTATAAACCACACAGTTCATTGCTGTTATTTTTTCCTTACAAAACAAAATATCTTTTAAACAAATTTAAAAACAAGAAAAAGTTTCAAATTTTACCCATATATTAACCATTTTCACCATTTTGTATTCCTTTATGTAGATCCAGGTTTCTATCTAGTATTCTTCTCCAACCTGAAAACCTTTTAATATTTTTTATAGTTCCAGCAAAAACCCTTAGAATTTAATTCTTTTATTGATTTCTTTGAAAAAGTATTTTGTCTTTAGTTTTGAAGGACATTTTTATTTAATACAAATTTCTAGGTTAACTTTTTTCCCAGGACTTAAATGCTTTTGCTACATTGTCTTATGGCTTGCATTTTTCTGATGAGAACACTAATAATTCTCTACATTTTTCTACTATATATGATGTCTCTTTTTTCCTCTCTGATTACTTTAAAAATTTTCTTTTTGTTCTTGGTCTTCAGTAATTTCGTTATAATGTGTTTGGTGTGTTTTTCTTCGTGGTTTTTTTTGGCGGGGGGATTTGTATGTTGTTTTCATCAAATTTATAAAATATACAACCTTATTCCTTTGAATATTTTTCTTTTTCATGTAAGTGAAGCCTAATGTTGTCCAAAAACCACTGAAGTTTTTTTTGTCTGTTTGTTTCTTTTGTTTTTTGAGACAGAGTCTCACTTTGTCACCCAGGCTGGAGTGCAGTGGAGACATCTTGGTTCACTGCAACCTCTGCCACCTGAGCTCAAGAGATCCTCCCACCTCAGCCTCCTGTGTAGCTGAGTATAGGCACATGCCACCTCACCTGGATAATAGAGATGGGGTTTCACCATGTTGCTAAGGCTAGTCTCAAACTCCTGGGCTCAAGCAGTCTGCCTGGCTCAGCCTCCCAAAGTGTTAGGGTTATAGGCAAGAGCCATTATGCCTGGCCTCTGTGTATTTTTCTTTCATCTATTTTTCTTTCTGTGCCTTAGTTTGTGTAGTTTCTATTACTCTATCTTCAAGTTTACTGATCTTCTGCAGTATCTGATTTATACTAAGTCAATCCAGGATAATTTTTATCTTAAGTATTGTATTTTTCATCTTTAAGACTTGATTTTCTTATCTGTATTTTGTATTATGTGTATGTTTTTATTTAAAATTAAATATTCATCATATTAACAATAGCTCTTTTAAATCCTTGTTTGATAATTTCATCATAAAATTCATTTCTAGTTTTTTTTTTCAGGTCAGATGCCCATTGTGCAGACATGGTAACAAGTTTCAAGTACGGCACATCTCACACATGTGCGTGAAACACCCAATCATCATGCTCATGAACTACCAGAGGATCATCATTTCTAGGTTTTAAAACTTTTTATTCAGACAACCTCACTCTGTCACCCAGGCTGGAGTGTAGTGGTGCAATCATGGCTCACACTGCAACCTCTGCCTCCCGGGTTCAAGTGATTCTCTTGCCTCAACCTCCCAAGTAGCTGGGACTATAGGCATACACCCCCACATCTGGCTAATTTTTGTATTTTTGGTAGAGACAGGGTTTCACCATGTTGGTCAGGCTGGTCTCAAACTCCTGACCTCAGAGGATCCACCTGCCTCAGCCTCCCAAAGTGCTGGGATTACTGGTGTGAGCCACAGCGCCCAGCCTAAAACATTTTTTAATGACTTTTTTCTTCCTGGATACTGGGTTCCATTTTCCAGCTTTTCAGTCTATTATTATTATTATTAGTTTACTTAATACCACATGTTTTGATTCTTGTTATTGAGTGTTGACTTTTATGTTGTTGAGTTTTCTTAAGGAGCACTGGCATTTTTTCTGGAAGGGAGTTAAATTACTTGCAGATTTGCTTGATATTTTAGAGGCCTGTTTTAAAGGGCATGTCTAGTGTAGCCTTTACTGCAAGGCTACTTTATCATTTAGAAATGATACCGCTCAAGTCTCTACTCTTGGTAGGGAATGTCGCAGGTGGGCAATGCAGCCTCTCCAACAATAGTTTGTTGAAACTCAGAAGTCTCTCATTCCTTTGTGAGCTCTGAGAATTGTCTCATTTATAGTTTCTAATCGTCCTTTCCTGACATTGTGAAATTTTACCCCATGCAAGCACAGCTTAGCATTAAGTTATAGTTTGGAGCAGATCCCTATCAGATTCCTGGAGCTCTTTCCTTGCCTAGTCCCCTCATCTCTGGTTCTTTCCTACAGATTCCAACCACATGAGCGTCCCTGAATTCCAATCTTCCCTTCACAAACTTAGTGACTCTCCTATGCTCTGCCCGGGTTCTTTCTTCCAGCATGGATTGTAAAGTACCAGCAGGAAGAAAGCCAGAGTGATTGTATTGTCCATTTTGATTATTTATCTTAACTTAGGGATCATAGTTCTTTGAAATATATGTTCCAATTAGCAAAAACAGTTGTTTCACATATGTAGTCCATTTTTCTAGTTCTTTATGATGGGTGGACAAGTCTATCTTAGTTACTCCTTTACAACTGGGAGTAATGTCCTCCACTCCATTAGATTTTAAGATAACTTATAACATGGTTTATTAATTCCCCCAGAGGTAACCAAGGCATATAAAACTGTTTGCTCAAATATATTTTCTATTAATAAGATAGAAATTTTATCACTCTTACAAATTAAAGGAAATGATTGCAAAAGATCTAGAGAACTGATGGTTGAAATAGAGGCTTCAGTAGCTAATAAGAATGTTTCTCAATTAGCAACATAAAACCATGTAATTAAGCATCATTTGATCAGTCAAGCATCGTTGTTGAGGATCTGTATAATTTCTTACTCTCTTCTGAATTTGGCAGAACATTTTTTCATTGTCCATACATATTATAATAATGTCATTGGTTTTTATCATTTTCTAAAGACTGAGTCTGATTATATTTTGAGGAACTATTAATTCTTGGCTTACATGGCTCTTAGAAAACCTTTTTTTCTGATTCAATTTGTCCAATGCAAAATGATGTAAATTTCTTCTCTCTCCTCTCTTTAGCCCTAAAGAGTCTTGGGACATTACTTTGGAATTATTCATTCATTTAGAGAAATCAAAGAAAGCTAGCTAAGCATTTGGTTTCTTTTCATTTTCATTATGGAAATTCCATTTTCACAGATTTTGACAATATTGGGTTCCTAATAAGTAAATACTTAAACGTCAGAGTTATCGGATAAACAAAGAAGAATCTTTAGAGGTGAAGTGTCCCATATTACTACAGATGCGAATAAAACACATAAACACAAAAACAAAAAGGCTAATAAGTATGCCAGATTCTATATTTCCTATCCTGCCCATTCCTGACACCTCAAGCTCATCAGAAATTTCTTAATAAAATGACCATATTAAAACCCACTTTTTACGCTGCTGCCACTGATATGTGCGCAATCAACCGGAAACCATCAGAATCAGAACCAGAAACAAAACAAAGGGTCAGATTTAGCACTGGTCAATTACCTGATATGTGGTGCAATACACAGGCCTGTCTGAGATAATTGCAGATGTGGCTTTTGGAGTATAGAGTAAGCCCAAATAAGTTTCACAGGACACTCATATAATTTTAGAGAGAAGTATGCCAATACAAGCACTGCCAGCTTGAACCAAAAGGGACAGAAACAGTGAAATGAAAAAAGACCTTTGGGATCCCAACTTTCTATGATCAGGAGGAAGGCTGAGGAGCAGTCTGCTGTGAATGTGGGACATTTTTTATTGAAAAGAAAGAATGCTGCAGAGGGAGCAGATGAGCTCTGAGGGTGGAGCAGAGGGTAACCATTCCCAGGGAGAGGAACTGAGTCCTGATCATCACAATCAAGGAATATTTCCTGCTCCCTGATGACATATACTTGCCTGGATTTCACGATTGATATAGTCTGGTATATTAGACCATTCTTGCATTACTGTAAAGAAATACCTGAGACTATGTATTTTATAAAGAAAAGCATTTTAATTGGCTCATGTTCTGCAGGCTGTACAGCAGTCATGACGCTGGCATCTGCTTGGCTTCTGGGGAGCCCTCGGGAAACTTACAATCATGGCAGAAGGTGAAGGAGAAGCAGGTATGTTGCATGGCCAGAGCAGGCGCAAAAAAGGGGGATGGGGGAGGTGTCGCACACTATTTACCAACCAAATCTCATGAGAATTAATTCACGAACATGATAATGGCATGAAGGAGATGGTGTTAAACCATTCATGAGAAACCAGCCCCAGGTGATTCAATCACCTTCCACCAGGCCCCATCTCCAACAATGGGGATTACAATTTAACATGCGGTCTGGTGGGGGCACAGATCCAAGCCATATCAGCTGATGACTACTATTTGCCTCCTGCCTTTCCTTTCTTTGAATGGGAGTATGCATTGTGGTTAACCTGTTTTTGTCTCACCAGTGTATGTTTTTTGAAGGGAGATAGATAACTCATCTTTTCAGATCAAGAAGATCTGCTCTTGTTGATCTGTGGCTAAGTAGCCCCATCTGCATCTGGGCTTGATACAGATTATGAGATTATGGGCGTTGAGCCTGACATTATAATTGGACAAGATTTCTTGGGGCCTTGGAAGTGGGTCTGCATATTTTCCATTTGGGATTATTGGAAGTGATTGTGGCTAGGAGGTGGACAGTCACTGTTTGCCAAAATAGTCATAATATTTTAAGCCCTTCCCCTCAAAAGTTGGGGTCTGCTTCTCTACCTCTTGAATTTAAGAATAATCATGTGACTTTCTTTTGCCAATGGGTCATTAGCAAAGTTGATACAAACAGAGGTTTGAAAGTTACTTGTTCATGGAGTTTACTCTCTCTTGCTTCTCTTTGGAACCCTGGACCACTATGGAGAGAAGCATATGAAATATGAGATCATGTGGATCAGAGGCAGCTGTCTCAGTGGGTGTCCTTATCATACTAACTAGCCTGCCAACCATGAGATCTATGAATGAGTCCATTGTAGACCGCCTAGCTCCAGCAGTGCTGGCACAGAACAGAGAAAGTCCTCAGCAAACTCAGAGAGCCATAAAAAATAATAAGCTATTAAGTTTTGGGATTTTCTTTATGCAGCAAAATTAATTAATACAAGTAACTGTGAAGAAGAGTGAATGTGGGGATATGGCTTCCTTGAACAATGAAGAGGTGGGCAGAGGTATTACTCTGAGACATTTGGGCCTTTTTTCTCCTTAGAGGAACATGATACTGTGCTTGTTGAAAACTTGGTTCAAGAAACAAGACACCTCAATATTTGTAAAGCTTACTTAAATCGAAAGAATAACAAATTGTTAGCATAAGTTTTGTAAGAATCGTGGTGTATATTCTGACAGTAAGACTTAGGAAGTTAGCAAATATTTGCCTATTTTCTCAACTCTTTCCTTCCTGGGTAGAGAGTAACACTGAAAGAAACTAATTGGTAATTAGTTACAGATTAGTGATTGCTAATTAGAGATTTCTAATTGTCTTCCAGTGTCCATTCTCCAGTATGGTTTTGGGGGAGTATGGCTTCCTACCTACTGCGGACCACCTGTCAACTCTGGGCTGTAACATGAGAGAATTGTGAACTTCTGTCTTGTTTGAGCCATGGTTTCATTCTCTTTTTCAGCCATGTAGCCTGTGCTGTAACTCAGTGCCACATTAGCAACTAGTGAAAGTCAATGTGGGTAAATTTGTCATTCTTCAGGTTAGAACATTTCTTCCTTTTATTCTTGTGTTTTTGGCTAAATAAACTGGGAAATTATAGTAGAGAGGTGTGTGGAGTCTCTTTGCTCAATTCTATAACCCATCTGGAGAGGTTATAAACTTGTAAAGAAATCTGTGATATGTAAACTCAGTTTGTGATTGTAATGTATATAATTTTTGAGTCAGGATTTCTCTCTAATTGGACTATGCTTGTAAATGTTTAGTTTATATGTGTTAATGGAATAGGGCCATGACACAAGTATCCTAAATTAAATTTAGCCAGTATTAATGGAATAAGTACTCAATTAATACTCAAAATGTGCCAGAAATGATCCTACATGGGATACAGAGTTATAAAATACGGTTCTTATCCTTCGGGAGTTAACATTTTGATGAGGGAGAAAGGAGATTCTTAATTATAATTTCCCTAAATGGCAATTTCAATAAGAGTAGTATAAATGGTGAATTCAATTTTAGAGGAAAAGGTGGGATGCTTTATGAAGCAAATAAAAAATAATGCAAAGTTTACTTCTATATGGCTTTGGAATGCATCAAATTATCTTTCACAGGATCACATTGAAATTATTCCCTGCCCCCTGCGGGGCACATTCAGGTGGCAGAAGGAGAGGGATAGAAACGTTACCTTGAAGGCAGAGGGCTGCTCTATGAGGTGTGAAAAGTTGCTATTAGATACTGTTGTAGTTTACAGAGTTAACTTTTTTGTTTCAATTATAGCTTTCCTTACCAAAGATTTGCTATTCTAGTACTAGTGGTAAGCCTTAATCAACCAGAAATTATATACAAAATAATTAGCTTAAAATAACAATGTTTTCTTTCCCATTTTATGAAGAAGAGAAAAACGATTCTTAATAGAATGATGCCTGGATTGGTGGAATCCTCACATTTCCTAAAATTCTTCAGTACTAGAAAAGCTAATGCCAATCCACTTCCACTATAGTTTCAAGTTGGTGGTGCATGGAAATTTTTCATTTTTGGCTTCGTCTCTAAACTCAAGTGATTACATTTTATAATAAAGAGAAATTTAAAATTAATATAATAGCAACTTAAGTTCTGAGCTATTGAACACTAAACTTATGCTATTTAAAAAAAATTTGGCTACAACTGTTTAGTCTATACATTCTTCCTTTTCTTCTCTGAGATAATTCAGGTCAATAATTCCAATCAAAAAATGTTCATTGAGCTACTGCTAATATATAAGGCAATGTGCTATGTAGGCCCAAGAGTTAAAGGCAGTTTCAAGCTAGTGAATAAATGTGCATACTATATGATGGACATGTCAAATCAAGTTTGAATCAAGTCCTATGGGTCTACCACAGAGAGAGTGATTCATTCTAAGTTGATAAGTGTCCAGTAATATATTCACCAGGGATGTGGCATTTAAATTGGCCTTGAATGCTATATTAGTTTCATACGGCTGACATAACAAAGTACCACAAACTTGATGGCTTAAAGCAACAGAAATTTATTCTCTCATTTTTCCCGAAGCTAGGTGTCTGAAATCAAGGTGTCATCAAGGCCATACTCCCTCTAAAGTCTTGAGGACAGGATCTTTCCTTGCCTCCTTCAACTTCTTGTTGCCCGAGGCATCCCTTGGCTGTGACAGTATCACCACAGTCTCCGTCTCTATCTTCCCATGGTTATCCTCCCGCTGTGCATCTCCATCTTCACACAGTATTCTCCTTCCTATGTCTCTGCTTTCTCTTTTCATAAGGACACCAGTCATATCAGATTGGGAACCACCCTAATCTATTATGACCTCATCTTATCTGGATTACATCTGCAAAGACCCTTTTACATTTCCAAACAGGGTCTTATCTTCAGGCAACAGGGGTTAAGATTTTGTTTTTTTTTGGAGGACATAATTCAAGCTCTAATATTGTAAAGGATAACGCCCTTAGTTCATGGATACATTTCTCATTCCCTTCCTCTATATTCTGTCTTTGCTACCTGATTTCCCTAACAATTTGCACCATCTGATCTGCTTTTGGTTAACCCCAATTTCAGGAAGCTCTTCATTAGTGTATCAGTTAAGGTTGTTTGGACTGATGACTTAGACTTCATAGGCTCAGAGATGATTGGATTGTGAATTGGAGTGTTGGGATCATGCCTTGTTCATCTTGTGATAATTAAAAGTATTTAACCTTTTGGAGTATCATTTTAATAATCTAAAAGTGGACACAATAATAATGAAATATACCTCATAAGGCTGTTGTGAGGATCAAAGGCTTCATATGTACAAAGAATGAACACATATTTAAGACCTTTGATAAGTGTTAACCCTTTAGTAAGTGTCTGAGTGTCCCTGGTTAGTCAGTATTTGGTAAGAGTCTAAATAAATTAATGAATGCATGCCTTGATGTAAAACAGAGTTATCCAATAGTTAGAGGCTGGGAATTTTAGAGTTAGAACTTTCATGCATTGGACTAATTGCAGGTGAAGTCTGCATAGACAACATAGGCTCTAACATGGCATGAACTTGGATAAGAGTGACACATTCAGATGGGTGAAAAGATTACAAGAAAGCAGCTGGCAGCAACTCACTGTTATAATTATAACCTTTTGGCTGCAGTGACTTGCAACCTAGGGTGCTAAGACAAATTGTGAATGAAACTGTCAAATGGCTGTGGACATTCTTTGAGGAATTCTGAGAAGTAGAAAAATTCAAGAAAAATCAGAGTCAGGTAAATTTATTATTTTTTTTAAAGGAAAGTTCCACAAACTTTCAGACTCACCCACATTTACAAGATAAGGCAGAGACAAAGCCCAGTGATTAACTAGAATTTGGATTTGGGCTTTTTTTATTATTGTACTTTAGGTTCTGGGGTACATGTGCAGAACGTGCAGGTTTGTTACATAGGTATACACGTGCCATGGTGGTTTGCTGCACCTATCAACCTGTGATCTACATTAGGTATTTCTCCTAATGCTATCCCTCCCTCTGATGTATATATATATATATATATATGTATATCAGACTATTCTGTTTGCTGCTTTGCCTCTGCTGTCCATTACGGTAGCTATGCCTACCTTGCCTTTCATGGTTGAGTGCTGCCACTTGGCTCCTGCCACCCCACGATCCAATTATTCCCACTGCATTTAAATTTTGTAGTTGAGTGACTGCAGTTCCCACTATAAGATCTGGCATACAGAAAAGAGCAATCACAGAGCTCTTCAAGGATGCAGGTGCTTCCCTCACAAATCTATTTTGCAAAGTATTGGTGAAGGGTATATCTTCTGGACCCTCCCAGTTGGGATGAGTAGATCTAAAGTGACTAATCCACTCCGGCACTTCACTCTCCCTAAGCCTTTGGATCCCTTCCTCTACATTAAACCGAGGAAGATCAGGCATTTCCAACTCACTCACAGTGGGCCATCTTTTGATCCATGTTTCAGCTAATCGAGCAAATCAACTATTGGAACCTTTTTTAACTCCCTGAGCTACAACATTAAATGCAGAATCCCTGTTTAGTAGGCCCATGTCAATAAATTCAGCCTGATCTAACTTTATGTCTTTCCACCATTATCCCACACCCTTAATACCATTCCCATTCCTGTTCTCCAGATTTCTGCTTATATAAATTAGAAAACTCAAGCAGTTCTTTTGGCATGTAGCACACTGCCTCGTGGGTCACACTCTGAACCTCACCTTTAGGGGCCTGTCAGGACTTTAGTTATAGGTCTAGAAGCAAACAGGGGTGTTGGGGGTGGGTCTTGAGGAGAATCAACATTGTTTTGCCTGGCAACTGCCTCAGGGGAGGCCATCACTGTTGTGTCAGGAAGTGAAGGGTTTATCTCAAACAAAGGTGGAAAGGCTGGGTTGGGGAGGGGAGGGGAGGTGGTGTGGGTGGGAGGCTGTTTCCCTGGCAAAAAAAGGCTCATCAGAATTTAGGAGCTGAGTGCTTCTGGCCTCATCAGGGTCCTCCCACATGTCCCCATTCCAAGTTGCAGAGTCCCATTTTTTTTCAATCAATGCCGTCACCTTAACAGTAGACACCTGACAAGTCTGTGCATGCATCTTTTATTGCAGGTCAGCCATTCACAGGATAAGAGCTTGTTCTGATTTTCCACAATTTCAGCTCTTTCCCTACAGGAGGTAAGACTCTCACTCAGGGCAATATTAAAAGATTTGAGGGTCAGTATGGGCTTCTGGAGCTGAGAGACAGAATCTCGGAGTTAAATGTTTCCTTTCATCACTTTGGCTAGTGAACTTAGGAGCAACCAACCAACCAACTTCATTATATTCCTTGGTTCCCACATATGGTCAAAGATATTATATATAGAATCACTAAATTCCTTGCCTGTCATGAGTGGTGAATCAGAAGTATCAAATGCATTTATTTTGCTTAACTGTCTAAACAATTCATGCCAAAGACTCTCCGTGTTCTCCATACTAGTAGAAGTAGAGTCCTTAGCATTTTGGGGTCTAGTCATATTAAGCAACCAACTCCAGAAACCCCCAGACCAACTAAAGAACTTCATCCTTAAAATTTTTTTCCTCTAGAACCACTCCTGATACCAAAATCTGTGTTAATCAGGGTTCTCTAGAGGGACAGGACTAATAAGGTGTGTGTGTATATATATACATGATCCATGATGGATCATGTATACAGATCCTCTATGTGTGTGTGTGTGTGTGTGTGTGTGTGTGTGTATACAGGTTTGAACAGTGTGGATCCATTTTTATCTGGATTTTCTTCTGCCTCTGCCATCCCTGAGACAGCAAGACTATTCCCTCCTCCTCCTCGTTCTCCTCCTTCTCAGCCTCCTCAACATGAAGGCAGTGAGGATGAAGACGTTTAGGATGATCCACTTCCAATCTTCCAATTAATCAATAGTAAACATATTTATCTTCCTTATGATTTTTCTTAATAACACTTTCTTTTCTCTACCTTACTTTATTGTAAGAACATAGCATATAATACATGTAACATACAAAATATGTGTAAATCAACTGTTTATGTTATCAGTAATGCTTCTGGTCAACAGTAGGCTTTTAGTAGTTAAGTGTTGGGAAGGCCAAAAGTTACATGTAGATTTTTGACTGCACGGGGGTTTGGTGCCCCTAACCACCAAATTATTCAAGGGTCAACTGTATTTTTGTTGTTTAAGCCACACAGTCTTTGATACTTTATTATGGCAGCTGTGGAGGAAGAGTTAAAATATTATATTTGAACTCAATTGAACGTGGGCACAAACAACGGTCACCAAGTCCCGGCACAGGTTGTGTGAGCTTCTTGAGGCGTTTATCCAGTGCTGTTTTGGAGAAATCTCTATTTCAATCTATTCTCATACTTTAGTTATTGAAGAACAATAGACACTGGCAAAAACAAGTTGATCTTTTTGTGTTCCTTGAGCCCAGTCATGAAGGGCCCTCATGACTGGGCCTCATGCCAAACAACTCGTTACAAAAAGAGCTAGAGTCCCAGACTGTGCCGAAGCTTCATGAGACCTCTCCTCGTCTGCACGGATGAGTGGCCAACTCAGGAGCCAAGGCTGTTGCTTCCCAGTCTGGTGGTGAATCTTCCATATTCTGGTGAGTGTAAATATATATATATATCTGATTTCCCTTCTCCCCTTCCCATTGCAATTTGCTTATTATATTAATTTGCTTATTCTATCATTTGCTTATTATATCTGAATTGCCATTTACTTGGGACAAAGCTTGTTTACCCTTAAAGGTATCGTGTGTGTGTCTTTTCTTCTCCCCTCATGCGTTTCCCGCATAGAACATTTTTGGCGTCACGAACAGGATTTCATAGCAAAAGCATGCCATTTTTTAGCTGCAGGGTCTGGGCTGGGAACTCAGGGTCTTCCCCCATCCTGGGATGGGAACTCCCTCAGTTTTCCTTCTTGGTGATTGAATGGCCCAGGGGAACTGGCTTTTGTGATAATTGGGAATCTAAATCAGTGCGATTTCAACATTTGAGTGCGTGAAGTGCTGCAGGGAATCCCAGTTGGTAAAGGGGATGCTGAGGGAATTTCCCGGCATAGATGGTGCTTGCTTACTGCTTATAATTTAATGTGTCAAGATAGGGACTGGTTGCTTCAAGAGAAATGTAAGCTGGAAAAGGAAAATGCTAATCTGACTTCCAGACTGGCCCTGGCCCAATGCCAGGCCTATGTCTTGACTGATTAGGCTCAAAGCTATCAGCTTATTGCTGAAAAAAGCAGCTATCTGAATGGCATGGTTAGGGTAAAACTGAAGAACTAGTCAGCCAGGGTTTGGAGCAGGTAAAAATCCATCTCCTATCTGAAGGCCAGGAAATTAACCCTAGTAAAATTCAAGGACCTGCACAAACTGTAAAATTCCTTGGCATCCTATGGAATAAAGGAAATAGTCCATTTTAACAAAGGCTAAGGCTAAAATACTAGAATTTGCAACCCCTACCACTAAGAAGGTGGCCCAGAAATTTATTGCCTTGTTTGGATTCTGGAGACATCATAGTCCCACTTGGGTAACATTTTAGAACCTCTGCATGCAGTCACTAGAAAACGCTACGACTTTCACTGGGGAGAGAAAGAGAGCATGGCTTTTGAACAAGCTAAACAAGCAGTGCAACTGGTCTGAAATCTACGGCCCATACAGGATGGGCCAGTAGAACTACAACAACAGGCTAATTGGAGCCTTAGGCAGAAACAAGATGGGAAGAGGGTACCTTTGTGGTTTGGATCTGGAAACTGCCAGAGACCAGCAAAGCTTATACCCCTTTCAAGAATCAACCGTTAGCTTGCTATTGGGCTTCGCTGGAAACGGAGCACCTCTGCTTCAACCATGATGTCTTTATGATTATGATTTGGGTCATGAGTTCCCCCAAAACTCACTGGTTCTGATGAAGGAAACGGTGGGAGCAACCAGCTGGCTGAATTGGTAGCCATCCTCCAAGCTATTCAGGAGGAGGCCAGAGGGATTTGTCACCTGTATACCAACTCTTGGTCAGTAGCAAATGGTCTTACTACTTGGGATGAAACAAATGGTTAATTGGGAATGAAGAGGTTTGGGGAAAACAATACTGGGGAGATGTCTGAATCCTGGCACACACTACCATTAGCGCTGTTTTCCATGTTGATGCTCATGCGTCTCTGCTTATTCTTAACAGACTATTTAATCAGCAAGCAGATCAACAGGCCAAAATTTCCACCGTAACTGCAAATTCGAATGCAGATAAATGGATTACAACATGTTCAAGCCTTGCAATGGGAGGCATTATAATCTATGGTGGTATAATTGATAGTGATTACCAGGGAGAGTTAAAGGTCATTTTATACAATACCACTCCAGATTCTTTTGCTATACAACTGCAGCTGCGGGTTGCTAAATTGTTAGTGGTACCTTGTCAACCACTGAGGAAATTTCTGCCCCAATAGAAACAACATATAGAACTGGAGAATTCGGGTCCACCAGAGAGGGCAACTTATAATCCTGGAGCCAAAATATGGGTACAGTGTCCATCAGATTCTGCCCCTAAGGCTGGTGACCTTGTAGCTATGGGAGCAGAAAATGAAGGCATAGCACAATTTCCTAAAGATGAAAAACAGTATCATGTTCCCCTCTATTTTTATTATTACAGAGAATAACCTGTCTGCTAGTAATCAGTACTTGGGTCATCATGTCTGAGGCCGAGAATGAGTTCATCACTTGGGTAGCCACTGCGACAACAGAAGCCAACTGCAGTCAGTGCTGGCTATGTGTCGAGTTGCCAGAGGCCGCCAGAAATGGGCTACCTTGGAGAATCGTCCTTGCTAACATTTCCGAATGGATATGCCAATACCAATGGGGGTGGGATAATAACCTGGACTTCTTTTAACCAGACCAAACAGTCTATTTTTGCCCAAGCCCAAATGAAACACAGCACCTTTGTTACTTAAATTACACATTACAGCAATACAATTATAGGAGAACTTTTCCTGTTCTCTGGGGAGCCCTCTGGGTATGTGGATTCTATGGGTGGTGATAGCTGCCCCCATACTGGAGGGGGAGATGCACTTGGGGGAGGCCATTAATTTCATTCACCATCCGGGATGATTTTCCCCTCCCCAGTAATCTAAATGCTTACAAACATCACTGGTTACAAATGCACCGGGCCCTCTGGTGGTGGTACCCTATCACAGTGTTCGCCCCTGCCGCTGGTACGATCCTGCTACAGAAATAAAATATTAAGCTTACATGTAAAATAAAGCTCTTAATGACAGTGGTACTGAACTTATGTTGTTATCAGATAAATTTGCTCAACTGCGTACTGTTGTATTGAAAAATGGAATGGCATTAGCCCTTTGTCAGATGAGTAGATTGCAAAAATTTTTTCCCATTCTGTAGGTTGCCCGTTCACTCTGATGATAGTTTCTTCTGCTGTGCAGAAGCTCTTTAGTTTAATTAGATCCCATTTGTCAATTTTGGCTTTTGTTGCCATTGCTTTTGGTGTTTTAGACATGAAGTCCTTGCCCATGCCTATGTCCTGAATGATAATGCCTAGGTTTTCTTCTAGGGTTTTTATGATTTTAGGTCTAACATTTAAGTCTTTAATCCATCTTGAATTAATTTTTGTATAAGGTGTACAAAGACCTCAAACAAATTTACAAGAAAAAAACAAACAACCCCATCAAAAAGTGGGCAAAGGATATGAACAGACACTTCTCAAAAGAAGACATTTATGCAGCCAACAGACACATGAAAAAATGCTCATCATCACTGGCCATTAGAGAAATGCAAATCAAAACCACAATGAGATGCCATCTCACACCAGTTAGAATGGCGATCATTAAAAAGTCAGGAAACAACATGTGCTGGAGAGGACGTGGAGAAATAGGAACACTTCTACACTGTTGGTGGGACAGTAAACTAGTTCAACCATTGTAGAAGACAGTGTGGCAATTCCTCAGGGATCTAGAACTAGAAATACCATTTGACCCAGCCATCCCATTACTGGGTATATACCCAAAGGATTATAAATCATGCTGCTGTAAAGACACATGCACACGTATGTTTATTGCAGTGCTATTCACAATAGCAGACTTGGAACCAACCCAAATGTCCATCAATGATAGACTGGATTAAGAAAATGTGGCACATGTACACCATGGAATACTATGCAGCCATAAAAAAGAATGAGTTCATGTCCCTTGTAGGGACATGGATGAAGCTGGAAACCATCATTCTCAGCAAACTGTTGTAAGGACAAAAAACCAAACACCACAAGTTCTCACTTATAGGTGGGAATTGAACAATGAGAACACTTGGACACAGGAAGGGGAACATCATACACCGTGGCCTGTTGTGGGATGGGGGGAAGGGAGAGGGATAGCATTAGGAGATATACGTAATGTAAATGACAAGTTAATGGGTGCAACACACCAACATGGCACATTAACAAACCTGCATGTTGTGCACATGTACCCTAGAATTTAAAGTATAATAATAATAAAAAATTTACTTGGAAAAAAAAGAAAAACGGAATGGCATTAGATACGCCCAATGAGCGGTCTGGGCTTTACTGCATATTGAATGTTATGTGTATGTCCATGACAATTCTCACAATATGACTCTCCTTGCAAAGCCATGGTGGGTGTGGTTTTTATTAGTTGTGCTTTTAATTCTCCTGTATCTGTAATCTATATCAACTGTGTCTTTCCCATGTATCTGTAAGGGTATTTTCCTACAATTGAGTATCAATTTGAGGCCAAATGTGGAGGAAAAGTTAAATATTAAATGTGAACTCAATTGAACATGGCCACAAACAATGGTCACCAAGTCCTGGAACAGGCTGTGTGAGCTCCTTGAGGCCTTCATCCAGTGCTGTTTTGGAGAAATGTCTATTTTAATCTATTCCTATATGTTAGTTATTGAAAAACAATAGACAATCGTAAAAACAAGTTGACCTTTTTGTGTTCCTTGAGCCTTGTCGTGAAGGGCCCTCGTGACTGGGCCTTATGTCAAACAACTCATTACAGAAAGAGCTAGAGTCCCAGACTGCACCGAAGCTTCATGAGACCTCTCCTCATCTGTGCACGTTTGAGTGGCTGACTCTGGAGCCCAGGCTGTTGCTTCCCAGTCTGGTGGTGAATCCTCCATGGTCTGGTGAGTATAACTATATATATATATATCTTTTCCCTTCTCTCCTTCCCATTGCAATTGGCTTGTTATATTAATTTGTTTATTATATCATTTGCTTATTATATCTGCATTGTCATTTATGTGGGACAAAGCTTGTTTACCCTTAAAGGTATTGTGGGTGTGTCTTTTCTTCTCCCCTCACGCATTTCCCACACAGAACAGCAGCCTGAGCGAACTACTGCAAGGAATTCAATTTGTTTCATATTGAACATGTATTGAGTAGAGAGTACAAAGATTGAAGAGTCCCAGTCCTTGAGGAGCTAAAGGCTTACTAGGAACCCAAGAATGTCTCTAAAATGGAATCCACACAGAGAGAGAGATTTGGACTTAAAAAAGGGGGTAACTTTCTCTTAGAGGAGTCCCCAAAATATATTTATTGGGTTTCCTTGGCTTAAAGATTTTTCTGATGAAATATAATTCAAGGGTATCTAGACTAGATAATCCTTATGGGTGATGTTGATGAAAACATTCTGACACTCAGCAGTTGTTTAGACTAGATAATCTTCAAAGGTTCATGTAATTTTCACCTTTTATCTCTGCTCTTTGTACCTTAAGCTTTAAATGTATATTTTTAAATGCAATCATGCATTGCTTAATAACAGGGATATGTTCTGAGAAACTCATCATGAGGCAATTTTGTCATTGTGCAAACATCAGAGTTTACTCACACAAACCTAGATGTTACAGCCTACTACACACCTAAGCTGTGGTATAGCCTATTTGTCCTCAGCTACAAATCTGTACAGCATATTGCTGTACCGAATACTGTAGCAATTGGAACACAATGGGAAGTGTGCGTGTATCTAAGCAGATCTAAACATAGAAAAGGTACAGTAAAAATATGGTATATAAGATAAAAAATGGCATACTTGTATAGGGTACTTACCGTGAATGGAGCTTGCAGGACTGAACTTGCTCTGGGTCAGTGAGTGGTGGGTGATGAATGAATTTGAACACCTAGGACATTACCATATACTACTGTAGACGTTATAAACACTATACACTTAGGCTACACTAAATTTAATTGAACATGTTTTCTTTCTTTAACAATAAAGTAACCTTAGCTTATGGTAACATTTTTATTTTATGAATTTTTAAATTTTCCAAAGCTTTTTGACACTTATAATAATACAACTTAAAACACAAACACATTGTACAGCTATACAAAAATATTTTCCCTTTATACCCTCATTCTAGAAGCTTTTTTCTATTTCTAACTTTTAAAGTTTTTCTGTAACTTTCAAACTTTTTTTGTTAAAAACTTAGACAAGCACAGCATTAGCCTAGGCCACATCAGGATCATCAATATCACTGTCTTTCACCTCCACATTTTGTCCCACTGGAAGGTCTTCAGGGGGCAATAACACTCATTGAGCTGTCACCTCCTAGGATAACAATCTCTTCTTCTGGAATACCTCCTGAAATACCTTCCTGAAGCTATTTTTTGGTTAACTTGAAGAAATTAAGCAGAAGGAGTATACTCTAAAATAATGGCAAATCATTATATTTGAATAATGGTAAATATATAAACCAATAACATAGTTGTTATAATTATCAAGTATTACGTACTGTATGTAATTGTATGTGCTATACTTTTATACAGCTAGCAGCCGTATAATAAGCCGTAGGTTTGTTTACACCAGCATCACCACAAACATGGGAATAATGCATTATGCTACAACACTACTGTATTAGTTCATTCTTGCACTGCTATAAAGAAATACCTGAGACTGAGTAATTTATAAAGAAAAAAGGTTTCATTGGCTCACAGTTCCACAGGCTGTATAGGAAGCATGGCTAGAGAGTCCTCAGGAAACTTACAGTTATGGCAGAAGGTGAAGGAGAAGCAGGCAGGAGCTGGAATCATGGTCAGAGGAAGAAGAGAGCAAAGGGTGAAGCAATGCACACTTTTAAACAACCAGAGCGCATGAGAACTCACTCAGCATCCTGAGAGTAGCAAGGGGGAAATCCACCCTATGATCCAGTCACCTCCTACCAGGCCTCTTTTCCAACATTGAGTATTACAAATTGACATGATATTTGGGTGAGGACACAAATTCAAACCATATCAAGTACCATGGCTCTGACATCACTAGGCAATAGGAAATTTTCAGCTCCATTATAATCTTACAGGGCCACCTTCATATATGTGATACAGTCTTTCTGCTCCTTAGCTCAGCTAGGTTTGAGTTCTTGTCTCATGACCAGAAGAATTAGGCTCATGGACGCGGGAGTGTGAGTGAAGAAAAGTTTATTAAGCAAAAGGAAAACTCTCATTGGAGAGGGGATACAGTTGGGGAAGGGTGGTTCCCCTATCCAAAGCCAGGGAAATCCACCCCCCCCCCCCCCCGGTGTGTGGCTGGGCCTAGGGCACTTAATGGATGCAGAATGGGGAGTGCCTGCTGATTGGTTTGTGAGTATGTAAAAAAGGTTAAAGCAAAGACACCACTCCAAGGTGGGCATACAGTATAGAAAACCAATTAGGAAAGAGTAGATATATGTACAATAGGTGAAGGGAGGGGATCAATCAGAGGAAAGCATGCCAAACAGGAAGACAAGTTTTCAATCCGGTCTGAGGATTTAGCTTGTAGCTTGTTTTTCAAGACTTTAAACTGTCTTTGGCTTGGAGGTAGGGTTTCACCAGAGACCCTCTCCAATCTGCCTAGGTGTTTGGCTGCCTCCTGTCCCTATAATTTGCAGTCTGCTGTTGACTGAAACATCATTATGCAGGTCATAACTGTAGTTTTATTATAATTACAAAGAAGTTGCAAGGATAGTATAGAGAGTTCCTATATACATACCTCCAGATTTCCCTTGTCTTTAAAAAAATTATGTATTTATTCTAGAAACAGGGTCTCACTCTGTCACCCAGGCTGGAGTACAGTGGCATAATCTCAGCTAATTGTACCCTTGAACTCCCAGGATCAAGCAATCCTTCTGCCTTAGCCTCCTGAGTAGTTGGGACTACAGGCATGCACCACCATGCCTGAGTATTTTTTTCATTTTTAAATAAAGATTGGGTCTTGCTACATTGCCCAGACTGGTCTCAAACTCCTGGCCTCAAGGCATTCCTCATGTTTTGGCTTCTTAGAGTGCTGGGGTTACAGGCATGAGCCACCATGCATGGCCCTTTTCCCTTTTGTTAATATCTTACATTTGTCACAACTGATGAACCAATATTCACTTGAGCTTTGGGACCTATTTATTTTAGAAAAAACTGCAACTTTATTTTGTTTTCAGTTTAATCACACTGATGTGTTTCCTTGCTTTGAAAGTAATCATCAAAAATACACATGCTGGATGGTTCTTTTAACAAGAAATTTGGTTGGGACTTTGAGTAAAAATGTTGCAAGGAAAAAGCAAAAACTTACCCCCTCCCCCGAAATATCACACAAATGGGTGAAACAAAAGCTTTAAAATCTTGAGAAGTGTAAGATATTCCAAAATGGAGACTGTATAGGCAACAAAAGCTTTAAAATCTTGAGAAGTGTTAGGTATCTCTAAATGGAGACTGTGTAGGCTCTGATATATGAATTCTGATATATGTCTGAGAAAGAAAAGTAAAATACAGCTGCTTCTGGAGCTCTTTTATAAGAATGTAACTAGACTGAACTTATGTTAAAGCAGAAGGCAGAGAGTGGTTCTACTCTTTTGTTGTTGTTGTTAAAATACATAGTCTTAAAGGCAAAGACAAGATTTTATTTTGTTTTCTTTGCATTTAGGATAACAGATTCTCTCATACTTTTTAACGTAGCTGAAATATGGATATTCTTTCTGATTGACTTCAGAAGCTTCCTACACCATACTTTTGGGTTGAAGATGTTTGACCTTGAATGCTTTTGGGTTTCCTGTGTGGACTCCAGTTCCCAGTGCTGCAGATTACTTAAGAGTTCGTATCTGTGCACTGGTTATCCGAGGTACCTTAGAGATCAGAGGTGCTTACCGCAGAAGCATAAGAGTAACTAACTCTTTCAATTAGCACTGTACTGTTTATGAATTAAAAATGTTTCAGATTAAAAATCATGCAATGAAGGATGTAAAGAAAAAATATATCATCATGCTATTTATCCCTTTTTCCTAGAAAATTAAATTATCCCTGAAAGAAGTAATTGGAAAAAAAATAATCAGTTGTCTCTATACAGGTCTTGGTGTGTTGACAATTTATTTTTTTATGACAGTTTATTCCTACCTAAAAAAATCTAATTTGTGAAATTCCAGACTTTCCAAGAACACTATAAATGTCTTTCTTTTGCACCTTAAACTGCAACTGCAACAAGTGGATTTTGATGAAACTCTATCTGTATCACAAAAGAACCAACAGAGTAACATTAACTAAGCTTGTGCAACCCACACAGAAGGGAGAATGAAGGGGAGTCGTATGTTTAAATAGCAGCATCATTGTGGGCATTGGATTATGTGACACATGCTAAAAACTGTCAAACCTGCCATTTTTGGAAACTGTTTTAGACATCACTCCATTTGGCAGCCCTGCTCTTCCTGTGAAAAGGGAAGGCTGCCTCTATCATCCTCACTGGGTCATAACAAAGATGATATCCATCCCCATCTGTCGCAGCTGGATATGGTCAACATATTCACCAAGTTGGAGGAAAAACAAGTTTTTAATTCCACGCAGATATGTATAGTACCTAATAAAAATATGAGTAACCAAAGATATAGAGGTATAATTGATGAAGATCTTTATGAACAATTACAAATAGTCTAAAAATATTAAAATTAGCACAGTGTACCACATGCCGGAATTGACATTCACATTTGTGAGGCAAGATAAGAATCAGTAGATCCCATTAAGCCAAGTCAAATAAATGAGGAGTCGTGCAATAAGAGGACAAAAACATTACCCCCACCTCATCTACGCTAAAGCTTCTTTAGTCATTCTGTGAAGAGGAATGAGAAATTAACAGCTCCTAAGAGTTTGCTGTATACATGTTTGTTTACATTAACTGTTGAGTAAATAATAAATATTTTATTCTACATTCCAGGTTGAGTCCTTTTCAACTAGTTTTTGTGTTGTTTTTTGAAACCTCAAGTCACTGACTCCTTCAGCAGTGGTTTAAGGAAGTATCTTAATTTTTAAATCACATGTTGACCATGCAGCCAATTGTTGGCCCGTAGAGTGAACAAAACCAGGTAAGTGGCCTTCTTTCCAAGCGCTATCTGAGCAAAGCATGCATGTCAAAAACAGCCACACATTTCTCTGACTTCATGTGCCTCTGATCTGTATTTTCTGAAGTATGAGGGGCTAACCATCTGCATCAGAATTCCCACAGGGATTATTTAAAATACAGATTGGGACTGGATAAAGAAAATGTGGTGCATATATAGCATGGAATACTACACAGCCATGAAAAAGAAGGAAATCACGTCTTTTGCAGCAACATGGATGCAGCTGGAGGACATTATCCTAAGCAAATGAATGAAGGAACAGAAAACCAAATAATGCATGTTCTCATTTATAAATGGGAACTAAACATTGAGTACACATGGACATAAAGATGGGAACAATAGACACTGGTGGCTACTAGATAAGGGAGTGTTGGGGTGGGGCAAGGATTGAAAAACTACCTGTTGGGTACTATACTCACTATCTGAATGACGTGATCATTCATATCTCAAACTTAGCGTCATGTGGTTTACCCAGGTAGCAAACTTGCACATGCATCCACTGAACCTAAAATAAAATTTAAAAGAAAAAGTCATCAAAATGTTATTCCTATCAATAAAATACCAAAATATCACACACACACACACAAACACACATATATACACACCCACACACACACACATATATATATATATTTCAGACTTTGGGGTCCTTTCCAGACCTAATGAATCAGAAGCCCTGGAGGTGTCTCAGAATCTACATTTTAAAGATGTAACTAGCTCCTTTGAATGAACGAACTAGAGATTGATAACTATTGCTTTAGATACTGCCGAGATAAGGGAGGAATTAATTCTGTATAGAAAGTCTATGGGAAACCAAAGGTAATTACTAGTTTGTTATTTTTCCTCTGTAACATTTCTATTTGTGTCCATAGATGATTCTCTCTGGAAGATTTTATTTGGATGTTCAGAATATTTATAGCAAGTTTACAGAGATAGCTATCATTACGTACCTGAGAATTCATATGAAATAAATATGCTATATATCTGTAGATGATTTTCAGATTACTCAAGCAATGTATAAAGCACTTATTTAAAAACTTAATTGAAATCATACAACTGAGACAAATCTATTTCGGCAATTCCACGTTTCTTCAGATATCTAACGACCACCTACATATTTTCATAGCAAGTTATATGCAGTTTTGTAAATCATCAATATAAATCAGGGCAATTAACTAGTTACTGAGCATCACTCTGCTGAGAGTCTAACAGAAAATATTCTCAATATGATTTCATTCTCACTAGACATTGGTAATTCTGCTTTGGTAGCTGGGCCAGTACAGGAGCCAAGGAATCTTGATTTTTAATTCCCTGACTTACATGAAATAATCTTTCTCTACAAGGTAATCTTATCAAAATAATATTTATATTTGAAATAATACCCAGAAGTGTTGTTGTTATTGTTTTAATTAGGAGAAATAGCAATTCAGCAAAACTAAGAACATTACATCTTTAAAATGTGGAGTAGTGATCAAGAGTGTAGAATTGGAACTGGACAGCTTAGACTCAAAATTCTCGTTTCGCCAGTGTCACCTTGGCCAAAATACTTAACTTCTCTGCGCTTTGGTTTTCTTATCTGTAGAATGATAAAAATAATTGCACCTTTCTCATTGGGCTGTTGTGATGATTACATAAGTTACATGTTTGAAAACAAAAGTTAAGTGTTTAAAGCCCACATAGTAAGCACTAAATAGAGTGAAACCATTTTATTATTATTAATCTGTTTAATAACCTGGCAAGGGTATGTCTCAGGCCATTAATGTTTGTTTTCTATGTATCTTCCTACCCTTTTTTTTCCCTCTCACTAGTATCTTGAGAGTTTTTTGCCTACTTCAGCCACACCAATGCTGAAAAAAAGATTCAAAGAAATTATTGACTTAAATGCTAAACAGATTTTTGGGTCATGTTTTGTTTTGTTTCTTTTCCCATAGACCACAAGATTGAGGGCTTGGAGCTGGAGAAAGGGAAAAGAAAAAGCAGACTGTGACTCTCTGGGGAAAGAACTGAAAGATGACACTAGGAATTCTCAAAGCGAGAGGAAAAGGAAAGGCCCTTTTTCGGAAATGACCTCTGATAAACACACCCTCCAGGGTTACACCTGCCACTGTGTCTTCCACGGACAGACAAGCTGCACTTTAGCAGTCCTGAATACCTAGAGACTTCCTTAACAGAGAGTGGGGAATCTCGTCATCTTGCATGGGGATGGGAGCTCGAAGGGAGAACCTCAGCCTTCCAGAAGGTTATATAAAACCAGTTGAGAATTTCCCTAAGAATGGAGCAGTGGACAAACAATTGTTATTGTAATCCAAATACATGAGTCTACCTACATAATGGAGAAATGCTAACTTACAGAAAGGTCAGGTTGGTGTTTGAATGGTTTTAATTTCCTTTTATAAAATTACAGGAATTATACAATTACATTGATTAATTGTAATCAGTTTTGAGTCTAGCTAAAAAAAAAAAAAAAATCCGTTCCTTCTCAAATTCTTTCCTCCTGCATTTTAAATCTCTCTCTCTCTCTCTTTTTTTCTGAGACAGGGTCTCACTTTATTACCCAGGCTGGAGTGCAGTGGCACGATCTTGGATTACTGCAACCTCTGCCTCCTGGGCTCAACTGATCCTCATGCCTCAGCCTCCCAAGTAGCTGAGAGTACAGGCGCAAGCTACCGGGCTTGGCTAATTTTTGTATTTTTTGTGAAGATGGGATTTCACCATGTTTCTCAGGCTGGTATTGAACTCTTGAGCTCAGGCAATCCACCTGCCTCAGCCCTTCCAAATTGCTAGGATTACAAATGTGAACCACTGCACCTGACCTAAATATCTCTCTTAAATGAATCATTTCCCTCTATCCCTTAACAAAAAATAACTTTTTAAAAATCTTGAAAATTACTTCCTCTTGACAAAACCTCCTCAATCTCATACACCAGCTTCCATGTCTCTCATAACTTATTTGTACCCTGAGCAACTAGTATACCACTCCTAGTTTTATATTTTCACTATTCTCTCATCTATCTTTCTATCATAATATATTTGTATAGTAAATAAGTATAGTATATTTGGAAAATCGCATTTCCCAAAATAACCAATAACTTACTTGTACAGGTCTCTTTCAATCATTATTTTCTTTGACTTGTCTGAAGTATGTAACATCAATTCTGATATGGTTTGGCTCTGTCTTCTACCCAAATCTCATTTTGAATTGTAATCCCCAGAATCTCCAGGTATTGAGGGAGGGACCTGGTGGGAGGTGATTGGATCATGGGGGAAGTTTCCCCTCATGCTGTTTTTGTGATAGTGAGTTCTCATGATATCTGATGGGTTTAAAAGTGTTTGACAGTTCCTCCTACACACACACACACACTCTCTCTCTCTCTCTAGCCTGCCACTATGTAAGAAGTGTCTGCTTCCCCTTCCACCATGATTGTAGGTTGCCTGAGGCCTCCCCAGCCATGTGGAACTGTGAGTCAGTTAAACCTCTTTCCTTGATAAATTACCCAGTCTCAGGAATTTCTTTACAGCAGTGCGAAAATGGACTAATACAAATCCCCTTGTTTATTTCCTTGAAATTATCCTCCTTTCGTTTCTATAGTATTATAATTATGCTAATGTTTCTTCTTCCTTTATAAGTTCTTTCTGATATCTTAGAGGTCATCTCAGACCTCAAGAAACTTCCAGTCTAATGTAAAGACTGACATTTTGCATTTTGGGCCAGCCACTCTCTGCACAAACCTCTTCTTCCAAGCGATTTTTCCTGTAAACATTTGCTGTACCCGATTATGTGTAAAGCACATAATGTACCATATGAACATGGATGGGGAGAGGTAATTTGAATGAAAGAGATAGGGAGGTTTTGTACAAGAGGTGATACTTGGGATGGACATCCAAGGATGGAAAACTTCAACAGTAAGAATTGGAGAAAAGGTATTCCACATTGAAGTGACTACTTGAGCAGTGACACTAAAGTAAGAAAAAAATATTGCATATTCTGGATAGTTCTGGTAAAATATGAAGGGGGATGAAATAAAAGATTTGACTATAGTACATTGTGAGGTTTGGGGAGCATGTAGATCATGGGTGAATGCTTTGATGCCTGGACATTTTTATGTAGGTGAGAAGGGGCCATCAACAATTTACGGACAGAGGAGTCTCACTATTAAAGCTATATTTTAGAAACAGAACACAAGTGTAACTGTGGAGAATATATTAGTGAGGAGGAGATTTTAGTGGTGGGGTATCTGTTTTTTTATGTATATCATTCAGCATCAATTATACATTATTCTGTTGTATTACTTATTTATCTTTTCTATTGCTAAATATTTACTTAGGTGTTAACTTCCAAGATATTAAGCTCTAAGGCAGGGCAATCTTGTTTTCCTTTCAAGTATACTATTTCATACACAGAAGTTATCACTCTGACTCAAACATTATCATTATTGTTATTATATTAACTAACATGTATGGAAAACTTACCATGTGCCAGGCACTGTGTAAAGTCAGTTACACGCATTATGTGGTTGAATCCTTAATATGATTGTTCCCATTTTACACTTGTATAAACAGAGACTTAGAGGACTTAGTCATTTTCTGTAAGTCATATTGTTGTTAAGCAGTGGAGCCAGGATTCAAAGCAAGTTTTTTGTGACACCAAAGATACTGACAACAGTGTCAAATAGACTCTCCATAGTGGTCAATCAATGAATACTTTTGAATGGTTGGATAAATAAAAAATAGTGGATAAAAGAGTAAAGCCTTTTCAACTTGAGTTGACTCATATAGGCAAATGAAACTTATCCACTCATATTGGGATGATACCCTGTGTTTGAATTGTACATATATGTTTATCCAGAAAAGAAAGGTAATAATACCTTTTAAGATAAGAAAGGTAATAATAATGGTATAGGGCATTATTTTTTTAAGATAAGAAAGGTAATAATAATGGTATAGGGCATTATTTAGATAAATAAATGAACATCCTGTGTGTCCTCAGGATTTAACATTCTTTTGTTGGTGTCATTCATAAACTATAGCAATTTTTTGGAGGACTTTCTTCAACCTACTGAAGCCTTTGACTGAACACATGGGAATTTCCATCCTCCTGGTGTGACCCTTAGCCCATGACTATGTGGGAATTTGAAAGCCCAACTCTCTTGACACAAATTAGTACAACTCTGAGATGTAACTTACTCTCCAGAGCTCCCCTCTGGGATTAGGCTGAGGTTATCCTGTGTGGGAAAGGCTTGAGGTCACACTCTTATCTGGCTTCCTCGCCTTCACTTTCCTGCTTACTTCACCCTTTTATTAGGATCACTAATAAGCATTTACTTGATAAATCACTGGCCTATGAACCTTCATCTCAGGGTCTACTTCTGGGAAAACTGACCTAGAAAAAAATTATACACCAAGGCCTAATGGGTGAGCTCATTATTTCCTCTTAAATAAACATTAGTTTTTTTCAATATTCAACATGGCATGTGCACCTTCCTACTTTGTTTTGGGTGAAAAAAAAATCAGCAACCAACATTACATGCCCTCTGTTATTATATAAGCTTTCATGAGTTATTATTTAACCTGTAATACTTTTTGTAGCAAGCCATACAGAAAAATTTTCTGGGTGTATTCATATATAAAAGTACACCATATATATTTATTATGTAAAAACTAAAAATTGCTTTAAAAATTCCACTAGCGAATTTCTGGGAGTTTGAAATACTGTTCTTAAGTCGTATTCTAAATATAGTAAATGTGTTTTTGTCATGCGAGTACTTTCTGAATTCATATGGTTCAGATAATTCTATTTCTCCCAATATTATGGGCAAAACATTGATATGTTTTCTTCCTTTATTTCCCAAACTGAGCATTTTCTTTCCTCCAACAGGACTGTAGACCAGCAAATCATTCCAAATTTAGCACAGGGAAACATCTCATGTTTAAATCATAAGTGTTTTTATGGGTTTTGAGCCTTTTGCCAACTTCATCCTCCACTTTGTTTCAGATAACATTCTGAATGACGGCAGTTATTTCTGTATTGAGACTGGTGATGATGAGAAGTTCTCACAACTGGCTAGGCCTTGATTAAATACATCTTGTATTCTTTAAATAGAAATCAATGGTCCTCAGGTCTTGAAAACTAGTTGGCCCCCTTTGCTTCCACCCACTTTCCTTAGATTTTAAGCAATTAATGTGACCCCATCAGCATCCTAATCCTACTCATGTGACTGAGTACCACTCACATGGAATGGAGCTACCAAACCTAGAAATTCTCCTTAAACTTATAGAAGAAACAGACATGAGGAGAGATTTTAGTTTAAGAGAAGATATATGTTCATTCTTAGTCCTTTTCCAATACAAAATACTAGCTACTTCCTGTGTCTTGGAAGCTACATATAAAATCCTGATAAAGGTATGTCCTAAAGCTTTGCAGTAGAGTAGATGGTCTTTTCTTAGGTTGTTATGCAAAATTATGAACCATTGTTTCGGACTGAGCCTCTGCACTAGGCCCCAATAGACCAGACCAAGCTAAATTGGAGTCACTCATGCTAAATGTCACATCATCAAATTGAAACTTTAAGGAAGTACATAGATTCCTAAACAGACTGTTTGATTTTTCCTGAAAACAGATTCCAGTCTAGCTGAGCCAGCATAAAAAGGAAGTCCCCTCTGCATTAACCCTTATAAAAAAAAAGGAACTTGAAGTAACCTGATGTTAACCAATCAGTTTTTTCTATTGTTGTTTTCTTGTTCCCACCTTATAAATCCCACTGTTCTGACATTTCCCAGTGGGATCCCTTATTCTGTTTTGTAGAATGGAGGGTGCTGTGATTCATGCATCACAAATAAAGTTAATTAGTTCTGAAACTAAATATATTGTAACTTTGTCTTTTGACAAGGGGTTAGTTGATATCCCCTCATGGGAGGGCAGGGTGTGGTAATTCAGGGAAACTAGCGTAAGATAAGAGAAGCAGATGAGATAAGCAGATAAAAGACGGAAGATTAATACCCAACCATGACCAAGGAGAAATGCTGAGATTAAACTCTATCATTAAGTTTGATGGCCCATTGGATGCTGGGCATGAGAGATGAATATAAAAGGGCAGGAATTGATTAAGGCTGGGAATGGATGGAAAGGTGAAGGAAATAGCAGGAATGAGGCAGGAAGTTTTGGGACATTTATAGCATTGTGAACTGAGCTGACAGAGGCTGTCTCATTATGCTTTGGTCGTTTGGTCCCTGTTAACACTGTAGGATCAGAAAAACAAGTAACATATTAAAATCCTCTTATGTAATAGTTAAGAGTGATTCATTCTATAATTGAGGGGCACAGCAGTAGGCAGTGGGGTTATAACTAATAATCATAATCATCATTGTGATAATTATAGTAATAAAAATAGCTCACACTTACATGGGGCTTACTTGTATGATGTATATTATGTACTGGATATTTTTCCGAGGGCTTCATATATATTAACTCCTTACAATTACCCTATGAGGTGTTACCATTATAATTCCCATTGTATAGATAATGAATCAGAAGCACAAAAAGGTGAAGTGCTTTGCTTAAGGTCACTTAGCAGGTAAGTGGTGAAGCCAGGATTCAAACCTCAGGAAGTCTGGCTGCAGGTCTGTAATAGACTGCCTTCCAATACTGACATTTAGATGAAGAGGCAGGAAATGTACATAACCATATGTATTAGCCTGTTCTCACACTGCTAATAAAGACATACCTGAGACTGGGTAATTTATAAAGGAAAGAGGTTTAATGGGCTCACAGTTCCACATGGCTGGGGAGGCCTCACTATATGATGGAAGGAGAATGAGGGGCAATGTCATGTCTTACATGGCAGCAGGCAAGAGAGCATGTGCAGGGGAATTCACCTTTATAAAACCATCAGATCTCGTGAGACTTACTATCACGAGAACAGCATGGAAAAGACCTGCCCCCATGATTCAGTTGCCTCCCCCTGGGTCCCTCTCACGCACATGGGAATTATGGGAGCTACAATTCAAGATGTGTTTTGGGTGGGGACACAGCCAAATCATATCATGATGGAAACGACCATATAAGTCACTTTGCCATAAACACTGAATTAGTGCAATACACAGTAGATGCCTCAGAGGCATGTAGGTGGGAAGAATGTTGTGGGTGGTTATTTAAAAAGATGATGAGTCTTTAATGATTCAAAAATCAAACTCAAACTTCCAAAGAGAAAGGTATTCATTGGTGTTGTATCCGAAAACTCAGGAGTTCATCTTCTAGCATGGATGTATCTCAGGACTCAAATTACATTATCAAGAATGTTTCTCCTTTTTTATCCTGAATTTTCTTTCTTCTTTTGGCTTGTCATACATGTTTTCTTCATTTGGGCCTCCTAGCAGCTTCAGAATTACATTCTGCCAGCTTGTCACCATCAGTAAGGAGCTTCTCCTACCCCATGTTTCAGCAATAGTTCCAGGACTGATGCTTATTGATTATAATGTCCACAGCTATAAAGACATGTTTACCTTGGAGCCAACTACTGTATGTTGGCCTGGGCTACATGGCTGGGTCACTGAGGCATCCCATGCGTCAGAAATGTGTCTCTTCTAAAATTATACAAATTAAAAGCATAGGAGAGGCATTTTTCCAAAAGAAAATCTAAGTTCAGTGGCTGGAGAAAGAGAAGAAGATAGACTTCCAGAATTGTGAGAAATAAATGTGTAAGCCACCCAGTCTATGGTCATTTGTAATAGCAGCTCAAACTGACTGAGACACCATCATATTTCTCTACTCTGGAGCCTTGCTCCATTAATAGTTTTTTTTCCATTGCACCTTAATTCTCTCTGTGCACTTCATCTCTTCAGCCTAAAAATATGCTCCTGTCTTTCCATACCTCTTTTTCTTTCCTTTTCTTTACTCTGGGACTTTATTATTTTTTAATGACTGACTCCACCACATCACCCCTAATACTTTGCACTTGGGCTGAAGTTACAAGATGAGGCAAATAAAAAAGAAGGGTGGAATTAAGGGCATTGATATTAATGAAAATAATATGATAAAATGATAGGCCCTTCCCACTTACAAATTTAAGTGCTGAACTGTAAATAAACATTAAATCATGATTAAGCAGGGGTTTACCTGAGGAATTCAAATATGTGTAATAACAGAAATTCATTTCACTAATGGATTAAAGGAGAGAAACCACATTAACTGAATAGGTGCAGAAAATACATTTGATGGTATCCAATTTCCATTTATTATAAAAATTCTGGAAGACTCTAAATAAATTGAAAATTACTTAATCGATAAAAGGCTTATGACAAACAATACTTAATGCCACTTAATAATACAGGAGTCTCTACTCCCACCTTGTATTATCTGCCTCCTGGTATTGGAGATCCTGACACAATGCAATCAGCTAAAAAAAAAAAAGAACCATATTAATCAGAATGGGCTCACTTATGTTGCAGTTCATAAAACTCAAGCATTATGCTTGTTTAAGAATCACAGAAATTTGTGTCTTGCTCATGCTAAATGATCTACATGATTGGCAGAAGGTCTGGGCTCATTATCACTAAGGTGAGGTTGGCATAACCACAATCTTAAACATGCCAGTCATTGTATCTAAGGGAAATAACAGCTTAGCTAGATGTAGCATCTACAATTAAATGCTCAAAACTTCATTGTTCAGAAATAGTCATGTAGCCCCACTGAGGAGCAGGGGAGCTACAAAGTAAAATCCTTATACAGATCAAGAAGGGGGAAGATAAGAAAATATCGATGGATAGTACTAATCGCTATGACAGAGGGCTATCAATTGGAAAGGAAGACAACGTATAAAACTGTCCTTCTTTGCAGACACATGAGTATCTACATAAATTAACAAGAACTACAAAAAATAGGAAATTATTATACTGATAAGATCTTGTAGCAATGTTGCTGAATACATGATCATTTTACAAAACAGAGAAATATGATATGTCATGGAGAGTGTTCCTATCCATTGCCTCATCTCCTATTATGGGTGAAATATATGTGCTCCTTGCCACTTCAGAACCAGATTCTGTCTCCTCTCACTTGTTAAAACATAATGCAATCTCCACTTCCTCTTGTGTACCATCCATTCTCCCTTCATTCTTGAATATTTCCCGTTAGCACTCAAACATTCAAAGATCTTAAGAATAATTATTCTCACATCCTAAGAATAATCCTTTATTGATTACACATCTACCTTCAGCTCCCATTCCATTTTGTTGTCATTCTTTGTTTTAATATATTTCTCTTTTTTATATATACTTTAAGTTCTGAGATACATGTGCAGAACGTGCAGGTTTGTTACATAGGTATACACGTGACATGGTGGTTTGCTGCACCCATCAACTGGTCATCTACATTAGGTATTTCTCCTAATGCTATCCCTCCCCTAGCCCTCCACCCCCCGACAGGCCCCAGTGTGTGATGTTCCCTTCCCTGTGTCCATGTGTTCTCATTGTTTAACTCCCACTTATGAGTGAGAACATGTGGTTTTCTGTTCCTGTGTTAGTTTGCTGAGAATGATTGTTTCCAGCTTCATCCATGTCCCTGCAAAGGACATCAACTCATCCTTTTTTATGGCTGCATAGTGTTCCATGGTGTATATGTGCCACATTTTCTTTATCCAGTCTATCATTGATGGGCATTTGGGTTGGTTCCAAGTCTTTGCTATTGTGAACAGCGCTGCAATAAACATACGTGTGCATGTGTTTTTATAGTAGAATGATTTATAATCCTTTGGGTATATACCCAGTAATAGGATTGCTGGGTCAAATGATATTTCTGTTTCTAGATCCTTGAGGAATCGCCACACTGTCTTCCACAATGGTTGAACTAATTTACACTCCCACCATCAGTGTAAAAGTGTCGCTTTCTCCATAGCCTTGTCAGCATCTGTTGTTCCTTGACTTTTTAATGATCGCCATTCTAACTGGTGTGAGATGGTATCTCACTGTGGTTTTGATTTGCATTTCTCTAATGACCAGTGATGATGAGCTTTTTTTCATATGTTTGGCCGCATAAATGTCTTCTTTTGAGAAACGCCTAAGTAGCAAAAAGGGGCAACAATTTGCAAATCTTTATAAAGTACAGTTTCTAAAACTGCCACCATGATGTCTTACATTTTTTGTGTCAGACATTAACCACAGTCTTTAGTCTTTGTCTTTCTTAAAATATAGCTACTATTGCTTGAGCTGTTACTATGAACTGTGAAACATAAGCTGATAGCTGCATCTTCTGTTCATATTTCAATCAAACTAATGTAAACTGTTCCTAGATTGCTTGGTATACCCATCAGAAAATGTCTTTGCCAGTCTGATCTGTGATTTACCTTGTGTTTAAAAATTTAAATCTCCAGTTTTATAGGCAGCTCTCCAATTATAAACCAATTTTATTTAAAAAATTATTTTGTGACCTTATTGTTTGGAAAGGAGAATGTCTTTTCGCATAAAAAGAATATTATAAATGGTTGTAGTTTTCCAGGCCAACCCACTTTCCTGGGCACTGGGCCCACCCTAAGCAAAATTTTTGAAAAGTCTGACATTTATTCTTGGCAGTTTCCCTGTAATAGTTGTAGGTTGTTCTTCATATGCCTGGCATTCCTACACACAAGCACACACCTGCACACAAGGAAATTATGCTGATTTTTAAAGTAAAGAGATAATGGGGAGGAATTGCAGGCAAAGCAATGAATAGTGATACATTGCTTCCCTAACTTAGTGGATCTCCCTCCTGTGTGGGTGTCAAAATCATCTCTACATGTTCTTCAGAGGAGGAAATCAGAATCCCTACAGGTAGGGTGCAGGTGCAGAAGTTATATAGGTGATTGTGCTGCACAGCAGCAATGCATATCGGCACCATGGTGATTCAAATTTTCTATTCTTTCTTGAGCCCACTTGTGATATGAACCAATGCTGCAGGAACAGCAGGCAACACCAGGCATCCTTTGCTGTAAAAAGTGAATTTAAGGTGGAAAGGTGACTTAGTGCTTACAGGTGACTTGAAGATCCTTGCTAGTTGGTGGAATTTATCTCATGCCCAGATGGACAATCCCTTATCTTTTTTTTTTTGTTTTTTGTTTTTTGTTTTTTTTTTGAGACGGAGTATCGCTCTTTTGCCCAGGCGCCGGACTGCAGTGGCGCGATCTCGGCTCACTGCAAGCTCCACCTCCCGGGTTCGCACCACTCTCCTGCCTCAGCCTCCCGAGTAGCTGGGACTACAGGCGCCCGCCACCGTGCCCGGCTAATTTTTTGTATTTTTAGTAGAGATGGGGTTTCACCGTGTTAGCCAGGATGGTCTCGATCTCCTGACCTCGTGATCCCCCCGCCTTGGCCTCCCAAAGTGCTGGGATTACAGGCGTGAGCCACTGCGCCCGGCCGACAATTCCTTGTCTTAGATGAAGCCTTACCTGGATCTGTATAACTATGAGATTCTCATGGAAATAATAAACCTCCTGTTGTTTTTATAATGGATTAATAGAATTTACTTTTGCTTTCAACAAACATAATAAAAGAAAAGTCAAACCACATTGTCTGAAGGGGGAAGAAGCAGGTCAAATCCCGAAGCGTTTCTGTTGGCAGCCAGGCTGCAATTCATTTGTTCATTTGTTCTTGTATTCCATCCACAAATGCTTCCTGGGACTCTGCTCTGACCCAGGCACTTCTCTAGGCTCTGGAGCTATAGAGGCAAACAAAACAGATAGAAGTCCCCACTTCAGTGATGGGGACAGAAAGGAAGTAAGCAAAATGTGTAAAATGTATGTGAGATGACAATAAGTGATAAAGAAATAAGTAAGTTAGAAAAGAGGCCTAGGCAGGTGTGGTGGCTCACGCCTGTAATCCCAGCACTTTGGGAGGCCGAGGCGGGCAGATCACGAAGTCAGAAGATCGAGACCATCCTGGCCAACACGGTGAAACCCTGTCTCTACTAAAAATACAAAAATTAGCTGGGCGTGGTGGCACGTGCCTATAATCCCAGCTGCTTGGGAGGCTGAGGCAGGAGAATCTCTTGAACCAGGGAGTCGGAGGTTGCAGTGAGCCGAGATCACGCCACTGCACTCCAGCCTGGCAACAGAGTGAGACTCCGTCTCAAAAAAAAAAAAAAAAAAAAGAAAGAAAGAAAAGAGGCCTAGGGAATTTTCAGAGGTGGGCGTGGGGTCGGAAGGCCTCATGAGAAGGTGATTGAGTAAAGACTTGAAAAGGAGAGTATGTGCCATTTGGAGAAGCAGGTGACATGTTTGGGGCAGTGGAGAAATGGTAGAGATAAATAGCCTGGGTGAAGTGAGGGAAGGAGACTGTGAATAGAAATAACAAGAAATGGGAAATAAGATTTATTTGATGTAAATAAAAAATTAAAAACCCTTTAGAGACAAAGAAAGGATACAATATTTCCTCTCTCAATACCCTCCTTGGGTCTTAGAGGCTTCTCATCAAGACTAAAATCGTCTAGGTTCTTATTTTCCCACATCCCTTAATAAGGTAACATAGTAGTCTTACCTATGACTTCTCCAACGTCCTTCCTCAAATTGCTCATATTCCCTGGTTGTTTTCTTCTCTCCCCTCTTAAACAACATCCCATGATTCCATGAAGATGAAAGTAGCAGTGTGTTAGGAAAAACCAATCTAATCTAGCTCTCACTAAGGTGCTTGCCAGTAAGAATAAATCTCTAACTGAAATAACATCGAGTCCTGGGAGGAGCAAAGCTTCTGAACTGTTGCTTTCACCTGGAAATTTGCTCTAAGGTCAGGGGTCTTGGTTGTGTGTTTTTTTTTTCATAGTATTTTTTCTTCCTTACTCTGAAACTCACAGTCTCAAGTGTCAGGACCTCTGCTTGTTGGTTCTTTGGAAATGATGGCTCACGTCCTTCAGTGGGAAGGGCCAAACATGACTGGCCCTTGGACAGAAACCTCCTCTGTGAGTTGGCATTTGTGGTTTGTTATCTGCATCACTTGCTAAGCTGAAGACACCCCCTTAGTGAACTCATGAGCCTAGCGTGGCCTTCTGGAAGAAAGTGTCACAGAATGCCCTGAGCCTTTGCTGCTATGGCAAAGTGACTCAGGGAGCATGAGGTGGAGGAAGCAGCTGGAGAGAAAAGCAGAAGAGGATAAATTAGTCCATGAAACAGCAGGCCCTGACTTCCAGAGGAGCTGCTGTTCCTGCATGCTGCTTTGAAGTGAAAGAAAGCAAGCAGGCTAGAGTCAAATGGCTCAAAGAGAGTGAGAGGCGAGAGAAGAAATATTCTCTGAGCTCCATCAGCACCAAAATAGGTTTTAATTCAGGATGACCCAAAGTCTGAAAGATCAGACACACACACATTGTATCTATCTATCTATCTATCTATCTATCTATCTATCTATCTATCTATCTATCAATCATCTATCTATCTATCTATCTATCATCTTTCTATCTATCAATTTATCTCGCAAAAGGAAAAGTCAACCCGCATTGTCTAGAAGGAGCAGATGTTTCCTCTGGCATCCAGGCTGTAATTAAGAGATAATTAAGAGATTCATTTACTCTCTCAAAAGGTATTTATTATCTGCTCTGTGTCATAAAACACACTCGCGCATGCACACACACATACACCCCTGCGAGAATACTTGTCACTTTTTATTGGAATATCAGAGGAATATACACCCACAGATGCATAAAGCCCCAAAGTCACTCCCAAGACCCAAGTGAAAATTTAAAGTTTTAACTAATTTGGGTTTTTAACTCAAGGTTTCCAGTATAGGTTGACTGCAGGACTTCCAGGGCAGTGCAAAAAAGTCGAGACTGAAACAGTGAACACCAGGGCCTGGGACAGCACTGAGGAATGAATACACCGCATGGCCTCATCTTCCAGCGACTGTTGTGAATTGTTAGCAGGAAAAAAACTGAATAGTACATTTTTAGAGAAATGACACGGCAAAAGAAAAGGACTTTGAGTCTCTCGGGGTGGCAATTTGTGGAAAGGCAAATAAATGACAGATAAAGGCCAGTTAGGAGAGCCTGTCAATGTAGGTTCCCCTGTGCCATCCATAGCCTGGGAAGGGTCTCAAGTTGTCTTCAGTGGTTAAACTTTGTTCTCTCTGGTAGAATCGGCATGTGGGGTGGGATACCTTTTGTGTTTGTAAATTTATGTCCTGCTTTTAGGCAAGTAGGAAGGGCCGAGAGCTTTCCTGAATCTGTCTCTTTTCAATTACCTTCAACTCAAAACAATCCTATGCAAAACAGGCATATTTTAGGGTGACATATTGTGGTTTCCCATAAGAACTAAGGTAATTTGAGGAAAATGTATGAAATGTTTGGAGATGTTTTGATAATGTGATAGAATTTGTAAGATCATAGAAAAACATTCAATAGTAGTTTGCATTGTCCTTAAAGACTATTTTGCATAAACACTTTAAATTTAGATTATTCACAATAATGAATAAGAGATTTGCAATACAAAATTTGGTTTGATTGATTTCCATAATATTTCTCCCCCCTCAATTCCCTCTTATATACCAGTTAAATAATATTGTGAGGTTAATAGAATTTTTTAAGTAGATGAACTTAGAGGTGTGTCTACACACAGTAAAGTCTTTGAATAGATTCCTGTGTAGTAAATGAATGAAGCAAAGAAAAAAATTTTGGATTAGAATAGTTTTTTAAAGCAAAGTCAGCAAAATTGAGAAAATGAAAAGAGAAAGGAAAAAGTTGCTTAGTTTAAATTGTGAAATTAAAAAGACATGGATATATAGCAAAAATAAAGTGCATATTCTTAGCTGTGGCAGATTGGGACCTAAAAATAAATACAAAGAGAAAAAATATTTTATAATGCATCTTATTATACATTTGGAGTTGACATTAGTTTTATAATTTGTTAAGGTTCAGTATATGGTGTGTATATTTGGCTATTCATTTATTCCTGTGATAGAATATTGCAGCAAATCAGTTAGCAGTTTAAAAAAGTGATCGCCTAAAGATTTGAGGGAAATTAAAATGTTATTTGGTAAAATCCTGAAGGAGGAAACAAGTTGACCTCAAAATATAATTAACTGAAACAACAACAAACATGAGGTAATTAAAATTTTTTTTCTGCTGTAGCTTTAGTTATCCTGGTATGGAGAAATCCAGGTTGCTACTGCCAATCTTTCAAAAGCATAAACATTAGAAAACTATTGATTAGCCTTTTTAGAACTGTTTACCCAAATCATCTTCCCTCCAGTCTTTCCCTGCCACTAGATTATCCTTCCAAAAAACACCAGTTGACAGTGAACTCTCTCTGCTCCAAAACATTCAATAGTTTTGTCTAATGCAGCATTTCCCAAAGTGTATACTCTATGGTACAGTAGTATTCCACAAGATGCTTAAGAGATGTTTCTTTCAAAAAGGGCATTGTGATTCAATAGTATTGAGAACTGGTAAATTAAATGGATTTATTACTGCAGGATTTGTTGGTGTTTTAAAATTATTACAAACATTAAAAAGTCACAAAAAGTTATAATATGCAGTATTTTCTACATTATTTGGCCACGAAACACTTTTACTCTTTTATATTTTTAAACCTCATAAGTCATTAGCATTCTACAGAAGAGTTTTGAAATAAGGAATAAAGAATAAAAATAATAAATTCTAAGCTTCTAAGTCTGATATTTAGAGAGAGCTCTCCAAGATTCAGCCTTACTTTTGCCTTCAAATATTTTTTTTCTAAGGTAAGCAATTTTAACTCATTTATTAAACATATTTTTAAAAATATCTACTAAATGCCAGGCACTGTTCTTGGTGCTGGAATTTCACAATCAACAAAAATAGATATAGTCTTGGCCCTAATGAAGTTTAAAATACAGTGGAAAAGAGACATGGCACCATAGTCACACACATTAGTATATAACTATAATTGTGACAGTTATTGTGATAGACTGTTAGTTATTTCCAATGTCCATTCTTCTCTCCTTTGTAATAAAACTTTGATTTAAAAAAAATCTGGGAAAAAAGCCCCCAAGAATAGTAACCATATTTCTCAGTCTCTGTTATAGCAAGGTGGGAGCAAATTACTAAGATCTGGCTAATAAGACATGAATAAAAGAGCTCTCTGCACTTTCTGCATCATTTTTTTTCTGTAAAGCTAAAACTGCTCTAAAAAATAGAGTCTATTAAAAGAAGAAAGAAAGATGGTGCAGCTTCCAGTTGTTAAGAGTGTGGCTGTGACAGTGAACTGTTCTGGACCGTGTGGAATGGACAATGTTCTAGAGCTGGAGGAAAAACAAGCAGAAAGGAGCTCTGGCCTCTGCTGGCTTAGCAGTTAGAAATTTTATATGCGAGACAAAAATAAAGTGGTATCTTGTTTAGGCCATTGTTATTTTAGATCTCTGTGACTACAGCCAAACTACTGGCCCCCTTTATTCAAAATTCCACACTTCGGAGTCCTGGATTTAACAGAACCTAAAAATGTGATATTGGCTTAGCAACTGGTGATGAGCTGCAGGGACTCAAATGTGCAGGTTGGACAGCTGGTGCCTCTTGTTATGTGTGTATGCTGTGGTAAAACAGTAACTTTTTTACTAGTGATGCCTTTGAAAACTGATCACATGCTGACTAAGCCTTTAGCTTTAGGGAAAAGGAAAATATTCAGAATATTGGTATGTGTTCTCGTTGCTTTTTTGCTATCGTTGTTTTCTGACGATTTACATTTTTTCTTTTACTTTTAGTTGACAAATAATAATTGCATATACATGTTTAATTTCTTGTTGCTTTTTTCAGCCAAGTTCTACGTAAAAGATGAACTGAGGTCAGAGCTAGCCAATCTGCAATCAGAGAAGGAAGGGAACATAACTCTGCTCACAAGGCTCTCTTTCCACAGACTAGAATGTTAAATGACAGAGAATTAAGTCATTTGGGGTACGATAGAGTTCTGCACTCCACATGGAATCAGTTAACAGGTGGCTCCAAAGAGGCAACTTAGCAAGACTATGTTCTCAAACCTTTTCCCCAAACCTCCTGCTGTGATCTCTGGCAGGCAATATGAGACAGCCCTGTAGCAAAAATCAGATTTAGGATGCTACCTTCTCACCCAATCTAGTTTTTCGCATGGCCTTGTGGTAGCCACGTCAAAAGCTAGGGGTTAAGAGAACAGGTAGACCAGTTAATCAGAGGTAAGAGTTTACAGCTAAATGTAATAATTGACCATCTTATCCATTTGACGTCCAATTATTCTATTTTTCTCTTTTTAGTAGGTAGCTATTGCTAACTTTTTTTGGCTTCTGGGAGTTTGGGGTTGTCTGTCATCCCTTCCATCCACCAGGCTCATGTGTTTTCATAGTTTGCATAATCACCTGTTTCAAAGACACCCCGATGGCCAGGCTAGCCTTCTTACCTAAGCACCATGCCCATGGTTTTAAATGACCACAGGACATTTCCATGCAGAAGCTGCACTACCCGACAAATTTCAGTAAGCCTCACCTTAATCGAGATTGCCTTTGATATCCACTTATGTCTATCCTTCTTTCCCTCATCTCCCTCATTCCCTTCCCCATACTTCGTCCCATCATGCCCTCATTTCTTCCATTTATTAGGTAACACAGACTGCAGTATTATATCCTGGGTTAATCTGTTCTTCTAGTCCTGTTAGTTACACACTTGTACAGATATCACCACACCTTAACCAAGCCAATAATCCTCTTATCTGCCTCTCTGCTTCTTATTTCTTTGACCTTCAAATCCAGATATATTTCTCAAAGATAGTGTTTCCAGCATAAGAAGGATTAGAAAGGGATCCAAGAACAACTCTTCATTTACCATGAAAAGAGGAGCTTCACGTTATCTGTTGAAAGAATTCTCAGTAGCTGATCTTAGTGTGTAAGGCTCCACCTCCTTTATTTCTGGTAAGCCTGCCATCTAGGTCATCCTGTCTTGTTGCTGTCCTCTCTCATTTTTTCAGGTGGCCCTCTGTCATTTTCACCCTGGATGGCTTCCTCTCTTTTAGTCACTTACCCAAGGTTATTTTTCCTTGAAAGCACTTGTCAAATCTCATCTCCTCAGAGAAATGTTCTCTGGCCACTCAACATCCATTTTTGTCTTCAGCAGTATAGTCTCATGCATTGCTCTCTGTGCCTAGATCTTGTCTCCCTCATAAGAACATGGGTTTGTAAGCCAGGGATGCTTGTGTCTGCTGCTGCTGCATCTTTCACAGAGCTAAGCACTTTTTTTCAAAAAATTTTATTTTATTATTATTATACTTTAAGTTTTAGGGTACATGTGCACAATGTGCAGGTTAGTTACATATGTATACATGTGCCATGCTGGTGTGCTGCACACATTAACTCGTCATTTAGCATTAGGTATATCTCCTAATGCTATCCCTCCCCACTCCGCCCACCCCACAACAGTCCCCAGAGTGTGATGTTCCCCTTCCTGTGTCCGTGTGTTCTCATTGTTCAGTTCCCACCTATGAGTGAGAACATGCGGTGTTTGGTTTTTTGTCCTTGCGATAGTTTACTGAGAATGATGATTTCCCGTTTCATCCATGTCCCTACAAAGGACATGAACTCATCATTTTTTATGGCTGCATAGCATTCCATGGTGTATATGTGCCACATTTTCTTAATCCAGTCTATCATTGTTGGACATTTGGGTTGGTTCCAAGTCTTTGCTATTGTGAATAGTGCCACAATAAACATATGTGTGCATGTGTCTTTATAGCAGCATGATTTATAGTCCTTTGGGTATATACCCAGTAATGGGATGGCTGAGTCAAATGGTATTTCTAGTTCTAGATCCCTGAGGAATTGCCACACTGTCTTCCACAATGGTTGAACTAGTTTACAGTCCCACCAACAGTGTAAAAGTGTTCCTATTTCTCCACATCCTCTCCAGCACCTGTTGTTTCCTGACTTTTTAATGATTGCCATTCTAACTGGTGTGAGATGGCATCTCATTGTGGTTTTGATTTGCATTTCTCTAATGGCCAGTGATGGTGAGCATTTTTTCATGTGTTTTTTGGCTGCATAAATGTCTTCTTTTGAGAAGTGTGTGTTCATATCCTTCGCCCACTTTTTGATGGGGTTGTTTGTTTTTTTCTTGTAAATTTGTTTGAGTTCATTGTAGATTCTGCATATTAGCCCTTTGTCAGATGAGTAGGTTGTGAGAATTTTCTCCCATCTTGTAGGTTGCCTGTTCACTCTGATGGTAGTTTCTTTTGCTGTGCAGAAGCTCTTTAATTTAATTAGATCCCATTTGTCAATTTTGGCTTTTGTTGCCCTTGCTTTTGGTGTTTTAGACATGAAGTCCTTGCCCATGCCTATGTCCTGAATGGTAATGCCTAGGTTTTCTTCTAGGGTTTTTATGGTTTTAGGTCTAACGTTTAAGTCTTTAATCCATCTTGAATTAATTTTTATATAAGGTGTAAGGAAGGGATCCAGTTTCAGCTTTCTACTTATGGCTAGCCAGTTTTCCCAGTACCATTTATTAAATAGGGGATCCCTTCCCCATTGCTTGTTTTTCTCAGGTTTGTCAAAGATCACATAGTTGTAGATATGTGGCGTTATTTCTGAGGGCTCTGTTCTGTTCCATTGATCTATATCTCTGTTTTGGTACCAGTACCATGCTGTTTTGGTCACTGTAGCCTTGTAGTATAGTTTGAAGTCAGGTAGTGTGATGCCTCCAGCTTTGTTCTTTTGGCTTAGGATTGACTTGGCGATGCGGGCTCTTTTTTGGTTCCATATGAACTTTAAAGTAGTTTTTTCCAATTCTGTGAAGAAAGTCATTGGTAGCTTGATGGGGATGGCATTGAATCTATAAATTACCTTGGGCAGTATGGCCATTTTCACGATATTGATTATTCCTACCCATGAGCATGGAATGTTCTTCCATTTGTTTGTATCCTCTTTTATTTCCTTGAGCAGTGGTTTGTAGTTCTCCTTGAAGAGGTCCTTCACGTCCCTTGTAAGTTGGATTTCTAGGTATTTTATTCTCTTTGAAGCAATTGTGAATGGGAGTTCACTCATGATTTGGCTCTCTGTTTGTCCGTTATTGGTGTATAAGAATGCTTGTGATTTTTGTACATTGATTTTGTATCCTGAGACTTTGCTGAAGTTGCTTATCAGCTTAAGGAGATTTTGGGCTGAGACCATGGGGTTTTCTAGATATACAATCATGTCATCTGCAAACGGAGAATTTGAGTTCCTCTTTTCCTAATTGAATACCCTTTATTTCCTTCTCCTGCCTAATTGCCCTGGCCAGAACTTCCAACGCTATGTTGAATAGGAGTGGTGAGAGAGGGCATCCCTGTCTTGTGCCAGTTTTCAAAGGCAATGCTTCCAGTTTTTTCCCATTCAGTATGATACTGGCTGTGGGTTTGTCATAGATAGCTCTTATTATTTTGAAATACGTCCCATCAATACCTAATTTATTGAGAGTTTTTAGCATGAAGGGTTGTTGAACTTTGTCAAAGGCCTTTTCTGCATCTATTGAGATAATCATGTGGTTTTTGTCTTTCGTTCTGTTTATATGCTGGATTACCTTTATTGATTTGCATATATTGAACCAGCCTTGCATCCCAGGGATGAAGCCCACTTGATCATGGTGGATAAGCTTTTTGATGTGTTGCTGGATTCGGTTTGCCAGTATTTTATTGAGGATTTTTGCATCAATGTTCATCATCACCATTTAGATATTGGTCTAAAATTCTCTTTTTTGGTTGTGTCTCTTCCTGGCTTTGGTATCAGGATGATGCTGGCCTCATAAAATGAGTTAGGGAGGATTCCCTCTTTTTCTATTGATTGGAATAGTTTCAGAAGGAATGGTACCAGTTCCTCCTTGTACCTCTGGTAGAATTCGGCTGTGAATCCCTCTGGTCCTGGACTCTTTTTGGTTGGTAAGCTATTGATTATTGCCACAATTTCAGAGCCTGTTATTGGTCTATTCAGAGATTCAACTTCTTCCTGGTTTAGTCTTGGGAGGGTGTATGTGTCGAGGAATTTACCCATTTCTTCTAGATTTTCTAGTTTATTTGTGTAGGGGTGTTTGTAGTATTCTCTGATGGTAGTTTGTATTTCTGTGGGATCGGTGGTGATATCCCCTTTATCATTTTTTATTGCGTCTATTTGATTCTTCTCTCTTTTTTTCTTTATTAGTCTTGCTAGTGGTCTATCAATTTTGTTGATCCTTTCAAAAAACCAGCTCCTGGATTCATTAATTTTTTGAAGGGTTTTTTGTGTCTCTATTTCCTTCAGTTCTGCTCTGATCTTAGTTATTTCTTGCCTTCTGCTAGCTTTTGAATGTGTTTGCTCTTGCTTTTCTAGTTCTTTTAATTGTGATGTTAGGGTGTCAATTTTGGATCTTTCCTGCTTTCTCTTATGGGCATTTAGTGCTATAAATTTCCCTCTACACACTGCTTTGAATGTGTCCCAGAGATTCTGGTATGTTGTGTCTTTGTTCTCATTGGTTTCAAAGAACATCTTTATTTCTGCCTTCATTTTGTTATGTACCCAGTAGTCATTCAGGAGCAGGTTGTTCAGTTTCCATGTAGTTGAGCGGTTTTGAGTGAGTTTCTTAATCCTGAGTTCTAGTTTGATTGTACTGTGGTCTGAGAGACAGTTTGTTATAATTTCTGTTCTTTTATATTTGCTGAGGAGAGCTTGACTTCCAAGTATGTGGTCAATTTTGGAATAGGTGTGGTGTGGTGCTGAAAAAAATGTATATACACTTTTTTAATTTTAATTTTTATGTATTTATTGAGACAGAATCTCACTCTGTCACTCAGGCTGGAGTGCAGTGGTGTGATCTTGGCTCACTGAAATCTCTGCCGCCCAGGCTCAAGTGATTCTTCCGCCTCAGCCTCCCGAGTAGCTGGGATTACAGGCTGGCACCAGCATACCCAGCTAAATTTTTTGTATTTTTAGTAGAGACAGGGTTTTGCCATGTTGGCCAGGCTAGTCTCAAACTCCTGACCTCAAGTGATCCACCCATCTTGGCCTCCCAAAGTGCTGGGATTACAGGCACAAGCCACCATGCCCAGCCAAGCATTTTTTAAAAAACCTTAATAAATATTGAGAAATCAGTATTTATATATCAACAAAGAATCTGTCTAGTATATATGCTCCATGAGGGAAGGACTCATGCCTGTTCTGTTCCCAGCTTCACATCCAATGAGTAACATAATGCCTGGCACCTAGTAGATGTCCTAAATATATATATATTTTTTGATTGAGAGAATTAATGAACAAGAACTAAGAGAATCACTTGTAACAGTAAAACTCCCCCATGTCTATTTTTATAGGGCACATTTAAAAGCAAGGGTAATCAAGAGAAAGAAAGGTACCTAAGATAGAATCTCAAATCCAATGCCACCTAAAAATAGGTTGAAAATAGGAGTGATAGCACACATAGGTGAAAAAACTATCATAGGAAGAGACATCATGACAGTGAGAATCCACCTGTTGAACCCGTTGCTTTGATATTTTGACAACGTTTGGTCAGGTCTGGCATGGAGGGCAGGGTGTCAGGGAGCAAGAATGTATAGTTGCTTCAGGCAGTTGGAAAGCAAGGTCAAGGCTGCGAGTAGTAGGTCACGCTCCAGGAAGCAAGTGGAGCTGTCCAAAGAGGGATGTTCACTGCTCTGCCATATGTTCTCAAAGAACATAGTATTTTAGTTATCTTCTCCTCAGTTTTAGGGTTAGGTCTGCATGCTAGATGCTCTTATTTCATAATCTGTATTCTGTACGAACATTAGCTACGGCTGCATTGAGATGTTTTTTTGTTTGATGTATTGCTTATATCTGTTACCCTTGCAAAGTGGAAGCTCTAAGAAGCCTTCTTATATCTCCCATGCCTAGAATGGAGTGTGGAAAATAGTAGGTGCTCAATACATATTGGCTGAATGAATGAAAGAGGACCTCTAGGTCTATACTTTAAGAAGTGTGTGCATGTGTATGTATGTGTGTGTGTGGGTGTGTGAGTGTGTGTAACAGAGAGAGAGAGGGAAAGAGAGAAAGTTCTGGGTAGACCTGAAGACTCTGAGAAGGTCTCAGAGAAGCAGTCAAACCCATAAGGAAAGAGAAAATGAGTGCTAAGAGAAAAAAATGTCAGAGTTGACGCGAAATTTAAAAATAACAATGTTATAGAATGAGGCAGCTCCGTGAAGCCAAAAGTGCCTATTCCTAGCTGTCTTATTTAATTTGTATCTGCAAAATGGGGATAATAGTAGTTTCCCCTGACATTAGGGTTAACTGGGGTTGTGTATGTGAAGCATTGAACCGAATGCCTGGTTCCTACATGAATAATTGCTCACCCTCTTGACAATTTTCTTTTAATTCATGATCTCATAGGCTATTTCTTTTGGGAATATAGTGAAACAAATTTCAGATAAAAAGAGCAAAACATACAAAACACAGTGGTAACAGAATGGATTGTGCATGTTCAAAACCATTAATCCCTTGCAAAAAGTAACTAGAAAATGTTTCCTCTGATTTCATCCCATCCTAACCACTATATTTGAGTGTGTATGTGTGTGTATCTATCTTCTATTTATCCCTAAAACCCAGACAGTATTCATCTATATATTTTAATTAGTAATAGATTCCTTAGTATCAGTATGTAAATGAGTTAAAAATGCAACTTTATAAAACAAATAAAAGATTGAAACCATCCTTCTTATTCTTCTTTTTCAACTAAAGTAACTAGATCAAAATAAATACCAAAATCCTTTTTTCCCCATTACTTTTGAATACCTTATGCAGTTTTGACAAATGTAAAATTTTGCTTCAGGTACTAAGGGCAACAATTAAGTTTTTAAAGTAAGCACCAAGGTAAGTTCTGCTGACTTTTACCTCTGGTAGGTTAGGATGTTTTTCTTTATTCATAGGCTGGGCAATAATAATTTTTGTAAGGGAATTTCTCCATGACTTAAGTGCCCAGTATGGTTGTATTAGTGGGTTTTCATGGTGCTGATAAAGACATACCTGAGACTGGGCAATTTATAAAAGAAAGAAGTTTATTGGACTTACTTACAGTTCCACCTGACAGGGGAGGCCTCACAATCATGGTGGAAGAAAAAATGAGCAAGTCACATCTTACTTGGATGGTGGTAGGCAAAATGAGATTTGGGTGGGGACACAGCCAAACCATATCATTCTGCCCTGGCCCATCCCAAATCTCATATCTTCACATTTCAAAACCAATCATGCCTTCCCAACAGCGCCCCCAAATCTTAACTCATTTCAGTATTAACACAAAAGTCCACAGTCCAATGTCTCACCTGAGACAAGCCAAGTCCTTTCTGCCTATAAACCTGTACAATCAAAAGCAGGTTAGTTACTTCCTAGATACAATGCGGGTACAGGCATTAGGTAAATACAGTCATTCCAAATGGGATAAATTGACCAAAATAAACAGCTACAGACTCCATGCAAGTCTGAACTCCGGGGTGGGGCAGTCAGATCTTAAAGCTCCAAAATGATCTCCTTTGACTCCATGTCTCATATCCAGGTCACATAGATTTTAGAGGTGGGATCCAATGGCCTTGGGCAGCTCCACCCCTGTGGCTTTGCAGGGTATAGCCCCTCTCCTGGCTGCTTTCATGAGCTGACATTGAGTGTCTGTGGCTTTTCTAGTCACAAGGTGAAAGCTATCAGTGGATCTACCATTCTAGGGTCTGGAGGATGGTGGCCCTCTTCCCACAGCTCCCTCAGTAGGGATTCTGTGTGGGGGCTACCACCCCACATTTCCCTTCTGCACTGCCCGAGCAGATGTTCTCCATGAGGGCCCCACCCCTGAAGCAGACTTCTGCCTGGGCATCCAGGCATTTCCATATATCCTCTAAAATCTAGGTGGAAGTTCCCAAACCTCAGTTGACTTCTGTGGAGCTGCAGGCTCAACACCATGTGGAAGCTGTCAAGGTTTGGTGGCTTCTACCCTCTGAAGCAACAGCCTGAGCTGTACCTTGGCCCCTTTTAGTCACAGCTGGAGCAGGTGGGATGCAGGACACCAAATCCCTAGGCTGCACACAGCAGGGCAGCCCTGGGCCTGGCCCCCAAAACCATTGTTTCCTCTTAGGCCTGTGATGAGAGGGGCTGCCTCAAAGGCCTCTGACATGCAATGGATACATTTTCCCCATTGACTTTAGGATTAACAGTTGAGTCTTTGTTACTTCTGCAAATTTCTGTAGCTGGCTTGAATTTCTCCTCAGAAAATGGAATCTCTTTTCTGTTGCATTGTCAGGTTGCAAATTTTCCAATTTTTTATGCTCTGTTTTCCTTTTAAAACTGAATGCCTTTGACAGCACCCAAGTCACCTCTTGAATGGTTTGCTGCTTAGAAATTTCTTCTGCCTGGTACCCTAAATCATCTCTCTCAAGTTCAAAGTTCCACAAATCTCTAGGGCAGGGGCAAAATGCTGCCAGTTTCTTTGCTAAAACACAACAAGACTCACCTTTACTACAGTTCCCAACAAGTTCCTCATCTCCATCTGAGACCACCTCAGCCTGGACTTTATTGTCCAAATCATTATTAGCATTTTATTCAAAGCCATTCAACAAGTCTCTAGGAAGTTCGAAACTTTCCCACATTTTCTTGTCTTCTTCTGAGTCCTCCAAACTGTTCCAACCTCTGCTTGTTACCCAGTTCCAAAGTCTCTTCCACATTTTCAGGTATCTTTTCAGCAGTGCCCCACTCTACTGATACCGATTTACTGTATTAGTCTGTTTTCACAGTGCTGATAAAGACATACCCAAGACTGGGCAATTTACAAAAGAAAGGTTTATTGGACTTACAGTTCTACATGGCTGGAGAGGCCTCACAACACAGTGGAAGGCAAGAAGGAGCAAGTCACATCTTACATGGATGGCAATAGGCAAAAAAAAAAAAAAAGAGCTTATGCAGGGAAACTGCCAGTTTTAAAGCCATCAGATCTTGTGAGACTCATTTACTATCATGAGAACAGTGCAGGAAAGACCCGCCCCCATAATTCAATCACCTCTCACCAGGTTCCTCTCATGAAACACGGGAATTATGGGAGTTACAATTCAAGATGAAATTTGTGTGGGGACATAGCCAAACCATATCAATAGTGGCATTAAAACTTGTGTGGTTCTTAACTAACCACCTTCCAGTGGGAAAGCTGATGGAATTAACACAATTGTGGGCTGGGATCTTTTCTGAAATATGTAGGAAGGAATTTGAGATCTCCTCATTGAAATTAAAATTACTTAAAAAATTATTTGAGAGTAAAAATGATTTTGTTTATAGAATTGACTGCATCAGTCAAAACCCCTTCTCAACCAAAGCCCTGAATGAAGCTCCACTGTACTATCAAACAAACAAACAAACTATGGTTACAAGTGAGATTTAGGAGATGGTTGAAACATAAGCAAAAATTCCTCTTAATAGTTTCTGTTAGTATTTTGTCATTTAATGATGGGATAACTACTAATACCACATATTGGACGTTTCACATGGGCCAGAAATTTTGCATATGTTACTTAGTCTTAGCGGGAACGTTGTGTGATAAATATTACTACTATTTTTGTGATTCCTCTTTTATAGATGAGCGGACAGAGACACAGAGAGATCAATGATCACCCTCATGCCACACACCCAGGAAGCGGCCGAGCCAGGGTTTAAACCCAGGCAAATGAATTCCCAAGACCATACACTTAACCACTATGCAGTTGTGCTATTGTCGGCTCATCTCTACAACAATCGGAATCTGTCCTTAGATTAGGGGCCACCAGTGGCTGGCTTACATATGATTATTTTTTTAAATGATCCGAACAAAGAGCTATTTTGTTTTATTTACTTCTGGTGAAAAACAAGTGCATGTTTTCTGCCAAGAAATGAGGAACCTCGACCTCCATCAAGGTCTTAATACTTGGCATGACCTATGTGATAATTTACTTGATTTGTAGTTTGCCTGTTGCTGACCTACAATGGTAGCATCTGACTTTGCTTACTGAAAAGCAGGGTCTCATGATTGACTGCCTTTGACTGCTCTTTCCCCAGAGCTATCTTCATCTGCTGTGTTTTACAACTGGAATTTTCAAACCAACTCCTCCTGACATGAGAATTCACTTACCTACAAACACGGTTTTATTTCAGATAGGAAAATAAGTGGAGGTTATCATAATTCAGAGCTACATTCAAAGAAGCAGAGCCCCAAATAACACATGGATTAAATCTGTTTAGACCAAGTTCTTAAAAAAAAAAAGGGAAGTTGACAGGTAAATTTACTTGCCCTTTCTGGTTTCCCTGAAGAGTTAACATCACTAACCACACTGTTAGAGTGTATTTGAGCATGTGGGAGGGACCTTATGGAAGTCATGAACATTTTCCTGAAGGTTCTTGAAGAAAGAAGACTTGTCATGGCTAGCATTTGGGAGGGACAATGTGTTTTAGGCAGAGGGGGGAACGTGAGCGAAAGTACAGGGATGTGGGAGGAAACAGAGAAGTTTAACAAGGCTGGAAGACCAAGTGGGAGAGGCAGAGTGGCTAGCCAGATAGGTGGGAGGCAGATCTGGAAAAATCTTGTACATTATGCAAAGGAGTCTAATTTTGTTCTATAGGCAAGGAACCCATGAAAAAAATGTTAAGCAGAGTCATGGCTTGATTAGTTTCAGATTTTAGAAAGTTCTCTGTGGAAGCATGGTAACTGTTGAATTAGAGAGAAGTAAGAATGGAGCCAGAGAGAACTAGTCAGGAGGCTGTTGGAACGACCCTTGTAAGAAAAGATGTGGGCTTAAACTGAAGCAGGGGCTATGAAGTGGGACTGGGTAAGATGTCCTTAGGAGTCTGACTCTCTGGTATGGTGACAGATTGTGGAGGTGGAGAAGAGGCAAGGATGACTATTAGGTTTCTGACTTGGGTACCAGGAGAATGAGAGAGACTCATATCTGTCTGTCTGCTAAGAGCAAGGAACCAGGGATGGTAGAAAATATTGCCTAGACGGGACCGACGGAAGCTGTTTGATGATGTGAGGTCTTGGAGACCCAAGAGGACATGGGATGCCTATGGGAGGAGAAATATCATGTTTTACAAGTTGGGAGAGTGGAGAATAAAGAGGGAAGAAGGTATAGATAAATCTGTGCTGACTGAGTAGATGAGATTGCAATATTCCCAAAGTTGAGGGACTTACTAAACTTTTCTGAGAGGTAAGAGACAAGATTTTGGCTGACTATGAAAGCTGAGGTGTTAGGGTTAATGACTTGAGGGTGTGGTGAAGGTTTGAACTACTGTGAACAATACAAGGAGATATTGCTTAGGAAGAGGCAGAAGGGTAGCTGGACAGGTTGGCAGCTTTGAATGAGCTGAAGGAAACTGTAAACTTGTTGTGGCACCACTCTACTCATTCTTTGATGCATAGCTTCAGCCTCCACTGTATTATAACTAACTATTCCCGAGACCACAGTGATGGCAAGGACCATATCTCATATAAGCTGGAGAATCTTCAGTATTCACAACAGGGCATGACTCATATTAGATGCTCAATATATTTTTATTGACTTGAAATTTGTGGAGCTATAGAGCAGTAGACATGAAATACTGCTAGAAAACAGAACTTTTTGTTGGTCTTTTTTTTTTTTTTTTTAAATTCAAGTGCATTAAATGGCAGTACCTTGGAGAACACTGAAAAGTAGAACAGTCAATATTTTAGGATGATTCTCCCAGGAGTGACTGTTTTCTGTGTGAACAGGTGTATTTGAAAAGACCAATTTGCTGCCAATAGTCACTTTTCTGCCATAGACTCAGGGTTTAATGATTTAAGGCAAAGCAGAGCACCTGGCATTGTTTACAGTGCTCTTTCTTCACAAAGTGACAATCTAAAAGAGTCTGCATTGTGTTTTCAGGGAGAAAAGTGAAGGGAACTGGAAAAAGGGATAGAAAGGGATAATGATGGAGAAGGGTGAGCTGCAGCTAACTGCCAATTGAAAGTTGTTGATTGACACTTAAGAGCGTATGCAGTAAGGCAAAGAACATGGAGTGAAAGAAAACACTCAAGTTCTCAGTTTCGGCTCAGCCTCTAACTTATTACATGACCTTCAGATGTGATCTCCCAACAGTTTTCTGAGACTCAAGTTATTTTCAAAGACAAATCATGCTCCTTGCCTCAGATGATTCCTTTAGTAAACATTTTGTTTAGTTTCCAGCATTCTCCAAATGTGTTTTTTTAAATATCGTTAAGGGCTACAGATAAGAACATTGGTCCAAGGAAAACTTGAGTTGCAGGCATGACATTTCCATCTCTTTCCCCACAGTATTTACCTTTGCTTCTGCCGACCCCACACCCAAGTTGTCTCTGTCTCTTTTTCGTCAATGTCTTCAGAATTTTATTTCCAGAAAAATCATTATATAGAAGTTGAAACTTAAATCTAATTCAGCATTTACTTCCCAAGATATCCTTTTCAGTTTATGATCATTGTTCTAGTCTCTGAAAATTTGTAAATATGGAGTTGTTTGCCAATGCAATCCAACAAATGCTTACCGAATTGCTATTATTTGCCAAATTCTGCTAGATGCATGAATACAGTGATGAGGTATGATAAAGAAGGTGGACACAACTGATTCTGTTTAAATAGATGCTAAATATTCATATTAAAATATAGTATAAAATATTAATAGAAACTCAGAAAACAGAGTGATTATTTCTATCTGGGTAATTTAAGTAAATCTTCCTAGAGGTTGTGATATTTGATGTTGGCCATAAAGAATAAAAGCAAGTGATACAATTTTCACCAGACAGAGAAGGAGCAAAAGACATTTCAAGAAGAGGGAAGAGCATGGGCAGAGGCACAGAACTAGACCAGACTGCAGTGTGTTGAGAGGAATGGCAAGTGCTCTGGCTGCTGAATCACTATTCTCCAATGTTAAGTTTTTATTAGTAGCACACAAAAAATCAAACACAGACACAAAGGCCTCAAAAAGGGTTAGTCTCATTGCTTTCAGAGGGTTGTGGCTATCAGAGCATCAGGAAGTATTACATAGAAGTGTAGTGATGCTCTCTGTTTAATATCCAACAAGAGCTATTACTAGGAGCAACACCTAGGACCAGTGGACTAAGCCCCATATTTTGTGGAAGGGCCCAAAGATGGCTAAATATTTACTGTGACTTAGGAAAAAAGTAACACAGGAGAAAAAAGGAGCAAGTGAGCTGATGTTTTACAGACACACACACACAGTCACCATGTGATCACTTGAGATGTTGGGATACCTGTAACGTGTATGGATGCCTACTCCTTCCCCCTAAATTCTTCTAAACTTCATGGCAATTTCATAGCTATAGCTTGCTCATAAGAGCTTGAGGTGAAGCTGTATTTAGTCCCAGGCTGTGCTACTTGTTATATGTGGGAACATATCCAAATTATTTGACTTCTATAAACCTCATTTAGCTTATTTGTTAGAAAAGGTGGGAAGAAGAATACTTATTTTATAGGATGGTGGTGAGAATTCACAATGAGGTATGCAAAGCAACCTGCAGAATGCTTTACATTTGCAATGTGGTCAGTGAATGGTTCCCATATTGCTCTTGTCTTATCATATTGCCTTTGCTCTATATTTAATAATCATGATGGTTTAATATGGCAAATTTCATCTCCAGATCTGAAACTGTATTTTAAACATCATTATTCCCAGGTAGCTGGCTTTCTTGGAGCCAGAGCTCCTGAATAGGAATTGATATGAGCAATAATTTTCTTGTGAGAAGAGAGGTAAAGAGTTGTGCTTTACCAGCTTTATAGATGCTGATACTGAGGTAGAAACCTTGGATGCACCCCAAGAAATTCAAACTCTGAACTAAAACTATAATTAAATGCCTTTACCTCCGAGCGTGCAGACTCTGTCATCTGCTTCTACAATCTTGTCCGTTCAACCGTATGTCACCAGAGTGCTGAAAGGAACACTTACAAAGCTCTCTGTGTACCTCCGCTAGCATTTCACAAAGAACAAGATTTTTAGAAAAATCCAATTTGAAAGGAACAAGAACAATAACAAAACAAGGGATTATAATTTAATCATATCAAATCAAAGACTTTATATATATAAGGTATATATATATATATATTTGGTAATGGTAAAAGGAAAGAGTAATTCACTTTTGTGGTTCTAAAATTGGATTTTCCCAAAGATCAAAAGAAACTAGAGCTCAATTCTTTGGAATCACGTTGATGATACTGTTGCTAACAGAGAATGCCTGGAGCAAGAACTGAAGGCACTGAATGTTGAATAGCTTCCCTCTAAATTTATTGTTCCATTTATGTATTTGAAAATCTGAACTGTAAAAGGAATGATATATGTCTCAGTTAGGTATGGCCTTATATAAGATTTTTCATTTTGGAAATTTATTAATATTCTTTGGCAACTCTTCCTTCATGAGAAAGGCAGTGGTGGCACAGCATTTAATAAGTTTGCAGTGACATTAAGCTCTATTGATCTGAATTAGTATGTCTGTCTTTTGCTTTGATAGTTTATTACTGTGATTCAAAGACAGCAAGATGTACAGTCACCCAGTTTATGTTGAGTATGCTAGAAAACGTATTACATGTCATTGCATATATTGCAAGTCATAGGGATAATTTACACAGCAGTATTTTTTGTGTATATTAATTTTTTATCCTGGCACTAATGTCAGTGAATAAATACATAAAATAATGCTCAGTAAAAACTGAGTGAAGTAATGAATAAATGAATAAATATTTTGTATAAAATTAAAGAAAGTAAGTGATGGATTCAATATTAAAGGTTTATGCTTGAGGCTGGGCGCTGTGGCTCACGCCTGTAATCCCAGCACCTTGGGAGGCCAAGGCGGGCAGATCACTTGAGGTTAGGAGTTGGAGACCAGTCTGGCCAACATGGTGAAACCCTGTCTCTACTAAAATATACAAAAAAATTAGCTGGGCTTTGTGGCACTTGCCTGTAGTCCCAGCTACTTGGGGGGCTGAGGCAGGAGAATCGCTTGAACCCAGTAGGTGTAGGTTGAAGTGAGCAGAGATCATGCCACAGCACTTCAGCCTGCATGACAGAGCGAGACTCCATCTCAAACAAACAAACAAACAAACAAACAAACAAACAAAAAACTTCAAAGGTTTATGCTTGAGAAAATTCAAGACCTAATCAAGGAGAATCAAGCCAGTTGGTTAGGCCAAGGTTAAGCTCAATAGGTTGAGATTCAGATCTTGTACTATTTTGGCTGCATATTCTCCTTACACATGGTTTAAGTCAAGAGAGCCAAGAAAGTTGAGTTGAGTCAGATTTCTTGAGGCAGCATTAGTAGCTAGAGATACCAACATAATACAACATGAATATCAATAGGAAACTAGATTTACAAACTAGGACCCCGGTGGAACAGATTCAGGAACTGGTTGGCTATAATTGAGGGAATTCCTGGAAGATTGTTGTGAACATGGGTGTTTGTGGCTGGCTTTACTTGTTGATATATATGTGGGTATGTTCTTTTGGCTCAAAGCTACCAGGTCAAGATGGATTAAAAGTATTATAGAATTTGGTTTTGAGATATAATATGCCAGACATAGTGCTGAACTTTTCCATGGATTATCTTACTTAAACCTAATATTATTATTACCCTCTGTTTAAATGGGGGGCTGAGGCCTACAGAGTTTTGATAATGTGTACAAGATCAAGAAAGTGGTAGAGTCAGAACTTGAAACTTTTATTTTTATTTTTAATTTTTTTAAATTTTACTTTAAACTCTGGGATACATGTGTAGAATGTGTAGGTTTGTTATATACACGTGCCATGTTGGTTTGCTGCACCTATCAACCTGTCATCTAGGTTTTAAGCCCCACATGCATTAGGTATTTGTCTTAATGCTCTCCCTCCCCTGCCCCTCACATCCCTACAGGCCATAGTGTGTGATGTTTCCTTCCCTGTGTCCATGTATTCTTATTGTTCAATTCCCACTTATGAGTGAGAACATGCAGTGTTTGGTTTTCTGTTCCTGTGTTAGTTTGCTGAGAATGATGGTTTCCAGCTTCATCCATGTCCCTGCAAAGGACATGAACTCATTCGTTTTCATGGCTGCATAGTATTCCATGGTGTACATGTGCCATATTTTCTTTATCCAGTCTATCTTTGTTGGGCATTTGGGTTGGTTCCAAGTCTTTGCTATTGTGAATAGTGCTGCAATAAATGTATGTGTGCATATGTTTTTATAGTAGAATGATTTGTAATCCTTTGGGTATATACCCAGTAATGAGATTGCTGGGTCAAATGGTATTTCTGGTTCTAGATCCTTGAGGAATTTTCACACTGTCTTCCACAATGGTTGAACTAATTTACACTCCCACCAGCAGTGTAAAATTGTCACTATTTCTCCACAGCCTTGCCAGCATCTGTTGTTTCCTGACTTTTTAATGATCGCCATTCTAACTGGCGTGAAATGGTATCTCATTGTGATTTTGATTTGCATTTCTCTAATGACCAGTGATGATGAGCATTTTTCATGTTTGTTGGCTGCATAAATGTCTTCTTTTGAGGAGTGAGTGTTCATATCCTTTGTCCACATTTTGATGGGGTTGCTTGTTTTTTTTCCTTGTAAATTTGTTTAAGTTCTTTGTAGATTCTGGATATTAAACCTTTGTCAGATGCGTAGATTGCAAAAATGTTCTCCTATTGTGTAGGTTGCCTAGAACTTGAAACTTTGGAAGCTGACTCCAGCGCACAGTCTCTAAATAAGAACTCTCCAAAGGTAGGGCATAATGTAGCCATGCTGGGGAACATTTTTCTGATTTTTTCTGCCCCCTATATCTAATCTGGTTTTCTAGAAATTCCAACAGTGATTTCTGTGACAATAAATAAATAAAAGATTTTACCCTAAACAAACAAGCCAACAGAAAGATCATCTTTGGAGTACAACTCTACTTTTAAGTCACCACTTCCCCAAATTGGCTTCTTCTGTATTTGGCATTTTGTGTGGAAGTCTGCATTTACTCACTGATTAAATATTTATTGAGAGCTCACAATGTGCCAGATAGTGTTGGAGATGTTGAATTCTATGATGAATGAAACTGACAAAGATCCTTGGCCTCATGGATCTTACATTCTAGCAGGGGATATAAGAAATAAAAAAAAAATAGAGCATATAAGTAAACCATAGGGCTTATCAGAAGCTGTTTGTAACTACAGATAGAATAAAAAGGAGAGTAAGGAATGTCAGGTGTGCCTTGGTGGGAAGTTTATCATTTAAAATAGCATGACCAGCTCAAGTTTCATTGAGAAGGTGATAGTCAAACAAAGGCTTGAAGTAGGTGTCTAGGTGCAATAATGATCATTGTGACCAGGAAGCCGAGGGATCTTAGATACCTAACCTGGGAGACTAAGGGTATACCTGTGGCCATGGGCAAAGAGGGAGTTAAAAGTTCTACATGCAAATTGGTCCTATAACCTTGGCCTCATCAGACTTTTGAGAAAATTAAAGACATAATCTGACATTTATTAGCAACAGATTAGCTTTACCTTAGGGTGGTCACAAGCTTCTTCCAAAGACCTCATACACCCTTCAGTCAGCATGAGCCATCAGTATGGGCCTTTCTCAAGAATGACATCCCAATTGCCTAATTTGGGGGTTCCCCATCTATGAGCCCTGGTACTGGGGGTCAGCACTCCAACCTCTAGGAAGAGTACAAGGTTTTCTTTCCCTACCACTTCTTTATCTCATCAACCTCTTCTCACCCCCTAATAGTCTGACTTTCTCATCCTCTGAGATGTTAAGTCCTGGGACAGTATTAGACCTTTGTGCTAAGAGTTGGGGCTTTCTGGATATGAGTACATTAAGTCAGAATGGTAATACTGATGCATTCTGCTAATCAGAATCTCTGACATTCACACAGGTTTGCAATAACTAAAAATGATGAGATGAATTATTACTTTGCAAATGCAATATACAGGGCCAAATATTTCAAAAGATGTGTTCTGAGGAGGGAATACCTGTTCACCAGATGAAGACAGCTCCCTTTTTAATTTACTATTTGTATTACTGTTCTCTTTCTTCTCTCACTGCAGCTTTGGCCTTCAACTAGGATTGGCTATTTGACAGCTGAACCATGAAATCAGGATAAAAGTAACAACTGACAAGAAGATAGTCATAATCGGGTCACTGTCTTGTTGAGGCTGGGTTAGCAATCTAGGAGAAGAGATTTTTTTCTTTGCAGAAACTTTTACACCAAAACTGGCCTTCTTGACAGGGGGTTTGTTTAGCTACAAGCAGTTGTCAAATGCTGTGAAGTCTCTGAAGAATGCTGACACAGGCCTCTGTCCAGGGCCCTGTCAACACTTAGTGTCAAGCAGATGAAGACTGATTTTTAATTATTCATAGAATCTTTGGTGAATAGATGTGTGCGTGTGTGTGTGTGTGTGTGTTTGTGTGTGTGTGTGTGTGTGCATTTGTAGTATTTTGAGTTTGGATTTCTGATAAAATCTTATGTTAGATTAACTCTGGATAAAATGGAGAGTTCTCTATCCCTGATATGGTTGAAGAGATGCTTAGCATGGTTTAGTGCAAATGAGAGACTTTGGAGACTAGCAAAGACTGGGTGGAAGTGCACATCACGTCTTATCTTTATAGACCACTTATTACCTTTATCTTTTTCACATCTGCTTTGTGATCATGGGCAAATTGCTTAATCATAGAAAGCCAGTTTCCTGATTTCTATGAATCAGTATTGAAAGAGCTCCCACTTTGCAGATTTCTTATAAAGGCTAAATGAGAGGAGATGTGGGTGACGAAGTGAAAAGCAATCCATGGCCTCATGCAAGGCCCTTGATTTCCATACAAGGAAACTGCAGTTGATTTCTTAACAAGGCGTAAACCCAGGACTCCATCTTCACATGCTTAACTTAGCACAGTGGTCTTTCTGTCACATATGCTGAGGAAAGAAAAGCACTTATAAAGAACACATGTTATGTAACTATACAAAGCTCAAAAGAATACACGTTATCTAGTTTTAACTCTAGGAAGCTGGATTCCAACAGGTTAAAAGGATGCAGGAAGTGGCTGCAGCTAGTTTGATTTCTAAACAGTGCATCATGGGTGAAGGGTGGTAGAGTGGGTTGAGTTGTGGCTTCCAAAAAGGTATGACCACGTTTTATCCCCAGAGTCTGTGAATGTGCCCTTATTTAGACAAAGGGTCTTTGCAAATACAATCAAGTTAAGGATGTTGAGATGAAGTGATCATCCTAAATTATCTGGGCCCTAAATCTAATGGCAATAATGCTTACAAGAGAAACACAGAGGAAGACTTACAGAGAAGAGTAGGAGGCGGTGTGATCCTAGAGGCAGAGATTAGAGTCCTGCAGCAACAAGCTCAGAGATGCCAGCAGCCACCAGAACCTGGGCGAGACAAGAATGTCCCCTAGAGCCTCTGAAGAGATCACAGTTCTGCCAACACCTTGATTTTGGCCCTGTGATACTGATTTCAAACTTTTGTCCTCCAGAACTAAGTGAATACATTTCCAACACAAATTTACATCACCAAGTCTATGGTAATTTTACGACGTTATGGCACTCCTAGGAAACTAACAAGGGTGGTTAAAAAATCTGAGCAAAGAACTGAAAGTAGTTGTGTGCTAGCTAGAACGTCAGTCACACACAAGCACTGGCAGGTGGAGAGGGCAAAGGTGCCCTTCAAAAAAAATCTCTGCTTGCTTACATTCAACAGGCAGTTGGAATGCTTTATTGGAGCACTGTTTCTTCACACATTAATACAACAAATATTTGAGAAATATAGGACGCTTGCCTTCAAGTTACTTAAAATCCTTGACCAGTCAACAAATGAATGGAAAAATAAGTTGCAATACAACACACTAAGACCAATGGTAGAGGGAGTGCACGAATGCTGTGAGTTGCAGAGAAAAAGGGAGCTCAAGCTCTTTTCAGGACCGGGGAGCCACCAGGACAACTTCAGAGAGGAAATGATGCCTGAGTTGGGACCTGAACTTGTGGACTTAGAAAGGGAAAGGTTTTCCTGAGAGGAGGAGCAAGATGTGCTATTTTCTCCACCCTTTACATGGAAATCCTGAAACCTAGAGGTTCTGTCTGTTATCATGTATATTCCCTCTTTCCCATGACCTGACATGTCTATCTGAGAAACACTGTAGTTGTTTGCTGGATTGAGATAAATATTAAACAAAGAAGTGTGCCTGACTAACATAGGTGAGCCAGGTGTTTTGGAAAGATAAGCTCCGAAGTGGTTAAGGGCAGAGTCATGGGGATGGAGGACAGAGAGCTTCCGTTGTCCAGGCGGGAGCTTATCCAGCTAGACAGTTGTCAGTTTTGCCTGTGGCTTAATTGTTCCTTCCTCAGAGGCCCTGCCCACTCCTAACTCCAGCCTCTAGCTGCCCTTCATTTGATCACCCTAGCTTCCATTGTGGACAATGGAACTAAGCAGGAAAGAGAGAGAACAAATCTTTTTTTGCATGTGGCAGCATTATGCAAATTTATTTACACATGTAATCTGATTTCACCCTCAACACAGTCCTCTGGGACTATTTTTCTAGTTCTGTTTTTCAAATGAACTGAAAGGCATGGAAGTCCTTCAAAGATCTGGCTTCTATTTGCTCCTCCATCTCCCATCCTCTCTTCCATATACTCTTTGCCTCCTGTAGCTCTATCAACCTGCTTCAACTTCTTCCTCCCATGCTTAGTTCAGTGTCTCTTAACTTGGGGTAATATTGTCCCACAGAATTAAAATTTAAGATGTCTGGAGACATTTATGATTGCTGCAACTGAGGGAGGGAATGATACTTTTACCTAGTGAACAAGGATCAAGCCAAGCATGCTGCCAAACATCAGACAATGTAATGCCCTCTCACTCCAGCAAAGAATTATCTGGCCCAAAACGTGAGGAGTGCTGAGATTGAGAAACTCTGCATTTGAACATATTATTTCCTCTGTCTGGACTGTACCTGTCTCTTTTCCCCTCTCAGATGGATTTCTCCTTTCCATTGGAAACCCAGCTGAGGTGTCACTCCTTCTAGTAGCCTGTTCTAATTTCTCCAGGCTGAGCTAGGTGCTCCAGCTGTGTGCCCTAACACACAGCCTACCTAGCATTGAACTTATTATTGGTTCTACACTATTTTGCTCATAAATCTGAGGCTCCTACTGGGCAAGAAACCATATTCCATCCATCTTTATATCTTTAGACACTAATGCAGGGCCTGGCAGTTCCTGAAAGTGTATCTGTTGGATGAATGAAGTGGTAAGTTTGGATTTATACAGTACATAGAAGGAAACATGAAAAACTTGAGAGACTGGTTCTCAGAGCAGAGTGATTGGTGTGAAATAAGACTGGCAGGTAAAAACCATGTGATTTTCTCAATAGATGCAGAAAAAACCTTCGATAAAATTCAACATCCCTTCATGTTAAAAACTCAGTGAACTAGGTATTTAAGGAAAATACCTCAAAGTAATAAGAGCCATATATGACAAACCCACAGCCAATATAATATTGAATGGGCAAAGCTGGAAGCATTCTCTTTGAACACTGGCACAAGACAAGGATCCCCTCTCTCACCCTTCCTATTTAACATAGTATTTGAAGTTCTGGCCAGGACAATCAGGCAAGAGAAAGAAATAAAGGGTATTCAAATAAAAACAGGGAAAGTCACATTATCTTCATTTGCAGATGACATTACCCTACTTCTAGAAAACCCTGCTGTCTCAACCCAAAATCTTCTAAAGCTGATAAGCAACTTCATGAAAATCTCAGGATACAAAATCAATGTGCAAAAGTTGCTAGCATTCCTATTCACCAAAAACAGGCAAGCAGAGAGCCAAATTATGAATGAACCCCAATTCACAAATGCCACAAAGAGAATAAAATACCTAGGAGTACAGCTAACAAGGGAAGTGAAGGACCTCTTCAAGGAGGACTACCAACCACCACTCAAAGAAATCAGAGAGGACACAGACAAATGGAAAACTGTCCCACAGTCATGGATAGGAAGAACCAGTATCATGAAAATGGCCATACTGCCCAAAGCAATTTATAGATTCAATGGTATTCCCATTAAACTACCACTGACATTCTTTACAAAATTAAAAAACAACTATTTTAAATTCCATATGGAACCAAAAAAGAGACTGAATAGCCAATAGCCAAGACAACTCTAAGTAAAAAGAATAAAGCTGGAGTCATCATGCTACCCAACTTCAAACTATACTACAATGCTACAGTAACCAAAACACAAGGGCACTGATATAAGAACAGACACATAGACCATTCAAACAGGATACAGAACTCAGAAATCAGACTGCATATTTACAATCATCTGATCTCCAACAAATGACAAAAACAAGCAAATGTTTGTTTATTTAATAAATGAGGCTGGGAGTTCTGGCTAGCCATATGCAGAAAATTGAAACTGAACCCCTTCCTTATACCTTATACAAAAATTAACTCAAGATTGATTAAAGACGTACATGTAAAACCCATAAGTATAAAAACCCTAGAAGAAAATTTAGGGAATACCATTTAGAACATAGGCATAGGCAAAAGTTTTATAACAAAAACGCCAAAAACAATTGAAACAAAAGCAAAAATTGACAAATGGGATCTAATTAAACTAAAGAGTTTCTGCACAGCAAAATAAACTATCATCAGAGTGAACAGACAACCTACAGAATGGGAGAAAATTTTTGCCATCTATTCATCTGACAAAGGTCTAAAACCCAGAGTCTACAAAGAACTTAAACAACTTTACAAGAAAAAAGCAATCAACTCCATTAAAAAGTAGGCAAAGAACATGAATGGACACTTCTCAAATGAAGACATTCATGCAGGCAACAAACATATAACAAAAAGCTCAACTAATCATTAGAGAAATGCAAATCAGAACCACAATGAGATACTATCTCACGTCAGAATGGCTGTTATTAAAAAGTCAAAAAACAACAGGTCCTGGTGAGGTTGTGGAGAAAAAGAAATGCTTTTACACTGTTAGTGGGAGTGAAATTATTTCAACCATGGTGGAAGACAGTGTGGTGATTCCTCAAAGACCTAGAGGCAGAAATACCATTTGACCCAGCAATACCATTACCAGGTATAAACCCAAAGGATTATAAATCATTCTATTATAAAGATACATGCATGCATATGTTCACTGCAGCACTATTCACAATAGCAAAGTCATGTAATCAACTTAAAAGCCCATCAATGATAGACTGGATAAAGAAAATGTGGTAGATATACACAATGGAATACTATGCAGCCATATAAAGGAATTAGATCATGTCCTTTGCAGGGACATGGATGGAGCTGGAAGCCATTATCTTCAGCAAACTAATTCAGGAACAGAAAACCAAACACCACATATTCTCACTTATAACTGGGAGCTGATTGATGAGAACACCTGGATACATGGTGGGAAACAACACACACTGAGGCTTGTCAGCAGGGGGCAGAGGGGAGGGACAGTATCAGGAAGAATATCTAATGGCTGCTGGGCTTAATACCTAGGTGATGGGATGATCTGTGCAGCAAATCACCATGGCACACATTTACCTATGTAACAAACCTGCACATCCTGAACTTAAAAGTGGAAGAATACATACACACACACACACACACACACACAGAATGGCAGGCACCGCCGCTGCAGGGATGCAGACTCATTTCTACTGCTTTTACTACTGGTTTCCTGAACCTGGGAAGTGAATAAAGAGGGTCTCAGAGAAAATGAAATGTAATAGAATATGCTAGATGCATGTCCTTTTCTTCTTAACCTCCCATTTCCTCCTTATGTGTGATAATTGAAGGAATGAAAAAAACATCCTAACTTGAGCTGAAAAAAAAAAAATGAGGGCTAGCTGTTGTAGCCTAAACAGCTCTCACACCCAATGGAGGAAGCGTGGAGAAGTGACAGTGTTTGTGCAAGGATACCAATTCAGGAAAACCTAGTTGGCCCTTTCCTTGTCTCTGTTAGAGAAATTCAAGTGACAGTGTGCTTGTGCAAGCTGCCAAAGGAATTGGCTGAAAGTAGGAGATACTGGAGGCACCTGACATGCTATTTCTTTTAAGGAGAGCATCTGTGACAGCCTGTGAGCTCCCTGACTCCCTCTGGCACTTGGAAGCAATGGCAGTCAAAGGAACATTGAGGACCAGTCCTCATTGCTTTTCTTTTGCACAATCTCAGAATTTAGAATAGCACAGGCATAGAAAAAAAGGTGCCTGCAACTGTTTTAGTCAAGCTGTCCTACTTGTAGCAAATGAAGAGCCAAAGATGAGGAAATGGAACCTGGTTAAGTACGAACACCCAGGAGCCTCCACTGCTGTAGTCTAAATCCAAATCTGGCTCCAGAAATTCTTATAGGATTTTAAATATGTGACTCTTTGGATGCTATTTTCCACGTTTTAAGTTCATTTCTGTTTATATACAGGAGTATAAACTTTGAACATAAACTGATTATTGAAAACTCAATTAACTGTCATAGCAGCCTTGTAGGAAAGATGTGTGAAAATGGTCATCTTTTCTCCCACACTAATTTCTCCCTCTGATTCTAAATATCCATGCTTTCTAATACTCATACAAGTCTTTTTCTTCTTAAATAAAAAAATTCATGGTTACAAAAATTATACAAGGACAGCCAAAGACGTTCTTTCATGGGTCATATATGGGTCATATGCTACATGGAACAGGTACTGTCCAACAGTCTTGGGGAAAAAATGATTACAAAGTAAGACTGAGTTTCTTCCATCAAGAAGGATACTGAACAGTGTTGTATGGGAAGTGCTCAGTGTCCATCTCCTATACACAGACCATCTGTCTTTATCTTATAGCCAATCTTAAAGTTATTACTTCTAGGAGGACAAAATATAACATTCTCCTCTCACTCTTGCTGCATCCACAGAAGTCAGACTGCAGATGGGGAGGAGCTGGGATGAATACAGAAACAGTTGAGTGGAGTCTAAGAGGAACAGAGCAGAGTTTAAAATTTTAATGAAAAAATTGACAATATAATTAAAAGGTCCGATTTTTTCTTTAGAATATGGACTTTTCAAAGAAATATTTTACCATGAGGTTAAAAAATATTTTTTCATTATTCATCTAAATGTTTTGAAGCTTTGTTTTTTTATGTATGTTTTTAATCCACTGAGATTTTTTGTTTTGGTAGAAGTGACAAAGGAATTCATTTGTGTCTTAGTCCATATAGCTAACAAATGATTCCAGCTTACCTGTATGAAGTAGTCTGTTTTTTACTTGTGGTAGAATTGCTAGAAAGTTAAAAAAACATAAGCTTCAGGGACCATCACTTGAATAGACTCCTTCCATGGCCCTGAAAAATAAATTTAGCAATGTGGTCATAAGTTTAGCAATGTGATCACAGAGTCATATATGTCTGTCAATTTTTGCAAAATACTTTTGTATTCTTTTTCTTAAAGAGAGCACCTGCGCTAAATTTTATACGCTTCGGGCTTCACATAACTTGAATGCTTCTGGTGCTCATTGATTAAAAAAAAAATTTTTTTTTGTGGTAAGCCGAATAGCAGTCTCCCAAAGTCATTTCAATCCTCAGAATGTGTAAATATGTTGGGTTACATGGCAAATGGTAATTAATATTGCAGATGGAATTAAGAATGCTAATCACTTGACATTAAGATATGGAGATTAGCCCAAATTATCCAGAAAAACCCAGTGAAATCACAAAGATCCTTAAAGGTGGAAGAGGTAGGCAGAAGAAGAGAGTCAGAGGAAGAAGAATGGTCAGAGAGAAGCAATGTTGCTGGCTCTGAAGATGGAGGAAGGGGCCATGAGTCAAACAACGTGGCAGGCTACTAGAAGTGGGAACACACAAAGAAACTGATTCACCCTTACAGATGCCTGAAACAAACACCATCCTGCCAATACATTTATTTTAGTCCACGAAATCCATGTTGGACTTGTAACCTGTAGAGATGTAATAAAAATAAGTTTGTCCTATTTAAGCCATCACATTTGTGGTGGTTTGTTATGGCAGCAATAGAAAACTAATATACTGTCTTTTGTTGTCGTACAGGCAAAAGTTTGTTTCTGTGTTTTCTATTTTATTCCACTGGCCTTCCCATCAGGTCTTTCTCAATCACTTTAACTTAGTAATAATTCATAATATCAGATGAGGCAATTATCTTACTTTCTTCAAAAATCTCTTATCTTCCACATGAAATTTACACTTGGCTTGCCATGCTGTCTATAGAAAAACAGAATGATACAAAGCAACAAAACAAAGTTCTGTGGCGAACATTTGATTAAAGCTGCATTGCATTTCATTTAAAGATAATTTTGGGGAAAGATTTATATTTTAAGGTTTTGACTTTTCCTATTCATGAATTTAGTATTTATTTATTTATTTAGAGCAGCCTCTTCTCTAAATTTTTTTTCCTTTTTAGTAATGGTTTATAATTTTCTTCATCAATGTCTTGAAAATCTTTTGTTAGAGTTATTCCTACACACAAATTTCTTTGATATTATAAATGAAATATTTTGTATTATATTTTCTAATTGTTATTACATGTGGAAAAAAGGCTGTTCATTTTTCTTCCTGATGTAGCATCTAGAAACCTTGCTAAATTATTTTAGTTACTCTATTAGTTTGTTGGTAGATTATCTAGGAATTCCTACAATTATATTGTTTGCAAATTGACACAAACTTTCCTATTACTTTTCCTTTCTTTTATATTATTTGTTTCTCTTGGCTATGGCCTTATACATTGCTGAATGTAAACAATGTTAGTTGTATACTTCTCTTACCCTTTTATTCTAAGATATTATTCTAAAGTTTGGTCACATTAAAAAAATTTAGTGTGGTTTTTGGTATATGACTTTTATTAAGAAAAACAATGTTTCTTCTTTTTCAGTTGGCTTGAAGATGTTCATTATGAAATTATTTTTGTCAGATGATTTTTCTACATTTGTTGAAATAATTATATATTAAAAAACATGTTAGTCTGCTGACTGATAGATTTGCTAGTGTATAATTATTTTTGCATTATTAGGATTAACCCATCTTAGTTATGATGTGTATTTTAAACAGACTGCTAAATTTATTATATTAGTATGTGTCTAAAATTTTATTCCATATTTTTATGTGAGATTGGCTTAAATATATTTTTCTTGTGCTATTGTTCTCTAGTTTTGTTATCAATGTTACTCTAGTTTTGTAGAATGAATTTGGAGCTTTATTTTACATTCTGTGAAGCAATTTGCATAAGACAAAGATTATTTGTTGTTGAAATGGTTCATAAAAATCAACTCTACAACCACCTAGGCCTTATATCTTCTGGGTTTAACTTACACATCTGCTAAGCTCTGCTCCCTGTGTCTTATCTTGGGCCCTTGACTGAAAGTTAAAATTCTTCTTGAGACATCTGTTCTCATGGGGGTGGGGTGAGGAGCAAAAGGCTAAACCAAACTGTACAAGCATGTGTATACCTTCTTCTTAGAGGTGGTAGAGGAAATCACTGTGCCAGACTAAGATGTGGTACCATGATATTTGCTTAGCAATTGGGTGGCAAGTGGTGAGAACATAGATAGAAACCTAGATGGTTTAAGGTCCACCGTCTGTGGTACGAATTTACTGTATTAGTCTGTTTTCATGCTGCTAATAAAGACATACCTGAGACTGGGTAATTTATAAAGGAAAGAGGTTTAATTGACTCACAGTTCAGCATGGCTGGGGAGGCCTCAGGAAACTTACAATCATGGCAGTGACATGTTTCACGTCCTTCTTCACATGGCAGCAGGAAGGAGAAGTGCTGAGCAAAGAGGGAAAAGCCCCTTATTAAACCATTAGAGCTCATGAAAACTCACTCACTACCACAATAACAGCACCCCCATGATTCAATTATCTCCCACCAGGTCACTTCCACAACATGTGGGGATTATGGGAACTACAATTCAAGATGGTACTTGCGTGAGGACACAGCCAAACCATAATATTCTACCCCTGGTGCCTTCCAAATCTCATGTCCTCACATTTCAAAACACAATCATCCTCTTTCAACAGTCTTCCAAAGTCTTAATTCATTACAGCATTAACTAAAAAGGCCAAGTCCAAAGTCTCATCTGAGACAAGGCAAGTCTCTTCTGCCCATGAGCCTGTAAAATCAAAAGCAAGTTAGTTTCTTCTTAGATACAATAGAGGTACAGACATTGGGTAAATATACCCATTCCAAATGGGAGAAATTGGCTAAAATGGGGCTACAGGCCCCATGCAAATCCGAAATCCATTGAGGCAGTAATTAAATCTTAAAGCTCTGAAATAATCTTCTTTGACTCCATGTCTCACATTCAGGTCACACTGATGCAAGAGGTGGGCTCCCATGGCCTTGGGCAGCTCTGCCCCTGTGGCTTTGCAGGGCAAAGCTCCTCCAGGCTGCTTTCACAGGTTGATGTTGAGTGTCTGAAGCTTTCCAGGCACATGGTGCAAGCTGTTGGTGGATCTACCATTCTAGGGCCTGGAGTATGGTGGCCCTTTTCTCACAGCTCCACTAGGCAGTGCCCCAGTGAGGACTCTGTGAGGGCTCTGACCCACATTTCCCTTCTGCACTGCCCTAGCAGAGGGTCTCCATGAGGGCTCCATACCTGTAGTAATCTTCTGCCTGGGCTTTCAGGCATTTCCATACATCCTCTGAAATCTAGGCAGAGGTTCCCAAACCTCAATTCTTGACTTCTGTGTATCCACAGACTCAACACCATTTGAAAGCTGCCAGGGCTTGGGGCTCGCACCTCTGAAACCATAGCATGAGCTGTACCTTGGCCCCTTTTAGCTATGACTGGAGTGGCTGAGACATAGAGCACCAAGGCTCTAAGCTGCATACAGCAGGGGAACCCATGAAACCATTTTTTCATCCTAGGCCTCCAGGCCTGTGATGGAAGGGGCTACTGTGAAGTTCTCTGACATGTCCTGGAGGCATTGTCCCCATTGACTTGGTGATTAACATTTGGCTCCTGATAACTTATGCAAATTTCTGCAGCTGGCTTGAATTTCTCCCCAGAAAGTGGGTTTCTCTTTCCTATTGCATCATCAGGCAGCAAATTTTCCAAACTTCTATGCTCTGCTTCCTCTTGAATGCTTCACTGCTTAGAAATGTCTTCTGCCAGGGACCCTAAATCATCTCTCTGAAGTTCAAAGATCCACAGATGTTTAGGGCAGGGAGAAAAATGCTTCCAGTCCCTTTACATAGCAAGAGTGACATTTACTGCAGTTCCCAACATGTTCTTCATCTCCATCAGAGACCACTTCAGCCTGGACTTCATTGTCCTTATCACTATCAGCATTTTGGTCAAAGCCACTCAACAAGTCTCTAAGAAAGTTCCAAACCTTTCCACATCTTCCTGTCATCTAGGCCCTCCAAACTGTTACAACCTCTGCCTGTTACCCAGTTCCAAAATTGCTTCCTCATTTTTGGGTACCTTGACAGCAGCACCCCATTCTCGGTATCAATTTACTGTATTAGTCAGTTCTCATACTGCTAATAAAGACATACCTGAAACTGGGTAATTTATAAAGGAAAGAGGTTTAATTGACTCACAGTTCATCATGGCTAGGCAGGCCTCAGGAAACTTACAATCATGGTGGAAGGAGAAGCAAACATGTCCTTCTGCACATGGTGGCATCAAGGAGAAGTGCTGAGCAAAGGGGAAAGCCCTTTATAAAATCATCAGATCTTGTGAGAATTCACTCACTACCATGAGAACAGCATGAGGGTAACCACTCACATGATTCAATTACCTCCCACTGGATCCCTCCCCTGACACATGGGGATTATAGGAACTACAATTCAAGATGATATTTTGGTGGGGCACAGCCAAACCATATCAGATATGGTGGCAAAAATTCGGTAAACCCGACACCTGTGGTCACTTGGAAGGCTACGTGCCTGCAGAGCTTACATTTCTAGAGGAAGAGATTGAAAAACAATGTCAAATTTGGTTACTTTTAAACTACATTTTGCAAAGTATTTCTACAGTTAATAGGCTATGATATGCTGCAGATACGACATACATCTATTTTATGTTGCACTAACAAAGACAGAAAAAGTCAATTAAACTTTGACATTACACCTGCAAAAATTATGAAATGCAGCCCAATCTCAAAGACGTTAAAATGAGAAATGAATGTGCATCTTAAAATCAGTGAAATATGGTACAAAAAAAGATGAGTTCAGGAAAAAGCTGGACAGTTTCCAAGCAAAAATAAAGAAGAGAAAGGTCTAAAAGCCAGGACCCCGAACTGTTAAAAAAAGTCAAGTACTTTTAGACCCCAAGAAAAAGATGTGATTTTAAAAGGCTCTGAGATATAAAGACCCAGTGAGACTTCTTCATTGAATGGAGTGACTCAGCTTCGAGGTAGATACCAGCTTTGAGGCAGAGAAGTAGCCAGTCTACTCATGCCTAGTAGCCTCAAGGTAGCTGCCATTAGATTGAGAGAGGCAGGCATGGGGATGAGGAAGTATAAAAGTAAAGATATCTGTGTTTTAAATTCACAAAAGAACGTTGAACATAGTTAACAGTACATGGATCTAACTAGAAGTAAATAAATCAGAAGATTACTAATTATTTCAGGGAGTTTGCTGCCAAATAATTCTTGAGCCTTATATAAAAAAAGCCTATTACTGTTGAGTGAGTCTTAAAACAACTCTCATGCAGGATGTGGGCCATGTGAGCTGTGCAGTTCTCAAGGAGGGCACACTCTCCAGCACCCACTGTAGAGGTGGCCAAGACGCATAATAAAGCAGAAAGAGTGTTTTGGAGTGCAACCTAAGATCATGAAGAACAAAAAGAAGTGATTTTCTCCTTCAGAGAGGAGAATTTGGGTTTATTCAAAAGGCTTTTCTCCCTTCTATAGTAGAGGACTTTACAGCATAGGCCCAGAGGCATTTCAGAATTGCTACAGACCAGGGACTACTTACTAAGCATCTTTCAATTAAGCACTCTTCTGAGTGCAAGTGTATATATGGTTATTCTGCCCCTGCCCCACCACTGCACATTGTATATGGGAGTGGAGGAGGATAACTTCTCTTTTTAGTTCACGGAGTGTTGCACCATAAGGAGCCACATCAGATGTAAATGAAGAGGTCACCCTGAAATCCTAGGCTTTGAGGTGGTTTCAATGCAGATTGGGTCCCTCAGTTGCTGCCTTGGGAAAGGCATCAGCATGCTCTACACATAGGAGAAAGAATGAAATGTGTATTTGGTGACAGGAAGTAGGGGCTATTGCAGTGACAATGCTAGGTATTTATTAAACTCATTTCATTTCCCTGCTGATCACACTGGAAGACCATATTGATGGCTCTATTGTGTTAGTGGAGCCATATGACTGAGTTCTGGCCAATGGATTTTGGGTGGAGGTGATGTGCACCCCTTCCAGACCTGGCCATCCAATCCCCCAAATGGCCCTCCATGTTCTCTTTCGCCCTTAAAGGAACTTAGAGGCGTTGTGTTGACGTGGAAAGAGCCTTGTTGAATGGCTATAAAAACCAAAACAGGGAAATGCAACTTCATCCCAGCTCCCTTCCACTAGTGATTATGGTCAAGAGTGAGCAATAAAATATTATTGTCTTAAAATGAGACTTTGTCTTTTATTTGTTACTGCAGAATAACTTCGCCTAGCCTAATTAATATAATCAATCAACTTCTCTGCATTGGGTTATTTTTATTGGCTTACTATATATTCATTAATATTGCCCTTGAAAATATCTTTCTCTTGGCCTCAGTGACTCCTCCAGCCTATTTCTGCTCCCTGCTGAAGGCACAACTTTGAAATAGTCTGCTTCTTCCCTCAAATGTCTCTACTTCCTTCCTCTGTAATTAATTCCAAGCCCAATGGTCATTTCTTTGTCCTTATTTAATCTGAACTGCTATCATGGGTTGTAATTGTAGACCATGCCCTGCTTTTGGGTTTTTTTTCTATCATACTGTTACTTCTTCGTGACTGCCTTGCTGGCTTCATCTCTTCATCAGGTCTCAGAATGCAAGAGCAACTCAGAGCTTGTCTTAGTTATCAAATTTATACCCATGGGGATCTGTCACACCCACGACTCTAAAGTGCACTATACTTACACCAGGGGAACCCAAATCTATTGGTTTAGCTCAAAACTCTATCCTGATAACAAGATCTCCATATTCAACTCTCTACTCAATATCTCAGTCAAGGCCAAATCAGTATCTCAAACTTAACATGAACAAACAGATCTATTCATAGTCCATGCCATCATGTCTATTCTTCCCCAAGATTTTTCATCTCTATAAATGTCATCACTGTCTTTGGCCCTAAACCTAGGATTCCTCTTTGACTCTCCAATGGTTCCTCTTTTTCTTACATCCCTTAGTCAATCCATCAGCAATTTCTCCTCATCATCTCTACCTAACAATCTGCAATGAAGCCACTTTCATCATTTGGCTTGATAATGCCTCCTAGCTGACCTTAGTGCTGCTTTTTTTTTTTTTTTTTTTTTTTTTTTTGGAGACGGAGTCTCACTCTGTCACCCAGGCTGGAGTGCAGTGGTGTGATCTCGGCTCACTGCAACCTCCGCCTCCTGGGTTCATGCCATTCTCCTGCCTCAGCCTCCCGAGTAGCTGGGACTGCAGGCGCCCGCCACCAAACTGGGCTAATTTTTTGTATTTTTAGTAGAGACAGGGTTTCACCGTGTTAGCCAGGATGGTCTCAATCTCCTGACTTCGTGATCCGCCCACCTCGGCCTTCCAAAGTGCTGGGATTACAGGCGTGAGCCACCATGCCCGGCTGGTGCTGCTTTTATAGTCTCCTCAGAGCAGCCAGTGGGAACTTTTGTAAAGACAAATCAGAGAATGTCACCCTCCTGCTAAAAGCCATTAGGAGCCTCTTATTGCTACTACAATAAAATCTAGATTCCTTACTTCACTCCACAGGGCCTTACATAATCTGTACGCTGCCTGCCTCTCTAATCCCATCTCTTCCACTTGCTGCCTCACACAGTAAACTCACTCTTACTGCTCCTCTTATTGTTCCTCAGTCATGTAAAGTTTATTCCTACCCCAGGACCTTTGCACTTCTTTTTCCTTCTGGTTGGAATAATTTTCTTTCTGATCTGATCAGGGCCGGTTCCTTCTCATCATTCTGATTTCCTTGCAAATGTCCTCACTTCAGAGAAGTAAACAGACAATCCTTCCAGCAATTTTCCCTCACTTTAACCAATCTTCTTTTCTTCATAGCACATATCTGGAACTGAATTTATTATTTTTGTTTTATGTGTGACTCATTGTTTCTAAGGAGGTTTGACTATATTTTAATAAGGGATACATTTCCAGTATTTTAGCTTAACTCATTATATTATTATTTATAAATAAGTAAAGAAAACTTTGGATGTTTAGCCTTTCTGCTAGGAAATGTCAAGCAGGAGCTAATTATAATGAATGTGTCAGGAATTGAAGAGAGATGCTGGTTTTGTGCAGAGAAACTTATTAAAACCATTGGTTCAAATAATTACTTAATTATAGTATGCCACAGTTTGAATGCCACTTGATTATGGCTCCGTTTCCATTTACAGTGAAGATTCTGGTGCAACCAGCCCTTTGAAATGCCATGGCAACATTGCCTGCTGGAACATCTTATCCTTGGTGAAAATGTTTTTTTCTTTCTGGTTGCTTGGGTACCACTTTCATTACATTGCTGTCAAATCTTTTCCCTACAACATTTCTATTTTCAGAGGTAGTCTCATCCTTTAAGCATTCGTCTTCCACTTGACATAATCACATGCTCACCTTTTAAAGCCATACTCAGCCAGGACCCTCTGTGTTGGAGGCTTTAGTCTGGCTTCAGTCCTCACTTCCCCATTATCAGCTCTTAGTTCTGTCCTGTTCCTGCTTTTCTTCCTCCAGTCCTGCTGAACATGTGGCTCAGTTCTTCCAGCCTCACCTCTCTTTCTGATCAGGCACTTCCAAGGGTAGAAGAGTAGTCTAGTCATCAATTTCCTCATTGTTAAAACGGTAGCTCTTCTTATTCTTGCATACAGATTCCTGGGCAGCACTCACTGAACACACAGCCTAGAGGGTAGGCTCTGACGTTGTCCAACTTTTAGGGTGTTCTATAAACAGAAGACTTGAGACCTCACGATGGTAAGGGAGATTCAAATGCTTAGAAACTTAACAGAAGATTGATCTGTAGTCTTTATCCAGAATCTTAATTCTTGCCATTAAATCAATTCATGAGAAATCTTATCAATTCTGTGTTGTTCAGGGTGCTTTCAAAGATGTCAATTGAGCCTTAACTGATACAAATACCTCCAAGAGAACTAGTTTGCTTCTAGACTTCTTCCCATTGGACCAACTTACTTGGCAAAAGTCCTAGAAGATCTAATCTGAGTTAACACTAACTACCTTTTTGAATAGATCAAAAAGTTTTAGAGATAAACTTTTAAATTTGAAGAATGAATAGACCGATCCAAAGGGAAAAATATTCTTCTTATTCTTGAGGAGATCTGTGTTTTTTTTTTTTTGTTTTTTTTGTTTTTTGCTAAGGCTGCCATAACAAAGTACCATTGACTGGGTGTTTCAGTTTCGAAGACTAGAAATTCAAGATCAAACTTTCAGCAGGGTTGGTTTCTTCTAAGGGCCATGAGAGAAGGGTCCTTCCCAGGCTCTTTCCTTGGCTTTTCAATGGCCATTTTCTCCCATTGTCTTTATATTGTGTTCCCTCTGTACACATCTGTATCCAACTTTTCAGTCATATTGGATTAGGGCACATCCTAATGACTTTGTTTTAACTTAATTACCTCTGTAAAGACCCTGTCCCCAATATGATCACATGCTGAGATACCAGGGGTTAGGACTTCAACATGTGAATTTTGGAGGGTACACAATTAAGCCCATGAGAAGATCTTTAGCCTTTTGAGAAACATCCCATTAAAAGTTCTGTTATGTGGCTACTGTTAAAAAGTCAACAAATAACAGATGTTGGCGAGGTTGGAGGAAAAAGAGAATGCTTATACACTGTTGGTGGAAATGCAAATTAGTTCAGCCCCTGTGGAAAGCAGTTGGAAGATTTCTCAAAGGGATAAAAATAGAACTATTATTCAACCCAGCAACAACTTAACTGGGTCTATATCCACAGGAAAATAAACTGTTCTACCCAAAAGTCACCTGTACTCATATGTTTATCACAGCACTATTCACTAGCAAGGGCATAAAACAAACCAAGATGCCTAGCAATGGTGGATTGGATAAAGAAAATGTGGTACCTACATATCATGGTATACTATGCACTCATAAAAAAGAATGAAGTCATGTCCTTTGCAGCAACATGGATTCAGCTGGAGGTCATTATCCTAAGTGAATGAAAATGCAGAAACGGAAAACCAAATACCATGTATTCTCACTTATAAGTGGGAGCTAAACATTGGGTACACACAGACATAAAGATCGGAGAAATAGACACTGGGGACTCCAAACGTAGGGGTGAGGGGGAAGAAGGATTGAAAAACTATCTGTTGGGTACTATGTTCACTATTTGGGTGACAGGATCAATAGGAACCCAAATCTCAGCATCACACAATATACCCTTGTAACAAACCTGCACATGTACACTTGAATCTAAACAAAAAATTCCTTTCTGTTTCTTACATGATCTCCTGTAGCTGAACAAGTAAAATATTATGAACACCTTAGTTTGTTCTGCCTAGGAATGTTTGTACTGGCTCTTCCTTTAATCTGGAATTTTTTTTTTCCCAACTTGTCATGTAGCTTGCTCCATCACTTCATTCAGGCTTCTAATTAAATATCACTTTCACAGAGAGGATCTCCCAGACCACTAGGCAGTGCCTTCCTTTTACCCCCATCACCTTCCACTATCAATCTTTTTGGTCTGCTTTATATTTGTTTATAGTCCTTAGTAATATACAAAATTAACATTTTAAAATTTACTTGAAAAATAAAGACATAACAATAACAACAACCATATCTAGCATTCCCTGTGTGTTTACTGTATGCTAACTCCTTCTTTAAGCACCTCATATATATTATTTTATTAAAATCTAGCAACCATTTGAAGTAGTCACTTTTTATTTTTAATTGAAAAACGATTGCATATATTTATGGGATACAATGTTACATTTTAATCTATGTGTACATTATAGAAAGAGTCAATCAAACTAGCATATTCATTGCCTCACCAAATTATCTTTTCTCGTTAGAATATTAAAAATATATTTTAGCAATTTTGAAGTATGCAATATATTAACTGTGGTTACCATAGAGTGCAATAAATCACTAAAGGTATTCCTTTAGTCTAACTGCAACTTTGTACCCTTTCTCAACATCTCTCCTTTCCCCACATCTCCCTCCCCACCCCCATCCCCCATCATCTGGTAACTACTTTTTAATCTCTGTTTCTATGAGAACAACTTTTTTAGATTTCACATGCAGTACTTGTCTTTCTGAGCCTGGCTTAGTTCACTTAGCATAATGTACTGTAGTTTGAACCATATTGTTGCAAATGACAGAATTTCCTTCTTTTTAAAAGGTGTACAGTATTTCATTGTGTATATATACCACATATTCTTTATCCAGTTATCCATTGATATACACTTAGTTTGCTTCCATATCTTGGCTATTGTGAATACTGGTGAAATAAACATGGGAGGGCAGATATCTCCTTACATTACTGATTTTAATTCCTTTGGATATTTGCCTAGAAGTGGGATTTCTGAATCATATGATAATTCTACTTTTCACTTTTTTGAGAAACCTCCATACTGTTTTCCAAAATGGCTGTAGTAATTTACATTCCCAACAGCGTATGCGACTTCCCTTTCCTCTACATCTTTGCCAACACTTACTATTTTGTTTTGTTTTGTTTTTATTTATTTTATTTTTTGTATAATTTAAAAGTTATTGGGGTTCAGGTAGTGTTTGGTTACATGAGTAAGTTCTCTAGTGGTGATCTGTGAGATTTTGGTGCACCCATCACCTGAGCAGTATACACTGCACCCTATTTATAGGCTTTATCCCTCCCCCACCTCCCACCCTTTCCCCTCAAGTCCCCGAAGTCTATTGTATCATTCTTATGCCTTTGCGTCCTCACAGCTTAGCTCCCACATATCAGTGAGAACATACAATGTTTGGTTTTCCATTCCTGAGTTACTTCACTTAGAATAATAGTCTCCGATCTCATCCAGGTCACCGTGAATGCTGTTAATTCATTCCTTTTTATGGCTGAATAGTATTCCATCACATATATAAATCACAGTTTCTTTATCCACTCATTGATTGATGGGCGTTTGGGTTGGTTCCATGGTTTTGCAATTGTGAATTGTGCTGCTATAAACATGCGTGTGCAAGTATCTTTTTTATATAATGACTTCTTTTCCTCTGGGTAGATACCAAGTAGTGGGATCACTGGATTAAATGATAGTTCTACTTCTAGTTCTTTAAGGAACATCCACACTCTTTTCCGCAGTGGCTGTATTGGTTTGCATTTCCACCAGCTGTGTCAAAGTGTTTCCTGATCACCGCATCCACACCAACATCTACAGTTTTTTGATTTTTTTTTATTATGGCCATTCTTGCAGGAGTAACGTGGTATCACGTTGTGGTTTTAATTTGCATTTCCCTGATCATTAGTGAGATTGAGCATTTTTTCATATGTTTATTGGCCATTTGTATATCTTCGTTTGAGAATTGTCTATTCATGTCCTTAGCCCACTTTTTAATGGGATTATTTGTTTTTTTTCTTACTGATTTGTTTGAGTTTGTTATAGATTCTGGATATTAGTCCTTTGTCAGATGTATAGATTGTTAAGATTTTCACCCACTCTGTGGGTTGTCTGTTTACTCTGCTGACTGTCCCTTTTGCTGTGCAAAAGCTCTTTAGTTTAATTAAGTCCCAGCTATTTATCTTTGGTTTTATTGCATTTGCTTTTGGGTTCTTGGTCATGAAATCCTTGCCTATGCCAGTGTCTAGAAGGGATTTCCCAATATTGTCTTCTAGAATTTTTATAGTTTCAGAAGTCCTTAATCCACCTTGAGTTGATTTTTGTATAAAGTGAGACATGAGGATCTAGTTTCATTCTCCTACATGTGGCTAGCCAATTATCCCAGCAACATTTGTTGAAAAGAATGTCCTTTCCCCACTTGATTTTTTCTTTGCTTTGTTGAAGATCAGTTTGCTTTGTTGTAAATACTTACAGCTTTTCCTCTGGGTAGATACCAAGTAGTGGGATCACTGGATTAAACGATAGTTCTACTTCTAGTTCTTTAAGGAACATCCACACTCTGTATTTGACTGTAAGTATTTGACTGTAAGTATTTGACTGTAAGTATTTAACTTTATTTCTGGGTTCTCTATTCTGTTCCGTTGGTCTGTGTGCCTATTTTTATACCAGTAGCATGTTGTTTTGGTGACTATGGCCTTATAGTATAGTTTGAAATCAGGTAGTGTGATGCCTTTCAGATTTGATCTTTTTGCTTAGTCTTGCTTTGGCTATGCGGGATCTTTTCGGTTCCATATGAATTTTATAATCTTTTTTCTAATTCTGTGAAGAATGATGGTGGTATTTTGATGGAGATTGCATTGAGTTTGTAGATTGCTTTTGGCAGTATAGTCATTTTCACAATATTGATTCTATCCATCCATGAGCATGGGATGTGTTTCCATTTTTTTGTGTCATCTATGATTTCTTTGAGCAGTGTTTTGTTTTCCTTTCAGAGTTATTTCACCTACTTGGTTAGGTATATTCCTAAGTATTTTATTTTATTTTATTTTATTTTATTTTATTTTATATTATTTTATTTTATTTTATTTTATTTTATTGTGGCTATTGTAAAAGGGGTTGAGTTCTTGATTTGATTCTCTGCTTGGTCATTGTTAATGTATAGAAGAGCTACTGATTTGTGTACATTAATCTTGTATCCGGAAACTTTGTTAAATTCTTTGATCAGTTCTAGGAGCTTTCTGGAGGAGTCCTTAGGGTTTTCGAGGCAAATGATCATATCGTCGGCAAAAGGTGAAAGTCTGACTTCCCCTTTATCAATTTGGATGCCCTTTATTTTTTTCTCTTGTCTGCTTGCTCTGGCTAGGACTTCCAGTACTATGTTGAAGAGGAGTGGTGAGAGTGTGCATTGTTGTCTTGTTCCAGTTCTCAGAGGGAATGATTTCAACTTTTCCCCTTTTAGTATTATGTTTGCTGTAGGTTTATCATAGATGACTTTTATTACATCGAGGTACGTCCCTTGTATGCCAGTTTTGCTGAGAGTTTTAATCATAAAGGGATGCTTGATTTTGTCAAATGATTTTTCTACATCTATTGAGATGATCATGTGATTTTTGTTTTAAATTCTGTTTATGTGGTGTATCACCTTTATTGACTTGTGTATGGTAAATCATCCTTGCATCCCTGGTATGAAACACACTTGATCATGATAGATTATCTTTTTGATATGTATTGGATTTGGTTAGCTAGTATTTTGTTAAGTATATTGGCTATGTTCATCAGGGGTATAGGTCTGTAGTTTTTTTTGTTTGTTTGTTTGTTTTGTCCTTTCTTGATTTTGGTATTAGGGTGATGCTGGCTTCATAGAATGAATTAGGGAGTATTCCCTCTTTCTCTCTCCTGTGGAATAGTGTCAAAAGGATTGGTACCAATTCTTCTTTGAATGTCTGGTAGAGTTCTGGTGTGAATCCGTCTGGTCGAGTTCTGGTGTGAATCCGTCTGGTCCTAGACTTTTATTTTTGTTGGTAATTTTTAAATTACCATTTCAATCTCGCTGCTTGTTATTGGTCTGCTCAGGGTATCTAATTCCTGATTTAAGCTAGGAGGGTTATATTTTTTTCAGAAATTTATCCACCTCTTCTGGGTTTTCTAGTTTATGTCTGTAAAGGTGTTCATAGTAGCCTTGAATGATCTTTTGTATTTCAGTGGTGTCAGTTGTAATTTCGCATTTTGTTTCTTTTTTTTTTTTTAAATTATACTTTAAGTTCTAGGGTACATGTGCACAACGTGCAGGTCTGTTACATATGTATACATGTGCCATGTTGGTGTGCTGCACCCATTAACTCCTCATTTCCATTAGGTATATCTCCTAATTCTATCCCTCCCCCCTCCCCACTTTGTTTCTTAATAAGATTATTTGGTTTTTCTCTCTTCTTGGTTAATCTTGCTAATGGTCTATCAATTTTATTTATCTTTTCAAAGAATCAGCTATTTGTTTCATTTATCTTTCATATTTTTTTGTTTCAATTTCATTTAGTTTTGCTCTGATCTTGGTTGTTTCCTTTCTTTTGCTGGGTTTGGGTTTGGTTCATTCTTCTTTCTCTAGTTCCTTCAGGTGTGACCTTAGAATGCCAGTTTGTGCTCTTTCAGTCTTTTTGATATAGCCATTTAGGGCTATGAACTTTCCTCTTAGCACTGCCTTTGCTGTATCCCAGAGGTTTTGATAGGCTGTGTCATTATTGTCATGCGGTTTGAAGAATTTTTTAATTTCCATCTTGATTTCATTTTGACCCAATGAACATTTAGGAGCAGCTTATTTGATTTCCATGTATTTGTATGGTTTTAAAGCTTCCCTTTGGAGTTGATTTCCAGATTTATTCCACTGTGGTCTGAAAGAGTGCTAGATATAATTTCAATTTTCTTAAAATTATTGAGGTTTATTTTATGGGCTATCATATGGCCTATCTTGGAGAAAGTTCCATGCACTGTTGAGTAGAATGTGTATTCTGTGGTTGTTGGATGAAATGTTCTGTATATATCTATTAAGTCCATTTGTTCCAAGACATAGTTTAAATCCATTGTTTCTTTGTCAACTTTCTGTCTTGATGACCTGTCTAGTTCTGTTAGTGGAGTATTGAAGTCCCCCACTATTATTGTGTTGCTGTCTATCTCATTTCTTAAGTCTATTAGTAATTGTTTTATAAATTTGGGATCTCCAGTGTTAGGTGCATATATTTTAGGATTGTGATATTTTCCTATCGGACAAGACCTTTTACCATTACATAATGTCCCTCTTTGTCTCTTTTAACTGCTGTTGCTTTACAGTTTGTTTTGTCTGATATAAGAATAGCTGCCCCTGCTAGCTTTTGCTGTCCATTTGCATGAAATGTCTTTTTCCACCCTTTTACTTTAAATTTATGTGAGTCCTTATATGTTAGGTCTCCTGAAGGCTGCAGATAGTTGGTTGGTGAGTTCTTATCCATTCTGCAGTTCTGTGTGTTTTAAGTGGAGCATCTAGGCCATTTACATTCAGTGTTAGTATTGAGATGTGCGGTGCCATTCCATTCATCATGCTATTTGTTGCCTGTGTACCTTGGGTTTTTTGTTTTTGCTTTTTAAATTGCATTTTTGTTTTATAGGTCCTGTGTGATTTATGCTTTAAAGAGGTTCTGTTTTGATGTGTTTCCAGGATTTGTTTCAATATTTAGAGCTTCTTTCAGCAGTTCTTACAGTGGTGGTATGGTAGTGGCGAATTCTCTAATCATTTGTTCTCTTGAAAAAGACTGTATCTTTCTTCATATATGATGCTCATGATGCTTAGTTTCACTGGATACAAAATTCTTGGCTGATAATTGTTTTGTTTGAGGAGGCTGAAGATAGGGCCCAAATCCCCTCTAGCTTGTAGGGTTTCTGCTGAGAAATCGCCTGTTAATCTGATAGGTTTTTCTTTATAGGTTACCTGGTACTTTTGCCTCACAGCTCTTAAGATTCTTTCTTTCACTTTAACTTTAGATAACCTGACGACAATGTGCCTAGGTGATGACCTTTTTGTGATGAACTTCCCAGGTGTTCTTTGTGCTTCATGTATTTAGATATCTAGGTCTCCAGCAAGGCTGGGGAAGTTTTCCTCAATTATCCCCTCAAATATGTTTTCCAAATTTTAGATTTCTCTTCTTCCTAATGAATACTGATTATTCTTAGGTTTGGTCATTTAACATAATCCCAGACTTCTTAGAGACTTTCTTCATATTTTCTTACTCTTTTTTCTTTGTCTTTGTTGAATTGGGTTAATTCAAAGACCTGTCTTCAAGCTCTGAATTTCTTTCTTCCAGTTGTTCAATTCTATTCCTGAGACTTTCCAGAGCATTTCACATTTCTATAAGTATATCCAAAGTTTCCTGAAGTTTTGATTGTTTTTTTATTTATGCTATCTATTTTCTTGAATATTTCTCCCTTCATTTCTTGTATCATTTTTTGGATTTCATTGCATTGGGCTTTGCCTTTCTCTGGTGCTTTCCTGATTAGCTTAATAATTATCTCCTGAATTGTTTTTCAGGTAAATCAGAAATTTCTTCTTTGTTTGGATTCATTGCTGGTGAGCTAATGTGATTTTGGCGGGGGATTGTTAAAGAGCCTTATTTTGACATATTACCAGGGTTGGTTTTCTGGTTCCTTCTCATTTGGGTAGGCTCTGTCAGAGGGAAGGTCTAGGGCTGAAGGCTGTTGTTCAGATTCTTTTATCCCACAGGGTGTTCCATTGATGTAGTACTCCCCTCTTTTTCCTATGGATGTGGCTTCCTGAAAGCCAGACTGCAGTGATTGTTGTCTCCCTTCTAGGTCTAGCCTCCCAGTAAATCTACCAGGCTCCAGGCTCGTACTGGGGGTTGTCTTCACAGGGTCCTGTGATGTGAACTGTCTGTGGGTCTCTCAGCTGTGGATACCAACACCTGTTCTGGTGAAGGTGGAAGGGCAGTAAAATGGACTCTGCGAGGGTTCTTGGCTTTGGTAGTTTAATGTTCTATTTTTGTGCTGGTTGGTCTCCTGCTGGGAGGTGGCACTTTCCAGAGAGCATCAGCTGTGGTAGTATGGAGAGGAGCTGGTGGTGGGTGGAGCCCTGGAACTCCCAAGAGTATATGCCCTTTGTCTTCAGCTACCAGGGTGGGTAGGGAAGGACCATCAGGTGGGGGCAGGAATAGGCATGTCTGACCTCAGACTCTCCTTGGGCAGGCCTTGCTGTGGCTGCTGTCGGGGATAGAAGTGAGGTTCCCAGGTCAATGGATTGTGTACTTAGGATGATTGTGGCTGCCTCTGCTGAGTCATGCAGGTTGTCAGGGAAGTGGGGGAAAGCGAGCAGTCGCAGGCTTCACCCAACTCCCACACAATCTGAAGGGCTGGTCTCACTCCCATTGTGCCACCCCCAACAGCACTGTCTATTTCCAGGCAGTGGGTGAGCAGGGCTTAAGAACTTGTCCCAGGCTGCCCGCCTCCCAGCCGTGAGATAAAAGGGCTCTGGTTCTTCCCCCACCTGTGGAGTCTGCATGCTAGATTTACACCCTCCCCTGAGTTCTGGCCAGGAGGCCTCTCACCTGGTTCAAATTGTTACAACGTTCAGCTGGAGACCTCCTACTCCCTGTGGTTATCTCCCCGCACCTCTGGCCACCCTCCCGAAAGGATCCCTGTGGTGCCAGGCAGGAATGGCCTGCCTGGGGACCCAGCAAGCTCCCAGGGCCCTTCCCACTGCCTCCTCCACCCCTGCATTTCACTCAGCTCTCTAAGTTGACTCAGCTCCAGGTAAGGTCAGAAACTTCTCCGGCAAACTAGACCTTCAGTTTCCCCACACCCCGTGGGAGTGTATGTTCGGGAGTGGAGAATATCCCATTTCCACTTCTGTAGTTTGGGCACTTGCAGTATTTGGGGTGTCTCCCAGGTCCTGCAGGAGGAATATAAGCTTCCTTCAGAGGGTCTGTAGGTCCTCTTGGGATTCCTGGTTTGTTCTTGCAGTCGTTCTGGAGCAAGCCTTCACATGCTGCTCTGTCCGTCCAAGTCGGAGCTGTAATCTACTCCTGCTTCGGGTCCGCCATGATCATTTTTGACTGTTTTTTTGATAATAGCTATGCTAACCGGCATGAGGTGATATTTTATTGGGATTTTAATTTGCATTTCTCTGATGATTAGAGAAATGTTGAGCACTTTTTTCATTTGTCTGTTGGCTATTCATATCTTTCTTTGAGAAATGTCTGCTCAGATTCTTTGCCCATTTTTAAATTGGGTTATTTGTTATATTGCTATTGAGTTGCTTGAGTTCCTTATATATTTTATATATTATACCTTTATCATATGTATGGTTTGCAAACATTTTCTTCCAATCTCCTGTGGGTTGTCTCTTCACACTGTTAATTGTTTCCCTTGCTGTGCAGAAACTTTTTAGTTTGATGCAGTTTCATTTGTCTGTTTTTACTTTTGTTGCCTGTGGAGCTGTTGAAGTCTTATCTTAGAAATAATTTCCCAGACAGTATCATGGAGTTTTCTCCTATGCTTTCTTTTAGTAGCTTTATAGTTTTTGGTCTTATGTTTACATTTCTCTTCATTTTTAGTTGATTTTTAAGTATGATGTGAGATAATGGTGTAATCTCATTCTTTTGCGTATGGATACCCAGTTTTCTCAACACCAATTGTTAAAGAGATTGTCCTTCCCTCATTGTTTGTTCTTGGAAACTTTGTTGAAAATTAGTTGAGATAATTGCTATTTCTAACACCATTTTGCTAATCAGGAAACGTGCTTATTGTCTTATTTATCATTGTACATTGCATGACATATGTTAGGAACATAAATATTTGTTGAATGGCTACAAAGTTGAAACAAATAGAAATTGATAAAGTCAGCTGGCAGGGCTTGGTTATTCATATCCAGAATTGACTTAGAGTAATAGTCAGTTTTCTGTTGCTATAACAGAATGCCTGAGACTGGGTAATTGATAAAGAATAAAAGTTTGGCTCATGGTTCTGGAGGCTGAAATTCCAAGGGCATGGCGGCAGCTCTGGTAAGGGCTTCATGCCACATCATACATGGTGGAGAAGCAGAAAGGGGAATTGGCATGTGCAACAGGAGCAAAACATGAGGGGCAGCCTCACTTTATAATAACCCACCCCAGCCATAACTAATCCAGACCCTTAAGAGGGAGAACTCACTTTCTTGAGAATTAGCCCAGTCCCATAACAGTGGTATTAATCCCTTCATGAAGATGAAGCCCTTATGACACAAATATTTCTTAAAGGTCCCACCACTTCTCAACACAGTTACATTGGGAATCAAATTTCAACATGAATTTCAGAGGGGAAAAACCATATTCAAAACACAGCAGTAATTTTTAAAAATATTATTGAAATGGGAAGACAACACTGAAAATTTTTTATAGATCTCACAATGTCTAAGAATGTATACATGGACTTTCATGGTATAGGACCACTAAATTATATGATCAGTGGTTCTCTACTAGAAGTATGCATTGGAACCAACTGGGGAACTTTAGGAAACTATAACTGCCTGCTCCCAGATTCACTGAATTAGAATTCTTTGAGAAGGGTCAAGGCATGTGAGTTTTGAACTCTAGACTAAAACTTCAGACTAAACCTAGAGGTAGAAAAAAAAAACTTTACTGCCTTGGGGGTCAGGGTGATCATAACTTGCTAGGCAGACAGTGAAGTAGCCATTGAAACCAGCATGGACTTCAGAAGTCATTTGGCCAGGGTTCAAATCCTGGCTCCAATGTTATGAAATAAATGTTTATGTCTTTTGAAATTCATATATTAAAGTCTAATCCCTAATGCTACTTGGAGATGAAGCCTTAAGGAGGTAATGAGAACATGAGAGTGGAGCCCTCATGAATGGGATTAGTGATTGCATACAAGGCCAGAGAGCTAGCTTGCTCTTTTCCTACCATGGAAGAATACCACAAAAAGTAGAAAATCTGCAACTCAGAAGAGGGCCCTTACCAGAAAGTAGCTATGCTGGTACCCTGATCTGAGACTTCTAGCCTCCAGAATGGTAAGAAATAAATCTTTGTTGTTTACAAGCCACTCAGTCTATAGTACGTTGTTGTAGCATCCTGGATGAACTATAACAGGGGTAGAGGAAGGAACCTTACGGCCTTGGGGTCAGGGCAAACATAGCTCATTCCTGCTATGTGGGGACTGGGGTAGCACATTGGAACCATCGTGGACTTTGGAAGTCATTCAGATCAGGATTCAAATCCAAACTCTAGCCTTGCTTTTGGTGTAAATAACTTAAACTCTCAGAGCCCAAGATTCCTCAAATGTAGAATGAATATAAAATTTTCTGTTTTATAATGTCATTCTGAAGATTAAAGAAAATTAAATAATGTTTGATACAGCATCTGGCTTAAAAGTAAGTCCTCAATACATTAAAACTACTCTAAAAAAAAAAAACCCAAGGGAAAGGAAGGGAATGGAGGGGATAGCTTTTTTGTTTTGTGTAAGTATATTAAAACTAGTCTTTTTTTGTTTTAATTTATTTTTTTGTAGAGACTGGTCTTCACCATGTATGTTGCCCAGGCTAGTCTCGAACTCCTGGGCTCAAGCCATCTGCCTGCCTTGGCTTCCCAAAGTGCTGGGATTACAGGCATGAGCCATCGTACATGGCCAAAACCAGTCTTTGGAATATCTGAAAGAACTCCTTGAGCCAGAATTTGCTACTCTAAGCACACCAGAGCTTTTCAGATGTACTAAAGCCCACTATGACCCTTGGTATCAAAGTTTTTAGCTGTAGAATCACCTTCTTGGTCATGATTAATAAAATCTGAGATCTCACAAGAAGTCAGGAATGATTTCTTTCTAACCCAGAGATTCTTGAGGCTGCTGCGAAGTAGCAGTGACCAGTATCTCCCACTCAGTTACAAAGGACCAAAGGTGATTTTAGCTACAGTGCAAGGGAATAAATTGCAGCCAACTTTTAATTTGGTCCAAACTGAATACTTTGAGAAAAATTATCAGGTATTGTTTAATTATCTCAACTCATCCTAATATCCTAGCAAAGGAAAATGGTCACCCACTAAGTAGATTTAAGTGGAGGACCTACTGGAAACTAAGAATAGTTCTCCATCATATGGATGACCTGGCAGGGATTCTACCCTCAAAGACACTGTCATTTCCAAATCCTGCAGAAAATCTGACATTGTCGGCCCTCGCTCAGTAGATGCAAAGGTGATTAGCATTCATTTTGAATCACTTATTCTTTCTGTTGTTCACCGGGCACAGTTTAAGTGGAAATAATTTGCATAACTGAATGTTCTTGTCTTCTGTGTTGTGCTGAGAGCTTCTTGTGAGTTACTCCATAAGGTGAATTAACTTAATGGATTCAGTATGTATCAAAAATTAACAGATGTTTGATGAAGTCTAAATTTATTTTGCTTTGTTTAAAGATGTGATTTAAGCTCATCTGTCTTCAAAACACTCCCAAATGATTCAAATAAATAGTTAACCACTGAGCATGTTACCAAGGTAAGGCTCTACCCAAAGAAAATATGTATGCCAAATCGTATTTTAATTTTTCAAGGAAACAGATGATTTTCATTGTTTAAGGTATCTACTACTTCTAAGAGGAGGCTAGAGCCTATGCTTTGCTGAGTTTTTCTGTAGCCTCTGGAAAATTGAGGAAACGAATTTGCCAGCAAGAGCGGTGTTCTATATTAGGAAACGTGCACATTGGCAGATGGTCAAGGGAGTGCTACCTGAGGGTAGAGAGCCATTTAGTACCATTCAAATTTAAATCTCTAATTTTAGCTGAACACGAGAGTGGAGCGATAAACCCATTTGTCGCATTTATGCTTGGCTGAAGTCAGAGGAAATGCAATATTGGTATTATCTACTCTCATAGTTATGGACATGCCTATTTGCAAATGGGTCATTGTTTAAATGCATTTATATAGTAATGAAAGCATAACTTCCAACTGAATCACTTAATGGAGATAATAATACCACTTGTCAAACAACTACTGCAGAGTATTTACCATGTGATAAGTGGAATTTGGGAACAGGATTCTATAATCAAGGACACTCTTTCACAACATGACATACATCTACATTGGCTACACAGGGCTAGAAGATACACGCAGAGCAGTTTTAGGTTGATAAAAATAAATCATCCAGGTTTCTTTGAAAACACATTTCTATTAGGTATTCTATAAAAACTTCTGAAGCATGCAGTTTAAAAACTGAATACCCATTTACTCTCTCCCGGAACCTAAACTGAAACATTTTCTCGGCTGTTTTTTAGTGATTAGTTTATTAGTGATTCAGTTACTATAGTTAGTATGGTGGGGCAAAGAAATTTAACATGTTAGATTACAACTAACAGTTTAATTCCTATTTCAGAAATACAAATATTGTTGGAGGTGAAAGGAATCTTAGAAGATGCTCTAGTTCAACTCCTTCATTTGACAGATAAAGAAAAACTAACTTGCTTAAGGTCAAACCACTAATTAATGGCAGAATCAGAAGACAGGTCTGGGTGAGCCCAGATTAATTAGGACAATTAAAATTAACAGCAGAACAAGCCCTATCAATAATTTTCCTGACAATACTTCATTGTATCCGTTTTCTTTTTGCTCACTCTAAATTTATTGAAAAACAAAATTACAAATAGATCACTGCTGTGTCCATTGCAAAATCATGTATAATTACATAAAGAAATTAACTAGAATTTCTAAATTAGTAAGGATTTCTGGAGAAACATACAAAAACATTTGTGAAGTCATATGGTTTCCTGATATTGCATTTCATGGACCTCCTAATAGCTTTTCGTCTGAAGGTCAGCTCAGCACTGCTGAACAACCTCTGCAGGGAGCAAGAAATTATCTGAAGATTGGAAGGTTTGTATTGCTTTATGGATCCTTGATAGGCATAAATTAAGAATTTGGGCTTTGAGCTCCTTGCGTGTGTGTGCGTGTGTTTGCAGGTATTTCTTCCTCTCTTCAAGAGTGAATACACTAAATCTCTAGCCAAAGCCATGATGATACTCTTGGAATTTCAGGGCATTTAGATTCGAGTTCCTACAATAACCCTGTACTCCCACCTCCTGCCAATAATACCCTTGATTTAGATTTTTTTCTTTATGTGAATATTCTTATTTTATCCCACACTTAGCACACATTTGGGGTGCATGTGTACATCTTTTACTTCATATATGATTTTTTTTTTCCTGTGAGACTGAATGAAGAAGGATTAAAGGCTTTAATTGAAGATGGGAGTTATCTTGGATTCTCTAGATGCTTCTCTTTCTGTTACTCTTCAAATTTCATCTATCGACAAACGTAACCTTTTTTGTCTTTTATATATTTTTATTTTTATTTTATTTTACTTTAAGTTCTGGGATACATGTGCAGAATGTACAAGTTTGTGACATACGTATACATGTGTCATGGTGGTTTGTTGCACCTATCAACCAATCATCTAGATTTTAAGCCCCACATGCATTAGGTATTTGTCTTAATGCTCTCCCTCCCCTTGTCCCTCACCCCCACGACAGGCCCGTGTGTGATGTTCCCCTCCTTGTGTTCATGTGTTTTCATTGTTCAACTCCCACTTATGAGTGAGAACATGCAGTGTTTGGTTTTCTCTTCCTGTGTTAGTTTGCTGAGGATGGTGGTTTCCAGCTTCATCCATGTCCCTGAAAAGGACATGAACTCTTTCATTTTTAAGGCTGTATAGTATTCCATGGTGTATATGTGCCACATTTTCTTTATCCAGTCTATCATTGATGGGCATTTGGGTTGGTTCCAAGTCTTTGCTATTGTAAATAGTGCTGCAATAAACATATGTGTGCCTGTGTCTTTATAGTAGAATGATTTATAATCCTTTGGGTATAAACCCAGTAATGGGATGGCTGGGTCAAATGGTATTTCTAGTTCTAGATCCTTGAGAAATTGCCACACTGTCTTCCACAATGGTTGAACTAATTTACACCTCCCCCAACAGTGTAAAAGTGTTCCTATTTCTGTACATCCTCTCCAGCATCTGTTGTTTCCTGACTTTTTAATAATCACCATTCTAACTGGTGTGAGATGGTATCTCATTGTGGTTTTGATTTGCATTTCTATAATGACTAGTGATAATGAGCTTTCTTTCATATGTTTGTTGGCTGTGTAAATGTCTTCTTTTGAGACGTGTCTGTTCATATCCTTTGCTCACTTTTTGATGGAGTTGTTTGTATTTTTCTTGTAAATTTGTATAAGTTCCTTGTAGATTCTGAATATTAGCCCTTTGTCAGATGGACAGATTGTAAAAATTTTCTTCCATTCTGTAGGTTGCCCATTCACCAGGATGATCATTTCTTTTGCTGTGCAGAAGCTCTTTAATTAGATCCCAGTTGTCAATTTTGGCTTTTGTTGCAATTGCTTTTGGTGTTTTACTCACGAAGTCTTTGTCCATGCCTACATCCTGAATGATATTGCCTCCATTTTCTTCTAGGGTTTTTATGGTTTTAGGTTTCACATTTAATTCTTTAACCCATCTTGAGTTAATTTTTGTGTAAGTTGTGAGGAAGGGGTCCAATTTTCTGCCAGTTTTCCCAGCACCATTTCTTAAATAGGGAATTCTCTCCCTGTTGTTTTTGTCAGTTTTGTGGAAGATCAGATTGTTGTAGACTTGTGGCATTATTTCTGAGATCTCTGTTCTGTTCCGTTGGTCTATATATCTGTTTTGGCACCAGTACCATGCTGTTTAGGTTACTGTAGCCTTGTAGTATAGTTTGAAGTCAGGTAGCATGAGGCTTCCAGCTTTGTTCTTTTTACTTAGGATTGTCTTGGCTATTCAGGTTCTTTTTTGGTTCCATGTGAAATTTGAAGTAGTTTTTCATAATTCTATGAAGAAAGTCAATGGTAGCTTGATGGGAATAGCATTAAATCTATAAATTATTTTGGGCAGTATCTCCATTTTCACAATACTGATTCTTCCTATCTATGAGCATGGAATGTTTTTCCATTTGTTTGTGTCCTCCCTTATTTCCTTGAGCGGTGGTTTATAGTTCTCCCTGAAGAGGTCCTTCATGTCCCTTGTAAGTTGTATTCCTAGGTATTTTATTCTCTTTGTAGCAATTGTGAATGGGAGTTCACTCATGATTTGGCTTTCTGCTTGTGTCTTATTGGTATATAGGAATGTTTGTGATTTTTTGCACATTGATTTTGTATCCTGAGAATTTGCTGAAGTTGCTTAATAGCTTAAGGAGTTTTTGGGCTGAGACGACGGGGTTTTCTAAATATACAATAATGTCATCTGCAAACAGAGACAATTTGACTTCCTCTCTTCCTATATGAATACCATTTATTTCTTTCTCTTGCCTGATTGCCCTGGCCAGAACTTCCAATACTATGTTGAATAGGAGTGGCGAGAGAGGGCATTTTTGTCTTGTGCCAGTTTTCACAGGGAATTGTTCCAGCTTTTGTGCATTCGGTATGATATTGTGTATGGGTTTGTCATAAATAGCTCTTATTATTTTGAGATATGTTCTATCAATACCAGTTTATTGAGAGTTTTTAGCATGAAGCAATGTTGAATTTTATCAAAGGCCTTTTCTGCATCTATTGAGATAGTCGTGTGGTTTTTGTCAGTGGTTTTGTTTATGAGATGGATTATGTATATTGATTTGCATATGTTAAACCAGACTTGCGTCCCAGGGATGAAGCTGACTTGATCCTGGTGGATAAACTTTTTGATGTGCTGCTGGATTTGGTTTGCCAGGATTTTGTTGAGGATTTTCATCAGGGATATTGGCCTAAAATTTGTCGTTGTTGTTGTTCTGTCTCTGCCAGGTTTTGGTATCAGGATGATGCTGGCCTCATGAAATGAGTTAGGGAGGTGTCCCTCTATTTCTATTGTTAGGAGTAGTTTCAGTGGGAATGGTACCAGCTCCTCTTTGTACCTCTGGTAGAATTCCGCTGTGCATCTGTCTGGTCCAGGGCTTTTTTGGCTGGTAGGCTATTAATTACTGCCTCAATTTCAGAACTTGTTATTGGTCTATTCAGGGTTTTATATGTGTTCTATATTTCTTAAGCCCATCTCCCTTTTCTATCCCTATCATCATTGTAATAATTCCTTGTCATTGTTCTTCCATCTCTATCATTATTGTCAACAACTCCCTATCATTGCTGCAATGGTGTTCTATCTTTACTCCCTACATGGCATAAGGCCTTTCTTTCATCCTGTGATTCCTTCTATCTCTCCTCTCTTTTTTCCAGAGAGTGCTTATTCTACACTATTGGTCTGTGCACACTGAACCATGGTTCTCCATACACACTCCATTAATTTTACCTCTGTGCCTTCATTCATACTCTCACAATGCCTGAAGTGCCATGGCCTTACTTCATTGCCTGCGTAACGCCAACTTGTGATTTTTTTGAAGGCACAGGATACTTTATTTATTCACTGAACAGACATTCATATAGCACTATTATATACTAAGCATCATTCTAAAATAAGAGTTTGTAAACTATGACCCATGGATCAGATCTGGTCCATTGCTTATTATTTTTCTGTAGCTTTATTGAGATAAAACATGTGTATCATGAATTTTATCCTATCAAGTACAATGAAAATGTTTTCATATATTGAGAGTTGTGCAAACATAACCACTTGTCTAATTTTAGGGCATTTCTACTGCCCCCTCGAGAAAATCCATTTCTCAACCGGGCACAGTGGCTCACACCTGTAATGCCAGCAGTTTGAGAGGCAGAGGCAGGCAGATCATGCGGTCAGGAGATCGAGATCATCTGGCTAACATGGTGAAACCCTGTCTCTACTAAAAATACAAAAATTAGCCGGGTGTGGTGGTGGGTGCCTGTAGTCTGAGCTACTTGGGAGGCTGAGGCAGGAGAATGGTGTGAACCTGGGAGGCAGAGCTTGCAGTGAGCCGAGATTGTGCCACTGCACTCCAGCCTGGGTGACAGAGCAAGACTCCGTCTCAAAAAAAAAAAAAAAAGAAAGAAAGAAAGAAAGAAAGAAAAGAAAATCCATTTTTCATCATTCCATTGCCCTCTCCCTGAGACCCTCCACTTTCTGTCTCTATGAATTTGTCTATTCTGGATATTTTATATAAATGTAATTATACATGCGGTCTTTTGTGACTGGATTTTTTCATGTAGCATAATATTTTAAAGGTTCATTTGTGTTGTAGTATGTATCAGTGCTTCATTCCTTTTTAGTGCAAAAAAAATTCCATTGTATGAACACACAGCATTTTATTTATTCTTTCATCAGTTGATAAACATTGAATTGCTTTTGCTTTTTGGCTATTATAAATAATGTTGCTATATAAATATTTTTATACAACGTTTTATGGGGATATATGTTTTCATTTCTTATATATCTAGAAGATAAATTTTTGGATCATATGGCACCTCCATGGTTAACTTTTTATGGAACTGCCAAGCTGTTTTCCACAGTGGTTGTACCATTTCGCATTTCTACCAGGGTTCAAATTTTTCTGCGTCCCAGTCGATATTTGTTATTGTCCATTATTTATTTTATATATTCCAGTGAAAGTGAAGTAATATCTCATTTTGATTTTGATTCACATTTTCCTAGTGATTAATAATGTTGAGCATTTTTGATGTAACCACTGGCTTTTGTATATCTTCTTTGAGGAAGTATACACTCAATTGATTTGTCCATTTTTAATTGAGTTATTTGACTTTCTACAGTTGAGTTTTAAGAGATTCCCCCATTCAATGGATTGTCTGCTACTTTCTTGAATCTGAATTAGATTTTACACTTTTTCTTGACTCAATTCTGGTAGTTTCTGTCTTTCTATAAATGTCTCTGTTTTACCCAGGTTACCTAGTTTGTCAGATACAATTTTTCATGGTGTTCTTTTTTTTTTTTTTTTTTTGAGATGGAGTCTCGCTCTGTCACCCAGGCTGGAGTGCAGTGGTGTGATCTGGGCTCACTACAAACTCCACCTCCCAGGTTCACGCCATTCTCCTGCCTCAGCCTTCGGAGTAGGTGGGACTACAGGCGCCTGCCATCACGCCCGGCTAATTTTTTGTATTTTTAGTACAGACAGGGTTTCACCGTGTTGGCCAGGATGGTCTTGATCTCCTGACCTCATGATCCACCTGCCTCGGCCTCTCAAAGTGCTGGGATTACAGGCGTGAGCCACCACGCCTGGCCCATGGTGTTCTCTTTTAATCCTTTTTATTTCTGCAAGACGGGTAATGATGTCTAACTTTTATTGCTCATTTTTGCAATTTGAATCTTCTTTTTCTTTTCTTAGTCTAATTAATGTTGTTGGCCTTTTTAAAGAAACAACTTCTGGTTTTATTGATTTTCTGTATTACTTGTCTATTCTTGATTTCAGTTATTTAACGTTTATTTTTTCTTTATTCTGCTTGCTTTGAATTTAGTTTGCTTTTTTATTTTTATTATTTGTTAAGGTGGAATGTTAGGGTATTGATTTGAAATCTTTCATTTTATATTGATGTTTATAAATCTCTCAAAATCTCTGGAATACAGCAAAAGCAGTGCTAAGAGTGAAGTTTCTAGAGATAAATGCCTATATCAAAAAGATAGAAAGATCACAAATTGACAACCTTATATCATACCTCAAGGAACTAGAAAAATAAGAAGAAACCAAACCCAAAGCTATCAAAAAGAAAAATAACAATCAGACCACAATTAAATAAAATTAAAACAAAAAATTAATACAAAGGATGAATGAAATTAAAAGCTGGCTCTTTGAAAAGATAACCAGATTGATAGACCACTAGCTAGGTTAACCCAAAAAAGAGAAAGTTTCAAATAAAACTCAATCAGAAATGAATGTGGAAACAGTACAACTGATAACACAGAAATACAAAAGATTGCCCACAATTACTAAGAACATCTCTGTGCACACAAACTGGAAAATCTAGAGGAAATTGATAAATTCCTGGAAAGATACAATCCTCCAAGCTTGAATCAGGAAGAAATAGGAATCTTAAACAGATCAATAATGGGTAACGAGATTGAATCAGTAATAAAAAAATCTCCCAACAACAACAAAAAAGCCAGAATTGACAGCCAAATTCTGTCAGATATTCAAAGAAGAACTTACACCAATCCTACTGAAACTGTTACAAAATATTGAAAAGGAAGGAGTCCTCGCTAATTCATTCTATGAAGCCTGTATCACTCTGATATCAAAGCCAGAAAAGGACACAACAAAGAAAGAAAAGTGCAGACCAATGTTCCTGATGAATATAGATGCAAAAATACTCAACATAATACTAGCAATCCAAATCCAACACCATATCAAAACGATAATTCAACACAATCAAGTGTGTTTCATCCAGGGATGAAAAGATGGTTCAACATACACGCATTAATAAATGTGATTACCACGTAAACAGTATTAAAAACTATATGATCATTTCAATATATGTAGAAAGAAACATTTGATAAAATTCAGCATGTTTTCATATAAAACAACTTTAACAAACTAGGCATAGAAGGAATATACCTTAAAATAATAAATGCCATATATGACAAACATATAACTAACATAATACTGAATAGAGAAAAGTTGAAAGCATTCCCCCTCAGAGCTAGAACAGACAAGGATGCCCACTTTCACTACTTCTATTCAACACCGAACTGGACATGGTAGCCAGAATAATAAGGCAAGGGAAAGAAGTAAAGGGCATCCAAATTGGAAAAGAGTAAGTCAAACTATCTCTGTTTGCTGATGATATAATCTTATACCTTGAAAACCTCAAAGTCTCCTCCAAAAGACTTCTAGATTTGATTAATGAATTCAGTAAAGTCTCAGGTTACAAAATCAACTTATACAAATCAGTAGCATTGCTATACACCAATAACAGCCAAGCTGAGAATCAAATCAAGAACTCGATCCCATTTACAATGGCTGCAAAAGATTAATCTCTAGGAATATACATAACCAAAGTGATGATGAATCTCTACAAGGAGAACTAAAAAACACTGCTGAAAGAAATCACAGTTGAAACAAACAAATGAAAAAAAATTCCATGTTCATGGATAGCACCAATCAATATTGTGAAAATGACTGTACTGCTCAAAACAATCTACAGATTCAATACAATTCCTATCAAAATACCAATGTCGTTTTTCAAAGAATAAGGAAAAAATATCCTTAAATTTATCTGAAAGCAAAATGGAGCCAAAATAGCCAAAGAAATCTTAAGCAAAAAGAACAAAGCCAGAGGCATCACACTACCCAACTTCAAATTATACTAGAAGGCTATGGTAACCAAAACAGTATGACACAGGTATAAAAGTACACACATAGACCAACGGAACAGAATAGAGAACCTAGAAATAAAGTCAAATACCTACAACCAACTGATCCTTGACAAAACACACAAAAACACATACTGGAGAAGGTACACTCTATTCCATAAATGGTGTTCATGAAAAAGAATGAAACTTGATCCCTATCTCTCATCATAGACAAAAATTAACGCAAGATAGATTAAAGTCTTAAATGTAAGACCTGAATCCATAAAAATTCTAAAAGAAAGGTTAGGAAAAACTCTTCTAGACATTGGCCTAGACAAAGAATTTATGACTAAGATCCCAAAAGCAAATGCAACAAAAAGAAAAATAAATAAATGGGACTTAATTAAATTAAAACTTTTCTGCCAGCAAAATAAATAATCCATAGAGTAAACAAACAACCTAAAGAATGAAAGAAAATATTCACAACCATATACCTTGCAAAGGACTGACATCCAGAATTTGCCAAGGATCTAAAACAAATCAGCAAGAAAGAAACAAATCCCATTATATATTAGGCAAATGACATGAACAGATATTTCTCAAAAGAAGATATATGAATGGACAACAAACATATAGTAAAATCCTCAACATCACTAATCATAAGGAAAATGCAAATTAAAACCACAGTGAGATGCCACTTTACCCAAGTCAGAATGCTATTCTTAAAAAGTCAAAAACCTATAGATGTTGGTGAAGTTGTGGTGAAAAAAGAATGCTTAAAACACAATTGATGGGAATGTAAATTAGCACAACCTCTACGGAAAACAGTATAGAGATTTCTCAAAGAACTAAAAATAGACCTACCATTTGATCAGCAGTCCCTCTACTGGGTATTCACCCAAGGAAAATAAGTCATATAAAAAGGCATCTGCACTTGTGTGTTTATTGCAGCACAATTCACAATTGCAAAGACGTGGAATCAACCTAAGTGCTCATCAGCCAATGAGAGGATTAAAAAAATGTTGTGGGTGTGTGTGTATATATGTGTATGTATGTGTGTATTCACATATATATGTACATATATTTGTGCATATATACACATATATAATCAATTGTAAGTAAAAACCACTTGTACTCATAAAGCTATTGAAATAAATATTTTTAAATGTTAGATAAATACAGCTATAAATTTATCTCTAAGCACTGCTTTAGCTGAATTTCATAAGTTTTAGTATATTGTGTTTTTGTTTTCATTCATATGAAAACGTTTTATAATTTTTCCTGTGATTTCTTCTTTGACCAATGACTATTTAAGACTGTATTATTCAATTTTCACATATTTATGAATTTCTCAATTTTTTTTCCAATTACTGATTGCTAACTTAACTCCGTTAGGATAAGATAACATTCTTTGCATAATTTCAATCCTTTTAAATTTATTGAGGTTTGCTTTACACCCTAACATACTGTCTACCTGTAGAATGTTCTATATGCGCTTGAGAAGACTGTGTATTCTGCAATTGTTGGCTGAACTGTTCCATAGATGTCTGCTAGGTCTAATTGGTTTATCACATTGTTCAAGTCTTTTATACTCCTGTTGATAATTTGCCTAGTTGTTCAATCTATTGTTAAAAGCAGAGTATTAAAGTCTCCAAATATTGTTGAGTTTTCTATTTCTCTCTTCAATTATGTTAGTTTTTGCTTGATGTATTTTCAGGCTTTTTTGTTAGGTGAATATATGTTTATAATTATTATAGCTTCCTGATTGGGTGATCCTTTTGTCCTAAAGTGTCCTTCTTTGTGTCTAGAAATAATTTTACCTTCAAAGTCTGTTTTGTCTGATATTAGTATAGAAACTTCAGCTCTTTTTGCTTATTATTTGAATGATATTCTTTTAATTTCAATGTAGTTGTGTCTTTGAATCTAAAGTGTATCTCTGGTAGACAACAAATAGTTGGATTATGTTTTTGTATTCATTTTAACAAACTCTCTCTTTTGATTCAAGTGCTTATTTAAATTTAATGTAGTTAGTGATAAGGTAGCATTTACATCAGCCATTTTGCTATTTCTTTAAAATATGATTGAATTTGCCCCTTTTCCTGTGCCCAGACCCTCTGTTCAAAGGATGAAGAATCACTTATGCCAAAATGCTATGGGTTCAATAAATGGTACTAGAAGACTAAATGCTTGGTCAAGAGTCTTGTAGGGGGTTCAGTCCTCTGACCTCCTCTGCCATGCCTTTCCTTGAGTGGGATGTCAAGCTGCTCTCTCTATCTGGAGTGATATAATGAGAGCTGATAAGCCCCTAAGTATCCTGTCTCCCTTATCTTAAATTTGTGGCTCTAAGCAGATTGCAAAGAAATTAGGACAAAGTTAAATACGTTGGAAAAGGTGCTTGAGGAGAGAATGACTTTCTTACTCTCATACCAAACTGTATACTTATCTATTCAGGAGGGTTAGTGTGGTATTTTGATGGGTATGTAGCCTTTTGAGATGCTGATAAAAGAATCTGTAATATGGCCTCTCATTATTTTGTGCAGCCTTGGCACTGAACTTGGCAATTCAGATCCTAGAGCCTGTCCTTCCTGGACAAAAATGGAAATAATATAAATTAACCCTTTCCTCCTCCAGAGAAAAATTGAAAGGCTGATGACTCAGGGTCAAGATATCTTCAAATTAATAAAGACTTCTCCCTAGCCACCTGCTATTCTACATCTCTTTAAGGAAACAGCTGCAATTTTTAGGACAAATTCGTAAGATTAGCATAGCATCCTTTTGAATTTTCTTTTAAGATAGATTAATAGTTTATAAACATAATTTTATCAAGTTGCTTAATTTCCATTTATTTTAAAATCAAATTTTCTAAAATTACATAATATTTCAAGCAGAATTCTTTATATTAAGTTTGAAATGATAATGAAACTGCTTTTGGGGATAAGGATTAAGCAAATGCTTTTTTGATTTATAATAGAAACTGATAGGAATTGGAGATTTAAAAATTCTTTCTCATTGTTAATGGTGAGTCTAGGTGAAGCAGGCCAGACCCAGTTAAATTTAGACCCGACTCTCTAATTTCTGTAAAACAGGATTAAAAATTAGAATAATCTTATGTCTGGAACATCCTGAATATTTTTATCTCTTTTTATAGGAAGATTTGATATATTTGATTGACTGGTTTTTTCTTTGTGTAGCTCAAGGCATAAAACAAAGAAATTTTAAGCAGTAAACAATCTATTTTTAGTTTATTAAGATCCAGAAATAAGACAGAGAACCAAGAGAAGAAGCAAAAAATGTAATAAGAAAAGTGAACACAGTCAATTGCAATATTTTTGTATTCTTTCCCATGAAAGATCATCATATGGTGAATTTCTCAAGTCCAGAGTTCACATTGTACCTGTGGTGTACAAATTCCAGTAATGCTGTCTCTGTCTCTAGATGTAATCTACAAGTCTTGGAACATGAAAAATTCAGGTAATCTGAGTAGTTGAACTAACTCACTAATCCATGGCATTTCATTTTTCATATAAGGTAAGGAGAAGAGATTTTTCACTTGCACAGACTGGATATCTTAGTCAGTTTGGGCTGCTTTAATAAAAATACCATAGAATGGGTGGCTTAAACAACAAACATATATTTCTCACAGTCCTAGAGACTGGGAAGTCCAAGATCTAGGTGCTAGCAGATCCGGTGTCTGGATCTGGTTTGCAGATGGCCATCTTCTCCTTTTGTTTTCACCTGGCAGAGAGCAGAGAGAGAGTAAGGGCAAGTTCTCATGTCTCTTCCTACAAGGGCACTAATCCTAATCGCGAGGGATCTACCCTCTTGACCTAATTACCTCCCCAGAGCCCCACCACCTAATACCATTGCATTGGGGATTAGGATATCAACATATGAGTTTTGGGGGCAAAAATATTTAGTCTGTAGGACAGGAGCTCATAAAGTGTGGTAGGTACAGATCAGTCCAGAGCTATGTCTTTCCTAAAACTCATACGTGCCTGGACATGAAGAAGTGTTGGAGGGAGTCTATTTGCATAAGAGACAGAAACACCTTCCTCTGAAGAATCATAATGAGGAAAAGAAGAAATGAGAAATGATAGCTTGATTCAAGAATAATGCCACAGAATCAGAGAGGAAGGAGATTTTGGAGTACAATGTCCTTTTCTCAAATATTCTCCCAGTCAAGTGCCATGGACTCCTGTCGGAGTGTTCTATGAAAAGGTTATAAGATTGAGCCAGAAGAGCCAGTTCATCAAAATTCCACTAAGAAGTGAGAGTTCCACAGCCCAGTGCTGAGACCCAAGAGCAGAGTGTAAACCTAAGGTGGCGAGAGCATGTCTTCACTTCACTATGGAAGTGAAGGTAGTCAGAACTCTCAGCTAAGACTGATGTCTTGGAATAATGATGTATACTGGGTTAAAGAAAATTAAAAGAGACTAATTTCCAAATAACACACACACGTAAAATAGCCGAACTGGTGATAAGGAAGTAAAAGCAGGAACCAAAGGTAAGAGTAGAAATTGTAAATTAGTATCTGTCACATTTGTCTTTGGCAACCATAGTTCTCATAAAGAGGTATCCTTAATTGTGGTGACAGCTTTCTGAGGTCTTGAAGATGACTAGAGAAAGGAAAAGCAAGAATAATGATGGTACAGGCCACCCCATTCCTGAAAGGGAAACACAGTGATGAACTCATAGCTCCTCTGAGAACTTCTAGGAGTCTACAGGGATTTTGAAGGGGAGCTGGAGGTCTGATAATGCTGCGTGGGTACAGAGAACACAGTGTGGAATTCTGAATGCAACCATTACTTTATTGATAGTATGATGAAGCCAGGGGAAACTATAGAACTTAAGGAAAAATATTCTTAAGGCTTTAAGAAGATTAAGTTTAAGAAGGAATAAGAACTTGAAAGAATCCTTATATTTATATTTAGAGATCACTTTCACTTATGTTTTGATGCATCCTTCATGACAGGCTGATTTTGAAGGACTTATCTTCATTGCATAAGTGCAGAAAATAGACCTCAGTTTCCCTGAGTTTCCAAGATTTTAAAGCTGAGGAGTGGGAGAGTCTGGATTAGTCCTCAGAGCTAATGAGTTAGTCTCCAAGAAGTGTTGCTCCAATGAGGCTTTAAGGTCCTAAATGCTGTCTCATTAGCAAGACGTCAGGAACCACTTGTGAAACAGGCACTTCATGGTTAGGGATGACTTTCAAAAATTGAGAGAGAAAATGAGTAATTACAAAATAAAATTCTACCTTTATGAAGTTGGGCACAATATACTTTATAAAGAATAACCAGAAGCAGGTTGGAGCAGAACTGGTGATATGGCCGTAATGTGTGGCCCCCTGAGCACAGGTAAGATGGGGCATTGCCTGGAATAGCCTGAATCAAACATCCTCTCTTGGAAACAGGATCCTTGCTCCAGACATTTGTGTGCTTTCTGGAGCCACCACAATAACATAGAGATTGAGACATTCAAAAGAATTATCAGGTCAGTATTTTCTTGTTTATGCTTTTGTTTTGGCAGCTGGCTCAGAGGAAACCTATCCAGTACCACATAGGCTGTCCAATGTCTCAGGAGTCCTTCAAAACCCTGTAAATCTCCCAGCCCCTTTCCATCTTTTGATGATATAATGAACCATGCCAAATCCTACTTAATTCAAACACCAACAAAATCCCATGATAGAGGCTTATGCAATTAAATTTTTGAGAATGCTTTACAATGCAATTCTCAAACATAAACATAGGTAGGGAAAATAGTATAATGACCCCCTGTGTATGTATTACTCACCTTCAACAATTGTTTACACGAAGTCGGGGTTAATTTCAAATGATTATTTTAAAATATATACTCTGGCATAGACTGCTAGCTCTAACCTAAATGTGTTCATCTCTTCTTTTATAATAGTGAAAGCCCATAGTTATAGCTCCTTAGAATAGCGACTGCATTTTCCTTCCTAACTTGTGGGTAGGTCTGACCATGTGGTTTGGTTCTGGCTAAGGGGATGTGAGCAACAGTGATGACTGTAACTTCTACATATGCTCTGTAAGGTAAGGGGTATGGCATTTCTTTCTCTCTTTACCCTCTACTACTCTGTTTTGCAGATAAGGAAGTAAACTGCTTTGGACCAGAGACAAAGATCACACTTTAATGATGGTAGAGCCACAAAGTAGAATTTCCAGGCCCCTGAAGACTTGACAGAGTAGAACTGCTATACAGTTGGACTATTATGTGAGAGGGAAATAAAAATCTGTCTGGTTTATGATGTGTGGCCCTCTAATTTAAACCAGTTTACTTGAGTCTGTGTTACTAGCACAAAACCAACATTCTAATTAATCATCTTGATAAATGATTGTATAATTTTGCTGAATAGAAATTTAAGCCTGTATATTAACAGCACTTCTGTGATTTGATGATATGCTACATGTTAGCTCAGCACTTATATCACAATTTCTCTGGTTCTCACTCAACAAATATTTCCTGAGTGGCCGCTATATGCCAGGCACTATTCCCAACATCTGGAATAGTGTCTGGCATATAGCAGCCACTCAGGAAATATAAAAATAAGCTTTCTGCCCCCATAAAGCTTATATCATGTTATGGGATGAATGCTTAGATCATCTTGTATTAGTCTGTTCTCATGTTGCTAATAAAGACATACCCAATACTGGGTATTTTAAAAAGGAAAGAGTTTTAATTGACTTACAGTTCCACATGGCTGGAGAGGCCTCACGATCATGATGGAAGGTGAACAAGGAGCAAAGTCATGTCTTACATGGCAGCAGGCAAGAGAACATGTGCAGGGGAGCTCCCATTTATAAAACCACCAGGTTTTGTGAGACTTATTCACTACCACAAGAACAGAATGGGGGAAACCACCCTCATGATTCAATTGCCTCCCACCAGTTTCCTCCCATGACATATGGGGACTATTACAATTCAAGCTGAGATTTGGGTAGGGACATAGAGCCAAACCATACCACCTCTTAAAATTCATATGTTGAAGTCCTGATCCCCAATGTGATGGTATTTGGAGGTGGGGTCTTTGGGAATTAATTATCTTTAGATTAGGTCATGAAGGTAGCATCCTCATAAAGGGATTAGTGCCCTTATCAGAAGAGGAAGACAGAGATCTCTCTCCCTTCAGGAGTAAGCATTGAAGAAAGGCTATGTGAGGACACAATGAGAAGGCAGCCATCTGCAAGCAAGGAAGAGAGCCCTCACCAGCTCCCAAATCTACAGGTCCCTTGATTTGGAATTCTCAGCCTCCAGAACTGTGAGAAATACATTTCTGTTGTTTGAGCCACCCAGTCTATGATATTTTGTAACAGCCACCCAAGCTAAGACACATTCTAATAGATTTTTGCTTTCTGCTTCAACTTTTTACTATGGGCCCATTTATTCATTCATTCAACAAATATGTATGGACTAGCCAAAATTGCCAGGCTCCATTCTAGGCACTTGGCATGCAGTAGTGAATAAAAGGGTCAAAATCTCTCTGTTCCTAGGACTTACATTCTAGAGCGGGAGATGGTCAGATAAGCAAGATCAATAAGTATTATTAAAATATGTACTATAACAAATAGTGATACATGCTAAGGAGTAAAGTAAAACAGGAAAGGGTAGTGAGAAGTAGGAGAGATGAAATTTTATGTTTTAGATGGGGTCATCAGAGACTCCTTCATTCTATTTGAATAGAGACATGAAAGAATGATGGAGCAAGCTGTGCCGACAATCAGGGTAGAAGCAGTCCAGTCAGAAGGAATTACATGTGCAAAACCCAGAGGTAGTACCATGTTCTGGAAACTGCAATGAGACCCATGTGGCTAGAGCTGAGTGAACCAGAAGGATACCAGTAGGGGAGACAGTCTTATCCTTTAGGGGTTTTGTAGGGCCCAGATGGCTCAAAAGCTGACATCTCTTGCTTAATTAAAAACTAGGCATCTTTGCCTCACCCTTACAGTGTTTCCTTTTTTTAAATTACACCTGTTACAAATATTATCCCTGCAAACAACCATTGGCATAGTCCTATGGGCAAGTACACATTATTGTCTCAGTAGAATGCCCCTGTTGACACAAGGGCAACATCACATATGATCTGATGGGTGAGTCTGAAGCCAGTCAAATGAACAGTAGTGAAGAGAGGAAACCCAGGGCAGGAAGCAGGCAGTGAAGGATCTTGGGGTGGAAGCTTTGGATGCTGGCAGTGAAGAAGGGAAGGGGCCAGCAGCTTCCTTCTAGCACCAGCTATTTGTGATGAGTGGCAGGTGTTGATCAGAGCAATGCTAATATATAGAAAGTGGGGGAAAACTTCAAGGATGTCAATATAGGAAGTTTTTGGGGAAAATGTTCAGATTATGACTCATGGAGGGAGAGATATAAAACAGACTAGCTGAAATAGTGTGCATACTGTTAACCATACAGGTGAGAGTCACAGAGGGCACAGAAAAAAATATGACCAAAGTGAGTTAGTCTTCTCACATGTCCTCACATGGCCTTTCCTTAGTGCTTATGCCACCCTTGTTGCCCTGATTTTCAGAGGTATCATATTATTATAAAAACATTAGAAGAGGAAAACCAGTTCCTACTGAAGTAAAGAATAGAGATGGGGGCCACATGTGGTTTCTCTGGTTCCCCCTCCACCCCGCCGAGGGAAGGTCTGGAGGGGAGTTTGAGAGGAATTTCTCACCATTAGCAAAAAGGGAAAGATTTGACTTACTATGAAAAGATGTACTTGATTCTGAGTTCTGGAGAAAGTGTCCATGTATAGCTGACATTTCTTTTTTGATGCTGACCTTAGATTGGAGTCATTGCAGGAAATAAATAGTGCAGTGTCATATCCACGTTCTAGTGTGTGGTTCACACGGATAATGCTGCTTGGGAGGAACCCAGAATACTGAACTATAAAAGGTACATCTGCACTCTCTTGGCAGCTAGGATTGTTCTCCAGGCCCTGACAGATTGGGCCTGCCCAGAGGGAACAATAGGACAGGGAAGCAACTGTATAGCATAAGGCTGCTTTTGATTAAACAAATGGGTGATGGCAAATGGGTGATGAAAAATGGAAAACATCTCAGTTTCTTCTATGAATCTTGTGCTACACTTTGTTCCTTACTATAGTGCTATTTCAGTTGAAGGCTGAGATGGTGTCAAACTCAACAGAATGGAGTAGTAAATATGGTTGATTTGCCATGTCTGCTGGGAGCAACATAGGAGAGGGTGATGGTCTCTGTGTTACACATTTGCTATCTCTGTAATAAATCATTGCTTTGATAAATAATAGTCACAAGTATTTCTGATAAATTTTTCTTTTATAATAGAATATATTTTAAATTTGAGAACGGTGGAATTCTGTGTCCAAAGAAAGACTGGAGGTACCAAGGTCAAAAAGTATATATAATAGCAATTTAGATTTTGTAAGAATATAGCAAGAAAATTGCCTTGAGTTGGGCAGTATCAGTGGAAAAGACACAAACTGTGTTTTATTTCTATTGTCTCACTTGATGGCAATCAACATAGGCTACTTTTGTGACCAAATGTATGTGGGTTTTTCCCCACATCTCAAGCAAGCAATCAGCTGCGCAGCAGACACCAGCTGTATGTGCTCTAATTCAATTCTGACACTATTTACCTGGAGATAGCATCAGATCCCACAGGTTGAGAGCTCAGTTCTCAAGAGTACACTCCTTCCTTCTGCTGTCAAGCCTGAGACCCAGGTTGTTTGACCTGTGCTTCTGACTGACTGGCTATAAATCAGGGATCCCATGACCCTTTTCTGGGGTTTGATTAATTTGTTAGAGTGGCTCACAGGACTCAGAGAAACATTCAAATTTACCAGTTTATTACAAAGAATATTACAAAGGGTACAGATGATGAGATACCTGGAGCAAGTTATGGTAGGGGGAGTGGTGGGGCTTCCACACTTTCCCAGGTGTGCCACCCTCCAGGAACCTCCCTGTGTTCAGTTACCCCAGAAGCTTTCTGTACCATGTCCTTTTGCATTGGATAGGCATGACTGAAGCATGGGCATCTGTGTGGAAATGTGATTGGACAAGGAGAGTACGATCTAATACAAATAGATGCAGAAAACCAACAAGATCTGTTCAGATTCTTCTTGGCCTCTCCATGCAGCATTCCTTCCTCCAGAGTATGGGGCAGAACCTCTTCTGAAATGAGGGTCTTATGATCCATAATCAGACAAAGTAGGTCAGAGAATTTCCTTATGGCCAGCTCCAAGGCAAAAAGGCGAGGTAATATTTCTCCCCATCTTGGAGAGAGGGGGAGAAAAAAACAGTAGGTGAAAGGAAGACAGAAGTTCAGAAAAAAAAGATTCTGTTTTCTGAGACCTGCTTCTGAGGCCCAAAGTGCCCTATCATTATAACAAAGGCTGTTACAAAGGCTATGGGAGTTATGAGCCAGGAACCCTGGACGAAAACAAATATATTGTGTGTGTGTGTGTGTGTATAAATATGAATCATAATGTCATATTACAGGCATGGTGAAGCTATTTTATTGCGATGATACAATTTTGGTCTCATGATTAATCTGAGTACAAAGATCAAATAATTGGCTCTGGGAAATCATGTTTACTCTGCCTTTGTAGAAATTAAAGTTGAACCATCACTTGAAGGGAAGTATAGAAGGGATTCCAGCCATATTTGGACTTCAAATGCATTAAGTGCCTAGTTCAATGGTCTCTTTAAAATGTAAGCGTACTACTCGGTTTTTATTAACTCTCATTTATTTTAGTATCTTGATTTTCTTGATGTCATGGTCACATAGGCAGAAAGGCATTGTGGATGCTACTCATTTTTAGGTGTTCAATAGAGCCTGAATTGATTAAAATTTGGCTCAACCTAGAGAAAACTTATAATATTAAAATAGGTGAAATGAATATAAGACAGAAATAGTGAAAATGGTACATGATCATTCCTATAATATTTAAGCAGAAATAGAACCTTCAATGGTAACGTTAACCTTGCAAATGGGGGACCCTTGGTATTGTACATCTACTAGTCTCTAAGTTCTTCGATTGATGCTGTGATTCAATAAGGGCTAAAAAATGTTTATTGGTGATGGTGAATATGATTCATATGCTATTGAAGACTGTATTAAGTGTTGGTCATACGTTACATAAGATATCCTGCTGCTTCCACAAGAAAAGTCTAGTTTTATTGCAACTTACCTTCCAGTCAAACCTCAGGTAGCTTTTGATCTGAGGAAACCCTCCTTATGTAATTGCCTCTGTTTCTACAGTGTCAAATTTAACACCTTCTCATCTGATTTTTCACATGCTATAAAAATCTAGCCATCACTGAGGACTTACTGCGTGCTAGGCATTGTTCTAGACATGTGGCATTTATTTTTACATGTATTATTAATTGCATCTATTGTTAATCCTCAAGGAAACCTTAAGAAGGTAATATCGTTATCCCCATTTCATGAATACAGAAATTTAGACACATGTAATTTAAATAACTTACCTAAGGTCACACAGCTAGTAGTTGTTGGAGCTGGTATATGAATTCAGCAGTACTACCTTTGTGCCTTTAAGGGAGTTATTTTCACTTTCTGGGCCTCTGTTTTTTCATCTGAAGAAATGAGATACTGAAAATATTGAGTGGTCATTCTCCTTGAGAACTGGAATAAGACAAGGATGCTCACTCTCACCACTCCTTTTCAACATAGTACTGGAGGTCTTAGCCAGAGCAATCATGCAAGAGAAAGAAATAAAAGGCACCCAAACAGGAAAAGTCAAACTATCTTCACTGATGACATAATTCTATACCTAGAAAACCCCAAACCCTCCATCAAAAGGCTTCTATAACTGATAAATGATTTAAGTAAGGCTACAGGATACAAAATAAATGTACAAAAATAAGTAGCATTTCTACATACCAATAATGCCCAGGCTGAGAATCAAGACAAGAACACAATCTCATTTACAGTAGCCACAAAGAAAATGAAATACCTAGGAATATAGCTAACCAAGGATGTGAAAGATCTCAACAAAGAACTACATTAAACACTATTGAAATAAATCAGAGATTACACAAATAAGTGGAAAAATATCCCATGCTCATGGATTGGAAGAGTCAATATTGTTAGAATGGTCATACTGTCCAAAGCAATTTACAGATTCACTGCCATTTCTGTCAAACTACCAAGATTATCCTTCACAGAATTAGAAAACGCTATTCTAAAATGCATATGGAGCCAAAAAGAACTCAAATATCTACAGCAATTTTAAGCAAAAAGAACAAAGCTGGAGGCATCACACTACCTGACTTCAAACTACACTATAAGGCTGCAGTAACAAAAACAGCATGGTACTGGTATAAAAACAGACACATAACACCAATGGAACAGAATAGTAAACACAACCACTCTGATCATTGATAAGGCCAACAAAAATAAGCAAGGAAAAGGACTCCCCATTCAACAAATGGTGCCGTGTTAACTGGCTAGCCATATGCAGAAGAATAAAACTAGACTTTTACCTTTCATCATATACAAAAGTAAACTCAAGATGGATTTAAATGTAAGAACTTCCTATAAAAATTCTAGAAAAAAATCTGGGTACTAGTCTTCTTGACGTCAACCTTGACAAAGAAAGAATTTTTGGCTAAATCTCCAAAGGTGATTGCAACAAAACCAAAAATTAACAAGTGGGTTCTAATTACACTAAGGAGCTTCTGCACAGAAAAAGAAATGATCAGCAGAGTAAATACACAACCTAAAGAATGGCAGAAAATATTCACAAACTATGCATTCAACAAAGGTTTAATATCCAGCTTCCATAAGGAGCTTAAATAAATTAACAAGTGAAAAGCAGGCAACCACATTAAAAAGTGGATATGATTCAAAAGAAAACATACATGTGGCCAACAAGCATAGGAAAAAAAGTCCTCAACATCACCAATCATTAGAGAAATGCAAATTAAAACCACAATAAGGTACTATCTCATATCAATAAGAATGGCTATTACTAAAAAGTAAAGAAATAGCAGATGCTGGCAAGGTTGGAGCAGAAAGAGAATGCTCATCCACTGCTGGTGGGAATGAAAATTAGGTCAGCTATTGTGGAAAGCAGCTTGGAGATTTTTTTGAAGAGCTTAAAACAGAATTACCATTCGACCCAGCAATCCCATAATTGTGTATATACCCAAAGGAATATAAATCATCCTGTCATAAAGACACATGCATGTGTATGTTCATCACAGCACTATTCACAATAGCAAAGACATGGAATCAACCTGGGTGCCTTTCAATGGTGGATTGAATAAGGAAAATGCAGCACATATACACCATGGAATACTACACAGCCATAAAAAAGAATGAAATCATGTTCTTTGTAGCAACATGGGTGAAGCTGGAGGCCACAATTGTAAGCAAATTAACGCAGGAACAGAAAACCAAACATTGCATGTTCTCACTTTTTAGTGGGAGTTAAACACTGAGTACCCATGGATATAAACATGGGAGCAATAGACACTGCAGACTACTAGAGGGCAGACAGAGGGAGTGGGGCATGGTCACAAAACTACTTATTGAGTATTATGCTCACTACCTGAGTACATTATACCCATGTAACAAATCTGCACATATACCCTCTGTATATAAAGTAAAAGCTGACAAAAAAGTATATAAATCATGTGTCAAGCTCAATGAATTTCCACAAAGTGAACACACCAGGTAAAAAAATAGAACACAACCGTAATCTCAGGAAGTCTCTCATGCTTCCCTGGAGCCACAAGAGTCATCACTATGCTAATTTCTAACACTGTCAATTAGGTTTTTCTATTTTAAAACTTTATATCAAAATATTTTCTCTACTAAAAAAAATTGGATTGTTTTAAAGCTTAAAGAAGATTATAGCTGTAAAGAGTTTAAAATGTGCAGGTGAGCATCATGCAATAATTTTAAGTTACAGCCATTATTGGCCAGATAAATTTCTAGTTGCTTACAAGAACACTACAAAGTAGTTATTATTCTCCTCATTGGAAGAGGCTGAGTAACTTGCTCACTGCCTTACCAATTAATTAGTGTGAGATTGTTATTTCCCACAACTGGCTTACTCAAAAGGTTTATCTTTCCTGTACACAATCCTATAAAATGTCTGTTCGTTTAATAACTATATTAACTCAAGTGAGATGTCTCCAACCAGCTACTCACAATCTTGGTATTGCTGTGTAGATTAGAGTCAATTAGAGTCAACTTTGAACTCTCTGCTTTCCAGCTCCAAGCAAAAGCCCTGTTGAAGGAAGAGGTGCTGCTGGAAGTAGTGTATAGAACATGTATTCTGCCTACTCTCCCTGGCAATCTGTATTCTATCTCTGTAAGTGGCTGAACCACGAGGAAGTGACATACCTAACAGGAGCTTGTTTCGTTTTTTTGCAGAATGCTCTTCTCAGAATTGTTGTTCAGACTTACTTCAGCTTCCATGGAAGGTCATTTCAAGGAATCTTTTGAAATTTATGATTACATTTGTTGTAAAAATGCTTCTGAGAACACTCTTCTTCACAACACTTGATAGCCCATTTAAAAAGGCTTATTTGAGACTATGTTTCTGGGAAAGGCTTTGGTTGTGTTAAGGAACTAGGATATTTCCTTCTTTTCAATACTAAGCATTATGTAATTGCTTGGTCTTACACTTCTCAACGAGGAAGCTCAGAATCAAATTTGAAGTTATACTACAGTCATTTTGGAATAATAGGCCATAAGTGTGATTGTAATAGGCTGCTAGAAGAGAAGAATATTTGTAAACTATAAGACAGTGCAAAAAAAGGTTTTCTTTAACCTAAAATTTTATTTTGGAATAACTTTGGATCTATAGAAAAGTTTCAAAGATCATGTGATCTGCGGTGTACTGGGTGGTACTGGGTGGCACTGTGTGTGAGTTCACTCTGTGATACTGAGGGTGCTTCCTACTCCTGTGTGTGGGAGTTCCTCCTACTTTATGAGGCAATAGTTTAAACTATTTTACGGTGTAGTTGTGTACACAATTACACTGTATAATTTATACTGTTTACCAGTTTATATACCACTCTGTGTATCCGTTCACACTCATTAGCAGGCATACTACTAACGTGTGTGTGTATTAGCTCAGACTGTGTGTGGTTCACACTACTACCCTGCATGTTAGCTCAGGCTGTGTATAGTTCACACTACTACACAGTGTATTAGCTCAGGCTGCGTGGAGTTCACATGACTACCTTGTGTGTTAGTTCAGGCTGTGTGGAGTTCACACTATTACCCTACATGTTAGCTTAGGCTGTGTGGAGTTCACGCTATTACCCTACATGTTAGCTTAGGCTGTGTGGAGTTCACACTATTACCCTACATGTTAGCTCAGGCTATGTGGAGTTCACATGACTATGCTGTGTGTTAGCTCAGGCTGTGTGGAGTTCACGCTTCTACTCTGCGTATTAGCTCTGACTTTTTGGAGTTCACACCGCTACACTGTATGGTGAGTCACACAGAGGAGAATATTTGAAAACTATGAAGATCATAATTTTACAGTACTGCATTCAGCAGTACTAAATCTGAGGGCCCCAAGAGCAGACACCATTCTTAAAAAATTGATTATAAGGAAAAGAGATACTTTCGAAGATCATCTCTTTATGAGACTAGTGGGCAGAACTGCTATGTTTAGCGTTTACATGTCTTTCTGCCAAGTCTGTAAGTCAGAAGTTGAAGCTACAACAAAGTTCCATGTGTGTGGCAGAGATTTCTGGTGTTAGCGCTTCTAGTGTTAGTGGTGCCCAGGAGAGGCTTTTATTTAGAATTTGTGGTGAAGGACAAGGGAGAAACCATTCTTTATGGATTTTTGATAATCCACATGGATAGCGGGGCACATGGCCTGAGTTTGGATCTGGCTATGTTAACCTCCTAAGCTATGGCCAAGGATTTATATTTCCAACACCCAAACAGTGGCTTTGCCAATAAACAGTGGTAGATTTTCTTAATATATGGATAACATTTGGGATGCAATATCAAATAGAAAGTAGGTGCAGAGTGGTCACCTTTTGGCGGGGATGGTGGGGCAAAGCCTCAAGTGCCCTAAAGGTACCCAGGAGTATGGCGTATACTCAAAGAGAAGAAGTCGGTGTTGAGTTCTGCACTTATGAAGGCAGGAGCTAGACGGCGCAGAGAGTTTGCTGAGCCCTCAAGAAACAATCAGCCACATAGCCCTGGCTGATGATTGACTCAATGGCCAAGCCCAAAAAGTTAAGGAAACAGAAACACAGGGAAAGTAGGGGAGAGACACATTCCCACCCCGTACTCCAAGAGGAGGAGTTTTCCCTACACAGTCCTGGCCACCGGCCTTGCCTTTACTCTTTGCCCCCAGGAAGTGGGGTGAGTTGTCTGGCTGATGTCTGATAGTCACTGGTGCAGGTCTTTTGGGGCCCCTGTTTCCTTTCCACATCTGTTCAGTGCAAGAATACTGGGGAAGAGTCTCTTCTCCAGCTCAGTGTTCCCCAAGGAAAACCATAGCAGGGCAGCCATTGCTGCTGCACACCTAATGCTGTACTCCAGGCTAGTTTTTGTCAGTCTCCATCTGCCTAGATGCTTTGCATCTTTCAATAAGTCAGAACGCAGATACTGAGGAGATGGCTCTAATGAATTAGACTTCTAAACCCCAAAAATTCCTATCAATTCCTGTAGTTTTAATTTTGACTTGTTTGTATAGGGTTTGTATATGATTAATGTCTGTCTTCTTGATTAGCGAGTCCAGGGGTGGGAAGGGTGATTGCATTGTATTTCTGGTGCCTGGCCCAATGTGTCAAAGTCACACATAAAACTCATGGAAGGAAATGAATCAATACGTCTCCTAAGCCCTTACATTCTCTCTGGGCCTCACTGTCTTCCCCTCTTACAGGGCCCTCTTGCTGAAGTATGTAAAGCTCACTTGGACCACCCTGCCACAGTAGTCAACACAGAATCTGTCCTTGGAACTAGTTTTAACTCCAGCGAAGCTACCCACGTGTCACAGCGCCAGCACTCAAGGAGAGGCAGCTCTGTGCAATTGCGTCCAGGGAAAACCCCTGTTCCAAAGAAAAAGCCTGCATTTTCCCCTTTGCCTTTTCCTGACTCCTTACTTCTAGCTTTGGGATTGCAAATTCTGGCTTGGACTTGCTTCTCCAGCAAACCCCTTAGTGTGCCTTCTTGAACACACCTACATGCTTTCTTTGTTGCTAGATGCCCCAGGAAGGTACTGGAGTCTCAGACTTGATTTCAGGAGACAATGAAATCCAAGCTGACTGACATCCTCTTTTCCCCACCTGGGCCACCTTGGGTGCTCTGGAAAAGTTGAAGCCAGCCCTGGGCACAGCTCAGTGAGAGGAATTTTGCTTTCAGTCTTTTCTTTAGAGGGTGGGGGCAGTAAGGAGGAAGGAGAGAAAAAATTTACAAATACAAAAGCAAAAGAGTCACTTTTCCCATTTCTTTAAAAGTTCAAGCACGCATTTTCTTTCCTTCCTTCCCTGGGTCTTTCTAGGCTTTATTATTTCCTTTTGATACACGATTTTCTCTGGGGTTTATCTCTGAACGCTTCCCGGACTCCTTCCCCTGCTATTTGATAGGAGACAGGCAAAGTCCAGCACAAAGAAAACAAACAGAGCCTAGTGACGAGCAAGTGGTCTGCTGGTCCTGGCCACCTGCCGGAAGGCATTGAGGCAGAGCCCAGCGACACTTCTTTTGAAACAGAATGATGTGCCTGCCATCCAAATCAAAGGTGCTTATAAAAAGAATTCCCTCTTTTGGGTCTGGGTTTTTTTTCCTCCCAGCTCCGGGTCCTGCTGTCCTCCTGCTGTCACACAGGAAGGACCCACAGTCTTATTCCTGCTTTGAATGGCAAAAACTTTAACTTGTAGTACTTTTTCCTGTTCAGCTTGCTGCAGCCAACTCTGTTTGTGGTTCCAGAACCTGGCCAGTAGCTGTTACCTACAGTTTTACCTTCCTGTTTCACTTTCTTTTCTAAAATACGGGCTTTTTCCTCCTCTACCATAAAAGTAATACATGCTTCCTATAGGAAATCACTACAGAAAGAGGCAGGAAAAAAAAAATCATCTCCTGTCCCCCACGACCAAAAGATAAATTTGAAACATTTTATTCTAGACTTTTTTCTAGCATCCTTAAAGTTGGAACATTCTCGGCATATTCTAATTATTTTCTTATTCATCAGATATTGAGGATTCACAAGTGGGATTTTGTTTTTGGGTAGGAGTGTTTTAAGGAAGAGAGAGAAAGAGAGAAAAATGCTGGACACAGAAGGGGCATAAATTCAAGCACCCTCAGAATAATAATATTTCATCTTTTTGAACTCTCAGATTGGTGCTTGCTTACAATATTTTATATTTAGATTCATACATTAATAAAAGAGAGAAATGATGAGTCAGCAACTACCTGGGTCAGCATCCCTCTGAGATGAATAACTTTGCAGCACCTTCAGCTACTCTTCTGAATACTGCGGGTGTCCAGGGGACTGGAAACAGTTTATTTCTACATTATCAGTGTTCTTCAAGGAAGCAAGTAAACGAAGAGATGGCAGGCAGCTTCATTAGGTGCAAAGCAGAGAATGGCGCCCCCTGTGGGCATGCATGTGGAGGGCAGGGCTTGCACAGCTGCTTGTTTCCAGCCCCAGCCACCTCCCCTCCCAGCACCTCTGGGCAGGGCACGACAGGTGTAGCTATACATGGTGGCTTGTGACATGGACAGGAATCAGCAGAGCTCAGCTTGAGGTCTGCCTTGACCACATGTTTGCCTTTGGCCATTCTCCCTTTGTGGATTGGCTTGTTTCTTAGTGCAAGTGACAAAAAATTAAATGGTTTTTAAGGCGCCTTGTAGGTCATACAATCCAGGTACAAAGTAAAACTGCATTTATAGAATTTGGAGACAAATCTCGACACATCCTTATATCTCACCCAAGGTCTCATAGACCTGGCTGACTGTCAGAGAGGGTAGGGTTAGCCATCAGCCGGGATCCTGCACCTGTTCCTTACTAGACATGGGTGACCTGGGCATGATGTTTAACTTCTGAACCTCCCTTTACTCTTTGTCGAAAGGGAGTAGTAATGTGCACCTTTAGGGCTATTATAAGGATGCAATAAAAAATTAATTCCACAAATACTTATTAAGCACCCACCAAATGCCCGACATAGTTTCAGGAAGAGTTGGAAAGCAGTGAGCAAGAAGGGGAAGAGGTCTCTTGTCTTGTGGAGCTGCCATACTTGTTGGAAGTGACGAAAACAGGAAATAAATAAAAAATCAGTGTTGTATAGACCATTAAAACCAGGTGAAGCCAGGTACAGTGGCCCACACCTGTAGTCTCCACTTAGCAGACTGAAGTAGGAGGATCACTTGAGCCCAGGAGTTCAAGTCCAGCATAGGCAACATAGCAACCTTGTCTCTAAAAATGTTTTTACCAAAAGAAAGAAAATGAGTGGTCAGGGAAGCTCTCTCTGAGGAGGTGGCATTCAGGCTGAAATGTGAATGGCAAGAAGGAACCAACCATGCAACAGTGGCTGGGAAGATATTTTAAGGGAAAGGGAACACAGTGTGAAGTCTCTAGGAAGGAACGGGATGAGCTTCGTGTGTTGTGGCCTGAAGTGAAACCTAGCTGGCTGGAGTGTGGAGGGTGAGGAGAGTGAGGCATCCAGAAGGAAGGGAGGTAGGGAGCAGGGTCACAGAGGGTTACATAAGTCAGGAAAGCAATTGAGACAAGGGAGAGCCTTCCCAGTTCCCGGCCCAAAGGTGCTCTTGAGTGAGCGGCGTATCTGTGACAATGAGGAGAAAGAAAATGAGAAGGTTCTGAACGAACCAGTTTCTTCTGAGTCCTAAAGGATAAAGGTAAAAACTTCTACCAGATGCTGCTTTGCCAGATGGTTTCCGTAGTGGAGAGTGTCTGCCTGCGTCAGACAGAAGCCCTGGGGGAGAACTGGGCCCTCTGGGGAGTCTTCGGAGGAGACGCCATCAGTCCCTGAAAGTGGAAAAGTGACTAGAGATAGCCATTAGGTTCACAAAAGAAACCTTAAAATAGATTCAGTTGGAGATGCAAATTCAGTTCAGAGCAGGACTGCCGATGTGTTGAAGCTTAAAAAATTCCTCTGGGAGAATTGGGAGGGGGAGAAAAACGAAGGCAGAGCAGATGGCTTGGTGAATAGGAGGCCAACACTCCGGGCTACTCAAAGAAGGGAATCTTAATTAAGGGAAGAAGCCCCAAATAACAAAACTGGTTGCTCTCCATTATTAATAGTAGTTTTCGTCCATTTGTGAGTTGGTGACAGATTCATCCTGGGCTATTTGGGTCTGAGAGGAAAGGAGCTGTGTTCCTCTTCTGATTTACGAAGTCTGATAGAGCAGCCCAGAGGCCACTCCTTAGGATTTCAAGGAAGGCTAATGTTGCAAATGAGAAGTAATTACAGCTCTCGGTTTCCAACTGTCCGAGTGGTAGCTCCGATGGTTAATTGGCTCTGCTTCCTTGGTCTACTTTCCCGAGGCTTTTGACCTCATTCTACTTCCTCTCCTATATCTTGGGGGAATTTTCCCAGTCCAACAAGCTCTGCACATTTAGGTTACCTCTAAGGGTTGGGTGTACCATCTGACAACAATTGATTTCCAAGCTTCTGCAGCTACCTTGGCTAGTTGTCTATGGAGTTAAAGAGTGCTAGCGGTTCATTAGCACCTGTGACATTTTCATTAGCATTAATGAGGCTCATCTGCAAAACTCAGACCCAGAGAGATTAGAATTATTCTGTGCCATAGGAAGTAATTGGCGAAACTTTCCCTGGCTCATTTAGGCCCTAGTTAGGAACAAAGGAGCATCGAATTTGTCCCAAGATGATAATAGTGTTACTTGTAAAGATGATTTTCTGGCAAGTTTGAGAAACAATATTTTCAAAATATTTTATAATGGAGACTTTCAAGCACACATAAAAGAATAATGTTACAATGAACTTTTATGTGCTCATCACTCAGTCTCAACAATTATTCACATTTCGCCAATCGTTTTTCATCTATTTCTCCCCTTTTATTTCTTTGCTATTTTCAGACCTCATAGTGTCTCATCCTTACTTTTTTCAGGGAATATCTCTAATATGTCCCCCCCATGCCATTGTTGTGAGTTGCGTTCTCTGGGAAGCAAATTCTGAGATGCAGAGTAGTGGACAGAAAATTTATTAGGAGTGGTTTTCAGGATTTGCATCTGCAAGAGGGAATGACAGGAAACAAGGCCAGGACGAGGGAGAAGTTGGACCACTAGGTAATACCTATAAAAGACTCGGCTTGGACCAGGCGGTGGCTCACGCCTGTAATCCCAGCACTTTGGGAGGCCAAGGCAGGCAGATTGCCTGAGCTCAGGAGTTCGATATCAGCCTGGCCAACATGGAGAAACCCCATCTCTACTAAAAATATAAAAATTAATGGGGCATGATGGCATGCACCTGTGATCCCAGCTACTCTGGAGGCTGAGGCAGGAGAATCACTTGAATCCGGGAAGTGGAGGTTGCAGTGACCTGAGATCGCGCCACTGCACTCCAGACTGGCGATACAGCAAGACTCCTGATTAAAAAAAAAAACAAAACAAAACTCAGCTGATCCCTGTGGAAAGCTGCAATGCTGAATGCTTATTACTTGTCCAGGGTCTGGAAGAGAAAGCTGGGCTTTAATATTCCCATAATACTCCCCTATGGACCATCCTGTCACTAGGAAGTGAGCATAATCTTGAGGAAGGTGTCCTTCGGCCTAGGGCAGTTTGAGGGCAATTTCTGGAGAGGCGAATAGCAGGTGGCTGTCAGCTGGCAGTATCCTGAGCTGCGAAGGGAATCATCTTATTTCTGAAGGAGGATCAGGGTGGCTCATCATAGCATCCATCACAGACATTCTTGCATCTAACAACATTAACAAGAATTCTTTAATATTACCTAGTAATTAAACAATGTCCACAAATCGTTATGTTAAATGAAGTTAAAAAATTTCTTTAATGCGGGTCTATTCTGAGGTTTAAATATACAAATGAACGTGTGACTTTTCAGGAAGATTTTTAAACGTGAAACATTTAAAAAAATTATTTGACTGTCTCATGTGTTTTTGGTTTTGTTTTTATTTTTATTTTTTTGGGACGTATACCAAAAAACAATGCTCTGAACTCAGTAAACATGGGGACGTGGCAGTTTTAATTTCACAGTGTTAATAGCTAAGGCCAAGACTCTCTCACGTGGCAAAGAGGTGAGTGTTTGGCATAGAACTGTAAGAGTAAATGCTACTTGGATGCTACTTCATTCTAAGACAGCTATGAATTACGTGAGCATCTGAAGATATTTTGCAGTTCGAACAAGATATATACTAAAAACGCTGTGTACTTTGTCACATCGACAGTCACTCACTAACAGAGCTTTTTGACGCGGTCATTTCTGCAGTGGAAGGAGAAACTGATGAAGAGTCTCTTTGTGGGTGCTGTGAGGTTATTTTTAGGTTGCTACAAAGCCTCATTTATAACTGCGACTCTAATCTTAAGAGGCTGGTGTTGGAGACCAAAGAACTGGAAAGAAGTGGTATTCTAAGGTTTAGTGAAAGGTCCATAAATCAGTAGATTGCAGATGTGCATACAGCACGGACCAGGCATTGGAAATGATAAAAGGGAGATACAGTTTGCTTTCATAGGCATTTCTATTGGAGTGATGAAAAGAAACATGGTAATTAACAGAATGGAGTGAAACAAGTAAACGTGTGCAGTTTTGTTTTGTTGTTGTTGTTGTATAGTTGGTTCTCTCTTGAACTCTTTTAGAAACATCACCTCAATTAAAGTAAGTATGCAAATGTCATTTCTTTTTCATAAAAGTAGAGAGCATTCTTAATCACACAGGTAATAAGTGAACAGATTGATTGGGAATACAATCTAGACATTTTAACAGTAACTCTATTCTAGTTCTGGCAGGCAATGGTGCAGTTTAGCAGGGGCTCAGGCTAGGGAAAGAAATACTGTCTCAAAAAAAAGATTATATGCAGTGGCTCATGCCTGCAATCCCAGCACTTTAAGGAGGCCAAGGCAGGAGGATTGCTGGAGCTCAGGAGTTCAAGACCAGTCTGAGCAACATGGTGAAACCCTGTGTCTACAAAAAATAAAATGAAAAATGAAAAAAAACTAAAAGAAAAAATGTCCCTTGTAAACTTTATAGGCCTGCAGAAACATTACTTCTTATTAGTACATCTGAAAATCTGCTGTTTTTCTAGCAACCTTTGCTTTGACATATATCTTATTTTAGGTGCACACTTGTCATTCAGTGATTGCAAGTCATGTACCACCAAAATTAATGAAAATATATGTATTTCCACTAGAATATGTATGCTTTAAATTCTTCAGCCTGAGGAGAAGTAAAAATGAGAGCATTAAAGACAATCTGGGATACAGTTATTTATATATTATGTCTGCCAAATTCTCTGCCAATGTGCAGTTTAATTTCAGGTTTCCCTTAAAATGTCACTGCTAAAAGGTAAAAGCTGGGTAACAAGCCTGTGGATAAAAATAAACAGACGGTTTATACAAAGGGAAAATACAAAGCAAGAATCAAAACTCAAGATGTGGGTGAAAACTGAGCGATGAGCAGTTTTTGCATTTTAAGGAAAGTCCGAAATTTGCCTAAAGTTGTGAATCAAGGGGAGAAAGCAGTTCTTTTCTAAATGAGTAGACCTTAAAATTCTATCTTACTGCCATACTCTAGCTAATCAAAGTGGAATTTGGGTGCTTGACCTCACAATCAAGATGGAAATCTTGAATTTCTGCAGCTTCCTTATTTAGCTGAAGAATTCTAAAACATATCTAATAGAAAACCATCCTTAGAGCATTTCCCAGGTGATAAATTATTTTCTCTGGCTTAATACCTCTGAACAGCTATTAAGTTCACTTAGAAAGTTGTTTGTGTCTTAACATTGTCACCATTACTTAGTAGACACCTAGAATTTTCTATGTTCCTTTAATATTCGTTAATGGAAATAATAAAAATGGAAGAAAAAATGACCTAGTACTGTGGCTTGGGATAAGGAGATCACATTCTAATTCTCATTTATTCAATATTTATTTAAAGAATCAATTTTTGAGCACCAGGCTCTACTCTAGATGTCAGGGATAGAGTTTTGAACAAAAAACTGTGTTTGTTTTCATGAAGCTTATGTTTATCATATGAAGAAGACACAAAGTAAAGGCAATGTAACACAAATGGTGCTTGCTACAATGAAGAATCAAGGAGGATAAAGGGATTTAGAGGATTGTTGGGTGCTCTTTTGGAAAGAATGGTCAAATAACTCTCTGAAGTGTTAATATTTGACATAAATATTGAAGGATTTTGGGAAAGAATGGTCAAATAACTCTCTGAATGTTAATATTTGAGATAAGCCTTGAAGGAACTAGAAGAACAAATTTGAGAATTTAAGGGAAGATTGTTCCTGGAAGGGGAAACCTAAGCAAAGGCCCTGTGGCAGGCGTTACTTATTTGACAAACCAGCAAGGAGGCCAGCATGGTTGGAAAGGATTGAGCTAGGAAAGGAGGATGATAGATAAGAAATAAATTGTAGAGCAAGCTGGAGGCTATATTACATGGGACCTTATAGGATTTGGTAAAAGTTTGGATTTTACTGATATGCAATGGAAATCCATTGGCAATCTTGAATAGAAGAAGCACATGATATAATTTATATTTTAGAAAGATCATTCCAGCTATTACACGGAAAACAGTGAAGAGAAGAGCAAAAGTAAAAACAGAGATCAGTGGATGACTGCTGCAGTAATTCAGGATATACAATGCTGTGGTGAGGTGGTAACATGTGGTTGTATTTGAGATATATTATGTAGGCCAGGCCAAAGTATTTCATGTGATTGTTCTGTAGAAATCTGGTTTATATAAATGACTTTGAGAGGTGTTAAAATATAGTGAAATGAGTCCCCTTTATGATATTTTATTATATAAAATTTCAAACATATACAAATGTAAAATGAATAGGATGGTGGACCTCTGTGTATCCATTACACAGATTGAACAATTATTAAGATTTGGTCAATCTTGTTTCACTGATGTCTTCCTACCAGTATTTTTTCTCTTCCTGGATTATTTTGTAATAAATCCTAGAAATCACATCACTTTACCATCAATAGTATGTATGTCTAATAAGTAAGAACTTTTAAAAACGCCACAATATCATACACAAAACCCTACAATATTAACAAAGTTGATAATAATTCTTTATTACAATCTAAAATCAATAGGTGTTCAAATTTTCCCAGTGTTTCCTTAGGAATGTATTTTTGCAGTTGGGTTGATTAGATTAGGATCCAAAAAAAGTCGACCCATTGCATTTGATCAAAATGTCTTATAAGTCTCTTTATATCCACCCACCTTCTTCTATCCTTTTAATGTTTTTTTGTTTGTTTGTTTTTCTGACACCTATTTGTTGAGATCCTGGATGTTTTGGATGTTTGCCCTGTAGAATTTTTTTCTTTTCTTTTTTTTTTGAGACGTAGTTTCACTCTGTTGCCCAGGCTGGAGCGCAATGGCGTGATCTTGGCTCACTGCAACTTCTGCCTCCCGGGTTCAAACCATTCTCCTGCCTCAGCCTCTGGAGTAGCTGGGATTGCAGGTGACCGCCACCACGTCCGGCTAATTTTTTGTATTTTTAGTAGAGACGGGGTTTCACTATGTTGACCAGGCTGGTCTCGAATTTCTGACCTCGTGATCCACCCGCCTCGGCCTCCCAAAGTGTTGGGATTACAGGTTTGAGCCACCGCTCCCGGCCTAGAATTTTCTATTAGATTTGACCGATCATATCATGTAGTATTTAAACATTTTTTTATCCTCATTATTTACCGTAAAACTGTTAGGTAGACATAGAGGCTTGATTATATCCTTTTTTAGGGGCAAGGATGGGGAAAAATAATTCAAAGATGGTACCATGTACCACCTATTGCATCGGGGACACATGATTGCCAGTTATCAATCACACTTAAATGAGGTTAAAATTGATGAGTGGTATGGTAGGCTAAATAGTGACTCCACTTTCTAAAGACATCTGCAGCCTGATTCTGAACTGTGAATATGTTATGCTATGTGGCAATAGGGACTTTGTAGATGTAATTAAGATTACAGTCCTTAAAATAGGAAGATTAGGAGGGATTACCCAGGTGGATTTAATTGAATCACATGACTCCTTAAAGGAAGAGAACCTTTCCCAACAGAAGTCAGAAGCAGCAGAAGAGAAATATGGTAGGTGTGGAAATCAGAGCTTGCAAGCATGAGAAAAATTTGATATGCTGTTGCTGGCCGTGAAAAATAGGGTCCTGTGTACAAGAACCAAGAGAAGCCTCTAAGAACTTAAGCAGAACTCAGCCTGACAGCCAGCATGGAAATGGGACCTCGGTCCTACCACTGCAAGGAACTTCATTCTGCTCACAACCTGAATGAACTTGAAAGCAGATTCTAAGAGCCAAGACCAGCTGATACCTTGATTGGGATTTCCAAAACCTGAAGCAAAGAAATCAGTCAAGCTAACGCACACTTTTCACCTCTGAACTATGGGATAATAAATTTGCATGGTTGTAAGCTGCGAAATTTGCGGTGTTAGAGCAGTAACAGAAAACTAATATTAATACAAGTGAATGCAGGGATTGTCAGCCTGATTCACCTGTTATTATAAATTCTTCACCCATCTTTCATCTTCATGGTTTCAGCAGCCATTGATAATTATTGTTTAGATCTGTTGTCATTAGGGGTTACAAAATGGTGATTATTTAAGATCATCCTTTCTGTATTTATTAGCTGGAATTCTTCCTTAAAGAATAACTTTTCTTCATCCACTATTTAGCTACCTTAAAATAAATTTTGGACATAGAAAACAAGATAAATACCTGTTTTTTCCTTTATTTACTAATTTACAGAATACTGAGAAGATTGGTTTGCTACTATTTAAGAAGACCAATTAGTTTTTTGGTATTATTATGAATTAATGGATTGTTGTATGTGCATGTTTCAACCACCATGCTGTCATTCATTTCCTTTTGATACTTAAATGATCCCATTTGCAACTAATGAAAAACCTGTTAAGTTGGATCCTTGTGTCTTTTTGTCAAGAGCTAGTCTTGAACTCCTGGACTCAAACTATCCTCCTGCCTTGGCCTCCCAAAATGCTGGGATTACAGGTGTGAACCACTGTACCTGGCATACAATAGCATTTTTGTTTTCTGGCACTACAAATTATCCAAGGTTTATTTGTACATTTTAAGCCCAGACAGTGTGTTGTCCATTTCCCCAAGAATCCTTTGTTCATTTCAAGTATTTAGAGAACACAATTTGGGCACTTGGGCGTTGTTCTTGTCATTGCTTTAAGGCTATCTCAGTAGACAGAGAGAAAAATTATGACTTTGCAGCATATTTCCAATCCAAAGGTTACAATACACCATTTTCGCTTAACCACTTTTATTTTCATTCTTGAATATGTTTGTTAAACATTTTCAGGCTGGGCGCGGTGGCTCACGCCTGTAATCACAACACTTTGGGAGGCCGAGGCGGGTGGATCACAAGGTCGGGAGATCGAGACCATCCTGGCTAACATGGTGAAACCCCGTCTCTACTAAAAATACAAAAAAAAAAAAAAAAAAAAAAATTAGCTGGGCGTGGTGGCAGGCGCCTTTAGTTCCAGCTACTTGGGAGGCTGAGGCAGGAGAATGGTGTGAACCCTGGAGGCAGAACTTGCAGTGAGCCGAGATTGCGCCACTGCACTCCAGCCTGGGTGACAGAGCAAGACTCTGTCTCAAAAAAAAAAAAAAAAATTCATTTCTAACATTAATACAATTGATTGATTTTATTATTACTAATAATAAGATTGATGAACTTGGTTTAAGATATCTTTGCAGGTTTTGTTTTTTGTTTTTAGACTTTATCCCTGTAAGAAAGTACAGTCAAAATACTGAATTTTATTTTATTTATGTTTATTTTTAACTTTTATTTTAGATTCAGGGACACATGTGCAGGTTTGTTATATAGGTAAATTGTGTGTTGTGGGGATTTGCTGTACAGATTATTTTATCACCCAAGTAATAAGCATAACACCCAATAGGTAGTTTGTTTTATCCTCATCCTCCCCCGACCCTCTACCCTCATATCAGCCCCAGTGTCTATTGATCCATATGTACTCAATGTGTCCATATGTACTCAATGTTCAGCTCTCATTTGTAAGTGAGAACACGTGGTATTTGGTTTTCTGTTTCTATGTTAGTTTGCTTAGGATAATGGCTTCCAGCTTCATCCACGTTGCTGCAAAGGACATGATCTTGTTCTTTTTTATGGCTGCATAGTATTCCATTGTGTATTCCACATTTTCTTTATCCAGTCTACTGCTAATGGGTACTCAGGTTGATTCTATATCTTTGCTATTGTGAATGAACATATGTGTGCATGTGTCTTTATGGTAGAACAATTTATATTCTTGGGGGTATATACCCAATAGTGGGATTGCTAGATTGGATGGTAATTCTGTTTTAAGTTCTTTGAGAAATTGCCAAACTGCTTTCCACAATGACCGAGCTAAAAATACTGTATTTTAAAGTGTTAAATAAAGTGCTTCATGAAGTGGTCATGCCACCAATTTTAAATACAGTCTAACTTATTTGTTTTTGTTTTATTTTAGGAGGTTATAGTTTTGTTTTTGTTTTACTTTTTAAATGTGTAAACATTTACATGACTCTATGTAAAAATAAATCAATAAAACACGGGGCATTCTGAGAGTTCTAGCTTATTTCCTTTCCCGACCTTCATTGTCTTTAAAATACTTTTTTAGTTTTACATCCATCAATTTTTAATTTTTAAAATATAAACAAATTATGCATGCATATGCATATATAGTTATTTATAGTCTCTCTTCACCTAAACAAAAATGATTCTTTTTATTATACAATTTATCTCGCTTTTTTGTTTAAAATATCCTGCAGATCACTTCATGGCAGCATATAGAGATCTTTCTCATTCTTTTTCATAGCTGGACAATATTCCATAGTTTACTCAGAGTAAATTCATTCAACCAGCCCCCTTTTGTTGGACACTTAGATTGTTTCTCATCTTTTATTATTATAAATAGTGCTGCTATAAGTAGTCTTTGGTCCTTCTCTTCTCCTATTTGCTAGTGTATGTTTGAGATATATTTATAGAATGTGGTTGCTGGATCAAAGGGTAATTGTTCGAGGCATTTTGGTAGATATTGCCAAATTCCACTCCATGGAATTTTGCAATACCATAACCCATTTTTGAGAATTGCTTGGTGAAGACTGACTATTTTTGCTAAGTCTTGGCTGTGTAGTTATTGGCAAACCATGTACACCCATTAAGCATTAATTCTCCATATGTAAATCATGAATAACAATTTTTTTCTTAAATAGTAGGAGGATAAAATGTGAAAAGTACAGAAAGGAAATGCCTGATGTAATGTGTTTAATAGATGTAAGCGTCCTTCTTTCTTAGATCCTTCCAGTCATTGATTTGATACATGTATATTGTGAACCATGTGCCAGACGCTATTCTAAGAACTAGAGATCCAGCAATAAGCAGACCGATAAACTCTTTTCCTCATTGAAATTAAATGAAACAAAAATTTGTAAACAAATGAAGAAAGATACATTCAAATAGTGCTATGATCCAAAAAAGCAAATAGAGCAATAGGAGAGATAGTTGACATAGTGCAGAGTTTTTTTGTACCTAAATTTTCTCATTAAAAAAAAATATGAGACATATAATGTAACCTATTTCTTTTTTTTTTTTAAATTATACTTTAAGTTTTAGGGTACATGTGCACATTGTCACAAGATTGCTTGGAAAATGAAATGAATTTCTGGAGATTTAAGTGTTTTAGAAAGTTGCTTAGCAATTGTTGTTATCCTTGAGGAAAAGAATAACAAAAAAGATGCTGTATTGGTGTCCTGGGGCTGCCAGAGCAAAGCACCACAAATAGGGTGGCAAAAACAACAGAAACTTATTGTCTCACAGTTCTGATAGCTGGGACTCTGAAATCAAGGTGTTAGCAGGGCCATGTTCCCTCTGAAACCTGTAGAGAAATCCTTTCTTGCCTATTCCTAGTTTCTAGTAGTTTGTGGACAACCTGTGGCATTCCTTGGCTTCCAGGTGCATAACTCCAACTTTTGCCTTCATTGTTAACATGGTGTTCTCTTTGTGTGTCTCTGAGTCTTCACACAGCTGTCTTACAGACACTCATCATATTGGATTGGGAGTCCACCCTACTCCAGTATGGCCTCATCTTAACTTAAACCATACAGCTGCAATGGCCCTTTTGAAATAAGGTCATATTGTGAGGCACTCAGAATTGGTACTTCAATATGTCTCTTTTTTTTTCAGGGCATAGAGGCACAACTTAATTCATAACAGATTACATGATGCAAAAGGCAGGATTTAAAACAAGCCCCAAGTGTCTTTCTAGCACAGTAATAGAAATGGAGATGGACCAAATATGAGGGACTCTGACTCTTTCTCCTAAGGGGTCTGAGTGAGGAGGCTCCCAACAGAGCTGCTTTCCCTGTCAGTTTAGCTTCCACGTGACTGGTCATTCTGTCTGGTTCCTTCCTTCCCCTCCCTGGGCACCAGATCTTCAAATTTGGCTTTTTTTTTTCTTCATACACTGGCCTGGAATTTTTAGGGAATAATTTAGTTGTTCTTGTGAACATGTCAGCAGGTAGTGCTCAAACAATTAAAATTTATTCTCTCTCTTCCTAAAATGAAAAAAAAATGTTCATAGTTATTTACAATTATAGAACAATAAGGAAGAACAGAAAGCATAAAGGAGAGACCAGCACACACCTGGGAAAGAGGCGATCACTATTAACTCTCTGGGGACTATGCTTCAGCATCTGTTCTCCGTGCCAGTGCGTGCCTCTGTGGGCGAGAATGTGTATGCTGGTGTGAGTGTCATCTCTGTGTGTGTCTTTATCAGTTAGGAATACATCTGTCTGAAAGTAATCAAAAACTAAACTGGGGTGGATTTAATACATAAGCGTTTACTTTTCTCACATTTCAAGAGCTCTGGTGGTAGCTGGCTGCTGATGATTCGAGGATGCAGTGATGTCAGGGCTGAGACTCAGCTATTCTCTTATCCTTTCCATTATGGTGTGATAACGGCTGATGCAGCTCTAGCCATATTTTTGGTAAGCCAGGAAAGAAGAAAAGAAAGCAGAAATGTGTCACTCCTCCTCTTATCAGGAAAGTAAAATTTTTCTTGAAACTATACTGTGCCTTTCCTTCATCACAGTAATTAGATCTACCTGTCTCATTTTCAGTTAAAAAAAAATACAACAACACCTGTTTCTAGTTAATGGAAACCTTAGAATATGGGGAACAAGATTGTTGAGGTCAAGGTGTGGCAAACTATGATCCATGGGCCAAATCTGCCCACTGCTTGTTTTTGTAAATAAAGTTTTACTGGGACATAGCCACACTCATTTTTCTACATAAATGTTTTCTATGACTGCATTTATACTACAACAGAACAGAGTAGCTGAGGCAACAATCATATGGCCTACATATCCTGAAATGTTAACCATGTAGTCCTTCACAAAAAATGCTTACTGACCCTTGGATTAGCTCAATTCGTGATCCATAGACTAAGGCTGGGCACATTGTGTCCCCACCCCAGCCCCACCAAAAATGGGTTTCATTAACAAGGCAGAAAGTTGGAATGGATGTTGGGTTGGCAATTAAAGATGTCTGCACAGTGCTGTTGGTAGCGGAGATTGGGGTGATCACAGAGGAAAAATACCAGGTTAAAAGTAAACCAACATTTACAGGAAGCATGGTTTATCCCTAATTTCATCATCCACTCTTTTAATCAACGTTCTCTTCCAGTTGTGGCTTTTATTCCTTCTGCACCACTCTCTAACTACAGCCCTTAGGTAATAAAAGACCCCCTCAACCGTCTCTGAAGATTTTGCTTTCTGGAAGGTTTTAATTTTACTCATGTATACCTTAGAGTAAATTTAAGGTAACACAGTCCTTTCTATGTAACACATATATTTTAAGCTTCCATTTATGGGAAAAAAAAATTCAGGCTCCAGAGTACAAACAGTCCCTCCCTCCCTCCCTCCCTCCCTGCCTGCCTTCCTTCCTTCCTTCTTCCACAGGTATTCATTAAGCATCTACACATTCCAGGCTTTGTTCTAGGTGCTGGGGATACAGCGAGAAGACAAAGTCCCTGTCCTCACAGAACTTACATTCTACTAAGAAAAGCAGAGCATAAGTAAGCCAGTACATAAAACACAGTAAAACATCACATAAGAATGAGTACTTTAAAGAGAACTTAAGTGGGATGAGGGCATGGATCATGACAAGGGTGCTACTTTAGAGAGGGAGACCGGGGAAGGCCTTTCTCATGAGGAAGCGCTCCAGCCTAAAGACAGTGAGGCAGGGAATCCTGCCTATACTGAAAAACAGATTCCAGGCAGCGGGAAGTGCAAAGTCCCCAAGGCAGAGCTTTGATTAGAACAGTCCTGGACAGCAAGGATGTCAGCGCTATGGGTGGGCGATGACTGGGGAGAAGAATGCCACAGATGAGGCTGAGGTTATAGCCAGGAGTTAGGTTACACTGGGACTTGTAAGCCATGGAAAAGTGTGAGTTTATTTGAAATAGGGTGGGAGATTTTGATTACAGTTATAATGTACTTGGACCGATACTTAAACGGATCCCCTTGGATTATTTTGGGACAGAAAGCCCATTTCCATATATACACTATAGAAATAAGCCATGCTCCGAATAACACTTTGGTCAATGATAGACAATATATGCAATGATGGCCATCCAGCAAGTTAAGGTTAGTTTATTATTGAAGAAAGAAATAATTTTTAAAATAAATTTGGTGTAGTCTAAGTGTACAGTGTTTATAAAGTCTGCAGTAGTGTGCAGTAGTGTCCTGGGCCTTCACGTTCACTCAGCATTCATTCATTGACTCACTCAGAGCAACTTCCAGTCCTGCAAGTTCTATTTATGGTGAGTGCCCTATACAGGTGTACCATGTTTTATCTTTATCTATATTTATCTGTATATTTATCCGTATTCTTACTGTACCTTTTCCATGTTTAGATTTTTACAAATATTCCATTTGCATTTCAATTACCTATAGTATTCAGTACAGTCACATACTGTACAGGTTTGTAGTTTATGAGCAATAGGCTGTACCACATAGCCTGGGTGTGTGGTAAGCTATGCCATCTAGGTTTGCTTAAGTACACTTTAGGACGTTTGTACAATAACACAATTTCCTGACAACACATTTCCCAGAACATATCCCTGTCGTTAAGTGGCACATGACTATAGATAACATGCTGAGTTGTGAAAAATGCTTCGTAAACAACGAATTTCTTTTCATTCATTTAATGAGTAAATATTGAACCGGGCTATATTGTGTTCCTTTTTTTTTTTAAGATTTGGGGATACAATGAATGAGACATAAGCCCTAACCTTGTGGAATTTATAGTCTAATGATTGAGTTTTAGAAGTGAAGTGATGATTCCAACTAGTGTAGTCAGTTCTATAGAAAGGGTCAACATAGGGGGATGAGTAAGCCGATGGAGAAAAGCCACAAAACCAGACTGAGGTGGACCAAGAAGGAAGAAAGATGTGTTCACTTAAGGTGTGTTTTGAAGGCTGGTCTGTGGGGTCAGAGCAGCTGAGTTTGCCAGATAAATACAGAATACCCTGTTACATTTGAACATTTGAACTTTAAATAAACAACAGATAATTTTTAATGTAAGTATGTCCCAAATATTGCATGGGGCCTAATTTTTCTTAAGTTCTGGGATACATGTGTAGGACGTGCAGGTTTGTTACATAGGTAAAGGTATGCCATGGTGGTTTTCTGCACCCATCAACCCATCACCTAGGTATTAAGCCTGCCTGGGGCATACTTATACTAAAAAGGCATTCATTGTTTATCTGATTTCAGATTTAACTGGGCATCCTATAGTTTTTATTTCCCAAATATATCAAACCTAGAGAATATCCTTTATGGGAATTGCAAGTAGTTGAGTAAACACAGAGTTCAGAGTTGAAGACAAGCATGTTGAGAGAGAATTGGGTTCAACTAAGTAGGTTGGGCCAAATTTGCAGCCTATTGTCAGGATGACATCCAGCAGACAACCAGTGAAGGGTTGTAAATGGGGATGTGATGTTCTCAAATTTTAAATTTAGGAGGAAACACAAAACTCTGGTTAAAGCATAATGGGGACTGCCTAAGGGAAACCATAGCTTGAAGAGAGGAAACACTGTAAGTCATTTTTAGATGCCAGTTTTTGAATTTAATTTTATTAAAAAATTGAGCTTCTTTCATATTCCTCTGAGGAAGGGTTTATTAAAAGTTCTTTCTCATTAGTCTATACTAATTTTATTCCTAAACCAGCAGAAAAGAACTTTGAAAAGAAAATTCTTTAACAAGAAGCAAACACAAGGTCTCACAAAATGAGAGCTTCCTTGCAAAGCACTCAGAATGCTTCCACAGGAATTATCTCATTTGTCCTCACAATCACTCTGCAATTTCCATTTTCGGAGGTGAAGGGATTATGTGTCAAAAGCTTCGTTTCTCTCAGTTGCTCCGTCTGACCTCAGGCAGGGACCCCCGAGGCTTCTCTGACAAGTGGAAGGCTCAGGGGTTCTTCTGAGGCCAGGAGGACAGCGCTGTGAGGAGGAGGCCACACTTTCTCCAGGCAGCGGGAAAGGCAGGCCTCAACTCTTCAGCAACAGCAGCGCCCAAAGTTCAGCCTGACTTTGAGGCTGATTCATGAGGGCTGGCCGTAATTTCTCTGGAGATGAAAATGCAAAAAGAAATTTCTCATCAAGCACAATGCCGCCAGCCACGATAATGCTGAAGCAAGATTCCCTTCTAGTAATTTGTCATCCATATTATCTTCCTGTCAGAATGTGTTGGCCTATAAAACCTATTTTTCTTCATCCAAATCTTGGTTTTTCTTCTCCCTCTCCCCTTCCTCTGATTCTCTGTCAGTCTCCTGGTCCTCTTAGTGTGTTCTTTACAAGATCATTCATTCAGTCATTCGCTATTACTATGATGACTATGTGTATGAGTTTGTTTTTTTTGCTGTAAAGGAATACTTGTGGCTGGGTAATTTATAACAAAAAGGTTAATTTGGCTCATGGTTCTTCGGGCTGTGCAAGTATGACACCAGCATCTGCTTGGCTTCTGGTAAGGCCCAGGAAGCTTTTAGTCATGGCGGAAAATGAACAGGGAGCAGGCAAGTTGCATGGTGAGGGAGGGAGCAAAGAGAGAGGAGGAGGTGCCAGTTTCCTTTAAACAACCAGCTGTCACACAAGCTAACAGAGCGAGAACTCACCTCACTCATTACTGTGAGGAGGGCACCAAGACATTCATGAGGGAGCCGCCCTCATGACCCAAACACCTCCTGCCAGGCCTCCAACATTGAAGATTACATTTCAACATGAGATTTAGAGGGGACCAACATCCAAACCGTATTGCTATGTGTATTAGTTTGTTCTCATACTGCTATAAAAGACATACCCCAGACTGGGTGATTTAATTCAGGAAAAGATTTAATGGACTCACAGTTCCACGTGGCTGGGGAGGCTTCACAATCATGGCAGAAGGCAAAGAAGAAGCAAAGGCACGTCTCGCAAGGCAGCAGGCAAGAGGCTATGTGCAGGGGATCTCCCCTTTATAAAACCATCAGATCTCATGAGCTATTCACTATCATGAAAATAGTATGGGGAAAAGCCCACCCCCATGATTCAATTACCTCCCACTGGGTCCTTCCCACAACACGTGGAGATTATTACAATTTAAGGTGAGATTTGTGGGGGGACACAGAGCCAAACCATATCACTATGATTACTATGATGACTTCAAACATGAGGCCTGTTTCTGACCTAATTATTGAAGAATAAAATGATGGTCAAAGACTTCACCTTACCAAGAGAAAGTTATAATAGTTTGAGAGAGAGAGAGAAAGAGAAATAGTAATAATAAGTAGCAATGATTACTAGATGCTGGGAACTTTATATACATTGATTCTAAGAACTTTATATACATTAATTCATTTAATAGTCACAACAATTCTATGAGAAAACAATAATTATCATCACCATTTTACAGATGAGAAAACTGAGGCACAGACGGTTTCAGAGAATTGCTTGCAGTCTCAAGGATGGTGGAAGAGCTGGACGGAGATAAGCAGTCTGGCTGCACAGTTAATTCTTAACAGTGTGCTTGATGAGTATGTATCACCTATCTAGAGATAATATGTTTTTCTACAATTCATTTGTGTAATATAAAGTTCATTACTTAAGGATCATTTTCTATGGGTATTTACACCATTGAATAGATGCAACAATAGAGGTAGCTGGGTGTATCATTTATCAACAGACCATCTAATCCAGATCAGAGGTGGCAGGTGTGTACATGGGACAGCTGTATCCGCTAGTCTGAAATTTTAATGAGGTTTTGGGTTAAATATTGAGATTTGAGAATCTTCTATAATAGAAATTTAAAACTATGAAATGATCAACTAGAATGAAGAATTGATGAAAGAGGAAGTTGAGAAAAAAACTCCTGAGCTTCAACATTTATTTAGCAGATGAGCAAAGACCAAGAACCATAAAGAAGGTATATAAGAAAGAGTGCGAGGCAGGTGGGAGAGGAGAGAAGAGAATGCCATGGGGGACCAAGGAATGACGTTCAAGGATGGAGTCATCAATGTGTCCAATGCAGCAGAGATGTCCACTTCACTTCCTAACCTGAAGGGTTGCTTCATGTACAAATACAAGTTGACAGAACAGAGCAAAACTGCTTCCTAGCAACTAGCCTGAGGTGGCTCAAGCTTTTCTTTAGTCCTGTGATATGGTCTGGCTGTGTCCCAACCCAAATCTCTTCTCAAATTGTAATCTTCATAATCCCCATGTGTTGAGGGAGGGTGTTGGTGGGAGGTGATTGGATCACGGGGGCAGTTTTTCCCATGCTATTCTCACAATAGTGAGTGAGTTCTCATGAGATCTGATGCTTTTATAAGAAGTTCTTCTCCCTTCTAACTCTCTCTGTCTTTCCAGCCACCTTGTGAAGAAGTTATTTGCTTCTCCTTTGTCTTCCGTCATGATTGTAAATTTCCTGAGGCCTCCCTCTAGCCATGCAGAACCGTGAGTCAATTAAATCTCTTCCCTTTACAAATTACCCAGTCTCAGGTATTTATAGCAGTGTGAAAACAGACTAATACACCCAGGTTGCTATTCTCCTCTTTTCCTTAAAAAGGTTGAGTGCTTCTCTTTCACACAAATGCTTTTGCATGATTGGAGGTCATCTGGGCTTCAACCAGCTTCCACCTAGTTCATCCTGTCTGGATGAGCCCCTTGGCCAAAGATGGCAAACCTGGGCCTTTGATTGTTCTGGTTTTATGAGTTTGCTTTTGACGGAGAAAATGAGATTAAATACCCATAGAACAGAATGGACTGGACTGAATCCATAGTCAGGTGAACTTGAGGGGAGAAGATAGAAGTCTTGAGAGAAATTACATTAATTAAAAAGGAGAGACAGTGAGTAAAGTTAAATTGAGTAAGGAATAATTATTTTTTATTTTTATTTATTTATTTATTTTGAGACTGAGTCTTGCTCTGTCACCCAGGCTGGAATGTAGTGGCACTATCTCGGCTCACTGCAAGCTCCACCTCCCAGGTTCATGCCATTCTCCTGCCTCAGCCTCCCGAGTAGCTGGGACTACAGGCACCCACCACCATGCCCGGCTAATTTTTTGTATTTTTAGTAGAGATGGGGTTTCACCATATTAGCCAGGATGGTCTCGATATCCTGACCTTGTGATCCGCACACCTCGGCCTCCCAAAGTGCTGTGATTACAGGCATGAGCCATAATCACTGTGTTAACAATACTGTCATCACTGACAATAACAATATTATTACTGCCTCTATGACTGCCACCACTGTCACTACTATGATTACTCCAACAGCCTCCATTTCTTCCATTACTTTTCTGTGGCCACAATAACTTATCTACCACCACTATTAGAATCACCACCATCAGCAACCATTCATTTGCTACAGTTGATGATGCTCATGTCGGCCCTTGGGATAAGGGGTTTACATAAAATATTGTGTTAAAACCTTACAGCATTCCTATCAGGAAAGTAGTGTCATTCTCCTTTAAGAATGAGAGGGCGGTTCAGGAATTGGAGTTGATTAACAGGTTATGGAGCCTGGGCTCTCAACCACTGCTTAATCCTTCCCCTGAATGCTGGCCACCTGTGACAGGTTATAACTACTTCATCTGCTACTCAATTTTTTTCGATGACAATGTAAGGTATCATTTTGATCTTGGGAGAAAGAGCCCTGCTCTTTAGTGTTTGTCTATAAACGTGTGGTATGAAAGGAAATATAAGTAGATGTGCTTTTGCCTCCCTGGCGGGAAGAAGGTGTTGGAGATATAAGGATGGTTATATAGTGCAGAGAGCAGGTGTCTGGGATTTGTCCTGGCCATTCTGAAGTTGCATGTCTTCGGGCAGTCACCTTACCTGGCTGCAGCCTAATTTCACCTCATTTTGTTGAAAGAGGTTTGTAAAAATTCTTCCAACTCTATCTCATAGGCTAGAATTAAGGAGATAGGAAGGAGCAGGGGAGAGATCAGCTTTCCTCAAGAAGCCAGTGTTGGGAGCAGCTTCTCAGGGTATTCGTTCCAATTCACCTGCATCTGAAATTTGGTGGGGGTTACAACAGACCTCTCACCTATGGAAAAGCATAACTGATCTTTAAGAAGCAAAGGTGGGGAATGGGTTTTACAGTGTTTACTGCTTTGGAATCAGAGGATCTTTAGCTCTGAAAGCTTTTGAGCAAAGTTCAAATTACATCAAAGCACAGGACTTCATAAACATTTTAATGAATATTCTTCCGGGAATGAAATTACTTTGGGTAATGCATTTGTTGGATGTTTTATGTAAGGAGAGGAAAATAAAATTGTGTCAATTAAATAAACTGAAGTGAACTTGATGAACTAAAGCTACTAAATATTTAAAAGATCTAAACCATTATATCACCCTTTTCGTTTCAATTTAACAGAAATACTGAAGAAGGTATTTAATAAAATGTTAACACAAATGTGTGAAAATTTATGAATTTATGAAAATAAGCATTTTATTAATCCAGTTCACACTGGTGTGGATTTCCTTCATTTTACTACTCAGTAGTTTGGAGTATGAGAGTGTGTGTGTGTGTGTGTGTGTGTGTGTGTGTGTGTGACAGAGAAAGAGAGAGAGCATGCACACACAAGAGATAGAAAACCCAAATCCCATGTCTAGATTTTCTTCACTGATAGCTTCAGAAACATGATTGATACCAAGTATCATATATGTAGTGCCAGCTTGTAACATAGCCTTCTTGAATTCTGCTTTAACTTGAGTGATTTGCAATTTCTTGACAGACAATGAAAGCAATCACTAATGTTTATTGAGTGTTTCTGTCTCTGCCAGGTGCCGTGCTAAGCATTTCTTATGAGGCCTTCCAAGATTTCTTATGAGATTGGCACTATTATTACCATCCTCATTTTATAGCTGAGGAAATTGAGGATCAGAACCACTAAATAAATTCTTAGGGCCACAGAGCTGCTAATAGCCAGTCCTTGAACCCACCTCCTTCAGAATCTAGAGCACAAGCTCTTAAACACCAGGTTATCCTGGGCGGCATTGGTTCCCTTTCAGTCCCACATTACTTGTTGCACTTGTTTGGGCATAATGTCGGGATTATTTTCTGAAGTTTGAAGAAATGACCTATCTTACAGAATGACTTCATCAATGGCCTGCTGTCCACAAAGTCAAGGATTGAACTCTGTCATGCACGGTGTTTCCAGCGAGAACTTCTCAGTTGTGTGCACATGGCCCCAGCATCCACCTCCTCTCCAATTCAGCAAGTCCTTCTTCAGCAGCACCTGATACCTGCTCTGTACCAGCCCTCCTGAATTCATTACAAGGCCCTGAAGACCCCACTGTGTCATGCCTCTTTAACTTGGCCCAGGCCATTTCCCCTCCCATCTTTGTGCCTGGTAAAATGCTACTATCAGTCATGTATTATCTTAAGCATCTCCCCCTCTGGGAGGAATTTCCCTGACCTCTCAAGCAGAGCCTTGTGCTTTCTCCATGGACTGATGCTCCAGCCTGTATGCTCACTAATTCCATAGCAGCGCTACTTTGCTCTACTGGCATTATTTTTGATGTGCACCATCTGCCCCATTAAGCCCATTGAGAAAAATGACCATCTTCTATTCCACTTTGTATTCCAAGTTCCTATTACAGTGTCTGACACATGAGAGAGACTCGATAAATATTTGGAAGAATAAATTTAAATGTGAATGAACAAAGAACAAATATTTGGAAAGAGGAGCAACTTGTTTCCAGCAAAAGGAAAGCACAGATAATTTTTTTTTTTAATGGTAGGATAGAGACTTAAAGAGGAACCTGGGGCAAGAAAATCAAAAATTAATTTCACATTTTGCTCAGCTTTAAAATCATTTCCCAAACCACAATGATGTAACTACTTTCATAAATCCATTAATACTCTCCAGGCTACTGTCTCCTGCCTCAAGGAAATTCCCTTGCCAAATGGAGAATTATTCTTAAGCCCTTGGGTTTATCCCCCATTCCTAACTTTAAAAGGCTTGTACATAGTTCCAGACACAAGAAAGCAGTCCTTTCAGCACCTCTCCTCCTACCATTATTTTAATGAATACTGGAACTCATTCAGCCTTAGAATTTAAGTGTTTCTGTCAGCATTTTAAAATCTTTTTGGATATAAGTAATTCGTATTCAAAATCTAAACATAATTTTCTATTCAAAAAAAGTTATCAGGATGATGCTGGCCTCATAAAATGAGTTAGGGAGGAGTCCCTATTTTCCTATTGTTTGGAATAGTTTTGGAAGGAATGGTACCAGCTCCTCTGAACCTCTGGTAGAATTCGGCTGTGAATCTGTCTGGTCCTGGACTTTCTTTGGTTGGTAGGCTATTAATTACTGCCTCAATTTCAGAACTTGTTATTGGTCTATTCAGGAATTCAACTTCTTCCTGGTTTAGTCTTGGGAGATTAAATGGGTCCAGGAATTTATCCATTTCTTCTAGATTTTCTAGTTTATTTCCATAGACGTGTTTATAGTATTCTCTGATGGTAGTTTGTATTTCTGTGGGATCGGTGGTGATATCCCCTTTATCATTTTTTATTGCGTCTATTTGATTTTTCTGTCTTCTTCAGTGGTCTGGCTAGCGGTCTATCTATTTTGTTGATCTTTTCAAGAAAATCAGTTCCTGGATTCATTGATTTTTGAAGGGTTTTTTGTGTCTCTATCTCCTTCAGTTTTGCTCTGATCTTAGTTATTTCTTGTTTTCTGCTAGCTTTTGAATTTGTTTGCTCTTGCTTCTCTAGCTCTTTTAATGATGTTAGGGTGTCAATTTTAGATCTTTCCTGCTTTCTCTTGTTGTCATTTAGTGCCATAAATTTCCCTCTACACACTGCTTTAAATGTGTCCCAGATATTCTGGTATGTGTGTCTTTGTTCTCATTGGTTTCAAAGACGGGCTTATGGGTGCAGCAAATCACCATGGCGTATGTATACCTATCTAACAAACCTGCACGTTCTGTATATGTACCCCAGAACTTAAAGTATAATAATAAAAAGTTAAACCCTATAAAAATTCACTTCTCCAAAAAGATAAAATGTTAGCATTTAGGAAGTAAATGTCCAGTGCTATCTGAAATTGCTAAAACCTTATGTTTTAAAAATTTTTTAGTCCTGCAGATGAATTTGCTTCAATCAAGTCTCACATTTTCATCCCTTGTGACTAGGGGCACAGGTTTTATTACAAAATTGGCTGGTCCAGAGGTCTCCTTGGTGTTCAGGTGTTCCAGGACTTTTCTTGAGAATTCACTTTTATGTGCCAGAAGCAACAATAACAATCCTTGTGAGGTAGATGTCTTGTCCCCATTCTATAGATTATAGCAAACAAACCAGAACAAAACAAAGATCACACCAAGCAACAGCAATCTAAACTGCCATGTAATGAAATCCAGGACTTAGTCCTATAGTGGCACTCCTCAAGGTAACCGACCTGTGTTGCCCTTCAAGTAGCAAAGCAGTATTTTCTTTTCTTTTAATGAAGAGTAAAGTTTTTGAATATTGAACTTTTTAACGGATACAGTAATATTTTTAAAAACTCTTTGATCAAAAGCCTCCATCTGCATTATCTTGAATATAATTCTTAGGTTATAAGAACTTGGATATAAAAAAACTACATCTTTAAGTTCATTAATCTCTAACTGAAATGTAACAGGTCTTCTAATTAAGAATTTAGGCAACATCCTTCAGTAGTACTAGCAGTACCTGTGACCTTGTCACTAATAGAAATCACAAAGACTTTCACATTACATTATAATAGTTGCTGATATATTGAAATGTTTTTATGTTCCTTGCTACTTTGAACTATGGTAGTTATCATATCTACTTTGATATGGTTTGGCTCCGTGTCCCCACCCAAATCTCATCTTGAATTCCTATCCTCATAATCCCCACGTGTCAAGGGAGGGACCTGAGGGAGATAGTTGGATCATGTGGGTGGTTTCCCCGTGCTGTTCTAACAGTGAGTGAGTTCTCATGAGATCTGATGACTTTATAAGTGTTCGACAGTTCTTCCTTCACATGCTCACACTCTCTCCCTGCCGCCTTGTGAAAAAGGCTCCTGTTTCTGCTTCTGCCATGGTTGTAAGTTTCCTGAGGCCTCCTCAGCCATGGGGCTCTGTGAGTCAATTAAACATCTTTCCTGTGTAAATTACACATTCTTGGGTATTTCTTTATAGTAGTGTGAGATGGAAGTAATACACCATTTTATATTGTTCTTTAATGGACTAATAGATAAGCATATATATTCTGGTATCCCAGATTTATTGTTTTAATATTTTGATAACTGCACTTTCAATATCATTGATTTCCTTGACAATATTATGAATGTTATTTTATGCACTTGAAAATATTATCGTAAAAAAAGGACCCATAGACTTCCAAAGGTTCCAGGCACAAAAAAGTTACAACTTTTAAATCTTTAATGTGTGTGCCATACTCAATCATTTTTAGTTATTTCTTTTCTTTTCTTCAGTTTCTCCCTCTCTTCTCTCCGTCTATTCCTTTCTTCATCCCTACCTTTTTCTCCCTCTTCCCTTCCTCTCTGTCTCACTCCCTCCCTTTCTCCCTCTACCTACTGGTGCTAAACATGAATATTCTATTCAGGCTTCTATCTCTTCTAATACATAGTAGACTGAGTTTATCTTGACTTCCTTTTTCCTCATCTGACTGTCTTAACCTTCTCTGAAATATAGTGCTCTGTATACAGAAATACAGCGTCTGAAAAAGCTGGAGGAAGTGGGGGATCTAACGGGGTCCTTGTGTTATCTTTGTGACAAAGCTTAGCTCTGCTTTCTTTTCTGAGATTTTGTTAAATGCTTTATATTCAGGGGTATTTCCTTCTTGAATAAGGAGGGAAACACAGACTTTATATTGTTTCCTCAATTCATTAAAACCCGCCGCGGGTTCTACCACGGAGAGAGAAAGAAAAATCCTGGAGGTACATACGCTGTTTTGGCCTCATTTCTTATTGTCTAGGGGAGGAAGATGTGAAAACCTCACCTGGTCTTCCGTGTGTCTCTTTCCTATGAATTAGTTTTCACAAAGAAACATTCTTTTTCCTCTATGTTAAGTACCTGTGTCTGGCAGATAATAAATATTTCAATGTTATTATGACTTTCCTGCTTTTGCTACCTTTTCTTTCAGTCTAGAGGGTTTATAATGTTATCCTGTCCCAGTGATTTTAGGTAATGTTTTTTTTAAAGCTCTTGAAATATTAATTAAGGACATATAATTCTGTTTCTCCATGGAGTTTAACACAAGAAAGTTCCTTAGATATTCCACAAAATAGTCCTACAATACAGATAGAATTCAGGTATCTACTGAAATTCTTCTTAATTAAATTTGTATATTCAATAGCATGGTTTTCATTCTTATTTTTACCTCTGTTCAAAAAGTGAGGGCCCAGACTATCATTTATGGCCCCGTTATTTGAAGAGCTGGAACTGAGTATGGGGATAGAGTGTAACCTGCCCTTAGGACAAAAATTATGCATCAGAGAGAAGTTAAAAGACAGCATCTCAGGGCCAAGCTGGAATTAAGACAAGCAGACAGACAGGGAGTCATACTTAAGCTAACTGACTCATAAAAGCTGAGTAGAAGATAAAATTTTGAAGGACCAAGATGGAGTTCCAGGATCCTGACTAGAGGAGAGAAGGTAAAGCTTGGATAGAAAGGTTTTTATAGCTATTTGAGCTTATCCAAGGCTGAGGAGAGAGATGTCAAGGACATTTGGAAATTTCTTCTATACAACTTCAATGTTCTAATGAATAATCACACTTTTTTCCATCTCTATCCTTTTATTAATTTGAGGAAGAGTTCTCATGGCAATTATAGAGGACAGGCACTTGCTTGAATGTTTGAGAATCAATAAAGATACCCATGCTACTGTAATGAAATTAGAAAGAGGGAAGAGGTAGCAGAGAGGGTCAGAAAGAAGAGGACAGATTATGTAGAGTATTGTGAATCTTATAATAAAGTTTTGAGTTTTTCCTGAGAATGTTGAGAGCTACTTGGTGGTGTTAGTTGGAAGAATAAGATAATAGAGTTGCTAATGGTTCTCTATAGCTGCTGTGTTTAAAATAGATTACAGAAGGTTCAGAATAGAAGCATAGGAATCATCAGGAGTCTACTGCAATTGTCCAGGCAGGAGATGAAGATGAATTAGACTATGTTGGGGTGGTAAGAAGTCTTATTTATGAGACTTATGATGGATTAGATATAGGGTGTGATAGAAAGAAAGTGTTAAGGATGACACTGGGAATTTGGAACTGAGGAAGTAATAGAATTGAATTGCTATCGACTGTGATAGGGAAGCTCCAAAAGAAACAAATTTTTGGAAAAGGATAAATCAAAAGTTCCGTAAGTAGTCACCTACCTTGCTCGTCATCCAAATGTGTGGGTTTCTCCAAAACTGCTATATAGGAATAATTTAGAGACAGTATTCTTTCATGCTAAGCATGAGGGTGAAGCTTGAAACTACTTTTGCATGACACTTTATATGAAATTAAGATAATTAAATTGTGCAGGCCAGGTGTGGTGGTTCAGGCCTGTAATCCTAGCACTTTGGGAGGCCAAGGCGGGCAGATTGCCTGAGCTCAGGAATTCGAGACCAGCCTGGGCAACATGGTGAAACCCCATCTCTACTAAAATACAAAAAATTAGCTGGGTGTGGTGGCATGTGCCTGTAGTCCCAGTTACTCGGGAGGCTGAGACAAGAGAATTGCTTGAACCCGGAGGCGGAGGTTGCAGTGAGCCGAGATCACACCACTGCACTCCAGCCTGGGTGACAGAGCAAGACTTCATCTCCAAAAAAAAAAAAAAAAGTAATTAAATTGTACGTATCTCAGAGCTAGGTGCTTTTGGAGACTATGGCTAACTAAGTCATTCTTTGATACCAATACCGCCCAGTGGGAAGTTCAAACCTCCAGAAATGGATCTGATCTTCCTGGAAGTAACACCTTCATTGAGCTGACTGTCTTAGGATTTTGCTGATAATTACAATGATTCTTACACCAGAAGCAGAGATACAAAAAATGTTAATAAGTAGTCTAATAATCCTGTTCAAGTCTTTTCATGAAGAGAGAATCATCACCATACCCGTCTTTATCAGGGAACATTCTGCCTTCCAGAAGAATCCATGCTAAATAATTATGAAAGGAATCAATTACAGGTACTTATAAAAGTGTAGGACTTGCAATTGTGGGAAGCTGCCATCAACCCTCAAGTTGGAGGGACTAAGAGAGGAGCTGGGGCCACCAGTGGAAATAGTAACCATGTTTATCTTCTCAGCAGCAACTGGCCCATGGAGCTGGGGCCAGAGAGCTGAGGGGACCTCTGTGGAGATGATGCCTGTATTAGTTTGTTTTCACACTGCTATAAAGAACTACCTGAGACTGTGTAGTTTATGAAAAAAATGGAGGTTTAATTGACTCACAATTTCACAGGCTTAACAGGAAGCATGACTGGAAGATCTCAGGAAACTTACCATCATGGCGAAGGCAAAGGAGAAGCAAGGCACATCTTCCCATGGCAGAGCAGAAGAGAGGGAGTGAAGGGGGAGGTGCCACATACTTTTAAACCATCAGATCTCATGAGAATCCACTCACTATCACAAGAACAGCAAAGGGGAAGTCTGCCCCCATGATTCCATGAGCTCCTACCAGTCCCCTACCCTGACACGTGGGGATTACAATTCGACCTGAGGTTTGGTTGGAGACACCGAGCCAAACCCTATCAATGCCTAAAGCAAAAAGATAGAGGAAAGATACATGGGCTTTCTCTTCCTCCTGCCCGTAAGTCTCCTGTGCTTCCCACCCAAACGCAGGTGGCAGTGAGACTCAAAACATGGTCCCCAGGGATCACCACCCATGGTATTCAGAGTAGCGGAGAGAAGAGGGATTGAGTAGAGGTCAAACAAGCACATCATTATCAACTTCCAACTATCTCATGGAGGTATTGGGTTGAAATAAGAATGAAGTTGGTGAATTTTTGCCTCAGAAATTAAGGAAAAAAAAGAATTATTTGGGGTTTTGGGTAGTCAGCATGGAGTCAGATCTTGGAGAACAGAGACTGTTTTTGTTGAGAACTGGGTTTGTTTTGAAGGTTTGTAATATTTCCATGTTTATTTTATTTTCTTTGTAGCAGTAGATTCCTTTCTTTCTGCTATAGAAAGGGGAAACCTGTAGCCTTGTAGTATAGTTTGAAGTCAGGTAGCTTGATGCCTCCAGCTTTGTTCTTTTGGCTTAGGATTGACTTGGCAATGTGGGATCTTTTTTGGTTCCATATGAACTTTAAAGTAGTTTTTTCCAATTCTGTGAAGAAAGTCATTGGTTGCTTGATGGGGATGGCATTGAATCTATAAATTACCTTGGGCAGTAAGGCCATTTTCACGATATTGATTCTTCCTATCCATGAGCATGGAATGTTCTTCCATTTGTTTGTATCCTCTTTTATTTCCTTGAGCAGTGGTTTGTAGTTCTCCTTGAAGAGGTCCTTCACGTCCCTTGTAAGTTGGATTCCTAGGTATTTTATTCTCTTTGAAGCAATTGTGAATGGGAGTTCACTCATGATTTGGCTCTCTGTTTGTCTATTATTGGTGTATAAGAATGCTTGTGATTTTGCACATTGATTTTGTATCCTGAGACTTTGCTGAAGTTGCTTATCAGCTTAAGGAGATTTTGGGCTGAGATGATGGGGCTTTCTAGATATACAATCATGCCATCTGCAAACAGGGACAATTTGACTTCCTCTTTTCCTAATTGAATACCCTTTATTTCTTTATCCTGCCTGATTGCCCTGGCCAGAACTTCCAACACTATGTTGAATAGGAGTGTTGAGAGAGGGCATCCCTGTCTTGTGCCAGTTTTCAAAGGGAATGCTTCCAGTTTTTGCCCATTCAGTATGATATTGGCTGTGGGTTTGTCATAAATAGCTCTTATTATTTTGAGATACATCCCATCAATACCTAATTTATGAAGAGTTTTTAGCATGAAGGGCTGTTGAATTTTGTCAAAGACCTTTTCTGCATCTATTGAGATAATCATGTGGTTTTTGTCGTTGGTTCTGTTCATATGCTGGATTACGTTTATTGATTTGTGTATGTTGAACTATCCTTGCATCCAGGGATGAAGCCCACTTGATCATGGTGGGTAAGCTTTTTGATGTGCTGCTGGATTCGGTTTGCCAGTATTTTATTGAGGATTTTTGCATCAATGTTCATCAAGGATATTGATCTAAAAATTCTCTTTTTTTGTTGTGTCTCTGTCAGGCTTTGGTATCAGGATGATGCTGACCTCATAAAATGAGTTAGGATTCCCTATTTTTTTATTGATTGGAATAGTTTCAGAAGGAATGGTACCAGCTCCTCCTTGTACCTCTGGTAGGTTACTGGTACCAAAACAGAGATATAGACCAATGGAACAGAACAGAGCCCTCAGAAATAATACCACAGATCTACAACTATCTGATCTTTGACAAACCTGACAAAAACAAGAAATGGGGAAAGGATTCCCTATTTGACAAATGGTGCTGGGAAAACTGGCTAGCCATATGGAGAAAGCTGAAACTGGATCCCTTCCTTACACCTTATACAAAAATTAATTCAAGATGGATTAAAGACTTAAATGTTAGACCTAAACCATAAAAACCCTAGAAGAAAATCGAGGCAATACCATTCAGGACATAGGCATGGGCAAGGACTTCATGTCTAAAACACCAAAGCAATGGCAACAAAAGCCAAAATTGACAAATGGGATCTAATTAAACTAAAGAGCTTCTGCACAGCAAAAGAAACTACCATCAGAATGAAGAGGCAGCCTACAGAATGGGAGAAAATTTTTGCAATTTACTCATCTGACAAAGGGCTAATATGCAGAATCTACAAAGAACTCAAATAAATTTACAAGAAAAAAACAACCCCATCAACAAGCGGGCGAAGGATATGAACAGACACTTCTCAAAAGAAGACATTTATGCAGCCAAAAGACATGTGAAAAAATCCTCATCGTCACTGGCCATCAGAGAAATGCAAATCAAAACCACAATGAGACACCATGTCACACCAGTTAGAATGGCAATCATTAAAAAGTCAGGAAACGACAGGTGCTGGAGAGGATGTGGAAAAATAGGAACACTTTTACACTGTTGGTGGGACTGTAAACTAGTTCAACCATTGTGGAAGACAGTGTGGCGATTCCTCAGGGATCTAGAACTAGAAATACCATTTGACCCAGCCATCCCATTACTGGGTATATTCCCAAAGGATTATAAATCATGCTGCTATAAAGACACATGCACACATATGTTTATTGCTGCACTATTCACAATAGCAAAGACTTGGAACCAACCCAAATGTCCATCAATGATAGACTGGATTAAGAAAATGTGGCACGTATACACCATGGAATGCTATGCAGCCATAAAAAATGATGAGTTCATGTCCTTTGTAGGGACATGGATGAAGCTGGAAACCATCATTCTCAGCAAACTATCACAAGGACAAAAAACCAAACACTGCATGTTCTCACTTATAGGTGGGAATTGAACAATGAGAACACTTGGACACAGGAAGGGGAACATCACACACTGGGGCCTGTTGTGGGGTGAGGGCAGGGGGGAGGGATAGTATTAGGAGATATACCTAATGTAAATGACGAGTTAATTGGTGCAGCACACCAGAATGGCACATGTATACATATGTAACCAACCTGCACGTTATGCACATGTACCCTAGAACTTAAAGTATAATAAAAAATATATATAAAAAAAGAAAGGGGAGACCTATGAAGAATACATTCTACTTCACAAACATTGTAAGGAGAGAAAAATCGCAGATGATGGAATTAATCAAGGAGGAGGTTAAGAGGATAAAAATTGGCAAATCATGTGGAATTATAAATTATGAAAAACTTAAGCAAAATAGAAGTGAAGCAGTAACCCTTTAGTAACACTCATTCTCAAGTTCAGCTTTCTTCTTTTTTTCAGATGATATTCTAGATGATGGTTGGAAGTTTTTACTGAAGTAATTATTTGTTTTCCCATCACCATTTATTAGAGCTATGATAAGCAAGCTTCTTTTTCTGTTTCTCTTCGAATTTAAAGTCATTGCTTTTGCATCTGAAATAGCACCCACCTTGTACAATGCAAGTCAAGTTTTTTTTTCTTCATAAGCATCATAACCTGGAAACATTTGTTGAATATAACCAATATGGAGTCTGTCACTCGGAACTTGACAAGTCATATTTTGCAAAATCATTTGCTGTGTATATGGTCTTTTTTAAAGGAGACACTAGTGTCAAAACTTTGGTAATTGTAAATTCAACTTTATGATTTGAAATTTTTGTAGAGAATCCAGATTTGATTTTGTCGCCTGCAAGTCTGAAGTTTATAATGCGTGTAATTTGATTTTCTTCTCTAGAGATATTTTATCTAGTCAATATGAGTCTTTATCAGCTTAAGCAAAGTAAAAATTTCCATATACGTTATTGTGAAAATCCTTTACTTCTAAAGATACTGTTAGAAACTGTTGCTAATTTTAAAAGACATTGGTAGGGTGAGCCTTGGACTTACTTCAAGTATATATTCTGGAAATGTTTCTAATTCTTTATTTTACACTTATCATACTAATTTGCTTTTCTTTTGTAATTTTCTGTCATGTCCTCAGTATTTCCCATGTTAAATTCTTGAAAATTCTTTAAACTGAAAGTCATTTTCAGAAATTCAAATTTGTATTTTAAAAATATGTATGTCTTATAATTTCAATAGACTATTTCAGAAAGTAAAATTCTAAAGATCACTTAATTTGCTAAGTGCTTTACACGTTTTATATTTTACCTTTGTACACATTATCTTAATAGCCCTATGGAATGGTTCAGTAGCTTTCGTTTTTTTAGAGAGGAGAACCTTGCAGTTCAGAGAGAAGGGATGACAGCTGTAACTGTGATAGTGTGACTCTACCCAGGCCTGTTGATGAGGATAACTTATGTACAGTGCTCAGCAGAGTCCCTGAAATAGTAGTGATTCAGCAAGTGTTTGCTTCATTCCATTTACTACCCTGTATTTGGAATGTTGTCTTATTCTAGAAAAAAATATACAATAGGAAAATTGCCTTGCCTCTTATGGGATTCTTTGGTATCTTTCAGATGCAGATAACAGCTTTTAAAACAGCAAATGAATCCACTGATAATATGACTGCCTTGTTGATTCTAAAGGTATTGCAGTTGTCATTTATGATGATGAGGTTCAGAAACTTATGAAATAAATGAACGCATAGACATAGAATAAGAATCTTAAGTATTTGAATAGTGACTGAAATTTAAAAGCCAATAATATTCTGATTTTTTAGAACTCTTCATTGGAAGGGCTATTGAATCCCTAGAAATATTCCTGTAGTTAAGATGAAGTCTAGTTTTCCATGGAAGCCAAGTAGGTCTCTCCTTTGTTATGACTTTTGGAAAATAACATCTTTTTTCCCCTTTCCTCCTCTTCCTCAATCCTCAGACTTCTAAACATTGTTATTCACATTAGAATTGTGCCTTCTGGTTGGTATGATTTGCAAACATGTGTTGACATATAATTCTAGGCCAGGCACCATGCATGGAAATAACAGAACTGGACATATTCTCTGCCTCTGGAAATTCAGATCCTTAATGGAATTCAGTAGCGTTTTTATTATTGCAAAAATTGCTTTCATATCCATCATCTCATTAGCTTTTCACCAACATCTTTGAGGATAGTACCAGTATTTTAGTGAGGTTAAATATGCTTAATGTTACTCAGAGATGAAGTGAGACACAAACGTGTGTTCTACTCTTTTTTCTAAGGTGGTGGTGATGTTTTTCTTGCCATGTGGGATCTGTAGAAAGCCATCCTGTTCTCTTAGAAAATCGTACCTTCCCCTTGCCTTTATAGCTTCCACAACCTCCACCCTCAGGCATATAAGGCTATACCGCACCCTGCTTCCCTTGGGAAAACCTGATATAATCAGGACAATAACAATGGTGAGTTGTGTACCTTAGTCTACCCCAGAGGCTGGAAAGGTAAAAGAAGAACCATATATTTTCTAGACTCATTTGCAGCTAGCGTTCCTTCATGGCTGCTATTTTCCATCAATAAGCACAGCCATGGCAGTGGTCTTCACACGCAGACTTCTGACTTGGAGCCACCAGAATTGGAGCCATGAAGAAAGGCAATTTTCCAAGTCTAGAACTGAGAAAAGAATGTGATGAAAACTTTATACTTCTTACTAAAAAAATACCTAAATACACTTACACATGCACAAAATGTTATTGTAAATTTACTTTATAGTTGTAATTGGCTTCTCAACATTAACTTATATCTCCTCTTCGGTAATTTCAATTCCCATTGACAAGTTCCTTCCCCCAGTGAGTGCAGCCTTGGTGAGGGTGGGAATTGGTGTTGATGACCTCAGCATTTTACTCTTTTCTGTATCCATGCCCTTCAACTTGTGACTTAACAGATACACTTAAAGAAGCAATTGAGTATATTTTCCCTATCCCTTGATTGTGAGTTTGCCCTCAAGAATGTAGTAGGGGTGAAGGTACGTACCACTTCTGGGTTTTAGTCTCAAGAGACCTTGGGAATTTCCCCATTTCTCTTGTGCCTCTGTTTTCACTGTGAGAACATGGCTGGGCTAGTCTGATGCAAGATGAGGGACACATGAAGCAGCGATTCAGAAAGCTGAGGTTATCACAGACCATCCAACTCCATCTGACCCCTAGATATATGAGCAATTTCAACTAAGATTAGCAGAGCTCCCTAGCTGATCACGAGCAGTAATGCAGTAGTAAGTTTTTACTACTTATTGCTGTATACACCATTATAATGGCAATAGGTAACTGCAACATTGGGATTACAAATCAAAATACTGTTCCTTTCCCTGTCCAAATGGTTGACAATGGCCAAAAGCTTGGCCAACTGAAGACTTTAAACTTGAATTGGGGGAGGCAAACATAATAACAAAATTTATTTTCTGGTAATCATTCACTCCAGTTGAAGGACTCAGATGAGACTGCTGAGTAGTTTCTGATACATGCATCCAAGAACACACCCTAACATCTGTGCATTTGACACTATGAACCACATTTTATTGCTCCAATAAATTTATCTTTCTTTTCAAATTTGCCAGAGTTCACTTCTGTGGTTTGCTGTTAAAGTTACTAATACTTTGTTTAAAATTACCTTAAAGCTAAGTGGCGTAAACGAATCATTTTATTTTATGGATGATTTCGTGAGTCAGGAATTAGGGAAAGACTGTTTTTACTTGGAGATTTTTATGTAGTTGAAGTCAGATGTGAGACATTGAAATGTTTAACAAGACTGGACTTTCAAGATAGCTCACCTAACTAACTAGTGATTGTTCTTGGCCATTGGCTGGTGACTCAGCTGTGCTGTGCTGCAGAATGCCTACCTTTGGCCTTTATAGGTACTCTCAGGATACTTGGCATCTTATACAGTAGCTGGCTTCCTCCAGAGTGAATGTCCTGAAAGAAGCAGGCATTCGTCCTCTCTATATGGGAAGGTCAACAAATTTTGGCATGTTTGAGAAAACCACTATATTCTGCCCTCTGGCCACAAATTGGTTTTATTTTCCCACTCGTAAAATATGCTCTCTCCCTCCCCTAAATTTCCCAAAGTCTTGTCCACTAAGATTAGGGTATGAGTCTAAGGCTTTGTGCCAAGGATTTCATCATCTAAATCAGGTCCACTTGTAGATAAGGCTCCTTGGGTTTGATTCTTTGGTCACAGTTCCTCTTAATTTAAAAAATGTAGTGAATTAAAGAAGCAATTTTACTGCCCTTCACCCATCCATTATACTGTACTGCACAGGGGTAGGATGAATGCAGTAAACACTCTAGCTCCAAAACGGGGAAATGGGAGACACATAACAGCCGCTGGCCCATATTACTCTGTAGTCCAGATGGCTGTACTTGACAGTTTGATTAGGACCAAGTTCTGCTCCCTGAAACAAAATTTATAGAGCAATAAATTGAGATTTTATTTCGTGATTAAGATTAGAAATACTTTTTATGAATTGTAATTCTTTCACTCTCATTTTTTCTTACAAAAGTTATGCCAACTTTTTGGAAAAATAGTTGAAAGAGATCTAAATTGTGCTAATACCAGTTTCATTTAGTTTGATTTTAATGAGACATTCAGACACAGAGTGCATGTTGAAGTAGCAATATGCAGGTCAAATTTGATATCCATTTGATTTTGATGTTGATTTTTGTAGGAATAAGTGCCAAAAACCCTGACTGAAACCAAATGTTTATTCTCATTATACTCTTTGTTATAGGAGGATAATTTATCTCTTGAAACACTGAATATTTTTGAGATTCTTTGGGGGTTGAATTCATGATTTCACTTCCTGTGTCCTCAACTCAATGAAGAAATCTTTTTAGGCATTTCATCATTGATTGTTACCTGTGTTTTCAGGAAAAAAATTAGAAAACTTTTTCCATCTAGCAGAAGTAATTTTCAGCAGAAGTTTATAATATTTCCAAGTGCCTATAGACTTCTAAAAAAATGAACTTGATTTTATCATTTTCCAACTTCATTCTACTGAAATGCTTCCTCCAGCACTGGGAGGTTTTCAACCATTTCTGACTCTAATCTCTTCCAATGTGGTGAGCTGGCCAAACGTATAGAGTTGGCCAGGAGCACCCATAAAGTGACTACACGGCTTCCAATTGAATGATTTATCTCATTCTTAAGTGCTCACATAGCTGCCAACTGTGCAAAGACATAAATGGACTTCACCCCTTCAGAGTGTCCTAGAATATGATTTACTTTTCTCATAAAAACATGCAACTTCTGCCCAAACTTCAAGCAAGCCCCTCAAGACTAATTCTCTTGTAAGTCAGAGAACATCTGTGCAGAAGACATCTTGGTATTCTGCATCCTCTGCTAACCAAAACCATCTGAAGAGGCTGTTATTCAAAACCTCACTCAGATGAAATAACACACTTTGAAGGAAGTAGATAACACTTCTAGGACTCTAGGATGTCTGTGATTTCAGAACAAAGCAAAGAAACCTCTTGACATGTACAACTTCCTTCATTAAGGCAGAAAAAAAATTAATATTGTCAAGTATGACAGGTGAAACTTCTGTGAGTTCCAGGAATACTTATGCAAAGGTTTTCCCTGGCAAAGAAATGTCACTATTTTGAGGTTATCGGTTGCATTCACAATTTCTAAAAGGGGCTTAAAAGGGCATTTTTTAAATAGACATGTTAGCTAGAAAATAAATTTAGATACTGGCACAATTGAGAGATAGTGATAGTTCCCTAGCTGACTCTGAAGGAGGATGATTAGGTACATTACTGTCTAAAACATAGTAGAAGGATATCAGCAATTTTGGAGATAATATTATCGATTGAGGCAGTACGTTGATTTTTTGAATTTGCCTATTTCTAGGTCTCCCAACCCCCACTCCCCACTCCCAAATTCATCTGTTGAAGTCCTAATCTCTTGTCCTTGGAACCTGACTGTATTTGGAGATAGGGTATTTAAAGAATCAACTAAATTCAAATAAAATCATTACAGTGAGTCCTAATCCAATATAACCTGGTATTGGATCTGGATTCTGGTATCTTTATCAGAAGAGGAGGTTACAACACAGACTTGTGCAGAGGGATGACCATATGAAGACACAGGTAGAATACACCCATCTCCAAACCAAGGAGAGGGCCTCAGAAGAAAACAATTCTGCTAACACCTTAGTTTTGGACTTCCATCCTCTAGAAATGTGAGAAAATTAATTTCTGTTGTTTAAGTTGCCCAGTCTGTGACACTTTATGCTGGCAGCCCTGACATACATCTGTATTCTTTAAGATCTGACCAACCATAGGAGACTTTTTTATTGTTTGGTTATGTGATAAGCTTTCTTGGAGGATGCTTGGAGGATATCCTGTTTTGGTCAGAACAAATCCAAGTTTTTGTAAAGTTATAATATTTTCAAAGCAAGTCCCCATCTCATGAAAAAGTCCTGTGATTCTTGTTGTCTTACCATGACTGTCACTGAATGTGTTTCTCTAGTTGTGTGGACTTTAAGACTTACTCTGGCACACAAATAAACACTGACATTTGTGTCCCATCTTGCTCAGTAAGAAAGGAAAGCCAGGAGACACCTAAGCTTTATTCCATTGGTCATTTCCAGTGGAAGGTGATCCTGAGGAAAACTCAGAAGTTTCCCTAATAATATGGTAGAGAGTGTTTTTACTAATTCTTATTAGTGGTAAATAATTCTGGGCCTTATTGTGTAATGAATATTTTAATTATTTAATGAATTGCATGGTTTAATTATTTTTGTTATGGCTGGGCCCCGTCATCTGGGAGAAGAAACAAAAGAGAGCCTGGAGAAGACGCATTTGCTTTCTTCATGCCCTGTCCTGGAAGGAACCAACTAACTTCCACTCACATTCCATAAGTGAGAAATAGTCACTTGGCCACACTGAGATGCAGAAAGGCTGGAAACTGTGATCTTTCACTGTGTACCCCATTTGTAGTCACAACACTGTAGCATGGAAAGAGGTGCCCAGATTTTGGTGGAGAGCTGGCTGTCTCTGCCAAAAATGGCCAATGCCTATTCAGTACTCACTGTTTGCTAGATGCTGCTGTAAGCCCTTTCATATGCTTCATCGTTTAATTCTTACGCCAACCTGTTGGTGAGTTCTGTTAGTATTTCCAGAATACAGATGACAAAATTGAGGAAGAATTAAATAAGCTGGTTATACTCAAACAGCTAGAAAATGGAAAGGCAAGATTTCAATCCAGTCCAAGCCATCTGGCCCCAAATTCCATAATCTTAACCATTATACTACACCAATTATTTGTGTTTATTATAAAGGAACTGATTAGATCACAAAATCATGAAAGACTAGGACTTCAAGACCATTTGGACAAGACAGTGAAGGGTATTTTCTCCAAGCTAATTTCATTCCTGTCTTCTTTGTAGTCAATGAAAATAATATTTCTAATATTTCAAAGCTTGGGTAACCCCCATCTCTTACATAGTTTCTTCATCTCACTACCCTATAGAATTATCTTCCTCCGTTTATCTCCCATAGCACTCTGTACCTTGCATCTCTTTCATTTAAAGATTTATTTACTAATTCACTGATTAAGTTATTTATCAATCTATTGGCTATCTTTTGAGCACTTATTAAATTCCAGGTACTGTGGTAGGCACTGGTGATGCACAGAATAGCAAAGGAATTGTTTTTCCAAGGTTTCACAGTCTAAAGGAATATGAATGTGGGAAATAGACATTGAATTGCTTATATTACTATGGAATTCTCTTGTGTTTGTTGTGTTTTAATGGTGAATTTTTGGCTTATAATTTCTACCACTGTTCCTTCCCTCATTGTGTCTTGTATGGTGGGAGACACATAATATGACTTGGGACAATGCCTGTCTTTTAAACATACAAATTTTATTCTTTTAAGTAATTACATATATACATATACATACATACATATATATATACACACACACATACTTTTTTTTATTATACTTTAAATTCTGGGATACATGTGCAGAACGTGTAGGTTTGTTACATAGGTATACATGTGCCATAGTGGTTTGCTGCACCCATCAACCCGTCATCTACATTAGATATTTCTCCTAATACTATCCTTCCCCTAGCCCCCACAACCTTCTCACAGGCCCTGGTATGTAATGTTTCCCTCCCTGTGTCCACATGTTCTCATTGTTTAACTCCCACTTATGAGTGAGAACATGTGGTGTTTGGTGTTCTGTTCCTGTGTTAGTTTGCTGAGAATGATGGTTTCCAGCTTCATCCATGTCCCTGCAAGGGACATGAACTCATCCTTTTTTATGGCTGCATAGTATTCCAATAACACTGTTGGTAGCAGTGTAAATTAGTTCAACCATTGTGGAAGACAGTGTGGCAATTCCTCAAGGATCTAGAACCAGAAATACCATTTGACCCAGCAATTCCATTACTGAGTATATACCCAAAGGATTATAAATTATTCTACTATAAAGACACATGCACATGTATGTTTATTGCAGCACTATTCACAACAGCAAAAGACTTGGAACCAACCCAAATGCTCGTGAATGATAGACTGGATAAAGAAAAGACACATATATATCTTTAACTCATTTGTATTTTAGAATAATATTTCAGCATTGGTTTGAAAATACACCAATGAATAATGAGGTACTCCATTAGAACATAAGAAAAGCTGAACTTAATAGTGGCATCAATATCCCTTGTACCATAAAGCTGCTTGCAAGAATGGTCATTTTTTTCAAATTTGGTGAGTGGAATTTGATCATGGGCACTGGGCTATTGGCAATGACAGGGATAGTGTCCCATAATGAGCAACCAATTTCTAACTCAAATAAATGTCACATTTGCTCACCTTTAGCTGAGCTGAAAATAGCTCACATATTGCATGTAATAATCAATGCCAACTTACAATATTTTTTGTAAGAAGACTAATATAAAGTGCAGCACATTTATAAAACACACACAAACACACAACTGGTGGTTAGATAATCTGTTTAATTACCCATTTAAATCCAAAGTCTCAAAATGTCTTGTGTCCAGAGTTGGGGGACTTTTAATAATTAGTCGGTCATATAGGAAACTCAGAGAAGAAAGCTAGTTGTGCTGTAGTTGCAACAATCAATTTAAAAGTGAGAAAAACTCAATTAACCACCCAGATTGTGTTAAATACATAATAATTTACCTGATTTTTCTCTCCACTGGAAGTAATGCAGTTATAGAAACAGCCTCAAACACAACACCTTAGTTTTAGTTTTCTGGGTTTTAGGGCTTTTCTTTGAGCAATGAGGTAACTGCAACTGAGTTTGAGTAATCACTTTTAAAATTAACATCTCTGTTGGTAAAATGAAGGAAAATTTTGACTCATTGATTTGTATCATTTTGGAGAAGTAATCTTTTATCCTTATGCACCTTAATTCTGAAGCAAATGAATATTTTGTCCAAATTAATTATTATTAATTACCCTAATTTTTACCTTAATTTTCCTAGTAGTGGTTTTTCTTATTAATACTGTTTGTAGGCTGAGGTCATCTAATAGAATAGTTGTAGCTGTTGTTCTGGGGGAATAACAGAAAACATCTCTTTCATAACTATGTAAACTGTCAGAATTTTCACCATATTTTATACATGCATATTTTGACTATTTGCTTCCCCCCAAAATGTGTTGTAGATTACAACGGAAATAGAAAAAAACTGAGTATTTCTCCCTACAAAGGGTCTCTTCTTATAAAAGACCCCCAGGAAAATCCTTTACATGAGATTTGAGGCACAATATTGCCACCAGGTAACACAGTTTATTCTCTTGATAAGCAAATGAAGTGAAGAGACTATGACTCTTGTCTATTTTTAAGTAAGATGTAGTCAGCAGTCTCTAAGGGCAGCCTGTTGACCCCCCACCTCATACTCAGATGCTTGTGTAATCTTCTTCCCTTGAATGTAAGCCAGATTTATTGGCTGGCCTCTAACAAATTGAATAGGGCCAATAGATAGAATTTCAATGCTGAGATTAGGTTATGAAAGTATCGCAAGTGGAATCTAGATTTTTCAACACATTTTCCAATCAATACTTCAGAGAACAAATAATTTCTTTTAATCGAAGGCCGTACTTTTCCAGATTAAAAGGGCCCGCTTCTCATATAGAAGAATAAAAGAAAAAGACCCACACTAAGACCTATCATCAGGAAAATGCAGAACATTAGCATTAAAGAAAGAATTTTGAAAACTGCTAGACAAGGAAAAAAATAGCAGGTCATGTATGAGCAGGAATTAGAATAGCATCAAGCTTCTCAGTAGCAACATTGGCAGTTAGAAGACGACATAAAAATGCTTCTCAGTCCTGGGGAAAATGAATTCTAATTGGAATTATACTCTCAACCAAACTGTAGATCAAGTCTGAGGGAGGAATGACTACACTCTCAGACACACAAGAGCTCAATGAATTTATTGCCCGTGGCCTCTGGTATGGTTTGGCTGTGTCCCCACCCAAATCTCATCTTAAATTCTAGCTCCCATAATTCTCAATGTTGTGGGAGGGACCCAGTGGGAAATAATTAAATCATGAGCATGGTTTTCCACATACTGTTCCTGTGGCAGTGAATAAGTCTCACAAGATCTGATGGTTTTATTAGGGGTTTCCCCATTTGCTTGGTTCTCATTCTTTCTTGTCTGCCACCATGTAAGATGTGCCTTTCATCTTCTGCCATGATTGTGAGGCTTCCCCAGCCATGTGGAACTGTGAGTCCATTAAACTTCTTTTTCTTTATAATTTACCTATTCTGAGGTATGTCTTTATCAGCAGTGTGACTAACACATCCTCTCACTCTGCACATACAGGCAGATAAAAATAATAAACAGTAAAGCATGATATCCACAATACAGGGAGCCCCCAAAGTAGACAGTGATGAAAAGAAAAGAAGGCCATTATGCCTGGCATGCAGCTGCCCAAAGGGAACCCAGGAAAGAAGGACTCCATGAGAGAGATCTTCAAGAAAATATTAGATAAAGTCCTTGATGTGTTTAACCTTACTGGGATACATTTTGCAGCTCAGGCAAAGAGAAGGATACAGCAATGATTAGCACAGAGGACACCGAGCAAACAAAACCTTTGTCTTCCTTAGTAGGAGAAAATTAGATGATATCTCTAGCTGCTAAATTAAAATAATACCAAACAAGATATATTATTTTAAAATTAAGTGGTGTGATGGTTAGTTTTATGTGTTAACTTGACTGGGCTAAGGGATGCTCAGATAGCTGATAAGAAATTATTTTTGGCTATGTCTATGAGAATGTTTCCAAAAGAGATTGGCTTTTGAATCAGTAGACTTAGTAAAGAAAATCACCCTCCCCAGTATAGATGAGAATCATCCAATCTGTTGAGGAACTGAATAGAAATAAAAGGCAGCAGAAGTGTGAATTCTTTCCTTCCTTGAGCTGTAGTATCCATCTTCTCCAGCCCTTGTGTTCCCAGACCAAATCGAGGGTCATGCTGCTTATTCTCGCAGCCCAATAATGAGAAGCAGATGAACTGGGGAAGAAGGGAGTTTATTTCTGTAACCAGGTAGAGGGAGAAGGCCTGGAAAATATTGCCAGGCCAACTCAAAATTACAAAGTTTTTAGAGCTTACATTCCTTCTAAGCTATATGTTTACGTGTAAGTGTGCATTCATCTAAAGACAAAAGTCTAACTTCTTCTAATCTATAACTTAGATCTGAGTCCTGAAGACCTTCCTCTGAAGCCTCAGTAAATGTACCTAATCTAAATGGGTCCAGGTGCCAGGGGTGATTACACTTATCTTGTCTCCTGCTAAATCATAAAGGTTTGGGGAGTTCCTTCAGACTCCCAATAAACTTGTTTGTAGAGGTCTGAGGAGTTTATTCAAACCCTCAATAGAACTTGTTTAATCCTAAACAGGTCCTGTTAAGAATTCCTTCATTATCCTGTCATCCTTCAAGGCCCAGGAAAGGCCTGGGCAAAATTCTTGGTGGGCTTTTGTTACATTCCAGCCTTTGTATAAGGCCACTGGTTCTATTAGCTGGCTTTCTGAAAAGATTATCAAAATAGATAGACCGTTAGCCAGACTAATAAAGAAGAAAAGAGAGAAGAATTCAAGAGACACAATGAAAAATGATAAAGGGGATATCACCACTGATCCCACAGAAATACAAACTACCATTGGAGAATACTATAAACACCTCTACACAAATAAACTAGAAAAATCTAGAACAAATGAATAAATTCCTGGATACATACACTCTCTCAAGACTAAACCAGGAAGAAGTAGAATCCCTGAATAGACCAATAACAAGTTCTGAAATTGAGGTAGTAATTAATAGTCTACCAACCAAGAAAAGCCCAGGAACAGACGGATTCACAGCCGAATTCTACCAGAGGTACAAAGAGGAGCTGGTACCATTCCTACTGAAACTATTCCAAACAATAGAAAAAGAGGACTCCTCCCTAACTCATTTTATGAGGCCAGCAACATCCTGATACCAAAACCTGGCAGAGACAAAACAAAAAAAGGAAATTTCAGGCCAGTATCCCTGATGAACATTGATGCGAAAATCCTCAATAAAATACTGGCAAACCAAATCCAGCAGCACATCAAAAAGCTTAACCACCACAATCAAGTCGGCTTCATCCTTGTGATGCAAGGCCAGTTCAACATATGCAAATCAATAAACATAATCCATCACATAAACAGAACCAATGACAAAAACCACATGATTATCTCAATAAATGCAGAAAAGGCCACCAATAAAATTCAACATCCCTTCATGCTAAAAACTCTCAATAAACTAGGTATTGATGGAACAAATCTCAAAATCATAAGAGCTATTTATGACAAATCCACAGCCAATATCATACAGAATGGGCAAAAGCTGGAAGGATTCCCTTTGAAAACTGGCACAAGACAAAAATGCCCTCTCTCACCACTCCTATTCAACATAGTATTGGAAGTTCTGGCCAAGGCAATCAGGCAAGAGAAAGAAATAAAGGGTATTCACATAGGAAGAGAGGAAGTCAAATTGTCTCTGTTTGCACATGACATTATTGTATATTTAGAAAACCCCATAGTCTCAGCCCCAAATCTCCTTAAGCTGATAATCAACTTCAGCAAAGTCGCAGGACACAAAATCAATGTGCAAAAATCACAAGCTTTCTATACACCAATAACAGACAAACAGAGCCAAATCATGAGTGAACTCCCATTCACAATTGCTACAAAGAGAATAAAATACCTAGGAATACAATTTACAAGGGATGTGAAGGACCTCTTCAAGGAGAACTACTAATGACTGCTCAAGGAAATAAGAGAGGACACAAACAAATGAAAAATCATTCCATGCTCATGGATAGGAAGAATCAATATTGTGAAAATGGCCATACTACCCAAAGTAATTTATAGATTCAATGCTATCCCCATCAAGCTATCATTGACTTTCTTCACAGAATTACAAAAAAACTAAATTTCATATGGAACCAAAAAAGAGCTTTTACTCTTTAACCACTCAGTAAGTGCTGAAACAGCTCTTACATAGGCCTGTGTTAGTGAGACCTGGCCTGCCACACTTGGACATCAGAACTCCTGGATCTCAGGCCTTTGGACTTCACGATTTATGACAGCAGCAGCCACCTCTTCTACCTCCAACCCCCAGATGGCATATTATGGGATTCTCAGCCTCCATAATTGTGTGAGTCAATTTCCATAATAAATCTCCATTTGTTCTGTTTCTGTAGTGAACTCTGACTAATACAGGTAGCAAATTTTGGAAGAAAGAGTGAAAAAGTAGGAAGTGATGACTCTGGAGATTAAGAAATGACTAGAAAGTTACAGAAAAAAGGATATTTTTCAAAGAACTGAGTTATATTCTTTAACTGTTAGATTTATAATTTTAAAAATAACAGTAAGGTGCTAAGACTCATAATCATAAACCCTAAAATGTCTCTTGTTAGTTTTCTTCCTTCCAGGGAAGGGGACGCTCAGGCTTTTACATTCTCACTGAAGTGTCATGCCAATAGATAAGGACCCCACAAGTTCCCATTATCCAATTCCCATGTATTGCTCCTTTTTTCTCCCTATGTCACTTTCTCTCCTCCCCCATCTGTATTAGGAAAGCTCCTAGGAAAGGGGTTTATGTAACCACGACCTTCTATCTTTTCCTTTTCTCTCAGTAGAATTTTAACATTCAGCCTCTGGCAGGCACTCAGGCATCAGATGGGGTCACTGGCGGGTCTCGCTAATGATTTTCCCTCTTCTGTGTTTTTTTGTGACTGCTTGAAAACAATAGATCTCCCATTTAGTCCTGCTCAGTCTTAGGGCACCTCTGGAGTTTGTCCTGCATGTTCCACCTTAGCCTCATCTTTTACCCTGGAAATTAAATTGTCTCTTTGCTCATTTAGGCTTTTGAGTGAGATTGCATGCCATTAAGATGTGCTAAGATGTACTTGCCTCTCATTGATTTCCACATGAATTCCGGATAGCCAGGCTGTTAAAAAAAACGCTGCCTGCTGAGTTCCGTTTATGAATGCACTCCCTTGGGGGGAAGTCCACAAACTCCCTATGAGGGCCATTATCACAGTGGTGCTAGCTGGCCACCTGGGTGAAGACAGGGGAAATGTGTGCAGGGGCTTTTGTCCTTAAATTTCTTTTCCTTTTCTCGGTTCCAAAATACTGGGTTCCAGAATACTGAATCTGATCCAATTCTTTAGCAAAATCAAGGGAGGGAATTTGTAGGGGATTTCCTTTCCTTCTATTACTGTATATTTTTTATGTCCAAAATGTTGGAATATGCTATTGAAATGGGAGAATTCCCTGATTCCCCTCACAGGACCTGCAACAGGGGTATGACTTACCTGCTTGGTTGCCCCACAGCTCAAACCCCTAGTGGGAGCATGCAGACGGGCAGGTGCAGAGGCTGAGGTGAGTGCTTTTGGGCTCCAGCCCCATGGAGCATCTAGGGGTGGGTGTTTGCAACTCCTGAAGCCCAGGTGGGCATGTATTACAAAGCTCTTTCAGATTTGCTATCTGTAGACGGCTTGTGTGTTAATCAGTTCAATGGACCCTCTGCCTTATTGAAATGGAAGAGGGCCAGTGTGACAGTCTTCTGTATCCTGAGCTCTTGCACAGTGTCCTGAAAGAATCGGATCACATGCAGGCTTGAAGGATGAGTGCAAGATTTTATTGAGTGGTAGAGGTGGCTCTCAGTGAGATGAATGGGAAGCCAGAAGGGGGGATGGAGTGGGAAGGTGGTCTTCCCCTGGAGTTCGGCTTTTCTCCAACCACCCCTGGCCAAACTCCCCTCCGTGTCCAGACATCCCTCCTCTTTTCTCTTTCTCTGCCTCATTGTTACACTGTTGCTGGTCTGCTGGTCCTGATGTTCAGCTGCTTGTGTGTGTGCCTGCTAAGGGTTTATATGGGGGCGGGAGAGGTGGTGGGGTGAGCCAAAAGGCAACTTTTTGGGTGCAAAACCAGAAATGCCTGTCCTCCTTTAGGGCCACAGGTCTTCAGGCTTGAGGTTGGGGCCTTTGCCAGAGAACCACCCTCTTCTAACCAATATTTCCCTGACTCCTGTCCATATCACTATGACAGGGAGAAGGAGAGACCACTATGGGAGCATGCCAGAGGGATGACTAATCCAGTCTTAGTGAATCATGGACAGCTTTCCTGGGCAGGGGATTTTTAAGCACAGAGCTAGGAGGATGCAATTATAAGGAGCTCTTGAGCAGTTAGGAGCTAGTTGAGAAGAAAAATCAACTCTGTGTAGAGTAATACTAACAACCAAACCAAAGATCATCCTTTACCTTTACATAGTACTTCAGTTTATAACACCATCTCCATGTGTAGGATTATCAAATAGGCAAATTAGGCCTGAGTTCGGAGCATCAGCAAAAGTGATGTTAGGGACTAAATGTTTGTATTCCTTCCCCAGATTCATATATTGAAGCCCTAAACCCTGATGCAATGGTATTAGCAGGTGAGGCCTTAGGGAAGCAATTAGTTTTAGATGAGAGTGAGTCCCCTGTGATGGGATTAGTGTCTTTATAGAAAAAGGAATGGACACTAGCACTTCCTCTCTCTGCCATAGCCACATAAGAACACAGTGAATAGGCATTGTCTGCAAGCCAGGAATAGTCCACACTAATAACTGAATCTGCGAATCTGCCAGCACCTTGATCTTGGACTTCCCAGCCTCCAGAACTGTGAGAAATAAATGTCTGTTGTTTAAGATACCTAGTATTTTGTTATAGCAGCCAGAGCTGACGATGAGCAGTGGGGCCTAAAAAAATGGGGCTAAGTCCAGCTTTAGTAAATGTACCCAAAATGATTCAATGAGAAAATCAACAAAAGTCCAATTTAATTGTATATTTTATTTAAGTTTTGTATTTTTGTCCATTGCATTAGTTTTCTTTTGTAGAATATTGTGGAATGGGGTGTTGTAAAGTTGGGGAGACATCACAAATTTCTAATGGAAATGACCAGTCATTTTACATACATTTTTCTTACAACAGCCTTGAGAAAGCCTGGATAGGCTGAATAATAAATTATTATTATTGTTGCCATGTTAATAGATGACCAAGCTTAGGCCAGAGAACTGCCAAGGGACTCAGTCAAAAAAATCATGCTGCTGGTAAAAGGCAGAGGTGGGACTTGAGCTCAAAAATCCCACTGAGGCAGGGCGCAGTGGCTCACGCCTATAATCCCAGCACTTTGGGAGGCCGAGGCAGGCAGATCACCTGAGGTCAGGAGTTTGAGACCAGCCTGACCAACATGGAGAAACCCCATCTCTACTAAAAAAAAAAAAAAATTAGCCAGGCATAGTGTTGCATGCCTGTAGTCCCAGCTACTCCAGTGGCTGAGGCAGGAGAATCACTTGAACCCCAGAAGCAGAGGTTGCAGTGAGCCAAGATTGCTCCATTGCACTCCAGCCTGGGCAACAAGAGCAAAACTCCATCTCAAAATAAATAAATAAATAAATAATTAAATAAATAAATAATAAAAATAAAAAAATCTCATCGAGAGACCATGGTTTGTAAAGTCAGGTAGACCTGCATTCAAATCCCTTTTCTACCTTGTGATGACATTCCTTAACTTCACTTACCTTCATAAGTATCTCATAGAAACAAATATCTCATATCTACCTGACGTCACAAATTATTGTCTCTTAATGGGATTTTTGAGGTCAAGTCCCACCTCTGCCTTTTATCAGCAGTATTTTTGACTAAGTAAGTCCCTTGGCAGTTCTTTGGCCTAAACTTGATCATCTATTAACATGTTGATAACAATAATAATAACAATCTCATAGAGTTTTTGGGAAGATTAAATGAGGTAGTATAGAAAGCATCTATCCCAAGGCTAGCATGGAGTATGTGCATGTTTATTAAATGGTAGTTATTATCTCCTGGTTCCTGGGTTCAATATTGTTTCTGTTCTGCAGCACATGACTAAGAATCCATTAGATGCAATGAGAGATATTAGGGAATTAAGTATTTAGCTTGCTGTCAGGACTGGAAGAGCTATTAGAGCACTGGAGTGATTTTGATGATACTGATGATAAACATTGGTGCTCTCTGCCCTGTTTCTTCCATTTTATAGAAAGTCAAAACAACTGAGGTTATTTTTTTTGTCCAGATTCTATATAAAATTATTTCAAGTGCCCATCTTTTCCACAAGTCATTTTTCTCTATTTATTCAATCAGAATGCAGTGGTCACAGAGGAATCTCTGGGTCCTGCAAAGCTGGATTCAAATCCCGGCTTCTTTTACTTGCTAATGCATTATGTTGGATGCATTATTGAAACTGTCTGTAAGTCAGTTTCCATGCCCATAAAATGAGAATAAGACCAATGTCTACACAGTGGGTGGTTGAAAGGATTAAATGAGTTAAGACATGGAAATTGCCTTTAAAAGTGCCTAGTACAAAGTGAGGTTCATTGTTTTATTGAGCATTTACTATAATAATGCCAGGTCCTATTTTAAGCACCAGGGATATTATCAATAAATAAGATTGACAGTTTCTCTCCACAGACCTTACATTCTAATGTGGGCAAATAAGTAAGAGTTCTGAAACTCTGAGATGTAAGATGAAGATCCGCTTTGATGCTGTTTGATTAGAATGGAACAGCAAACGTTTCCATTGTTCCTCTGGGTTTTGCCAGATCGTTCATTCAGAACCCCGATGATATTTCCTTCAGTCTGTGGGCAAGGCTTTACTTATTTTTTTTTCTTTTAGGAATGACTTCCCATAAACTGATACTTATAAATTCATATAAAGCAGCTTCTTTATAAAAACCATTATATGGAGGCCAGATTTTTAAATGTATCTACAAGACCGAAGATTAGAACTGTCTAGTTTTGAGTTTATTTTTAACATATAGCCATGAGTTAGGAGCCTAAGTTAGGTTCCTGCCTGAGTTAGGAGCACATAATCTTTGTATCATAAAATTTTCATCATGTTAACTAAGACTTTTCATCATATTAACTAAAAGTTTTTTTGTTTTGTTTTGTTTTTGTCTTTGTCTCAAGATTGGTTTGAATATTTGAGGAAGCCATTCATTAATTTTTTTTTTTTTGAGACAGAGTCTGGCTCTGTCACCCAGGCTGGGGCACAATGGTATGATCTCAGCTCATCACAACCTCCGCCTCCCGGTTCAAGCGATTCTCCTGCCTCAGCCTCCTGAGTAGCTGGGATTACAGGCATGCGCGACCATGCCCAGCTAATTCTGTATTTTTAGTAGAGACGGGGTTTCTCCATGTTAGTCGGGCTGGTCTCGAACTCCCGACCTCTGGTGATCCACCCGCCTCAGCTTCCCAAAATGCTGGGATTACAGGCAAGAGCCACCGCGTCCAGCCCATTTCATTCATTCTTAAGAAATAAATGTTGAGATAGTATCTAATATTTTTCCTTTTAACTCCTGTAGTATTTTTATAGCAACTGCAATCTAGTTTTAACTACTGTACCTTTCAGACCCAGGGGAATCCCATTGAGTCATAACCAGAAATTTGGCAATAGTCAAATTAATATGGACACATTGCCTTTATTTTCTGCCTATTAGTGCACACATAAAGCTTAACAGAAGCTCACAAGTAACTTGGGCTCATTCCAAACCTAAGTTACTGAACACCTCATTCTGGGTAGGTAATATACATATGCTCATATCAGAAAAGGCAGAATGTCATTGGATAATTGAAAGGCTGGATTCCAAGCAGGCATGGTTTCCTTTGTCAATAGCACAGTGACATTTCCTCTGTGTCATTTGCTACCCACAGAGTAGGAAATTACCCATGATAATAGCAGAGAGCCAGTGGTTCTTTGTATGTGATAGACTCTGATTACTTAATCTCATCTGACTTTCATGTTTTATCACGGCTCAGATGCAGAATGGATATATTTATTAGTATCTGGAAATGGGCTCATGGGTACTTCCCAACATGCAGAAGAATTTAGAACCATTTATACGATCATTCAAATGTCAAATGTGGAATTTAACCAACTCCTTCATAGTAGCCATTTATGATATTTCTTGTCAGAATCTCTTGTCTTGGGAAATGCATCCCCATCCCTCATTCTGCATCCCAGCCCATGTGTTTGTGGATAGTTTTCTATACTTTAGCATAAATCTAACCCCAATCCCCCATCAAACTCTAGTGGCAAAGTTGAGTTCGGATTTAAGTGGAGTTTTTGCACTATTGACAGGCTGATATTTTACCAGCAGGCGCTGGCAAGTCTTTACAGGAACACTTGTTCTATCTTGTAGGTTGAATATTTTGAATATAGTCTTGTAGCTCCATGAACACACTATCCCCTGCCTAGGAGCAATCGCATATTCATTTAGTACATAAAGATAGATCTTTGTGTTTCCAGAGAGTGAAGAATCATCAGTTTAATTTCAGAGAACTTCTAGAACACACAGCTTTGGGGAAAATGATGAGTGATTCCTGTGCTGACCATCTTGGCATCACCTTCCCCCCACCTTTTAATAAAACATAGAGCAACGCACTGATGCTCTTTAGCAAGAAAAATAACATGTCAAAAAACGTTGGTATAAAATTGTCTATTAATCTCCTTTGAGTGCCATCTGAAATCACTGACTTGCTTTACTCCAGCACAATTTTTTTTCCTTAATTAAGCAGCATTGGCACTTGTGAAGCACCATGCATCTTTTTACATTTAAAATAGAATGTAACTGAAGGAAATGCATGTTTGAGTTTATAAGCCAAAATCACAACAGCAACACCTGGCAAATTGATGCGCCTAAATATTTGTTTTTCAAATCAAGTATTTAGGGTCTGAAACATAAGAAATCCTGGCTAACATTTATAAGTATGGACCTTGTTTTAGACATTGTCCTAAGGACGCACATTAAGTCAGTTAATGTACGCAAAACCTAATGAGATAGTTACAATCATTATCTTGATTTTACAGATGAGAAAACTGAGACATATGAGTTAAGATAATATGCCTAGAAGGTGATATTCAAACCTAGGACTCAAACTGAGGTCTGTGACTCGAGAGCCTATGCCAATAAACACTGCAGTATGAGCCTCTTCACATAAAATGGGGGCTGGGAGTAATATTGATCTTTATTCAAAAGCCAAGGTATTAGAAAGCATACTTTATATGCTGCAACTTTTTAGCTTTTGCTCTGCCCAACCTACAGATGGCCTGGGGATGTTAACTGCATGTGTTCCAGAGTACGATCTAAATCCAATTCACATATAAAAATTAACTATTGCCTGTCCATCCTGTGGCTTGAACAAATGGCACCTTTTAACACAGGAAGTCATTAAGCCAGCACACTGATCTATCCATATAGCTTTTTCCACATCTTTCTTTGGGCAGATGTACATTTTTTCAGCACTGGTAGCAATTCAGCAGGAAAACAGCTCAGGTTCCATGGAGTAGAACATGGATGGAGAAATGAAAGCTCCTGGATTGAGATCTCAGTTTTATGCTTGGCATGTTCTACAGTAGACATGAGACAGAATGAAATTGGATGTGAGCCACTTGGATACTAGTGTTCTGTTTGTAAATAACTTTCTCCATCTAGTTTTTAGCTTTTTCATTTGAATAATAAAAACATCGGATCAAGTGATAGCTATGTTACTGTCTAGCTTGGAAAAACCTTCCATGCAATTGACTTATCACGATGAATCTCTCTTATCTATGTGAATATATAATGCAATGAGGTGTGCATTCATTTTCTTTTTTTTCTTTTTTCTTTTTTTTTTGAGATGGAGTCTCGCTGTGTCGCCCAGGCTGGAGTGCAGTGGCACAATCTCGGCTCAATGCAAGCTCCACCTCCCGGGTTCACGCCATTCTCCTGCCTCAGCCTCCCGAGTAGCTGCAACTACAAGCGCCCGCCACCACGCCCGGCTAATTTTTTTTTTGTACTTTTAGTAGAGACTGGGTTTAACCGTATTAGCCAGGATGGTCTCGATCTCCTGACCTCGTGATCCGCCCTCCTCGGCCTCCCAAAGTGCTGGGATTACAGGCGTGAGCCACTGCGCCCGGCCGGTGTACATTCATTTTCTATTGCTGCATAACTAATTACTACAAAAACAGCAGGTGATAACAATGTCCATTTCTTATCTCACAGTTCTGTAGGTCAGAATTCTGAGCAGTACTCAACTGGTTTCTCTGCTCAGTGTCTCCAAAGACTACATTCTTATCTGAGATTGAGGGTCTTCTTCCAAGCTCTTTTGTTGCTGGCAAAATGGAGTTCTTCATGGCTGTATAAGTGTGGTTTTCACTGTTTTACCATATATTAACTAGGGGCCGTTCTCAGATTTTGAAACCCACCAGCTATTCTCAACTGCATTGCCCTCTCTACCATGTGGCAGTGTGCTCCTTTAAGGCCAGGGGGAGAATTTCTCTCACTTTGCATAACTGACCTCTTTTAAAGACTCAGCTGATTAAGTCGAATCTCCTAAGGATAATCTCTTTTTTGATTATCTCAAAGTCAATTGATTAGGGATTTTAATTAATTACATCTGCAAAATCCTTTCTGCTGTATAACATATCATCATGGAAGAGATGTCCTATCATATTCACAAGTCCTGATTACAATCATAGAACACAGAGAGGATTATGCGTACACCAGGGCATGACAATCTTGGGGAGCATATTAGAATTCTGCCTGCCAAAGACTGTCTGAAGAAGTGGAACCTGAAGCCTTGTTCAGTGATAGAAACTGCCAATAGAAGTCATCAGCAGGCTGCATTGGAAAAGATCTACCATGTATTTGTGTCTTGACTGCCTGGAAAATATGCATAGGAGCCCAGTTAACTTCAGAAAAAAGAATGTCAAGTACCTAAAAGCTTTTCTCTCAAAAACTTCATGTTTTGAGAAACTCTGCTATTAAACCCAGAATGCCTTCATTTGAATCCAGGGATCACAATCTCACAAGCTTGTGAACCTAACAACTGCATAACCTTTGCATGCTATTTAAAGTTTCTAGGCCTGTATCCTCATCTCTTGTAGAGGAATTTACCTTATAGGGTATTTTGAAAATTGAATTATTGAATACATGTGAAGTATTTAAAAGAATGGTGAAAACATAATGACTAACACAGAGAGCTTCACTTTTTATTTTATTTAAAATAATCCTATGTTCCAACTTCCTATGGAACAAGCACTGTCATAAGAACTCTGAGTTAGGCACTATTATATTATCCCCATTTTGTAGATGAGGAAACTGAGGCACAAAGAATTTAAGTAATTTGTCCAAAGCCAAAGTGCTGATAGGCATGGCCTTAGAATTTGAAGCCAGGCAGTCTAGCCATTAATGGAGTTTACTAGCAGAAAAGACACTGAAGGAAGCTCGTCTTGCAAGAAGGAAAAAAACCTAAACTGGCTGCTTTCCATCAAAGCCTGGGCTTAAGTTGTTGGGAATTGGGTTAGGAGTTGGTTTTAGCTCAGCTTGTGGATGAAACAGAATGCCCTTCCCAGATAGTTATCCTCTGTTGAGCAGAATGCTTTGGCATAAAATAAACTCCAGGAGCACAAACTGATTGTCCTGTTTATGAATGGTTCTCAACAGCCGAAACAGAGATTTACTTATGGTTGGTGCTCGCAATAGACTAAACATTTGTCTGCCCCCAAAGTACTTAAACCTCAATTTTATTAGAAGGTGAGGCCTTTGGCAGATTATGAAATCACAAGGGTGGAGCTCTCAGGAATGATACTATTGTCTTTATGAAAGGGACTCCAGGTTGATTGATCTTCACCCTCTTTCCACCATGTGAGCACGCGGTGAAGCATTGGCAGTTTAACCTGGAAGAGAGCCCTCATCAGAACCCAATCATGCTGGCACCCTGATCATCTCACACTTCCATGCTTCTAAGCTCTAAGGAATAAATTTTTGTTGTTTACAAGCCACATACTCTATAGCATTTTGGTACAGCAGCCTGCAATGATGAAGACAATGTTAAATGAAAAATGATTAAATGCATGATTGCAACTTAAATCATGAACCTTGGGAAGCCCATTGAACAACCTTGGCTGAGTAAAAGAGTGCTGAAAGAATGGACTATCTTCTTTCAAGAAGACTCAGGAGCCCCCACAGGGATCTCTTGTAGAGCAGGAATTAGAGAAATATAACATGAGATATTCTGGCTCAAGATGGAGACTGAACTTAACTCTGAGGAGAAGCGACTTTCTTTCCTCTCCCACTAAGCCTTGAGATACTACTACCAGGCCCCATTGCAACAGTAGAGACATACAGCACTAGGTTATATAGATTTTCAGTAGCCTCATCACAGCAAAGCAAGAGATGGCAGTACCAAATGGGGCCTTTGAATGGACTCATGTTACCCAGTTTTCCTGCAGTAAAGGCATTTTAAAGCAGGCAGCCTCTTTAAGAAATTAGATTAAAGAAAGACCTAAGACCTAAGAAAGTTCAGGGGAGGAAGGAAAGTCTGTGAAGAAAGACTTCTCACTTTTCTAGTCATGTGGAGAAGGGATTGTTATCTTTAGAAACATATCTGTCATAAAAACATGAAATTTGAATATTTAGTACCCAAATCTTCTTGTAAGGGTCATAGTCATTGATGTTTGAGTCCGATGCCAAGACAGCAAATGTTATTCTCATTTCAAAAGAAATTGAAATGATAATGCTGTCCATTGAGTCAAATCCATGAAATAATCAAGAGAATCTCCTAGCTCTTGCATGCTCTCCAACCAAAATCTTCCATTTTGCAGAATTTTTATGCCTCAAAACACAAACACAGTTAATCAGATAGGAAGGTCCCACAGGAGTTAAATGTCTTTTTATTAATCATGATTCAACACTCAGACACAATCTATTTCACCAAAATAGTATTCCAAACCATGTTTTGGAATATCACACTCTCCAGGGAAGATAGATTTTATGGTATTGTCTTTTGCTAGTGGTAGAATTGTGAAATTTATTATCCTGCTGTTACAGACCTTTTAAAAACACAGCTGGGTGACCAAAGACAATGAAGTGCCCCAAATGAAGTTTATCTCAAGGCCTTAACTGATAGCATTCTCCTATTTCTTATTTTTCATGCCCAGCTTGCTGTGATACCACTGGGAACTTGTTAACTCAGCAGCATTTATCATGATTCTGTTTTGTTGAACAAGTACAATACAATCTTTTTTTCCCCATTTAATCAATAAGTAGATGTAGGAATGAGGTACAGCAGGGAGGAATCATGTTAGATTAATGGTTTCTGACTTATGGTAAAATTCATCTTGAATATTGCACTTATAGTATCTTCTGAGACAGCCTCTCCTGGGAGCAAAATATTCCCAAATAATTCAACTGCATTGCTGTTATACATCATGACTGCTATTTCATCTCTTCACTCAGGGGAAAAATAAAAAGCATGTTAATCCATCAAGATCCATGTTATTTAGAAGACAGACTTTTGCAGACAGAATGAACACTAATTGGGATAAGGGGATAATGGAAAAAGAAAGGAAATACTGGAGATCTATCTATCTATCTATCTATCTATCTATCTATCTATCTATGTATCTATCTAATCTATCATTTTTCTCTATCTATCTATCTATCTATCTATCTATCTATCCATCCATCCACCCATCTGTCTCTATCATCTATCTATCTATCTATCTATCTATCTATCTATCTATCTATCTATCTATCTATCTATCTATCTTTCTATCCATCCATCCACCCATCTGTCTCTATCATCTATCTATCTATCTATCTATCTATCTATCTATCTATCTATCTATCTATCCATTCTACCTGTCTATCTACCTACCTACCTATTGACTAGATATTGAATGTACATTTAACTTCCTTTATGTAGTGAAGGAGGTCCTAGGCTTATTTTATGAATAAGAAAAGGACTGTGAGTATGGCAGAGATTCAGGACGCTTGAATCATAGGCCTAAGGTCCCAAGTCAGAAGGTGGCAAACTCAGTTTCTGACTGAAGACTGTGTAATTCAAAAGCCTTGTTTATTTTCTTCTTCTTTTCTTTCTCCCAATAGGCCACAATTCTCTGTCTTTGAGTTTGGTTTTACAGTGATGAAATTTACTATCATAATTTAAAGTGAGGACTTTGGTGGGAATTTCCCCCAAAATAGAATAGTAGGGTTTTGTTTGACTTCTGCTCTTAGCACTCTTTTTCTATAGTAAAATAAGACTTAAGGAGATGTGATTGAAAGAGGTAGGTTTAACGGGAGGAAAGACTTGCAGTTGATGGATACAAAAGGCACTGGTGGAATAAAAATGAGTTGTAGGGTATAAGAAATACCAAATCAGGTTTTAAGTGTCCTAAGTAAATACGAAGAGAAAATGATTTGTGTTCTGGTGATGCTCACAGTAACATGCACCTTATGGATCCTTCTTGTCTGTTGTGAAGAGTCTCCAGACCTGGGCGAGGGGTTACATGACTTGGCCAGGGCTGGTGTGACAAAGTAGTGCAAGCTGGGTGGTCTGAACAACTGCAGTGTATCACTCACAGTTCTGGAGGCTAAAAGTTTGGAATCATGGCATCCTCAGAGTTGGTTCCTTGTGAGGGCTGTGAGGAAAGAATCTGTTCCAGGCCTCTCTCCTTGGCTTGTAGGGGGCTGTCTTCTCACTAAGTCTCTTCATTCATCTGCTCTCTATGTGTGTCTCTGTGTTCAAATTAACCCTTTTTATAAGGATACCAGTCATACTGGATTAGCTCATTTTAGCTTGATTACCCCTGTGAAGACCCTATTTCCAAATAAGCTCCCATTCTAAGGTGCTGGGTGTTAGGATTTCAACTTAGGAATCTTGAGCAGGAGGCACACAATTCAGCCTATCATAGTGGTGAAGTGATGTATAGAAGAAAGCATAGCTTTGGAGTCAGAAAGACATGGGTTTAAGTTAGGAAAAACACTGCCTAGCTCCTTGAGCAAAATTAATTTATCTGAATTTTAATGTCCCTATTTACAAAATAGTCATAATAACACTAGACTTGCAGGGTTGTTTTAGAGATTAAATGAGTATTACATGTAGAAAACATTGTATCTGGGACATGGTTGGTACTCACTTAAAAAAAGTTAGATTTTTCATGCTTAACTTAGATAATCACTAATAAGGGAAATATAGATTGAAGAAAAATAAGTTGATGGAGTAGAAAAATATTGTGAAGACATTGCGTAGCTCTTCCAAATGTGGCCATCCTTTGTGTAGTGACAACTCTGTTCTCACAGATATGTTTTGCCTGGTTCTTGGAAGGCCCCTAACATAAAATACTGAGGTGTCTGAAAAATCTACCATTAAATTTATTTCAGCTCTTGAAGGCTTTAGGAAATAGATGTCAAAGGAGGAAGGGATAGTGAGGAAACCAAGGATATTGAGATGAACCCACCCCAAGTCAAATTTTACCTGCATCACAGTTTGCTAAGGCCAGCTCTGCTCCAAAAATCCCAAAATGAAGCACATTGGAACTTGGAGGGTTGCTAAACTTAGAGATGAACTAGTCTTGATTTCATTTTGAGGGAAAGCCTATCAGGGAAAATGAGTCAGAAAGAGTTATTGCTCTAAGGGGCCTGAGCCAAGGCTTCCTTTTTGCTGTTACCTACCATTTTCCCTCTAGCAATCATTTCCAAAGTAGAATTTTACATTCAAATGCTTTTCTTTCTTCCACTCTCTTTGGAACAACAATATATGAAATCATTCCAGAAGGGAGAACACCTTCTGTGAGGAGATTAACCTGACATGTGATAGAAAGAAATGGAAGATAATAGAATGACATTAGAATGGACAATTTCTGGAAATGAGGGAGGTTTGGTATTCCACTTAGGAATGGGTGTTTAGGAACTTCTGAATGCAATGCCCAAGCAATGATTCACTCCACTTGGCATGAACACTTGGACATTTCAGTTCAGATATCATTATGATAAAGTATAATTTCCCTCGGCTGTGGGGTTTGCTCTGACTCAGCTGACAACCCACCACATTTCCCTCACTTGGGTCATGACTAACCACACACACACACCCATACCAATGAGAGTCATTATGTTGTCCCACTAAAGAAGCAATTTAGGTTGTTATGATCACAAAGGCACATTTGGAATGATACATTTATCAAAGGAAACAAACAAACAAAAGCCCACTGTTACACCTTCAGGAAGAAATACTCGTTAAGTATTGCATATTATATTTGTTATTCAGGTTTTTTACCAGGTACCTACTCTCTGAAGGTTGTTTGGAACCAGTATCAAAACATTTGAAAATAATTCACGTGAATTGAGTCTATAATAAAGTTCCCCATAAAACAGAAGAACATGGCCAGAAAGCTTTATTGTTCTGACAGACCTAATCTGAGAAAATAGGTTTGTGTCCTCTACTAGACATGAGCATATGTTATGAAGGGATAATATATTTCAGATTTGTTAATGTTATCCCTGGCATCTAAGAGGTTTAAAAGTAGTTAGTTAAAGGCAAAAGATTCATTACTTTAAAAATGAATCAGTTAAAGTCAAATAACCCATCTCCAATTTGTCATTATCCGAAATATGAAGACTCAAAATTAATTGAGCCATTCATTGAGATATTCTTAACCATTGTAGATATAAGAAAAATTAGTAACTGATCTGATACTATTTGATTTTGCTATTTATTTACCTCAATTTTTATATTTCTCAAAGCCTAATATAGTGGGTTATATAGTAGGAACTGTATAACTTTTTATGGAATGAATGGGTGGATGAATAAAAGGAGGAAAAATATATTATTTTGAAAATAAAGCAGTGATATGAGTCTATTGATCTTGGAGAAAGGTAAAATTCCTATTAGAAAGGATAAATTCTCTTCTATTAAGACAAACACAATATTGGTGGTTTTTGGTATTAGAAAGTGTTGTCCCTCCCCTTGGTGATGGTCTGAAAGTTATAACCACATCTCTGGAAATTTGATGTTATTCACAACAGCTCTATAGATGATGGAAGTGGGAAGAATGAGAGTCTTCAAAGGGCTGGGAAAGAGGAGATATATGGGAATTAGGAGAGGAATTCGAGATACTTGGAAAGAAACAGAAACCTGCAGAAGGGCCTGGCCAACAAAATTTTTCTCCATGACAGGAATAGGTAAAAAGTTTTAGGGCAGCAAACTCTAATATTCAAACTTATTTTTCCAACACTGTCCCTTGCTTTAACTTAGTTGTGTTATTCCCAACTTTAATCAAATGATTGCTACACCAACAAGCACTGTGATATGGTTTGGCTGTGTCTCACCGAAATCTCATCTTGAATTCTAACTCCCACAATTCCCATGTGTTGTGGGAGGAACCCAGTGGGAAATGGTTTAATTACTGGGGAGGGTCTTTCCTGTGCTGTTCGCATGATAGTGAATGAGTCTCAAGAGATCTGATGGTTTTAAAAATGTGAGCTTCCCTGCACAAGCTCTCTTTTTGCCTGCCACCATCCATGTGAGATGTGACTTGCTCCTCCTTGCCTTGTGCCATGTTTGTGAGGCCTCCCCAGCCATGTGGAACTGTAAGCCCATTAAATCTCTTTCTTTTGTAAATTGTCCAGTCACTGGTATGTCTTTATCAGAAGTGTGAAAACAGGCTAATACAGTACATTGGTACTGAGAGTGGGGTGCTGCTGAAAAGATACCCAAAAATGTGGAAGTGACTTTGGAACTGCGTAACAGGCAGAGGTTGGAACCCTTTGGAGGACTAAGAAGAAGACAGGAAAATGTGGGATAGTTTGGAACTCCCTAGAGACTTGTTGAATGATTCTGCCCAGAATGCTGATAGTGATATGGACAATAAAGTCCAGGTTGAGGTGGTCTCAGATAGACATTAGGAACTTGTTGGGAACTGGAGAAAAGGTGACTCTTGTTGTGTTTTAGCAAAGAGAGTGGTGGCATTTTTATCCCCTTTCTAGAGATTTGTGGAACTTTGAACTTGAGAGAGATGATTTAGAGAATCTGACAGAAGAAATTTCTCAGCAGCAAAACATTCAAGAGGTGACTTCAGTGCAGTTAAAGGCATTCTGTTTTAAAAGAGAAACAGAATATAAATGTTAAAAGAATTTGCAGCCTGACAATGTGATAGCAAAGAAAATCCCATTTTCTGAGGAGAAATTCAAGCTGGCTGCAGAAAAGTGCATAAGTAATTGGAAGCTGAATGTTAATCACCAAGACAATGGAGAAAATGTCTCCAGGGCATGTCAGAGATCTTTGTGGCAGCCCGTCCGATCACAGACCTGGAGACCTAGGAGGAAAAAATGGTTTCATGGGCCAGGGCTAGGGTCCCTCTACTGTATGCAGTCTAGGGACTTGGTACTCCACATCCCAGCCACTCCAGCCATGGCTAAAAGGGGTCAAGGTACATCTTGGGCTGTTGCTTCAGAGGGTGGAAGCCCCAAGCCTTGGCAGCTTCCACATGGAGTTGAGCCTGTGGGTGCCCAGAAGTCAGGAACTGAGATTTGGAACCTCTGCCTAGATTTCAGAAGATGTATGGAAATACCTTGATGCCCAGGCAGAAGTTTGATACAGGGGTGGGGCCCTCATGGAGAACCTTTGTTAAGGCAGTGCAGAAGGAAAATGTGGAGTGGGAGCCCCCACACAGAGTCCCTACTGGAGCACCAGCTAATGAAGCTGTCAGAAGAGGGTCACCATCCTCCAGACTCCAAATGGTAGACCCACCTACCTCTTGCACTGTGTGCCTGGAAAAGCTGCAGACACTCAATGCCAATCCTTGAAGGTAGCCAGGAGGGGGGCTATATCCTGCAAAGCCACAGGGATGGGGCTGCCCAAAACCATGAGAACCCACCTCGTGCATCAGTGTGACCTGGATATGAGACATGGAGTCAAAGGAGATCATTTTGGAGCTTTAAAATTGACTGCCCCACTGTATTTTGGATTTGTGTGGGGTCTGTAGTCCCTTTGTTTTGGCCAATTTATCCCATTTGGAATGGCTGTATTTACCCAATGCCTGTATCCCCATTGTATCTAAGAAGTAACTAACTTGCTTTTGATTTTACAGGCTCATAGGCAGGAGGGACTTGCCTTGTCTCAGATGAAACGTTGGACTGTGGACTTTTGAGTTAATGCTGAAATGAGTTAAGACTTTGGGGGACTGTTGGGAAATAATGATTGGTTTTGAAATGTGAGGACATGAGATTTGGGAGGGACAAGGGGAAGAATGGTATGGTTTGACTGGGTCCCCACCCAAATCTCATCTTGAATTTTAACTCCCAGACTTTCCACATGTCATGGGAGGAACCCGGTGGGAGGTGATTGAATTATGGGGGCATCTTTCCTCTGCTGTTCTTGTGAAAGTGAATTGGTCTCTTGAGATCTGATAATTTTAAAAACAGGAGTTTTCCTGCACAAGCTCCCTTTTTGCCTGCCGCTATTTATGTGAGATGTGGCTTGCTCTTCCTTGCCTTCTTCCATGTTTGTGAGGCCTCCCCAGCCATTTGGAACTGTGAGTCCAATTACACCTCTTTCGTTTGTAAATTGCCCAGTCTCGGGTATGTCTTTATCAGCAGTGTGAAAACAAACTAATACACACTGTAATAGTGTTTTTTGGTAGAATGAAGGAATCCAGGCATTTTTCAGTGGAGCCAAAGTGATAGGATAATGGTGAAAATGAAAATGACAGGAACTGCAGAGGAGGTGGCACAAGGTAGGTATTCAGAAACGATTGAAAACATGTAATTTGAGCAATAGAAACCCAGAGAAAACCTAAGTCCATTCTGAAACTTGTCAATTTAAGACAGACTGTCCTAGGTATAGTGAGGAGGTACTCACACATGCTTTTTCCTCACCATAAATATTCACCCATGTCTGTGCACTTTGTCTTCATCAACTAATTTAATCATTCATTCTCAGGAAGAACTAATGAAAAGTACTCCAATCAATACAGTTGATCACTGCCAAGGATTCCAGCCTTCTGGCGGCAAAGTTTATTTTCATTTAATTAACTAGTAGTTGATGGATATATTTTGTTATAGTTGCCCAGAAGTAGGAGTTCTAAAAGTCCTGATAATATGATTAATTTTGGCTAAGGCATGCCTTCTATCTTATTTGGATATACAATTATTGGATAATTCCTAAATTTTCTTTAACACTGAGATTTTGTAATCTTATAATCTATTTAACAAATCTTCATTTTCTTTTGGTCACTGTTTTATGCTGAAGGTATTCAAGCGCTTAAATCTCTATCTCAAGCCTGTGTCTACTTCTTAGAAAGAAGCCAAGACACAGTATTCTATATGGACTATTTGCCTCTGGCTGAAGTTAGGGAAAGATGACGGAGATAGATTTGTGTATATATTAAGTGTACATGTGTGGGTTGGATCTATCAAGTTTTTCAGTTTCATTATGAAAGTGAAGAGTGCTTAAGGTGGTCAGCAGGCTCTGCAGTGAATCCAGGTTTCATTTTTCTTTTTACTATGAGTCTAGTACAGAGTATATGCTCATTTGTTTGCTAATATAAATAAAATAGGCAGAGTTTTCAAGATATATGAAATCACTGTCTCTCTCTTTTTTTTTTTTTTTTTTGCAGGGAAATTCCCATAGAACATTATCTACCATGATAATTTGAGTTCAGTATTCAGGCTGACATTTATTGACACCTATAAATTCTATAGGAGACTTTTATTTATTTGGCTGCCTTTTCAATCTCATTCCACCAAGGGCAAAGCAAAGTGGCTTTAGCCAGTAGGATGCTCTGGAGAACTCAGAGAGCAGATCAGGCCTTATTTTTTCTATGAAGTTTCTTTCTACCCCTTGATTCTAAACTGATTTTTGTTCCAATTCATCTTTCTCGTGGAAAGAAGCACAGAAATTTTAGCACTTTTTAAAAGTTTTCTTCTACAAATATGCTAAAATAGGCACTTTCTTTACAGAATTTTAAGTAGTTTAGCTCTAATTAGGGATATTTTATTCAATGGGATGGAACTCAAAGAGCTGTTCTCACCTCTAAATTGGTGAAACCATGATGCCCCAAATACGTAAGACTTTGTAATAAGCTCTTTCCTTGGAATACAATTACCCTCCTGTCTTACCACAAAGCCATTTCTAAAATCAAATGAGAGGGGAATGTGTGGGGATATGTCTCAAAAAATGTGAAATCAGATTTTTAAAACTATATTCTCTGCACATTTTCAAGACAATCAGAAACCTTGGTTGGTCAGATTGCCACATGCAAATTTTCACAGTAATAGCCTATTGAGTTTCAAATGTAGTATTCACCATGGACACTTATAATTGCAGATGTTGTATTACATTATCAACTCCGTACATGAGGGGAATAGAAAGATAATGGAAAGTAGACTGTAAGTGAATATTGGATGTTAATAGGAATTCCCACTCAAATTATGTTTTATTCAATTGTTCAGCACCAAATTGTGATACTAAGAGGCTTGAAAGCACACATGTGGAAAGCAGGGGAGAAGTAGGACCAAGAGGATAACTCATCAACCAGGAGACCCTAAGAAAAAATTCAGACCCTTTCTGGTTAAATCTTATTATTTTTAATTCCTTAACATTCTGTGGGCAATTATATAACAAGTCTAATATTCTTTATTTCCCAGAAAGATTGATGATAATATAATTGCTTTTGTATCAGACAGCAAGCCTGGCTATTTTAGTGATATAGCTACTTGCTAGTTTGTTGTTGTAATTACCAGAATTTCCATGCCTCTAAATACCATCATTATAAAATGCCAAAACAAAAGAAAATAACAACAACAACAATGAAAAAATTAAGAACAAAATGCAAATTGATTAATGTTTATACTTCCAAAAAAGATGTTGCCTGGACTGGAAGTGAGTCTTGAATCCCTTAAGAATCAGTCAAGAGTTAAGAGGGAAAAAATTGGAGAAACGTTTTAAGAATTATTTTTTAAAGATGAGGGTCTTGCAATGTTGCCCAGGCCGGACTGGAACTCCTGGGCTCAAGTGGTCCTTTTGTCTCAGCCTCCTAAGTAGCTGAGACATTCGGGTGCATACCCCTACACCTGGATTATTTTGAAGATTTTGATTAATGACTAATCAATTATTATCCCCATCTGTCAAAGGTATCAATTATTTTTTAAGAAGGACACCTATGCAGGAGCATGTCTTTTGTCCATACTGGTAAAAGTTTAGAGCTAAACTAATTAAAAAACTGATATAGAAAATTAAGTACCACGCACATATGTGTGTGTCTATTTGTATATGTACGTGCATATGTTTGTAAGTATGTGTATATATAGAATTCCCTTTATTGCTGATATGGTTAGGTTTTGTGTCCCCACCCAAATCTCATCTTGAATTGTAATCCCCATAGTCCCTGTTATCCTCATGTCAAGGGAGAGACCAGGTGAGGGGAAATGAATCATGGGGGTGGTTTTCCCATGCTGTTCTCATGATAGTGAGAGAGTTCTCACCAGATTTGAAGGCTTTATAAGGGGTTCTACCCCCTTTGCTCAGCACTTCTCCTTTCTGACACCTTGTGAAAAAGGTGTCTTGCATCTTCTTCACCTTCCACCATGATTGTAAGGTTCCTGAGGTCTCCCAGCCATGCTAAACTGTGAGTCTATTAAACCTCTTTCCTTTATAAATTACCCAGCATCAGGCAGTTCTTTATAGCCTATGAAAATGAACTAATGCTGCTACATTTTCTGTTGTTCTTATTTCTCTAGATCAAAAATTCCCCTTGGTATTTGCTTCATGGAACAGTTTATCTTCACAGTCTTGAGAACACTCAGGTGACACCACCTCTGAAGAGAAGAATAATTACAATAAAATGGTCTCAGGGCTGATCAAGAATTCCCCGAGCCTCTGAAAGTGTGGGTCTCCCCATGCACAGATCCAATGGGGAACTTCCCATAACCACTTTACTTTTCTAAACAATATATTTTGTATTGAAACAAGATGGTAAATAATAATAAGTATATTCTGGTAAAGAAAATAATATATAATAAAATACTAATTTAAAAGTGGAAAGGTTTATTCAATTTAGCAATATCTCTAAGACAGCTTTCTGCTATTCATTTTCTTTTTAACTAAAGTCTTGTAAAAACCATTCCCTGTCTTTGTATCTTCTGAGTCAGATATCCTGATTTAAAGAGGCTCCGCAGGTGCTTGAAGCTCTGGTGGCACATGGCCTTGACACTTTCTCTGGCTCCTTGAGGTCTGGAAACAGTTTTTTTCTAGGCTTTTGGCAATTGTAATGATGTCTGTTGCAAAGCTCCCACCTCCCATCCTGTCCCTGTTGGCACTGGATTTCATTTAGTGCTGACTTTCATCTCAGGTAATATGACCTTACATACCTGTCTTTCCATCAGTCCTATCTTTTGATCATGCTATCGTCAAAATCAAAACAGAGATGGAAAAATCTATGAACATTAGCCTCTTATCTAAGTGAATCTAGTTTAAGCTCATACTTTTCTCCATGTGACCCAGTAACTTAGCTACCACTCTTGTTCTACACTGATACGGTTTGACTCTATGTCCCCACCCAAATCTCACCTTGAATTGGTATATGATTTGGCTGTGTCCTCACCCAAATCTCATCTTGAATTGTAATAATCCCCATGTGTCAAGGGTGGGGCCAGGTGGAGAGAATTGAATCATGGGGACAGTTTCCCCCATATTATTCTTGTGATAGTGAATAAGTCTCATGAGATCTGAAGGTTTTATAAATGAGAGGTTCCCTGCACAAGTTCTTTTGCATGCTGTCATGTAAGAAGTTCCTTTGTTCCTCATTCACCCTCGGCCATGATTGGCCATAATTGTGAGGCCTCCCCAGCCATGTGGAACTGTGAGTCAATTAAATCTCTTTCCTTTATAAATTACCCAGTCTCAGGTATGTCTTTATTAGCAGCATGAGAACAGACTAATACAAATTGTAATCCCCATAATCCCCCTGTGTCAAGGGCGGGACCGGGTGGAAGTAATTGGATCTTAGGAGCAGTTACCCCATGCTGTTTTCATGATACTGAGTGAGTTCTCATGAGATCTGATGGTTTCATTAGCATCTGGCATTTCCCCTGCTTGCACCCCCTCCATCCTGCTGCCCTGTGAAGAAGATGCCTGCCTCTCCTTTGCCTTCCCCCATGACTGTAAGTTTCCTGAAGTCTTCCGACAATGTGGAAGTGTAAGTCAATTAAACCTCTGTCTTTTAGAAATTACCCAGGTTTGGGCAGTTCTTTAGAGCAGCATAAGAATTGACTAATACATACACTCTTGTCTTTTTCTCCAAATCCTATTTTCACATGCCGTCAGGCATTGTATGCTAAGAAGGGTTTCAATATCCTGTGTTGGATTTCTTCTTTCTTCCAGGAAGCCATCCATAACCTTCCCCTCCTCAGCCCATGATTAGAGTTAGGTGCCCTCCTTTTTGCTCCCATCACTCCATGTTCTAACAATTCACACAAAAAATTGCCTGTTTTGTGGCCTGTCATTGATAAAAGGCAGGATTACCCAAGTGCATCCTCAGCTCCTAGAAAAATTCCATTGTATAGAAAACACTCAATTGTACTCAATTTTATTGAAGCTTGGCCTGCCCAACATTTAGCAAGATGCCCTGGCTTTCTACTAAAAGGAACTTGCCTTATCTTTTAAATTAAAATTGTGGCATATGAATAGCCAGCTACACAAACAAATAAAACAGTTGTTGCTGAATCACAAGGCAGTGGTTTTTCTCTTCTTGAATGGACATGAATCATCCACCAGTAGATGGGGGAGGAACTGGGCCAATCTCCCTGTGGAGGCACTACAGTGAGGCTCTAGGGAAGGTAAAGGAGCCAGGCTAATACTCCCCTCTCTTTCTGGGTACCCTGATTTTACGGTCTTCCATATAGACTAGATTTTTTAAGGAGTCACAACTCAAGAGAAGTTCACAAAGTAAATCAATAAAAAGGAGGGAACTAAGGAATCAGCTTTTTATCAAGGGAAGGAAAATGCCATGAAACTGCCATGCCATTTGTTTTTGCAGCCAGAGGTGTAAGCTTCGGCATCTGTAAGAAAAAGGAAGCATTGACCTACTGTTAAAGCTAGTAGATATTATTATTCTTGGCTGAGCAACTCTCAGCTCCGTCTTCACATTTGTCTTCACCAGTGCCTTCTCTAGTGGGATGAAAGCATAAAGAAATATGGTGGAAGACTGAGTTCTGGAGCTACTGCCCAAAGCTATTGAGTGTGGGAGCTTCTACTGTGCTATTATTTGGAGATTAAAAGTCATTACTCCTCCCTCATTATGTCAGTGCTCGCAACTCCATGGTTCCCTTTCAGATCTCATCTAGTGTAAGATAAACTGATCACCTGCAGTCTTTCAGCATGGTTGGAATGGTGTGAAAATGCTATACTCATCCTTTAAATGTTATTGTGGCAGCAATGGTAATTATAATTTTTTAGTACTCACTGTGTGCCAAACTTAGCATACATGCTTTTATATATGTCAGTTAATCCTCATGACAGCCTTGTATTTTTGGCTAAGCATCTTTATCTACACATTTTACATATAATGAGCAAGTAGCTAACTTCTGAACCCATCTCCACCTTACTCTAAAATTTGTGTTCTTACTCACCCAGTCTATTATAGGCTGGAAACATTTCTCCTTAAAAATTGGGCATAATTCTAGAATGGTTCTGCCGCCATGAAACCAGACCATTTTACAGCAGTTTTATTTCATCTCACATTGACTTATGATGGCTTATCTGGGACATTGTTTAAATCATGATCCCTTTGTAGACCTTTTGCTATACTGGAGGCGTGAATTTCTTGATAAAGAAGCCAAACAAAAAACCAAAAATTCAAAAAATAAAAGTCACAAGGTCAACCAGAAAAAGTTTAGCCTCTGGTTGTATCAAGAAGAATCACTTTTGTAGTCCTCTACAATTTATAAGTGTGTTAAATGCATGTTCCATTACATAACTTGGTGGTCCAGTTGACAGACATGCATTATTAATCCATTCTAGATGAATAAAGTTAAGCTCAAGGTTTACCGAATATATTAAATTCATATTTTCAGTAAATATGTATTAAATGTTTAATGTCAAAATCTTTGACCTAATGGACCTTTCATACTAGCAAGTAGAAATGGAAATTAAGAAAAGAAGAAAACAAATAAGATTCAGATCTCAATGAGTTGCTATGAAGAAAATGGAAAGAGGAGGGATGGGATTTTTGAGATCTGAAAGCTGAGAAGGCTCCTCCTGTGTGAAATCTTGGGGAGTGGTGATGAGAGCAGAGGAAAGAGTGACTCCCAAGGCCCTGAAACTGGACTAACACTAGCCAGTTTGAGAAGTAATGGTGTGATGGGAGAATAGGAGTAAAGAGGGCAGTGGTAGGAGTTTCTGTGAAGACAGTAAAGCAGGGCCTGATCCTAAAAACATTCAGAGACCTATGATTTTATTCTACATTTAGTAGCAGACAAGGAGAACACATTAACTATGGAATCAATAGAATAATAAAAATAATATTTTCCCCAATATCTTAATCACATCTAGGTTAGGGGCCTAGATCCAATGGAAACCAAAGCTTTTAGTTCTGTCCTCGTAAATCTGCTTTGTCCACTAAGGACATTTAAGTGCAAAGCTTATTAGGCTCCAGCTGCCTCAGATTCTCTCCCATTTCTCAAATGTGCCAGGTCCCTTCTTATGTCAGGGCTTTTGTTTAAGCTTGAACAAAATGGCAGAAATGCAATTCTTCTCCTAGCGGCTTGGCCAACTCCTGTTCATCTATTAGGTCTCTGCTTGAATGGCAGTTCTGCAGGGGAGCCTTTTGGGCCCTAGACCAGCCTAACTTCCCTGCTACTTCTCATACTACCATGTGATTTATATTATGTTGTATAATCATCTATTCAATGTCTATCTCTCAAAAAACTGTAAGCTTCCCATGATGGTTAGTTTTATCTGTCAATTTTGTTAAGCTATAGTACTTATTTAATCAAACATTAATCTAGGTGTTGCTGCAAAGGTATTCTGTGAATGTGGTTAGCATCTACAACTTGTTGACATTAAGTAAAGGAGGTTACCATTCATGATGTGAATAGGCAGCATCCAACCAGTTGAAAGGTTTTAAGAGCAAAACTGAAGTTTCCCTCAGGAGGAAGAAATTTTACCTCAAGAATGAAACATGAGTTCCTACCCTAGAGTTTCCAGCCTGATGGTCTTGCCCTGTCAATTTTGGGCTTGCCAGCCTTCTCAAATCAAGTGAGCCAATTCTTTAAAATAAATCTCAATCAAAATCTCTTTCTCTCTCTCTAGATACACACACACATATCTGTGTGTATATATAAATCTGTATATTTATGTCCATATATAGACATACATATATACATATGTATACACACACAAAAAAATCATGCATCATGTAATGATGGAGATATGTTCGGAGAAATGGATTCTTAGGCAATTCTGTCATTGTACAAATATGGAGTTTACAGCACTTACATAAACCTAGGTGCTATGGCCTATTACACACCTAGGCTATATGTTATAGCCTATTGCTTCTAGGCTACAAACCTGTACAGCCTGTCACTGTACCAACTATTGTTGGCAACTGTACCACAATGATAAGAATTTATGTATCTAAACATATCTACTGGAAAATGTACAATAAAAATGTACAGGGAATTTAAATCTACAAACAAAAAACAACCCCATTTAAAAATGGGCAATGGGCAAAGGACGTTAACAGACACTTCTTAAAATGAGACATACATTGGCCAAAAAATGTGAAAAAATGCTCAGCATCACTAACCATCAAGGAAATGCAAATCAAAACCACATTGAGATACTGTCCCACACCAGTCAGAATGGCTACTATTAAAAAGTATAAACAAAAGAAAACACAAAACAGATACCGGCGAGGTTATAGAGAAAAGGGAGCACTGTTGGTGGGAATGTAAATTAGTCCAGACACTGGGGAAAGCAGTCTGGAGATAGCTAAAATAACTTAGAACAGTTGACTCAGCAGTACCATTACTGGGTATATACGCAAAAGAAAATAAATCATTCTATCAAAAAGACACATGCACTCATATGTTCATTTCTGCACTATTCACAATAGCAAAGACATGTAATCAATCTAGGTGTCCATCAGTGACAGATTGGATACAGAAAATGTGATATATATACACCATAAAATACTATATAGCCATAAAAAGAATGAAATAATTTCCTTTGCAGCAATATGAATGGAGATGGAGGCCATTATCCTAAGCAAATTAATGTAGAAACAGAAACCAAATACCACATATTCTCACTTGTAAGTGGGGGCTAAACATTAAGCACCCATGGACATAAATATGGGAACAGTAGACACTGTGGACTACTAGAGGGTAGAGGGAGGCATGGTGGGTTAAAAAACTTCCCACTGGGGCTGGGTGCGGTGGTTCATGCCTGTAATCCCAGTACTTTGGGAGGCTGAGGGGGGCAGATCACGAGGTCAGGAGTTCAAGACCAGCCTGACCAATGTGGTGAAATCCCGTCTCTACTATAAATACAAAAATTAGCTGGGCGTGGTGGCACACACCTGTAATCCCAGCTACTCGGGAGACTGGGGCAGGAGAATTCCTTGAACTCACGAGGCGGAGGTTGCAGTGAGCTGGGATTGGGCCACTACACTCCAGCCTGGGTGACAGAGTGAGACTGTCTAGAGAAAAAAAAAAAAAAAGAGAACGGGCACGAAGGCTCACACCTGTAATCCCGGCACTTTGGGAGGCCGAGGCGGGCGGATCACGTGGTCAGGAGATTGAGACCATCCTGGCTAACACGGTGAAATCCCGTCTCTACTAAAAAAAAATTACAAAAACATTAGCCGGGCGTGGTGGCGGGTGCCTGTAGTCCCAGCTACTCAGGAGGCTGAGGCAGGAGAATGGCGTGAACCCGGGAGGCAGAGCTTGCAGTGAGCCGAGATCGCGCCACTGCACTCCAGCCTGGGCGACAGAGCAAGAATCTGTCTCAAAAAAAAAAAAAAAAAAAAAAAAAAAAAAAACAGAAAGAAAAAAAACTTCCCATCAGGCACTATGCTCATTACCAGAGGATCTATACCTTAACCCTCAGCATCATGCAATATTCCCATGTAACAAATCTGCATATGTACCCACTGTATCTGAAATAAAAGTTGAAAATAAACAACAATCACAATTCTAAAAAATAATACAGTATTATAATTTTGTGGGACCACTGCTATTTATGTGGTCTTTTGTTGACCAGAAGGTTGTATGCAGTGGACTGTATGTATATGTATGTACATACGTACCTCTTATTGGGTCTGTTTCTCTGAGAACTCTAAGTAGCACACTCTCTGAGAAGAGTGACCCAAGTTGGTCTTGTTTATCACTATGTGTCCTTCAAACTTTACACAGGGTCTTATATCAAATTGGCACATAATACACATTTTAAAAAATTAATGAATGATGGAAAGGAGCACATGGCACCTCGGTTTGATGCAAACACAACGTTTTATATGAGTTTAAATCAGATGCAGAGGTCCTGGGCATTTGAAGATCTTTCATGGCTTTAATTCATGCAAATGGATGAATTAAATGCCTTTGCTCTCACAAAGGCCTTCCAGCCCCTACTAATGGTAGGGCTGAGATACAGCCAGCTTCTTTTGACGTCTCTTTTAATGCTTTTTTCTACATTACCTTATTTATATTTAATTTGGTTTACTTGCTCATGCTATGGAATTGTGTAGAACTTTCATATTAGAAAAGGAACATCTGCATATGGCTACAGGTATCATTAGAAAGCCCTTTAAGATTAACATATGACCAAAGCAAGTTTATTAGAACATTTATCTTACAGAAGTTAAAAGTCATCCAATATAAGAAAAAGTTAAGCTAAAAGCTACGTAATACTGGACAATGTCTTTTTTATCTATCATGAGAATTGATGCTATTATTCTCAAGCTGCTCGCAGAAATGGAGGAAAAGTTATTTGAAAAAAGATAAAAATTCTAAATTATTTAATAGGTTTTTGGCTTGACATTGTGAGAGCCATAGTTTTTGGACAATACTCTGAAAGGGAGAATTGCTCTAATGCAGTGATTCTGGGCTTTGTACATTGATGAATCCATGATTTCTTGGGCTGTCACCATCCACCTATGCTCCTGAAAATCTTTTTCCCAAAATAAGAATTAGTAAAATTTATGGTTTTGTTTTTACAACTGGAACAAGGAAAGAATTGATCAAAGAGCAATCTATCAGTCTTCTCAAGGTCTTGCTGTTGTTTTCCCTCTTGAATTAAAATGAAAACCATGGAGACTATTGATTCAAAAATCTTCCAAATTCTATTTAATTTCCAACTCCATCTCAGAAACTATGATGACTTTTAGAGTTGGAATTGATTGCTTATTAACTGTTTTAGAAAGGCTGCTTTATTTCTTACTTCCTCTCATTAGCTCTACTTGATCATCCAGGTAAATTGTGTTGGTTCTACTTTTTGTACCAGTCTAGCTTCAGCTTTGTTGGACATAAACAAGTATTTATGAATTCCCTTGGTGTACCTAACATTGTGATGCATACACTACAAGGCACTCAGAAGAGACAACACAATCTCTGCCTTCAAAAAGTTGCAATCTAATTGAATAAGCATGTTCTCATTAAAAAAAATAAAATCACAAAATTTGATTAATGATGGCAGAGTCTGTGTCCTGATATTTTCTTGAAGTAGTTGTATAGCCATAACACAGGCCGCTGGACCCCTCTGGGCTTTGGTTTACTCAGATAATTTCTGGGTCTCTTTCTAGGGAAGTATGATATGTTCTCTTGGCAACTGTTATCGGGCCAACGTAGGAAGACCATTAAGCTAAAAAGACCTTGTTTCTTGGGAAAAACTGGCTAAGGGCAATTACATAAATGAGAAATGCACACTTACTGTGTGTAACATAATATATACATTATGGAGATGACATAAAAGTTTGTGGGGTACATACTATTCCTATTCTTAAAGATGTTGCAGGATAGTTCTGTAAGGAAACATAATAAAGTTGGAGCTAGGATTAAAGGTCTGATCCAAAATCTGTGTTTGAATCTTTGGCAATAACTTGCTGGGAGGAAATGACATCATTAATTGCCCTTTTAGAATAGTTTAAGAGAATTCTTCCTATCTTCTAGGTTTATTGAAATAATTAAGTGATTTAATTCATTCAGTGGAAAATGTTTACTGAATGCCTGTTCTTTGCCAAAGACTATATTAGATGCTTAATATATATTGGTGAATGAAATAGACAAAGATATGTACCCTCTTATGACTAAGTTCCTAGTGGAGGGAAATCGGTTGAAGATAAACAGTAGATTTAATAAAGAAGTGAATTTTATCATATGTGTTAAGCTGATGAATGATATGGTGGGGGGAAACAGTAGAGTAGTGCAGAATAAAATAACTGGGAATAGGGCCTGGGGAGAGGGCTGCACTTTTAAATATGGTAGTCAGGGTGGGCTTCATAGAGAAATTTCCAGCTAAGCAAAGATCTGAAGGAGGTGATGAATATTGATTTCCTACATCTTGGAAAAAGCAATTTAGGGAGAGACCACATCCAATACAAAATGCTAAGGTAGGGGCAAGCTTGGCTAGTTGAAGGAAGAACAAGAAAGCCAGCATGTCTGGGACAGAGAAGCTGATGAGAAGGGTTTTAGGAAATGAAATCAGGAATGGGAGAAAAGAATCATATTGTGTAGGACTTCGTTGATGATTGTAAAGACTTTGGTATTACTTGAGGGTAATGGGGAGCATTTAAGGATTTCCCTGAGGAGTGACTTAATCTGACTTAAATTTGAAGTGAAGTTCTAAAAGTAGGGAAAAGCAGGAGTGTGGAAAATGGTGAAAGAGGGAGAAGGATTAAAAGACATTCAGAAGAATATGACTTGATTTGAGATTATAACAATGAAGGTGATGGGAAGGGGTTAGACTCTAGATTTATTTTAACCAAAAAATCAAAAAGATTTTCTGATTGTTTGTAAGAGGGATGTGAGAGAAGAGATAAGTCAAGGATAATATCATGGCTTTTATTATTGGAAAAAAGTATAAAGTACAGAAAACATGTAAAAGCATTGAAAATACTTAGCACAGTGAACGGTGCGTGGTACGCACTCAATTAAGAAATTAAGGTAACTGATGTTTACAAATAACTCACCAATCTGCCTTGTTCTTTTCATCTTTGAGATATTAGTTTACATATCACTTACACTGAAAACCTTTTCCAACTCCCTCTGGGCAATGTGCCTCTTCCATTCAATCTAATAAGTCTTTCCAATTTCCCTTTCATATTGATTATTATCTTACATTGCAATTTATGTAAAGCACCATCACAGTGAAAAAAGTGCTTGAAGGGAGATTCCTCATATTTGCTATGAGAGATCAGAAAAGACATTTATGGGGGAGGCAACAATTAAGATGGGGCTTGAAAGGATGGGTAGAATACGTGACAAAAGTTGATGGAATATAAAGAGGGGTGCAGGATGCATTTCCACACTCCTTGGTCAGAGAAGTTTATACAGGTGTTCACCTCACATTTCAGGTTGTCAAGCAACCAAGAAAATTACAAAACTCCTAATTCGAGGTTTCTGTTTCATATTCTCTGGTCCGGCACTGTTGTCAGACAGTACAGAGGATTGCTGGTATGCTTCCATCCCGTGAATGCACACTTTGTGGTTGCTACCTGTGATAAGAATAAATTAATGATGACCCTGCCCATGGAGGTGTCTGTGTGTGTGAGTGTGGCGGTGGTGGCACTAAAATATAAAATGGTATATGTTTTTCTATTATTTGTTATTGAAATTTTAGATCTTCCATACTGCTCTGTGGCAAGGTATGTATGGGAGTGAATGGAAGCTGGGATCAATGTCTGCACATCAGAAGAGGATATTCAAACCCCAAGATAAGAATGTTTCATTGAATTAATATTTCTGTAAGCACACACAGCTTATCTTTTCTGTGGACAACTAAAAGATTAATGAAATACACACCATGTACATATGTAACTGTATTTAGCAAAAAAAAAAAAAAAACTTCATTAAGGGACAGATTTACTAAAAGCACAAATCTTCCACAATGGTTGAACTAATTTACACTCCCACCAACAGTGTATACGTGTTCCCTTTTCTCTTCAACCTTGCCAGCATCTGTTAATTTTTGACTTTTTAGTAATAGCCATTCCTACTGGTGTGAGGTGGTACCTCACTGTGGTTTTCATTTACATTTATCCAAGGATCAGTTATGTTGAGCTTTTTTTCATTCGATTGTTAGTAGCATGTATGTCTTCTTTTGAAAAGTGTCTATGAAAACCCACGTTTTTGTGGGTTTTTGTTTCTTGTGAATTTGTTTTAATTCCTTATAGAGGCTAGATATTAGACCTTTGTCAGATGATTAATTTGCAAAAATTTTCTCCCACTCAGTAGGTTGTTTATTCTGATGATAGTTTCTTTTGCTGTGCAGAGGCTCTTTAGTTTAATTAGATCCCATTTGTCAATTTTGGCTTTTGTCACAATTGCTTTTGATGTCTTTGTCATGAAATCTTTGCCCATGCCTGTGTCCTGAATGGTATTGCCTAGGTTGTCTTCCAGGATTTTTATAGTTGTGGGTTTTACATTTAAGTCTTTAATCCATCTTGAGTTAATTTTTATATATGCCGTAAAAAAGGGGTCCAGTTTTAATCTTCTGCATATGGCTAGCCAGTTATTCCAGCACCATTTATTGAATAGGGAATCCTTTCCTCATTCCTTATTTTTGTCAGGTTGGTGAAGATTAGGTAGTTGTAGGTTTGTGGTCTTATTTCTGGGTTCTACATTTTGTTCCATTGGCCCATGTGTCTGTTTTTGTACCAGTACCATGCTGTTTTGGGTACTGTAGCCCTGTAACATAGTTTGACATTGGTTGGATTCCTCAAAGACATAAAGACAGAAATACCATTCAACCCAGCAACCCTATTACTGGGTATATACCCACAAGAATATTAATCATTCTACTACAAAGACACAAGCATATGTTCATTGCAGCACTATTTACAATAGTAAAGCAACCTAAATGTCCATCAATGACAAATTAGATAAGAAAATGTGGTATATACACACTATGGAATACTATGCAGCCATAAAAAAGAATGAGATCATGTCCTTTCTTGATCATGACATGGATGGAGCTGGAGGCCATTATCCTTAGCAAATTAACACAGAAAATGAAAACCAAATACCACGTGTTCTCACTCATAAGTGGGAGCTAAATGATGAGAACATGTGAACACATAGAGGAGAACAACACATACTGGGGCCCGTCAAAGGCTGGAGGGTGGGAGGGGAGACAGGATCAGGAAAAATAACTGAGTACTAGATTTAATACCTGAGTGATAAAATAATCTTTATAACGAACCCTCATGACACAATTTTAGCTATGTAAAAAACCTGCACATGTACCTCTGAACATTTATAAAATGTGAATTCAAAAATTTCAGCAAAAGAGGCTTTATTTTTCTGAGAGCTCACCTGCAGCAAGTAGACATTCTTTACCACAACAAATAAATTTATGTTCAAATTAAGTTTATTTTGTCTTAAAATTTTTATTCTATGTTCAATATGCATGCATATCCCTGATATTATTGAAGTTATTTAAAACAAATTTTGGACATTGTTGTAAATATTTTTATTATATAAAAGTTATGTTTTGTTTTTAAATGTAGGTTTAAGTTAAGTCCTTTAACTTGAGGTGTCCTGTAGGGGGCTTCCCTATGAGTAAACAGAGAACAGTAACATTTGGTTTCACGGTGGGTGACATTGTAAAAGACAGAGAAACAATTGGCATTGGAAGACTTTGACAGCAATTTCTAGGATGAATCCAGACAGAAGGATGCAATCCACAGGCAAGTGTTCAATCCTAGGATGGAAATGTTTAACAATTAGTCAGGAGTCTCATTTTAGAAGAAGCTAAGTTTCCAACCAATTTATCACAGCGAGGACAAAGGGATGCACATGAGGTCAGGGGAAATAATGGAGTTGGCCTGACAGGAAAGGTTATTTATCTCAGAGATCAAGAATGGTGCTTTGAAGGAGTCCTGGTAGTCTCCACCTCAGGTCTGGACTTTTTCTGGGAATTGGGAAAAATGGATCTGTAGGTGGCCCCGATGATGATGGAGAAAAGGGAACTAAAGAGGAAGCTGGGGCTTCAACAATTGTGTTTTAAGCTTCAAGAATATAAAATCTATTACTCTCACAGGCTGCTGATGAAAATGTCAATAAAACCACTCTGGAAGGAATTTCACCAATCAGTATGTATCAAAAGACAAAAAATGTACATTATTTTTACTTCAAATATTTAATTCTAGAAGTTTTATTATGAGTAAATCTTGCAAGTATATGCAGATAAAATTTTGAAGATACTGCAGTTTGCAAATGCAAATAGATTAATTATAGTAAAAAGGAATAAAGGGAAAAATCAAAATATACTGTAGAATTTTGGTTAAGTAAATTATATTCCTTTTTGCTTGAAAACACCTTAACTAACCTCTCTGATTCTCTCACTCACCAATCTTCCCAATTCTTTTCATCTTTCAGACATTAGTTTAAGTATCACTTATGCTGTAAACCTTTTTCAACTCCTTCTAAATAGGGCAATATTCCTTTTCCATATACTCCCATAACTCTAATTCCTCCTCCATATCAATTCTTATCTTACTATATGCTAAATGCTAGATTTATTTTCCTAAAAACATTCTAAAATAGGATGATATAAAAAATATTTTCAAACAAATACAAGTAGAATGATTTCATCAACAGGCCAGCACATAATAAATGTCAAAGAAACTTTTTTGCACTAAAGGCAAATGAACTAGATGGAAACTCAAATACAAAAAAAAAAAAAAATCACACATAGCAAATATGTGGATAAATAGACTGTCATTTTTTAAGAGCCTCTTTATTATTTGAGGTATATTAATAACAACAGATTGTAGAGATTATAGCAAATGTAGATAGAAAATCTATGACAATCACCAAAAAAGGAAAGTGTGCAAAATGATGTATATTTTGTAAGGATCTTACATTACACATTAAATAGTATAACATTACTTTCAAAGCATTACTTTATTACAGATAGATAAATTAAGGATATATATTATAATCCGTAGGGAAATAATAAACAACTCTGACAACAAAAAATAAGAGACATGACTAAATAGTTAACAATGGAGATTTAAAAGATACTTTTAAACATATAGACCAGTGTCATTAAAAAGCAGCTACACAAACAAACCAACATAATAACCAGCTAACAACACAATGGCAGGATCAAATCCACACATGTCAATACTAACCTTGAATGTAAGTGGGCCAAATGCACCACATAAAAGGCACAGAATAGAATGCTGGATTAGAAAAAGCAAGACCCAATGGTATGCTGTCTTCAAGAGACCCATCTCACACTTAATAACACCCATAGGCTCATAATAAAGGGATAAAGGAAAATATATCAAGAAAATTAGAAACAGAAAAAAGCAGGGGTTGCCATACTAATTTCTGACAAAACAGACTTCAAGCCAAAACAAGATCAAAAAGACAAAGAAGCCATTACATAATAGTAAATGGTTCAATTCAATTAGAAGATCTAATTATTCTGAATATATATGCACCCAACACAGGAGCACCCAGATTCATAAAGCAAGTTCTTGAAGACCAAGAAAAAGACATAAACTCTCACACAATAATATTGGGAGACTTCAACACTCCACTGAAAGTATTAGATGGATCACTGAGACAGAAAATTAACAAAGATATTTAAGACCTGAACTCACAATTGAACCAAAAGGACCTGATACACCTCCATCCCAAAACAACAGACCATACATTATTCTCATCACCACATGGCACATGGCACTAAAACTGACCACAAAACTGAACATAAGACAATCCCCAGCAAATGCAAAAGAACTGAAATCTTATCAAATACACTCTTTGACAATAGGGCAATAAAAATCACACACTGGGGCCTGTCATGGGGTGTTGGGATGGGGGAGGGATAGCATTAGGAGATATACCTAATGTAAATGATGAGTTAATGGGTGCAGCACACCAACATGGCACATGTATACATATGTAACAAAGCTGCATGTTGTGCACATGTATCCTAGAACTTAAAGTATAATAATAATAATAAAAAAGAAAGTATGGAATGTTTAAAAAAAAAGAAATCAAGAGAAAAATCACTCAAAATCATGCAAGTACATAGAAACTAAACAAAATGCTCCTGAATGACTTTGGGGTAAATAATGAAATTAAGGCAGAGATCAATGAGTTCTTTGAAACCAATGAGAACAAACATATAACACATCAGAATATCTGGGACACAGCTAAGGCAGTGTTAAGAGGGAAATTCATAGCACTAAATCCCCACATCAAAGTTAGATCTCAAATTAATCACCTAACATAACAACTGGAAGATTTACAGAAGCAAGAACAAATTATCCCTATGCTAGCAGAAGAGAATAAATAACCAAAATCAGAGCTGAACTGAAGGAAATCAAGACAGAAAAAGTCATTCAAAAGATCAAGGAATCCAGGAGTTTGCTTTAAAAAATTATTAAAATAGGCCACTAGCTAGACTAATAAAGTAGAACAGAGAGAAGATCCAAATAAACACAATTAGAAATAAAGAAGAAAATGTTACCACTGCCCCAGAAATAAAAACAATCATCAGAAACTATGAACACCTCTATTCACACAAACTAGAAAACCTGGAAGAGATGGATAAATTCCTGGACCCATACATTTTCCCAAGACTAAACAAGGAATAAATTGATTCCCTGAGCAGACCAACAAATAGCTCTGAAATTGCATCAGTAATAAACAGCCTACCTAACCAAAAAAATCCTAGGACCTGAGCCAAATTCTACCAGATGTACAAAGAAGAAATGCTACCATTCCTACTGAAACAATCCCAAAAATTCGAGGAGGAACTCCTCCCCAACTCATTATATGAGGCCGACCTCATCCTGATACCAAAACCTGACAGAGACACAACAAAAAGAGAAAACTTCAGGCAATATCCTTGATGAACATCTATGCAAAAATCCTCAATAAAATACTGGCAAACCAAATCTAGCAGCACATCAAAATGCTAATCTGCCACAATCAAGTAGGCTTCATTACTGGGATGCAACGTTGGTTCAACATATACAAGTGAATAAATGTGATTCATCACATAAACAGAACTAAAGACAAAAACCATATGATTATATTAATAGACACAGAAAAGGCTCTTGTAAAATTCAACATTCCTTTATGTTAGAAACCTTCAATAAGCTAGGCATTGAAGGAGCATCGCTCAAAATAATAAGTGCCATCTATGATAAAACCACAGCCAACATTAAACTGAATGGGCAAAAGCTGGAAACGTTCTCCTTGAAAACCAGAATGAGACAAGGAAACCCTCTCTCACCACTCCTATAGAACATAGTATTGGAAGTCCTAGCCAGAGCAATCAGGCAAAAGAAAGAAAAGGCATCCTAATGAGAAGAGAGGAAGTCAAACTATCTCTGTTTGCAGACAACATGATTCTATATCTAGAAAATAACATAGTCTCAGCCTGCAAGCTCCTTCAGCTAAAAAGTAACTTCAGCAAAGCTTCAGGATACAAAATCAATGTACAAAAATTACTAGCATTCCTATATATAAAAAGAAAAAACAGACAAGCCAAGAGCCAAATCAGAAAGGCAATCCTATTCACAATTGCCACAGAAGGAATAAAATACCTAGGAATACAACTAACAAGGAAAGTGAAAGATCTCTACAATGAGAATTATAAAACACTGCTCAAAGAAATAAGACAAAACACTAACAAATAGAAAAATGTCCCATGGTCAAGGATAGGAAGAATCAATATCATGAAAATGCCATGTTGCCCAAAGCAACTTACTGGTTCAATACTATTCTTATCAAACTACCAATGACATTCTTCACAGAACTAGAAAAAAATTAAAATTCATATGGAACCAAAAAAGGAGGCTGAATAGCCAAGGCAATCCTAAGCAAAAAGAATAAAGCTAGAGGCATCATGTTACGTGACTTCAAACTGTACCTTAGTGATACAGTAACCAAAACAACATAGTACTAGTACAAAAACAGGCACATAGACCGATGGAACAGAATAGAGAATTCAGAAATAAGACCATGCACCTACAACCATCTGATCTTCAACAAAGCTGACAGAAGAAAAGCCATAGGGAAAAGACTCCCTGTTTCCTATGTGTGTATACAGGTAAAATATGTGTGTATACAGCTAAAATACAGCTTAAAATTGACGTATTCACAATCATAATTTAACACTATATGATTTTAATACTTCTCTTTTTCTAATTTGTACAATAGACAAAAAATGTTGATAAGAATATAAAAAGACTGAACAATACCATCAAATATCTTAGCCTCATATATGTATGTTGAACGCTACTTCCCAAAATTGCCAAATGAAAATTAGTTTCAAGTGTACATGGAACATTTATAAAGATAGACTATGTGCTGGGCTATTAAAAATGTCTAAGTAAATCACAAAGGATTATATTTTATCAAAATAAAAGTAAATCAGAAATAAAGATATCAAGGAAATTCTCAAATATATGGGTATTAAGCAACACACATCAAAGTAAATCATTTGCCAAATTGATATTTAGGTGTATTAGTCCATTCTCATGCTGCTAATAAAGACATACCCGCGACTGGGTAATTTATTAAATTTAATTGACTCACAGTTCAGCATGGCTCGGGAGGCCTCAGGAAACTTACAGTCATGGTGGAAGGGAAAGCAAACATGTTCTTCTTTGCATTACAGTAGCAAGGAGAAGTGTCAAGCAAAAAGGGGACAAGCTCCTTATAAAACCATCAGATCTTGTGAGAACTCACTCACTATCACAAGAACAGCATAAGCGTAACCGTCCCATGATTAAATTATCTCCTACCGGGACCCTCCTATGACACGTGGGGATTATGGGAACTAAAAGATGAGATTTGGGTAAGGACACAGCCAAACCATAACATTAGAAAATCAGAAATATTTAGGAAGTATTTCAAGTGAGTGGTAATGCAGACTACATATAAAAATTTGTCAATACAACTAATTACTGCTAAATGTTTAAATGCTTATATAAGAAAAGGAGAAAGGTTTGAAATGAATTCGCTTTAAGAAATTTTGTTAAATGAGTCAATGAAACCTAAAATGAACAGAAAGAAGAAAAAATAAAGATAAGTAGAAATCAATGAAATAGAAAACAAGTACAAGTAGAGATTAAAAAAATCAAAGCTAACTCTTGAAAATTTTAAAGAATTAATATAATTCTATTTGAGTTTGTCAAGGACTAAAAGAGTTGCACAATTATTAGTATCAATAATGATGTGCCTCACTACAAATCCTGCAGACATTTAAATGGTAATGGACTATTATGAAAGATACTCTGACAATGAGTTTAATTATTTAAAGTAAAAGAACTGACTTTTATTTAATTTTAACTTTTAGGGGTTTTAGGTAATTTTAGTGGATGTGCGTATTTATGGGGTAAATATAATGTTTTGATCCAAGCATACAATGCATGATAGTCATATCAAGGTAATTAGGATATCTGTTACCTCAAGCGTTTATAATTTTGGGGGTTAGGAACATTCTAATTACATTCTTTTAGTCATTTTAAAAAATACAATAAATCATGATTTATGTAGTCACCTTGTCATGCTATCAAATACTAGATGTTATTCATTCTATCTAACTATATGTTTGTACCCATTAGCTATCCCCACTTCTTCCTTGCACCCTCTAGCTACCCTTCCCAGTCTCTGGTAACCACCATTCTACTCTCTGTCTCCAGGAATTCAGTTGTTTTAATTTTTAGCCCCAACATATGAGTGAGAACATGTAAAATTTGTCTTTTTGTGCTTGGATTAATTCACTTAACATAATGCCCTCCAGTTCCATTCATGTTGTTGTAAATGACAGGATCTCCTTTATATGACTGAGTAATACTCCACTGTGTATATGTACCACACTTACCACACTTTTAAAATATTATCCATATTTTGATGGATACTTGAGTCGATTCCAAATCTTGGCTATTTGGAATAATGCTGCAATATACATGAGAGTGCAGATATCTCTTTGATATACTGATTTTTTACTTTGGGGTACATACTGAGCAATGAGATTGCTGGATCATATGGTAGTTCTATTTTTAGTTTTTTGTGAAACCTCTATACTGTTCTTCATAGTGGCTATACTAATTTACATTACCATCAACAGTATATAAGTGTTCCCCTTTCTCAGCATCCTCGCCAGCATTTGCTTGTCTTTTGGATAAAAGCCATTTTAACTAGAGCAAGATTAATTATGTTGAACATTTTTATATACCTGTTGGCCATTTGTATGTCTTCTTTTGAGAAATGTCTATTCAGATCTTTTGCTCACTTTTAAATTGAATTATTAGATTGTTTTCCTTTTGAGTTGTTGTCCTTATAAATTCTGACTATTAATCCCTTGTCAGATGGGTAGTTTTCATATATTTTCTCCCATTATGTGGGTTACCTCTTCACTTTCTTGACCATTCCCTTTGCCATGTAGAAGATTTTTAACTTCATGTGATCCCATTTATCCATTTTTGTTTTGGTTGCTCATGCTGTTGAGAGATTATTCAAGAAATCTTTGCCCAGGCGAATGTCCTGGAGAGCTTCCCCAATTCTTTTAGTAGTTTCAAAGTTTCTGGTCTTAGGTTTAACTGTTTAATCCATTTTGATTTGATTTGATTTTTGTATATGGTGAGAGATAGGAGTCTAGTTTTTTTCTTCTGCATATAGATACCCAATTTTCCCAGCACCATTTTTTGGACAGACTGTCCTTTCTCCAGTGTATGTTCTTGGCATCATTGTTGAAAATAAGATAACTGTAGAGGCATGAATTTATTTATGGATTTTCCATTATATTCCATTGATCTATGTGTCTATTTTTATGCCCATACCATGATATTTGGGTTACTATAGCTCTGTAGTACAATCTGAAGTCAGGTAATGTGATTTCTTCAGTTTTATTCTTTTTGCCCGGGATGGCTTTGGCTATTTTGGTCTTTGATTTTACACAAATTTTAGTGTTTCATTATTTTTATGAAGAATGTCATTGGTATTTTGATAGGGATTGCATTGAATCTGTAGAATGCTTTGAGTAGTGTGATTATTTTAACAATATTTATTCTTCCAATCCATGAACATGGGATATCTTCCACTTTTTGTGTCCTCTTCAATTTTTTTCCATCAATGTTTTCTAGTTTTCATTGTAGAGATCTTTCATTTCTTTGGTTAAGTTTATTTCTGGGTATTATATTTTATACTTGTAGTTATTGTAAATTGAATAACTTTCTTGATCTCATTTTCAGATTGTTTACCATTGGCATATATAAATGCTACTGATTTTTATTTGCTGATTTTATATCTTAAACATTACTGAATTTGTTTATCAGTTCTAATAATTTTTTGGTAGAGTTTTTAGGTTTTTTTAAGATCATATCTACAAACAATAATAATCTGACTTTTGTTTTGATTTTAATGCCCTTTTATTTATTTCTCTTTTGTAATTTCTCTAGCCAGGATTTCCTGTAGTATGCTGAATAACAGTAGTGAAAGTATGCATCTTTGTCTTGTTTCAGTTCTTAGAGGAAGGACATTCAATTTCTCTTCATCCAGTATGATAATAGCTGTGATTCTGTTGTATATGGCTTTTATTGTGTTGAGGTAGATTCCTTCTATATTCAGCTTTTTTGTGTGTTTTTTTTTTATTTTCTTTTTTATTTTTTTATTATACTTTAAGTTTTGGGGTACATGTGCACATTGTGCAGGTTAGTTACATATGTATACATGTGCCATGCTGGTGCGCTGCACCCACTAACTCGTCATCTAGCATTAGGTATATCTCCCAATGCTATCCCTCCCCACTCCCCCCACCCCACAACAGTCCCCAGAGTGTGATATTCCCCTTCCTGTGTCCATGTGATCTCATTGTTCAATTCCCACCTAGGAGTGAGACTATGCGGTGTTTGTTTTTTTGTTCTTGCGATAGTTTACTGAGAATGATGATTTCCAATTTCATCCATGTCCCTACAAAGGACATGAACTCATCATTTTTTATGGCTGCATAATATTCCATGGTGTATATGTGCCACATTTTCTTAATCCAGTCTATCATTGTTGGACATTTGGGTTGGTTCCAAGTCTTTGCTATTGTGAATAATGCTGCAATAAACATACGTGTGCATGTGTCTTTATAGCAGCATGATTTATAGTCCTTTGGGTATATACCCAGGAATGGGATGGCTGGGTCAAATGGTATTTCTGGTTCTAGATCCCTGAGGAATCGCCACACTGACTTCCACAATGGTTGAACTAGTTTACAGTCCCACCAACAGTGTAAAAGTGTTCCTATTTCTCCACATCCTCTCCAGCACCTGTTGTTTCCTGACTTTTTAATGATTGCCATTCTAACTGGTGTGAGATGGTATCTCATTGTGGTTTTGATTTGCATTTCTCTGATGGCCAGTGGTGATGAGCATTTTTTCATGTGTTTTTTGGCTGCATAAATGTCTTCCTTTGAGAAGTGTCTGTTCATGTCCTTTGCCCACTTTTTGATGGGGTTGTTTGTTTTTTTCTTGTAAATTTGGTTGAGTTCATTGTAGATTCTGGATATTAGCCCTTTGTCAGATGAGTAGGTTGCGAAAATTTTCTCTCATTTTGTAGTTTGCCTGTTCACTCTCATGGTAGTTTCTTTTGCTGTGCAGAAGCTCTTTAGTTTAATTAGATCCCATTTGTCAATTTTGTCTTTTGTTGCCATTGCTTTTGGTGTTTTAGACATGAAGTCCTTGCCCATGCCTATGTCCTGAATGGTAATGCCTAGGTTTTCTTCTAGGGTTTTTATGGTTTTAGGTCTAACGTTTAAGTCTTTAACCCATCTTGAATTGATTTTTGTATAAGGTGTAAGGAAGGGATCCAGTTTCAGCTTTCTACATATGGCTAGCCAGTTTTCCCAGCACCATTTATTAAATAGGGAATCCTTTCCCCATTGCTTGTTTTTCTCAGGTTTGTCAAAGGTCAGATAGTTGTAGATATGTGGCGTTATTTCTGAGGGCTCTGTTCTGTTCCATTGATCTATATCTCTGTTTTGGTACCAGTACCATGCTGTTTTGGTCACTGTAGCCTTGTAGTATAGTTTGAAGTCAGGTAGTGTGATGCCTCCAGCTTTGTTCTTTTGGCTTAGGATTGACTTGGCGATGCGGGCTCTTTTCTGGTTCCATATGAACTTTAAAGTAGTTTTTTCCAGTTCTGTGAGGAAAGGCATTGGTAGCTTGATGGGGATGGCATTGAATCTGTAAATTACCTTGGGCAGTATGGCCATTTTCACGATATTGATTCTTCCTACCCATGAGCATGGAATGTTCTTCCATTTGTTTGTATCCTCTTTTATTTCCTTGAGCAGTGGTTTGTAGTTCTCCTTGAAGAGGTCCTTCACATCCCTTGTAAGTTGGATTCCTAGGTATTTTATTCTCTTTGAAGCAGTTGTGAATGGGAGTTCACTCATGAGTTGGCTCTCTGTTTGTCTGTTGTTGGTGTATAAGAATGCTTGTGATTTTTGTACATTGATTTTGTATCCTGAGACTTTGCTGAAGTTGCTTATCAGCTTAAGGAGATTTTGGGCTGAGACGATGGGGTTTTCTAGATATACAATCATGTCGTCTGCAAACAGGAACAATTTGACTTCCTCTTTTCCTAATTGAATACCTTTTATTTCCTTCTCCTGCCTAATTGCCCTGGCCAGAACTTCCAACACTATGTTGAATAGGAGTGGTGAGAGAGGGCATCCCTGTCTTGTGCCAGTTTTCAAAGGGAATGCTTCCAGTTTTTGCCCATTCAGTATGATATTGGCTGTGGGTTTGTCATAGATAGCTCTTATTATTTTGAAATATGTCCCATCAATACCTAATTTATTGAGAGTTTTTAGCGTGAAGAGTTGTTGAATTTCGTCAAAGGCTTTTTCTGCATCTATTGAGATAATCATGTGGTTTTTGTGTTTGGTTCTGTTTATATGCTGGATTACATTTATTGATTTGCGTATATTGAACCAGCCTTGCATCCCAGGGATGAAGCCCACTTGATCATGGTGAATAAGCTTTTTGATGTGCTGCTGGATTCGTTTTGCCCGTATTTTATTGAGGATTTTTGCATCAGTGTTCATCAAGGATATTGGTCTAAAATTCTCTTTTTTTGTTGTGTCTCTGCCTGGCTTTGGTATCAGAATGATGCTGGCCTCATAAAAAGAATTAGGGAGGATTCCCTCTTTTTCTATTGATTGGAATAGTTTCAGAAGGAATGGTACCAGTTCCTCCTTGTACCTCTGGTAGAATTCGGCTGTGAATCCATCTGGTCCTGGACTCTTTTTGGTTGGTAAGCTATTGATTATTGCCACAATTTCAGATCCTGTTATTGGTCTATTCAGAGATTCAACTTCTTCCTGGTTTAGTCTTGGGAGAGTGTATGTGTCGAGGAATTTATCCATTTCTTCTAGATTTTCTAGTTTATTTGCGTAGAGGTGTTTGTAGTATTCTCTGATGGTAGTTTGTATTTCTGTGGGATCAGTGGTGATATCCCCTTTATCATTTTTTATTGCATCTATTTGATTCTTCTCTCTTTTTTTCTTTATTAGTCTTGCTAGCAGTCTATCAATTTTGTTGATCCTTTCAAAAAACCAGCTCCTGGATTCATTAATTTTTTGAAGGGTTTTTTGTGTCTCTATTTCCTTCAGTTCTGCTCTGATCTTAGTTATTTCTTGCCTTCTGCTAGCTTTTGAATGTGTTTGCTCCTGCTTTTCTAGTTCTTTTAATTGTGATGTAAGGGTGTCAATTTTGGATCTTTCCCGCTTTCTCTTGTGGGCATTTAGTGCTGTAAATTTCCCTCTACACACTGCTTTGAATGCGTCCCAGAGATTCTGGTATGTTGTGTCTTTGTTCTCATTGGTTTCAAAGAACATCTTTATTTCTGCCTTCATTTTGTTATGTACCCAGTAGTCATTCAGGAGCAGGTTGTTCAGTTTCCATGTAGTTGAGCGGTTTTGAGTGAGATTCTTAATCCTGAGTTCTAGTTTGATTGCACTGTGGTCTGAGAGATAGTTTGTTATAATTTCTGTTCTTTTACATTTGCTGAGGAGAGCTTTACTTCCAAGTATGTGGTCAATTTTGGAATAGGTGTGGTGTGGTGCTGAAAAAAATGTATATTCTGTTGATTTGGGGTGGAGAGTTCTGTAGATGTCTATTAGGTCCGCTTGGTGCAGAGCTCAGTTCAATTCCTGGGTATCCTTGTTGACTTTCTGTCTTGTTGATCTGTCTAATGTTGACAGTGGGGTGTTAAAGTCTCCCATTATTAATGTGTGGGAGTCTAAGTCTCTTTGTAGGTCACTCAGGACTTGCTTTATGAATCTTGGTGCTCCTGTATTGGGTGCATATATATTTAGGATAGTTAGCTCTTCTTGTTGAATTGATCCCTTTACCATTATGTAATGGCCTTCTTTGTCTCTTTTGATCTTTGTTGGTTTAAAGTCTGTTTTATCAGAGACTAGGATTGCAACCTCTGCCTTTTTTTGTTTTCCATTTGCTTGGTAGATCTTCCTCCATCCTTTTATTTTGAGCCTATGTGTGTCTCTGCACGTGAGATGGGTTTCCTGAATATAGCACACTGATGGGTCTTGACTCTTTATCCAATTTGCCAGTCTGTGTCTTTTAATTGGAGCATTTAGTCCATTTACATTTAAAGTTAATATTGTTATGTGTGAATTTGATCCTGTCATTATGATGTTAGCTGGTTATTTTGTTCGTTAGTTGATGCAATTTCTTCCTAGCATCAATTGTCTTTACAATTTGGCATGTTTTTGTAGTGGCCTGTGCCGGTTGTTCCTTTCCATGTTTAGTGCTTCCTTCAGGAGCTCTTTGAGGGCAGGCCTGGTGGTGACAAAATCTCTCAGCATTTGCCTTTCTGTAAAGTATTTTATTTCTCCTTCGCTTATGAAGCTTAGTTTGGCTGGATATGAAATTCTGGGTTGAAAATTCTTTTCTTTAAGAATGTTGAATATTGGCCCCACTCTCTTCTGGCTTGTAGGGTTTCTGCCGAGAGATCCGCTGTTAGTCTGATGGGCTTCCCTTTGTGGGTAACCCAACCTTTCTCTCTGGCTGCCCTTAACATTTTTTCCTTCATTTCAACTTTGGTGAATCTGACAATTATGTGTCTTGGAGTTGCTCTTCTCGAGGAGTATCTTTGTGGCATTCTCTGTATTTCCTGAATCTGAACGTTGGCCTGCCTTGCTAGATTGGGGAAGTTCTTCTGGATAATATCCTGCAGAGTGTTTTCCAACTTGGTTCCATTCTCCCCATCACTTTCAGGTACACCAATCGACGTAGATTTGGTCTTTTCACATAGTCCCATATTTCTTGGAGGCTTTGCTCATTTCTTTTTATTCTTTTTTCTCTAAACTTCCCTTCTCACTTCATTTTATTCATTTCATCTTCCATCACTGATACCCTTTCTTCCAGTTGATTGCATCGGCTCCTGAGGCTTCTGCATTCTTCACGTAGTTCTCGAGCCTTGGTTTTCAGCTCCATCAGCTCCTTTAAGCACTTCTCTGTATTGGTTATTCTAGTTATACATTCTTCTAAATTTTTTTCAAAGTTTTCAACTTTGCCTTTGGTTTGAATGTCCTCCCATAGCTCAGAGTAATTTGATCGTCTGAAGCCTTCTTCTCTCAGCTCGTCAAAGTCATTATCCATCCAGCTTTGTTCCGTTGCTGGTGAGGAACTGTGTTCCTTTGGAGGAGGAGAGGTGCTCTGCCTTTTAGAGTTTCTAGTTTTTCTGTTCTGTTTTTTCCCCATCTTTGTGGTTTTGTCTACTTTTGGTCTTTGATGATGGTGATGTACAGATGGGTTTTTGGTGTGGATGTCCTTTCTGTTTGTTAGTTTTCCTTCTAACAGACAGGACCCTCAGCTGCAGGTCTGTTGGAATACCCTGCCGTGTGAGGTGTGAGGTGTCAGTGTGCCCCTGCTCGGGGGGTGCCTCCCAGTTAGGCTGCTTGGGGGTCAGGGGTCAGGGACCCCCTTGAGGAGGCAGTCTGTCCGTTCTTAGATCTCAAACTCTGTGCTGGGAGAACCACTGCTCTCTTCAAAGCTGTCAGACAGGGACATTTAAGTCTGCAGAAGTTACTGCTGTCTTTTTGTTTGTCTGTGCCCTGCCCCCAGAGGTGGAGCCTACAGAGGCAGGCAGGCCTCCTTGAGCTGTGGTGGGCTCCACCAAGTTTGAGCTTCCCAGCTGCTTTGTTTACCTAAGCAAGCCTGGGCAATGGCGGGCGCCCCTCCCCCAGCCTCGCTGCCACCTTGCAGTTTGATCTCAGACTGCTGTGCTAGCAATCAGTGAGACTCCGTGGGCGTAGGACCCTCCGAGCCTGGTGCGGGATATAATCTCGTGGTGCACCTTTTAAGCCGGTTGGAAAAGTGCAGTATTTGGGTGGAAGTGACCCGATTTTCCAGGTGCATCCATCACCCCTTTCTTTGACTCGGAAAGGGAACTCCCTGACCCCTTGCGCTTCCCAAGTGAGGCAATGCCTCGCCATGCTTCGGCTCACACACTGTGCACGCACCCACTGACCTGCGCCCACTGTCTGGCACTCCCTAGTGAGATGAACCCCGTACCTCAGATGGAAATGCAGAAATCACCGTCTTCTGCATCGCTCACGCTGGGAGCTGTAGACCGGAGCTGTTTCTATTCGGCCATCTTGGCTCCTCCCCAGTAGAATGATTTCTGTGTGTTTTTTTAAAATCATGAAGGGATGTTGAATTTTTTCAAATGCTGTTTCAGCATTAACTGAAATGATCATATAGTTTTTGTCCTTCATTCTGTTGATATGATATATCACATTGGTTATTTTGTATATGTTGAAGCAAGGAACTAATTTATTGAGAGACACACATCTATGAAAGTGACACAATGAAAAAAGAGAAAATTTAAATAGCCCTACAACTGTCAAAGAAATTGAGTTCATAATTTGTAAACTTTGCAGAGAGAAACCGTCACATTTAGATAGCTATACTGGGGAATTTAACTAAACATGTAAGTAGAAAATAATCTAATTTTTCCCCAAACACTTCCAGAAAATATTAAAACAGAATAAAACTGACAAGACATTGCCAGAATGATCATGTTACCAACATCCACCATAAACACAGATGGACAGAATATTAGCAAATGAAATCAGTAATATGTAAAAATCATAATAAAACATGACCAAGTAGAGTTTATTCCAAGAATGTAAGATAGTTTCAACATCCAAAAATCAGTTAGTCAAACCGTCACTATTTGCTGAGGATATAATTGCATACCTAGAAAACCCTAAAGACTCCTCCAAAAGGCTCATGGAAGTGAGAAATTCAGCAAAGTTTCAGGATACAAAATTAATGTACACAAATTAGCAGACTGCTATACACCAATAGTGACAAAGTGGAGAATCAAATCAAAAACTCAATCCCTTTTACAGTAGCTACAAAATAAAATAAAATAAATAAAATACTTAGGAATATATCTAACCAACGAGGCAAAAGGCCTCTACAAGGAAAACTACAAAACACCACTCAAAGAAATCACAGATGACACAAACAAATGAAAACACATCCCATGCTAATGGATGAATAGAATCAATATTGTGAAAATGACCATACTGTCAAAAGCAATCTACAAATTCAATGCAATTCCCATCAAAATACCACCACCATTCTTCACAGAATTATAAAAAACAATCCTAAAATTTATATGGAACCAAAAGAGTCCACATAGCCAAAGCAAGACTACACAAAAAGAACAAATCTGGAGACATGACATTACCTGATTTCAAACTATACTATAAGGCCATAGTCACCAGAACAGCATGGTACTGGTATAAAAATAGGCACATAGACCAATGGAACAGAATAGAGAACTCAATAATAAAGTCAATTACTTACAGCCAACTGATCTTCAACAAAGCAAACAATAACATATAGTGGAGAAAGGACACCCTATTCAAATGGTGCTTGGATAATTGGCAAGCCACATGTAGAAGAATGAAACTAGATCCTCATCTCTCACCTTATACAAAAATCAACTCAAGATGTATCAAGGACATAAATCTAAGACCTGAAACAATAAAAATTCCAGAAGATAACATTAGAAAAGCCTTTCTATACATGGGCTTAGGCAAAGACTTCATGACCAAGAACCCAAAAGCAAATGCAACAAAAACAGAGATCAATACATGGGACTTAATTAAACTAAGAAGCTTCTGCACAGCAAAAGAAACAATCAGCAGAGTAAACAGACAACCCACGGAGTGAGAGAAAATCTTTGCAATCTACATGTCTGACAAAGGACTAATATCCTGAAGCTACAAGAAACTCAAACAAATCAGCAAGCAAAAACAAACAATCTCATCAAAAAGTGGGCTAAGAACATGAAGAAAAATACTCAAAATATATAAATGGCCAAGCAATATCTATAAAAATGCTCAACATCACTAATTATCAGGGAAATGCAAATAAAAACCACAGTGTGATACCACCTTACTCCTGCAAGAGTGGCCATAATCAAAAAATAAAAAATAATAGATGTTGGTGGGGGTGTGGTGAAAAGGGAAGACTTTTACACTGCTGGTGGGAATGTAAACTAGTACAACCATTATAGAAAACAGTGTGGAGATACCTTAAAGAACTAAAAGTAGAAATACCATTTGATCCAGCAATCCCACTACTGGGTATCTACCCAGAGGAAAAGAAGTCATTATACAAAAAAGATACTTGCACATGCATGTTTATAGCAGCACAGTTCGCAATTGCAAAAATATGGAACCAGCCCAAATGCCCATCAATAAATGAATGAATAACAAAATTGTGACAGACCAATGTGCCTATGTATACCGTGGAATACTACTCAACTATAAAAAGGAAAAAAATAATGGCATTCTCAGCTACCTGGATGGGATTCGAGATCATTATTCTAAGTGAAATAACTCAGGAATGGAAAACCAAACATACTATGTTCTCACTCATAAATGGGAGCTAAGCTATGAGTATGCAAAGGTGTAAGAATGATACAATGGACTTTGGTGGCTCTGGAGAAACGGTGGGAGGGGTGTGAGGGATAAAAGACTACAAATTGGGTACAGTGTATACTGCTTGGGTGATGGGTGCACTAAAATCTCAGAAATCACCACTAAAGAACTTATTCATGTAACTAAACACCACGTGTTCCTCAAAATAAAAAATAAAAAAAAAACTTATTTATGTAACTAAACACCACCTGATCCCCTATGGGAAATTTTTTTTTAAAAATTAATTCATATAGTATACCAAAGTAACAGAAAAAAAGATAAAAATCTTATGATCATATTGATAGATGCAAGAATATTTGACAAAGTTTGAAGCACGCATTCACGATAGCAATCTGTCAGCAAAGTAGAAACAAGGAATTTCCTCGATCTGATAAATGGCCTCTTCACTAAACTTTTAGCCAAAATAATTCTTAATGGTCAAACTTTTAACCCCTTTCTCATATGTTCTAGAAGTAGGCAAACACATCTAATCTCACCAGTTCTATTCAAAATTGTACTTCAAATCCTAGCCAGTGAAGGGCAAGAAAATTGCCTCAAAGGCATAAGGATTAGGAAGGGAAAAATAATATACTGTCTTCATTCTCAGCTGATATAATTTTCTATGTAGAAAATCCCAAGGAATTTATAAATAAACCATAAAACTAAGTAAATTTAGCAACATCACAAGATTCAAAAATATACTGTATTTCTATTTATTACTAGTGAATAATTGGAAAGTAAAATTTAAAGTAACGCAATTATAATACAAAAACAAAATACTTACAAACAAATATAGTGACAGATATGCAAGACTTCTAAACTGAAAACTACATGACAATCATGAGCAAATATATTATAAAAATGGACTGGAGGATTCAATAGTGTTAAGATGTCATTATCCCCAGAATGTTCTATATAGTCAAACTCAATCAAAATCTTAGCAAGCTTTCTGGTAGAAATTGACAAGGTAATTTTAAGAATAATATGGGAGTGAAAAAAACCTAAAATAACTGGACAATTTTGGAAAAAAAGCAACATTTTATGACTTACATTGTCCAATTTCCAGAATTACTATGAAACTATAGTAATCTAAAAAGTGTAGTGCTGGCATATGTGTAAAGAAAAAGACCAGTGAAAAACTACAAAGGCTAGAAATAGACCTTCCCAAACAGAGTGACTTGATTTGCTACAGTGATGTCAAAGCAATTCAATGGGCAAAGAAACACTGTTCACCAAATGTGGCTGGAACAACTGGATAGCCACATGGAAGAAAATAGACATTGACGCCTACCTCACATTTTACACAAAAATAAATTCTGTTTGAATCACATACATAAACATAAAAGCTAGAACCATTAATCTTCTAGGAAAAGCCAGGAGATTATACTTGTGACCTTGGCATAGGCAAAGCATTTTGACAGGTTACAGAAAATAGTAAGTATAAAAGGAAAAAAATTGATAAACTAAACTACATGAAAATTAATAACTTCAACTCATCAAAACACATCATTAAGAAAATGAATAAAAACCCCATTGGCTGAGAGAATATATTTGCAATACATCTATCTGAAAAAGGACTTATATTCAAAATATAAAGGACTCCTACAAACAACCCAACTTTCAACTACATAAAATACTTAAATTGTTCTCAAAGGAAAATATACAAATGGCCAATAAGCACAATGAAAATGTGGTCAATATTGTAATAATTAGGTGTATTAGTCAGCTCACACTGCAAATAAAGACATACCCAAGACTGGGTAATTTATAAAGGAAAGAGGTTTAATTGACTCACAGCTTCATATGGCTGGGGAGGCCTCATAATCATGGCAGAAGGTGAAGGAGGAGCAAAGTCATGTCTTACATGGCAGCAGGCAAAAAGAGCTTGTGCAGGGCAACTCCTCTTTATAAAACCATCAGATCTTATGAGACTTATTCACTGTCATGAGAACAGCATGGGAAAGACCCGTCCCCATGATTCAATTACCTCCCACCAGGTGCCTTCCACAAACCATATCATCAGGAAAATTAAAATTAAAACCACAGTGATATACCTCTGTACTTCTTCTGGAATTATTACATTAAAAACACTGAGGAGTCTTAATGTTTTTAAGGATATGAAGGAACTAGGACTCTCAAACATTGTTGGTGGAACAATGGTGGTACAACCACCTTGAAAATAGTTTGAAAGTTTCTTTTAAGCTTAAATACCCACCTAATCTATGTTCCATCACTTTTACTATTAAATATCTAGCTGAGAGAAATGAAAACTTATATCAATAAAAAGGCTTGTGCCAAAATGTTTATAGCAGCTTTGCAATAATCAAGAAATGAAAACAATGTGGTGTTCATTAAAAGGAGAATGAATCAGAAAACTGTGGCATATTCATACAATGCAGCAATAAAACTGAATAATCTACTGATACAGTAACATGGCTGAATCTCAAAACATGCTAAATGATAGAAGACAGATTCAAAGTTGTAGTTACTGCGTAACTTTATTTATGAGGCATTTTAGAATAGGCAAAACTGATCTGTTGTGGTAGAAGTAAGAAGTGGGGTACCCTCTGGAGGAAGAGAATTTACTTTGAAGTGGCATGAGAGGATTTGTTTGGCTAATGAAATTATTTTTATATCTGAGTAGGGTTGTGGGTTACACAGTTTAGGCATTTGTCAAAACTCATGGAACCATTCATCCAAGTCCTGTGCATTTTACTGTGTGAAAATTATATCTCGACTTTTTTCAAAAAAGAAAAAAATACTTAATTATAATATAGCATTTATGAATTAAAATAATCCCTTTATGTAAAAATATTTTATTGGATTGGTCAAGATTCATGATTGCAAACAACAGAAAAACTCTTGCTAGGGTATTATTTAAGGATATTTAGTAGTGTGTGGAATATTCAGAAAGGTCAGGGAATTAGGCTTGCATACCCCCAAGTCAGGAACAAAACAAAAGGAGTATCACCCAACCACACCATGAGACATTTCTAGGAGAAGTTCTACCTCTGCTGACATCTGCTACTTGGAACTTACTATGCCAGGATAGAACCTGCATCAGTGCTACTCCAGAGAACCAGATGTCTTTACCACTATAGTTGCAAGAAAATATCATTTCCTTAGGTGAGGCTGCCATCTCATGTTGCTCACTTTCCTGTTTCAAGGTTTGTAGAGTAGAATCATCTCACTGGAACACGTGGAACCCTTACGGTAAAAGAACTGGGAAATATGTGTTCTGGTTTCCAAAGAATAGGCAGTGATATGGTTTGGCTCTGTGTTCTCACCCAAATCTGTTGTTGAATTGTAATTCCCAATATTGGATGTGACTGAACCATGAGGGTGGTTTCTAAAGGTTTAGCACTATCCCTCTAGTGCTGTCTCTTGATAGAGTTCTAATGAAACCTGGTTGTTTGACCAATACGTAGCACCTCCGCCTTCGCTCTCTTCCTCCTGCTCCTGCCTTGTAGACGTACTTCCTTCCCCTTTGCTTTCCTCTATGATTGTAAGTTTCCTGATACCTCCCCAGAAGCAGAAGCCTGAACAGCCTGCAGAACCATGAGCTGATTAAATCTTTTTTCTATATAAATTACTCAGTCTCAGGTATGTCTTTATAGCAGTGTGAGAATGAACTAATACAGGCAGATAAGGTACAATATGGTACAATCCTAAATGGGGATAGGAGTGAGTGGTGAGTGAGCCGATCTAATTTATCTACCATAGTTCAACCCTTTCAGTATGTTGACTAGATATATTCTTTTCCATGTGCACAGTTTCAAACAACAAGTATAGTACAAAGTACTCCACTAAACAGATTGAAAAATCCTTTACAGAAATAAAATTGTACTCAGTGTATGTTTTCCAGAGGGAAGATGCAATGTCTTGTCAGTCACGACATTCAACACTGACTGGTGTTCTTTCTTACCTTAACTGAATCAAAGCCCTGCATTAGCATTTTATAACTTATAGACTAAGTAATAAAATTAACCATGACCAATATACTCCAAAAATACAGCACCAAGAAGAAATTCAGTACTGCAATTGGTCATGAGGCCATTGGTGCTTATAATGCCCTTCCTTGACTATGCATTTCATGTTTTATTTTTCTTTACAAACACCTTGGCTGGTTGGGTTTTTTCACCTGGTGGGATGGATGAATCTTGCAACTCTAAGGTATAAGAACCTTTGATGGACTGTGTATATGGGGTTGCTTTGTCTTACATTAACGTTTTTCACTGGACATGGGAACACTAAAAGATACTTAGAATTATCCCTAATAGTCTAGAATATTCTTCCTAACTCTCATTATATAGGATCAATTTTTCATTCATAATTATGATTAATAGCCCTGTCCATCTAGAAACATAAGGATCTCAAAATGGCCATTGACAGTCCCATATTTAATGTAGTGAAAGAATTACTCTCTTGGGCACTCAGACCTACAAATGAACAGAGCGTAGTTTCCTAGAGATCATATATATATATATACACACCATTTTTTTTGTAAGTAGGCCAAATTAAACATGTGTAACAATGCAAGTTGCCATGCCTAATTGCACCCCTTAGTTCTATGAGAGACACAATGCCATGTATTTGCTAGTCCATTGCATTGTTCTTTAAGATTTGTTTCTCCTCAGTAAACCCAAGGATGTTGCTAACAAAGTATAACCAAGAAAAAGACACTTTGCATTTCCTGTGCTCTCACTCTGCTACCATGTGGCAGGTTCATCACCCTAGGATGGGATATCATATCAGACTTAGAAATGGTCATTGTTGACACGAATGAGAATGAGCTCTTCATGATCAGTCAGATGTGGTGAGAAGTTCATGTTCTACACATGAACATTGCCCATACTTCCACCTTGGTCACTTTGTTCATGAATACTTAGAGTAATCACTGCTATGGCTTTGGAAAGAGGTTAAATGAATCCACAGAAGATAACATTTTTTAAACCTTACATGTAAGAACTTCCTCTGCTCTCCTCCCCAACAGTGGGAGCCCTGTGGTAAACATTGATAAAGACATGCATATTCTTATGCTCTGAACTAATTTCTAGTGGTTCATCCACGTATTTCTTTTCCAAGTCTTATCAAATTTCAAATCTTTTTTTTTTTTTTTCTAAGACTATGTTACTAGCCAATTCACTTAGCCACCACTCATGAATTGTAGAGACTCATCTCAGGCCTTCACTCCTCGATGAACAGGGAAGATGAGATGGACTGCTCATAGTTTTATAAACTAGGAGCATTTCCTACTTAATTGTCCTTCAGGGCCTCAATTGAGTATCACCACATTATACTTTCAGCTCAACATATTATGAAGAACCTTCTGCAAGTCAGCTTTTTCCTTGGTCCGTCAGTCTGTAATTGGGATTTGTTCATGAGAGCATAGGTGCAGATTAAGGAAGACGTGACAGTACCTTAGGGCTAGGCATATTGGGAGTGAGAGCCATTTTTGAAAATTATTAAAACTTGTACCTCCAAGGATCTGCTCATGCTACATCTTGTATATTCAGCTACCACTTGACCATAGAATACTTCTGGGCACACCTGATCATATGCTTTCTTTCATCAAGCAAAAATAATTTATGATGGATAGCTTAGGGTACACAGCTACATATTTTTTCATTGTTAGGTGTTCACTCTCTACAAAGCTCCTATAGCAAGCCAGGAACTATTTCTAAAACAAAGAATTACTACCTGCCAAAAAGGGCATAGATGTTTTCTCAGACCGACTGTGGTTCTCTTTCTAAGGCTCGTAATAGGCTCCATAGAACATTCTTGTCAACCACAGACATTTTAGGCACCATTATATCTACTAAATCATTAGAGCCGAAGGGCAAAGCTGCTTGAACTGAAGTTCACAATCCTCTGTGGAACCTGTAAGCCATATGAGTAACTCAGTAAGTGAAAGCAGTACAACTGCATGAGGTGTGTGATGTTTCCAAAATTCAAAGACTACCAAATACTGTCCTTTCTTAATGGTTAAAAAATGTGAAATGCTACAACTTTTCTTTCAATTTGGAGAGGATATGTTGCCATGACCTAGACCACTGTTCATGAACAAAGATATGGGAATTCAATGAGGAGCCTTTACCCTTTGTTTAACATACTAGAGTTTTGTTTGTTTACAGCCGTGTGCCACATAACAACATTGCAGTCAGCAATAGACTGCATACACAATGATGGTCCCATAAAATTATAGTAGAGCTGAAAAATTCCTATTTACTAGTGATGCCGTAGCCATAGTAATGTTGTATTGCAATACATTACTCACATGTTTGAGGTGATCCTGGTGTAAACAAACCTACTGCACTGCCAGGCATATAAAAGCATAGCACATACAATTAGGCACAGTATGTAATACTTGAAAATGATAATAAATTACTATTTACTGATTTTCGTGTTTACTATGCTTTTTATCACTATTTTATAGTGTACTCCTTCTATTTATTAAAAAAAATTGTAAAACAGCCTCAGGTGGTCCTTCAGAAGCAGGTCTTCTTCCAGAAGAAGTCATTGCTATAGAGGATATGACAGCTTCATGCATGTTATTGCCCCTGAAGATCTTCCAGTGGAACAAAATGTGGAGATGGAAGAAAGTGATATTGATGACCCTGACCCTGTGTAGGCCTAGGCTAATGTGTGTGTTTGGGTCTTAGTTTTTAACACAAATTTAAAAAGTAAACAAGCAATATTTTTAAAAATAGAAAAAAGTGTTATGGAAAAAAGATAGAAAACAGAAAATATTTTTGTACAGCTGTACAATGTGTTTGTGTTTCAACCTAAGTGTTATTACAGAAGAGTCAGAGTTAAAAAAATAAAAAGTGTATAAAATAAAAATGTTACAGTAAGTGAAGTTTAATTTGTTATTGAAGAAAGAAAAATATTTTTACAAATTTAGTGTAACCTAAGTGTACCATGTGTATAAAGTCTACAGTAGTATACAGTAATATCATAGGCCTTCATATTCACTTACCGCTCACTCATTGACTCACCCAGAGCAACTTGCAGTCCAGCAAGCTCTGTTCATGGTAAGTGCCCTATTCAGGTGTGTCATTTTTCATATTTTATGCTGTATTTATTTCTACATTTAGTTATGTTTAGATACACAAATACCCTTGCATTCCAATTGCCTGCAGTATTCAGTACAGTCACCTGATGCACAGGTTTGAAGCATAGGAACACTAGGCTATACCATACAGCCTAGGGGTGTAGTAGGCTACACCATCTAGGTTTGTATAAGTATACTCTAGGATGTTCACACAATGATGAAATTGCCTGTGGACATAATTTTTCAGAACATCAGCCCATCATTAAGCAACACATGACTGAATTTGCTTTTGTCATACAGAGGAACTAGAATCTTAGTGGACTACCATATCTATCATTCCTAGAAATGATACCACCTTGTTGCACAGCTCCAGGGAATACCATTAACCTGATGATAGCCACTGCATCATGCAAAGATCCCTGATGGTCAAGCTACCATCTTTACTTCCTGAGCCCTGCCACAAATTATTGCTAGCTGTTTCATCTTGCCTCAGCTGGTTAAGTGCCACCCAGAGATATCATCATTTTGATTACAATGAGGGGGCCCGTTCAATGGCAGTGCCTCCTCCCTTTATCCAAAGTACACCTGCTTTTCTAAGAGGGTGGTGCTCTGCTCACCAATGTACTTCCCAGTCTTGTAGTGAAGAGAATGTTCTCTTTGATCTCTCGGGGGATATAAAGTGTGGGTAAATGGCTCACATATAATAGATTAACTACACAAATTCAATGTCTTTAAACCTATTTATTTCTTTTTTTGCATGATCACAGGAATTCTAATGTCTTGATTTCACTTAGTCTACTCCCCAGTTGAATACAGATTTTAGCCAACCAACAAGACCAACAACCAGAACCATGAGTTGCTCCACCCAGCACATTGAGTGCAGAATTTTGGGCAAAAGTATTTATATCAATAAATTAAGCCCAGTCTAAAATACTGACTGTATCTCCCTTAGAATCTGTCCTTACATAATTATCCATGCTTTTTCTTGACACGTATTAGCAAAACCTTGGAGTGTTTTGGTGTGCAAGTCTTCTCATCTCAGGTTTGACTTTGTAATACCTTATTCCTTAACCCCAGGAACACTAGAATCTGCCTCTACATTTAGGCTTAGAGGCAATGACAGTTGGTAGATGTTAGATAAGAGTTAATGACAAGAATCAGCTCCAAAAGGGGAGGTTTCTGACAGCAAAGGAGTTTCAGCGGAATTGGGAGGTTTAAGGTATAAAAAGTTATCCAAATCATTGCAGATGTTCTTCTTCCAATTTTCAGAGTGTCATTATTTCCCAATCAATACCCTAATTCTCATGTAGGAGGCCTGGCTAAGAATTTAACCTATATTGTATTTCAGTAATCTGAAAGATCACATTTTGGATCTGATTATAGTCTCCATCAAATCAGCAGCAATAAGAGGTAATGTACTCTTATAATAAGAGCGATGTACTTTTAGGACAGTTATAGAAACTCCTTAGTTCTGTGACTGCATTTTAAGAATTTAAAACCACATGTTTATGCTTTAAATTTTAACATCCTCCTACACAGTTATGAATTACCAGTCTATTCTGTACACTTCATGATGATGTTTGTTATTCGGCACCCCTGTGCCGTAGCCTTGCCTTCCATGGACAGTGCATTGTAGGAAGCCACAAATGATTATTCCAAGTAACAATCTGTCACTCTGTGCAATGGGCAGCCACTGTTACATTCTCTAATGACAATGGATACCCACTGTCTTCAAATTTAATTAGGTCAGTACCAACCTGAGATCTCCCTTTTCTTGAGTGTGTGTTACCGACAACCACTTATTTTAATAATTAACCTATTTGCTAGGATATCTAGTTAGAAACAATACAATTCGTTCTTGTTAGTTTAATAGGATTTTTTTTTTTTTACAGGTTATCTTATTACAAATAAGTGAACTTCAGAATTGTATTTCATGGGGATGGTGCTGGAGAAGATAGGGAATATAGCACAGATGCCTTGTAACCAGAAAAACATATCAAAGAAACACATCTTTCAAACACAATGAGTATCCATTGTCATTAGAGAATGCAACAGGGGTCACCCATTGTGCAGAATGGCAAAATAATTACTTGGAATAATCATTTGCAGTTTCCTTCAAGGTAGTGTCTACTGAAGGCAAGACTTTGGTACAGGGGCTGCTGAGTAACACCATCATCAATACCACAGGACTGTTCTAGCAGGAACTCCTCTGTGTCACTGTCTTCCCACTACATCCATATTTTCACAGACCACACACTAGAACCTCCACCTTCACTGTCTCAAAACAATCAAGCATTTCTGCCATGAGTCTCTCCAAGTAATATCATCACATCACTTTACTCTCTTCCACTAAATCTCATCTAACTGACATGCAGAGCTGTATTAGTCCATTCTCACACTGCTAAAAGATACTACCTAAGACTGGGTAATTTATAAACAAAAGAAGTTTAATTGACTCACAGTTCTGCATGGTTGGAAGCTCTCAGGAAACTTACAACCATGGCAGAAGGCAAAGGGAAAAGAAGGCACATCTTACATGGTGGCAGGAGAGAGAGAGAGAAGGAGGAAGTACCAGACACTTATCAAACAACCAGATTTCGTGAGAACCCACTCACTAGCAAGTGAACAGCAAGGGGGAAATCTGCCCCCATGATCCAATCACCTCCCAGTAGGTCCCTCCCTCAACATGTGGTGATTACAATTCGAGATGATATTTGGGGGGACACACAGCCTGAAAAGACAAGAAGTAAAATGATGTCTTTTATTTTTCAAACACTACGAATTAGTGTGTTTGAAAAATACACACTAATAGTGTGTTTGAAAAGTACACAATAATTAGATTGACATTTATATGTAACAACCCACTAAACCCACTCTTCCAGAGCCAAACGACCCATATGTCACTATTGCAGTCTGTTTTCCCACTAACGGTTTATAGATTGATGGATTGATTCAACAAATAACAATACATTACTAATACATGTTTATTACTGTGCTAGGTTCTGGAGACACAAAAATGAACGAGGTATGGTGGCTTTCCTCTAGGAATATGCTGTCTAGAAACAGGGATAGATAAACAAAGAATTGTAATAAAGAGTTATCAGTGCCAAGATTGGCCTGTATACGTTGAGTTCACAATATATGTACATGGGATTCATAATATATGCATACATCAGTTCACAATAGAAATGGTACAATTTCTACTAAAAGGAAGAAATGGAGAATTATGACAAACATCAAAGAGGTTGTCAGTTACTTTGAACTTAATCTTGAAAAGCAAATGCATATTTAATATATGGACAAAGGAAGGTGAGAGAACAGCATGAATAATGCATCCTACCTCGGCAGAACCCACTTCAGCATTACACATTACTTTATGATTCTTCTCATTGGTGTCTTTCATGGAGTAGTTAAGATTTATAATTATCACAATTTATTCTCAGAGAAGATCACTGAGCCATTGAGGCAGAATTTGGGATATGAAATATCCTCATAACCATACTACAAATAATTAGAGAGATAGACTAGAGTAAATCTAAGAGTTTGCAGTCTGCAGCCAAGCATAATTGGTTTAGATTCTGGTCCCACAACATATATTTAATCCAGGGAAAATAATTTAGTTATTCTAAACCTCAGTTTCTCACCAATAATTCTAAATAATAGTTCTAAACCAACATTTCCCATAGAATGTGTATCTAAACAGTATAGCCTCTTAAGGTTGAGATTATTTAATAAGTTAATGTCTATAGGAATCCACCTGGTCAATTTCTGATTTATAAAAAGTACTCAAATATTAGCTAATATAATTAGGCTTTATTTGACTTAGCTTTTACTGTGTGATTCTGGACATATCCAGCATATCCTATGCTATCTCTTTCTCCATGGAAATTTAATCAACACCAGACAACACTTATGATTAATTAATAAAACAGGTTACTTGAAAACCACAAAATCCTCCAGATCACCATGTGTTTTTAAAATAATAATATTGCTTGAACTGATAGATTCATTGTAACGTCACTTTCAATGACACGCAAGGAGTAGATTACTTAGGGAAAATAAAAACCTCACGTTCACTGGCACGCAAACAGACAGCAGTTATGTATAGGCAGCAGTTATGTTGAAAACTCGATCAACTCAGCAGGAGAAAAAAAACATTCAGCATGTAATTAGCTCAAAGTGTTGAGCTCTCTTTTCTATTTTTTACCTGGATGTGCTGGAGTCTTGCATGAACTGCTCATAGTTACTACAATCAATGCCATGGCCATGAAAGAAACCACTAACTGTACCAGTGTACCAACTAAACTGTATCTCAAGGCATAAAAAAGGGAGGTAGTATGAATAATATGGAAGAAAATGGACTGTCACTTGTTTCAATATATCTTAGTGAAGAAGCAATAGAACTTACTGGTAAATGGTGAAGACACTGGGAACAACAAGAATGCCTGGTTTGCAATGCCAGCTCATGCATTTATTACCTATATGAACTTAGACAAGCTTAATTTCTCTTTGTCTTAATTTTCTCTACCATAAAATTGGAATAATAGGACCTCACAGGACTAAAGAAATCAGTACATTCAGAGTGCTTCGAATAGTGTCTGGCTTATACAAAGTGGCTTTCAAGAAACATTAATTATTTTTATGCTTAAGATCACTAATCATCAGGGAAATGCAAATCAGGACCACAATGTAATATTACCTGACACCTGTTAGAATGCGTATTTTTTTTAAGAGACAAAAGATAGCGAATTTTGACAAGGATATGGAGAAAAGAGAATCCTTGTATATTGTTGGTGGTAATGTAAATGAGAATATGGGAATAAATGTGGAAAACAGTATAAAGATTTCTCAAAAACTAAAAATAGAATCAACTTATGTTCCAGCAATCCCATTTCTGGGTATATATCCAAAGGAAATGAAATAAGCATCTTGAAGAGATATCTGCACCCTCATGTTCACTGCAGCATTATTCAGAATAGCCAAGATAAACAATCCACCTACATGGGGGGTGGGGAAAATGGGCATATATTGTTTTAAGAATACAAAGTTAAATCCCACATATATTTGACATCACCCCAATTCCCCATGATGATGCAGGGGTTCCTCCACTGCCTTGTAAAATCCAAGCCAGATTTCTCCCAGCTCATTCATTTCTCTGTCCTTTCCTATGATCTCCTCAAAACTTACCTGTTCAAGGTTTTATCTCCATTCTTGGACTTTTTGAACAGTTGGAACTCTATTGATGAAATTAATCTGCAGAAGTTGATAATGTCGATGTAAGAATAGTGCAATAATGTATCTCTCTAGATTAGGTGTTTTCTATTATAATGGGGGATACAGTGCCTGTAACCAAAGTAACTCATAATGGTTGTTTTAGACTGTTGGGGAAATGATTTTGGAAGAAATATTTATTTAGACCTCCTCAAATCATTTAAACTGCTGTGAAACCTTTGTTCTGATGGATAAAATTACGAGGAAGAAAAGGAGAAAGAATCCAGCCCTCTAGTAGTAGGTATTTTACATAACAGTTAATGACTCTTAAGTCCTTTTTTTTTCTTTTGAGACTGAGTTTCGCTCTTGTCGCCCAGGCTGGAGTGCAATGGCGCGATTTCGGCTCACTGCAACCTCCGCCTCCAGGGTTCAAGTGATTCTCGTATCTCAGCCTCTCGAGTAGCTGTGATTACAGGCACGTGCCACCACGCCCAACTAATTATTGTATTTTTAGTAGAGACAGGGTTTCATCATGTTGGCCAGGCTGGTCTCGAACCCCTAACCTCATGCCATCCACCCTCTTCGGCCTCCCAAAGTGCTGAAATTACAGTCCTGAGCCATGGTGCCCAGCCTCTTAAGTCCTTTTTAAGTTCCACACTACTGTATATACGTTAGCTCATTTAATTCTCACAACTGTATAGAATAGGTAACGTTAATAGTCTTATTTATGAATGAGGAAATAAGAGACACACTAAGTGAGGTCACACTGCTAGTCATACAGCAAAGCAAAATTCAAAACCAGGCATTCTAGGTTGGAAGCCTACTCACTTTACTAGTCTGCAGTACCACCCACCATGAAGCAGCTCATTCAGTCACTACAAAAGCCATGAACCATGTCAGTATTCGTTCTACTTAATGGGAAAAATATTTGCCCAAGGTCTCTCAACAAGGAAATAGAATTGGGATTCAATTTTAGTCCTGCCTGTTCCCAAAGGCTGTGTCATTTCCACTATACAAAGCAGCTTCTATGTGGCTCTCAAGTTCCCTTTGCAGCTTTAATTTCTCTTACACCGATTTCCTTGCAATAGAGTTGATATATACTAGGCACCTCAGGCAAAGTGGCACAGGTATTTGGCATTTGCTTTTCTCATGATATCTAGCTGAGGGTGGGGTCTAACTCTTCAGGAATATATTCCACTGTGCTTTCAACAAAACTAGTAATTGTGGCGTCTTCTAGCATTTAGGCTGCCTAATGGCTAACTTAAAAAGCTAAAGGTGACTTTACTCAGATAAAGTAATTCTGTCTGCACTCCTCTATAGTAATTTAATGTCTTGTAATTCTGTACACCATTAAGGAGCAATTAAAAGCAAGCATGTTAGGTTTCAATTCTCTAAACCTCGCAATGCAAAGTCACAGATCCTGACTCCCATTTCATTTGTTTTTAGAGGCAATGCAATCAGGACACGAATCTTTCTTATTTCTTTCCCCATTTCCCATTATCCTTCATATCCCTCTTGCCATCTAAGGGACATATGTCCCCTTGACAATCCTTCAGAGAAAAAGAATTTAGCATGAAACAGACGTGGAGTGTGGGAAGGGGGTGGAATTGAAAATAATGACAACAGCATACTCCAGAGAGATCCTGATTTCCACCTGATTTCCAGAAAGACACCCTCCTCCTGAATTCTTTTTCTTTGGCTGCTAACTACAAGTGACTGAATTAGCCTTTCATAACACTGAGGGAAGGGGCTGAAACAGGAAGAAAAAAAAAGCCCTGAGAGGAAAATTCATTGGAGGAAGCATAAATGACAATGATGTATACTAGATGTTTTTTTTTTTCTGAGAGCAGGTTTTATTAGAAAAAAGAAGAGGGGAGCTCGCCTCTTTGAACGCCTCTCTCCCTCCCACCAGCATTGGGATAAGCTCTTGACAGACATTAACCTTCACCAGGCTCCTGTGAGCTAGGTATTTACCATCTGGATTTCAGTTGATGAAATCAAAGAGGCTCGATTACTTGCCTCGGGGCGTGAAGTTAGAGAGGAACATCAGGCCTGACTCTAAAAGCTGGTATCTCTTTGGAGGTCATCAACCCGACAGTTAACAACTTGATTAACAAATACGTTTTGAGCATGATGCTGAGACTGGAGATAGAATAAGGTCTACGCCGTGAATGCTGCCCTCTGTTGGAGGAGGGTAGAACGTACCCCTTGTTTTCTGTTTGTATTTGCAGCGACCTCTGTTAGAGTAACACAATTGGCCTCCTGTGTCATCCTTCCTGGTCATTCCCCCAGGGCAGGAGACGGGCCCCAATAATTGGTAAGTTAGGAAACAAAGTATTGAACACAGTGTAGCCCTCTTTCAGAATTCTGCTTTGAGGACTCTCTGCTGGCAGAGAAACTATACCCTTTCTCATTCACTCTAATTTTAGGCTTAAAAGCCTTTCCCCTGTGAGCAGGTTGGGTCTCCAGTTCCATCGCTGAAGTATGAGTAGTTTTTCTTTTTCTTTTCTTTTATTTTAATTAATTAATGTATTTTTTATTATACTTTAAGTTCTAGGGTACATGTGCACAATGAACAGGTTTGTTACATATGTATACATGTGCCATGTTGGTGTGCTGCACCCGTTAACTCATCATTTACATTAGTTATATCTCCTAATGCTGTCCCTCCCCCCTCTCCCCACCCTACGACAGGCCCCAGTGTGTGATGTTCCCCACCCTGTGTCCAAGTGTTCTCATTGTTCAATTCCCACCTATGAGTGAGAACACGTGGTGTTTGGTTATCTGTCCTTGCAATAGTTTGCTCAGAATGATGGTTTCCAGCTTCATCCATGTCCCTACAAAGGACATTAACTTATCCTTTTTTGTGGCTGCATAGTATTCCATGGTGTATATGTGCCACATTTTCTTAATCCAGTCTATCATTGTTGGACATTTGGGTTGGCTCCAAGTCTTTGCTGTTGTGAATAGTGCCACAATAAACATACGTGTGCATGTGTCTTTATAGCAGCATGATTTATAATCCTTTGGGTATATACCCAGTAATGGGATGGCTGGGTCAAATGGTATTTCTGGTTCTAGATCCTTGAGGAATCACCACACTGTCTTCCACAATGGTTGAACTAGTTTACAGTCCCACCAACAGTGTAAAAGTGTTCCTATTTCTCCACATCCTCTCCAGCATCTGTTGTTTCCTGACTTTTTAATGATCGCCATTCTAACTGGTGTGAGATGATATCTCATTGTGGTTTGGATTTGCATTTCTCTGATGGCCAGTGATGATGAGCATTTTTTCATGTGTCTGTTGGCTGCATAAATAAATGTCTTCTTTTGAGAAGTGTCTGTTCATATCCTTTGCCGACTTTTTGATGGGGTTGTTTGATTTTTTCTTGTAAATTTGTTTGAGTTCATTGTAGATTCTGGATATTAGCCCTTTGTCAGATGAGTAGATTGCAAAAATTTTCTCCCATTCTGTAGGTTGCCTGTTCACTCTGATGGCAGTTTCTTTTGCTGTGCAGAAGCTCTTTAGTTTAATTAGATCCCATTTGTCTATTGTGGCTTTTGTGGCCATTGCTTTTGGTATTTTAGTCATGAAGTCCTTGCCCATGCCTATGTCCTAAATGGTATTGCCTAAGTTTTCTTCTAGGGTTTTTATGGTTTTAGGTCTAACATTTAAGTCTTTAATCCATCTTGAATTAATTTTTGTATAAGGTGTAAGGAAGGGATCCAGTTTCAACTTTCTACATATGGCTAACCAGTTTTCCCAGCACCATTTATTAAATGGGGAATCCTTTCCCCATTTCTTGTTTTTGTCAGGTTTGTCAAAGATCAGATGGTTGTAGATGTTTGGTATTATTTCTGAGGGCTCTGTTCTGTTCCATTGGTCTATATCTCTGTTTTGGTACCAGTACCATGCTGTTTTGGTTACTGTAGACTTGTATAGTTTGAAGTCAGGTAGCATGTTTCCTCCAACTTTGTTCTTTTGGGATAGGATTGTCTTGGCAATGCAGGCTCTTTTTTGGTTCCATATGAACTTTAAAGTAGGTTTTTCCAATTCTGTGAAGAAAGTCATTTGTAGGTTGATGGGGATGGCATTGAATCTATAAATTACCTTGGGCAGTATGGCCATTTTCACGATATTGTTTCTTCCTATCCATGAGCATGGAATATTCTTCCATTTGTTTGTGTTCTCTTTCATTTTGTTGAGCAGTGGTTTGTAGTCCTCCTTGAAGAGGTCCTTCACATCCCTTGTAAGTAGGTATTTTATTTTCTTTGAAGCAATTGTGAATGGGAGTTCAATAATGATTTGGCTCTCTGTTTGTGTGTTACTGGTGTATAGGAATGCTTGTGATTTTTGCACATTGATTTTGCACCCTGAGACTTTGCTGAAGTTGCTTAAGGAGATTTTGGGCTGAGATGATGGGGTTTTCTTAATATACAATCATGTCATCTGCAAACAGGGACAATTTGACTTCCTCTTTTCCTAATTGAATACCCTTTATTTCTTTCTCTTGCCTGATTGCCCTGGCCAGAACTTCCAACACTATGTTGAATAGGAGTGGTGAGAGAGGGCATCCCTGTCTTGTGCCAGTTTTCAAAGGGAATGCTTCCAGTTTTTGCCCATTCAGTATGAAATTGGCTGTGGGTTTGTCATAAACAGGTCTTATTATTTTGAGATATGTCCCATCAATACCTAGTTTATTAAGAGTTTTTAGCATGAAGGGCTGTTGAATTTTGTCAAAGGCCTTTTCTGCATCTATAGAGATAATCATGTGGATTTGTCTTTGGTTCTGTTTATATGATGGAATATGTTTATTGATTTGCATATCTTGAACCAGCCTTGCATCCCAGGGATGAAGCCAACTTGATCGTGGTGGATAATTGTTTTCATGTGCTGCTGGATTCAGTTTGCCAGTATTTTATCGAGGATTTTTGCATCAAGGATTTTTGCATCGATGTTCATCAGGGATATTGGTCTAAAATTCTTTTTTGTTGTGTCTCTTCCAGGCTTTGGTATCAGGATGATGCTGGCCTCATAAAATGAGTTAGGGAGGATTCCCCCTTTTTCTATTGATTGGAACAGTTTTAGAAGGAATGGTACCAGCTCCTCTTTGTACCTCTGGTGGAATTCGGCTGTTAATCAGTCTGGTCCTGGACTTTTTTTAGTTTGTAGGCTATTAATTATTTCCTCCATTTCAGAGCCTGTTATTGGTCTATTCAGGGATTCAACTTCTTCCTTATTTAGTCTTGGGAGGGTATATGTGTCCAGGAATTTATCCATTTCTTCTAGATTTTCTAGTTTATTTGCATAGAGGTGTTTATAGTATTCTCTGATGGTAGTTTGTATTTCTGTGGGATTGGTGGTGATATCCCCTTTATCATTATATATTGCATCTATTTCATTCTTCCTTCTTTTCTTCTTTTTTAGTTTTGATAGTAGTCAATCAATTCTGTCGATCTTTTCAAAAAACCAGCTCTTGGATTCATTGGTTTTTTTGAAGGGTTTTTTTTGCCTCTATCTCCTTCAGTTCTTAGTTATTTCTTGCCTTCTGCTAGCTTTTGAATGTGTTTTCTCTTGCTTCTCTAGTTCTTTTAATTGTGATGTTATGGTGTCAATTTTAGATCTTTCCTGCTTTCTCTTGTGGGCATTTAGTGCTATAAATTTCCCTCTACACACTGATTTGAATGTGTCCCAGAGATTCTGGTATGTTGTGTGTTTGTTCTCATTGGTTTCAAAGAACATCTTTATTTCTGCCTTCATTTCGTTATGTACCCAGTAGTCATTCAGGAGCAGGTTGTTCAGTTTCCATGTAGTTGAGCGGTTTTGAGTGAGTTTCTTAATCCTGAGTTCTAGTTTGATTGCACTGTGGTCTGAGAGACAGTTAGTTATAATTTCTGTTCAATTACATTTGCTGAGGAGTGCTTTACTTCCAACTACATGGTCAATTTTGGAATAAGTGCAATGTGGTGCTGAGAAGAATGTATATTCTGTTGACTTGGGGTGGAGAGTTCTGTAGATGTCTATTAGGTCCACTTGGTGCAGAGCTGAGTTCAATTCCTGGATATCCTTGTTAACTTTCTGTCTTGTTGATCTGTCTAATGTTGACAGTGGGGTGTTAAAGTCTCCCATTATTATTGTGTGGAGTCTGAGTCTCTTTATAGGTCTCTAAGGGCTTGCTTTATGAATCTGGGTGCTCCTGTATTGGGTGCATATATACTTAGAATAGTTAGCTCTTCTTGTTGAATTGATCCCTTTACCATTGTGTAATGGCCTTCTTTGTCTCTTCTGATATTTGTTTGTTTAAAGTCTGTTTTATCAGAGACTAGGATTGCAACCCCTGCTTTTTTTTTTTGTTTTCCATTTGCTTGGTAGATCTTCCTCCATCCCTTTATTTTGAGCCTATGTGTGTCTCTGCACATGAGATGGGTCTCCTGAATACAGCACACTGATGGGTCTTGACTCTTTATCCAATTTGCCAGTGTGTGTCTTTTAATTGGAGCATTTAGCCAATTATGAAGTATGAGTAGTTTTTCTTTTTCTTTTATTTTATTTTAATTAATTAATTTATTTTTTATTATACTTTAAGTTCTAGGGTACATGTGCACAACGAACAGGTTTGTTACATATGTATACATGTGCCATGTTGGTGTACTGCACCCGTTAACTCATCATTTACGGGTGAGTTCTGATGTTATTATGTGTAAATTTTATCCTGTCATTATGATGTTAGCTGGTTATATTTAGTTGATACAGTTTCTTCCTAGCATTGATGGTCTTTACAATTTGTCATGTTTTTGCAGTGGCTGGTACTGTCTGTTCCTTTCCATGTTTAGTGCTTCCTTCAGGAGCTCTTGTAAAGCAGGTCTGGTAGTGACAAACTCTCTCAGCGTTTGTTTATCTATAAAGGATTTTATTTCACCTTCACTTATGAAGCTTAGTTTGGCTGGATATGAAATTCTGGGTAGAAAATTCTTTTAAGAATGTTGAATATTGGCCCCCACTCTCTTCTGGCTTGTAGAGTTTCTGCCAAAAGATCCATTGTTAGTCTGATGGGCTTCCCTTTGTGGGTAAACCGACCTTTCTCTCTGTCTGCCCTTAACATTTTTCCTTCATTTCAACTTTGGTGAACCTGACAATTATGTGTCTTGGAGTTGCTCTTCTCAAGGAGTATCTTTGTGGCATTCTCTGTATTTCCTGAATTTGAATGTTGGCCTGCCTTGCTAGGTTGGGAAAGTTCTCCTGGGTGATATCCTGAAGAGTGTTTTCCAATTTGGTTCCATTCTCCCCGTCACTTACAGGTACACCAATCACACGTAGATTCGGTCTTTTCACGTAGTCCCATATTTCTGGAGGCTTTGTTCGTTTCTTTTTACTCTTTTTCCTAAACTTCTCTTCTCATCGCATTTCATTCATTTGATCTTCAATCACTGATACCCTTTCTTCCATTTGATCAAATCAGCTACTGAAGCTTGTGCATGCGTCACATAGTTCTCGTGCCATGGTTTTCAGCTCCATCAGGTCATTTAAGGTCTTCTGTACACTGTTTATTCTAGTTAGCCATTCATCTAATCTTTTTTCAAGGTTTTTAGCTTCTTTGCGATGGGTTCAAATATCCTCCTTTAGCTCGGAGAAGTTTGTTATTACCGATAGTCTGAAGCCTTCTTCTCTCAACTCATTAAAGTCATTCTCCATCGAGCTTTGTTCCATTGCTGCTGAGGAGCTGCATTCCTTTGGAGGGGAAGACGCACTCTGATTTTATAATTTGTAGCTTTTCTGCTCTGGTTTCTCCCCATCTTTGTGGTTTTATCTACCTTTGGTTTTTGATGATGGTGACATATGGATGGGGTTTTGGTGTGGATTTCCTTTCTGTTTGTCAGTTTTCCTTCTAACAGTCGGGACCCTCAGCTGAAGATCTGTTGGAGTTTGCTGGAGGTCCACTCCAGATGCTGTTTGCCTGGGTGTCACCAGCAGAGGCTGCAGAACAGCAAATATTGCAGAATGGCAAATATTGCTGCCTGACCATTCCTCTGGAAGCTTCGTCTCAGAGGGGCACCCAGCTGTATGAGGTGTCAGTCGGCCCCTACTGGGAGGCGTCTCCCAGTTAGGCTACTCAGGGGTCAGGGACCCACTTGAGGAGGCAGTCTGTCCATTTTCAGATCTCAAACTCTGTGCTGGGAGAACCACTACTCTCTTCAAAGCTGTCAGACAGGGAAGTTTAAGTCTGCAGAAGTTTCTGCTACCTTTTGTTCAGCTATGCCCTGCCCCCAGAGGTGGAGTCTACAGAGGCAGGCAGGCCTCCTTGAGCTGGGGTGGGCTCCACCCAGTTCGAGCTTCCCAGCTGCTTTGTTTACCTGTTCAAGCCTCAGCAATGGCAGATGCCCCTCCCCCAGCCTCACTGCCGCCTTACAGTTGGATCTCAGCCTGCTGTGCTAGTGGAGCCCTCTGAGCCAGGCGCGGTATATAATCTCCTGGTGTGCCATTTGCTAAGACCGTTGGAAAAGCGCAGTATTTGGGTGGGAGTGACCTGATTTTCCAGATACCATCTGTCACGGCTTCCCTTGGCTAGGAAAGGGAATTCCCCGACCCCTTGAGCTTCCTGGGTGAGGTGATGCCCCGCCCTGCTCCATGGGCTGCACCCGCTCTCCGACAAGCCCCAGTGAGATGAACCTGGTACCTCAGTTGGAAATGCAGAAATCACCTGTCTTCTGCGTCGCTCACGCTGGGAGCTGTAGACTGGAGCTGTTCCTGTTTGGCCATCTTGTAACCTCCCCCTGAGTAGCTTTTCTTTTAGAGTGTATTACCATTAGCCAGGCAATCAGACCTTCTCTCTATGCTCCCAAGTTTCTCAATATCAACTTTAGCTTTGATAAAGGCGATGATTTGTAATTCTATCCGTGCGTCTGCCTGACCAATGTTTCCCTTATCTCATAATTAGTTGCAAACTCAGTTGCATCCCCAAAACCCTCAATGGGTTCACAATCTCATAGAAAGAGCCTTATATAGCTCATGACAAAGTAACATTACATCTGTTATCGCCAAGTGCCAATTTCCTATTTTAAAATCCTTCTTCTTATTTTCTGAAGACAGGGTCTCTGTCACCCAGGCTGGACTTTAGTAGTGTGATCATGGTTCACTGCAACCCAGAACTTCTGGGCTCAAGCAGCCCTCCCACCTCAGCCATATGAGGAGCCGGTACTACAGGCCTGGACAAGTGCTGATCTCTATAGACAGAAGCACACACAGGGCATTGAGAAGGCACCATGCTTTGTTTAACACTCTGCTGTTTCTATCCTAAGATTCTTAACAGTTTTTAAACAGAGGGTCTTGCATTTTCATTTAGCACTGGGAAACAGCACGAATAGCTTTCCTCAATTTAGCCAGTGAAGAATTTTGGAAGATCTTAAACAGATTCTTCATAGTGAGGTCTGTTAACCATGGTTCTTCCAAGGAAATAACTGAAAATTATGGAAGAAGTGTGTGTGTGTGTGTGTGGCGGGGGGCTGTGTGTGGAGTGTGTGGGAGGGGATGTGGGGTGTGTGTGTGTGTGTGTATGTGTGGTGTATGGGGGTGGGGATGTGTGCATAGGAGGGTGTGCGTGTTGTGTGTGGGGGCATATGTATGTGTGTGGTGTATGTGTGTGGTGCATGGAGTGTTTGTCATGTTGGGGGTATGTGTGTGTGAGTGTGTGTGGTGTGTTGGAGGGTTTGTGTCTGGGAGTGTATGTGGTGTGTGTGTGTGTGGTGTGTGTGTGTGGTATTTGTGTTGGGGTTGTGAGGGGGAGGTATGTGTGTGTGGTTGGTGTGTGTATGTGTGTGTGTTTTGAGGGATCTTGATGCCTAATTATACCAATTCCTTTTATAAAGCATTTGATGTAATCTGGTTGCTATAGCTTTCTGAAAAGTAGTACTTTGGTGCTACTTAAGCTCAGGAAAACCTGAGCTTAAGAATCTGAAAGAACAGGATTTGAAAACTTCTTTTGTCACTTACTATGTGACTTAGGCTTACAACATTCCTAAGCAATAATTTTATTATCCAAAATGGGGCTACTGATGCACTTCACGGGGTTATTGTGAGAATCAAATAAGATAAATAACATAATTAAGTTGTCTCCTTATTATTGAGTCGTGGGAGTTTTTTGTATTTTCTGGATACAAATCCTTGTCAGATATATGTGTTGCAAATATTTTCTTGTAGTCTGTGGTTTGAACTTTCATTTTCACCTGAAGAGCAAAATTTTTAATTCTGATGAAGTCTAATTTATTGACTTTTTTTCTTTTAAAGTGTGTGCGTTTTATGTCCTAATAGGAGATCACTAAGACTTTCCTTTGTGCTTTGTTATAAAAAATTTTACAGATTTTTATTTTACATTTAGTTTATTATACATTTCCAGTTCATTTTTATGTTGTGACGTAAGGGTCACGGGTCCAAATTTACTGTGTTTTTGTTTCTTTTTTTTTTTTTGCTTATGGTTATTCAATTTTTTCATACACTTTCCTGAAAAGACAATCCTTTCCCTCATTGAATTGCCCTAGAAACTTTGTCAAATATCAACTAGTCATAAAAGTGTGGGTTCCGGGAGGCAGAGCTTGCAGTGAGTCGAGATCGCGCCACTGCACTCCAGCCTGGGTGACAGAGCAAGACTCCATCTCAAAAAAAAAAGGTGTGGGTTCATTTCTGAACTCTGTGAGGTTTCATTGATCTATGTGTCTGTCTTTATACCAACACAGTGTGTTTAACATTCTAGTGTATAATAAGTCTTGAAAACAGGTAAAGTCATCCAACTTTGTTCTTTTTCAAAATTGTCTTAGCTATTCTGGAGTTTATTTGCATTTCTATATAAATTTTAGAATGAAATTTTTGGAATTTTAATGGCAATTTTGTTGTCTGTATAGGTAAGTTTGAGAATTGACACCTTAACACTATGAATCTTTTAATGCCTTTTAAGCACTGTATCTGCATTTATTTAGATCTTTAGTTTTTCTCAGAAATGTTCTGTTGTTTTCAGTTTATATGCTGTGCACATTTTTTTTCAAAATTTATTGTATTTCTTATTTTTGATGCTATTATAAGTAGTGTTATTTTATTATAATTTCCAATTGTTTGGTTTTGTATGTAGGAAAATAATGGATGTTGTATATTAACTTCATATGCTGGAATTTTGCTAAATTCATTTATTATTTTTGTGTCTTTTAATATTAATTCCTAGAATTTTCTAACTTGATAATCATGTCATTTGTTATTAAAGGTAGTTTTATTTCTTCCTTTTAAATCCATATACCTTTTATTTCTTTATCTGGTCTTATTGCACTTTTGAGGACCTGTAGAAAAAAAATTAATAGAAGTAATAAAATGGGAATCTTTGCCTTGTTCCCAATCTTAGAGGGAAAATATTCAGTCTTCCATAATTATGTGTCATAGTAATTACAAGTTTAATAAAGATTTTCTTTATCTGTTTAAGGAAAATCCATTCTATTTATTCTTCTACTAGTGTGCTGAGAATTTTTATCTGACTAGATGTTGCATTTTGTAAAACACTTTTTGTGCATTTATTGAGATGCTTATGTAGTTTTTGTTTTGTAGTCTCTTAATATAGTGAATCTCAAACTACATATTGAATATATAATTACACATTGAATATGTAATTTAATATAAATTCAGTATGCATGTAATTCAATATGAATGTTGGTTTAATTTTTGAGGAATTTGTCCATTTTATTTGATTTGTTCAACTTATTTACAGCATTTCTGTACAATTTAAAATATCTTGTTAGGTTCTGTGGTGATGTTTCCTTTTTTATCATTGATAATGGTAATTTGTATCTCATATTTTCTTTCAAGCCTGATCAGTCTTGCTGGGGGCTTTTCAATTTTCTTGATCTCAAAGAATCAGCTTTCAGTTTTATTGATTTTTCTCTTTTTTAGTCTATTTTTAAATTTCATTGATTCCTTCTTTTATCCTTATTATTTCTTTTTATTTTTCTTATTTTGGGCTTAACTTGCTGTCTTTTTTTGTTGTTGCTTCTTAAAGTGGTAGTTTAGATATTAATGGTGGACTTGCTACTTTTCAAATATATACATTTAATGTTATAAATATCTTTCTACCCACTACTTATGCCCCACACATTTGATATGCCATATTTTCATCTTACTCAGTTTAAAATATTTTCTAATTTCCTTTGTATTTCTTCTATGAGCCATGAGTTATTTGAAAATTTATTGTTTAGTTTCCAAATATTTAGGAATCTTCCACATTTTTTAGTGTTATTTATTTCTAATTTAAATTCACTGTGGCCAGAGAACATGCTTTTAGGTTTATTGAGACTTGTTTTATGACACAAAATATTGTTAATCTTCGTAAACATTCTATGTCACATAAAAAGAATGTATAATTTACTATTTTGGGTGAAATGTTCTATAAATGTTAATTAGGTCAGGTTTGTTCATCCTGTTTTTCAAATCTTCTACATTCTTACTAATTTGCTGTCTACTAGTGTTATCAATTACTAAGTGATGATTTTCTCTGATTATGTTCTATTTGTATTGATCCATAATATTTGAACATATTTGTGAAGTACATGTAATATTTTATTATATGCATAAAATGTGTAATGATCAAGTCGGGGTATTTAAGATAACCATCAACACAAGCATTTGTCATTTGTATGCATTGAGAACATTTAAAGTCCTCACTTCTATTTGGAAATGTATAATACATTGTTGTTAACTATAGTTATCCTACTCCAAAAATATGAAATGCTTCACAAATTTGCATGTCACCCTTGTGCAGTGGCCATGCCAATCTTCTCTGTATTGTTCCACTTTTAGTTTATGTGTTGCTGAAGGAGGCAGAGTGATTTTCTTAGTTGCAACCTCCTGAGAGACCCTGAGTAAGAACCACCCAACTAAGGCATTTTTGAGTTTATGCCCCTCAGAAACTGTGTGAGATAATAAATGTCAGTTGCATGCACTGATAAGTTGTGGGTTAATGTGTGATTCTGCAATAGAAACTAATATATCTCTTATTTTAGAATAACTGAATGTTTTTTTAAATTGAATTGTGTCTGATTTATTGGTTTACTAGTTGTACTTTTTTTGAGCTTTTTTATTGTTTGTTATGTTTTGTTTTAGCAGTTGTTCTATGCTTTATTGTATACATGTTTAACATATTATTGTCTACCTTCAAATAATATTATACCACTTCAAGCACAGCGTAAGAATGTTCTAGTATTATATTTCTGTTTTTATTACCTGGTTTTTGTGCTATTGTTGTCGCATACTTTTTTATGTGTATAATAAACTCCAAAATAAATTATTATTTTTATTTACTTACTTTATTATTTATTTATTTACTTATTATTTTGAGACGGAGTCTCACTCTGTCACCCAGCCTGGAGTGCAGTGGCACAATCTTGGCTCATTGCAATCTTCGCCTTCCAGGTTCAAGCGATTCTCATGCCTCAGTCTCTGGAATAGCTGGGATTACAGGTGCGCTACCAAGCCCAGCTAATTTTTGTATTTTTAGTAGTGATGGGGTTTCAGCACAATGGCCAGGCTGGTCTCGAAAACCTGACTTCAAGTAATCCACCCACCTCAGCCTCCCAAAGTGCTGGGATTACAGGCGTGAGCCACGGTGCCTGGCAAGTTATTATTTTTAAATAATTTTATTTTAATTTATTTTTATCCCATTTCTTAAATAGAATAAAAATATTTCATGTTTACCTACCAGCATATTAATGATTTCTGGTTTTATTCATTCCTTAGCAAATATCTAAATTTCTTTTTGTCATTATCTTTTTGCTAGAACATCCTTTAACATTTCTTATAATGCTGGTCTAGGAGTGATGACTGTTTTCTTAAGAAGTCTTTATTTTGTCTTTATTTTTAAAAAGACATAGTCATCCTTATACAATTCTAGGTTGACTTTTTCTATTTTCTTTTTATCTCTTCTGTGTCACTCCACTATGTTCTAGGTTGCATTATTTCTGATGATATGCCGATGCATTTTTTTTTTTTTTTGAGACGGAGTTTCGCTCTGTCGCCCAGGCTGGAGTGCAGTGGCGCGATCTCGGCTCACTGCAAGCTCTGCCTCTCAGGTTCACGCCATTCTCCTGCCTCAGCCTCCCGAGTAGCTGGGACTACAGGCGCCCGCCACTACTCCCGGCTAATTTTTTCTGTATTTTAGTAGAGATGGGGTTTCACCGTGTTAGCCAGGATGGTCTCCATCTCCTGACCTCGTGATCCGCCCGCCTTGGCCTTCCAAGGTGCTGGGACTACAGACGTGAATCACGGGCCGCCGATGCATATTTTTTTTTTTTTTTGTCACTGATGCATTTTTTTTTTGTCTTTGATTCACAGTGTATCTTTTCCTGGCTATTTTCAAATATTTTCTCTTTATTATTGGTTTTCAGCAGTTTTATTATCATTTGTCTTCATGTAGTTATTTTCCTATTTTTTGTGCTTTGGGCTCATTAAGCTTCTTGAATTTGTGAGTTTATTGTTTTCAAATTTGGAAAATTTTTAGCATTATTTTTTCAAATACTTTTTCTGTTTCTTTATCCTTTTCCCCTCTGCTATTACAGTTACACATATGTGTGGTTAGTTAATATTCTTCCACATCTCTCTCGTGCTTTGTTGATTTTTTTCAGTTATTTTCCTTGGATTTTTAAAAAACAGTTTTCATTGCTATATCTTCACATTGACCAATCTTTTGTTCTACGCTGTCTAATGTGCTGGTAATCCCATAAAGTGTATTTTGGCATTGTATTTTTTATTTCCTGATACAGTAAGTTTGATTTGGGTGTTTTTAAAATTTTTATTTCTTGCTTCATTATGCTCATGCAATTATCTATCTTTTGGAAATAAGAAGTATAAGAATAAAATTTTAATATTCTTATTTACTAATTACATCATGTTTGTAATTTGTGAGCTATTTATTTTGCTTAATTTTTCTCCTTATTATAAATTCTATTGTAATACATTTTGTATGTGTGGTAATTTTTGGATGGATTATGGACACAGATTTTCATGTTGAATTTCTCTTTTTTTGGTATTTACTTAAATATTTTTCAGTTTTGCTCTAGGACACAGTTAAGTTACTTGAACAGTCTGATCCTTTGACTCTTTCTTTTCAGCTTTCTTAGGTGAGTTCAAAGGTAGCTATTTAGGGCTGATTTAGCCCCACCACCAATGCAATTCTCTTCTCAAAACTATATTCAATGTTCCATGTGTTTAAAAATCTTTCCACTAGGGCTGGTTTGTGAACACAAACTATTTCTCACCATAGTCAATTCTGGAGATTGATTGCTCATCTGCCTTTTTCTACTGTTTTTTTTTCTCTCAGTTTAGTAGTTTCTCACACATATCCAGTAGTCAGTCGGCAGCCTAAGATTTGAGTACAACCCTCTATAGATCCTGGAACTTTCTCTCCTCTCTCTGTGTTTCTGTTTCTTCTCTCCAGAACCCTAACCTAAAAATTTTAGTCATGTCAAGGAAGCCATTAGATCTATTGAGGTCCTCTTTTCTCGCTTTGTGTCCTGGAAATGTTCTTCAGGAAATGATCTGTTCCCTTCACTCAGAGGATACTCTCCTGTGCTGCATATAGCACATGTTTTGTATACTTTTTTTTTTTTTAATTTTTGAAGTTGGATGCCGAAGACCAGTCCCTGTGACTCTACAAAGGACAGAATTTCCTAGGTTATTTTGACTTTAGTTAAAAGCAACGTAATGGTCTCTCATGTTCTTATAACCTATGATTATAAAAATTCTACATGGATAAAATAGTCTCTTGATTGAATAGCTGAGTTTTTAAAATTCAAAAGAATTAACACTAAACTATATTATGTATTGGCACAAATAATTCTGATGGAGAGAAACATGAAATAAGTCAATTTTGTTGCTCAAGATCTAGAGAAACATATTTTTATCCTTTTAACAGAAGCTTTGGAATCCAGCAGACACTCTTTTTGGTGTCTCTCCCTGGGAGTACCATTATCTGACAAGATGCCATATTGCCAGAATAAAAGCAACAGAATCAGCCACATTTATTGTAAATCAAGCAACAGATCTCAACAGATCTAGATGGTTGATTGACACTTTCCACTGATTACCCTGATGTTTTGGTGATTTGGTAACATGACCATCTTTCAAAGAAGTATTCCTTTGAAATAGCTACTCTGAACATTAAATAAAGAGAGTAGCAAATGTTGGCCACTACCTAAATGTCTTGGCATATATGGTTCAGTAGATAGCGCAGGCGAGTCATTTTTATCTAATTATCTGAGTCATTCAGAAACCCTTAAGCCTTTTTTAGTTTAAAAAAATACTCAAATAATTGCAGTTGTATAGATCTCACCTAAGTTCTCAGTCTGTGAACTCATTTGGTCACTGTTGAAAAGTGATTCTAAAAATAAACAAAGGCTCAAAAGAAAGGTGACTGAAATCATAAGTAGATATTTAGATATATCAGAATCAAGTCATCTATTCTTTTTGATCTGCTTGTTTAAGTGGAAGCTTTGATGCTATATCTGTTGCCTCTTTTCAAAAGGCAGACAGTAAAGGAAATACTTACAATCAGAATTTAATTCTCATGAATTTTACTTCATGGGTTACCTAGGTAACTACCAGTTTTCAGTCATCCTTAAAACTTACATTTTTATCTAGGAAGAGATATAGATTACATACATTTGAAGGGTTTATAGTGGATACCTTAATATCTCTAGCTCAAAGAGTCTGCAGTAATATTTTGGTTTGGACATTAATATTCATTTACTTTGTGAATGAATTATTCATACACTGATTAAGCACCCACTGTGTTCCAGGCACTGTCCTGGGTGTTGAAATAGACAACCCTTAACATATTTTATTGCTCATTTGCTTATGATTTAGAATTATGTATATGTATATTATACATATTATGTACATATTATAAACATATAAATGTATGCATATATGTGTGTGTATATATATATCCACATGTTGCATATGCCTTTCAAAAAATATGTAGTTTCATCTTTTCTTTTTTTTTTTTTTTTGAAATGGAGTCTCACTCTGTCACGTAGGCTGGAGTGCTGTGGAGCGATCTCAGCTCACTGCAACCTCCACCTCCCAGGTTCAAGCGATTAGTTCTTCAGCCTCCCCAGTAGCTAGGATTACACGCTCCCACAACCATGCCCAGCAATTATTTCTGTTTTTCATAGAGATGGGGTTGCCATGTTGGCCAGGGTGGTCTCGAACTCCTGACTTCAAGTGATCTGCCCCTCTTGACCTCCCAAAATGCTTGGATTAGAGGCATGAGCCACCGTGCCTGGCCTAGTTTCATCTTTTCTGTTCTATTTCTTTTCCTCAAGTTATGGACATCAAGTATATCTTTCTCAACAATTTTGCTGAGTCAATTCCATGGTTAAAAACCTATTATCCATTGATTATTATCTGAAGAATAAAGTTAAAATTATTCATCCTGTAATTCAAGGACCTTTTGGTTCTAACCTATGCTCTCTACCACATTTTCGATAACAAAACATTCCATCACAGTCAAACTATTTCATTTGTATTTTTCCCAAGATTATTCATGGTCATTTTCACCACCACGTCTTTGCCAAAGGCATTTATGCCTTCTAGGAATGTCCTCCCTATTGTCTTCTACTTATCTTAACCTTATTTTTCCCTCAGGAAAAATCAAACAACATTCCTTCAAACAAACATCTGTGATGATATCTACCCAAAGTGATGTTTTCTTAATAGGGACACAAACATTTTATTACTTACTATGTATGATATGGGCTTATACTATTGTGGTACAAAATGTAATGGGACTAATTTCTCAAGCTGTATTTTAAAACTATTTGTATATTTTATAGTCTGATGGAGTTTTATCTCTTGATCTAGATTGTATGCCCTTTATGAGAAAGGAGTGTGGTCTTATACAGTTCTGCCCTCTGATATCATCCAGTACGGTACCTAACACAGAGTAGGCCACCAATAAGCATTTTATTCCTTTACTTAGTGTGGCAGCAGGAACAGTGGAAATAGTGCTGAACTGAGAATCAAGAGGTTTGGATTCCAGCTTTGACTCTCTGGGTTGTTTCCTGTTAGAAAACTCACTTAACTTTTTCTGGGCCTGTTTCACCAACTGCATCGTGACAAACTTAATGACTTGATATTTAAGTCTCATTTCAGTAGCAACAACATGTGATTGATTTCAATTCAACACCTGCTGGAGTCAGAGGAGCTTGTATACCTGTACATGAAAATTATAAAGGACTGACTTTTCCCATCTAGCAAGGAGAATATGATAGGTATTCCAGGGCTGACCCAAATATCTTCTCTCTTTTTGCTCTACCATCTTTAGCATTTGATTTTCTTCTTCTTGGTCACAAGATGACTGCTGTACCTCTAGGCCACTCATTCAATCTAGTCAGAAAAAAAGGGAGAATATAAAGGGTAAAATGTGAGTGTCAACTGAGCATGCCCCTCTTTATTATCAAATCAGTAAATTTTCTAAAAGCCTCAACTAGGAAATTTAGGGAAAACAAGTTTCTAGCTGGGCATTGCCATTTCAGCAAAGTTAATCTCTGTCTCTTCCTTTCTCTCTGTCTCTCTCTCTGTCTCTCTCTCTCTCTCTCTGTGTTTGTGTGTGTGTGTGTGTGTTTGTCTCTGTCTTTCTACATAATGGGGAAATGGGGGATAAACAAACAGGATCTTTCATATTGCTGCTGCATGAGTATCAATATCTTCAAATCTTTACATTTTGGTAATTAATTACTGCAAGGAAGCATAGAGTCTATAAGCAAATAAAAGCCAATAAAACATTTTGAGGAGATAAAAGACTTTAGACATTTTAACTTTAGGATATACTACAATGTGAGAGTGCCTTGATCTTTAGATTTTCTTATCCAGAAGGCTCTATTGTATTTTTAAAATAAATTAACTGATGTATAATGTATGTGCAATAATTCACACTTATTTGAAGAGTTTTGACAGGTGTATACACTCATGAAACTATCACCAAAACCAAACCTTCCCATCACTGCCCCTAAATTCCTCCTGTTCCTTTGCAGCCCATTTTATTCCACACCCCTATCTCAGACAACTATTAGTCTACCTTTATGTTTAACTATAGATTTATTTACATTTCTAGGATTTTATATAAATTAAGCATTCAGGATGTACTTTTTTGTGTCTGATTACTTTCCTCAGCATAATGATTTTAAGATTCAACCATGTTGTTCATTCCTTTTATGGCTGAATAATATTCCATTGTATGGGTATACCACATTTAATTTATTCACTTGTTGGTGGACATCTTTTTTTTTAACTTTGGTTATTATGAATAATTTTGCTATACACATTCATATGCAAGTCTTTGTATTGACATAGATGTTCATTTTTTCTTGGCCAAATATCTAGGAATATAATGTATGAGTTGTTTGGTAAAGCAAATGTGACATTTAAAAGTCTGATGAAATGTTTTCTAAAGTGACTTCGTCAGTTTACATTTCTACCAGCAATTTATAAGAATTTGAGTTTCTTCACATTCTTGGCAACACTTGGTGTAGTCAGTCTTTACTTTTAGCTATTCTGAGGGAAGTGGAGACATTGAATTTTATATATTTATTTTGATTAAGTCATTTCACTGATTTATTTCTAAAGACATTTTTCTATGATACTTAAGTTGATTGTCTTGGGTTTTCAAAGTATACAAATCATATCTAGAAATAATGATAATTTTGTTTCCTTTTCAATTATATAACTCACTTTTTAATTTTAAATCTTAATGCACTGTTAAAACTTCTGGACTTAAATAATATTAGTGATGGTAAGCATATTTCTCTTATTTCTGATTAATGGCAATATCTTTAGTGATTCAGCATTTGAAGTAGGTATTTTTCATCACAGTAAATACTAAGGTTTTAAAAATTGTGGGCAAAGAGGTTTTTTTTTAAAAAAAATCATAGCTGCATGACAAATTTTTGAAACTAGCCTTTTGGTATCTCTTGATATTATTTTCTCCCCAATTTGATTCAAATCTCTTCGGTGAGGTCTTTTTTGAGTAAATATTATTTAACATTTTTATTCGTTAGCATTTCGCTTATAATTTTGTTATAAGTAATCATAAATGATATTGATCTTTATTTACCAGGTTTTCAAATCAATGTTGTACTGTCTTTATGAAAATCAATATGGAATCTTTCCAACTATGTTTATGCTCTGAAATAATTTATACAGCATTGAAGTTATTTATTTAATATTTAGAACTCATCACATTAACTTACATATGTTTTTGGAAGAAAAATCTCCAATAACCTTTCTGAATGTATTTCATAATGTTTGATCTATTAAGGCCTTCTGTGTCATGAGTCTGTATTGACTTCTTCCACCCCATCTCCCCATTCCTCTGCTTTGTCTGACAGACACACAGTCATTTATTTCATTGCACAGTTCAACTTATTAGCACAGGGCATTATTTATATACCTAATAATTTTTTAAATTCCAATATTTGTGATTAGGTCCATTTCTGTTTCTTAGTCTCCTGCATTTACCTCCTCTTTTATTAAATTAGATTATTTATGTATTACTATTTATTCTTTGTTGGTTATGTCTTGGTTTTATAAAAAATACTACTGGATGTGCAAATTCATTTAATATTTTTGCTTTTTTAAAACATTGCTGGGTTTTCTCTTTCCTTTTCCATGTGTAACTGCCTAACTGTAGCATCTGTTCAGTCTAGAGTGTCCCTTTTCTGGTCTCTGCTCATGAGTGATGGAGATTGCGTGAAGGAGCTATTAGGAGCATGGAGCACAGAAAAGATACCACTCCAATCTTTTTAGTCTTGTGCTGCCATTTTTGAAGCTAAACTCATGTGTTTTATGTGGCAAATTTCGTGTTTTCTAAACTTTCACTTCCACCTTGCACTGATCTGTTGACTGGCATTCAACAGATATTTTAAAGAGGATTTATTAAAGCATTTATTAACCTACAGGCATGGTAGCACTGGGAATCCAGGTTTAAGTAAGTCAGGCAAATTCTCTGCCTTTACAAAACTGATGGTCAAGAAGGGAAGATAGGTAATCAACCAGTGATGATAATAAAGTGTAATGAGGAGTGAAATCGGGAAAATACGGAATGCATTAGGGCCCCCCCGCCAAGAGAACATTTGCCTAGATCAGAGAAGACCTGCTTCATTTCCGATTTTTGTTCTAATAATTAATTTCCCATAATGGAAGGAAGAAGCAGCCCATAGCCCCAGGCTGCCTTTTCAAGGCACTCTGTGACCATGCAAGATTAAGTCATGTTTCTCATCCTCAGACTATTTTGGTTTAATCACTTCATGTGAGCGGAAGAGTTGAATCAATAATACCAATGAATCAATAATATTCATGCTCCAAGTCTAAATTGCAAGCAAATTCCTGAACAGAATTAAAAATAAATGTAACAGTAAGATTATAGTTGCAGGGAAATTAGCAAAAAAATTAAAATTAATAAAAATCATTAAAAATGACTATGTAGCCACTGGATCTGTGCTGAAACATAATTTGTAAGAGACTATTCATCTTCAGATGGATTAAATTGGATTGGATGGAATCCAATCCAATTTGGATTTGTGTAGATGGAATGAGGAATAAAGCAAAGACCACCACATCCTCCTACACGGTATTACTGCTCCTACTGAGCAATCAAGACACTTAGCATTCCTCAGGAAGCAGATGTCCCAACATCTGCTGCTAAAGATGGAAGCAGCATTGATCAGTAGTGTGGCCAGCCTGTCATTAAGTGAACCATCTCAAATGTGGTGGTGTCCAAAATAATGAAACAAGCTTTAATACAGGAGTGTCCAGTCTTTTGGCTTCCCTGGGCCACATTAGAGAAAGAATTGTCTTAGACAACACATAAAATACATTAATATTAGTGATAGCTGATGAACTAGAAAAAATATTGCAAAAAAATCTTATAATGTTTTAAGAAGTTTATGAATTTGTGTTGGGCTGCGTTCAAAGCTGTCCTGGGTTGCATGCGGCCTGCGGGTTGGACAAGTTGCTTTTACAGAAAAATCAGGTTGTAGAAATGATTATTTCGGGGGATTTGCAGTGAAGAAAACCACTCATCCTTTCTTCGACATTCTGAACCTATAGAGAAATACATATACTAGCCATGTGAAATATAAATTACAGTATTACTTTATCATTGTTAAAGACGAATTGGAGAAGTCAACTTAAGTGGGGGCTGTCATAACCTTTTATAACTCTAGGCTTTGGGACTCCATGGGGGATGGATGAGTATGCAGAGCAGTTCCTGAGTTAGACCACAAGTGGAAGGTCATATGGCCTTGGGACCATTGATGGGGAGAGCCAATGACAAGGGCTTGCTTCTCAACAGCAACTGTTAAGACCATAGAATGCTGTCCCATGGCCAAAAAAAGAAAAAAGAAACAATGACTATCAGGCCATCATTATCTTAGCAATCAGATGAATCCTTCCTGTTTTCCTTGGAACGCACAAGTGTGGGCCTAGAAGTGTCAGGAGCTACTTGTCCCCAGTGCTTCTCTGAGAAGATGGAGGTTTGGGGAAATTTCTTGTCGTATGAATGACTGCAGAAGAGGGAGAGAATGATTCTCTCAGAGAGTATTTGAGAAAGTTTAAGCACATGTAATATAAGCACATAGTTCCTGAAAAAACATTGAAATAGAAAGTCGACATTTTGAAATACATAGTTCAGTTGAATGAGATTATGAGTGATTTTCGTTTCCATATTTTCTAATCATTCTCCAGTAATCATGTGTTTCCTGAATAATTGAGAGAAAGGCAACACCATTTGTTTTTAAACATATTCACAGTGAGGGCTGATATTTCTCATAAAAAAGTAGTTCCTAAAACACTTTGCTTGGCAAATAGAAGATATAAATTCCAGAATGGCAGGGAATCACAGTCAACAACAAATCAATGGATAATTATTTGATACCTACCATATGCCAAACATTATTTTATGTGCTCAATACTCTGGTGAACAAGAGAAAGTCTTTTCTCTCTGAAAAGGGTTTATTCTAGTAAGGGGCAAGCACCAAACATGAACAAACAAACAAAAAGCATAATTTCAGATATGATAACTGTTCAGAAGAAAATAAAGCCAGATTAGGTGAATATCTGGAGGTCTGTTATTCCATGAAGAAGGAACTGCAAATATAAAGGCCTGACAGTTAGGATTGTAAAACCATCTGACAGAAGGGGACACATAGATAACACAGGTCAAGAGACAATATGGAAAAATAAAAACTGTCCTCATATGGAAAGTACAGGTCCCATCTGAAAGGTGGAGTACCAGAAATATGAGTCTACTCTTTCTGGATTTTTAATTTTTTTTTCCACAAGAAGCTGGAAACCTATATTATTGAGAAATGTTTCCCAATTTTTAAGTGTTTGGAACTAATTCACAATATTTTGGGCCAAAATATACAAAGGCACACAAAGATAGGTCTGAATTAAGTCAATAGTCCATCAATTTTTAACCTTTGTAAACCACAGAGCAGAAGGAATCCTAGGATCATAAACTTCATCCTAGGCAGTAAATATCTAAGACACTTGAGGCCCAGGTAGATTAAGTGATTTGACCATTGATCCACCACTGGGAAATGGGATTCAAATGTGCTGTCCAGAGCCCTTTCCATTGCACAGAATTGTCTGTTACATGTCTTACTTTCTTTGATTCAGGCTGTAGATTATATCCCAACATACCAGGCACTGACCTTGATTTATTTTTTTTCCATTCCATATTCAGATAGCTGAAAGGGTAAACTAATAAGCACATCTCAATTCTGTTCAAGAATCACAGCGATTACTGGCATAAATGATTGGATATTCAATGGTGGGATAGCATTTGAAAGAGCCGTAAAACAACATGTGTAGGTATGAGGGCATTACATCGTCTACACAGTAATTGAATCTATTTTAAACTGGATAAAAAAAAAATCTGCCACTTCAATGTTGGACATTTTAATATAAATTTTTACTTTATGTGCCACATTTTCTTAATCCAGTCTATCATTGTTGGACATTTGGGTTGGTTCCAAGTCTTTGCTATTGTGAATAATGCCGCAATAAACATACGTGTGCATGTGTCTTTATAGCAGCATGATTTATAGTCCTTTGGGTATATACCCAGTAATGGGATGGCTGGGTCAAATGGTATTTCTGGTTCTAGATCCCTGAGGAATCGCCACACTGACTTCCACAATGGTTGAACTAGTTTACAGTCCCACCAACAGTGTAAAAGTGTTCCTATTTCTCCACATCCTCTCCAGCACCTGTTGTTTCCTGACTTTTTAATGATCACCATTCTAACTGGTGTGAGATGGTAACTCATTGTGGTTTTGATTTGCATTTCTCTGATGGCCAGTGATGATGAGCATTTTTTCATGTGTTTTTTGGCTGCATAAATGTCTTCTTTTGAGAAGTGTCTGTTCATGTCCTTCGCCCACTTTTTGATGGGGTTGTTTGTTTTTTTCTTGTAAATTTGTTTGAGTTCATTGTAGATTCTGGATATTAGCCCTTTGTCAGATGAGTAGGTTGCGAAAATTTTCTCCCATTTTGTAGGTTGCCTGTTCACTCTGATGGTAGTTTCTTTTGCTGTGCAGAAGCTCTTTAGTTTAATTAGATCCCATTTGTCAATTTTGTCTTTTGTTGCCATTGCTTTTGGTGTTTTAGACATGAAGTCCTTGCCCATGCCTATGTCCTGAATGGTAATGCCTAGGTTTTCTTCTAGGGTTTTTATGGTTTTAGGTCTAACGTTTAAGTCTTTAATCCATCTTGAATTGATTTTTGTATAAGGTGTAAGGAAGGGATCCAGTTTCAGCTTTCTACATATGGCTAGCCAGTTTTCCCAGCACCATTTATTAAATAGGGAATCCTTTCCCCATCACCATGGAGTACTATGCAGCCATAAAAAATGATGAGTTCATGTCCTTTGTAGGGACATGGATGAAATTGGAAATCATCATTCTCAGTAAACTATCACAAGAACAAAAAACCAAACACCGCATATTCTCACTCATAGGTGGGAATTGAACAATGAGATCGCATGGACACAGGAAGGGGAATATCACACTCTGGGGACTGTTGTGGGGTGGGGGGAGGGGGGAGGGATAGCATCTAGCATTAGGAGATATACCTAATGCTAGATGATGAGTTAGTGGGTACAGCGCACCAGCATGGCACATGTATACATATGTAACTAACCTGCACAATGTGCACATGTACCCTAAAACTTAAAGTATAATAAAAAAAAAAGAAGGAGGCAGTTTTATTATCTGCATTTTTTAGGTGAAAATAAACTGAGGTAGAGAAGGGCAGTCAATTGCCTTAGATCACACTCAGTAAGAGGTGGAGCTTGCATTCAGGTCCAGCTCATCCGACAACAGAGCCTAAGTTTTAAATTAGGTAAAGTAGGAGTTATACTAATTCCTGAAAATAGAAAAAAGGAAAAGAACTGGTTTCTAAATCTATGATAATATAGAATCAGTGCATGTTCTCCCGGAAGTAACACTAAATAAGTGTGATGGTTAATTGTATGTGTCAACTTCACTGGGTAACGGTTGTCCAGATAGCTGGTAAAACATTATTTCTGGGTGTGTCTATGAGGGAGTTTCCAGAAGGGATTAGCATTTGAGTTAGTGGACTGAGTAAAGAAGACTGGTGTGTACCTACCAATGTGGGCAGGCATCTTCTCTTCTGTTGAGGGCCCAATAGAACAAAAAGGTAGAGGAAAGGCCCATTATTTCTTGCTTCTTGAACTGGGAAATCTATTTTCTCTTTCCCTGGGACATTGAATATCAAGGTTCCTGGGCCTTCACACTCTACTAGGATTTACACCATTGGCTCCCTGGTTCTCAAGCTTTCTGATTCAGACTGAAATATACCACTGGCTTTCCTGGTTCTCCAGTTTTCAGATGGCGTAATGTGGGACTTCTTGGTCTCCAGAATCACCTGAGCTAATTCCTATAATAAATCTTATATCTTTATATATCCTACTGGTTCTGTTTCTCTGAAGAAACCTGACTGATACAAATAAGCATTTGAAAATCCTTGATTTTATACGTAATGCTTTCCTCAGTTATTAGATTGAAGCATTTGACACCACTGAAATTTCACATCTTCTGACTTACAAAAACATTTAGCAGTTTTAACATAGTACTATGATGTTATGATATTGTACTCTTGGTACAGTGTATTTTTGGTATTCTTGCTACAAATTTGCCATCACTTCTTGCTAGGCACATGATGTGACATGTTTGGCTCTGTGACAGTGTTCTTTGTCCATTGAATTGTACTGTTATCTTTATGAAGACCTATTCTCATTTGGATGAAGACTTGAGACACTTCAAGAAAAACACAGTGGCCAGCCACTTCCTTTGGATTGTTCCTTTGAATAGGACTTATGAATCCTTAGGGAACACCTTGTTTCTGGCTCATAATCCATCAGGTAATCACTGCATCCTTTCTCCTCCATGTCACGTTCAATAAAATAATTCAGGTGGGCTGCAAGTTCTTGGCAACATGCTTCTTATAGTTGATATTTTATTCTGTGCTTATTATTGAACGTCGGACTGTGGAGTTTTAAAGTTATATGAAAAACAATATTCACTGAGACTCTGGATACTACTTTGAAATGATCTGAGGTAGTGTCATAAAAACACAACACAGGGAGAGCTTTCCCCTGGAATGTATTAGGTGAAGGCATTTGACTTCATGCAAACACGTACTGAAAAATGAAACCCTTACTGCTGCAAGTCCTCCATGTCCAATTTACAAATATCACACAAAAAGAACTTTAGACATGGGGAAGGGAAAAACATAGCAATATAAAGTAATCACAGAAAAATGGCACTTATTTATCTTGTAAAATAAGCTTATCTCATTTTGTCCCTTGTTACAGCACAGTCATGAAGAGGGAATGACCTAATTCTGTCTTCTTTCTCTTGTCATCTCTGTTAGAGAAAGGTGGGGGAGAAACACATTCCCTGTGTTAATTAAACTTATTCTTTATTCACTGAGAATGAAAAGAATACTTTCTCTCTGAATTTTCATTGTATAACTGTTCATCATTGCTAATACTAAAATCTTTTCTCCCAGTTGCATAAGTTTTTTGATATAAGCAATTAAATTTGCCCAAATAGATACATCAATTTAAAAAAACATAAATTTTCTTAATCTATAAAATCTTTCTACTTGGCTGAAAAAATTTGTGATTATGAACGTTGGAATTTGTGACACTTTTTCTTCAAAGATATAACAGACTGTAAAACACTATAAAAGTTGACCTTGTTTCTTTAATGCAGGATATCTTCTGTTTGTGTCCTTATGATCTTTTTAAGCTGAAAAGGTCAAATTTTTTACTTCTGAAGAATTCTGATTGTTTACTTAAAAGCTATATTCTGAAGGAAGGTGTCAGAACCAGTTAGGCAATTAAGTCAATTAAAGACAATACTTACTGGGACATTATTTTCTTGCATCTAAGGCAAGAAAATATTGAAGTACTCTTTATAAAAGCAGGCAGTTTTCCCTTCCACAGTTAAAAAGAAGGGATCACATAATCCATTGGTATGTTTAAGTTGGTAACGTTTTGGCAAATGGGAAAACTGGGGCTCAGTGAAATTGGAGAAATATTCAAGTTTATCCAGTTGGCAAATGGAAAAGAGATGGTGTCAGGCTTTTCTGCACCCCATGCAGTTCTCTCTTTGTTTTATCGTACCCAACAGAGTTATTTATGAGGCACATTATCTCTGCTCTCTCCCTATTGCAAAGTGACTGCCAAAGGAGAGTCAGCTATACCCTTAGATGCTCATTGTATGAATAGAAAAAGCAATGATTTCCCCCACCCAGATAAAAGGTCTCCCAATGACCGTTGTGTGATGACAGGATTATGCATATGTCACAGTGGCCCAAAGGCTTCCTCCTCTATGATGCTGTTGCAATGACCACATTGAGAGTTCTTACATGATGTACTCCTCCCTCAGAGCCAAGGCTCCCAGAGGGGAAGCAATGGTGGGAGCTTGAGATGATTCCCTGGGTGATAGCTTTGGTTTTTATTTTCAGGATGATACCAGCTTCTATTTGATAAATTTAATGAGTTTGTTTGAAGATTTCCTTTATGATAAAATTCCTGCTCCTCAATTTCTATTTAATGTTTCTTGTCAATCTAATTCCCTTTACATGTGATCCATAAATTGGGTAACAAATATTTATTAGATGACTATCAAAGTTTTGGTCACTGTCAGGATTTGACATAACCTTTCTATCTAATAAAACTATAGCTCAGCAACCCTGAAAGTGTGTTCAGGAAGATGTTAATAAAAAAGAGGTACATGGGCAAATATATTTGTGAAACTCTGAGTTAAATAAAGTTAAACTGTATTCCTGACTGCAAGACTTTTCAGAGACTCAAGTGTGCTCATGTGAGTTGTAATCCTTCTCAGAGGGGACTTATGCAATATTTTCAAATGTACCATTGGAAACCACTTTTTTTTGGAATAACTCAAAGGTCTAGTTTTCCTCTGAAGACACTTTGATAAGTAGTTTCATAATTTGAAGACATGTATTTAATGCAGTGACACCATCATAAATGTCTTCCTCCATGCGGCTTGCATTTTGTGTGCTGTCTTGGTGAAAATTCTTTGTGCCTAGCATAATCTAAGATGACCCAGGCATTTGCATAGTTCTGGGTATACACAAAATTTGCCAAGGGGTATCTGAGAAATGGATAGTTTTAAGGGAATCAATTTCCAGCTCGTCAATTTCCACATGTAATTCCCTTCTTCCTCATCCCCCAAAATTGCTCTTAAAGAGAGTAAGCCTGGTCTTGAGGAATCTCACTTGCCCTTCATAACACGTCTTCTCCCACTTTACAAAAATTTCTGGCTCTCAACATCTAGATAATTTCCTTGATGCGTTACAATGGGGTGGAAACATTACACTATCCACAAACAAGAGGCAACTGGAAATGCTGGTAGCATTGTGGAAAAGGGGGTGACTTTCATGTCTGGGTAACAATTTGCTTGTTCAGGACAGGAGCTTTTCAATTCAATATTACTGAAGGACTATCTAACTAAACAGTTCATTACAAATACTTGATATTTTAAAATATCAAATATTAAAAATCAAATATTTTAAAATAGTTTAATGATAGGTCATTAGAAATAATTTTAAAGTGATTGCTATGTAATATTTTTGTCAAATACACAGAAGGAGTTGAAGAATTAAATGACCTGCTAAAATCAAACTCCATTCTCATTCATTGATTTAGGTGAACAAATTTTTCTCTAAGCTTAAATCTGTAAAAAATAAAAATGAAGAATGGAATTAGTGCTGAACCTTGTCTTATAACAGTATTGATGATAATGCTAATGAGTAGTCTTCATCTTTGGATATGTGAACTATACAGGGAAAAGCCCCAGCCACATCCATTTAATTAAGAGATTTTTACCAATAACATTCTTACTTCTTGTGTGAGTAATTATTTTTCTTTAAAAAATAAACCGTATGATATTTATAATTGTAACTCAATCCAGAAAAATATGTAATATTTAGAGCCTTAGTGTCACTGGATGCTTAAAAACAATTTACCTTTCAATTTACCCACATATTTTTGTGGCATTGAAGCATGATTTGGTGATCATGGAGGGCTTTCATGTACGAAAATTTCTTCTAGGATAAAACTCTGTGAGAGAATTAGAATGGAAATATTAGTTTAAAATGAATAAAAATAATGTGAACTTTTCAACTGGAAAAGAAGAGCATGCCTTTATCTCTTAAATGATCATGACTTTCATCTTGCTGTTGTGTTTATATTGCTTTGGAGAGATATTACAGAGTTACCTGACAGTTTAATTAAAAAGTGCCATTATTTGGAATTTGCCAGAAATTATATCTTTTGCAATTAGTTATATGCCAAAGATAAAATTGTAGATGTCAACTTAAAGATGTGCAAATTTTAGATGTCAACTTAAAGATGTGCAAGTTTTCCCCAAAATCTTTTTAATGAATAAGTGAGCAAAAATGTTTAAAAACCACTGATTTAAGCCACAGTCCTTGGTTACTATTCCTCCACTATAACTCCCTCATTTACCTTATTTGTTTATAATTTTTTCTGTGTATTTTAATTCTTAGTGGATTTTTAAAATTGTGATCTTTGATCTCCCATTAATAATAAGCCCTCACCTTCAGATATCTCCACACATAATTGCTTCATTGGGTATTCTCTCTTGAGCTGCTGTTAACAAGTGCTTTCCAGGGCAAAGCGCTGACCTGTTACATCCACATGGTCAACATCTGTTGTCAACATCATCCTCCCTTGTCTCTGAGAAAGACATGAAATGTTAAGAACAGGCTGATGTCAGTGTCCTCATGTTTTTAGAGAATTGAGGATGAAGTAGGACACAGTACTAAAGAAAGAATATCAGTGTCCGGTGACCAAGATTCAAGGTCTTTGCAACCTTGGACAAGTTACAATACTCAGCTATGAGATTTAATTGCTTTATCGTAAGACCTTTTGCAGCATTAAGATTGATCATATTTTAATTTTGTTTAAAAAAAATCATGGTAAGAACACAATATGAAATCTGCCCATTTAAATTTTTTAAATTTAATTTTTAAATATTTTTGAGATAATTTTAGACTTAAAGTTGCAAAATTAATATAATAAATTTTTATATATCCATCTTCTAGTTTCCCAAAATGTTATTACTAACAGAGTACATTTAGAAAAATCAGGAAATTAACACTGATATAATCCTACTGTCTAATCTAGAGACTGTATTCAAATTCCATCAATGGTCCCATTAATGTGTTTTTTATAATGGTTCAAGAGCCAACCAAGATCACTTCTTGCATTTAGTTATCACATTTTCTTAGTCTCTTTTAATCCGTAACAGTTTCTATGTCTCTTCTTTCTCTTTCATGGTTTTGAACCATTAGAAAAGTACACAGCAGTTATTTTGTATTGTGGGTGTGTGATGTCTTTTCATGATCAAATTCAGGTTATGCATATTTGAGCAGAATTTCACAGAAGTGATGCTGTGTCCTTCTCAGCAGCCTCCCAGGAACATCTAAAGCCAGTTTGTCTCTTTAAAGTTGAGGTTAACTTTGATCATTTGGTTAAGGTGATTTCTGCCAGGTGTCTCCAATAAAAAGATTAATAGTTTTAAGTTCTCTATTGACATAAATTTCCTTTATAAATAGAAGTTCCACATGAAGATTTTCAACATTCTTTTTTTCTTTTCTTTCATCTTTTTTCTTAACTCATCAAAATTTATAGAATCTGAACTTAGAATAGTTTGTATTCATTTCTGATTTCACCTTTTTTTACACAGAATTATAAAATGGAAATTTATCTGAACTTTTTATGGTGAATCTCTGCCAAACTATGGTTATAAAATTATAGCATGACATTTTAAAGACTGTATTTGGGGGAAAAACATAATTCTGTATTAAAATAGCTAATCTTATTCCAGTACCCAATTCTGTATTTTTTAAAAAGTGACTTTGAATCAGAAGACCTAGGATTTAATCTCTGCTCTAGCTTTTATTAACTTTGTGAACTTTCTGTATTTTTTGTATCTCAATTGCTTCTTTTATAAAATGAAATACTTAAGCCTACACTAACCTTACAGAGTTCTTCTGACATTAAAAAAAAGAAAACAGTGTGAGTAATGTCTTGCCCTTTTGGGTGTCTGTGTGTTGTGTCTGTGGCAGGAAGTGGGGAGAGAGAGCTATTCACATGCTCTGTATACTCAGGGCCCCAGAAGCTCTCTGAATTTGTACATTTAGCTTCAACAACACCAGGAGTAAGTTTTTACAATGACCAAATATTGATTAGCCCAATGGTATTGAAACTCACTCTTTCTCACGCACAAACACCTCCCATATACCCACCCCAAACTACATTAATCGCAGGTCTAATGAGAATGTAATTCTGGTGTGGAAGATAAATCACTCTCTGTTAAAGTCTTGGTGAAATTCTCAGACATCTGTGACTGAAGGAAATATTTCTCCACTCTTTAGTGTTTTAGGCTGTGTCCTATCAGCTGACATTGGACTGATCACTTCCTTATAGCAGTCTCTGTGACTTCAGGGGCCCAGTGTTTAAATTTAAATGATTGGCAACTGAATTTTCACAAATCTTGCTAATTCTTTCCATTATTTGTTGCTGAACAACTCTATGTAAGCATGCTGACTCCAATAGCTGCTGCTCTCAACTTCTAAAATATGGTCATCAAACCCTCTTGCAGTTGCGCTGGAATGTTCTCCCTCTCTCACTGCTGTCATATACTGGGTTTTATTTAGTTACTTGATTTAGACAGGGAAAAATATACTGTCAGGTATTATCTAAGAAAGTGCTTTCTTCTCATTCTCTGCAAATTACATCCTCTTTATGTCCTGTATTATTCATTCATTTATTAATCATTTTAAAAATATTGATTGAGACTCTAGTATAAACCAGTCACTTTTTGAGAAGGCAGAGGCCAGAATCTCATGGAGTTTACAGTCAAGTTCAGCAAAAGAAGATAAAACGGTCTGTCCTGACTTTCTATGGTTTTGCCCTTCAATCCTTCCATGCTCATTTCCATGGACATTATAAACTAAGTTTTGCAAATGGCAAAGAGTTATAAAAATGGATTGTAATTATTGACGTTGCTTTCATTGTTATGGTTATTATTAATGAGACACTCTGATTCAGATGATAATGTGGTAGTTATCAGGTAGATGCACAGTTGTGCCTCCTGAGTGGCTCTTGGATAACTCATGTCTTTGCTGCCCCTCTCTGACTATTGCCTTTTTTGTTTTGTTTTGTTTTGTTTCTGAGACAGGGTCTCACTCTGTTGCCCAGGCTGGAGTGCGATGGCATGATCATGGCTCACTGCAACCTCAGCCTCCAGGGCTCAGGTGATCCTTCCACCTCGCCCTCCCAAAGTGCTGGGATTACAGGCATGAGCCAAGACGCCCGGGGCTGACTATGGTCTTTAATCTTTAAGATGCATTTTCATGCCCACTATACCCCATTTTCCTAACAGGAACGATATCACAAAGCCACAGCAGCTACATGTTACTACCAGGCTTAAAGAATTTCCAGATCTTACTCCTTTAAAAGTTCATGTCAGCTCCTAGCTGTCGGTAGGTACTTCCTGTCTGGACTCACTCCTTTGGTGTTTTACCAAAGAATCACTTGCTTCATCAGTAGTAGAACACTACAGATTTGAATTCTGTGGAACAGGAGTGAGAGCCAGGAATCTCCATTTTGAATGAGAACTGAGATCAGTTCTGTTGTAACTGGTCAGCATTATAAAATTTGACAAAACACCACCATAAGCCACAGGTAATTTGAGTTTTTTTATAGCCTTTGCCCTAAGATGGTGCCTGGAATTTTTTACTCTATTTTAATGGCTGACATTACATGGATCCAGCCTTAATTTTTCTTTATATTCATGTCCCTCAGGCGCTCAACAAGTAAAACCAAGATTACCTCGGGAACATGACTCTTGAACAATTACTCAAATCAAGAAATTTTCTTCTGAAACTGGTTTTCAAAGCCATATTATTTTAATAGAGAAAAAGGTTGAAATTTTAAAACAGTCATTTACTTTTTTGGACGGAAGAGTACTGATCCCATGTTCTACCAATTCTGTTTTACTGCCAATAAAGGCTCCATTTAAGTAGCTCGTGATTGAGGTAAAATTCCCTTGAAAAATGAACCCAAAACAATCAGCTGATGGTGACAGGATCTAGACCAGTGCTGAACTGTTTATTCCTCCCTTTGGGGTTTTGCTTTTTCATTTTCCATTATCACATGGTTTAAATTTACCAAAAGCATTAATAATAGAGCTGCTCCTAATTGGCAAAAAAATTATTGTAGCTATTTTTGTATCTGGAATCCAAATCTAATAGACTTAAGTGGGTGTGAATTATAATTATTTAAGCATGTTGATTTTGTGTGTGTGTGTCTGTGCAGAATGTGGCTGTTGCCATGGAATCTCTGTGGATGATTTCTGTGAGGTAGTGCTGATTGAATCTATAAAAAGATGAGCACAGAAAAATATGTTTATAAAAACCACTTTCTGATGAAATTGCTAAAGTGAGGACAATCTGCGTATGTGTGTTTTGTTTTGTTTCAGTTCACATTCCATTATTAAATTTTTTTTAGAATTGTAGATTTTTAGACTGCTGGATGGCTGATTGAATCTCTTACTGACGATTTAATCAATCATAATGCTCACTGGTGTGGGGTGAGATTGAAAGGTAGTTTTTATACCGTCCTGTTTACATGTATCCTTAGCTTTATGCATGTATTACATCCTCGAAAAGGTGTGCTTAATCAAGTTTTTTAGAAGTCAAATGAGACATGTGGCTGTGTAAAACAATTCTATTGTGATTTTACAGCTAAATAATTTTGGGTATGGGATGAAGCTAATAGCCATTCTGCCTGCCCCACCAACATGCATCTGAACAACAGGCTGACATTTTAAGTTTATATTTTGGAAGTTGGAGATGCAGATTTCATTCTACCACTCTCTATGGGACCTTAAATAAGTCACTTCTCCACAATGGACCTCAATATTTTCAACAATAAAACTGAGGGGATTCACAAGGATATCTGTTACTTCCCTTCAGCTGTTTAATATGCTTGTGTGTATACAACTGTGCATATGTGTGTATGTATGTAAATGTATATGATTACAGTCCAGTGTGCTTAAAGTCAGGACTGTTTTTCTTAGAAAGCTTGTAGCTCATACTAGAGCTATTTCAACAAAACACAATTACTAAAATTAAGAGAATGACATTTGGTTTTCCTCCTTATTTACAGATTCATTACTCCTTTTTGGGTAAGACACAGTATAAAGAGGTTTAACATTAAAGTTAGGCAAAATGAGTCTGAAAGTATGTTGCTGATGGCTTGAGTACATGAGAGAGTTGACTTTGAATTTAAATGAAAATGTAATGCCAATAAAAGTTAGAAACGATGGCACATGCTGCCCATGGTGATCATGCAAATGAATTGTATAGACCAAAAACTTGAGACAGATTTTTAGAAAAAGAGGTGTTTATAATGAGTGTTTCTCAATGACTTGGAACATTGCTTCAGCCTCAATAATCTATGAATCAAATGTTTCCAAAAACATACTTTTGGTCACACTGAAGTGAGTGGCTCAAAGTTCACCTGAGCCTTACAGATCAATTGGAATAACGTTCATTGTCTTGATTAAATTTCCAAAAAACAGACCTGGTGATGGGGAATTGCATAGAGATATTTTACTGGGAAATGTTCTGGGAGAGAGATACCCATAAGGAAGTAGAGAAGACAAGTTGGCACAGAGGGAGAAGCTGACCTGCAATGTGGATGCAGCTGGGTCTTTATCTGATTCTACAGGGAATTCTAGAGCTAGGATGCCCCTTAAGCTCTATCTCAAATTGAGACAAGGGTGAGTGAGCCTTTTATCCTTTCATCACCCCGTGATTGTCCACAGGCCAAACTCCAGGGGGCAGGACCCTGGAGCTGAGGGCAATGCCCAGGAGGGTGCATCTATGATCATTCAGCCACAAACATTGTCAAGAGCAGAGGATGAATGCTGTTATGGATTGAATGCGTGTTCCTCCAAAATTTCATATGTTACAATCCTAACCCCAATGGTGATGACATTAGAAGGTAGAGTTTGGAGGAGGTAATTAGGTCATGAGGGTGGACCCCTCATGAATGGGTTGAATACCCTTAGAAAAGCGACTTCAGAGAGCTCTCTCTCTTTCTACCAGGTGAGGATACAGTGAGAAGACAGCCGTCTGCAATCAGGAAGGGGACTCTCACCAGACAACAAGTCTTCCAGCACCTTTATCTTGGACTTCCAGCCTCCAGAATTATGACAAGTAAGTATCTGTTGTTTAAGCAAATCTATGGTCATTTATTCTAGCAGCCTGAATAACTGAGACAAGTGCATTGGTCCTGAAGAGGGAATCCAGGCAGAGCAGCAACTTCCACTACGTTTATTCATATCCATATTAAACAAAGTGTGCTTTATTAAATTGTTCTCAGAAATGAATTTTCTATTAAAGTTTGGAAGACACATTATCTGAGGCAACCACACTGCTTATTATCATGCTAAAAGTTCTGCTAAGACCTACCAAAAAAGAAACTTCTCTAACTAAGTGTTCCCCACCTTATTTCATCATACAAAACTGTTTTGGCATAACATCAAGTAACAATACGCAGAATTAGATTCTATAAAGCATTCTTTAGAAAATGCTGATTTATAAATACATTACTGGGGTGATTTGCTGTTTGATAGTATCAATGCTTAGAAATGATCTTATCATTTCAACCAGTCTTGAGAATGAAATATTAGGCACATAACTACCCCCCTACCCCTACCCCACTCCACCCACACACACATTTCTAATTCTATTGGGCCATTTCATGAGTTGGACGACGGACTGGTGGAAACCAGACCAAAGTGAACTCTGTATTCAAATTTAGATTATCTTTGCCCTGTACAAACTTATTTATTCATTCATTTATTCTTTTGTTTATTCAACCATTCATTTATTAGAAAAACCATTCATTGTGTGCCTGAACATCTGCTATGGAAGTTAGAATGTAAGCTCCATGAAAGCAGGATCCTTTTCTATCTCTTTCACCATTTCTGCCATCACTGGCAAGTACAGTATTCAGCCTCATGAAAAAATTTACTCAATAAATGAATGCTGAATGAATGTAGTAAGACACTGTGGTAGGCCCTGGGAGTATGATGAAAACATAGACTGTGGCTCCTGCCCTGGAAGGGCTCATTTCTAATAAGAACCTTCACAATAATGAAAGATTTAGTATGGAACTTACTATGGAAATGGTTTCAAAAAGATTATCTATGATAGTTCAGAAGATTTCACATAGATCATATAGATACAATGTAAAGTAGGTAATTTTTTTCACATGCATATGTAATACTCCAGAATTTAGGATAATAGTAGTCCTTAATAGTTGTTATTTTGATATCCCTTTTTTAGTGCTACTGCAAGATGGGAAGGAGAGAGAGGCGGGTGATAAGACTTGGCATTAGCAGTAGGAAAGTGGCAAAGTCATTATGTTTGATGCTGATCTATGCTGTCTATAATTCTTTGAACATGTAGTTAAGTGTGCTGGGGGAATTTAAGGGGAGGGAATTACAAGATTTGGAATTGGGCCTAAACCATAGGTGGGTAATGAAACTCTCACTCTGTTTTTCAACCCTCTGGCTAGTTCTAGGACCAAACCATGCTAGCATATGTGCCCAACACAATGTCTTCTTCCAAACTGTTGGTCTCATCTCCTCTGCTCTCTTGCTCTTCTTGAAGAGGTCTCTCCCTCTCCAAGCTGGTAAACTCTTCAAAGCCAACAGGAACCCAGCTTTGGGTTGTCAGCAGCCAGTATGTTCAAAGACAGATGGCTTCAGATTCTAAGGGAATGAACACCTGTAGTATGGTCAAAGCCAGGAAATATTCAAAGGTAAAAATGAGAATATGGTTTGGCAGTGGGTCCTTGTATGTGAAGAAATGAAATGAAATAATGGTGATTATGTTTGGTTTGTTCTGACATTGTCTGCATGTTCTTTGGTAAAAATTTATGCTATGTTAGAAACCCAAAATCTAAGTTGGAGATCTCCTTTACTGTTTCTGCTTTATACTAGATCATGACTTATTTTTCATACCATTTGATATTATATCTCCTCTCCAATCCATAAAATATTCATAATAAATTTGAAAATAGGAAGTAAAAGATCAGCAATGTGTATGTCTTTCAGTTTCATTTTTTGCACTGCTTTGATATATTGAAAACTTTTTAATTGAGAAAATTCCTTATTTTTGTCCTATTTTTATTGATCAGTAAGTAATAAAGCTAATAAACCCACAGCACTATGATAACTTCTTTCCCTAGAACAGATTAAATTCTTCCGTACAGTTGGCTACTTCTTTACTTTCCTCTAAGTCTTAAACCTCCCAATAGAACCTTTGAATTGTGAAGATTGCTTTGAGTCCTTCCACACTATTGAATGCATTTAAAAATTTCATCTCAGTATAAAGCAGCTATATTTTCTTCATAATAGAAGTAAAACAATAAAAGAGAAGGGGGAATAAAAATCCCATGAAATTTTGTTGCCTGGGCACATGGAAGAACGATGTGCTAACCGAACTGTTTTCAACATAACATAATTTTGTCTTGGGCTGAAAATTTATTTTGACTTACATTTGCCAAAGGCTTTGCCACCGTAAGCTTTGTCAGTTCCTCCAGCCAGTGGACAGCTAAATCCAAAAACCTGACACCCTCATTTGCTCCCCTTAAATCCCTGGCCGGTTCTATAATCTTCTGCCTTTAAACAAGCTCTACCTTAAAAAATCACCCAAACGAGAATTCTGAGCTACTTAAAAAATCTAGACACTCAATTTTTCTTCTTAACATTAGACATCGTTTTGCTCCAGTAAGTCTGTGGAAATGACAGTTGTCAGCAGGCATCCTTCCTCCTTTGGCCCTAGTTCATCTCCCACTGAAAAGGTAGTTTCAAATTCCAATCTGCTCTTTTCCTCCATCCTTTCACTCCATATATGATTTTCCAGGTCATAACAAAAGGAAAAATGAACAAAGATGACTCAATTTCTCTTTTTCTCTTTTCTACCAATCATTTAAGAACCAAGTGCTTTCTGATCAGAAAACAGTTGCTTAATTGAGAAAGGAGAATTTCTAAACACTTTTCTCAGTGTGTCTGACTAAAGCATATTACTTTCTTTCGTAATCAATAGTTAATTAAAACTGTGAGTCATCTTGTTGAAATGACAGATGCCCTGAAGTTTTAGAGCATCTTCAAAACTGATTGTCAAAGTTACTTTTTCCTAAAATAAACAGAACAATTCTCAATGTATTTTTAACCAGCGGGACAATTTTTAAACAGTAGTAGGTTACCTCACAGACCCATAGCTATGTATCTTTAAATACATTTATAAAAGAATATGGTGGGAAGAAGAGTGAAACCATTATGGATTTTAAAATACTTAGAGGAGTTTTACTAAATAAGATAATACTGAATAAGCAAAATACAATAAAATCAGGTCTATTCAATCTGAAGATGATCCCCAGGGAAGCCTGCAGTTTCAATACTATTATAACATTGAGTTCCCTCCTTTAGTGAGGCAGACAGTGCAGATAAAGGGCACTGACTTTGCAACCCATCAACTTTGGTTCTGATATGGACTCTGCTGTTTTTAGCTGTGTGATCTTAGACAAGTTACTCAATCTCTCCGTGCCTTTTCTGTAAAAACAAGGATACTTGTACCACCTACTTTGTAGGGTTACTGTGAGCCTTATCTATGTAAACACACAATGCATTGAGAACTATGTTTGGCACGTGCTGAGCACTCTTCGTGTGCCCCTCTAACTGTGATTAAACTTAATTTAAAAGTGTATAACAGTCAATTAGAAGATGGGAACGTCCTGTAATTAAAATCTAGTAAGTCAGCTTTGAATTTTGTCAATAATAATTATTTGCTTTCTGTGAACACTCTCGACTTTATTTCATTTTCTTTCTTCGATTTTAGAGGAAAAGCAGATCATGCCCTTGAAGCTGGGGATGGGGTGGTGTCAGGGCAGGGAAGAACTTTTTGTGGTGCCCCTGTTTCCTCCTGTCTAAATTTTAGACGAGGCTTAGTTTAAGCTCATAACTCCCAGGGGAGTGCTGGACCGCAGCTAAAGCAAGATTGCTATTTACAGGGTGACCTAGGATGATCCTTAGTCTCTGTGGATTTTAAGAGCCTGGAAAGTCTAGATCTGCTTTCATATAAGAGAAGCAGGGGGTGCCAGCTCAGAATCCCTGTAAAAGTATGTGTTCTTGCTCTCCTTTTCTCATTATATACTTTCAATGCCCAATCTCTAAAGCTGGGTCACATGGTTTATATTTGGAGGGTTTTCGCAAGATTTTATTTTTAAAAGAATCAGTGACTGAAAACCGTCAAAACCAACTTGTCTATGTGATAGATTTGGACAAATTAATGCAACCAGACTTTGATGGCAATGGTTTCTGATCTCTTGCATACAACTATGATGATGATGGTGGTAGTGTGGTGATGACACTAATACCACTAGCTACTATTTATTGAGCATCTACTGCTATTGGTTAGACACTCTACTAGGTGTTCAAGCATGTTAGTTGTTTAGCCTTTACAATAATCCTGTGAGGTATTACTCCAATTCTATAGATAAGATCAATGAAATTCAAAAGGTAAATAGCTTCCACAAGGTGGCACAACTAGTGGGTGTGTCCACCCACCACCAAAGCCCAGGCTCCCCCTCCTAACAGCCTCAGCTTGTCATCTATCAACTAGCAATTTACAGATTTCTGCTTAGTCAAAGTGCCTTCACCCCTTACAAAATCAAGATGCCTCTATGCCCCCTTTATGTGCCTTTCTTTACTGCTTGATAGTAAATTCAAGTTTCTATAAATTGCCTTTGTTGATGCCAAGATATTAGGTTATTTGATGTTGTTATTCTAATTTATGCCCTTTCAAGATGCAGCCACAAAGGAAAAAAAAAGGCCTTGCAAAGCTCATGCATTTTCAGATGAGTTTATAAATAGAAGCGACATCATCCACTCTTTTGAAATAGAGAGACATCAGGAGAGAGGCCATTTTCAGGCCTCTCTTCCCTTGACCAGGTCACTTATTGTGTCCTCACTGACGACTGAAAGAAATTGATCCCCCTGTCCTTTGAAGGTTTACTGTGTGATGTTTGTTACAGAAAAAAGAATCAGAATTCTTTTAGCCTCTGCTCATTCATCTCCTTTTAGTAGCTCGATAAAGCCACCCTATCAGCTTGAAAGAAGACAGTGGAATGAATTTAGCCTAGTTGTATTTGATTCAACAAACATAAGCAAATGATTAGTCAGGCTTTTAGTGTAACATACTGCAGAACACATTTACAGCATTGGGTCATATTTAACTCAACGGCAGTGATAACAGTAATTCAGTGTCGTCTTACACTGAGTCACGCAATAAGGGGTGTAACTCTATATGTAAGATGTGCATTAAAAACTAGCAATCATTAAATTCCAACTAGTTTTTTAAAAGTCAAAACAAGTCATTTTCTAATAGCATTTTCTGGCTTTTAGCCCATCTGAAATTTCTGTAGTGTGAATTTTTCATCCCTTCTCATGTGAGGTTATATTCTAGGGGTTCATGTGAGGCAGATAACTGATTTTTCAGATTCTTTCAGATTAAAATTAATAGAACAATGGTAGTAGAAATAACAAGAGATTTACAGGCAAATACACATGGATTGGAATCCTAGTCCTACCTCTTTCTTTATCTCTAAAAAAATAGACACAAGAATCTCAACACTGTGTGGTTATTCCAAGAGTTAAATGAGATGGGATATGTCATAGTCTAGATTGATGTTTGACATATGGTGTTTGATATAGGTGATCTGTCATTTCCTCATCACTGCCCATCTGTGCTTGTTCTGAAGAAGACCTGAATTCCATAGTCAGGTGACAGAACAGGTTCCAAAGTCAGAATCAAGCTTTCACGTTCCAAGCCCACTGTTTATTTGGTTGTTTCTTTTTTTCAGCCTAGAGCAAGCTTTTATCCATTTTCCATTTTTAAATTTCTTATTTGTAAACTATTGATAATAGCACCTATTTCCTAAGGTTGTTTTTCATGACATAATGCATATTAGACCTCTAGCACTGGAGAAGCACCTAATATATGTTTGTTATTAACATTATTAATAGGAAAGATGTCACTCAAAATGGCTCTACCTTTTAATAATAACAAATAATAAGATCTTATGTGACATGTGCTATTCTAAGAACTTTTATTTGCATCAGATCATAGGGTTCCCTTAACAGCTTGATGAGGCAGGTATTATTATTCATAAACATCCCCATTTTTAAGATGAAAAAATTGAAACCAAAAGTAATGAATTTTTCCACTGGTACAGAGACAGAAAATGACAGAGCTGTTATTTGAATTCTAGCTATCAAGTTTCAGAGTTCATATTCGTAATCATTTTCTATAGCTGCCTCATGTATTATTTCACAACAGCTCATTGAGGTAGGTAGGGCATGCACCATTGTTTCTTACTTTGTAATGAAGAAATTGAGGGTCTAAAGGGCCAGGATTATGAGCGAAGCTTCTTCTCTCAACCCATGAAACAAAAGAGCTAAATCTTCTTTAGGAGTCACAGAAGGGAACTCCTGAGCACTTATTTTCTATGTATATGGGAAATAATGGGGAAGAAATTGCATTAAAATCTCATGTCTTATCTTACAAATTCATCTAGTTTAGCTTTTTACTCCATAATGTAACTCTTTGTTTGAAAAATTGTATTTGAAATTTCTTTGCACTGAATGCAATGGATGCTCCAACAAGATGTGCCATGTTTTTCCTTGGATTCATGTTCCCTTTGGCAAACAGTGCCTATCAATGTCTGAGAACTTGACCTTAAATATAATTCTAGCAATGCTAACTCATAAAGATGCTTGGGAATCAGTGGAGTTTATTTGACATAATATCAGAATTTGGGATCTCCTTTTTTGCAGTAAAGATATTACCTAATGGTATTGAGACAACGAAGTATAAAGAGGTCCCTGGAGAATCTCCAATCATCCTGTGCACTGGGAGGAGTATGCACCGGGGTGGAGCCATGGAAGTTCACACCATTTGCACTGGGGAGGAGCACGGCATCTCCTGTTCTGGGGTGGTAACCTGGGGTTCTATTCCCCTTCACCATTCACCTTTCAAGCCTTGCATTTCTGTGTCCTATTGGTAAAACTTCCACTGTATCCATAAACATAGCCATAGAAGGGTCTGAAATATATTGTTTTGAGCTTTTCATCTCATCTAGTATAGGGTGGGAGGAAGAGGTAAAAATGATTGCTACAACATAATATATAATATCTCACTCAGAGAATATACAAAATCCCTTTACACAGAGGAATTATCTTCTGTGAATCAGGCACAGTGTACAGGGGACATTAAGATGAATGACATGAGGGCCCTGCCTTCAGGCTGTTGCCTTTATCAACACAAGAAAAGATGATTTGAAAGAACATTGTGCCAAATCGCAGTAGAAATTTAAAGTTTTCTTTATAGAGAATGATTCAAACAATGAAACCGGTTTGGGTGTCATTTGTAGAATTTACCATTTTGTCACCACAGCACCAAGAAAAAATTTTCATCTTCTAGAATTAGAAATATAAACATATCTGTAGTCAGTAATAATCTGGGTCTTTAAGAGAAAAAGTATTAGAAAGTGTAATCAATAAGTACTTAGTACTGTTTGAACTGAAATCTCCAACTACTTACAGATAAGTGTTCCATTTCGTGCCAGGAAACCTGTTTGGCAAATTGTAATGTAGCAAGTAGTGAGAAAACATAAGTCACCTTGAATGCTGATTGAATATAATCAGTGATTAATGGCAAATTTGTGGTCTTTTTAATGACCATAGTTAAATAAAATTAAATTGAACCATAAATTTCGAAGCTCTCTGGAACTGGGTCATGTGAAAAGTAAGCTTTATGAAGAAAAAAATTGATTCAGTAATATTACTCTCATCAGACTTGCAACTCAGAATTCAGAGCTTTTTATTTAAATAGAGTTTTCACTATGCTGTTTACATATTCACATATGTTTAATTAGGCTGGCAAAGTTGTGTAGATTTAATCTCGAAGAGTTCAGTAAAAAGCCATACATTTTTTTTGGTCTGATTTTATTTCAACCACATCTGTGAAAATCAGCATGGGTTCAATCACTTAAGAGTGGAGATGCTTTAATTATCATTTCAATGAAAGAAATAAGGAAGTGGACCAGCTTCGCTCTCAGTATTAAGGCCTACTCAAAATTAGTTAAATGGTTTCAGATCTTCTAGAAGTTTGATGACATCTTAGGCTTCCATCAGAATAAATTTTGCAAAATTGTAATCATGTTTTGAAAAATATGCTATTGGTATATTGATCTCAAGATTTATTATAATTGCATGGGTAATATCTCTGAGATTATGTTGTCAATTTCGAGCTGAAATTTAGAAATAAACAAACAGAAATGGTGCTTTATTGTACCATTAGCCAGTTCACAGAGAAAAAATACAAAGAGTGTCATTTGGAGAGATAGAAATTTGCACCACGTCCTGCATGGTTAGATCCCACCAAAAGCAGTTGTAATGCTCCTGGTCTCAAAACATCCACCACCATCCTGAAATGTTTTCGTAGAGAATTCTATGATCACAGAAACCAGAGGAAAAGGTCAGATCATCTATCCATTCTCTGCTAAGTTTAGAGCCAAAACTCAGAGGCTACACAATGAAGTCAGCAGAAAAGACTGAGGTATCAAGAACAGGCTTGAGAAAAGAAGGTGAGAGATTTGGTGGGTAAAGGCATCTACATCCTAGTTGATTACAATAGGGATGGCACCATGTCTGAGGGACCAAGGAAGGGACCAGAAACCAATGAACAAAACGTAGGGTTTATTGAAGACCTTCATCCCAGGCAGGTCCAGTAGTAGTCAGCTGGACAGGATAAGAGCTGCCATTTGTGAAAGCATGCAGTTTATACAGCGTTTTCATTTAACACCCTTCACCTAGCAACCTCTACCTAGAAACCTCATTTAACCCGAAACAAAGGGCCTCTATTGTTGTGGGAAATCAGGGAACCCGAACAGAGGGACTGGCTGGAGCCACGGCAGAGGAACATAAATTGTGAAGATTTCATGGACATTTATCAGTTCCTAAATAATACTCTTATAATTTCTTATGCCTGTCTTTAATCTCTTAATCCTGTTATGTTCGTAAGCTGAGAATGTATGTCACCTCAGGACCACTATAAGTATATCTAACTATACAAATTGATTGTAAAACGTGTGTTTGAACAGTATGAAATCAGTGCACCTTGAAAGCAAACAGAATAACAGTGATTTTAGGGAACAAGGGAAGACAACCATAAGGTCGGACTGCCTGCAGGGTCGGGCAGAATAGAGCCATATTTTTCTTCTTGCAGAGAGCCTATAAATGGGCATGCAAGTAGGAGAGCTATCACTAAATTCTTCTACTAGCAAGGAATATTAAATATTAAGACCCTAGGAAAAGAATTGCATTTCTAGGGGGAGGTCTATAAACAGCTGCTCTGGGAGTGTCTGTCTTATACAGTTGAGGTAAGGACTGAAATACGCCCTGGTCTCCTGCAGTATGCTCAGTCTCACTAGGGTGGGGAAAAACCCTACCCTGGTGAATTTGAGGTCAGACCAGTTATCTGCTCTCGAACCTGTTTTCTGTTGTTTAAGATGTTTATCAAGACAATACGTGCACAGCCAAACATAGACCCTCATCAGTAATTCTAATTTTGCCCTTGCCTTGTGATCTTGCTTTGCCCTTTGCCTTATGATCTTTATTGGCCTCAGAAGCATGTGAACTTTGTTCTCCTTTTTTGCCCGTTGAAGCATGTGATCTTTGTGACCTACTCCCTGTTCATACACATCCTCTCCTTTTGAAATCCCTAATAAAAACTTGCTGGTTTTGCGGCTCAGGGGACATCACAGACCTGCCAATATGTGATGTCACCCTGGAGGCCCAGCTGTAAAATACCTCTCTTTGTACTTTTCTCTTTATTTCTCAGACCAGCTGACACTTAGGGAAAATAGAAAGGACCTATGTTGAAATGTTGGGGGCTGGTTCCCCCGATACTCTATCCCTTGTATGGCCTGTGTTGAAAAGGGTGGGCCAGGGGGTTGGATGTCCTTCACAGATAAGGATTGTATCTCTGGGTTGGCCACACCCAGATTCCTTACCTTGGAATTCCAAACCAATACTCTTCTTAGACCATAGAGTCATTCTCAGGGTATGCTTAAGTTATTGCTGTCAGGTGCATCTGTCATGCAGCCACATTGAAGTTTATTATAGAGAAAGAGAAGAATTAGGTTGAAAAGTGTCTTTGCAACAAGAGAACAAGCGTAATTATCACATGTGTTAGAGAAAATAGCCTTCATCATTCTGAGCTAAGTTACAGCTGCCCCATTTTGGTTCAGATAAGTTGTACACTCTGACTTGCTACAACCCCCACTGCACATTCTATCAGAAACACACCACCATTCATCCAATTGCTTAAGCCCTGAAGATGAATCCTCCTTGGCACTTTTCTTCTTTTCACACTCCTCATTCATGATTTCAGCAATCCTTCAGAGTCTGCCTTCCACATGTACCATGAATCCTATCTTTTTATTTCACCTTTACCACCCTCATCCTACTCAGCATTGTCAATGGACTACTGTGATGGGCTCTTCCCTGGTCTCTCTTCTTACACCAAAACTAAAATTTAGAAAGTAAATCTGATCATGTCTCTCCCTGATTAAAAAATCCTTAAAGAGGTTTTCATACATATATGACATATATGTGACAACATATATAACTGACTTCAGACCATATATTTATTTAGTGTCTTTTGTTGTCATTTGTGAGCTCCACAGGGGTAAGGACTCCCTCTTTAGTACATAGAAGAAGGCATGCTGTCATTAAGTAATGAATATTTATTAGATAAATGGATGTACAAATTTTCCCCTAAAATGGAGCATGTTTCACCCTCTATGTTAACCACCAGAATTCCTGTAGGTATCAAGTTTGAGAACTATGTCTTACGTAATAAGAAGGGCAATACCTTACATAACCTACCAGCATAATTTAATCATCCCAGTTGTTCCAATTATATTGAAAAGGCTCCTCTGTGTTTTTGCTTTACTGGTGAAACCTATAATAGCTAGTTTATGTTCATGAAGTCACAGAATATTATCCACATATAGTCATGCTAAGATCCACCCCAATACCTATTTCAGAAATTAAGTATTTTCTTCCATGGTTTCAAGAGTCCTCTTTTTCTTTTCCCAACTCCAAATACAGTATTACAGAGATTCTCTAATTCCAGGTTCAATATTGACTACAGTGCAAATCTTTTTCTTTTTTTTCTTAAGAGTAATAGCTGAGGAGTTCATTCCATCTTAGACAGCTTAAAATAGAGTTGCACAGAAGATCACAGCAGCAATAAGCTTGAAAAGGGTTCTAACCATGGCATAAAGGGGAAAAGCACGGTTCAGAGGAAAACTGCTTCAACACAGAAGATAATTTACCCTTCTACAGAGATATATATTTAGGATTTTTCTGTAGCAGCTGTGGGATCTGTTGGCCTGACAAAATTTATGAACCCACAGCAAATTGATCATTCCTAGAGGCAGAAAAGAAACCTATTTGCATATGGTGATGTTAAGATTCCTAAATATCTTTTTCCTATTAGCTCTTCATAAATTTTTCAAAATTATTTCTACTATGCATTTAGGCACCAAAGACCAGAGTCAACATTTCAATGACATGTTGGTGGGGGGAAAACAGAAAACAGAATGCTAGAAATTAAGCTAGAAATCCTAGATTTGAATATTTGTTCAACTTAAAGCTACATGACCTAAAGTAAATTAATACAGTGGATAGAGACTTGTTTGCCACCGTTTCTGTTTTTCCCTTCTGTCTAGGCACACAGCTCCCTAGCTCATTAGAAATGGTCATTTGGCCAAGTTTCCAATGTACCTGTGTTAATTTGCCAGAGATACCATGACAAAGTACTACTGGATGTCTTAAACATACATTTATTTTCTCACAATTATGAAGACTAGAAGTCCAAGATCAAGGTGTCAACAGCATTTGTTTCTTCTGAGGCCTCTCTCTTTGGCTTAAACATGGCAATATTTTCCCCCCTGTCTTCATCTGGTCTTCCCTCTGTGTTCATCTCTGCCAAAATTCCTTCTTATAAGAGCACCAGTAATATCAGATTGAAGCCCACATTAGTAACCTTATTTTAATTTAATTACCTCTCTGAAGACTCTATCTCCAAATGCAGTCACTTTATGAGGTACTGGGAGGTAGTACATTAACATATAAATTTTGGAGCAACATGATTCTGCTTATAACACTCACCAATGGTCAGCAGAAGTAACTGTGTACAACTTCCATCTCACCCACTTAAAAGATACTTGCTCTAGACATCTTTCTCTTTTCCCTCTCACTGCCTGAAAATATCAGTGCCTGGAACCATCTTGAAGACCACATGTTGGGTTCTATAGTGCCAAAGAATCTGGATTGCTTAAATGTCTCCCTCAAGCAGAGTCTGCCTTCTCATCTTGGACCACGATGTGAAAGAAAAAAAAAAGAGACTTGACTTTGGGAGACCATCCCCTTTCTGTCTGTTTATTAAACTAACTCATTGTTCACTCTAACATATTCAATGGTTTTGTCTGGGCCCAACTGTCCTGTTCTCAGAAATGGTCATAACAGAAACTTGCTTGAACTGTTGAATAAAAAATAGCATCTATGTGTGAGAGTACCCAACACAATGATGAAAATAAAACTATAATGGCCATGATTTTCTGCATTTTACTTTGAGAAAAGCCGTAGTGTGATCACGTATGTGAAATAGTTTTGTAAATTTTAAAAAATCACCAAATAGAGTACTAATTGTTATATATATATATATATATATATATATATATATATATATATATATATATAAAATTATACTTTAAGTTCCAGGGTACATGTGCACAACGTGCAGGTCGGTTACATATGTATACGTGTGCCATGTTGGTGTGCTGCACCCATTAACTCGTCATTTACGTTAGGTATATCTCCTAATGCTGTCCCTCCCGTTATTAACCCATCAATCTCTAAGGTCTGATTATAGAATTCAGCGATGGGCTTCAAGAGGTATTTGAAAGCAGAATTTTGAGTATATGTGGTGATTTTTCTTCTTCAAAGGGTTGATAGGGCATCATCCGATTCTCAAATGTATTTTTGGTTCAACAATATCAAGAATCACTGACCTCTAAGTGTCTAATCAGGCTGGGTAAAGTCCAGGGTCTGTGAGGGATTGGCAAAAAGGTGGGGCTAGCAGTGAATACAGTCCTAGGGGAGCAGAATGGGAGGCCACCACTGGAGGGGGCACGAAAAGCCAGGAGGACAGCCGCACGACATTATTAGGATCCTAACAACAGAGGATAGGAAAGGAAGTAGGTGGAGACAGAGGGATGGACAGAGGGGGAATCTGCTGCAATTTCCTTCCTTTGTCTCAGGGTTCTCCTATTTCACTGGCTCTTGACCTGCTGCATGGCCTCTCCTCCTTTGCTGGATCTCATCAAAAAGATGTGAGATTTTCTAGTTCAATACCTCTTTGTGTGGGTGACAAAGCTGAGACCAAGGGAGATAAAGGAAGGTGTTGTGGCCAAGGTCACACAGCTAGTTGTTGGCAGAAGCAGGCTGGAACCTGGCTCTGCCATGCGCTTGCTTTCTACCACACAGTATCAGCTACAATGTCATTCCCAGAGAAATTAGTAATTCCCAGTGTGAGAATTTCCCAGTAGGAGACAGCATAGTTCTACCACTCACTTTGTTCTTCTTCTTTTTTAATTGTTATATAAAAGTTCAACATGCCCAGAGTTTGAAGAGTTAACTAGTTCTACAAGATTGGTTGTAAACAACAACAGTTCCCTACAAGCTTCTACTTAATGTCTCTAGCCTTGATAGCAATCACTTCGATTATTTTGGCCTTATCATCCAATGCCTACATAACATGTTGAATGACTTATTCTTTTTTCCTCCCCAATTTGGGGCATCATCTATTGACTTCCCACTTTCAAAATGAGATGAAATTTGCACACTATTTCCCTCCTCATTGCCTCTCACCACACATTCATGCCCTTGCTATTCCCTGTCCTCTCAATTCACTTACCTGGAATTTGGGTTATGTCAATATTCAGTAATTGCATCATTATGACTAGAAGTAGTATAACATGGAGATTAAAGTGGGGTAAAGACCTGACTGCTAGCATCAGGAGTGGGGTGGGAAAAGAAGACAAAGGGCTCCAGCACCCACCGTGCATGGACAAGTTAACACCATCCTCCTGTTTTCACTGTGGTACTTCTGACCTCATTTTACCTGGTGCCTCCCAGTCTAAAGACCCTTTGCTATTTCACCTCCAAACAATAAAACTCCAGATATTGCTGAGGTAAGGAGAGGTAAGATGCCTAGCAGCCCAGATTAGGAAAAGACATCTAGGATCTGACTGTTTCTTTCTGATATTTTAAACCAATTCTTTTTTTTTCATTGCATCATTCATTCCCATGTTTAGAGGTAATTGATACTGCCAGTTCCAGAGCCTTTGAGAACTCCGTTTTCTGATAGTTGTCTTTTTTGTCCCTGCCCTTCTCATCCATGGAAGTTTAGATGTTAAACCATGTTTTTGCTTTCCTATTGTTATTATGAGGTTTCAGGAGACAGAAAATGTGGACTGGAAAGCTATGGTCATCCCTTATGGGTAGCCAGATATACACAGAAGGTTAGAACCATCTCTAACTAGTTTTACCTGGAAATCAGGCATTCACTTCTTCTGTGACCCAGTGAAAGTTCTTCCTATTTAGTTTCCTTATATATAGCAGGGGGTAATAAGTAATAGGGAATCTGTGAAGGCCAAATGAGGTAAGAGATGTGAAGTTCTTAGAACAATGTCTGATGCATATTAGGTAATCAGCAAACACCACTTTCTTCAAATTCTTCTTAGAATGAGATCATAGAACGGTTTTAAAAACCATTCCCTTTTCCTCTTCCATTCACAACCTTAAGTACCTACTTCACAAATCTGTTAAAATTCCCTCTCTTGGATTATAATGTCCTCTCACGTTCAGTTCATGTCGGGAAAGCCTTTTTATTTACATCTGTTTTGTATAAATTAAGGTTCTTGGTATTGGTAGTCAGGTAAGACTTGATAAAACACAGGCTTACCTTTAAGGACCTCATAGCTAAAAACCTGGCATTAGGATTTTATTGTTCAGAACAGGCTTCTTCCAATTCCAAATGGGCTAATAAAGATTCTATTAGGAAAAGGAGACTCCCTCATGGGAAATGAGAGGCTAAGAAGCTTCCTATATTTACATGGCTGGAGAATTTGTGCATTTGTTCTGACTTTCTCTAATTAAACTGGAAATATTTTGTGTGAGGAAAAGTTTTATTTTCTTTCCCTTACTTCATATCTGAGTGGAGAAAATTTGGTTAGACATCAACAGAGGATTTTGAATGCCCTTGCTTCCAGTCTTTGTATGTTTAATAAGAAGCCAAGTTTCAAGGTTAAGATCTCTTCTCTGCGAACTTTCCATAGCACCATCCTCCAATCTGAAGCAGTAGCTCTGTGTAGCTCCTTATTTGTGCTCTTCTGGTACCCTTATCTCTTTCTACCTTGATGAAAGAGATGCTTCCTTTTTCCTTCCCTGAGCTGGGTGCCCTGCAGTTCCTCCATGAACATGAATATATTCATGGAAATGTGACAGCTGAGAATATCTTAGTGAATTCAGAGGACCCGACCCAGGTGAGAGTGAGGTCCTCCTCATCCTGCCCTATGGATATTTTATCTCCCTGAGGAACTTAAGTTCCTTGAAACCAAAAATCATGCTCAAACATGTTTACTCCTAAGAATGTTAATTCCTGTTTAATTGCAACCGTGCAATAGGTAAGTTGTACAATCAGGATTTTTCCAGCCAAATGCAGTAGATTGAATTATTGGTTCCAATTCTTCTCTCTCCCTTGTGTAACAGCAGGATTCTACATTCATATCTTCGACCTCATGGCACATGGAATATATTTCCCCATATTTGACTTTGGGCTTGGCCACATGTCTTGCTTTGGCCAATGAGATGTTAGAGGATGTGACATAAGCCAGCTTGAAGTCAGCTACCCAGTGGGCTTATCTTACCTCTCCTGCTTCTGCAGTTGCCGTGAGAAGAACATATTGCAGGTTTCCAGTTTCATCCATGTCCCTACAAAGGACATGAACTCATCATTTTTTATGGCTGCATAGTATTCCATGGTGTATATGTGCCACATTTTCTTAATCCAGTCTATCATTGTTGGACATTTGGGTTGGTTCCAAGTCTTTGCTATTGTGAATAATGCTGCAATAAACATACATGTTCATGTGTCTTTACAGCAGCATGATTTATAATCCTTTGGGTATATACCCAGTAATGGGATTGCTGAGTCAAATGGTATTTCTAGTTCTAGATCCCTGAGGAATTGCCACACTGACTTCCACAATGGTTGAACTAGTTTACAGTCCCACCAACAGTGTAAAAGTGTTCCTATTTCTTCACATCCTCTCCAGCACCTGTTGTTTACTGACTTTTTAATGATCGCCATTCTAACTGGTGTGAGATGGTATTTCATTGTGGTTTTGATTTGCATTTCTCTGATGGCCAGTGAAGATGAGCATTTTTTCATGTGTCTGTTGGCTGCATAAATGTCTTCTTTTGAGAAGTGTCTGTTCATATCCTTTGCCCACTTTTTGATGGGGTTGTTTGTTTTTTTCTTGTAAATTTGTTTGAGTTCATTGTAGATTCTGGATATTAGCCCTTTGTCAGATAAGTAGATTGCAAAAATTTTCTCCCATTCTGTAGGTTGCCTGTTCACTCTGATGGTAGTTTCTTTTGCTGTGCAGAAGCTCTTTAGTTTAATTAGATCCCATTTGTCAATTTTGTCTTTTGTTGCCATTGCTTTTGGTGTTTTAGACATGAACCATCATTCTCAGCAAACTATCGCAAGGACAAAAAACCAAACACCGCATGTTCTCACTCATAGGTGGGAACTGAACAATGAGAACACTTGGACACAGGAAGGGGAACATCACACATTGGGGCCTGTTGTGGGGTGGGGAGAAGGGGAGGGATAGCATTAGGAGATATACCTAATGCTAAATGACAAGTTAATGGGGGCAGCACACCAACATGGCACATGTGTACATATGTAACTAACCTGCATGTTGTGCACATGTACCCTAAAACTTAAAGTATAGTAACAATAAAAAAAGAACATATTGCAGGATGCATTTCATAAACCCCCAGCTTAGTCACTCCAGTTGATCTGCAGACTCCTAGACCGATATAGAACCAAACCAGCTCGGCTAACTGACACATGCATGAGGGAGAAATAAATGTTTGTTGTTTCAAGCTGTTGAGGTTTGTGGCAGTTTGATATATACCTTTACTGAAATCACTTCAAAGTAAGGCCAATAAACCTCTGCAATGATATATATTTTCAGCTACTAATATGGCTGATAATAGACTTATCTCTCAAAATGTCCCCATGTTACATGTTATCAAAGTACCCTGTAGTTCCTGTCATCACTGTTGAATAATGGCACTATTGAATGTCTTTGTTATTTAATATCTTTTTTTTTTTTTTTTTTGAGATGGAGTTTTGCCGTTTCACCCAGGCTGGAGTGCAGTGGCACGATCTCAGCTCATTGCAACCTCCACCTCCCAGGTTCAAGTGATTCTCCTGCCTCAGCCTCCCGAGTAGCTGGGATTATAGGCAGTCACCACCACGTCCAGCTAATTTTTGTATTTTTAGTAGAGAAGGGGGTTTTTGTCATGTTGGCTAGGCTGGTCTCAAACTCCTGAACTCAGGTGATCCACCCCCTTCGGCCTCCCAAAGTGCTAGGATTACAGGCATGAGCCACCACGCCAAGCCCAATATCTTTCTTATGAAATGTCTTCTTTCTCTGCTGATCTTTAAGTTCTGTGAGGTCAGTGATTATGTTTGATTTATTTCTTATTATACCCATGTGATTATCATGGTACCTAGCACATTTAAATAATTCAGTTAATATGAGTTAAATGAGTGAATAAAAACTTGATGGCTAGAACCCCAAAATGCTTGGGAAAATGATGTATTCCACCAATTAAAGAAATAAACATATAAATATACATAAAAACTGGCATATAGTATGAGGGAGCTCCTAAGACTTTAAAATTTATCCACTCCTTGGATGGATTGAAAGCTTAGAAACCCTGATCAAGATAACATGGAAACCTTTTAAACACCAGAGCCTGAAAAGCCCCTAACCGCTCCTGTAGTATTTTAGGAATTAATGTCTATACACATTTGGCAAGGCTCAGTAGTTTTCCATGGGACAGATTATTTGGCCAGATGAGTCATTTTCCTGGTCATGCTGGGCATCCTTCTGTATGTTATTTCATCTTCTACTCATCAAATAGGCTAAGGGATAGGCTAGGTACAAAAGGAAAAGGACTAAAAATGTCATTTTTCTAGGACCCAGAAGGAGGGATTTAATATGACCAGAGAAAAGTTAACAACATACACAAGTGGTCATCACTGTTGAAGATGCAATGTGTTGTATCTGGTGGGTGTGTGGTGGTTGGCCTGGAACAGAAGGGGGACGAGTAACAGTAGAGTAACTCTTTGAGGATATCTGCATCTACACAGAAAGTGGGGAAAATGTTCTCATGTTTGATTTTCAGGTTGTGCCTCTTTGAGACAGGCTGTCCCAGTCACACTGGGGGAAACTGAGGCAGATCAGTGGATGGAGGATGAATAAACTGCAGGCCAGGGAGTGCTTTCTTTCTGAAAGAGTCTTTAATTATACAATTGATGGTGAGTTATTTTGCTTTTTATTTTATAAGTTTCAAATTTAGCCAGTTTGTGGTTTGGTTTTGACTTCTATGGTTGGGACTCTTGTGATTTCTCCATTTTTAGACCATTCATTGTGATTCTCAGGGTGACAAGGTGAACAAAAGAGACAGTGTAGAGACAAAATAGATGCACACATTCAAACAGGAAGACATATGGTCCATTTTAATGTCATGACTTTGGGCAAAGTAGTTCTCTCCAGGAACTGCCTTTCCCATCCCTTGAGATTATAACCTTCATTACTTACTTCCCTCGTTCCTGTTGAGGTGATTTTTGACACTCTGTGTCCATGGGAACCCAGCCATCTACCAAATAGCTGTGGCATTCAAACTTATTTGCAATTTTAAGCTGATAGTAAGCTAAAATAGAAACTTCCCCTTTATCCAAAGATGCAAGGTGAGAAAGTTTATGGAATTGGCTACTGTTCTTAGTTTTGCATTTCATTCTGAATGATGGGAAAAAAGCCACCTTGAAAACAGCAACCTTTAGTACTAGGCCCAAGCTCCCAACCCAAAAAGCTTCTCCATATTTTTCTGAGTTTATAAAATGCTTGTATTTTATCACTAGAATTCTACAAATGTTTTATATAATAGTATCTCATTTTAATTCTGTACTTAACCTAGCTACATAATGAATGAATTCTCTACTGATCAATTTTCTATGTAACTGAGGAATACCCTGTAGTGCTTAAACCTAAAAAAAGGCAATATTTCATGAAAATATTTTTTAAATGTATCAGATGTATTTATGCCTTTCAGACAGACTATGCTGATTACAAGTTAATCTTTCCTCAAAAAGCAATCATTACTAGTATTGTGATAATTATTGTAATGGGCAATAAGATAGCACACTTTTTATCTGTCTTTTTTGGTGATTGTCAGCTATACTTTTTTTCCTGTCTTTGTAACATTTTCTAGAAAGTTTCCTATATTTAGGATGAACAAGTTGTTAGAATGCCATATAAATGAAGAGACAATAGGATCTGAATTAAGACCCAAGGGACCTGATGATAAGGAAAAGACCTTTAGAGTGCTGAGTCATTGTCTTACAGAACTTTATTATTTAATTCTTGATTTTCTAAAATTACAGTCTTAATATATGAAGTTTGCATTGCACATACATATATTTGTGTATATATCTGTGTATTGGTACACATGTATATATAGTTGTATGGGCTTACATGCATGTATGTGCATATGTGTATTAGTTCACTTACATGCTGCTGATAAAGACATACCTGAAACTGGGAACAAAAAGAGGTTTAATTGGACTTACAGTCCCACATGGCTGGGGAAGCCTCAGAAACATGGTGGGAGCTGAAAGGCACTTCTTACATTGGCGGCAAGAGAAAAATGAGGAAGAAGCAGAAGTGGAAACCCCTGATAAACCCATTAGATATCGTGAGACTTAGTCACTATCACGACAATAGCACGGGAAAGACAAGCCCCCATGATCCAATTACCTCCCCCTGGGTCCCTCCCACAACATGTGGGAATACTGGGAGATAAAATTCAAGTTGAGATTTGGGCGGTAACACAGCCAAACCATATCATTCTGCCCTTGGCCCCTCCAAATCTCATGTCCTCACATTTCAAAACCAATCATGCCTTCCCAACAGTCCCCCAAAGTTTTAACTTGTTTCAGCATTAACTCAAAAGTCCACAGTCCAAAGTCTCATATGAGACAAAGAAAGTCCCTTCCACCTATAAGCCTATAAAATCAAAAGCAAGCTAGTTATTTCCTAGATAAAATGGGGATACAGGTATTCAGTAAATACAGCCATTCCAAATGGGAGAAATTGGTCAAATAAAGGGGTTACAGGGCCCATGCAAGTTCAAAATCCAGTGGGGCAGTCAAATTTTAAAGCTCCAAAATGATCTCCTTTTACTCCATGTCTCACATCAGGGTCAAGCTGATGCAAGAGTTAGGTTCCCATAGTCTTGGGCAGCTTTGCTTCTGTGGTTTTGCAAGGTATAGCTTGGTATAGCCAAGGCTTGACAGCTTCCACCCTCTGAAGCTACAGCCCAAGCTGTACATTGGCCCCTTTCAGCCATGGCTGGAGTGGCTGGGACACAGGGAATCAAGTCCCTAGGCGGCACACAGCATGAGGACACTGGGCCTGACCCACAAAACCATTTTTTGCTCCTGGGCCTCCAGGCCTGTAATGGGAGGGGTTGCCTTGAAGGTCTCTTACATGCCCTAGGGACATTTTCTACATGGTCTTTGGGATTAACATTAGGCTCCTTGCTATTTATGCAAATTTCTGCAGCTGGCTTGAATTTCTCCCTAGAAAATGGATTTTTCTTTTCTGTGGCATAGTCAGGCTGCAAATTTTCCAAACTTTTATGCTCTGCTTCTCTTATAAAACTGAATGCCTTTAACAGCACCCAAGTCATCTTTTGAATACTTTACTACTTAGAAACTTCTTCTGCCAGATACCCTAAATCATCTGTCTCAAGTTCAAAATTCCGCACATCTCTAGGGCAGGGGCAAAACGCCACTAGTTTCTTTGCTAAAACATAGCAAGAGTCACCTTTGCTCCAGTTCCCAACAAATTCCTCATCTCCATTTGAGACCACCTCAAACTGGACCTTATTGTCCATATCACTGTCAGCATTTTGGGCAAAGCCATTCAGCAAGTATCTAGAAAGTTCTAAACTTTCCCACAAAGTTTCTGAGCCCTCCAAACTGCTACAACCTCTGCCTGTTACCCAGTTCTGAAGTCACTTCCACATTTTTGGGTATCTTTTCAGCAGCAGCCCACTCTACTGGTACCAATTTATTGTATTAGTTTGTTTTCACACTCCTGATAAAGACATACTGGGAACAAAAAAGGTTTAATTGGACTTATAGTTCCACATGGCTGGGGAGGCCTCAGAATCATGGTGGGAGGTGAAAGGCACTTCTTACATCAGCAGCAGGAGAAAAATGAGGAAGAAGCAAAAGTGGAAACCCCTGATAAACCCATCAGATCTCGTGAGACTTAGTCACTATCATGAGAATAGCACAGGAAAGACTGGCCCCGATGATTCAATTACCTGCCCCTGGGTCCCTCCCACAACATGTGGGATATCTGTGAGATACAATTCAACTTGAGATTTGGGTAGGGACACAGACAAACCATGTCAATATGTATGTGTGTAGGGATCACACATGGCACAGTGAAAGGAGCATGGTCATTTTATCATCAAACACACCTTGACCAAACCCTAACAAGAGCCCACTTATAACTGTGGGACCTGGCAAAGTTTCTTATTCCCCTTTAGCCTCACTTTCCTTATTTGTTAAATGGCAATGCAAATACTTATTTCATAGCACTGTCAAACCTGAATAACACACTTTCTATACAGGCTTTAGAAAAGGAGACTTTCTAAAAAAAATGATATTTATTCAGGATTGGGAATTGCAATGGGAACATGCATGTGCATATTCAGGGAGGTAAAGGAAGACAAAGGTTTTTAAAGGAAAGATAAGATGGGTTAGGTAAGCTGTTTTGAGACGTGCTTGGCTATAAAGATTAATAACAAGGATGGTGTCAGTCCAAGGTTGGACAACAGTCACTGGCCAGATGTCCTCGAATAAGTATTTTCTGTGTGACATTTGTGGTGGCCTTTGAGCAAGGTTGTGATCTGCGCATTTTTTTTGGTGATAGTTTTTGTTACCAGGTATGTGTACGTGTGTGAGAACACCCCCGCTTCATGGCCCTATCTGTCAGGGTTTTAACAAAGCGACTCCATTTTGATTCTGACAATTTTCCCAGAACTAAGACAATTTCTGACACATATAGTTATACAAATTCTAATTTCTTTTCTCCCATTCTTTATAAAAGCACAGTCTAAACTTTTTACTCTGTATCTGTTGTCAGACTCATTGTTACTAGAAATATTGAACTTGTCTGTTACTACAATTAAAAGTGACTGAAAATGATTGTCTTGATTCAATTACTTTCTGCCAATGTATTAGCTTGGACTACCTAATCTAAGAGTTATAAATACATGGCATATATGCCACCTCCTTTTCTCTCATAATTGATCATGGTTCTCTTTACCACTCAGCCTAGAGGAAGCCTCCAAATCCTCCTTGACACAGTGCCGGCCTCCTCAACCAATCCACCAGAATTGTCAATAAGAGCAAAACCTGAAGCCTTGCACCAATCACTAGAATGATGATTTCCAAAATCATCATAATTTTTACTGATGTAGAAGCAGGAGCACTGAGAACCAGGCAGAAGAGCTCCCCCTAACATGCTAGTGGATAGTGATGAGAGAAACCTCAAGATCTGTTTTGCAACAGCAATATCTGAGAGCAGAAGGAACACAGGAAGGTCTGATGAACATTTCTCATGACTCCAACCAGTGTCTTCAGTCACAATGCCAAAAAAATAAGCTGACGCAGCCCCATCACTGTTGCCAAGTCTATCACCTGTTCTCATCAGCACTCGGTGTGAAAGACAGTCTCCAGTTTTCATATTCATCTCACAATTTAGGTGTCTTTTTCCTGTTCCCTCACTCAAAATATATCGTTCATCTTTCAATCCAATCTAGTAAGAATGAACTAAGCACCTACTATGTGACAAACCTTCAATTCTTGTTAGATTTGTAAGGCCATCTCAGCTCTCAAGGTGCTTATAAGATACACCCATGCTAACACATCAATGCTGTCCACTGTGATAGGTTCCAAGACAGAGGAAGAGCATGTTTATTCATTTGTTCCTCTCTATACTCATTTCCTTCAAAACTAAATAGGCATGTAGGTGGTCTGATTCCATAATTAGAGTCAACATAAAATCTAGACCTCAGATGTCACCAACTAGTAATGGGTGCTAGCTTGAAACACATCATCTTTGTCAGCATCTTTCCCTTTAAGAAGTCAGGCAGCCCCAGAGGCTACACAGACTCTAAGATCTGCAATGTGCCACTGCAGAAATGAGTAGTTCTGTAGTTCATTCTTTTGGAATAATCTTCAAATTTATTCAGCAAGCCTATTATTTCCAGGGAGTGAGCTAAGCACTGGGGAGACAGAGGGAAACAAGATCTATAACCTCCCGAGCAGCTCACAGTCCAGGGAGGTAACCAACACGTAAATAAGTAATTAGCATAAAATGGAGGCACCAGGAAGCCCTGATCTTTGAGTTGATATTTGAGGGATGAGCAGATCTTCATCAGATAAAGAGATGGGATAAGGACATTCCAGGAGGCAGGTCATTGGAGCAATTTATGAAGTAACAGGGAGGTGAGTAATCTGCTTTGTTAGAACTTGTGGGGTAAGGAGAGAGTTGATGGCAAGATGGAGGAATGACTCAAAAGGGGAGTGGAACTCAGGCTCCAGTCATGAGGAGTCCTGAGGTTCATGTCAAGGAGTTTCAGTTTCAACCATAGATAAAGAAGCTGCTCAAAAATGTAAGCAGAGGAATGACATAATACTAATGGCCAGCATTTAGCACTTCTCATATGGCTTCAGCTAATCCTAATGAAATTACGTGAAGTTGGTGTTTCTAATATTATCCCCATCTTACAGGTTACAAAAGTGAGGCTTAGGAAGGTTAGATAATGGTTTTAGGTTAAACAACTAGTGAATGTCAGAGCCAGGAAATAAAGTTTTGCTTGTGAGCTCTGAACTTATGGAATGAAAGAAGAGAATAGAAACAAGACGTTTTAAGGGGGAGACTGCAATATTTCAGGTAGCAGATGAGGAGAGTTGCACCAGAGCAGTGGCAGTGGAGATGAGATAGACTCTGGTGTATTATATTTCAAAGAGAGTTGCTCCTTCTCTGCCATTCCAGAAGGCACTAATGAATCACATTCCCATTATTTAAAATCTACTCTATTTTCTTTATTGTAAAGTACTTTTACCAATTTTTGTAACCTTACAGGTTACAAAAGTGAGGCTTGCCTATTTGCAAATACAGGATTCAAAGATAAAAATTTGTAACTACTAAAGAAAGTTTAAATAATAATATTGATGTTAAATTCTAAAGCAGAGTTCCAAAATGTTCTCAGCAACCTCAATGGTGTTGGGATAATGTATGATCTATGAGTAATTTTCTCAATGATTTTTTCATCTAACAGTCACTTTTTGAGGACATATTTTATTTTGGACCCTGGGCAAGGTGATGGGGATATAGTGATTGGGACATACTTTGTCAAGGGCCAAATAGAATATCTTGTGCCTCAAGCAGAACACAAGCTGTCCATATTACTTGGAAAATAATAATAAAGTAATAGTTTGTATGGGAGTGCGCAGGTGTGGTGTGTTGTTAAAATATTTTATTTATTTATTTATTTATTTATTTATTTATTTATTTATTTATTTTGAGACAGAGTCTCACTCTGTTGCCCAGGCTGGAGTGCAATGGTGCAATCTCAGCTCACTGCAACCTCCGCCTCCAGGGTTCAAGTAATTCTTCTGCCTCAGTCTCCTGAGTAGCTGGGACTACAGGTATGCGCCACCATGCTTGGCTAATATTTTTGTATTTTTAGTAGACGCAGGGTTTCACCATATTGGCCAGGCTGGTCTCGAACTCCTGACATCATGATCTGCCCACCTCAGCCTCCCAAAGTGTGGGATTACAGGTGTGAGCCACCGTGCCTGCCCTGTTAAAATATTTTTAAAAAATCATTCCCTAATATGTTTTATTCACATCTTATACTTCAGGCAATGTTAATTCTAGGAAAAGTCCCCATGATATATTTTGCACATTTATCAAAGAACAGATTGTAACAAAAGACTGTACTTCTGTGACAATAGCTTTGATTAACACCTATCATAATAGAACCATCATCTGCTCAGATAAGCATTTGTTAAACAACACAATCTGCTACTGAATTAGAGGCCAGATGCCTCTATCTCCACATTCCACACGTGCTGAGAGGACAGTTGCCACCTCCCTCTTCAAGCTCTAGCCGTGAATGGTCTTTGTCTGAAGGATGTCTCAGGCCTGCTCCAACTTGAGGTTCTAGGATTCTGTAAATTTAGTTCTTTTCTCCAGAGTGACCAGTGGTATTTCAGCTGTATTGTTCCATGAACCCCACAAGTAAAAGGTCCAGTAATAGGCCAGGCATGGTGGCTCACACCTGTAATCCCAGCACTTTGGGAGGCCAAGGCGGGCAGATCATGAAGTCAGGAATTCGAGACCAGCCTGTCCAACATGGTGAAACCCTGTCTCTACTAAAGATACAAAAAATTAACTGGGCGTGGTGTCGTGCACCTGTAATCCCAGCTACTTGTGAGGCTGAGGCAGAAGAATCACTTGAACTCGGGAGGTGGAGGTTGCAGTGAGCCAAGATCACGCCACTGTGCTCCAGCCTCGGTGACAGAGCGAGACTCTGTCTCAAAAAACAAACAAACAAACAAAAAAGGTCCAGTAATGACACTCACCAGAATGCTACCCCACTGGGGGCAATTCCAGTGGTACCCATTGGAAGTAAGTTTTCATCATCCCGGGCTAACTGACGTGTCATCTGCAAAATAATAGTGGCAATCTGGCTCCTCCTGATGGAAGGGACTAACCTCACAGGATCCTGTGACAAGGAGTGCTCAACCCCAGACTAACTCCAGGACTAGGATTCACTACTAATGTTCATCTTTAGAAAAGGTGTAGTTGTTAGAATTTTCTTTCTTATACTTGGCTAAGCTCTGCTCTATAATTTTCATTCTAGTTTTGTTTTCTGAAGCCAAACCAAATGAGTTTATCATGACAACATGACCACCTTCTTGTGTCCATGTCAGGTCATCTTTTTCTTCAATTAAGCAACTAGATTTCCTGCCGTTATTCCAGTTACACCATTTCCAGACCCCCTCATTATCCTGAGTACTTTTTTCTTGACTCGCTCGGATTCATCAGTGTTCTTTAAACTGTGATACCAAAAACTGAATTGAACACAATATGCTCATGGAAATTTGATCAGTAAAGAGTATACAGTAATATTCATTCCTTACTGTTCTGTTACTAAAATCTAAAATATCTTTGTTTTTATCTGACAGCCATGGTGCTCATGTCCAATAAAAACACTGTTGCCTCAGGGCCTTTGCACTTGCTATTCTCTCTGTCAAGAAAGCTTTTTCCTCAGATATCCATGTGGCTTTCTCACTTCAGTCTGTTCAAATGTCATCTCCTCAGTCATCCCCAGTGAAGCAGTGTCTTCCCTTAGTCTCTTTCCTTGCATAGATTATTGTTTCTTCCTTGCATAGATTATTGTTTCTTCCTTGCAACTATTGTCACCTGATACATAATTATTTCATGGGCATCTTGTCTGTTTCTTTCACAAAAGGTGTGCTCCATGAGGCAAGAGATAGTTTTGTTCTCTGATGCTGCATCCCTTGGCACATGGAAAATAAAATATAATAAATAATTGTTGGCTAAATAAAAATTGGGTGTATAATCAACAATAATTTCTAGAACTTTTTAATGAAATTCTGTTAGATTAAGTCTTTGCCCATTCCTTACTTAACAATTCACTTGTTTTTCTAATTATAAATAGCCCATGTTTATTATCACTTAGGAAACACAGATAAGCAAAAGAAAAAAAAAACCCAAAGAAATTGATTCTCTTATATCTACACAGTACTTAACACATAATTTTCTAGACTTTTTATTATTAATTAATTAATTTATTTATTTATTTATTTTGAAATGGGGTCTTATCCCGTCATCCACACCGTAATACAGTGGTGCAATCACAGTTCACCGCAGCTTCGAAACTCCCCAGGCTCAGGTGATCCTCTCAACTTAGCTTCCCAAGTAGCTGGGTCTACAGACGTGAACCGCCACCTGACCTGGCTAATCTTTTGTATTTTTAGTAGAGATGAGATTTTCCTATGATGCCCAGGCTGGTCTCAAACTCCTGGGTTCAAGAGATCCCCCGACCTTGGCCTCCCAAAGGGCCAGGATTACAGACGTAAGCCACCGCGCCCAGCCTAGGCTTTTTATTTATATATATCTTTCTTTTACTAAAATGAGATAATAATTTAAATATTTTTAAGTTGAATTATTTTTAGTGTATATATTTTCTCTTATCAGCAAATATCCTTATTACTAAGACCATATAATGTTTTACTCTGCAGGTATAACATAATTTAACATAATTTGCTTACCAGTCATTAATGATTAGGAATGTAATTTATTTTCAGTTTACTGTGAATTTAACAGTATTCTAACAGTGTTACACCTAAATTTATGGGACTTCCATTATTATTTCCTTGGTAAAAGACTTGTCACATTAAGGAATACACAATATACCATACTACTAATAGTTATTATTAAAAGATATGTTTAAATTTTAAGTATTCTGTCACTTTTGGCTTTCTTGAGAGTGTGGGAAAAGAGGATATTCCTATATTACTGGTAAATGTGTAAACTGACATAGTATTTTTGGAAGATCATTTAGTTATAATTATATCTATGAAGCAAGGAAAAACAACAAGCTATAAGTTTTTTCTTTTGTCTGTCAAATTTACAACTTTTCCTCATTGGCGTAACAGAAAAATCAAATATATGTTTCTGTTTTGTTTTTTACTTTTATTTAAGTTTTGTGTCTTGTGTGCTGTTGAACTTTTTCAAAAAGCTTGTTTGTATCTTGAGTCTCTAATCAACTTAGAAGTCATCACTCTTACTTTTGTACATTTCCTGAGTAAATCTGAGTCTTTATTTACAATGAGTGATTATAAAGTTTTGAACAGGAAATGCCAAATACAAAATAGTGTTGTAAACAATTAGGCTTCTTATTAAAGATTGCTTTGCTTGTCTTTCATTTTGTTTTAATGAAGATGGATACAAACAAATGAAATGAATTTTAGGAAAGTGCACCAAAAGAGAGTGAAGAGTTTACAAATAAAATTAAAAATAAAGTAAAATATAAAGAAAGACTAAAAAGCTAAAAATGGTCAGGTGTGGCTAAATATTCAAGTGCCCTCAGTGACTTTCCTAAATCATGCCTTCGGCTGCTGAAGGACTTCTGTAAGGCAAACACTGATCCATATCTTCGCTGAGGACAGAAAAAGACACTCCAGTTAACGATCAAGGTTTTGATAAGAAAAAACTTTACAGAACAGAAATTTAAATATTCAAATATTCTGTTCATGGAGGTTATACACACACACACACACACACACACACACACACACGGAGGTTTATATATATAGATATAGATACAGATATAGATATAGATATAGATATGAGATATATATACATATGAGATATCTCTCTCTCTCTCACATGTTGTCTTTAAGAAATTATATAGGTTCATTGTAGCAGTTACCTGTGATTGCATACCTTTCCACCCAATGCCCCGTTTCCTCCAGAAAGAAAAAAAACCAGTGTTTTAAAAAGTTATTTGTTATCTCTCACCAGTCTACAGGTCTGGATCAGGGCTAGCTTCTACTGGTTAGAGCTTGCTTCTGTATCTGCAGGTAGCCCAGGTTTACAGGGGGCTGACTGGTCTAGGAAGGCTGTTTCTGGAATGATTTAGTTCTGCTCTAAGTCCTCTATTATCCTCCAGTAGGCTAGCCCAGGCTCATTCTCAAGAAAGAGCTAGAGTGCAAAAGAGTGCAGAGGCATGCTCACACTTTTTCAAGACTCTGCACTGTCATTTGTTAAGGTTTCATGGTCTAAAGGAAGTCATATGGCCAAGCCAGACAGTGTGGAAGTCAACTGCCAAAAGGCATGAATACAAGAAAATGTGAAAATTGGAGTATTAACATTTCAAACTCATTTATGTGAAAATGTAATGCAAAATCTCTGGTTCATAGGAGGCCCCACTGGTTATTAGCCATCTCTGAGTTGATTAGACCAATGAACCTTGATGGTTCAGACATAGTCACACCTGAAAGCAGAATGATTGTTTGAGGTGTCATCCAAATTTATAACTTTATGTACAAGATACCTGGAAGTGATTTTTTTCTTCCTGCATGGGATTGACAAGATTGATATACATCTGTATAGTAGGAATATATCATAACCCAATGTTAGCATGTCATTATGGTCCTGTATTAATAATAGAGATTCTTAATGTTTTCATACTAGCTTCCCATATGATAGATGTGTGATTTCTGTGTTTATTTTACTATGTTAGAAGAAAGAAATACATAGCTGCTTAAAAATACCATTAAATATACTCCTTTCAATTTTGCTTAAATTGTTATATGTGGATCTTAACAGTGGGCAACATCTGCTAGGAATATATCAAGTGTAAATAAATGTAGGATTCCACAGTGAGTGAAAGAAAACTAAAAGATGATCTATAAATAAAGTGTCTGAAAAGCAATGTGTTTGGAAAAGCCAAGGAGAAAGTTGTTAACTAAACACATTTTTAAATTTTCCAACACTGATGCAAAAACAAACCAGTAATATTCTTGGAGAGGTATTGATGTGTGTTGAATAAAGAAGATATTACTTTCCTTCTTGCCAGTCTTTACTTAAGAGATGTGTGAATCTGACTAAATCTCACAGTTGTTATTAATCTGGAATTTTTGAAACTGGAGCATTGTTATTGCAATGAGAAGATATAAGGGTAATTCATCAGGTCCTCTGTGATGTAAAAAAAAATTGTTTTAAACCTACCTCTGTCTTAAGAGTTGCAGCTGTGGCTGTTTATGCAGTAAATAGAGCCTCTTCCTCTTTGCCTTTGGGCATCATCATAATAATTAAAATGTTCGCATTACTTTTTATTACTCTTGCAGAAATCCTTTGTGAGAATCAGGGACCATAATATTATTCCCATTTTACAGATTAGGAAATCGAGGATGAAGTAAGATCAAGTGACTTGCAAGGTACATAGCTAGTAGGGGTTCCTACAAACTCTAGTTCATTGCATTCCCTCCTACCTGTTACTCTCTTTCTCTGTAGGGATTCAGGGTCACAATCATCCCACTCCTTCCCAAGGCATACAATTGGCTTCCCATGTCCCTTTAGGGGAGGCAAGTAGACAGTTAGGAGGAGAATCAAGCAAGAGATCATTGACTAAAACTATTGAGAAGAAAACAAAATGAAGGTGTGAAGCTTTACAAGAATTGAAAATAGGTGGCCTAAAATCCAGATGTATTTCTTTGTTTGAGCACTTGGTTTGATCTGCACAGTATTTTCAAGCACAATTGAACTGGGCAAATGTTCCGTTGTAAGCAGGTTAGCACTTAAGTTTAATACTCACCTTTTTGTATATTTTTGTTGCTTGTCTGGCTTCTCCAATATTTGATGTTGCAACTCTAAGAGAATTTTAATTAATCATCTGTGTATTTTAGAGAATAGATCAAGAATAACATTTCCTTTCCGAGTACAAGAGGTTGGCTAGTTCTTGTAATTCGTTTGGTTGGTCAAGTGTTCTGTGAGTAGCAACATGGAAAGGACACATACGTTGGGGTAAGTAAACCCTGGATGTGCACATTGAGCTGAAGCCTCCTCACAAGCTTGCCCATAGCAGCCATCGTGCTGCAGTGAGGTCAGTGAGTACATGCTCCCCACTCCCTGGAGGGATGGGAGCTGTAACAACCAATATGATCCTTGAAAACTGGTTTGGAAGGGGAAACTGTCATCCTGATTATCACATAAATCAGGCACTGTGCTTATCAACAAAGCTAGTAATGAACACTCAGTCACACATAGCAGCATGTGAATTTGTTGGCATTTACATCTCAGCTTTGGACACTTGAGATATCCATTCATCCAATCCTAGAAAACACTGGGGAAAATGTATATACCCCACTTTGCTAAGGGAAGAAGAAAGAGTCTTTCTAGTCTTGACTACCTATGTGTTTGAGACTCTTAACATACTGTAGAAGTCTTTGTAGATATTTGACAAAAAATGATAGATTCAGTAAGATCAACCACATTTTCTTTGATTTACCCACTTTACATTGGATAACATCCTCTTAAAATTCACAGGTATCTTCTGTATTTCATAATCACTTTATCCCTAATAATGATTCTTCAAATCATTTGGCTCAGTTTGTAATAAATGCACTGTGACATTCCCTAAACTTAGATTCCCATACTAATCTAAGAAATTAGAAAATTGGCAGGAAAGGCTGCAAAAAGAAATTATTCTACTCCCAATGATAGACAATAAGAATCAACCCTTATACAGCTCTTACTCTGTACCTCAGCACAACTACATCAACTCCTTCAATCCTCAGAACCACTCTGTTACCAATTTACTACTTCTGTCCCCATTTTCCAGGGAACTGAGGCACAGAGAGATTAGATGAGGTAACTGAGGTTGCACAGATAGTGAGAATGCTGGGATTTAAGACTGGCATGTCCACCTCCTGAGCCTCTGCTCTTAGACAATACACTATTCTTTCTTTCTAAGGGAACTGGATCAGTTGCCTACAAATTTCTACTCCTCACAGCATCTTTGCTCAGCCTCCTTTCTGTTCCTGGAAAGAGAATCTCTCCCCAGATTCTCTGCTTTCCAAGGTGAATGAAGTTCAAGGATCACTTTCTCTATGACGCCTTACCTAGTTCTTCCTAGCACAGAGCCTGAATAAGCTTCTCTGGACTTTTGCCTTTCTGTTGCAACACTTACCATTTGTGTTTATGTCATCATACACTCATCTCTCTACTATAAAGTAGAGTCAGCTCCTTCAGGAAGAGGAATACTATGTAATTTTTTATATTTGTGTATTCCTGGTGCTTAGGAGATCACCTGGCATATAGTAAGGACTGTATAATACACAGTAATACATATTGTATTGGACATGAATGAATAAAGGTATTTGGAGATGCCTCTTAGTACATAAGAATAGGTTTTAAATTTCTTTTAACCCTTTTATTTAATACCAATATCTAGCCTAATATGAAGCATTTTTATTGGGTATTCATTAGACATTTTGACTCTAGACACTTTGACTTAGACTCTAGGCATGAGTCACTGTTTACATTAAGGCTCAGTTGAAATGACAGAATGGATAACCTTGACTTAGGTGAATTTAAGTAGCACCTTTGATCCTGAGTCTGTTTTCTTCTGAACTTAATTAGCTATACCCCATAGTAATTCAGCAATGTCCTGTGGGATATTAAATGGTAAAATAAATAGTTTGGTAGTTTCTTTATAAACCTCATGGAGGATCTACATTCCCCACATTTCACTAGACATCATTACTTTACAGTAATCATTTAATCTGAAATAATGCCATTATGTATAAATTGTGTGAAGCTGCTTTCCTTCCCTTCATTAAGTGTTTCTCTGAACACCTAACAATATTGGACTTCTTTTAATTATTTTCTCTGCACCGGAGTTCTCACTTTTTTTCTCTGCTGTTGTTCGGGGTATTCATGATTGAACAAATCAATTATTAAAAAGAAAACCATGCTCCTTTTGTGCATTGCCTGGATGTCTTAACAATCTCATTATTTGATGAGTGACTTGTAAAAATATTTAACTCACCCTGTTTGACGTATGTCATGTGCTCAACAAGAATAATGAATGTGCTCTTTGATACTGAGAGGATTGCATTTGCAGTGTTTTTACTCTGATTTCAGCACTGCCAGGGGTGAGAGGTGTCTCTGTTTTGATCACAGCCACATTTTAGCTCAAAAGACTTGAATTGTTTGACCTTGCTAGTCAACTCTATGCAATACATTTACAAACATATATATATATATGTTTACATTACAAATACATTTACAAACATATATATATATATATATATATATATACACACACACACACGTATATATTTGCATCAGGTCAAGGTTAATTATAGTTGGTATTTGCTTAATAATTCATCCCCTACCATTCTAGCTCATGACATAAGAAGTGAACTATTTGGGAGAAAAGAGAAGTCAGTGCTATATTCAATTTATTGCAGCAGGTGTGCTTCCAGTTGGGAAATTGATTGGAAGAGGAGTTTAATAAAGAAGAGATTCCTTATAAAAGTTTAGGTCACAAAATGCATTTAAGGAATTAATCATGACTGTGGAATTACTTCATGTTCAAAAAAGAAAACTTTAGACCATGGGCTCAATGGCCAGAAGCTTGGCCTTCATCTGAACTCTTGATTTCTGGGTCTTATTTCCAAACTTTGCATAACTGGATTTTCCAAAAGCTTCTCAAGCATGTGGCTCACTTATGGGCTACCCCAATACTCTGCAGTCAGCATGTATCACATCATCATGCATATCACACCTAGTTATAATAGGGCCTGTTTTCTTATGCCTAGGCCCTGCTGGCTGGAAGATCCTTTGAGATGGAAACTGTGTTCTGCTGACATTCTATTTGCAGCACCTATCATAGTGCCTGGGTCATGGTAGCCATTCAGAAATAACTACTGAATTGCTGGGTGCGATGGCTCATGCCTGTAATCCCAACATTTTAGGAGGCTGAGGTGAGTGGATTGCTTGAGTCCAGGAGTTTGAGACTAGCCTGAGCAATATGGTGAAACCCTGTCTCTACAAAAAATACAAAAATTGGCCAGGCGTGTTGGTGCACACCTACAGTCTCAGCTACTTAGGGGGCTGAGGTGGGAGGATCACTAGAGGTAAAGGCTGCAGCGAGCCATCATCATGCCACTGCACTCCAGCATGGGTGACAGAGTGAGACCCTGTCTCAAAAAAAAAAAAAACTACTGTATTAATTTATTAATGATAATAATAATGCTACATTAATGTAATAAGGCAAATTTTACTGACTCTTATTTTTTCCCACAAACAATAAGAATTCTAGTTTGTCTTTTAAAAATTCAAACCCAGTTTTTTTTCCTGGGAGTCCCAAGAGGTGTTTCATATAAGATACTAATAGTCTCATATCTCTTCGACTCTGGCACTAGCCTGACCCAACTGATGCACAAGTCAAGGGTATGTTTTTCCATTCTCTCCAAGGTCACAAACTTTCCAGGAACTAATGCAAGATTGTATTTCTGATAGTCACTGTGCTGAAGACATGTATGTCTCTTCTGGAAATGAGAAAATCTCTTTGCTCCACTTTGCCAACTTGGCATTAAAGAAAACCAAACATCATGTATGTTTTTTAGAGATAGAGTCTCAGTCTATTGCCTGGCCTCATATCTTTCTGTGTACCACAAAGTTACTCAGAAGAACAGCTTTTTATCTCTACCTGAGCTCCTCTCTTCATCCACCTTGGACATGTGTCCGTGGTGCTGGGTTGGGTATTAATATCTGGTTCTAATACCATGCTCAATGCTGCCTTTCTATCCTGATTTCCCACCAGACATAAATGTAAATATTTTTTAAGCCAAAAATAGAATTTTCTTTCCTTCTTAGCTACTTTGCTTCTTTCCATATTTCCAATTTTTATTCTTGCAGTCATTTATTCTACATATAACTATTGGATGAATACTATGCCCCAAATACTCTAATAGATTCTGGAGATAAATTATTGATGAACAAAACAAATGAAATTTCTATCCCCCTGGAGTTTATAATTTTGTTCACTTGAAGATGGCCAGATATACTTTAATCCCACTTGAGACCTAACTTGAATCTATGCTAATCTTAAAGTCTTTCTTTCTAAGCAAGCAAACGTTTTTCCTATATTTTACTTGGTTAGAGCAAGACAAATATTATGTAGTTTGAAGATTTGTAAATGCATAAGAAAGAGAGAGAAAGAATGAAGCCAATTATAAGGACCTTCCCTTAGGTAGAGGACAAGAGAAGTGCAGGGGGAGATGAGAAAGACACTATTTGATTACGTGATTAGGGATAATCATCTCATGAAAATTCCCGAAGAATATATGGAAATAGAGATGTTCTCAAACAGGAACCCAGAAGACAGAGAAGTAGAACGTGGAAAAACAGAAAAACAGAAGGAGCTGGGCTTCAGAGGTCAACTCCAAACTAAAAACTGCCTCTTCATGGAAGGGTTGATTAAACCTGTCCAAGAACTTAGAGTCACTAATTGATGAGCTGTCAGAGGAAGAAGACATACTTAATAGAATGAATTTTAATTTTCTGCAAGCAAAGCCTAAATTCCTGAAAAAAATGTTATAAAAGATACTTGAAAGCAAGGTGGCCTATTTTCCAACAGTCCCAGTCAATCATGGAGAGCTGCCATTTTTGAAGAGTGACTCATCAGGGAAAAAGTGATTAAGTAGCTGAAAACAGCAAATAAGAAAGAGCTGACAAGGTTCCCCAAGAACTAAAGGTGGGATATTCAAAATGAACTTCAAAAATCCTGTGATAACTGCTCATGTTTTCCTCTTTCAAAAACCTCTTTTCTAAATGGGAAGGTGGAAAGATCAATCAACTAAAGCGTAGGAGACAGAACCAAATGACACCAAGGTTTGAATTGTTCCTGCAGTTAACTCTTGGAATCTGCTCAACTCATGATCAATCTAAGAAGTGGGCCATGGCCCAAGGCCATGAACTATAATTCAAACTTTCTAATGACCATGCCACTGAAGGGAAGTATTATGTGGAACTCAGTGCCAAGAATATTCTTTATGCAAATTAGATATATAACAAAGGATATGCTCTTATAGGAAAGCTCTCAGGATAGTATACATCCCAGAGAGAATTTTGTCTGTACTTGTAAAGAAGACACCTAACAAAACTATGTTGTTCTAAAATTATTCCTCAAATTTTTATTTTGTAAATAAGTAAAACATTATACAATCAAGTTTCTTAATGGATCAACTATTAGAAACAATAGAGCACAAATAAATCTTGGGCCCCCACGTGTCGTGATGTATAATATCCCAGTAAAGAAACAAGTTCAACTACCTAATGGTCATGTAAATTTTTATTGACGTAGGGAACGTGAAATGCCAACAAAGCCATTTTGTTCTTTCCCCGATTGTTTTGTTCTATTTGCTCTAAGGGCTGTTCCTTTCCCTGCCCCTGGATGAAAATTTAGCTTTGTACCATGGCCTTTTCCTCCTCCTTAGTTTTAAGAACTGTCTCCTTTGAGTAATTAAAATGTCCAGCCATCAGTGTAATGATCAAAACTCTGATCTAATAACACATATAGGGCTACTTACCTTCTATCAGCTTGACACTGCTTCAGATCTGGAAACCCCATTAGGGAGGAGACATCCAATTGACTTCTTCCACCATCTTTGATTATCTTGTTTTGTGCTCAGCAGCTGAGCTTCTGATTCCTCAAGGTACAACCACACAAAGAGGGGATGAGTAGAGAAGGGTCATAGCCTTATGTGGCTGTGTGCTCACCATCTGTGACAGTGCCTTCTGCATGTAGGGAAGATTAGAATTGGCTCATTTCTCATAGTACTCATACTGCTCTTTTTAGAGAGTTTCCTGTGGTATAGTTAAAAAAAAAGAAAGAAAAAAATTATTTATTTAGCAGTAACTCCTAAAACCTTTGGAAGCTCCAAAGTGCTGAGTATTTTTTGTATGCTAATGAGATGACTGGTGACTGGGGAAACCTAGATATTCAAGATGGGGCGTGGTCACCAGAAAGACCCAGCCATTTTTAGAGGGTTAGAACTTTCATCCCCCCCTCACCCCCACAATCCCTTGAGGAGAAGGGCTGGAGATTGAGTTCAATTACCAATGGCCAGTGATTTTAATCAATTATGGCTACTAATGGAACCTCCATAAAGCCCCCTAAATGATGGGGTTTGGAGTACTTCCAGATCAGTTAAGACTTTAAGGTTCTGGGAGGGCATGGAAGCTCTGTACACACACTCCCTTCATACCTTCTCCTATGCATATCTTCCATTTGGCATAGAAATAGAAGAGTTGTATTCTTCATAATAAACTGATAACAGTAAGTAAAGTGATTTCCTGAGTTCTTCAAGTCATTCTAAGGAATTACCAACGCATGAGGAAGGGGTTGGTCATGGAAACACCTGAATTTATAGTCAGCTGGGTGGAAAAGTGGGTAGTCTAGGTACCCCATTTGTGGCTGGCAACTGAAATGGAAGCAGCATTGTGGGACTAAACTTAAAACTGTGGGGTCTTTGCAAACACTGGGTAGTTAGTATGAGAGTTGGATGCTTGGACACCCAGTTGGTCTTGAAGAATTGAATTGCTTGGTATGGAAAACCACTGTATTAGTTCGTTTTCATGCTGCCGATAAAGACATACCCAAGACCAGGAAGAAAAAGAGGGTTAATGGACTTACAGTTCCACATGACTGGGGAGGCCTCACAATCATGATGGAAGGCAAAAAGGGGCAAGTCACATTTTACACGGATGGCAGCAGGCAAAGAGAGAGTTTGTGGAGGAAAACTCCCACTTTAAAACCATCAGATCTTGTGAGACTCATTCACTATCACAAGAACAGTGCAGGAAAGACCTGCCCTCATAATTCAGTCACCTCCCACCGGGTTCCTCCCATGACATGTAGGAATTGTGGGAGCTACAATTAAAGATGAGATTTGAGTGGTGGCACAGCCAAACCATATCATTCCACCCCAGCCCTTCCCAAATCTCATGTCCTCAAATTTCAAAACCGGTCATGCCTTCCCAACAGTCCCTCAAAGTTCTAAATCATTTCAGCATTAACTCAAAAGTCCAGAGTCCAATGTCTCATCTGAGACAAGGCAAGTCCCTTCCGCCTATGAGCCTATAAAATCAAAAGCAAGTTAATTACCTCCTAGATACAATGGGGGTACAAGCAATGGGTAAATGCAGGTGTTCCAAATGGGAGAAATTTGCCAAAACAAAGGGGCTACTAAGTCCATGCAAGTCTGAGATCCAGCAGGGCAGTCAAATCTTAAAGCTCCAAAATTATCTCCTTTGACTCCATGTCTCGCATCTGGGTCACGCTGACGCAAGAGGTGGGTTCCCATGGTCTTGGGCAGCTCTGCCCCTGTGGCTTTGCAGGGTACAGCCTCTCTCCCTGCTGTTTTCATGGGCTGGCATTGAGAGTCGGCAGTTTTTCCAGGCACACCGTGCATGCTGTAGGTTGATCTACCATTATTAGGTCTGGAGGACATTGGCCCTCTTCTCCCAGCTCTACTAGGCAGTGCCCCAGTAGGGATACTGTGTGGGGTCTCAGACCCCACATTTCCCTTCCACACTGCCCTAGCAGAGTTTCTCCATGAGAGCCCCGCCCCTGCATCAGAGTTCTGCCTGAACATCCAGGCGGTTCCATACATCCTCTGAAATCTAGGTGGAAGTTCCCAAACCTCAATTCTTGACTTGTGTATACCTGCAGGCTCAACACCATGTGGAAGCTGCCAAGGTTGGGAGTTTGCACCCTCTGAAGCCACGACCCAAGCTGTACCTTGGCCCCTTTTAGTCATGGCTGGAGTGGCTGGGACACAGGGCACCAAGTCCCTAGACTGCACACAGCTCGGGGACCCTGGGCTCGGCCCACAAAACCGTTTTTCCCTCCTAGGGCTCTGATCTGTGCTGGGAGCGGCTGCCCTGAAGACCTCTGACATGCCCGGGAGACATTTTCCCCATTGTCTTGGGGATTAACAATCAGCTCCTTATTACTTTTGCAAATTTCTGTAGCCAGCTTGAATTTCTCCGCAGAAAATGGGATTTTCTTCTCTATTGCATTGTCAGGCTGCAAATTTTTGAACTTTTATGCTCTGCTTCCCTTATAAAACTGAATGCCTTTAACATCACCCAAGTCACCTCTTGAATGCTTTGCTGCTTAGAAATTTCTTCCACCAGTTACCCTAAATCATCTATCTCAAGTTCAAAGTTTCACAAATCTTTAGGTCAGGGACAACATGCCACCAGACTCCTTGCTAAACCATAACAAGAGTCACCTTTCCTCCATTTCCCAACAAGTTCCTCATCTCCATCAGAAACCACCTCAGCCTAGACTTTATTGCTCATATCATTATCAGCATTTTTGTCAAAGTCATTCAACAAGTCTCTAGGAAGTTCCAAACTTTCCCACATTTTCCTATCTACTTCTGAGCCCTCCAAACTCTTCCAACCTCTGCCTGTTACCCAGTTCCAAAGTGACTTCCATATTTTCAGGTAACTTTTCAGCAGTGCCCTACTCTACTGGTACCAATTTACTGCATTAGTTCATTTTCATGCTGCTAACAAAGACATACCTGAGACTGGGAAGAAAAAGAGATAATGGATTTATAGTTCCACATTGCTGGGGAGACCTCACAATTATAGAGGAAGGCAAGGAGGAGCAAAGTCACGTCTTACGTGGATGACAGCAAAGAGAGAACTTCTGCAGGAAAACATTTTTAAAACCATCAGATCTTATGAGATTCATTATCACTATCACAAGAACAGCACAGAAAATACCTGCCCCCGTAATTCAACCACCTTCCCACGTGGGAATTGTGGGAGTTATAAGTCAGATGAGATTTGTATGGGAACACAGACAAACCATATCAACTCCCCATACATTTAAGATCAGAAGTGTTGTTTAAGGGGAAAAAAATGCTTCATTTGTATTTGCAATCCCTCACAGATTTTCCCTAATGCAGATCTTTCGTGACCTCTCCCTCAGACTCCTTTGGTGATTTTTATGAGGCTTTAGCCCCAAGGGATATGTGTCAGGTGATTCTGATGTTCCAGAGTCTACCTGGGCCTCTTCTCTCAGGATGGGTGGGATAACTGTATGAGCGCATGGAGGCCTGAGCCATGGCCACAGGGTGGCTGTTTGCAGAAGCGGGGGTGGAAGTATGGTAAAGCATGTACAGGAGGGCTTGGGTGTCCACATGCTTGCTTCTGAAGTCCCTCACAATACAAGAGAGAATGGGGTGGAGTGAGAAGAGGACAAGTAGTAAATCAAGGCCTGGCCTGCTTGCCTGTCTCTACTCTGTTTTGAGACAGAATTTCAAAGAGTTCATGAATTCCAAAGTCACACCTAGCCTTCCAGGTTTTGTATTTGTCAAAGGGGGGAGATAGGACATATTCCATTATAATTTTTTCAGCTCGATTTATACTTTTTGAATTTAGACATAGAGTATATAAAGTCTCCATGTTACTTTTACCTGAGGTCCACGAATGTTTGGGATGGGCCTGGCAATAAATGTAAATAATGTTTTTTTCTTAGTTTGGACTTGAAGGATCTTCTGTGAACAATTCTTACAGAAACTGATACTCTCCTTTGTGCCTTGGCTGTAGGTAAATTGGCCACAGCAGATTTCACTATGTGGCTTTTCTTCCCCCATAGGACTCATCATTTATAATATCACCTAATATACTGCATGATACACATATGTATTATGCTTATTTTTTACCACTTGTTTTTTTCTATCCCCTGCTCACTACCCTGTACCATCCCTATTTCCGATAAAATGTGTTTTCTATGAGGAAGGAGTTTTATCTTTCTGAGTTCTTTTTTTTTTTTTTTGCTCATTTGCATGTCCCCTTGAAATATAGTAGGCACACAATAAATATTTGTTGAGTGAATGAATATATATATGAACATAAATGCATTAAAATGTGCATTAAGTATCATTTGCCAGGTGACATTTCATGATTTTTATTTATTATATTTTTATGTATCTTACAAATTTTCTGTAGTAAATATATCCACTGTAATCATAAAATGATATGATTATATTAAATTACAATGAATTTTCCCTATCCTTAATCTCTTTTATATTTCTTGCATAATGAATATTATTGTGCACATTTTGTGGATGATGAAATTAACCTGTAATTCTTACTGTTTCAGCATATAATTGTGTTGTTTTTCACTTTCTCCCCAGGGTACCTTGTGTACCTTGTGAACATGACCAGTTTCCACATGAAAGAGGTTTTTGTGTTCTGCCCCCACTTCCCTTTTCATTTTGTGCTTGCACCTTAGTTGTAACTAAAGTACTCTGGCTGGTTTCTTCTTTCCCATCAGCCAAAAGAGATCATATAATAAAATCCACACCTACCTTGTACCCACAGGTAGGCAAGCGTAATAATTAAACCACAATTTCTTGTCAAATACTTCATTTGTGCTCAATTCACTCCGTGAAAAGACAGTTCTCTTCTTTTGAGAGCATGCAAGCTATCAAGTTGTCATTTTTGAAAAAAAATCTTAAAATATAAGGATGATAGAGTAGACAACTGCATATGATATACTTGTTTAGAAAAAAAAGTTCTGTGTCTTTGGTGACACCAAAGCACCTGAATGAATATGTTATTCAGTTAAAAGGCTTTGGGGTGGGTGTGTGCATGTGTCTGTGTGTGTGTGTGTGTGTGTGTGGTGTGTGTGTCTGTGTGTGTGTATCTGTGTGTCTGTGTGTGTGTGGTGTGTGTCTGTGTGTGAATCTGTGTGTCTATGTGTGTGTGTGTGTCTGTGTGTGTGGGGGTGGTGTGTGTTGGGGGTGAGGAAAGTCATGGTCTTGTTTCTTTTGAATGTCAAGCTTTAAGCGGTCTTGAAACATCCCAATATTTGGCACTATTAGAAACAAACATCCTTCTAAGTGATAGTTGACCAGACTTTTTAATTTTCACCTAGTTGTTTGACCATCATAAGCTATCAGAGAATATAGATATATATAATCAACACAATTATTTTTCTTTAAATATGATCTTGTATAGACATGACTGAATTTGTGATCTTCATTTTAGAAACATAGATAATGAAGACTGCTTCCATTGTTCTTTGAGCACTTTTGCATTTTTTGAAATTGCCTGTATTTAAGGAGTACAATGTGTTTTGATATCTGAATATTTCACTAAATGATTACCATTATCAATCTAATGAATATATCCATCATCTCACAGTTATCTTTTATATCCAGTAAGAAGATTTACTTTCTAGCAAGTTTCAGGTATACAATACATTATTATTAACTATCATCAACATGCTGTAGATTAGATTTCCAGAATATACTCATTTTATAACTGAAACATTACACTCTTTGACTGAAACCCCCTTCCACTCCCAACTTCCCAGCCCACTTTCCACCTCCCAGCTTCTGGATACTACTAATCTATTCTCTGTTCTATAAACCTAGAGGACATTATGCTAAGTGAAATAAGCAGACACAGAAATACAAATACTACGTGATCTCATATGTGGAATCAAAAGAAGTCAAACAATTTGACATTTTTAAAATCCACTGTTTACTCAAGAAATAAGAAAAATATTTGCCAATAGGCTTTCTAGGATATTTTGAAGTATGTTGGGGAAATATTTAAGTTTCAATAATCTCAATCCATTATTAATGACATAATTCAAACTGAATTGAAAACTAAAGCTCCAGCACATTTTAATTATATGCAAATAAAATATTATTCAGTCTCATACTATTCTAGAAAAAATTATGAAATTTAAAAGTTTACAATTGGTTGCAATGGCTCACACCTGTAATCGCAGCACTTTGGGAGGCTGGGGTGGGAGGATGGTTTGCGTCCAGCAGTTCAAGACCAGCCTAGGCAACATAGTGAGACCCTGTCTCTTTAAAAAATAAAAAATTAGCCACGAGTGGTGGTGCATGCCTGTGGTCCCAGCTACTTTGGAGGCTGAGGTAGGAGGATTGCTGGAGCCCAGGAGGTTAAGCCTGCAGTGCACCATGATCATGCCCCTGCACTCACCTGGGTAACAGAGTGAGATCATGTCTCACAATCAAAGTAAAAAGTTTATTAGCCTGGCCTGAAAATCGCCTCCTTTATTAAATTGACTGTAATTTCTTCATTTGAAGGAAATGTGTCTTTTAGTAAACTCTGTAATAATCCACCTGGGCTGAATCAGATGCTTCATGTGCAGTGGAGAGAAGGCAGATCCGTTCCCATCCTTGGAAAGCTGATATGCAACAGTCATCAAACACATAAGAAGTGGATGAATGTAATGAAAATTAAAAAAAATGGATGTTGGGAGAAAGTCTGCATAATTAACCTCCTGAGTCCTCTAAGGAAGAGACATTTCAGTTGTTAAGTCGACAGAAGTTAGGCTAAGTGTGGGTGGGTGGAAGAAGTGGGGCCTGGGGAGATGAATTCAAGGCTGAAATCCCTGAAGCCTACGCATCTTGCTTTGTTTGAAATTTTGAGAGGTGGGCTGCCCCACAGTGTGTCATGTAGATTCTTTGGGGTGAATCTTTTTAGAAAGTCCCAGAGGTGAATCTGTCCAATGCTATGCTGAGAAACCCTGGGATAGAGATTGAGCTGTCTTTCCTTTGGGAGTGTCTCAGTTGCATTTCTTGAACTGCACTTTTCCATGGTTCATATGGCAGGAGTGGAGGCGGGCAGAAGTTAATTCAGGTCTCTGTGAATGTTTTGTGCAATTGAATCATATTCATGAATATGATTTTTTTTCAGTGTCTGGTATGTGCTTGATCCTACTTAAGAACTAATAATAATGTTAAAACCAACTAGAGGTAACAATCATATAGTGTTGTTATGTGCCATGATATTAATATTCATTGATAAGTTATATAGCTTTACTATGTGTCAGAAACACTTTTTAGCATTACATTTGTTAACTCTTTTGATCATTTTATTAAGTGCATAAGGTTAAATACTCTCATTATCTCCACCTCATAATAGAAAAAGGAAGTGAGGCACAGAGAAGTTAGTAACTTTCCCAAGGTTACATTGGGCTAGAAAGTAACAAAGCTTGGATTCAAACTCACATATACTGTTTTCAGTGCCCATGTTCTTATCTGTTATGTTGTGTTGCAACATGAACTAAACATATTTCCAATCTTAAAGAAGAGAGTGAAAGATACCAATGATAATATACAGAGCTAACTATAATATGCAGAATATAGTAAGTACCAAATAAAATACAGCCAGCCCTCCAAATCTGTTGGTTGTGCATCCCAGGGATTCGAACCAACCAGGGATCAAAAATACTTGGAAAAAAAAATAGCTCGGTACTGAACATGTACAGATGTTTTTTCTTGTCATTATTCCCTAAACAACACAGTGTGACAACTATTTATATGGCATTACAGTCTATTAAGTATTACACATAATCTAGAGATGATTTAAAGTATATGAAAGGGTATGTAGAAGTTAAATGAAAATACTACACCATTGGATATCAGGGACTTGACCATCCACAGATTTTGGTATCCATGGGGGCCCTGGAACCAGTTTCTAATAGATACCAAGGGACAACTCTATAAACAAAACAACCCATTAATTCAGATGATGGAAAGGTGGAAGTTTGGCAGGAAGCTTGGGATGATAGGAGAGGAATCTGGTAATACTTTGTCTATATAAATTATGTCAGGCTCCCAACAAAAGAGAGTTTAGGAAGTGGGCCAAACTTGGAATACATCTTGGCCAGGAAGTATCTGAACTCACGGGTCAGATCTTGTGGTCAGGGACATTCATCCCCACCACTGTGCTGAGGGTAGTGTTCATGCCTCTTACATGGTAGACAGTAAGGGAAGGTTTGTTGAAGGATTAGCAGGAACCATGTCTTCTTGTTTCTTGATAAGGAATTGGGTAGCAATGGTGGTACTTGGTCCTGCATGCTGATAGCTACAGATGACCAGCTGGGGAGCAAATACGTGACAGCACGCATGCTGAGGCCTGGCATCAATTATTAACATTTTTCAGCATCCACTGTAATGGTTATCATGACTAGCATTCACACTGAAATTTACACATTATGGAAGACTTTCCAATGGGCTATGTCATTTTAATTCCTGAAAATTGATTTATTTCACCCTCACTTTTGTAAAAACTATTTTGCTTTTGCCAAAAGTAATATATGTTCATGGTTTAAAAAGTTAAGTGGTCCTGTTAAGCTTATAATAAAAAACAAGTATCCTTACAAAATTACTCCTTCCTTTCAATTTCCACCTCTACAAAAGCAATCAGTTTTAATTTGCTTTTAGCTGCTTCTTTTGGCATGCGCTCTCATATATCTAAGTAATATGCTTACATTACTATTTCGTGATTTTTTCCATTTTAAGTGCTATTCATTGACTTCTTAGGAAAGAATGGAGGATTTAACTGTTTAACACCTTCCCTCTGCCCTCCACCCCTCCACACATAGCCACAGTCATGTATACACTTCCTTTCTCCCTACCTTGTCAATACAGGTTTATTATACCTTCTGGTTATATCAATATACTTGTTTTAGTATTATAAAATTTAAATATAACTCACGATTTTACCATGTATTGTGTTATGCATGTTACCATGTATCATTTCGTTCTTGTACAACTCTGCTTGGAGTAGATAATTGCCTTGTTTTTAATACTAAGTTTTCTCCATCTATACCATTAATTCAAAATCTTTTGAACAGATCTTAAATGTTGCTATTAATATACTCATACACATGAAGCAGCATATCATGATGTCTTTTCCAGAGGGATTTATTCCCACAATCCTTTGTCCTTTTCTCTACTCTCAGCCAGTTGATCTGTAGGCCTGCTGCCTCTGGGGAAGCCCCTTCGCTTTCACCTGAGAACTCCCTCTCTTCTGAGAGGATTCTGTTGGTTTCTGAATCCCACTTTCTGATTTACAGAAAGCATCTTTGTGGCAGAGCATCTTCAGCAGCTTTCCAAAAGGACTGCAGAAAACATTTTGAGATATTGTTTGTTAGACAGGGTAGGCTATCATGGTTTCTCAAACTCAGCACCATTGACATTGGGGCCAGATAATTCTTTGTTGTGACATCTGGCCTGTGCATTGTAGGATATTTAGTGTCACCTCCCAGCCTCTACCTGCTGGATGCCAGTAGCATCCCTTCAGTTGTGGTAACCAAAACCGTTTCCAGACATTGCTGAATGTTCCCTGGGGAGTAATGGCAATGTTAATTGGGAACCACCAGGCTTTGTAAACAAATTAACTGCCAAATCTTAGTTGCTTAACTCAACACTTGTCTGTTTCTTGTTCATGGTGTGTGTTCAGTGTGGGCTGGCACAGTGCTTGCACAAGCTCTCTTCTCTTGTCTGCCACCATGTGACACATGTCTTTCACCTTCCACGATGATTGAATTAATTTATTGAATGTAAGTTCAATATACCTCTTTCTTTTGTAAATTGTCTAGTCTTGGGTATGTCTTTATCAGCAGCATGAAAACAGACTAATACGGTAAATTGGTATCAGTAGAGTGTGGGGCTGCTGAAAACATACCCGAAAATGTGGAAGCAGCTTTAGAACTGGGTAATAGGAAGAGGTTGGAACAGTTTGGAGGGCTCAGAAGAAGACAGGAAAGGGTGAGAAACTTTGGAGCTCCCTAGAGGCTTGTTGAATGGCTTTGTCCAAAATGCTGATAGCAATATGAACAATAAAGTCCAGGCTGAGGTGGTCTCAGATGGAGATGAGGAACTTGTTGGGCACTGAAGTAAAGGTGACACTTATTATGTTTTAGCAAAGAGACTGGTGGCATTTTGCCCCTGCCCTAGGGATTTGTGGAACTTTGAACTTGAAAGAGATGATTTAGGCCGGGCGCGGTGGCTCACGCCTGTAATCCCAGCACTTTGGGAGGCCGAGGCGGGTGGATCATGAGGTCAGGAGATCGAGACCATCCTGGCTAACAAGGTGAAACCCCGTCTCTACTAAAAATACAAAAAAATTAGCCAGGCGCGGTGGCGGGCGCCTGTAGTCCCAGCTACTCGGGAGGCTGAGGCAGGAGAATGGCGTGAACCCGGGAAGCGGAGCTTGCAGTGAGCCGAGATTGCGCCACTGCAGTCCGCAGTCCGGCCTGGGCGACAGAGCGAGACTCCGTCTCAAAAAAAAGAAAAAAAAAAAAAAAAAAAGAGATGATTTAGGGTATCTGGCAGAAGAAATTTCTAAGCAGCAAAGCATTCAAGAGGTGACTTGGGTGCTGTTAAAAGCATTCAGTTTTAAAAGGAAAACAGAGCATAAAAACTTGGAAAATTTGCAGCCTGTCAATGCACTAGAAGAGAAAACCACATTTTCTGAGGAGAAATTCAAGCCAGCTGCAGAAATTTGCATAAGTAGCAGAATGTTAATCCTCAAGACAACGGGGAAAATGTCTCTAGGGCATGTCAGAGACCTTCATAGCAGCCCCTCCTTCCTAGCCTGGAGGCCTAGGAAGAAAATATAATTTCATGGGCCAAGCTGAAGGTCACTTTGCCATGTGCAGCCTAAGGACTTCGTGCTCTGTGTCCCAGCCACTTCAGCTGTGGCTGAAAGAGACCAACATAGAGCTGGAGCCATGGCTTCAGAAAGTGAAAGCCTGAAGCCTTGGCAGCTTCTATGTGGTGTTGAGCCTGCAAGTGCACAGAAATCAAGAATTGAGATTTGGGAACCTCTGCCTAGAGTTCAGAGGGTGTATGGAAATGCCTGGATGCCCAGGCATGTTTGCTGCAGGGGCAGGGCCCTCATGGAAAACCTCTGCTATGGCTGTGCAGAGGGGAAATGTGGGGTCAGAGCCCCCATGCAGAGTCCCTACTGGGATCCACCTAGTGGAACTGTTAGAAGTGGGCCACCGTCCTCCAGACCCCAGAATAGTAGATCCACCTATAGCTTGTACCGCGTGACTGGAAAAGCTGCAGACACTCGACGCCAGCCCGTGAAAGCAGCCGAGGGAGTGGGGGAGGCTGTACCCTGCAAAGCCATAGGGGTGGAGCTGCACAAGACCATGTGAACCCGCCTCTTGCGTCAGCGTGACTCAGATGCGAGACGTGGAGTCAAAGGAGATCATTTTGGAGCTTGTAGATTTGACTGCCCTGCTAGATTTTGGACTTGCATGGGGCCTGTAGCCCCTTTGTTTTGGCCAATTTCTCCCATTTGTAATGGCTGTATTTACCCAATGCCTGTATGCTTATTGTATCTAGAAAGTAACTAACTTGCTTTTGATTTTATGGGCTCATAGGTGGAAGTGGCTTGCCTTGTCTTGGATGAGACTTTGGACTAGAGACTTTTGAGTTAATTCTGAAATGAGTTAAGACTTTGAGGGATTGGTGGGAAGGCATGATTGGTTTTGAAATGTGAGGACATGAATTTTGGGAGGGGCCAGAGATGGAATGATATGATTTGGCTGTGTCCCCACCCAAATCTTGTCTTGAATTCCCACGTGTTGTGGAAGGGACTAAGTGGGAAGTAATTAAATCATGGGGCAGGTCTTTCCCATGCTTGTTCTCCTGATAGTGAATAAGTCTCATGAGATCTGATGGTTTTAAAAATGCGAGTCTTCCTGCACAAGCTCTCTTGTCTGCTGCCATGTGACACATGCCTTTCATCTTCCACCATGATTGTGAGGCCTCCCCACCCAAGTGGAACTGTAAATCAAATGAACTTCTTTCTTTGTAAATTGCCCAGTCTCTGGTATATCTTTATCAGCAGTGTGAAAACAGACTAATACAGGCTCCATTCCCCATATTAATGTATAAAATTTAGGGACCCAAGATGATAGACATACCCCTAACTTTTATTGACAAAATAAGTGGATCCTAAGGTCAAAGGAGCTGAGGGGTTAAGGAGCAGGAGAGTCTTCATTGTTTCCCTTCAGAACTGACAGACTTTACTTCTCCTATTCCATTGGCCGGGTAGTCAGATATCTGTTCTTAATTGCAAGGAAGAAAATGAAAAGTGATCTGTACCCCCTTTTACTATTCTGAAAATATTTTAATTTTATCCATATCTGATTAATAGTTTGTCTGGGTTGAGAAATATCCATAAATGTATTAGTCTGTTGTCTGTTGCATATAACAGAATACATGAAACTGGAGAATGTATAAAGAAAATCAATTTATTTCTTACATTTAGGAGGCTGATAAGTCCAATGTCATGGGGCTGCGTCTTGTGAGAGCCTTCTTGTTGTGGGGACTCTCTGCAGAGTCCCAAGGTGGCACAGGGCATGACATGGTGAGGGGGCTGAGAATGCTAACATGCTAGTTCAGGTCTCTCTTTCTTTTCCTATAAAGCCACCAGTTCCCCTCCTGTGATAACACATTAGGCCATGAATCCATGCATAGATAAATCCATTGATGAGGGCAGAGTCTTATGACCCAGGAATTTCTTAAAGGTCCCACCTCTCAATATTTCCCCTTTGTAGACTCTTTCAACATGAGTTTTAGAGGGGACAAACATTCAAACCTTAGCAATAAGAAAGAAATTTTGTTGTATAAGTATCACTCTTTAACAAATGGAGAAACACCCACAGAGAGCTGCAGAGCTTGTAAGTAGTAGAACTGAGATTGAGCCAATTGTTTGACTTTAAACCAGAAGCAATGTTGTGTGTTCATTGCACCTGTTTTATTTTCCCCCTGGGCAAACAGATAAACTAGACTTGTCAGCCTCCTTCCATTAGGTTTGGCTCTGTGACTGAATTTTGGCCAGCAGATTGGAGCAGCAGTGATATATCCTACTTCCAGGCCTGATCCATAAAAATCTCTCACATGCAATTCTCCATTCTCTTTCTCCCCTCATGGTAAACCTGGTTGTTGATAAGTTGAACCGTGGCACAATGAAATGAAGAGATCTTGAGTCTCTAAGTGGTGTTATGAAGCAGAATCCTTCTACTCTAAACTCATGGGACAATAAATGATTAAATAATGAACTTTTAGGCTGGGTGCGGTGGCTCACACCTGTAATCCCAGCACTTTGGGAGGCCAAGGCGGGCAGATCACAAGGTCAGGAGATTGAGACCATCCTGGCTAACATGGTGAAACCCCATCTCTATTAAAAATACAAAAAATTAGCCAGGCATGGTGGTGGGCACCTGTAGTCTCAGCTACTCAGGAGGGTGAGGCAGGAGAATGGCATGAAGCTGGGAGGCAGAGCTTGCAGTGAGCCGAGATCACGGCCACCGCACTCCAGCCTGGGGCAACAGAGCGAGACTCCATCTCAAAAAAAAAAAAAAAAAATGAACTTTTACAGTGTTAAGTCACTGAGGTTTTGGTTTTAGCTATTTTACCAGGCAATACTGTTTTCCCTGCCTAGAGAAATAGATACCAGAAATAGAGTGCTGCCATAATGAATACTTGAAATAAGTGTCTTTGATTTGGTGGTCAGGCAGCAAGTGACAAAGAAACTCATGACAGGGGATGGAAGGATGATAGCTCATGTTACACAGTGACAAAACAAACTGTTTTGTATAATAAGTTGGAAGACAGACAATATGCCTTCTATTCCCACAATGCTAGGAACAGTATTGAGAAGAACTTGTCAGTGTGTAAGTTACTAAAGATGAGAACTGGCTAGCTTGCCAGCAGAAATGAAAGAGTGTAAAATGAATCCAGAAATGCAAATCCATGAAGAATTGGAAAAACCAGTTGCTTCTATACCACATAGAGAAGACACAATAGATAAATAATTCTAGTAATAAAATTTTATGAGTACCAAGCCCTGGGGCAAATAGCAGATTAAGGTTATGGCCCATTGTAGCCTGACAGCCTCAAGATAGAAGCCATTCTATTAAGAAAGAAGCAGCAAGTGAGAAGGCAAATAAAACAGATTTGAGAGCTATGTTTAGGAAAAAGGATTTTGGTTTTATTAGCATATGAAACTGATTGGGAGCAAATACATGGGAAGTATATTAAGGTTTTGAACAAATTGTATTTCCAAAAACCTCCACCAGCCTGGACTAAAAATTTCTTCATTTGAGTTGTAAAACAAGTTTTGGGATACCTAGTTTGTTCCAGGAGTAAGCAGGCTGAGAAAGTTGTGCAGACCCCAAGAAGAGCATACCTTATAATGCTCACTGTCATAGCCCATTTTGTGCTGCTATAACAGAAGGCCACAGACAGGGTGATTTATAATAAAGAGAAATGTATTAGATCATGGTTCTGGAGGCTGGCAAGCCCAATATTAAGGTGCTGGTGTCTGGGAAGGGACTTCCTGCTGTACCACCACACGGCAGAAGGCAAGAGGGTGGGAGTAAGAGGAGGAAGAACTTGTAGGGTAGAGTCCTCATGGCCTAATCACGTCCTAAAGGTCCCATTTCTTAATAATGTTATAATGGTAATTAAACTTCAGTATAAGTTTTGAAAGAGACAAATATTGAAACCATAGCACACACTTAATATGTGACTCAGGGGAATAAAAGACACGGAAGAATCTCTAGGAAGGCAAAGATACTGAGAAAAATAGAGTAAGTTAGTTAGTTCCAGAATACAGAATTGTGACCTAACCAACAAAATTTTCCTACTTACATGGCAGAGGGATATCACAGTGCCTGTGCCAAAATATTTAGTCATTTCTATGGACTGCCCAGCTTCTCCCATTTTTCTTTTTTCTGCATGAGTCTGTTAATTACAATCATCAATATAGCATTCTGGAAAATGGGATCTCTGATAAAAAAAAGCCCTGTTGTATAGCCCTTGCCATTTTCCGTAGTATATATACTCCTATTGCTGATTTTAAGTTACCAACATGATGTCATTGAATATGGAGTTAGGAAGATGTGTACACAATTGGTTCTCATACTCTGCACTTGTACAAGCCAGATCCATCAGGTTACTACCATCATCTGTGCCTTCTCCACCACAGTATTCTGAATATGCCTGTGAAGGATGCAGGGAAGATAACTTTTTTTGATTCATAGGTTACCAAAACAAAGCAAGATATATCTGAATGTGATTAACATAACTGTACATCACCCAGACATCTTAGGTACTGAGATATTTGCAGAGCTTAAGTGGCACTTTAGGTGCTTTCTTAGGGAACTTACATATGTGTTTTATGTGTAAAAGGAGGAGTTTGCCAAATAACTGGTGACTGAAAGGACATACATGTGGAGAAAACTTGCTATGTGTTTATCAACTCTGTCTTGTTCTTCCTGATATTATTGTTAAATTACACCACTCAGCTCTCTTGCAAACAGGTTGGGACATATAACTGAGTTCTGACTAATGAAATGTGGGAAGAGATGATATAAGCCTCTTCCCATTCTGACCCTGTATCAGTTAGTTTTCAATGTATAACAAACTACACCAAACTTTATGGTTTCAAGCAACATAATCATTTTATTTGCTCATGATTCATTGAGTCTGCCCAGATCTTCAGATCTGAGTAAGCTGAATGATCTCTGGAGGTAAATTTGTAACTAGAGTAGGGCTGTAGAGACTAGGATGTCATCACTTATGTGTTTAGGCTTCAGCTGGGACAGATGGGATGATTGAGACTCTCTCCATGTAGTTGCTCCAGTTAGCTAGCCTGGGTTTCTTCACATGGTGGTTTGGGGTTTCCAACAAGAAGAGAGAGCAAGCCCCAATGTTTAATCACTTTCCAATCTTCTGTTTGCATCACATTTGTGATAACCCAATGGCCAAAGAAGATCATAGGACCAAATTAAGATTCAAGGGATAAGAGAATAAAACTCTAACTTTGGATGGGAAAAGCTTCAAAATCACATGCAAACAGAAATTCATAGTGATGTAGGAGATTATTGCAGCCATTGTTTTCAATTACCACAGACCCATAAGAATCTCACACATGCAATATTCTCATAAAAATTATGTAGTTCTCCATAAAAATCATGAGGAAAACTCTCTTTTCCTTCCATGGAGACTTTAGAAGTCACATGTAGAAGATGTCAGTGCCACCAAATGGAAAGTTGTGTGTCTCTTATTGACTGTATGGAGCATAACCTACCCTTTTATTCACCAACACACACACACACACACACACACATACACCAATATTGTTGGACTCTGGAGTGAGTAATAAACTTTCATTGTACAAAGCTAATGAGGGTTTGGGGTTGATCATTATAGCATACAGCACTTATTCTGAAGGACTATCATGAGGTTTATTTCCTAAAATTTATCCAGGATACCAGAAGGAAGAAAATTATCAGTGTTTCTTTTTCACATATGTGTATGCATGATGTGTTGGGACCATTATAGCAAACCCTGATGTGGCCTTCATGGACAGGGGTAAGAGCTTTAAACAGTGCATGCAGTTGTTCAACTTGCCTGGAAGGAGAGATGACCAAAATAATGATCAACTACACTAACACAAGGGCAGCAAATAATTGTTTGCTTAGATTATCAGAGATTTTGAAAGACTACATTTGTGGTAGAGTAGCAAGTAATTCTGGGAAGAAATGTACGGGCGTGATACACTTGCTCAACAGTCTAATGAATAAAGTTGCTATGGCAGCAAGAATAGGGGTTATACAAGGCCTCAAGAACAAGGACTTTCCCTACTAAGAACTATCCTGTTTGTGATTGCTCCTGAGTTACCTGCCTGCAAATAGTGGAGGACCATGCTGAGTCCCCAGTATAAAATGATTCCCCAAGTAATAGCCAACCACCAGGAGGCTAACCTTCATTTTCACTGGGAAAGACCCTCTGAATAGGGATCTGCTTTCCCTGCCCACAATGCTTTTGCACCTAGTCCCATCCATGGATATCCTGAGTGCCTCATTTGATATCACAATATCCTACACAGCATTGCTTTTGCTTTACAGCTTAAGAAATGAGGCATTGGCTCACATCTTTGGAACTGACTAACTCACATTCTCGACATTCACCCAATTACCCAGAAGCGACTAAGCAGGTTGATTGGTAGAATAGATTACTAAGACGGCTAACAATACCTTGCATAATTGGATAGCTGCCCTACTCAGTGAGATATATTTTTATACCTTCTGATCAATTTATGGATCACCTATAGCCAAAATATATAGGTCTTGGAACGAAAAAGGCAGAAAAAAATGGCTGTTTCTCATTATTGTCCTTAATGGTCTACTTAGAAAGTTGTACTTCTCATCCCTGCAATGCTTGGATCTACTGGTTTTGAAGTCTTAGTTGCTAAAGGAGAAAGTGCACACTGGGTAAACAACAAAGATCATAATGACTAAAAGTTGTGTATGTCAGCTAGTGATTTGGGTTCTTCATACCAGTGAACTAACAGTTAAGAAAGGAAGTTACTTTATTTTCTAGGGTAATTGATTCTGCTTATCAAGGACAAATAAGGTTGCTGCTACACAATAGGAATTTATTGGAAGGAAATTTTATGAGACCCCTCTTAGTACTTCAAAAATGTCTAGAGGCCAAAGTTGATGGAAGACTAAAGCAACTCTGTGATCAAGATCACTAATGTTTCAGACCCTCAAGAATGGAGGTTTGGGCTATTATTTCAAGTAAAGAGCCATTATCTGCTGAAGTTTTGGCTGAGAGAATAGAGAACATGGAACAACCAGTTACAGAATTGAGAACACAGTAGCTATGCACATTTTCTTTCTTCACTGTTAAATATACATTTACCAAATTCTTTTTCCCTTCCTCCTTATATTAAAGTGTTGGTGGTAGATGGCCTAATAGGAACAGCTCTGGTCTGCAGCTTCCAGCGTGATCGACACAGAAGATGGGTGATTTCAACATTTCCAACTGAGGTACCTGGTTCATCTCATTGGGACTGGTTGGACAGTGGGTGCAGCCCACGGAGGGCAAGCTGAAGCAGGGCGGGGCATTGCCTCAACAGGGAAGTGCAAGAGGTCAGGGGATTTCCCTTTCCTAGCCAAGGAAAGCCATGGCAGACTGTACCTGGAAAAAACAGGACACTCCCGCTCAAATACTGCACTTTTCCAACAGTCTTAGCAAATGGCACACAGGAGATTATATCCCGTGCCTGCTTCAGAGGGTCCCACACCCACAGAGCCTTGTTCACTGCTAGCACAGCAGTCTGATATCAATCTGTGAGGCAGCAGCCCAGCAGGGGGAAGGGTGTCCGTCATTACTGAGGCTTGAGTAGGTAAACAAAGCGGCCAGGAAGTTTGAACTGGGCAGACCCCACCGCAGTGCTGCAAGGCTTTCTAATTCTATAGACTCCACCTCTGGGGGCAGGTTATAGCTGAACAAAAGGCAGCAGAAACTTCTGTAGACTTAAACATCCCTGTCTGACAGCTCTGAAGAGAGCAGTGGTTCTCCCAGCATGGTGTTTGAGCTCTGAGAACAGACAGACTGCCTCCTCAAGTGGGTCCCTGACCCAAGTATAACCTAACTAGGAGACACCTCCCAGTAGGGACCGACTGACACCTCATACAGGCAGGTGCCCCTCTGGGACGAAGCTGCCAGAGGAGGGATCAGGCAGCAATATTTGCTGTTCTGCAATATTTGCTGTTCTGCAGTCTCCACTGGTGATACCCAGGCAAATAGGGTCTGGAGTGGACCTCCAGCAAACTCCAACAGACCTGCAGCTGAGGGTCCTGACTGTTAGAAGGAAAACTAACAAACAGAAAGGAATAGCATCAACATTAACAAAAAGGACATCCACATCAAAACCCCATCTGTAGGTCACCAACATCAAAGATCAAAGGTAGATAAAACCATAAAGATGGGGAGAAACCAGAGCAGAAAAGCTGAAAATTCTAAAAACCAGAGCGTCTCTTCTCCAAAGGATCACAGCTCCATGTCAGCAATGGAACAAAGCTGGACAGAGAATGACTTTGATGAGGTGACAGAAGTAGCCTTCAGAAGGTCGGTAAAAACAAACTTCTCTGAGCTAAAGGAGGATGTTTGAACCCGTTGCAAGGAAGCTACAAACCTTGAAAAAAGATTAGACGAATGGCTAACTAGAATAAACATGTAGAGAAGACCTTAAATGACATGATGGAGATGAAAACCATGGCATGAGAAGTACATGATGCATGCACAAGGTTCAGTAGACAATTCCATCAAGTGGAAGAAAGGGTATCAGTGATTGAAGATCAAATTAATGAAATAAAGCTGGAAGAGAAGTTTAGAGAAAAAAGAAATGAACAAACTCTCCAAGAAATATGGAATTATGTGAAAAGACCAAATCTACATTTGATTGGTGTACCTGAAAGTGACAGGCAGAGTGAAACCAAGTTGGAAAACACTCTTCAGGATATTATCCAGGAGAAAATTCCCCAACCTAGCAAGACAGGCCAACATTCAAATTCAGGAAATACAGAGAACACCACAAAGATACTCCTTGAGAAGAGCAACACCAAGACTCATAGTTGTCTGATTCACCAAGGTTGAAATGCAGAAAAATATGTTAAGGGCAGCCAGAGAGAAAGTTTGAGTTATCCACAAAGGGAAGCCCATCAGACAACAGCGGATCTCTTGGCAGAAACTCTACAAGCGAGATGAGAGTGGAGGCCAATATTCAACGCTCTTAAAGAAAAGAATTTTCGGCCAGGTGTGGTGGCTCATGCCTGTAATTCCAGCACTTTGAGAGGCTGAGGTAGGTGGATCACAAGGTCAGAAGATTGAGACCATCCTGGCTAACATGGTGAAACCCTGTCTCTACTAAAAATACAAAAAAATTAGCCGGGTGTGGTGGCAGGCATCTGTAGTCCCAGCTACTCAGGAGGCTGAGGCAGGAGAATGGCGGGAACCTGGGAGGCGGAGCTTGCAGTGAGCCAAGATTGTGCCACTGCACTCCAGCCTGGGGGACAGAGCGAGATTCTGCCTCAAAAAAAAAAAAAAAAAAAAAAGAAAAGAAAAGAATTTTCAACCCAGATTTTCATATCCAGCCAAACTAAGCTTCATAAGTGAAGGTGAAATAAAATCCTTTACAGACAAGCAAATGCTGAGAGAATTTGGTCACCACCAGGCCTGCCTTACAAGAGCTCTTGAAGGAAGCACTAAACATGGAAAGAACAACCAGTACCAGCCATTGAAAAACATGCCAAATTGTAAAGGCCATCGAAGCTATGAAGCAACTGCATCAATTAATGGGCAAAATAACCAGCTAACATCATAATGACAGGATCAAATTCACACATAACAATATTAACCTTAAATGTAAATGGGCTAAATGCCCCAAATAAAAGACACAGACTGGCAAATTGGATAAAGAGTCAAGACCCATCAGTGTGCTGTATTCAGGAGACCCATCTCACATGCAAAGACACACATAGGCTCAAAATAAAGGGATGGAGGAAGATCTACCAAGCAAATGGAAAGTAAAAAAAAAAAAAAGCAGGGGTTGCAATCCTAGTCTCTGATAAAACAGACTTTAAACCAACAAAGATCAAAAGAGAAAAAGAAGGGCATCACATAATGGTAAAGGGATCAATTCAGCAGGAAGGGCTAACTATCCTAAATGTATATGCACCCAATACAGGAGTACCCAGATTCATAAAGCAAGTCCTTAGAGACCTACAAAGAGACTTAGACTTCCACACAATAATAATGGGAAACCTTAACACCCCACTGTCAATATTAGACAGATTAATGAGACAGAAAGTTAACAAGGATATCCCGGAATTGAACTCAGCTCTGCACCAAGTGGACCTAATAGACATGTACAGAACTCTCCACCCCAAATCAACAGAGTATACATTGTTCTCAGCACCACATTGCACTTATTCCAAAATTGACCATGTAGTTGGAAGTAAGCACTCCTCAGCAAATGTAAAAGAACGGAAATCACAACGAACTGTCTCTCAGGCCACAGTGCAATCAAACTAGAACTCAGGATTAAGAAACTCACTCCAAACTGCACAACTACATGGAAACTGAACAACCTGCTCCTGAATGACTACTGGGTAAATAACGAAATGAAGGCAGAAAAAAAGATGTTCTTTGAAACCAATGAGAGGAAAGACACAATGTACCAGAATCTCTGGGACACATTTAAATCAGTGTGTAGAGGGAAATTTATAGCACTAAATGCCCACAAGAGAAAGCAGGAAAGATCTAAAATTGACACCCTAACATCACAATTAAAAGAACTAGAGAAGCAAGAGCAAACACATTCAAAAGCTAGCAGAAGGCAAGAAATAACTAAGATCAGAGCAGAACTGAAGGAAATAGAGACACAAAAAACCCTTCAAAAAATCAATGAATTCAGGAGCTGGTTTTTTGAAAAGATCAACAAAACTGATAGACTGCTAGCAAGACTAATAGAGAAGAAAAGAGAGAAGAATCAAATAGACGCAATAAAAAACAATAAAGGGGATACACCACTGATTCCACAGAAATGCAAACTACCATCAGAGAATACTATAAACACCTCTATGCAAATAAACTAGAAAATTTAGAAGCAATGGATGAATTCCTGGACATATACACCCTCCCAAGACTGAATCAGGAAGATGTTGAATCTCTAAACAGAACAATAACAGGCTCTGAAATGGAGGTGATAATTAGTAGCCTACCAACCAAAAAAAGTGATGGACCAGGACCAGACGGATTCACAGCCTAATTCTACCAGAGGTACAAACAGGAGCTGGTACCATTCCTTCTGAAATTTTCCAATCAATAGAAAAAGAGGGAATCCTCCCTAACTCATTTTATGAGACCAGCATCATCCTGATACCGAAGCCTGGCAGAGACACAACAAAAAAAGAATTTTAGACCAATATCTCTGACCAACATTGACATAAAAATCCTCAATAAAATACTGGCAAACCAAATCCAGCAGCACATCAAAAACTTATCCACCACGATCAAGTTGGCTTCATCCCTGGGATGCAAGGCTGGTTCAACATACACAAATCAATAGACATAATTCATCACACAAACAGAACCAACGACAAAACCACATGATTATCGCAATAGATGCACAAAAGGCCTTTGAAAAAATTCAACAGCCTTTCATGCTGAAAACTCTCAATAAACTAGGTATTGATGGAACATTTCTCAAAATAATAAGAGCTATTTATGACAAACCCACAGCCAATATCATACTGAATGGGCAAAAACTGGAAGCATTCCCTTTGAAAACCGGCACAACACAGGGGTGCCCTCTCTCACCACTCCTGTTCAACATAGTGTTGGAAGTTCTGGCCAGAGCAATCAGGCAGGAGAAAGAAATCAAGAGTATTCAATTAGGAAAAGAGGAAGTCAAATTGTCCCTGTTTGCAGATGACATGATTTTATATTTAGAAAACCCCATCATCTCAGCCCAAAATCTCCTTAAGCTGATAAGCAACTTCAGTAAAGTCTCAGGATACAAAATCAATGTGCAAAAATCACAAGCATTCCTATACACCAATAACAGACAAACAGAGAACCAAATCATGAGTGAACTCCCATTCACCATTGCTACAAAGAGAATAAAATACCTAGGAATCCAATTTACAAGTGCTATGAAGGATCTCTTCAAGGAGACCTACAAACTGCTGCTCAATGAAATAAAAGAGGACACAAACAAATGGAAGAACATTCCATGCTCATGGATAGGAAGAATCAGTATCGTGAAAATGGTCATACTGCCCAAGGTAATTTATAGATTCAATGCCCTCCCCATCAAGCTACCAATGACTTTCTTCACAGAATTGGAAAAAACTACTTTAAAGTTCATATGGAACCAGAAAAGAGCCTGCATTGCCAAGGGAATCCTAAGCCAAAAGAACAAAGCTGGAGGCATCACACTACCTGACTTCAAACTATACTACAAGGCTACAGTAACCAAAACAGCATGGTACTGGTACCAAAACAGAGATATAGACCAGTGGAACAGAACAGAGGTCTCAGAAATAACACCACACATCTACAACCATCTGATCTTTGATAAACCTGACAAAAACAAGAAATGGGGAAAGGATTCCCTATTTGATAAATGGTGCTGGGAAAACTGGCTAGCCATATGTAGAAAGCTGAAACTGGATCCCTTCCTTATACCTTATACAAAAATTAATTCAAGATGGATTAAAGACTTAAATGTTAGACTTGAAACCATAAAAACCCTAGAAGAAAACTTAGGCAATACCACTCAGGACATAGGCATGGGCAAGGACTTCATGACTAAAACACCAAAAGCAATGAAAACAAAGCCACAATAGACAAATGGGATCTAATTAAACTAAAGAGCTTCTGCATAGCAAAAGAAACTACCATCAGAGTGAACAGGCAACCTACAGAATGGGAGAAAATTTTTGCAGTCTACCCATCTGACAGAGGGCTAATATCCAGAATCTAGAAAGAACTTAAATTTTCAAGAAAAAATCAAACAACCCCATCAAAAAATGGGCAAAGGATATGAACAGACACTTCTCAAAAGAAGACATTTATGCAGCCAACAGACACATGAAAAAATGCTCATCATCACTGGTCATCAGAGAAATGCAAATCAAAACCACAATGACATACCATCTCACACCAGTTAGAATGGTGATCATTACAAAGTCAGGAAACAACAGATGCTGGAGAGGATGTGGAGAAATAGGAAGACTTTTACACTGTTGGTGGGAGGGTAAATTAGTTCAACCATTGTGGAAGATAGTGTGGCGATTCCTCAAGAATCTGGAACTAGAAATACTATTTCACCCAGCGATCCCATTACTGGGTATATACCTAAGGGATTATAAATCATGGTACTATAAAGACACATGCACATGTATGTTTATTGCAGCACTATTCACAATAGAAAGGACTTGGAACCAACCCAGATGTCCATCAAAGATCGACTGGATTAAGAAAATGTGGCACATATACAGCATGTAATACTATGCAGCCATAAAAAAGGATGAGTTCATGTCCTTTTCAGGGACACGGATGAAGCTTGAAACCATCATTCCGAGCAAACTACTGCAAGGACAGAAAACCAAACACCACATGTTCTCACTCATAGGTGGGAATTGAACAATGAGAACACATGGACACAGGGAGAGGAGCATCACACACCAGAGCCTTTCGTGGGGTGGGGGCTAGGGGAGGGATACCATTAGGATAAATACCTAACGTAAATGACAAGTTTATGGGTGCAGCAAACCAACATGGCACATGTATACCCATGTAACAAACCTGTATGTTGTGCACATGTACCCTAGAACTTAGAGTATAATAATTTAAAAAAAGAAAAAAAAGGTGTTGGTGGTAGATACCTTATAATTTAGTCAATAAACTACAAAAGAGGAATTTAACTGAACTATGATTTATAAGAAAATGAATGAACAACAGAACATCATTCAGAGGTGGATACAGATACTGATAAAACCTGGGTTTCCTCACTTTAGGAGAGAATGAGTATGGCATTATTTGTGTGAGGAATAGTTAGATCAGATTTACCAGAATGATATTATTGTCTTGTTGTTCTGAAATTTAAACATCTGCGTAATTTTATTTATGGATGGTGAGTGTCCAAAAGGATAGATGATGTCAGGCATTGTTGAATCTCAGCACCATTCCTGCCTACTGAGACCCTCCCTGTATGCAGGATCTGGTTTACAAAATAGGTTTGGCTAATGACTGGCACTCATTCAAGAGTTGGAAGGTGAAAGGGAAAGATAAACCGTTATTCTCTGGCAGCAGCTCCTGGCAGACACAGGGGCAGACAGCGGACCTGAAATTTGATGTAGCTTCCTGGCTAAACCCTGCAAAACACCTGCTTCTGTGCTGCAGGCACAGAAATCCATCCGTGTCAACATCCCTGATTTTCTTTCCTTTCTGACTTCCTGGACATCAGCAGTTTTTGACCTCTTTTCTCTTGTCCTCCCAAAAGTTTGTAAGCATTTAATTTACTAATCTGAATTCTCTTCCTGCTTGAAATAGCCACAGCATTACTTCCAGTCTCCTGGGAAACTGTTGATAAATACCTGTTTTCTGTTGTTCCTCCACTATACCTATTCTGTGTTTAGCCCTGTGGGATGTGATTTAGGCATGGCTGTGTCTGCTAACTACTTGTTACATAGCAAACTACCCCAAATGTAGTGACATAAAACAACAGCCATTTTATTATGCTCACAAATTCCATGGGACAACAATTTTGGCATGATACAACATTGTGGCTTGTCTCTGCTGCATAGTATCTTGGCCTTTCTGGAAAGAAGCATAAGCTGGAGGTGACCCCACAGCTAAAGACTGAAATAAGCTGAAAGCTTGTTCACTCATGTGTCTGGCACCTGGCTTGGGAGGACTTGCAGACTACTGTTGTCAGCTGTGATGTGCACACATGGTCTCTCTGCGTGGTATAGCTTCCTCACAGCATGATAGCCAACGTCACTTCCACTGAACTACATTATATGATTGCAGTCATAAGCTCTCCCAAACTGAAGGAGAGGGCCATAGACCCCCAGTTCTTGATGTTAGAGGTGACTAGAAAATTGAAGCCATGTTTTAGAACTTTAATACCATCTGATTGAGAAGATAGAACAAATATACTTGAAGTTATAGTTCCTCCTACCGGAGAATCTCTTTTATCATTTGGGTCTCAAACTCTTTCTTGAGAGCCTTGATCTGACACCATATAGAACAGTGGTTAAGCACAGTGGCCATGAAGCCAGTATCTCAGTTTATTTTTTTATTTTTTATTTTAATTTAATTTAATTTTATTTCAGATGGAACTTCACTCTTGTTGCCCAGGCTGGGGTGCAATGGCATGATCTCAGCTCACTGCCACCTCTGCCTCCCAGGTTCAAACGATTCTCCTGCCTCAACCTCCTGAGTAGCTGGGATTACAGGCACCCACCACCATGCCCAGCTAATTTTTGTATTTTTAGTAGAGACAGGGTTTCGCCATGTTGGCCAGGCTGGTCTCGAACTCCTGACCTCAGGTGATCCACCTACCTAGCCTCCCAAAGTGCTGGGATTACAGGCATGAACCACTGCGCCCGGCCAGTATCTCAGTTTAAATCCCAACTGCACTGCATGCTAGGTATGTGCCCACAACATTACTCTTTTTGTGCTTGAGCATCTTCACAAATAAGAGGATAACAATTGTATCCACTTTAGAAGCTTGGTTTAAGCCTTGTAGTGAGTTGCATGATGGGCCCCAGCAAAAGACACTCTCTACCTGGAACCTGTGAATGTGACCTTATTTGGAAAAAAGAGTCTTTGTAAATGTAATCAAGTCAGAAATCTCAAGATGAGATTATTCTGGATTAGGGTGGGCCTTTATAAAAGAACAATAAGTGCCTTTATAAAGCAACAATTTTGTTTGACTTATAAGAAGTGCTAGGCCGGGAACGGTGGCTCACACCTGTAATCCCAGTACTTTGGGAGGCCGAGGAGGGCGGATCGCGAGGTCAGGAGGTTGAGACCATCCTGCCTAACACGGTGAAACCTCGTCTCTACTAAAAATGCAGAAAAATTAGCCGGGCGTGATGGCGGGCGCCTGCAGTCTCAGCTACACCGGAGGCTGAGGCAGGAGAATGGCCTGAACCCAGGAGGCGGAGCTTGCAGTGAGACGAGATCGCGCCACTGCACTCCAGCCTGGGCGACAGAGCGAGACTCCATCTCAAAAAAAAGAAGTGCTATATGAATGTTAACCGTCTTTACTTCAAATATCTCCCCTTCTCACCACTCTCAACCACATGACTTTGTTTCACAGTTCCTATCACTAGTTCAAATTTTCTTGTTTCTTATTATCTTCCTTCCTATACTAGAATGCAAACACATTGATAGCAGAATCCTTGTCTGTCTTTTTCACTGTTGGATCCCCAGTTAAACATGATGATCACTATGTACTGAATAAATGAGTAATCATATTGTTGTGGGAAAAAAAAATCACAGAAAAAGTAAGTGCTAAACTATATGGTCCAGTGGTATTTCAAATGGGAAGTTCGTCATGGAATAGTTTACAAGGCTTCATAAAAGACGTTGAAATTGAGATGGGATTTAAGGAGGATGTGAAGTTCAACATGGGAAACGTATACTGGAGGCTGGAAATAAGTCATTAATTTTTATATTCCCTCTTTATAATATGGGTGTCTAGAACATAAAAAAAACCTCAAAAATGTAATTTTAAATTTAGTTGAATTTAGGAGGGTAGGTATTCCAGGAAATGAATGGTATGAGTAACATATAAAGAAATTCTATGAGGAATCAATATATAAGTACAATGGAAGCAAACATTCTGAATCGACTTTTTTTGACAGCAGGATTGGAAAATCTTTTTCATATATAAACTTCTCCTACATCTGACTTAGCACTGATTCCATTTTATTTAGAAAGAGCTTCAGTTCTCCTGGAAATATGCCCACTAGGAAGACAAACCCCGAATCTTTACTGAAACCAGTGCTTATTCCAGTTTGGTTGTTATGAAGATAGATAGTGCTTCCAGCATTTCTAATCTCTGCTTACAAAACTAAAGATTCTTCATTTGGCCTGTTCATCACATCTTGCCTCTTTTCCCTGAATCAGGATGAATTTCCCCTTAAGTAAATCAAGCTTTTTTTTTTTTCTTTTTTGATTTTCTGTATTTTTTATAGTTCCTTCTCTTGGCTGCACATATGGTTATTGCATCATAAGGAAAATCAAAGCAAATACCAACTTTTTCTGTATTTTCTATGACTCCAAGCTATTTGCTTTCAAAAATGATTTCCTTTTATTAATAAGCAAGTGAATTGAACTGATTTTTTCAACTCAATTTCTAAGCATTTTGCTACACATCTAATTTTTTTGTTTTATTGTTATGACAGACTAGCAGACCATTTTCCTTTCTTATCTCAGTTGTGCAGTGACCTGTATAAACCAAACTACTTTTAAAAGATGTCTTAACAAGTAATCAGAATTGTAAACAACATAAATCAACATACACTGAAAATAACTCTCCAGAAAAGGCAGGCATCATTCAGAAACACTATGGTAAAAATGAAATCACAGAAGGAGATGTTAGAGTGTATGATACAATGACTAATTTTGCTGCCTGAATATTTCTCCTCTATTTTATGTTAACTATGCTGAAATAATGTTGAATTTTAATGAGAAAAAATTACATATAACTAATTTAAATACAGGCTGTTTATTTTCCAGCAGTCTCTTTTTCGCCTAAGATTCATCATCTGTAAAATGAAGATATTTATGGTGCTGTGTCCTGGGTTGATTCACCGTTATATAATTTTTTGGATTTTGTTTTGTTTTATTTTATCTCATTCCTGGGCACGATACTGACCCAGAGATATTTACTATAATAAAAGAAAAGCCATATTGATGGCACTGAAAAAGAGCCTAATGATTTATTTTTATTTTTTTATGGGGCACTGGACCCAAGCTTACCTAAACTGGGACGTCAAGAATCCTTTCCCTTTTATTCTTTCTTTTAAATCTTCTCTTTATAAAATCCTATAGAGTTGGTCATTCTGGAGAGTAGCTCTGCAGAGCATGATGCTGAAAGGCAGAAATGATCATGCAAAGGTGCTTGTTTAATTCACCCTGTTGAGCAATCGCCACAAACAGCCAAGGCAGATCTGCTTGAACGCCTGGTGCCACGCTGGGTTACAGTGATTACTCCTATTCAACAGAGGTGTCTCATGCAGCACACATCTTTTATTAGCTCTGAGATTATTTCTCTCTGGGGCCTTTCTACATCACTCCCTGGTTCTGTAATTAAGTTAGGTACCTAGAGATCCATCTTACTTTTTTCTACGCTGGGATATCACATAGTTGAGTTCTGCTTTGTTCATTTAGATGGAGGCAATGGGGAGTAAAAAACCCAGAATACCATCACCTAGTCTCAGATTTAATTGGTGAATATTCTTTTGGATGGAAATGCATCTGCTCAGTGAAATTGTAAATGGCTACTTACCTCTTGGAACTGAATCACTTCTAGTCTGCTTTTTCTGTGTCTCCCATAATAGAACAGTAAACAATTCAAGGGCAGGGTTATTTATTCTCTTTTGCTTCCTAGGTGCTTCACCTAACATCTTCCAGCACACACCTACAGTCCTATTTAAATAACAATTATCCCACACTGAGTCAGAGCAAATAATAAAGCTTACTGCAGATTCATTTCAAGCCCCAGTGAACTGGAAGGTCAAAACCTGGGGGCGGGGCGGGGAACCACCCTAAAAAACAAATAACTCAGCCTCTCTCAAGCTCCAATAACAACTTGTAGAACTCAATGGCAGAAACAGTGCCTGAAATATTATTTATCACTTCAAACTATCAAATTACTCTTTTGTTTTAATTTGGGGGCAAATCTCTGACATTACACATACTTGTAGTCCAATTATATAGCAATTAAGGAGAGATTAAACAGTGTTAGACTCATTTCCAAACACTTTACCTACACTAATTCATTCAATGCTTACCACAACCCCATAAGATAGGTACTGTAATTATCTCCATTTTGCAGATGAGGAAACTGAGATGTGCAGAGGTTAGTAATTTGCCCAAAGTCACACAGATAACAATAGGATCAGAGAGGTTTAACCCTATGTAGTGGAAAAAAAAATTGACAAAATAAATTTAACAGAGTTTATTTGTGAAAAGAACTGTTTGTGAATTAGGAAGCCCTCATGATCAGGAGAGGTTGGAGAATTCTACTCTGTAACATGGGCATGGGCAGTGAGTATTTATAGAGAGAAAAAAACTGAAGAAAGCAGAAAAAAGAACAGAAAGCAGTTTGGTTATTTCAAAGTTATTTTCCTTGTAAAGGTTAAAGCAGAGAAAATGTCCTTATTATGCCAACTAAAACTGGCCTGTTTTGGAACTTGGTTATTATTTCTCTTCCTCCTGATTGCTCAGAAGTTCAGATAAACAACTTAGTTTTGTCTTGGTGATGTTTTATTTTAGCATGAGTGACTCCATTTTGGTTTGGTTTGTTGAGGCCTAGTGCAGAGCTCTGTCCAAATCAATCAATGGCTTTCTATGAATTTTATTTAACAGTTATTTGGTTCTGAAACCTGGAACTCTTCCCAAACAGGCTTGACCAATACCTACTTATTGAAATGCAAATATGAGGAAAATGCTTTCAAGTGTTCTTGCAATTTGGTTCCTTAATCATGCCAGTTTCTCTATCCCTACACCTTGTCTAACATTATGTTCTTAGGAAAAGACGAGGAGTAGGTCTAAGAAGAAGTTACAGTGTAGGGAGCTCCTCTGGTCATACAGAAAGAAGAGGAAAACTTGACTCTTGTCCTCCTGGGTGAATAGGCAGAGATATAGGAGATAAGATTGAAAGAAGAGTTGAGCCACTTGTGTCTTAGTCTCCCTTTTTGGACTGAAGTCTGAGATGGCGAGATAAGTTAGAGAAGATGTGGGAAAACTAATAGCAGGGGAAGTTTGTCCTACATCTAGATAGAAACTTTGGGAGATGAATCTTCAGCTCCCCCCTGCAATAACCTGAGGAAACTGCATGGTGAGATGGAGTGAGAGACTGACTCAGTGTTCTCAAATCATGGAAGAAACTCTGATGTTCCCCTAAGGCTCATTTGGAGGATGATTAGAGCCTGGCTGGGTCAAACTCACTAAATGGGGTGAACCTTTAATCAAAGCCAAAACTGCAGGTGGAGTACCTGAGTCTTAGGTTTACATTGGTCTTTTGGGGCACCAGTGAGAATGAAGATAAGGCTGAACCTGCAGCAGAGACTACTAGGACCTAATCAGCTGAATAAGCATGGCCAGGAATTACACAAACTAGCAGATGCCAGCAGTGTACCTACAGGGAGGATCAGAATGTCCACACCTTGGCAGCACAACTAGAGACCAACAAGGCACCAGGAGCCTCTCATTTTTGTGTTTTTAACTGGAAAAATTAAAATGTGATTTTTAAAAACACTAAGTTATGTGCAAATGTCACCTTGAAGCAGCTGCAAATAGCTAGAAGAGGGGTTAGTCTGAAAAAAAAATTGAGTCATTTTTTTTAAAGACACTGAAGAGCCTAAAGTGACTTTAAATTATTCCATTATGCTCTGACTTAATTAAAATTAAAGTTTTATTTCCTACTACTATTGAAGTGAGATTCATGAGGAAAATCAATAAAAGGGAATAAATAACTACCTTTTCTTCACCTTGGTATTGTAGTGTTTTAAATTTTGATTTGGCTGCAAAAGAAAATTAGCCGGGCGTGGTGGTGGGTGCCTGCAATCCCAGCTATTCAGGAGGTTGAGACAGAGAATTGCTTGAACCCAAGAGGCGGAGGTTGCAGTGAGCCAAGATCATGCCACCGCACTGCAGCCTGGGCGACAGAGTGAGACTCCATCTCAAAACAAAAACAAAAACAAAAAAACAAACAATCAAGAAAACACAAAATATGCAAGGCTTTGCATACATCTCTGCTCTATGGGCAGAATATAGTGTAATGTTGCTTTTAAACTTATTTTTAAAGGGTAAACATTAGAAATTAGCTCCTAGTAAAGGTTGAAAAAGTTCTATTTATCCTCAACCCTCTTGAAGAATGTTATTAAAGATGTGAAAATGCCTCAAAATATTAAGTAAATGCTAAGATTATCTAAATTTTTATGGGTTAAACTATTGCTAAAATCTAATTGATCATGTAATACATTAGTTTGGTTATCTATTGATGCATACTAAACAGCCCTAAAATTTCATAGCTTAAAATAACCATGATTTATTGTCCACAATTCTGCAATTTGAGCTGGGTTCAGCTGGGTGGATCTTCTGCTGTCCTTGCCTGTGCTGATTCATATGAAGGCAAGCCTCTGGTGACTCAGTTGAGTCTAAGACACAACGTCTAAGTTGATCTCATTCAAATGTCTAGTCACTTGGTGTTGGATGTTAGCTAGAACTCTCTCTCCATGTAGTTTCTCACTGTTCAGTAGTCCAGTCTGAGCTTCCACACATTGCACAAAGAATGTTACAAAAGAGTGAAGGGGAATGTTTCAGTCTTTTGAGGCCTGGACTCTACTGATATAAAATTACTTCCTCTACATTCTACTGTCACAGAAAGTCAGATGGCCAGCTCAGATTTGGGGCTGGCGAAAGGAATTCTACCACTACATGAAAGAAACAACAAAATATCTTAGGTATTTTTTCCAGTGCATCTCACATACCTGCCACCTGTTCTGTGGTTCTATGGTTAAAATGGAATTTAATACATATTTTAAGCTCCATAAGACATTGCTGTTAATTTTTATATATTTACTTTTCACTTATACTTAATTTCCTATTTACCTTTTCTATCATTTTCCATTCTTTCTTCCATTAAATTAAAAAATCTATGTAAGATCATTTTTCTTTTGTCTGAGGAATTTCCCCAATATTTTCTTTGGTGTGAGTCTGTTGTTGATTCTCTCTGTTTTGCTTGTCTGGAAATGCAAATATTTTACCTTTTGTTAAAAAAATATACTATTCTGGCTTGGCAGTTATTTTCTTTCAGAATTTTAAGCATATATTTCCATCAACTTCTGACTTCCATTATTGCTAGTGAGAAGACAGATGTTAGTCTTATTTAAGTTCCTTTCAAGGGAATATGTCTTTATCTCATCTGGTGCTTTTATGTTTTTGATTTTTTGTTATTTTTCATTAGTTTTATTACAATGTGTCTAGATAATTTGTAATCACTCTGTTTTAGGTTCTCAGAACTTGTTTCAGTGGCTTATGATCTGTGGCTTACATCTGTGGATATATTGCATTAATTTTGGAAAAAAATGTAATTTTCTCAGCAGAAGTATTTGTAAATTTGTAATTGTCAGATGCAGAAAAATATTATTATATCAGACTTCTGATTCTAATAGTGACCATTATTCTTACATTAGCAACCAAAGCAGACCAGATAAGCATAGTTTTTTAAAACCCAGCAGAGAGCTTGCAAACATAAGCAACCTAAATCAGCTAAACAATAGGAAGTGATGAGACTGTCACAGAAGAGAGACTATGGTTACTTTCCCCTCTGGCAGAAAAGGAGGAGGAGAAGGAGGAGGAATTCACTATAGATGAGGATCAGGAAAACAACTGAATCTTCAGCAAGTATTTAATGGCCATGAATGACCTGAAATAACACATTACCATTTCAGGGAGTTGTGTCTTCATAGAGGGTTAGCACCTTTGCACCAACTATTTTTCTTACTCGTCACTCAATACTTGAGTATAGTTTTCCAAAAGCTGGCAGCAGGATAGGAGAGGGGCATGGGAGATTTCCTAATTGCAAGAAAAGAGAAGGGTAAGAGGGCCAAGGGGTACCTTTGTTCTTTCCTTTCTTCTTTCTTTTCTCTCTTTCCATTGCTGTTGTAACAAATTACCAAAAACTTGGTGGTTTAAAATGATATAAATTTATTCCCTTAAGTTCAGAGGCCAAAATTCTGAAATCAGGTTCATTTTGCCAAAACCAGTGTGTCAACAGGGCTATGCACCTTCCAGAGACTCCACAAAATAATCTATTTCTTTGCCTTTTCTAGTTTCTGGAGCTGCATTTCTTGCATATATTGGCTCATGGCCCCTTAATCCATCTTTAAAGACTGAAGTGTAGCATCCTTAATCTCTCATTTTTTCTGCTGAGGTTGTCACAGCACCTTCTCTTCTGTCTCTATCAAATCTCCCTCTATATCCCTCTTAGTCCCTTATGATTGCATTTAGGACCTATCATCTAGAAAATCCAAGGTAATTTCCTCATCTCAAGATCCTCACTTTAATCATATATGCAAGGTTACTTTTGCTATACAAGATAACCTTCACAGCTTTCAGAGATTAGGACCTGGGTAGTTTTGAGAACTGTCATTCAGTTTACAACACTTTCTCTCTCCATCCTCCTTCTAATCCCTTCTTTTTTCCTATTCCTTTCCTTGTTCTATTACCTCCCTCCCTACTTCTCTGTCTCTCTTCCTTCCTTTAACAATATGTATTAAGTGCCTGCTACCTACTGGGTGATGTACTTGGCATTTATGTAGAGTTTTTTAATTACACAAAACAATACCATACGTTGCCTTATGTAGTCATTGCAATCTTCTTGAGTCATAGCTATGATCATTATATTTACAGATAAAGACACTTTTGTTCTTCTATATACTGAATGTTCATGTCCCCTCAAATTCATATGTTGAAACCTAATTCCTAATGGAATGATATTTGGCAGTGGGGCCTTTAGGAGATGCCTTGGTCCTTTTTGGCTGTTTAACAAAATGTCATAAACTGAGAAACTTACAAATGACAGAAATTTATTTTTCACGATGCGATTCTGGAAGTTAGAAAGTCCTAGATCAAAGAGCTAGCAAATTCAGAGTGTAGTAAGGCCCTAGTCCCTGGCTCATAAATGGTATCTTCTCACCACATCCTCACATGATTGGCATGAACAAGGCAGCTCTCTGGAGTCTCTTTCATAAGGGCACTAATCCTATGTATGAGGTCTATGCCCTTAAGACCTAATCACCTCCCCAAAGGTTCTGTCACCTTTGGGGTTAGCAAGAAGTGATCAGATTATGAAGGGGAAACTGACAGAAAGGGGATTAGTGCCCTTATATAAAGGCCTCAGAGAGCTCCCCTACTCCTTTCTGACATGTGAGGACATAGTGAAAAGATGGCTGTCTGTGAACCAGGAAAACTGGCCCTCACCAGACACCAAATCTGCTGTTGCCTTGATCTTCGACTTACCAGCCTCCAGAACTGTGAGAAATAAACTTCTGCTTTTTATAAACCACCTACTCTATGACATTTTTTTATAACAGTCTGAATAGCTAAGACATTTCTAAATGACACATGAGGTCTCCAAGTTAAGGTGTCTGATTTTACATTCTTTGACTTTTCCATGCATATCTGCTATATCCTTTCTCTGACTGATTACCCTTCCATGATAGGGTTTAACTCAGTTTAACTTGCCTTTTGACAGTTATATCTTCCCTTAGCTACATGAGGAGCATGTTCTATTCACTTAGGTATCCCCAAATTTAGAATAGCACTTTTACCATATCAGGAACTAACAAACGTTTGCTAAATTGAATTAAAATGCATATTTTCTAGTCACTTCCATTTCTCTCATTGGTTAATTCCAGGAACACAGGTTGCATAGTTTGCATTATTCTGGGTCTTCTCTTCCCTGTGGGTGACCCATATCTGGATGGTCCATCTTTGAACTCCAACCAATGAAGAAAGAAAACATTAGAATAAATTGCTTTTGTCTGTCTCTCAACTCTTTCACTTGTTTCACATAAAGGAAAGAATTTCATGAATGACTGTTAGGTGAAAAGAGCTGTTATCTATTGCTTCTAGTGTGGTCTGCAAAAGCTTAAAAAGAAAGGTCTCTCTGGCTCCCTTTTGGCATTTTGGACATACTGCAGCTGAGACACAGCACCTGCTTCTATTCCTGAACTCCCAACCATAACACAATTCAGAAAGTCTTGCTATTGACAAGCCCAGCTGATCCTCTGCTTTCTTAATGGCAGGGTGTATTTTCCTCCCCTTTCATTGAGTGGATAAGTCAGCGTTGGACAATTCCAGAAAATGAGAGTTGAAATTACATGTAGAAGATTCCACTATTATCCATTCTACTCTTTTCTGGAGAGTCCAAAACAAATGTTGTCCTTTTTTATATTGGATTTTATGAGCTACAATAGTGGCCAGGACCCTGGAGAAGAGATATGGGAAAATCAGAGATTTCAGACCCCAGCCTCAACCTGTGTCCCCAGCAGTCTTATTGACTATTCCCTTGTCTCCTTGTCATAAATTCCCTTGTTTTCCATTCCTACTGTCACCACCCTACTTTTGGTATTCATCATATCACTGCTGAATGATTGAAGTAGATGCTTAATAAGCTGTCAAGCAGGTGTACTGCATGATCAATGTAAACTTCCATGTATGTTTGTGACCTTGCTGCCATTTTTCCAGTTTGGAACACAATCTTCTATATATTTCCTTGTAAAAGATTTTTCGAAGACCTGATGAGGTCAAGTTAAGTCAAATGTGCTTTATCCGTGAACTCTTTTGCAGTCACTCAGTTATATAGTGAAGTCTTATTGTTCATATTTCATAATATATATAATTTAACTTATATCTCTATATATTTATTTATTATATGTATTTCATGCAACAACCATTTTAAGCATCTGTCTATTAGTGTACTAGATATAAATTACATTTCATCCGTCTCTACCAAAGCACTATGCTCTAAGAAGGCTACCTCTGTGGGCTAAATCAATTATTTCCCTTGACATTGGGCTTCCGGTGGGATTGGTCATCCAGTCTTTCATATGAGAGAGGAAAGAAAGTGAGGAAGGGGAGCCTTTTTGGCTTCTGACTTTCTCCCTGCAGGATTGTTGTGGGTTGGGTACGTTCTACTGATGGCCACAACTCTTATGAAGAAGGCTTCTGCAATCACAGCTGCTATTTCTGAGTTCTGGGATTTGTTCCCTCTTTGTAGTTTCAGGCTTGAGAATAGTAATGCGTAGCCATTGATGTAGTCCTGCTTCTTGACCTTTCACACTGCCCACGTTTGTAAATTGTCCCTTTATTAAATTTGTCACAATTAGCCAGTTTGAAACTCCCCTTTCCCATCAATACACCTGCTTTGTTGGAACACATCTTAGCATAGGCAACACAAAGTGAACCAAAAAGATAAATTGTTTTCCATTCTCCAGGGTCTTGGCCAATACTGTGTCACACAAAGGCAAAGCACAGAAGCTTACATTTGGAGGAGACATCAAATAAACAGAATAAATATAAGACAGCCATAGGTGGAGTAGCTTATAAACAAGAGAAATTTATTTCTCACAATTCTGGAGGATGGAAAGTTCAAGATCAAGGCACTGGCAGATTCACTGCCTGGTGAGGGCCTCTTTCCTGGTTCATAGATGGCCATTTTCTCATTGTGCCCTCACATGGTGGAATAGGTGAGATGGTTCTGGATTTCTTTTATAAGGGCACTAATCTTATACATAAGGGCTCTCCCTTCATGACTTAAGCATCCTCCAAAGGCCCCACTTCCTAATACCATCATATTGGAGGCTAGGATTTCAACATAGAAATTTTGAAGGACACACACTTTCAGTCTATAGCAACTAGAATTTAAAACCTTTCAACAGGCAACTTTGTCTGGTTCTGTGCTGTATTCTTAGCTCCAAGAATAGTTCTTGAGGCATAATAGGTCCTCAATAATTGTTTGTCAGATGAATGAGTGAATACACATACATGTGCATTCAGTCATTCAACTAATACTTGTTTAGTGCCTACTTTGCTGGGCACTCAGAAAAATATAAACTGACAAAGTTCTTGTCTTTAGGGATTTAACAACTAATATTCTTTCCATCCAACAATATTATAATTTCCTTGGCATGCATTTTATTTACTGAATTTCTTTTTATTCCCAGTCCTGCTGTGGCCCTCTACACGTAACAAAATAAACAGTAAAATCAGTTGAGTCTTGTTTGTGAATGACCCAACAACTTGTTTTAACAATAATGTGGATTTTGTTGACCCATAGGTACAAGAGGTATCTCATAGTACAAATTTAGTTCAGGATCCGGTTGCATCCAGCCTCTCAATAAGCATTAGCTACTGGTCTTTTCCTTTTCTTGGCACTCCTTTCCCCTTTTCCTTAATGTTAGCTTAATTTTCAACTGTTCTTTGCCAATAGTAGTAGATATTTGCTCATATACCACCTCAAGCTTACAACCTTCTGCTTTGCAAATGTCTGCAGAAAAAGCTTCTTTCCTGAGTTCCAGCAAAAGTCTTGGGTGTATCTTTCATTGACTCATTGTTGGTCACATGCCTATCTTTGAACGAGTGATTGTAGTCAGAGAGATGGGAATTTCTGATTAGCTATCTCTAACTCATACATCACTCCTGGAGTCAGTCACTTACCTAAATAACTTGGACTTAGTCACATAGCTAAATAACTTGGATTTAGAGAAAGTCCTAAGAAAAATGAGGTTTGTATTACAAAATAAAGAGGAATGGACACTGATCAAACAAAAGCAATAGATGTCCCAGATACTCCACTAAAAAGCTTTCTTTTTAAATTTTTTTTGGGGGATGGGGTGGGGACAGAATTTTGCCCTTGTTGCCCAGGCTAGAGTCCAATTGTGCGAACTTGGCTCACCACAACCTCCGCCTCCTGGGTTCAAGCGATTCTCCTGCCTCAGTCTCCTGAGTAGCTGGGATTACAGGCATGTGCCACCACGCCCGGCTAATTTTGTATTTTTAGTGGAGACGGGGTTTTTCCATGTTGGTCACGCTGGTCTCGAACTCCCAACCTCAGGTGATCTGCCTGCCTGGGCCTCCCAAAGTTTCAGGATTACAGGCGTGAGCCACTGTGCCTGGCCCCAAAAGCTTTATTCTTTATACAGTGATATTCTAGTTAAAGCTATAAATTTTAACTAATTGGGAGGTAGAAATTTTGGCTAAATTATTGGAAGCATTAAAAAAAGTTCTGTTTATTTCAAATAATTTTTTGTGTGAACATGCAACAGAACAAACTCACAAGACATTGCTTCCACTTCTATGAGACTTACTGCTGTAAAAAAAATACATGGAGTTAGTAATTAGCATATTCTTAATTTCTATAAGAGAAAAGCTGCTTCTAAAGTATTTGAGAATGATTGAAAATTTAGTTCTTTAAGAGGTTTTGAATACTTCACTGTAATTCTTCTTACAGTATTAATTTACTTGGGCAAATTATCAGATTTTGAATTAATGAGGTTTTAGTACATATGCAAATGAAATTCTCTAGTTTGCTTTAAATAATCCTCAAGGCATAGTGTTCTCTGTACAACATGGGGATAGTTGAGCAAATGTTTGCTGAATTTTTTTTAGAGCAAAATCCTTTAAAGATTAGCCCATGTATTTATTTAAATTTTGTTAATTTGGTTTTAAGCCTATAATTTTTTTTTCCTCAAGGCAAAGTAGGTCTTTCTTATTTTAGATCTCTTCCTTTAACCAGAGAATTTTCTTACTTTTTCTTGGAATAGTGTAGTGTGTTCTATAGCAGTGCCACTAAAATGTGGTCGCTAGACTACTAGAGATATGCAGAAAAAAAAAATAATAGAGAAATTAAGAGTATTTCAAAACTTTTATAGCAATTAGATATTTTTACAATATCCAAATGCATGCTCAGAGGTTTAATCTTGTTTAACATGGAAAAGACCCAGTTGGGTAATCTTGAACTTGCATAATGAGTCACACATGCCATGAGCTGCATCCCAGCAATGCACACTTGGGCGTCATATCGTGTGCAAGGCATTGGCAAAACAAACAAACAAACAAACAAAAATTGGCCTCAACCGGTATAATTTAAAAAGAACAATTGTGCCAAAAAAATGCATTAAGCAATTGGAAAGCTACCAAGGCAGTGAAGAATTACTCAGCCCAAATATGGAAGAAGATACCATCGTCCAAGGCCTCAAATTATCCTGGCAATTTTTTATAGGTAGCATCTGGAGCCTAAATAAAATCATACAGGCATATGTAGAACAAGAAATGTGATTAATAATCAAAATAAGGCTTAGACAATATAAATAGATGTACTGACAATCCAGATAATGCAGTCATCAGATAAAGAGTTTAAAATAACTATGCTTAATATGCTCTAGAAATAAGATAAAATTGGGAATTTTGTCAGAGAACTGAAAAGTATTTTATAAAAGTATCAAAAGGAAATTATGGATTGAGAAGATACAATAATTGCAATCAATAATTCAATGAATAGATTTATTGGCAGTTTAGATATAGCTCAGAAAAAAGAAATCGGGAGATAGAAGGTGGCTCAGATGGAAATACATAGAATGAAGCAAAGAGAGACAAAATGATTGCACAAACACACAAATGTGAAAACATCTATGTACGTGTAACTGAAGTTCCAGAAGGAGAAGAGGAAAGAAAATGGAGTCAGAGAAATATGTGAAGAGAAAATAGCTGTGATTTTTCCAAACTGACAAAAGATTTCAAGCCACAGATTCAAGATGCACTATGAAACTTAAGCCAGATAAATACAAAGAAAACCAAACTAAGGCACATCACAGCCAAACTGCTAAAAACCAAAGAAATTACAAAATCTTCAAAGCATCTGAAAAAGTATGTCTTGAATGAGCAACAATTAAATTAATATCTGATTTTCACACAAACAATGGATAAAGAATAGCAATGAAATAAAATGTCAAACTGTCAAAACAAAAACAAGAACCTGTCAACCTACAAGCCTATACTCTGTGGAAATAGTCTTCAAAAATAACTGTAAAATAAGCGAATTTTTAGGCAAACAAAAACAGGGAGAGTTTATCACCAGAATATGACCCCAGAGAAAATAAAAGTATTCTGCTAGTAAAATAAAAATAATCATAGTAAGAAGATCAGCTTTGCAGGAAGATGTGAAGAACAACATAACAGAAAATATGTGGGCAATTGAATACTAATGATGAAAAACAATATAATATCATGGAATTGGAAATACATAGAAAATTAAAATAGCAACAAGTATACTGTAATAGTTGTGAGGAGGAATAAATAGAGATAAATGTTGCAAGTGCTTTCCATATCCAGAAGAAAGAAAAAAAGTTCTTATTTACATGTTCTTATTTACATTAAAATTTTGCTGAGTCTATAGCAATAGTTCCCAACCAAGGATAATTTTGACCTCCCGAAGACATTTGACAATACCTGGAGACACTTCCTCCAGAAGACGTTTGACAATATCTGGAGACCTTTTTTATTGTCACAAGTAGGGTGATGTGACTGCTGCTGCTAAAATCTTACAATGCACAGGTAAGTTACTCTCATAACAAAGGATTTTCTGGCTCAAATTGTTAATAATGCTGAGGTTGAGAAACCCTGATGTAGAATCACCCCTAAAGGATAGAATAAAATTATAAAAATCAAGCTAACAGAGAGGGAAAAATAATAAATTTCAATGGGGACAAAACATAGGAAAAAGGAAGACAGAGCAGGTGGAAAAAGTAAAAAACAAATAATATGATAATAAATTTAAAATCCATTCTATCAGTAATTGCATTAGATGTAAGTAGATATTTTTAAATTTCTGCAGTTTAAAAATATTAATTATATTACATAAAATAAGCAACTATGGGCCACTTATAATAACTATACCTTAAAATAAAATAAATGCGTTGAAATGCAGATTTTAAAATTAAATAATGTTAAATAGTTCCTGCAAAATGAATAGATGAAAAAAATATTCACAGTTTTCTATTAATCTCTAGAAATAATTACAGTGTTTTTTCTTATCTCTCTGTTTATCTTGACATGTTAATCAAATTTTTGAACTACGACAGTCAATAGTAACTGTAGACTCAATTTTTATTATCTCCGCACTTAATAATATACAATAATGTGACAGACTATTATCAGATTATTAATTTCATGAGGGGAGAGATTGGGTCTGTTTTTTATCTCCCTGCTATAAACACAGAATCTTCCATGGAGCCTGATATATAGCAAATATTCTTTATATAGGATAAATTGAAAATGTTTGTGGCATTTCTTTATGGCATTCATTTATCTCAGTACTTCTCAAACTTTTTGGTCTCAGATCCCTTTACACTGTTAAAAATCATTGAAGATGCAATAGAGCTTGTGTCATATCTGCTAATTATCATATTAGAGATTAAAATAGAAATATTTTAAAACCTTTATTAAAACTCATCAAAAATTGTAAAATACTATATGTTAACATATCCTACATATTTTAATAAAATAACTCCATCTTTAAAACATTAATGAGAATAATAGCATTGTTTACCATTTTGCAAATTTCTTTAATATCTGGTTCAATAGAAGACAGTTAGACTCTTGCATCTGCTTATGCATTCCATTCACTGCAATATGTTATTTTGATTGAAGTATATAGAGAAAATTCAGTCTTACAAAACATACAGTTGGAAAAATAAAAAGAGCATTTTAATAGCCTTTTCAGAAAACAGTTGATATTACCGTTTGCTAGTATGCCAAAACTTGACAAAGTAGTTTCTTAGAGGTTAGTTGCAATATGCAATAGAAAAATATATATATATTACCTCTTCTTACTCTTTTACATTAAAATCTGTGGATCTGGCCGGGCGCGGTAGCTCACGCCTGTAATCCCAGCACTTGGGGAGGCTGAGGTGGGCTGATCACCTGAGGTTGGGAGTTCGAGACCAGCCTGACCAACATGGAGAAACCCTGTCTCTACTAAAAATACAAAATTAGCCAGGCTTGGTTGTGAATGCCTGTAATCCCAACTACTCAGGAGGCTAGGGCAAGAGAATCGCTTGAACCTGGGAGGCAGAGGTTACAGTGAGCCAAGATCACGCCATTGAACTCCAGCCTGGACAACAAGAGCTAAACTCCCTCTCAAAAAAATAAAAATAAATAAACAAAATAAAATCTGTGGATCTGTTTTGCATTTTGGATCTTTTATTTATGCATAACTTTCTAATATCATTGGTCATTTGGAAAAAATTGGCTCACTTGAGTTATGAAGATCCTCCAAATGCTAGCATATTTTATGGTACATTTTTAAAATTGCATGCATTAATATAACCACTAATCTGATCAGAAAATAATAGGAAGTAATCGAGCCCATGATGTTAGGTACAAGTTTCAAAAATTCTAACTTTTGTTTGAAAGCTCAGTTTTTATCATTTGAAACATTTGTTGTCAGTTGTTTTCTTTGAAGTAACATGCTCACTTCATTAACACTGGGAAATCTCTAGCAGACGTGGCAAACTCTGAATAATAATAGTTTGTCAGTCACTTTTTTCAAGTACAAACGTTCTATGAAAAAAAGTAGCTATTTCAGCTCATAATTCAAACAACCACACAAGTACTGTTCCTTGAGATAACTGTTTTACTTCTATAGACAAAAGTACTTTATGCGTATTTTCAATTTTGTCAAATAGAATATTTAAAAGACACGTACTCAAGGATCAGGATTTAGTAAAATTAGAAATGTTAACTGCTTCTTTAGGGACATTCTTAAGTGAAACTGAAAAAGTCATTCATTGTTTCTTTGCGTGTATGACAATGCAGAATACAGTTATGAGCGAATACAGTTTGTTGATGTGGCCTTAATTTCTATTAATGAACCATCAGTTTTACTCACCATTGCTTTTGCACCATCAGTAAAAATGCAAACACTTTTTAAAATTATTATTGTCTTAGAATTATTATGAGAATGATTTTTACCTCATGAATTTTCTGAAAGGGAGGGTCTCAGGGACTCCTAGACGTCTCATGGATTACACTTGGAGAAACATCGCTTTATGTACACACATCAAATGTCACTGCCAAACTGACGACCTGTCCTCTGATACTCCTTGCCTCCACATGTGGTAATATCTTCAGTAAGAGTGCCTCTTTCTCTCAGCTCTGCCTTTTTCAATGTGGCCTTATCCTCCCCAAGGCATAAATCATTGACTGACCCTCAAAATGGATTTGATCACTCCTACTCCAAATCCTGACACTATTTAGAACATGTTTTGTGGTATAATTCCACACTCCATGGCCTCTCAAGTCCCATCGCTATTGTACTCTGAGCTTTCTAAAGGGAGGCTTTGTCTGTTATTTATCTCTGAGAACTGCTTAGTGCCTACAAAAGGGTACCAGACATGTCGTATGCCCAAAATAACTGTTTATTACATTGAAATTATTAAAACTCATAGAATGATCCCTAGGGAATTAGAATAATTTTGAAAACTTGTTTTTTATTTTATTTCAGGATAGCTATTTTCATTATTTAATCTAAAAAATTAAGTCTATTAAACTCAATGACCTGGGTGATTCAATGACCAATTAGATGATATTTCCAGAGACTGGATATTCATTCCTTCACGTATTCATTATTCATTTACTCAGTTTAGTTTTTATACAGGTATTTATTTAGCCCATACCATGTGGTAGCCATGGCAAGTACAGTGCTAAACATCACATGGTACCTCATCCAAAGAGTTTATGTGATTCAGAAACTATATGATGATCACCTACTAAGTATAAAGAGCTTTGTAAACAGAGCTTTCTAAACATTTGCTAAACAGAGTTTCTGTCATCGTAAAGTGTATAAAGTATATTTAAAAGCATATGCAAGTCAATAAATTAAAATATATGTTGAACGCTATTACAAAAATGGGTACAATAAATGGTGGAAGCTCTGAAGTAAGAGCAAATAATTTTGTCTGGAGAAATGAGTAAAAGTGTCACCAATGAGGTAACATTTAAACTAGATCTTAATTAAAAGGATTGTGATAGATAAAGAAGGAGACAAGGACAATTCTTGCAAAAACTAATGAAAGAAACATGAAATTGTGATAGGTCCTATTATGCTCATTGGGATGATTAAAGTCCACAGAGATCATAGAATATGCACGAGATGGTGTTGGGAGAGGAGGTTAGAATTAGTTTCGGTTTATATTGTTCAAGGCCAAGTAAGCCATACTAAAGAGATTGTATTTTATTTACAAGCATCAGGGACCCAATGCAACTTCTTTTATTTTCTTTTTTTTTACTTTTCTATTTTTAAAAAATAGGAAGTTGAGACTGGATTTCATCATGTTGGCCAGGCTGTTCTCAGACTCCTGGCCTCAAGTGATTCACCAGCCTCCGCCTCTGAAAATGCTGGGACTACAGGCTTGAGCCACTACACCCAGCCCCAGCAAGAATTTTTAAGAATAGTGATATGAACACCTCTGCTTCTTTTGTAGGTCAATATGATGATGAAGCAGAAAATAATGGGTGTGGGTGGATAATCCAGAGAGATTAGTTAAAGCAACGTGGCACTATTCAAGTCAGGAATGATGAAATTGGGACTAACATATTAACAGCAAAGAGTGAAGAGAAAGAGCCAAATTGAAGAAGCATGTCTGAAACAAATTAAATTGATATGACTTGGCAACTAATTGGATTGTCATAGTGAGAGAGAGGTAGGAAGACAAGACAAATATTTGTACACTGAGAAATGAAAAATATGTTGATGGCATTAACCAAGATAAAAAATGCAAGAGGTGGAACTGGTTAGTAATACGGGAAAAGAATTTGCATTTTAGAGGGCAGATATATTCAAAAGAAGATGGACTTCAGAAACAAGCAGTCTTATGTCCAAACTCTAGTTGTCTCAACTATTGTATATAATATTTTTATTTAATCTATAAAATGGATATAATCAGTATCTAGTAAAGAACTTGACCTTGCTCAAGGAGAGGTCCGGCCTTTGTCCTTGGCTTCTTGGAGGTAGCCTCTAAACCTCTGGAATTTCCCAAGCAATAGGAATGTCATTGTCATTCACATTGGGACCTTAGGACCAAACCTGAAGTTTACGCTGAGAAGGTGACTGATACATGGTCCCCTTGGACCACATGCTATGTCAATCAATCAATCATGTCTACTTAATGGAACCCCAGTGAACACTCTGAACACTAAGGCTCAAATGAGCTTCCAGGATTGGCAACAACTGTGCATATTGCCATACATCAATGGCAAGAAGGTAAAGCATCCTGGAAACAATGAAATCTTCACATATGAAAACTTCCTAGGCTCTATCAGAAGCATCTCTTTCTTTGGCTCATTCTCATGTGTGGCCTTTGCTTTAATAAACCATATCTGTGAGTACAGTAGCTTTCACTGAGTTCTGTGAGACTGTAGCAAATTATTAAACATGAGGTTGGTGTGGTGAAACTCCTGAACTTGCAGCTGGTGTCAGAAGTGATGGTGTTCTTATGTATTCTTTCCCCGCTAACTTTTAGTCTAACTCCTTGGAGTTAGAAGTGTTGAGCAGACTTGGAAGTCTGGCAGACTGTGCCCTTAACCTTACAGTTGGCTTAACTCCAGGTACTCACAGATTTGTTGTGAAGATTAATTCATTTATTTTACAAATATTTGCAAAAACCGTAGAGTAGACATGGTATCTAGCACTGGAGACATAGCAATGTAAAAACATACAGCGTCTACCCTCAAAGAGCATGTAACCCAGGAATAAGTGAGGTAGGTATGTAAAGCTATAAAGAAACTGGCATCACTCTTGATACACAGTGAGGTTAAAATAAATATTAATTCTCCTTGAACAAGTTACAGTCAGGTAGAGCTGTGTAGTGGAAAATTTGAAATGAGAATTTGGAGAGTGGGAGAATAGTTTGTGGCATAAATTTTAAAATGGGAGTCATCAGCATCTAGATGGTATTTGAATCCATGGATATGGATGAGATCATTTCGGAAAGGTTTTAGACAGAGCCCTTGACTCAAGAGACATAAGTTCTCTTCAAGCTCAAAGAAAAAAAATTTAAAGATCCTGAATGAAAGAGGCATATTTTTCCACACCTGATTCTCACTTGTAATTAAAGGTGTGCAGCTGAAACACATGATGTCTACTCATCAAAATAAGCATTTATTCCCAAGTGTGTCTAGGTAAAAGAAACTCAAGTTGATGCTTCCTTAAAATATTTGCAGCAAATATAGGAGAAACACATATACAGAAAGAGAACTCTCCACAAAGAGTTAATAAAGAGTTTCATCTTATTATCCTGATAGGCTATCCACCTCTGAATTATAATATGTCACAGCTGCAATTACACCTTTGGACCCAATGATCTTCTGGAACGAACACAAACTTATTTTTAACATTTGAAATGGGCATGCTGGCAAGAATAAATTTTCTGAATTTGTCGAAAGAGCTTTTCTGCTTTGAAAGCACTTCAGCAACCATTTCTGATCACTTTATAAATGTCATGCACAAAAATAAAGGAACTTATCATATGTTTCATACCAAACCAGAGTATAATAAAAAATAAGCCTGTAGAAAGGGAGTCATGGGCAAAATTGATTTTTGCAGATGACTTCATGACTGGGAAAAAATTAATTGAACTCATGTTTTTCATTCTGTGATTTCTTAGCACCCATATTACAAAAGCTTACAATAGGCTTTTAAAGGTTCTTATACTATGAAAAGAGCGAGCTAGGTTTTATTTCTGAAGATGACAAAGAATGTTCTTCCCGTGATTGCTGGAGAAAATAGACAATTAACTAGCACAACTATAATGTGGTATTGTTCTTTCCTCCAGGTCTTCATTTGTTCCTTTGTTACTCATAATGCTTCAGCTCCATTCAACAAGTGACCCAGAATATGAAAACACTCTTGGATTTGGTCTTATGTACAAAACAAGATACATCTTGAAAACTTACTTTTTAGAAAATCAATTGCAAGAGGAGAACAATACCGGGAACAGCTTATGATTCACTAGAAAAAAAAAACCTCACTATATTTCTAGCATTGATAAAAGTAATGAAACCATATATTTTTTAAAAGACGGCTTTGTGCAATGCAAAATTAACCACACTTTCAGCAAATGGAAGCTTTATAAATGCTAATAAAGAAACACTTAGTTCTCCCTGTTGTATTTAGCACTCTCAGTCAGCCCTAAACATCCTTAATGAGTATAGGAAGAGTATGCTATGAAATGAAAATCTCTGCTTTGTTTTATACCTTCCTACGAAACTTTTCAATTACAGAAATTGTCTTTGCAGGGTTTTCTCTGCTGTGTAAATTTATACATCTCAGTGCACATATTGGCTATATTGAAACTAGATGATTAAAAGTAGACAAATAATTTAAGTGCACAGGATATTATTGTGTTAATATATTTGTTCCACAAAAATTTATGTCAGAGAATTTTACTAGATTCTACATTAGGAAGAAAATTCAGAACGGAAAACCTCAAGTATACATAATGTCCTTAGAGGCGCATGAGTTCTCATGGCTGGCCTAATTTGATTTTGTACTCATAGTTGGTGAACCAGTATCAAAAGTCGCTCAAAACAACAGTGACTTCAGCTTGAATAAGTAGAATTCACTGCGTTAGGAAGTTGTATCTTGCAGGATTCATTTCAATTTTACTCAAAATGATACAAAGAATATCAGAGGTTATCTTTCTTCATATTTTAAAGTTCTATTTACACAATATCAATTTTAAGGCTCTTTTTTTTAGAATATATGTCCATATGTGGGCATACATGTACACACACACACAGAACAATAGTTTATATGCATTTTCATTTTAATACCTTTATGAAGGCATTTGTAATAATCATTGATGATGAAACTTAAAATATTATCAAAGCTGATTTTTAATATTGCAAAGGTAATGTCCACAGACTAAATCATTGCTTCTTTACTCTCGATTTACTAAATTTTACTGAATATAGGATATATGCATATTGTTAAAAAAAAACAGGTGGGGGAAATACAATGAAAATGAGGTATCCATTTTTTCCCCCAGAACACCCAGTTCCTCTTATACACTTCCCAGATACTATCATTGTCAATAGTTTATTGTGACTACAGAAATATCCTATACCTATAAGTGCATATATAATACTTGTGATGACTAAAAATATTTTGTTTGAGTCAGGGTCTTGCTGTATTGCCTAGGCCGAAGTGCAGTGGCTCACTGCAACCTCCATCTCCTAGGCTCCGGTGATCCTCCCACCACCTCAGCCACCCAACTAGCTGAGACTACAGGTGTGCACCACCATGCCCAGCTAAATTTCTGTATGTTTTGTAGAGAAAGGGCTTTGCCATGTTACCCAGGCTGGTCTCAAACTCCTGGGCTCATGCAAGCCACCCACCTTGGCCTCGCAAAGTGCTGGGATTACAGGCATAAGCCATCATGCCCAGCCTTTAAAATTTTATTGTGAATTAATTTTATATTTACTGTAAAGTTACAAATATAGTGCAGATAGTTCATGTATATATTATATTTTAGTTATTTCCTCTCATGCTAACAACTTACAGAACAATGGTACAACTATCACAGCCAAAAAATTAATATCTGGTCAATAATAATAATAAGTTGACAACATAACATTTAAATTTCAGCAATCTCTTGGGCCAGTGTCTTTTTTTCTATTCCAGGATACAATTTTAGTTATTGGGTCTCAGTTTCCTTTAGACTTGGGCAGTTCCTCAGTCTTTCCTTATCTTTCATTACCTTGATTTTTTTAATGAGTTCTAGTTAGTGATTTTGGAAGATGTCTATCAATTTGAGTTCCTCTGTTTCTTGTGATTAGAAATTTATATATCTTTGTCAAGAATTCCATGTCTGTCTGCATCATATCAGAGGTACATGATGCAGATATATCTTAGTAGTAGTGATGTTATACACTGACTTTTAAAAAATTTGATGCAGAATTCAGTATATTACACACACTACATTGTTATTTATTTAACTTAGAGAACATTCTATTTCAGCATAACATTCTTCTTTATGTCCACACAGTATTTAATTGCACTATAAACCACAATTTATGAGATCAGTCTACTATTATTGAGCATTCAGGTTATTTCTGGTCTTTTAAATTTTAAGTAACAATGCTGGAAAGAATATTCTTTTAAATACCTTTGTGCGTGCTTATGTATAAACATGTAGGATGAATTTCTAGAAGTAGAATTTCTAGATGGAAGTCTATATGCATATCAATTTTGATAGTATTGACAAATTTTTGGATGCTCGTTTTTAGTCATGTAGAACACTGCTCATTTTCTTATGTGCTGACTAATACTTTATCTTTGCCAATAGGATAAAAGAAAAATGGTACAGTACTTTTTGTTTTAATTTGGATTTCTTGTATTACGTCTATCTGTTAATAAACTATTGCATTTTTGTGAGCTCTTTATTCTTGTCTTTTGCCCGTTTTGCCATTGAGTTATCAACATTTTTTATATTAAATGAGTGCTTTAGATGGTAATGCAATTAACCTATTGTCATCTGGGTTGCAACATGTTTTCTTCAGTATTTGCTTTACGTCTTTTACACAGTTTATAGCACTTTACTTGTGGTAAGGTTATTTGATTCTTATAATGATTGATAAACAGTATGTTCCTCAACTCAAAAGATGTCCTGAAAACCACCATATAAAATTACCTGTAGTCATGATATAATACAATTCCTTCCTTTTCTATTAACAAATGCATCTTGTTTAAAGCCCATCATTGAATTAAAACATGTAAAATAATTTTGTGATTTATTTGTTTTCTTTTTTTAAGTCTCAACAGTCATAGTGGCAAATAATCAGAAAAATAGTAACAGCTTTTTTATGTCAAACTATTTCACCGTTTCACTCACATAGACTTTCAGTCCATTTATTTACTATTATGATTGACTTTAGTCTCCAAACATTTATCCCTCAACTTGAACTACAGAGTATATGGAATAATGACTATCTCCTTATATACATATGCGTGTATCTACCTCTCTATATTTAAATATAGATGTTTATGTATTTATGTTTCTATTTAAAAATATAGAAGTCATAAGCTGAGAAATGTGTTCTCAGATATTCCTAACCTGGAAAAGTCCGATAAATTTCTTTAGGAAAATATATCCTTTAAGAAAACTAGGTGTGTATCTACCTCTCTATATTTAAATATATAGATGTTAATGTATTTATGTTTATGTTTAAAAGTATAGAAGTCATAAGCTGAGAAATGTGTTCTCAGATGTTTCTAACCTGGAAAAGTCCAATACTTTTCTGTAGGAAAATATATCCTTTAAAAAATACTAGCCTGTTGGTGGTGTTCCCCAAAGTAAAAGTGATTACTGCTTAGAAAAAAATTTAGAAAGTACTTTTGCTGTCTTTTTCCTCCATTCTTCTGACTGAACCTTCCTGTATTCATCTGTGCTCATTTATTTTTTGACATGATAGGTGCCAGATATAGCTGTGCTGAGTTTCTGAATCTGAATCCAGGAAGCACTTCGTTATTGGAAAGAGAGATCTATTAGAGCTGGTTGAATCCTGAACTAGGGTCATTATATTCAACGTGGGACAATGTCTCCATGACATGGAAAGGGAAAGTCTAGCTCTTCTTCCTGAACAGCCTTACAGCCTTTCCACAGCTGAAGCCTTTGGCATACTCCTGACAACTCAGCCTTGTCGCAAGCCATAGTACAAATTTGGAGCCTAGATAAGAAAGCGCTCTATAACTCTGTCTCTGTGGTTCTTAACCTTGGCTACAGCAGTGGAGTAGGAGAACTAGAATTTCATATTAATACTCAGAAGGAAAGAGACTGCAATTTATTCGTTACACATAGCCAAGATGGCAGCTGGTACTTCCCAGTCCCTTCAGAAATTTGCTTAAACTTGTTTTCAATATACATGGCCTGTTACCAGAGACATGCCTTTCCAACAGTTTCTGGGACTTCCTACATTTGACATCCTCATGCTTCCCTCTGTTCCTATACTGCTTAGTTCTGTCTGTCCTTTGCCTATAGAGTACGTATATAAAAAGTCCATTTCCTTCACTGATTCCAAAAGAAACTTGCCCCCTTCAAGCATTTAGTGACTGCCTTGTATATGGAGAGAGGGATGTCGCTGAGATGGGCCATATGAAGAACAATTAGCCTGCTGACATATTCATGATAGCTCTATGAATTTTATATAATGTTTAGTTTCATTTAGAGATGAGAAGATGAGAACCTTGGAACCAGAAACATTAAATACACTGACTAAGATCATAGAACTCAAAAGTGTCAGAGTCAGTATTATACCCAGATTTTATTCTGGGTATCTTATATTATCTCTCAGCAATATGTGTCTCTTTCCAATTGTCTTGTTTCAATGTAATGAGATTGACTGGATGCACATGTATCAAATCATAAAATTAGGTTTGAATGAAAAGCATATAAATATATAAATGCAATAAGAGTATGGTTTATTTCTGCAAGCAACACTAAAACTCTAATGGAAAATCTAACAGGCATCATTTTTTAACTGTGAATACATAGCTCCCTACACATACAAAGCAGTCATGATAGGTTATGTCTTAAAAATGAAAGAGGAAAAAAATAAAGATGAACTAGGTCACAATGTAAAGAGAGACGTGTTTGAGTATTTGACCAGTCATCATCCACTTAATTTATGAAATCTAATAATATCACAGGTTTAGGTGTAAGCTCTACCTATTAAGTAGTTTCATAAAATATGCCCATGAGTCCCTAGCATCATATTGACTCATATATCTTTCCATGTTAAAAATATTTAGAAAATTCATCAGTTTGAGTACTATGTGTAATTTTCCAACCTTCCTGTCCTTACCTAACTTTTTACTTTGATAAAGTGGTTTTCTCTAATGTTACCAAGAAGGTGAAATATTTAATGTGGTTGATTGATTAATATTATAAACAAATGTAATTTATGTAGCTAATGCACCAGCAAATGGTTCCTGTACTCATCTCTGAATAAACAGCATACTTGTTTTAGTATGAAATTTTACTTTTCTAAGCAGAAGGCTCCCTGGGCAATAGACAGCTGTTTCTATAGGATTGTAATTAATGTTTTTTCCATTTAAAAGAATTGCTTTGCATACTTAAAAAAAAGAATTAGCACAAGGAGTCATCTTACTTTCTAATTTTAAACCAGCTTTACTGAAACATATTAGACATAGCTTAATGTATACAATTCAGGAAGATCGTGCAGAAAAATATGTGGTTCTAACGCAGTTGTTTTCCACCTCAGCAAGCCTCAGAATCTTGTAGAAGACCAATTAAAATACACAGTTTTTAATTTAGCAGGTGTAGGGGTAGGTAGACCTGATAATTTACATTTCTAACAAGTTCTCAGGTGATTCCGATATCATTGGTCCAGTATCACTAGTTTTAGAAACACTGTGGTTAAGTAATAGAACTGCTTTTCAAATAAATATATCTTATTTTGCACATCAAAATGAATGTCCTTAAAAGTAGTATTTACTTCTTCCAATAATGGTGTCATGCTAAAAAATCTCTGGAAAATTTCTCTCTCATAATTGCGTGGAGAGTCAGCTCATAAACCAGAACAGAAAATTACTCTCCATATTTAAAAGTAACACACTGTCCCCTTCTTTTTCCTCTTCCTGTCCACATTTCTATGAAGGTTGGGAGCACTGTTGGAATATGTATTTCTGATCTTTCCATCCCCTCACTCCCTCCTCTGCTAGGCTTACTCAAGCTCTTAACTCTAGCATCTCCAACATCAGCACCTGTGCCTACAACTAACTGGATATGTCTGTAAATAAAGGTAGAAAAAAAATAGGGCAACCTATTTGGGTGTGCCCTCCCTTCCATGAGGCGGAGGACAGGCGGAGTTTTATGCCTCACAGAGTCCATATTACTCAATAGAGTCATACATATTTAGCAGATTTGGGGGAGAAGCTATACCTATTTTTGAGGGGAGCTGAGCCCATGCACAATGGGTAAACATATAAGTAACATATATCCCATGTTCACTTTGGGGTGGCGTTTTAGCATTAAAATGTGGTAGAATTTGCCTCTTTATGTCAAAAGGTGAGCTATGGGACATGAGGGCGATCTGTGCAGCCTCTCAAAGCTGTCTGAAACTGGCTTAATGTCCGTAGTAACTCAGGAAATAATGTTTGTGAGGCAGGTCCTCTGTCCAATCAGAGTTGCAGTGCTCTGGTTGTAAATCAGAATTAGGAGAGGTCTGATAGCTCCTATTGTTAGGGAGCTTAGGGTCCTGGAATTTAGAAATTTGCCCTGCCAGTGGGGCCTGAACCCTCAACTCATAACTAACTTCGTTTTCTCAACCTTAGGATCTGTCTTAGTTGATAAAGCGGTTCTAGTTTGGTCTCTCAAATCACAGTACCATGTCAGATTCTTTAAGAGTTATAAAAGTAAATTAAACGTATTACGTGCATAATATTTATGTTGGTTCAAGGAAGAGAATAAAAATAACAGTGCTTAAAAGCAGTACTATCAGCTGTGTAATCAAATAAATTGGGGAGGTGAGATTATATTCAATTAGTAATTTCAAGAAAAGTTCTCTATAGAAGGCAATATTTGAGATGGGCATTGAGTGATGTTAAGTCATTGAAACAAAGGAAGCTCATGGGGTTCATAAGATCAAAGAAAATTGTGTAAGCAAACATAGCACGAGACTTAGGGAGTGTTAAGAGACTAACTGATGTGAGCCAAGCATATGCATTAAGGAGATGTGAGAGACAGAAGGCTGGGAAGTTTGTCATGGTAGAAAGAAGGTTCTCCACCTGCATCCTACTGCATCCATGCCCAGGTGCAGGAAAGTTGGTTAAAAGACAGCCTCCACCTCTCAGCTGCTTCAAAGACTGCCTTAGTTGTGGAGAATCACTTTGCCCCAGGTCATGACTATTTCTAAGGTGGGTGGTTGAAAGTATTATAAAGGTGAGATCATTTAAGCCTAAAGAGAGGCTTAATGGGCAATATTCTCTGGAAAGCTCCCTGATGAGATGGCCAAGGTTTTGTTAGGCTTGTATTACCTTCTGACTGATTCCTCTGCTCAATCCTTTTTCATTATCAGGTGTTGACGTCTAATAAATACTCTGCAAACTGATGCCTCCGTTGTGGAGGAACTTGAATTCCAGAGTGAGGCACTTTGGCAGGTGATCAGGAATGACAAGTCTATCTTGAACTCAAGTGACAAGCTTGCATGTTAGGAAAACAAATTTGGCAGAAGCATGCACAGATGAGATTAAAGGGGAAGAATGTGAACTAGAAACAGGTGAAAACTTTTGCTGTAAACAAAGCAGGTGTAATAAAAGCCTGAAACAAGCTGTTTAAAAGAAAATAAATGTGAGAGACATTGAAAAGCAAGAATCTGCAAAACTCAGAGAGTGATTGGGTATGAGAGGGGTGAGGCAAAGGCAGAATCTCAATTTTCTTCAAAGTTTTAAATTTGAGGGTCTATGAAAATGGTAAGGCCCTCAACAAAAGTAAGGGAGTTGAGTACAGTAGGTTTCAGAATTAGGCAGAAAGATAATCTACAGTTTATATATTCTGCCATGTTTCCATAACTCACATTTCCCTAGGCCTCCTTCTCATATGGGGAATAAATTAATTCATAATAATAATCATAAACAGAATTGCAGCAGCAACTCTTTCTTTTCCAGATATTTCTGAGCATCCACAGGGTCCTCTCATGCATTTAGTAATAGCCTATTAATGCTCCTATGTCTTTGACCCTCCCTTGCTGAAGTCTGATATCTATTAACTTCAGATGGCATATGGAGCTCATCCCCTATCCAAGGTGCTGACATTCAGAGCTCTGGGTGCTGCAAACTCACTCAATGTTGCTGAATTTGCCACTGTGGTCACTTTTAAGTCTACAGTTCTGTGGCGTTCATTTCATTCACAATGTTGTGCAAATGTCACTACTATTTCCAAAGCTGTGGTTGTTTTTTAAACCAGTAATTAATTATAACAGGACTTTACTTTGTGGAACAGTTTAAGACTCATAGCAAAGTCAAACAGGAAGTACAAAAAGTCCCCATATATGTCCTCCCCACAAACACAGGCACTGTCATTAACATCCTGTGCCAGAGTGGTACATATGTTCAATTGATAAACCAAAATGGACACATTATCACTCAAAGTTCATAATTTACATTAATTTTCAGTCTTGGTGTTGTATGTTCTATGAGTTTTAACAAATATATGATAATAGGTATCCACCATTATAGTATCACACAGGATAGCTTCACTTCCCTAAAAATCACTGTGTTCCATTTATTTATTCCTTCTTTCCCCCAAACCTCTGAGATCCACTGGTCTTTTTACTGGTTCCATAGTTTTGCCTTTTCCAGAATGTCATACACTGTAATTGTAATCATGTAGTATGTAACATTTTTAGATTGGCTTATTTCTGGTAGTAATGTGCATTCAAGCTTCTTCTGTGTCTTTTTGGGATTTTGTAGCTAATTTCCTTTATTTCTAAAGAAGTATTTTTGCTGTAATTTTGTCCAGCTTGACTGAAGAATAAATGACAAGTAAAAATTTTATATATGTAAGATATAAATTGTGATGTTTTAATATACATATACATTGTGAGACAGTGATCACAATCAAGTTAATTAACATATCTATCACATCACATAGTTGCTTTTTCCTTTTGGGGTGAGAATACTGAAGATCTACTCTCTTGGCAATTTTTGGGTATACAGTACATCATTAATATATACATATATATTTTTTAAAGATTACTTTTATCGAAAGATTTTTTTCATAAAAATCTTTAACAGAGGAGGAGAGCTAGAGTATATTATGCTTAAATAAGCTGAAATTCTTGAGTATTTTGTAAAAGTTCTTCTCTGTGCTCAGTTTGACATATTTTAAATTAGAGTCTATCTTGATAAATTGCTTAGAATCTGAGCTTAAATTTCTTCTCTTCATTTTGTTGACAGAAGTCCTACACTGCTGATTTGCTTTCATTTTGTCTGAAGTCAGGACATTTCCCATAGCAGTTAAGTAATTTCTGTAATAACAATTCATGCATAATTGCTGGCTAACTATAGTATTATCCTTGCCATTTCTTTCTTTATTTTTTTGCTTTTCATTTTTTTAAATTATTATTATACTTTAACTTCCGGGGTACATGTGCACAACGTGCAGGTTTGTTACATATGTATACATGCACCATGTTGGTGTGCTGTACCCATTAACTTGTCATTTACGTTACGTATATCTCTTAATGCTATCCCTTCCCCCTCCCCCCACCCTATGACAGGCCCCGGTGTGTGATGATCCCCTTCCTGTGTCCAAGTGTTCTCATTGTTCAGTTCCCACCTATGAGTGAGAACATGTGGTGTTTGGTTTTTTGTCCTTGCGATAGTTTGCTGAGAATGATGGTTTCCAGCTTCATCTATGTCCCTACAAAGGACATGAACTCATCATTTTTCATGGCTGCATAGTATTCCGTGGTGTATATGTGCCACATTTTCTTAATCCAGTCAATCATTGATGGACATTTGGGTTGGTTCCAAGTATTTGCTATTGTGAATAGTGCCGCAATGAACATACGTGTGCATGTGTCTTTATAGCAGCATGATTTATAATCCTTTGGGTATATACCCAGTAATGGGATGGCTGGGTCAAATGGTATTTCTGGTTCTAGATCCTTGAGGAATCACCACACTGTCTTCCACAATGGTTGAACTAGTTTACAGTCCCACCAACAGTGTAAAAGTGTTCCTATTTCTCCACATCCTCTCCAGCACCTGTTGTTTCCTGACTTTTTAATGATCACCATTCTAACTGGTGTGAGATGGTATCTCATTGTGGTTTTGATTTGCATTTCTCTGATGGCCAGTGATGATGAACATTTTTTCATGTGTCTGTTGGCTGCAAAAATGTCTTCTTTTGAGAAGTGTCTGTTCATATCCTTCACCCTCTTTGTGATGGGGTTGATTTTTTTTTCTTGTAAATTTGTTTGAGTTCTTCGTAGATTCTGGATATTTGCCCTTTGTCAGGTGAGTAGATTGTAAAAATTTTCTCCCATTCTGTAGGTTTCCTGATCACTCTGATGGTAGTTTCTTTTGCTGTGCAGAAGCTCTTTCATTTAATTAGATCCCATTTGTCAATTTTGGCTTTTGTTGCCCTTGCTTTTGATGTTTTAGACATGAAGTCCTTGCCCATGCCTGTGTCCTGAATGGTATTGCCTAGGTTTTCTTCTACGGTTTTTATGGTTTTAGGTCTAACATTTAAGTCTTTAATCCATCTTGAATTAATTTTTGTATAAGGTGTAAGGAAGGGATCCAGTTTCAGCTTTCTACATAACGCTAGCCAGTTTTCCCAGCATCATTTATTAAATATGGAATCGTTTCCCCATTTCTTGTTTTTGTCAGGTTTGTCAAAGATCAGATGGTTGTAGATGTGTGGTATTATTTCTGAGGGCTCTGTTCTGTACCATTGGTCTATATCTCTGTTTTGGTACCAGTACCATGCCGTTTTGGTTACTATAGCCTTGCAGTGTAGTTTGAAGTCAGGTAGCATGTTGCCTCCAGCTTTCTTCTTTTGGCTTAGGATTGTCTTGGCAATGTGGGACCTTTTTTGTTTCCACATGAACTTTAAAGTAGTTTTTTCCAATTCTGTGAAGAAAGTCATTGGTAGCTTGATGGGGATGGCATTGAATCTATAAATTACCTTGGGCAGTATGGCCATTTTCACGATACTCATTCTTCCTACCCATGAGCATGGAATGTTCTTCCATTTGTTTGTATCCTCTTTTATTTCATTGAGCAGTGGTTTGTAGTTCTCCTTGAAGAGGTCCTTCACATCTCTTGTAAGTTGGATTCCTAGGTGTTTTATTCTCTTTGAAGCAATAGCGAATGGGAGTTCACTCATGATTAGGCTCTCTCTCTGTTATTGGTGTATAAGAATGCTTGTGATTTTTGCACATTGATTTTGCATCATGAGACTTTGCTGAAGTTGCTTATCAGCTTAGGGAGATTTGGGCTGAGACGATGGTGTTTTCTAAATATACAATCATACAAACAGGGACAATTTGACTTCCTCTTTTCCTAATTGAATACCATTTATTTCTTTCTCCAGCCTGATTGCCCTGGCAAGAACTTCCAACACTATGTTGAATACAAGTGGTGAGAGAGGGCATGCCTGTCTTGTGCCAGTTTTCAAAGGGAATGCTTCCAGTTTTTGCCCATTCAGTATGATATTGGCTGTGGATTTGTCATAAATAGCTCTTATTATTTTGAGATATGTCCTGTCAATACGTAATTTATTGAGAGTTTTTAGCATGAAGTGTTGTTGAATTTTGTCAAAGGCCTTTTCTGCATCTATTGAGATAATCATGTGGTTTTTGTCTTTGGTTCTGTTTATAGACTGGATTATGTTTATTGATTTGTGTATGTTGAACCAGCCTTGCATCCCAGGGATGAAGCCCACTTGGTCATGGTGGATACGCTTTTGGATGTGCTGCTGGATTCAGTTTGCCACTATTTTATTAGGAATTTTTACATGAATGTTCATCAGGGATATAGGTATAAAATTTCTTTTTTTTGTTGTGCCTCTGTCAGACTTTGGTATCAGGATGCTGCTGGCCTCATAAAATGAGTTAGGGAGGATTCCCTCTTTTACTATTGATTGGAATAGTTTCAGAAGAAATGGTACATGCTCCTCTTGTACCTCTGGTATAATTTGGCTATGAATCCGTCTGGTCCTGGACTTTTTTTGGTTGGTAAGCTATTAATTATTGCCTCAATTTCATAGCCTGTTATTGCGCTATTCAGGGATTCAACTTCTTCTTGGTTTAGTCTTGGGAGGGTGTATGTTCCAGGAATTGCTTCTAGATTTTCTAGTTTATTTGCATAGAGGTGTTTGTAGTATTCTCTGATGGTAGTTTGTATTTCTGTGGGATCGGTGGTGATATCCCCTTTATCATTTTTTATTGCGTCTATTTGATTCTCCTCTCTTTTCTTCTTTATTAGTCTTGCTAGCAGTCTATCAATTTTGTTGATCCTTTCAAAAAACCAGCTCCTGGATTCACTGATTTTTTTGAAGGGTTTTTTGTGTCTCTATCTCCTTCAGTTCTGCTCTGATCTTAGTTATTTCTTGCCTTCTGCTAGCTTTTGAATGTGTTTGCTCTTGCTTCTCTAGTTCTTTTAATTGTGATGTTAGGGTGTCAATTTTAGATCTTCCCTGCTTTCTCTTGTGGGCATTTAGTGCTATAAATTTCCCTCTACACACTGCTTTATATGTGTCCCAGCGATTCTGGTATGTTGTGTGTTTGTTGTCATTGGTTTCAAAGAACATCTTTATTTCTGCCTTCATTTCATTATGTACTTAGTAGTCATTCAGGAGCAGGTTTTTCAGTTTCCATGTAGTTGAGCGGTTTTGAGTGCGTTTCTTAATCCTGAGTTCTAGTTTGATTGCACTGTGGTCTGAGAGACAGTTTGTTATAATTTCTGTTCTTTTGCATTTGGTGAGGAGTGCTTTACTTCCAACTATGTGGTCAATTTTGGAATTAGTGTGATGTGGTGCTGAGAACAATGTATATTCTGTTGACTTGGGGTGGAGAGTTCTGTAGATGTCTATTAGGTCCACTTGGTGCAGAGCTGAGTTAAATTCCTGGATATCCTTGTTAACTTTCTGTCTTGTTGATATGTCTAATGTTGACAGTGGGGTGTTAAAGTCTCCCGTCATTATTGTGTGGGAGTCTAAGTCTCTTTGTAGGTGTCTAAGGACTTGCTTTATGAATCTGGGAGCTCCTGTATTGGGTGCATATATATTTAGGATAGTTAGCTCTTCTTGTTGAATTGATACTTTTACCATTATGTAGCAGCCTTCTTTTTCTCTTTTGATCTTTGTTGGTTTAAAATCTATTTCATCAGAGACTAGGATTGCAAACCCTACCTTTTTTTGTTTTCCATTGTCTTGGTTGATATTCCTCCATCCCTTTATTTTGAGCCTATTTGTGTCTCTGCACGTGAGATGGGTCTCCTGAATACAGCACACTGATGCGTCTTGACTCTTTATCCAATTTGCCAGTCTGTGTCTTTTAATTGGAGCATTTAGCCCATTTACATTTAAGGTTAATATTGTTATGTGTGAATTTGATCCTGTCATTATGATGTTAGCTGGTTATTTTGTTCGTTAGTTGATGCAATGTCTTCCTAGCATCAATGGTCTTTACAATTTGGCATGTTTTTGCAGTGGCCAGTACCGGTTGTTCCTTTCCATGTTTAGTGCTTCCTTCAGGAGCTCTTTGAGGGCAGGCCTGGTGGTGACAAAATCTCTCAGCATTTGCTTCTCTGTAAAGGATTTTATTTCACCTTCACTTGTGAAGCTTAGTTTGGCTGGATATGAAATTCTTGGTTGAAAATTCTTTCCTTTAAGAATGTTGAATATTGGCCCTCACTGTCTTCTGGCTTGTAGAGTTTCTGCTGAGATATCCGCTGTTAGTCTGATGGGCTTCCCTTTGTGGGTAATCCGACCTTTCTCTCTGGCTGCCCTTAATATTTTTTCCTTCATTTCAACCTTAGTGAATCTGACAATTATGTGTCTTGGAGTTGCTCTTCTCGAGGAGTATCTTTGAGGTGTTCTCTGAATTTCCTGAATTTGAATGTTGGCCTGCCTTGCTAGGTTGGGGAAGTTCTCCTGGATAATATCCTGCAGAGTGTTTTCCAACTTGGTTCCATTCTCCCTGTCACTTTCAGGTACACCAATCAGATGTAGATTTGGTCTTTTCACTTAGTCCCATATTTCTTGGAGGCTTTGTTCATTTCTTTTTACTCTTTTTTCTCTAAACTTCTCTTCTCGCTTCATTTCATTCATTTGATCTTCAATCACTGATACCCTTTCCTCCAGTTGGTCAAATCAGCTACTGAAGCTTGTGCATTCATCATGTAGTTCTCATGCCATGTTTTTCAGCTCCTTCAGGTCATTTAAGGACTTCTCTACATTGGTTATTCTAGTTAGCCATTCATCTAATCTTTTTTCAAGGTTTTTAGCTTCTTTGTGATGGGTTCCAACTTCCTCCTTTAGCTCAGAGAAGTTTGATCGTCTGAAGCCTTCTTCTCTCAACTCCTCAAAGTCATTCTCCATCCAGCTTTGTTCCATTGGTGGTGAGGAGCTGCGTTCCTTTGGAGGAGGAGAGGCGCTGTGATTTTTAGAATTTTCAGCTTTTCTGCTCTGTTTTTTCCCCATCTTTGTGGTTTTATCTACCTTTGGTCTTTGATGATGGTGATGTACAGATGGGGTTTTGGTGTGGATGTCCTTTTTGTTTGTTAGTTTTCCTTCTAACAGTCAGGACCCTCAGCTGCAGGTCTTTTAGAGTTTGTTGGAGGTGCACCCCAGACCCTGTTTGCCTGGGTATCAGTAGCGGAGGCTGCAAAACAGCAAATATTGCTGAACAGCAAATGTTGCTGCCTGATCGTTCCACTGGAAGCTTTGTCTCAGAGGGGAACCCGGCCGTATGAGGTGTCAGTCTGCCCCTACTGGAGGGTGCCTCCCAGTTAGACTACTCGGGGTTCAGGGACCCACTTGAGGAGGCAGTCTGTCCGTTCTTAGATCTCAAACTCTGTGCTGGGGGAACCACTACTCACTTCAAAGCTGTCTGACAGGGATATTTAAGTCTGCAGAGGTTTCTGCTGCCTTTTGTTTAGCTATGCCCTGTCCCCAGAGGTGGAGTCTACAGAGGCAGGTAGGCCTCCTTGAGCTGCGGTGGGCTCCACCCAGTTTGAGCTTCCTGGCCACTTTGTTTACCTACTCAAGCCTCAGCAATGATGGGCGCCCCTCCCCCAGCCTCATTGCTGCCTTGCAGATCGATCGATCTCAGACTGCTGTGCTAGCAATGAATGAGGCTCTGTGGGTGTGGGACCCTCTGAGCCAGGTGCAGGATATAATCTCCTGTTGTACTGTTTCCTAAGACCACTGGAAAAGTGCAGTATTAGGGTGGGAGTGATCCGATTTTCCAGGTGCCGTCCGTCACCATTTCACTTGGCTAGGAAAGGGAATTCTCTGACCCCTTGTGCTTCCCGGGTGAGGCGATGCCTCGCCCCGCTTCGGCTCATGCTCGGTGGGCTGCATCCTCTTTCCTGCCCCCACTGTCCTATAAGCCCCAGTGAGATGAATCCAGTACCTCAGTTGGAAATGCAGAAATCACCCATCTTCTGCATTGCTCATGCTGGGAGCTGTAGACTGGAGTTGTTCCTATTCAGCCATCTTCCACATCATTAATATTAACCCTAGTCACAATGTTGTACAGTAGATCTCCAGAAATTATTAATCTTTTAACTGAAAGTTTGAACCCTTTCACAAACATCACAGTATTTCTACCACTGCTGCCCCCCAAACCCTGGTAACAAACCTTCAACTTTCTGTTTCTATGAGTCTGACATTTTTAGATTCCACATATGATATAGTTTGGATGTTTGTCCCCACCCAAATCTCATATTGAATTGCAATCCCCAGTGTTGGAGGTGGGATCTGGTGGGAGGTATTTAGGTCATGGGGGTGGATCCTGCATGGTTTGGTGCTGTCTTTGTGAGATAGTGAGTTCTGACAATATCTGGTTGTTTAAAAGTGTTTGGCACCTCCTTCCCCAACTCTTTCTTGCTCCTGCTCTGACCATGTGATGTGTCTGCTCACCGTTTGCTTTCTGCCATGATTGTAAGCTTCCTGAGACCTCCTCAGAAGCCAAGCAGATGCCAGTACCATGCTTCCCGTAAAGCCTCAGAACTGGGAGTCAATTAAAACTATTTTTAAAATAAATTACCAAGTATCGGGTACTTCATTATAGCAATGCAAGAATGGCCTCATCCTACATATTTATGAGATCAGGCAGTATTTGTTATCATTCAGGTCTGGGCTTATTTCACTTTGCATAGTGAAATAAGTGTCCTCCAGTTTCATCCATGCTCTCTCAAATAGCAGGATGCCCTTCTTTTTTAAGGCAGAATAACATTCCACTGTTTGTGTGTCTGCATGCATGTGTGTGTGTGTGTGTGTCACTTTTTCTTTATGCATTCATCTGTCAAGAGCACTTAGGCTGTTTTCATGGCCTGGCCATTGTGAATAATGCTTCAATGAACATGGGAGTGCAGCTATTTTTTTTGAGTTACTGATTTCATTTCCTTTGGAAATACCCAGGCGTGGGATTGCTGGATCATATGGTAGTTCTATTTTTAATATTTTGAGGAATCTCTACATTATTTTCCATAATGTTTGTACCAATTGACGTTCCCACCAGCAGTATATATGCCTTCTCTTTTCTTTATGTCCTTGTCAACTCGTTATTTTTTGAATTTTTTATAGCAGCTATCTTAACAGGTGTGAGGTAATATTTCATTTGCATTTCCCTGATTATAAATGATGTTGAGCATTTTTTTTTACACATGTATTGGCTATTTTGTATATTTTCTTTAGAAAATGTCCATTCGGGTCCTTTGTCCGTTTTTTATCAGGTTATTATTATGACTAGTAGGTGTTGACTTACATTGATTCCTTATGTATTTTAGATATCAACCTCATATCAAGTATATGCTTTCAACAATTGTCTCCCGTTTTATAGGTTGCCGATTCATTTTATAGATTTCTTTTTTTTCCTGTACAGAAACTTTTTAGTTTGATGTAAGCCCACTTTTTAATTTTTGTTTTCTTGCCTGTGCTTTCGGTGTCATATCAAAAAATAATTTCCAAGACCAAAGTTATGAAAATTTCTCTCTGTATTTTCTTGTAGGAGTTTGATGGTTTCAGATCTTATGTTCAAGTCTTTAATCTATTTTGAGTTGATTTTTATGTATGGCAGAAAATAATGATCCAATTTTAATTTTTTGCATGTGGATATCCAGTTTTCCCAGCAACACTTATTGAAGAGACTATCCTATCCCTGATGTGCATTTTTGACACCTTTATCAAAGATTAGTTGATGATTGATATAGTTTGAATATTTGAACTTGCCAAAATCTGATGTTGAATTTTCATCCCTAATGTTGGTGGTGGAGCCTGGTGAAAGCTGATTGGATCGTGAGAGTGGATTCCCTCATGGCTTGGTGTTGTCCTCACAATAGTGAGTAAGTTCTCCTGAGATCTAGTTGTATAATCATGTGTAGCTCTGCCCCCTGCCACTCTCTCTTGTTTCTCTTTTGCCATGTGATGTGCCTGCTCCCACTTCACCTTCTGCCACAAGTAAAACCTCTCTGAGGCCTTTCCAGAAGCCAAGTAGATGCCGGCACTATCCTTGTACAGCCTGCAGAACTGGGAGCCAAGAAAACCTCTTTTCTTTGTAAATTACCCAGTCTCAGGTATTTCTTTATAACAATGCAAGAACAGCCAAATACAACAATAAAATCATAGGTTTATTTTTGGGGTCTCTATTCTGTTCTATTAATCTATGTGTCTGTTTTTATGCTAGTATCACAGTGTCTTGATTATTACAGCTTTGAAATAGAATTTGGAATCAGGAAGTGTGATGCCGCATGCTTTGTTCTTCTTGCTCAATTTAGTTATTCAGTGGTGTTTTGTGGTTTCATATGAATTTTAGTTTTTTTTTCTACTTCTGTTAAAAATTTGGAATTTTGATAGGGATTACATTGAGTCTGTAAATCACCTTGAGTAGTGTGGATAATTTGACAATATTAATTTTTCCAATCCGTGGACACGGAATATCTTTTCATTTATTTATGTCTACTTCAATTTCTCTTATCAATGTTTATAGTTTTCAATGTACAAATCTTCCAGCTTCTTGGTTAAATTTATTCCTATTTTATTCTTTTTGATGCCATTGTAAATGAAATTGTTTTCTTAATTTCTTTCTTGGATAGTTAATTGTCAGTATACAGAAACACAACTGATTTTCTTATGGTGATTTTTTATCCTATAGCTTAACTGAATTAGTTTGTTAGCTCTGACATTTTTTAAAGGAGTCTTTAGGTTTTTCTATATATAAGATCATGTCATCTGCAAACAATAGACAGTTTTAATTCTTCCTTTTTCATCTGGATTTTTTTTTTTTTTTTTTTGACTAATTGCTCTGGTTAGTGCTTCCATCAGTATGTTGAATAGAAGTGGCGAAAGCGGGCTTTCAGCTTTTCTCTATGATGTTATCTGTGGGCTTATATATAGTCTTTAGTAAATTCCTTCTACAGCAAATTTGTTGAAAGTTTTTATATAAAAGGGTAATGAATTTTGTCAAATGCTTTTTCTGCATCTATTGACATAATCATATGATTTTCATTTTTTATTCTGTTAATACATTTTTTCACAGTTAATGATTTGTGTATGTTAAACCTTCCTGCACACCAGGGATAAATCTCACTTAGTCATGGTGTATGGTCCTTTTACTCTGCTGTTGAATTTAGTTTGCTGGTATTTGTTGAAGATCTTTGCATCTATGGTTCATTAATGGTTTGGCCTATAGTTTTATTTTCTTGTAATGTTCTTGCCTGATTTTGTTAGCAGACTTAAGCTGGCCTCACAGAATGAGTTTGGAAATGTGTCCTCTAATTGAATCTTTTGGAAGAGTTTAAGAAAGATTGGTATTAATTCTTCTTTAAATGTTTAGTAGAACTCACCCATGAAGCCAGCAGGTCCTGGGCTTTTCATTAATGGGATATTTGATTATTGTTTCAATCTCCTTACTTGTTACTGGTCTATTTAGATTTTCTATTTTTCATGATTTAGTTTTGATAGGTTGTACTCTCAATAAATGAGAGTTCCTGTTGGTTTACATTTTTGTCAGCATTTGATGACAAGACTCATTTTATAATTTTTTTTTATTGCGGAGTTTTAAGAAATCTTTGAGTATTTGGCTAACAGTCATTTATCACATATGTGTTTCACAAATATTTCTCCCAATCTGTGGCTTGGAACATGTGGCTTCTTCTTCATTCCTAAGAGAGACTCTATAATCATTAAGCAAAAACTCCCCAGCTCCTGGTAATATCTAATCTTCTTTCTGTTTCTGTTAGTTTTTCTATTCTAAATATTTCATATAAGTGGAATCATATAATGGTTTTCCTTTTATGTCTGGCTTATTTCACTTATCATAATGTTCTAAAGGTACACCCATGTTGTAGCATGTATCAGAATTTCATTCCTTTTATGGCTAATAAAGATAATTCCATTGTCTGTATATTCCACATTTTGTTATTCATCCATCTGTTGATGAACATTTGGTTTGTTTCTACTTTTTGGCGATTGTGAACACTGATACAATGAACATTGGCATGCAACTTTCTGTTTGAGTCCTTGTTTTTAATTCTTTTGGACATATACTTAGGAGTGGGATTGTTGAGTCATCTGATAATTCTATGTTTAGCTTGTTGAGGAAGTGCCAAGCAGTTTTTCACAGAATCTGCACCATTTAACTAAATTCCTATTTTTCTACTCATCTGAAAATGGGATAATGCCCTCTCCTCCACTTGGCTGACACTTGTCAGTATGAACCTTGAAGAAGCCTGTTAAAGCATGGATCTCAAGGGCTCCCTCTTGATATCTATTTCTCCATAGGCCTAGGTCACAAAGAATGTTCAGGAGCAATGACCTGTTTTGAATCTACCACCTTTAACCAGTAAACATTTTAATGCTCCGATTTCAAACTAAGGTAGCTTTAATTTTCCGTTTTGAAATAAATCTATTTTAATTGCCAGTTTACAGTCATTTTTTATTTGATTTTTAAGAATTTTTTGCCTGCCAAATATGGGAGACACTCTTCAGTGATGAGGAAAAAGCAGTGAACAAACAGAAAAATTTCCTGCAATTGTGGAGTTTATATTTTAGTATGAGGAAATAAAAATAAACACATTTTATAAAAAGCAAGACAATTATAGGTTAGGAGAAGTGTTAATAAGGATGATGATATAATAAAAAGTAACTCTGAAAAAAATATTATAGAGAGGGTGGCCAGTGAAGATTTATCCAAAGTGAATTTTAAAATGAGACTTGAAGGATGAGAAAGAGCCAAACCTGTGAAGAAAATGTGGTGGTGGTGGGAGTAGGGTATTTTGAAGCATAAGGAACAGCCAAGACAAAGCTGTTAAGGTTGGAAAGATCTTGGCATGTTTGAGGTACATAAAGAAGGACAGCAGAGAAAATCATAGTGAACAGTAAAGAGAGATACAAGAAGAGTTAGAGCAGCATGCAAGACTCTGCAACACATCAGAACCTGCCAGCGATTTAGAATTTATTCCAAGGGCAATTAGAAGGTTTAGATAGGAGGATAACATGCTGAAATTGTAATATGATATTTGGTTTTTGTACTAAATCTACTGTCTTATTTGCAGAATGCCAGTCATGCCCATGACAATCACACTGTCCGGGACATACATAAGGGAATTTCATACAGCTTTATGGTTTGAATGTGTTCCCAAAAAACAGTGTTGGAAACTTAATTGTCATTGTAATAGTATTAAGAGGTGGAACCTTTAAGAGGTGATTAGGCCACGATTGCTCTGCCCTCATGAATGGATTAATGCTGTTATTGAGGAATAGGTTTGTTATCAAGGGAGTAGTTTCCTTATAAAGTGAGGATTTTGGCCCCTCTCTGTCTCTTTCACTCTCTTGCCATGTGATGCCTTCTGTTGTTATAACACAGGAAGAAGGCCCTGGCAGGATGTCAACTCCTTAATCTTGGACTTTCCAGCCTCCAGAACTGTAAGCCAATAAATGTCTGTTCATATAAACAACTAAGTCTGTAGTATTCTGTTATAGCGGCACAAAACAGATTAAGTCAGTGTTTTAGTTTGTTCTCACACTGCTATAAAGAACTACCTGAGACTGGGTATTTTATGAAGAAAAGAGGTTTAATTAACTCACAGTTCCACAACAGGAAGCATGACTGGGAGACCTCAACAAACTTATAATCGTGGCAGAAGAATGAAGGGGAAGTAAGCACCTTCTTCACAGGGTGATAGGAGAGAGAGAGAACGAAGCAGGAAGTGCTACACACTTTTAAACCATCAGATTTCATGAGAACTCATCATCATGAGAACAGAAAGGGGAAAATCCATCCCCATGATCCAAGCATTTCCTATGAGGGTCCTCTCCTGATACATGGGGATTACAATTTAACATGAGATTTGGGTGGGGACACAGCGTCAAACTATATCAATCAGGCAAAGTGTGGCTTTTCTCTCTTTTCATCTTTGGGAATTAGAAGAGTGTTTTAGGGTGGGGGTCCTTAACTAATGTTTAAAAACATTAAAATTTTATGAACTCAGAGCTTATTGTGTTATATCCCAAAAAGATATCTTCCATAAACCTAAGAGAGTAGAACCAAATAGTACCAAAAAGATAATCCTTTTTTTTTTCTTAGAGACAGAGTCTCACTCTGTTGCCCAGGATGGAGCACAATGGCAAAATCCCAGCTCACTGCAGCCTCAAGCTCCTGGGCCCAAGCAATCCTTCCACCTTAGCCTCCTGAGTAGCTGGGACCACAGGCATGTGTGACCATGCCAAACTTATTTATTTATTTATTTATTTATTTATTTATTTATTTATTTAGAGAAGGGGGTCTCCCTATGTTACCCAGGTTGGTCTGAAACTCCTGGGCGTAGGCTATTCTCACACCTCCCAACATGTTCAAATTATTTATGAAGTACAATGTGATGTTTTAATACATGTGTGCATTGTGTAACAATCAAGTCAGAATAATTATCATACCATCATCTCAAACATTTATCATTTCTCTATGATGAGAACATTCAAAATCATCTCATCTAGCTATTTTGAAATATATAATATATTCTTATTAACTATATTCACTTTATAATAATCTTTAACATTAGTCTAGAGTTGGGATTCAGGGCTTGCAGTCAATTATTTGCAAATATGATGCTGCGGTGGCGATAATCCTATATGGTTAGTATGTTTAGCATTTCAAAGAATGAGAAGGAATGAGGGAGACATGAAGGAAGAGGGGAAAGAGGAGGAGGAGAAGGAGGAGTTGGGAAAGGAGGACAAACACAAGACAAGAGAAATAATACAATGGGTAGGGTAAATCTGGGGCTTTGCCCCAGACTCTCCTGTAACTGGCTCTACTTTTTCTTAAAATTAAGATGGGCTTCTTTCCCTTGTTTTCCATGGGACATCTTTATCATCCACCAATACATTTTGCAGTTTGGCAAAAACTAGTTTAGTAGGTTTATTTTACTTGCTACCCTAATGAGAAATCAGTCAAGGGAAAGGCATAATTTTCATGGAGTAGGATTCTTTGGGACATCTTTATGTATAAAGTTATGACTGGGTACACTTAGAATAAGTAGAAGAAAAAGGAAAGGAATGCCATACATGGCACCAGCAGGTCCCTATATTTAGGATGAAATCTTCCTCAATTTCAGTCTGCTGGAACTCTTCTTTCTATGAAAATATATTATAAGAGGAGATAGACAGCAAAAAGGGGAAGGAAAACACGATCTTTTTCCTGGCATGCCCTTGTATGCCCATGAATATTCACTTTCAGTGGAAACTGGAGAATTTCTTGTTCTTCCTATGTGTTACTGTTAGGATACCAAATTGCCACCTGGTGTTCAGATTATTGCCCTGTGTCCTCATATTGGGAACTTAAAAGGACATTGCTTTTAATTTTCAGCTTAGAGTTCAAAATGGCTTGGTGTGCCTCTCTTTGGAAAAGTTATAAGACAAAACCTTCCATAATGTGATTATAGATTTTGCTTCTCCTGTGGAAGTCCCATTTTATGAATAATAAAAATTGTTCTATTATGTGGACACGTGAGCATGCTTGTGGCCATTCTGTTTTCATGCTTAGTGCTAGAGAAGGAGTCATTGACCCCAACTCTTGGTCCTGAGACATCATTGCCATCCGAATAACCCAAGCAGGGCACATTCCTAATATTCTATGTGATCTGAAAGTAGCATTGATGATAGAAGAGTAATTGTACAGTTATAAATCACAACTGGCTTATGAAGCAGTTAGGCCTTTTCAAGGCACACTTGTGTCAGCTCCCAAACTCCTTGAGTTTTAGAGAGGTTTGTGTTGAACAAGCCAGTTAGAGGAATCTTATTCAGAGCATATTGCTTTCACCCATTTAAAAGTAATGACACAATGTTATACCAACAACAAGAGAAGTTCAAAAATAAATACTCCTACTATTAACTCTAAAACCTTAATATATTCTTACCACTTTCTATGTTCTCTGCCAATATACAGTAATAAATTTACCAAGTGGCATTCATGGAGTAAGATTTTCAGGTTTTAATTTGAACATTATACAGCAAATACTTGAATGAATACTATACAGCAAATATTTCTCATCATTAATTGTATATATGTGATTACTTTTATGTTCACAAAATTTTTATTGAGATATACAAAGCACAGAGAAAGTCACAGCTCTAATTATCCCAAAGTGAACACTCATGTCACCAGCACCCAGATAAAAATCAGATCATTGCCAGCAGCCCAGGTTCCTCCCGTGTCCTGCTTCCAGGTGTTCTGAATGCCCCCAAGAGTAACCACTCTCCTGACTTTCACCTGCCTTGATTAATTTTGCCTGTAAGTGGAGTCACACAGCACATACATTTTGCACTTGCTTTTTTTCAATCAGCATTATTTATGTGAGGTGTACTGTGACGATCTGAATGATTTTGTCCCCTGCAAGTTCATATGTTGAAATCCTACCTTCAAGGTAATGAGATTAGGAGGTGGAGAGTTTAGGAGGTGATGAGAGGCCATGAGAGTGGAACTCACATGAGTGGGATTAGTGCCCTTATAAAAGAGGCCAGGGAAAGCTCTCTCACACATTTCGCCATGTGAGTACACAGCTGGAAGTGCCATCTAGGGCCCAGGAATAAGGCCCTCATCACACAATGAACAGGGCAGCATTTGGATCTTGGACTTCCCAACCTCCAGAACTGTGAGGAATAAATTTCTGCTGTTATAATGTGAACCCCAAATATCTGAGACAGGTCTCAGTTAATTTAGAAAGATTATTTTGCCAAGATTGATGAAGCATGCCCTTGACACAGCCTCAGGAGGTCCTGACGACATGTGCCCAAGGTGGTTGGGGCACAACTTGGTTTTATACATTTTAGGGAGACATGAGATATTAATTGTTATGTGTAAGATGTACATTGGTTCTGCCCAGAAAGGTGGGACAACTTGAAGCAGGGAAGGGGCTTCCAGGTCACAGGTAGGTGAGAGACAGTTGATGCATTCTTTTGAGTTCCTGATCAGCCTTTCCAAGAGAGGCAATGAGATATGCAGCATCTATCTCAGTGAGCAGAGGGAGATGACTGAATAGAATGGGAGGCAGGTTTGCCCTAAGCAGTTCCCAGCTTGACTTTTCCCTTTAGATTAGTGATTTGGGGGACGCAAAATTTATTTTTCTTTCACAATAAGCTACCCAATTTATAGCATTTTGTTATAGCAGCCCAAGCAGACTAAGACATTTGTTTGCAGTATCACAGGTACTTGAAGTCTGCTCCTTTTCATTGTTGTGTAGTGTTCCATTATTTTAATAAATCAAAATTTATTCCAATAGTAACCAGCATTTGAGTGACTTCTGGGTTGGGCCATGATAAACAATGCTACCAGGAACACTCTTGTACATTGTGTGGGTGTGTGGGTATGTCTGTGAAAATGATTCTTTTTTGTGTATATACCTAGGTGTGGTTAGTTCTAGATAAATCATGACTAATTGACTAAAAAATAATGAAATGGTTGGTGGAAAAGTTTCCCAAGTATAAATCATATTTCAAAAGATGTATCAAATACCCCTTATGGATTGTTGTGACGTTAAATGTGATCATACACATACAAACACACACATTACTTAGCACAGTGCCTGGAAGGCAGGATGCACTTAATAAAGGTTAATCGAATGGGCAGACATAAACAGCTTAACAAGAAGTTGGTATTAAAGGCAACAATATGTTTTAAAGATTGGCATTTATCTACTTAAATATACGACTTTGAAAGCCCTCCTCTTACCGTAATTTGGACATTTTTCTTGTTTTATCTTTAAGAGAAATTTCCTAATTTCTCCTATACTTTATAATGGCATATTTGAGAATTGGACACAAATAGGAATATGATAATGCTGGATTTAATTCTTCTCAAGTAAATTTGCTTAACACTTAATAGTACATTGTCTAGGTATAACCTTACTACCAGGCAGAAATAAGGTTGTGTAAAGCACACAGTAGAGATCCATAGGGCCTCTGATGACAAAGTAGATGTTTCTGCATTTGCAGAGAAACAGACTGAATAGTGCCTGTTGCAGTAATCTTCCATAGCTGCATATGCTCCCTCCCACCCCAACCAGCCTTTGCAACACAATCTCATTGCTCTTGAATTTTGCAGACAGAGTTTTGATTTTAGTATCTGGCCCATGAAACAGTGTTCATACATCTGTCCATTTGGAAAGCCTTTATTAGCAGACTAAATCCCTTAAATCTGGCAAGAAGGGGCTGCTGGCTTTCCAAGTATTGTGGATGGATGGCTGACTGAGGGATCCAAATTTGAAAATTGGCTCCCATCTTCTTATGATGTGTCATTCTGCAAATGACTCAAAGTGAAGCAAAAAAAGAGAATTCTTAGGTTCTGTCCTTTTCCTCTTCAGTTTCTTTAAGCTTGCTGTTCAAGCAACCCAAATCAAGCAAAATATAATGAAAAAACATTTTGCATATGTTTGCTTCGGCAATGTGTAATGTGTAGAATTATAGTTCCCTCAAGAAGGAGTTGTGTTTTTCTCTTGAGTCATTTTGTTCTATGAATTCAGGATTATGCCTATTCAGTGGCCTCCCTTCATTTTTTGAATGTTCTCAAGGTATTTGAGGGAATACCTTGAGCAGGACAGCATAATGGGGATATCAAGTCAAATGCCTATAGGGGCCAGGAAGGTGGTAGGAAAGGGTGAAATTTTGTATGTAAGCTAAAGGAAGGGGCAATGGCATTTCCAGTGGAGAATGTATGCTTTCTGTGAAAGTATACAAATGCATTAAAAAAACTCTGATATTACATGATTTCTACCCTATCTTCATCCAATATACTTTGTGTTCTCTCTCTCTCTCTCTTTCTCTCTCCCTCATTCATACTCATGCACAAGCACATATCCTCCAAACTATAGTAGAATAGTTTGCTGCTAGTCTGCATTTCTGGAGTGCCATTTGTTACTCCTAGTTTGGATCATAAAAATATGATGAAGATTTAGCACAATAGTGTTAAATGGATGAGTGTGTGTGTGTGTGTGTGTGTGTGTTCATAAAATTAGTCTGGGTGGTACCAGATTGCTTTCCAGAATCCTATACCAGCTATCCTTCTCATAAGCAGCTCACAAGGGTCTCCACATCCCTGTGAGCACTGGGCAACATCCAACTTTCCAATTGTGGCCAATTTAAAAGGTGTAATGGGGTATCTCACCGATGTCTTCATTTGCCTTTTCTGATTTCAATTTTGAATGTTCTTTCAAATTCTTGTGAGCATTTGGGGTTTCTTTCCTGTAAACTGCTTGTCCGTTTCCTTTTTTCTTCTCTAGTTGATTATAAGAATTCCCTGTAGGTTCCAGATAGTGAAATCTTAGTTAAGGCATTGTACATATCACCTCCCTTTCTTTCACGCATTAACTTCTTCACAAAATTCCTTAATTTCATTCCAGATAGTGAAATATTAGTTTAAGGCATTGTACATATCACCTCCCTTTCTTTCACCCATTAACTTCTTCACAAAATTCCTTAATTTCATTGAAATCAGAGTAACATGTTTTTCTTCATAGACTGTGCTTTGGAAGTTTTATTAAAGGATCCCTTTAACCCAACATGTGCTTAAGAAGGAAGAGGCTCCATCCGTGTGTCCTCAGAGACTGGACATGCTCTCAGAAATAGTCTGACAGTAACAAACTTGCAGGCAGTCCCTTAATCCATGTAGATGCCTCACAACAAGTCAGTACCCCTCTTCTCCTCAGTAGGAAGATATGTTTAAATATGGGAACACTAGCCACAAAAGTGATTCTTTGTGTGCATGATAATTAGAGAATTGTCTATTCCTCTTCTGCTGTGGCTTCCTCTCTCACAGGAGCCTCTTAAGCCGTATTGGCACCCACTGCATCAGTCATTGAGAAGAACCCTGACAAGGTATGGAGATGCTGGAGTTCACTGTGTCCTCCAGGAGATATTCAAAACCAAAAGATCATGCAAAGTGTATATGGCCATTGTTATTTTGGATCTACTATTCCTTGTATATTTATAGGTAGAATCTTGGCCTAACACAACAGAGAATGAAATATTAGAATGTTCTATTTCTAAATGAAGACTGGGAAAACATAAGCTCATGATGTTGCCTCTAAAATTTGAGCCCTATCTTCAGTGATTTTTTTAGAGACCAAAATAGCAGTACTATCCTAAGGCTTGCATGAAATGACTCCTTCTGTTAAGTAATCAGTTGGCATTGGACATCCTAAGTCATGTAAGGAAAATATATTATGTCCCAGGAGAGCCCACATTTGGTTAGTGAGACACAAAGACTGACAGAGATACTTAATTGAATGAAAAATACTGTGATGTAGGTTTAAGGGAATGTTATTGTTGCCAATGATACTTTTAAATATATAGAAATTGGTTCTGCTATGAATGCTTCATCACTATTTTTTACCTGATGGAGATTATTCATCACCCAAGTAATACTGTGCAGGTTTTTGCAAGCCTTTTAGCCTGTAAACTTAAACTTTTTTTCTTATTCCCGGACATCCACATTTTACACCCACTCCCTTTTGACAAAGCATGTCACAGGAAGTTACCCTAATCTACTGCCTGTCATGGATATTGAATAACATTGCTTTATAACTTTGACTTCCTTTTGAATTACTATGTGGTATATATTTTCAACAGTGTCAAAAACACTGAAAGTAATGTTTTCATCACATTTCCTATAACTGTTATGGTTTAGAATATTAGAATACAAATCTAGAATTATCAATTCTACTCCAAATAATTTGGAAATTTAAAAAATCTCAAATGTAGCTTTTAATCTATGAGTAATTGCTAAACTTAATGCTAAATATTTTAGGATTTTCATCATTGATCTAAAAGTAAAGATGGCATACAAATAAGGTATTACGAGCATTTGGAAGCTGGACTCCTTTTTTTTCTGTAAAAATGAATATCTTTAACATAGGGACAATTACTAATGCAGTATCAAAATGGAATATTGTATTTTCTTATAACTGACCCCAACCAGCTGAACTGGTTAAATTAACATGAACTTTAAGTGACTCAGTATACCAGACTCTTACTAGACAAAACTGAAGACATTTTTTGACCAATGAACAAAGGAAATTGTTTAGTAAAGCATTTCAGACTCATTCTGTGACATTCAAGTGCAAGCTTTCAATGCTCGATGAGCATGATCACCAGGAAAATCCCTTCCTAATTATTGAAACCCCAGTTTCTTCCTCTTTGCAAAATACACAGTAAATTTCTTTGCTTATACTCTCTTACTTGGCAAGTATATTTTGTTTTTTAAATTCTAGAGGTCTTTGTTTTATTCTTTGGTACATGTGTGTTGCTGTATCTATAACAATATACCACCGGAAGAAGCAGCGAGATAATTATCCAAGATTTTTAATTTGAACATCATTAAATACTTCAATTTCTATTCCAGTATTTTCTGCCACACATTGTATCCATGTGTTAATGGACAGTTGGTGTTGGAGAATCTTCAATAGTTGTCTACTCTGCCATCTTTCCCAGCTTCTCTCCCTCTCGCTTCTCACAGGAAACTTCTTAGGGATAAAACTTGGCAGTGCAGTCAATATGCTGGCACCATTCACAATGAGAAAACTATAAAGTTGTGTACTTAACTAAAATCACTAAAGATTTATAAAAAGATAGTTGGTGGGTTATTTCTTAGAGCTTGGAAATAAAACTGATCAAAATGAGAAAGAGAAAGCGTGAATAATGAAAATAAAATGAATCATATTTATTGAATGCTTACTATTGAATCATCTTGCGGACTTTGAAAAAAGCTTCCTGAAATCAGTCCTTCCAACAACACTGAGAAGTAGCTGCAACCATTATCTCTATTTCACAGATGAGGAAATGGAGAAGCATGGAGAGAAAGACTAACTAGCTAGCTTTGAATGGTTTAATGAACCAGTTAGACTAGGAAAAAGCCTGATTCCCAAAGCCCTTTATTTAATGGCTACATTTAGTGACGTATTATGTTGAGCTTGATTGTGGACAGGGCTGGCTAATTCCTGAAGATGGATTAGAAAGAATTCCTAGGCTGTCACATAACACAACATTGAAATTGCTTATCTTTAGGAGCAATCAACCATGAATGCCTCTGAATGAGAGGAAGAGTATTGCAGAGTGCTTGAGAAAGCCACACAAACGGAAAATTGTAGAATATGTTATGGCGCGTGTAGTCGACTATGTGTTTTTGTCCTGCCCCTCCCCCTGCAAATTCATATGCTTAAATACTAAGCCCCAATAGGGTGTTATTAGAAGGTGGGGTTTGGAGAGGTAATGAAATCACTAGTATGAAGCCCCCATTTTGAGATTAGTGCCCTTAGGAAAGGGATTCCAGAGAGCTCTCCCATTCTCTTTTAATGAGGACAAAGTGATGAGTTGGCAGTTTTCAACCTGGAAGAGAGCACTCACCAGAACCCAAGCATGCTGACACCCTGATCTCAGACTTCCAGGCTTCCAAACGCTAAGAAACACATTTCTGTTGTTTGTAAGCCATCCAGTCTATGGTACTTTGTTATAGCAGTCCAAACCCACTAAGACAGCACATATACATTATAGAATATTATAGCACTCTCATGATCAAGTAATAGGAGTTGACATAAGGAAGTTTCTATAACTGACATTGTTCAATGAGAAAGACAAGATGAAGAGTAGTGTTTAATGTAAATTCATATTTTACAAAGCCGTTATTTCTTCATTTTATTCTTTTATTTCTTTGTAAAATATGAATTTACATTAAACACTACTCTTCATCTTATCTTTCTAAAACTAAAACTCCATGTAAATATATGGTTCATATATATAGCATGTGTATGTGTGTATATAAGTAAGAAAATGATAAACCAGGTGCTAACATGGATTACCTTAGAGCATAGTTATGGTAGTCATAGTGGATACATAGTTGGAGAAGAGAATGAAACAAGAAACCAAAGATTACATTGGATACAAGTAAACAAACCAAAAACCACAAAAGCACCCCACCATGCAAAATAACCCCATTTGAGTAAAATAGTAGATATATATTGTTATGGACTAAATTGTGTCCTCCAAAAATGGTATGTTGCAGTCCTGACCTCCAGTATCTCAGAATGTGAGCCTATTTGGAAAAGGGACCTTTAAAGAAGTAATCAAGTTAAAATGAGGTGTTAGGGTATGTCGAATCCAATATGACTTGTGTCCTTACAAAATGGGGAAATTTAAACACAGAAGGAGAAATATGTGGAAGGAAGATGATGTGAAGAGACACAGGGAGAAGACAGCCATCTACAAGCCATGGAATCCTGGAGGCTGTCAGAGCTAGGAGAGACGCCTGGAACAAGGCCTCCCCTCACAGCCCTCAGAAGGAACCAGCACTGACATCACCTTGATTTTAGACTTCTAGCCTCCAGAACTACACGATAATAAATTTCTGTTTTTTGAGTCACCTAATTTCAGGTCTGTTTCTATGACAGCATTTGCAAGCTAAAACATGGGTGTATACATTCATAGTGATATTAGATGAGAGAAAGATAGAATCTAACTACTTTCATTTGTGGAGATGCCTAAGATATATTGTGAAGAGAAAAAAGAAACAGAATCAGGATAATATATGCAGTATGCTTCTATTAAATAAAAAGTGAATAAGAAAAATATATTTTTAATTAGGTGGGAATTTAAATACCATCGTTCCCACTTCTTATCGTGTAGGAACTTGGTCACGTTACATTCCGTTTTCTCATCTGTTCAGTGGGACTGATAATCCTCATGTCTTAAGATTGCTTGAGGAATAAATGGCAAAATACTGTGTGTGGAGCTCTAGGCCTTCTTTGCTCTTCCCTGTGTCTGGAAGATATTGACACAGCTGACTCTTTACCCTACATGTCATCATATTGGATGGCTTCTCCTGACCAGCCATATCCCCCCTCCTTTTTTCTTCCTACAGCATCCAGTTTGCCTTATTCATAGCACATTTCACAGTCTCACATTTTGTGTTCCTTTGATTACTGGTTTATTTCTTGTTTTCCCCATAGTACATTTACTCCATGAAGGCAATTGTTATTTTTGTCCTATTCACCATTGCACTCCAGTGCCTAGATCATTGTCAGGCACAAAATGGCAATCAGAAAATGTTTGTTGCATGAATTTCTGAATGCACACAACTGCTTTGCACAAGATTTATCACATTGTAGATCCATAGTAAATGTTAGCTATCATTTGTGTTGTTATTTTTTATTACACAGGTATATGATCCCCTCGGTGATGTGCCAAAATCCATATATGGAGAAAGAGAGGAAGTTTCCTCCAAACATCAACCCCCTTGTTCACCTCCAACATGGGAAATGCGCTTCTCCTGACAGAGACAAACAATTTGGTCTGAGCTCTATTATAATTTAGCATTATTTCAGAATGTGTTCATGGGCCACATTCTATTCAAAATTAATATTATGGAGTTCTTAGGTAGGCAAATAGTTATCCAACCATCTACAGGTACCCTTTTACATAATGTGACCTCATTTGGCACAGGTAATTGTCAGACACATAATTATGTTTAAATATAAAATAGGAGGCCAGGAGCGGTGGCTCACACCTGTAATCCCAGCACTTTGGGAGGCTGAGGCCGGCGGATCATGAGGTCAGGAGATTGAGACCATCCTGGCTAACACGGTGAAACCCTGTCTGTACTAAAAATACAAAAAATTAGTCAGGCGTGGTGGCAGGCGCCTGTAGTCCCAGCTACTTGGGAGGCTGAGGCAGGAGAATGGTGTGACCTGGGAGGCAGAGCTTGCAGTGAGCTGAGATCATGCCACTGCACTCCAGCCTGGGGGACAGAGTGAGACTCTGTCTCAAAAAATAGGAACTACTGTTCTTCATCCAGAATTGTAACAACACCCATCTGGAGGATGATATGGTAGTTGCTGAGAAACAGTCCAGGTAATAATAATTGTTGGATAGAGTATTAACATAAAACCCAAGAAGAATGAATAGATTCAGGTGAGCAAATTGTAGTGATCCAAAGGCAATTTGTTAGGATTAGTAATCTAATTGTTATAATAGGTGTCCTGACTATTATTATTGGCAAAATGGTGCTTAGCATGTGGCTTCAAAGCCCTCAGCATTAGCCTTTGCAGGCAATAGTTTTTGCCCTTCCTATAATTTACATCAAGTACACATGACAGCTAAGCACATAAACTTGTGTGGTGTGTTGCTTTAATACTCCTTGAAGGAATCAAAATACATCAAATTTTTAAAAATTTAGGAGATGAAGGGGAGAACAGACTCAGACATTGTTATAGACTGTCCGCAAACTTTCTAAAACCAGGAACACATTCTCATTAGTCTCATTGCCAGAATTCCTAAGTGCTGAGTAAGAATGGGCACCATTCAATTGAGCTCCTGTTCATTGATCTGACTTCTTTTATTTTTATTTTTATATATTTTTTAGAGATGTTTCACTATGTTGGCCAGGTTGGTCCTGAACTCTTGGCCTCAGGCAGTCCTCCCACCTCGGCCTCCCAAAATGCTAGGATTACAGGCATGCGCCACCATACCCAGCCTTATCTGACTTCTGATTTTGAAAAATTAGAATCTGTCTAGCCCTTCTTTCATTTGACATTGCTTTAGAAGACTGAAGCTTGTAATATGTTCCCGCCTTTCTTTAAGCTAACAGTTTCCAACGATTTTACAACACTTATTTCTCTTGAAAGTAGAGGCTGAATTGACCCTGGATCCTGTCATGGATTTTAATCCCTTAAAAATCTGAAAGAGGAAGGGGCAGAACTCATGGTGTGTAAAGTTGCAGCTTCAGGAAGCATGGCCCAAACAAAGCTGGGTGTCAGCTCCACTACTTGGACACATACCAGGATTTTCTAACACCCTCCATGGGAGTTGGGGTCAGTACTTATAATACATTCAAACTGAGATATCATGTGAATATCCACACATAAGTCATTTTCCAAATAATTGAAATAATTTATGCATCATGCAGACAGGCAAATAGGCATTAAATTGATTAGATGATTTACTCATTTAGTGGGACAAAGACATTCGTAAAACTGGCCTCATATTTTAAGTTTTATTTTTAGAATACACTTTATAAGGATTCTTGTCATCATTAAATCACAATGTGCCAAACGGCACTCCATGCTACACAAGGGACTTTCAAGGTATTAGTAGGTAGTCCTCAAAATACAGGAAACAATGAACGTATTATATCTTATGAGACTTGAAGGTCCAGAGAGCTTCTGATCATACCTCTTACTATCATACCATGTGACAAGCGGTATTTTAAAACTAGAGTTAAATAGGAAGGCCATACTATATTACTACCCAAATTTGTTCGTTTCCCAGAGAAATACATTTTATGCAAATTCTCTGAATGTATGACAAGAGGTTGAGACTTTTTAGTAGTCATCTAGGATGAATTTTGCAAGTGCTAAATTTGTATATTTAATATTCCCTATAATAGTACTTTATTACATATTATATTAATACAAAGTTTTTCTTTTTTATTAGTTCTGAATTTTCTTAATAGTGTTAATTCTTGACATAATTTTAACACCAAGTATAATACTATTATGGCAGTATATCATACCTACTTTTACTGTTTGTTGTATTTGAGGTATAATAATATTTAATAGCTTTTCATGTTTTGTGCTTTTTAAGTAAAATTATCTCATTCCTTAATATAGACTATTTTCATATGAATAATTTAAAATATTTACACACACACATACACTCATTATGAATTGGTAAAACACTTAAAGTCATGGAACTGTTAATAGGCAATACTATTCTACAAAAGGAAATATGCATATTTTAGAAAAAATCCTCTAGCGTATTCTTCCTCTCAGTTTACAGAACAGCTACATGCCTCTAAAGTAAAGCAAGTTCCCCAGGAAACAATAAAAAGAAAGTGCTTTAGAAATTTCAATATTAGCTTTTAGATCACTGTACTGTTTGTTTATTTATTTATTTAATCAAGGCAGTAAATTGAAAACCCATCTTGGCAACCATACTCAGCTGATGACATGAAAGTGTTTTTGCCTTTTCCTTAAAGGAAGGTACTATATGAGCACCTTGAACAAATGGACTGCATAGTCTATATTTTTCATTCTCTTTGGACATTGGAAACACATTAGAGTCTATTTATAATGCAGTTGTGGTGGTTTTTGTAGCTGGAACATCTTTATAGGGAAACCACCTTGAACTGAATGAAGTTCTTTTGGTGTTTTCATATAAAACTACTGCTACCATCTAAATATTTGTGTCCCCCAAAATTCATACGTTACATCTAATCCCCAATGCAATAATATTAAGAGGCGGGGCCTTTGGGAGGTGATTAGGTCATGGGGGTGGAGCCCTAATGAGTAGGATTAGTGCCCTTATAAAAGAAGCCTAGGGAGTTCATTCAGCCTTTTCACCATGCGAGGAGACAGCAAGAAGGCATCATCTTGGAAGCAGGCAGAAAGCTCTCATCAGACACCAAGTCTGCTGGTACCTTGATATTGGACTTTCCACTCTCCAGAACTATGAGCAATAAATTTATGTTGTTTGTAAATTATCCAGTCTAAGGTAATTTGTTTTACAAGCCAAACAGACTAAGACAACTACTTTTGTGGGCCCACAGATAGAGGTATTGTCATTCGAAATTCTGAAGCTCACTGCTTGTAATCTTAAGTTGTGTATAGCTCTGTCCTGTGACCTGCAAAAGGCACCTATTCATTGCCAGAAAGAAGTCAATTTTATTTGGAATTCAGAGGATTCTATGAAACATATCTTCACTGTTCGTGTTTGTCTCTTTCTGAATCCACAAGGGATGGACACATGAATCTACTACTATTGTTCTCGTCTTTTCTTCTTTTTCCATCTTTCCCTCCCTCCCACTAGTTCCTGATGTCTGCCTACTCTATCATGTCTGCTCAGGCCAGGAACATTCATTTATCTTCATGCTCAAAGTAAGTGAAGCCATTAATGCTGAAAGTGTCGCATACCACTCTGCATCCTCATCTGTCTGAGACACATTCAACCACTAGGTCCTCAACTGCTTCACTGCTGCCTGACGTTCTTTGAAGTAGAGTATAAGAGAGAACATTCTATTTTGCTAAAACTAAAAGACTACCCTTTATCTTTACTGAGAATATGTAAAGAAAAGGGGATGACTAGATCAGAAGGCTTATTCTGAAGTATATAGTAATGTTAATTTTTAAATAATTGTTACATGTTCTTCTTCATTAGGTATTCACCTTCAGTTTTCCAAGACGATGGAAAGCACCACTGGTGCATGTAGTTAACAGCAGCTTGACTCAGACACAGAACTGCAGCCAGGGCCCATCTGTTCCCATCACTCCTACTGCCAGTTTTACAACCAGAACTAGAGTGATTTATCCATCTCAGTTTGCTCAGGACTCAGCAGAAGAGGATCCTGGGACACAAGACTTTCAGTGCTCAAACTTGGAGAGTTCAAGACTTTCAGTGCTCAAACTTGGAGAGTCCTTGGCAATCACAGTTTGACTATGACTGAGAAGATTCCCAGAAAGAAGGACTTTTAATTCTAAAACTGAGAAAGTCCCAGGGCATGAGTTGTTCACCTTATTTGCAACCAACTTCTAATTCATCATGAGGGCTTTGCATAAACTTATGCTTTAGGACTAGTAGAGTCAGTCATTGCTTCAAATTAAGTAGTGTGGCAAAAGTCTGTTATTTTTCAGGAAAAATTAATGTCTGATTGTGTTAATCCTGGTTGCAATAACTTATCTCATTTCCCCACTTTCCTGTGGAAAAATTCCCAATTTCTCAACCTGGCATATTAAGCAGCTGAAAAGTGGCCTATGCCTTCATCCCTGTCACTATCTCCCTCCACTTGCCACCATGCCCCAGTCTCTCTGAACTTTGTCATTCTCCTTCAAGACTGGTGATATGGCTTGGCTGTGTCCCCACCCAAATCTCATCTTGAATTGTAGCTCCCCTAATCCACAAGTGTTGTGAGAGGGATCCAGTGGGAGGTAATTGAATCATGGGGATGGGATTTTCCTGTGCTGTTCTCGTGATAGTGAATAAGTCTCATGAGATCTGATAGTTTTATAAAGGGCAGTTCCCCTGCATACACTGTCTTGCCTGCCACCATGTAAGATGTGCCTTTGCTCCTCCTTTGTCTTCTGCCATGATTGTGAGGCCTCCCCAGCCATGTGGAACTGTGAGTCATTAAACTTCCTTTCCTTTATAAATTACCCAGTCTTGGGTATTTCTTCATAGCTGTACAAAAACTGGAGACCTGAGAAAATAGACATTTTTTCATCCCAGATTCTTTCTTTCCCTGTCTCCCTTACTGCTTCCATCCATTCAGCATAGTCATGTAAGAAAACTCAAGCATCACTGACTCTGAATAACTGTTTTCATCTTCCTCAAGAAGTTATCTCCCTATCCTTTAAGCTCAACTAATGCTTTGTTTATATCTTTAAAATAGAATTGATTACGTACTATATCAAATACATATGCTTTATACCTGTCTCCTTTACTAGACTATTTCTCTATTTAGTAGACTTACTTCTCAACAGTGATAACTTATTTTTCTTTTTATCTCTAGTGCTTAATCTCTTGCCTGGTGTACAATAAAATTTGTTGTATGAACATCTGAGTGGATACATTTTTATACATTTTAAACAGATGGGAAAACTGAAGCTTAGAGTGGTTAAATGATTTCACCAAGATCAATAGCTAGGAAATGACTGAAACGGGGCTTGAACCAAAGTCTTCCAAATCTGACACCCATGCATTCATCACCCCCTCATTTGTATACATGGGTTACCAATAACACACACTCTCAACTTGCAGTGGAGAATGCCTGAAAAGGTCAGAAGAAGTATGTTTCTGGTGAAAGAGAAAGGAAGTACATATTTTAAGGCAATGATTTGCAACACTTAATAGAATTCCTCAAAGAGAAAATGGTCCATTTGGATTAGACTAGTCTTACATTAAAAGTCATTGTTTTCTGTACATTTTGGTTAAACTTAGACCTGACTTAAGTCAGCTTGCTGTACCTCAGATTACATTAACTAATATATAATATTTCTTGAACAAATCTTAGTGTACTGATTTTTGGTTATAATGTCTTTTGTAAAGAAAGGTATTTTAGTAAAGAGAGATTACTGTTTTGATATAGCAGATCATTCAGTTAGCACTAAATTTAAAGTCCATGATTTTGTCACATTCCTGTCAGATTCAGGTCAGGGACACTTCATATTTTCCTCAGTTAATTTAATCTTCAATAATTAAGATGAAGACTCAAAGATTACGGTTGTATTGAGCCTTGTGTACCTCAAACCAATATTAAGAGTTAACATCTCATTGGAAATGAGTTAGAGAATCTCAATAAATATTCACTTATTTTTATATTGAGTTAAAATAAGAAGTCTAGTGGTGAATTTTCTCTGCTTTTAAAGAAACATCCATGTTCCTAGTTTAGCTGAGATTTATTCTGTGTGCCTGGAACATATTTCCTGACTTTTTAGATGCTTTGTTTCTCCCACAATTAGAATAACTAAGTACTCAGTTGTCATGGAAATACTCCTCTCCATAAAAATCTTTAAAACAGAAGCTCTCTTCATTTGCCTATCTTTGCAGAGAAGGCAATTACTACCTCTACCTTTATACTCCTCTCTTTGTGTTTCTCTTTATATCTCCCGGTACTGGTATCTTACAATTCAAATTGTTTTGTAGCAGTTTCTTCGGGCTTAATCTCTAGATGAAAATGCCCCTTCATTCATGAGAAGCCATAATAATATTCAAATTGTGTTTCAAGATTGTAGTACTTGACAATCATCACTGAAAAGGTACGGATATGTAACAGAGACATTGTTAGGTTGGCTGCTTTGAATTTAATCCATTCTCAGAATATTCTAGTAGTTACAGTTAGCCCTTCGTATCCATGGGTTCTGCATCCAATGATTCAACCCACCACAGATTGAAAATATTTAAAACAATATTCTGTATTGAACATGCACAGACTTTTTGTTATTGTCATTATTCCCCAAACAATACAGTATAACTATGTACATAGCATTCACATGGTATGAGGTACCATAAATGAAGTAGAGATGATTTTAAACATACAGGAAGATGTGCATAGTTTATATGCAAATAATACACAATTTTGTATCAGGGAATTGAGCATCTGAGGATTTTAGTATCCCAGGGGGTTCCTGGAACCAATCTCCCAGGGATACTGAGGGTGGGCTATACTCAGAAACAGACTGTTGTGCTCTGGAAGGTAAATGATGTCCAGTCTCAGCAGCTGACACACCAAACCCAGAACTACACCCCATTCATCTCAATAAGGCAGTTTCATCCCACACTAGTTGGTAAATCAACTGATATATCACCAGCGCACTTATCAGGGTGGGCACTCGATAATTATTGGTTCGACCAAAGGAATCACTGAGTAGATTCTGAAATTAGAAGCTATATTCTGGAGGTGTGAAGTAGGTAAAATGTTGACCTTAGAGAACTAGTGGTTTAGTGAAAAGGGCATGTAAATGTAACACATTATTTTGCCTCTATTAATTAATTTGTTCATTTATTCAGCATCTACAATATGCTAGGCATTGTGCTTTGTTCTAAAAATTCAAGGGTGACATCAAAGTATGAGATAGAAGTCCAGCATAGTGGCTTTAGGCACAGGATCTAGAGCCAGGTTACCTGTGTTCAAATCTAAGTGTTTTCATTCGTTAGTTCTGTAGCCTCTGTCTTCAGTTTCCTCATTAGTAAGAAATTATGATTTTACCTGCTTTATAGGGTTGCCATGGAGGTTAGATGAATTCATATGTGTGTTTCAGAACAGTACCTGGCACATAATAAATATTCTCTGTTTGTAAAATATAAATAAGACAAAACGTTGAGCAAAAGAGACAAAGTTCCTAAACTCATGGAGCTTAAGATATTTCCAATAATTCTTCATGGTCAATATCACTCCTTAGGCACAGTATAAGCACCAGATAAAACACATCATCAAGGCAGCTTGTGATAGAATAAATGCAAGAACAACGGGAAAACTGAACGGGAGAGAGAGTTTACCAACACTGAGATGTTCTTCACTTAAGCACCCACACAAAATTCCCCTTATGTTCACCAGTGCCCTTGACGGAAGGGTGATAAGAGAAGTGGATTATAATGAATGCACAAAATTGTATGTATGAATCACAGAGGTGACTTGGCAGACAAAGAGGCATCTCACTCAATGTAATGGATGTTTTCTTAAAAGGCTGTGGATCAACTGAGGGTCTTTAAATGAAATTGTATTCATATACTCTAGGAGAACTTGCTTAAAGGAACCTATCGTGAATCCATTTATAAAAGGCTTATTTATTACCTATTTATTCAGTTTTTGCATTTTGGCTTTTGCATTGGATTTTTAAGTCAGTTTTAATGTACTAGGTTTTCTTGAAAGGTAGATGCTTTTAAATAACTGAATTTGTTCAAAGTTTCTGAGAGCAGATACTCTCCTTTAGTAATAAGAGCACTGGGCATATAAAGACATTCAAAAATTATTTGTTGAAAAATGAGTATCTAAATGCAATATCGTCTAAAAATGTGGAATATGTAAAATTTAAGCTGTTTCACTAAGTGGTAAATTTCTCTTCAAATGAAGAAGAATTAAATATTTTATTAAATGTTCTAGAGAAAGAGTCAGAGATAGAAATACTTTAAAAATTGATTGAACACAAATGTATTAGCTCTAAAAAATGTAAGGAGATGAGCCCAGGCAAGAAAGACACAAAGTTTAGAGCTGTCCCTGATTTAATTCCTTCTTCCCTTCTCAGGCTACTCATTTCTATTAATCCATAGCAGTATTACTTAAAAATCTAGAGTTAATGCAGGGACACAGCATGTAAATACAGATTTCTTTCATGTTGAAGCAATGCCCTAGGGAAAGGCTTGAGTCACCATAGAGAGGGAGTTCCAGAGCCCTGCAGAGTGTTGGAACTCTGGAAGGCACACTGGGGTTGAATGTAGTCTCTAATCCAACAGAGCACTCAACTCTACTCAGTATTCTTGTATTTTTCCAATCCAGCTCCCTTCCCTAAAATCCACATGACCATTGAAATCTTCTTCAGATGACTGGAACCTTCTTACTTATCACTCTCTGTTTCCCAGCTCCCACCATACCCAAAGTCAACAGAAAACCTCATTCTTGCTTCTCAGGAAAAATGTAGAAGTCCTCATATAGAACTCTTCTCAAGCTCTTGCTACCAGAACTCTTGCATGGACACAGGTTTTCATTGTTTCTGCTACAACAATATCCCTTTTCCTAGGACAAATCTCTAGCTGTGCTATGGGGCATGTATTGGTCTGCTTCTTTAAGAAAATAACTACAGTGATTATTCCTTCTCTTTGCCATATCTCTAAAAGAAAGGCAAAAGTTTCTAGACTTCATGTCTATTTTCAGCTATAACTTCTTCCTTCACTGCCAACATGGCTAAGATTCTTTGAAGAGTTATATGTTCTGTCTACACATTCTCTTCATCATTTCTTCAGTTGAAGACAACTGTTTTTGCCCTTGCTACTCTATCAAAATGTTCATCCAAGGACACCAGTCATGTTCCTGTCACAAATTTAGTGGAAAAATTTCAGTTCTTACCTTGTTTAATATCTCTGCAATATGTGACATTGTTGACCTCTCCTAAGGTACTTTTTGTTCTTGGTTTCATTCACTCTATACTCTTGGATTCCTTTCTACTTCTGTTCTCCATCACATTTCTCTTAACTATTCCTTAAATGTTGATAATTCTCTGCTTTTGCCTTCAGACCTTATCCACGAAAGGTAAATATTGACTCTCTTCTATGTGCCAGGCACTGCCTAGAACCTACTTTCTTCTTTCTTCTAACCTACATACTGTCCTTGCTAATACCATCCATTGCTATGGCTTAAATTATCAAGTGTACTTAATGTTGGCAGCTTTGGCAAATAAAAATACGAGAAATTTTTTAAAAGCCACTCAAATTTAATTGGGCATCATATATTTTATTCTGCAACCCTAACTATATCAGAAGTAACACACCCAAATGCCTTCAGGAGCAAGTTAGTTAACAAAATGTGCAAACCAGAAAGGGAAATCGGACAAGTAATGGTGGGGATCACAGCCCACTGAGGAGCAAATGCCCCATCAAAAGACCTTATAATTCAAAGCCTTTTACATCCTTGCAGGCAAACAAATCAAGTCTGTGGGCCACATCTGATCCAAGGTGACACATTTGGAAATTCTAAAGTCTGTACCCCAACGACTTCTTCCATTCCTGTGTATACAACTATTTTCTGTATATCTTCACTTGGATACCCTCCTGGTAATTCAAGGTGTACAAAAAAATAGTCTTTACACTATAGCCAGAGTTATCATTCCAAAGTAGAAATTAGGTTATGCCACTTTCCTATTTAAACCCATAACTGCTTCTTCACTGCCTTCAAGATAAAATTCAAACTTCTTGATAGGTTTTACAAGGAATTTTATGTGTTTCCATGTTACTGCCTTTAGAGTCATCTCTTATTTTCATTATCCTCATCTGCTATTCAATGCTTAAACCCTTACGAAACTAACCTCACTAACCTCAACAAATGACTTTCTCTCTGGCATCTGAGACTTCGCTGGTTGGAGCCATTCCCTCTGCATGTGTCCAGTCTACCTCTGTTGCCATGTGACTTGTTTTGGCCAATTAGATATGAACAGGAGGGACATATGCAAATTCTGGAAAGAAGTGTTAAACACTATGCATGCTTTGCCATGCCAGCTTTTCTCTACCTCTGTAGAAACATGTCTTTTTCTAGGTCACAAGTACTCAGGAAACTAAACAATGCTTCTTTGGATTAGGGCCTGCACAGGGGCAGTGACAAGTTCAGTGTGCATCATAGGTGCTTGTTACAAAATGTCCACTGCAAGCCACAGATGTCACCTCAAACAACCAGAAAAGACAGAAAAAATTTTATACTTCTCATGCACTTAAAATATTATATATATTTAATATTATAATATTATATATATTAGATATACATATATATCCCAAAGAACATTAATTTGATTTCCTGTGTTGTTATGAAAGAAAAAAATTTTGAGGCATAATGGGCGCATTCCATTACGACAAACGCATGCCTTAGAATAAGTCAGACAAATTCTCATGACAAACTGGAAGAATTTTCTCTAAGGCAGTTAAATTTCTTATCATACATTTTTTTTAACTTTTAGTTTAAATTCAGCAGTACATGTGCAGGTTTGTTCCACAGGTAAACTTGTGTCATGGGAGTTTGTTGTACAAATTATTTTATCACCCAAGTATTAAGCCTTGTACCCATTAGTTATATTTCTTGATCCTCTCCCTCCTCCCATCCTCCACCCACTGATAGGCCCCAGTGTGTGCTATTCCTCTCTATGTGTTCATGTGTTCTCATCATTTAGTTCCCACTTATAAGAGAGAACACGTAGTGTTTAGTTTTCTGTTCCTGCATTAGTTTGTTAAGGATTATGACCTCCAGCTCCATCCATATCCCTGCAAAGGACATGATCTCATTCCTTTTAATGGCTGCATAGTGTTCCATGGTGTATACGTACCAGATTTTCTTTATCCAGTCTATCATAGATGGGCATTTAGGTTGGTTACATGTCTTTGCTACTGTGAAGAGTGCTGCAATGAACATAGATGTGCATGTGTTTTTATAATTGAACAATTTATATTTCTTTGGGAATATACCCAGTAATGGGATTGCTGGGTTGAATGGTATTTCTTTTTTTAGGTCTTTGAGGAATGGCCACACTGTATTCCACAATGGTTGAACTAACTAATTTACACTCCCACCAACAGTGTGTAAGTGTTCCTTTTTCTCTAGACCTTGCCAGCATGTTATTTTTTGATTTTTTAATGATAGCCATTCTGACTGGTATGAGATGGTATCTCATTGTGGTTTTGATTTGCATTTCTTTAATGATCAGTGATATTGAGATTTTTTCCATTTTCTTGTTGGCTGCATGTAGGTCTTCTTTTGAGAAGTGTCTGTTTGCGTCCTTTGCCTATGTTTTAATGGAGTTTTTTTTTTCTTGTTAATTTGTTGAAGTTCCTTACAGATGTTGGATATTAGGCCTTTGTCGGGTTCATAGTTTGCAAAATTTTTTTCCCATTCTATAGGTTGTCTGTTTACTCTGTTGATAGTTTCTTTTGCTGTGCAGAATTTCTTTAGCTTAATTAGATCCCATTTGTCAATTTTTTGCTTTTGTTGCAATTGCTTTTGGCATCTTCATCATGAAATCTTTGCCTGTTCCTATGTCCAGGATGGTATTGCCTAGGTCTTCCAACGTTTTTATCTAGTAATATTCTTTAGCCCATAGCACTTTATTGTGAGGTTCCTCATAAAACATTTCTCTCTACATTGTGGAAATTCAAAAATGCTTAATAATAAAGGAGTCTAGCAGTATAACTTAACTGATAGCGTTCAATGTTTTTCGTTTTACACTGAGTCTTTAATCCATCTTGGGTTAATTTTTGAATATAGCATAAGGAAGGGGTTTGGTTTTAATCTTCTGCATATAGCTAGCCAGTTATCCCAGCACCATTTACTGAATAGGAAATCCTTTCCCCATTGCTTGTTTTTGTCAGCTTTGTTAAAATCAGATAGTTGTAGGTGTGTGGTCTTATTTCTGGGTTCTCTATTCTGTTCCATTGGTTTATGTGTTTGTTTTTGTACCAGTAGCATGCTGTTTTGGTTACTCTAACCGAGTAATATAGTTTGAAGTTGGGTAGCAGGATGCCTGCAGCTTTGTTCTTTTTCCTAAGGATTGCCTTGGCAATTGGCTCATTTTTGGTTTTATATGTACATCTTCTTTATGAGACTGTTTTAGCATTGGGAGTTCTTAAATGAGCCAGGTTCTATGCTATGTATTTTTTACCGCTTGATTCTTACAACAGTGCTATGAGACAGAAATTACGTCTATTGAACAGATGAGAAAACAAAGTGTTATAGGGGTTAAGTTTGCTACCTAAAGTCATGTGCCTCTTACAAGTCAGAGCTGAGGTTTGAACTTGAGTTCATCTGGTTTCTTTAGTGGTCAACTTGCTGCTAAACTTGAGGTACCCTCTGACTCACACTGAGGGCCTAACCAACAATAGATTTTCATTTAAGATTCATTGACTTTTCTTTGTTGAAAATCTAACCATCAGTATCTCACTCTTCACATTGAAGGCAAAATTAATCTTTTCATTGCATTTCATTTTTAAATTCTGCTCCTCATCTCAAAGATTGGATTTTTACCCAAACTGAATATCTTTGTTCAACAGTCAAATGACTGTATTGTTTTAATTCTTTAACTGACACAGATTATTGTCCAAATACAATGGCAGCTACCTAATAATTAAATTGTATTTTTTCTTGAAATATCAGTGATCCCGAGCTTATCATCTACCCCTCTGGAGAAAAGGCTTGAAATCAGTAGCTTCCAGCCCTACAATTTCAGCAGTTCTGGAGTGGAGCTCCATCATCCATATGTGTGAACATCTCCCCATTCAAGTCTGGGAGTCGTACATCATCTGGGTGTAGGGATGTAAGTTTTAAAGGATATCTAGTAATATTCTTTAGCCCATATCACTTTATTGTGAGGTTTCTCATAAAACATTTCTCTCTACATTGTGGAAATTCAAAAATGCTTAATAATAAAGGAGTCTAGCAGTATAACTTAACTGACAGCATTCAATGTTGATAACATGTTAGAGTGTGACTCCAAAGGAAAGGGTAGGGGATAGATTATGGGAGGCCAGGCATATCCTTCACAGGAGGGTGGACTTCATCCTGAAGGCACTAGAGAGTCCTTGAAGGGCTTTCTTGACAAATGAATAAGATGACAATAAACAAAAGGGAGAAACTATTGAGAGTGAAAAAATTTAAGTTGTTTCATTTGATGTATCAAAAATAAATTATTATGTCTTTTTGAGGTGTGATCTGAACTGTAAATGTCATATTTGCTAATTCCAACTTTTGTCCACTGCTGTTTTCTGGAGTGTGTATTCAAATGCTCATTTGCATTATTGCAATACTTTTGCTTCCTTGTTTACCCTCTTTGGAGGAAGTGTCACCTCAAGGTGACAGATGTCGTACAATGGCATTTTGATTTTTGGATGTCTTTATCGTTAATTCATTCCTTTGATGATCAGTGGTAATACTTAGAAATGAAATTTTCAGGATGACCTGCACCTTTTATAATGCCAAAATGATCCAGACAAATCAGCTGACAAGCTAAATGCATCCTCAGTTATCTTTTTATTGAAGGGATACAACTGTGCATTGTTTTGTGCAGAAATGATAACCCCAGGAACAAAAAAAATCATCCAACTTTTTATTCAACCAATCTTTATTGAGTAGCTATTTTGTGCTAGACACTGAGCCTAGCACTACATACCTATTTGAAAAAAAAATGTAGTGCTGTCTTCTAGGAGATGACAGGTGTGTGTTGGGGAGGAGATAATTATTAAACAAGTGAATACACACCAAAAAATATGTATTTGCAATTTGTGGTAAAGGCCATGAAAGAAACAAGATACTCTGAAAGATAAAGAGAAATGAGAACATAGAAGATATATACTTTAGCCCAGGCAGTCAGGAATTTTCTGAGGAAGTGATATTTGTAATAAAACCTGAAGAATGGTAAAGAACAACTTAAAAGAGGAAAGGAGAGCATTCCTGGCACAGGGAATCATGTGGAAAATCATGAGGTTGGAAAGGAGACCAGTGAGCTGGAATAAAAGAGACACAGGAGGTATGAGCTTGAAGAAGGCAAGGAGGGTCAAGGTCCAACAGCTGCCAAATTGTCTTGGCTGCAGCTGGAACTAACTGGGCCATCTTGGTCAAGTTGCTCTAAGTCTTTGCGATGTTGGTACCTTGTCTGTAAAAGTAGATATTTGAACTCAATGCTAAGACCTTGCAAAAAAATAGGGCTTATCAATTATATTTTCATATGAAGAGTAAACTGATAAAGGAATAAGCTATTTGGATTGTTGAAAGCCTTGGTTTTTGGCAAATATTTATTGAGGACTCGATTTATACGGAGTGCCAGGGGAGCTGGGAGAGTAAAACTCATTGGCATCTGTTTTCTGAGAAAGGCTGTTACTTCTGCCCCATCTCTCATGCCTCTGGAGACTGCAGTGGGAAGGATTCCCAAATACCACCACCCACAGACAACTTTTACAGGATCACTGAGAAGCTCCGTGCAGCTTCTGAATATTACAACTCATCCCCACCAAGACCTCAAGATGTCATTTGTGACTTCTTGACTTTCCCTTTTCAGAGGCTGGATATGATGCACTTGGGGGAGTGTGGGAGATGGTGTTGCTTCATGTCCCTGGTCTCTCCAGTGCTCAGCTGCCTTTGTAATATTTTATCTTCAGGGTGGGAAAAGGTGAAGAGCAGGAGGAACTGGTCAGTGAAGACTTAACACACTGAAAGTTTTCTGCAGTGTCTGCTGTTGGGAAGTGATTTAAAATAACTAGATGTAGCTGAGAATGATTTCTGGAGCAAACCATGTGATTCTCTCCAACACCTAAACATATCCCAGAAAAAGAGAATCTGGATGGTGGGTGGAGAGACTGCTAACCAAAATGCCTCGAGAGTGTGTGTTCCTTGACATAAAGACAGAGAATTTAGCTCAAGATTGTTCAGATAGGAATGTCAGGATGTAAAGTTAATCTTTGACATTTCCATTTGTGTCGCACTATTTTCATCCTGTTGTCCCAGTCATCATGTGGCAGGAGGGAGTACATTCAGCTGCCTCAGTTGTTTTTTTTTGTCTGAAGTGATGTTCTAAACGGGGTCTATTTTCTTGCTCTTCAGTGTTAAATGACAATCATGTGTGAGGAAAGGAGGAATATAATTTCTATAGCAGTCTTTACTTGTGTTCTTATCAACAAGCCAAAGAAAGCACATATTAAGTGAATGTGAAGTGACACAAGGCCAGAGACAGCCCTCCAGGGCTAATGTCTAAACCCTTCATTCCTATTTGATTTTCTTTGCCTTTACAATCTTATTTGCTGAACTATAAAATTTCTTATTATAATTTCCTAATTACAAATAAATATTCTTCTGGGAAGGAAAACAGTATTGTGAGTGAAATTAAAAGTAAATATATTAGACATATCCTAGCAAATGTTAATGAAGGCAATTTCTCAATGCTTTATGTATATACATGTATATACACATATATATTTTCTCATGTGTATATAAAACAATGAGATTGACTTATTTTTAATAAGAGTCATGAAAAAAATTACAAAGGCTTCCCAAAAATGAAATAACCTAGTTGTTCCAACTAGGTTCTGACCTGTCAAAGTTTTGTCATCCAGATTGATAACTCCTTTTGTCCTATTTTTCTAAATGATATTTCCTTAGGCTTTAAAACTGGTTGTTGTAACTCAGATGAATTTATGCCCAAGGCATGCTGAATCCCAGCGCAGAACTGGTTAAGAAAGGAGAAAAACAAGGATGAGGCAAGCTTGAGCCCCAGAAAACAAAGCTTCAGCTCTGGTCCCCAAAGAAAGGTGTTAGATAATGCACATGATCGTGTCTAATGGGACCCAGGAGTCTGGACCTGGAGTTAGCACTTGACAAGCCATAAGAGCCTTTTGAATGTATTCATACAAGATGCCAGGCAAAAAGGAAGTTAATTTTTTTTCTACATCATGAAGCTCTGTCTGTATAAGGTTTTCTTATGTTTGGTAAATCATAGTCTGGTGTTAGTTGTTCTCTTTTTCTGTTTCTCCAAGTATTTCTGAGACAAACCTACCCTTATTTACCTTCAACTCTGAGGATATCTCGTCTTTTTATACCTTTCGGTGACAGTTCTAGTAATTATTCCCTCCTCTGAGTGGTGGATAGAAACATGGGAAGCATTTAGAATTGGCAGCATTTCTTTGGTGGATCATAAAGAGTCATTTGGCTTATTGAGATGAGGATGAGAACATGGAATTTCCCAGTAGATATTGCAGACATTTTCATTAGGATCCAATTTCGAAGAATGCTGTTAGCATAGTTGTATTTCAGGAGACAAAAATCTCTTCCTCTCTTGAGGAACAGGGTTCTGATTTTCCTCCTGCTGATACTAATTTAGGCCATGTGATCAGAACCTTCCTGATTATTCACCAAATTTTAATCTTAGAGACAAGAAGATAGTAAGAGGAAAAATATAAGATATACCCTGGCTAGGGACCTGGGAGGAAGAGATTTTAGAGGAAGCATTGAGATTATGAGGGGCCAGGAAAGTGGTCAGAAGGTACTGTTCCCTACCAGCATATCTCAGGTGAGCCAGGAGGTCAGGTGTTAGGGACACTGCTCATGAGTTCAAGACTGGATTGCATCATTGTTCTCACCTGAACTTCACCCAGGTCCTTGTTATTCATTCCTCTGGGCTTCCTGTAAATGGGAACCTTAATTATCTGCATCTATCTTTGCCAGCAAAGCAGACAGTAACTTTAGGAGAGAGAATACCATCAATGGCTCTTTAGAGAGGACAGTCTGCAATGCCTCCAAGACAACAGTACGATAAAAACAAACCTGGACACATATTGCTGTGCTGGGGAGAGGCACCTGTACTTGCAAGTTGAACTAAGCATGCCACAGCTGAGTTACTGGGGACTGGGCATCTCTGTTAATGCTTCTTTACATTCCCTGAATAGTTCCAGGAGGTCAGCTCTCCACAACACCCTCCCCACCCACCATTATCCCTCTACAATCAGTATGCCCATCAGTCTCAATAACGTTCTCTGTAAAGCTTACAAAGTATTGTATGTTCACTGTGTCCTTGTCTATGCATGGTGCCTCGAGGTGCAGCAGAAATAACCCAGAAAACAGAAGACTCATTCATTCTTTTACTCAGACTTTTATTGAGTGGATATTTTGTTTTAGGCACTGGTATTAGATATTCATTTGTCAATAAACCAAATGCGATTTCAGTCCTCCCAGAGACTACAGGAGTGGGTGTGTGTGTCTGTTTGTGTGTCTATACTGGGAGATGACCACTAAATAATATGATACACAAAAGATAAATATTTATAATTAACTTGTGATAAATCATGCATAATAAAGGAAGAAAACACTGTGATGGAGAAAAAAAATGGAGTGAAAGGGAGGGTGCCTCTGTCTACTTTAGACTGGGCAATCAGGAATTTTGCATTCATTTAACACATTTACTTGTTAGGATGCTGACATCATACTTTTCATCTCCAGCATATTTTTGTGCACTACTATTCATTATCAGAAAATGACCTTTGCTCCCAAACATGGTTTGCACTCCTTTCTAATATTCTAAAACTATTGCATTTGGGTTGGTTACCAAAAACAATAATGATTGTTTTACTTTTACCATCTGCTTAGTTATTGATCCATGATGATGTGCCATTAGCTAAATTTCCATTAATTAAAAAAATTATGTTCTCATGCCCACCTAGCTTCACAAACTGTCTCATTATCATTACTCTTTTGATGATAGAATAATCATCAACTTTAATTCATTGGACAGATGGATCATGCTGAATTGTTCTAAGATCTAACATATGATGTCCAAATTACTAAGCACTTTTTCACATACCATCACACTTAATTCTCATTTCACCCCAGAGATGCCTTGCTACTCCCACATTACAGATGAGAAAACTAATGGTAAAAGAAGTTAAACATCAGTTCAAAGTTATACCAATATGACTGGCAAACATAAAAACCCAACCCTTCTCACTTTAGAGCCAGTGCGGATTCCCTGCTGGCCTAGCTTTCTCCACTACTCGTACTGGTTTGCTTTTGGGCCCCATCAATGTTCTGCTTCCACACACTGGTTATTCTTACCTTGATATATTTTTGAACTTTTTTTTATTGAACTGAATCCACTTATTTGGCATTTCCGGATAATCACCTGCTCAGTGGAGCTAGCTGCGTTGGTAAGATACTTCCACTTTCCTTGCCTCAGTCCTTCCTTCTGGAAAATGAGAATTTGGTAGCATTTACCTCACATAAGTATTCAATGAGGTAATACATAATACATGTAATATATATATTTCAAAAGTGCCTGCCACTTAAGTGTTCAGCAAATACTAGTTTTTAATCTCATCTCTCGATACGAGCAATAAGACTATTATTTCTTTTCAAACATGGCTTTGCAATGTCTACACAGCATAAAAAGCTCCATTATGCAAGAAGGAATACTCCGTACTGGGGGTTATCTCTTGTTCACTATAGATCTTCCACTGTTCAAGTGCCATCAAAATGCCCTAGCTGGTAAGCACAGGAACTGGATAAAAAGGTACTGAGGTCAGATAAAAGGGATCTTGTAGTTAGCAAAAGCTCCAGACTCCATTTGCTGACATCCACTTCAGAACTCCTCTCTGGAAGGTCTTCTCAGTCCCTGATTTAGCTGTGTAAATGAACTTCCCCTCCAAGTAGTTTTAGATGGGAGACTGGATTTGGACAGTTGAATTGGCCCCATCATAAAATGCTGGTTTCAGTAACTGTGCCTCAGTAAGAAAGCGACTGGCAAGAAGCACTGTCCTCCCTTTTCCAGCCCCCGCCTTCTCCAACGAAAGGAATAAGACATCAGTATCCTTCCTTCCTCCTTATCCTGTCTTCAGCTTTTGACCTTTTTATTACTTATTCAAACATCTCCACAAGCAAAGCCAGAGAATGCTTGAATGTCTATGCTTTAGAAACACCAGCCAAAATTGTGAAGGCAGCCCACATTGGAAAAATTGATGAAAATGAGATCCTTGAATCAGCAGATACGATTGATGACATTCCTTCTTTTGTCATAGGAACACTAGGGGGACTGCAGAGTGTAGTGAATAAACAAAACAAAACAAAAAATAAAGCCTGTGAACCTGGTGAGTTTTGAAGCAGCATGTTAGTTTTGTCAATGATCAGACTTGTGATCTCAGATAACTGCTCTAAGCCTGGGTATCTTCACTTGTCAAATGGAAAAGAAATCTGCTACATTGTAGGTAGTTGTCAGACATAATAAGAAGTGCCAATTACAGAACTTGGCATATGATAGGTGCTCAAAAAACGGTAGCTCTTACTATTATCTGGAAATACCAATTATACACAATGATAGCCTGGAAAATAAAACAATGTTAACTTTCAGAGCGCAATCTTAAATATATGAACAAGGAATTTCTTGCTAATCTTTGTAGGAAGGTGACTAATGATCTCCTATTTTTTTTTAAAATTTTTTTTTGAAATGGAGTCTTGCTCTGTCACCCAGGCTGGAGTGCAGTGGCACGATCTCAGCTCACTGCAAGCTCTGCCTCCCAGGTTCACCCCATTCTCCTGCCTCAGCCTCCCGAGTAGCTGGGACTACAGGCACCCGCCACTGCACCTGGCTTATTTTTTGTATTTTTAGTAGAGATGGGGTTTCACCGTGTTAGCCAGGATGGTCTCAATCTCCTGACCTCGTGATCCGACCGCCTCGGCCTCCCAAAGTGCTGGGATTACAGGCGTGAGCCACTGTGCCCGGCCTGATCTCCTTATTTCTAAATACTATCAATAAGTTATTTCAGGTTTTGGTGTCCTTGACATCTTGTTACCTCTTGTAACTAAGCCTCTGCCTCCTTGGAAAATTCTTTTTGCTTGATTTCATGGCACAGGGATAGCCAGAATTCTGATAAAATTCATTTAAAAATTGGCTCCAATCCTGTGCCCCGTCCCAGTTCTTCAGTGGGACAGACTAACATAACTATTTTCTATGGAGGAGCAATAGGTTTAGTGGGATGGAATTAAAAAGGGATTCTGCCCTCTGCCTTGGGGTTATTTGGGACTTTTTCAGTTTAGTGTGTTATCTGTTAATGTAATGTAATTTTCACGATTTTGTGTTTTTTTGTGATTGCGCATAATGAATGAGTGTGTATTTTTTCCTAGCCACCTCACAATGATACAGCCCTACATTTCTTACCAACTGACATTTTTTGAAGGCTGGATTTTTGTACCTCGTTCACCATGGTAAGCCAAGGTTAGTATTTGTATTGTGCAGTATTCTGCAGTAGAATCCTTCCTCATTCTGTACAGAGGAGCGGTATAACTTCATGATTAGCAGCATAAGGTCTACAGCCAGATTACCCAGGTTTGAATGCTGGCTCTACCACTGTTTGCCTTAATAACTGTGTGCCTTAATTTTCTCATCTGTAAAATGAGTATAATAACAGTATTACCTCATAGACTTGTTGTGAAAATTAAACTAGTTAAATAGTGTAAAGTGTTTTGAAATTGTTCAAGGTACAGAAAAATGCCTATTAAATGCAATGTATTATGGACATACACTTTCCATGGCCACTTTTTTCTGTATACTGGTGTATTAGTCTGTTCTCACACTGCTATAAAGGACTACCTGAGATTGGCTAATATATGAAGAAAAGAGGTTTAATTGACTCACAATTCCACAGGCTGTATAGGAAGCATGGCTGGGAAGCCTTAGGAAACTTACAATCGTGGCGGAAAGGTAAAGGGGAAACAAGCGCCTTCTTCACATGCTGGCAGGAGAGAGAGAGAGTGAAACAGGAAGTGCGATACACTTTTAAACCATCAGATCTTGTGAGAACTCACTCACTATCATGAGAATAGCAAGGGGGATTCTGGCCCCATGATCCAATCACCTCCCACCGGGCCCCTCCTCCAATTTTACCTGAGATTTGGGTGAGGACACAAATTCAAACCATATCAACTGATGACATTCGGATCTATTTCTTCAACCCAGTCTCTCTCTGGAACTCCAGGGTAATTCCCATCTCATAACTGAATAATTCATTTTCATATGCAAATGAGAAGATGTCATCTCCTTCTCTGAAATGCCTTTGTGACCTCCATGGTTCAGGAAAGGTACCATCATCCAAGCAGCATCTCAGCCAGAACTCGGGCATCATCATTCTGACTCCTTCATCACATTTACCAGTCATCAAGTCTTGCCTTCTAATTATCTTTCTAGTGTGTCTTTTTAAAAATCTCCATTGCCTCTACCTTAGTTCAGGCCATCAGACTTTATTGTTTAGTCACTGGATGACCCTTGGAAATTACTCCACCTGTTTGCCATGTTGCCTGATTCCATTCTTTTCATGAATGCCAGAGTGGTGAATCTAAAGCCACAATCTAAAGCTATTATTCCTTGGACTGAAATTTTTCAGTGGTCTGCTGATGTCTCTGATTAAAACTTAAGTCCAAAGCTTGGTTTTAAGACTGCCACAGTCTGGCCACTGCTCACCTCTCCTGCCACAGAACTTGCTCTCCAGCCCAGGGAACTACTTGCAGCTCTCTGCACCATAAACTTTCTCAATCTCTGTTACTTTGCATATGTGGTCTGTTTTAAGACAATGTTCCTCTTCTTTCTTCCTTCTCAAGTGGTTGATACATGCTTGTCCATTAGGATTTGGAATTGCCATTAGGTTCATCTATGAAAGCTTCCCTAATACCCAAGATTGAATTGAAGGCTTTTCTTATGTGTTCCCACAGCACAGGAATCAGCCCTTTGTGGCATTTGCAATATAGTATAGTGGGTAGCTTCTTGGTGATGAAGCAAGACTGCCTTGTTTGAATCTTGGCTTTGTCACTTTGTAGCTCAATAAGCTTTAACTTAAGCTTTAAGTTCTTTAACCTCTCTGTGCCTCACGGCGATATTAATAGTTCCTGGAGTAGATAGAAAAAATGATCACAAATTCTTCCCTTCTCTGTATCTATCTTGCCTTAGATTTTTCAGGCTGTTATAACAAAATACCACACATTGAGTAGGTCAGAAATAACAGAAATTTAATTCTCACAGTTCTGGAGATTGAAAAGTCCAAGATCAAGGTGCCAGCAGATCCAGTGTCTGGTGAAGATCAGATTTCTAGCTCATAGTTGGTTCCTTCTCGCTGTGTCCTTACATGGTAGAAGGGATGAGCTAGTCCTCTGGTCTTTTTTTATAAGGGCATTAATCCCATTTATGAAGGCAGAGCCCTTATTACCACGTAAACTCACAAAAGACCCCCTTCAAACACCATTACCTTAGGGGTTGGGATTTCAACATATGAATTTGGGGGTATGCAAACACTCAAACTATAGCATATCCCTTTCCAATATGCCATTGTAATTTCCTCCATCAAAGTTAAACTCTTTCTTCCTCCCTTGAATCTGGGCTGGCCTTGTCACTTGCTTTGGCCAATGGGACAGTAACAAATGTGTCCCAGGCAGAGGCTTGCAAAATGCTGTACAATGGCACCTACTCCCTCTTGCTGCTCTTGGGAACTCTGCAGCTACCATCAAATGAAGAAGTACGGGCTAGTCATCTGGATGGTGACAGAGACATGGTCCAGTTGTACCCATTACTCCAACCACTTGCATGACATGTAAGATGACCATATCTCTGCCAGCTGGCCACAGATGCATGAGTGAGCCCAGATGAGCACAGCCTACATTGGCAGACCACAGAATTGTGAGCTAAACCAATAATTATGTTAAGCCATTATGTTTGGGGGAGGTTTCTTATATAGCAAAAACTAACATATGACTCATGGAACATGAATATTGGATAAGTTAACACATACAAAATACATAGAGAGTGCTATATAAGCATTCATTTTTCTTACTAAAGTTGCTTATTTCCCTGTGCAAATCTACCACTAGAATGCTGGCTCCTTGAAGGAAGGGACTCTTTCTTTTCCCCTGTTAACATCTTCCCTACACAGTGCCTGGCTTCTTGACATGTGGTATGAATGATTCAAGATTCTTAGGTTGTTGTCAAAAACCAACAAAGGAAATAAAATATAAATGGCTTCTCATATCAGATGACCTTGTTATCCAGTAGTCTATGATCTTATTTCTTTATATCCACTCCCCTCACCACCACCATCCCTGAGTTCTTATTGACAACTTGAAACCTATGAGACAATAAACAGTTCTATCCATGTGAGTAGAACTGACACAAAAGTGAAACAAGGTTGTCTCACTAGAGTAAAGTGCAGCGAATTGATTGTGATTGTGTCCTTAAAACTGAGTCTGCTTCCATGATTAGGGGTGTATCTTTCATTGCACGTTCCCTAACTCTCCCAAAATCCAAATGTGCTTGTTCTGTAAGCATTCACTCTTCTAACATAGTTGGGTTTTCTCTCTTTGATACCATTTTATCACATCACCTATCTAAAAGACTCTGGACTTTAAAAAATCTAATGGCATTGTGACTTAGAGGGTCTGTCTTTCTTTTCCATTATTTTCTTCATTTGTTGGTGGGCTGTTAACTAACACCTGAATTTGAGTGTCAAGTTCTTCATTTCTTTTGATGTGTATATGTGGCACTTTCACTATTCAAGTCTGACAGACTGTTAGACCGAGTTTTGAATTTTCTAGGCCCAGACTGTGGCATTTTTGTTCGTTTTTTTACCTTACTCTCAAGAAATAGGTTCTCAGTCTTCCCATAATACCGCTAATTTGTATAAAGAATTTTAATTTTACTAATGAATTTTAAAACAAAACAAACATTAATTCCCCAAAGTACCAATATAATGAATAAATCTTAAATATAACAAGATAATTAACTTCCTTATCAACAATATAATATAGTGCTTTGAGCCACACACACATCAGAAATACGTATTTCTCCTATTTCTTTTTTCTTTTCCAAAGACTTAATGTCTTTGAATTTGATATTGGAAGAAAATAGTCATTTAGAATAGTTTTCGGCTATGTCCAACTTTTGGTTAAAAAGAATATTCTAGGCCCGGTGCAGTGGCTCACTCCTATAATCCCAGCACTTTGGAAGGCCGAGGTGGGTGGATCACCTGAGGTCAGGAGTTCAAGACCAGCCTGGCCAAGATGGAGAAACCCTGTCTCTACTAAAAACACAAAAAATTAGCCAGGTGTGGTAGCGGGCACCTGTAATCCCAGCTACTTGGGAGGCTGAGGCAGGAGAATCGCTTGAACCTGGGAGGTGGAGATTGCAGTGAGCAGAGAACGCACCATTGCACTCCAGCCTGGGCAACAAGAGCAAATCTCTGTCTCAAAAAACAACAACAAAAAAGAATATTCTAGAAATTGATTCATTTAGTCATAACAACATCTCTTTTGAACAGTTTTATTCAAACTATTAGCAGACAAACCAGTAAATTCTTACTTTTCAAGGACTGATTTTTAGACTTCATGCAGGAAAATGAGCAATTAAAGAAAATACAGGATTAAAAGGCATAAAGTGATTTGGAATTTAATGAACCTATCTACCAATTATAACATATTCAAGTATAGAACCTAGAGATATGGAATTTAGGTAAAACCTTTTCAGCATTAACCTCATTAATGATATTTAAGTTTTTGCAGAACTATCTGGTTAAACTAAATCTCCATTCTGAAGCGAATCCTCTAATCACCTCTCCTGCTATGTACAGAATGTAGCCAGTGGATTTCCTGAAGTCCACAAGTCAAGGGTCATTGCAATGAAGTGAAATAATAACTTTACATCTGTAATATGGACTTATCCTGCAAGACAAAGTTGCAAGGCAAACCTGACTTTTGATGCTTAGAGACTTACACTTCATTTGGCAGTATTCCAGCTTTTATAAACTTGGCAAACCTTATAGAAGCAAGTGCTGAAAGATGTCAGACGATGAAGGTTTGTGACCTGGGTGCATCCCACGTGCCTTGTGAAAATAAGTCTCTTACTCTCCATGGGCTTCAGTTTCTTCTTCTGCAAAACGGGGGTTATAAAATTTGAGCTGTCAACTTTTCAGAGTTGTAAAGATCAGTTAAGGAACTGAATATAAAAATCCCACAGGAAGGTTGGAATTAACTTGGCAGCTCTAAAATGTTTACCTCATTTTTGTTTCATTATGGCATATTAATATTTCCTTTAATGTTAGGATCTCAAAGAAGATTATTTTACCTGATTATTATAATACAAGAGATTAAGAATCAGAAATAAATTTGCAAGTGTAGTCCGATGATCAAGGTTAGGGATATTTGCTGCTTGAAACCTAATGAGATAATAAGTGATTCTATTCATGTGAGTAGGGCTGACATAAAAATGAAGCTGGATTGTCTCATTAGGGTAAAGTGCAGTGAGCTGATTGTAACACTAGCTTCTTCCTCTGCTCAGTGAGCTCTGCATGGCTCCAAGGGAGCCTAAGGTATATAAGTAAACAAACACAAAGCTGTGCCCAGTGTGCTGTCGAGCAGGACTTCTCATTTTTTTTTTCTTTTTTCTTTTTTTTTTTTTTTAAGGCAGGGTTTTTCACTCTGTTACCCAGGCTGGAGGGCAGTGGTGCCATCGTAGCTCACTGCAGCCTCGACCTCCTGGGCTCAGGCGATCCTCCTCTCTCAGCCTCTTGAGTAGCTGGGTGCCACTACCCACAGGTGTGAGCCACTATGCCTGGCCAATTTTTTTGAATTATTTGTAGAGATGGGGTTTACTATGTTGACCAGACCGGTCTCAAACTCCTGAGCTCAATCAGCCCTCCTGCCTCAGCCTCCCAAAGTGCTGGGATTACAGGCATGAGCTACCACTCCCAGCCTTCTCACATTTTAATGTGCTTACCTGGAACCACCTGAGGATGTTGTTAAAATGATGATAGTGATTAAGGAGGTCTGAGGCAGGGCCCCAGATTCTGAATGCCTGACAAACTCACAGGTGATGTAGATATTGGTGGATTTCAGACCACACTTTCTTGCCTCTAGTGTAGAGTAGTGATATCTCAAAGTATGATCTTAGGGTATGTATTAGTCCGCTCGGGCTACCACAACAAAATACTACAGGCTGTGCGGTTTAAACAACAGAAGTTTACCTTCCCACAGTTCTGCAGGCTGGAAGTCCAAGGTCAAGGTGTCAGTAGAGTTCTATTTACACTGAGGGCTCTCTTCCTGGCTTGCAGACGGCTGCTGTGTCCTCACATGGCCTTTCTTCTGAGTGATTTCTTTTTTTTTCCTCTTCCTCTAAGGCCACCTCTTCCTCTAAGATTAGGCCTTCTATCTAAACTATGGACTTTAGTTAAAAATAATGTATCATTGGCTCAATTGTAAAAATGTACCACACTAATACCAGATGTTAACAACAGGGAAAACTCGAGGAGGGGTTACTGGAGAGAGGGTACATGGGAACTCTGTATGCTCATTTTTTCTTTTGAAAACCAAAAAGTCAAAAGGAAAGGATTACAAAAGGGATCAATGAAATTTCAGTGAGTGGAGGATGTGTTCATTATCTTAACTGTGCTGTAGTTACTTGAATGTATCTGTATGTCAAATCTTATTAAATTGTACACTTTATGTGCGGTTTATTGTATGTCATTTATACTTTAATAAATTTGTTTAAAAAAAACCAAAAAGTGCTCTAAAAGTCTATTAATTACAAAATAAATTACATTCTAAGATCTCCCCACCAAACTCAGTGAATCCATCCACAGGCTGGAGCAGAGGAGTTTTTAATCTGTTTAGATGATTCTTATGCATGTTAAAGTTTAAGAACAATCAAGAAGCAATTGAAAGCTCTAGTGTTTTAATCAGATGAACGTGAGTTCAAATCGCAGCTGCACCTCTTCACAGCTGGCTGTCCTTGGGCTACTTAACCTCTCTGAGTCTCAGTCTCATTTTAAAATCAGGGTAAGAATAAGTATATATGATGATTTTTCTTAGAATTAATTCATACAATGACATAGAGTTTTTAACACAGTGCATAGGTGCATAGTGTAAGTGCTCAGCAATTATGAAATAATAGAAGTTTTACTGTTACTGCCTGAGTTCTGGTGAGCCAGGGAGAATTGTGCCAAAATGTAAGGGGCTTTCAGAGAAGACAAAGCAGTAAAGGTAATAAGCAATAAAAAATCAGGAAATAATAAAAGTAATCCTGGATGCTTCTACAACATTCCATGGTTTATATATAGCTTTCACTTTCATTCCCTGACTTGATCCTGACAATGACCTTGTGAAGCAGAAATTCCCCTTTTTACAGAAGAGGAACTGAAGCTTAGACATGATCAGTGACTTTCCGGAGGACACAGAACTAGGAAATGTCAGAGTCTAGAGCATCGAAATTCTAGTGCAGGGTGACAGTACACTGTAGTAATTAAATATGGGGGCTCTTGAGTCAGACGGTTGGGTTCAAAGCCCAGATATACTGATTACTATTATAAAACTGGCAAACCAGTTCCCTTCTCTGAGGCTTAATTTCTTCACTAGTTAAGTAGAGATAATAACAGTGCTTATCTCCCAGTGCTTTGTAAAGATTAAATGAAATAATGTTCATAAAGTCTGAGATTCATGGCTGGCACATGGTGAGTTTCCTATTTCTGCACTCAATTTTGAATATGGTTCCTTGAGGGAAAAATACACATCCGTGCTATACAGAAAGTAATCTAGGGTTAGTCAGAGAAGGTGGCAATCTTTGTGCATGTGTCTTGAGGTTGGGAAGACGGGCTAGGGTTGCTACAGCCTCGGAGGAGTAATAAGAAGCTGGCACAGCATGCTGTGGCCTATGAAGCTCTTCTCTTTAACTAGTTGAAGTACTTAAAGAGCCAATAAGGAGATGGTACAAGCAAGACAGAGAAATCCTGGACTTTCGGTCCCAAATATCAAAAATGGCGGTAAATGTGGCAGTAAAAAGATAATTATTCTGTGATGTTTGGCAATGACTAAGAATCCGAGTAAAAAGGTCTGGACTTGGGATTTGTAGTAGCTAAACTCCCATACAAATATTTTGGAAATATATTAATATATTAATATTATATATTGATTATATTATATAATACAATATTTATATGTTAATATATTACAAACTTCTTCAGCACAGTGTCTACTTTACACGATTTTGTTGCCTTCTTTATAATTAGTTAAGGGGTAAACGTTTAGTAGGGCCACCATGGGCAGATATTCTTTGGATAAGATTTGAAAGATAGTTTGGTCCAACAAAATGTTCTGCATATTTTGGAGATGAGAAAGGGGTTGTGTATTACTTCCCACACTGTGAGGGAAGGTTGCTTAGACCTGTTGTAGAATATAGTGGTGCCATTTCTTCTTTGAGTTCACCATGACAAAATATGATGATGATAATGGTGATAACTATTACGATGGCAGCTCTTACTGACTCTATGTGCCAGGGGCCATCCTAAACACTTTACATATGCTGCCTCATATAATCTTTCCCAATAGTTAAGTAGACACTATTCTTTTCTTTACTTTTTTTTTTTGAGACAGAGTCTTGCTCTGTTACCCAGGCTGGAGTGCAATGGCATGATCTCGGCTTACTGCAACCTCCGCCTCCCAGGTTCAAGTGATTCTCCTGCCTCAGCCTCTTGAGTAGCTGGGATTACAGGCATGCATCACCACACCTGGCTAATTTTTGTATTATTAGTAGAGTTGGGGTTTCACCATGTTGGCCAGGCTGGTCTCGAACTCCTGACCTCAGGTGATCCGCTCACCTCGGCCTCCCAAAGTGCTGGGATTACAGGCATGAGCCACCTTGCCCGGCTGACACTATTATTTTCTTCATTTTAGAGTGAGAAAACTGAGGGAGGTTATTAGTCCTCAAACATACAGCTTGTTCACAGTTGGAACTGGAATTCCAACCCAGGCTGCAGAATCCAAACCAGCATGCTCAGGTAGCTTTAGAAGTCATCATATAGAAGACAAAATTTGGAGTTGGACAAGTATTAGTGATTCAAAGTTGTGGGTGGTTTCTGGAAAGAGTGTTAGCTACAGAAAAAGAGAAAGAAGTAGTTGGTCAGTAAGTTGGAAGTTTGCTAGGAGAAGTCTGCAGAAGAGGGAGAAGGTGGCACGCGACAGAATCGAATGATTGAATCTGATAGAATGGGCAGCGAGAAGACTTGTTATGAGGAAGCTGGCAAGTGGGAAGAATGCATTGGCTGTAAAAGTATGCAGACAAAATTCAATAAACATTTACACTGCACATGATCCCATCCTCTCTGACTCTCTCTCCTGTTACCCTTTCCTTCTCTCAATGTACTTCAGCCCTGTCAACCTCCTGGCTGCCCTGCAAACATGCTATTCTTATGTTAGCTCTTGCTCTTCTCTCTGCTTGGAAGTTCTTTTTCCCTTGAGATGCCCATGGCTAGCTCCTCGCTTTCATCAGGATTCCAATTAAATGTTGCCTCTTTCATAAAGCCCTTATGGACCCCCTATATAAAAGTGATCTCCCTAGCAGATCACTTCTGATTCCTTGATTTATTGTCAGTCTCTCTGCCTTCTAGATAGTCAGCCAATAACTGAGGGTCTTTGTTGTATTCACTGTGGTATCCCAGTGCCTATAATTGTGTCTTGTACACAGTAGTTACTAGATGTTTGCTGAATAATGAAAAAACAAATGTTTAGTGAAGACCAACTATGTGCAAGGAACTTTTCTAATTGCTTTGTCAATATAACATTGTTCTCAACTTCAAGAATCAGGGTTGCCTGTCTTTATACAGTGATTGCTACATGCCAGTCACGGCTCTAAGCCCTTTGCATCTATTGATTTTCTTAAATCCTCACAACAAAACAATAATGTAGGTACCAGTTATAGCTGATATTTGTACCAGGCCACAGGATTATGAAGTAGTGGAACTAGGATTTGAACCCAGACAATGGGGTGTCAGCATCTGTCTCCTTAACAATGAACTAAAAGAGTAAAAGGCTCTCAAGAAATATACAAATACATGCTACAAGGGCTCAAAGGACTAAGTAAATCGCTCGTGCGTTTGGGGGTGGGGAGAAGGGCAATAAGGTGTCAATTGAGACCTACTTGGAGAAAGGGGGAAGATTTCACTTGGTGACAGTGTGTATAAATAATCCAGCAGCCATAGGGAAGGCAAATAGTTTCACAAACACTTAGAAATGGCTTCCACCCAAGTCATGGCCAACTGACCTTGCAGCTGAGAGTGAGAGGGAATTTTAATTCAGTTTGCCTGGAGAACGGGTCAACTTGACCTTTCTTCTGAAAAGAGAGGCTTCATGCACTTGACTCTTGGGGACACAGAAATCTGCATTTTAATTTTGACTTCTCAAACAGTAACCATGGCCACAAGTGGTCTATTGGTTTCTCTTTACCTTCCCAACTATTCCCGGCCTTACTGTGCTTTAGAAGGGCAAATGACCTTGCGGGTGGTGAGCGATACCTCCTGGTTGACCTGCCTGGGAGATCTCAAATGAAACCCCCCACATGGATGCTTCTCCAAAATGCCACCAGTCTATGCCACCCCCTCTCTCCAAGGTGGTATTCTGCACCTCGGCCCTGCGATGTTCACCTGGAGTCTAGAGCCAGTGTTTCCCCACACTTAGCCGAGTCGCATGACCGGTTCTAGCTTCAATGGGGGAAAGTTTCCCGTCTAGGAGTTCTGGCGCTCTGCCCGGCTCCGGAGAAGGGCATCTCCTTGCGCTTCCTCTCTGGTGTCCTTCGAACTCAGCCTAACTTTGTGCAGCAGTATTTCCAGTCTAGCTGTCCAAGTTGGAGCCCCTGGGGGACGCAGCGGCGCGTTGAGAAGGCGCGGCGCCTTCGAGCCCCTCCCCAGAGCAGGCGCTGCTCGCAGTGACAAGGGGTCCTAGAGGCGCCCGCTGAGAGCCGCTGGCAACTCCCGGGGGTGTCCTGCCCAGCCCGAAGTCACCTCGGGTCTCTTTCGGGTCCATCTACTCTGTCGCCAGAGGCACCGTGCCACCCGCGGCGCTTTCCTCTCCCCGCACCCCGCCCCCCGCATCCCCAGTCCGGTGACTTGGCAGCAGGTGGCAGGGGCGGCGCTCACGAGGGCGAGGGGCTGGGGTCCCCGCACTCGAGCCGCCCGTGCAGCCCGCCCGCTTCCAGCCGCCGGCGCGAAGCTGCCGGCGCCTCGGCCTCCCCCGCCACCCCGCGCGCCCCCGCCGCCAAGGGCCGCGCAGCGCCCCCGGCGCCCCCCGCCGGCCTCCGCCCGCACCTGCAGCCCGCTCCGCGCGCCCTGCCCGCAGCCGCCGCCGAAGCTCTCGCTCCCAGCGCCACGGACGCCCCCGGGCCGAGCGGCGGTGCGCTCCCGTGCAGACCCGTGGACAGACGCCCCTGGCCGGTGGACTCTCGAGTCTCGCTTCTGCACCCTGCGTCCCTAGACATGAATGTGAGGAGGGTGGAAAGCATTTCGGCTCAGCTGGAGGAGGCCAGCTCTACAGGCGGTAGGATGCAATAAGCTTGCGAGCGGGCGCCCGCTTCCGCCCTCCTTCCCTCGCGAGCCAAGACGGCTGCCCCTTCCCTTCCTCGGCTGGGGACGCTTGTTGCCTTCGCTGCATGAGACACAGTCACCTGGCGGGACTGGGAAGGGGAGGTGGGAGCGGCAGGAATGGGGTGCAAAGGAGAGGGGGGTGCATGCAAGATCCAGGTCGGGGAAGAAAAGATGTTTGAAGTGTGTTTGAAACTCGCCGGTGGCAGGGTCCCCTGCGATCCTGTGCGTACTTTTGCCTTCTCTGAAAATTTCCGAGGTTGTTTATGCATCTGCCAGATGACTCCAGACCGCACGCTTCCTTCCCCTAACACCTGGGGATTAATGAGCTGAAATAGTATTGATCCTCGCCTTCCACTTTTCCTTCATGCCCCCACACGTTTCTTCATTACAACTGTATTTTTGTCCCCTGGTAATATACTGGCGGCATCTTGCCCATGTCAGATTCTAAAGCAGGAGCGTATGGCTTGTTTTATGGCTAGCTTCAGTTTAGTGTGTTCAGAGAAAATGGTCCTCAGTGACACTTGCAAATAATTTATATACAGTACAGCCTTGTTAAGGTATCGGGCACTGTGTTAGGAGCTTGGCTTTCAGAGAAACGTGCGTTCTGCGAAAGCAGGGAGAAATGTTTTGCTGTTTGGTGGGATCCATAGAGAAATAGGAGACGATGCCCTTCCACAAAGCGTCTTGGGTTGCATCGATTTGTTATTAGGTGGTTTTGATGTGTACAGAGTATTTTACAGGAGCCGGAAAGAGAATGGAAGTGATTTTGGGGCACATGAGAGTGATAAAGGGCTGGACCTCTCCCTGATTACATAAGCTAAGGGGTCACATATGGCTATAGCATAGTTTGGGTTTAGAGGGTGAAAAACTTGGACTCGAGGGCTGTAAACTTGCAAGCAAAGAGGTGTTTCCACTTGCTGCCTTCTTTAGTACTCAGGGAAATGGAGTCACCTCAACAACTTGAGTCAATCATTCGAATTTATGGCCATGAGAAATGGAAATGGACACCCTCCCTTTCTTTTCCTCACTCCAATAGTTAAGGTCATCGTAACCGGGAGGACACTAGTCTCACTTGAATATGAAATTTTAAAGAGAACAGTCTTAATCCTTTTGGACTGGAAAAAATAATATGAACATCACCTGTAAAGCCCCACATTTGACTTGTAACTGTGTTTAGTTCTGTTTTCACTTATGCCTGGAGATGCCCACTCATTACGAGCCAAGCATAAGTAGATTATCTCTTGTGAGAAATGCTTACAATCTTTAAGAGATCAAATGTTTCCTGAGTGGCGTGTTTAATGTAGAGGGCTGAGTAGTTTTGGGGTGTTGAGTTGAGTTCGTAGGGTCTCTGTCTTTGCAGTTCTTTAGAATAAACAGGGTAGAGGGCTAGCGCTGTCCTATTAGAGACACATTCACACACGGCAGCCCAGGGAACTCAAGGCTGGAGCAGATGGCAGGAATGTCGTCTCAGGATCTGGATGGCTTGCATTGCTTGGCTCCTCAGTGACCACAGCTCTTTGACTGTACCTGTTCTTCCATCAACCGGATGGGGATTGAATCAGCATGTCTAGACTATGCACAGGGTCATGGGTGGCCATAATCACTATAAATGGGAAATGAAGATGAAGTCACACCTGGGGAGTACTATACATTTAAAAAAGCAAACCTTTTACTGCTATCTCCAGAATCAGCATGTGTTCACTGTTTATTTAGAGAACAGAAATATGTTGTTTTATACCTTGGCTAAGGTGAGACCAAAGTGATGAGTTTTCTGGCTGAGAATTGATTTGACACCTGTTTCTTGAATTGTATTCACAAATTTTTAGTTAGTTGTCATATGATGAGAAGAATAAAGAAAAAAATAGTTTGGATTATCTTTTTTATTCTTGTTGATATTGCTTCAAAGCTAATATTAGAGAATGATCCCCAAATATGTAATACTATTTTCACCAAACATATGCATAAGTACTTTGCTTACTTGTGATCAGATATAGGATGGTCTTTACTAATCCTGGGATGAGAAGGGATGATTTTTAAAGGCTTAAACTCTGTCTTCCATTTTTGTTTTAAAATAATAGTCCCGATCTCTTGTTCTCTTTCCAATAAGTAGGCTATTTATATAACTCCCAAACTATCTTGTACTATGATACAGTTTTTCCTTGAATATATATCTCTGGAATGGAGGTTTATAAGATGATTTAGCTGGAATCTAAGCAAAATTTAACTGGAAGATCTAACTGAGAGAAATGTAGGTGGATGATAGAGAAATCAAGAATTAGAGAAGTGTGAGTCTGTGTGCGTACGTGTATGTATTTTATGACCTGACTTAGAGATAGAACACTGTGAAAAATGGTTTGCTGAAAGGCAAAGGATGAAACTACATGAATGGAAAGTAGAGAGGAAATGTTGGAAATGACAGAACAGAGTCGAGTTGCAATTCTGAAACTTTATAATAATTTAGTTTAAAAAGTTCGTTCCGTACTCTCTTCTCAACAAGTAAACGCATCTAGTATGCTAACTGATGAACACCACCTGTAAATCACTGTAATTGACATTGTTAATGCCAGAGAGGACAGAAAATGGGTGAGTTGTGCATAAGTACATACAAGTAGAGAAGGTTTCTTACAAATTAGAGTGCTCACTTTTGCCCTGCCAGCTTCCATGTTAAACCCAAAGCCTGACCAAAATACATTTTTCATTTCATTGTCTAATCCCATATTTTGCACTCCTGCTATAAAATCAGAACGTAATCCTGCTAACAGTGGAGAGACTGAGGGAGATGATAATTCAACTATGTTTGAAAGAGAATCAGAAACAAGGTCAGAGGAAAAAAAAAACTACAAAATTATTCATTGGTGTCCTTAATTTGTGCCATCTAACTTAGAGATGGCAGATGTTATGTGATGTAATCTACAACTAAAAATGAGGAAAATGTATGTTTCAATAGTAGAGTAAAAAAATGTCTTCAATTTTGAATTGCCATTTGATGGATGTATCGTGGCTTTGGCTTAAGTTTCATGTGTTTTAAAAATAAGGCAAACTCAAATTAGTAATTCCACAAGGGTAATATTGAAAAATCCATTTATTCTGAATCCATGAAAAGCTTTTCATCATACAATCATTATTTTATTTTCTTTATGTCATATAAATGTAAGAGGTGTACTAAACAAATGATAGGACAAAGTGTTGAAATTCAGCCACCCTCTCTCCCCAGGCCTGAAGCTTATGCCCTCTCATAAAATAAAGCTGTGGATGGTTTGGAAATTAATGAGCCATGCAATATAAAATCTGTGTGCAAGATTTCTGGAGAATTGTAGGCCAGGTAGTGGTTGATTGTTTTGAAGATATATTTCTGGGCTTAAATTATTAAGCCCTTCTTACTATTTTTTGTCCTTTTATTTATTTTTCGTGTTCTCACTTTTTCCAGAACATGTGAATAATATTGCTTTTCAATAATACATAACAGAATGTGTTTTTTTACTTAATAGCCTCTCTTCTTAGCGACTATTTCAAGTAGATTAACGTGTGAGGCAGGGAGGGGGTTGTGGGGAGATGAGTATTTTGTTTGTTCAAGGATCCTTTGCAAGTCTGAAAAATCTTTCAAAATTATATAACTGCACCCATTATTATAAATTAATTTACCCTTGGGCATTGAAGCACCCATTTCATTCCAAAAGTATTCATTTGGTTAAAGGTCCTGAGGGACTTTTCTCAATTCGTGTCGTCCTGAACTCACTGGGATGTTTCATGCTGTTTACCAACATGTGTTGGAAGACTGTGAGCTCTGTGAGAGCAGAAGTATTCTGTCCTGTCCACCACTTTATCCCCAGTATTGAGCATGAAGTCTGACTTGTAATATTTGCTCAACAACAGATATTGAATGAATGAAGCCTTTCCCACTTGCACTGAATTATTCTCCTTTCTCTGATTTCTCTCAGATCTCTCTTTTTTTTTTTTTTTTTTTTTTGAGACGGAGTCTCATTCTGTTGCCCAGGGTGGAGTGCAGTGGCGTGACCTTGGCTCGCTGCAATCTCTGCCTCTTGGGTTCAAGCATTTCTCCTGCCTCAGCCTCCCGAGTAGCCAGGATCACGGGTGCACCCGCCACCATGCCCGACTAATTTTTTTTTTCTTTTTGTATTTTTAGTAGAGATGGCGTTTCACCACGTTGGTCAGGCTGGTTTTGAACTCCTGACCTCAAGTGATCCTCCTGCCTCGGCCTCCCAAAGTGCTAGGATTACAGGCGTGAGCTACCGCGCCCAGCCAGATCTCCTTTTATGACACTTATTTCCTCTTTTTGCCCATTTTGTGCAGCCTTTCACATGGTTGTCTTTTAATTATCTTCTCCCTCTATACTCTCTTCCTAATCAAAGTGTGGCTTTGATTCTTATTTTGATGGGGAGTTATCTCTTGAGTGTATAGTCTGCTCCATTCCTCTTCTGCTCGTCAGACTCATAAGAAAGTTTTACCAGCACCTTAAAGTCAGTATGTCTAAAAAGACATGCTCTATCTTCTGAAAACAATTATCGTGGCAACATTTTTTGAGGCATGTTGTTAAAAAAAAAAAAAAGCAAGAGTCTCCTTCTCTATGGTATTCTCATCATGATGAATAAGTCACCAAGACTTGTTGGTTCTTTCTGTATTTTATATCTGTCTCTTCCTTCAATTTCCATTTCTACCACCAAGATTATGTTCTCAGCATCCTTTCTAGGCCATGAGGGTTACATCCTATTTGCACTAACTGCTTCTCCCCACTCAAAACCAACTAAATTTACTGAAACCTAACTTGAGTCATAGATTCTCCTGCACAAAATCTTTTAATGCCCCCCTCCATTACTTATAGAATCAAAAATACAAATTCCTTAGCTTGATTTTCAAGGCTCCTACGAAAATCATGACGCAGCTGGGTCTACACCTTGATCTGGCTAAACTGAACTGTTCCCTGGTCTCCAAACATATCTCCTTTTTTCTTTCTTTCTTTTCTTTTGAATCAGAGTCTCACTCTGTTGCCCAGGCTGGAGTGCAGTGGTGCCATTATGGGTCACTGCAGCCTCGAACTCCTGGCCTCAAGCAATCCTCCTGCCTCAGCCTCCTGAGTAGCTGGGACCATAACCAGCTATATCTCCTGTTTTACCCACTGCTTAGAATTAACTTCCTGCCCTCACATTGCCTGGTGAAAATCTGTATATCCATCAAGACACATCTGAAATGTAGTGTCCTTCTCTTGCGGGCTTACTGATTTCTCCCTGACTCCTCCCCAAATAATTATTCTTTGAATTTTCATAAGTTGTTTTTCTTTTATTGTTGATATAGATCTGAATGACAAGGCAGAATTCACTGGACATAATTTGTCTCATTTGCAGATGTTCTGTTGACTTTTTGATGGCAAGTAGTACCATGCAAGAATTACTAATTTTTGTACCTCTAGTAAGCACTTCTACAATGCTTCACAAACTAGTAGACATTTAGACCAGGAATGGTGGCTCACACTTGTAATCTCAGCACTTTGGGAGGCCGAGGCTGGCAGATCGCCTGAGGTCAGGAGTTTGAGACCAGCCTGGCCAACATGATGAAACCCGTTCTCTACTAGAAATACAAAAATTAGCTGGGCGTGGTGGCAGACACCTGTAATCCCAGCTACTTGGGAGGCTGAGGCAGGGAGAATCGCTTGAACCCAGGAGGCAGAGGTTGCAGTGAGCCTAGATCGCACCATTGCACTCCTGCCTGGGCAACAGAGTGAGACTCTGTCTCAAAAACAAAACATAACAAAACAAAACAAAAAACTAGTAGATATTTAAACATATTGATTGAATTAAATCACGTTGTCCCATGGTAGACCCACCAAAGACCAAAGTTACAATTCACATTTGATTGCATGTTAAGCCATTGGCTGAAAGTGACTTTTGGCTCCATGTCTTTCCATTCAGTGGACTGAGTTTATGAGCACAGTACATGACATCAAGATAATGCTCCTTTGAACTGTGAATGTTCTTGCATCTATAGCACCATGACTATCAGAGTGTACAGTGTTTCTGAAAAAGAGCTTAATAGATGCCCAGTGTTTTTGTGTATTTAGGGCAGTCATCAATGTCATCTTTGGGTGTTGTTACTATGACATTCCCTCATTCTTACTCCCTTCCAGATCAATGATCACCTCCAACATCAGTAGTCTGAGGGGCCTCACATCTCCTGGCCCCTAACCCCACAAATGGTCCTTTGTAAATTTCCCCTCAGTGAGTGAATGCCTACACCACCACATCCACCACCATTATTCTCATCAGATGATAGATCCTTGCATTACAGCAGTGGATGTGGAAAGGAATGGGAAAATTTAAAAAGGCATGGAGATGTCATTCAGTGTATATACACCCATTTCCTCAGGTGCATTTCCTTTTATATCAGATTTCACAGTGAAAAATCAGGCTGTATTGAGAGGGAAGTAAGTGGGAAGTGAAAAGTGTGTCAAGGCTGAGACAAGCAGAAGTTCAGCTCCTTTGCTGTCATTGCTGTGGCTGTATCTCCTCTTCTTGCCCAGTCTTTTCACTACAGGCTGTGCTATATGCGCACACATGCACGTAGCATTAGAAAACCTGAAAAAGGGGTGACTGTCAGTATTTAAACATAAAAGCTCTTCACACACTCTGACAATATAAGGAATAATTTGAACATGGATATAAATATAGAATTTTCCATATTGAGCATTTGGCCTTCATGCTCATGTTAAGGCTGATTTTTCTTCCTAAACGAACACAGCCAGTGTGGTTGAGTGGCTCTCTCATTGGAAATAGATTGTCAGTTTAAATACCCTTTGGATATGTTATTGACCTTTTAGAAACTTCTCTCCCTCTACCTGTCCCACCCCAATTATTTATTTAGGTAAAAATGAGTCCTCAAAACATTTTACAGCAACAATTTTTAACTTTTTGGTTACCTGAAATTTGTATTGGCTTAGGGAAATGTCCCCTTTTGTATTCAGACAACATCTGCTCATGAAAAGTCTTTAGGGAATTAGATCTGTTTTTTTTTTTTTAATAGGTCTTTACTACAAAAAGGTTTTGGAGGAAAAATAGACTTCCATCTCCAGATGTCAACAGTTCTTAATATTCTGAAGGAGCTTTTGAGTGAAGCAGTTTATTTAAGAAGTGACATTATCATAGCCCAGATCAGAATCAAAATCAGATTGGACTGATAGCAGTATCTACTGCAGTCTAATGACGATTCCCCCACAATCTGTCTTTTTTTGTTGTGCTGTTTGTACATTGTTACATATGATAAGATGTCTGAAAATCTTATTATTTTGTTTTTTACAAGAAAAGACATGACTTCTAAATGTCTTCATGAGTTTCATGATAATATTGGGTATATATAGCATATGTAGCTCTTAAACCGATCTACATCTCCAAATAGATATTCTGCCAGGGGTTTTATTTTGGGTTATAACTTTTTATAATTTAATGAATATTCATTATGATAGCATGAGAAACTACTTTAAAAAATGGCCTAGCCCATACCTTTTATCCATGCTTTGCATATGGTAATTCACTCCATGAATAAAAGTGTCTTATAGTTACATCTAAAGGCAAAGATACAGGGTTGTACTCCAACCCATTCTACTGTAGTGGAACTGATCCTCCAGTCTTCTTGTGTCCACAGGGAATTTGAGAAAAAAAAACTAAAATAATATAGAACTAACAAACAGACATTTATAAAACAACTCTGTGAGATATAGTATTAAGAACAAGTTAAATTTGGAGAGAAGTTTAATTTAGAGAAATTTTAATTTAATTTAGAAAGGCGAGAATATATGAAGTAGCCATTGAGTTTAATGTTGCTGTTTCTTTCTTTTTTCCTCTGTACAATGGTGGTAATGATATCTACTTGTAGCTTATAAAGATCCTGTAATGATGAAATGAGATCAATTCAGCAAATATTTACAAAGAAACTACTTAGTATTGGGACGACTGAGACATAGAGTCTACTTCTAAAGAGCTTACTGTTTATCCAAGATTTAGTAACTGAATATGCATGAGGCATTGATAGTCAAGTTGAGGAGAAAATAAATGCCTAAACATGTTTATTTTAAAATATTCATTCTCATAACAGAGTTAAGGATGAAGTGAGATGGATATTTAAAAGCAAAATTACTTCCAGTTGGTATAAGTGCTGTTCCTGTCCAAGTGGAAGCACACAGTGATATTGAACTTGACCTTTTACTCTTTGGGGACCTATAGAATAAAGCTATGAGAAGAAGTGGGCTTGAAGTTCTGTGTTTGTTCTATTTTCCATTTCTTCCTACCCTCTACCAATTTTTCTAATTGTAATATGGGTTTATCTTTCAGTCACCTAAAGACATTACATTATCTAAGCTATTTTAAAGATTTTAAAAACCTTCTTTGATACTGGAAGTCTGTAAAGAAATGTACCTTTTTCATAAAACATATGATTTGGAAGCTTGGAGAGTTCAAGTGAGCTATAACTTCTGTTTAAAGATAATCCTAAAGGAATTTGAAAATGCTCAGGTCTCTTATTGGGAATTTACATGATGTTCTGGTGTAGGCAGAGGCATTTCAAATTGGTGTAGGAATTTTCAAATTAAATAGGATGTTTCTCTAATTTTTAAACTTAATTTTGGGAATCACTTATTTTAGGGATATTATTATACATCATCTAATATTTCAAGCACTTGTGAAAGTCACATTCTGCTCAACTTTTCTCACATCCTTTCCAAGAATTTTAAATCACTTTTTCCATATCATCTACTTTCATAAACTCCCTTTAATTTGAAGATGAGTCTTTTCTACTTTGATGCACAGTATTATTGCAGTGGTTATCTGTTCCCTGTCCGCTCATGGTCCAGTTTCATCAGGATTTTCTGCTGAAGTCATGATATCTGAGAGAGTTGGCACATACTCTGAAACGTAGGTGCACTGTGTTAATTTAAAAGTTGTGGGGAGGAAAATCTTGGGGACAAGTATAAAACAATGAGAGTGCAGAACCAGGCATTGAGAAACATGGAAAAAGGAAGCCAGAACCTGTAAAATACAATATCCAGGGACATGGAGTGAGGGAATTCTCCTACTGTGGATTTATAGAATAAATCTCATCTTTTAAAATGGAGATGTTGTAAGATAGTTTTTAAGAAAGGGCACACATCTAAACTGGGAAGCTGGAAGGTAATAAATACTAACACTTCTGATGTAATTTAAGTACAGGAGTCTCCGCTACACCCTGTAAGTCCTCTAGTTAAAGTTATGGATGTAACCTCCAAATGAAAATTAGTCATTAAAAAGTACTTTGAAAATTGTTGTTCACCTCTCAGAATAAACAGTGAGAATGAAAAGTCCACCACCACTACAATGGGAAGATTAAACTGTAAAAGGGTAAAACTAACTTGTTAGAAGAATTGCAATTTAAGACATAGCTTTATTTATCCTTGGATCCCTGAGCATGAGATTGTGGCCTTCCATAACTACTGTTACAGCAAAATTTTAGATCTCAATGACAGTTATAATTTCAGCCTTAATGTAATTTGTGTTGTGTAGTTTTAGAAATATTTTTGAGAATGTTATTAAACAATCATTCATTTAAAATGCGTTTATCAATCACCTCCTATATGAGAGACACAGTGCTAGTAAAAGTTTCAGAATATAAAAAGATATGTTAATTGTTTAAGGTATAGGAATTAAACATTTAAATCATATCTTCCTTCTCTACCCCAGAATTCTACTTGACCCAAATTGTGTATTAATTACACAGCGTATGTTAGTTTATTTCATCTTCAAAGCCACGTGCTAAATACCTTCCTAGGACCCCATCGTATGTTCTTAATGAAGGATATCAGTAGGTGCAGTCCTTGTCTTCTGTGAAATAATAAGCTGAAGGAACACACAGTAAATCTATCATAATCACATGGTTTGTTATTGAGTGATAGTAGTTTTTTAGAATCGTGTATATACAACACAATCGTGTATAATACAGAATCGTGTATAATACAGAATCATGTATAATACAACACAAACCTTACGTAGAAAAGAGCATTATTCTGTAGATTAAATAATATTACTACTCCTTCATATCATGGGGGCTTCCCCAAATGTGAGCCAATTGATTCTTTCACAAAACATATACTGAACATCATTTCCCAAGTATTCTTCTAAGTACTAGAATACAGAGTTGAAAAATATCCCATGGAAAAGAAGCCCTGAATCTAAAGAGATAGAAATGAGAGATGAAAATTAGAACTTCAAAAGCCCTGTAATAACACCAAGCACAGACTGCTTTGGAAACAGGTATAAGTCATACTACGCAAGTGGGATAGTCGTAGAAAGCTACTTAGACTAGATAGGACTGGAGAATGAGAATGAATTTTTCAGGGACAGATGGCAGGTGAATTTTGAATGTTTCAGGCAGGGAGAACTGTGGTCCTGAGGCTGGACCAAGAGAACATGGTACTACAATCAGGGAACAGTAAGAATTTTGTATGGTTTTGTGGGAATGTGTGGGGAAGAAGAAAACTATGAGATGGGAAGCTGGACAGTAGTCACGGTCAAGATGTGATGCAGTATGAAAACTACTGATAGATTTCAATCAAGAGCACAGCATGACCACATTTGCACACTGGGAATATAACTGGTGACGTAGTCAATGGACAAAAAGGGAGTAAAACAGCAGGCAGAGACTTGTGTGGCATAGCTGCAGGTGAGACATAAGGAAGGACAGAGCAAGGCATTGGTCATGCAGTGGAAGGCAGAGAGTACACATCAGACAAATAGAAGACAAGAGCAACTCTCAGTTTCTGGCCAGGGGAACTGTTGGGTGGCATACATTTACCAAGATGGGAAATACAGAGATGGAGGTTCGGTTGAAAAAAACCTGAATGGTTAGTTTTGAAGAACAATGAAATTTAAGGGCTTCTTGGATATCAAAGTGGAGAAGATGCCCAATAGGTATTGGGCCATATGGGTTGGAACATGATACTGAGATTCAATTTTGTGGATAGAAGACCATCAAATTTCACAAAAAGTGACAGAATGAAGGGAATTAATTTTGCATAGCTGTGTAGGAAGTACCATTAGTTGGGATATCATGAGGAGGCGGTCCCATTAGTCTAGGCAAGAGAAAACAAACGTTTGAACAAGGGTAAAGGCAGTGGGAATGGAAAGGTGAGATGACTGTTGTGGGGGAGAAAGATGGCAAGGTTGGTGACTGTGATACTTTGTGGTGCTGCGGTGAGAGACAAGGAATATAGGCGGAGGAACAGGTTTTGGAGGGAAGATAATGTGTTCATTTTTAGAAATATTGATTTTGAGATACTGGGAAAACATCCAGGTCAAACTGTCCCAAAGGCAGATGGAAATGCAGAGTCCAAATTTAATCCATTTCAGAGAAGCACACATTTATTACACGTCCAGCATTGTGATGAGTATTAGGAATAGAGAGATGAATGAGGCACAGTCTTGCTCCCAAGAAGCTGGCTATCAAATTAAACTGGGGTGCCAGTTTGGGAATTAGTTGCAGAAAGATAATGGTAACTGAAGTCATGAACTGGATAAGGAATAGAGTCTAGAGTCAGAACTGTAAAGAATAAGGGTGGGAGATAGAGGTGAAACCAGGGAAACGTGTTATACCTGGAGAAGAAATTGTAGAGGTAAGTGACCTCCAATGAATGGAGGTCAGTGACTGGCATGTAGAAGGCCCATATTTGTTAACTAACAGGGAAAAAAGAGAGTTTTAAAAATCCAGAGCTGGCTAATAGAATGAACTGCTGCAGAACATTAATGGAAGGTGAGGATTGGTGGCTAAGGATAAGACTTTGGAGTCAGAATTAGGATTCACATACTGTGCCTGCTATCACGTTACCTTGAGAAGCCACATGGCCTCTCTGTAGTTTAGTTTCTTAATGTGTGCCTGGACCATTCTTGCCCGGTAATTCTGTTGCTTTTCTTCCTCACTTCATTTGGGTCTCTGTTGATATGGTACTTCTCTGATGACTTCATCTAATATAACAACCCATCCTGTGCCTCTTGTATTAGTCTGTTCTCACGCTGCTAATAAAGACATGTCTGAGACTGGGTAATTTATAAAGGAAAGAGGTTTAATTGACTCACGTTCTACATGGCTGGGCAGACCTCACCGTCATGGTAGAAGACAAGGAAGAGCAAAACCACATCTTACATGGCAGCAGGCAAAGAGAACGAGAGCCAAGCAAAAGCGGAAGCCCCTTATAAAACCATCAGATCTTGTGAGACTTATTCACCATCAAGAGAACAGTATGGGGGGACCGCCCCATGATTCAATTATCTCTCAGTGAGTTCCGTGTGGGAATTATGGGAGCTACAATTCAAGATGAGGTTTGGGTGGGGACACAGCCAAACCATATCATCTCTCAATCCCTGTCATCTCTCAATCTCTTTACCCTGCTTTACTTTCCTTCATAGTTTTTATATACTTCGTAAAAGAAAAAAATATAGACATACGATATATGCTATACTATTATTTGATAATGCTGTTTTATATATACTATGTGTGTGTAGCTATACATGTGCGCATATATATATATATATAATCTTCATTTCTTTTGGGTATATTTGTTTATTTTCTACTATCTTTCTATGAAAATGTACTCAAATCTATGTTAAGTTGCGAATCACTGAAGAGAACCTATATCACCAGGTTGCACTGAGGATTAACTGAATTAATGCATATGAAGTGCTTAGCACAGTGCCTGACAAATAGATAAGGCCCTATAAATGTGAGTTGTGGTCATTTTTATAATTATTTGGCCTGAGAAAAATGTTCTTTAATCATGAGGATGAGAAGTCAGGAGAGAGGAAAGATTGGGAATATGTGGGGGTCGTGGAGGGAGGGAGTTCTGAGGAAGTGACATTTGCTCTCTGGAAGGGATAAATCTGGTCCTCTAGTGTAGAAGGGAACAGGAGGTCACTCTGGGGTGACTTGTTGGGGAAGATTCTGTGGAAGAGCTGCACTCTGAATAGCCAGTGGAGTTCAGAGGGATTGAGAAGAAGCATTTAGTGGGGAGGCATGAATAAATGTGTAGGGACAGCAGTTTGGATGGCATAGGTGGTGACCTGAGAAGTGATGAGGCTGTGACATGAGATTGGAGAGTCTAAGAAACGTGGATTTTATGTAGTGGGTAGGCATTTAAGGTTTCTGAGGACAATAATGGCATAATCAAAGTGATGCTTTAGGAAGAGTCCTCTTGTCTGATGTAAATGAAAGATTAAAGAAGGGAGAGTTTCCAGGTGGAAAGGTCATTGAGAAGTCATCAAAGTTGTCGAGGCATTAAGTAGGAAGGTATAGTTAGAGAAGGGTGTTGGTGGAAGGTTCTTGGGGCATTGTGGTTGGTCTTTGTAACTGATTGAATGTGTGGGTGGAGTTAGATGGGAGATCAAGGAGGAGCAGGAGTCAAGGACATGCACCTAGGCAGGCTCTATACTCCAGCTGGGGTAACTGATGAAGGCCTTTGCTTATGGTGATGGGAGGATATTATTCAGATGACAGAGGACAGAAGAAAGAAATTGTGTGTGTGTTTGTACATGTGCATGCACATAGGGTCAAAAGCATTGAGTTCAATATTATATTTGGGGTGCTAGAGGAATACCCTGGTAAGAGGGACACTCAAGCAATTTTAAATATCCTTTTTATTGATAAGTAAATTGAGGCTCAAAGGGGTTAAGCAACTTGCCCAAAGTCACACATCCAGTGATTGAGAGAGTGGGTGTATTTATTAACCAAGGCATCGTGGCTCCACAGCCTATACTCTGAACTCTTATTTCTTGACTGTCCTGCCTGGACAGGGAAGGACAGGGGAAGAGTGGAGGGTGGCACGTGGTACTCTGAGCTGAGCTAGAATCATTCTGGGAGGACTGGGCTTGGCTTAGTTGAATTAGTGCTTGTTGTCCAGTTTGGTGGTGCATGCAGTTAAAGAGCAAATGAACTGGAAAATCTCCCTGTGAGTTTCTATGTTATATACAGTATAGAGATCTTATATAGTCTGGATATTTTCTCCCCTTCAAATCTTATTTTTAATTGTGACTTCCAGTGTTGAAGGTGGAGCCTGGTGGGAAGTGATTACATGGGAAGAGGAAACCTTAGTACTTAGGTTTGTGGGTTGGGAAAAAGAACCATTAAATGCTTGAGGGGTTTGGATGGCAATGAAAGTAACCTGCAGGGCCTCCCTGAGCTTGAGTTGAAGGAATTGATGAAAATGACCACTGTGGACAAACTAGTGCCTGATAAGAGTCTGGGGCAGCCTAGTCGTTGGAAGTGCAGTACATAGGCAAGCTTCTGAAGGATATATCTTATCCTGGGCAAAGAGATTTTTATCTGGAGCATTGCATTTGCATAGCTGCTCATACTCCCTTCCCTCCACTGCTTGATCATGCACCTGCATTTCCAACCCCCTCCAAGGACAATGGGCACAGGGAATCTTGCTAAGACTAACCAACTCAGAATACATAACATTACTGTAAGCAATGAACTTCAGCTATCCTCTGTCCTGCCAGAATAAGTCATGAATCCTTTCAATATTATGCCTTAATGAAAGCAGTTTTAATTAATTGTTGGGTGTCTGCCAACCCAGAGTAAAGACACCATAGCACTTTCAAGACCCATTGAGGCACTCAAATATTTGTTTACCAGTGGAATATGAAATGCCTTTAAAGGTACTGATAAAACAGCAGTCAAATATTATTTTAACTATTAGGTAAGTCTCATATTTCTGCCATCATCCTATTAAATTAGCAAGTACTTAGGCAGCTCAGAGGCAAACTATTTTTCTCTCTGGGTGTCAGGACACATTTCATTCAACTTCACTCCAATGAACACATTTATTTATCACTTCTTATACATCAAACATTGTGCTGTGTGCTTTGGGGTTACAGATACCTTCCCTGTCCTCACAGATGGCTAGCAAGGAAGAAAGACCTTGAAAAATACATTCTGAGTATGCTGAGTTTTTCAGAAAAGCAAGCACAGGAGGCTATAGGAACATATGGGAAAAAGACTTAATATGTTTTATAAGTCAGAAAATAATGATTAAAGGAATTAGAAATTGGGTCAACATTTGAATTACACTTAGAGATAGACAAGAACAAGGTTAGAGAACATACGTGAAATGAGGAGGTCCTTCCCATCCCCCCATTCCACCCCTGCAAAAAGACAGCAAGTGACAAAAGATAAGGTCCAGATGGCTAAGAGTCTGAGTTTTATTAAATATTTGGACTTTATTTTAAGAGCAATGAGAAGTGATCACAGGTTTTAAGCAGGGGAACAAGATAACCAAATAGTCACATCACATTATCTGATCTTGGTCCCTGCACCCAGCAAAAAACAGAAGACAATATTTCTATAATCAGCAAACTGTAGATCATGTATTTGTACTGCTTGCCCTTGTGATATCTGGAATAATTTTTTCATTTTCTCTATTTTGGTGTTCTGTTTTTTTTTTTTTTTCGTTTACCTTTTCTTTTCTGCTTTGCTTTACCTCTGAAATCTGACTGTGGTCTGTTACGTAGAACTCACAATTAGTCATCTGGTGTCTAGGTCAGCAGTCTCCAAAATGTTTTGATCATGGACCCCTATCTGTAAAATATCTAGGGCATGTTCTTCATTTTGATAGATTTTTTCATAGATTATACATGTATACATTTAGATGTATGTATGCTAATTATTAATAGAGCTTGTCTCCTTTTTTTCTTAGATAATAGTAGATACAATGGCAGTAGTAATATTTTATTGCTGATTCCAGGTGTACACACCCAGTGATGATCACACCAGACTTAGGATTTCACTGGTCTGGTTCACCTCATCCTTGTATCTGACCTTTAAATTAAGGCATGCTCAGTTGACTGGCCTGAAAGTTTTGATTTCTGTCAGAACACCAGTAAAATGATACTGGTAACCTCTTGTACAGGCATTTCTCTTTATGCTTTACTAGTATAAAGAGAAAAGTCTGATATAGAAGACTTTAAAGCCTAAAACAAACCAGTGAGCGGCAAAGAACTATCAGCAATGTGCAATTGTATCAGCAAGTAACTTCCCTATATATTTATCTGTTTGCTAACACAAATAGCAAGTATCACATAGGTAATGATTCCTTGCAATCTCTTATTAACTATTCATCCTTCCTCAAGGCTTCAGGCCAGTTACTGTTGTTCCTGTTCCAGCTGAGAACTTTTCTTCATGGATCAGACACTGCATTGTCCTTTTTTGTTAGTGGCAAATTCTTTCTGTTTTCCGAGTTTCTCACTGTTTCACTCACGACACATGTATCAGTTACGGAGAAGCCTAAATTTCTCTGTCTGCAAAATACTCAAAGATTACATTAGATACTCATGGTACTAGTGCCTATTTAAAAAAGGCATATGGTATAGGTTACCACACTAACATGTGGACATTTTCTGACTCAACCACACAGAGCTTGTCTGTGTTTTTTTCTGTTTCTTGAATCCATGCAGTGTGGGTCTGATGTCTGCTGACTTGTGGAGAAACTGAGTCAGTATTGGCCTACCCAACTACAATGTGTAATTGTATACTGTCTCTTGGAAGGGGTCCTACAGGCATCTAAAGACAAGGAGAGGATGTGGAGAAATAGGAACACTTTTACACTGTTGGTGGGACTGTAAACTAGTTCAACCATTAAGGAAGTCAGTGTGGCGATTCCTCAGGGATCTAGAACTAGAAATACCATTTGACCCAGCAATCCCATTACTGGGAATATACCCAAAGGATTATAAATCATGCTGCTATAAAGACACATGCACACGTATGTTTATTGCGGCACTATTCACGATAGCAAAGACTTGGAACCAACCCAAATGCCCAACAATGATAGACTGAATTAGGAAAATGTGTCACATATACACCATTGAATACATTTGAATACTATGCAGCCATAAAAAATGATAAGTTAATGTCCTTTGTAGGGACATGGATGAAGCTGGAAACCATCATTCTCAGCAGACTATCCCAAGGACAAAAAACCAAACACCGCCTGTTCTCACTCATAGGTGGGAATTGAACAATGAGAACACACGGACACAGGAAGGGGAACATCACACACCAGGGCCTGTTGTGGGGTGGGGGGAGGGGGGAGGGATGGCATTAGGAGATATACCTAATGTTAAATGATGAGTTAATGGGTGCAGCACACCAACATGGCACATGTATACATATGTAACAAACCTGCACGTTGTACACATGTACCCTAAAACTTAAAGTATAATTTAAAAAAAACAAAGAAAAGGATAGTTTTCATAAAAAAAAAAAAGCTGAGCTTCAATCATTTAAAGCTCCTATTGTAGGTGCATATTTCTGTCACTGGTGCAAAGAAGTAAAAGATGGGCTGTAGTTAGAGATGTTGTTCTATAATGACATGCAAAAGCTACCACAGTAAGATTAGTTAACACTCTGATTTTGTAATGGCCTTACTGATGATTTAAACATCTCCAAATCATGACTGAGGTTTACTAATCATAATTTGGTTCTCAGCAATTGAGACTCCATGAGTTTAGAGTTTGTCTGTTTTGTTCAGTATATGGCATAAGCCTAGAACAGGGTCTGCTGATGGTTGGCTCTCAAATACTCATTGAATTAATAAACCATCACAAAAGACTAGCACCTGCTTGCAATTCACTGGGAGAGAGGGACATGTGGACAAGTAGCTCTTAGAGCAACATGACGTAAGTGCTAAAATAGAGCCAGCTACAAAGTTTCATGGAAGCAAAGGTGCAGGAATAACTACCTACTTAGAGAAGCTAAGGAAACGTTGCAGAAGGAAATGACATCCCAAAGGGATCTTAAAAAACTGTGTTGAGATTTATCAAGTGGAGGAGAGAGAGGGATTTAGAGGTAGGATCAGCCTGTGCAAAGGCTCAGATTTGTGTGAAAAATCGAGCCATAGTCAGGGAATGGTGAGAGGTCCATGTGGCTTGAATACTGGCAGTGTAGAAAAATGTATCCAAAAGTAAGACTGGAAAAGTAGATGGTAGTAGACTATTTCAGAGCCTTGCTTTTATGACTGAGGAGTTTAAACTAAAATCTGCAGGCTCTTGAATGGTGTTAAGCAAGGTAAAGTCAATTGCTTCTGTTTAGCAGGAAATTATGAGGCAGTTCCATAGAAGTCATGGGAACTAGTTAGAAAAATGGTACGAACAATGTAGACCAGGAGACCTGAATTAAAGCAGTGTGGAAGGTAGAGAAGAGGTGTTGCATTCAAGAGATACAGTAGCAGGTATAATCAAGAAGACAATCTGTATCAGAATAAGTGGAAGAAAAGTAGGAGTAGAGAAGTTTTCCCCATGTCTAGCTTTAATCTTCAGCGGAATCCTTGAGGATATGGCTGCTTTAGTACATATTGAGGTTGGGATACTTGCAAAGAATGTTAGATAGCCAGCTCACAGTTGAAGGTGTGTGTCTTGATCCCAGAAGGGGCTAGAAATACACATTTAGGAGCCAGTGGATTGCAGATACAGCCATGCGAACAGAAGAGGTCACTTAGGAGGAGAATAGAGCTTAGAATGTACTACTAGAGAAACAGACTAGAATTAAGTGACTGCAACAGGAGAAGGAATCAGAGATGGAACATGTAGGGAGGTAAAAGGAATGACAGCCAAGAGTAGTACTGTGGACGCCAAGGCAAGGGAAGTTTTCCAATATTTGGCCAATTATCTTAAGTGCTTTGCATGGTTAAGTAAAATGAGAATTGAAAGGATTTGGCAGTTAGGAGTTGAAGCAATTTAAGTGGGGCAGAAGCCAGATTGCAGTGGGCTTGGATATGAGTAAGGAGATTAAGGAGATGTGGGAGAGCAGGTGTAGACAATTCTTTTAAGAAGTTTAGCTGAGAAAGAAAAGGAATAGACTGAGCAGTTCTTGGGAGTAACTACTGGCGGGTTCATTTTGTTTAGCAGGAAAAGTTTGGGCATGTTTATAGGCATTGGCCTCATTAGAACAGTGGTTGAGTAGTGGAGAACGATGGCGTAAAAGCACAATAGAAAGAACTATTCTTCTTTTAGTGCACTATTGTACCTTGTATATGCCATATAGACACATGATGCAATTGGCTATTTCAATTTTAACTACTTATAAAAATACTGAAGAATGTAGACAGTAACAAATACCTGGGGATTCCTGCCCCAAATTGCTAGTTAACAATTATTGAAAATATTTGCTTCCAGCCTTTTTTTCCATAAAATAAATAAAATGTTAGCAATAAAGTTGACATATTTATTATCACCTACAACATTGCCTTTTTAATCGCCTCTCCTCTGCAGTTACAACCACTACCATGAATTTGGTGTTTATCTTTCCCATTAATTTTAATATCCTTTATCTGGACATGTCAGTATGCATGAGCAGTGTTTAATATGTTTTATGTGTATGTTTTTAAACTTACACAAATGGTGTATTTTAAGACTTTTTCACTTGTCATTATGTTTTTGAGATCTAGCTGCATTCGTGGATATAGTTTACTCCTCCTAAGTGCTGAATACTATTTGTGCAATACTTTATTGCTGTATATGTCTCTCTAAGAGGGTGAGTTGTTCTGGGGCAGAGATGGGATGTTGTTTGTGTTTATACCCTCAGTTTGTAGATATACAAACTGAGTTATATCTCAGTTAGGTTGTTGTTAGGTTGATCTCGGGAAGGAATATGGGGTATTGAGTCTCTTCTTGGGGACATTAGGGAATAAATTAGGTTTGGGGAGGACATGTGCAACGGATTTGCATTCTGCGAAATAGGAGGAAGCATCATTTTCAGAGAAGGGGGATTAGGATTTGAGAAGTGTGTCATGGATTTATAATCCTTTGCTTAATCAGGGGGAGATTATCCCAAATAGATACTATTTCTGCAAGAGTCAGACATACACTGTAGTCTCTCTTCATTTGGGCTTTATGAATGATTAGAACTAGAAAACACCAACTAGCTTCTAAAATATTAGTTTGTTTACCACAAACTCTTCTAATTTATATGTTCTTTTAGCATTAGGTGAAAAGGTGATTTACTCTTTGATTACAGGGTATTTTGTGATTTAAATCTGTCTTCAGGTTTCTGGAAAACATTCATCCAGTTGTCACTTGTGCTCTTATTAAAGATATGCTGGGTATGATGAATTGGGCTGTTTTATGTATTTTAATCTATTTTGTATGTTAATAACCCACCATGGCTTACATGCAAGACCATTTTTTAAGTTTCACAGTCTGTGTGTGAGTATTGTGAAGTCATCTAGCAGTGTCCAGGGCTCCAGAGGGTGACTCAGGGAATTAGGTCTTGCTAGCCCAAGCTGACTCTTTAATTCATCACTGATCCAAACCAGGGGTTTATTCTCTAGATCCAAAGGGAAAAGAAAACTTCAGTATGGTGTGTGTGTGTGTGTGTGTATATATATATATATATATAGTCTAATCTGGACTAGGCACTTTTCCAGTTACTGAGTGGGTGAGAAGAGAAAGGATCCAAAAATGAAGATCGTATTTTTGCTATGATTATTATACTTATAACCTATGTAGACAGACTGCTTGGAGAGGGCTTAACATTTATTTTGCTCTTGTAGGTGTCAGGCCCTGTTTTAGAGTGTACACGTATAAATGGTTTAGATCCTTATATCCTCATCGTGTGGGTGAGTATTGTCATCATTCCACAAATACAGGGACTGAGGCTCATGCAGCAATTGTCAGAGCATGTGGATAATGGATTTAACGTCCATCTGACTCCAAAGCCTTTGTTCTTTCTACTCATTGTCAGATTCTCTCAAATTTGTGTAGAAGACTGATACATCTCCCACATTCATTAGAAACAAGGTAATGCGACTTGAATATTACACATGAAAGTAAAAAAGTAAACCGAATACTTGTTACTCATTCTCTAGCCACAGCATGATAAATACACTATGTTGAAATTTGTTGGGATGCCCCAGCTCTAAGGTGGGTTATGGCCATTCATGAGGCCAAGACATGGATACAGGTCTCCAGGAGCTCTCACTTTTGCGCTCTAATTTCTAGGCCTCCTCTGCTATGTCTTGAGGGTTCCATTGAGTCCCTGGTATTTGAAAGTTACTGAGTATTGCTTTTCTTCCCAGAGAGTGTTAGTAGATGAGGTGGAGTGGGCCCCTAGCAGATCTGTTGCTTTGGTGTGATAGGCAGACTAAAGGGCCTCCAAAGATGTCCATATTCCTTATTCCTGGAACTTGTGAATATGTCGCCTCAAATGGCTAAAGGGACCCTGCAGATATAATCAAGTTAAGGACCTTGATATGGGACAATTATCCAGGGTGATCAGGTGTCAGTGGGCCCAGTCTGATCACATGGGTCCTCATAGGTAAAAATCCTTTCCTACTGTGGTCAGAGAGAGATGTCACTAAAGAAGAATGCTTAATGAGATTCAAAGTTTTTGGCTTTGAAGATAGAAGGGGAACACAGGCCCAGGAATGTAGGTGGCCTTAAAAGCTGGAAAAGACAAATGAGTTCTTTCCTAGAGCCTCCAGAAAGGAACCCAGCACCAGTACTTCAAATACTTTAGTCTTAGTTCAGTGTCAGACTTCTGACCTACCAAACTGTAAGATAATAAATTTGTTTGTTTTCAGCCAGGTTTGTGGTAATTCTTTGCAGCAACAATAGAGAATGAATATACCTGGCCACAGGGTTATCTGTTTCACTAGTATTTTACAATAATATAAACAACATACTTAGAGAAAGGATATACATCTTAATAATGGATATGCTTTTCTTAAGGATAAATGTTTTTATGAGGCTTCTCAGTATAGGTTCTTAGAGGTAGTCTAAGAGGTAGTAGTTTGAAGAGCACAGCTTTGGAGTTAGAGAGAGGTGGGATCAACCCTGGCCTTGAAGCTCGACTTATAGGAAGACAGATTGCTTGATTTGTTCTTCCTGAGTCTCATTTTCTCATTGGTAAATTGATGGTTTTGGAGAAATTTAGGACTGGCAACTGTAAAGTGCCTATCCTGGAGACTGGCACACAAGGCCCACTTAACAAATGGTCATGGTGATTATGAGGGTTCTTTAAAGTGTTGGATTCTTCTCAATGATTCAAATAGTGAAAACACCTGCTTCTCAGCTTTATACTAGACTCGAGCAAAGTTATAGTTTTTCTGCTCTGAAAACTGAACTCTCTTCTTCTAAGTAATGGAGTTTAATTTGTAGTAATGGGAGGTAGGCTTGTTGTGGTCTCATTTAAGCTTTGGAGCCTTTTGTACTTTGAATCTCAGATTCATCACTTATTTTGTGACTTGTCTCCGCCTGTAAAGAGGCTTCATAATAACAATACTGACGTTCTAGAAGTATTGTAAAAGTTAGCATTATTTGAGATAATGCATAGAAAGCTTTTAGCCACAGCAATTGCTGATTAAGTATTGGCTGTATATAGCTCAGTGAATCTTATGGCTATCTTTAGTCAATTAAAAATAACAGCTAAATTGTATAAATCTTTTCCAAGTTACCAACTCTTTAGCTGAATATATATCATTTTGTTCTTTCAGTATACTAGAAGTGGGTGATGATAATGCCCTTTCTGAAGATTAAGACATTGAGGATCTGTGAGATAAGTGATTTGTCCAAGGTCACAGTAAGCAAAAATGGGGCTCCAACCTAGGTCTTCCAGCTCCAGTGTCCCATTATCATTTATTAATTCAACAAATTTCTTGAGTATGAATTATATGCCAGACACTGGAATTTGCTGGGATCACCAGTCTCTCTTATCGTGGGGTCTTGATATATAGTGGACCGCTAGATATTAAATTATTTTTATGAGTATTACCAAAGAAAGTTCATGGTTGTCGTTAAAGACTGCATCAGAGGAATCTAAACTTTCCTAGAGACCTTCATGAAGAAGTAACATTTAATTGGAAGAAGTGAGAGTTAGGCAGACAATAGAGGGTGGGGGGAAAAGGAATTTCATGAAGTGGGAATCTCCTGAGTGCAGCCCTGGAGGATGAAAAAGAAATGACATCTGTTTATAGCAGCACTATTCACAATAGCAAAGACTTGGAACCAACCTAAATGTCCAACAACGATAGACTGGATTAAGAAAATGTGGCACGTATACACCATGGAATACTATGCAGCCATAAAAAATGATGAGTTCATGTCCTTTGTAGGGACATGGATGAAACTGGAAACCATCATTCTCAGCAAACTATTGCAAGGACAAAAAACCAAACACCACATGTTCTCACTCATAGGTGGGAATTGAACAATGAGAACCCATGGACACAGGAAGGGGAACATCACACACCAGGGACTGTTGTGGGGTGGGGGGAGGGGGAAGGGATAACATTAGGAGATATACCTAATGTAAATGACGAGTTAATGGGTGCAGCACACTAACATGGCACATGTATACGTATGTAACAAACCTGCACGTTGTACACATGTACCCTAAAACTTAAAGTATAATAATAATAAAATAAAAAAAAGAAAAAAATGAAATGACATCTTCTAAGAGTTGACAGAAATCAAGTATGACTGGAGTAGAGTGAGTAAGGAGGAGAGAGAAGAGAGGTGATGCAAGAGAGATTAGGAAAATGCATGCTAGAGATCACTGACCACTATCTTAAGGACTCAGGACATTCGCTTAAGAGCAGCAGAAGGTACCAATGGAGTAGCATGATCAAACTCAACTTAAACAATTGGGGGCCAGGGAGGAGTGGTAGATTATAGAAGAGTGACAGAGGAGGATAGAGGAGAGGGAGGAGAGGGGTATAGGAAAGGGACCCTAGGGCAGCAGCCTGAATAACTCTTTCCACTGTGAGTGTTGAGAAAATTATTTGAAATTAACAGTTTATCTACTCCAAATCTATGCTTGTGGAGTCAGCACTGACCCTTAAAAAATTGATGGAGACAACAGCCAGTAAAGTTGCTCTTGCAGATAAGAGAAAAAGCTTTTTGTTTGTTGTTAATCCAGAAGCCTAATCCAAAGACCATGTGGCTGAATTATATAGAAATATATTGTCCAGGCGCGGTGGCTCACACCTGTAATCCCAGCACTTTGGGAGGCCGAGACGGACAGATCATGAGGTCAGCAGATAGAGACCATTTTGGCTAACACAGTGAAACCCTGTCTCTACTAAAAATACAAAAAAATTAGCCAGGTGTGGTGGTGGGCACCTGTAGTCCCAGCTACTTGGGAGGCTGAGGCAGAAGAATGGCGTGAACCGGGGAGGCAGAGCTTGCGGTGAGCCGAGATCACACCACTGCACTCCAGCCTGGGCGACAGAGCGAGATTCCGTCTCAAAAAAAAAAAAAAAAAAGAAATATATTCATTAATAGAAATTGTCCTCCTTATGTACAAAAACCATTTGTGGTTATATTACTATTCAGTTAAAGGAGTTTATTTTTCTTTCTTCAACAAGAAACATTAATTTATCTCAGAGACTATTTGTATCTACTAATTTTCTGGATATGTGATTATTGACACCTATAATTTTTGGTCTAAGTGTAAAAGGATTTGCATTGTAGAAGTAGAAACCCAATCACTGGTTTAACCTATACTCCTGACCTATACCTGACTCTCTTCTGTGGCACCATGACAAAACATGTTCATGCAGGTAAAATGCTGGGATTTGGGAACTGGTCACTTCCTCTGGTGACACCACTGTTTTTTATGGGTATGGATAGACAAGAACTAGAAGACAGAGCCACCATATTAAAAAATCAAATAATCTAGTTAGGAGATTGTTAAAACTCAGATACATGAACATTTAAACAATTCCAGGAGGTTTGTAAAAAGCTGCAAATAGCCAGCAGAGGCAGTGAATGCTGTGTGTAGTCAGAGAAGGATGAGCCCACGGTGGGCTAGAGTGGCTGGAGGGGAAGACTTCGTGGAGGAGATGAGCCCCTTGAACTTGAAGAACTTGTAGCATTTGAATATTAGAAGCAAGAAGGAAAAGTATTTTATTTTATTTATTTATTTAGGGACAGTGTCTCACTCTGTCACCTAGGCTGGAGTGCAATGGCATGATCTTGGCTCACTTCAATCTCTACCTCCTGGATTCAAGCAATTCTCCTGCCTCAGCCTCCAAAGTAGCTGGGATTACAGGCATGTACCACCACTCCGGCTAATTTTTGTATTTTTAATAGAGACAGGGTTTTACCCTGTTGGCCAGGCTGGTCTCGAACTCCTGACCTCAGATGATCCATCTGCCTTGGCCTCCCAAAGTGCTGGGCTTACAGGTATGAGCCACCATACTTGGCATAAGAAGAAAAGGTATTTTAAATGGGTAGTTGGGTTGAGAATGTAGGATTGAGTAAGGCACATTTGAAGGCCAGTGGGCAGGCCAGTCTGTTGGTAGAAGCTTAGTCCTATATTCTTTGTATCAGAGATCAGAGTGTAATGGGAAGCCATGGGACATGGGCAGTGGGTGATGACAGAGGGTGCAGTGGAAGCTGGCAGAGAATAGGGTGGCAGCTGTGAGAAGGAGGATAAATTGAGAGAGCATCTATTTTACGGCAGTTCTATGTAATCTGTCACCGTGCATTATGATAATATAGAATTGTGTGTAATTGAATCACATAAGATACTTGGAAGCAGTGTCCTTGAATTCAGTAAAACTTGACTTTCGGGTTATAATAACATTGTGACTTACAAAGAAAAATCTCTCCTTCTGTAATTGTGATTTTGGAGGGCATCATTGTATGGGATTGAGAAATGAAACAAATGCAGTCTTTTCTCCTTGTAGCTTATAGAGCTCAACCTCTGACTCATTTATATGTAGCAAATGTCATCCTTCTTCTGTATTCATTACTGATTTTTGTTTCACTCCACTTCTGGCCCCCTTTGCACAAGGCCACATTAGTAGGTATCTTAGTAGTTTGATTGATCTCAGTTTATATTGTACTTACTCATTTTCATGCCATTCTGTACCACTAGATAATGAATCTGCTGTCTCATTTTTCTTTGTATAGCAAAATGTTTGGCACAGTAAATATTTCTTGATTGAATGAATAAAGAATTAGCTCCAAAATGTCTTTTCTGATTAATCTTAAAACCATGAAGCATATAAAAGAAAATACTTTTCCTAAGGTAGAGGAGCTAAGGGAATTTTAGGAAGGGGTTCCCTAATGCGTAAGAACCCAATAAACTTATTTGCAATTCACCAGATACTTACTGGGCATGTGTATTGTGTCTAGGAAACAGGCACACAGCAATGACAAAGTCAGGCAAAGTCCCTGCTCTCAAAGAGTGTAGGTTATTTTGGAGGAAGACAGTGCTTGTTGGGAAGGAAGGAAGGAAAGCAGCATCATGGGCCAAGAGCAGTAGGGTGGCTTGTTGAGGTTTATTGGTCAGAGAGGGCTTCTTTGAAGAGCTGACTTTGAGCAGAGGCCTAGATTATAAGTAAAATTCATCTATGTGACTATCTGGAGGAAAAGTTTTCCCGAGAGAAGACACTGCTCATGCAAAGACTCCAAAGCAGAATAAACTGGGATTATATGAGGATGAGAAAAGAGGCCAGAGAAGTTATCACATAGGGAGTGAGGCAGAGAGATGTGAGATGAGTCAGTGAGGTAGGTGGGAGCCGGATCACCCAGGGAGAACCTTGGAGGCTGCATTTGGATTTGAATCTAACTGTGTTAGGACACTATGAGGAGGGTTTTATGCAGAGAAGTGATGGGATATAATTTACATTTTTAAAAAGACCACTCTGGCTGATTTATGGGAAATGGATATTGAGATGGGGAGAAAAGAAGCAGGAGGATGAGTTAGGAGATTATGGTGGTATCCCAGGCAGGAGGTGTTGGTGACTACATTAGATTGGAATGTCAATGGAATTAGATAGATTCAAGATGTATTGTGCAGGTAGAGTAAGCAGACTTGTGAACTGAGAGATGTGGACTGAGAGGAAAGAAGGATGACTTCCAGGCATTTGGCTTGAGCTACTGCATGGGTGGTGGCCTTGCTTACTGACATGGGGAAAACTGAGGAAAGAAGAATGGAAAGGGGCTGAAAAACCAATTCGGTTTTGGCTATGTCAGAGTTAAGGTATCTCTAGATATCTGAGTAGAAATGTCAACTAGGGAATTGGATATATTAGATAATATATTTTAGAGTAGAGATTGGGATTGAAGATACTAATGTTTGAGCCTTGTAATGTATATTTTCTTTAAAATTGGGGCAGAACATGATTACCCATGGGAAGATCATGCATAGAGAAGAGAAGAAGGTGAGGCATACGTGTTGGGACTTCTTAACATTTAGAGATAGAGCAAGGAAGGACACAGCAAAAGCACCAAGAGTAAATGTCATAGATGGAGAAGAAAAATCAAAGGAGTGTGATGTCATGGAAACCAAGAAGGAAGGCGTGACAGCTGAGTCAAATGCTACTGAGAATCTTAATTAGTTAGGGAAGAAACAAACCATTAAATAAAAATGAATAGATATAGTATTAAGCAGAGTAAAAGAAGTAAAATTGAAAAAAATATCAGAGAAGCTAAACAAGGAAAACTCAAGCACTTAAAGGAAAATATCTTGTAAAGCTGGCCTTAAAAGTAAAAGTCCAATGATTAGAGAGACAGCACTTACCAGGATGCATTCTAAAAGTCTGTAAAACTCTGTAGGATGTGAAAAGATTAACACGAGGTAGAACTAGACAGCTTCTAGGAAGCTGCTTTTAAGCAAACAAAGAAAATGTACAGTGCACTTCTTAACAGGTTTTCAATTTTAAGTGTCCATTAGTATCTGACTATATCTGCAGCCTGCTGGTAACAGTTCAGTAAATACAGTTGTCCCTTGGTATCCATAGGGGATTGGTTATAGGATCTCCATTGGATACCAAAATCCATGGATGCTCAAGTCCCTGATATAAAATGGTATAGTATTTTTGCATATAACATATGTACATTATCCCATGTACTTTATTGTTTTAATTATAATTATTTTTATTTCAATAGGTTGGGGTACAGGTGATTTTTGGTTACATGGATAAGCTCTATAGTGGTGAATTCTGAGACTTCAGTGTGCTCTTCACCAGAGAAGTGTACACTGTACTCACTATGAAGCCTTTTATTCCTCACCCACCTCCCAAACAACACCCCAAAGTCTCCAAAATCCATTATATCACTCTGTATACTTGAATTCATCTCTGGAGTACTCATAATCTCTAATACAGGGCAAATTCTGTGTAAACAGTTGTAATTCTATATAGTTTAGGAAATGATGACACATAAAAGTCTGTACATATTTAGTACAGACAATTTTTAAAACTATATTTTCAATCCTTGGTTGGTTCCAAGGATGTGGAACCTACAGATACAAAAAGTCAACTGTACTCAGTTGTATTTAGTAAAGTGTTTTGTCTATTTTGGTATGATTTGACCCTTTGCATATTTATTAACAGTTCCACATACTACACAAATTCAGCATCAGTTTAAAGAAAAGATAATACTTTGTGAAAATAACAGTTTCAAGAACGGTATAGACAGTAGTCTTTAAATAAGTCAGGATTCAGAAAGACTTGATCATCATCTTTGCTCCCTGTTCTTCAAATATGTGTCTTTCTTCCATATGCTGCATACAGCTTATGAATTGGTTTTTTAATTAGACCTTTTTTTAACTATAACATAAATCTCCGCTATGACATCAATTATAAGGTTGATTTACTTAACAAGAAATCTGATCCAGATTCTCTCACTTTTCTGCAATCTGCAGCATGTGAGTTTTTTATCCTTGCGTTGATTGCTTGCTTCATAATCACAAAATGACTTCCACATTTTTCTAAGTATAGAAAATAAAGGGAAATATTCCCTTTATCAGAGTATAGAACTTTTCCACCCCTGATATTCTCACCCTTAGGTCTCCTTTGGCTACCTGAAGCTGCAAGGTGAGTAGGAAAGTGAGTATTTGGCAAAGGGCTATGGGAACCCCATGATTTATCTAGATAGACTCATCATAATTTATCCCAGGAGCTGGGCATATTGCCACCTTAAACATAATCGTATTTCTGTTATCAAGGAGGAAAGGAGAAATGGCCATTGGGTAGGCTACTAATGCTGAATGGTATGGTTCATCCATTGGGCTGTCTCACATCCTTATTAAAGCTTCTTCCCAAATATATATTTAACATTACCAAAGCTACTTAGAATGTGCTTACCCTCTCCTTGAGGGTGACCATCCCAAGTTTCATCCAGTTTATCTATCTTCGAATCCAAGATCTCTGGGTGATTTATGGTCATCTCAATAGTAACTGGATATGGATTTTCATAGCTGTTCAATGTAGTTAAAACTTAATTGGCCCCCAATATTCTGAATATGCAATTGTAAACTGCAATTAGATTCCCATTTGGAAAAAGACAGGAAGGGAACACGCTATAGTCTACAATCTGCAGCACACACATCTTGCTGGACAGGGGCAGAACTGTTAAGACAAAACTCTCTACCGTGACAGTGGATTAAATTCTGTAGTCAGTTATGGGGCAGCCTAGGTTGTCTGCTTTCTGGAAGAATCTCTTTTGTTCATCATCCCCTTTGGCCTCTTGTTCTGTCTTATAAGATGTTCTTTGTTTATATTTCTCCATGGTCCCTACTGGGGTCAATTATAGGTAAGGATATACTTCACAGGTCTACCCAGATATAACAGCGCAGGTCCCCAGAAATGGAGTTCCAAGATCTCAGGATTGACTTAAGGAAGCGTGGCTAGATTTTGGGTTTCCTTGGCAAAACGTTTTCCTCACATACTTAATAGGCTTCCAGTCTATTTTTTTGCCCATGAAAATTTCATCCCCTGATCACCATAGTTAGTGATCTGACCGGACACTGTCTTAAAACCAAAGGTTTCTTATTTTTTTTAGCTGAATGGCCTCTCCCTATGAAAATTAGAAATTTGTTTCAAATAAAACGCACCACTGTTATTTCTGCATTTGCTGGCAGGCATCTTACTCTGGTTAGTATTCTTCTACCTTGGTGGGCATAAGGTCTCTAAGTTAAGGTGAATTAGGTGACAGTTTGACCAACCATGTTACTGTCAGTGGAGGGGGGTGTCACAGTCCTAGCCTGGACCACCTGACTCTCCCCAGTTCTCCAACCCACTAACTCCACTCAGCAAATCCACAGTTTCGTGTCTTTGCCTGTGGAACTCTTTTTCTAATACGATGTGCATGGAAAGAACTAGTTGTCCAATCTTATCAGTTTTACCTCCTGTTGAGCTCCAGTTTTCCTATATCTCCCGCTTACTGTAGGGTGGTACAAAAATATACTTTTTTCATCCAGCAAGATTCCAAAGTATGAGAAGTACAGCATTCAAAGTGCCTGTTTTTATCACAGTTATGTTTCCATTATTTTTAGTTTCACTCTGATGTAGGTTCATTTCTCTTATAGGACATTTCTGAAGGCAGAAAAATATAGCCAATATGTTGATGTTTTCCTAATACTACCACCTTGGTGGGCATAAGGTCTCTAAGTCAAGGTAAAATATGTCACAATTTTACCAAACATGTTGCCACCACCTAATGGGGGTGTCAAAGTCCTAGCTCTTCCCTGTTCTTGAACCCAATGACACCACTCAGTTAATCCATATTTTAGTGTCCATCTTGTAGCACTCTAAGAGCCAAATTCACTGCAAGGTGGAGTGTCTACTGTATCTATCTAATAACAGAATTTGAGATCATGTCTGAATGAGAGATTTCAGTTGATTACTGAGAGAAACTACCATGAACGTCTTGCTTTTGCCAATCCAGTACTCATTCGTCTTGTAATTGCAACCTTCTTTTATTTTATTTGAAAATCGACCCCTCTTTTATTAGATATACTGTTAATAAAACTGTAACTGAAGCTGCCTTATTCTCTCTGGCAAAAGGTGGAATCTGACCTAAGCTATATCAATCAGATATTGTATCTGTGAAATAGAAATTTTGCATAGAATGACACAACAAGGTCACATATGGATTAGACAGTCCAGGGTTTGAATCCTCAATCTACCCCTTAGTAGCTCTTTGGATGTGGTCAAGTCCTTAACTTCTCTAAGCCTTTTTTGTTTTGTTTTCATTTGAAAAATGGCATTGATAGTGGTTTGGGGCGTATCTGTGTGCCTTTGAATTTAATTAGTAATGCATAAAAATACCTGTACTCTGCCAGGTGTGGTGGTTTATGCCTGTAATCCAAGCACTTTGGGAGGCCAAGGTGGGTGGATCACGAGGTCAGGAGTTTGAGACCAGTCTGGCTAACATAGTGAAACCCAGTCTCTATTAAAAATACAAAAAAATTAGCTGGGTGTGGCGGTGTATGCCTGTAATCCCAGCTATTCAGGAGGCTGAGGCAGGAGAATCGTGTGAACCCGAGAGGTGGAGGTTGCAGTGAGCCGAGACCACACCATTGCACTCCAGCCTGGGCGACAGTGCGAGACTCTGTCTCAAACAAACAAACAAACAAACAAAAAACAAAACTGTACTAAATAAATATTAGTTCTTATCATTAATGACATGATCACACTAGTCGATTACATAAGGAATGGACCACAGAGGAGCAAACCTGAAGCAAAGAAGCCACAAGGTTGATGAATCTGTTGCATCCATGCTATTGAGAATTCTCAAAGGCCTCAGGTGCTAGAAGAGAGAGGTGCAGGAGGAGAGGATGGAAGAACAATTTAGGATGTAAGAAAGAGAACTTACAGTATTTAGTTGACTCCCTTGACTCAGAGGATGAAACAGAGGGAGAAGCTTTGATATTGCTGATAAGAAGGAGCATCCTAACTCTTGATTGGCCCCAATTCTGCTGGAGACAGAACTCTGGCCAAGGCAAGCTAGGTAACAAATAACGTCATTTGAGTTGTTCTTTGAAAATCCTCAAAGCCCAGCTTTTTCCCAGAATAGCATTCACTTTGATTTCCAACACAGTGAACCATGCTAAATACTGAAAGTGGTGGTTCTTTGAAAATAATAGACAAAATATTCCCTATATGACTTTTTCTTTTTATAGATAGAATAGGATGTTGGTAGACGGTACACTGATAATGTGAAATATTGATTGCTTCTGTTGAAACTGTAATGGGATAAGGAAACATGTAATCATGGAGAATTTCTATGAAATAATCCCATACCCTAAATTTTGTAGGTACAGGCTTCTGAATAAAGTTTTTAAAGTGAAGAATAGTCTGAGATTGCTTATGACATCAGGACTTTTTCCTTTTCCTCAGACAATTTTCTTAAATATTGATGTCATTGCATAAAAAGTAACTGGAAAAAAAGGCATGATTGTAACTTTGAGATTTAATTTTAATAACTAGATAAGAAATATAGGAGATTTTTATTGGCTAAATTCTACGTCACACAGGACAATGCTGGAAAGAAGCAGGTATTTTAAAAATTGTACTCCAGTGGCACATATAGTCACGTCTTTACTCTTAAGCCTGTCTGAGAAACACTTAGAGAAATAACATTCTTGATATTATGTTGGTCCAGTGAGGATGAGAAGGTATTTTGACCCAAACATATGGATGCAGGCTTCAAGGACACAGCGAATTATACCATCTGAAGCAACTGGAAACGAAAAGCTGTGTGGCTGGGAATCAGCAGTTTGTAACAACAGCTGGTGCTGTGGGCAGCAGTCTAATGGGGAAATGTCTCAGCAGCAAGCCTTGCACACAGACAAAACAAAATCCACACCTGTGGTTGTTTACAAAGGGCAGAAAGGGCCATGGAAGACACATCATTAATATGGTGGAGAGCACCATTAGCGATTCTAGCAAAATAAAAAAGAACATGACATACTTTGAAATTCAGAGCCTGACATTAACAAGCTACAGTTTGACAAATCGTAGAAAGAGATGGTCTCTACAATTTTGAATCTCCAGCACATTTCACAATGCCTGCCTGGCACATACTATGTAATAGGTAAATGTTTGTGGAGTTGAAATCAACATATTTATGTCATATGCACAGATGTTTATACCTCTCTCCAAAAAGGGATAGAAAGGTATTTTGTGGCTATAAGGGAAGAATTGATAAAAACATATATGATGATTGTGGAGGTTTGGAGGAGAAAGACCTCCTGGATTTAAGGCCTGGCTCCTTAACTGTATGACCTAGATAAGTTATTTTTCCTCTTGGAACTCAAAATGTTCATAATGATGCTTATCTACTGGAGTTGTTAAAAAGATTGGATGAGTTTTGTAGACAAAGGATCTTGCAAAAGGTCTAGCACATAGAAGAGTCTCAATAAGATTAGGTCCTCTTCTTTATATGCTTCAATTGTGTGTCACTCTTTTTTACCTTTATTAGATTAGTATAAAGCAGGAGTCAGCAAACCATCCCTCTCTGGCCAATTTCAGCCAATTTTGTGAGTAAAATTTTATTGTAACACTGGCATGTCCATTTGTTTATGTGTTGTCTGTGGCAGCTTTATGTTTATAACAGCAGAGTTGAGTAGTTACAGCAGTGTCCTTACGGCTTGCAAAGCCTAAAATACTGACTCTCTGTGCCGCTACAGCACCCTGGTCTGAAGTAAACATTTTATTATAAGATTCAACTGCTCTCATTTTTGTCTTTTTCTTCTTTTGATTTTTTTTTCAAATGCGTACCTTTCTGTTTTTAATTTGTGTGTCTCCAAAAAAAAGAACCTTTCATACTTGGCAGCTTCACTACTAAGCTTTAAGCCCTGTATGTAATTTGTTACCCAGTTCCTCTGCTCATCCATCCATTCATTCAAAAAATATTTATTGAGGATTTGCAAGGGGTTGGGAACAGAGTGGTAAACCTTGAAGGTGATGCCACTGCTCTTGGGGAGCTCAGCGGTGACTCTCCCCATATATGTAAATAAACATATAAACAGAAATGTGGATAAACCAACTTCTGAGCAAATTAACATGTATGTGATTTAAAAGTAAGATGATTTGCAAGAGAGGAGCAGGTGATGAAGTGTAATCAAGATCGGCCTAGGATGATCAGGGAAGCGCTTTTTAGGTGGGTGACATGTGAGCAGAAAGACCTGCCTGAAGAGAAGGGATAAACCAGCAAAGGCCTGGGGGAAGCATTTTAGACAGAGAGACACATGGTGCAGAGACCATGAGCTGAGAAGGAGCCTGGCATGTCCAGGGGCTGACAGAACACTGGTAATGTCACAGGGTGTGGAAGAACTGGCATAGGTGAGGTCAGAGCATATAGAAAGAGCAGGTTGTAAGGGATTTTGCATCTCACAACGTGGTCCACTAGACTATTCTCCCTTCCACCACCCACCCCTATGCACACATCCAAGCAGTGTGATAAGTTCTGTCCATTCTACATACTTGATATCTCTCAGATCTCCCTCTTTCCCACTACTTTAACAGGCACCATCATCTTTTGGCTTATGCTCAATGTTTGCCTACTGACTTCCTTGTCTTCTAGTGACTTCCTTCCTAACCATCTTCCATAATGCCAAACTTGATAGTTCTAATTTATTCACCTGCTTGAAGCCCTTTCCATAGCTCTTGGATGAAGGGCCAAATTCTCAGCTTTGCACAGGCCTTTGTTTCATGCGGTGGCCTCTGCTGGCTCTAGTCTTGTCTTCCTTGGCTCTCTACACTGAAACTTTCATTCAAGCCTTGGGGGTGTGGTTCCTGAAATCTTCCTCTACATCCACTTTCCTACATCCCTCCACCTATCTCCCCATCCTTATATTATTTGGACTATCCCACTTATGCTCAAGTGTTTTCTCTTCTCAGAAGTCTTCATTCCCTCCCCAGGCTGATTTAGACCACTCTGTGATTCTCTGTTACACTCAGAACATAACCCCATCAACACTCCCAAATGCTATAATCTCTTACCCTGCCATATTTTTTTCAATAGTCCTTGTTATCACACAACATGTAATGCTTATTCGATTACTTCAGTTGTCTTTTGTTTCTCCAACTAGACTGATGGCTTTGTCATAGCAAGGATTTTGCTTATTCAGTGCCAAATCCTAGTTCAATGCTTGGCACAAGAAATTGCTTGTCTTAATTTGTCTGTGTGGCTATAACAAAATATCTGAAATACATAATTTGTAAAGAACAGAAATTTATTTCTCACAGTTCTGGAGGCTGGCAAGTCCAAGATCAGAGAGGTTGCTTGTGAAGGCCACTCTCTGCTTCCAAGATGGCTCCCCTCATGGTGGGGAGGAATACTGTGTCCTCACATGGCAGAAGGCAGAAGGGCAAGAGAGCCAAATACCTTTAAAAAAAAAAAGGAAAAAGAAAAAAAAAACAAAATACAAATCAAGGTCTCACTCTGTCACCAGGCTGGAGTGCAGTTGTAGCATCATAGCTCACTGCAGCCCCCAACTCCTGGACTCGAGAAATCCTCTTGCCTCAGCCTCCCAAGTAGCTGGTCTGCAGGCATGTACCACCATGCCTGGCTACCAAACCCCTTTTTTATAAGAAACATTCAAAGGAAAGCATTCTTATGGCCTAACAACCTTTTAAAGGCCCACTACTTAATACTATTAAAATGCAGGTTGCAACACCTGCATTTTGGAGGGGGCACATTCAAAGGCACCATAGGTTAGTGATTGTTTTTGCTAAATGAGTAGATGGTCTAACCCACCATTATTACCTAGATTACCACAATAGCCCCCACTCCTGTCTTCTTCAGTTTACTCTCTACATGATATTCAGAGGGGAATTTTAAAAATATGTAAATATAGTCCACAACCTAAAAGAATTTCAATGGCTTCTTATTGCAATGAAGGGAATATATATTATGTCTCTCTGTATATTATATTATGTTATATATATTATATTATATAAAACATATAATGTAATATATGATCTGTCTTCTACCTCTCCATTTCATCTTGCACCACTCTTTGCTTTCTCTGTTAAGCTTTAGTCACACTGGCCTTGCCCTTTCCTATCCTTAAGCTATGCCACCCTTCTTTCAGTCTCAGGACCTTTGCACATGGCCAGCTCATTCTGTGTTTCCAGATCTGCTCCTACCTCACCTTCCTGGGGAAACCTTCATAGACGCCTCACTGTTGAGCCCTACCCCTTCCAGTATATTGTATTTCTTTATCCACATTATTTCTGTCATAGCTCTAACATCGATTTGACTTTTAAAATTGTGCTTACTTCAGTGCTTATTGTTTGTTTCCTACACTAGATTGTAAACTCCATGAACATGTGGACAAAAACCAGAACTGATTTCTTCACCATTGTATACCTGACACTTAATATGGAGACTAATGCATATGAGGTGCTCAAATAGTTGCTGAGTAAATAAATGATGAAACTTTTCACACACTGCTAAAAACATCAGTCAGATTCTCCATTTTCCTGACTATATAATAAACCCCTTGAACACAGGGACAATACCATAGTCATCAAACCCCTTGAACACAGGGACAATATCATAATCATCTTTGTATCCCCAATACCCATAACAATATTCAGCACATAATAGGGATTTGATAAGTGTTCATTACAGTTTAAAAAATGAGAGTTTTGAAAAGCCAGGGATGCTCTCGGTGAGTTATCACAGAAATAATGTTGCAGTTATGGTTATAGCACAAGGCAATTGCCTGATGTAAAAGAGATAAAGAAATGTTACCACCTAATTTTTAGGAAGCCAGGAGATCAGTGAGGGTGAGTTAGTGCTTTGCAAATGTTGTAGAATTAGTGACATGAAAGTATGTATTAGTATCTTCAGATGTAAAGGGAATTTTTATGTGAAAGAGCAAGAACTAAAAAGAGAGATTATATCTTGGCCGAACAGGCAATGATGATGAAGAATCCGTGTCTGTACTGATGAAGACTGGAGGGCTGTGCCTGAATTAGGATCCATGAAATCATTAATGATTGAATTACAAGATGGGACCAAGCACCAAGTACTAAAGGACCCTGCTATTGCTGATGATACTGGGCAGGGGTCTAGCAGGTACATCACCAATACCAGACTCTGTGTGTGTGTGTGTGTGTGTGTGTGTGTGTGTGTGTGTGTGTGTGTGTGTGAATATCAATTCTTTCTGCCTTTCAGAACTTAGGAATATTTTCAGAAATCCCATCTCAAAAAGTCAAGTGCCAAAAAAAAAAAAAAAAAAAAAAAAAGTCAAGCGCCTCTCAGGATTGGAGTTGTAAAAAATTCTCACTCTCTTTTTGTCTTCATTTTAAAGCTCAGGTGGTTTCATTGCATGGACATAGATGTTAGGAAGTACTAGACAGTTAAAATGAGAGAATCTTCTAACCAGTTTTCTTTTTCTTTGTAAATCCATTAAAACATTTTTGTAGAATATGTAAATAGCTGCCACATTATGCACAGAAAACTTGTATCTTGTCTAATTGACAAGTATAGGAACATTGCAGTAGATGTTAGGGGTTGGCTATCTTTTTATAAACCTTCCATCTTTCATATCTTAATTAAAAACAGCAACACCTTAGTGGAGACTATTGTTTGAACTCCTTTTTTGTAAAGAGGACTTTTCGATTTGAAGGTTCTAAAGTTGCCAAAATTGATCTTTTTAAATATTAAATTAGTTCTTTGGTTAGTTGAGGCTGTCAACTCATTGTATGCACTAGAAAAAAAAAGAAACTGTAAACAGTCAATAAAAAATAAGGTTGCTTTCCACTTTTATTTGGAATAGCTATTTTAAAAAATGAATAGCAGATTTCAGCTATACTTTAATTAAGGCATCTTATTGACTAAGCTAGGGTAAATCATAGTAAATGAATGGCCTCGGCCCCTTAAAAATACTAATCACTTAACAAATGATCTTAAAAAAGCAAACTCAAGTTCAAATCTACATTTAATAATAGTTCGTGTGACTTTTTTAATCTTCTGAGAAAAAGTAAATTAAACACAGAAGCTGAAAAGTAACTGGCCGAATAATCAAATTTCATTTGCCTCTTAACTCAGAGTGAGCTAGATTAGAGAGTAATGAAAAGCCTCCCTTATATAATTTAGTGCCTTATGGCTTTGATTTTTCCCAAATTACAGCTTTATTGAAGAGCAAGCATCTGTAGATGTCATGCTTAATCATGGTTGTTTTTAGAACTAAAGTCTGTAATTTCAGAATGAATTTTGAGGGAATCTCTGGGGCTTCACAAGATCCTCCTAAATGAGGCCTTATATTTAATTCTATGATGAAATCAGGAGACTGGATATGTAGAAGCCTCCAGTCTGCTTGGTTTTGTTTTCTGATGACCTTGAAAAGACCCAGAATTTCATGAGAAATCATGTAAGCTGCTTGGAATAAAATACTTTCGTATGTTTTGCTTGTGTGTTTTTCTTGAAAAATGTTTTAAATTTTAGTTTGATGATAAATTGATGTAATTTAGACCTTATAGACAACACATTTGCATTGATGCTGATGACTCCAGCTGGCTGTCCTGCTGGCTGGAAGAGAAGATTGGATATTACCTGACCTCATCTCCTTCTTTTGGGTAGATGTGTCAGTGTTTGAGCCTTTTATCAGAGAGAGACACCGTAGTTCCTCTGAGTTCTCCTTATGAGCTCTGTGCCCTCCCCCTGCACAGGTAACTATGCTTTCAGGGTAGCATCATCTTCGTTTGTTTATTCACCTAATGTTTATTAAGTATGTGATATGGTTTGGCTGTGTCCCTGCCCAAATCTCATCATGAATTGTAGCTCCCACAATTCCCACATGTTGTGGGAGGGACCTGGTGGGAGATAATTGAATCATGGGGGCAGTTTCCCCCATACTATCCTTGTGGTAGTGAATAAGTCTCATGAGATCTATCTGATGGCTTCATAAGGGGAAACCCCTTTTGCTTGGCTCTCATTCTCCCTTTGCCTGTCGCCATGTAAGATGTGACTTTTGCCTTCCACCATGATTGTGAGGCCTCCCCATCCACTTGGAACTGTGAATTCATTAAACCTCTTTTTCTTTATAAGTTACCCAGTATCAGGTATGTTTTTATCAGCAGCATGAAAACAAACTAATACAGTATGTGTTCTGAACCAGTTATTGTGATAGGAGTTGAGAATACAAAGAGGTAAGCCTTAATGCAGCTTGCATACATAAAGAAGTTAACACACGAGTAAACCCAAAGCAAATTAAGAAACATGTCTAAGCCTAGAAAGAAGACTATGAAATAAACAAGCAGCAGAAAGTAATAACTGGATTTGGAGGTATGGGTAGGTTAGGCTTAAATAGGCTTTTCAGATGGAGTTTCTCTGAGGAGGTGATGTGTAAGACAAGGTGAGAAAGATGAGGAGACCCTTAAGTAAAGATGTGGGAGAAGAAAATTCCAGGCAGGGGGAGAAGCCTGGGCTGACTGAAGAATTCAGAGACATTTACTTGGCTGGAGGATGATGAGTGAGGGGCACGGGAATATAAGACTGGAGAGAGGGTAGGCATCATTCAGTCCCTTAGAGGGTTTAGAAAGGACTTTGAAGCTTATCCTAAATTTAATGATAAAGTGTATTATTTCTATAGTGTCCTATTCTCTTTTTCTCTCCCAGTAATAAACTATTGATATGGTTCTTTTTTTCTTTTCATTTCCTTTCAACTAGTGATTACTGAACATTTACTCTGTATTTACACCAAATCCTACCTTCCTGAAGTTTAATTTTCAGGTAATAAGATGGACATTAATCTAATGACACATAAACTAGAGTTCATGTGGACTAAAACTCAAGAAAACGTATCCCATAACACACAAACTCAGAGTTGTAGAACCAGTTATAACATAGTTGACTTTGATGCTTGATCCAGTGTTCATTCTCCATTCTCAATTTCCAGTTCTTAATTTCTTAGGGCAAACCTCATTAAGGAGTTGAAGGGTAGTTCAGTAGTTTTTTCAACTACTTTATGATTGCGGAAGAAAAATATAATAAGACACTGTAGAAATAAAATGATTTCTGATTAAATTGAGAATAAGCTCTAAAATCCTTCCTAAACCTTATAAGGAACTGAATGATCCCTAACTTCCTCTCCAATCTCATTATTGTTGGGAACTCTTAGTTCAGTCCGTTATATTCCAGATACCTTTCACTGTGTTTATCTTTCTGCCTTCTGTGACAGTAAAGAGAAACTGAAAAGTAACGGTTTTCCACAAACTTCACTCTAGCATGATCCCACATTTTATATGATTGAATGGTGAACCTCATTTATTGCCTAATAATGGGCTTGCCTGTATTACAAGGATAAGTGTGTTGCATAGGAAGCCATCACAGGGGAATTTGATCTTGACGGGGAGCTTGGGGAAGGATTCCTTAAACAGGTGACACTTGAGCCAAGACCTGAAGGAGGGTAGGGATTAGCTAGTCATACAGTGGCAAGAATGTTGCCTCTTGGAGCAATAGGGAATGAAAGAAGGCCAGGACAGCTGGAGCTGAAGGAATGAGGGGAAGTGTGGAATAGTTCCTGCTTTGTAGAGGTAGGCAGATACAGCAGAAAACCACCCAAAGGATATATGACTCTTTTGTGCAAGTGTTCATATATTCTGAAGAAAAGAGGCATTAAAGTGATAGAATTGTGAACTTTGCTTGGAATTCTATTTATTTTTATTATTTTTTATTACAGGCAGAGACTTTTGGAGCAGGAAGGGGCCACAGAGAGAGTAACCTCCCATTTAATGAACAAAAAAAGTTTGCACAAGAGTTAAAATGGTTGACGTAAAGTCCCACACAGTGAATCCAATGTGTTTTTGCCGATTCTTCAACTGTATACCAGATACAATTTAAACTATGTCTTTAAAAATTCTTTTGTTATTATTTTTGGTATTTTTTCTATCATAAACTTGCTTCCTTATTTCCACTGTGAGTATGAAGTTGGGGAGTTAACATTTATAAAACATTATTATTGTGTACTAAGGCAAGCTTTACTCTAAAGAGCAGATGCTTACTTCATACACATGGAAAAAATATTTAAAAATCTGCTTATGTCAAGGGTTGGTGAGGATTGGGGAAACAGGAACACAGAAACACTACTGATTGCAGTGTAATTTATTGAATTCGTTTCAAAGGCAATTGACATCATAAAGCTGAAGAGACACATTCCCCATAAAGTTCATTTCTAAATAAAAATCCTGGAGTTATTTTTACAATTGTGCATAAGAGACGTATATAAGAAAGTACATAATAGTACTTGTCTTCCTCTGTTTTCTGTTTCTGTAACAGAATACCTGAGGCTGGATAATTTGTAGCAATAAAAAGGTTTATTTTGGCTAGTAGTTCTGGAGGCTAGAAAGTCCAAGAACATGGTGGCAGCTTCTGGTGAAGGCTTTCGTACTGCCTCATAACATGGTGGAAAAGCGGAAGACCAAGCTAGTGTGTGTGAAAGAGACAACGTGTGAGGGGCGGCCTTGCTTTATAGCAACCCACTCTTTTCAGTAACGGAGTTAGTCCTGCAAGAGCGAGAACTCATTCACTTACTGCTCTGAGAATTAACCCAGTCCCTCAAGAGTGACATTAATTCCTCTTAATGCCCTAATCACCTCTCAACAACCCACCAGCCAACATTGCCACTCCAAGAACCCCATTTCCAGCACGTGAATTGTGGGGGACACACTCAAAGTATAGCAGTAGTCTTCATCATAATGAGAATGAGAAATACTTTAGTGTCCATCCATAGGAGAGTAAATAAAGGAATTGTGATATACTAAAACATTGAGAGAAACTAAAGCTTCGTGTATCAAAGTGGATAAATCTTAAAAATATTATAGTGAGCTAGAAAAGCAACTTTTAGAAGCTTACATAAAAATATACCTTTTATGTAAAATGTAACATATTCTAAATGATACTGTTTTGCTTTGGATGCATACCTTATTGATGTATGTAAAAAGATGTACACAGGCTTGGTAAATATCACATTTAGATGTTATCAGGGCAGGGTATGCAGATAGCTTTTATAGGTGTGTAAAGATTTTCTTCCTTATGTTGGGCAGTAGATACATGCATTAATTGGTACAGGTTTTGCCTGTTGCAGAAAACTTTTTCTATAAAAGGCCAGAGTATTAATGTCCTGGGACCACTGTAATAAATTACCCTGAACTTTGTGGCTTCTAACAGACAGAAATTTATTCTCTCACAGTTCTGGAAGCCAAAAGTCCAAAATCAAGGTGCCAGCATGGGCTCTGAAGGGCCAGGATCCTCCCTGGCAGGCTGTGGGGGAGAACACTTCCTTGCCTCTTCCAGAGTCTGGTGGCTGCCAACATGTCTTGACATTCCTTGGCTTGTGGCTACATCACGCCAATCTCTGCTTCTATCTTCACGTTCGCTTTTCCTCCTCTGAGTGTGTCTAATCTCCCTCTACCTGTCTTAGACAAGGACACTTTTGCTGTAATTTGGGGCTTACCCAGATACACCAGAATGATCTCACCTCAGGATCCTTAACTTATTTATTACACCTGCAAAGACTCTTCCCAAATAAGGTAACACTCACAAGTTAGAACATAGCAATGACTTTGGGAGTCATTATCACATTACCACAACTAGGTAGTAAATATTTTAGGATTTGTGGGTCATATAGTTTCTGCCACTTAACATTGCCACTGTAGCCTGAAACACTCATAGATGAATGAAACAAATGAATGTAGCTGTGTTTCAATAACACTTTATTTGGAAAAGAGATGAGGGCCTGGATTTGACTGGGAGTGAGTGGCTGCTGAAGTTTGCAGTCCTGTGGTCTATGCAAACAAGTGTTACGTGTGGCAAGTCAGTGGGATCTATTGGGACATTACTGATGGCTCACTACTAATGTCACACTCTAATGCCCATGGGGTGAGTCTGATGCAGTCAACTTACATATAGATGTAAGTTTTGTTTTTATAATACACTTCTAACTTTCAGAGAAAGTCAGGAATCTACTAACAGCATCCTAAATTGTGAACTCATTTATTTGTGACACCTGCACTTTTGAAGCGTACACAGAAGATGTGCACACATGCTGGTCACATGGTAGATTTGGCAGAAGGCTTTTTGAAAGAAAGGAGAGCCCGAAGGAAGTGATAGCCTATGAGTGAGAACATCCGGTGTTTGGTTTTTTGTCCTTGCGATAGTTTGCTGAGAATGATGGTTTCCAGTTTCATCCATGTCCCTACAAAGGACATGAACTCATCATTTTTTATGGCTGCATAGTATTCCATGGTGTATATGTGCCACACCAACATGGCACATGTATACATATGTAACAAACCTGCATGTTGTGCACATGTACCCTAAAACTTAAAGTATAATAATAATAGAATAAAAAAAAAGAAGTGATAGCCATGTGCAAGCTGCATCAGCCCTGCATGAAGCCCAAACTGGCATAACTCAATGCAGAGTTGAGCTATTCCCATTGCTCAGCCTGCTTCCTGAGCAGCATGATGTAACCTTGCTTTAAGAGACACAGACACAGCATGGCACCAACTAGGAAAGACAGAATGGTCCCTAGAAGGAGGTCAGGCAGAGCAGGATGCCAGCATCACCTTATACCCAAGGTCCAAATGAATATTTGCCCAAAAGAATTGTATCTAATCATTTTATTTTTGGTGGCTTTGGGGTCATTATGGAAAAATCTGGCTCCTCTTTGAGCAGTTTCTTTACTGTCACCAATGCTTATGCATAATATTGAAGAGATAACATAATCAGAAATGCAATCCTTAATTTTATACCTGGGTAAAAATTAATCACTAACATCTATTGAAAATCACTGTGTTCTAAGTACTATGTTAAGTGATTTTCAAGTTACTTTACTTATTCTAATCCAGTAGTTCTCAATGAAGGCTTAGTTTGTTCCCCAGAATAAATTGGGCAATGTCTGGAGATGTTTATGGTTGTTGTGACTTGGGATGGAGCTACTTAGGCCATCTATTGGATGGAGGCTTGTCATGCTGCTAAATATCATAGAATTGTCAAGACAACCCCCTACCACAAAAAATGATTTCATCCAAAATGTCTATAATTCTGAGGCTGAGAAATTCTGCTCTCACCCAGCGAAATAGGCTGTGTTACTGTTCATCTCACTGGCAAGGAAATAGACTTAGAAAGTTTATGTCTTCTATCCAAGATAATTCAGGATGACTCCACTGTTTTGACCCTAAACTTCTACAGTAGATTTCTAGAATTTGAAAAGATGTTTGGTGAGACACTGGTTCAATCAGCCAGATTTTGAAAATGTATGCCAACTGACTTTTAAGGAAAGCAAAATGAATATTTATGGAACAGCTAATGTCTGCTAAGTATTATATTAGATCCTGTCACATACACTGTAAGTGGTTCCTGTGGGATATCTTTGTGTCTGTTTTCTAGAGTAGAAAGCTGAGGCCCAGAAGTGGTTAATAACTTACTTATTCAAGCATATAATTATGGTATTAATAAATGGAGGAACAAGAATTTGAATCCAGGTATGTCTGACTCTAGAACCTATTTGATTCTTAGGTCATGAGCCTGCTCTCTTGGTAAGAGGTGAAGCTAGGGAGGGGACTGAAGAATTTTTTTTCCTGTTTGTTTTTAATGCAAAGTCCCTATGGCAGGATTATAACAAAGAATATTCATGATTTCTGAAATTTTGGACTACCCATGGCCCTTTCTGTTTCCAGTCTTAAAAATTGTAATTCCTAAAGGTGAAAGATAACAATGAAGTAAAGCAAAATCAAGTTAATCCATTATCTACGTTGTTAATTGCTAGGCAAGTCCCATTTCTTTTTAACAAACTGCAGAATATATTTTGAAGATATGAGACGATAAAATTGTTTAATTGTTAAAAATGAAAATAAAATGCCTTTGAAATATATTGTGAAGGAATGAGACTTCTGAAATTTATGATAATGAATAAAACTATTGGGGTGTACACATTAGGGTGATATGGGATTTATATTACTCGAAGGGGAAACATTTACATAACTTCCTAATGGTTCTTCCATTTATGATTCAATAGTTCTTTTCCCATTTAAAAAATAAATTGCATATTTCATGATAGCCTATTATCTTTCCTTCTGTTGATTTTGTAAGATTTCTATAATTTACTCTATATTAAAAAAGAATAATAAATGAGTTTAATAATGTTCTTAAGCCTCTTAGCACTTACTTTTTCTCTTTTCACGCCACTATTTGAAACAATCAGTGCCTGTAGTCTTCCTAAATTAATTTAAAATAGCCATTTCTGTTTAAGCTTTGAAAGACCAATTAATATTGAAGTGACTTCATTCAGTCTTTTCTGCACTAATCTTATTGGTAGCAGAATTAGTGTAGCAATTAAAGTGGGTTTTCCATATGGTTAATAATATTATATCATCAGATTTTCTTTTTGGCTTCAGATTGACTTGAATTTCAGTTATTTGTTATTTATCATTCCTATTCCTGGTCTATTCAAAGAAAAAAGAAGGCTTCCTTCTGTGACCTGCATTATCCATGTCAAAAAAATATCTCAAATTGAGAGGAAGATGGCTTCAGAAGGAATAAAGAAATAAACTATCATTCTATACTTCTATCAAATTTAAACATACTGTACATGTTGTAGACACAATCAGAGATTAGAGACACTGAATTTCATTTTATTAGCAGTTTGCACCAGTGGCTACGTGATAAAGTAGGATGTAAATGACCAGTGATCACCCTGGTTTACTTGGTAACCATGCTCTGTTGTGTTGCTTAGTCATTAGACATTATGGGCAGGCTTTCCATTTCATACCCTCTCCCTCCAATTCCTGCTACCTAGGACTTATGAAGATGCCCAGAAACAGTGACATTTATGACTTCCATGTGAACTCACCTTTCTGGGTCCCTCTCTTTCGAGAGAAAATACGGTGGCTTCCTATATGTACTGATTGTCACAGCAGTCCCGCTTCTATGAAGTCCCTTCCATTATAATCTTTCCCAAATCCCTCCAAGCCTCAACCATATATTTCTGTCTACTGGTCTCCAGATATCTCTCTACTTGATAACTTAATTCCTACCCACCTTTCCAACTTCATTCTTACACCATTCTCCCGCTTGTTCACTTCATTATAGCCAAATGATCTCTCAGAGCTTCTCATGCTACCAGTCCTGTGTCATAGCCTCTCACTTGCAATTTCCTTGACCTGAAAGTTTTTCCTTTCACTCTATAATATCTAGCACCTTTTTGCCCTGGGATTCAGCTGGAATGTCTCTTTCCCAGAAGGTCTTTCTGTGAACATCTCATCTTACATAAGGGCTCCTTATCTTTCTTTCTCAGACCACCACGTTCTTTTATATTATAACAAATTTGAAAATATGGATTTATTTACTTTGTTTTCTCATTTTATTAGACTTATTAAATTGTAAGAGCCATAAGGACAAAACTTCAAATATTTAATTCACTTCTATATATCCAGGATAACTTTATGTTTATAACTTAAGTATACCAAAAATATTTGTAATATAAATAAATGGATGATGATGTCCTCTGTGTGATGAAGGAAATGCCCTGTATTCATGAGGCCTCAACTCCCAGATCTTATATGACACCACCCAAACAGGCATCACTTCTGTTCATTCCTTCCCTCTTGGCAGAAATTTCTCAGAGAATTTTCCCATCCCTTCCCCCAGGTTTCTAACAAAGCACATGTTCTTCAAACATTTCAAAAGTTGAAAGTAATATAGCTGATGACTTGGCAATGACTCAGACACAGTTTGTAACATCCTCAAATCCTCTTTGTAATTGTGATTCTATTAAATTTATAAAGTATCTATTGTTGGTTGTATCTGAGGAATTCCATGACACTTTTTGAAGGTGTGTCTTTGGGCAGATCAATGGGATCGGGGAGGGAATAGGAGGGCCTATTCTGAACATGGGAACTTCCCCAGATTTTTCAACCTACATTCATCAATTTGCATTTTTATATTGTCTCTCTTTGGGACTTTCAAATGACCCCTTGTATGAAAACAAAGTTTGTGGAGGGAGTAATGAATCTAGTTTGCAATATTAAAGAATGCGTAGTAATAGATTTCATCATAGCAGTTTTAACTTGTAGTAATTAATGCATTTATTATTATTCTAAAAATAAAAGTAATTTGTTCATTTTTGCAAAATGTGGGCACTGCCAGTATGTAGAAGAGAATAAAAAATCACCCATAATTCCAGCCCCCACTTTACCTCTTGAGAGCATGAACTTTGTCTTATTTAACATTCCATCTCTACTACCTCATGGGGTGTGGGCACATGAAGAGCACACAATAGATATTGTTTAATAAATAAACTACACATTGCTTGTGTCAACAACTTGATATATGGCTCTTATTTTATGTATATAAATTTATGTAATTAAAAGCAGTGGCCCCTCAGGTGTAAGCACGAGAGGGTGCGCTGTTTGAAGGGAATTTAATAGCAATAGTAAAACCAACTAATAGTGGGTCTGCTTTTTGTTGTCACCATGCTTGGGCAATTCTAAACAATGGCAGTGATAAAATAGTTCTCCTTCAGCCAGACTACTCCCACCCCCTCACTTTGCACTTCACAGGTTAAGTGCACACTATATGTTAAATTTTATCCTCAGCTTTTTAAATAACATTTTATCATAAGCAGTTTCCAGCTGAAAACTTTTACAACTTCTGGTGAAAGCACTTGGCAATGTATCTCAATAACTGAAAGTATTCATGATCTTTGAATCTTTCTGCTGGAATTCTACCTTAAAAGTAGCATAAAATGCAAATGAAAATTTACAGAAAATGATATTCATTGAAACAGTATTTATTATAACAGAAGAGCAGAAGTAGCCTGCATGTTGAACACTGAAGAAATGAGCTATTTATGGTACATTCGTAAGATGAACTGTTGTAGTCATTAAAGTGACATTTATGCACAGAAAACTCAGTATATTTTGAAGTGGATCTGAATCTGAAGCATGTACTTACTGCAATGGAGAACACATCAAATAGAAATATGGCAGGGAAAAAAGTAGAAAGGTATAGATTATTGCTAGCATAACAATGTTTACACTATTCCTAGGGACTAGACATACAATCAGAAATCAAAACTTAAGATGCAAATTTTTACAAATGTAGTATATTCAAAGTATAGTTGTAGAAAAGTTTGAAAAATGACATATTTAGTAAAATGCAGTTAATCCACTAAATATGGAAAGTCCCTGGTTCCCAGTCTTTTGATGGCCTATAGGACACCACCCAAAAGCTATGGCAGCTTACTGGATTGGTACTACTTTCTCATTTTAGGGAGCCAGGCAAGAAGGACCTTTCTCTTGGCTAAAGTAAAGGCAGGCAAAGATGAGGATTACTCATTCAGGAAATGAATCGGTCAACCAAATTAGTGGAGAAGCTCTATTATTTTCAATAGGCTTCCATCAGTCTTATCAGATAGGACACTCTGGTTTTCTATTTACATGATTGTTTTTTCTGTTAAATTGAAGTGCCTCCGAATTTTCTAATTACTTTTAAGTCAGACTTATTTTAGTAAACCATCTGCAAATTCTCTTAGTGGTTAATTTTGTGAACCCAGATTTACAGAAACAATGAAAACTTTTGATATGTTTTCACATTTGAAATATATGTTGAGATTTTTCTATAATTTAAGAAAAACTATTGCTATTAGAAATGCAATCAAAGAATTGAAACAAAATATCCTATAGGTCTATGTGTCTGCTAGTACCATGCTGTTTTGGTTACTGTATCTCTGTAGTTTAATTTGAAGTCAGAATGTGATTCCTCCAGTTTTTTTTTTAATTTTCATTTGTATTCAGGATAGCTTTGGCTTTTGTGGTTCCATATTAATTTGGTGAAGAATGTCATTGATATTTTAATAGAGATTGCATTGAATCTGTAGATTGCTTATGTAGTATAGACATTTTAACAATAGTGATTCTTCCAATCCATGAACATGGGATATCTTTCTATTTTTGTGTGTCCTCTTTAATATATTGCATCAGTGCTTTGTAGTTTTCAGTGTAGAGTTCCTTCCTTTCTTTAATTAAGTTTGCATCTAAGTACTTTATTTTATTTGTAGCTGTTGCAAATGGGATTACTTTTTTTAATTCCTTTTTCAGATTGTTCATTGTTGGCATATGGAAATGCTAGTGATTTTTCTGGTTAATTTTGTATCCTGCAACTTCGCTGAATTTTTTTATCAGTTCTAATATTTTTTTTTGATGGAGTCCTTAGGGTTTTTCAACTATAAGATCATATTATCTTCAAACAATGATAATTTGACTTCTTCCTTTCCTATTTTGATGCCCTTTACTTTTTTCTCTTGTCTAATTGCTCTACCTAGGACTTCTAGTACTATATTGTATAACAGTGGTGAAAATGGGCATCCTTTTCTTGTTCCAGATGTTACAGGAAAAGCTTTCAGTTTTTCTCCATTCAGCGTGATACCATCTGGGGATTTGTTCTTTATTTGGCTTTTATGTGTTAAGGTATATTCCTTTTATACCCAGTTTTTTGAGGGTTTTTATCATGAAGGGATGTTGATTGTATCAAATGCCTTTTTTGGAATCTGTCAAAATAATCATTTGGATTTTGCTCTTCATTCTTTTGACATTATGTATCACATTGATTGATTTGTGTGTGTTGAACTATCCTTGCATCCCTGGGATAAATCCCACTTAGTCATGATGAAATTTACTTAGTGTTCTATTCTACTGTGACTAAGCTGACACAAATCACAATACAAATTCATTCCTACTGTTTTCTCCCCTTTCCACATGCAGAGGTGCCTCTCCCTGTGGCCACAACTACCATCAGCTCATGGTGGGGTTCTATCAGACCAGCACCATTCAGGGCACTGGGCTTCCCTCTGGCCCTGGGCAGGTCCAGAAATGCTGTCTAAGAGCCTAGGTCTGTGCTCGGGGACCACATGAGTGTACTTGTTGCTGTACCTCACTGTGGCTGAGCTGGTACCCAAGCTATAAGACGAAGTCCCCTTTACTTCTCTTTCCTTCCCTCAAACAGAAGAAGTCTCTTTCTTCTCATAGCCATCCAAGCTGGGATTATTCTGGGTCACACCTGAAGTTTGCACAGCTCTAAGTCTCACCCAAGGCCCTCAGCAAGTACTGCCTGGGTATGATTGCTGATTATTCAGGGCCCAGGTGCTTATTAGTCAGCAGGTGATGAATCCTGCCAGGACTGGCTCTTTCCATTCAAGGCAGTGGGTTCCCTTCTGGCCTAGGCTGTGTCTAGAAATGTTATTGGGGAGCTAAGGCTTGAAATGGGAGCCTCAGGACTCTGTCTGGTGCCCTGTCCTGCTGTGGCTGAACTGGCATACAGGTTGCAAGACAAAGCCCTCTTTACTCTCCCCTCACCTCTCAAGCAAAAGGAAGGAGTCTCTGCTGGCACTGCGAGCTGTGCTGCCTGGGGTTGGGGAAGCATGATGATGCAATCATTCCCTTGGCTGCTCTAGCTGGCATCTTGCTAGGTCATGTGCATCCCAAGACCACTGACTCCAAGCCCAGCACAGCACCAGGACTTGCCCAGGAATTGCAGCTTGGCAACTGGGGCCTATACCGCCTTTCAAGTTGATTGAGGACCCCAGGGCACTTTAGCTCATGGTGGCAAGGCTTGCAGGAACTCAGATTTGGACCAATGGGATGGACACTTTGCCTCTGGCTAAGGCTTGTCTAGATGCTCCCTCCATCCACACTGGCTGAGTTCTTCCCTGTCCTACTTTCTGAGTTCTGCTTTCCACTCTGACAGGGCAGCACTGCATTTCAATGCAAAGTCCCATAATCACTGCACTTTCCCTCCCCCAAACACACAGATTCTCCCTCTACACCACGTGCCTGCTGCCAGGGGATGGTGATGGAGTGGTGTAGGCCATACAAAACCGTCTTCCCTCCTGTATTCAGTGCCTCATTCCTTAATATGATGTTAAAACCAGGTGCTGCGAATGCCTACCTGATTTTTGGTTCTTATGAAGTTGCTTTTTTTTGTATGAATAGTTGCTCAATTTGGAGTTCCTGTGGGGAAGACAATCACTGGAGGCTTCTAGTTGATCGTCTTTCTCTGCTCTCTAAGAGTGTTTCATTTTCATTCCTGGAAGTCCTTTAGATTATTCATTCTAAAGCCCTTTTACAATTATTAGCCCTATTTTTGTTTTTTAAAGTTTTCTTGCCCTCCAAACTCTAAATATATCTTTTTCCCCTTCCTATTTCACATTGTGGCATGTTGCCTAGCACTTAGGTATAAAGGAATTAAAATCACACTGAATTATGACTAGGTCAAAGTTTTAAGAACATTGTGTTACATAAATCTATTTACTCTTCGAGGATTTTTACAGCAAGGGCAAGAAAAAAAATTCTGATACTTGTGCTGGAAGAAATAGAAGTTGAAGATCTCATGGCCAATTAAGTTGGTATGTAAATTAGAACCTTGCTTTTAAAGGCATGCTGTTCTTTTACTGTCTTATTAGAACTTCTGAAATACTAAAACATAGGCAAAAAGGAAAAAAAAATTCTTATTCTCAAATCTCTATTTCTATAGACAATGCCTTTACTATCGTTTCTTGAGGATTATAAATATCTTTTAAAAAATGAAATGTGGCTAAAGGGCATACTGTTCTCTTATAGTAAAAGTAAAGCATAAATTTTAAAGTCTTATATAAAGCTTTACACAAAAATACCACCAAAGAGAGGCTGAAGAGTTAAATGCAAGAGAGAGGGGCAACATCCAATCTATACACTATAGCCAGGGTATAAACAAATATAAGCATGTTATTTTCATGATTAAAATATTTATTTATTTATTTATTTATTTATTTATTTATTTATTATTTATTTATGTATTTTTTTGAGAGTTTACTCTGTTGCCTAGGCTGGAATGCAGTGTCACAATCTTGGCTCGCTGCACCCTCCATCTCCCGGGTTCAAGCAATTTTCCTGCCTCAGCCTCCTGAGTAGCTAGGATTACAGGTGTGAGCCACCACACCCAGCTAATTTTTGTATTTTTAGTAGAGACAGGTTTTCACTATGTTGGCCAGCCTGATCTCAAACTCCTAACCTCAAATGATCTGCCTGCCTCGGCCTCCCAAAGTGCTGGGATTGCAGGTATGAGCCACCATGTCTGACATGATTAAAATATTTAAATGGCTGTGCATTGTCATATGCCTCATGCCCAAAATATTTAACATGATCCTGAGGCCTTTCATGATAGCCTCAACAGACCACACTTACATTTTCCTTTGTCCTTACTCCTCTTCTCTGTCTGACTTCCAACAAGCCAGGTCTTCTCTCATATCCTAGAATATGCCATGATACCTTCTACCCCAGCTTCGTTGCAAACACAAGTCCTTTTTCTTGGATATCCCATGGGCTACCAGCTATATTTTTACATATACTTTGTCCTTCTGTAGTCTCTAAAACCAGGGCTGATAGTACCTTGTGGAGCTCCTTTAGGTGTGTATAACAATTTTAAGCACATTATTTTATTAATAGGGTTCAATGTCTTTTCTCTATGAAAGTGTACATTCTAAGAGAGTGGTGACTGTATCTGCATAATTTTTATCTGAACTTTAAGTGCCTGGCAAATAGTGAAATTTCATATGTAAGATGGAGAAAATGATGAACTCTGTCGCATAGAGAGGTTGTAAGGAGGAAGTGAGACAATGTATGGAAAGGTCTTAGCATGGATTAGAGCAAACAAACTTACAGTAAAATATCTGAAACCCTGGGTTAGTGATGGAGTTGGCAAAGCCTCATCAGTACAGACCAAACAGCTTTCCACCAACATTCATTTATTCTTTAGGGATGTCTGGATGGTTCAGGCACCCTAGAATCACCCTAGAACTTAGCATCACTTAGCAACATTAAGGCACCTTGATAGAAAAAGAGAGGTATAAATAAATCAATCTGAGTCTTATTGGATGTTGTTAGATGGCCACCAATTGGGAGAGTACAGGGGAAGGTTCTTTTCCCATTCCCAATCTGAGGACAGATGCTATGGGCCACTTTCTAATTAGCTCCTTTTTGTTCATGCAAAGTATAGTGTAATCACTTTCCTGTTGTGGTTCTCGCTATCCAGACTATAGATACTTACCTTACTTTTGCAGGCCTAATGAAACCCAAAATATATTAAAATAATTTAATAGTTGAACATTTATGTTCTGCTAGGTCCTATTCTAGGTGCCTTAAATGTGTGGACTTATTTAATTCTTGTGGTGATCCTACTAAATAGGATTTATTATCATTCCTAATACTGACATAGAGAGGTTGCTGTGGTTACACAGCTAATAAGTGGTAGAGCTGACGTTTGAATGTAGATAGCGTAACTCTTAGTATCTCATGTTTTCAACCACGGTATTGTGCTGATGAAATGGTTTTAAAAGCAACTCTGTTGTTCACAGCACCCTTAACTCTATATTTCAAGTACCATTTGAGAGAGTTTTATCTTTTGTCCTTATCACATACCTAGAGAAAAAGAAATGTTGAAATCAGTTGTCTGTCTCATTTTGACCAAAAGTAAGCTCATCTTTCTAGACCTTTGCTCAATCAAGATTATCTTATTACCAAAACAAAGAAGAAAATAAAACAAAACAAACAAATACTCTAGGGCATATCAAGGTTTAGCAAGACATCTATATCAAAGATGTCCCACAAAATTGTCCAACTGATTCATCTTCCAATTGAGAAATGTAAGGCAGCAGTCCCACTATGGATGGAAAGCCCCCCAACTCACCTGGAAAATGAGGGAACAAAGTTGGGGAAGAAGAGAGAAGAGATAAGAGAACATGGATTAAAGGGACAGGGATAATGAGGAAAGACTGAGTCAGCTCTACAGGAATGATAGTCGATCTTCAGATGGCTTCCAGAAGCAACAGAAAGGAAAGAGATGGAGTACTAAGGTATCAAGACATTTAACTCAGCATTTTCTCTGCACTAAGTAGTAGAAGGATTTTATCCCTGCCTTGTGTAAAAGATTAAAGTTTAGATTTTCTTTGAAGATGGAAAAAAACCAACTTCTGTTGGCAAGTTCATACCTTAGCAATGTCAAATAACAGAACAGTACCAAACTTTTATTTAAATTATTTATAAGTGATAAAATAACACTAATCAGAATGTAAATTTTTAATGTTTGCTGTTGAATATTCTATAATTCTCTGCATTATGTCTTTGATGACATGATTTGTTGAAAATGGAAAATGACATATTATCTCTATGTTACTACTAGGTTTCTTTTTTGTAAGCTCTGTGTTTCCTCAGAGAGTCACAAATGATGTACCTATTATTTTTGTAGTGCCTTAGTTTTTAGAACAGGTAGGAATTAATGAACCATACCTAATTAACTATAAGCAAGTTTCTAAGAAAAATTTGAGGAGAGATTGCATTAAAAAGTAGCTTTTCGTTGTTTTATTTATTTATTTATTTATTTATTTGAGACTGGGTCTCACTTTGTCACCCAGGCTGGAGCGCAGTAGCTCAATCTCGGCTCACTTCAGCCTCTACCTCCTGGTTCAAGTGATCCTCCTGCCTCAGCTTCCCAAGTGTCTTGGACTACAGGCACGTGCCACCACACACAGCTAATTTTTTTTTGTATTTTTAGTAGAGACAGGGTTTTACCATGTTTCCCAGGCTGGTCTTGAGCTTCTGACCTCTAGCGATCTGTCTTCCTGGGCCTCCCAAAGGACTAAGATTACATGCTTGAGCCACCCTGCCTGGCCTCATTGTTTTATTTAAAAAAAAATTCAGTATGTGATCTAGGTGACAGATTATTCCATAGCATATATATGATAAAAGTGTAGAATGATACTGGACTAGATTATTTTCAAGGTTATGCATAATGCTAATTAGGATCCTAAAGCAGGAAGTAAGGGAAACATTTAATATGCACACAGCAGCACTGAAAATTCAGTTCAGATGTAATCCACTACAAAACTATATGTTGGCCAATAAAAATACCATGCAACTACAGCTTCATGTATTTGAGGAAGAGTTGGTTTTAACTGCATCTCCACAACTGGGCTACATAAAATCTAGTATCTTATTTTTGGCTATAGGAAATGATCTAGTCTCAAAAGGACTAATCTGTTAAATTCAACCATTATTCAGTATCTACTGTTGGGGCAACATGTACACAAGTAAATTGCAAATGTTGGATTGCTTTGCTCTGAACTCTTTCTTGTGTGTAATGAATTTGTCTAAGGAGAAAATTAGGGGGAGATGAATGATGCAATTTGAATATCATAGGGATTCAAAGAAAAACTCCAAACCATTAAGATTTTATACATTTTACTCATTGATGGGAACTGATATACTTCTTGAGGTCTAGCAATTTTATAAGTCCAAGAAGCCTCATCGTTGGAACAACATACTATTAAAAACATGAAAAGGATGTCAGAAGAAACGTTATAAAAAACTGTTTCGACATCTGGTGTTCATTTCGTAAGTGGAGGGAAAATAAAACCAAAGCATACATTGGATCATGATTTCTGGCATAGATATGCAATGGCATGTACTCAGGCTTTGGATATTACTAGGAAGGCGTTCTGCCCTTATAATTTATTTGTGAGTTTTACACACATACACACACAGACACACACACACAATTTTTGCTTCTGGGTGCCTGGTTTAATATGAAATATCTTTTTGCTCATTAAGGCTCTTGCTTACTCGTCAGATATTTGTTATCTAAATGCATTAGGTTACCTGAAATGTCATTGTGTCTGTAACTTGTGATTGGCAAAATGTAGATGAGTTATTCAGATCTCAGAAACAAAACCGAAATGGGGTATTAACTTTTGAAATAAGAAGATATTTTCTAAATCAATGGCCCAAAGCTGTGGCTATATCGCCTGTGGAACTGCTGAAAATAGAGATGCACTGGCTTCTTTCCAGACCTAGGAAATCAAAATCTGTAGGGTAGTGGGAATAACATATCTATTTTGTTGCCCCTGTTAATCTTCTTAGGTGAATCTTAATCACAGCAAGAGTTGTAAACCACTGGTCTAAATAATTAACAGTTGTACAGAACTTTATAATTTACAAAGCATATTACAATTTGTAATCTATTTTAATCGGTTTTGATTGGCATCTATTTTATAGACAACTTAATTAAGACTTATAGAGGTTAAGTGATCACCTAAGATTGTATAACCTGTTGGGACCTAATTTTTTAAGTAGACTTCTGATGCAAAATCAATAGTTTTTTTTTTTTTTTTTTACTTTTTTGCTTTTGCTTTTTTTTTTTTAAAGTCATAATATACATACAGAAAATGGCCATGTCATTAATGTAGAGCCCCAGAAATTTTCACACACCAAACATACACACTCTAATGAGCACCACAAAAACTTCCCTATTGTTCTACAACAGTCACTAACTGCCCTGCCCTGTGAGGGTAATCGCAATCCCAACTTCTAGCAGCATAGCCTAGATTCACCTTTTTTTTTTGTATTTGGATAAATCGAGTCACCTAATATGAACTCTTTCATGTAGACCTTGTTTGTTGATCATGACATCTGACATCTGTCAGATTCATCCATGTTGTTTTATGTAGCAATAGTTAATTTACCCTTGGTTCTTTGCATGAATATACAACAATTATTTTATTTATTCTAGTATTGGTGGAAAATTTGGCAGTTTCAGTTTTTTAGCTATTGACAACAGCATTCTCTCAACAGTCTGGAACATATCTTTGGTAAGCATGTACGTATTTCTATTAGGGATGTACCTCGGTAAATCCAGAGATTTTCACATTGTAATTTTTAAACTGTAAGTTGACAGAAATCACCCCCAGCCTTTCCCTTCCAAACTTTCCCCTTCTTTATTAATTATAATTCTTACCACAACTCTCAATTAATCAAAACCGTTCTGAAAAAGAGACAGAGGCAAATTAATTTACTCTACATTATACCATGCCTAGGAATTCCTAATTTATTTCTAAGGATAGTGCTTTGATTTAAAGGGACAACTTTCTGATTGTAGAATTTCAGAAACCGGTGAGCCAGGCATAAAAGAATTATTGGTAGAGTTCAGCAAATGGTTTTCTCTTATTTGATACAGATTTTTGCTTTAAATTCCTTTGGACAAAATGTTATGAGAAAAACACAAAATGATTAATGAATTAATTGTTTACTCGTTGATGTTAACTGATCATTGTTAGACCCTGTGCACTTAGACAGGTCTTCCATTCCCTCCAAGTCCTGGCCTCACTCTACACAATACACTGGTAAAAATCTGTCACCCTGCTCAGAGAGGGTGTGCCCATATGTACTTCAGATTCATCACTGGTGTCTATCCTTCAGGTGTTTCTTTGTCGCTGACTCGTTTCTTAGGGATCCGAAGAACCCTATGGAACTTTCCTATGGAATTCTCACCCATAGACCCTGGATCCTTAGTTTTAAGGTTCATTGATGTACTAAGCAATACTTAAATATTTCCCAGGTTGTTGATCCAAGGAGCAAGGGGGGAGGTGAGATTCATGAATGGCAAGTTGTATGGCAGATGTACCTGACAGCAGTCACTTAATTTAAGCATACCCTGAATTCTATTCTTAGACCCTATGGGGAGTCTAAGAAATCCAAGAGTGGTCAACCCAGGTATTCATTCCTTATCTATGAGGAACATCTAAGAAATGCAAGAGTGTTCAACCCAGGGATTCATTCCTTATATATGAGGAACATCTGAACCTCCAGCCCGTCCCTTGGAACACAGGCCATACAGAGTATCTAGGCTGTTTGTTTTGGGTTAAATGAAGGTTGCCAGGTGGAGGTTGCTGGAAGAGAAAGCTAAGTTAAAATGCTATATAAACTGCATGCTTTTTACAAGTGGTCACAGTTCTCTTGTCTACCCTGCCACTACTGAACTGCCCTGTATGTAAGTCTTCTTAATAAACCCTATGTTTCATTCTCTGGCTTTGGGTTTCTTCTTCAGCTTCTTGGACATTGTACCATCACTATTGAAATCCATCGGGGTCTGGCTGACATAAATGCATGCTTTTCCCAAGAGGAAAGACAGTTCTCTAGGCCTGTTTCCTCAAGTATAAAATTGGAATAATAACATTTCCATTAGATTAAATAATATAATAGACATGATGTGCTTAATACAAGTATGTGGTGCTGAGTAAGTGGTATCATTAGATGGATACAAAGTTCAGGGACTGTGTCTTCCTCATCCTTGTGGTAGTATCTGGTATGAAGCTGCCTGTACATTTTTAAGGGAATTTGTGATTTATAACATTCTCATGAAAGGGGATATTTTCTGGTCCCTTTCCCCATCTGGATGAATACCAAATTACTAATAAAATATAAAATTGGTCTTTAGGCTCTTCAAATCTGTTATTTCTATGAAGAACATTCCCAGATGACATCACACTTAAGGGATTCAAGGAGAGTCAGACTGTATTTACACAAGAGTTAGAGCATATTCCAGAAGTACAGAAAGAATTATGCTGGGGATGTGGTCATTAAGGTATATAAATTATTTAAATTCAGCTTTTCCAAATTCTTAAGTCTGCCTCTGGTCAAGCATGTTAATAAAACCAGGTGAAACATTTTAATTGCTTTTCACCTTCTCATCTAGGCTTCAGTGTTAACTATCATTTGCGTCTGAATGATGTGAATTATAACATACGGTGCATTAAGACAGGTCTTCATTTAGGGGGTGATCATCAGTAGACATTCACTGTGTTTCTACTCTAGTGAATAGTAGTACTACCACAATGCCTCTATCAATGTGACCAGCAATCCCATCAGAATTCCATCGCCAATACCACCACCAATTCCATTGTGGATACCAACAACAAATTCATCATCAATGCCACCAGCAATTCCAAAACCAATATTCAAACTAACACTAAGGGTGAGCAAATATACAAGACTCTGGGAGCCCACATGAATCAAACGTGGAAACACGGTCTATGGCATTACTGAGTACATAGTTGAGTGGAGGAAATACATCATGAAGCCAGCATTATTCGGTCTTGCCTGGCCTGTGTGGTCCCTTCTTGGGCCACTCTGCTACTCTGTCCCTCACAGGTTTTTCTCTAGCCACATTAGCTTATTGTTAGTTCTAGGTTTTTTCCTACTCGAAAACCTTTACATGTTCTGAACCATCTGCCTAGGGTAGTTGTTTCTAGTATTCACAAATTGAAACCCTTTTCGTACTTAAGCTATCAGCTCAAATGTCACTCCCCAAGAGAAACCTCTGGCCTCCCTTGTGTATTAGGATCATAGGGATGATAGCTCCTGCCTTGCATGGTTGATCTACATTTGTGGTAAATGAGTGTTGAGTACCTAATGCAATGCCTTCAGGTAGCTATTAATAGTACAGGTTTAATATCCCTTATCCAAAATGTTTGAGATCAGAAGTGTTTCAGAATTTAGATGTTTTTTTTTCAGATTTTGAGATGCTTGCATATACATAATTAATGAGATATCTTGGGGATGGGACCCAAATCTAAACATGAGATTTATTTATGATTTATATACACATTATATACATAGCCCAAGGATAATTTTATACAATATTTTAAATAATTTTTGTATATAAAACAAAGTTTGCATGCATTGACCCATGGAAAAGCAAAAGTGTCACTATCTCAGCCACCTGTGTGGATAACCTGTGGTTGTTTGGCATCACTGTCACTCCTGACTCTAAATTTATATTGTACCTATAAGCAATCATTTTCTTACACTCATTCACGTATAAATACTTAGCAATAAAAATATGACATGCCATTAATATAGTGAAAAAGTAGTGTGTTCAGGCTAACTTGTCATTGTGTCATGTTGATGCTCAAAAAGTTTTGAATTTTGGAGCATTTCAAGTTTCAGGTTTTCAGATTCGATATGCTTAACTTGTAGTAGTAAAAGTAAAACTTGACAGGTGATCCATGTGACTGCATAAAAAGAGCTAAACTGGATGTGAAGCCAAAGACCAAAAAAGCTCAGTGAGATAGAAGTTTCAGATTGGAGATGAGGAAGCAAAGCCTTGAGCAGTTATGTGAGTCATGAAGACAGTAGCTGTAGGCCAGCTCTGAGCAGGAGCAGAAGCCCTTCAGAAGGTGTGGACAGTTATAATAGCATGGTGAATGTAATGACACAGAGCATACAAAATATGAAATTAACAAAGGGGAGGGTATAGAATTAACTGCTTCTGGCATGATTGCACCTGAGGGCAAAGGAAAACGGTTGAGGAGAGTGGCTCCTAATCACCCTTATGTGTCCTAGTCTTTTTGAAAGTCTTGTTTCTTTCTAGTTTCCTTTTATCTTCTTGTGTTCACAAGGCTTTGGGTGCAACATTATTATGGAAATACAAACCTGAAGTTTTGACTCATTTTTTATTGCATCTGAATCGTATGAGTCTAAGCACAGGGAGAATTTAGTCACCAGTTCTACTTTGGTTGTTAAAAGATAAACATTATCCAACACACTTTGCATAATGTTCCACAGAGGACCTCCATGAGTAATTCTTGTGGCCTGCACCAGTTTTCCCTTACTCTTCTTTAAGTTATTCTGTGTATGAGTCAGAGTGTTAAACTTGTTGTATTTATCCTTATTCAGAATCAGTTTAGTTTAGTGAGTTTAAGAGCAAAGATTGAATCCCAGCTCTGTGAGACCTTGGGGTAAGTCACTTAACTTCTCTCTGCCTTAATTTTCTTCTCTGTAAAGCGGTGATAATAATCATACCTAATAATACATAAGTCATAAAGTTGTTGTGACAATAAAATGAAATAATGAAGAAGAATCAGAACAATACCTGGCACATAGTAAGTGTTACATAAATATGAACTATCATAGTTGAACAACTAATGATAAAACACTAGGTAGAAAGTTTTACCAGAAGTTTCTTTTTCCTCATTGGCCCAACTTTACATTGGAAATTCAAAAAGTAATTTCAAAGACTTTTTATGATCAGCAAATATTCTGCAAAATCAACTGGTTTCAATCATCAGCAATATTTTCTTTATGAGTTAGAATATATAAAGGATGGTTACAACCTCTTTTAAGCTTTTCAGTTATATAACCTCATCTATAATAATAACTGTGTTAGTTAAGGAAATCATTCAGAAGGCTGAATCATCTTCATGCAAATGAGTTCAGCATAATTTCCTTAAGCATGACAATGACTAAAGAGAAAATATTCATTTTCTTTCGTAAGTTTCTGTGTCTGAAACAATTTAGGAAGGTAAATGGGGGAAGGGTGAAATTCATCATTCAAAATCTCTTTGGAGCATCCTGTCCCCAGGTGATGTGGACTAAATATTTGTGTTCCCCCAAAATTCATACATTGAAATCGAATCCCAAATGTGATGGTGGTTTGAAGTAAGGCCTTTAGGAGGTGATTAGGTCTTGGGGGTGGAACTCTCATGAATGAGATTAGTGTCCTTGTAAGAAGATACCAGAGAGCTAACTCTTTCTGCGCCCCTCCAAGTGAGGATACAACCAGAATATGGCCAACTGCAAACCAGGGAGAGAGTCCTCACCAGAACCTGACCGTGCTGGAACCCTGGTCTCAGACTTCCAGCCTGCAGAACTATGACAAATACATCTCTGTTGATTAAGCCACCTCATCTGTGGTACTTTTGTTATAGAACCCCAAACTGACTAAGACACCAGGCCATTATCATCTACTCTTAAGGACAGCATTTTCTATGTATTTTGTGTCTAGAGTCTATATTTTACACAAAGTCAGTTTTCTCTTTTTAAAAAAATTTGTACTTTATCTTTGTCCTGAAGCTGGCAATGATGTCAATAGCTTGCTGCTTAGTAGATCTTTAATTAAGACCAGGGCTTTTAGCCTGTATTCCTGACTGTTTGATTTCATCCAGTTTTTTCAGTGGTCTTCAAATGAACGCTCACACTCTCTAAAGCAAAAGCATTTATTATACATGGCTTAGTTTCCTAATATAACGAACATCTTAAAATGAAGAAAAATGAAAAATAAAAAGAAGAGCTTTTGTAATTTAGCCAAATGTAATTTGTGTGTGTGTGCCCTCCATGGTTGCCACAGGTATCAGGTGCATTTACTTCACTGAGAATATCACTGATCTTGAAGTCAGTCTTTGGAGATATTTAAAGTTATTAAATGTCACATCTCTTGGTAAGACACAAAGATCACAATCACACTTTTCAATGTGGAAAACCTCTGCATTCACAGATTTGGGATTTACAGTTTTGATGGAAGCTTTATGTAGACCCTGTCTCTCACCCCCTGTGGGAACTGTTTATAGCTCCCTGGTGCTGGCAGAAACCCATCCGCTTACTCCCTCTGTAAAAATACATTAGGGTTAAGTGTTGAAGAGGGGCAGTACATTTTAGTAACTGAGAAGCCTTCTCTGACATAATTAGAGAAATGGGAGGACCTTCAGAAAACAGCCTGGGAGAGAAGATAGGATGTAGTGTGAAAAATGCTTGTGTTGGGCAAAAACATTTCCAAAGATCTGCTTTTTATTTGTTTTCTGGCATCTTGAAAGCTTTTGGCACTTTTGGAGCTTAATTTCACCCTCAATGAATTGGAAAATTATGCTGTATAAATCAGTTTATAACATAACTTTTCAGTCATGATGATCAGATTCTAAACATTAAACCTGGAAAATCATAATAAGTTTCAGTAAAATTTCCAAAACATTTCAAAAACTGCATGAATCTCATTCATTCCAAACAATACAGAATTTCATGTTCTAAAAAACTGCTTACTTATGTAAGAAATATGACATATTATATAATAGTAAGAAAAAATAATCCACAAGCCTTATCCACATGACAAGGGGATTATGGATTGTTGTGAGAATGAGTAATGATACTTGAAAACTGCAGGCGTAATAGAAGACACAAGCCGATAGATCTGCCTTTTAAGAGCGGATGTCTATCCTTTGGATTTCAGTGCGAATATTCTCATCTTCGTGGCAATCAGGACAAAGAAGCAAGCTTCATGTGATCATCAGGATGCCCATTAGTAGCATATGGAAAAAAACATAATATTCTTAGTACTTTCCACAAACTAGCAATCTATTTTATTGGAAGGAAGTGTCTCCTCCCTCTTAATTATTCCGTCTGAAAATCTAGTCCTGACATTTAAAGCAAAACACGTTCAAATTTCCTTTGAAATTTAAAGTTTGTGCTAAATTAGGGTTGTTTGGTGGGAAGTGAGTTTTGCATTTGTTAAGGAGATTTGGTTATAAAAATTTGATTGACTTAAGATGCTTAAGTGGGTGAATAGAACCCGTGGCAAGAAAACAAGAAATAGAAGTTGGTGGGAAAGTGATTCATTTCTATTTCCTGCAGTTCTTAGGCTACAAGACAAAGAAAGAGTTGTAGATCAAGGGTCAAGAAATGAAGATGTGGCTGCATTTTTTAGGATTTTGCAATAACAATGAAGCAAAATACTACTCATTTACTAAATATGGCATCTGTATTTTTCATAAGACTTTTTTCACGAATAGAACAATGTTCAGTTCTACAGAATGTAGTGGCTTCCTGCAGTCAATAATAATTGCTTGATAAATGAACATTGAATGAAATTATGGAAGACTTTTATAAAATAAGATAAATGCTACAAGTATTTCTTCCTCAGCCTCTGTTTCCTTTTCTTCCTCTTGCTTTCTGTATTTATTGGACCCCAGTTACATCCTAGGAATTGCAGAAAGTACTAGAGATGCCATAGTGAACAACACAAAACTTTGCTTGCCCTCATGGAGCTTATATTCTAATGGTCAAAGTGGAACATAAGGAAGTAAATGGATTAAACACACAAATCGTGACAAGTGCCATGAAGGACCCAATTAAATAATCAAGTTTGAAAATAACAGTAGTGGGGGGGAGGCTACTGTACTTTTGTTGGCAGGGTATCACTGAGATGGACTCCTGAGTAGTGAGCTGGAGCCACGAGCCACTGAAGACCTGGTGGTAGAGAGTTTCAGGAAGAGGGAAGGCAGTGACTGTGGTGGTGACATCATCGTCTTTCAGAATCTGTAAGAGGGACAGAATGACTAGAAGGTAGTGAGAGAGGGGGACAGTAGCAAGTGATGATGTTGGCATTCCTTTTCTTCTGGTTGGCCCTAGCAACATGTCCTGAAGACACATTGTCTAAGCCTTTATCATAGATCACCTGCTTAATGGATTCTCTCCATCCCTCCTTTCTTTCTTTCCTCTTTTTTTCTCTTTTTCTTTCTGCTTACTTGATGATTGTAAATAACAAAATTTAGAGCCCTCAATGGTAGCTCCATTGGGGAATTAATAAGAAATAAGTCCCATTTATCCCGTTTGGAATTTTGTAAAGATAATGAGCTCCATCCATCTGGCCATCTTGGGAAACTACTGTGCCGAGACCAGGCCTCTAACTGTGGGGCTAGACGAGGAGGGCATTTCTTCTAACGACAACGGCTCCATTGTACTTTCTTGTCTGGAAGTGCTCCTCCTGAGGTTGGTGGGCATTGTAGCACTCAGAACTGAGTGGCCCTCTGAGTACAACCTTTCTCCATGCGCTATTCCCCATGTTCTTCCTTTGAAATGAAGTGTTATGTTGCATAGTAGCCTGTCACCAAGAACTGGCCATTATGCCGCCAGCAAATAGGAAGTACTTATACTTTGAAACAAATGTATGTTATTGTTGTTGGGCTTATTATCATCCTAAAATATATCTTCCTACAACTCACTCGGATAGGTTACATTCGTTTATGCTATTAACAGTAAATAGGATGAAGGGCTCTCAGTTTGGAGGAAGCCTACAAAGCAATTTTAATCTATTTGATTACCTTACGTTTGAGTTCCTGCTACTATATTCCCAGCAAGTGATGATGTGACCTACTCCCGAATATTTCTAACAACAGAAATATTTAATGTGTGTGTAGCTTATTCCAAAAAGAAGTCTCTATTGGGCCATTCATTTGGTCACCCTATCCATTCTCCATTCACTTCATTCATTCATCAGTCGATTTGAAGGTTGTTTCATCAATAAGCTATTGAGTGATTGCTATAGGCCAGGAATTTGTTAGTCACAAATGTAAAGACAAACACTATGGAAAGACCTCCACCCTATTTTTCAATAAGCCTATAGCCGAAAAAAGATACAGAATGTGGATAGTCAGTAGCACTGTGGATGACATTTGCTAAAATGGAAATATGTTCAAAGTTAATTGGGATTATGTGTCTGCCAAAGTAGTAGTCACAAAGAAAGTAAGTTCTTTGCTTTTAGATCAAACAGAACACAGGAGCAATGGTTCATCACACATGACGTGTATCTAAGATTTTTAAAATATAAAATCTTATATTAATATACCTTTATCAGTCTAATCTAACTCTCCCCAACTTTAAAAATGTTTTAGGCCAGACACTGTGGCTCATGTCTGTAATCACAACACTTTGGGAGGCCAAGGCAAAAGGATCACTTGAAGCCAAGGGTTTGAGACTGGCTTGGGCAACTAGTAAGCGCTCGTTTCTAAAAAAATTTTTTTAAATAATTAGCTAGGCATGCTGGTGCTTGCCTACAGTTCTAGCTACTTGGGAGGCTTACACAGGGGGATCTCTTGAGGCCAGGAGTATAAGGCTGCAGTGAGCTGTGATTGCCTGAGTGACAGAGGCAGACCTTGTCTCTTATAAAAAAAAAAAAAAAACAACAACTCAGAAACAAACTTTTAATTTGTCCATTTAAATGTCTTTTATAAAGCTTATTTGCCTTTCTTTGACATCTATCTTTTGGTCTTAGAATGTTATTTCTTGGGCCTAGAGAGCATAGAATATAAGGTCTATTCAGGGTACATTTTAATTTTATTTCCAGATTCTAAATAACTACATGGAATTTAAGTGAATTTCAGGGAAAAAAATAATCAGGTATTAAAACATTCTGTTGAGCTCTTTAATATTTGTTTTTACTACATTAGCAAAACTATAGTACCTCAGAAGCTCACATGGCAATGTCTGGTTATTCTGGAAAAGAAGTTCTTGAGACCCTCCTTAGGAAAAGTCACTCATGGATGAGACTTCCATTTCATTTTTGCTGATGAGCTCTCCATGCATTTAAATGAAGCCCAAGCTTCCTGAAGTCCACACTAGTTCAAACTCCCTCTGCCCTTTCCCTACAGGGGTCAGGGACGCAGCCACTTGAAAGACTGCTTTAGGCTACTTTTGGTACAGTCTCTCAGTTTCTATTTTGATTCTGTCTGGTCTCCTACATGCTTCCGTTTCTTCTTCTGCAAGCTTTTCCTCTGCCCATCTACTTATGTTTCCGTGTCCCAACTCCAGAAATTCTTCTCCTTTTCTTTTCCTTGAAATGCATATTTTTCTTAACTTTGAACTTTGCCTTGGAGACATTAAAGATCAACTAAGTCTCAAAACACAAAATTTGAAAAACTCTTCATGTTTTGTAAAATGCTTTTTTCGCTGTCTTCTGCTTCTTTCTGTCTTCTTTAGTGGTTGTTCAAGCCCTTGCCTACCAGATTTGAATGCTGTGTGACCTTGAGCAAATTAATCACTCTGAGCCTCATTTTTTCACTCACAGTGGTGAGACAGTAATAGTCACTTTATGAGTCAGTTGAGCATTGAATAAGCCAGTGTTAAATGTCATAGCATAGTGCTTTCCTTCTTATGAATCTTACTCTTTGATGTCTATTAAACTGTGCAGTAATTCCAGAAAGAGGAGGTAACATCTCACATACATAATATACTTAATTGCACTCACTTTCATATGAAGACACAACTATAAATGTAGTAGATACAATTTCTGCTTAATAAGCGTTAGTAGATTCAAATTTCCTTTGATTGGAACCAGCCTTGATCCTTCCCAGTTTGTGTGGAAATAATCTTTTCCATGCGTAGTATCTTTTCCCGTCTTAATATGTTCATGGGATACGGGTCTATAGTAAATGAGAGTGGCAGGTCCTCAGATTTCTGTGAGTACTGGTAGCATTTGTTTTATATGAAGCAGCAGAAAAATATTGAGCTAAGTTTGGGTCAAGGCTAAGATGCCTCAAAGATTTTAAAGTTGTTGTTTTGGGAAACTGTCATTAACAATGGACTACTTGCAATTCACCCAAAACATATTTAGAAACTTATTAATACATAAATGACCTTTATTTACATTGTGAGTTTTTATTACTGGGTAATTTCCACAAACCCAGATATACTACTGCTTTTTAACTCTGCTTAATACTGTGTGCGTATCAACGTGTGCAACTTAACAATTACTGTATAGTTCTGATAAGGCAATTTAGTCTATTCACTAGAATCATTAGATCAGGTCAAAAGCCCTTGAAAAATTCAAGGACAGTGACCTAGTTATAGTACTATATTTTCTTGAATGTGTTTGAGATTAAGGTTTCAAATACTCATCATAAGTTTATTGATTGAAAATAATATTTACTATTTTATCCTAGGGTACTATTTTTCTTTCACTGCCTTCACATTTAGCTTTTAAACCCTACATATAATCCAACATATTAACATTAGGAAGAAAAGCTGGCTTCTCTACATTCACCCTATTATGATAGCACGTTTATTCATTTGCATTATTTCAATATAAAGAGTTAATTTCTCTTTGAATAATGTCTTTAGCGGAAAACAAATGACAGCCATATCCATAAGAAAAATATTAGTCAAGACAGAACAGCAAAATTTCTCTAGAGTGAAATAAGAGAATTTCTTTTAGAATAAAGCCAGGAAATTAAGAACTTGGAGACTTTAAAAAATATTATAATTCACTGTAAGGATTTAAAAATGAACTATACTCCAACAACAATTACAGCTTAACAATTTAACATTACAAATGTCTTCCCAAACAAAGAAGCAGGTATTCTTGGGAAAGGAAGAATGGAAAACTATCAATTAATAAGAGTTTTATCTTTATTTTTGCAACTTCTGGTTTAGTTTTGCCCTTGACAAATCCACATAAGAAGTAAGAGGTTAAAACTATAGGGTCATTGTTAAGTTGCATACATTGTTAGCATTCCTGGAAGCGTACCAGATTGTGAAGCTCAAGGTTTTCAAGACAGACACACCTGGTTTGGATTCTAGCATTGCCATTTGCTGGGAAACCTAGATGGCTATCCACCAGAATAATTATGAGAGCTACTACAAGATTGGAATAAAGCTTTATACATGCCATACAGTAAATTCTCAGTTAATATCATTTTGTTCTCTTCTTTTTCCCTTAGAAATAAACAGAATAACAACATTATGTTGAAAAAACTTAATTCAACCTGTATAACAATGACCAAGGAAGAACTATGACTAATAAAGATCAAATATGTTCAACCTCAGTAGTTTTTAATGATGAAAATATAAAAATAACTAGCTGCTGGCTTTTCAATTTTCAGATTAACTGTGGTTAAGAATAGGTACCAATATGGGAGATACAGACATTCTTATATTGATGGTAAGAATATAAATTAGGAAAACTAATATACATTGACTACATGGAATGCCTTAAAATTTCATACCTTTCAACTCAATAATTCTGCTGATTTGCTTACCATGATAATTATATTTTCTTACAAAGATTTATAAACAAACATTTCCATTAGGCTATTTTTAAATAATAAAAAATATATGATGAAACATTTTTGGTCAATAAATGCAGTTATTTCGGAGAATGCTTAATAGCATGACAAAAGTCTCCCCATGCCATATCTCCTTAAAAAGCAAGACAGTCAACTATACATAGATGTATTAGTCCATTCTCACGCCGCTAATAAGACATACCTGAGACTGGGTAATTTATAAAGGAAAGAGGTTTAATTGACTCACACTTTTGCAGGGCTGGGGAAGCCTCAGGAAACTTACAATCATGGTGGAAGGGAAAGCAAACACATCCTTCTTTGCATGACGGCAAGAAGGCGAAGTGCAGAGTGAAAGTGGGGAAAAAAAGCCCCTTATAAAACCATCAGATCTCATGAAAACTTACGATCATGAGACTAACGTGGAGGTAACTGCCTCCATGATTCAATTACCTCCCACCGGGTCCCTTCCATGACATGTGGGGATTATGGGAACTATAAGATGAGATTTGGGTGAGGACACAGCGAAACCATATCAATAGATTATTATTCAAATTATATAAAAATAAAAATAATATATGAATTATCGAAACAAGAAAATAATACTCAAAGGGAAAAATTGGTTGTCTTTAATGGTGGGTTATTGATGAGTTCCATTTTCCTTCTTGATACTTTCCTGTGTTTTCTACATCTTTACAATATGCAAGACATGACTTTATATTCAGGAAAACAGAACAAAATGATGAAGTCGATCTATTGAGTTAAAGTTTGGACAAGAAGCCTGAATGCAGGAGTCCAGGGAACTCTTCAGCCAACAGTCAGGCTTGCCTGAAGGGGGCAGCCATGCTGGTCAGATTGGCCTCTGATTTGAGAGGAGTGACTCACAGGTCCGCGGCCTCTGACAGGGAGAGGATGCTGAGGGATAGGGGTGAGTAGCACTGCCAAAACATTTCCAGTTCATGGGGTTTGCTTGGTTTCAATATGATACCTCTGAGCTTCCAAGACAACTAAGAGTTCAACTATGCTTAGAAACTTTTTTGCCTTATGACAAGGATCTAAGCTTTTCAGACCTCTCTAAGTTCCTTGAGGGTGTGCAATTTTTTTAAAAAGCGGACTGTGATCACATGGCATATGTTCATATTTTCATTTTGCAATATAAAGGACCTAAGGGGGGAAAAGCTACTGTCTATAATCATAATGATTTTATGAAAGAAAGAGCTCTACCCAAAAATGTAGGCAGCACATGATAATCTAAGGATACAAAACAATATTTTAGTTGGATAAATTTTGTCTTCTGAAAAATTCATTGCATTTTTCTTTGAATTTCATCATAAGTAAGTGAAAGTATTGCCACGGACCCACAAGGGTCTTGGAACTCCCAATTAAGGAGACACTAAGTAGTACTCAGCTCACTTCTTTATGTTCATCTCACTTCATTCTAATAACATCCACTGTCCTTTTTGTAAAAACGAGAGTACTGAGGCCCACAAGGTGTGGGAAGTACATGTAGCTTGCTTGTCTGACCATATTTCATTGTATTGTCTATGAGTCTTCACGTTTGTGTTCATGTTGTCCAGAATAAAAAGAAAATAAAATAATTCATTTAAATATAGAAATTGCCCTAAGGGTGACCTAAGCTTTAAAGTAGTAAATTTGCTAAAATAATGTTGAAAGCATTGCTCATTGTCATCTTGGGTATTGCCAGGTTTAGCTGGAAGGGACCAGGAACATTAATTTGCAGAGAAAGTACATACTTCTTGAAAGGGTGATGGTAGTAGGTGAAAGAATGCAGACCAATAGCAGAAAACAATATGAACTTAATTAATATAGGCAGAAGATGTGAAAACTATTCTGTATGCAGAAAGTGTTGATCAGAGGACACAGTGATCTTCAAATCAAAAGGGCAAGGCCGGGTACTGTGGCTCATGCCTGTAATCCCAGCACTTTGGGAGGTCGAGGCAGGTGGATCGCTTGAGATTAGGAGTTAGAGACCAGCCTGGCCAACATGGTGAAACTCTGTCTCTTCTAAAAATACAAAAATTAGCTGTGCGTGGTGGTGTGTGCCTGTAATCCCAGCTACTTGGGTGGCTGAGGCAGGAGAATGACTTGCATCTGAAAGGTGGAGGCTACAGTCAGCAGAGACCATACCACTGGTTACAGTGAGCTGAGACTGTGCCACTGCACTCCAGCCTGGGCAACAGAGAGAGACTGCATCTCAAAACAAACAACAAACAAACAAACACCCAAAACACACACATACAAAAGTGTAAGTTTCCATGGGCCTGTGTTCTCTGGAAGTTCTTACCCTCCTGTTCTCAGAAATCTCTCTGTGCTCACTCAGCATATCTGAATTGTTCTGAGAAGGCTCTGGCTCTTTGTCCACAACCCCAGAACATTCCTCAGTGTCTATTGTGTGACATGGAGAGAAAAGGCCTTCTAGGTTTTTGCTGGACCAAGATTTAATATCTAAGAGATATTCTTGTAAAAGGAGAAGGGTTAGAAACAGAAGCAGGACTAGAGAACACCTGGTGGTCCAGGAAGAATAGAGGCATCTGCAGGGAGATTAGTCATCTGTACTAAAATGGAACTAAGTTCTTCAGGTCAGAATATGCAGTGGTGAAAAATCAGGTAGGCAGGAGGGCAGTCATTGCCAGAGAACAAAGGAGAGTGGTAGGAAAAACCAAGAACCCGGAAATTCAGTGTGGCCATTGAAGAGGGAAATTAGGAGGAGAGACTTAAGATACAGAGTAACTAGATTGTTACTATGGTGACCATTTAGTCCTGTTGAGTAATACTTACTATATGCCCTCTAAATTCCTGATCCATTCTAGGGTAACACCATAAAACCAACCTTGGTCCTATGTTATACATTTAATGACAATGGTAACTCAGTGTTTGGTTTTATTTATTTATTTATTTATTTATTTTTGAGATGGAGTTTCACTCTTGTTGCCCAGGCTGGAGTGCAGTGGTGCCATCTCAGCTCACTGCAACCTCCATCTCTCGGGTTCAAGCAATTCTCCTGCCTCAGCCTCCCAAGTAGCTCTGATTACAGGGACCCGCCACCACACTTGGCTAATTTTTGTATTTTCAGTAGAGATGTGGTTTCACCATGTTGGTCAGGCTGTTCTTGAACTCTTTACCTCAGGTGATCCATCGCCTCGGCCTCCCAAAGTGCTGGGATTACAGTTGTGAACCTCTGCACCCAGCCCAGTATTTGGTTTTAATGGACCTATTTTTAAATCTGCTGATATTGTTCTTAGTCAGTGTATTTTTGCTGATCTTTAATCCTTTTTTTTTTTCTCCTAATCCAGGCAATTGAGTGGTGCCTGTCTAAGATTGTCTGGCCACTAGCAGATGGACTGGCTTGCACATGGCCTGTTATCACTACAAATTTGAGAGTGTGCTAACATAAATAATCCAGACTCAAGTCTCCCGTTGACAAAACATGTTTGATTTTATCATGTATATAAAATAAATGTATAGTCCTACCATTTTCTTTTTTTGAACTTTCACTCACTTTTTTATGATGAAATATACATTAGAAATTTTAAAAAACACTTCATCCTGTCAATCACTTCAAAATTCAGCACATTCTGTTTTCAAAGACTTTCATGAGGCAGTCTGCTTGAAATCTATTTTAACTTATTTTTTTAAAATAGCATTTTATTTTGTTCTGTGGAGCAAGAGTATATTTGGCTCTAAAATTAATTCCACTCGAACAGCCCCAGTTTTCTTTCCACTTAGTCTTGGAGAAAGGGAGTCTTTTCCTTCCTCCTGTCTTTCTAATTAATGTATTTCCTCATTTAGTACTCCGCTTACAATCCTGCTTCTGCTTCTTAACCCAGGACCCACCAATAGAATTTAAGGGTTCAGTGAACTTACATAGGAATAAAAATGTAATCTTTATTTTACTAACTTCCAGTGAATTTAAGGTCCTTAAATTATGGGTGTGTAAGCAACAAAGCACAGAGATTATGTGCAACTTTGCCTCCAGTAAAATCATAGATAGAATCATAATCATAATATCACATTGCAGTTGTTACAGATATAGTTAAAAATTACAGTATTTGACCCATTTCTACATATTGATAGTTAATACGTTCATAGTGAAGTGTATCACTATGTCACAATTTTACTTTTGTAATATTTTTATAGCTTTTTTCAATATGATTAATTTTCTTTATGGACCTGTGTATTTTCTTTTATTCATTGGAAAGCATTGTTTTGAGAAGAAGGCCATAGGCTTCACAAAACTGTGAAAGGGATCCATGGTTCAAAAACAATTAAGAACTTAAATTGATTTTTCTGAAGTCTCCTTTTTCTATGTAGACCATAATTTGAATGTATTTTACTTGTCCTGAAATGCCTCTAAGTCAATAAGCTTGTATTTTCTTCTGAAATTCTATGATCTGAAATATTTTCATGTGGCATGTGAAGTAAAAGCATTTCTCGTGCCAATTAGAAAAAATGCATCTGACATTAAATTAGCATTTACTATAATGAAATCAGGCCTGTGTGATTAATACAGTGCAATTATACTCATCTGAAAATTTGCCATATTTAATTTTTCAGCATCAAATAATCAAAAATCGTATTTGTTTGTGAAGGATACAATGTTCTTCTCTCAGTGCTGAACACAGGCATTGATTTCCGGTGACAAGAAGGCTTCTATAACAACTTAATTGATTATAATACTTATTAAGTGCTTACAGCATACTAGACATTGTGCCAAAAAAATCACTTCTACTGGTATAGAAATGCCTAATACAACTCACAGATATGGAGTACTAAGTGCAACATGTCCAAATCACCACTGACTATTTCAACGTAGAAAAGCATTTTATGAGTAAATAGGTGAAAAACATGAACCACAGAAATACTTATTTCTATCTATTTATTTGTTTGAATTTAATTCCAGAATTAATCAAATCCTGTCTCTATTGGCTGCTGGTGACTCTGTGTCTAATGAAGAATCAGCTCTATTTGCAGCAGTTGGCTCACTGGAGCAATAGTCATGGTGTCCATTATGAGTGATGATCTCAAATAGTGGGAAAGGGCATGAACTCAGGAATCAGACAGACCCAAGTCTGCATCGTGGCTTTTCTACTGACTAGCTCTGTGACCTTGTTTAAGTTACATTTGTGCCTCAGATTCCTTATCTTAAGAAATGACAATAATAAGATATAACTTACAAGGTAGTTATATAAAACACAGACTTATAGGGAAAATGTCTGTCACAGTTGTCTGGCAGATAGTGAGCTCTCAACAATTTTTAGTTGTCGTTGTTTGTTGTCAGAACTCTTCTCAAATATGCCTCCTTCCCAGCAATAAGAGTTCGAGAACCACATCAATTCCTACCCTCTATTGAAATCTTATGAGCCCAGAGGATGTGGCACACTCCTTGTTTCAGAGAAATACAATCAAGTTAGAAATTAGAAATTTATACAGGAATCAGATGGGAAATATGGAAAGGTAGTAAAAATAGTAAAAAGAATGCTAAATGTTGTGATATGTATTTATATAAATTAGAATCCTGGCATGAAATAGGGTGATTGAAGAGAGGTTAAGTGAGAGAACAATTTACCAATTTGTGGGTAAAAAAGAGAAGCAAAATAGAATGGTGTAGCACCCAAGGAGTAGCAAATATCAGGAGCCATTACTAACCCATGAAACTGAGAGGGGAAGAAGCCTTTTCCAGAATCTGGAGAGAGCTGTGGCTATCACTGCAGGGAAATACCTCCTGATAGGAGTTACAGCCTTATCTAAAGGAGCACAGCCATTCTCTCTCCCTCTGTGGGTCAGATCCCAGAGAACATACATTCTAATGTCTGTCTCCATCAACCCCCAAACCAGCTGAAAGCCAGAGAGCTCAGGAACCCAGGTAAAGCAGTTTGGACAGACGGCCTCATGCAGCATGATGGAGAAGGACAGAGAGTAAATGTGAAGAGGCAACTGAGATTAGTCAGCAAAATATTAAAAGATACATTTAGCAATTTAGAGAAGGAGGGAACAGTAAGAATTCAAGCAGTCTCAGGAAGCTTCTCTAACAATGAAAGTTGGGTTCTATAAATAATTCCTGCTTTAGACTTAACATGTTGTGTACATTGTAATCGAATGTGACATAACCATTCTGGTCTAACAATTCCACCCAATGATATGGTTAAGTGCCCCCTTCGAATAACAGTGCTACTCCTTGTTGCGGCTATGCGTATCAGTCACAGTGAATGTAATACAGCTTGGCAAGAGCCCAGGATTTTTGCCTTGCAAGTCTTCAGAAAATGTAGAGAGAGCAAGCAAATTATCTTGTGTGAGCAGAGTGAACAAAATGCATGGGGAGGTAGAATTTCAGCTAGCCTGACAATAGGTCTCAGCCTTGTTCACCTTCCTGCCCTCAAATGGCCAAGGAATCTGTTCAAAGATAAATGCCCTCTGTTGTTTAGAAGCCTGCTGAATCTTTCACCCAGACAGCATTGATTACTCCTACAAGACCTATTTATTTGAAACTTCCTATTGATCTGTTTACAGAATTCACTTCAGGACTTATTTTGTAACCGGGATGCTTTCAATTAGGGATTCCTTTGGGTCTTATTTTTATAATTTTGTTGTGGTTGGCAAGGCTGTTTGTATGTTCAGATAGATTGTCCTAAATGTTTAGTCTCATGATTTTGTCCAATAGTAATAATTCAGTCTTTCAACAGTGAATTCAGTGAATCATTCATTGACCAAACATTTTCTCAGTGACTATTTTGTGCCAGGCACTGTGGTATGTGTGTATTAGCTAACTCTAAAAGGCCAAATTATTTTCATTTCTTTTAATTCTGATGGACTGATAATACTGTTTTTGCATTGTTCTTTTGAGGTAGATTTTCAGGTCTATCTAGGGCTCAGCAGAAATGAGTTCTGTAATTGATGGGCATGGCTATGAGGCAGTAAGTGCTTTCAACTGTGGGTCAGCTGAGTGGTTGGTTTGCATAATGCATTGTATCATTTAGGTTTAGTAACACTCCTTTTCTATGAGAGGAAACCTTTTTACTACAAGCTCGTTTCAAGTATATATCACCTTATACCTGGAAGGCTCTCTAAATCTTTGTTGAATAAATTAATTTAATATTTAAACATTCAAAGAGATTGGGTTTTATTTGGACAACGTGGTTCTCTCTACTTCTGTCATACTTTGAAAAGTGACAGAGAAAATGCACATACAAAATGGTGGATACCTTTCTGTGGTTCACATTTCTAAAGATTTTTACTAATGATATCAATGAATCTATACATGAATATTGGAGCTAATGGACCATGTTGGAAATCATGAATGATTAGGTTTTAAGTTCCAGACCACTTCCAAGTGGAATCTAAGAAACAATTGTAAGGTGAAGGTTACATTTTCTGTGACAGCTGTATGGATGTGTTCTATACTGGCTTCATAGAAAAAGTTAATACTATATTTGCCATTTAGTTAGAAATAATGAAGCTTTACAACCTCAGGACAATTTTAACAATTCTTGAAAAATATTTGCCAGTACATCTCTTCAGGCATACTCCCCTTGCTGAAATGAAATAAATTAGATCTTAGGGTTGTATGCATATTATTTGAGACACAGAAAGAGTGAAATACATTCATGGTAACTGAATCTATTATCTATTCCTTCTTAAGATAACTTTTATCAGGAGGTCTTTGCATCTCCTTTTTCTCTGTCCCTCCTTTCTTCATGTATTCTAAGGCATTATAAAAATCTCGTTTTTGGATCACTAGCCTTTGGGTCACGATTCTGTACTTCGACCTGGAATGAAACAAGAGTCTATTCATACCTACAATCGTCAAAACGCCTGCTGCTTCTCTTTAGCCTGTGGATCACTCCTGCCTTTAAAGGGGATTATCAAAACATTCAGCACTCTGAAGGACAAAGGCAGAAACCTGATAGAATAAATCCTGGCTCATAGCGCTGGAGTAGGAGTTCAGAAGCCCTGAGTGTGAATGATGAATGCCAGGCGTTCACGTTTCTCAGGGGGCCTGTGAGAAAGAAGGTAGGTGGGTTGGAGGGAATTTTGTTCCTGGGGATAAGACAGTGGCTGTGAATTAGTTCAGCAATATCAACCTTTTGTAGTCAGGATCAGCTGGGTCCTTCTGGCTCTCCCCTTCTCTGAGGGCTGCAGAGATTCCCAGGTCAGGGAATTGCAGCTGATAGGACACTTAAGCTCTCTGTTCTATCTACCAGGGGACAAGGCATCATCATTTCCCATTGCTTTTTTTCTTTCTCCGTGTTAAAAAATATTATTCAGACACTTGTTAAAACGGTAAGGCAGACTTTATTCAGGACTATTCCAATTGGTGCAGGGAAAACTGCAGTGTGGTTTTGCAGCAGGGGAGAAAGACTGGGCTCAACCCTGAATATAACAAGAAATAATGGGAAATCAAAGCCAAGGAGAAGAGTGGAGGAGAGGGGATCAGTGAACAGAAAATTTCTAAGAGGAAATCTCAGGGGTAAGGCGGGGGGTGGGGGTGGGTGGGGGGAGGTGGGGATCTGGCTAAATTGGCCTAACAGGATTCTTGCTGAAGATAAACCTGGGTGATCAAATTCACTGGGAGATGGTGGAGGATGAGAAATTGGATCAGATATTGAGGGTGATAAGATATTGATGGATTCTGGCAAAAGCAACTTGAGAGGAATCTTGCTAAAACTGGGCTCTTTGTTCAATTCCCACCTATAAGTGAGAACATGTGGTGTTTGGTTTTCTGTCCTTGCGATAGTTTGCTCAGAATGATGGTTTCCAGCTTCATCCATGTCCCTACAAAGGACATTAACTCATCCTTTTATATGGCTGCATAGTATTCCATGGTGTATATGTGCCACATTTTCTTAATCCAGTCTATCATTGATGGACATTTGGGTTGGTTCCAAGTCTTTGCTATTGTGAATAGTGCCACAGTAAACATACGTGTGCATGTGTCTTTATAGCAGTATGATTTATATGGGGAACATCACACACCGGGGCCTGTTGTGGGGTGGGGGGAGGTGGGGAGCGGGGAGGGGGGAGGGGGGAGGGATAGCATTAGGAGATAGACCTAATGTAAATGACCAGTTAATGGGTGCAGCACACCAACATGGCATATATGTAGCAAACCTGCATGTTGTGCACATGTACCCTAGAACTTAAAGTATTAAAAAAAAAAAACTGGGCTCTTGAAGGACATGCTCAAGAATGGGGCTTAATTGGACTCAGAGGATCCTGATTAAAATTTAGTCAAGGAGAGAATTTTTGTCAACCACATGTTTTTCTGTCTATTCTTTTTTTCCTTTACTAGTATTTGGTATTTTTTTCTTACTCGATTTGAATTTAGTTAGCTATTATTTATTATTACTAATACTTAACTCTAATCCATGTAGTATGTTAATTGCTTCATGTGCCTCATCTTGTTTAATCCTGACAACAAATTTGAAATATGGCTCCCTCTATCATAAATGAGCAAATGAGTTTCAGAAAGGTTCCCAAGATCTTACCTTGTCCAATAATATGTTGTTGGTGGGCTGGTTCAGGTTCTTGACTTTGCCACACAAAAGAATTTGAGAGCGAGTCCAAAGTCAGAGTAAACAAAGAAGCTTATTGGAAAACAAAAGTATACTCTGAGAGGCGAAGCAAGCTGCTCAAAGGGAGAGATGGCAGATAGTGCCTTAAGAGGAATTCTTTTTATGGGAGCTGTTCATACATACTCATACTGATGAGGTCAAGTATGCAAAAGCAGACCTGCAGTTGGAGCATTTGCTTAGCATCTACATGTTCTAACATGCATCACATGTATCAGTAGCATATAAAATCTCCACCTAGGGGTGTGTTTTTTACTGTTATGACATAAAGGTTACTATAAGCTAGACCCTGAGTCTAGTTGTGCATACGGGACCCTAGAGAAATCCCTAGCCCCCACAAGGCAGAAATTTATAACTAGTAGTTTCCTGGGCTTTCAGTGCTGATCGGCTGGAGATTGGGGGAGGTACATCACAAATAAAAGACTTTTGTTCCCTTCTCTAGGCCTTACTAGGTATTGAGAACATGTAACCATCTGGCGGTCTGGTGGTATCGTATAGGAATGCAAAAGAGTTTACCTTGCAAACTCTTTACCTTGCAAAACAGATGCTGACACACTAAGGTGACGCTAAGTTGCAAGGGACCTAGAGTCCACTGGGCTTCTTACAAAGGGAACAGCTAGTATGGCCTCCTAATCTTACTTACCTTGCCGCAGATACACAGATGGTATAAGACAGTCCTGGGATGTGATCCAGCCAGATTTTGCTGACTAAAAAGCCCACTTATTTACTATGACAGAATATGCAGGTATTTCATGTGTTAAATTTAAATGCGTTTAGACTGGCTGGTTATCTCTCAGACACCTCATTGCCTAAGCCAGGCATCAGGCTTGTATGTGTGTTGTATGTGTGTTGTATGTGTGTATGCGATATACCTATCTATAGATCTATATCTATCTATCTGTCTGTCTGTCTATCTATCTATCTATCTATCTATCTATCTATCTATCTATCTATCTATCTATCTATCTCCTTATCTCTCTATGTGGCGGTGGGGGGGAAGAGCAAGAGAGAGAGATATTAAGCGTAAGCCCTAAAGGAAAAAAAATTCCTAAAAGTGAAAACATAAGAGAGAACGAAAAGAATTGTTTTGCATAATACAGGAACAGGGAATTTAGGTTGACCCTGGCTGTTCAACAAAGTCTGGGGCCCTGGAATTTGGGAAGAAATAGGGGACTTGAAAGGTTTTTAGAAGGATCGTGGCCCAGGTTGAGACCTAGGAGGAGAATGAATAGTAAGAAAGAAAACCTTGAAGACAGGAAGGCCCAGAAACTTAAAAGTGTCAAATAATGCAATTTAGATTCGGTTTTGTTTTGGATTCTACCTCAGGTGTCATTCTCAACCTTCTAGGAGCCTACTGGGTAGAGGATGTGCTCTGGAGAATAAAGGAAAAGGAGTTCTCCATACTCCACACATGGGCTGAGTCAAGGAGCTATAAGAGGACCACAGGATGGTGTACAGAGCAATGAGGATCTAGCTGGGAGGAGAAAATTGGGGTAGAAATGATAAGAAAATCGAGGCTCCCTCCCCCAGGATGCTCAAAAATAATAGCAGCAGTGCAGGACGTCCCTCAAGCAAATAGGATAGAGAATGGGGTCAAGTTGCTTGGATATTAAAGAAACCCATGACCCCATAAGATTGGAATAGATAGGGTCAACTTAGGTTACAGGGTTTTCAGTGTTCTGAGAAAGTGAAGAGGTGCTTCTCCTCAGGCTTATTTTGGAACTTCTACTGGTTTTCCCAGTGAGAACATTTTAACAAATAATCCTGTTGCCGTCAGCCTATTTTATAAACACCTTTTGCTATCAACCTGTCGTGTAAATATGTGGTCAAAGAAAGATCAGTTCCAATGGGTTTTTTTCTTTATGGCATTATGTTCTGGAGGCGTGATATGAAGCCACCCCATGGTCTATACCACCTGCCTTTGTAAATGTTTTCTAAATTGTATTTCCTGAAATGTGTTTCAGGATGGATTCTCATTATCTCCAAATCGACAGTCAATTACTACGTTTTAAGGATGTCAGCACATCTGTGTTTCCTTGAGGAAATAGAATTAGATTCAGTAACAATAGTTAGCATTTAACTGGGTGCCTATGAGCCAGACACTCTTTCAAGTACCTTAGTGTTAGCTATCAAATACTAGAGGTTGCTACTATTCTTACTTCTATTTTACTGATAAAGAAACCAAGAGGTGTAGAAGTTAGGTCTTTTGAAAACGGTGTCATAGCAGCGATCAGTAGCAGACTTAGTCATACATTTAGGCTATCAGGTTCCACTCTAAGCCTATACAACCTCTTTTTTAAATTTTAATTTTTAGTTATTATAGATAAAAGTTGTACATATTTATGGGGTACAATATACACATATAAAATGCGTAATGTGTACATCCCCTTGATAAAATAACTTTGGGTTATTGGAAATAGTACAGTTTTTGATAATCCCATTTTATTGTTCTCAAGCCCTAAACTTTCAATAAAATATCTATGCTATTTTGTCAATGGTGGTCAGGAATGAATGTGTTCTGATGTTGGCCTTTGTGAGTTTAGGTTACTGAATACACATGAAAATGCTATCCATAGGATTTCAGAGACTGAAAAGATTAATTATCCCTTGCCCTCTGGTTATACTAGGAGCAATTCAAGCAAGACTTCTAGGTCGGCAAATATTTTTGGCTAGATAAGGAATTCTCATTCTTTTTTTTGTTATTACAGTGAAGGATGATTTTAAAACTAAGGTAACTGACAAAAATATAGGGTGCACTAGAATGACCCGAAAGGATTCTTGAAGATCATTTGGACATCTTTTTAAAAAAGACCATCTCTGTAAATTAGAAGGTACAAATGCTTTTGTTTTATTGGCTCACTGTGATGAAAACATGGCTCTAAAAAGATTAAGAAGATTGATATTGATGAAAAGATTTATTTAGAATATGTTATTAAATTTGAGGGATTCCTGTAACTATTGTTTCTGTGGTTTAGAGGATTCTCACTTGCTCAATTGATTTGGTGAGAACCGTTTTTCCATGTAGAGGTTTTGGCCTGGTTGTGGCTTGTGCTATGGGATGCTCCAGCATCTCTGCTTTCTGTCTTGAGAAAACTCAGTGACTAGCTTCATCAGTGATCCTTTGCCCTGCAGAAGTCAATCCTGTCCTAACCTCTAGTGTGATCTGTTTTAAGGAACTGGAAGAACGCTACTGGTCTGTAGAAGCTGCTGTCCAGTATTGTGCACGTTTTGGACTCCAGAGACAGAGAATGTAGTAGTAGAGAATTTGCAAACTAACTCTGACTCTAGTAATTCATATCAAGACTTTATGAGCAGAAAGTTGGTATACTTGCTTTCTACAGCACCCCACCCCCTCTGGTAAATTTTTTTATGAAAAGTGAGACTCATTTCTACTTCTACATTGGGTGATTTACTTAAATGAACCTTTCCTTCAAATTGTTGCACTGAATTCATTACATTAAATTCAACAGTTTATTGCACCTCTAGTATTTGCAATATGTCATGGAGGCAGATCTTGGTTTAGAGTACAATTTTTAATACAATTTAGCAAGAAAGACACATACTTAAATTTAATTCTGATACAAATTAACACTAAAGTTGAAGCATTAGAATTCCAGGCTGAGCTGGCCGGGCGTGGTGGCTCACGCCTGTAATCCCAGCACTTTGGGAAGCCGAGGCCATTGGATCACAAGGTCAGGAGATCGAGACCATCCTGGCTAACATGGTGAAACCCTGTCTCTACTAAAAATACAAAAAATTAGCTGAGCATGGTGGCGGGCACCTGTAGTCCCAGCTACTGGGGAGGCTGAGGCAGGAGAATGGCGTGAACCTGGGAGGCGGAGCTTGCAGTGAGCTGAGAGATAGCACCAGTGCACTCCAGCCTGGGCGACAGAGCGAGACTCCATCTCAAAAAAAAAAAAAAAAAAAAAAAAATCCAGGCTGAACTATGGAATTCACTTTGAATAGGTGTGGAATTAGATTGAGAGTTTTACATTTTTCTGAAACAGAAATACAGTTTGACCAGTATTTATGGACCAAGTACTTTGTTGTCATTGTCGATGTGCATGGATAAGGACAGCATACTTTATACCTGCTTTTCCTTTCTCTTCTAGTGTCTTGTATGCATTATGCACGTGACCATTCCTACTCTTTAAGTGTAGATTCCTAAAAATCAGAAAATCAGAAGAGACTGTCTTTACTAATTCCTTCTACATTTCATGGCCAGACTGTACCTCATTTGGGGCGCCTGTCCTATGAATGGGAGCAGCAACTCCCTACAGATATTATGGCAAAAGACAACAGGTTTATTTATGGTAGTGGAGCTGCTTTCTGCTTTTTCCCCTGAATAAACAGAGCTTGACCCTGGTCCTCCTCAGAGAAGTGGAGAAGGCAATTTTACATAACAAATTTCAGTTAGTTGTGCAAATGGAGAAGACTTGCTGTGATTTGCCTGAATCCAGAGAAGATGTGCAAAGTCTCAGTGTTTGCACCAATTTCAATTTAAGCTGCTGATTATCTGTATGTTTTTATAACATTTAGAAAAAATGAATTATTTTAATTACCAAGCCATAGGAATGCAACTCTGCAAGCTTTATTTAAATCCACAGTGCAGCCGTGGCAATCATTTCTGAAATAACTCTTCTAGTCTTGTTGCATTTATTTTTGTATTGAGATTTATTTTTTATTAAGTTCATCAAAGTCACTTCATAGATAGATGCCATATATATAATATATATATAGCATACATTTGCCACCATATATATATATGAGACACCATATATATATATATGGTGGCAAATGTATGATTGAAACCTTTCTAGTTGTTTTAAAGGAGTCTCATTTGTTGGCCAGGCACCTACAAATGGTGGCTCATGCCTGTAATCCCAGCACTTCGGGAGACCAAGGCAGGTAGATCACCTGAGGTCAGAAGTTCAAGACCAGCCTGGCCAACATGGTAAAACCTCATCTCTACTAATAATACAAAAATTAGCTGGGCATGGTGGCGCATGCCTGTAATCCCAGCGACTCCAGAGGCTGAGGCAGGAAAATCACTGAACCCGGGAGGCGGAGGTTGCAGTGAGCCGAGATCACACCATTGCACTCCAGCCTGGGCAACAAGAGCGAAACTCCATCTCAAAAAAATAAACAAATAAATAAAATAAAAATTAAAAAAGAGTCTCATTTGTCATATTTTGATGTGAAATTCAGAAATCAGTACAACATTATGAGTCAGGCTGATTTCTTTTTCCTTGTACTTTTCCTTTTTCCTTTCCTTTCCTTTTCTCTCTTGTCCTATCCTGTCTTGTTCTATCCTTTCCTTTCCCCTTCCTCCTTTCCTTTCTTCCTCCCTTCCTCACCCACTTATTTCTTCTTTTTTTTTTTGTTTGTTTGTGTTTGTTTTTATTGATGATGGAAGTGATCATGAATGGTGAGTGAACCACTGAATCATCTTTTGCTTCCTATGGGGATCTATCTTTCAGAAGTCAAACAGATAAATTATCATCTTGAAAAGAAAGTTATTTGTTATTTAGGATTTTTTTCTCTCTTCTCATCAATTAGCTTTTTTTTAAAATTTGACTTAAATTCTTCAAGTATGAAACAGCAGAAAAAAAAAGAGAGGCAATATTCTCTTATAGCTCCTTGGGACCATGCATGGAGTTCCATCACTAAGTGGTGATATTTCTTTTTAACTTTATTTCAGTCATCTAGTTTATTTCAGCATCATCTTGTCAATGTCCAGATCATCAGCATGTGGCATGTGCTGAACTGAGTTGCTTGCTGCTTCTGCATATGTCTGGTAGGAAACCCAATTTTCCGCATTTATGCCTATTACCCAGCATTCTTTCTCTCTTTTATTTCACTGGAAGGTAATTAAAATTGCTTTTGTCAACCAGTCTTCATGGGACTTTGGAGTTTTGCATAAGGATCTGGTGTTCACTATGAGGGATTCTGGGAGCTCTTTCTTTTTGACAAATCTAAATTCTAGCCCTGGCACCCTTTTCTCGATACCAGACATGTGGATAAAAGTAGATGTATGAGAGAGGGAAGGAAATATTTCTTATCCCTCATCAATTGAAAAATATATACCTTGTTCTAATCCTTTTATTTTCTGGAATCCCAGGACTGAACATGTATGACAGATATCTAATAACTGGAGGAATCCTGAGATTTTTCAGTCTGGCAGTTTTGATGAGTCACACAAATGAACATCTTCTCATTGCTTTTTCATATAGGGCATTATCATGTCCAATCCAGTTTTCTTAAAGCACACATGCAAAAATGAAATGGTCCTAAAAACCTGGTTGTTATGGAGAAGCATGTTTGTATCAGTATGAGACAAAATAAAATGTGATCTTGTGAATATCCTTGATAATAAATAAAATAATCTATGTTACCTATTGTGTTTCCCTTGCTTATAAACGTTTGAGAATATTTTGGGTTTATGCAGAATATATTGCAGTATTATCCATGGAAATTAACTAAGACGCAGCAAAAATGGAATTTAAGCAGTTTAGCCATCTCATAGTGAGAAAGTGTGCTGAAAACTATAACCCATCTTTGGATTATTATATTATGACAATGAGTTCATGGGAATGTGGAAATATTAATCTGATGCTAGTCATGTAACAAAGTCACTATTCATCAGAGTTTCATAGAATTATTACATTTCTACCGTGGAAAAACATTACTTCAGGTCTTCATTAGTATATTACAGGAAAATCAAAGACTAATTGTTTTTGTGTTAAAGCAAATTATAATTGTAGGTTGTTTAATATTTGCATTTGCCAAGGAAAACCGAGACACCTTAGCCTCTTCACATATAATAGATAATCCTTTATTTTGTAAATATGTTCATAGGCCAGCTTTAGTGACAAAGCTCAGAGACCAATTTCAACTTTCACAGCTAATAGAGGAAATGGATCTGTGGGGATAGTTGCAGGTATGGTTGGATCTAGGAGCTCAAGCAAGATCATGAAGGTTCTTTTTCCCTTTTTTCTCCTTTCTACTTTTTGTTTCTCCATTTCTTCTCCTGCTCTAAGCCCTGTGTGTCACTGCCTTGCTTTGGGTCTGGCCTCATTCTCTTCATGCATTGGGTAAGACGGATTCTAGCATTGTCCTATTTGTTCTGTGCCTCTCTTCCTTCCTCAGAAAAGAGAAGCAATACCTTCCCCCTCCCCATCTATCTATCAAAAATAGCGGCAGGGCACTGATTGTCCTTACTCGGTTAATGAAGCCATCCCCTTACCTACAAATTGAGAGGGGATAGTACATATTTGACAGTTCAGGTTTATGTGACATACTCACTCCCACAGGCCAGGAAGCAGAATGCTGTTGCTATCTACTTCATCCAGGAATTTTTAAAATAGTTTTTTCTGTCTATTTCTATCTGCTGACCTCCTTCTAAATAGACCATCTGCCAAAAAAAAAAAAAAAATTCAATCCGTGGAATTTATTAGCCATATATATGGATAACACACTTACCAAAAGCTGCCTAGGAATTACCTGAAATAATTCTGGATTGCTTTTGATGAAGAATAACGACTTCATAGAATAACAGTTTTTTTGTTTTTTGCCACATCAGCAAAAATAGTAGTATGAACACTTAATTTTTTTGCCCTTATTGTTGGCGATGATGATGAAACTGGTGGTATTAACAGTACCAAAGTATGGGAAAAAAAATCACTTAAGGTGAATGTTTGAGAATTCTACCTTAATTCTTTTTTTTTCTTTTTTTGAGACGGAGTCTCACTCGGTCACCCAGGCTGGAGTGCAGTGGCGCGATCTGGGCTCACTGCAAGCTCCGCCTCCCGGGTTCACGCCATTCTCCTGCCTCAGCCTCCCGAGTAGCTGGGACTACAGGTGCCTGCCACCACGCCCGGCTAATTTTTTGTATTTTTAGTAGAGACAGGGTTTCACCGTGGTCTCGATCTCCTGACCTCGTGATCTGCCCACCTCAGCCTCCCAAAGTGCTGGGATTACAGGCGTGAGCCACCACGCTGGGCCCCTTAATTCTGTTTACGTATTCATTTAACAAATATTTATTGAACACCTACCATCTGGCTGGGAATCATCAGTGATCAAGACAAATACAGCCCTTCCCTTACTTAAATGTCACTTTCTCGATGAAGCTTTGTGTGTCTGCTATACTGAAAACTACCACCCCTCTGCTGTGCTTTTACCCATCAGCATTCCCTATTCTCCTTTCCTGCCTTTTTATCTTTGTGGCAGTTACCATCATTTGATTGTATTTTACTTATGTATTCTTATCTCTTTTGATGAGAACTTAAGCTCCCTTAGAACAGAGAATTTTATTTTATTCTGAGTTATATTGTCAGCATCTAGGACTATGCCTGGCACGAGGAAATAAATAACAATATTTGTTGAAGAATTGATGAGGTCCTGCCTGTGGTCTCCCTCTGTTTCTGTTGCCTATGGATGGACACTAAGCATGCTAACTAGATAGATGCTGACCTCCTTCTGAGAAACAAAGTAAAGCAGCCTAAAGTAACAGTGAGTGATGGGAAAGGGGCAAATTTAGATTAGATGGCCAGCAAGGCCACCTTGCTGATGAGGTGATATTTGGTCCTGGATGATGTGAGAGTATGGTCCAGGCTACTTCTTGGGGAGGAGACTTCAGAGCAAAGGGAAGAACAGATGAAAAGCTCAGAGGTGGAATTATCCCTGGCTGTAGTGAAGGAGCAGCAAGATGTTTAAGGAGGCTTGGAGGAGGGTGGGAGGCAGTGAGAGGAAAAGAGAGAAGACATAGCATAGGGGCCAGATCAAGCATGCTGTGGTTAAGATGGGGTTTTACTCTGAGTGAGATAAGTTATAAAGACTTCTTGAGCAGAAAAGTGACATGACCTGACCCGCGTTTGCTGGGGCTATGTTTGTCAATCAAGGAAGAACAATAGTTGGAAGAAAGAACAATGGTCGGTGGCCACTGTGTGAGTCCAGGTGTGAGACAGAGGCTATGGACTCAATTTAATAGTGGTGCCAGCAGTGAAAGTAGATGCTGGGATTTTTTTTTTTTTTTTTTTTGAGACGGAGTCTCACTCTGTCGCCCAGGCTGGAGTGCAGTGGCATGATCTCGGTTCACTGTAACCTCCGCCTCCTGTGTCCCGGCTTAAGTGATTCTCCTGCCTGAGCCTCCCAAGCAGCTGGGTTTAAGGAACAAACCACCATGCCTAGCTAATTTTTGTATTTTTAATAGAGATGGGGTTTCACCATGTTGGCCAGGCAGGTTTCGAACTCCTGACTTCAGGTGATCCACCTGCCTTGGCCTCCCAAAGTTGGGAATATTTTTAAAGCTTGAGCTGAAGAAATTTCCTAATAGATTGGATGCAGAGTGGTAAAGAGCACACAAAGATGACTCCAAGGTTTAATTTGACTTTTTAAATTGAATTATTATATAAATTTACCAAAAAATTCATATCCCTTGAAACCAGTGAGTTCTGTTAACTCCCATTGTGTGGTTATACTTGAAAAACATCTTTAAGGAAATAAGTTATACTTTGTAATATTTGAAATATGAAAAGCCTTGCTAGAATGAGCATGTGAAATTATTGAAGAGATGAGTTAAGTTCTAGGATGTTACACCTTGAATAATTGATGACAAAATACTCAATCTTTAATATCTATGTACATCTGACAACTGCCCCATTTTTGATATTCTTGAATAGTTTGTTCTGCTCTGGAAAATATAGTTGCCATTTGTAGCACTGAGAGTTTTTGAATGGAGTGGCTGTTGACTGGGTGGGAGGAACAGGCAGTTTTGGGGGTAAGAAAAAAATTTCAGAATTTTCTATAAGGGAAGAAATTAATCAGTTTCAAGATTTAGCAAAATAAAAGAATGAATATTTGTAGACTGTGACACTAGCACATTATTGGAGCCATAGTTATGTCACGTGTATATCTATACAACTACATAGGCTATGTGTATAACTTCAATTGTGTATACAAGCATCCATGTTGAGATCTGGGCTCTAAATGTCCTTTAAAAACAAAATGTTATATCTGATTTTTTTTTTTTAGTATCAGTAGAAATCTGAGTCTAATGATAAGCCAATTATCTTAAAAGTGTTTTAAGAGATCTCAGAATTCAAATTCCACTGTTCAAGTATCAAATTTCTTTTTAAGCATATTTAGGTGAGATAAAATAATTATATTCTTTTAGCAAAAATGGGAAAAAAGTCATAACATTTAAAATTATAGTCATCTCAAATATGAAACATTTTAAACTCTTCTAAATTCTTGACAAATCTGGCCAGGCACAGTGGCTCATGTCTGTAATCCCAGCACTTTGGGAGGCTGAGGCAGGCGGATCACTTGAGGTCAGGAGTTCGAGACCAGCCTGGCTAACATAGTGAAACCCTGTCTCTACTAAAAATACAAAAATCAGCCGGGTGTGGTGGCACATGCCTGTAATCTCAGCTACTTGGGAGGCTGAGGCACAAGAATTGCTTGAACCCAGGAGGCAGAAGTTGCAGTGAGCTGAGATTGTGCCACTGCACTCCAGCCTGGGCGACAGAGTGAGACTTCATCTCAAAAAAACAAAACAAAACAAAAATTATTGACAAATCTTCTCCTTGATCATAAATACATGCATTTAAAAATTATGTTTGGTTCAATACCCTTTTGAATCAGTTGATGTTTTTTAGATAGCGTCTCTCTCAGTTGTCCAGCCTGGAGTGCAGTGGCACCATCACAGCTCATTACAGCCTAGACCTCCAGGGCTCAAGCAATCCTTCCACCTCAGCCTCCCAAGTAGTGAGTAGCTGGGACTACAGGCATGCACCAGCATCACCAGCTAGTTTTTGTAATTGTTATTATTTGTAGAGATAAGTCTCACTCTGTTGCCTGGCTAGTCTCCAACTCCCGGGCTCAAGCGATCTTCTCACCTCAGCTTCCCAAAGTGCTGGGATTACAGGCATGAGCCGCCACTCCCTTCTGAATCAATTTTTTAAACTCCATTCAGACACTAATTGATAGCTGTACTCTCTAGTTGCAGAAGTAGACCATTTGACATGATTCTTTAGGTAAATGAGAGCACTATTCCTTTTTTTTTTTTGAAATGGAGTCTTGCTCTGTCGCCCAGGCTGAAGTGCAGTGGCGCGATCTCGGCTCACTGCAAGCTCCGCCTCCCAGGTTCATGCCATTCTCCTGCCTCAGCCTCCCGAATAGCTGGGACTACAGGCACCCACCACCACGCCCGGCTAATTTTTCCGGCTAATTTTTTTTTTTTTGTATTTTTAGTAGAGACGGGGTTTCTCCGTGTTAGCCAGGATGGTCTCGATCTCCTGACCTCGTGATCCACCCGAGAGCACTATTCTTAAGAAGTGGTTAGTCTAACAATACCTTACAGGCCAGTTAAGCCAGGTGAAAGGGTCCTCAAAAGGATAGCAGGACAGCGATGAAGGGAAGTCAAGTGTCTGTCTCTCTCGACCATTCTGCCTGCTTCCACAAAAAATCTGGAAATGTCTTGCCCTTTGCCAAGTGTGCATAGGGATGACTAGTTCAGCAACTTGTGGCAAGTTGCTGGAAGATTGTTTATTTATGTTTGGCTGAAGTTTGTTACTCACAGTTACTCTTTTTGGTCTTATGTCCTATGTCTGATAAAATTCCCTTATCTAAGAGCAGTGATTTCGAGGATCTTCCTTGTGTCTGATTTTGCTTTGAGGGTTGGATAATCCTATAGATTCCCATCTCTTCTTTACTCCCACACAGTTTTATTATAACATCATGTTTGTTTTTCTAAATTTCCTGTGTTTTCTAAATTTGGAGCCTAAGAACTATAAACAATTAATACTCTATATGAGTATATCTTAGGATACTGTGGTTTCAGCTAACAGCCACAATAACTTTAGGAAAATAAGTTGTCTTAAAACAGTAATCAGTAGGATTTCCTAAATACTGTTAAAAAGGAAATTAATTGATTTTGATTTATGAGAAAATTTTTAAGCTGTGTTAAAATTTTGTCTAAAAAGCACACACAATTAGGAGTGATGGCAAGTTACCTTGCTTTTAACTTTATTTTGGTGGTACCTTATTATAAACTAAATATATTAAAAATGCCAATGTGCTTGTAAAAGTAATTTTTATTGTAATATTACAGTGAACCTTTTGAGTTGAATTCTTCATCGCATAACCATAATTTCTATGTAAACTCCATGGAGAGTTAGGGAATGAAATGAGGCAGAAATTGGGCCACTAGAGTTTTAAGCTAAATTTCATTTCAGAGAAAGCTGAGACACTTTCATTTTATCTTGTGCTAGTAATCAATCCAGAAAATGACAAGAAAAGCACTTCTTAGAGCTATCAAGAAATTAAACTTTTTCCTAGCCATTTTTCTTCTTTGTTCTCTTTCACACTGAAAATATCCAATTATAGAAGTGACCGTGACAAAACTTGATAATGTTATGAGATCCTTGGGGTGTCACTTCACCAGCTGGAAACTTCTGTGGCCAGTGGCGCCTTTGCCTGAGTTTTGCTCTTGCCCACTGGGCCCTCTTGACCTGGCAGGCTGAGCTCAGCTCATGCTACCAGCCTGGATCCCATATCTGCCAAGGGTGACTGAAGTGGTGAGGGTTGTGTGAGTGAGTGAGCATGGGGTCCAGCCACTGTGCGCAGCCAAGCATGCTGGCTGCGGTGGGGTGGGCAGCTCCAGGCACCATCACGGGTGCCACCTCCCTGTGAGGCTGCTGCTGGACCAGGTGTACAGCAAGCAGCTTCCACAGCTGGCACTGGGGAATGTGGTGGCATTCAGAAGCTTGGAGAGACCAGAAACTGCAGAACCCCAAAGAGGGTGTCACAGCCCTGGCTTGGGAGCTAAGTCTGGGCTCCCTGAAGGGCCACTGCCCTTCTCTCCCTGTTGCCTGCAATGTGGCGAGCAAGGGGGTTGTTTCAGCCCTTTTTGTGTTACAGCTCTTTCAGCCCTGCCATTCAGCAGAACCTGAGTTCTTGTCCTGCAGCCAGGAAGAATGAAGTATGCAAACAAGTGGAGAGTGAGCAAGGCAAAGAGGAGCTTTATTGAGTTATAAAACAGCTCAGAGGAGACCCACAGTGGGTAGCTCCTTTCCTCAGGCAGGGTGTCCTGACGAGTGTTCAGCTGTCAGCAGAGAGGTGACCCTGGAGTGGTTAGCTCCTCTCCACAGGTCCATTTTTCCATTGTCTTCTCACCTCTCAGCAGAGAGAAAACCCTGGTGGGTAGCTCCTGTCTACAACTGGTCATTCCATCATCTTCTCAGCTCTCAGCAGAGAGGAGACCCTGGTGTGGGTAGCTCCTCTCCACAGCTGGTGGTCCTGTCATCTCTTTTCAGCTCTCAGCAGAGGAGACCCTGGCATGCATAGCTCCTTTCCACAGCTGATCATCTTGTGATCTCTTTTTAGTTCTCAGCAGAGAGGAGACCCTGGGGGTAGGTAGCTCCTTTCTGCAGCTGGTGGTCATGTCATCTCTTTTTGAATCTGGCTGAGTTCTGGGGTTTGTATGGACTTCAAAGGAGAGGAAGTGTATGCTGATTGGTTCATGTAAGGCCATGGGTAGGCCCAGAAAAAACATAAGTTCCCACTCTGCAGAACTGGTAGCCTTGCCCCCAGGCTTCAGGCCTTTCCCCACTTGAAGGTGGGGCTTCACCAGGCACCTGTGTCTTTCCACCCAGGAGCCTATCTGCCTCCTGCCACTGTTCATGATGCCAAGACTGTTTGTGCTGAGTGGTGCCAGCAGGCCAGCTCTGAGCTGCCCTTGGCCTCCATCCCATGCTCCTCGGTGCCCAAAGTCTGGAGGAGTCCAAGGCAGCAGGGGGCTGGTGTGTCAGTGCTGCCCCAAGAGTGCACATACCTAGCCAGGTTGTGACAGCACTCAGGCTCAGCCTCCACTTTGCTCTGAGATTGGAGTGGGCGCTTGGAGTGGGGAAAGGCCAGGCAGAAGGAGCAGGCACCCTCAAGTGCTTGGAGTAGGAAGAGGCCAGGCAGTGGAAGGGGAGGGCTTCCAGGGCTCCTGAGAGTGCAGAGATGCTCAGATTTACAGCCACAGATTGGGCAGCTGTAGGTGTGCCCGGGAAGGTGGGGCTCCTGCCTACTTCCAGCCCCCAAGTGCACAGGCATGCCCAGGTCTGCAGCCACAGCTGGGTGCCACAGCTGCACCTGGGGAGTGCAAGGCTCCTGCCCTGCCAACTCAGAAGGGGGTGGAGCTTCCGCCTGTTCCTGGCTTTTGCTGACTCCATGGTGGCAGCCCCGGCCAGTCCTCTCCCGCCGCATGCGGCATCATGGCAGCAGCCACTCCAGATGGGCTGCCACTGGCATCAATAAGATGTTTACTAAAATTTCTGTAAAGAGAGCCACTCACAACTTTATATTCATCTACAGGAACCCTCAAATAAATTTAATCCCCATTTGGGATTATCCCTCAAATGTAGCTCTGAGTACTTATTAGTTATTATTCTGGCATCCCTACATCTAATAAGATATAGAGTAGAGTCCACACGGTCTCCAGGAACCAGCCAGCCTGTAAATGAGTGAAGTCTTCTGGTGATATATCAGCACCATGATAAATGACCCCACCCAAGGTGATGTCAAAATGTTAACAATAGTGAGGGGGACAGACCATGGCAACAGGAACAGCTTCTGTCCTTTCCTTATGAGGCAGCTACTAGTCAGCTCCAGCTAATTGTGACTGTATAGGAATGGTGGCCTAGAACTGCTAGAACTGTTAAGTAAAAACTCTCATTTTAACAGACATATTCTGATTTTTCAATGTTGTTAATTGATTTAAATTTTAAAAGACTGTATGTGGGCTAAAAGGTTTCATTGACAAGTTTGAAGGAAAAGCCCAACTAGATAGAATCTTGTGGTAATTCTAGGAAGTGTGTGGAAGATGGAGGGAAGAAGGGCAAGGGTGCAAACAAGAAGATAGTTTCAGACTGTCCAGATGGATTATAATGGTGGCGAGTACTGGAGCAGTAGAAAGCATTCTGGAGACAGAAAAAATGAAGAATAAAGAGTGGGCTAGCGACTTCCAGGGGATAGAACAGGTAGGACCCAGAAGCCAATTGTATATGGATAAGAACTTATAGAAGAATGGAAGTTTCAAGTTTCTCTAGGGTCCCAGAAAAAAGAAACTGCTAGGGCTCAGGTGGAATGTGCATATTTTTAACAATAATCTGAAATCCAATTATCTGCCTTCTGCAAGTGCAGACACCACTCCTGCACACACAGAATAATTATACTACCTATGGGCTCACTTTTTATTTTTCAATCAGAGGATGCGCTGGTACCATTGCTACATTTGCTTGAAAGGTCACAGCTTCAGCGGTTTAGACACTGGAAAACAAAGATGAAAATAGAATGCCAGAGTGATTTTGTAAAACAGATTGAAGAAAAGCTAACGGAGGTCAGACTGCAGTCACTGGCAGGAGAGAAGACTGAGAGAGACAAAGTCATAAACTAAAAACTCTTATGTAGACTGTCATGCTAGAAAAATGGGAAAGCGGAGATACAGGGGTGATTCTTCCCTTTCTGAGTTAGCTTGATACCGAAAATTGAACAATAGACGGCTCTCCATTGAACTCCCTGTAGGGGGAAGATTCTGTCTGTTGCTTAAAGACGATGTTTAAATGACCTTTAAAATCCTGGGAGTATCTGTCATCTCTAGTCAAAGACAAGAATAAGAAGAGTTGGCAGGGGCAAATGATAGAGCAGGGAATGAAAATCAACAGCCATTTCCATTCAATAGTATTCATTGGAAACTGTCAGATACAAGAAAAGGCCCTAATGATCCAATATTGATTAAAACACAGTCCAAACTCTCAAGGCAGATACACATTTAAGTATCTAATAGAAATGAAATAGAACAAATGTTGTATTAGCACTCTTAGAGAGGGTGAGCTTCAGAGTCCAAAGAAGAAATAGGGAGATCCAAGTGGCCATGTCCAGTTGTTGGAAAGAAGGGCCTGGTTTCCAAAAGAGATGTCAAGGCTCAACACAATCGCTTAGAATATGGTTTAGGAGTCAATTCTAGCAAACATTAGAGATGACTGGTATTTCTCAAAGAGCAAATGTAGAGTACAAAGAATGGTGTGCCAAGGGTAGAGCCCAGACAATTATCAAAGTCTGGTAGACAGAGGTTTACTAGATTCACACAGGATAGGCAATGCCTTTGTCATTCTTCACCTGTACACTGGGGGGAATTTAAGCAATTGGGGTCATAAACACTCAAAAGGGGAGAAGACCAATGTAGATTTGGGGATGATTAAGTTAAATATAACATTGATGGAAAAAAAAGTAAAAACTCTGCTCTGCAATTAATATGTGGGATGAGAAGCAGTTTGACATTCAACATAATTGTATATGTTGTACCGAATCCCCTCCATTTAGCTATCTCATCTTGTAGGTTTAAATTCTGTCTCAACTCCTTCATGAAGCCTTAGAAAATCCAGTAAACAGATTGTTAATTTTTGCACTGCTGAGTGCAGGAGCAGTTATGTCTGTCCCTTTCTTGATACTTACCGTTTTATCATCTTGCCTTATCAGCTTGTGCGTATATGCCTGATTACTAGGGTGATGGTTATATGTGGGCACTCAAACTGGAACACTTTGGAGAGTGAAACTTGGGAAGACAGAGTGCTATTGGGGCTATGAACAGTTACTGAGGACAACAGGCATAAATAGACACTGCCCTGAGCAACCTAGGCTGTGTGATCACTGAACTTATTACCATTCCCGGGTCATATGGTTCTTCTATCGTCTCAAGGCCTTGCACAGAGCAGCACTTAATGACAACATTAGATGCTATTCAAAGGACCATGGATGGCACATGACCCCAAACTCTTTATTTGACAGATGAATAAACTGAGGTCCAGGGAGGTTAAGTGACTTGCCTGTGGCAGCCCAGCTAGTTCTTACCTTGAAGGTTTGTTATCTTCATGCTTAACCTTGTTTTCTTATGGATACCCTAGACAGATAGCTTTTCTCAGATATTCCCCTATGTTTATGGCCTGGTGGATTAATAATGTTTTCTTGATTCTGGTCAGATTCTGATGTGTAACTTTTGCATGATCTGAATGTTTCTGTTGTATCCTTCCAATTCATGTGTTGAACCCTAATAAGTAATGTGATAGGAAGTGAGGTTTTAGGAAGTGATTGGGTCATGAGGGTGCTCAGAAAATGTTAATTGAATTAACAAATGATCATGGAAACACTGATTTCTATAAATGAAAAGGGACTTAAAAATAATATAGTCAGTTTCTCTAATAAGTAGGAAGAAACAAGCTCAGAAAATATTATATGACTTATTCAAAGGTCAATCAGCCACTGATAAACCCAGATGAAAACTTAGTTCTCCTGGGTCTTTCATTTCCCAGACCGGTGTTTTGCCTACAATGTCCCACTGCTTTGAAAGTGATTGACAGTAAAATATTAGAGCCCTATATTTTAAAGTGACTTCATAATCATTTTTGTTTTTTCTTACAACTTTCCAAATGCTGCCTTATGTTACTGAACTCCCCACTACAACCCTATGAGTCTGGCAGGAAGCTGAACAGTTTTACAAATTAGGCAATCAAGACTCAGGATTTAAGTGACTTGGACTGAACTGGCTCAATTTCTTCAAATATAGAGAGTACAAAGAAACCTGGTCAATCTTACTACTGTCCTTGAAAGAATGTTTTTTCCTAATTCAGCAAGGCAAAACTGTTAGCAAAAGTGTTCTTCAACAAGGGATCTGTGATTGTATGTTAAAAAGCTTTCTCTAAGGTACTTATCACTTAAGTAACAATGACCTGATTCATTTTTGTTTTTTGTGGGGAATTGTAACAGTAAGGAAATCATGGTTCTTCACTGTTTTAGTGAGATAGGTGAATTTTGGAATTGTGTACCAACTGAGGTAAGGCAAAAGTCTACAGTAAAACTGTTAGAATTCTACTTAAAAATATGAATAGAAAATGCAGAAAATCAGTAAATAAAAATAAATCTACAGACCAGTTGCATGCAGAGTGAGTTTGAATGTGTCATGTATGATGCTGAGTTACTGATGTGACTCTGAGCACATGTGACTCTGTGGGCTCACCCCATAGGACTTGGTATTCTCTGCTGGGTTCACACTATCTCTAATTAGGGAACATTTAAGCTTATGTTTACTGTGTTAGAGAACATCGACTTAAATCTACCCTATTAACAAATAGAGTTTCTCAGGTTGTTTTGTTGCTTTGCTCTGCCGAAGTTCAATTTAGACCATTTCTAATTAAATTAAACGTGAATGAGAGAAGACTGTTAGAAGAGGTAAACATTCTCAGTTCTTCCAGAATTCTTCCTAAAAAGTAGCTGAACCACCCTTTCCCTGGGGTTTAGCAGAGATTGTGAGTTGCCTCATGGAAGGCAGGGGCCATGCTTTATTGACAATATTTATTTCCAGAACCTCAATGAGGACAAAGCTTATAAAAAGCATTCAGTACACACTGGCTGAATAAACCAATGAGCTGCAGTCTGGAAGCCTTCCCGGGACAGACTCTCTGGACTTTAGTAAAATAGAGAGCTTCCTTGGAGGTCCCCACACACTTATCTTGACAGTGACCTTATTGGTTTGTAATGAATTGTTGATGTTTCTTTCCCACTAGAAAATTATCTCCCAGAAGTTATTTTTTGTCAGCTGTGAATCTCTATAATCTGTGAACACACACACACACACACACACACACACACACACACACATATTAATTGAATTGTAGAGGTTTTTTATGTCTAGACTTCTTATACTAAGAGGGTACCATAGACAGCATATAGGCATGAAACAATTAACTCAAAAGCAAAAATTTTATTAAGACAGAACTGAGACGAGGGTTCCAGTATCTTGAGAGTCTCCCCTGGCCAGTGTTTCTTGTCTCCTTCACCTATGCACCCATCTGACAATTTAAAAAACTAAAGCTTGGAGATTCATGTTGGCAATTTTTTATTATTAGTGTACGTGGTATATATAGCTTTTCCGCAATTTGGTTGGAGAAATGTTTTGCTAGCTTCCCAGAAACTAGCAGCCTTCACCAAAGTGGGGGCTGTCTTAAGGTGTGCCCCCTTACCTTGGGATAAAGCTATGTGCTATGGAATCACACAAGCCCGTGTTTGTATTTTTTTCATTTTAATTTTTAAACACTTGCATAAAATTAAGGGGTAAAGTGCAGTTTGGCTTCATGGATCTATTGCTTTAGGGGAAGTCTGGGCTTTTAGAGTGACCATCACTTGCATAATGTACATTGTACCCATTAAGTAATTTCTCATCCCTCAACCCCTTCCAACCTCCAACCCTTCTTAGTCTCTAGTGTGATTGTTCCACACTCTACATCCACATTATTTAGCTCTCCCTTATTTAGCTCCCCTGTATACATTATTTAGCTCCCCCTTATGAATGAGAACATGCAGTGTTGGATTTTCAGAAAGCCTTTCTGAGCCTTGGTTTTCTCATCTGTGTAAGTGGGATTTGAATGCCTTCCTGAGGGACTCTCAACCCTAGCTTAACCCCTCTCCTCTCCTCCCTCCCTGCACTAATGCCTGTGGCTCTCTTCTGTCTGCTAGGGTGGGATCGAAAGTTAAAAATATCAGCATATTTCAACCTTATTTCAGTTTTCTTGACATTGTTTTAGAAACTTGAGTGTTACTCCTCCCTTTACCACAGCTAGGTTATCGTGTTCTTTCACAGTGCTTTTAGTGTTTTTTTTCCTATGTCATTATGTTCTGTGTTAGTCTGCCCCGCAAGACTCTAAGCTTTATGATGATTAGAGACTTTGTCTGCTTTATTTATGCATGCCTAACAATCAGTTTTGAATCTTGCACAAATGTTGAGTGCACGGTTAATGAGGGAATATGTAGTGTTTGGGTTAAAAGGCATGAGCTCCACAGCAAGCCTGAGCGTGGAGTCAGTGAGCTGAGGTGAATGGGACCATCTCCAGTTTCAAGATGATCTTATCGGGATCAAACTGATGTAAAAAATCTTATTTTGTACTACAATAAAAGTTTAAAACTGAAAAAAAATCATGTAATTGAAATTAAATGAGCTTTTTTTGTTTTCTGTGGTTCATAACAAAATACTTGAAACTGGGCAGTTTATAAAGAAAAGGAATTTATTTCTTACAGTTATGGAGGTTGAAAAGTCCAAGGTTGAAGGGACTTCTTGCTGGTAGGGACTCTCTGTAGAGTCCCGAGGTGACACAGGGCATCACACGGTGAGGGGCTGAGCATGTTAGCTTAGTTCTCTCTTCCTCTTCTTATGAAGCCACTGGTCCCATGCCATTAAAACCCATTAAACCATTAACCCAGGAATTAAGTTTCAACATGAGTTTTGGAGGCGACAAATATTCAAATCATAGCATTGATTTGAATATTTGTAGGGCTCTACAACAAGGCCACTGTGTCACCCAGGTTAGTAACCAATAAAACATACATTTTTCATTAGTGTCTCTCAGTTGCTGAAGTATGAGGACCCTGACTGATAGCTTTCATCTGTATTATTGGTGGTCGGGATGATATTATTTTATATGTCCTAAACAGCACCAAATATAAAGATCTCTATAATGTCCTTAAATTTTTTTTTTAATTTAGCTTTTAAAGTTATTTGAGGTTTGTAGATTTTGCTGTTTATCTCACAAAATAACTCTGTTTCAGTTACTCTGTCTTGGACTTACTATTTTCACCAGTTGAAATGTGTTGTAGGAATACTGGATGGAATTCAGCATATGTAAGTTCTAGGCCCATTTTTCTTTTTTAGCAAATAAGCTTTGCCATTATAGTTACATTTACATTACTTATGCCCTGAAGGCCTAAGTCTTATTTGTGTAGTGAATAGGAACACACACACACACAGACACACAGACACACACACATTTATCAAAATTTGATAATATGTAATTAATTTAGTATTATCAACTTGGGAATTACTGAATTCTTTTGCTGTGCATAAAGATTATTGAAGAGCAGCATCTACTCCCTTAGAATTTTCACATCTAGTATTCTTTCTTTATATTGTTAAAATAATTTTAATAATGATCTAAATTGGATATAAATTCAGGTAATTATTGCCATCATTTTGTATAAGTACTGTCGTATCTGGTACTAGTTGTCTCTGACAGCAAAATAAAACATGATGATCAATATTTTGGATTGATTTTTTTCTGCTGGGACGATGTGAGCATACACTGATTAGAGCTGATTTTTGCTGCTGATCAGTCTCTATGAGGCAAAATTTCAATAATTGTTTTGTTTTTAGGTGACTTTCTTCTCTGATGTCCAGACTGATTTGCAGATTGCAAAGATCCACTCTTATAATAGAAAGAGATGCCATTAGATTAGAAAAAAAGCCACTTATCACAGGAATTACGTGCTAACACAGTGGTTCACCTTAATGTTCTCTCTTTATAATGCCCCCTTTCAAGATGTGCATAATTGATATTGCCATAAGCACTCTCCTATTCTTTTTGCACAGCTAAAAGAATAGAGTGGATTAGAATACAGAGTAAAGTCTCAGGATTGCACAACAGAATTAATCCTGTTCTATGTCATAAAATATTGCATTCATTAGAAATGAATATTTTCATTGCAAATGAACTGAGACCGGCAGGTAGACGGAGTGATTCCTTTTATTTTGTTTCTCTTAGAAGGAATGATTCCAACAAATGGTAAAAATACAACTAAGGTTTGGCATGTGCCAATCACCTATTTCACAATGTATTTTTTAGAGGAAAACACACACACACACACACACACACACACACACATATATGTATATCACAAAGTAACCCTTTTCTCTTGTGGCAGTATCTCCTTAGGTCCCATTCATTTTTAGAACCCACATGTATTCTTAGCACCCTGTGATACTTGCTACCAGAGTGAACATATTTTCCCAGCCACAACCTGATTGCATGTTCTGGATTATACTCATATTCTCCAGAAATAATTTAAGGATTGAGTTCAATAATCGTGCTCCCGAGGTGGGTGCCATCTGAAATCTAACCCATAATGTTTACCTGCGGTGATGATCAAGAACCTCTCTTGAGAGAATTAGGCCCTTAGGGATATTTTAGAGCAACGTTTAGATTTTTTAAATAACAAAAATCATGATCAAGAACATCTGTTGAAAGAATTAGGCCTTTATGGATATTTTAGAGCAATGTTTAGATTTTTTAAATAACAAAAATGCTAATGAGAATGATGATGGATTCTGCTTGTTGAGTGCTTTTTGTCTTCATAAATTTCCATGAGAAAGGTGTTAATGTGTCCATTTTATGAATTAGTCATCTGACACTCAGAACACCTAAATAACTTGCTGGAGGTCACACAGCTGGGTGAGCGACGGAGCCAGAATTTGACCTCAGCACTGCCTGATTATGAAGCTGTGTGTTCTGTCTGCTTTCAGCTGCTGCCTCTTATTTCCAGTTCCAAGGTCAGTCTAAAACAGTCCTCCCAAACACCCACATATGTTGAATCCTTATGCTGAAGGCAGGTGGTGCCATGGGCTTTTCAGGGTGAGTGGTTTATTTTTCAAGAAGCACAGAGAATTAATTCATTAAGTGGAACTTGAGAGGCTACTCAAATATCTGAGCTGCTGAGAAGTTCAACCTTTTTAATTATCTGGAGTGAGACTTCCCACAATGTTAAACCTTCAGAATGGTGCCAGACTCAGAAGCTCCTCTGCAGTGATTCTGAATTGACAGAATACAGTCAAATAGCCAAGATGAAGTCAAGATCTGAACATTCCAACCAGCGTGTTGCAATGGTTCTGCCACACAGGAAAAAGGAAAGGCGGGCTTTTGTTGCTAGTGAAGGGATAATGACCAATTAAAAAAATAAAACTGAGCAAAGAGAGACAAAGAAGGAAATGAGACAGGGAAAGAGAGAACATAGAGATGAGCATAAAAATTGCAGAGAAAGTGAGTAAATGTAGTGTCAGAAAAGATAAAAAAAGGTGAAATATTTTGTGTAAGGGATGACAACAGGGTGTCAAGTGACAGCTATTCTAAGAGCACAAAAGAAACCTGAGACTAAAGAAAGAAATCATTTTTGTGATTAAGAGAAGGATTAGGAAACAAAAAACAATTTAATTATTACAGATAATATTGCTAAGTATTTTCGTTACACATATGAAGTACTTCTGCGTGTGATATTTCATTTAATCCCCTCACAATATTCCTGCGTAATTGGTTAAGTGGATATTTCAGACTTTATTTCAGAAATATAGAAACTTAGTGCTTGATTTGTCTAGTTTCTAAAATAAGTGGTAGAGTTGAAACAAGAAAATGTGTGTTTTTTTTCACTAGGTGCTGCTAGACATCCTTGTGTGATGTTAAAAGTACATCTGCCATAACATGGCTTTACCACGTATGCTTGGGGGCATTTAATTACTGGGCTAGTCTGGTCTTCTTTTGAAATACCCCTAGGGGATAGCGACATGTAAAAAGTGCAGCACTGAGTGTATTTCAACTATTGCATTTTACTAACCTGAGATTGTCAGGGTGCTTTTATTATAAAATGGAGATCAAGTATGGAAAAAAGGTATTACTTCTGTTACTACCGCTTTGGTGGTTATAGAAGGTGATGAACTGAAACATCAGGACCTGTGGATTTTGCAACAGAGACAAGGCCAAACTGGCTCACCTGCAGAATAAACAAAGGGTAATGTCTATAAAGAGAATTGTGAATAACGGTGCTTATCTGTTGTTCCTGTCTACCCAGGATCTCTTTTCTCATCTTCTTGGTTGTGAATACATTAGGTGGGGTTGACTCATCTCCCCTTCTCTATCCAACATAGATTGGCATATGCTTTGCACTGGGCCAGTGTTCTCCTTGGCTACTTTCTGCCAGAGTACATGGAAAAAACAGGTATTGCTCAGTTGTATAGGGATCTGGGGTTGCCACTTACCATTTTATCCATGCCATGGTGGGAGCCTGATGGAAAACCCAGGACAGGTGGAGCCCTTGGCCCCACTGATTGAGCCTCCAGAAAATAGGATCGCCTGAATCCTTGGACTTGCCATTTGGGGTAACAAATAAATCCTCAAGCTAGTATAAGTTGAGATCTGGTCACTGTAAATCAGTCAAATACAAATGCAGGTAGCTGGTGCATCATAATAATAACCAACACTTATTGAATGTATGCTATACTAGTAAGCATTCTTTAATCACTTCATTCTCGCAGCAATCCTATGACGTGCATGTCCATTACTGTCTCCATTTCACAGGAAGAAACAGAGACAGACTTGTTAGATGACTTGTTAAAGATCAGAGATAGGAAGAAGCAGAGCTGGGATTTGAACTCAGGAAGTCTAGCTGTACTCTGTGAACTCTAGTCATTCTCTATCTCTCTTTGTGTATATCCCCTTGCCATATATGTGTAAATGCCTTTATCTTTCTATATGTGTATCTATATCTGTCTGTATGTTATCTCTCTGAAATATGCAAATTATTGGCAAGAATTGAATTTATGTTACAAATTAGAACATTAATGTTGGTTCTGTGCATGGAAATTAGTATCTCAAATTTCATCCCAGTGTCATGGACAAGAATAGAAATTTCTATTAGAGCTTAAAAAGAAACTATAGATCTATGAGTGTTTTGAAAAGAGCACAATAGGAAAATTAAAATAAGTATAATATTGAAGCATCCATATTATATGACATTAAGTCTCAGTAAGAGACTGAGTTAGCTGATCAAATCTTTTAGCAGTAAAAACAAAACAAAACAGACAAAAAAACAGAGGCAATCACGTATAAGCACTAGGGCATATTTAATATGACTGTTATTGAGGAGAAGACTGCAGTTGGGAAGAATCTTTGAACAGATACTTACTAAAAACTAAAATATTTTGTGAGTCAGAACATTTAGCCAATCCAGCTACTAAGATATTTCAAAGTCGAATGAGTTATCACAAAGCTAGAAGACAAAAAACACTGTACTGGGGAAGCTGTCTAATTTAGTTAATCCAGTTAACTAACTTAGGCAGTTAGTGAGTCTGGTGCCAAGCTACATGTCGAATCGAAAGGGTTAAGTTTTTCACCTTGCATCACTGATATAAGGTGCTCGGAAAAGTAAATTTTATTACTAAGAAGTGTCAAGCTCCTATGTAACTTCCTTTTGCAAGAAAAAAAGCAAGAAAAGTAGGTAAACACTTAAAAAAATCTGCTCTTATGCTTTTGGAAAAAAGAATTTTCTAAGAATCGTGGTTATGATTTAGGACAGAGGTAAGCAAATGGGCCAAATCTGGCCCACCACCTGTTCTTGTAAGGCCTGTATACTTGGAACGATTTTTATGTTTATAAATGGTTGATAAAAGTTACAAGAAGAATAATATTGTTACTTGTGAAAATTATATGAAATTTAAATTTTAATGTCCATACATAAGTTTTATTGGAATATAGCCACACTAATTTCCATATTGCCTATGACTGCTTTTGTGCTATGCCAGCAGAGTTGAGTAATTGTGGTAAAGATTGTATAACCTGCAAAGCCTAAAACATGTACTGGTCCTTTACAGAAGCAATTTGCCAACCCTCTATTTGGATAATAGAGCAATGGTATTGGGAGGTACTTGAAATGTTGTAAGGAAGCAGAGTTAGTGCCTAGAAACAAACAAAGTGACAAATAAGTAAGTATATGTGGGTAGGTTTTAAACATCCTTCCTATTGTCTTGATATTGTTTCCTGAATTAAAACCGTAAACCAAAATTGCATCCAAATATGCAGTGCAGTTTTAGAACCTCTTTTTTTTTTTGAATCTTTATTCTATTTATTACCAATATGATAAGTTATACAACCTTTCTCAGCCTTGGTTTTCTCAATGGAAAAATTACAGAAATAATTCTCTTTTTTGTGACAAGTTTACACAACCTTCTTTGGGAGGTGATGTAGTGGGTTATCAATTTCAGCATAACATAGAACACATGTATTTAATAATAGAATGACTTCATGAACACTGTGTCCTGTTGAAATATGTAGTCTCATAAAGATAAAGCAGGGACATATTTGGGTTTTGGAATGAGGTTTTCTTAAAATACCCATGTAAATTCTGAAAACGTAGCCATTCTTGGACTTCATTCACCTCATCAATGGACTTGGAAAAGGAAGCAGGATTCAAAAAATGAAGGTCAGCTAGCAGGAAGATTATGATCCCCATTCACCATTGTACTGCAATCTAGAAATTGCAGTTCTGGTGTGGACATAGGAGAGGCAAAGAAAAGAGTGCTAAAAAAGGGCCAAGTAATTCCATATTTTGGAGTTGACTGTCAGATTGTTGTGCTTATGCTGTTTGTCTGTTTATAATTACCAACCAGCTTTTTTTCTTATCTCTACGTTTATAAATTCTACCCATGTATTATATTTATTTAAAAACATTTGAAGCATATAACGTATACAAAATGTATATCTCACTGTGCAGGCTGAAGAATGATAATCAATTTTTCCATGTACCCATCTTTAATCTCTCAAACACTGTTTCCTCTGTGTTCTTAGGAAATACTTTTTCTATTTTCTATTCTAATTGCTTGTGTATATGTGTCCTAAATTCTTCTGAAATACTGTGAGTTTCTTCAATGCATGATTCTTGACTCATTCATGTTTGGTTCCCATTACCTTCAACATGTAAGGATGTAAATAAATATGTGTAGAGTGAGTGAGTGAATGCATTGCAAGCTCTCTGTGGTGAGAACTCATTTATTATCTTACTATTCCTTTCAGTTACTATGCTTAGGGGCAATTAACAAATGTTGGAATTGAATGCATTGAAAGGTCCTGTTAGTCTGTCTAGGCACCTCTTGAATGTTTGTGCAAGGCACTGTGCTGTGTTATGTGTTGTTCATTCATGTTCATGAAAGTAATAAAATATAAAACTTACTGAGGAGTTTGAGACTATCCTGTCTGTTCATTGAAGACCTCATATTGTCATATTACTTGCAATTGTAATTGTCGTATTCTTTCTTTCTCTTTCCAGCTATTTCTGGTAGTCATGTCAAGTTGAGTTTATATGCTAGGTTTGATGAAGAGGCAGCATGGAGTGTGATTGGAAAAATGGAGTGTGATCTAATGGAAATAAACTGGGGAGAACTTAGCAGGGCCAGTTGGTTCAGATTCTCCTCTGTATCCTGTTTCTTCAGAGATAGGATTTTGCTTTCTTCTGGGAATATGGAAGCCACTCTAGAATGAGGGTCTTATGACCCACTTCAAGGGAAGGTCAGAAAAATCCTTCCTGGATTTTAGGACCAAATTTGAGGGGAAGGTGAGAATGACCTTCCTGCTTCTGCTATAGTCTCCAATGTCAAGGTGCCATATTTTTGGGCTAACATGTCTTAAACCCCATCAAACTGTATTATCTAATCCTTGGTTTCCTCATCTGCAAAATGGAAATGAAAATATCAGTTATATAATGCTAATGGAAAGATTAATCAAGATATAATATAAGATCCTTGACAAAGTCCCAGTAATATAAAAGGTGTTCGAGAAGTGGAAGCTATTATTAGTAGCTGAGTTTTATTTTTTACATTCTCCCAATAAATAACAATAGCTTTTAACAAGTTAACTTAGTTTTCAAAAGATGCTAATTTACAGGATGAATCACATATTTTGCTCAAATTTGGGGCTTTTACCCTTCTTTAAGAGAATTTGAGTAACATCTACTTTAAAATAATATAAAGCAAAACATTTATTTTCTGATAATAAAGTTTTAATTCTGAAATGTAGGTATGAAACACTAATTTTTACTGAGCACTTATTATTTGCCATATACTGTTCTAAGTACTCTACAAGGAATTAACTCTAAATCCTCACAACATCCCAGTGAGGTTGGTAGAATGGCTATCTTTACAGATGAGGAAATTAAGGTACAGAAAGGAATAGAAATGGCAGAGCCTAGAGGAAAATTCAAGCTGTTTTACTCTTAGCCCTACATTAATAATCGTTGTAATAATGTTACCTTAATATGAAAGAAAGTAATATTTGAAGTAAGAACTATCAGAGACAATTTAGAAGACTATTACTTCTTAAAAATCTGTATTAGGTGAAAATATGTGCCAGATTGAAATGGCAATATGCAATATTTAGAAAAAGCAAAAGTATCTCCATAGAGCTCTAAAAAATTAGTGTTAAAATATTTGTACATAAAATGCGTAAAAGTATTTGTACATAAAATACAGCCTTTGTACATAAAATCTAGTGTCAAAGTACTTGTACATAAAAAGCATTTGTACAACATTGCGTACTGTTACCTTAATATAAGAGAGAGTAATATTTGAAGTAATGACATATTCAGAGATAAATATTACTTGTTAGGAATCTCTATTAGGTGAAAAAATGTGCCAATTTGAAATGGCAACATAGACTGTTTAAAAAAAGCAAAAGCATCTCATTGGAGCTCTAAAAATCTAGTGTAAAACTATTTGTATATAAAATGTATGTCAAATTAGTAATAAGGTATGAGGAGCCTCTTGTCAGAGACATATATGGTAGGCATTTAAAAAATCTTACTGAACTCTGAATCAACTTTCTGCATATTATGGTTATTACTTTGAAAATTTTAAAGACATGAATAATTATTTTGGGGCATGAATTAGCAAATAATATATTTTATTGATGAATAATAAATCCTGGCAAATGTTCAAAGCATTTTACTTTTTCAGCACTTACAGGTTCTGCCAAGGTATGTGGTTTCTTGTGATTGTCATCAATTTCTGAGGGAAGGGTTCCTAAAAAGGAGGAGCATTTCCAGTGGTCTTCAGCATAGACTTTGCTGCTGAAGGACGCCACCTTTAATCTGCTGCTGCACAAAAGAAGCAACTTTGTTTGAGAGCCTGAAGTGATAACTTGTTTTCAGATAATCTTAAGTGCACTGACTCTTAAGAAATGATTGTTTTAAAGGAACCACCATAACATTTTATAAACAACTAATCCTTACTTGTTTTTTTCAGAGCTAATTTTTTAAAAATATCATTTAGGATTTTTGACACCCTGTGTCTCCAATCACTTTAAGAATCCTTCAGAAAATTTCAAAACAACCTATAGATTTTGACCTATAGATTTCATATGGTTCAATGATTTGCTTGGAATTCTTTTAGGAGAACAGGGATATGTTCCATGAAATTGGACAGTCATCTTAAAATCTTTGAAGGGTAGCCAGATGCCAGTGATCACTTATGCAGAAATAAAATTTATAGGCAGAAGTTCCTGGATGCATATGAAGAGGAAAAGAGACATTGGGAGAAAGAATAAGGTTGGAAGTCACATTCTTTTTCAACACAAGGATGAACATTCTCATGATAAATTCTTATAAAATTGTAATGGGTTGGTCAAATAAACGAATAGCTTCCTGCTAACAAGTGTTTAAAAAGAGACCAGGTAACCATCTGTTAGGTATAATATGGAAAGAATTCCTTTTGGGCTGCTGAGTTTGGATTAAATGATCTGTATGGACCTTTTCAAATGCAATGACCTGAGAAAGTAAAATGGTAGAATGTTTTGACGTTAAGAATGTTGGTGATCTCTGCCTTAGTTCATAAGCATTATGAGAATTGTAAGAAAGAACATGCCTCAGAGTTCTTCCTAAAAGTTTTCAAGGATAGCTTCAGCAGGAAAAAATAATTTTATAGTTATTTTAAAAATAAATTTTATGAAACAAATATTAGGAAGACATATAAAAAGCAATTTATAATGGTTTATTTCACATACTCAGTAGCAACAATTAATTTCAAAGCAGATGGAGCTCTGTTAGGAAAATATCCCCATGATATAAGTTAGTTTAATTTGGTTGTCAGCAATAGAAACTGGTGGTGCATGACATAAGCAATAAAGAAATTTATTGATGAGACAGGATAGCTCACAGCACTGAAGAAAATTCTGAGACATTGACTTTCAAGTAAACCAGAGCCTTTATGCAGGTCTGGCTATAACAAATTAATACATAGTGTCTTCAAGATGCCATTAAGGTGATGAATTCTGGGCATTTTATGTGCTTGTTTCAGTCTGTTCAAGACTAAAATTTTAGTGAAAAGGTATTAAGAGAATATAGTTTCAAAGCCTTGCTCATTTCTTGGCTTGGGAAAGAAAAACTCTTTAACAACCCCACCAACATATTATTCAAGGGGCGTGGATAGCTTCTCAAAGCAAAATTGGGGTGCCATTATTGGAAAAAGAGGGATGTAAGTTGGTCAGAAGAAAACACAGATGTGCACCATCTTGAGCCATTTGGTTTGAAACATGAATTTTCAACCCCTCTTAGCTTCTTTCAACATTGCCTCTTCCTCAAAATGCATATTTAGCAAGAGCAGGGCACAACAGAAGAGAAACAGCTGTTCTGCACATAAAATAAAAGGCATTTGTAAATTCAGAGAGCAACTTGTGCAACGTCGTCTACGGTGGAAGACTACAGACTACAGAGGAGACTCACTAGTGTGGTAGAATGTATAGGTTCTATGGAGACCCATCACCGGAATGACATTCTTCTTGCTGGGGCTGGTTGGTGGAGTTTCAGCACAGTTGTATCTAGTATCTTATTTCAAGTTGTTTTCTGTGCTTGCCATGCCCTAACCCCTCTCCATTATCCCAAATGTGCCCTACACATCTGCTGTGCATAATGAACTTACCTCCGCGGTGCTTTGTAATGGTAAAGAACCAATGTGTAGTGAGGAATTGTCAAACAGAAGCTTCTACAAAAGCCATGGAGTATTTTCGATAAGTAAGCTCTTGATTAGGAAACTACCAACTATCCTGGAATTCATGAGAGTGGCAAGATGTAGGGTGGGGAGGGAGAGTTTCCACCTTATATGAGACGGAGATCCAAGGCATCTTACTTGCATAATAACCCACACACCAGCATTTTGTCCTCTAGCTATTCTTATCCCAAGCTTGATTCCGTGTTCAGCATTGGTCCGCATTCTTCAAAAAAAGAGAAAGTACTTATAGAAAAGCACACTATTTCTTCTCTTTTTTTTGAGATGGAGTTTTGCTCTTGTTGCCCAGGCAGGAGTGCAGTGGTGCGATCTCAGCTCACCCAACCTCCTCCACCTCCCAGGTTCACATGATTCTCCTGCCTCAGCCTCCCAAGTAGCTGGGATTACAGGCATGTGCCACTATGCTTGGCTAATTTTGTATTTTTAGTAGAGACAGTATTTCTCCATGTTAGTCAGGCTGGTCTCGAACTTCTAACCTCAGGCGATCCACCCACCTCGGCCTCCCAAAGTGCTGAGATTACAGACGTGAGCCTTTGCAACTGGTCTTCTTTCTTTTTCTAGGAAAGATGGGGGAAGTGTGTCACCTGACATATATTACAAAATATTTTTCAAATACTTGGCATTGTTTTAAAGTTCCTCTGGAAGACTTAGAGACATCTAACTTCAGATTTCTATAATCTGACTTATGTTTGCATCACATGAACCTTAATACAAATAAATCATTGTTACATTTAGATAATACGTTGCAACTTCTAATGGAATATAATACTATTTATTAAAAGTTTAATTTTGATTTATTATTCAATTACATTTTATTTGTGAACATAGATACTAGGATTTCTATACACTTATATATGCTAAAAAACTTTTAAATATAATAAAATTCAGTGTTGAGAGAATATAAATTTCAATGAAATGGAGCATTTTGTGTTTATCTTGATCAAACTTGCTAGAGGCATATTTCCTTCTAAATGATTATTTTAATGTAATTCAGAAAACACAATTGTGCCCTCAAAAATGACTTTTTCTCTTGCTTACTATATTTTAAGTAACTGGACTATTTGACTGAAGGACATTCATAGAAAATCATATGCAACAGTAAATATCATGTGGCTATTATGAGTAATAGGGAATGAGATATTCAAGAGAAAAAATTTAGTTCATTTCTTTGATTGATCAGATATAATATGGGCAGAAAATTTTGTAGTCCAGTAAGAAAGTACAGAAGTGGTTTTTTGTTTGTTTTTTTCTAAGGATCCAGAGCCCCAAACTGTTTGTACCTCCCTATAGATACAAATGTATACTTCTTTACACTGGTGAAAGAGAAATGGTGGGAAATTCAGCACAGAACATAGTGCTGATGGCTGTACTATCTTTTAAGTGATATCAATGTTAATATGTAGCCCAATACGAATTCATAAAAGTGTTGTGTGGTCATAGCATTAATGTATCCATAGATATAAAATGATGGTAGACCAACGGGTAACCAGAATACATAGAAGAAATTCACTAAGGAAGTTATTTCATTCTTCTATGACTGGGGTGGAAAGGTTCTCCATGAGACCACGAACTCTCATTATTGTTCCAGTGGGGAGTAATAAAGCCCCATGTGAGCTACCAGTCCACGAAGAACATTAGGAATTGTCCATTGCGATTGTCCCACTTTTACAACACAAGAGTGAGAGTGATTTTTCAATACCATGAGAATAATTAGCTTGGCAGAAGTTCTGGCACTCTGGCCTCCGGACTTTTTTTGATGTCACTTTCAGGGGGTTCCTATTAGTTATTGCTAGTCCAGGGGGGTTGAAGATTAAAGAGTTTTCACTCTTCTTTCTGCCCTTTGGAGCCTGAAAGGAAATAAGTGAAATATTTTCTTTTCCATAGTGTAACAGAAGATGCAGGCCTTATTATTTTGTGTAAGCAATGTGAATTAGAAATTACTTCTTTGTCCTTAAGTTTTATATTTAATATTTTATAGCTTTTAAGTGAGTAATAAATTATTTTTGTAATAATTCATTATTTATGGAATATTTTTAAACACAATTTAATGTAATGCCACAAAATGACAGGCATAGGGAGAAAAACATGCCTGGAGATAATTGGCCCAGTGCTGCCCAAAATAAATTAAGGCATTATTTTAGTAGAAATATTGATGGAATTTCTAAGAAAAGCCTTTTCACTAGCAATGGCAGATAATCAGCTTGGATTATTCAGGATCCCAAACTCCAATTTATAAAATTTTCTTTCTGTCTTTTAGCCATCTTAATTAAATGATTTTAAATTTTGGCAGCTAACTCATTTTGAACAACTTCATGGACTTACAATAATGAAATTATTTAATTATCTCTGAGAGGTATGGGAGAGAAAGAAACAGCCTATGGAAACCCTAAAAATGAGTAGTTGTCAATTTTTTTTCTTTTCTATCTATCTGCCTCTTTCTTTTCTTTTCTTTCTTTCTTTTTCTTTTTCTTTTTTTTTTTTTTTGACAGCGTTTTGCTCTTGTTGCCCAGGCTGGAGTGCAATGGCGCTATCTCAGCTCACTGCAACCTCCACCTCCGGGTTCAAGTGATTCTCCTGCCTCAGTCTTCTGAGTAGCTGGGATTACAGGTGCCCACCACCACACCCAGCTAAATTTTTGTATTTTTAGTAGAGATGGAGTTTCACCATGTTGGCCAGCCTGGTCTCGAACTCCTGACCTCAGGTGATCCACCCACCTTGGCCCCCCAAAGTGCTGGGATTACAGGCGTGAGCCACCGCCCTTGGCCATGCCTCTTTCTTTTGATAAATGTTATCCCAGCTTGGCCGATCGCGGGGCTCACGCCTGTAATTCCCAGCACTTTGGGAGGCTGAGGCGGGCAGATCACAAGGTCAGGAGATCGAGACCATCCTGGCTAACATGGTGAAACCCCATCTCTACTAAAAATACAAAAAATTAGCCAGGCGTGGTGGCGGGCCCCTGTAGTCCCAGCTATTTGGGAGGCTGAGGCAGGAGAATGGAGTGAATCCGGGAGGCAGAGCTTGCAGTGAGCCGAGATCGTGCCACTGCATTCCAGCCTAGGCGACAGAGCCAGACTCTGTCTCAAAAAAAAAAAAAAAAAAAAATTTATCCCAGCTTTTTTGAGCTTCCACAACTTCAGCAACATATTAATACCTCTGCACTTTGGGAGAGGACAAATCCATCTGGCTCCTAGATTAAGCCCATTAATATATCTCAGTTGTCTGACCACAATCCTGGTTTCAGGGCCCTGGAACTAGTTGAAACCCAGGAGACATTTGCTGGGCTCTTCTGGGAAGAAGCTCCTTTGCTTTTAGAAAATAGCAAGACTGGATTTTCCATTATTTCTTTCCATAACAACATTCCCCTGTCCTTTAGAGACCAGCATTTTTTACAGTGTGAAGTAAGGCATCATGTTAAAACATCAACATATTAGAGAACTAGTTAACTGCAAATTTTCCAACAGCCATGTTTTGTGATTTTTTTCAATTTTTTTTTCTGGAAAATGTACATTGAAGTAGAATAAATCGAAGGGAGTGCAAACACCATTCTCTTGTGTTAAAACTTGGAAAAAAATAGGACATCTCTTGGCATCACTGCGCACCTGGGTTTTCCCAGCGGGCTATAGTTTCCCAATCACAGATAGTGGAGAGGCAATTATCTCCTTTCTAGGCTTTCTACTTTCAGGCAAAAGCTGTTGATGTACAATAATTGAGTTTTCCCAGGGTGTCTAAAGAAAGGGCATGTCATCAAGAAGTGCAGCTGAGTCCTTCTTGTTTATTTCTCTTTGTAATTTAAAAAAATTTTGTTATGGAATATGTAAGACCCAATGATCTACCACTTAAACTTAAGAACCTAAGTGAAAACAATGCACCCACTTCCCAGCTGAAAAAATAAAACATTGCAGGTAATTTAGGGGTGGTGTGCCCCTTGCCAGTCTCACAACCAGTCCACCCAAAGAGGTTCCTGAATTTTGGCTTAATTTTGCCCTGTTTTTTCTTATACTTTTACCACCTGTGTTGGTACCCATAAGCCATATATTTTTAGTTTTGCTTATAGTTGAATTATGTACAGTTGAGTCATACTGAATGTATTCTTTGTGGATTTTATTTGCTAAATATTTTTTTTAGGTCAGTCCTTGCTGAAGCTATTTCCTGTGGCTTATTCATTTTCAGTGTTAAACTGTATTGAATCAAATATGCCTCATTTGATTTATCCATTCTGTTTTTGATTGGTATTTGTTTGCTTCTAGTCTTTATAAACAGTAGAAAACATTCTCATGCATGGCCCCTGATACATATACATGAAAGCTTCTTCAGAAAAGAACTCTGGGCTATAGGGTATGAAAATACCGATAATTTAATTTGTAAATGTTGGAAACATATACAAGTAAGATTGTTAGTTAAAAACAACAACAACAAAAAAAAACTAACAAAAAAAAACGTAAGAAAACATTTGGAAAAACTTTTCTAAAGTTGGTGCACCATTTTCCGCACTCCTAATAATTACTAATAATTGTTGAGAGCTTGGATTGATTCACAGGGTCATCCAAGGTTAGTATTGGACAGCTTTAATTTTTTTAGAAGTTAGTAGTTATATATAATGGTATTTCATAATTAAATTGCATTTACCAAATTGCTAATGAGATTGATCACCTTTTTATTTTTTATAGACTATTTAAAATTTTCTATTATGTTATTTGTTTTTCACTTTTTAGTAATGGGAGTTTGCAAATAGTCATTTATTAGTGTAAGTAGCCTTCTGTTGTCTCTGGTTTGTCTTTTCACTCTTTAAACTGGTATGTAGTAGAATTTATTATCATCTTTCATAGTTTACATTTTGTGTCGTGTTTTTAAAAATAATCTCACCCTACTGTAAGGTAGGGTGAAACTTTTTTCCTGAAAGTTTTAAAATTTTGCTTTTCACTTTAAATTTAATTCAAGCTGGGCAGAGACATAACCAAAAAAGAGAATTTTAGACCAATATCCTTGATGAACATTGATGCAAAAATCCTCAATAAAATACTGGCAAATCGAATCCAGCAGCACATCAAAAAGCTTATCCACCATGATCAAGTGGGCTTCATCCCTGGGATGCAAGGCTGGTTCAATATATGCAAATCAATAAATGTAATCCAGCATGTAAACAGAACCAAAGACAAAAACCACATGATTATCTCAATAGTTGCAGAAAAGGCCTTTGACAAAATTCAACAACCCTTCATGCTAAAAACTCTCAATAAATTAAGTATTGATGGGACATATTTCAAAATAATAAGAGCTATCTATGACAAACCCACAGCCAATATCATACTGAATGGGCAAAAACTGGAAGCATTCCCTTTGAAAACTGGCACAAGACAGGGATGCCCTCTCTCACCAGTCCTATTCAACATAGTGTTGGAAGTTCTGGCCAGGGCAATTAGGCAAGAGAAGGAAATAAAGGGTATTCAATTAGGAAAAGAGGAAGTCAAATTGTCCCTGTTTGCAGACGACATGATTGTATATCTAGAAAACCCCACTGTCTCAGCCCAAAATCTCCTTAAGCTGATAAGCAACTTCAACAAAGTCTCAGGATACAAAATCAGTGTACAAAAATCACAAGCATTCTTATACACCAACAACAGACAAACAGAGAGCCAAATCATGAGTGAACTCCCATTCACAATTGCTTCCAAGAGAATAAAATACCTAGGAATCCAACTTACAAGGGATGTGAAGGACCTCTTCAAGGAGAACTACAGACGACTGCTCAAGGAAATAAAAGAGGATACAAACAAATGGAAGAACATTCCATGCTCATGGGTGGGAAGAATCAATATCGTGAAAATGGCCATACTGCACAAGGTAATTTACAGATTCAATGCCATCCCCATCAAGCTACCAATGACTTTCTTCACAGAATTGGAAAAAGCTACTTTAAAGTTCATATGGAACCAAAAAAGAGCCCACATAGCCAAGTCAATCCTAAGCCAAAAGAACAAAGCTGGAGGCATCACACTACCTGACTTCAAACTATACTACAAGGCTACAGTAACCAAAACAGCATGGTACTGGTACCAAAACAGAGATATAGATCAATGGAACAGAACAGAGCCCTCAGAAATAATGCCGCATATCTACAACTATCTGATCTTTGATAAACCTGAGAAAAACAAGCAATGGGGAAAGGATTCCCTATTTAATAAATGGTGCTGGGAAAACTGGCTAGCCATATGTAGGAAGCTGAAACTGGAACCCTTCCTTACACCTTATACAAAAATCAATTCAAGATGGATTAAAGACTTAAACTTTAGATCTAAAACCATAAAAACCCTAGAAGAAAACCTAGGCATTACCATTCAGGACATAGGCATGGGCAAGGACTTCGTGTCTAAAACACCAAAAGCAATGGCAACAAAAGCCAAAATTGACAAATGGGATCTAATTAAACTAAAGAGCTTCTGCACAGCAAAACAAACTACTATCAGAGTGAACAGGCAACCTACAAAATGGGAGAAAATTTTCACAACCTACTCATCTGACAAAGGGCTAATATCCAGAATCTGCAATGAACTCAAACAAATTTACAAGAAAAAAACAAACAACCCCATCAAAAAGTGGGCAAAGGACATGAACAGACACTTCTCAAAAGAAGACATTTATGCAGCCAAAAAACACATGAAAAAATGCTCACCATCACTTGCCATCAGAAAAATGCAAATCAAAACCACAATGAGATACCATCTCACACCAGTTAGAATGGCAATCATTAAAAAGTCAGGAAACAACAGGTGCTGGAGAGGATGTGGAGAAATAGGAACACTTCTACACTGTTGGTGGGACTGTAAACTAGTTCAACCATTGTGGAAGTCAGTGTGGCGATTCCTCAGGGATCTAGAACTAGAAATACCATTTGACCCAGCCATCCCATTACTAGGTATATACCCAAAGGACTATAAATCATGCTGCTATAAAGACACATGCACACGTATGTTTATTGCAGCATTATTGACAATAGCAAAGACTTGGAACCAACCCAAATGTCCAACAATGATAGAGTGGATTAAGAAAATGTGGCACATATACACCATGAAATACTATGCAGCCATAAAAAATGATGAGTTCATGTCCTTTGTAGGGACATGGATGAAATTGGAAATCATCATTCTCAGTAAAGTATCGCAAGAACAAAAAACCAAACACCGCATATTCTCACTCATAGGTGGGAATTGAACAATGAGAACCCATGGACACAGGAAGGGGAACATCACACTCTGGGGACTGTTGTGGGGTGGGGGGAGGGGGGAGGGATAGCATTGGGAGATATACCTAATGCTAGATGACGAGTTAGTGGGTGCAGCGCACCAGCATGTCACATGTATACATATGTAACTAACCTGCACATTGTGCACATGTACCCTAAAACTTAAAAGTATGATAATAATAAAAAAAAAAATAAAAAAAATAAAAACAAAAAAGAATTTAATTCATCTGGAATTGTTTTGGATTGAGAGTGGGTTTCAAACTGATGATTTCCTCAGATGGGTAATTAGTTGCCCCAGGACCATTTTTTCCCTCTAATTGACACAGCTCACCATCTTTCCATATAGTACTGGGTCTGTCTCTGGCATTGCCATTCTGTCCATCCTTATGTCAGAGCCACAATACACTAAATAGCACACCCTTATAAAAATAGAATAGAAGCAGCAAGAGTGGGCATCTTTCTCTTGTTTCTAAAGGATAAGCTCTCAGCTTTTCACTGTTGAGTATAATATTAGCTGTGAGTTTGTCATTTAAGGCCTTTATTATCATCTATACCTAATTTGTTGAGCATTTTTACCATGAAAGGATGTTGAATTTCGTCAAATGCTTCATTTTTGCATCTATGAAAGAATTATATGATTTTTGTCTTTCAGGTTGTTAATGTGGTATATCACATTTATTGATTTGTGTATGTTGAGCCATTGTTGCATCCTAGGGATAAATTTTACTTGATTGTGATATATGTGCTGTTTTAATGTGCTGTTGGATTTGGTTTGCTAGTATTTGTTAAGGATTTTTGCATCTAGGTTCATCAGGGATTTCTGGTATATGATCTTTTTAATGTGCCATTGAATTTGGTTTGCTAGTATTTGGTAAGGATTTTTGCATCTATGTTCCTCAGGGATATTTGTCTGTAATTTTCTTTTCTTGCAGTATCCTTGTTTGGTTTTCATATCTGGGTAGTGATTGCTGTATAAAATGAGTTTGGAAGTGTTCTCTCCAATTCAGTGTTTTGGAAGAGTTTAAGAGGAACTAGTGTGAATTCTTTAAATCTTTGGTAGAATTCACCAGTGAAACCATCAGGTCCTGGGCTTTTTTTTTTTTTTTTTTTTTTGATGAAAAATGTTTAATTGCTGATTCAATCTTCTTATTATTGGTCTGCTCAGATTTTCTCTTTCCTCATGATTTAGTCTTGGGACATGTATGCTGCTAGGAATTTGTTTCTTCTTAGTTGTTCAATTTGTTAGTGTATAATTGTTCATAGTAGACTCTATGATCCTTTGTATTTCTGTGGTATCAGTTGTTAAGTGTGATTCCTCTGTCACTTCTGATTTTATTTGAGTCCTCTTTCTTTTTTTCTTTGTTAACCTAGCTAAATGTTTGTCAGTTTTGTTTATCTTTTCAAAAAACCAATTCTTGGTTTATTTGATCTTCTCTATTATTTTTCTGGTCTCTTTTTCATTTATTTCTTCTCTGACTTTTATTTCCTTCCTTCTTTAACTTTGGGCTTAGTTTGATTTTTTTTCCCCCTGGATTCTTTAGGTATAATGTCAGGTTATTTGAGATCTTTCTTCTTGTTTGATGTCAGCCTTTATTGCTATAAACATCCCTTTTAGAACTGCTATTGCAGCATCCCAGAAGTTTTTGTATGTTGTGTTTCCATTTTTTGTAAGTCTCAAGATATTTTAAAATTTGCCTTTTAGTTTTTTATTTGACCCACTGGTTGTTCGGGAGCATGTTGTTTAATTTCCACATACTTGTGAATTTTCCAGGATTTCTCCTGTTATTGATTTCTAGTCATACCACTGTGGTCAGGAAAAGAACTTGAAATGATTTTAAATTTTGAACATCTCTGAAGACTTCTTTTGGGACGTAACATATGATCTGTCCAGCAGAATATTTCATTAATTCTTGAGAAAAATGTGTATTCTGCTGCAGTTGGGTGGAACATTCTATATATGTCTTTTATATCCATTTGACCTAACATATACTTTAATTTGGATGTTTCATTATTGATTTTCTGTCTGGATGATCTGTCTGTCCATTGCTGAAAATGTGTATTGAAGTTTCCTAGTAGTATTATTATTTGTTTGTTTGTTTGTTTGAGACTGAGTCTTGCTCTGTCACCCAGGCTTGAGTGTAGTGGCATGATCTTGGTTCACTGCAACCTCTGGCTTCCAGGTTCAAGAGGTTCTCCAGCCACAGCTTCCTGAGTAGCTGGGATTACAGCACAGTGGCACCCGGCGAATTTTTGTATTGTGTTTAGTAGAAACGGGGTTTCATTGTGTTGGTCAGGCTGGTCTTGAACTCCTGACCTCAAGTGATCCAGCCCGCCTCGGCCTCCCAAAGTGCTTGGATTGCAGGCATGAGTCACCATGCCTGGCCAGTTTCCTACTATGATTGTATTAAAATCTACCTTCCTTCAAATCTGTTAATATTTGCTTTATAGGTTTAAATGCTTTCATTTTGGGTACATATATATAATTGTTATATTCTCCTGATGAATTGAGCCATTTTTATACTAGAATAACCTTTTCTTCTTTTTACAGTTTTCGACTTAAAGTCTATTTTATTTGGTATAGATTTAGCTCCCTATGCTGTCTTTTGATTTATATTTGTGGAAAATATTTTTCCATCTTTAATATTTATCCTGTGTTTCCTCAAAGATGAAGTGAGTCTGTGGTAGGTAGGCTGCATGTACTTAACTTTTGGTTTATTCCTTCGGCTACTTTATGCCTTTGATTGGATAATTTAATCCATTTAAATTCAAAATAATTATTGATAGATAAAAACTTACTATTGTCATTTAAAACAATTATTTTCTGGTTGTTTTATAGATCTTTTGTTCCTTTCTTCCTCTTTTTCTTTCTTCCTCTACTATTAGGTTAATTTTTATTGGTATGCTTTGATTGCATTGGATAATTTAATCCATTTCAATTCAAAATACTTATTGATAGATAAAAACTACTGTCATTTAAAACAATTGTTTTCTGGTTGTTTTATAGAACTTTTGTTCCTTTCTTCCTCTTTTTCTTTCTTTCTCTGCTATTACGTTAATTTTTATTGGTGTGCTTAGTTTTTATTTTTTATGGCTGCTATAGGTTTTTGCTTTGTGGAACTGTGAAGCTTATATACAACATTTTGTAACAGGCTATTTTAAACTGAGGACAACTTAATTTGAATTTTTTTCTATATTATTTGTGCTTTTTCTTAGTCCTTGTATTCTATTCTTTAAAACTCATTCTTGCTGTTCTTTAGGTTTTCTTTTGTTATTCCATTTTTTTCCTCTACTTTTTTGGAAAATCTACACTCAATTTGTATTCTCCTACTAGTTACCCTTATACCTTACCATTTATTACTAATGAAATCTATGATTAATAGAGATGTGTACCCATCTTTTCAAGCTATACAAGGATTTAAGAATGTTTGAATGACCATCACCCCCTTTCAGTGTCAGTGCTATTTTTCTCTCTACAGATGGTTTCTGACATACAATGGTTTGACATATGATTTTTTTTACTTTACAATGGTTATCAAGATGTAACTCTATCATAAATAGAGGAGTTTCTTGTCTTGTGATGGGGTTATGGTTTCTATTGAAATCAATAACCGATCCAAACCCAAAGATTGCTTTTGCACCATTGTAAAGTAAAAAAATGGTAAGTCAAACCATCGTAAGTTGGGGACTGTCTGCTGTGTTGCCAGCATTTAATTTTTTTTTTTTACTTAGAATATTTTTAATTTATGATGGGTATATTGGGATACAATATGTTGAAAAGCATCTTCATTTCCATCCCATATTGCTTTTCCCCTATATGTATTTTTGCAGAGTTACCAAAATATTAAGCCATGTATTTATCACCATTTCTTACTGCATTGCAAAGCTCTCATTGGGCAACATTTCCTTCAGCCTTAAAAATATTTGTTATTATTTTAGATAGTGTGTGTTCGTGGTAAACTCTCCTTGGGCATTTGTCAGAAATTTTATTGATTTCTTTTTGGTTTTCAACAATAAAATTGAATATATACTTCTATTTTGATATACATTTTTTTCTTCTCAGCACTCGGAGACATGATTTCATGGTGCCTTTACTATTATTTAGAAGTCAGTCATCATTCTAATCACTATTAGTCTGTAAGCGACCTGTTCTTTCTTTTCTTTTTGTTTTTTATTCTGCTTTAAAATCTTGTTATGGTCTGGCATTTTTTAGGTTTACTGCCATGTGTCCAGGAATGGATTTATTTTTATTTACATTGTTTTCAATTTATATTCCTTTCCAGATTTTAGGGTTTATGTCTTTCAACAGTTTTGGAAAGTCTTGTTATTATATCTTCGAGTATATTTGCTTCTCCATTCTCTCCTATTATCTTCATCTAAAATTCAGTTACATTGTTATTAGACCTTCTTACACTACCTTCAGAATATCTTAAGTTTTTCATATTCCCTCTGTCTTTGTTTATCTGTCCTTCAATTAGGATGACTTATTTAAGTCTGCTTCCCAGTTTACCAGTTCTAATATACTGTGTCTAATCCGTTTAATCATTTTATTATTAATTTCAATTGTTATGTATTATTTTAAAAATTCTATTAGATTTTTTAAAATATACGTACCAACTTTTATAGTCTTTTATTCCTAATTTATATTTTTAATTTTTACTTTATTTTCTCATACTATTAATAGATGTATTTAGCATCCAATGGAGATAATTCTAAGAAGTGAAGTATTTGTGGTCTTGTTTCTACAGGTTTTTTTTTTTTTACATGACTCTCATTAATGGTGCCTTTTTTCCTGTTTATAAGTTAGAGCGGCTCGTTTTACCCAAAATTTTGTATATGAGAAATATTTCAGCCCTGGGTTGAAATCATTTGACTCCAGAGAAAGCTTTCTTTTGTTATTTCAGACATCAGGGAGCACCACCACACCTGGAAAATGTTAAATGAAATTCTTGGCTTGCTGTTTTGTATGACACAGTAGTGTAAACTTAGATTGTAAATTCATGGGAGGTTCAGCTTGTGGTTAGGGATTCTTAGGAAAGTGTATTTATTTTTTCTTAACCAAGTGCCAAATTCAAAACCAGCGAATTTGCTTGTTATCTTATTTTTTGTGGCAAGATTATTTATTTTGTGGTTCTATATTTATGTAGGGGTTTCTGTCCTCTCTGAACACCTTTCACAAAAGAATCTCATAGTTTTCAGAATTTGGCAGAGACCTTGAGGATGTAACCAAACTTTGATGCTTGATTATCTATTAGTTTCTGCTTTCACTTTGTTTTTGGCCTTTCTGAAATTCTTCCTTTTTGTTTCAACAGATCAGTACATTAGAAATTTTTAAAAGTATTTTGTTAAGCCTTAGGACTGTTTCTTCTATACTGCAAAACACTGAAATTTCTCAAGAAGTATTTTTTACTCCATTGATTTTACTCTGTTGTTAAGTCTCCTAGGTTGCAGTTTTATGAATTTTTACTAAGGATGCATTTTAGATGCACAAACTGTAACCATTTTTCCTTTTAGAGCATATTGTAGATTTTATGGTTGAATAAAACCACCATACACTGGATTTTTATAGCTGAGCACCTATTTAGAGTGAAATATTTAGACACAAATGGAATTTATTTTGTGTTCTTAAAATTTATTGCTTATTCACATTATGTATTCAACCAATTGTATTATTATTTAAGATGCAGTGTTAAGTTTACTTTTAGGGGGGATCTACTATATTACCAAAATATTGTATGTGAAGAAGCAGTAACTCTACACATCATTTATTCAGATTTGTTTTCATGACAATTTATTTTCTGTATTATTCAACTGTGTGTATTTTTAAAACTTCTATTGTGGAAACAGCCTCAGAAAAGTTTTTCAAGCTCCCTTCTGCTATTCTTTTTAGGTTTTCAGTATTTACTTGAAATCTCAAACTTTTCAACCCTTTTCAGCTAAAACATGATCTTTTCTACTTTTTCATTCAGTTTGCATATGTAGATGATCATATTTATACAGTTAATTTATAGAGGGAATAAAATATATTTTGCTATGTATAGCACAGATTTTTCTCCAACTTACTATTATTTGGGTTTTAGGAGAGTAATTGGACCTCTGAATTACTTGCAAATTTTTATTTGTCTTTATTTTTTTCACATGTGATCATATCTTTAATCAACCTCAACACCAGTTTACTAAAACAATCCTATTTCAGTGACCGTTTAAAAATTTTTGATTAAGTCTTATAGCTTTTATCCTAGATTTAAATTATTTAAAAAACACCTTGTTGACTAGTTCTGTATTTTTTTTATTGTTGTTACTGTTTTAGTGATACACAAATAAGCTACGATCAAGATATCTGAGTGGGAAATGTATAGGAAATATTTAAAGGGTTTTAGAAGTGAATCTTTTGTGGAAATATCCTGCCTTTCAAAATATTTCCAGAGTCTTACTCATTTAGTAGTCAGTTTAGAAATTGTTGTATTGCTTCAGTTAACATTCCATGCTTGCTGTATTCATATGGTGGATTACCGAAGTCGAGTAGGCAGGCAAAATCCCCATGTAACTGTCAAAAATGACTTATGTAGATTTCAAATATACACAGACATTTAGGATAAGATCCAGATGGCTCTGCATGGCTTATAAAATGCTACATACTCTGCCCACTGTGCACCTTTCTAACCTTATCCCTTAGCACTTCTTTTTTGGCTCGCTAGGTATCAGCCATGTTGGCCTTTTCCTGGACACTGAAAAGGCCAATTCCATTTGCACTTTAGGTTCTTTGAGCTTGCTGTCCTCCTTTAGTGAAATACTCAGCTCTTCAAAATGTGCATGACCGGCTCTATCTTTTTATTCGGGTCTCATCTTAAATGTCATCTCCCTAAGGGGTCCCTGATTCTCCATTCTAAATTATCTGCCATCCTCTCTCACATTTTCCTGTTTTGTTTTATTCACAGAACTTGTAAACACCTGAAACCGTCTTGTTTTTCCTGCTAAAATATGGTTTCCATGAGAGCATGGAATTGTCTACCTTAGTAATAACTTCAATGTACCTAGTAGGTAACCGTGAGCCAGGCACAGAACAGTGCTCTTATGTTACATAAATCAATGAATAAAACTAAATAGTGGAAGTCTCCTTCAAAATAATATTTTTGTCGCTGTAATAGTATACAATATTTTGTAGCCCTTGAAAGCTTTTAAAGCATCTTCACATACTTCATGTCATTACCTTCAATCTTGTGGAAACCATTCTAATTATCCTTTGAGTGTAATAAAATCTTTATATATACAAGCAGCCTGATGATCTGACTTTTAATATCTTACACAAGCATTATGATGGAAATTTCCTATTCAACAGAGTGTATATCATCGTCTACAAATACCTTTGTTGGGAATAAAAATGATGTGTGAGGAAGCAGTTACCATGGTAAACTTAAATTTTCAACAATGCAAGTGAATTTCCTTTGTAAAAGTCAAAAATAAATGTCAGAGCTGGTTTTTCCAGTTGCAGGTTTTTTTTTTCATGTTTATTTCTACAAAGTATTTTGTTCATTTTATACATATTTTTTTCTTCCTGCATTGGTCACATCTCTCAGTGGCACTTGATAAAAAGTATGTTTAAACTTCTTGAATTCATCTAGTTCTGTACAGATATGTCTACCACTTACGTCAAGTCCTGAAATGAAAACATGTGAAATAATTCCAGAATGTGGTAAAGCTTGAACACTACCAAAATTAACATCAGAAACATCGTCTTCTATTTGCTTTTTTTGTGAAAGTGGTCTATCATTTAGCTTTTTCTGTACAACAAAACACCTATAATAATAGTTATTTAAGCAACATGCCTTATTGCAATATTATAGTTTGGCCATTTTGGTCTCTGGGCCTCACTAGCAGTCAGCTAGTAGATTGGATGGGGACAGCATGGCCTCGCTCTCACATATCTTGCTGTTGATTGAATGATGGAGGCAACTGGGCCCTGTGTCTCTAGCATCTGGTGTAACAGCCCAACAGGTTCTCCTTGATTGCTGCCCAGATAGAGCCCATCTATCAAGACAGGGGAACTGGAATAGAAAAATAGTTTAATTCACACAGAGCTGGCTGAACAGGAGACCAGAGTTTTATTACTCAAATAAGACTCTCTGAACATTCAGAGACTGGGGTTTTTAAATGATAATTTTGTGGGTGCAAGGCCAGAGAGTGTGGAGTACTGATTGGTCAGGTTGGAAATGAAATCATAGGGGGTCCAAGTGGATTTTTCTTGCTGTCTTCTCTTCTGATTCTGATCACAGAATTGGTTGAGCCAGATTACTGGTCTGGTTGGTAGTAGCTGGTGCATCAGAATGCAGGTTCTGAAAAATGCCTTGAGCACCAATCTTAGGTTTTAACAATAGTGATTTTATCCCTAGGAGCAATTTAGGAAGTTCAGAATCTTGCGGCCTCTGGCTGCATGACTCCTAAACCGTATTTCTAATCTTGTGGCTAATTTGTTAGTCTTACATAGGCAGTCTGGTCCCCAGGCAAGAAGAGGATTTGTTTTGGGAAATGGCTATTATGATCTTCGTTTCAAAATTAAACTGTAAACCAAGTTTCTCCCAACATTATTTTGGCCTATATCCAGGAATAACAGGAGCAGCTTGGAGGTTAGAAGCAAGATGGAGTCCGTTAGATCAGAGCTTTTCTCATTGTTATGATATTTTGCAAAGGTGGTTGTTTCACTGGCAGGCTAGCCCAGGCTTCTTCACATCGTAGCTAAACATGAAAAGCAGCAAGCCCCATTGCACGAGCTCTTATCCACTCTCTGTTCTGTCGCATTCACTAATGTCCTGTTAGCAAAAATATGTCACCTGGCCAAAAATGGATACCCAGAGGTATAGATATGCATTCCACCTCTTAATGGGAGGAGCTGCAAAGCTGCATTGTAGAGGGGTGTTTATACAGGAATGGGAAAAATCGGTGGTCATTTTTTTTTATGTGTGTGATTTACCAAGAGGGATTCATAAAAGTCATGTTTTTAGAATTAGAATCTCAATAATTTAAAAGTTGAGTCACTGACTGCCTTTCTAACTATTTAGCCTGATTTCTCAGGTGAGTAGTCATTCTCACATTTTGGGATGTGTATTGAAACACCTTGTATGCCCACTGTTGTGTAAATTTCAGCATCCTTCCCTTACCCTATTCTGATTTAGTGTATTTGGGGTGGGGAGCAAGAATCTTTTCTTAAAAAATGTACCAGTGTATTGAGATGTATAAGATCTGGAAGGACTGTAGTTTTTTTGTTTTTTTTTTTAAGACAGAACAAAAATGGCATGCACATTTATGTTTGGACAAGGAGAATGCAGCTGTTGAAAGCTTGTATTTCTTTGAAATTTTAGAATTTATTTTTTTAAAATTGAATAATATAGTTTTCTGTAACCCCTCTAGCATACACTTAATTTGAAACTCTGGTTTAACCATATAACAAATTTTCTTTCATGTAAATAAATAATATTTTAAAAGTTTGTTAAAGTGTATATTATAAAATGGCGAAGTACTGTTTAATTGATAATATGCCTTCTATGAAGTCAGCAGTAGCTCTTGTATGAAAGATTTGTCTAGAAAGATCTTTCTAATCAAGTTTGAACATTGTGAATTTCAGAAAAGAAAGAAGGTGAGAGAGAGAAATAGTAAATTAGATATTTTTATTTTAAGAGATATGCATGCTGTATCTAAATAATTATAATTATAATCAGGAAAATTATATTTAAGTTTAGCTCTTTGGCCAAATATTTTATTTATGTAAAAATTATTTGGTCAGCTCACGCCTGTAATCCCAGGACTTTGGGAGGCTGAAGAGGGTGGATCATGAGCTCAGGAGTTCGAGACCAGCCTGGCCAACATGG